>NC_000004.12:40339016-42839016 GCF_000001405.40 Homo sapiens
CCTGTAATCCCAGCACTTTGGGAGGCCAAGGCAGGTGGATCGCCTGAGGTCAGGAGTTCGAGAACAGCCTTGCTAACATGGTGAAATCCGGTCTTTATTAAAAATACAAAAAATCAGCTGGGTGTGGTGGCGGGCGCCTGTAATCCCAGCTACTTGGGAGGCTGAGGCAGGAAACTCACTTAAACCCGGGAGGCAGGGGTTGCAGTGAGCCAAGATTGCACCACTGCACTCCAGCCTGGGCGACAAGAGCGAGACTCCATCTCAAAAAAAAAAAAAAAAAAAAAAGAAAGAAAAAAGAAAAAGAAAGATAATTTCATTGACACAGATGATCTCTTACAGAATTCTGTAAGTTCTTTTTTTTTTAATTTTAAGACAGGGTCTGGGGGCCAGGCATGGTGGCTCACGCCTGTAATCCCAGCACCTTGGGAGGCCGAGGGGGGCGGATCATGAGGTCAGGAGATCGAGACCATCCTGGCTAACATGGTGAAACCCCGTCTCTACTAAAAATACAAAAAAATTAGCTGGGTATGGTGGCAGGCACCAGGAGGCTGAGGCAGGAGAATGCCGTGAACCCGGGAGGCGGAGCTTGCAGTGAGCCGAGATCGCGCTCCAGTCCAGCCTGGGTGACAGAGCTAGACTCTATCTCAAAAAAAAAAAAAAAAAAAGGCGGGGTCTCACTCCTATCGCCCACGCTAGAGTGCAGTGGTGTGATCATGGCTCACTACAGCCTCAACTTCCCGGGCTCAGGTTATTCTCCCACCTCTGCCTCCTGAGTAGCTGGGACTACAGGTGCATGCCACCATGCCTAGTTATTGTTTTTTTTAATTTTTAGTAGAGACAGAGTCTCATCATGTTGCCCAGGCTGGTTTCGAACTCCTGGGCTCAAGTGATCCACCCAGCTCAGCCTCCCAAAGTGCTGGGATTACAGGCATGAGCTGCTGTGCCCGGCCAGCATTCTGTAAGTTCTAAAAATTCTCTCCAGAAGTCAAACAGAACGGTGGTCCCCCTCTCCCTCCTGTTTTGATAGGCTGAGGTGGTGACCTTGTCTTACTGAAATGCTTCTTTGCAAGCTTACAAGGCATCCTAAGTTAAGCTGACCCCACTGCTCCCTTATTAGAGAAGCCAGTTATGTACTCATGAGTTCACACAAGCCTAGTGTGGCTTTGGCTGGTTCTGTCCACATTGTCCCTTCCCCACTCTCCACCCCTTTACACAGAGCCTTTCACCACACTGATTCATCATCTCCTTTTTGTTCCTCTGGTTGACTCTTTAGTCATCTCTGTGCTCTTGTCATGGACAATTCTGTTTCTGCTCCTCTCTTCTCTTTTGCCTTCTCCTTCTCAGTAAAACTTCTCAGAGTTTTGCTGTGTAGAGGAACCTCTAAATGGAGCTATGGTTGGATGACATCTTCATGCCTTTAACAAATTGAAATGAAAATGGAAGAGTGTTGCAGGATCAGGCAAAGAAGGGCCCTTAGTCATGGCTATTTCCCTGAGCTCAGTCCTTCTTGCTGAATCCCTGACTCTGTAGAATCTTCTGATGCCAGATACAATATCATTGCTTCTCAGAAGCAGGTACAGAACATCATAGGCAACACAATGGGCTTCCTGAGTTGTGGCAAGAAGGAGAAATAGGGTTAGGGGGTAGGTGAGTCAGTCCAGTGTGATAAAGACACTCAGGCAGGAAGATGCTTAGCATCTAGAGTCACCATTGGTGCCCAAATCCATGGGGCTAGACTGGTTAGGGAGTGATCAGGAAGGAGATGGGCCTGGATGCCACTTCACAGAACAGTTGAATTTGCTGATGCTTAGTTTGGAAGAGAGAAGACCTTGAAGACTTGATGATGGTTACCTTAGGTAATCAGAGAGAAAGTAAGGTAGAAAAAAGAGAACAAACAACGTTCCAGAAGACAAAACCCGAGATAATCAGTAGAAGCCAAAGGGAAGATAAGCTCTCCAAAAAAAAAAAAAAAAAAAAGAACATTTCCCTAATAACTTCGGCAATGAATTGTCCCAAGAAATAGTGAGCTTTTTAGCAATGTAACAGTTCAAGTAGATACTGGCTCTTTCAGTAAATCAGTAGAGAAATAAATGAATTGGGGCTCAAAGTTCTGGCAGGAATGTTTAGTATTAGTATATGGTTAGTATAGTGGCTGGTATAAGAGGCTACAAGGATTCCTGACATTTTTAGATTAGGTAAAATGCAGATTACAGAAATTTTAAATTTGAATTCATTATGGCAGGGTTTTCATGGTCAGGTTTTTTTTTTTGTTTTTTGGCGGGGGTGGTGGCGGTAGTTTGCTCTGTCACCTAGGCTAGAGTGCCCTGGTGTGATCGTAGCTTACTGCAGCCTTGACCTCCTGGACTCAAGTTGAGAGAGTATTCTCCTCAGTAGGGTCTGGAGACAGGGAGCCTTCACTTCAGCTTCCAACTCGTCACAGACCAAGTCTTCATTGCATGAGGTGTAACTTCACTTCAGCCTCTGATTGGTTGTAGGTCACATCTTCATTTGCATAGGGTATAACTTCACTTCAGCCTCCAATTGGTTGTGGGCCAAGTTTTTATTTACATAGGGCGCAACCAATGGGAAACGTCTAGAGGGTACTTAAACCCCAGAAGATTTTGTAACTGGTGGTCTTAAGCTGCCTACTCGAGCCCATACCCACTCTGTGGAGTGTGGTTTCGTTTCAATAAATCTGAGCATTTATTGTTTCTTTCATTGTTCTGTACTTTCATTGCTTTATTTGTGCATTTTGTCCAATTCTTTGTTCAAAATGTCAAGAACGTGGACGACCTGTAGTCAAGACCCTCCATGTGTAACAAAGTGATCCTCTCACTTCAGTCTCCTGAGTAGCTGGGACTACAGGTATGCACTACCACACCCAGCTAATTTTTACAAACCTTTTTATAGAGATGAGGTCTCACTATATTGCCTGTTGCCTAGGCTGGTCTTGAATTCCTGGGCTCAAGCAATCCTCCTGCCTTGGCCTTCTAAAGTGCTGGGATTACAGGCATGAGCCACCATGCCTGGCCCCAGTGGTTGGATTTTAATGAGCAGTTTTAATGGTTGGATTTTAGACCTGGTGAGGAACTGGGTGCCCTATTGTATTCAAAAGAATTTGTCTAGAATTTAGCTTTAAGGCCAGCTTATGTATCTATCTTTAGCCATATAAGATGATTTAGAGAATGGCAAGACTTCCAGAAGAGACTGGAAATAAAGGAGGGCGAGGAGAAACAGGTTTGGAAAAAAAGAGGATGAATTTGATGTTCAGTTTGGGGAACCAAAGAAACATCCTCATGGAAATGTCCAATAGTGAGATTGCAAAGGCAAATCTGAAACCTGGAGAAACAGATAGGGCTAATAGAGATGCCAAAAGCCCTTAAAGTCCTATAGAACTACTCATGGAAGGAAAGAAAATGGCTGAGAATAAAGTTGAAAAAACCTCTACATTTAAGGAATTTACAGAGGAAACTTAGAATTAGTAGTTAAAGAGATAGAAGGAGAAGCAAGAGAGTCATGTCATGAAAACCAAGGGAAGAGAGGATGTCTAGGAATAAGCCATAATCCCAATGTTTGGGAAGAGTTGAAGAAGATGAAGACTTAGGAGAAGTCTTGAGATTTGCCTAGTTGTACTTGTCGGAAAGACATCAAAAAGCAGGAGTCAGGAAATAAAAGCAAGAGGAAACGGGACAATAGCAGGTATCAGTTACTTTTGAAAGCAGTGTGTGGAAGGAGATGAGAGAGGTAGAAGGGCCAGGGAGAAAAGGAGTTTGGCAGGAGAGACTTGCGAACAGAGTTGGAAAGTGGCTAGAGGGGCCAGAGAGAAGAAGAGGGACCAAGGGAGGCAAAATCCTGAAGGAGGCATGGGAGGAGAGGACTCACACGACCAGAAGGGAAGTTAGCCAGGAAGAGAGAGGGGGGAACTTCTTTTTGATATGGAAAGGAAGGAAAAGTGAATATGTGAAAGAGACATTGGAGATGGAACGAGGAAGGGATCCTGGGACTGAGTAAACAGACAAGTCTACGCTGAGGTTCCAGGCACTCTGGGGACTGAAAACACTGGGCGACTCTCCCTGCTCCCTCATTTACCAGCCTGCTCCTCTCCAGTTCCCAGGAATGGGCTTCTTACAGCCAAGGCTGGGAAAGTCATTTTCGCTCAATTGCAAAACAACTAAAGTTAGCTCAGTCTTTGATCAGATACAGAAGAGGAGAGGGGGCTGCCTGTATTGGTCTGTTTTCATGTTGCTAATAAAGACATACCCAAGACTGGGTAATTTATAAAGGAATGAGGTTTAATGGACTCACAGTTCACATGGCTGGGGAGGCCTCACAATCATGGCTGAAGGCAAATGAGGAGCAAAGTCACATCTTACATGGTGGCAGGCAAGAGAGAATGTGCAGGGGAACTCCCCTTTATAAAACCATCAGATCTCATGAGATTTATTCACTATCACAAGATCAGCACAGAAAAAACCCGCCCCCATGATTCAATTACCTCCCACCACGTCCCTCCTGCAACATGTGGGAATTATGTGAGCTACACTTCGAGATGAGATTTGGGTGGGGACACAGCCAAACCATATCACTGCCTGAAGGCCACTGAGTGGCTGAGGAAAGGGAAGGTAAGAGGAAAGCAATTTAAATATTCCGTGAGGGTTATATTATTAAACATGCCTTCCCAACCTCCGGCTTACATTTTGTCCCTGTAATTTTTTCATGTTTTAGTTGAGAACAAGAAAACACAGTTAGAAACAGAGGGAAGGGGAAGAAATTAATACATATTGGCCACTTACTATGTGTCTGCATGGAGCTGGGGCTTTACAAAGTGTGATAGATAGAATAATGCCCCCCTTAAAGATGTCCACATCCTAATCCCCAAGACCTGTGAAGATTTATCTTACATGGCAAAAGAGACTTTGCAGGTATGATTGAATTAAAGATTTGAGATGGGGGAGATTATCCTGGTGGGCCTAATGTAAACACAGGGGTCCTTGTAAGAGGGAGATGAGATGGCCAGAATAGGCGATACCACAAAGGAAGCAGAGGTTAGTGATGCAAAGAAGGGGCCCTGAGTCATGGGATGCAGGTGGCTTCTAGAAGGTGGAAAAGGAAAGGCAACAGATCTTCCCCTGGAGTCTCCAGAAGGAATGCAGCCCTGCTCACATTGGTTTTAGGATTTCTGACCTCTAGAATTGTTAAGACACTAAATTTATGTTGTTTTAAGACATTAGGGGCTGGGCACGGTGGCTCGTGCCTGTAATCCCAGCACTTTGGGAGGTTGAGGTGGGTGGATCACTTGAGGTCAGGAGTTTGAGACCAGCCTGGCCAACATGGCAAGATTCCCGTCTCTACTAAAAATACAAAAAAATTAGCCAGATATGGTGGTGGGAGCCTGTAATCCCAGCTACTCGGGAGGCTGAAGCAGGAGAATTGCTTGAATCCAGGAGACGGAGGTTTCAGTGAGCCAAGATGGCACCACTGCACCCCAGCCTGGGCAGCAGAGTGAAATGCCATCTCAAGAAAAAAAAAAAAAGACATTAGATTTAGGTTTTTGGTAGTTTGCTACAGCAGCAATAGAAATTAATATATATAGTTTGTTTAATATAAAAAGAAGCCTTAAGGTATTATAATGCCCATTTTTACAGGTGAGTGACAGAGATATAACCCACCTAAGGTTATGAAACTTGAATCAGGTTCTGAACTCAAATCTCCATGATATTTTTATGAGAAGTAAATAAGAATTTTAAGACCCAGTCTCTGACCTCAAGGAACAATCTAATAAGCTATATATGTAAAAACTATAGTGCAAGGTAAAAATGCAAGTCCCTTATAACACAGAAGTGAAGTGCTGTGGCCCTTTAAGGATGGAAAGATATCTGACTGGAGAGGCAGGGAAGGCTTCACAGAGGTCGCCTCTGAGCAGAGTCTTGAAGGATGTGTTATACTGCTACATGCAGAAAAGGGGGACTATTATGAGTTGAAGAAAGAGTTTGAGTAAGAGAAACTCACAGGGTTTGTTGGGATTTCAGCCTTGATTGGTGGAGTGGGAGTGAAGGAGACCAGCAGAAGGCACACAGCTAGAAAGTGAGGTGGGAATAGATCATGGAATATCTAGAACACTAAACTGCGGAGGTGCAGAAGTATTGTTTGGGCTATAGGAAGCCACTGCAAGTTTTGAGCTGTGTTATGATCAAAAATCTAGGGAGATAAACAATAAGATATTGGTCATGAAGTGATTAAATAATAATGTCTTGGCTGGGCGCGGTGGCTTGTACTGGTAATCCCAGCACTTTGGGAAGCCAAGGTAGGAGGATCGTATGAGGCCAGGAGCTCAAGATCAGCCTTGGCAACATAGTGAGGCATGGTCTCTACAAAAAAAATATATTTTTAATATAATGTATTTAAATTACTCAAGGCCGGCGTGGTGGCTCACACCTGTGATCCCAGAACTTTGGGAGACCCAGGCAGGCAGATTACCTGAGGTCAGGAGTTTGAGATCAGCCTGGTAAAAATGGTGAAACACTGTTTCTACTAAAAATACAAAAATTAGTTGGGCGTGGTGGTGCGTGCCTATAATTCCAGCACCTCGGGAGTCTGGGGCAGGAGAATTGCTTAAACCTGAGAGGCGGAGGTTGCAGTGAACCAAGATTGTGCCACTGCACTAAAGCCTGGGCAACAGGGTGATACTCCATCTCAAAAAACAAACAAACAAACAAACAAACAAATGGCTGGGCACGGTGGCTCACACCTGTAATCCCAGCACTCTGGGAGGCTGAGGCGGGTGGATCACCTGAGGTCAGGAGTTCAAGACCAGCTTGGCCAACATGGCAAAACCCTGTCTCTACTAAAAGTACAAAAATTAGCCAGGCATGGTGGCTGGCACCTGTAATCCCAGCTACTCAGGAGGCTAAGGCAGGAGAATTGCTTGAACCCAGGAGGCAGAGGTTGCAGTTAACTGACATGGCGCCACTGTACTCCAGCCTGGGTGACAAGAGTGAGACTCCGTCTCAAACAAACAACAACAACAACAACAACAAAAACCCACAACCTACTCCAAAGCAGCTGGGGTGATGTTTTTGGTCAGCAGGTTCCCTTGCCCTTTGGCTTGGGGTTGGGTTTGGCCAATGTGGAGCACCAGTGGGCAATTGCAGGGAAAAGAGAGAGTGAGGTTAGCATGTGTATTCCCTCGCTGTCTTCCTGGGAGGTTATCTTCGGCTGGATGTGTGCCCTGAAAGAAAGTCATCACTCCTATCATGGTGACCTACTTCATGCAAATCTTTCCTTCCAGGTTCTGGTAACTGCACTTTCTCCTCACCTCTTCATGTCCAGGAATGGTTTCTCTGCATTGTTTCCATATCTTTATGAACAGTCCCTTTCTTAAACTCTCCTCAGGTTATCTAATTGGAGTAGGCCATCTATTTCCTACAGGGATCATGCCCAGTGCAAATGTCCTAGCCCCAAACAGATTCTCTCTGATCCCCAGATCTCTCTTGCACCAAGGAAGTAGGATGGGTGAGCAGTGTTCTCAGTTCACGTCTAATTCTCACTTCTCAGATAGCTAACTGTACACATTT
Organism: Homo sapiens; assembly: GCF_000001405.40. NCBI lineage: Eukaryota > Metazoa > Chordata > Mammalia > Primates > Hominidae > Homo > Homo sapiens. The sequence goes on from NC_000004.12 coordinate 40,346,591, forward strand.
CTCACGGTTACAGGAGGAAGCTTCAGGCATTTTCAAAAAATTCATTTTGTTATCTTCGCGAACACTCACATTAAAGATCCTCTTGGGTATGGAGTGAACTCAGTCAGACCATTAAAGTTAATATTGTGGCACCCATTTCTAATGAGTGGAAACAATAAAAACCTTAAAAACATGCCTGTTCTTTAAAAAATATATATAGACATATATTATTTTATTTTATTTTTTTGTTGTTGTTGTTGAGATGGAGTCTCACTCTGTCACCCAGGCTGGAGTGCAGTGGTGTGATCTCAACTCACTACAACCTCTGCCTCCTGAGTTCAAGTGATTCTCTTGCCTCAGCCTCCCGAGTAGCTGGGACTACAGGTGCGCGCCACCACGCCTGGCTAATTTTTGTATTTTTTTAGTAGAGATGGGGTTTTGCCATGTCAGTCAGGCAGGTCTCGGACTCCTGGCCTCAAGTGATCTACCCACCTCGGCCTCCCAAAGTGCTGGGATTACAGGTGTGAGCCACCACACCCAGCCAATATATTTTTTATTTTAATAGCTTTTGAGGTACAAGTCTTTTTTAGTTACATGGATGAATTGTATAGTGGTGAAATCTGAGATTGTAGTGTGCTTGTCACCGAGTAGTGTACACTGTGCCCAATATGTAGTTTTTTTATCCCTTACCTCCCTTCAAAAACATGCCTGTTCTGACCCAGCACATCCTTTTTCAGCAATTTAACTTAAGGAAAGGGTCAGTGGATAAATGTAAAGACTCAGCTACAGAGATGTCCACTGCAGCATTGCTTATAAATACAAAAACTGGAACCAACCATAATGTGAAGCCTCAGTAGATTGGTTAAATAACTATGGTGTATCTAATATAATGGACTATAATAGAATGCTATTTAGACATGAAAAGAATGTTGTAGAAGAGTATGAACAAATGACCACGTATTTTTAAAAATTTTGTCTCATCTTTTTTTTCCCTTTTATTTTTTTGCAAGTTAACTTTAAATTTGGGGATAATTTTTAGATTTATAGAAAAGTTGCAAAGATAGTGCAGAATTCCCTTATACCCTTCACCCAGTTTCCCCTAATGTTACCTCTTACGTAACCATAATATACTTACCAAAATTAATACAATGTTATTGACTAAACTACTTTATTAAGATTTCACCAGCTTTTCCATGAATGTACTTTTTCTGTTCCAGGATCCAATCCAGAATACCACATTATATTTAGCCAAAATATACTTTTCGGGGAAAAACTTGTAAGGAAGACTTCAAAAATATGCATCCAAATGTTAACAGAAATGTACCAATTAAGGCTCTTTGGTTGTAAGCATCAGAAACTGACTTTGGCAACCTTGTGAAATAGGAATTTGTTAGAAGGATGTGGCACATCTCATTGAATTAAAGGAAAAAGTAAACAACCAGCTCTTGGAAAGGACAGAACCAAGGCTGCTCTAGTGTTCAAGGCAGGAGGGACTGTCTGTTTTTTTTCAGCCATCACTAGGGTGATGCTTTTGGTCTCTGGATCACTCTGCTTAAGATCTAAACTCTGGAGAGGGTGAATCTGTTGGACCAAGCCTGGGCCACCCAGCCGGCCTTTGGCCAGGGACACTGGGGCACCTTGACCAACACTTCCTCTGCCTTGCAATGGGAGAGGAAGTAATGGGAGAAGGAGGAAGTAACGGGAGAAAGAGTAATTCCCTAGAGAAAAATAGAAATTCTGTACCCCAAAATACAAGGCATAAATATTGATAAAGCAAAAGAAGATATATCTGGAATAAGTGACTATCTCTAAAGTTATGGGTGAACAACTTTTTTTCTCTGAGTTTTCCAAATGTTACAAATAAACATGTACAACTTTTATAATAGCAATAAAGTTATTGCTTAAAGGCATGACCCCAGGCCTTTATTTTTAGAATATATTATTTTAATATTCTAGTGCCTAAAGTTAACAAATCAAGTAAGCAGATTTTAGTATCGACAGGCTTACTTTTTGTCTGCGTGTTCAAATCATTACACCTGGACCAAGAAAGTGACACTGGGAATGGACAGGAAGGGACAGAGAGAAGAGATGCTTTAAAGGAAGAATCCAAGAGAACTTGGCCCTGACTAGTTACAGGAGATGGAGGAGAAGGACAAATTAGAGTTGATTCCAGACTTCCGAGCCACAGTGACAGGCAAAATGGTGGTCCATTGCCAAAACACTGAAGTGATGGGGACAGTGAGCTGTCTGGGGTAAGGAAGGTGGCAAGTTCTCCTAGCATGCGGCTTTCATTTTCCTTATCTGACCTTCAGGGCTGATGATGAATCTTCAGAGCCTGTGAACACCAATGTGGTCCTGCGGTATGATGGGCTGATCACCTGGGATGCACCGGCCATCACCAAAAGCTCCTGTGTGGTGGATGTCACCTACTTCCCTTTTGACAACCAGCAGTGCAACCTGACTTTTGGTTCCTGGACCTACAATGGCAATCAGGTGGACATATTCAACGCCTTGGACAGCGGAGATCTCTCTGACTTCATTGAAGATGTGGAATGGGAGGTCCATGGCATGCCCGCTGTGAAGAATGTGATCTCCTATGGCTGCTGCTCTGAGCCTTACCCGGATGTCACATTCACCCTCCTTCTGAAGAGGAGGTCCTCGTTCTATATCGTCAACCTCCTCATCCCATGCGTCCTCATATCTTTTCTGGCTCCTCTGAGTTTTTATCTCCCAGCAGCCTCCGGAGAAAAGGTCTCCCTGGGAGTGACCATCCTGTTGGCCATGACTGTATTTCAGCTAATGGTGGCAGAAATCATGCCGGCCTCAGAAAATGTGCCCCTGATAGGTGAGTCCAAGTGTCTTCCACTTCAAGCCCAGCTTTGTAGTGCCTGGGGTCATGCCTTTAAGGTTGTGTGTGTGCCTTTAAACTTGAAAAAATGGAGCCAATTTCGACTCAATACAGACTGTCTCAAATTTTTCTGGTGGTTGCAGTTAGCATCTTTCAATATAGATGAGCCTTTTGCAATCAAAACTGGTCTTATGGTCTCTGGGTTTACACGAAAGAGCAATGAAAGACATTATACTTTAGAGCAGTAGTTCTCAAAGTGGTGGTCCCCAGATGCACAGCATCGGCATCCCCTGGGAACTTATAGAAACACAAAACCTCAGGGCCCACCGGAAGCCTACTGAATCAGACATTCTGGAGATAAGGCCCTGGCATCCTGTTTTAACAAGGCTTATGGGTGATTCTGATGCATTTTCTGTTGAAGTCTGAAATCCACTGACCCAGAGGTTAAGACCTGATTTTGAAGTCAAAGAAACTTGCATTTGAACGCTGACTTCACTGCTCACTCCTTGATCAAACAGGCAAGTTACTTGTTCTCTTAGTCTCTGCTTCATCATCTGGAAAATTTGTGTGATTGCTTCCTTCTGTGTCATTGCTTAGTGCACACCCTGGCATATGGTAAGTACTGAGTAAACAGTGACTACTGTTATCATTTCACGTGACAAGGGCTTTCTTCTTGGGAAGAGTGGCAAACATGGCAGAAAGATGTGCTTTTTAAGCCTGACATCTACCCTTAACAGAAAAATCTCATCTTCACTGGGTATAATAGCAGTGGGAGAGTGTATTAAAATGCAAGTTCCTACACCCAGAGAGTTTGATTTAGCAACTTGGCCGAGATTTGGGAATCTGAGGTGATTCCAAAGCAGACTACATTTTCAAAAATCTGCAATAATGAAATATCCCTCCAAGGGTTGGAGTGCAGACTGAGGGTACCACCCCTGCCTCCCCTATCCTTGCCTAGCTTGTTCTGAGGGCTTTCCTATCCCCTTTAACATCTACTTTCTGCCTCCAAGGATACCCTTGAGATCCAACACCTCCATCTCGAGGAGTTGCTGTTGTAACAGATGCTTACCAGAATCAAGCTAGATCTAAGTTTGAGTTCCTTAAAGTAAGCAACAAGGAGAAATTTTAGAACACCAACGAACTTAGAGTCCAATATCAGGAGATGTTGCCTTGCCCTTTTACTCTTTACTGAGTCCAGTTACCCAATATTGAGATGATACTACAGTGGCTTCTCCATTTGGAGATATCTTCCTTTTTATGTCTCTCTTTGCAAAATACACACACACACACACACACACACACACACACACCTCTCTTTTTCAGAATTAAACACAGAAGGCTTTTCCACCTCTAATAAAAAGGAGATGTATTGGCATTTTATTACCTCTCCTGAGGCAGAAATGATTGGCAGTGATGACATCCAATCATAGCCCTGTTTGAGGAAAGATCATGGGGCGGTCCCACTCTCTTCTTGGGTAGTGACATTATACAGCAAGCTGGCACAATTTCTAAAGGCAGATGTCTCACAGGAATTGCTTGTTCTGTTTTTATGATAATATGAAATTTATCTTTTAAAAATTAAATTAAATTTGTATTTTTAAATTTTATTTTAATTTATTTTTATTATTTAAAAATGAAGGCCGGGCTTGGTAGCTCACGCCTGTAATCCTAGCACTTTGGGAGGCTGAGGCAGGCAGATCACCTGAGGTCAGGAGTTCAAGACCAGCCTGGCCAACATGGTGAGACCCCATCTCTATAAAAAGAATTAGCTGGGCATGGTGGTGCGTGCCTGTAATCCCAGCTACTTGGGAGGCTGAGACAGGAGAATCACTTGAACCCAGGAAGTGAAGGTTGCAGTGAGCCAAGATTGCACCACTGCACTCCAACCTGGGGGACAGTGTGAGACTTCGTCTCAAAAAAAAAAAATTGAAAAAAAATAAGAAAGATAGGGTCTCACTATGTTGGCTAGGCTGGTCTTGAACTCCTGGGCTCAAGTGATCCTCCCACCTCAGCCTCCCAAAGTGCTGGGATTACAGGTGTGAGCCACCGCAACTGGCTGAAATTTATCTTTTTAGGAAAAGTGCCCACAGATCTCTTGAGAACATTTATTTAACAATTAAAATTTGTTATTCATAGCACCCATGGAGTGTGCTCACAATATTATAGAAATATGTTTAAGTTTTCTGCATCAAATGTAGCCCTTGATATCGGTTTCTGGCCCATGGCCTTTACCATTTTAAGAAAGGTCTCATATATTAACTCAGACAAATAAAAAAGATGATAAACATTATCAAATACTTTGTCTTCATCTATTAAGATAATCATGTGAGTTTTCTTTTACTCGTCAATGTCGTGAATTACATCAATAAGTTTTCTGATGTTGAACTCTTTTGTATAACTGGACCAAACTCCTTTCTTATGATACATTATCCTTTTAAGACACTGTTGGATTCAGTTAGCTAATATTTTGTAGAGCTTTCTCAAATATGTCGATTAGTGAAATGGCTTTAATATTTCTTTTCTTGTCACTTTTGGAATCAAGGTCAAATTGACTTCACAAAATGAACTGGACAGTTTTCCCTCTTTTTCTATTTCTGGAACAAGTTGCATAAGATGGGAACTATTTGTTTCTTGAAAGTTTGGTAAAACTCACCTATAAATTATTTTTGGGCCTGGAACATTTGGTAGGGGGATGGTATTTGATTGATTCCCATTTCTATTAAAGTGTTCTTTATTCTTGCACTAATTTTGACATCTAACATTTTTCCAGCAGTTTCATCTAGATTATCAAATATGTTATTATACAGCTATTTTTATTTTTTAAGACATAGTCTAGCTCTGTTGCCCAGACTGGAGTGCAGTGGTGTAATCTCAGCTCACTGCAACCTCCGACTCCTGGATTCAAGTGATTCTCCTGCCTCAGCCTCCTGAGTAGCTGGGATTACAGGCACGTGCCAATACACCCAGCTAATGTTTTTTATATTTTTAGTAGAGACGGGGTTTCACCATGTTGGCCAGGCTGGTCTCCAACTCCTGACCTCAAGTGATCCACCCACCTCGGCCTCCCAAAGTGCTGGGATTACAGGTGTGAGCCACCGTGCCCGACTATACAGTTATTTATAATATTGTACTATTTTATAAGTCTTTTCCATCTTCTCTCTCTCTCTTTCCCTTTCTCTATTTCTCTCTCTATCCTGTAAGTGGTCTTATCAAAAGTTTATCAATTTTATTACTCTTTTCAAAAGTTTGCTTTTGGTTTTATTCATCTTCTTGGCTTTTTGTTCTATATTTCATAAATTTGTAGCCTTATCTTAATTGTTTCCTTCCTTAATTTCACTTTTTCATCAACATGTGCTTTATATAATCACATTTTGAAGACTAATAGTGATACAGTCTCCTTTCTTACCTAATAGAATTGGCTTTCATATTAATGAGGTCTGAAGACAATTCTGAGAACTGGTCAAGTTCATTAATTGTTTGTTCGTTGAGTGTGGAAAAATTTTTCACCTCATGATCTCAGCAAACATTTCCAAACTTTTTAATTTCGAGCCAGGAACAGTGCTGAGAACTTCACATGTATCATCTCAATTACGCCTCCTCATATTCCTGCGAGTTAGATATTATTATTACACCCACCACTTTACAGAGTAGGAAACTGAGGCTTAGCAGGATTATATGCCTTGCTGAAGGCCGAAAGTCCAGGATTATATGCCTTGCTGAAGGCTGAAAGTCTAGGGAGTGATAAAGCTGGGATTTGAATCCAGGAAGTCAGATTCAAAAGTCTATACTATAGCCCGGCGCGGTGGCTCACGCCTGTAATTCTAGCATTTTGAGAGGCCGGGGTAGGCAGATCTCTCAAGTTCAGGAGTTCGAGACCAGCCTGGCCAAGATGGCGAAACCCCCTCTCTACTAAAAATACAAAAATTAGCCGGGCGTAGTGGTGGGCGCCTGTAATCCCAGCTACTTGGGAGGCTGAGGCAGGAGAATCACTTGAACCTGGGAGCCAGAGGTTGCAGTGAGCTGAGATTGCACCACTGCACTCCAGTGTGGGTGACAGAGCGAGACTCTGTCTCAAAAAAAAAAAAAAAGTCTATACTATTAACCACTAGGGTATAACACCTCCTTAGAAAGGGTGTTTGTTTCTTTTTAAGCCAAACACAGTCATGTGCCTCATAACAATGTTTTGGTAAATGACAGACCGTGTATACAACAATGGTCCCATAAGATTATAATGTCAATTTTTACTTTATCTTTTCTATGTTTAGATACACAAATATTGACCGTTTGATAATCATGTGTACAATTGCCTGCGGTATTCAATACAGTAACATGCTGCACAGGTTTGTAGCCTAGAAGCAACAGGCTACACCATTCAACCTAGGTGTATAGAAGGCTAGACCATTTAGGTTTGTGTACATACACTCTTATGATGTTCACACAACAGCAAAATCACCTAATGACTAATACCTTTCTCAGAATGTATCCCTGTTGTTAAGTGACTCGTGGCTGTATGAGGACCATTTTAAAGCAAATTCAGTTACGGTTGTTATTTTAATTCCAGGTAAATACTACATAGCCACGATGGCCCTGATCACAGCCTCCACTGCGTTGACCATCATGGTGATGAATATCCACTTCTGTGGGGCCGAGGCCCGGCCGGTGCCACACTGGGCCAGGGTGGTCATCCTGAAATACATGTCCAGGGTCTTGTTTGTCTATGATGTGGGTGAAAGCTGCCTCAGCCCGCACCACAGTAGAGAGCGGGACCACCTCACGAAAGTTTATAGCAAACTCCCAGAGTCTAACCTGAAAGCAGCCAGGAACAAAGACCTTTCCAGAAAGAAGGACATGAACAAACGCTTAAAGAACGACCTGGGCTGCCAGGGTAAGAACCCTCAGGAGGCCGAGAGTTACTGTGCACAGTACAAAGTGCTGACGAGGAATATTGAGTACATCGCCAAGTGCCTCAAAGACCACAAGGCCACCAATTCCAAGGGGAGTGAATGGAAGAAGGTGGCGAAAGTCATAGACCGATTCTTCATGTGGATTTTTTTCATTATGGTGTTTGTGATGACTATTTTGATCATAGCAAGAGCGGATTAGTCACAGATATTGGCTTTGCTATCTGGGTAGAAATTAATACAATTCCCTGTGATCTATTCCAATGTTCTTCCAAGATTTTTGTTCATCTATAATTTAGGGGTTATGTTGTCTGTGCTTTTTATTTTTAGCTTCAAATGAATGTCGAAGCTATCTGCTCTGTTAAATTAAGCAGAAGAACCAAAATTTCAAGGGTAGGAAGATGGAAGAAATAGGGAAAGAGCCCTTTTATAGCCCACCGTAGTGGTGGGTGACTGGCCTCTAGTTTATATAATTATTTACCTCTTTGGCAGTACAGATAACAAAATACACTTTACTGGTAAAATTTAAAACAAAAAAGGCAAAACAAAACAAACTCATTTTCCCCTTAGTTCCCATTAAAATATGCATTTGAAAAATGAAATAGTCATATATATATTAGTGTGATTTAAGTCTCAATGGTACCTTATTCAGGCATAGTGCATTTGAAGTCATATCTCAAATAGTGGAATAAAAGGTTTTGTCCCATGTAAAGAAAGTCTAAGCATCAGCTGTTTAATGGGGAAAAGAACTTTCTTCATAATGGTGATGTCGTATATGTTGGTTATGTTTTATATAAACCCAAAAGATGAAGTCATTCCTGCATTTACCCTTTGATTAAAATATGATAGATGAAGCTGTTCCTGCATTTAGTCTTGTATTAAAATAAGGTGATTAGCAAGCTGGGCTCATCCATTCATTCATTGAACTTTTCACCAAACATGGATCACGTTTTTTCCTGCATGTAATAAAAGCAATATGATTCACATTTGCATGGGGTGTCACAGCAATTCTTATGCACAAGCCTGATCACTTTGATCCTCACAACAACTCTGTGAGTTGGGAAGGCGAGCGTTACTATTCTTTCTCAGAGAAAGAAACCGTGGCTTAAAAGGAGGATGTAAGTGACCTGCCTCCTCAACATCCAACACGGTGTAAGTGGAACTGGGACTCACCCCTCAGCACTGGGACTCAGAGTTGGGCTACATCTGCTAAAGTCACCCTGCTTTTGGCCATGACAAATTATGATTTAGCACAGGAGAGACTGAGAGATTCTTATTCTTAATTCTGAACTTTCTGCCCTAATTTACTTCCTGTATGTCTCAACTTCTTTCCTACTTTCAATAAAATGTGACTTCAAATTCACCCCCCATTCCCACCTAGATTAAAATGATCCAAGGCTGGGTGCAGTGGCTTACATCTATAATCCTGTTTTTTTGTTTTGTTTGTTTGTTTGAGAGGGAGTCTCACTCTGTCACCCAGGCTGGAGTGCAGTGGCACGATCTTGGCTCACTGCAATCTCTGCCTCCCAGGTTTAAGCAATTATCTTGCTTCAGCCTCCCTAGTAGCTGGGACTACAGGCGTGTGCCACCACACCCGGCTAATTTTTTTGGTATTTTTTGTAGAGACGGGGTTTTGCCATGTTGGCCAGGCTGGTATGGAACTCCCGGCCTCAAGCGATCTGCCCACCTTGGCCTCCCAAAGTGCTGGGATTACAGGCATGACACCGTGCCCAGCCCTATAGTCTCAATATTTTGGGAGACTGAGGTGGAAGATTGCCTGAGCCCAGGAGTTCCAGAGCAGCCTGGGCAACATGCAGAGAACCTGTCTCTACAAAAAAGTTAAAAATTAGCCGGGCATGGTGACAGACAACTGTGGTCCCAGCTACTTGGGAGGCTGAGGTGGGAGGATCACTTGAACCCCAGGAGACTGAGGCTGCAGTGAGCTGTGATTGCACCACTACACTAGCCTAGGTGACAGTGTGAAACATTCCCTAACTGCCAACTCATTAACTATTCTTTTTCCAGTTAAACAGAGGTGGAGAGAAAACAGGAGTCAACCTAGGAAGGGGAGGATGATGTTTGGTTTAAACATATAGACATTGCTTTTTGTTTGTTTGTTTTTGTTGTTTTTTTTTTTTAGACGGAGTTTCACTCTGTCACCCAGGCTGGAGTTCAGTGGCCTGATCTTGGCTCACTGCAACCTCCGCTTCCTGGTTTCAAGTGATTCTCCTGCTTCAGCCTCCTGAGTAGCTGAGACTACAGATGCGTGCCACCACGCCTGGCTAATTTTTTGTATTTTTAGTAGAGACGGGGTTTCACCATATTGGCCAGGCTGGCCTAGAACTCCTGACCTCGTGATCCGCCCGCCTCAGCCTCCCAAAGTGCTGGGATTACAGGTGTGAGCCAAAGCACCTGGCCGGCATTGTTTTTTAATTCTTGTGTTTACTCATTCCAGAAAATATTTGTTGTGCACCTATTATATACTTAGTGGTATGTATGCCAGCTGCCTTGGAGGGAACAAGTATGAAACGTGGCTTCTACCCTCCAGTTGCTCACATGTTGCTCACAGTTCAGTGGAGGAGATACCAAGGAAATAGGCAAACATAGTCAAGTGTAAAACGTGCTATCACAGAATCACGGACAAAACACCATGGGCACAATGATGATGAATCTGTTTGAGGGAAAGCTTAGGAAAGACTTTGCAGGGTATAACATTAACATTTGAGTTGAGGTTTTTTATTGTTGTCTTTTGCTTTTGAGATGGAGTCTCACTCTATCACCCAGGCTGTGTAATCTCGGCTCACTGCAACCTCCACCTCTTGGGTTCAAGCAATTCTCCTGCCTCAGCCTCCTGAGTAGCTGGGACTACAGGTACGCGCCACCTCGCCTGGCTAATTTTTGTATTTTTGTAGAGATGAGGTTTCGCCCTGTTGCCCAGGCTGGTCTCAAACTCCTGACCTCAGATGTTCTGCCCGCCTCGGCCTCCCAAAGCACTGGGATTACAGGCGTGAGCCTCTGTTTCCGGTCTTAAGCTGAGTTTTGAAGGTTGAGTAGGAGTTTGCTAGACAAAGAAAGAAATGAGGGTAAGGATTAGAAGGGATTGGTGAAAGAAGAGTGTGGGCAGAGCTTAGAAGAACAGAAACCAGGCTGGGTGCGGTGGCTCACACCTGTAATCCCAGCCCTTTGGGAGGCTGAATCGGGTGGATCACCTGAGGTCAGCAGTTTGAGACCAGCCTGACCAACATGGAGAAACCCCGTATGTACTAAAAATACAAAATTAGCTGGGAGAATCGCTTGAACCTGGGAGGCGGAGGTTGCAGTGGCCAAGCCTGGGCGTCATTGCACTCCAGCCTGGGCAACAAGAGCTAAACTCCACCTCAAAACAAACAAACAAACAAAAACAAAAAAGGAAGAACAAAAACCTTGTTTAGTCACGGAATGGAATCAGACAACTTTTCTTCTTATTTTATTTTAATTACAGAAGTAATTTTATCAGTTAGAGTTGTATTTGGCTGTGAATAACAGAAAACCCAGTGAGCCATAACTTAAGCAAACAGAGGTTACTCATCTCACACAAAAATAAATCCAGAGCTGCAAAGCCCAGGGATCTTTCCATCTTTCCTCTCCTCCATTTGGAAGTGAAGCCCAACAGCCTGAGGCTTGATGCTTCGCGGTCACAGAAAGGCGGTTGCATCTGTAGGCTTTGCAGCCACATTCCAAATGGGAAGAAAAAAGAATGGAAGGCCAAAGAGACATACCAGCCGAACTTCCCTCTTTAAAAAAATAATAATAATAATAAAAATTTTTAAAAATGCTAGGCTGGGCGCAGTGGCTCATGCCTATAATCCCAGCAGCACTTTGGGAGGCTGAGGTGGGCAGATCAACTTGAGGCTGGGAGATCGACACCAGCCTGGCCAACATGGCAAAACCCTGGCTCTACTAAAAATACAAAAATTAGCCAGGCGTGGTGGTGGGCGCCTGTAATTCCAGCTACTTGGGAGGCTGAGACATGAGAATTGCTTGAACCCAGGGGGCAGAGGTTGCAGTGAGCTGAGATCATGCCACTGCACTCCCCTCCAGCCTCTGCGACACAGCAAGACTCTGTATCAAAAAGAAAAGAAAAGAAAAGAAAAAAATCCTAGAAGCAGAAGCACATCCATGACTTTCTTCTGTAGCTCATTAGCTAGAAATGAATCACATGCAAGAAAATCTTGGAATAGTTTTACCTTCCCAAAGACAATCAATGTTATCTTTATAAGAAGGAAAGAGAGAGTAGATGTTGGGTAGATAACAAGCAGTTCCTGCCTCAATTATACAGCCACACTATAGTAAGGGCAGGATATAAAAGAATAACAGGCCAGGCACGGTGGCTCATGCTTGTAATCCCAGCACTTTGGGGAGTCGAGGTGGGTGGATTACCTGAGGTCAGGAGTTTGAAACCAGCCTGACCAACATGGAGAAACCCCATCTCTACTGAAAATACAAAATTAGCCGGGTGTGGTGGCACATACCTGTAATCCCAGCTACTCGGGAGGCTGAGGCAGGAGAATCGCTTGAACCCAGGAGACAGAGGTTGTGGTGAGCCAAGATTGCGCCCTTACACTCCAGCCTGGGCAACAAGAGCGAAACTCTGTCTCAAAAAAAAAAAAAAAAAAAAAAAAGAATAACAATTACTCAAGTTCCACAATCATAGCAATAACAACTATTCATTTACTATTATTTTCCTTCAATCATATTTATGTGTCTAGTTTCTCTGCTATAATTATAATCATTATGTATTTACTATTTTGTCCTGCTATATTTATTTATTTATTTATTGAGACAGAGTCTTGCTCTGTTGCCCAGGCTGGAGTGCAGTGGCTCTCTCTCGGCTTACTGCAATATCCGCCTCCTGGGTTCAAGCGACTCTCCTGCCTCAGCCTCCTGAGTAGCTGGGATTACAGGTATGTGCCACCACACCCGGCTAATTTTGTATTTTCAGTAGAGATGGGGTTTCTCCATGTTGGTCAGGCTGGTCTTGAACTCCTGACCTCAGGTGATCTGGTTGCTTTGGCCTCTCAAAGTGCTGGGATTACAGACATGAGCCACCGCATCTGGACTTATTTTCATTTTTGAGATGGGGTCTTGCTCTGTCATCCAGGCTGGAGTGCAGTAATGCAATCACGGCTCACTGAAGCCTGGACTTCCTGGGCTCACGTCATCCTCCCATCTCAGTCTCCTGAGTAGCTGGGACTACATGCATGCATCACCAAGCCCAGCTAATTTTTTAATTTTTTATAGAGATGGGGTTTTACTATGTTGCTCAGGTTGGTCTCAAACTCCTAGGCTCAAGCAATCCTCCCACTCAGTCTCCCAAAGTGCTGGGATTACAGGTGTGAGCCACCTGCCCAGACAGCATTCAATTTTTAAATAATTTTTTGTATAGATGGGGTTTCATTTTGTTGCCCTGGCTGGTCTTGAACTCCTGGCCTCAAGTGATCCTCCCACCTCAGCCTCCCAAAGACTCTGGTATTATAGGTATGCGTTCTTCAATTTGTACTGAACCTGTGGTAGGCAGAATAATGGTCCACCAAAGATGTCCAAGTGCTAATGTGAAGGACTGGTGAGTGTGCTAAGTTACCCCGCAATGAGAAGTTAAGGTTGCTAATCAACTGACCTAGAGGTGGGGAGATAATTTTAAATTATCCAGCTGGATAAAGATCCTTTTAAGTAGAAAAGGGAGGCAGAAGAGAGAGAACCAAAGAGATGGTATCATGAGAAGGACTCAGCCAATGTTGCTGACTTCGAAAAATGGAGGAAAAGAGCTATGAACCAACAGTGTGAGAAGCAGCCTCTAGGAATCGGAAAAGTCAAAGCAACAGATTGTCCCCTAGAGCCTCCAAAAGGAAAGCAGCCCTGCTGATATCTTAATTTTAGCCCAGTGAGATCCATTCCAGACTTTTGACCCTCCCAAACTCCAAGATAACAAATGTGGGTTAAGACATGAAATTTATGGTAATTTGTTATAGCAGCAATAGAAAACCAATTCAGTATCCAATGTTTAAGAAATAAGACTGTGGTGGCAATTAAAAGACTGTAGAGAAAAGTGGTAAAAGGCAGGGAGATCTATTGGGATTTTTTTTTTTTTTTTACCTGTTTAGGAAAGTGATAATGAAGGTTTGACCCAAGATGGTGGGAATAAGAAAATGGATAAGATTACAGATCACAAAATATTTATGACCTAGAATAGACAGGCTAGTTGGATACGGGCTTAGGGAGAGGATGGCATTGAGAATAATGCAGACAATCAAGGTGAAGAGTAAAAGAGAACCAGGTATTGGAGGAAAGAATTCTTTGTAGGGCATCTTGAGCTGGAAATTCTCATAGGAAATCCTGGCAGAGATAGCTAGTAAGTAGTCGACCATGCATTTGAAACTGGAGAAAAGTGAAAGCTAAAATAATTTTAAAATGAAAAATATTAGGTGGGGTGTGGTGGCTCATGCCTGTAATCTGAGCACTTTGGGAGGCTGAGGCAGGCGGATCACGATGTCGGGAGATCGAGACCATCCTGGCTAACACGGTGAAACCCCATCTCTACTAAAAATACAAAAAATTAGCCAGGCGTGGTGGCAGGCAACTATAGTCCCAGCTACTCTGGAGGCTGAGGCAGGAGAATGGCGTGAACCCAGGAAGCAGAGCTTGCAGTGAGCCAAGATCACGCCACTACACTCCAGCCTGGGTGACAGAGCAAGACTCTGTCTCAGTTAAAAAAAAAAAAAAGAAAAAGAAAAATATTAAAGAGATGTTATACTCAGGTTAATTGTTAAAGTATTTTTAACTGATTTCAGTGGGTAAGACATGGTGCTACAAACTGTGAGAAACTCAATAGAATAAAATCACATTCCTTGCCAGAATTCTAGAAACTCACAATCAGTCTGCATCATTAAAGCTTTATCTTGTTATGCGGTCATTTCTTCATTTTCATGTCTACTTCCCCAAGTATATTCAGACCCTCTCCAGACCTGGGGCCCAGAAGCTCTGTCATTATTCTCTCCGTCATTGTGCACAATAACAGGCCTAGTACACAATCATTAAACAGTAAACAATTGTTAAATGAATGACCGGGTGAAAGGAAGAGCTGTTAGAGAGTCCAACAAATCACTACAGAAATGCTGACCATGAAAAGCCTCCTATATTATGCAACAGACTGCCTTCAAAATAACAGCAATTGAGTTGGCAACAGACTTCTCATCTGCAACTATAGAAGCCAAGAAACATGGAGTAATATCTTCAAAATGCCAAAGAAAATTGACTGTCAACATAAAATTTGAACACTCAGCTGAACTATTCACAGTTGCAGAAAAAAATGTAGACGTACAAAAAAATAACAATACTTACCTTGCCCTTACCCTTGACCCTTAATTTAAATAACTTCAACAAGAACAAAAGTGAACTTAATGGAAGGAAGAAAAATACAGAAAGCAACAATGAGAAAAACATCAATAAAATATAATTTGTGGCAGGGCACGGTGGCTTATGCCTGTAATCCCAGCACTTTGGGAGGCCAAGGCGGGTGGATCACCTGAGGTCAGGTGTTTGAGACCAGCCTGGCCAACATGATGAAACCTTGCTCTACTAAAAATGCAAAAAATAACCAGGCATGGTGGAGCGCCCCTGTAATCCCAGCTACCCGAGAGGCTGAGGTGGGAGAATTGCCTGAACCCAGGAGGTGGAGGCTGCAATGAGCCTAGATTGTGTATAGTGTAATTATTGCAATAGTATTATTAATAATACAAAGACATGTTTCATATAAGGTAGAACAAAAACTCTATGTAATGATGTGGAAATTAAGAAGGGGAAGGTAAGATGGAACCTAAACCACACTAAGGTCTTTGTCTAGATAACAAATTACTTTTTTTTTTTTTTTTGAGATACGGTCTTACTCTGTCACCCAGGCTGGAGTGCACTGCTGCAATCTTGGCTCGCTGCAACCTCCGCCGCTTGGGTTTAAGAAATTCTCGTGCCTCAGCCTCGTTAGTAGCTGGGATTATAGGCGCCCACCATTATGCCTGGCTAATTTTTGTATTTTTCCTAGAGATGGGGTTTTGGCATGTTGGCCAGGCTGGTCTCGAGCTCCTGACCTCAAGTGATCTGCCTGCCTCAGCCTCCCAAAGTGCTGGGATTACGGGCATGAGCCATTGTGCCCAGCCACAAATTACTTTTAATATTAGTAAAATATATCATATTTGAATAGATGCCAAAAATTTAAGGAATGGCCTTAAAAGTATAGAAATATTAGTTGTGTCTTCTAAATTGAAAAAGGAAACACGAGGAAAGGTAAACTATTTCCAACACAAAAGAAGACAGAAAAGGGGAAAAATAGAAGAGATGCTTCATTCAACTGCTCTTAGCCATGCTTTGGTACAGAGTTCCCTGGATAAGCAATGCAAGTAAAAATACAAACAAAATACAAAATACTACAGCAAAGCGGGAAGGTAAATGTTGTATAGCTATTGAGACAATCAGACTACTGTATACAAAAATAAGTTTCAGACAGATTAAAGACATAGATGTCAAAACAAAAACAAACAAACAAACAAAAAAGCTTGTAAGAAAATTAGACTTCCTTTTTTTTGAGATGGAGTTTCGCTCTTGTTGCCCAGGCTGGAGTGCAATGGCGTGATCTCGGCTCACAGCCACCTCCGCCTCCCGTTGGGTTCAAGCAATTCTCCTGCCTCAGCCTCCCAAGTAGCTGGGATTACAGACATGTGCCACCACGCCTGGCTAATTTTGTATTTTTAGTAGAGAGGGGGTTTCTCCATGTTGGTCAGGCTGGTCTTGAACTCTCAACCTCAGGTGATCTGCCTGCATCAGCCTCCCAGAGTGCTGGGATTACAGGTGTGAGCCACCACGTCCGGCCAAAAATTAGACTTTCTAAATAAAATTCTTCACCTCCATGCATTTTAAGAAGTGGTAGCCACTATGGAAGAGGAGCCAGGGTGCTCTGGAGATAAAGCAAGGGACTGCTTTGGGTTGGGTGGGCAGCCTGTGGAGAAAGTGGTGTTTCAGATGAGACCTGAGGGTGAGAAAGAGCTGGCCGGGGTTAGAGGTGGGAGAAGTGCCAGGTTGCAGGTAGGAGCTCAGGCTCAAGGGCAGAACACAGCTCCTGACGTTGGAGAAAGGGAGAGGAGGCCCCTGAGGCAGAACAGTGAAATCAGATCAATGACCCAAGAGACATAAGAGTCGAGATTGGCAAGGTGAGCAGGGCTGGGTGATCCAGAGCCTTGCAAAGTTTAAGAAAACACCAACTACTTTGTTTATTGTCTGACTGCCTCAGCGCGCTGAGGTGTGTCCAGGTTTGTTGAGGTCCTGACCTTTGTTCTTTCTCCTTCTTTAGCCTCTGTGTCTCCTTTTCCGTCAGCTTAGGGCTCAGACCAACGCTTTACCAATGCAACCGGGACAAACCTGGCAACTGGACTGTCTTGGACAAACTGGAAACACAAGTTCTAGAACATCTGAAGCAATTGTGGTGAGGCCACTTGACATGTCACCAACCCCAGAGAGCAAAGAGCTCTCTGCCTTTTCTTCCTTCCTCTCAGATTACGCCTTTGAAATAAGACCTGACTGTTAAAACTTCATGAGCTTATCAATATATCCAAGCCACTCCAACACTTAAAAAATAAAACCCCATGACAAAACCTCTTTTGCCTTTGTGTATTTCTGTCTCTTTACTCTTGTCAGTCAAATTTCCCTCCTGGATCATTCAGGCTTCCAGCAGGACACAGATGGTGTGTTCATATAAAGATAATTTGAGGAAGGTGTAATAAAGGAGTGTCTGCAAAGGTGTAGGCAGGTTGCAGAGAAACACCAGGGGCAGTAGAAAATCCCAGGCCTAGAAAAGCAGAGCTGTTACCACTCTAGGCCTGAGAGGAGGTGGGAAGGAGTGGTTACCTGGACCCAGGAGGAAAGCCATGACTTCTGGTTGAGCAAATGTGGCAGAAGCCTTAGGGAAGGAGTTGGGGGATATATATATATATCCCCATCTCACCCTCCTTCCCTCCAGTCTCCTCCTAGGGCTCACCGTTGGCCAAACTCAACAGTCATGGGAATCTGTTGGTGCTGCCTGTGTGCCCAGGACAGACAGCAGAGTGGCAAAGCATTGAGTGTGAATCTGGAAGGACAAAGGGAGACATCTGGCACATTCCCTCATTCTTTGTCCTCACTCTGTGTTTAAAACCTGATTTATTTTCTCCACAGTCAACTGGAACTGCTCTGACCAAGCTCACCATGGACTTGGTAACTGCAAATCCACTGGATACCGCTGAGGCCTCTCTGCTGCCTTCAGCACAGTTGACTGCTTTCTCTTTCCTGAAACACTTCTGTCTTATCTTCTGTTACCCCCTCCCCACTTTTTTTTTTTTTGTTTGAGACAGAGTCTCACTCTGTCGCCCAGGCTGGAATACAGTGATGTGATCTTGGCTCACTGCAATCTCCGCCTCCTGGGTTCAAGCAATTCTCCTGCCTCAGCCTCCCGAGTAGCTGGGATTACAGGTGCCTGCCACCATGTCTGGCTAATTTTTGTATTTTTAGTAAAGATGGGGTTTCACCACATTGGTCAGGATGTTCTCGAACTCCTGACCTCCAGTGTTCCACCCACCTCTGCCACCGCAGACGCATAGGCAGGAGCCACTCACCCGGCCTGTGTTACCCCTTTCTGCTTCTTAAGTGGCACGTTCTCAGAACCCCTGGCTGGCTCCGACTCCTCCTCTTCTGGTCAAGGTTGGTGTCCCTCCATGTTACATCCTCAGCTCTCCTGATGATTATGTATGTCCTGAAGGTTCTCAAAACCGCTTGTCCAATCTTGAGCTCCCCTTAGCTCCAAACCCAATAGAATCTTCAAGTCCTCTGAGTATCTCCACTTCTCACAGGCCTTCAAACTCAACACATCCCAAACTAAGTTTATTATCTATATTGCCACCCAGGTCTCCTCCTCCTCCTGTGTTTTCCGTGTCATTTAGCTGTATTACCATCACCTCCATCAACCAGCCTAGAAATCGGGGAGTCTTCCTAGATTATTGTCTAACCTAAAATCAAACCTCTCACCGATCCTGACAATTTTACTTGCTAAGAGGTTTTCAAATCTGTCCACTTTTCTCTTTGACAATTGTGTTATTCTAGATCTTTATCCTCTTTGCCTGGCCTGTTGCAGCGCCAGCCTAACTGGGCCTCCAGCTGCTTCCCCCTTGACTCCATCCTAGTCAAACTGATCTTGTGACTCCTTTGCCTAAAACTTTTAAAATGGCTAAATACCTACAGGATAAAATCCAACTTCCTTAATATGACACAGCAGAGATTAAAAATGTGTGTGTGTGTGTGTTTTCTTTTCTGCTGTTCTAGGATGCCTTTGCATATTTCACTCCCTGTTCACCCCAGGAGTGTAAATCATGTTCTTGGCTTAGAGAGTAATCACCCTTCAATCTCTTTCAGGCAAAGTAATCAGACCTGTTCTGTTGCGAGGGTCTGAGACGCCCTGAGAGCAGTCAGGGTCTTCAGCATGGAAGGGGGTATGGAAATAAGAACTTTGGTGTTTAATGGTTTAAAAAGGAGAAGCCAAGCTGACTTGCCTCTCTGAGCATGTGACTCAACTGCTGAGCTAGACATGGACCTTCACCTGAGACCCTAAGCCTTTTATGGTTTATATGGAAAGATGAATACCAAATGCCAATAGCCAAAAAAAAAATATGCAAAAGAAGGCTGTGAGGGGTTCTTGCTTGAGAGGAAATTGGAGGTCATGGTAAGCAAATCAAGTTGGGACTGGGCTAGGAATAGACTCACCATTACCATCAAAAGAAAAAGAAAGAAAGAAAGAAAGAAACGAAAAAAAGAGAAAAAAAACAGTGGAAATGAATAGAGAAAACAGAGAATCCAGAAATGGCTCATAGTGCATGTGAGAATTTAATATATGGTCATGAGAGTAGCTGAAATCAGTGAGGAAAGGCTATCTATTAAAAAATAAAATAATTTCAGGCCCCTGTTTTATATAAGATATAAAAATTAATTTAAGATAGATCAAAACTTAAATGTAAAAAACAAAATAATAATATATAAATTCTATGAGAAAATCTAGGAAACTACATGTAAGAGGCAGAGGAGATTCCCTTATCAAATACTGGAAACCAGACGCTATTAAAAAAAGAGATAGACATATTTGACTGCATAAAACCCCAAAATGTCATGTGACAAAAGATATAATTAAAAATGGTCAGTTGGGTCTGGTGGCTCACGCCTGTAATCCCAGCAATTTGGGAGGCTGAGGTGGGAGGATCATTTGAGGCCAGGAGTTTGAGACCAGCCTGGCCAACATGGTGAGACCCTCTCTCTTTAAAAAAAAAATAAAGTCAATGAAAAAGCCAAATGAAAATTGATAGACTTAAACATACCATAAATACTGCTAATATTCAAAACACTTACAAACTGATCCAAAAGAGTAAACAACTCCATCAAGGATAATTAGCAAACAGTATAAAAAGATAGTTCACAAAGAGACAAAGTTTCATGCCTGTAATCCCGGCACTTCGGGAGGCTGAGGTGGAAGAATCACTTGAGGCCAGTAGTTCAAGACCAGTCTGGGCAACATAGCGAGACCTCGTCTCTACAAAAAACTTTTAAAAAGTTAGCTGGGCACGACGGCACATGCCTGTGGTTCCAATCACTTGAGCCCAGGAGTTCAAGATTACAGTGAGCTATGATGGCACTACTGCACTCCAGCCTGGGTGACAGAGCGAGACCCTGTTTCTTAAAAAAAAATAATAAAAGAAAAAAAAATTAAATAATTGGAAAAATTCATCTTTTGACCAGGCGCGTTGGCTCATGCCTATAATTCCAGCACTTTGGGAGGCTGAGGCAGGTGGATCAGCTGAGGTCAGCAGTTCAAGACCAGCCCGGCCAACATGGCGAAACCCCAGGCTACTAAAAATACAAAAATTAGCCAGGCATGGTGGCGTACTCCTGTAGTCCCAGCTACTCAGGAGGCTGAGGCAGGAGAATCTCTTGAACCCGGGAGTCAGAGGTTGCAGTGAGCCAAGATTGGGTTATTGCAGTCCAGCCTGGGTGACAGCGAGACTCCGTCAAAAAAAAAAATTATCTTTTTTCACAAAGCTTCTCCTGTATACTTCCAGTGTGTTAGTTACCCCCTTTTTTGCATTGTCTCTATAGTGTGGACAGAGTTTTATATTCACACTTATGACACACTAAAAATCTGTAATTTAAAAATGTCCACAGCTGTGCCTTCTAGATTGTGGCCACTGTGATGACAGGAATTGTGTCTTATTTATCTTCACATTCCATCATCACGGTGGACATTGTCCAAGGGCTGTAGCAACCAAGTACCGCAAACAAGGTGGCTTGAAACAACCGAAGCATACTGCCTCACAGTTCTAGAGGCTAGAAATCCAAAATGAAGTTGTTGGGAGGGACGTGTTCTCTCTAAAGATTCTAGGGGAGAATCCCTCCTTGCCTTTTCCAGCTTCTAGGGGACCCCTGAAACCCTTGGTGTTCCTCCACATTCTAATCTCTGCCTCTGTCTCCACATGGGGTTTCCCTACGTGTGCATCTGTCTATGTGTTCAAATTTCTCTCTTCTCATAAGTCTGTATATTTCTACCAGTCAAGATTGACTAAGCTTCATTTCCTGCCGTTTGGCTAATGAAAACAATCGCCATGTGGAATATTACTTTTTGTACCAAAGGTGCTTCTCTGGTCTGCCGGGTCCCCTAGATGTAGTGCCTTTTCCCTGATTTGAGAATGTGTGTTCTAATCCTGAATAATCCTAATTAGGATTGAATAAGGCCCACCCTAATACAGCATGATCTCATTTTAACTTGAATACACCTGCAAATTTAAGGTCAGGCACGGTGGCTCATGCCTGTAATTCCAGCACTTTGAGAGGCCAAAGTGGGCAGATTGCTTGAGCCCAGGGGTGTGAGACCAGTCTGGGCAACACGGCAAAGCCTTGTCTCTACAAAAAATACAAAAATCAGTGGGATGTGATGGAGCGAGCCTGTAGTCCCAGCCACTTGGGATGCTGAGGTGGGAGGATCCCCTGAGTCTGGGGAGGTTGAGGCTGCAATGAGCCATGATTGTGCCACTGCACTCAGCCTGAGTGACAGAGGGAGACCCTGTATCAAAAAAAAAAAAAGAAAGAAAGAAAAGAAAAAAGAAAAATTTATAGAACTTGTAACAAGCTATAAAATGTTAGTGATCTAAGAGAAAGTATACTAAAAGCAAAATGTACACCGATACGTAGCCAACAATTCATGTCAATTGCAGGGAGTGAAGTAATAATAATAAAATAAGTAGGCTGGGCCTGGTGGCTCACGCCTGTAATCCTAGCACTTTGGGAGGCCGAGGTGGGTGGATAACCTGAGGTCAGGGGTTTGTGACCAGCCTGGACAACATGGTGAAACCCCGTCTCTACTAAAAATACAAAAAATTAGCTGGGCATGGTGGCAGGCACTTGTAATCCCAGCTACTTGGGAGGCTGAGGCAGGAGAATCGCTTGAACCCGGGAGGCGGAGGTTGAGGTGAGCCGAGATCGCGCCATTGCACTCCAGCCTGGGTGACAGACTGAGACTCTGTCTCAAAATAAATAAATAAATAAATAAATAAATAAAATAAGTAAATATGGGGGGTGTGAGAGAAGATTTCATTCCTTTTTACATTTCCTTATCCAGGTTACAGAAACTAAAATAAAATAAAATTCCTGCTTTACACGGTTTGTACCTTAATTACATTTAGAAATAAATGACTCACCACAGGTTGAAAGTGCAAAGATTAGGATTATTCAGGACTAGAACACACATTCTCAAATCACGGAAAGGTCACTATGTCTAGGGGACCCCGGAGACCAGAGAAGTGCCTTTGGTTCAAAAAATAAATTCTACATAGTGATTGTTTTCATTAACCAAACCGCAGGAAATGAAGCTGCGTCAATCTTGACTGTCAGGAATATATAGACTTTGGTATGAGAAAGCTTTGAAGGAGACTTGAGTTTTTAAAAAATTGAGAAATTCTAGTCAAGAAGAAGAGACAATGGTGTAATTCAGACATGTGAACTGTAAAACAATTCAATATTTTCATAGAAAGAATGAAAGCCTGATTCTTCTTTGGGTCTGGAAAAACAGCATTTTGACAAATACTGGCTGGGAGGTGGGAGGGCCCCCTTTCTGGCTACAAACCAAAGAAGGATTTTCTTTACTCCGTCTCTGGCCCAAAGACTATGGTTAGAGCCTTCTGGGTTCAGTCATTTACAGAATAGTGACTCTACTTGCAGGCCCCAAGGTTCGAAGGTTGATACAGAAACCCAAAGTGAGAAAATGGCCTTGGTTTCTGATCTTGGAGATTTGAAGCAGGGCTGTCTATCTCTAACCCTGAGAGTCTTGGGCCAGGTTGAAATGAATTCCAAACCAAAGTTGATGCCATCATCCATGTTTTGTTAATTAATTCAATTAATAAGTGGTACATGACTGGTAGTAATTGGGCAGTTGCAAAGGCTCAGATACAGCCCACAGGTGTCCCTGTAACCCAGAAAATCCCTACCTACAGAAAGGGATTTGTCTTGTTCTGCACCAGCTATATTGAATTCTGAATGGGTGGTTTTGCAGGAAGTAATTTAAGCTGTAAGACTATCTGAGCCTTCATAAGTAATATAGCTGTAGAACATATAGCAATTGAGATTCTCACATTAGATAACTGGGCCAAAGTCCAGAGACCAGCTCGTAGGAGAGAGATGGCTGACATCCAGGAGTTCTTTGTCCCCAAGAATGGACTCTGAGCATTCCAATTCTGGCCCCATCTTGGGCAACTGCTGTAGGGTCAAAGCTACAGGAGTTTTTCTTTTCATGGGAACTAGTTCTAACATTTGTTTCAATCCTTTCTAGGAGAAGTAGATAGTAACTTATAGTATCCTGAAAAATGTTCTGCAAAAGAAACAAGTGCTATAAAAAAAGATCAGCAGTAAGGAAGAATTAAGAAGTAGAATAGGGCAGGGCGTGGTGGCTCACGCCTGTAATCCCAGCACTTTGGGAGGCCGAGACGGGCAAATCACGATGTCAGGAGATTGAGACCATCCTGGCTAACACGGTGAAACCCCATCTTTATTAAAAATACAAAAAATTAGCCGGGCGTGGTGGCAGGTGCCTGTAGTCCCAGCTACTCGGGAGGCTGAGGCAGGAGAATGGCATGAACCCCAGAGGCGGAGCTTGCAGTGAGCCGAGATTGTGCCACTGCACTCCAACCTGGGCGACAGAGCGAGACTCCATCTCAAAAAAAAAAAAAAAAAGAAGAAGTAGAATAACTTTTGTTACTTTTATCAGGGCGCAAAATCTTCCCCAGAGGCCCCAGCAGTATTCCTTCTATATCTCATTGGCCAGAGTTTGGTCACATGTGCACTCCTAGATCAATCACTGACAAAGGTGTAGACTACCATGACTCGCTTGAGAACAATCAAATTGATTCCCTGGAGTTGGGGAAGGGTTCTGCTTTCCCTTATCACATTGCTGCACTCCCAATACCTGAATAACAGCAGGGCTCTGTAGGCAAGGAAGACTTTGGATGGGTAGCAACAGAATGGACCGCAACAACACTGAAAAAAAAAAAAAAAGCAAAAAATAGGGGACCATTTAATTCCGGTCTCTGTACCTGACTCTTTATGTAACAGGACAAATACAAATTTGTCCCTATCTTGCCAAAGTAGACATCAACCTTGAATGGGGAGTAAAAACTCTTCTCTAGGTCCATGTATGCTCAAGTAGCACAATTATAGGCCCCATCATCAACTCTGAGGTCAAGCGGCCAACAGTAACATAAGGTTGGTTCCTAGAGCTGGCTGAAAGTCTCAAACTTAAATCCTTTACTAGTTTTTCTCAGAATTTGTCTGGCTTGATAAACTGTAAAACAGCACAGAAAGCAGAAAAAGAACTTTAGAAATTGAGGAGATGTTGGCCGGTACAGTGGCTCACGCCTGTAATCCCAGCACTTTGGGAAGCTGAGGTAGGCAGATTGCTTGAGGCCAGGAGTTTGAGACCTGCTTGGCAAACATGGCGAACCTCCGCCTTTACAAAAAATACAAAAATTAGCTGGGCATGGTGGTGGGCGCCTGTAATCCCAGCTTCTTGGGAGGCTGAGGCATGAGAATTTCTTGAACCCAGGAGGCAGATGTTGCAATGAGCCGAGATCTAGCCACTACACTCGAGCCTGGGAAGCAGAGAGAGACTCTGTCTAAAAGAAAAAAAAAAAAAAAAGGCAAGGAGCTATTATGCCAACATCAGAATCACAAAGGACAAAGCAAACTTAGTAAATTTTGAACAAAACTTTGAAACTTAATGACTGTGAATGGCCAAATGCTACTCAACTACGAGTGACAGAAATAAAATAAAGCAAAAGACACTGCTACAGAGGTTAAAAAGTTAGGCTATGGTGAGTAGTTCTATTTTCTTTTTTTTTTTTTTTTAACAGACGGGGTCTCACTATGTTGCCCAGGCTGGCCTCAAACTCCTGGGCTCAAGCATTCCTCCCCGGCTCAGCCTCCCAAGTAGCTGGGACTACAAGCATGTGCCACTGCTCCCAGCTAATTCTATTTTTGAACATAAAGATAACATGTGTGAGATGTATAATTTTCTTAACAGAAATTCAATTTCTCTTGCCTCCACTAAAATAAACAACAAATATTTACTGAACATTGCTTTAAAGAGGTGCCCTATTACTACCCTGCCTACAGCACCTATCCTCGTTCTATCAGTGTGGCAGTGGGATGCAAGAGACAGGGGCTTTGGCATTCAGGAAGCTGGCCTGGAATACAGGCTGTGAACTTGAACGAGTCCTCAGTCTTGTTAGTGCTCAAATCCTCAGCTGCAAAATGGAAGCAACCTCTCTCAGAGTCCTTCTGTTCTTGATTTGTAGTAGGTCCTCAAGACATGGCAGTTACCTTTAAGTTTGTTGGGAGCAGTGGTTTTGAATGTGTGGTCCCCGGACCAGCAGCATCAGCACAGCGAGAATGCTCTGCTGCACATTCTGGGGCTCCACCCCAGACCACTGCATCAGAGACCCTGGAGGGGAGAGCTTTCACAGGCCCTCCTGGGATTCTGACATGTACTCAGGTTTGAGAATTACTGGTGAGGAACATGGGCAATAAACCAGACCGCCAAGGGTTCAAATCATCTTGCCTTCCCACTCTCTGTGTGAACTTGAGCAAGTTATCCAACTTCCCCGTGCCTCAATTTCCCCATCTGCCCAATGAGGATAATAGTTATATCTAACTCATAGAGCTGCTATGAGGATTGAATGAGATAATACACATAATGGACTTTAAATGGGACCTAGCCCACAGAAGGTGTTTAATAGATGACAGCTGGTATAATTAATCGTTAGTAGTTTCATTGTCGTTCTTGTTCTGCTATAAACATTTCCCAGGCAAAGGCTAGTGGGGTGAGGTGGCAGGCACACCTGGAATGATGTTTTGACATCCCTAAACCTTCCTCCTGTTCTCTAGCTTCTGCTCTACTCCCACCCAAACTGGTTTGAGGAAACTTGGGAATGGAAAGAGGTGAAAAAGTAAGTCTTTGCCAAGACATTGCTAAGTCTTGTCATGTTGAGACATCCAGTGAGCTGCTTAAATCACGTCTGAACTGTTTATTGTTGGGCATCATGGGATTTAACAAGGCTGAACTGGTTCTCATTAGTTTAATCTTATTTTTTAAATACTAATTTTTTTTAATTTAAGAGGTAATTCATTGAAAGGATAAATACTGCATGATTCCACTTATGTGTGGTACCTAGAGTAAACTTCATAGAGACAGAAAGTAAAATGGTTGTTGCTGGGGTTTGGGGGAATGGAGGATGGGGAGTTAGTGCTTAATGGGTGCAGAGTTTCAGCTTGAGAAGATGAAAACAGTTCTGGAGATGGATGGTGGTGACAGCTGCACAACCATGTGGATGTACCTAATGCTACTCATTTGTACACTTAAAAATGGTTAAAATGGGCCAGGTATGGTGGCTCACACCTGTAATCCCAGCACTTTGGGAGGCTGAGGTGGGCGGACCACCTGAGGTCAGGAGTTTGAGACCAGCCTGGCCAAAAAGGTGAAACCCTGTCTCTACTAAAAATACAAAAATTAACTAGGTATAGTGGCACGCACCTGCAATCCCAGCTACTTGGGAGGCCGAGGCAGGAGAATTGCTTGAAGCCGGGAGGTGGAGCTTGTAGTGAGCCGAGATTGCACCATCGTACTCCAGCCTGGGAAACAGAGCAAAACTGCATCTTAAAAAAAAGGTTAAAATGGTAAATTTTATGCAATGTATATTTTAGCACAATAAAAAATGAAAAAAGAAGTAATTAATAGAAAGATAATACCTGGGTTTGGAAGCATAGAATATGAAGAAAGTGTTTTTATAAAGAATCTCATAATTCTGGGGTGCAGGCAATATTCTACTCCTTGACCCGGATGGTGGTTACGTAGGTGTTGATTTTGTAATATTCCATTAGGTTCTTCATTTATGCAATTTTATGTCTCCGTTATATTTCACAATAAGAAGCTGGAACCATATTTGGGAATGATAAACACTTAAAAATAATCAGTTATGTGCCTATGAATCTATCCAGAGAGAATCACTATCAATGATTTTGAGTATCTTCTTTCTTTTTTCCTCTGCATATCTCTATGTATTTGTTATTCACTCATTTATTCAACCAGTATTTAGAGAGAACTATTCTGTGTTCTGGGTGATGTTAGTTCTCTATCGCTGAGTAACAAATTATCCTAAAACTTAGCAGCTTAAATCAACAAACATTTATCATCTTACAATTTCTGTGGGTCAGGCACAGCTCGCTTGGATGCCTCTGATTTTTGAGCTCTCAGGAGGCTGTAGGCACCATGGGTCATGGTCTAATTTGAAGACTCAATTAGAAGAGGAGCTACTCCAAGCTCACTCGCCTCATGGTTGTTGGACTGAGGACCTCAGTTCCTTGCTATCTGTTGGCTGGAGGCTTCCTTCAGCTTCTTGTTACCTGGAAGTCTTTACAGGGTTACTGGTCTCCTGGCTTCTGATGTTGCAAATCTAGAATCTATTCTCAACCCAGAGATGCTGTTAAATGTAAACCAGGTGTTAGAGACCAAATTGTGACCCCCTTCCCCAAATTCATATGTTGAAGCCCTAACTCCCAGTACCTCAGAATGTGACTATAGTTGGAGATAAGAACTTTAAAGAGGTAATTAAGATTAAATGAAGGCCTGGCATGGGCTCGTGCCTGTAATACCGGCAGTTTGGGAGGCAGAGGCAGGTGGATCACTTGAGGTCAGGAGTTTGAGACCAGCCTGGCCAACATGGCGAAACCCTGTCTCTACTAGAAAACAAAAAACAAAACAAAAAAAAATAGCCAGGTGTGGTGGCGGGCACCTGTAGTCCCAGCTACTCAGGAGGCTGAGGCAGGAGAATCGCTTGAACCCTGGAGGTGGAAGTAGCAATGAGCCGAGATCGCGCCACTGCACTCCAGTATGGGTGAGAGTGAGATTCTGTCTCAAAAAAAAAAAAAAAAAAAAAAAAATTAAATGAGGTCCTAGCAGTTGGACCCTAATCCAGCAGGACTTGTGTCCTTATAAGAAGAGGAAGGGACACCAGGCCATTCGAGGGAACAGCAAGGAGGCAAATAAAGTCTGCAAGTCAAAGAGAGAGGCCTCAGAAGAAATGGACCCTTCTGACATCTTGATCTTAGACTTCAGAACTGCGAGAAAATACATTTCTGCTGTTTAAGCCACCCAGCATGTGGTATTTTGCTATGGCAGCCAGAGCGAACTAATACATTAGATTACACCATCGTCTCTCGAAAACCCTCCGTGGCTTCCCGTTCTATTCCTTGCTAAACCTGAAGTTCTTTAATAAGTTCTCTGAAGTCAAAGTTGAATGACCTTCAGGGCGCTAGGCCATCTAGCCCCACTCTCTTCCCCTAACCTTATCTCCTGCTGCTCTGGATCATTCGGTGCTAGCCGTGCAACTGTGAAAGGAAAATAAAACTTAGGACGCCAACTCACTCTACCAAAAGAAAAAAATTAAACTGAAAGTTGAATCATGCAAGAAGCTGCCTTTGCTGTTGTTCCTAAGCAGATAGCGACAGATGAAAGGCCAGGTATCTCCACAGGTATGCTCACTTTACCTTGAAGTGCCAATTTACTGAGGGCGAGATGAATACACAATTGGCAATTCCCCTGCCTTCTCCTTTCCTCTTGCAACAGGTGGATTCAGCAATGTGACCATACTCATCCTCTTTCCCCTCCAGCCCACTTATTCCCTTTAAATATGAAGCCCTCAAAATCATCTCTGGAAAAAGGCATGGACCACAGACTGTGCCTGTGATTTTGTGTTCCTGTTTTTCAGGCGTGTCCTTAATCCTGGCAAAATAAATTTCTAAATGGACTGAGACCTGTCTCAGATACTTTTTGGTTTACACAACCTCCACATGTTTGCCTCAGGGCCTTTGCACTGGCATCTCTGCTGAGAAGCCCTTTTCCCAAATACTCACCTGGCTCACTCTCTCACCTCTTTCAGGCACTCGCTCATTCCTGGACATCCTATCTAAAAGAGCACCCCCACTCCCCAACCCTAATGCCTTCCTCTCTCTGGTTTTCTTTTTTTTTTTTTTTTTTTTTTTTTTTTGAGGCAGGATCTCACTTTGTTGCCCAGGCTGGATTGTGCCCAGTGGCACAATCATGGCTCACTGCAGCCTCGACCTTTTGGGCTCAAGTGATCTTCCCACCTCAGCCCCCAAGTAGCTGAGACCACAGGCCTGTGCCACCATGCCCGGCTAATTTTTTTTGTAGAGATGGGGTTTCACTATGTTGCCTAGGCTGGTTATTATTATTACTTTTTTTTAGCACTTATCACCCATCTAACATACAATGTATTTTACTATTTGTTTTTCACTGTCTGCCTCTTGCACTAGAATGACTTTTCCAAGAGGGTGGGATTTGTGTCTGCTTTTTCACTGCAGATGTCCCAGGGTCTGAACAGTGTCTTGCACAAAGTACATAAAGTCTGCAAGTCAAAGAGAGAGGCCTCAGAGAAATGGACCCTTCTGAAACCTCGATTTCAGAACTGTGAAAAAACAAATATCTGTTGTTTAAGCCTGCCAGCGTGTGGTATTTTGTTATGGTAGCCAGAGCGAACCAATGCATTAGATTACACCATCGTCTCTCAAAAACCCTCCGTGGCTTCCCACTTCACTCCTTGTTAATGCTGAAGTTCTTTAATACATTCTTTGAACTTTTTTTTTGCATAAATGAATACATGATTTGACAGGCAAATGTAAATTTATTTAGTTATCAATGATGCAGACCATTTCTTCCAAAAATGTTTTAGTAATTTTACTCTAGGTTTTGTCTATTCATGTTCTTCAGTTATTTTAAAAGTTAGGGTCCAGGCCAGGCATGGTGGTTCACGCCTGTAATCCCAGCATTTTGGGAGACTGAGATAGGAGGATCGCTTGAGGCCTATAGTCAGAGATTAGCCTGGGCAGCCTAGTGAGACCCCATCTCTACAAAAAATGTAGAAAATTGGCCAAGCGTGGTGGCACGTGCCTGTTAATCTTCTTTGGGAGGCTGAGGCGGGAGCATTGCTTGAGTCCAGGAGCTCAGTTGTGCCACTGCACTCCAGCCTGGGCAGAGAGCAAGACCCTGTCTCTTAAAAAAAAAAAAAAAAGTTAGGGTCCAAAGATAATGCTTTCTCTATATTGCTACTGCCTCTCCTTAGAACATTACTAACTAGTATGAGTTATGTATTAAAAAGATTAAACCCTCTCTCTGCCATATTTTATAACATAATATTTTCAGTCTGTGGTTAGCCTTTTCATGATTTTTTACAACAAAATAATTTATATTTTTTATGTAGTTAAATTTACTGTGAGTACTTTTTCTGAGGTGAGGTTGGTCTTAAAACAGCAGCTTTCAATAATTGTGTCAATTTCCCAAGAAATCTCCCTGTATTTTATTTCCAGAGACTCCTCTGATGCTCATTCATCTGAAACTCACTCACTTGGGACAGGCGACAGTAAGCTGTTTTTCTATAAGGAGTGCAATTTATTTATTTATTTATTTTTAAATAATTTTTAGGGGGCTTTCTGTTAAAAACAGGAAAGTCTGCTAGACAAATTCTAAAGCAGCTGTAACACAAAGAGTGTGAGTTTTTATAGTGGTAACCACACATGGATTTTACCCTCATGAAATTGTAATTGTCAGCAAACAGTCATGTGCGTTTAGGATTTTTTTATTGGTGCCATCCGGGGCCCAGTCCCACTGGATTGGCCTTGGGTTACATGGCTGATGGTCTATCGCAGCAGCAATGTACAGGGCTGTCTAATTTCCTGTGCTGCCTCCCATCCATCCTCCTATGCCAGTCACCAAATTAGTAGCCTCCTCTACTCCAATCCCGCAGGGCCTCCTGGCCTCTGGCAACAAGATGAGGAAACTCAGGCACAAAAATGTTTAAGCAACGTTCTAAAATTTACATACTGAGTAAGAGAGCAATATTCAAAACATTTAAAACTAGCAAGATGTTTCTAGGAAACAGAATAGACACACACACATACACACAGCAAAAAGAAAAAAGCCTGACCAGTCAGAACAGACACCAGTATGAACTCTAACCAGTCAGAACAGAGGCCAGCTGTGAATGACCAGTATGGTCTCACTACCAAGAACAGGCTTTATTCCAGGAGCCTGGCAGCCTCTATTCTTGAATGCATCCCCCTATACTGTCTCATCACTAGACTTCACAGCAGAGAAGCCTGATAGCCAATTTCAAACTCTCCTGTGCCATTGAGGAACCTCTTCCTGTTCCTCCTAAGTCTTCCGCAAAGCTGAAATAAATGACTCACCACAGGTTGAAAGGTTGATACTCACCTCTGTGTATAGCAGAGTCATGAAGGTGAGAGGGAAGAGTGAAGCTGGGCACACAATGAAAAGATGCAGTGTTAGGGGCATTTAGGGTAATCCGTCACCTGGAGAAAAGTTATGAGAAGGCAAGACCAATCCACGAAGCAACCGGGAACCACCATTTATACAAGGAGTCACAGTAATTCAGCATTCCCCAAGAGCTTGAGAAATCTTTGTTAGGGGAATAGATTTCCGGCAAATATATAGAATGTGGTTTCAAGATATTATCATTATTATCATGTTATTAAAGGAATGGGTGAGCCTGGAAGAGTAAAATGTTAGGAATGCTTAGCACACACACATTGAAAAGACTGGGGAAGGTTTAAGAACATCATCTTCAGAGTCAGACAGACCTCTAGGTGTGGCTCTGACATTTACAAATTAAGTGACCCAAATCAAGCCTCCTCCCATAAATCTCCTTAATCTGTGCAATGGGTATAATAGTGGTGTCTACTCCCATAGGCTAGCTGTGAGGGCTAACAAGAGTAACATGTGTGTCCAGTGGCTGGGCACAGTGAATGGAATGTTCAGTCAATGTTGGGCACTGCTGCACAGAGCAATGACATCACTACCGTCATCATCATCATCATGATCTCTGAAGCATTCTTAAATGCCGAAAGATGTACTCACAAAATGAACCTTGCAGCAAGGTGGCCAAAAAGAAGCTTCCAGTGATCATCCCCTTGGCAGGAACACCAAATTGAACAGCTATCCACACAAAAAACTACCTTCATAAGAACCAAAAATCAGGTGAGCAATCATATGTTAAGGAAATCACATCATGTTAAGGAAAGAGGCACTGAAGAGGGTAGGAAAGACATTCTTGAATCACTTACACCACCCACCCCCATCCGCTGGCAGCAGCTGCTTGGTGCAGAGAATCTGTGCTTGGGGGAGGACAGTGCAGTGATTATGGGATGTTGCATTGGCACTCATTGCTGCCCTGTCACAGCAAAAAGAAACAAGGGGCAGAACTCTGCTGGTGCCCACAGGGGAGCATTTAGACGAGCCCTAGGCAGAGGCAAATCATCTATCCCAGTGGTAGGAACCTGAGCTCCAGCAAACCCTGCCACCCTGGGCTAAAGTGCCCTGGGGTCCTAAATAAACTTGCAGTGCAGGCCACAGGGACTGCAATTCCTGGGCAACTCCTCCTGCTGTGCAGGGCTTGGAGCCAGTGAAATTGGGATGCACATGACCTAGTGAGACACCAGCTGGGGCAGCCAAGGTAGCGCTTCCATCGCCCCTCCCCCAACCCCAGTAGCACATCTCACAGATTCAAGAGGGATCCTTCCCCTTGCTTGAGGAGAGGGGAGAGTAAAGAGGACTTCATCTTGCCAGTTGGATACCAGCTCAGCCACAGTCCAGTAGGACACCAGGCAGAGTCCTGAGGCCCCCATTCTAGGCCCTAGCCCCCGGACAACATTTCTAGACACACACTGGGCCAGAAGGGAACCCACTACCTTGAATGGAAGGACTCAGTTCTGGCAGAATTTATCACCTGCTGGCTACAGAGCCCTTGGGCCCTGAGTAATCAACAATGGTAGCCAGACAGGACTCATCACAGGCCTGGGGGAAGACTCAGAGACATTCTGGCTTCAGGTGAGACCCAGCTCATTCCCAACGTGTGGTGGCCACAGGGAGAGACCCCTTCTGCTTCAGGAAAGGAGAAGGAAATGTAAAAGTGACTTTGTCTTGAAGCTTAAGTACCAGCTCAGCCACAGTAGAATAGAGCACCAAGTAGGTGCTTCTAGGCCCCAGTTCCAGGCCTTGGCTCCTGGGTAGCACTTACAGACCTGCCTTGGGCCAAAGGGGAACCCACTGAACTGAAAGAAGAGACTCAGGACTGGCAGCATTCACCACAAGCTGCCTAAAGAACCCTTGGGCCAGCCGGGCATGGTGGCTCACGCCTGTAATCCCAGTACTTCGGGAGGCTGAGGCGGGCAAATCACCTGAGGTCGGGTGTTCGAGACCAGCCTGGCCAACATGGTGAAACCCTGTCTCTACTTAAAATACAAAAATGAGGTGGGCGTGGTGACGCAAGCCTGTACTTCCAGCTACTCAGGAGGCTGAGGCAGGAGAATTGCTTGAACCCGGGAGGCGGAGACCGCAGTGAGCCGAGATCACGCCACTACATTCCAGCCTAGGTGACAGAGCAAGACTCCATCTCAAAAAAAAAAAAAAAAAAAAAAAAAAGAACCCTTGGGCCTTGAGTGAACATTGGTGGTAGCCAGGCAGTACTTGCCATGGGTCTGGGGAGGCGGCAGCCATGGGGAGAGACTCCTCTGCTTGAGGAAAGGGAAGGGAAGAGTGAAAAGGACTTTGTCCTGTGGCTTGGTTACTACCTCAGCTGCAGTAGAATAGAGTACCAAGTAGATTCCTCAGGTTCCCAACTCCAGGCCTGGCTCTTAGATAGCACCTCTGGATCCATCTGGGGCCGAGGGGAACTCGCCACCTTGAAGGGAAGAACACAAGCCTTGCTGGATTTGCCATATTCTGATTGTAGAGCCCTTGGGCCTTGAGGAACAGAAGCAGTAGCCAGGCAGTGGTCACTGCGGGCCTTGGGCAAGACCCAGTGCTGTGCTGGCTTTGAGTCTGACCCAGCACAGCCCCAGTGGTGGTGGACATAGGGGCGCTTGTATCACACCTCCCCCGTCTCCAGGCAACTCAGCACAGAGAAAGAGACTCCATTTTTTTGGAGGAAGGTAAGAGAAGAGAACAAGAATGTCTGCCTAGTAATCCAGGAAATTCTCCCAGATCTTACCCAAGACCACCAAGGTGGTACCTCAGCCAGTCTGCAAGAGCCATAGCATTACTGAGTGTGGACTGCCCACTAAAGCAGATAAGGCTGCAGTGACCAAAGACTTGGACCACAACACCCAAGACCCTTCACATACCTGGAAAGCCTTCTGAAGAAGGATGGGTAGAAATAAGCCCAGACTGTGAAGACTACAATAGATACCTCACTCTTCAATGCCCAAACATTAATGAACATCTACAAGCATCAAGATCATCCAGGAAAACATGACTTTACCAAATGATCTAAATAAGACACCAGTGACTAATCCCGGAGACACAGAGATGTGTGACCTTTTGGATAGAGAATTCAAAAGAGTTGTTTTGAGGAAGCTCAACTAAATCCAAGATAACACAGAGAACAAATTCAGAATCCTATCAGATAAGTTTAACAAAGAGGTTAACATAATTGGAAAGAGTCGAGCAGAAATTCTGGAGCTGAAAAATGCAATTGACATGTGGAAGAATGCATCAGTGTCTCTTAACAGCAGAATTCATCAAGCAGAAGAAAGAATTAGTGAGCCTGAAGACAGGCTATTTGAAAATACAGTCAGAGGAGACAAAAGAAAAAAGAATAAAAAACAATGAAGCGTGCTTACGAGATCTAGAAAATAGGTCCAAAGGGGCAAATCTAAGGTTATTGGCCTTAAAGAGGAGGTAGAGAGAGAGAGATCAGGGTAGAAAGTTTATTCAAAGAATTAATAAAACAGAATGTCCCAAACCTAGAGGAATATATCAATATTCAAGTACAAGAAGGTTATAGAACACCAAGAAGATTTAACGACAAGAGGACTACCTCAAGGCATTTAATAATCAAATTCCTGAAGGTCAAGGATAAAGAAAGGATCCTAAATGCAGCAAGAGAAAATAAATAATAATATACAAAGGAACTCCAATACATCTGGCTGTAGACTCTCAGTGGAAGCTTCACAGGCCAGGAGAGAGTGGCATGACACATTTAAAGTGCTGAAGGAGGGCCAGGTGCAGTGGTTCACGCCTGTAATCCCAGCACTTTGGGAGGCTGAGGCCGGTGGAACACTCGAGATCAGGAGTTCAAGGCTAGCCTGGCTAACATGGTGAAACCCCGTCTCTACTAAAAATACAAAAATTAGCCAGATGTGGTGTGCATACTTGTAATACCAGATACTTGGAAGGCTGAGGCAGGAGAACCACTTGAACCCAGGAGGCAGAGATTGCAGTGACCTGAGATCGTGCCACTGCACTCCAGCCTGGGTGACAGAGCAAGACTCTGTCTCAAAAAAAAAAAAAAAAAAAGTAAATAAATAAATAAATAAAGTGCTGAAGGAAAAAACAAAAACAAAAACTTTTATCCTAGAATAGTATATCCAGAAAAAATATCCTTTAAACATGAAGGACAAATAAAGATTTTCCTAGACAAACAAAAGCTGAGGAATTTCATCAACACCAAACCTGTCCTACAAGACATGCTACAAGGAATTCTTCTATATGAAAGAAAAGGATGATGTTAATGAGAATAAGAAATCATCTAAAAGTAGAAAACTCACTAGTAATAGTAAGTACACAGAAAAACACAGTATAACCGTATAACCCTGTAACTGTAGTGTGTAAAAACTACTCCTATCTTGAGTAGAAAGACTGAAAGGTGAACCCGTCAAAAATAATAACTACAACAACTTTTCAAGAATTAGACAGTATAACAAGATATAAATAGAAGCAACAAAAAGTTAAAAAGTGGGGGATAAAGTTAGAGTAAAACATTTGTAATAGTTTTTGTTTGTTAGTTTGTTTATGCAATCAGTGTTAAGTTGTCATCAGTTTAAAATAATGGGTTATAAGATATTATTTATTTGCAAGCCTCCTGGTAACCTCAAATCAAAAAACATACAATAAAAAACAATAGGCCTGGAGCGTTGGCTCATGCCTGTAATTCCAGCACTTTGGGAGGCTGAGACAGGTGGATCACTTGAGGTCAGAAGTTCAAGACCAGCCTGGCCAACATGGTGAAACCCTGTCTCTACTAAAAATACAAAAATTAGCCAGGTGTGGTGGTAGGTGCCTGTAATCCCAGCTACTTGGGAGGCTGAGGCACAAGAATTGCTTGAACCTGGGAGGTGGAGGTTGCAGTGAGCCGAGATTGTGCCACTGCACTCCAGCCTGAGCAACAAAGTGAGACTCAGTCTCAAAAACAAAAACAAACAGAAAAAAAAACCAACAAAAACCCAATATATTAAAACATACCACTTAAGAAAATCACCTTCACCAAAAAGTAGACAGGAAGAATGGAAAGAAGGAAGAAAAGAAACCACAAAACAACCAGAAAACAACAAAATGACAAGAGTAAGTCCTTACTTATCAATAATAACATTGACAGTAAATGGACTAAACTCTTTAATCAAAAGACATAGAGTGGCTGCAGAGATTAAAACAAAAACATGACCCAGCGATGTGTTGCCTATAAGAAGCACACTTCACCTATAATGACACATGTAGACTGAAAATAAAGGAATGGAAAAAGATATTCCATGCAAATGAAAACCAAAAAGAGCAGGAGTGTCTACACTTACACCAGACAAAATAGATTTCAAGACAAAACTATTCAAAGAGACAAAGAAGTTTGTTATATAATGATTAAAGGGTCAGTTCAGCAAGAGGATATAATAATTACAAATATATATGCACCCAAAACTGGAGCACTCAGATATAAAGCAAATTATTATCAGACCTAAAGAGAGAAATAGGTCCCAATATAATAATAGCTGGAGACTTCAGCACTCCACCTTCAGCATTGGACAGATCACTCAGACAGAAAAATCCACAAAGAAACATCAGGGCTGAGCACAGTGGCTCACGCCTGTAATCCCAGCACTTTGGGAGGCCAAGGTGGGCGGATCACAAGGTCAGGAGATCGAGACCATCCTGGCTAACACGGTGAAACCCCGTCTCTCCTAAAAATACAAAAAATTAACCAGGCGTGGTGGCAGGCACCTGTAATCCCGGCTACTTGGGAGGCTGAGGCAGAAGAATTGCTTGAACCTGGGAGGTAGAGTTGCAGCGAGCCGAGATCACGCCACTGCACTCCAGCCTGGGCAACAGAGCGAGACTCTGTTTAAAAAAAAAAAAAAAAAAAATTAAAACAATTGAACTCAGGGAGATAGAGAATAGAGTGATGATTCCCAGAGGCTGGGAAGGGTAATGGGGATAGAGGGAAGAGGGAAGTGGGGTGGTTAATGGATACACAAATATAGTTACATAGAATTAATAAGATCTAGTATTTGATAATACATCAATTTATTGTACATTTAAAAACAGCCAAAAGAGTATAATTGGATTGCTTGTAACACAAAGAAAGGATAAATGCTTGAGGTGATGGATATCCCATTTACCCTGATGGGATTATTATAAATTGCATGCCTGTATCAAAATATTTCATGTACTCTCATAAATATATATGTCTACTATACACCCACAGAAATAAAAAAATTAAAATTAAAAATAATTTTTAAATCTCACATATACAGAATAAAAACCCAAGTAAGACTGGGTGCAGTGGCTCATACCTGTAATCCCAGTACTTTGGGAGGCCAAGGTGGGAGAATCACTTGAGGCCATGAGTTCAAGAGCAGCCTGAGGAACGTAACAAAATCCCCATCTCCAAAAAAATTTTTTTTTTTTGAGACGGAGTCTCGCTCTGTCACCCAGGCTGGAGTGCAGTAGCGCAATCTCAGCTCACTGCAAGCTCTGCCTCCCAGGTTCACACCATTCTCCTGCCTCAACCTCCTGAGTAGCTGGGACTACAGGTGCCCACCACCATGCCTGGTTAATTTTTTGTATTTTTAGTAGAGACAGGGTTTCACCATGTTAGCCAGGATGGTCTCGATCTCCTGACCTCGTGCTCCTGCCTGTCTCGGCCTCCCAAAGTGCTGGGATTACAGGTGTGAGCCACCTTTCCCGGCCTCTAAAAAAATTTAAAAGAAAATTAGCCAGGAGTAGTGGCATGAGACTACAGTCCCAGCTACTGAGAAGGCTGAGGGAGTGAGATCACTTCCTAGGAGGCTGAGGCTGCAGTGAGCTATGATTACACCAATGCACTCCAGCCTGGGCAACAGAGCAAGACCTTCTCTCAAACAAAACAAAACAAAACACCCAAGTAGGGAGGCTTGCATATATCCTCTTAACTTCCAAATGACAGAGGAATAGAAAGCAATGCTAAAGTAGCCAGGCATGGTGGTGCGTGCCTGTGGTCCTAGCTACTCAGGAGGATGAGGCAGGAGGATCACTTGAGCCCAGGAAAACGAGGTTGCAGTGAGCTGAGATCATGCCACTGCACACCAGCCTGGGCAACAGAGTGAGGCTCTGTCTGAAATAAAGAAGGAAAGAAAAAGAAAGGAAGAAAGGGAGGAAGGAAGGAAGAAAGGGAGGGAGGGAAGGAAGGAAGGAAGGAGGGAGAGAAGGAAGAAGGGAGGTAAGAAATGCTGCCAATCAGGAGTAGGAGAGGCCAAATCAGTGCGTGATGAGATCAAGTTGCTGTGGGCAGGGAAGTGGGCTGTGAGTTCAGGAGATTCCCAAGGAGCTAACCAGGAAAATTACAAAAAATGGGGAGATCCTTAATGTGGCTTGAAGGAAGAAGAGAAGAGAAGCCTTTGGGGCAGGGGTTTGATTGTCCACAGATCGGATAAGAGAATTGGGGAGCAGGTATGTAGTGATCATAAAACAAGGCAGGTAATGAGAAATGCACTGTATAGACTAAGAGGGCACCTCCATTGGTCAGATTTTATCGTTTGCTTTTTCATTGCCTCTCTGGGAAGTGTAAGGTGGTCATTGAGTAGGAGCAGCTGATTTCATCTTTTTACATAGTAACTTGATTAACATGTTTTCTGTGTAATTTTTGTCAGCATTGGTGAGGGGAGGGGAGGCCAGGGGAGGGAAGGAGAGGGGAGGGAAGGAGAGGGGAGGGAGGCTCAGTGGGGCTCAGTAAGATATGTACTCTCATGCCTTGCTGCAGGAAATGTAAATTAGTACAACCTCTTTGGCAAGCAACTTGGCAATATGTCTCAAAACAGCTTAAAAATGGCCATCCAGTTGG
This sequence comes from Homo sapiens, assembly GCF_000001405.40. Lineage (NCBI taxonomy): Eukaryota > Metazoa > Chordata > Mammalia > Primates > Hominidae > Homo > Homo sapiens. Next base: position 40,386,133 of record NC_000004.12, read on the forward strand.
GTGCAAACTTTGGAGCAGTATCTTATAGAAATAAATGATCAAAAATGTGACTAATGAAAGGGAGGCCATCAGTGTTGTATATATGAGTAAAAAAAGCATAACATATTAAAAAGACTATAAAGAAACTCATAAAATTTTGAGCAGTTGTTATATCTAAGGAGGGGGATTACGAGAAATTATTATTATTATTATTATTTTTGAGACAGAGTTTCACTCTTGTTGTCCCGGCTGGAGTGCAGTGGTGCGATCTCGGCTCACTGCAACCTCCGCCTCCCAGGTTCAAGTGATTCTACTGCCTCAGCCTCCTGAGTAGCTGGGATTACAGGCATGTGCCACCATGCCCGGCTAATTTTGTATTTTTAGTATGGACAGTGTTTCTCCATGTTGGTCAGGCTGATCTCGAACTCCCGACCTCAGGTGATCCACCCACCTCGGCCTCCCAAAGTGCTAGGATTACAGGCGTGAGCCACTGCACCCAGCCTAAGAAATTATTGACTTCATTTTCCTTTTTTTATTTTGAGATGGAGTCTTGCTCTGTCACCCAGGCTGGAGTGCAATGGTGCGATCTTGGCTCACTGCAACCTCCGCCTCCTAGGTTCAAGCCATTCTCCTGCCTCAGCTTCCCATGTAGCTGGGACTACAGGCATGTGACACCATGCCCAGCTAATTTTTGGTATTTTTAGTAGAGACGGGGTTTTACCATGTTGGCCAGGCTGGAGTCAAACTCCTGACCTCAAGTGATCCACCCACCTTGGCCTCCCAAAGTGCTGGGATTACAGGCGTGAGCCACCGTGCCCAGCCTTCATTTTACTTTTAAGATATTCCTGTTCTGTGAGTTATCAGAAGTAATAAAAATTTTAAAAATGTTTTTCTAAATTTCTCCAGTATGTTACTTGTAAGAAAAATGTATTTATTTATTTATTTGTTTGTTTTTTTGTTTCTTTAGAGACAGGATCTTGCTCTGTCACCCAGCTAGAGTGCAGTGGCACAGTCACGGCTCACTGCAGCCTCAACCTCCAAGGCTTAAGAGATCCTCCTGCCTCAGCCTCTCAAGTAGATGGGACCACAGGTGTGTGCCACTGCATCTGGCTAATTAATTTTTTTTTTTTTTTGTAGAGATAGAATCTCCCTATGTTGCCCAGGCTAGTCTCGAGCTTCTGGGCCCGAGTGATCATCCTGTCTCGGCCTCCCAAAGTGCTGGGATTATAGGTGTGAGCAACTGCCTGGCCAAGAAAAATAAATGTAAAAATAAATGGATTTTTAGGGCAGCAAAATATTCTGTATGATACTGTAATGGTGGATACATGCTATTATACATTCGTCCAGACCCACAGAATGTACACCACCAAGAGTGAACTCTGATGTAAACTGTGGACTTTGGGTGACGATGAACTATCAATGTGGGTTTATGCGTAACAGACGGACCCCTCTGGAAGGGAATGTTGATACACTGGGGACTATGCATGTGTATGGGGAGGGGTATGTGGGAACTCTCTATAGCTTCCTTTGAATTTTGCTGTGAGTGTAAAACTGCTTTAAAAAAAAATCCTACTGGGAGTGGTGGCTCATGCCTGTAATTCCAGCATTTTGGGAGGCTGAGGCTGGCACATGGTTTGAGGCCAGGAGTTTGAGACCAGCCTGGCCAATATGGTGAAACTCTGTCTCTACTAAAATTACAAAAATTAGCTGGGCACGGTGGCACACAACTGTAGTCTGAGCTATCTCGAGAAGCTGAGGCAGGAGAATCGCTTGAACCCGGGAGACAGAGGTTGCAGTGGGCCAAGATTGCATCACTGCACTCCAGCCTGGGTGACAGAGTGAGACTCTGTCTCAAAAAATGCAGGAGGCGGAGGTTGCAGTGAGCCGAGATCACGCCATTGCACTCCAGCCTAGGCGACAGAGCGAGGCGCCATCTCAAAAAGAAAAAGAAAAAGTGTACTAGTGCCCTCAGTTGTATTTATCTTGGTTGATGAAAACCTGTTTAGTCTTATGGACCCAGAAGAGAAGGTGTTTGAGCCAACATTTTCTCAGAAAAGGATCATTCATTTGTTCATTCATTCCCAGCTCCTCCTCTGTGTCAAGCACTGTTTTAGGCACTGGGGATGCACCTATGAGCAAATCAGGAGACCTCTCTGTCATGATGGAGCTTATGTTCTCCAGGGGATGAGACTCAATAGTCAACAGAGCAATGAAGAACAATGAAGCAGGGCCGTGGAGACAGAGAGTGATGGGGAGAGGTGTGTGTGCTCCTTTAGACAGAGTGCTTGGGAAAGGCCTCTTAATGAAGAGTTATGTGAACACAGACCTGAAGGAGGCGGGGGAGTGAGCCATGTGGCTGTCTTGAGGAAATGCTTTCTAAGCAGAGGGAACCGCAAACGTAAAGACCCCAAGGACAAGCTTGCTGCGTGTGATTGAGGCACAGAGAGGAGGCCAGTGTGGCTGGAGATGAGGTTAGAGAGTTAGGGGAGGGTTGGACCGTGTGCAGGTCTACAGGTCTTTTTTTTTTTTTTAACTAAAAACAAAACAACAACAACAACAAAAGTGAAAAGAGTATTGAGCTTGGAGTCAGAAATCCTGGCTTCAAGTCCCTGTTCCGTCACTGGCTAGCTGTGTAATAATCTCAAAAAATGCACTCTACTATTCTGAGCATCCATTTTCCCAACTGCAGAATGCCAGTGGCAAGGGAAGACTGTAAATGCCGTAATACATGTGAAAGTTTTCACAGCCTGGAAAATGCTCTCTCTCTGTAAGGGATTGCAACCACTGTGAAAGGATGCAAAATAACCTTTCATAGTTAGTGAACCAAAGCGCGAGTCAATAGAACTCCAAACTTCAATCTCTAGGACTTTTCATAAATGGAGAGACTACCAAAGGAAAATAATAAAGCAGCCAAATGCATGATGACTCTTCGAGACTGCCCCGTTGCCAGTCTTTCCGGTTCTTTTTCTGTGATGAATTGTTCTGGAAGTATAGAGTTCAGTGACATTATTCCCTTTTGCAGATGAGAGGAGTGGCTTTGATATCAAAGAGCAGGCCCAAGAACTGGGAGAAGAAAGATGGTTAAGTACATTCAATCATTCTGTAAGAGTGATTACTAGATTTAAATTGCGTTGGAACATATTTTGTTCAATTGTTTTAAAAGAATTTGATTTACCCTCAAATACGACCATCAGGAAAACAGGGTGGAAAAAACATAAACACTGGAAAAAGACACTTAGCACACCTGCTAAAGAAGCCCATGTGATACTGGGATACAGAATCATAAACATTTTAATATTTGTGAACACCATGTTTTTCCATATTTACTTCATTTGACTTTGTTTCTGATAACTCTAACTTTGCTAGTGTCCTCACAATCCGACTCCCCATCTTCCATTTCACTTTTCTAAGAAGAGGTCTCAGCCAGCCTGGCCAACATGGTGAAACCCTGTCTTTATTAAAAATACAAAAATTAGCTGGGTGTGGTGGCAGGCTCATGTAATCTCAGCTACTCGGGAGGCTGAGGCAGGAGAATCGCTTGAACTCAGGAGGCGGTGGTTACGGTGAGCGGAGATCACGCCGCTGCACTCCAGCCTGGGTGACAGAGTGAGACTGTCTCAAAAAAATAAAATAAAATAAAAAAGTGTACAGACTTAGAATTAAAGAGCAGAAGACAGAACTTCTCAGATTTACAAAACAACAAAAATGACAACAATATCAATAAAACCATCTTTCCCAATTCCATCCAGTAATATGTTATCTACAAGAGATGTATTTAAAACAAAAGGGTATAGAAAATTTGAAAATAAGGAATTAAATACCACAAGTAAGGTAAACCAGAAGAAAGCTAGGGTAGCAACAGATAAAATAGAATTTAAGATGAGAAATGATCATGAGGGACACGGGGCACTTTAAATGTTGGTTAAAAGAACTGTAAATCAAGAATCATGAACAAATATGCACCTAAGATAGCCTTGGAACACATAAAGCAATAATTCACAGAATGGTAAGCATTTAAACATCTCCCAAAGAGACAGATAAATCAAGCAGGCTTTGGTGATGATCAAGCTGACCTGAGCTCATATCCCTTTTCCAGCACTTACTGGCTATGTGACTTCATTACGTTATTTAGGCTCTGCAAAGCTCAATATTTTCATGTGAATAACAGGAATGATAACATCAGCCTCCCATGACTGCCATAAGCTTTAAGCGAGATAATACATATACGTTATCTAGTACAATGTCTGGACAACAGTTGGTATTTTATAAATGATTTCAATAAAAATTATCCTTCAAACCCCTCACCCAACCCCACTCGATCACCAGCTATGTCCCTATTAGGCCTCTTTGATTTTGAATATAGGTTATATCCCGTATCCCTGGCTTTTCCACCATCAAAATTCTAGGGATACAGCAGAAAGCTGAGACAGAGTCTAGAGCAACACAACATCTTTGTACAACTTGGGAGTGATACTCAACTAAAACGCACCCAGTAAGGGTGTCATGTTTTTTCTACCTACATCCACGCTGACTGATGAGCGCCTGTGCCACTTGTCACTATGTTGTCTCTCAGTTCCAATTTACATGGCCTTGTGATAACAGAGCCAGACCCTGGAAACATTTCTCATCAGCTGTAATCCCAGCTACTCAGGAGGCAGAATGTTAGGTTTCATCAATGAGGCACTGGAGTGACATCGAGAGGACATAGCTGCAGAAAGATCATCGCCTTCTAGGTTCTGGCCCTTTATTATTATTATTTAGCCTGAGAGCCTAACAACCCATGTGAACAAAGTTTCTGCTGCACTCTCACACCTTGCTCTTCCTACTGTGAATTTTTTTTTTTTTAGATGAAATCTCACTCTGTCGCCTAGGCTGGAGTGCAGTGGTGCAATCTTGACTCACTACAACCTCCGCCTCCTGAGTTCAAGTGATTCTCCAACCTCAGCCTCCCGAGTAGCTGAGATTACAGGCATATGCCATCATCCCCAGCTAGTTTTTGTATTTTTAGTACAGACAGGGTTTCACCGTGTTGTCCAGGCTGGTCTTGAACTCCTGGCCTCAAGTGATCCACCCGCCTCGGCCTCCCAAAGTGCTGGGATTATAGGCATGAGCCACTGTGCCTGGCCACTACTGTGACTTTTAAGCAGCTCTGGTCTGCTCACCCCCTCTGACAATGGAGGGCTGCTTCTAGAGACCAGCTCTAGTCTATGCGGCCAGTTTCTCCCAGTGACAGGTGTGTGTTCTTATAGTAGCCAAACTCTCTTAAAGAGATCTCCTAAGTCCTAAATTCCTCCTCTGTCTCCTCTTGTCAGCCTACGGGTAGAAGCTTCTTTTTATTGCGCTGGCTACTTTTGAACCCCTTAGAGGCCTCTCTTACTCATTTTGGTAGTTAATCACCTTCTACTAGTAAACAATTTTTTATATTAAAGTTTCCCTATTCAAATAACTGGTGTGGCTTCCTTCTCCTTGCTGGAGATGGATCTGATATGTTTCTCCACTAAACTGCAACCGTTATCAATGATAAGTTACTGTGAGTATTCCTTAAAATAACTACCTCCCTTGCCCACTAAAGAAGAATCATTGACAGCTCAGTTTGGTAGATCTTTTGTGACCAGAGAGAATAAGGAGAATAGGTAGAAATAGACAAGATCTGAGAAGTGAGAAGAAAGGGAAGGAGACTTAACAGAAGAAGCCAAGTTGATCCGTATGTTGAAGAGCTAGCGGAGAGGGAGAAAGATGGAAGGATGAAGAAAAACATCATGGCAGAGTGTGGGAGGGAATTTAGATTTTAGAAATTCGGTGGGGCTTATGAATTGCATTAATATTTCTATTTATGTTCTTGACGAGATATGAGTAAAGATTGAAATTTGGGTTTTATTACTTTTGGTTGCAGGAATATGCTTCCTTATGTGTGCCTCTTTGCAAAGACTTGGCCACAGAAGCACTTGGCTTTTACTAGATTTTTACTGATTTCTCTTTCATGTTAGGGAAACATCTAATTTGTCTGTGCTTTTGTTTTCTGATTTCCAAGCTCTAATACTATGACTGCAGTCTCCTGTAAAGACATCTAGCAGGTTCTAGGCAATGTTAAAAAGTCTTCATGTGGGCCAGGCGTTGTGGCTCATGCCTGTAATCCTTGCACTTTGGGAGGCCAAGGCGGGTGGATCACCTGAGATCAGGAGTTCGAGACCAGCCTGGCCAACATGTTGAAACCCCGTCTCTACTAAAAATACAGAAAAATTAGCCAGGCATGGTGACGCGTGCCTGTAGTTCCAGCTACTCAGGAGACTGAGGCAAGACAATCGCTTGAACCTGGGAAGCAGAGGTTGCAGTGAGCTGAGATCATGCCACTTCACTCCAGCCTGGGCGAAAGAGCGAAACTCCGTCTCAAAAAAAAAAAAAACAAAAATAGTCCTCATGTGTCTGTTTTCAACTATCTAAAGAGGCACTCAAGTCCTACAAGTGCTTTCTTATTTGGCTCTGGAAAACCCTTTCCTTCTGACTAAATTGATTTCAAAAAATAAAAAGACAGAGTAGGTATTCAACTGGACATGGCACAGTATAGAGCACCAGCTTTAATCATTGTGTGTGTGTGTGATGTGTGTTCTCAAAAAGAGACACTAGACAGATAAACCAGAAATTAATAGAAATTATTATCTATAGGGGTAGAAGGGATGAGAAGAGAGAACAAGGATGGAAGTGAGCATTATACAAATTTAAATTAAATGAAAAAGAGCAGCAGATATCGAGTCATATAGACATGGGTTTGAATTTCAGTTCTGCAGCTAACCACCGTCTGACCTTGGAAAATTACTCTCTTGGCCTCAGTTCCATTAATAAACTGCACAGGGTTGTTGGGAATATAAAATGAGATGACGCCTCCTGAAACACTTAGTCCAGTGCCTGGTAAATAATAAGTAACTGGTAGATGATAGCTATACTTAGTATTGTCTTGGCTCAGCATGCAAGAACTGTGTAAGATTCTTAAGCCTTGGCCAGGCATGGTGGCTCATGCCTGTAATCTCAGCACTTTGGGAGGCTGAGGCAGGCGGATCACTTGAACTCAGGAGTTTGAGACCAACCTGGGCAACATGGTGAGACCCCGTCTCTAACAAAAATACAAAAAACAGCAGGACATGGTGGTACATGACTGTAATCTTAGCTACTTGGGGGGTTGAGATGGAAGGATTGCTTGAGCCCAGGAGGTGGAGGGTGCAGTGAGCCAAGATTGCGCCACTGCACTCCAGCCTGGGTGACAAAGTGAGACCCTATCTCAAAAAAAAAAAAAAAAAAAAAAAAAAAGATTATTAAGCATTGCAGCTACATCCTTTATATATTTTTTGTCCCTGTTTGTTTTTCTGGAATTTTTAAGAAGAGAATCCTTAAAAGAATAAAGATGTATATTTGTGTTTGGGAGCAGCTAGAATGAGATCTTACTCTGTCGCCATTTTGGAGCAGGAATAAGAACTCAAGGGGGCCAGGCGCAGTGGCTCACACCTGTAATCCCAGCACTTTGGGAGGCCAGGTGGGCTGATCACTTAAGATCAGGAGTTTGAGACCAGCCTGGCCAACATGGTGAAACTCATCTCTACTAAATATACAAAAATTAGCTGGGCGTGGTGGCGGGTGCCTATAGACCCAGCTACTTGGGAGGCTGAGGCAGGAGAACTGTTTGAACCTGGTTGCAATGAGTCGAGATCGCGCCACTGCACTCCAGCTTGGGCAACAGGGCAAGACTGTCTCAAAAAACAAATGAAAACAAAAAACAAACAAATGGAAAAGAACTCCAGGGAACTGAGTGAGTGGGAGCAGCTTTAGAGAGGAAACGGAAATCGGATGAGTCCCTAGGGTTTGTTGCAAAGAAGGAAAGGGGAGCCCAGGGCCCAGCCATAGAAAATAGGAACATAGAGCCGGGCGCAGTGGCTCATGCCTGTAATCCCAGCTCTTTGGAAGGCCAAGGCAGATGGATCACCCGAGCTCAGGAGTTCAAAACCAGTCTGGCCAACATGGTGAAACCGCGTCTCTACTAAAAATACCACAGTTAGGCGGGTGTGGTGGTGGGTGTCTGTAATCCCAGCTACTCAGGAGGCTGAGGCAGAAGAATTGCTTGAACCCAGGAGGCAGAGGTTGCAGTGAACTGAGATCACACCATTGCAGTCCAGCCTGGGCGACAAGAGTGAGACTCCGTCCCCCCACCCGCCCCCCCAAAAAAAGAAAAAGAAAAAGAAAATAGGAACCCAGAAGAAGATCAAAGGGTATTTCCTCAGACTGACCATGTGTACTTCCCTTCTTCCTCTGTATACATCAGCAGAGGAAAGCAGGGAGAGAGAACGGCTGTCAGACTTTCTCAGCGTGGCTCACAAATCCCAGGGTTGCCTTCCTTTTTCCAATCAGGAAACAGCTCTCAAACTCCCTCTCTCTTTCAATCAGTACTTCATTGTTTTTGGAACTATGGAAGCCTCAGTGCCAATTTTATAATCCACGCCAGACTTTTAGCCTCTAATGTCTCTTTTTAAAGGGAACCAAAGCCCCTTTTCTCCTCGATATTTCAAAGCCCAAGCGAATCCATCTGCTTCCAAGCACTCTGCCACTTGGCTACCTGTGTGATCCTGGTTAAGTTCCTAAACCTCTGACCTGAAACAGGGGTCTGTCCCTAATGGAGAGCAGCAGCAGCAGGACTATGGCCTGTCCTGCCAAATCTCTCTCCCGGCATCATAGGAGGCAAGTAAGACAGGTGGTTTTTCTCTTCTTTCTTTTTTTTTTTTCTGAGTTTCACTCATATTGCCCAGGCTGGAGTGCAATGGCACGATCCCGGCTCACTGCAACCTCCACCTCCCAGATTGAAGCGATTCTCCTGCCTCAGCCTCCCGAGTAGCTGGGATTACAGGCGTGAGCCACCATGCCCGGCTAATTTTTGTATTTTTAGTGGAGACGGGGGTTTCACCATGTTGGCCAGGCTGGTCTCGAACTCCTGACCTCAGGTGATCTGCCCGCCTCAGCCTCCCAGTGTGCTGGGACTATAGGCATGAGCCACCGTGCCTGGTCGACAGGTGGTTTTTCAAATGTGTTTCCCAGCATATGCTCTGTTGGGAATTTTAAAGAAAAATCTTCCATGGTGTGGATTCTTACATCTTCTGCCTTAGTAAGATTCACAATCAAGGTGAGTACTGGCCTCTAAAACTCCTCAGCTTTTCCTGTTACAGGTGAGGAATGGTGCTGGTATCAGCCAGAAATCTGTTGGATGCTGGCCAGCAATGGCAGAGGGGTATTTACTGAAAGGTTGATCACAGAGTAAGTAAGAAGGCATGAGAGGCAGGCTCAGAAGCTAGTAGACACAATGCAGCCAGGATGCTGCCACCATGGCCAACTGTGGCCACCATCCTTGGACACTGATCTTAATGCTTGACCACTTCAGCTGCCACCATGGATTCAATATCACTATGTCTATGACTTTGCATGGTGCAAAGTCCTGGGTGGTGGTCTCCTGAGACCTGTGTGATCTCTTTGGCAGCCATGGACAAGAAGGGCAAGAATTTCTGCCTTTTAGCTTCTGTGCTATGCATGCGCTGGCTAACAAGCAGAAGATGAGGCATCATTACACTGGGTTCCCGAACTTCTGGTTAACTCTTGAGATCCTGGTGCCAGAAGAATACTGTCACTCACAGTGGGAGATTCCTCAAAATTAAGAAGGGGGATTTAGATCCTAGGTAGCAAGGAAAAAAAAATCCCATGATTGTGCCAGAAACTTGGATTGTGCTTACAATCCCCGTGAGTTTTTCCAGTCGAGCCCTCTTGCTTTGCCCTCTCCAGTGTCTCTCCTGTGGGGGTAGGGCCTGTCCAAGTCCCGTCATGCTTCAGTACCTAAGCAGGTGCATTCGCTCCCTTCCTGTGCCTGGAGTCCTGCCATCCATTGCTCAACTCCAATCTCTTGTTGTTTTAACATTTGGCCTTCATCCCCAGGGCTTCTCCTGGCTGCAGTTCTTGGAGTCAAGTTTCCTTTCATGAAGCTGCAGTTTGCCAGCTAAGCCAATCACAGATCTTGGGACTTGGATAGAAATGACCCTCTCCCCACCCCCATTTTCTTGACTCTTCCCTCTAAGGGTCTTCTCTGAAATCCCTAGATATGAAAAGAGTGATACATTGAGGCTAACAGGCCCAGATTTGTTAACTGTGGATGTGGGCAAGTAATCTGACCTTAGGAGCCTCGGATTCCTCCCCTGGGAAGAGAAAGGAAATCTTTTGACTACAAAGATTTCTTGAGCTGCTGAAGCACAGTGATCATGATTCTAACCAGAGTGTCTTTTTTCTAAAACTCTACTTCTTGGGTTCTGGACTTCTCTGGCTCTCCTGCTTCTGATTCTGGTCTGCAGTATTTCTATCCTCTGTCCATTTTGACATATTAGTTAGAAAGCCACAATAAAAATGGAAATTTTCTATTTTTCGCTCTACCCAGAGTCCTCCCACTCGTTATGCATGCATTGCCCTGAATCACTCAGCTTTAGGAGTCTGACTTCTCTGGGGTCACAGGAGCACTGTAGAGGGGCCGGGCTTTCAGCATTTGATCTTACCATACTGTATGGGGGTCAAATGTCCTTGTCATTTGCGCAGTAAAACTCAGATGATCCTGGTTACATTATATTCCTTTTTGACAATATGGACTGCAACTTTAGAATCATATCTTTGCTCCTTGGTTTTACTCTGAAGGAGGAAAAAAGCCATACAAAGCAATCTTTATTTTATTTTATTTATTTATTTATTTATTTATTTTTTGAGACGGAGTCTTGCTCCATTGCCAAGGCTGGAGTGCAGTGGCACGATCTCGGCTCACCGCGACCTCCGCCTCCTGGGTTCAAGCGATTCTCCTGCCTCAGCGTCCTGAGTAGCTGGGACTACAGGCGCCCACCACCACGCTTGGCTAATTTTTTGTATTTTTAGTAGAGATGGGGTTTCACCGTGTTAGCCAGATGGTCTCGATCTCCGGACCTCGTGATCCGCCCGCCTCGGGCTCCCAAAGTGCCTAGCTATTTTTTTGTATTTTTAGTAGAGACGGGGTTTTACCATGTTGGCCAGGCTGGTCTCAAACTCCTGACCTCAAGTGATCCGCCCTTCTCGGCCTCCCAAAGTGCTGGAATTATAGGCATGAGACCCCACGCCCGGCCTGATCTTTTGTTTATTTTATATACCAGAGGATCTTCTTGCAGGCTTTCCCACTCTGCCTTCCCTGTACTATTTCTTTTCTTTCCTTTTCTTTTCTCTTCTTTTTTTTTTTTTTTTTTTTGATATGGCATCTTACTCTGTCATCCAGGTTGGAGTGCAGTGGCACCATCTTGGCTACTGCAACCTCTGCCTTCCAGGCTCAAGTGATCTCCTACCTCGGTCTCCTGAGTAGCTGGGACTACAGGCGCAGGCCACTATGCCTGGATTTTTTTTTTTTTTTTTTTTTTTGTACTTTTGGTAGAGATGAAGTTTCACTGTGTTGCCCAGGCTGATCTTGAACTCCTAAGCTCAGGTGATTCACCTTCCTCGGCCTCCCAAAGTGCTGGGATTATGGGTGTGAGCCACTGCCTGGCAAACCTATACTATTTTTTTGGGGTTTTATTTTTTAAGTATGAATTTTAGAGTTATCCAATTTTTTTTTCTTTTTTTTGAGACAAGGTCTCACTTTGTTGCCCAGGTCAGAGTACAGTGGCACAATCATGGCTCACTGCAGCTTCGACTTCCTGGGCTCAAGCGATCCTTCCACATCAGCCTCCCGAGTCCCTGGGACTACAGGCACACACATCCACATCTGGGCTAATTTTTGTATTTTTGGTAGAGAGGGCATCTCGCCACGTTGCCCAGGCTGGACTCGAACTCCTGGGCTCAAGTGATCCTCCGCCTTCCAAAATGCTGGGATTACAGGTGTGAGCCATGGTGCCAGGCCTCTTTTGGGTTTTCCTTAAAAATGATGGCAGTCATAAAAACAGCTACCATTTACTCACAACTTGCTATATATCAGGCCATATGTTGGATGCTGGATCTATGTTATCTCATGTAACCCTCACAATAAACATAAGAGGTAGGTACCAAAACTGAGGCCTATAGAAACCAAGTGATCTTTTTCTCAGGAACCCTGTCTGGCAGGTCCTCTGATGGGCTTGGTTCACTCTTCCTAAAGGCCCCTCAGCTTCTGCAGCTTCCTCATTTCCAGGGGTAGAGGAATCTCTGCTGCCTTTTGAATTTCCTTCTTCCTATAAAGCTCCAAGTTTCCCAAAGTTAACCAAGCTTCAGTAGCCTTGCTGAGAAGAATTGCACAGACACCCTGTAGAGCCAAAGACTTCTTGCCCCCATAATGTTCTGGTTCTCACAGAAGCCACAAAGCTAGGAATGGTCCTGAAGGAACACAGGTTCATGAGCCCCTTTGACCATATGCATATGCTGGACTCCACAAAGAATGGCTGTAATAGCATCTCTGGGCCTTCTTGGGGTTAGGAGAACAGGACGGTGACCTAGAAGAGATTTGTAGGTCTCTGACTTCATCGCTTCACCTTTGGCACAATTAAGCTTTCTTTTTTCTTCTTCTTCTTCTTTTTTTTTTTTTTTGAAATGGAGTCCCGCACTGTCACCCAGGCTGGTGCAGTGGCACGATCTCGGCTCACTACAACCTCCACCTCCCAGGTTCAAGCGATTCTCCTTGCCTCAGCCTCCTAAATGGCTGGGATTTCAGGCGCCCACCACCACACCTGGCTTATTTTTTTGTATTTTTAGCAGAGATGGGGTTTCACTCTGTTGGCCAGGCTGGTCTCGAACTCCTGACCTCGTGATCTGCCCACCTCAGCCTCCCAAAGTGCTGGGATTACAGACGTGAGCACCGCTCCTGGCCACAATTAAACTTTCTTATTCCAATCCCCAAGAATGGTTACACGCTCTGTCTCTCTCATACTGCTCAAAACATTTTCCATTTCAATTTAAACCAAGCTTTCCTTATTCTACCCTGTCAAAACCAGGAATAATTAATTATGATATTCAAAATATTAATTTCCTTCCTTGCTTTCCTTTCTCTTCCCTAAAAAGAATATGAAGCAAGTGCTTTGGGGGAATTGTCTTTGCCCATCAAGAAGTGCACAAACTAGCGTGCCTGTAATCCCAGCTACTTGGGAGGCTGAGGCAGGAGAATCGCTTGAACCCCGGAGGCAGAAGTTGCAGTGAGCCGAGTTCGTGCCATTGCACTCCAGCCTGGGCAACAAGAGCGAAATTCCTTCCCCCCAACCCCACTCAAAAAAAAAAAGTGCAAAAACTGTTACAATGGGAGGAATAATTGTGGGGATTAATGTGCTTTTCTCTTCTAATTTTTTCCTTACTGGCTGGAAGAACTGTTTTATCTGGAGAAGGGGAGAATGATTAGAGTGGCTCCTGAAGGAATTGAAAGAAAGAAAGCTAGTATTCAGTTTCTGACATTCAAAATGGGATTTCACAGCCAGCCAATGACTTGAATGCTAGGTTTGGAGTGAAAGAAAGGATTTTTCTGAATCTCTTTAGCTCCCAGTTGGTCCGGATCATACAGTTTCTCCCACAGGAGAGAGAAGGTAACAGTTTATGATTTAGGTTTAGCCTGGAGTCTGACTACAGGAATAAGGAAGTTATAAGGTGGAGGAAGTAAATGAACTGATTGCCTCTTCTTGTCCTGGGGGATTGTCAGAGGAGGAGGCCATGAACAGATGCCAGGTTAGGAGGGAGGTGTGAGATGTGTGCTCTGACATCCCTGTGAAAGGCGTGTTGACAAGCTGAGAGGCACACGGAAGACATGGCTCTTCCTCAGTCCTTGTTTAGAACTGTGGGAGGAGAGTCCTTTACTCTGGGACTTAAAGCAAGGATGGGGTGAGCAGTCCAAATGGAGCAAAAGGCAGGTCACATGTCAGACAGTGAGAGGGCCTACTCTACAGCCCCATTGGAGAGCCTGCAAGTTAGGCCTGATGACCGCAGTCCAGGATGGCAGAGGGAGGGGGTGCAGAGCTCTGATGGGGCCACTGCTCCAGAAGGAGTTGGGGCGAGGTGAGGACACAGGGGGAAAATAAGAGGGAACCCAGGCAGGTGCTATGCCAGCTGAAGGCTCCAGTCATGGGCGCCAGCTGAACCCATAGGGTTCAGGACCTGCACAAAGCCAAGGTGCCTTCTTCCCCTTGATGATGCCATGAGCCATAGGTTCACACACCTTCTGATGAGGGATGGGGGAGGAGGCAGCAGAAACCAGAGACCCTAAGCAGGACCCAAAGGGACCAATTAAACTGTTGATTTGAACTAAGGTTTAAGCTGAACTGGGCATTTAGCTCTATTTCTTCTCTTTACCTAGCAAATAACAAATGAGATGACAACACAAAATATTTTCCCTGCACATCCAAGCTGTATGGTGAGCATATTTAAGTCTGCCACTGTGTATTTCAATAAAAGAAAATTAGCTGTTCTATCAGGCCCAGTGGTTTCAGGTCTTTTAACTTTTCTTCTTATTTTACCTTCTTGGTTCGAATTGCTAACCTCTATGTAGTTTCTGAATGTTCATATCCCTCTGAAATACCAGAGTATGTTCTCTTCTTCTCCCTCCTCCTCAACATCAGCAACAACAAAAAGAAGCAGGAAAGTGTCGCTGTTCCTGGGTTGAATTGTGTCCCCCAAAATTCATGCATTGATTTAGAGATAGGACCTTTAAAGAGGTAACTAAGTTAAAATAGACATTAGGGTGGTCCCTAATCCAATCTGACTGGTGTCCTTATAAGAGGAGACAGGGGGCCGATCATGGTGGCGCATCCCTATAATCCCAACACTTTGGGAGGCCAAGGTGGGCAGATCACTTGAGCTCACGAGTTTAAGACCAGCCTGAGCAACATTGTGAGATCCCCGTCTCTACAAAAAATACAAAAATTAGCCAGGCGTGGTGGTATATGCTCCTATAGTCCGAGCTACTCAGGAGGCTGAGGCAGGAGGATCACTTGAGTCCAAGAGGTCGAGGCTTCAGTGAGCAGAGATCACGCCACTGCACTCCAGCCTAGGTGACAGAGAGAGACCCTATCTCAAAAAAACAAAAAACAAAACAAACAAACAAACAAAAATGCCAGGGATGCACGCACAGTGCACGCAGAGAAAAGACCAGGTGAACAGGCATCAAAAAGGCAGCCGCAAGCCAAGGAGAGAGGCCTCAGAAAAAACCAAACGTGCCAATACCTTGACCTCACACTTCCAGCCTCCAGAACTATGAGAGTAAATTTCTGTTGTTGAAGTCACCCAGTCTGTAGTGTTTTGTTATGGCAGCCCTGGAAAACCAATAAACTCACCTTTCTTTGTTTTTGCTCAGGTAACAGAATTGTGCCAGTGAGTGCCGCCATGGCTAAACAGAGCCACACCTGGGCAACATGGTGTCTCTACCAAAAATACAAAACTTAGCCGGGCGTGATGGCATGTGTCCGCAGTTCCAGCTACTCAGGAGGCTGAGGTGGGAGGATCGCTTGAGCCTGGCAGGTCAAGGCTGCAGTGAGCCACCGCGCCTGGCCTTTTTATGTATTTTTTTTTTGAGGGGTAGGCATGAAATTAGCAGCACAAAATGAGAGACGGTATAAAAACTGAAACGTGATCCCCGAAAGTTTATCACAGTACAAGCTGAGAAGAGAAAACGTCAGGAAGTTTGTCATTTAGCAGAGTCCTTCCAGCTGCAAGGGCGACAGAAACTCTGTGACTTGTCAGCCAAAGGCCTGGGGTCTTGCGAATGTTCCTAATGAGCGGTGCTTTCTACCAGCTGGAAACCAGCTGCTTAACTGACATCTGGAAATGACTAATGGAAATTAGGGGAGGCCCCAAAAGAAATCAGGCTCTGGGAAAACACGGATTATAGAAACCCTACACATTTCTAGGATTATTATATTCTAGAAATACATAGAATACATATATACATATAATACATTGTATGTATTTCATATGTGTATGTATATGTATGTACATATATGTACACGTATATGTATGTACATATATGCACACGTATATGTATGTACATATATGCACACGTATATGTATGTACATATATGCACACGTATATGTATGTACATATATGTACACGTATATGTATTACATATATGCACACGTATATGTATGTACATATATGTACACGTATATGTATGTACATATATGTACACGTATATGTATGTACATATATGTACACGTATATGTATTACATATAATCCTGGGTTTTACTGTTTATTTATTTATTTTTTAGTTTCAGTTTTTTGAGACAACATCTCTCCCTGTCACCCAGGCTAGAGTACAGTGGTGCAATCTTGGCTCACTGCAGCCTCCGCCTTAGGGGTTCAAGGGACTCTGGTGCCTCAGTCTTCCAAGTAGCTGGGAATACAGGTGCGCACCAGCACGCCTGGGTAATTTTTGTACAAATTTTTAGTAGAGATGGGGTTTTGCCATGTTGGCCAGGCTGGTCTGGAACTCCTGGCCTCAAGTGATCTGCCACCTGGCCTCAAGTGATCTGCCCACCTCAGCCTCTCAAAGAGCTGGGATTACAGGCATGAGGCACCACACCTGGTGGGTTTTACTCTTTTTTAAAACAATGGTTTCTTAAAATGTAAATCAGTTGACCCAAGCTATTCAGGGAATGAGCCAGATTGCTCATCACTTGGATTGCTCAGCATCCTGCCTCAGGGACCCAGGTGTGGGGAAAGGTTTTCCCTCTGCTTGTGTTCAAGGTACTCAATCCTTATCCCATGATATGCCTGAGTTCAGGATTAGGACAGCCCAAAATATTAAGCAAGGCTAAGAACATCGATAGGGTTCCACCTGCCTTCAAACTACCCCTCCATCCCCTCCAACCAGGAAACACAAGCATTGACTTCATCCACCCATCTCTCTCTCTTACTTTATGATAATAATGCACAGGGCCTCATTTGGAGGAAAAAGTTTTTGCCTCATTCAACCAGAGTCCAGAGAGGAATTTTCTTCTGAAAGTGGAGATCCGTCTTATCTCCCCCACCTCTTGCCTTGGGGTTAGAATACCAGGAGACGGTGCTGGGACCCTGAGCAAGTGGTGGCATACCTGTCATGACCTTAGCCCTGCTCTAGGCCGTTCGCAACACACCCAGGTCCTGCTGCCCAGCACCCCTGCCTCCTTTCTAATCCTGTGTTTAGAGAAACACTCCAGTTTGCTCCTTGTCCCACAGCCTCAGAACTCAGTTCAAGGGGAGGGAGTGAACAAGCCTTCTCAGTTGTCAAAGGCCTTTGCTATCTGAGCATTGCAACAGCAAAAGCAAATGGCCTAATCCCTTACTTAGATAGGCAGGGCCAGAGCTAAGGCAAAGAATCTTGTTTGTCGTAGAATAATAGAATGCAGAACCAGTAGATGTCTCCTGGATCATCTGGCCCACAGTGCACAAATGAGGAAACTAAGACGCAGAAAGATGAAATAACTTGCCCAAGGTCACGCAGGCCCAGTATAAATAACACCAGTCGCCCCAACTTATTAAGCTCCTACTGTGTTACCTGCTATAGGGTAAAGCTTTTACCTGCCTTATGTCTCCTCACCACAACCTTGCAGGATAGGTGCTATAATCTCTGATTCACACAAAGAAAATGGAAGCCCAGAGAAGGCAGGTGACTTGCCCAGGGGAGCCCCCCAGCTTAGCACAAAGTCAGGTTTCCTTTTCTTTTCTTTCTTTCTTTGCTTTTTTTTTTTTTTTTTTTTTTTGAGACAGTGTTTCACTCTTATCACCCAAGCTGGAGTGCAGTGGTGTGATCTTGGTTCACTACAACCTCCACCTCCCAGGTTCAAGCGATTCTCCTGCCTCATCCTCCCAAGTAGCTGGGATTACAAGCTCCTGCCACCACACCTGGCTAATTTTTTTTTTGTATTTTTAGTAGAGATGGAGTTTCACCATGTTGGCCAGGCTGGTCTCGAACTCTTGACCTCAGGTGATCAGCCTGGCTCAGTCTCCCAAAGTGCTGGGATTACAGGCGTGAGCCACCACGCCCAGCCAAAGCCAGGTTTCCAACACTCTCTCAGCCACCACTCTCTAAAGTGAGACCCTGTTTTGTTGGTGGGTTTGTCAGAATGCTGGATTTTCCACATCTAAGACATGGCATGACATGATTGGCAGGTTGCAAGCGCTGCTGTTTCGTAAGAGACCAGTACAACAGGGAGAAGAAACTACCTGGCCTCCTCAGAACGAAAGAATTATAGCTCTCAGCTCAGCTTTCCATAGACCTCTCCAAAAAGGCTGTGAAATGTTGACAAACGAGTTAAAGTTGGATCAAGTGCCAGCCACTGTGCACTTACTTCCTGATTAGTTGTATCCATGGCCCTTGTCGCTGAGGACACAGAAAGCAAAGAGAATGTTAGCTTTCTCATATGGTGGTGTGAAATCAGAGGTTCCTCACAGCCCTGGGAGTTGGGGCCGAGCTGGGTTTGTGTCTCTTCTTGCCCCATCCCTCTCCTGCTGCTTGGTGTCTTTTCCTTCCTTCATGTCCCAGCCGTCCCCTGCAAGGCCCTACTCCACACCAGAACCTCTGCCCTAGTCCTCCTTCCCTCTGTCCCGTAAACACTACCTGTCCCATGTGCCTTTCCTCTGGGGCCCTGTTCTCTGTCCTCCGGGCTGACTGATAAGCTGATCCATGTGACGTGCTCAAGGGAAACTTGCTCCACTTAGGTAACACATTTGAGATTTAAAAGGTGGAGTTGTCAAGTTTCTGAGTCATCTGTCAGGGATACATCTGGGGAGCCAGGAAGGCCTTGGAGGGGCCATACAATCACAGGCTGAGTCACTCATTTCTAGGGTTGTCACAAGCTTGATACTCTGCTCGCCCTGTTCCCATACTGCTGGAGAAAAGGTTTCCAGTGCTCTGTCCATGCGAAGTATATAGTAAGCGAAACTTCTGTGCATCTGTTTCCTCACACAAATGCCACACTTAATGAGGGACGTGGTAACTCTCAACTGTACCCTGGGTCACTCCCAATTATCTTTCTGTGTATTAAAGCTGTGCTTAAAGCTATAGCAAAATAAGATTATTCTGGTAATTTTGAACCCTTATTATGGATCAGTCTCTACATATTGATCTCTAATCTTTATCACAACCTCAAGAGGTTAATATTATCACCTATTTTATTGATAAAGAAACTGAGATTCAGTGACTGGCCCAGATTATCTTAAGAAGAAAGTCTGAGAAAGGTCTGTCTGACCCCGTGGTCCTTGCTCTTCCTTTTGTGCAAGGACGTGTCACTTAGCTCAAAGTATGCCTATAGCCCAGGCTGGAGCTGGCTTTTGCTGGTTCCTGAGAGCTGATTGTGAAATTTTCAGAAATTAGACAAGCCAATGGTTAAACACAGCCATTACTGAAAGTAAAATACATAAACCTTACGATGTTAGTTATGGGCTTGTAAATACAAGAAAAATAGAAATAAAAAATATATATAAACTCAGGTATGTCTTTATGAGCAGCGTGAAAACAGACTAATACAGTAAATTGGTACCAGTAGAGTGGGGCAGTGCTGGAAAGATACCCAAAAATGTGGAAGCAACTTTGGAACTGGGTAACAGGCAGAGGTTGGGCAGTTTGGAGGGCTCAGAAGAAGACAGGAAAATGTGGGAAAGACTGGAACTCCTTAGAGACTTGTTGAAGGGCTTTGACCAAAATGCTGATAATGATATGGACAATGAAATCCAGGCTGAGGTGGTCTCAGCTGAAATGAGGAACTTGTTGGGAACTGGAGCAAAGGTGACTCTTGTTATGTTTTAGCAAAGAGACTGGCAGCATTTTGCACCTGCCCTAGAGATTTGTGAAAATTTGAACTTGAGAGAGATGATTTAGGGTATCTGGCGGAAGAAATTTCTAAGAAGCAAAGCATTCAAGAGGTGACTTAGGTGCTGTTAAAGGCATTCAGTTTTTTTTGTTTTGTTTTTTGAGATGGAGTTTCACTCTTGTTGCCCAGGCTGTAGTGCAATGGTGCAATGTCAGCTCACTGCAACCTCTGCCTCCCAGGTTCAAGCAATTCTTCTGCCTCAGCCTCCCAAGTAGCTGGGATTGCAGGCATGCACCACCACGCCTGGCTAATTTTTTGTATTTTTAGTAGAGATGGGGTTTCACCATGTTGGCCAGGCCGGTTTTGAACTCCTGACCTCAGGTGATCCACCCACCTTGCTTCCCAAAGTGTTAGGATTACAGGCGTGAGCCACCATGCCTGGCTCAGGCATTCAGTTTTACAAGGGAAGCAGAGCATAAAAGTTCGGAAAATTTGCAACCTGACAATGTGATAGAAAAGAAAGTCCCATTTTCTGGGGAAAAATTCAAGCTGGCCACAGAAATTTGCATACGTGATGAGGAGCCAAATGTTAATCACCAAGACAATGGGGAAAATGTCTCCAGGGCATGTCAGAGAACTTTGCAGCCACTCCCATCACAGGCCCAGAGGCCTAGGAGAAAAAAAATGGTTTTGTGGGCCGGGTGCAGTCTAGTGATTTGGTGCCCTGCATCTCAGCCACTCCTCCAGCCGTGGCTGAAAGGGGCCAATGTAGAGCTTGAGCCATGGCTTCAGAGGGTGCAAGCCCTAAGCCTTGGCCACTTCCATATGGTGTTGAGCCTGCAAGTGCACAGAAATCAAGAATTGGGGTTTGGGAACCTCCACCTAAATTTCAGAGAATGTATGGAAACACCTGGATGCCCAGGCATAAGTTTGCTGCAGGGCGGGGCCCTCATGGAGAACCTCTGCTAGGGTAGTGTGGAAAGGAAATGTGGGGTCAGAGCCCCTACACAGAGTCCCTACTGGGGCACTGCCTAGTGGAGCTGTGAGAAGAGGACCATCATCCTCCAGACTCCAGAATGGTAGATCCACTGACAGCTTGCACCGTGTGCCTGAAAGTGACGGACACTCAACACCAGCCTGTGAAAGAAGCTGGGAGGGAGGCTGTACCTTGCAAAGCCATAGGGGTGGAGCTGCCCAAGACCATGGGAACCCACCTTTTGCATCAGTGTGACCTGGATGTGAGACATGGAAGCAAAGGAGGCCATTTTGGAGCTTTAAGACTTGACTGCCCTGCTGGATTTCAGACTTGCATGGGGCCTGTAGTCCCTTGTTCTGGCCCATTTCTCCCATTTGTAATGGCTGTATTTACCCATGCCTGTACTCCCATTGTATCTAAGAAATAACTAATTTGCTTTCAATTTTACAGGCTTATAGGCAGAAGGGCTTGCCTTGTCTGGAATGAGACTTTGGATTGGGGACTTTTGAGTTAATGCTGAAATGACTTAAGACTTTGGGGGACTGTTAAGAAGGTGTGATTGGTTTTGAAATGTGAAGACATGAGATTTGGGAGGGGCCAGGGCAGAATGATATGGTTTGGCCGTGTCCCTACCCAAATCTCATCTCAAATTCCCATGTGTTGTGGGAGGGACCTGGTGGGAGGTAATTGAATCATGGGGGCAGGTCTTTCCAATTCTGTTCTCATAATAGTGAATAAGTCTCATGAGATCTGATGATTTTATAAGGGGTAGTTTTCCAGCATGAGCTCACTCTTTACCTCCCACCATCCATGTAAGACGTGACTTGCTCCTCCTTGCCTTCCACCATGATTGTGAGGCCTCCCCAGCCATGTGGAACTGTAAGTCCATTAAACCACCTTCTTTTGTAAATTGCCCAGTCTTGGGTATGTCTTTATCAGCAGCATGAAAACGGACTAATCCACCCTCCTGCTTCTCTGACTGTGGCTTCTCAGATACATGCATGGCTCCTCTTTTTCTAACTGCCCTCTAATTGTTGATGTTCCTCAAAGTTCTATTTGCATCCTGCCTCCTTTGTCATTGTGCATGTTCTTCCTGTCTGATCTTCTTTATCTCATGTTCTTGGCTGCCAAATGTATGTATATCAAGTATTGGTTTCTGAAAGAATCCTGGTAAATAGCACTTGTTTTCCCCTTCCATATTCTGAATAATCTGAGAAATGAAACAAATAACTAAAATGGGTGCTAAAACCACACAAAAATCAGATGTAATTTTATATACTAGAAATAATCCAAAAATGAAATTAACAATTCCATTTACAATAGCATCAAAAAGAATAAAATACTTTGGAATAAATTTAACTAAGATATAGGAGACTTGTACACTGACACTGGGCATGGTGGCTCACACTTGTAATGCCAGCACTTTGGGAGGCTGAGGCAGGAGGATTGCTTGAGCCTAGGAGTGTGGACCCACCCTGGGTAACACAGTGAGACCCTGTCTCAAAAAAAAAAAAAAAAAAAAAAAGGATAGAAACAAACAAAAGACTTGTACACTAAAAACTATAAAACATTGCTGAAATAAATAAAGAACATGTAAATAGGAAAAACATCTTGTGTTCATGAATTGGATCATTTAATTTTGTTAAGAGAGCAATACTTCACTAAGTGATCTACAGATTCAATGCAACACTTACTTATAAAAGTCCCAACAGTTTTTTTTGAAGAAATGGAAAAATTGATCCTAAAATTTATACAAAATTACAAGGGACCCTGATAGCCAAAATAATCTTGAAAAAGAAGAATAAAGTTAGAGGACTCACTCTTTCCAATTTGATTTTATTTTACTTATTTATTTATTTTATTTTTATTTATTTCTTTATTTTGAGATGGAGTTTTGCTCTTGTTGCCCAGGCTGGAGTGCAATGGCATGATCTTGGCTTACTGCAACCTCTGTCTCCCAGGTTCAAGTGATTCTCCTGCTTCAGGCGCCCTAGTAGCTGGGATTACAGGTGCACACCACCACACCCGGCTAATTTTTTGTATTTTTAGTAGAGACAGAGTTTCACCATGTTGGTCAGGCTGGTCTCAAACTCCCGACCTCAGGTGATCCACCCACCTTGGCCTCCCAAAGTGCTGGGATTACAGGCATGAGCTACCATGCCCGGCCTTATTTTTATTTTTGAAGGTACATTAGCATCTTCCCAATTTTAAAACTTACTACAAAGCTATGGTAATCAAGATGGTGCAGTACCAGCATAAGGGTAGACATGTAGACCAGTGAAATAGAATTGAGAATCTAGAAACAAACCCATACATCTATGGTCAATTGATTTATGATAAGGGTGCCAAGACTGCTCAATAGGGAAATAATGGTCTTCAACAAATTGTGCTGGGACAATGAAATATCAAAAAGAATGAAGTTGGACCCTTATATCACACAATAAGCAAAGATTAACTAAAAATGAATCAAAGATCTAACTATAAACTATAAAATTCTTCAAATAAGACATAAGGGAAAATCTGCATGACCTTGGATTTGACAATGGATTCTCAGATGTGACACCAAAAGTACAAGAAACAAAAAAAGGCCGGGTGTGGTGGCTCATGCCTGTAATCCCAGCACTTTGGGAGGCTAAGGCAGGTAGATTGCTTAAGTCCAAGAGTTCCACACCAGCCAGGACAACATGGCATAACCCTGTCTCTACAAAAAAATAAAAATTAAAAAAAATTAGCCAGGTGTGGTGGTGTGTTCCTGCAATCCCAGCTACTCAGGAGGCTGATGTGGGAGGATCGCCTGAGCCTGGGAGGTGGAGGTTGCAGTGAGCTGGGATCGTGCCACTGCACTCCAGCCTGGGTGACAGAGTGAGACCCTGTCTTAAAAAAAAACCAAAAAACAAAAAACAAACAAAAGGAACAAAAAAATGATAAATTGGACTTCATAAGAATTAAAAACTTTTGTGTATCAAAGGACATAATCAAGAAAATGAAAGGACAACACATAGATAGGAGAAAATATTTGCAAATCATGTATCTGACATGGGTTTGGTATCCAGACAACCCAAACCAAGTAGGCAAACGAAGTAAGCAAAGAACATAAGCAGACATTTCTCCAAAGATTACATAGAATGGCCAATAGGCACACAAGAACATTCTCAATAGCATTAGTCATTAGGGGAATGCAAATCAAAACCACAGTGAGATACTATTTCATACTCACTAGGTTGGCTAAACTTTGTTTTAATGGAAAATTACAAGTGTAGGCAAGAATATGGAGAAATTGGAACCCTTTATACCACTGATGGGAAGGTAAAATGGTGCAGCAGCTGTGAAAACCAGTTTGATATTTCCTTGAAAGTTAAACAGAATTACCATAGGCCCTAGCAATTGTATACTTCCATATATGTCCAAGAGAAATGAAAACAGGTGTTCATTATTCATAATAGCTATGAATAATGTGGAAAAAAAGTCACTTTTTTTTTGTTTTTTGAGACAGAGTCTGGCTCTGTCACCCAGGCTGGAGTGCAGTGGCATGATCTCAGCTCACTGCAGCCTCCCGAGCTCAAGTGATCCTCCCACGTCAGCCCCCCAAGTAGCTGGGACAATAGGTGTATGACACCCCTTCTGGCTAATTTTGGCACTGTTTGTAGAGATGGGATCTCACTATGCCCGGCTGGTCTCAAACTCCTTGGCTCAAGTGATTCACCCCCTTTGGCTTCCCAAAGTACTAGGATTACAGGCATGAGCCACTGTGCCTGGCCAAATTACATATTTTTTGTAAAAAAAATTTTTTTTTACAAAAAGTGGAAACAATACAAATATTTATCAACTGCGGAACTGAGAAAATGTGGCGTGTCCATGCAGTGGATATTATTCACACATAACAAGAAATGAAATACTGATACCCACAACAATATTGATGAAACTTGAAAACGTGACACTAAATGAAAGAAGCTAGTCGTGAATGGCCACATATTGTATGATTCTATTTATATGAAACATCCAGAATAGGCAAGTCCATTGAGACAGAAAGCAGATTCATGATTTCCAGGGGCTGGGAATAGAGGATATGGGGAGTGACTGCTTACTGAGTTTGGTTTTTGGTGTTTTTGTTTGTTTTTGCAGGCAGGTGATGAAAACGGTCTTGAATTATGTAGTGATGATAGTTACACAACAGTGTGAATATAATAAAAACCACTGAATTGTATACTGTAAAATGATTACAATGGCAAATTTTATGTCATGTTAATTTTATCTCAATTAAAAAAATTAAGGGGCCAGGCGCAGTGGCTCATACCTGTAATCCCAGCACTTTGGGAGGCCGAGGTGGGTGAATTGCTTGAGCCTATGAGTTCTAGACCAGCGTGGGCAACATGGCAAAACCCCATCTCTACATAAAAAATAAATAATTAAAAAAGGGTAAAGTATCATGTTTCTTACTGATGGAGGAGATTGGAGGGGGTTGGAGGACTTAGCTTATATTGGAGAAAAACGAGCCTGCTAGATGAGGCCCCAAATTAAGCAGATTTACCCCATTCAGTCAGAACACTGGGCTTGAGCAGATTAGGAGAGGGAAAAACAGAGGGGAACCCATCTACTGTTAGACTTCCCCCAAGAAGAAGAGGGACTTGCATAACCAAGAACGTCCAGTCATTCTCAAATTTTTCAATCAGATATGAAAGTCTATCACTCCAGGAGTGAAGAGAAAAAGGGGGCAGAAGAAGGGTCAGAGTTGTATTTATTGAACTCCTTACACTACCTATGAAAGGAAATGTCAGAAGGGATAGCATTTTCCTTGCTATAACAGAATCAGAAATATGCACTCAATATTGAAAATGAATATAATTTCCTTTGTTTTATATGACAGTTTACATCTTTGTTTTCCTGGATAGCCAGAATAATAGCAATACCTGGTATTGCCATTGAAGGTATCTAGGGCTCTTTTAGTCTATAATAATCTCTTTCAGATTAAAAAGTTTCCTTCCAGTAAATATTCAATCAATTTAGTTCACCTCCCTGCCAGAGCTCTTCCTCCCCTCTTGCTCCTTCTCCCCAAGATGGTGCTGTGTTTGCAGGGAGCTTAGATAGCATCGTGGCAGGAGGTGAGGAGCTCTGCATCTTCAGGCTGGTCCATGAGTCTTTGCTGGTTTCTGATGCACTGAGATGATTTAATCCAATTCCTGGGCGCTTTGGTCCTGGTGCCTTTCAATGAAGTCTATGGCCAGTGAAGCTGCAGCAAGTTTTCTTAGCTAGGCATGGGGAGTTTGGCCCCATCCTTCTATTAGATTGGTACAAAAATAATTGCAGTTTTTGCCTTTAAAAGTATGAGCTTAAATCCTGATTCTGCCACTAACTAGCTGTGTAACCTTGGGCAACCTACTTAAACGCTCTGTGCCTCAGATTCTTAGTCTGTAAAATGGAGTTAAGAATATTGTCAACTTATGGAGTTATTAAGAGGATTAAATAAGTCAATTCATGTAAATGCGTGGCACAGAGTTATGGACTGTCAGCTGCATAAAACTGCACCATATCTACCCAATTACCCAGGTGAGAAACTCAGGAGTCATTCTTCATCCACCCATTTGCCTTTAAAAGTAATGGCAAAAACCACAACTAATTTTGCACCAACATAAGAGATTACCAGGGCATTTGGTGGTGTTGGAACTGCAGACCTTTGGTGTCTGTCACATCCTCCACCAGGCCCCTGCCTTGGGTGTCCATGGCAACCTATGCTGTGGGTCACCCTGGTTACCATTCCTTCCCCTCTGGGTTGGGTGTTGTGGGGAGAGGGGCAGAGAGCACGTGGGAACACATCATGATAAGGCCTTGGAGATCCAGGAACCAGCAGCACCATCTCAGGAGCACATCTATCCAGCCACCTGCCTTCAACACATCATTCTGCCTCTCTGGGCCATATTACATGAGAGGAACATTGCACTGGCTGTAATGTTCTTTGACTCTTCTTGAACGAAGGGTATTAGATGATCTCATCCTGTTGCTCTGCACCGACACATTTAAAAAATCCACTCTCATCCACTAGTCAAGTTTTTTTGACTCTGGACCAGAACTTTTGTCACTGACTACCTGTCCTTTTTCCTATATTTTGCCTTTTCTTCCTTTCTTCCTGTTAGAGGGGCATGTCTCTTTAGTCATATCCTGGCTTCTCTGTGTGTGTGTGCACGAACACGTGTGTGATATTAAAAATATTTAACTACCGGTATGACACAGAA
The DNA here is from genome assembly GCF_000001405.40 of Homo sapiens. NCBI lineage: Eukaryota > Metazoa > Chordata > Mammalia > Primates > Hominidae > Homo > Homo sapiens. Next base: position 40,413,074 of record NC_000004.12, read on the forward strand.
TCCACCAATCAGAATAGACGCTGATCAGTCAGCCTAGCTGTTGGCTGATACCCATATGCTGTCTACTGACCAATCGTGAGAATGTTCAACAGTCTGAGTTGACAGGACTGGCCCTTGAAAAGGGAACTTTTCAATTTCAAAATTGAAATTTCAAAAATTTCACAATGCAGAAATTCCTTTTCTCCTTAGATAAGACCTGAGTCTCAGGACTATTGTCTCACTATGGACTGAACAGAAACTGACTTGATGGTCAATGCTGAGGGCTGACGGACATCTGGCTGGCAGCCACCCTTCCCTGAATCCCACTGATGTCATGTGTGAGGAGTCTCAGAGCACCATGATTTAAGGCAAATGAAAAATACATCCATTTATATTTTCCAAAAGTAATATACTGTCTTATGGTAAAATGAGTCCTACTTTAAAATTCATAGTTTTACTCCACCTCCTTATATCCAACTACCTTCTAGACTTTGCCTGGATCTTCCACAGGCGTCTCAAGCTCAACATGTCTCAATATGTCCCAGTATGACTGGACTTGTCATATGCTCAACCAAATTTGCCATTCTGTCTGTACTCCCCATTTAAGTAAATCGCAATCCAGTGGTGGGGTTTAAGAGATGAATTCTGGGTCAGGCGCGGTGGCTCACACCTGTAATCCTAGCACTTTGGGAGGCCAAGGCAGGTGGATCACTTAAAGTCAGGAATTCAAGACCACCTTGGCCAATATGGTGAAACTCCATCTCTACTAAAAATACAAAAATTAGCCAGGCATGGTGGCACGTGTCTGTAATCCCAGCTACTTGGGAGGCTGAGGCAGGAGAATAACTTGAACCCAGGAGGTGGAGGTTGCAGTGAGCCGAGATCACACCACTGTACTCCAGTGTGGGCGACAGAGCGAGACTGACTCAGTCTCAAAAAAAAAAAAAAAAAAAAAAAGAAAAAAAAAAGAAAGAAAAGAAAAAGACGAATTCTGTAGTCAGACTGTATGAGTCTAAATCCTGATTCTTCCACTTAAACTAGCTGTGTAACCTTGCGTAACCTACTGAAACTCTCTGTGCCTCAGGTTCCTAGTCTGTAAAATGGAGTTAAGAATATTGTCAACTCATGGAGTTGTTAAGAGGATTAAATGGATCAATTCACGTAAACTGCCCAGCGCAGAGTTATGGACTGTCAGCTCCATAAAACTGCACCATATCCACCCAATTACCCAGGTGAGAAACTCAGGAGTCATTCTTCATCCACCTCCCTTTGCGCTATCACTTACTAGTCACCGGCACTGATCGACTTTAACTTAGCACCTCTTGAGTCCATTTCCTGTCCGTTTGCTATCACCTTAGCCCAGCCCACCATCATTTCTCACCTGCTTTCTGCAACAGCCTCCTAACTGGTCCCCCTCCCTTCAGCATTTTTCCCCTCCAGTCTAGTCTCATGCTCTGGCCAGAACACTCTCTCTAAAGTGCAATTCTGATCAAGCCACTCTTCTGTTGAAAATCAATTATTTGCTGGGCACAGTGGCTCATACCTGTAATCTCAGCACTTTGGGAGGCAGAGGCAAACTCCGGACCTGAGGTCAGGAGTTTGAGACCAGCCTGGCCAACATGGTGAAACCTAGTCTCTACTAAAAATACAAAAATTAGCCAGGCATGGTGGCATGCACCTCTAATACCAGCTACTTGGGAGGCTGAGGCAGGAGAATAGCTTGAACCCAGGAGGCGGAGGTTGCAGTGAGGGAAGATCATGCCACTGCACTCCAGCCTGGGTGACAGGAGAGAAATGTTGTCTTAAAAAAAAAAAAATCAATCATTGACTCCTCACTGTGGTCAGGATAGAATGTTACACTGAGTTGCCAACTGGGCACAGCGTGCACCAGCTCCCTCCCCACACACCGTCCAGCAACTCTCTTCAGCCTCATATCACTAGCCTCACCTCCCATTCTAGGCTTTGCTTATTTTATGTTCTTTACAGATCCATTGCTCCCTTTATCAAGATTCCTTCTGCCCTGTCTGAGCCTTCAGAACTCAACTGAGATGTCCCCGATCCAGGAGCAGCTCCCTGAACCCCAAGTCTGGGGTTAAGTATCGCTTCTCTGTGCTACCCAAGCATCAGGATTTATCTCTGTCCTAACACTTCTCCCACTAGTTTATCACGATCTTTTAACTTGTCTGTGTTCTCACTAGACCAGTACCTTCTTGAGGACAGGACTTTTAGTTCTCTATCTTCAATGCCTAGCCCAAGTGTATATATAGTAGGTGCTCAATAAATACTTGATGAATAAGTGGGAGTTTGTTGGGTGGACACTCCTAGAGGGAAGGGAGCTTTTTTTTTTTTTTTTTCGAGATGGAGTCTCACTCTGTCGCCCAGGCTGGAGTGCAGTGGCCAGATCTCAGCTTACTGCAAGTTCTGCCTCCCAGGTTCATGCCATTCTCCTGCCTCAGCTTCCAGAGTAGTTGGGACTGTAGGTGCCCGCCACCACGCCTGGCTAATTTTTTGTATTTTTAGTAGAGACGGGGTTTCACAGTGTTAGCCAGGATGGTCTCGATCTCCTGACCTCATGATCTGCCCGCCTTGGCCTCCCAAAGTGCTGGGATTATAGGCGTGAGCCACCGCGCTCGGCCGGGAAGGGAGCTTTTTAAAGGAACTGCAAATATTAATATTTCGGAATAATGGGAGAGAATGGTAAGCAGGTGAAAGACAAAATCAAAGTTTTCAGTAACCAGGACAGGCACTGGTCAGTCAGAGGAACATGGGCAGTAAGTGACCAAAATGGACATACCAGTGCATAGTGGATATCCGTTCTGCCCATATGCAACTGGCAGGATATAATTCTGAAGACGTGCACAGAGGCCAGTTTATAAAGGGCCTTGTGTGTTTTAAGCTGGACTTGGTACAGTCAGCAGTGGGATACTTCTAAAGATATGTGACATAAGTGACACTCAGATTTGGTTTTAGGAAGATCACTGTGGCCCCAGTGTGGAAGGCAAATGAAAGAGAAGCAAGAGGCCGGGCGCAGTGGCTCGCGCCTGTAATCCCAGCACTTTGGGAGGCTGAGGTGGGTAGATCACGAGGTCAGGAGTCCGAGACCAGCCTGGCCAACACAGTGAAACTCTGTCTCTACTAAAAATGCAAAAAATTAGCCGGCCGTGGTGGCGCAGGCTTATAGTCCCAGCTGCTTGTGAGGCTGAGGCAGGAGAATTGCTGGAACCCGGGAGGCAGATGTTGCAGTGAGCGGAGAGTGTACTGCACTCCAGCCTGGGAGACAAAGCAAGACTGTCTCAAAAAAAAAAAAAAAAAATTGAATTTTGAGTATCATTGTATCTTGAGCAAGTAACTTATCCTTTTTAGGCCTCAATTTCTCCCTTGATAAAATGGAGATCATGTTCACCATTTTGTCTTTAGGCCCCATCACAAAGCCTGGCACATAAATGCTCGAAAAACAAAACATTTGTTAAATGAATGGGAAGGGGAGAATGTCATCTGTAACTATCTTACAGGATTGTCATGAAGATCAGGGAGATAGAGTTTTAGAAAGGCTTCTGTGGCCAGTGAAATGCTATTCAAGGATTAGCTGATTATCCTTGACTGGCATGTCTTTCCAGCATTTTATATCGTATATCTTTTATTTGAGACACTAGTTGTTAAAATTATTCATTGAACTGTCCAGAGGGTCTAATTATTTGGCCCCTCGGCAACTCAGAAGGCTTGGGCTAGCCTCCCTAGATTGGGCTGCTTTTGTGGTACAGTGTCCTGGAGCTGGTGGAGAACCTCCTGACTCTTGAAGTTATTCTCTTTATTTGACTGGCTATGGCCTTAACTTCCAAAGTTAGGGCTTTCTTCCTTAGCTTCGTTGACAAGGGATTTGTTCAATGAAAACCACATAACTCAGGAGGCCAGGCACAGTGTCTCATGCCTGTAATCCCAGCACTTTGGTAGGATGAGATGGGAGGATCGCTTGAGCACAGGAATTCGAGACCATCTTGAGCAACATGGCGAAACCCCATCTCTACAAAAAATACAAAAAATTAGCTGGATGTGGTGGCACATGCCTGTAGTGCCAGCTACTCAGGAGGCTGAGGTGGAAAGATCACCTGAGCCTGGGAAATCGAGGCTGCAGTGAGCAGGGATTGCGCCACTGCACTCCAGCCCGGGTGACAGAGCAAGACCCTGTCTCAAAACAAACAAACAAAAGACAAAAAGCCCCACATAACTCACCTCCTTGGGAATGAATTTGTTTATTTCTTCCCTTTCTGAGAGCAACATTTGATAAAAGACATGCTAGAATGTAAGAGGCTTGGAGGCCACCAGGAAAAAAAAATGTAGAAAGGTGACCCTATAAGACCTTCAGACTCCAGAAAGTTTTGCATCTATATTCTGCAATGTGTGTAATTTTTAAACTTTCCTTTCCACTTGCTCCAATGTCCTTTAAGATAAAGTGACTCTATTAGGAGATCGGTGTGACTTCTAGAACAAACAAATGACTCTACATCCTTACAAAATGGGTGATCTATAATCCCTCCAACCCCAGCCCCAGCTCTAGAGTTAGATATTCCAGGTTCAGATCTACACTGTTTCACTTACCAGCGACGTGGTCTCGGGAGAAGTTATGAAACCTCCTTCTGCCTCCTTGCTTTTTATCTGTAAAATGGGGGTATTAAGAGTAGCAAGCTCAAGTGTGAAAACATGATGCATGCAAAACTAATCTATGCTGTAGATTTGACTGTTTCCCTTGTTGAGGTGGTCACTGGAAAGGGCCATGCAAAACCTTCTGGAATGCTGGTCATGTTACTCCTCTGGATGTTGGTTACATGGATGTGCTCAGTTTGTGAAAATTCATCAAGCTCTCTATGGTATGTACACTACTGTATCTATGTTACTCTTTTAATAAAAAGTTTAAAAAATATCCACGTAAAGTACTTGACCATTGGCATATATGGTAAGTTACTGTCAGCCATTATTCTTATCTCCTGCTGAATGATCATCATCTAAGACTTTAACATTATTCCCAAACACAAGGAAAATGAGGAACCAAAAAAAGACATGCTCGCCGAAGGCAGGCTTGACTGAGCACTCAGTGGCACGGCTGTTTGCACTAAAGCGTTGGGTAATTTCTAAGTAGATTATTTTGGCTGTTGTCTCTTATGCACAAGAGATTCCCTCTATAAATGCTAGAGCACATTTAGAATCAGTTGCATTTCCAGAATTTCTCTCCTTAGGGGAGTGTCTTATTTGGAAAGGGGACATTAGGGGTTTATTGGGAAGCTGAGTCTGCATAGTACTCTATATAAGATTGAGAAAGGGTCAAATGGCCAAATTTGAATGGGGGTGGAGGTGTGAGGGTGGTGAGGTCGACGGAAGTAAAACTATCTCATGGTGCTGTCAGTTTGGAATAAAGGTCGTGAAAAAGGAGCGGAAAAATCCCAGCAAAACCAAACTGGCATGGCCCAGTGTTATCACAATACCATTAAGTGCAAATGTTTTGACCCAGCACACCCCCAGCAAGGTCATCTCAGAAAAAACTGGGCTTCAGTGACATCTCTTAGCTGCCTTAGAATGACTAAGGTTATTTAAACCTCATGGTTGGTTAATCATTAATGAAGATTTTTGACAAACAAAGTAGAACGAGCCAAGAAAGAAGGGTGGCTAAAAATTAGCCTAGGAAAGGTCATATTTCTTGCATATGCAGGGATTAGTGTTGCTTTTGTTTCTGGTAACTGTGCAGAATGGAGTTTCAAGGAAATATGATCCTGTTGGGGAAGCCAATGTGTCTCTGAAGATTTTACTTAGGATTCTCCTCCACTGTATTAGTCCATTCTCATGCTACTAATAGAGACATATGCGTGACTGGGTAATTTATAAAGGAAAGAGATTCAATGGACTCACAGCTCCATATGGCCAGGGAGGCCTCACAATCATGGCAGAAGGTGAAGGAGGAGCAAAGGCATGTCTTACATGGCAGCAGGCAGGGCAGCATGTGCAGGGGAACTGCCTTTTATAAAACCATCAGATCTCATGAGACTTACTATTGTGAGAACAGCACGGGAAAAACCTGCCCCCATGATTCAATTACCTCCCACCAGGTCCCTCCCATGACACATAGGGATTATGGGAGCTACAATTCAAGACGAGATTTGGGTGGGGACACAGCCAAACCATATCATCCACCCTCAGTCATCTGGAGGACTATAGGCCTCCATCACCTTTGCTGAGAAGCCTGCATTCCTGTCCCATGGGGGGTTTACGTAGGAACAGTGGGGACACCCACATGCAGCTGCTGTATGACCCAAGAGGAAAGGGTGAAGGTCCCAGAGGCTGGAACCTGGACCTGCACAAGAAACAGGTGGGCAGCCCTAAAAGCTTTGATTGCTGCTATAAACTCCTGGACAAGCTCAGAGTTGGGAGGCATCCCCCCCTGGGGCCAGGAAGGCAGCAGGAAGGGAGTTTTTCACTAGGGGCAGCTCTAGCTTCAGCAGTGTAGATAAACGCAGGGCTCCACCATTTCCTGAAAGTCCTAAGAAGGAATGAATGATTGAGGGTTCTTTCTCTGTGATTACTGGCTCCCCTAGCTTCCTTGTCATAGGGACCAAATCTCTTCCTCCCACAGTTAACACAGGGCCATGAACCCTATTTAATGTTGAACAGTGCAAAGGTTGGATTTCTTCACACTTTCTCCTCCTTTAAGGCAGCCACCCTGAACTGATTTCATGGACTTGATGATACCGTGTTCTTTCCTCCGGGCCCAGGCATTTCCCGATCCCTTTTCCCCCTACTCATCTGCCTAACTCCTATTCATCTTGTAGATCTCTGGCTCGAGCCTGGGTGTGTGCCCCTTCCATAAAACAGTCTTATCATGCCTGGGAGTTTCCAGAAGGCAGAGGGTCAATTTTGTTGATTTATTTCTCTGGTGAATCCTGCATAGTTGGTACTCCAGCAATGAATGTTTATGGAATAAACAGGTGAATAAAAGAATAAAAAATTTCAGTGAATGAAAGAGTTAAAAAAATCATAAAAGGATTTAAAATGGAAAGGCTTGATAGAATTAACAAAGAGGAATGCAGTCACACTAGAGTTTAAAAAGGAGATGGGAAAGGAAATAACTGTCTATAACTCGTCTCATTTTTTTTTTTTTTTTTTGAGATGGAGTCTCCTTCTGTCACCCAGGCTGGAGTGCGGTGGCACGATCTCAGCTCACAGCAACCCCTGCCTCCTGGGTTCAAGTGATTCTCCTGCCCCAGCCTCCTGAGTAGCTGGGATTACAGGCTCACACCACCATGCCCAGCTAATTTTTTGTATTTTTAGTAGAGACGGGGTTTCACCATGATGGCCAAGCTGGTTTTGAATTCCTGACCTCAAATGATCCACCAGCCTCAGCCTCCCAAAGTGCTAGGATTACAGGCGTGAGCCACCACGCCTGGCCAACTCATCTCATTTTTATAATAACCTTATGAGGTCAGGATTATTATCCCTATTTTACCAGTTAAGAAACTGGTACTGAGAGGTAAGGCATCTTCTTCAAAGTCTCATGACTTGCAAGTAGCAAAGCTGGGGTTTCACCCCTAGGCATTCTGACCACAAACCCAGCCTATTTTAGTAGGCCATGGCACTTGCTCATACAGGTTAGCATTTGGGTAATCACATTTGTCCCCTAAATTTATTGGCATGAAGAGTTAGAAACAGGAATGCTGGGTACTAGTAAGTGAAAAGAGGAGACAGGAGAAAAGGCTGTACCCAGTCCAATAGCTTAGACCTTGGAATTGATGTAAAACATTTTGTGGATGTCCCCTGAGTCTCTTTCTATATTTAAACCTAATCCTCCCTTTGACCTTGGGGGTTCAGAAATGGTGAATGTGTCAAGGAAAAGGTAGGATAAGGTCAGAACATCTGTATCATCCTACCCAGTAGCTGAAGATGGATTTTGTTTTTAGGGTCATGGTGTCAAAACGTTATTTCATCTAAACAGCCATGCCAAAATGTCACACTTCCTATGACTTAAAAAATCAAATCCAAGGCCGGGCGCGGTGGCTCACGCCTGTAATCCCAGCACTTTGGGAGGCTGAGGTGGGCAGATCACGAGGTCAGGAGATCGAGACCATCTTTGCTAACATGGAGAAACCCCGTCCCTACTAAAAATAGAAAAAGTTAGCCGGACGTGGTGACGGGCACTTGTAGTCCCAGCTACTCCGGAGGCTGAGGCAGGAGAATGGTGTGAACCCAGGAGGCGGAGCTTGCAGTGAGCTGAGATCGCGCCACTGCACTCCAGCCTGGGCTACAGAGCCAGACTCCGTCTCAAAAAAAAAAATAAAATAAAAATCAAATCCAAACAAAACAAAACAAAAAACTCAAATACAAAGCCTCAGTGCCCAGAAGGCTTTATAATAAAGAAATCATATAAAAATTGAATATACAAGAAAAATCAGGTTATGTTTTCTAACTCTTCTTTCAATTAAGTTCTTTGCATGTTGTCATGACAGACATTTTTGGAATCAAAAAAATGGGGCATTTAGAACCTGGGACAAGGAGTCTTGAGTGTAGACTTTTTTTTTTTTTTTTTTTTTTTTTTAAGACAAGGTCTCACTCTGTCACCCAGGCTGGAGTGCAGTGGCATGATATTGGCTCACTGCAACCACTGCCCTCCTGGGTTCAACTGATTCTCCTGCCTCAGCCTCCTGAGTAGCTGGGACTACAGGTGCCACCACCATGCCCAGCTAATTTTTATATTTTTGGTAGAGATGGGGTTTCACCATGTTGGTCTTGAACTCCTGACCTCAAGTGATCCACCTGCCTTGGCCTCTTAAAATGCTGGGATTACAGGCGGCAGCCACTGCGCTTGGCCTTGAGTATAGATTTGAGTCCTATTACCAGCTGTGTGATCTTGACCAGTCACATATCTTTATCTGTCCTGCCTGTTTCGCTGAGTTCTTGACAGGTCCATCTGAGGTTATGGAAGCCTAACAGCCCAGTGAATCACATGATCATAGTCATTCTCCTCATGTGACACGCTATTGGCCTCCTCATTTTGATTGTTAATTCTTTTTCTAAAGAGATCAGTCTAACCTGAATGTGATCCTGCAACTTGAAGACCTTTTGTACTTATTTGCTAGAACAAGAAGATCAGCAGCTCTTGTTGCTCCTAAAAACACTGCCTAATAAGCTGTCATCTTGGGAAGTTTCCCAGTCTGTTCAGCCTCTAAAAAGGCCTTTATCCATTTAAGAGGAAGCAGGAAGTTAGAATTCCAAGAAATGCAGGTTGGGAGGCCACAGTCCAGGTTCAAATCTAAGAAGGTAAAATTCTTAATCACTGGCAAATCCAAGTGGAACTTTATTCTATTGACAATCCACCACCTTCCCTCCTGTCATCTGATTGGCTTTGATGATAGATACTGTCTGAAGTTAGTGATGATCTCTAGAGAAAAGGAAAGTGTCCTGTTAACCTTGCTATGCACGGTGAAAAGGAGAAACGAGAAGGTTTTGGTTTCAAATGCAATGACCAACATCAAGGTCATCCCAGCACTTTCATGAGACCATCAGAAAACTCAATGTACATCAACTCTCTCCATTTAAAATTCTGCGTGTAAAGCCTTTGGGATTATAAATAAACTTTGGCACTGAGGGTGGTGACAGGCTTTGTCACATCCTATTCCAATCCAGATTTGAGTATTATTTGAGTGTTCAATCTCCTACCACTTGAGCCAAAGTTTGAGGATACTCATAATTCACAATTCAGCTATGTAACCCATCTTTTTTTTTTTTAAGATGGAGTTTTGCTGTTGTTGCCCAGGCTGGAGTGCAAAGGCATGATCTCGACTCACTGTAACCTCCGCCTCCTGGGTTCAAGGAATTCTCCTACCTCAGCCTCCCACGTAGCTGGGACTACAGGCACCCACCACTATGCCTGGCTAATTTTGTTTGTATTTTTAGTAGAGATGAGGTTTCACCATGTTGGCCAGATGGTCTCGAACTCCTGACCTCAGGTGATCTGTCCGCCTTGGCCTCCCAAAGCGCTGGGATTAGAGGAGTGAGCCACCGCACCTGGCCGATGTAACCCATCTTCAATGGTAGTCCCAAGACAAACACATGACCGTTAACTTGCTGATTTCTCCAACGGAAAATATCGAATTAGCCAATCCTTTCTATGCTGTAAGGGTTTTCCTAATTTTTTTAGAAAAAATAAATCAGTATAAAGAAAACACAATTTAAAATAAGGTCTTGCGATTGCTTTAAAGAAAGCTTTATTTACTACATACATCCTAAGAATGTACTGTAAATGGAGCAAGATCTAAATAAAAGCTTTTCAAATATAAAGCAGCTAAAGTTAACTAAACCACTAGCAATGTTTGAAAACAGAACTCTAAAACTTTTTTTTTACATTTATATAGTTTGTTCTTAACACTAAAAAAAAAAAAAGTTCACATTTCAAGTTATAAACTTACCTCAGTAGTGTACATGAAATGGTTTTGAAACAATAGGAACAGATAAGTCCCAGATAGGAGGCTCACTGATACTTAATTGGCCATGTCACCAATGTTTGTTTTTAAGGGAGTTTGGTGGTTGCCATGTTATCATTTTTTTTTATTCTTTCTTTCTTTTTCTTTCTTTCTTTCTTTCTTTCTTTCTTTCTTTCTTTCTTTCTTTCTTTCTTTCTTTCTTTTCTTTCTTTTCTTTCTTCCTCTTCTTCTTCTTTTTTGCAAATAATTTACAGGCATATGTAAAATACAGTAAGAATACTGGGTCATAGTTTCATCCAGTGAAACTCTGTGACAATCCTTCACTAGAAGGAGAGTACTTTTTTCACACAGTCAGGGGATGAGGATCTGATCCGAATTACATTTTGTCGAGTCACTCATTCCCACAGATTTGAGTTTGAATGCAGCTTGTGGGGTACATCATCAGGAACATTGCACAATTATTTTATGTCATTTAAAAGAATGATGGAAAGGAATGTTAGCGGTGCTTAAAGGCCTCAGTAGGCACTCAATAATTTTATAGAATAGTTAAATAAATATTGCTTACACATAAAAACTCATCTCATTTCAAGATGAGGGGGAAAAAGGCATTTGGGAATCTCTTAATTTAAAACAAAACAAAAGTACTTGCTAAGGGCATGATCCTCTTATGAATCCACAAGAATTCAGCCATCAACAAAAATCCCGTGAGTGGAAAATTGTATGGATCTCTAACATGACATAAAAACGCAACTGCGTTTTACTTGCTACCTTATTGCACACCTCACTTCCTTGATTGAGCCTTTAAAAAACAATTCCAAGTTGATATTTTTTTTTAAAAAGTAGATGACAATCTTAACATTTTACTGTATTTTACATTCACTCTGCTAAACAAAAGCCTTTAAACAGGCACAAAACACTGCAACAATACATTAACTTCCTAATAAAACAAACCTTTTTAATAACATTGAAATAAAATGGTTTCATTTTGCATTAAACTACATACCATGAACTTCTCCAACATAAAAGGACTAAAAACAAGCATTAGAAGATATTTACAAACTATCTTTAAACTTCTACAGGTCTCTCCTCCTCCTCCTGGATGTGCACACCCCAATCCAGTTCACCCATCAAGTGCACAGCAAAGGAAGAGAGGCCCATTTAATAAACATAATGTTTCCAACACCCTTGAGGACCATGGACAGTTTTGCAAGAAACATGGTAAGGCAACTAGAAGCATAACTTTCTGCTGAAAAGAGTCTCTGGGGGTCTTGTCTACGATAACATACATTCTTTGTCCCTACAAACTCATACTTCAAAAATGAATAAAAGCATTAGAAATGGCATTAAAGTTTTACATTGGGCAATTAAATAGCTATGCAAAGGTGTCTTATGCAACTCGATTAAAACCTTGTGCTTACTCTGCTACTGAAAATAGCACACGTAGAAGACAATACTTCCCCAACCAAACAAAAAAAAAAACAAAAAACAACGAAACAACAAACCCCAACAAAAACCCAGGAAGAAGTATAAAAGCCACCAGCTCCTCTATCAGAGCTACTTATCAGTCCTAGGCTTGCCAAACATTGCGGTGGGATTGGGAATCTGGGGAGGAGGGGACAGGGTGAGAGATGTGGGAGTGGGGGCATGTTTAAGGCTAAGGCACATGGAGAATGAGCCCCGGCTAACGGTGGCAAAGGAGAGCTTTCCAGTGTTTGGACTCAGAAGTGCGGCAAGTCTTTTCAATGTTGGCTTAAGGAGAGATCCAGTGTTTAATTTCTTTTAAAAAATAGTACCGCCATGATGATACATGGTAACACCATCAACCCTTAATGCCAGCAGAAATACAGAGGTTTTACTCATTTTAAAATTGCACTTTCCAGTATAACCTTTAAAATAATGCTTTATGTAGTATTTTTAAGCACTACTGTTTGTATCTTTAAATATTGTATATATTTTTCAAAATAGTTCCCTAGCTCCTCAAGTGTGCTTTTTTAATATATAGTTGATATATTATTGAAGGTACTACAAAATAGAAATCTCTGGAGTGCAGAAGTTAAGAAAATAACCTTCATACTGAAAATATATCCTTAAAAAAACAACAACAAAAACCTCTATACAAATGTAGTACAGCATACAAATTTTTAAAAGATGGAATGAAGGCACGAACCATTGCAAGTCTTTTGGAAATGTATGAACGTAGGCATGCTAAGTTGAAAATAGTCTTAAAAAACTAGTGAAAACTTCATGTATATAAAATAATTCAGAAATAAATCTGCTAACATTCTTCACTTTCAGGTTGCATGTGTGAATCCAACATGTTCCTTCTTCATAAATAGTCAAGCGTTCCTTCAGTGGTGTTTGTGTGGTCTGTCTTCGTGCTGGTCACCAGCCTCAGTATGTCTGGTAGACGTCGGGGATGGGGACCTGAATGGCAGCAGCAGGGAAGGCCTGAGGTATGTAGCCTGCGTATCCTCCATACATGGCGGCCGCGGCTGCCGCGTTCTTCTGTAGTGTGGCGATCGTGGCTGTAGCTGGAGCAGCAAATGGCACGTAACTGGCCCCGTAGATCCCGGCAGTAGGAATTCTCTGAACGTTTGGAGCCACCGTGTATACTGGAGTTATTGGGCGGCCCTGAGGAGAAGAGACAAAAAGGAGCCTTCCTGAACACGTGTATGTACCTATCATCCATTCATTCAACAAGCCTCTCCCAGAAGACGGGAATACAAAGACACAAAAGCAAGGGAGAGAAAGGCAGAGGGGCGGGCAAACAGCAATTATTGTAAGCAAGTGGGAGAAGAGCCACTGAAGAGGTAAGGTGGAGCTGCATCCTCAAACTCAGTGATGCCACCTTGTGAAAGTGAGAGGCCTGGAAGGCTGAGGGAAAGGTGAAATACAGTTGCCCCTCAGTATCCTCACAGGTGATTGGCTCTAGGACCTCCGTGGATACCAAAATCCTCAGATGCTCGAGTCCCTGAGAGAAAATGGCGTATTTGCATTTAACCTATGCACATCCTCCTGTATACTGTAAAAAAATTTTTTTTCATAGAGACAAGGTCTCACTATGTTGCCCAGGGCTGGTCTTGAACTCCTGGCCTCAAGCAATCCTCCTGTCTCAGCCTCCCAAAGTCTTGGGACCCATACACTTTAAAAATAATCTCTAGATCACTTATAATACCTAATATGATGCAAATGTTATGTAAATAGTTGTTATATCGTATTTTGACATTTGTATTTTTTTATTGTTGTATTGTTATTTTTTATTGTCTTTATTCAAGCCACGGTTGGTTGAATCCAGATGCAGAAACTGCGGATAAGGAGGACCTTCTCTGTACTGTATTCCGGAATCTTCTACTTACCATTCCACTCAATCAGTCTATGCCCCAGAGTGAGCTAGAGAAGGCAGCGGAGAATCTACCATCCACACAATTGATTTCACAGTAATTAAAAATCAGTGTTTTTCCTTAAACATGGCCTCTAGATACATGCCAGCTGCCTCAACTCATACTTAACTGATGGAATATGATCTGTCTCAGAGACAGAGAGAGGAACAGACTGTGTCAACTTAGAGAAACCAAATATACTGATCTCCAAAGGGACAGCTTCTTAAGCTGTGACCTTAAAAAATTGTGACCATACACAATTTTCAGCCAATGTGATGGTTTCCATCACCTCCCACCTAAGAGATGACACCATTAATGTATACAAATTGTTGTAGAAGCTTAGAGAAAGAACCAACTAATGGGGAAGTTGGAGAAAATGTCTCAGCAGCGGGGATATTCGAGCTGAGTTTTGAAGGATAAAGAGCAGTTTCCAAATGAGGAAGAAGTGGGCAAGGACAAGCTAAGTAAAGTTGCCTGAACTGTTGACGGCCACCACTGGCTCTAGAAAAGCCCCTGCTACTTCCTTCTGTCTACTTGAAAGTGCAACATAAGATGTTTTCAGAACAAACAGGAGTATGAATGGGAAGACTGTGGTTCAGTATTTCCCAAAGTGTTTGCCATGGAACTAGTTCTGTGAGATGCTTCATTGAAAAGAGATTCTGAATAAAATAAAACATTCATTTAACAAAATATTTGGTGCACCTCATGAGCCATAGAATGCCTGGTAGTAAATGCTGGTATGGTCTCCCTATATGTTAATACATCTTCAAAATAAACAATTCAGCATATGTGAAATGGTGAATTAAAATAATTATTTCTTCCTGGATTTTTATAAAGGAATTAGCTCTAATTTCTGTTACAAAATTTGCAAATCAGAGTTCCAAAATTGTGCTCAAAGGAACTTAGGAACTTCTAGCCTAAGATTACTTTTTAAAACTATAATCAAATAGTAATTATAATTTATAATAATTTTAATTTATAATTATAATGATAATTATAACAATTAATAACTCAGAGGCTGGGTGAGGTGGCTCATGCCTGTAATCCTAGCACTTTGGGAGGTTGAGGTAGGAGGATGGCTTGAGGCCAGGAGTTCGAGACCAGCCTGGGCAACATGGCGAAACCTTGTCTCTGCAAAAGATACAAAACTTAGCCAGCCATGGCGGTGCGTACTCCTGTAGTTCCAGCTACTCAAGAGGCTGAGGTGCAAGGATCACCTGAGCCTGGGAATTCAAAGCTGCAGTGAGCTGGGATCATACCACTGCACTCCAGCCTGGGCAATGGAAGTGAGACCTTGTCTCAAACAAAACAAAACAAAACAAAACAAAACAAAACAAAACAAACCCCCAAACTCAGGCACTATTCTAAGTGCCTTATTTGTATGACAGTATTGAATCATCACAGCCACCAGTAGAGTTGGTACTATGATTATATGGAGTTGTGTGGAAGTGTTAAATGACCTGCACAAAGTGACACAGCTTTTAAGCAATGCAATGTGTGACTCTGGAGCCTGCACTTTTAGCCTTACGTTAACTTGCTTCTTACAACCCTAAACAATGAGTGTCTCATCAGTGACATTTTACAACCAGGGAGAGGAGCTCCAGAACTGGAAAGACTGTGGTTCACAGCAAGACACAAGTCACCTTTTCCACATGTGTGGACGTAGGTTTAATAACCAGTGCAAAAAGGGAGAGGAAATGGCAGGGAAGGCAACATGTGAGAGAGACCTTTCCATGTGCTACAGGACGGCCCAACACCTGGGTTCAGGCTGCCCACTCCAACACCAAGTTTTGCACATAGACATGCACTGGCTTACGGCCTGGAATCAAGAGTAGGTCCCCAAACCCATGGCTTCTCTTTTCATTCATGTGATGTCCCTTTTATGATAGCATTCACCACACTATAAGGACAAAGCATGCAGAGATCAGGCATCTGATCTCCCAATCCCAATTCTACTCCCGGCCAGCAATTCTGTCTCCTTGCTGGGCCTTAATTTTCTTATCTGTAAAATGAGAATATATGGGGAAGCACTTGGTTTTGCTTTCCATGGTTTCAGTTACCCGCGGTCAACTGAAGTCTGAAAATATTAAACTGAAAATTTCAGAAATGAATAACTCATAAGTTTTAAATTGTGCACCCTTCTGAGTAGCTCCATGAAATCTCATGTCATCCCTCTCCATCCTGCCCGGGACACCAATCATCCCTTTGTCCAGGAAAACGACACTGTCTGTGCTCCATGCCCATGTCACTTAATAGCCATCTGGGTTATCAGATTGACCGTCAAGGAACCCTTATTTTACTTAATATCAGCCCCAAAGTGCAAGAGTAGTAATGCTGGCAATTTGGATATGCCAACGAGGAGCACTAAAGGCCTTCCTGTAAATGAAAAGGGGAAAGTTCTCTACTTAATAAGGAAAGAAAAAAAATCCTATGCTGAGGTTGCTAAGAACTACAGTAAGAAAGAAATTTTCTATCTGTGAAATTGTGAAGAAGGAAAAAAAAATTCGTTCATAGTATATTATTAGTTTGGTAATATCTGTGTTTCAGGCATCCACTGGGGGTCTTGGAATGTATCCCCCAAGGATAAGGGGGGACCAGTATACAATTGCATTAATACAGCATCATCAAAGAGCAGGAATAAAGAAAAATGCAATGATGGTAGTGGGAGAAACATTTACCCATCCCTAAAAAGTGCCTCTAGCAGGAGAATCGCTTGAACCCTGGAAGCGGAAGTTGCAGTGAGCTGAGATCCCGCCACTGCACTCCAGCTTGGGTGACAAAGTGAGACTCCATCTCAAAAAAAAAAAAAAAAAAAAAAAAAAAAAGTGCCTCTAATTCAGGTGAAGAGTCCCTGCAGTCTTCCCTCCTGTCAAGGAGGAGCAGTTATCCTTGCTCTAACTATACCAAGAGGTGTTGTTAAATTGGCTAAATAGGAACACCCCTGAGCGCCTACAAGGTAGGGGAGGATGATCGAAGGTAGGGGAGGATAAGCAAAGACTGCAAATAAGAACCCTGATGGTGGCCGGGCGCGGTGGCTCACGCCTGTAATCCCAGCACTTTGGGAGGCTGAGGAGGGCGGATCATGAAGTCAGGAGATCAAGACCATCCTGGCTAACAGGTGAAACCCCGTCTCCACTAAAAAAATACAAAAAATTAGCCAGGCATGGTGGCACGTGCCTGTAGTCCTAGCTACTCAGGAGGCTGAGGCCGGAGAATCGCCTGAACCTGGGAGGCGGAGGTTGCAGTAAGCCGAGATCACGCCACTACACTCCAGCCTGGGCGACAGAGCGAGACACCGTCGCAAAAAACAAACAAACAAACAAACAAACAAACAAACAAAAAAAGACAAAAACAAACAAAAAAAAAACCCTGATGGCAACAGCCAGTGCGGACTGATAGGAGACAGAAATAGTCAGGACATGATTATGGTGCCTGGAATTTGGACCTGACCAGAACTCACAGTGCACATGAAAGACAAGTGTTCATGAATTTCTTACTAAAGGAGAATTAGAAATTATTATCAGAATTCCACTAAGTACTGCTGCTACGCTATAGTAAATATTTACCGTCAGTCCACAAGTATTATAACTATACTTAGTTGTTATTCTACAGTGTCATTTACAACCAATTCCTCTTTTTGTCTTTCAGAGATCCCAAGTTAAAGAATACTTAATGACATACTGAAAGATAAATAAGCTTCAATTAGTCTGCCCTTTCTGAATAATGCAGTCAAGACTAGTGTTCAGAGTGGGCAAAAGCAAGTAAACAGCATCCTACTGTGGAGGGTCACAGGCCTGGCTCTGTTTCAGAATCATTGAGGAGCTGTGCAAAATATCAATTCTAGGACTCCAGCCCAGTTTGACCGAATTGGAATCTTCAGGGATTAGAGTCTAAGAATCTCTGTTTTTTAAAAAATGTAGGCAACGGCTCATGCCTGTAATCCCAGCACTTGGGGAGCTTGAGGTGGGAGGATCGCTTGAGCCCAGGAGTTCAATACCAGCTTGGGCAACATAGCAAGACTTTGTCCCTACAAATAAAAAAGTTAGCCGGGCATGGTGGTGCGTGTTTGTGGTCCCAACTACTTGGGAGGCTGAGGTGGGAGGATTGCTTGAACCAGGGAGGTTGAGGTTGCAGTGAGCCATGCACTCCAGCCTGGGTGACAGAGTGAGACTGTCTCAAAAAAATCAAAAATCAAAAATCAAAAAAAGTGGCCTGGATAATTCTTTTTCAATTGGATAAGGGATCCTGGGCCTGAGTACTTGTGATCGGTATTCATGATTCACTGCCTCACAGAAAACAGCTTTAACAAGATTTTCTTCTGTTAAATGGATGTCCTCCCTATGTCCTATAAGGTGAAGATACAAAGAAACAGGACACAGTCTTTGGTCTGTAGGAGCTTCATTTTCCTTGGGAGATAGAACACACTGGCAGCCATAGGCCAAGTAATGATGTAGTAATCAGGAGTACAAGAGAGAAAATTTCATGGCCGGGCGCGGTGGCTCACGCCTGTAATCCCAGCACTTTGGGAGGCCAAGGTGGGCGGATCACGAGGTCAGGAGATTGAGACTATCCTGGCTGACACGGTGAAACCCCGTCTCTACTAAAAATACAAAAAATTAGCCGGGCATGGTGGCGTGCGCCTGTAGTCCCAGCTACTCGGGAGGCTGAGGCAGGAGAATGGCGTGAACCTGGGAGGCGGAGCTTGCAGTGAGCCGAGATGGCGCCACTGCGCTCCAGCCTGGGCGACAGAGCGAGACTCCGTCTAAAAAAAAAAAAAAAAGAGAGAGAAAATTTATCTAGGAGGTGGATGGGAAAGATTCTATGGAAGAGATGAGAATAAAGAAACCAGGATACACTATGAAAAAGGTGGGGAAGGAGGCCAACATGGTAAGATGAGTTTGGGAAGAGATAGGGGAACAGTGGGAGATATGGTTGGAAGAGAGGATTATGGGCATATTTTGTAAATTTATTTTTGAGACAGGGTCTCACTCTGTTGCCCAGGCTGGAGTGCAGTAGTGCAATCACAGATCACTGCAGCCTTGACCTCAAGGCTGGTCAAGTGGTCCTCCTGCCTCAGCCTCCCCAGTAGCTGGGACTACAGGCATATGCCACCATGCCAGGCTAATTTAAAAAAAAAAAATTGTAGAGACAGTGTCTCACCATGTTGCCCAGGCTGGTCCTGAACTCCTGGCCTCAAGTGATCCTCCCATCTTGGCCTCCCTATGTGCTGGGATTACAGGCATGAGCCACTGTACCCAGCACAAAATTTTACGTATCTATACAGATGTTCTTTCTCTCTCTCTCTCTCTTTACACACACACACACACACACACACACACACACACACACACGGGGGTTAACATTTTTTTAAAAAATCTTCATTGAGCTGCAGTTTGAAATGTGAAAATGTGAAATCACTCCCTGGACTTTGTGTGTCAGCTCTTTAACAATATGAGCTAAAAATTATCCAGTGCTATTTTAAAAAAATATATGCACAATATTATGACACTGTGAAAAATTACACATAATTTTTGCATATTGATTACCACCCTTAATACAATGATATTATTAGGGTAGTACAATTAATTAAAAATTTTTTTTTCTGTCATGCTTCAAATTCAAAATGCTTTGTGTCACCCAACCATAGCTGTAACAGAGAGCCAGGCACACAGTAAATTCTCAGTGCTGAATACTAAATGAATCCATGTTAAAGAGAGGCTTCACACACAAATGACAATGCCTGCAATAAGAACTCTACCTGGAAAGGTGGTGGCGTCGACACAGTGGGAATGACAGCGGCTGCGGCGGCTGCGGCCGCGGCTGCGGCGGCAGCAGCACTGGCTGGGTCTGGCTGCACAGCAATGGGGCTGATCATGTGCTCCACTGTGTGGATTTTGCCATCTTCAATCATTTTAGGGGCTGGAGCTGCTGGAAACATGGAATACTGAGCCCCAATGGCAGGGATGGCTACTGCAAGAGAAGCAAGAAGGAAAAACAGGTCAATCACTTTCAGTCGCTGAGTGGGGTCCAGCACTTGCTCTAAGATATTTTTTATTTTTATTTTTTTAAAAACTTTTCTTTTTTTTGAGACAGGGTCTCACTCTGTGGCCCAGGCTGGAATGCAGTGGTGCGATCAAGGCTCACTGCAGCCTCAATCTCTTGGCCTCAAGAGATCCTCCCACCTCAGCCTCCTGAGTAGCTGGGACTACAGGTACAGGCCACCTTGCCCAGCTTTTTGTTTTTGCTGTTGTAGAGACAGGGTTTCGCCACGTTGCCCAGGCTGGTCTTGAACTCCTGAGCTCAAGCGATCCAACTGCCTTGGCCTCCCAAAGTGCTGGGATTACAGGTGTGAGCCACCGCGCCCAGCCTAAGATATTTTTTAAAACCACGTTTAGAGGTCCTGGGCCTCTCCATGCTCACTATTGTTCTCTCAGTACAAGCCATGTACCCAGATGCCTGCTCCCTAGAGGAAGGGATGGGTGGTGGCAGGTAACTCCCCCTGCCTGTTGTGGAAGAGACCCCTAGAGTAAGGCTTTTGCACCAATATTTTCTACTATTTCTACAGAAAAATCACAGTTTGAATGTTATTCTTGATGTCCTACTGAGCAAGAAAGGGCCTCTGACTATGGGAAAACAGGCTTAGACGAAGAAGTGAGATCAGAGGCTTGAAGCCTACTGCCTGTGAGAGTTGGGCCTGCCTGTTCCTTCCTACTCACCTCACTCATTACCAGCCGCACTGCCTTTTTTTCACTTTCACCACTATTTAAGAAACAGGTGCTGTTGAGGGTTTCATTCTGAGAACTCAGACCTGTGTACATCCTCCCCACCCTGTATTTCAGATTTCAACATTACCGATTCAAGGAAAAACACATGGTAAAAAAAAATAGCACATTCCCCAGTTTCCTCATGCCCACGCAAAGTAGTGAAGATGTGGAGTGATTGGCTTTTAGTGGGACCTCCCAATTCAAAGAATTTCTGCAAGTAAAGTCCAAAATTATGATTTCAACCAGAGATTCAAACAGCAGCTATTGAATGTCAAGGTACAGTAAGAAGAGATCAAAAGGAAAAGATATCAGCCCTTTTGTGTGAGTGTGTGTGTGTGGGGCGGGGGTGTGTGTGTGTGTGTGTGTGTGTGTGTGTGTGTGTGTTGAAAGGACAAACAAAAATATGAAATGTGTACACAAAGAATCTTTCTATTTCTGGTTTTCTCCAACTGTAGGTACATTTATTCTAAATAGGACAGACTCAATCAAAGGTAAAGAGACAAATGATTGTAAGCTAAACAATGGTACAGCCATTCGATAAAATATACCTAAAACCTTAATCAAATCTTTTACCTGCCTTTCCAACCATATCTTCCACTGGTCTTGTGCCCAGATACTTCACCACCACCCTGGTGCCTCTCCTAAAATACAATGTTCTCATTTTCTGGATGATCAGAAATAGACGCCAATCGATGGGGCCCAGAGAGGGTTGTGAGTTTAAGCTACAAGGGGTTGTATGAAGTAAATGAATTGTTCTGGCTATCAGCCCACAGGAATTTCTACCTCAGGCTCCAGGACACAACTTTACATAGTTAAAGATTATTTAACAGTTCTTTTCTCTTGTTAAACCTTAAGCTACCGTAACTTGCCAAAGGGAGTTCCCTTCTCAACAAGTAGAAGCGACGACTCCCATATCCAGGCTCTATTTTATTAAGTTACAGAGCTGTGGGATCAGTTTTACTTTGCCCACAGTGCCAATGACATTTAAAAGGCAATCTAGTCTAAGGAGTCACTTAACTGCAGAAATTGCAGAATTTTTACACAGGCAAAAAAAAAAAAAAAAAAAAAAAAATCATTACTAGAATCATCAAAAGAAAGTTCAATTGGGGAAATGCTTTTTAACTCTATGAGGCCAATGTGTACCTATGTCCCAAATGCACAGATTCCTTGACTCTATTTTAGCTAGGGAGAGAAGTGTACAATCTCAACCAGAAGAAAATCAGAGTAGCTGGGCTCCAAACAGTTCTTCAACTTCCTCCTGCTGAAGCCAGGAGGGGTCTGGAGGAGGGTCGTGCCAATTACCCACGGACTGAGCTTTCCATGTGTTTGGATGCTTCTGCAGGGTGCTACGTGAGTTTGTGATAGACTCACACAATGGAGTTAATGTTTTTTGCAGGTTCGGATCAGAAGACCGGCCTCACATTAGATGGTCATGGGCACTAATGACATTAATAAACAGGTTTGTAGGGCCTGGAGGTGAAGGCTAAGTTCAGGGTCCCTGGCTTGAAATACTTGAGCATCCCTACTCCCAATCTACTGATCCAACTAGAGGAGGAAATGAGTGCTGGAAATGAGAAACCAGGGAATTAGCTGCAAAAATTTTCAGCAAAGGCCAGGTGCAGTGGCTCATGCCTGTAATCCCAGCACTTTGGGAGGCTCAGGCGGGTGGCTCACTTGAGGTCAGGAGTTCGAGAACAGCCTGGGCAATGTGGTGAAACCCCATCTCTACTAAATATACAAAAATTAGCCAGGCATGGTGGTGCGCGCCTGTAGTTCCAGCTACTCGGGAGGTTGAGGCAGGAGAATCGCTTAACCCGGGAGGTGGAGGTTGCAGTGTGCCGAGATCATGCCACTGCACTCCAGCCCGGGTGACACAGCAAGACTCCATCTCAAACAACAACAAAACTTTCACCACTGCCTTGTCCTCAAGCATTCTTATTTGCTCAGACCATGACAAGGGACAAAAGGTGCTGCTTACTCCTGAAGGGGAATTTTCTGCCCTTCCAAACAACTCTCAGAATGGGGCAATAAGCTCTACCCTCCGACTTCAGATGGTCGGGGCAGAAATAGGCCTGAGTAAGGAAAAGACAGGTTTTACCTGATAGAAGATACAGAGAGCCTCATGTTCTTCCTTTCTTCCCCCTACAACTCTCCTTACTTAGCCACAGACTGAGACAAAACCTAACAATGGGTGACAGCCCTTTGAAAACCTTACTGCATGGCCAGGCGCAGTGGCTCACTCCTCTAATCCCAGCACTTTGGGAGGCCGAGACGGGTGGATCATAAGGTCAGGAGATCGAGACCATCCTGGCTAACACGGTGAAACCCCATCTCTACTAAAAATACAAAAAAAAAAAAAAAAAAAATTAGCCGGGCATGGTGGTGGGCACCTGTAGTCCCAGCTATTCTGGAGGCTGAGATAGGAGAATGGTGTGCACCCAGGAGGCAGAGCTTGCAGTGAGCCAAGATCATGCCACTGCACTCCAGCCTGGGCGACAGAGCGAGACTCTGTCTCAAAAAAAAAAAAAAACAAACAAACAAACAAACAAAAAAAAACCTTACTCAGGCAAGTTTGATTTGAACATAGTCAAAGCTACACCATCCCCTGAAGTTCTAGATAAGGAGGTCCAGGGGGTCACTTTATTTTTGCCTTGTCTCTAGCTGCCTAGGAGAAGAGGAACCCCTGTGCAGATGTGAGAGCCTGAAAAACGCTTGGATTCACTTCAAACAGAAGGGCTGGGGTTTATGCTGAATGGGAGCATTCTCAATCTGCTTCATACTGACCTGTACCAGGTTTAATGGCAACTGGGTTGACGGTAGGGATTTCCAAATTCGGCACCAGTTCATATCCTTTTTCTTGCTGCTTTCCTTTCCCTTCATGATATCGGCTATATATACCACGACCAGCAGAATATCCCCCGAGGTAGGAACCCCTAGGCCCTGGGGCTCTGTTGCCAGCTGCACCTCGCCCTCGGCCTCTTATGCTGCCTGCTTGTAATAACAACACAAAAGATGATCAGCAACCAACAGTGACGGTGCTGGAGGCAGACCTCAGCCCTCGGTTCTCGGCATTTAACTGCCCCAGTCTTAATTGCAGGTGGCTACACCTTTGCTCTTTAATAGGCTGGTAAAGATGCTTCCAACATTCTATTTCAGCCTAGATTTGCATCCTAAGCATGTCTTCTTAGTACAAGAGGCAAACTTGCAGGGTGAGTTTCTAGGATTGTATCTGCAATTTCAGTAAAGAAAAACATTCATAGACTACCCACCACCCCCTCCCCCCCGCCAAAAAAAAAACTGTGGCCAGGTGTGGTGTCTTATGCCTGTAATCCCAGCACTTTGGGAGGCTGAGGCGAGAGGATGGCTTGAGCCCAGGGGTTCAAGACCAGCCTGGGGAGCATGGTGAGACCCTGTCTCAAAAAAAAAAAAAAAAAATATATATATATATATATATAAAATACATATATATATATATAAAATACATATATATATATAAAATACATATATATATATATAATACATATATATATACTATTAAATAATTTTTTTTAAAGTTAGCTTTGGAAGGGGATTTGCTGGTCCACCTTCCTCATTTCATGCTTGAGAAAACAGGCCAGGGGAGATTAAAGTGACTAACTAAAGTCACAGACCCAGTTAATCAGAGAACAGGACCCAGAACCTATGTATCTTATTTTCCAGGTTATGCTGGGTGTCATTATATCCTAATCAGTGATAACAAAAAACAAAATTAAAAATCACGGACTCCACCAACATCTTAAGATTTAATATCACAAGCAGGTTTTAACGTAAGCACCAAGAGAATGGTGGACTAGCCCCTAACCCGGTGGACCTCGGCAAGGAAGAATTCCAGCACTTGCATATTCCTGTGATTTTACCGCTCACCCCAGAACGATCTGTATTTCTATCAGTGCTGCATAAGTGACGGCCTTCGGTGCCAGGAAAGAATTAGACCCAGAATGCAAACCCAAAACGGGGGTGGGAGGGCCTTCAGCACCTACCAGCTCAGCAAATGCCAGCCACGGTATCCCTGGTGCCCCCTGCCTAGGAGGCAACGTTCTTGGGGGCCCCACCCAGGAGAAGAGCCCCCACTAACCTTTCACAAAGTAGTCCCTGTTGGGCCCAATGAGCGCGTTGTAGGGGTAGCCGTAGTAGGCCAGTGTGTAGGGGTCGCAGGAGTACACGTAGCTGGGCTGCTGCGCTGCCTCAGCCGCGCCGCCGCCCCTGGCTGCCTTCTGGTAGCGCGAGTACTGCTCCTTGTCCACGGGCTTGGCCAGCGTGACCTCCAGGCACGAGCCCTCCAGCTCAGTGCCGTTGAGGTTGTTCATGGCATGCACGGCATCCTCGCGGCTGGTGAAGTGCACGAAGGCGTAGTCGCGGATCTTCTTGACGCGCTCCACGCAGCCGGGGTTGAACTGGCCGAAGCTCTTCTTGATGGTGTCCTCGGTGGTCTCGATCATGAGGTTGCGCACGTAGAGGATCTTCACGGTCTCCATCACGTCCTCGTCCACGTCGATCTCAGGTTCGGCCCAGTCCACGGCGATCTGGTGGCCCCACAGCTGGATGCGGCCAGGCATGAGCTTGCGGCGAGCCATGGCAGCCGCGCGGTGGCTCTCGTACTCCACGAAGGCGAAGCCGCGGTTCTTCATCTTGTCGGCCGCGCTGGCGTAGACGATCACGTCCAGCACGCCCTCGGTGACCTTGGCAATCTCCTCCAGGATTTCCTCGCGCTTCTTCATCTTGGGGATCCCGCCGATGAAGAGGCGGCAGTTGTCCACGCTGCAGCACACGCCGAGCAGGCGGCCCGGGCGGATCTCGTAGTTGTTGAGCTCACGCACTGCGCGCTTGGCCTCGTGCTTGTGGCAGTACATGACGAAGGCGTAGCCGCGGTTCTTGCCGTCAAAGTCCATCATGAGGCGCAGCTCGTAGATGCGGCCCACGGCCTCGAACACGGGCACCAGCTCGTCCTCGTACACGTCGCGCGGGATCTTGCCCACGAAGACCTCGCAGCCACGCTGCGGGTGCGGGCCCTCCCAGCCGGGCGGTGGGCCGCCGTACTTGCGCTGCCCGTTCTCTTGCACCATGCTGTAGCCCGTGCGCTCCATCAGCGCCAGCAGTGCTGCCTCGTTGGGCGCGCCCGCCACGCCCTCGGGCACCTTGGCGGAGGACCCGGCGGCCGAGTCACTGCTCATGGCTGCGGTGGAATCCTCTGCGGTCATAATGTCAAAGGCATCCACAGCTGGCGGAAACCTGGGGAAGCAGAAAGAAGCGTGAGTGGGGAACCGCTGGATCTTGCCTCTTTTGGGTTGTGTTTCGCAGCCTTGCAAGTATGCATTAATAGGCCACGGGGAAGGGGAGGTGGTTTAAATGAGAAATAGGATGGAGGCGTTCTGGAAATGCAGCAGCCCTACATTTGTCTAAAATAGTCAAGTTGTCTTGCAGCAAAAACCAGAAGTGAGTTAGGAGAGAAAAAAAAAAATCAGAATGAGCAAGTACTTCCATTTCATCAGTACCCCGACAGCTTTGAAGTTTTGCGAAGCTGCTCTCATTTTTGGTAAAAACCTCACGTTCTTTTGCTTCATTCCTGCACCGTTAACTCCACCTGATTTCCTTGTTATATGGAATTTGACAAACTCCATGTATTTCTTTGGTGAACACAGCTTTCTTCTTTTCTTTTTTAAGGGAGTCTTTTTAATTGTAGGAATGGAAATACAGTGAAGATTTTAAATTATTAAAGAAAACTTTTAGGAGCTGTCATTGTATAGAGAGAGCTGTGTATTAAAGCTTTTTACAAGGAAGAAATGAAATGTGCACATTGCCACGGGCTTGGTCCAGGAACTGTAATAAGAGCTAATCTGATTTTGATGGTGGCATTCAGGTAAAATTCTTGGTGTGAAGCATTCAAAGATTTGGAATCAGTCCTTGAAGAGCTAGACTGACTTCAAGCTGGGGGACTGGGAAGCAGCATCTACCTGGTAAACCACACTATTGTTTTCAGAGAACTGTCACCTGCATTCTCTTAATTTTCTTAACCTCTGTATATGGTACATGGTATTATCCTCAGTCCCAATTTGGTCATGGGGAAATAGGCTTAGGTTGAGTAAACTGCCCCATTTCACACAGCAAGTGTCAGCTTGTAGGCAGACTTGATTCCAAGTTTTCTGGCTCCAGATTCCCTGTTTTTTCTTCCAAACCAATGCTGGGCAATCGAATTTTCTATGATGCTAGAAAAGCTGTCACTTGCCACATGTGGCTACTGAGCACTTGGAATGGGGCTAGTGTGACTGAGGAGCTGGATTTTAAATTTTAATTAAACAGCCACGTATCACAGTGCAGGTCTGAACTGTGCCGCCTTCACTTATATGGCCAAGGGCTCTGTGGAAGTGATTCTAAATTATGCAATAAGATTATTACGATGAGCTGCAGACTATACTTCTGTAATGAAAGGCTCCAATTCGCCTTTTAAAAAATGAAATCTATTTCATTTTTTGGACTATAAAAGTATTCAGTTAAATTTATAGAAAGTTAAGAAAAGTACATAAGAAATTATTCCTAATTTTCCTACCCAATGATAGCACAATGAAACTTTCTCATCTGTTTTCTAGATGTTTTCTTGAGGAGGTGGGAGGGGGAAGCCTGGCTTCCGCCTAATTTACATGGTGCTACTTTATGTTATAAGCATTCCTCTGTATTCTTAAAAATCTTTGTAAAAACATCATTTTTAATGGCCATATAAGGTTTCATCAATTAATTAGAACCCGGAGTATCATTCATTTTTTAAAATTTAGGACTAGGAGATGTATACAAGAATATTAAGGGAAATTTCAAGGATAATAAAAATGAATTTGATCATTGAAGGAAAAAATAAAACTATAATGAAACAAAATAAATCTGAGCTATTTATTTGCCAGATGGCCAAAATAGTCCTTTTGTGGTTAATTTGCTCTAATATCAAGCGGCAGTACAGTTTAGCAGGTAAGTATGTGGCTTCTGGAGCCAGACTGCATATGTTTGTTTGTGAATCTCAGCTCTAATACTTGCTAGTGTTAGCTGCTCCATGCCTCACCTCAGTTTCCCTACCTATAAAATCAGAATGATAATAATAGTATTAACCTCATTAAGTTTAGAGGAGTGAGTTAATACATACACAGCATTTTGAATGGTGCCTAGAATATTATAAATGCTCAAGAAATGTCAGTTATTAATTTCATCCAAACTTTTGAGTAAAATCTTAGACCAATTCTTTCAATTTTAGAGTAATTCTTAAGATAAACATCTTCAGTTCTTTAAAAATATCTGTTACACGTGGCTTCTATTCTTATTATTTTTTTCCTCTTCAAGTGCTTGGAAGCTGGTTTGACGTCTCCAGTTATCATGAAATTTTTTTGTAGTATACTTGGAAAATTAGTTTCTGTAGTTTCAAGTTGAAAAACATTTTTTTTTCTTTTTTTAAAAATAGAGATGGAGGGCCAGGCAGAGTGGCTTGTGCCTGTAATCCCAGCTCTTAGGGAGGCAGAGGTGGGAGGATTACTTGAGCCCAGGAGTTTGAAACCTGCCTGGGCAATATAGAAAGACCTCGTTCTCCACAAAAAAAGGAACCAAAAAAAAAAAGATCCCAATTAAAATAGAGATAGAGTCTCACTATGTTACCCCAGCTAGTCTCAAACTCCTGGGCTCAAGTAATCCTCCTGCCTCAGCCTCCCAAAGTGCTAGGATTACAGGCATGAGCCACCACACCCAACCAAGAAATTTCAACATTAAATCTGAACATGAAGACCTTTCCCTTCTTCCAAATGGAAGATAAGGATATATTTTTAAGAGGACTATTTGCATAAACACCCATGTAGTTACAATCTGTGACCTAGGCAGGAAATGCCAGGTACATATATAAATACATAGGAGACAATTCAAGATCTTACCTGTTGTACTGTATACAACATTAACTGACTAAAGTCCAAGGGAATAGAACTTATCTCTCTGCTGAGATAGGTGGAGTTGCCTTCCTGTCACCCTAACTGTGCTTTGAAACTACTATTCTACCTACAAAAACAGTCTTACAGTAGTCAGGCTACGGAGTCATTGCCAATTCCAACCCCAATAATATAAGAAAAAATCCTGTTTGCTTTCAGTCTGAAATCTGCTGGTGTCAGTAACACAATTATCTCTACATATTTTAAAATAGCGATAGCTTATTTCTTACATCAATGAGCCAAGAAAAGCCTTTCTTCACCTATGCTATCATCTTCTGTAATAAACAAACCATGTTAGCGACCCTGTTTTTATTTTTACTTTGGCCTCTAGGAAGTTCACGATTGATTTTTTTCACTCCAATTTTAGTAACTGTAGGGGACATTACAACACACTTTCATGTTCATCTAATTTGGGTTATAGTTTCATTTTTTAGTTTTCTTCTATTTTTTCAGTTTTCCCAGTGACATGAATTGAGCTGTTTGTATTATTTATCTTATTGTTCACATGTTCTTATAAACCATGTTGTAATTTTGGAGGAGACGAATCAATGCATACATACATGCATATATATCTAATTACAGCCAGACATTGATTAATGCAATATCCAAATTTGCTGTGTCTCTTACACCAACTACAAGTATTGCATACCAACAAGTGAGAACCACAATGAGATACTACTTCACACTCATTAGGATAGTTATTATAAAAACAACAAAAAACAGGAAATAAGCATTGGCAAGGACGTGGAGAAATTGAAACCCTCATGCAGTGCTGGTAGGAATATAAAATGGTACAGCCGCTGTAAAAAACAGTATGGTGGTTCCTCAAAAAATTAAACATAGAATTACCATTTGATCCAGCAATTCCACTTCTAGGTATATACCCAAAAGACTCAAATAGATACTTGTATAATGATGTTCACAGCAACAGTATTTACAGTTGCCAAAAGATGGAAGCAACCCAAATGTTGATCAATGGATTATGATAAACAGAACGTGGTATACATATACAATGCAGTATTATTCAGCCTTTTTTCTTTTGCTTTTTTTTTAGACAGAGTCTCACTCTGTCACCCAGGCTGGCGTGCAGTGGTGCAGTCTCTGCTCACTGCAACCTCCACCTCTCAGGTTCAAACAATTCACCTCAGCCTCCCAAGTAACTGGGACTACAGGCGCACACCACCACGCCCAGCTAATTTTTGTATTTTTAGTACAGGTGGGGTTTCACCATGTTGGCCAGGCTGGTCTTGAACTCCTGACCTCAGGTGCTCTGCCCGCCTCGGTCTCCCAAAATACTGGGATTACACGTGTGAGCCACCGTGCCCGGCTTATTCAGCCTTGAATAAAATTCTGATACGTGCTACAATATGGAAGAACCTTGAAGACATTATGCTAATAGTGAAATAAGCCAGACACAAAGGGATAAATATTATATGATTCCACTTATATAAGGTACCTAGAGTAGTCAAATTCATAGACAGAAAGTAGACTAGTGGTTACCATGGGCTGGAGAAAGGGAGGAGTGGGGAATTAGTGCTTCATGGGTGTGGGTGTCTTAATTAGGGATAATAAAGGTCTGGAGATGGATGGTGGTGATGGCAGCACAACAGTGTGAATATACTTCCTGCCAATGAACCATACACTTAAAAATGGTAAAATGTTATGTATAATATACCACAGTAAAAACAAAATCCTTTAAAAAAAAGAAAAGGTTCAGAGATGCAAAAAAGACAAAAATTAGAGTTGATAAAACTAGGATTTCATTAGAGGCCATTAAAAAATGATACACTGGGCTGGGCACAGTGGCTTACACCTGTAATCCCAGCACTTTGGGAGGCTAAGGTGGGCGGATCACCTGAGGTTGGGAGTTCGAGACCAGCCTGACCAACATGGAGAAACCCCATCTCTAATAAAAATACAAAATTAGCTGGGCGTGGTGGCACATGCCTGTAATCTCAGCTACTCAGGATGCTAAGGCAGGAGAATCCCTTGAACCTGGGAGGCGGAAGTTGTGGTGTGCTGAGATGGCGCCATTGCACTCTAGCCTGGGCAACAAGAGTGAAACTCCTTCTCAAAAAAAAAAAAAAAAAAAAAAAAAAAAAAAAAAAGGTACACTGACTCAGGTTAACACATTCAAGAAAATCTTATGGCCTACAAGTTTTATTCTCCTTATCATCATGTTTAATATACCATATTAAATAAATTATATGGTGTGCTACTCTACTCAATGAATTCAGATGCCAAACACTTAGATATATTAAAAGATAAATGAGGCTGGGCTCAGTGGCTCACGCCTGTAATTCTGGCACTTTGGGCGGCTGAGGCAGGTAGATTGCTTAAGCTCAGGAGCACGAGACCAGCCTGGGCAACATGGCAAAACCCCATCTCTACAAAAAGTACAAAAATTAGCCGGGCATGGTGGTGTGTGCCTGTAGTCCCAGCTATTTGGGAGGCTGAGGTGGAAGGATCACCTGAGCTCAGGAAGTTGAGGCTGCAGTGAGCTGTGACTGCGCCACTGCACTCCAGCCTAGGCAACAGAGTGAGAACCTGTCTCAAAAACAACAACAACAATAACGAAAAGGAAAAGATTTTCAAGTTACTTTGAAAAAGACAACTGTACAGCTAACATGACCCTTCTCTCAAAGATGTAATGAAATGCTTAACTTATTGTAATTATATGTGCTTTAGATTAGCATTGGCAAGCTATGGCTGTGGGCCAAATATGGCCTGCTGTTTGTTTCTATAAATAAAATTGTATTGGAACACAACCCTATCCTTAAAAAAAAAAAAAAGAAAAGATAATGTGTGGCTGCTTTTATACTACAATGGCAAAGCGAAATAGTTGAGACCCAGACAGTGTGGCTCATAAAGCCTAAGGTATTTACTCTCCGGCTCTGTTGACCCCTGGTCTAGGAGATGTGGAAGAGCGCATCCTTGAAGCTCTTAGATTCTGCTTGCTACGTATAATAGTTTTCCTATGCTGAATGATAACTTAATTTCAGGACTAATTTTTAAATTCTAACTGTTTTTTTTTTTTTTAGATGGAGTCTCACTCTGTCATCCAGGCTGGAGTGCAGTGGTATGATCTTGGCTCACTGCAATCTCCACCTCCAGGATTCAAGCGATTTATCTGCCTCAGCCTCCTGAGTAGCTGGTATTACAGGTGCGTACCATCATGTCCGGTTAATTTTTGTATTTTTAGTAGAGATGGGGTTTCACCATGTTTGCCAGGCTGGTCTCGAACTCCTGACCTCAAGTGATCTGTCTGCCTCCTAAAGTGCTGGGATTACAGGTGTGAGCCACTGTGCCCGGCCTTAAATTCTAACATATTTTAAAACAGTGTTGTTTGGCCGGGCGCGGTGGCTCATGCCTGTAATCCCAGCACTTTGGGAGGCCGAGGAGGGCGGATCACAAGGTCAGGAGATTGAGACCATCCTGGCTAACACGGTGAAACCCCATCTCTACTAAAAATAGAAAAAATTAGCTGGGTGTGCTGGTGGACGCCTGTAGTCCCAGCCACAGGGGAGGCTGAGGCAGGAGAATGGCGTGAGCCCGAGAGTCGGAGCTTGCAGTGAGCCGAGATCACACCACTGCACTCCAGCCTGGGCGACAGAGCGAGACTCCGTCTCAAAAAAAAAAAAAAAAAAAGACAGTGTTGTTTAGCTGCCTTTCCCCCTCTTCCAAGCTGTTTTCCGTTTAACTCCAATGGCCAAATTTATGAGACATGGAAGAAGAAAATATCTGATGAAGGTTGTTGGCTCAGCTCCTGACACTTATATATTAATAATTTCTTAAAATTCCAAAAGAGATACAAGAGGGTTTGTTTTCATTCATTCATTCATTCATTCAGCAAATAGTTATTGACCACCTGCTATGTGCCAGATACTGTGCTAGCTATGGTGGACCTCGTCCTTGTGGAGCTGACTTCTGAGTTAAGTGAACTCAGTTAACTGAATTACGCTTCAAATGCCAAATAGGTGAGAATTGAGGTATTTGTACTCATGGTTACTGACCAGAGCCTGCTTCAAAAGGGTCATACACCTCAACATTGTTAACATTCGTTTCTGATAAGGCCATAGTTCCCCAAGTTAAAAGCCCATATACCATCAGAATTTTGCTTTTAAATATATCAGGGGTGTCTGGGGACTAGTGTGAAATACCATATCCTGAATGTTGAGATTCTTGCTTGGGGCAGAAGTGTGGACAGAATGAATAATAAGTATACTTCAGAAGTAGAAACTTATCTGTGAGCAAATCAAAATATCTAGATAAATAACACAGAGTTCCCCAGTTTCATCCATTCACCATGTGACAGTTTTAAAAGGGACTGGGCATTCTGGTTTAGGCTTCGTAGCATGTTGAATAAATGCAAGTCTCTAGAGTCAGACAGTCTGAAGTCCAAATCTTAGTTCCTCTACTTCTAGCTGTGAACCTTGAGAAAAGCCATTTAACATCATTAAGAATCTATATTCTCATCTCTAAAATGATGACTGTATTAACCAATGTTTACTGAATGTCTATTATGTGACAGGCAGAGTGCTATGCTTGTGCATATTAACTCATTCTAATCCTCACAGTGTCTATATGGTATACGACTAGGGTCTCCACCCTACAGATAGGGAAACTGAGGCACAGAGAGGCTAAGTAGATTCTCAGTTAATGAGCATCAGAGCTGGTGTGTGAACCCTGGGAGTCTGATTTTCATCATAGGGCTGTGATGAGGATTAAGTAAAATGATTTGTGTAAAGTTCTTAGTGCAGAACCTAGCACTAAGTGATCAAGGAATGTTAGCACAAGAAAACTGAACTTAAGGCTGGGCGTGGTGACTCATACCTTTAATCCTAACACTTTGGTATGCTGAGGCAGGAGAATTGCTTGAGCTCAGGAGCTTGAGACTAGCCTGGGCAACATAGTGAGACCCCATCTCTACAAAAATTTAAAAAATTAGCTGGGTGTTGTGGCGTAACACCTGTGGTCCCAGCTATTTGGGAGGCTGAGGTGGGAAGATCACTTGAGCCTGGGAGGTCAAGGCTGCAGTGAGCTATGATTGTGCCACTGTACTCCAGCCTAGGTGACAGAGCAAGACCCAGTCTCAAAAAAAAAAAAAAAAAAAAAAGGAAAAAAGACAATAAAACTTAAAAAAAAAATTGAACTGGAGGGAAGAATCTTGCCCCATGTAGGATTCTGTGTTTATGGGAAAACAGGCAAGAGGTTATCCCAGCCAACTTTAAACCAGTCAGTAGAGAAGCCTAGCCTGTGAGTTCTGGTGGAGACTAGTGTATCAGAGTCTCCCAGATTCCTTTCATAGCAGGTAAGCTGTCTGGCAGTGTGATTCTCCACTGGTGATGTGGCTTATGCATCCATGTGTAAGCCTGTTTCTCACCTAATCCTTGGCTAAAGCACTTTGCAGAAGCTCTCCCAGAAAGAACATGAAGAGACTTGCCACATTGGATGCAAAATGTCCAACCATCTATGTAGATGCCAAATCCCCTGAGGTAGGACCCTCCCAGCACACAGCTATTCTTCCCAACACTAAAAATGCATGAGTCTTCACTGAAGGCTGCTAGCATTAAATAAACATGGCAATATATTTGAAATAAATCATTTACTCACAGTTTTGTATATAAAACAAGCAGAAAAAATATACCTTCAAATCAAGCTATTATTATTCTGAACTAGGGATTTTTGTTATGTTTTAGGGAGAGTTTGAACTTGTTGGGTTAAAATAAAATTTCAAGGCAAACAGGTAAAGCAGACATCATCAAGGATTTGAATTCTCTTTTTAGCGTTTGTTCAGAGTAGCTTTCATTAGGATTTTAACTTTGAACTGGGACATTTTAGAGGGCAAAGGATACCAGTGTACTACTGGGAAATATTATCAATGTTTACATACCAGTGTTTACCTAGGATCAAAATCATGCATGAGTTTACTCTAGAATTAATAAGACTACCGGTCCGCTGCACTGGCTCAGGCCTGTAATCCCAGCACTTTGGAAGGCTGAGGCGGGTGGATCACAAGGTCAGGAGTTCAAGACCAACCTGGCCAAGATGGTAAAACCCCATCTCTACTAAAAATTTAAAACAGGCCAGGCGCAGTGGCTCACGCCTATAATCCCAGCACTTTGGGAGGCTGAGGCGGGTGGATCACAAGGTCAGGAGATCGAGACCATCCTGGCTAACACAGTGAAACCCCATCTCTACTAAAAATACAAAAAAATTAGCCGGGCATGGTGGCAGGCGCCTGTAGTCCCAGTTACTCTGGAGGCCGAGGCAGGAGAATGGCGTGAACCCGGGAGGTGGAGCTTGCAGTGAGCCGAGATCGTGCCACTGCACTCCAGCCCGGGTGACAAAGAGAGACTCCGTCTCAAAAAAATAAAAATAAAAAAATAAAAAAACAAAACAAGTAGCCAGGCATGGTGGCGGGTGCCTGTAATCTCAGCTACTCGGGAGGCTGAGGTAGAGAATTGCTTGAACCCGGGAGGCAGAGGTTGCAGTGAGCCGAGACTGCGCCACTGCACTCCAGCCTGGGTGACAGAGTGAGACTCCATCTCAAAATAAATAAATAAATAAATAAGACTACAAGTTAACTTTGGTTCACAGCTCTTGGAGTGTGACTGTGAGAGTGTGTGTGTGTGAGTGTGAGTGTGTGTGTTTGAGTGTGTGTGTGTGTTTGAGATGAGTATGCAATTTGGAATTCTTGGGAGAGCTTTATTTGCTGACCAACTGACAAATTGCAATTTGAAGCTATATACAGTGGGGTACAGTGTCTTCCAATCACTACCTGGAATTTAATTCAGTGGAGGGTTTTAAAATGTGTTGATCCAAGAGATAATTCTATCTCTGTGGTTAGATTTCTATTTTGATGTTCCTTATTCATACCATAAAATTTTGTCCTAATAATCACGTCTTAAGCATGACCTAACACACACAATGCACATAAGAGCAAAGGCTTTGGAGTCAGAGATCTAAGTTCAAGTCATGACTGTGCCACTTACTAGCTGTGTCTCCTCAGGCAAATCACCTTAGTTCCATTTCCACATCTCTAAGATGGTTCTAGTAACAGCACCAGGACTAAGTGACATTTGGCAATGTGTGGCACACAATTTGTTTAAAAAGTTTGGCAATTATTATTATTACTTTAAAGAATGCCACTTAAAAGCCATAGTTTGTGTTTTAGAGAGGAGTCTCTCACAAAAGTTCAGAATAACCTCATGGTTTACAGAAAAATTATTTGATTATTTGGTAAAGGAAGATGTTGCCCCAAACTTGGGGTGAAGGAGGGGGTGGGGTAGGAAATCAGAGAGAAAAACAGTTTCTGCAAAAGGTTTCCAAGATTTGGCCTTACCCTGAGCATTTATCTTACTGCCTTGGTCCAAGTTACCACCACCCAGTAGAATAAACATTGGAGAGGACACGCCCACTCTCGGGCAGGCCCCTGGCACCAGGATGTTTCTATTACCTCAGAGTTTGAAAGTGGAAAAGGAGTTCCACTCAAAATGGAGGCAGAACATGGAATTTACTTGGGAGGTCAAACAATAAGCCGAAGACTTTGAAACACGGGCTCTTTTTTTCTATCACAGGCAGGGACCTCTTGCTACTGAAAAGCATGGCCCTTGGGGCACATAAACATCTCTCCTTGACTCTCCTTTCTTTAGGTAAAATCCTGGGAGGTTGAAGATACAAGGGAATAATGACATTCCGGGCCATGCCTTCTGCCCACCCCTCGCTCATCTGAGAAAGCGTTCATTCATAATGGGTCTTAATTGTGTTGATGATTGTACAGATTTTGTTATGTCAAAGCACATCATTCAATGAATGCTTGTGTATGATAAACAGATGCAAAGCCAAGAGGCTCAATTTTCCCAGACGTTTCTATCAACACACACCTGAGAATGCGGCCTTTTGCTGTGGGTTCTCAGGGAGGCCTGCTGTGTACTACAAGACGGCTGAAGCCACCCTCCCGAAAGGGGTGGAGTGGGGAGATTTTCTGCAGGGGTTTGGCAGCACACAAATACCAGTTAGGAAACTATTATCTTGTTCCCTTTATTTATTTAGACGGAATCTCATTCTGTCGCCCAGGCTGGAGTGCAGTGGCGCCATCTCAGCTCACTGAAGCCTCCACCGCCCGGGTTCAAGTGATTCTCCTGCCTCAGCCTCCGGAGTAGTTAGGACTACAGGCATGCACCACCACGCCCAGCTAAGTTTTGTACTTTTTTTAGTAGAGATGAGGATTCACCATGTTGGCCAGCCTGGTCTCGAACTCCTGGCCTCAAATGATCCGCCTGCCTTGGCCTCCTAAAGTGCTGGTTTTATAGGTGTGAGCCACCGCACCTGGCCTTGTTCCCTTTAAATAAGCATTACTTACACTTTGTCTCTAAAGGTTGATGGGGTAATGCTGAAACCAACAAAAATGAAACTCACAAATTCAGCACACATATGCCTCCCGGGCCAACGTTTTTCCAATCCATGAACAAACAGTAGGAGGGACTTCTAGTTTCACTCCTTACCTTGGCTCCTTTGACCTAAGCCTTTGAGGGATCTGGCAAGGAACAGAAAGGCCGACTGGCAGACACCAGAAAGGAAAAGGAAGGAGAAGCCACAGTGGCTTCTATCATTTAACACTAGCTTGAATTCATACAGTGTTTTGCAATTTATAAAATTCTTTCAGGCTGGGCAAGGTGGCTAACGCCTATAATTCCAGCACTTTGGGAGGCTGAGGCGGCCTGATCACCTGAGTTGAGGAGTTTGAGACCAGCCTGGCCAACATAGTGAAACTCTGTCTCTACTGAAAAAAAAAAAATATAAAACTTAGCCAGGCGTGGTGGCATGCACCTGTAGTCCCAGCTATTTGGGAGGCTGAGGCAGAAGAATTGCTTGAACCTGGGAGGCGGAGGTTGCAGTGAGCCAAGATCGCACCAATGCACTCCAGCCTGGGTGACACACAAGACTCTGTCTCAAAAAAGAAAAAAAAAAATTATTTCACATATATTATCTAATTTCATAAAATCCCAGAATTTGAGCTGCTCAGGGAATATAGGTGTTCTCTAACCCAGGGTTTTTGAACCTCAGCCCTATTGATATTTGTGATAATTCTATGTTATGAGGGGCTGTCTTGTGTGTTTTCAGATGTTTCATAACATCCCTGTCCTCTACCCACTAGATGCAAAAGCCCCCTACCTCCACAATGTTGTGACAACCAGAAATGTCTCCAGACATTGCAAATCTGGGGGCAGGGGGTGCGCATAAAATTGCTTTCTGTCGAGAATTACTGGTGGAGTCTATCTTGGAGCTGTGTAATATGATTATATACTGGCACACATGGTAGGTACTTTTTAAATAGAGAAGAAGTTGTTATTTTCTACAGCCCTCCCTCAACATGGGCCTGGTGTCTTGATCTGGCTCTTACGAATAGTCAAGGCTGGCCGGGCACAGTGGCTCACGCCTGTAATCCCAGCACTTTGTGAGGTTGAGGTGGGAGGATCGCTGGAGCCCAGGAGTTCGAGACCAGCCTGGGCAGCATGGCAAGGCGCAGTAGCTACCAAAAAAAAAAAAAAAAAAAAAAGTCAAGGCTATCAAGACTGAGAAACGTGCAACATTTTTCAAGGGTTTGAGGTAAGTGTCTCTGTGATACAATAATACTCATTTAATTTGGTTGAAACACTATCAATTTAATTTTCAGACAAAACAACAGCTACCATAAAGGCTTGTTAAGAATGGTTCTGTTGTCTAATTGACTTGTCATCACAGCAAACTTGACAGGCCTGGGTCATAGAAACATCACTGCCGAAATCAGTCTAAAGCATCCAACTGTCTCATTTAAATTCCGACCCCGCTGCTACATGGACACATGAGAACTGCTGACAATCTGGTTTTTAAGACTTGGGCTGTTTTCAAATGTCATTACTGGTTTCTTCAATAATGCAATAACCCTTACTTAAAATTTACAGTTTTTTTTTAAAGACATACTATGAACAATCACTGAAAATGGGCTTCTGGGATACAGTCAATTCACTGGTACTAAAGTCAGCATCTGTACAGGTCTGTAGGCAAAAGGCAATGATGTGGTAAAATAAATGATTAAACAATATTTGCATATGAATTGATTCATTCCCTCGCTCATTCAAACACTAATTGAGCACTGGCTGCGTATGAGGCTGTGCTAGATGCTTGGGGATACAGTGGTGGCTACTGCATGTTCCTTGGAGTTCACAGTCTGGCAAGGGTAGATGAAGAAGGAAGGGGAGGCCAGGAACAGTGGCTCATGCCTGTAATCCCAGCACTTTGGGAGGCCAAGGCGGGCAGATTGCCTGAGGTCAGGAGTTCGAGACCAGCCTGGCCAACATGGCAAAACCCTGTCTCTACTAAAAATACAAAAATTAGCCGGGTGTGGTGGCATGTGCCTGTAGTCTCAGCTACTTGGGAGGGTGAGGCAGGAGAATTGCTTGAACCCAGGAGGTAGAGGCTGCAATGAGCCGAGATCATGCCACTGCACTCCAGCCTGGGCAACAGAGCGAGACTCCATCTCAAAAAAAAAAAAAAGAAGGAAAGGGAGGAGACAGAGCAGAGGGAACATTATGAGCAAAGGTGGGCATTTGCAAAAATGCTGGAATGGTCTCAAATAGCTGAAATGTAGGAGGTGGATATGGGGCAGAAGATGAGGCTCAAAAAGAAAATGAAACCAGATTGTGAAGGGTCTAAGTCTCTCACTTTCTGTGGTAGACAGTGGAGAGCCACGAAGCTTTAGCCATGACTAGGAAGTTCAGGCTGAGTCCTCAGTGAAAGAATGAGTAGCTCTTGCACCAGGAGTTTTATTTATTCAGAGGAATAGAAACGATTTTATAAATTTGTTTATGAAGTATTCTGCTAAGCAAGCAGGAGGCCTGAGTAGTGTTTATAAGGGGACAAGAGACCGAAAACTCAGGAATTAAAAGCACGAGATAAACCTGAAGTTCTGTATCTTGTCAGCCTTAGTCTAGCGTCCGCCAGGTCAAATCTACCGTCTATTATAAACATCCGCCTTTTCATAATACATAACACTACTGCAGTTTTTTTTTAAGCCTTTTTTCTACAATTAGAATGTAAACTTTGAGAGAGCAGAATTTATGTCTCTTCTTGGTTATCATAAACTCCTCAAAGCTTGACACTTAAAAGACAATAAATATTTGTCAAATAATTAAATGGACTGTGATTTCCTTCTTTTTTTTTTTTTTTTTTTTTAAGACAGAGTCTGACTCTGTCACCCAGACTGGAGTGCAGTGGCTTGATCTTGGCTCACTGCAAACTCCACTTCCCGGGTTCAAGCAGTTCTCCTGCCTCAGCCTCCCGAGTAGCTGGAACTACAGGCACCCACCACTGCACCCAGCTAATTTTTGTATTTTTAGAGACGGGGTTTCACCATGTTGGCCAGGATGGTCTCGAGCTCCTGACCTTGTGATCTGCCCGCCTCAGCCTCCCAAAGTTCTGGGATTACAGGCTTGAGCCACTGTACCCGGCCCATTTCCTTCTTAATAACATAATTAATAGCGATAAATACTTAAAGATTACTTATTTTTGTACAAGGCACTGTGCTAGAAATGGGTGGGAGGGAACATAAAAAACCATATAAGATTGTTCAGCCCTAGGAGGTCACAAAACTTCCTTCAACAAACATTGATTGAGTGCCAAAATGAAGACAGTGGCTTAGTAAAGTGCACAAGCAAGGATGGACTGTGGGCCAAGACAGACTTCAGGGAATAAGCCAGCTATCACATGTAGCCGAGGATTGAAAATCTGCACATTTCTTGTTTAATTATATTTAGAGACAGATGGAAATTATGCAGCAGTAGAAGTTCTACTTATCCTCTTACACTTAGAACTAATTATGTTATCATATGCCATGTTATTGCCAATGCAATACACAATGATGTTAAATAATTGATTAAGATGATGAAGATGAACTCCATTTTATTGAACATCTTTATGAGTGAGACCTTCTGCTGACTGTCAGCAGTTAGCACCATGAGAGAATTTCAGAGGAGGATACTGTCCCACCCCATGTCTAGTATTTCTGGAGAAGTGGCTGGAGAGTGTATTTCACTTACATGCTAAGAACAGAGCAGCGCTAAAAGAGAATAGCCAGCTTAAATGCAATCCTCCCTACAGGGAAGGAGATGAATTAGAAATAATCTCTCTTGTTCTTTGCTCTCAGAGGTCAAATTTTTTTTTTTAAAAAAAGAAAGAAATAATCTCTCCAAGAGTTTCCTTAATGTATGGTTTTAAAACTCCCAAGTTAATGATAGTTAACTATTTTTTTGAACACGTATGTGTAATTTGATTTCTCATGACATTTCTATGAGTGGAAATTTTAAATGTGGGCTCTAGAGTACGGGGTAGACGCCTGCTGGAGACCTGCACATTTGACTCCCTGGCTGTTTTAATAAAGTTTTGTTGGCACATAATCCACAGCCATTCGTTTACATATAGTCTGTGGCTGCATTTATGGGGACGGTGGCAGAGTTGAGTTAAGTAGCAGCAGAGATGATACGGCCTATGAAATCTAAAGTGTTTACTGTCTGGACCTTTACTGCAAACATTTGCCAACCTCTGCTCTAAAGTCAGATTTCCTGGGTTTGAGCCCTAGCTCTTCAGCTGTGTAGCTGTGTGACACATTGGTAAACTAACTATTTAAAATCCTGATTCCTCATTATCGTCACCTGCAAAATGAGACTAGTAATAATTATCGCTATCTCAAAGCATCACTGTGAGGAATAAATGAGATAGCCAAGGGCTTAGAATGAAGCTAAGTAAGGGTGTGATCAGTGTTAGCTATTAGTGCCCCCTTTTAATTTTTTTATTATTTATTTATTTACTTATTTTTATTCATTTATTTTTTGAGATGGAGTCTCACTCTGTCACCCAGGTTGGAGTGCAGTGGCACCATCTCAGCTCACTGCAATCTCCGCCTCCTGGGTTCAAGCGAATCCTGCCTCAGCCTCTCGAGTAGCTGGGACTATAGACAAGTGCCGCCATGCCCGGGTAATTTTTTTGTATCTTTAGTACAGACAGGGTTTTGCCATGTTGGCCAGGCTGGTCTCGACCTCCTGACCTCAGGTGATCCGCCCACCTCAGCCTCCCAAAGTGCTGAAATTATGTGGTGGCTCACGCCTGGCCATACTGCCCCTTTTTAAAGATCAGGAGATTGAGGGTATCAAATAACTTGACCCAACTTACAGAATTGAAATGTAGGTCAATCTGATGACAAAGCCAAAGCTCTTTCTACCATGATACTCATTCTTTGCTACTTACTTACTTACAGCAGGTTTAGCAATAGCCAGTGTTAACAGGATAAGACCACGATTGGTGAGAAATGGACATTGGCTGATAGAGTGGAAGGAATTTCCAGTACAGACACATGGTAAAGTTGTTGGGAAATCATTACTTTCTACCATCCCCATCGCTTCCCCTCTGCACTCTCCCCACCACTCTTCTAAGCTTTCAAAGAGTTCTGCAAACTGTCCCATAGCCTATTTCTGGCTCTTTGTAAAGGAGTTAACATATTCAAACTATGTTTTTAGACTTAAAAACCTATGGAATTAAATTCTTAAATGGAAATGTTGAAGGACTAGAATTCACGTAATCGCAATGTTCAAGTGAGAACATGGGACTGTGATGAGGCAGTGATTCCACGCCCAGGCTCTGGAGCCAGACTGCCTCGCTTCCTATCTCTTGACTGTACTACTTGAAAAACAAATGCCATCACACAAGTCACTTTCTCTCCTTGAGCCTCAGCTTCACCATCTATAAAATGGTGATAATATTATCATTAACATTGTTGGGAGGATTAAAAAGTACCTGGCTGGTTGGGCGTGGTGGCTGAAGCCTATAATCCCAGCACTTTGGGAGGCTGAGGTGAGAAGCTTGCTTGAGCTCAGGAGTTCCAGACCAGTCTGGGCAACATAGTGAGACCCTGTCTCTACAAAAAATACAAAAATTAGCCAGGTGTGGTGGCTCCAGCTACTCAGGAGGCGGAGGTGGGAGGATTGCTTCAGCCTAGGAGGTTAAGGCTGCAATGAGCCGTGATTGCATCACTGCACTCCGGTCTGAGCAACAGAGGGTAACCCTGCCTCATAGCAAACAAACAAAAAGAAACAAAAAAGAAAAAAGTACCTGGCTACAGTAAATGCTCAAGGCCCTTTGTTATTATTTCAGATGGTCAAGAATAAATGTTTTTCAAGGATCTTCTTTTTGTAGACAACTGTGTAGTCACAGTTTAGAGTCGTTAATTATCTGCCTGGCAAGATACTTTTTAAAATTAAAATGTAAAGAACCTGAGGGGATTCACTCCCAAATGTTTATGGACAAACTGAAAGGGCATTTACACAGATATTACCTTCTACATTTATGTGAGAAAGTGCTTTAAGACACTGTACATGTGAAATGTGTAGTTATAATGGCTACTACTATGTTCTCTTTTATATTTTCTAATTATGTAAGTATTATGTTCTTTTTATCACTACTTTGTATTCCTGCACGGGAGCTTTGTGCCTACCCATTGAATGTAGTAGGCCCTAAATATTGCCTGTTAACTAATTATGGTGTCATATACCATGTTAAAATTAAAATATTACAATTACTGAAGCAGGTTTAAGAGAGAAACCCGGGCATAATATTCTTAGAAAAACTTTATGTGCCAGAAGTTGAATATATGAACTGGTAGTTTGATGCATGATTACTTTTTAATTATAAAAGTCATCTTTAATTGCAAAAAATTCATAATAGTGTTCTTTTAGATAGGAAATTTCCTGTGTTGTTAAGAATATGATTCAAGTTACTGAGAATTTATAGATATATATTTCCTGTACATACTATTCCTATATATCTATATATACCAACAATACTATACAAAAGTATTAGTCCCATTTTCTTTTTTTTTTTTCTTTTCTTTTTTCTTTTTTTTTTTTTTTTGAGACAAGGGCTCTGTCACCCAGGCTGGGGTGCAGTGGCATGATCACGGCTCACTGCAGCCTCAACTTCTCAGGCTCAAGCAATCCTCCTACCTCGACCTCTCAGGCTCAAGGGATCCTCTCACCTCAGCCTCTCAAGTTGCTGGGACTACAGGTCCTCACCACCACGCCTGGCTAATTTTTTATTTTTTTGTAGAGATGAGGTCTCACCACGTTGCCTAAAGTTGTTCTCAAACTCCTGGGCTCAAGCAATCCTCCTGCCTCGGCCTCCCAAAGTGCTGGGATTAAAGGCGTGAGCCAACACGCCCGGCCAGCCTCATTTTCTTGATGGAGAAACTGAGAAGGAGGGCGATCATGTGCTTACTTCAAAATCACAATTAGATAATGGCAAATTTGTGATTGTAATTTTATAAAGATGCCTTATCTTTGGGGTGATACTTTATAATTTAACTTCTTTTTGGCAGTAGAGTTGTTTTATATCCAAAACCAAACCAAACCCAGAGAGTCCAAATATAAAAGATAGAATTTTAAAAAATTTTAAAATTTGTGGGGGTCGGGCGTGGTGGCTCACGCCTGTAATCCCAGCACTTTTGGAGGCCAAGTGGAGCGGATCACCTGAGATCAGGAGTTCAAGACCAGCCTGGCCAACATGGTGAAATCCCATCTCTACTAAAAAATACAAAAATTAGCCGGGCGTGGTGGCCTGGTGCCTGTAAT
Source organism: Homo sapiens (assembly GCF_000001405.40). Taxonomy (NCBI): domain Eukaryota; kingdom Metazoa; phylum Chordata; class Mammalia; order Primates; family Hominidae; genus Homo; species Homo sapiens. The sequence goes on from NC_000004.12 coordinate 40,457,304, forward strand.
CCCAACTACTTGGGAGGCTGAGACAGGGAGAATCACTTGAACCCAGGAGGCAGAGATTGCAGTGAGCCAAGATAGTGCCACTGCACTCCAGCCTGGGTGACAGAGTGAGACTCCATCTCAAAAAAAAAAAAAAAACAAAAAAAAGGCATTTTAAAATTTGTGTGTAAAAGGCTGTTTACTCAGGGTGGAATGTAGTGACACGATCTCAGCTCACTGCAACCTCCACCTCCCAGGTTCAAGTGATTTTCGTGCCTCAGCCTGGGATTACAGGTGCATACCACCACGCCCAGCTAATTTTTTTTTGTATTTTTAGTACAGACAGGGTTTCACCATGCTGGCCAGGCTGGTCTTGAACTCCTAACGTCAAGTGATCCACTGGCCTTAGCCTCCCAAAGTGCTGGGATTAGAGGCATGAGTCACTGTGCCCAGCCAAGGGTATTTTTCATTCGTTAAACTTCTTAAATTTTACTATCACATTGGGGATTAAGTTTAAAAAAATTTTCTTAAATTTATGCTCAAACAGATTTAGAAAGTGAACTTTTTGCTGGGTGTGCTGTCCTAGCACTTTGGGAAGCTGAGGTAGGTGGATCACCTGAGCCTTGGAGTTTGAGACCAACCTGGGCAACATAATGAGACCCCACCTCTAATAAAGTCAAATAAAATTAAATAAAACAAAATAAAACAAAATGAAAGTGAACGTTCCCAAACATAAACTTACAGTCATTATAATGGTGTGTGAATGCTAGTCTTCTCCTCCTAATTTGAAACTATATTAGTAGTTTGCAAGTAGTAGTTATATAGTAACAGTATGGTCTATTATTACTGTGTTATATTACACATGAATACATGTACAATATGCACCTTCTGGTGGTATGTCAAATAGTAGTATACAAAAATAACATAGGTCTTTTTGTAAAACAAATGACAAATTGCCTGTCCTGAAACAAAGGCTCTGAAACAGACTGACATAGTCAAACATTAGCTTCAGTTTTAGGTGTGACCTTCTGCTTTTATTTGGTGAACATTAGTCATTTCAGTTGCAACTAGGAAACAATATCTGCTACTATAGAAAAAAACAGATCCTGATTATGTTGATGTCATGTTCATTGACCAGTTATCTCAAGGCAATAATTATAGTAGAATAGCATTCGCCCAGGAATACTCTCAACATTGAAAAAGTCATGAGTTAAAATACTTTCTTCTATAAATGTTTAAGTTTAATGTGGGGTATTTTGGAAGCTAAAAATATTTTCAAAATCAACTATATTTATGACAATATGACCATAGTAGGCTGTTTATGAGAAAATATAAAAAAGGAAGTGAACTTTCTGGTGGGGGATCACTTAAAGACAAAATGCATTAAATACAACTTTAATCCAGAAAATATGTGTTCTTTTTATTCATTGCATTGTTTCAATGTTGTTCCACCTTTCCAGCTCTGGTGATAATTGTTTTTTTTTCCCCCTTTTCTTTTCTTCCTTTTTTGGGTACACAGTGAAAAACAAAAAAAGATAGCTTAAAAAACAGGTCCTTCTGCAAACATACGGCGAAGGTTAAACTCTAATACCCCATGGCTTGTTTACTTTAAAAATTTGGAAAAGTAAGCACCATGAGTTCATTGATATGAGTAGGAACCTGCGTCATCCTGTGGTATTTGTGAATATTGTGGGCTCTTTTATCAATTTCATTTGTTTCTAAGTCTTTCCAAAGAACTCTATTAGAAATGAGACCATCTGAGACAGGTCCTTTAACACAGAAAAAGTAAAATTCGCCTTCTATTATGAAGTGATTTTAGATATTAAAGGCTCTTTCCACTTCTTTATGCATTGTTTGAAATGTCTTAGAAAAGTTAAAACAATAGTGTTTATAGTTTATTTTATTAGCTACACTTGAAGCATCTCAAAGGCAGTGATGCTTATTTTATCCCCAGTGCCTGGCACTGAATGAATGTTTGAATAAAAGAATGAATGGATAGAAGAATGAATGAATGTGCACTGTCTTTTGCAAGAAACATGGTAGGACAAAGCTACAAAAAGAGTTTCCTTTTATAACTAACATCCACCAAATTGCTTTGGACATTTTTTTCACGTATCTATTTACTAAGTTTTGTGGGAGAGCCGTGCATGGGGGTGCATGCCTGAAATCCCAGCTACTGGGGAGGGTGAGGTGGGAGGATTGCTTGAGCCTAGGAGTTCAAGGCTGCATTGAGCTATGATTGTGCCACTGCACTCCAGCCTGGGCAACAGAGCAAGACCCTATCTCTAAAAAAAATTAATAATAAAAATAATTTAAAAAAACTTTTGTGGTTTACCTGCATATAGAACTGGGTACAAATAGTCATACCCAGGTACTATCTGGTGGTATTTCTGCATGGCCGAAAGGAGCCCATCAGAGAATGAATAGGCCAGCTTTGGTACAGGAGTTGGCATTTCTTTCTTTCTTCTTTCTTTTTTTGAGACAGAGTTTCATTCTTGTTGCTAAGGCTGGTGTGCAATAGTGTAATGGCGCTATCTTGGCTCACCACAGCCTCTGCCTCCGCCTCCCAGGTTCAAGCAATTCTCCTGCCTCAGCCTCCCGGGTAGCTGGGATTATAGGCATGTGCCACCATGCCTATAGCTAATTTTGTATTTTTAGTAGAGACGGGGTTTCACCACGTTGGTCAGGCTGGTCTCAAATTCCCAACCTCAGGTGATCCACCCGCCTCGGCCTCTCAAAGTGCTGGGATTACAGGCCTGAGCCACCACGCCTGGCCAGGAGCTGGCATTTCTAACACATGCCCAGGCATCAGGAATGTCACATGGAAAAGCCACACCAACCCCTAATGGATTATATTGAATGCCAATGTTAATATCCCTTGAGCCGTCTTGGTAAAGTAGGTACTGGCCAGGGAGCTATAAAATTTCCATCACTGTTTTTTTTTTTTTTCTTTTTTCTTTTGGCCTTAACTGATATGCTTAGCTTCTGCTATACTGTCTCAGGAATTCGGTAGAGATTTTATGCCACAAGGAAATAGGCACATAAATGAGGCCTGCCCATGAAGGCAGTTTTTAATCACTCTTTTATCTGAAGGTATTTTGAGAGGCTGCTTATTACAGTGCTTGAGCTCGAGCTCCTGCATGCCAGAGCTCAACCGCTTGAGTTCAATACCATTTATTAACTGTGTGACTTCAGGTGAGTGACTTACTCTCCCAAGCTTCAGTTCACTCAACTGGAAAATGGGAATAGACCGGGTGTGGTGGCTCACGCCTGTAATCCCAGCTACTTGGGAGGCTGAGGCAGGACAATTGCTTGAACCAGGAAGGTGAAGGTTGCAGTGAGGTGAGATTGTGCCACTGCACTCCAGAGAGGCTGAGGCAGGTGGATCACCTGAGGTCAGGAGTCCAGGACCAGCCTGGCCCACATAGCAAAACCCCATCTCTACTAAAAATACAAAAGTTAGTCAGGCATGGTGGCAGGCGCCTGTAGTCCCAGCTACTCGGGACGCTGAGGCAGGACAATCTCTTGAACCCCAGAGGCAGGTGTTGCAGTGAGCCAAGATCGCACCACTGCACTCCAGCCTGGGTGACAGAGTTAAGACTCTGTCTCAAAAAAAAAAAAAAAAAAAAAGATACTTATTAAAAGAAGAAGGAAGAGAAGGAAAATCAGTTTTCCCAGTCTCTATAATTAAACTAGGCAGTTAGAGACAATTGGAAATTCTTACAAATTTAAATAAAAAGCACAACTACATTAATTAAAGAAACTCAAGAAATATGCACTTAAATTAAGAATGGAAATGAACAGAAAATACATATCTAGAGTTTCACTGAACCTAGAGTATTTAAAATGAAAAATTCAGGTGTCAGGAAATTTATGATTTCCCAGGTCTACTAAACTCCTGGAACAATTGTTGGCATTTAATTGCTATTCATGTCTCGCGTACTCTGTACTTTCACTGAGTGCACTTGGAGTTAATATTTCAATTAAAAAACTAATACATCAGTAAAAACGCCCAGATTTGAGCTAATCATTTATTCTCAGGCTCACAGGGAAATACTGGATATTCTTCGAGTTAATAAAGTGTGAAATGATTTTAATTATTCAAGGGAAATATAGTATACCAGTCTTGCAAATGGTTTTTTTAGACAGCATGGTCTGTCTTATCCCATCCTACATCAGAAAATTTAATTGGCTTAGTTATTTCCTCTTTCCCAAATCCCTTTTTATGGCAAAGAGAAAATGAGGACCTACAGCAGCCCACGTTGCTGAGGACCTAAACCAGTCCCTGTGAAAACCAAAACAGGGATGGGCTGGATTTCAGTTTGTTTCTCATAGGTTCCGAAGTCAGAGTTTTAAAAGATTTAACAGGCTGGGCACAGTGGCTCATGCCTGTAATCCCAGCACTTTGGAAGGCTGAGATGGGCGGATCACCTGAGGTCAGGAGTTCAAGACCAGCTATGGCTAACATGGAGAAACCCTGTCTGTACTAAAACAGAAATACAAAAATTAGTCGGGCATGGTGGCAGGCGCCTGTAATCCCAACTACTCGAGAGGCTGAGGTAGGAGAATCGCTTGAACCTGGGAGGCAGAGGTTGCAGTGAGCCAAGATCGCACCATTGTACTCCAGCCTGGGTGACAAGAGTGAAAACTCCGTCTCAAAAAAAAAAAAAAAAGATTTAACATTAATTTATTTGGAATTTGGACAGCCAACTGCCAATGTCAAGCATTCCAATGTTGAGAGCCTAATACAGAATCTTGTTCATGTGGGGAGACCTCTGAGACCCTGAGTTGCATTAGCATGGCACTACTGTCATCTCCAAGCCCGTCAGAGAACAGCGCCCGTCCAGTGCAGACATTTGAAGCTAGGCGAGGCGGGTTACACAGCCTGGGGAGTCTTTGTACTTTTCAATATTCTCCAAGGGAAGTCTAGACAGGCTTCACATTTTGTTAAGTACAGCTAGGTTCTGTCCACAATAAAACAGAACTAGGACAACTGTTTTGGAAACATAGTTAGCACATAATTGTAGCTAATTTAGTTTTTTTCTCTGAAGCAGCATGAAAAGAAATTTGTTTTTGTACAAAAGATGTTTTTATCTTCTATAGCCCACAATTCCCAACAACAGAGTGTCCTCTCTCCTTCCCTCTGCTGCAAATATATGCACCTACATAACACCCACATGCACGTTTTTTTCTAGCCTAAGCCACTATCTACCCCTGCTGTTCTCTTTTTGGGGATTTCTTCAAGCATATTTACAAAACACTTGCTGAGCCCAACTGCCGCCTCACTGCTGTATCCTAGTTACATGAGCCATCAGTTCCCCAAACGCTTGCTTTCACCTGTCTGTTGGGAAACCACCTAAGCCTATACGAGGAAGAAAAATCATTCAGAACAAATGTTGGCTTGAATACTCATGTCGTTTTCTTAACTGCTTGATACAGGCTTTCACCGAGATTTGGTGGGAATCAAAAGTACATCTTTAAAAGAATCCTGGCCTTTACCTTACACTATATATAAAAATAAACTCAAATAGATCAAAGACCTAAATGTAAGAGCTAAAACTATAAGACTTGGAAGAAAATACAGGGGCAAACTTTCATGATACTGGATTTGGCAATGATTTTTTGGACAACCCCAAAAGCACAGCAACAAAAGAAAAAATAGATAAAGTAAACTTAATCGAAATTAATAACTTTTGTGCACCAAAGGACACTGTCAAGAGAGTGAAAAGGCAACCCACAGTGTAGGAGAAAATATGTGCAAATCATGTCTGATAAGGAATTGATATTCAGAACATATAAAGAACTACAACTCAATAACAAAAAGCAAACAAGCTAATTTAAAAATGGTCAAAAAAGTTGAACAGATATTTTTCCAAGGAAGATATACATTATACATCCGCAAAGATATACATTATACATCTGCATTACACATCTGCAAAGACCCTTGAAAAAATAAAGAAGACACACAGATGCCCCTTAAGGACATGAGAAGATGCTCAACATCATTCATCATTAGGGAAATGCAAATCAAAGCCACCATGATATACCGCTTCACACTCACTGTGATGGCAATTATCAAAAAAACAAAACCACAAGTGTTGGTGAGAATGTGGAGAAACTGGAACCCTTGTGCACTGCTGGTGGGAATGTATAATGGTGCAGCTTCTGTGGGAAAAAGTATGGTGGTGCTTCAAAAATATAATCATAATAAACAGAAGTACCACATGAGCCAGCAGCTTCTCCTGATGCACAGTGCAAGAAATGAACATAAGTGGTAATAATAAATATTCAGTGAATGAATGTAGGCCTCACATATCTTTTTCCCATAGAGAGATTGAGGTTGGTAAGTAATAACAGATCTGGTGACACTGTCTTCTACTTTAGAGACCTGATATTGGCTAGAGGTGGGGTAGGTAAAGGGGAGGGAATAGGCTTTTATTAGGTTGGTGCAAAAGTGATTGCAGTTTTTGTCGTTACATTTAATGGCAAAAACTGCAATTACTTTTGCACCAACCTAAATATTTTTTGAGTATCTATAAAAATATTTCTGGTTTTAAAATCTTCCTAAATTGGTAATACAGTTTTTACATGTGCCCTGTGAAACGCACATTGCCATATATGATGCGTGGGGATAGGTGGGAAGGTGGGTAAAATTTGCTGTTTCTGAAAGAGTTGGACAATATCAAGAGCTTTACAGTGTTCATTAGTCAATTCTCATTAGCCCAATGATTCCATTTATAGACATGTATAATCAAATACCCAAGCAAAGATTTACATTCAAATCTGTTTACTGAAGTTCTATTTATAATACAATGCAATGAACATAATAGTATATATTTACACGTAATGTAATAAACACAAATATTCAATGGTATAAAAATGGTCAATAAATCGTGGCATAGCCACAGCTTAGAGTACCTGTTTAATGTTCTCAGCTATTTTAACTTTGCTAAATAATATTTAAAGATATGCGGTAGTCCCCCTTCATCTGAGGAGGACCTGTTCCAAGACCCCCAGTGGATGCCTGAAACCTCTGATAGTAATGAACCCTATATATACTGTTTTTTCCTATACATATTTACATATATAATACATACCTATGATTAAGTTTAATTTATAAATTAGGCACAGTAAGAGATTAACAACAACAATAATAAAATGTAACAATTATAGCAATACTCTAATAATAAAGTTATGTGAGTGTGGTCTCTCTCTCTGTCTCAAAATATCATACTGTATGCCTCTATTTTGGGAATACAGTTGACAACGGGTAACTGAAACCGAGAAAAGTGAAACTGCAGATGGGGGCTGACTACTGTATATGAAAATTAAACAATCAGCCAGGCATGGTGGCTCACGCCTGTAATACCAGCACTTTGGGAGGCCGAGGCGGGAGGATCACGAGGTCAGGAGATCGAGACCACGGTGAAACCCCGTCTCTATTAAAAATACAAAAAAAAAATTAGCCGGGTACAGTGGCAGGCACCTGTAGTCCCAGCTACTCGGGAGGCTGAGGCAGGAGAATGGCGTGAACCCGGGAGGCAGAGCTTGCAGTGAGCCGAGATCGCGCCACTGCACTCCAGCCTGGGCGACAGAGCAAGACTCTGTCTCAAAAAAAAAAAAAAAAAAAAAAAAAAGGAAAAGAAAATTAAACAACCAAACAAAATCAGAGTAAATACACCATGTTAATTCTGGTTATATTTGGATTGTGGGCTTATGGGTAGATTTTGTTACATTTTTCTATAATTTCCAGATTTCCTTCCATTAGTATACTTTTATAAGAAGAAAAAAATTACAATTAAAAAAATTTTGCTCTCTGAGTCCCTGAATTCAATGGACTAAATCCAAAACCCAGCCTAGGGAACATGAAGACAAAGTACCTATTTTCTCTCGCAGGGATTATTGGGCACATCAGTGTCGCTGGCAGCCCCTCCCTGACACACCAATATCTACTGCCTCCACCTTCTGGAGCTATGTGAGGGCTGGGGTCCAAGGTCAGGGTGAAGCTAATCTTTCTCCTATCTTCCCTTCCTAGCACACACAAGATTATCGTCCATAGAATAATCTCACTCACTAGATCCATAGAAAGATCTCAGCTCAGCGGGGCACTGTGCCTCATGCCTGTAATCCTAGCACATGGGAGGCCGAGGAGGGCAGATTGCCTGAGCTCAGAGGTTCAAGACCAGCCTGGGCAACACAGTGAAACCCTGTCTCTACTAAAAATACAAAAAAATTAGCTGGGCATGAAAATTAGCCGGGTGTGGTAGCGTGCACCTATAATCCCACCTACTCGGGAGGCTGAAGCAGGAGAATTGCTCGAACCCGGGAGGCGGCGGCTGCAGTGAGCCGAGATCGTGCCACTGCACTCTAGCCTGGTCGACAGAGCGACACTCCATCTCCAAAAAAAAAAAAAGAGAGATCTTGGCTCACTGCAACCTCTGCCTCCTTGGCTCAGTCCTACTTGGAGAAGATTAAATGGTTGTCAAAGTGCTTTTACATATGTTGTGGTTCTTTGGATCATCATGAATTGGGATGACAGTTATTTTTACCTCATATGACAGGCAAGGAAACAGAAACTTAGAGAAGGTATGAGGATTGATCAAAAATACAAGATACTATCACACTGAATCCTAGTCTAGTTTGTACCAAGAACCCAGCCTCGTGTCACACAATCAAAATACAGTCTGACTGAAACATAGTTGACTGGCTGGGTGCTGTGGCTCATGTCCGTAATCCCAGGACTTTGGGAGGCTGAGGTGGGTGAATCTCTTGAGGCCAGCAGTTTGAGAACTAGCCTGGCCAAAATGGTAAAACCTTGTCTCTAATAAAAATATAAAAATCAGCCAGATGTGGTGGTACACACCTGTAATCCCAGCTACTCGGGAGGCTGAGTCACGAGAATTGCTTGAACCTGGGAGGTGAAGGCTGCAGTGAGCTGAGATCGTGCCACTGCACTCCACCCTGGGTAACAGAGTGAGACTGTCTCAAAAAAAAAAAAAAAAAAAAGAAAGAAAGAAATACAGTTGACCTCTTTTTTGGGAGGTTAAGGGTCAGATTTATAAGCAACACATAGTTATATCTTGTCTCTTAAGTCACAAAGATGTAAAGTGTACAAAGACATAAAGGTTTATATTGAGGGTTCCAAATGACTTATCACGTTCTATATTCCACTAACGTTGCCACATGAACACACAACAGGTACACATTGTCTAAGTAGCAGGTATCTTGGTTGAAAGGAATGAAAACTTATGTTCTTGCTTAAGTGGAAGGGAAAAGGACCAGAGGAAGTATACTCACCAAAACCACTAATTTGATTTGTCTGGTCCTTTATAAGTCGCAGAACGAGAGTATACAGGCAAATTCAGGCAGCTTCCTTGGGATTCCTCTGTTCAATTTTTGCAGTGCCCTTTGAGGCAAATCCTAAGGGTTAAAAAAGAAATGGTTAGAAATATTTTCTATTTCAACATGATTTTCATATGTGCATTAGAAATTGGGGGGGGGGGGGCAGATCCTCTTGCGTAGTTCCTAAGCATAATAATTAGAAACTGGGGGGCCATTTTCTTCAAAAAATGAAATACCATTACTCTAATTATCATGTTCTCTATAAACCAAGTGCAACTGCTTATCTGATTCTTAAAGAAACAAGGAACAGTAATAATAAGAAAATGACTAATTTCTTCCATTTGTGTTTGTCTCTATGCCTTCTTCAGAGTGTGCATGACTTCAAGATGCACATAATGTTTAAGAAGGAATACAGATGTAGCCTATATTTTACACTTATAGACTCACAAAAAGAGGTAGTATCCTTTACAGAAATAATCATATCTAGCTCATGGACTTCCCAGCCAATTTGGGAGCTTATGCTACACATCACTAATAGATCTTCAAACTCTTCCTGCAGGGTCCAGAGAGGGTTCCCAAAACCATTGAAGCAAGTACTCCAGCTATCCACTACCAACCAGAGTTGGTATGAAAGAGACTTACTGTTCTGCCCCTAAAATGTAGAGGTAAGACTCTTTTTTTTTTTTGAGATGGAGTTTTGCTCTGTCGCCCAGGCTGGAGTGCAGTTGCGTAGTCTCGGCTCACTGCAAACGCCACCTCCCAGGTTCATGCGATTCTCCTGCCTCAGCCTCCCAAGTAGCTGAGATTACAGGTGCCCACCACCACGCCTGGCTAATTTTTGTATTTTTTAGTAGAGCTGGGGTTTCATCATGTTGGCCAGGCTGGTCTCAAACTCCTGACCTCAAGTGATCCACCCGACTCAGCCTCCCAAAGTGCCAGGATTACAGGTTTGAGCCACTGTACTCGGCAGAGTCAAGACTCTTTTGAGGATGTTCATCGCATGGAGAGGCCCATGAAAAATATGATTTGGGGGTTTAGAATAATCTTTAATAAGTAATGATATAGGAAATATTCACATGAAAAGAATTTAAAGTTCAAGATAAAGATATTTCAGATGAGGAATTAAAATATATCTTAAGCACAAAACTTTTATTTTTATTTCAATGTGTGGAAATATAATCTGCCTGATTTTCCAAACTACAGAGAGCCCCCATCAAGCCAACTGAAGCTCCAAATAACTTATACAAGATTCAATATGGCACAGTGGTTTCAACACCAGACTGGGAACCAGAAGGCTAGTTTTAAGGCTATCTCTGTCATGCCCAGTTCATTTCACCTGTCTGAGCCAAAGTTTACTCCCATGGAAAAAAAATAATAAAGGAGGCCAGGTGTGGTGGCTCATGCCTGTAATCCTAGCACTTTGGGAGGTCAAGATGAGTGGATCACTTGAGATCAAGAGTTCAAGACCAGCCTGGCCAACATGGTGAAACCCTGTTACCGCTAAAAATACAAAAAATTAGCTGGGTGCAGTGGTAGGCGCCTGTAATCCCAGCTACTCAGGAGGCTGAGGCAGGAGAATCACTTGAACCTGGGATGCGGAGGCTGCAGTGAGCTGAGATTGTGCCACTGCACTCCAGCCTGGGCGACAGAGCAAGACTGTCTCAAAAAAGTTAAATAAATAAAAATAAGAATAAAGGAGTTGGATTACCAATAGTTCTCAACATTAAAAAAAAATTGTGTTTGTTTTTTCTTTGTGTTTTAGTTGTAGCACACTTTTTTCCACCAAAAATCTAACTAGTTGCAGAAACAACACCAATAAAACAGTTGCTGGTTGAAGTATAGGTAGGGGATGTTGTCGGGAGGTGCCCCCACTTCCATCATTCATTGTGTCCCTGTGGAGACACCGTAAGACCTTTAGGACTCCATAGAGCACAGTTGGAAACCTTCTGGATTAAATGGCCTTTAATATAACTTATAGCTCAAAATTATTCTGCCATAACTATCTTTATATTGGAATGACTGGGTGCTCAGTGAGATCCATAACGTTATGGGAACACAGCAATAATACTTTACCATGATCTAGTTTTAATCTTGTTAACAATGATCTCCTGAAAGAAAAAAAGCCACACCCTCAAATAAATTACAGAGCAATAGCTGTTAAAATGATTTACGTTTTAATACACATAATCTTTACCCAACTCTGTGAAAAGATAATTCCTGAAATGCTGCATCCTGGATAATACCTAGTAATCAAGATCATAGTGGTTGATAAAAACTACGAAAACGAATGTACAAAGTACAAGAAGGTGTGTCTTGAAATTAATTGTACACTGTCTGGACAATAGACTCCTGCATCTCTCATCTACTAGCTAAGTAAATCCAGACAAGTATATTCAACTTTCCTGAGCCTCAGTTTCCACCTCCATAAAGCAGAAATCATTCCTGGCAGGACTGTTGTGGAGAACAGAGAAAATATTTATAAAGCACCATTCTCGACATATATTATTTGTGCAGAATTTTGAGTTTTCACTCTTTCTGTAATGGTAAAATGTCTCCCTTTAAAATGTAATACCAAGGTAATGAACATGTAAACTCTAAGAATTGAAAGCAAATTATTAATATATAAATGAAACACAGAATTCACGTAGTTTTGTGCTACATCATAAAAAGGGAAAGAAGGATCACAGATGTGCCTTTCACGGCTATTCAAGTAACACAGGACATTTCCCCAAAATGAAACACTTAGGGTCAATGTTTGTTTCCAGAAAAATCTGACTTTCCAGAATAACTCCAAACACAATCCATTCCATAATTTTTTTTTTTTTTTTTTGAGATGGCGTCTCACTCCATCCCCCAGGCTGGAGTGCAGTAGCCTGATCTCGGCTCACTGCAACCTCTGCCTCCTGGGTTCAAGCGATTCTCCTGTCTCAGCCTCCTGAGTAGCTGGGACTACAGGTGTGCGTCACCATGCCTGGCTAATTTTGGGAGGCCGAGGCCAGCAGATCAAATGAAATAGATTGTGTTTGGAGTTATTCTGGAAAGTCAGATTTTTCTGGAAACAAACATTGACCCTAAGTGTTTCATTTTGGGGAAATGTCCTGTGTTACTTGAATAGCCATGAAAGGCACATCTGTGATCCTTCTTTCCCTTTTTATGATGTAGCACAAAACTACGTGAGACATTTTGTATTTTTAGTAGAGATGGGGTTTTGCCATGTTGGCCAGGCTGGTCTCTAACTCTTAACCTCAAGCGATCTGCTGGCCTCGGCCTCCCAAAGTGCTGGGGTTACAGGCGTGAGCCACCATGTGCGGCCAGAATATTTAATATTGTTATGTTTGCCATAAAAATCTTCAAGCAAAACCTATATGTTATGTTTGTCCTGTGGCTTCACATTCCTCCTGACACAATATTGGATACTCCAGAGAACCCAGTTTGAGAAGGTTAGTTCCAGTCCAAACCTTTGATTTTACTATGGAGGAAACTGTCTTACCAAAGGTCACACAGTAGGTAGGAAACATAGTAATAAGATTTGTGGGGCAGTTTCTGGAGAAACGGGGTGGTTTCCAGACATTAATGGCGTTAATTCATTCCAGCTCCCCCCGCCCCCCAGCCTGGTACCCTGAAATTGCATAGACATCACTCACCCCATCATGGAGTCTTTATAAAGACCAAATGGGGAAAAGTTTATAGATTCCAGTAGGAGGAAAGCTATACTGACAGAACAACTGGTTTGTTTTAATGTTTTGGGGCATGTGAATCTCACAGCCGCTCATGACTCCGTCTTCAACACATGGGGGGACTTGAGGGCAAGCATTTATTGGATGCTTCTGGCATCATCTTAGTTTGCCTATCTTGATTTTTTTGCCCCCTCTTCTATTTGTGTCTTGACGTGTCGTATGTAGTTTTGAAAGCTGTTTCAAGTCCATTTTTGGAATGAAGCATAGCATACATAAAACACTTGAAATTAATACATTTATTTTTCGGAAAAAGATGCTCCAGTCTAATATCAAGTCATGTCCTGTTCTACTTCTCTCAGTCATAAAGCTAAGCTAAAAATAACTTTCTCACCACAACCCTCCACCAAGGAATGATAATTCCATTTCTTAAAAACAGATCCTTTCTTTTCTTTATTTTTTTAAGAGGCAGAGTCTCGCTCTGTTGCCTAGGCTGGAGTGCAGTGGCGTGATCTTGAATCGCTGCAGCCTCTGCTTCCCGGGTTCAAGTGATTCTCCTGCCTCAGCCTCCCACGTAGCTGGGATTACAGGTGCACACCACCACACCTGGCTAATTTTTGTATTTTTAGTAGAGGCAGGGTTTCAGCATGTTGGCCAGGCTGGTCCTGAACGCCTGACCTCAAGTGATCTGCCCACTTTGGCCTCCCAAAGTGCTGGGATTACAGGCGTGAGCCACCGCGTCTCGCCAGAACCTTTCTTAAGATAAACCAATTGCCCTCACCCAAGGATGCTAGTACATGGGGTCCTAAAGCTGCCAGGAGACCACCAGGTTGAGAGTCAAATAACTAAGTTCTAGTTCTCGCTTTGCCACCTGAACAGTTTGACCATGGCATGCTACACAACTTTCTGAGCCTCAGGTTGTTACCCGTACACTGAAAGATCACCATTATAAGGATTACACAAGACACAACATTTGAAAGCATCTCCTAAACTAACCATTAGCTCCTGCCTGGACTTCTACAGTAGACTCCCAGCTGGCTTCTCCCTATCCACTCAGGCCTGCTGCAATCAATCTAGGTCTCCTTACAGGCAAAGGGACCGTTTAAAAAATATACAATTTGGTCAGGCGCAGTGGCTCACGCCTGTAATCCCAGCACTTTGGGAGGCCAAGGTAGACAGATCACCTGAGGTCAGGAGTTCGAGACCAGCCTGGCCAACCTGGTGAAACCCCATCTCTACTAAAAATACAAAATTAGCCGGGTGTGGTGGCACACACCTGTAATCCTAGCTACTCAGGAAGCTGAGACAGAATTGCTTGAATCCGGGAGGTGGAGGCTGCAGTAAGCCGAGATCGTGCCAGGCACTCCAGCCTGGGTGACAAGAGCAAAACTCCACCTCAAAAAAAAAAAAAAAGGAAGCGTTTTATCACCCTTCTGCTTAAACCCCTACACTCTCCTCCCATTGCCCTTAGACTAAGTTTGTATCCTTTGTAAGGCTTGTAAGGCCTATAAAGAGGCTCCACGTCCTCCTCCAGCCTCATCTTGTGTTACTTCCCCCTTACACATGCTGTTCCAATATTTCAGCCCTCACCAATTCCCATCTAGCCAGCTTGCACTCATCCCGAACTTCATTCCTTCTACAAAGCTATTCCTGCAGCCCCCTGTGATATGCTCCCCCAACATCATATAATCCTTCATATAGCACTAGGTTGAACCATATGAAATTGCTATTTTATAGGACAAAAACAGTAGACTGTTGACAATTTTCTTTGGTTTAGCCTTATAGTAATTGCTGTAATGCTAGTCATCTTGAGTCAGTTTTAAACTCTACCAGGGAAGAATCTAGATCTGACTCATAACTAGAATCCTAGAGTTCCACACCCAATCCAAGCCAATAGTAGGCACTTAATTTTTTAATTAGTCTGAGATGTTGTTACTACCTTTTTAATGCCAAGCATATAAATTTTATATCGTCATTAATAGTTAAAAATAGTTTTTTGTCGGGTGCGGTGGCTCATGCCTGTAATTTCAGCACTTTAGGAGGCCAAGGTGGGTGGATCACCTGAGGTCAGGAGTTTGAGACCAGCCTGACCAACATGGTGAAACCCCGTCTCTGCTAAATACAAAAAATTAGCCAGGCATGGTGGCGCATACCTGTAATCTCAGCTAAGGCAGGAGAATCACTTAAACCTGGGAGGTGGAGGTTGCAGTAAGCTGAGATCACGCCATTGCACCCCAGCCTGGGCAACAAGAGTGATGCTCTGTCTCAAAAAAAAAAAAAAAAAATCATGTTTTTCTTCAAATGCTATTGATACATTCCATAGGACTAAAATGAAAAAAATGGAATGAAAAAGAATCACTTTCATACTTTCATTTCTGGCATTTCTGGAAAGCATGAATTCTAGTAAGTGTAATATATATATAAACAAGTATAGAATTTAGCCCACTGGTAAGGTATCATTTATGGATTTTTTTTTTAAACTCAAATGTTTTTCACTGCTTGGCAGAATAAAGGAGCTCTCAAAGGAAACCAGATAATTTGGATTTATCCCCTTTTATAGTTTTTGCCATGTGACAGCAAATCAGCTAAAGAAAAAAGATAGCATCTAAAAGAGTGCTAGACTTGAAATGGAGGAATTTTATAAGCTTCCCCATGACATTCAAAAGAAATGCATCCTGAAACATTCCCAAATCACCTTATCCTATGCCACATCCAACGATGTCCCTCATGAAATGAACACAGCCAAGACCAAGTCTAAACCAAATTGAGATGGTATATGTGGTAGGCTAGGTGAACTCACAACCTAAGTAACATAATAATATTAATAATAGTAATGACCATCAACATTCATTGAATGTTTATCATGCACCAGGTATGGCACTAAGCATTCCACATACATCGTCTTATTTAATCATTGCTACAACCTCATGAAGCAAGATCTATGATGCTACTCATTCTGGAGATGCCAGAACTGAGGTATAATGAGGCTGCCCATTTGTTAAGGTCCCTTAGCTGGAAGTGAAGAAGCTGGGGTTCAAACCCCAGGCCTTCTATGGAAGAATCCAATTGCTGCTGCACTCCAATCTGGAAGAGTAGAAAACTGAAATCTGTGCTATAACAAAAATGACAAATGATTCTATATGCATTATATATTACAGCTTCAGAGTCAACATGAGGAGTTAAACCTGAATGGCAAATTCATGAATTGTTAAGGCCTACCAGGTAGGAATTTTTTCAAGAACCCCAATATTCAGCTTTAAACAGTAAATGATATTCTCAACCTAGGTTAGAAATATAGATAGGAGTTCAACTTTTTGGGTGACGAATAGAGAATATCAGATAGGCATAAATATCATGGGCTCAGAAATATCTGGTGTTCTGACTTGTTTCCTAGCTTCTTAAAAAACTATCACACTTTAGAAAGTTTTTGAGGACTCAGAGACCCCACAAAATGAGTAAACAAAACTGCAATTTCACTTTCTACTGCTTAGTTAATAATCTCTAATCAGACAGTTGTTTCCTGCTAACACCTAACAAAATTATCCACCTCTTTCAAATAGCAAAGAAAATGAACATACTAACATTCTTACAGTGGAAATATAATTTTACAAATAAACACAAATTACTGAATCTTTACATATGATTCACAGATGGTGGTGATGAGATTATCATGCCCCTCCCCACTCCGTCTTTGTGCACTGACATTTGACCCTTTTTATAATATGCACCTTGTACCAGTGAAACCTAAGGCACCAGTTAGTTACTCATTAAACTTGGGTGCTGAGGGCTGACTTGTACAAATTACGCTGTTAACTGCCCAGCCTGGCCTCTGTGCAGAAGTGGAAAAAAGCAATCATCATAGCTGTGAAATTCTGTCATATCGGCAGAATTGAACTACAAATTGCAGCAATTCGTACCTGACCTCTGATCTGTGAAGTTAGTCTAAACCTTTGAACCTTAGCTTGGAACCGAGAAGCAGCACTGACTTATACAGGACAAGGTGGCTAGCAAGCGTTCTCCATCGTGAATAGTTAACACTGTGACTGTTGGTCGCCCCCCACACCCACCTCCCCCACAGAGTCATCCAGAGTAAAAGACACAAATAACGATGATCTTGAGAATGGCAGACGTCTTACAAAAAGGCATTTGGAACAAATCTAATACAAGTATACAATTTCAGGATGCAAGTCTTTTTAAATGAATATGTCAAAATAAGAAAATGGAATCTGCAATAACTGAAATTCTTGGATATTTAATACTTTGTGATATGTACATTAAAAAATTTCCTTTACAAATTAGACCAAAGTAGAGTTCAAAATGAAATATTTAAATACATTTTTAATCAAATGGTGCCATCTCTCATTTGTCACATTTTAAAATAAACATATTACCTAATCTCTGTTATAAAATACAAACCCATATTAAGCCACCTTTGGCAAAAAGCAATCAGGGAAAACCAGTTACACTTTTCTTTGAACCCAAACTTATCTTTTGACACTAAATATCAGATGTAGGCTAATAAAAAGTATAAGAATATGCATTTCTCACATATACATTTTGTTGCAACATTGATTCATCATAATGAGAAGGGAGAAGGGTTAAGAGAGAAGAGTATTTTTCTTTAAAAGATTAGCTTCTACTTCAAATGCTATTCAAATTGCTCCACTGCCAGACAGAAATGACTAAAGATTCTACTTCTCTGGTCATTTGAGTTAATATTAAAACAAATTTTGAATAGCATATAAAATATAACTAAACAATTATTTATAATGAAAGTGAAACTAATGTTAATACTTTAAAGCATATAATCTACACCTAAATAATTCCATTTCATAAATTTAACTATTGGTTTGAAAACAATGATAAAAGTCTTCTTATACAAGAACTTTACTCTGAGAGGAAATGTCATCATTGTCAACCTTTATATGCTAATTATCATAAAGCTAATTCCATTAATTTTTCCTTATTTTAATTATCACATCTTAAAATTATAATTTCCTTCTCTAAACACTGACTCTGAAATGGCTTTAAAAATCAAATATGGGCAACACTGCTGATAAATTCCTGCTTCTTACCCCATAGTTTAAATAACAGGAAACTATAAAACAACAACAATACTGTGAAGATCTAGATTTTTCAAGCATATAAAGTGAAAAGCTGTTAGAAAAACTCATTTTTTAGAAAATGTTTTTAACTTAAGAATTTTGGTTTTACTGCTGGTAAGGCAGACTGTGCAGCAGTTGAAATTCTTACCAACTTCCAAATTTTTTTGGGGGGGTCTTCAATTAAAAAACAAACAATATGGATCATTTGTTTATCTGGTCTGATCTAAATTGCTTTAACCAAACACAGTTACCTCTTCTTCTCTTCATTTAAAACAAATAAGGTTTCCCCTACCTTTCCAATCTTGATCTGGGTGCGACAGGCTAACTGTAATGAAAGCTTTGCTTAAGCAACCTTCGCTCCCAATACCAGGAGCTGTGTAACTCTGTTATACATGGCACAGGGCTCCTCATTGGTCAACGAAATGAGCTTTGGCCACTTAATGCCTTGGGAGTCATTTGCTAAGGGCACCTGGAATGAGCTTGAGTGGGTGGTACAGAAAGAAGGGAGGTGTTAAAACTGCCACAAAGATAATGCTCAACAGCAACCTGAAACGGAATGGAAACCCTACTGTAACTGATGGATTTGGGGAAGGCTCAAAAGCTTTGCCACTTCATAGAGGACATTTAACAGAAATATTTTATTCAAACCCAAATAACGACCGTAAGGAAACAAATGATTTTTCAAAGTCCACCATCCTAGAACCAGATAGATGCCCATTACATTTGTACAGCTACATGCAGAGATAAAAAACAATAATGCCCACCTTGTCTAGGCTGTTGGGATTAAATAAATAAATATACGTAAAGTGTTTAGAAAAGCTCCTGGCATATAGAAAGTACTCAAAAAGTGTTACTAGGATTTCTTAGAAATGTTATATTTTTAGCAAGTGTTGCTTTTTCCCCTTCTCATTATATCTGGGGTAGGTAACTTTGGTTAAGTACCCTGTGTCTAAAAGACTGTCAACAATCATGTTTATGATGATCAGTCTGGGAGAAAAAAAATAGGAAAAAATTACACATGAACCAAACCCTCACCTTATTTTACTTTATCAGTTTGGAGCTAGAAATTGATTTACTCATAAGAAGTGGAGACAAGTAGAAGAGGCATAGAATGAAAGAGAAGCAGGCAGTACAGCAGGATTTATGGTAATAAAACCATCTGTACACAACAACAGATCAGGAGGACCTGAGGCACTTAAGCTGAGTAAATACACTCCTTTTCAGGCAGTTATGGGATGGAACCTCATCGAAAGTCTCTCTGGAGGCTGAGTTTGTCAGTTCAGGCAATTGGGAGGTTAGAGGAAAAGGGAGCTGAAGTTGCCTGGAGGAGGTCCTGAAAGCAATGTGACTTCTGTGTCCTCTGCATCAGGATTAAAGTGAGCTCTGCAGCACATCAAGAGAGGAAGGAGAAACTAACTCCTCCTAAAACAAAAATTTCAAAAAAATGTGGTCCCCAGTTTTCCCTGAGTCATCACTGTATCATTGTTAAGCTTATTCAGTTAAACCTTAGTAACTGGAAGGAGCCAGAGTTGGAAGTAAAAAGACCAGAATGGGCCGGGTGTGGTGGCTCATGCCTGTCATCCCAGCACTTTGGGAGGCGGAGGCGGGTGGATCACTTGAGGTCAGAAGTTCGAGACTCGGGCGTGGTGGTGGGCTCCTGTAATCCCAACTACTCGGAAGGCTGAGGCATGAGAATCGCTAGAACCTGGGAGGCGGAGGTTGCAGTGAGCCAAGATGGCGCCACTGCACTCCAGCCTGGGCAACACAGTGAGACTCCGTCTCGAAAAACAAACAAACAAAAACGGCCAGAATGACGACAAGAACATTTTCAATCTATTCATCTACGCATATATTTTTTAAAAAGACAGTTTTATTACTCCTAGATAGAATAATAGCTATCGACAGTGACTATAAATTATCAACAAGTTAACATAGGGTCAAAATCCAAAACAAGTCTAAGATTATAACTATGTTAAATATTATATAAAACTAAATCGCTATGTTCTGGCTGAAGGAACTCTGAAGCAGTCAGTTACTAAGGCAGTGTTTTCAAAATCTACTGATTTCAGACAAATTTAAATTCCTCTCGACTACAAATGGGACTCAGAAAGTCTGTTTTTCTATAAGAGTAATTTAGTATATTATATAAGAAAAAGTTCTGGCATGTTTTAAGCATTAGAGAGTATTCTGAGATTGAGGTTTGGTGTGAGTGTGTGCACGTGTGCTCCTATACCAAATGCTACCAAAAAATAACTTAGGCAAAAACATAGGAAATAAACCATCTCAGGATGATGAATTTTAAGACTAAGGGGGTAAGGAGAGAGCAATTTTTCACTGAATACCTGAAAACAACAATTACAATTATGGGCTGCCCTAAATAAAAAATGAGCAAATTTTTCCTGCCTTGGCTTTGAACAAAGTTAATTTAAAAAATACATGCACATAAACATACTAGTTTTAACAAACTCAAAAAATATAGAAAAGTACACAGAAAAAGCAAGTCACCCCTTCTACTGATAGTAAAAGTGGCTCCTACTACACAGCCCTCTGTATAGGCACGTGTGCATCACAGTAGAAAAGTCATGCCACATGAGCCATGTGGCATGTTCTTTTTTTTTTTTTTTTTTTTTTTGAGACAGAGTTTTGCTCTTATTACCCAGGCTGGAGTGCAGTGGCGCGATCTTGGCTCACCGCAACCTCCGCCTCCTGGGTTCAAGCGATTCTCCTGCCTCAGCCTCCCGAGTAGCTGGGATTACAGCCATGCGCCACCACGCCCGGATAATTTTGTATTTTTAGTAGAGACGGGGTTTCACCATGTTGGTCAGGCTGGTCTTGAACTCCCGACCTCAGGTGATCCACCTGCCTCAGCCTCCCAAAGTGCTGGGATTATAGGCCTGAGCCACCACACCCGGTCACATTAACTTCTGTATAGCTCTGGCTTGCAACAAGCTTAAATCATCCCTGGAGGAGTGATCCTTTGTCTTTTACAAAGCATCTTTGATTTAGAGTAGAGTGACAGCAGGCAGTTCTGAGGTCTGAGGCTGTGGAGAAAAGGAAAAAAAAGTACAGACGCAAAACAGAAGCCTGGGATGAGATAAGCTCTGAGGTAGATTTGGAAAAAGGGGTAAGAAACAGGACTCAGGTCCAGGAGAGGAAGAAATGGAGCATAGTAAGACATGATTATGTGGCCTATTTCAGATAGGATCTATTAAGGCCACTGTGGCATCCTGGTAAGAGAGTTATTATTATTAGTTATTACTTTCTTATTTTTAGAGACAGGTCTTGCTATGTTACCCAGGCTGGTCTCGAAATGCTAGGCTCAAGTGATCTGCCTGCCTTGGCCTCTCAAAATGCTGAGATTAGACATGAACCCCCATGCCCAGCCTACTTTTTAGTTTAATTATCTAAAAGCTAAGATATAGCCAATGCAAAGATTATGTGTGTATTTGCTTTTGTATATAGTAGTAGCATATCATTTTCCACAAGTATATTTGACACTATTTAGAATTTCAAGCCTTTGCTGAAACTGTTTATTGTATTAACACATGACTAAAGCATAAAAGAAATTGCACATATGTGTGCGCATAGACATTCAGATGGTAGCCTTCACCTGAAAAGGTGTCAAACACTGATAATGAAATCACATAACTGTATTGGTGGTATCAGCAATAATAGTTGGCTAAGAAGCTAATTAACCAGTATTGAAAAACAGATGAAGTATAAAGCAGTATCCACAAGCCTATATGATTAAAGCACCATAGTATTTTCTTTCGGTTAATTTGTCTATTATCCTATTATAGCATCAACAGTCACAGAGAAGGAAGAATTAAACAATGGACATTGTCATATCTGAAATGAGTGTTCCTTATCTGGACATTAGGAAGGATCTGTGGGCTGTCCTTTTAAAATTTAAAATGGTAGGCTGGATACAGTGGCTCATGCCTATAATCCCAGCACTTTGGGAGGCCAGGACAGGAGGATTGCTTGAGCCCAGGAGTTCAGGACCAGCCTGGGGAACATAGTGAGACCCCATCTCTACAAATAATAAAAAAATTAGCAGGGCATGGTGACATATGCCTGTGGTCCCAGCTACTCGGGAAAATTGCTTGTTTGAGCCTGGGAGGTTGAGGCTGCAGTGAGCCATGACTGCATCACTGCATTCCAGACTGGATGACAGAGTGAGATCCTGTCTCAAAAATAAATAAATAAATAAATAAATATATAAATATAAATAAAATGGTACCTTCTCAATTGGCATCCTTGGTTTATTTACTCATTTTTGTTTTGTGATAGAGTCTAGCTATGTTGCTCAGGCTGGTCTAGAACTCCTGGGCTCAAGCGATCCTCCTCCCTCAGCCTCCTAAGTAGCTGGGACTACAGCTGCACCATTGTGCCCAGAGGTACAACTGTTTTAAAGATTAAAATTATTCATCACATCCACCTGTAATAAAATAACTATAGCTAACTCCTACATACAGCCCTTGTCCTTCACCAGGCACTGTTCTAAGTGTTTCGCATATATTAACACAGGCAACCCCCATACATAGGTTGAGGCAGGTACTAGTATCATCTCCATTTTTTTTTTTTTTTTTTTGAGACGGAGTCTTATTCTTGTTGCCCAGGCTGGAATGCAATTCTGTGATCTCAGCTCACTGCGACCTCCACCTCTCAGGTTCAAGTGATTCTCCTGCCTCAGCCTCCTGAGTAGCTGGGATTACAGGTGTCCGCCACCATGCCTGACTAATTTTTGTATTTTCAGTAGAAACAGGGTTTCACTACGTTGGTCAGGCTGGTCTCGAACTCCTGACCTCAGGTGATCCATCTGCCTCGGCCTCCCAAAGTGTTAGGATTACAGCCGTGAGCCACGCGCTCAGCCTCATCTCCATTTTATAGATGAGAAAACAAGAAATAAAGTAATTGGTCCAAGACCAACAGCCAGCAAATAAGTAGTGGAGTGAGGATTCAAACCCAGGCATTCTGGCTCTTAGAGATCACACTTTACCGCCTCAAGCTAAGTAGATAATCTTCTTTCTTTCCTCCTAATTAGCTACCTCTCTACCTACCTACCCATGTTTCACCTTGCTGCTCTGTCAGCCTGCCAGGGACAGGAACTTCTGTACTAACCCAGAAAAACTTTGGAACTTTGAGATGGCATCTTTGGAGCTAAGTAGGAAACCCTTTAATGTTCAATGAATGAAACCATAAGTTAAGAAAGCCACAAAATCTAATTTGAATCTAAAGAGAATTCTCTTTGCATTTTCTCTCTAAGCCCTTCCTCTACCCGAGGCAGCACTCTTCATTAATTCTTAGAAACCTGCTAGATTTTATGGCGATCCCTTTCTGTCTGTCCCTCTAACACAGCAAAATGTAGCATCTGATAAGCTAAGTAATTATTAGTATTTACCTAATAGATTCTGTGGTAGTTTTAACAGACTTCTTAATCTTAAAAAGAGAAAGTTCAGAATACATATTGAATGCTGGTGGAGAGAAGACACCTATTACCAAGTCACATATCATGTGTAACATTATAGCCCTTTCTTCCACTTGTGCTAAGGAAAAGCCAGCTACATTGTCATAATATGAAAAGTAGATATATTTCCTCCTGAGCCAGGAGGAACAAGGCAGTCAGGTTAACAAGGGCTCAGGAAGTGTGTGGTTTTGCCAAGTATTTTGTGAGTTTTACTCTTTAATAATCAAATGATATTTTAATAATTTCCTCAAAATTGCCACAAAAATCCCCTAACATTCTGGATTTATCAAGTACTATGCTCTTCCATTTCAACTGGTGTTTAAGTAGCACTTTCTATAATATCCCGAGATGTACTCAAGCCCTGGGGAAGTGCAGTCAAAGACCTGGATCATATGTTGTTTCTTTCTTTTTTTTTTTTTTGAGATGGAGTCTCACTCTGTCACCCAGGCTGGAGTGCAGCGGCGTGACCTTGGCTCACTGTAACATCTGCCTCCCAGGTTCAAGCAATTCTCCTGCCTCAGCCTCCAGAGTAGCTGGGACTACAGGTGAATGTCACCATTCCCTGCTAATTTTTGTATTATTATTATTATTATTATTATTATTATTATTATTATTATTTTTATTTTTATTTTTGAGATGTACTCAAGCCCTGGGGAAGTGCAGTCAAAGACCTGGATCATGATGTGGCTTTTTTTTTTTTTGACGGAGTCTCGCTCTGTTGCCCAGGCTAGAGTGCAGTGGCATGATCTCAGCTCACTGCAACCTCTGCCTCCCAGGTTCAAGCAATTCTCCTGCTTCAGCCTCTAGAGTAACCGGGATTACAGGTGTGCGCCACCATGCCCAGCTAATTTTTATATTTTTGGTAGAGACAGGGTTTTGCCATGTTGGCCAGGCTGGTCTTAAACTCCTGACCTCAAGCGATCCGCCCGCCTTGGTCTTCCAAAGTGTTGGGATTACAGGCGTGAGCCTCCGCATCCAGCCTTTTTGTATTTTTAATAGAGATGGAGTTTCGCCATGTTGGCCACGCTGGTCTCGAACTCCTGACCTCAGGCGATCCACCGGCCTCAACCTCCCAAAGTACTTGTGATTACAGGCATGTGCCACTGCGCCCGGCCATGATGTGGTTTCTATTAAATTACAGGTGTGAGCCACCGTACCTGGCCATGATGTGATTTCTATTAACTGGGAGCTAATAATCCTCTTGGAGAGATCATTAAATGTCTGATAATTACAACATATAGAATACACAGAAATGGAACAGCATGTGCTATCCAGACAATGGGAGCCACCACAATCAGGTGAAGAGTATTGCTAAGACAGATCAGAGTCCATGGGGAAAGCTTCCTGGAGGAGGTATAACTAGCCTGCATTCCCTTTTTTATCTTATTTTTTTAATTTTTTGAGACAGGGTCTCACTGTGTCACCCAAGCTGGAGCACAGTGGCGCGATCTCAGCTCACTACAACCTCCGCCTCCCCGGTTCAAGCCATTTTCCCACCTCAGCCTCCCAAGTAGCTGGGACTACATGTTCATGCTACCACACCCGGCTAATTTTTGTATTTTTAGTAGAGGTGGGGTTTCACCATGTTGGCCAGGCTCGTCTTGAACTCCTGACCTCAGGTAATCCACCTGCCTCTGCTTTCCAAAGTGCCGGGATTACAGGTGTAAGCACCTGGCCTAGCCTGCATTCTTATTTACAATTGCATCAGGTTACAAACAGAGGCAATCACAAAATCCTACACTTCAAAATATGTATTCTCTGTATTTGTTTACTTTGTGATTTAAAAAGTAAAACACCTCTTTCCTGAAGAATGTTCCTTATTTCAAGAATTGAGTATTCCTAAAATTGGAATAAACCTTAGACATATTTTATAATCAGCCAAGAAACGGAAATTTTTCAGGAGCTTGATAAGCTAGCAAGTAACTAAATGAGTTATGTGGAGTCTAAAAATCTTTGAAAATTTTTCTTCTTAAGACCTTGTGGTTCAGTTCTTATTTAAGCCTAGTTACCTGTTCAACATATTATTTTACCACTTTGAAAAGGGAGCTCTTATTTTTTGAAAAATAAAAGTAGATATTCTAAAGAAATTTGAAAGCAATATGGAAATAATTGAAATCATTCGAAAAAAATCAAACACTAAAACTTTAGCTGCGATGGATCTATAAATACTGGTTACGCTATTAATGATTACAGGTGAAATTAGAAACACGAGAACATCTTTAAAAGGTCAACTCCAAGGCTGATCAGTTTAGACGGGATGCTAAAATTAGCGAGGAGTATAAGCTCAGGAAAAAGAACAACATAAAATGCTAGTGAAGCAAATCGTTTCGACACAATGAGCCTGATTTTCCATGAGCAAATGGTAACTTGGCAAGGCATTCAATTTTGAATTGGTTGCAAGAGTCACTCAATCGTTCAACAATGGCTATTGATCCTACTATGCGTGGCTTTGTTCTAGACCCCGAAGATTGGATGGTGACAGGCAGAGGAGTCCCTGAAGAACAGAACAACAAGAAAGGGGCGGGGTAGCGGAAGCAGAGGGAGCGAGACAGGCAGGGGTCAGATGGGAGCGTTATAACACCCAGGAGAGGACTTCAAGTTCTCCTTGGCTGATTGGAGGATTCTGAGCAGAGAAGCGCTGTGATCTGCTTTTCTGTTTTTTAAGATCACTGGTGTGCAGCCGGGTGCATTGGCTCACGCCGGTAATCCCAGCTACTCGGGAAGCTGAGACAGGAGAATTGCTTGAACCCGGGAGTCAGAGGTTGCAGTGAGCTGAGATTGTGCCACTGGACTCCAGCCTGGGTGACAGAGCAAGACTCCATCTCAAAAGAACAAAAATACAATACAATACAGTACAATACAATACACTATCATTTTTTAATCAACCAATAAAATTAGCTAAAATACTTAATAGTGATTAAGTGTCACACTTCAGTAAAACAAGTATGAAAGCATCAAAACCCTTCTAAAAAAGAAATTGCATAGTGTATTTGAAGAGCCTGGAAATGTTTATTCTTTTTACTTAGCAATGATGTTATTATAAATCTATCCTTAAGAAATAAGAAAAAAAGCATGTTTACATCCAAAGATATTTATCTCAGAATTCTTTATAATACATTGAGAAACAATCCTTATAGGAATGGTTAAATAAATGGTGACACACCAGCCACTAAAAATTACATTTATGAAGAATTTAATGTCATGAGTAAAGGTTCACAATATGTGAGCTTAAGAAAAAAGAGAGTAGAGAAAACTTTATGTAGGGTACAATTTCTACTGATATTATAGTAATCAAATGTAGAAAAATATAACAAAATATTGACAGTGGTCGTCTCTGGAGAGTAAGAATATGAATATGGGTGATTAAAATACATATGTAACACATGTATGTTAAATATCTGTAACATATATGACTTTGATCAGCAAAATTTTAATGATTTGATAAAACGAACCTATTTGTTCTGTCCCTCATTCTCTCCATTTCGACCCATCATTACATTCTGCCAATTCCTTTCTTTTCCTTTCTTCCTGATTTAGTTCAGCACTAACCATGCACAACCTCCCACCCCCACCCATTGGGTTTCCTAGCTGACACCTTTCCCTGCTAACCATCCTGAAAGCAGTAGGATGAACCATTTTCCTTAGGTATGGTTGGGATCATGTTACTCCCATGAAGGGAATTTGAGGTGATCCTTGGTCATCCATAACATTGCAGGCTTTTGATCATGAGCTGCAAATCTCTGGTTAACTTATGATGACAAATCACTGCATAATTTCCCTTTGTTCCCTTCAACCTCAACAGATACACAGCTACACACAAAATCTCCAAGACTACCTTCCTTCCTTCTCTATCTACCAGATTCTTATTTTCCTTTGTAACTCTCTTCTAGAATCACCTTCCTCCAAAAGGATTTTTTTTATCCAGGTATCTATCTTTCTCAACACAACTTTACTCACTGCCACACCACTTCAGCATTTCTTCTTTTCTAGATATTTGGCAATTGTGTATTTGTCATTTGGGATCAAATTTGATTCCTGTTTCATCACAACATTGCCTAAACAGCAATGCTTCTGATTCTACATTTGAAAATTAAAGCTTATACACAAAGTTTAAGATTGTCTCTTTTTTTTTGTTTGTTTTCTTTTTCTTTTTTGTTTTTGTTAAGACTGTCTCTTGTAAAAAATGTTTGCACAGTTGTCATATGTTTGCATGACAAGCTGATCATGGTTCCTTACAAAGTATACCCAAGGTATTTGCTCTCAACCTTTTCTCACCACCCAGTGCACACACACAGAAATTCACTAACATGGGTGCTCAATAATTGTTATTGACAAGAATTCCAAACAGTTGGTCAAATGACTTTTTACTTACAACATGGAGCCATAAGTCATAAGATAATTTAATTTATGAAGAATCAATATGAAATAAAGACTTAAAGCTCAATCTTGTTACCTGTTTGGTGAACAACTCTGGAAAGTCAGGATAAAGGAAAGCCAAGTCGACAGCTGCTTTATCTAAGCAGTAAGAATATGCAGATGGGACCCTCTTCTGTTCTCCTACCATGTTTGTTCCAGGATTCCAATTTGAAATCTGTATGTGCCCCTTGACACCTCAATGCTTTGTCAAGCACCTCATTTCTCTGGCTTTAGTTTTATAGACAAAGAAACCAAATACATGGTGATGGAGCAGCTTATCACAGTATGTTTTTAGAAACACCAATGCTAAAATTACCAGTCCCCAAGTGTCAGGTGAAATTACTATAAGAATTAAGTGAGAATTACTTTGATCTAAAGTATTAATGAAAATGGTAGTGTCAGTCATGATTCTGGATAATTACTCAAATAGACAATTTTAAAAATTGGGACAACACATTAATATGAGAATATACTGTTATAAAGAGAAAATAGGCCGGGTAGGGTGGCTCACTCATGTAATCCTAGCATTTTGGGAGGCTGAGGTGGGCGGATTGCTTGAGTCCAGGAGTTTGAGACCAGCCTGGGCAACATGGCAAAAGGCCATCTGTGTAAAAAAAAAAAAAAAAATACAAACATTAGCTAGGCATGGTGGCATGCGCCTGTAGTCCCAACTACTTGGGGGTGTGAGGTGGGAGAACTGCTTGAGCCCGGAAGCTCCAACTGTAGTGAGCCATATTTGGACCACTGCATTCTAGCTTGGACAACAGAGCAAAACCCTGTTTCAAAAAAAAAAAAAAAAAAAAAAAAAAAAGAGCTTAGTGTGAAGAGTTTAGAAACTAAATACAGTAGCTAAGGAAGAAACTGATTATTTATCTGAATTTCAAATTGAACTAAACATTGGTCCCAATCACTCTTCCTTTTTCCAAGAACTGAGCATTAAATGGAATTTTAAAACATTTATTAAAACAAAATCAAAGACAAACTACAATTAGGAGTGTGTCATTAAAGAGCCAATTTCCTTAATATGCCAGAGTGCTTCCGTATCAACAAAAAAATACAACACAATACATACGAGCAAAGATATCAGCAGGCAGTTTGCAGAAAAACAAGATTCTATGATGAATAAACATGAAAATAGTTCAACTCTATTCAAATCAAACTTTGTCTGATTAAAATAGATAGAAATCGAAACAGTGAGTCCTACTATATCAGCAAAAATTTTTAAATTTGGGCTGGGTGTGGTGGCTCATGCCTGTAATCCCAGTACTTTAGGAGGCCAAAGTGGGTGATGACTTGAGGTCAGGAGTTCGAGACCAGACTGGTCAATATGGTGAAACCCCATCACAGATTTAAATGGAAGTTGTAAAATCTTACCCCCAGTAGAGGATCTTTAGAGGAAATGGGGTGAGGGTTGGGTAGAGGGCACATGGATTGAGCAACCTTGACTGTGATTCCCATAAATTTAGAAGTTCAGGCAGGAGGACTTCCCCCATGTAACTATGATTCAACAGAGCACACATCCTGTTTAATAACAAAGGCATTTATGCAACATTCATTCTATGTCTCTGGGTAATTTATATGTTGCTTGATCTTGGTAATGTGCAAACATTTTTAGCCAGTTCTTAACTGTCAGGTGATCTCTGATTGTTGCTGTTTTCTATAGTTGTTGTCTAGACACTCACAAGGATTCAGGTTTATTTTGGATCCTAAAGTCAAGGCCAGTATTTCTTTAAGACTTACTTAAACTGGAAGAGTCCTAAGATTTCAGTAGCCACAAAAAATTATTCTCTGTGCTCCCCCAAGAGGGACAGACACAATGAGCAACCTTAGGATGGTCAAGGGTCATCTGTTAGCTCTTTTAGACTCAGTGGAGCCTTCATGGGGATTGGCAGATGGAACCGAAAGCAACAAAAAAGACCCCAAAGGAATTGGCATCTTGGGAACTCAGATTTCCTCAAGGACTCCTCCATCTGATGATGTTGGTAATTTCAGCTCTACATCATCATTTCTTTTCTTTTCTTTTTTTAAAGATGGAGTCTCACTCGGTCGCCCAGGCTGGAGTGCAGTGGCGCGATCTCGGCTCACTGCAAACTCCACCTCCCAGGTTCAAGTGATTTTCCTGCCTCCTGAGTAGCTGGGTCTACAGGTGTGCACAACCATGCCCAGCTAATTTTTGTATTTTTTAGTAGAGACAGGGTTTCACCTGGTTAGTCAGGCTGGTCTTGAACTCCTGACCTCAAGTGATCCACCCACCTTGGCCTCCCAAATTGTTGGGATAACAGGCGTCAGCCCCCATGCTTGGCCTCATCATTTCTTTTTTTATCAAAAACCAGACAGTCAACTAGGCACCCCTCTGTGCTCACCTTTCACGTCCTGGCATAACACTTCGTAAGCATAGCTACACAAAGAATAAGAATGGCAAGCCCCAAGTATGAAGAGATAAATCAAATTTAATTGTTATTAATATATTATTGATTATTCACACTAAATTTAGTCTTCCAAAAAAATAAATCTACTTGGATAAAATTCATGTTGATGGATAGACCAAAGAAAGCTGGTTATCAATTTATATGCTAATGAATTTTTCTTACTTTTCCCCTATGTATAGCCTAGTATTTTGTAATTTCTCTGCACCTACAGGGCCAGAGGAGGGAAAAAAACGGAACGCACATCCTTTCTGTTCTTTAGTGAAGCTTTTGATGAAAGGGATTAATAAGAGTTAGGGGTGAGGGAAAGAAAGAAAGAGAGAGAGAGGCTGGGCACGGTGGCTCACACCTGTAATCCCAGCACTCTGGGAGGCCAAGGCAGGTGGATCACCTGAGATCAGGAGTTCAAGACCAGCCTGGCCAACATGGTGAAACCCAGCCTCTACTACAAAATTAGCCAGTGTAGTGGTGCGCACCTGTAATCGCCACTACTCAGGAGGCTGAGGCACAAGAATCACTTGAACCCGGGAGGCAGAGGCTGCAGTGAGCAGAGGTTGCAGTGAGCCGAGATTGTACAACTGCACTCCAGCCTAGGTGACAGAGCGAGACTCTGTCTCAAAAGAAAAAAAAAAGGGTGGGGGGGAAGGGGGAGAACTTGAGACGCTATAAAATGAAAATTAGAACTTTTCAGTGCGCACCATTTTCATAATTTATGGTACTTCCACCCCAAGCATGCCTCAAATTTGTTTAGGAAAATATTTTCTTCTCATACCTTCATTTGTTCTCATATCATCATTGTAATATGGGTGGATGATCAAATAAGCAAGGCCGGCAATTGGTCTGAGAAAAGAGCTCATTTGGAAATAACATCCTGAGCTTTGCAACCGCAAGTGAGAAGTGTATCTCAGCACCTGGTAGCAAATGCAGGTGAGGTCCACCCTGGTAGTACATACAGGAGAGTTCATAGATGGTTGGCAAAGAGGTACAAACTAATGGAAACACAACAACAAGCTCTGTAGCTACTTTACATGGAGTTGACTCAGCAAAGGCCCATCTGACCTAACAACAACAACCAGATTAGAATAGTTAATCTTTATTGAACAGTTGTTACCACCAGTTCTGGGTGCTTCACATATGCTATTTCATTTAATCCTCACGACAATCCTATGAGGTACTAATTATCTTTCTGCTATTTTGCAGATGTGGAGACTGAGGCTTACAAAGATTAAATAAGTGTTCAAAGTCTCACAACTATTAGGTGGCAGATGTAGAACTCATATCCAGGTTCCCAAACCCCAGAGCCCAAGTTTTTGCCCCAGAATCACAATGCTATATGGACTGCACCATAATGAAACAGCTGTGTCAACTGTACTCTGTATGCCCCCCTCATGTATTCAGTTGCCCTGTAACTCTGTCCCCAAAGGAGAAAGTTTGCATGCCCTGACTGTTTCAGCATTGGTCACTCATACTCACAAACTGTCCTGTAAAATGGAGCTTGGGGGAATGGAGATAACAGTTAAAATACAGTAAACAATCTAAGCTTTCAGTTTAAGAAGCCAGAAAAAAGAAGGGCAAAATAAATCTGAAACAGATTAAGGAAGGAAATAATAATGATTTAGGTGGGAATAAAGCAAATACGGACTATAAAAACAAAATAAAAGTTAATAAAACCAAAAGTTGGTTCTTTGAAAAGAGCAACAACATTGACAAACCACTAGCTAGAATGACAAAGAAATGAAAAGACTCAACTTACTAAACTCAGGGATAAGAGAAGTGACAACACTACTGACCTTCTAGAAATAAAAAGGATAGCAAAGAAATACTATGAACAATTATATGCCAGCAAATTAGATAACCTACATGTAGAGGAGAAATTCCTAGAAAGATGCAAAGGGCCAAAATAGACTCAAGAAGAAATAGAATATCTGAATAGACTTATAAGTAAATACACTGAATTTGTAACATAAAAATTTTCCACAAAGAAAAGCCCAAGAACAGATGACTTCTCTGGAGGATTCTATCAAATGTTTTAAAGTCTAATTACCACCAATCCTTCACAAATTCTTCCAAAAAACAGAAGGGACTAGAACACTTCCCACTGAGGCCAGTATTACATGCATAGAAAATACAGACAAAGTTATCAGAAAATGACAAATCAATATGTCTTATGCATATGGACTTTTTAAAAATACACAACTAAATACTAATAAACTGAATTCAGCAACATGACCAAGTCTGATTTAACCCAGAAATGCAAGATAGCTTAACAGATGAAAATCAATCAGTGCAATACACCATATCAACAAAAGACAAAAACTATACACAGTAATCTGAATAGCTGCCAGAAAAGCATTTGATACAATGCACCAACCCTTCATAACTAAAACACAACATATTAAAGCAGAAGGGAACTTCTTCAATCTGATAAATAACATCTACAAAAAACCCATGACTAATACACTTAATGTGAAAAAGACTGAATGCTCTCCCCATGAAGAACAGCAACAAGGATTTGCACTCTCTCAACTTCTATATGCAACATTGTACTTGTTTCTAGCCAGGATAAATAGAAAAAAAGGAAAAAGAAAAAAAAAGAAAGAAAGGGGATCCATATGGGAAAGGAAGAAATAAAACTCTGTTCATAGATGACGTAGTCAATTACATGTAAAAAACCTAAGGAATCCATTAAAAAATTATTAGAACTAATAATCAAGTTCAACAAGGTTGCAGGACATAAAAGCAATATAGAAAAATCAATTATAAATTTCTATCTACTAGCAATGAACAAACTAAAATATAAAATTAACAAAGCAATTTCATCTACAATAGCATCAAAAATAATACAAGTGTTAAAACTACAAAACATTGTTCAAAGAAATCAAAGATCTAGGCCATCTATTAAAAATACAAAAATTAGCCGGGCGTGGTGGCGCCTGGCCGAGACATAAGAATCACTTGAACCCGGGAGGCGGAGGTTGCAGTGAGGAGAGATCGCGCCACTGCACTCCAGCCTGACAAGTGAGACTCTGTCTCAAAAAAAAAAGAGAGAAAAAAAATCTAAATAAATGGAAAGACACTGCTTGTTCATGAATAGAAGACTGAACGCTGCTAAAATGACAATACTCCTCGATCTGATCTACAGAGTCAACACAATATTCCCATCAAAATCTCAGCTAGTTTCTGGGAAAAAAAATTGATAAATGGATACTAAAATTCCTACAGAAATTCAAGGGGCCCAGAATAGCCAAAACAAACTTGAAAAAGAAGAACAAAGCTCAAGGACTCACCCTTCCAGGTTTCAAAATTTACTACAAAGCTACAGTAAACGAGACAGTGTATAGGGTGCAGAAATCTTAGGGGAAAACCATAAGGTGCGGGGAGGGTGGGCAGCGTGGTACTGGCATAAGGATGGCCATAGGACAATAGATTCGAAATGAGAGTTCAGGGAAAAAACCCAAAACATGTATCTGTGGTCAATCGATTCCGGACAAGGGTGCCAAGACTATTTGATGGGAATAGTCTTTTGAAGAAATTATGCTTTAATAACTGGATACGCACAATGCAAAAGAATAGAGTTGGACCCCTAATTCATATCATATACAAAAATTAAATCATTATAGATCAACCACCTCATAAGAGCTAAAACTGTAAAACTCTTGGAAGAAAACATGGGTATAAATCTTCATGACCTTAGCTCAGGTAGGCAGCAGCCTTTTAGATATGATACCTTTCAAATATGATAAACACAGCAATAAAAGAAAAAATAATGAAATTGTCCTTTGTCAAAATGGGAAGCTTTATTTCTCAAAGGACACCATTAAGAAAGGAAAGACAACTTACAAAATGAGAGAAAATATTTGCAGATGTATATTTGATAATAGCCTTGTATCTAGAATATATAAAGAACTCCTACAACTCAATAATGAATAAGACAAATAACCCAACTTAAAGATAGGTAAAGAGTCTGAACAGACATTTCTCTAAAGCTACACACACTCTTTGGTCTCAGCTGCAGAAGCCAAATGACAAAGAGAACGTCATCGTCTGGAAAGCATCGCAATAAGATGCACACGATGTGCCACCGCTGTGGCTCTGAAGCCTACCACCTTCAGAAGTCAACCTGTGGCAAATGTGGCTACATTGCCAAGTGCAAGAGAAAGTGTAACTGAAGTATCAAGGCTAAAAGTTGAAACACCACCAGGACTGATCATATGGGGCGCCTAAAAATTGCACACTGCAGATTCAGGCATGGATTCTGTGAAAGAACAACACATAAACCCAAGAAGGCAGCTATTGCAACATCCAGCTTATCTCACGAATTTCAGTGATTAGTCATGCCATAAAGGTTCTGGTTTAAAACCTGAACTGAAAAAAGGCTAGGCACGGTGGCTCACGCCTGTAATCCCAGCACTTTGGGAGGCAGAGATAGGCAGATCACTTGAGCTCAGGAGTTCGAGACCAGCCTGGGCAACATGGCGAAACCTCATCTCTATGAAAAATACAAAAACATAGCCAGGCCTGGGGGTATGCGCCTGTAGTCCCAGCTACTTCGGAGGCTGAGGTGGGAGAATCACTTGAGCCCCCGAGGTTGAGGCTGCAGTGATTGTGCCACTGCACTCCAGCCTGGGTGACAGAGCGAGACCCTGTGTCCAAAAAAAAGTAAAGAAAAGAAAAAAATAATGAAGTCACACTTTGCGAGAGTGGGAGAAGTATGGCAGATGCTGCCACTTATTACCCTCCACTTCAGAAGGGCACATTTCAAAGGCTCCCATGACACCTCTCCTGTTCCGATCATTGTTTCCAAGGAACAAAGCTCAGGCATGCACCTGTGGATGCCATGATGTCCATGTTCCATGTTCTCCACTAATTTCACTTCAGACTAGAACCTTATCACTAAAAACCTCACCATGCAGAATTATCTTACAGAGAAGTTTCCTTATGACACAATTTTTATGTCCCAATGGCTGCCTGGCTTTGTGTCCCAGCTCTTTGTTCTCACAGTGAATAGCTTTCCAAGAAAATGCTTCCCTGGTCCCTGTTCACTCAGCACTCCCATCATGACCTGTGTGTGTGTGTGTGTGTGTACGCGCACACACGAGTGTGCAGTGTGATGAGGATGGGAATCAGGGGGCTGGAGCATTGCTTAACTGAGCAATGCATAATTAGCCTCCCTTCCCAGCCTCAGCAGGCAGCAACTCCCCTGCATCTTCCCCTTCTGCTTCCCCTCCTCCATCACCCTCATTATCTCAATGTTGCTTTCCAATATTCCCAAGCAACCAAGCTAAACAAAGCAAACATTAAGCAAAGAAGACAGAAAGAAAACAGGCTTTGGAGTGTGGCACAGAGAAGCTCAAAAACTAGCCCTGTCATTTTCCACTTAGGAACCCCAGGCAAGCCTACGATGTCAACTTTGTCAAATGAAGATCACATAATACCCAATTTCAAGATATATTTATAGGATTCCCCCTATGAGCTGGGTGCCGAGGTTACAACCTGAATGACACATGTAGACTGTCATTGAAAAACTCATAGTGTAGTAGGAGATATAGAAATGCAAACAAATTCCAATGCAGTGTGATAAAGGCCATGACAGGTGGCATTAAGGAGGCAGGAGGGATTAATTCTCTTCATGGTTGAGGAGGAGGAAGAAGGCATTCTGGGGTGGATGTAAGACTTCAGTAAGACAATGTGTCCACAGAACACTTGGCACACGGTAAGTGCTCAAAGAATGTGAAATTCTTTCTTCACAAAGAGCCCTAGGAATGCAGAAAATAAAATTTATATGTTTTGGCCTGGCGCAGTGGCTCACACCTGTAATCACAGCACTTTGGGAGGCCAAGGCAGACAGATCACCTGAGGTCAGGAGTTCAAGACCAGCCTGGCCAACATGGTGAAACCCTGTCTCTACCAAATGTACAAAAATTAGCCAGGCGTGGTGGTGGGCACATGTAATCCCAGCTACTTGGGAGGCTGAGGCAGAACTGCTTGAACCTGGGAGGCGGAGGTTGCAGTGGCTGGCACTGCACTCCAGCCTGGGTGACAGAGTGAGACCCTGTCTCAAAAAAAAAAAAAAAAAATTAGATGGGCATGGTGATGCATGCCTGTAATCCCAGCTACTCCGGAGGTTGAGGCACGAGAGTTGCTTGAACCCGGGAGGCAGAGGTTGCAGTGAGCCAAGATCGCACCACTGCACTCCAGCCTGGGCAACAGAGTGAGACCCTGTCTCAAAAATAAAGGATATTAATTATAATAAATTTATTGTATAACAAACTAATGTTGATGTCTTAGGGTTAATACTGTGAATTTCAACTGATAATTCTAACTTTGCCAAAGAACAATGGTCAGAAATCCTTGATTCTTCCTTCAATGGACACATATTTATTGACCCCCTTTTATGTGATACCGGGTAACAGAGACACAAAATTGAACTTACAACAAGTTTACAGATGACTCGAAAAGACAAAACAAGTTCTCAATAATTATAATACACGGCAGAATGGCATGTTGCATTTATCCCCCACCTCCCCAGTCACTGCTTCAGAGGTTTTCTTACTCTTGAAATAAAGCAGTGAGATAATGTTAACATGAGTCCCTTCTGATCAGACCTTTCCTGCACTTCTATGCTAATTTCTAGGACTAGATATTTAGAAATGGCTTCCCCTTGGTGAAAACAAGAAATGATAAAGTTTGTCAGTAGAGACAAGTCAAATACTTAGTGTCCTCAGAGCAATATCTTGCTAAATCTACCACTTAATGAGTGGCTCAGCTGTACAGAGATAATCCGGAGAGTCAGTAATCTGTGGGAGGGCAAGGAACAAGGTGTCATTCAGCTTTGGGGGCAACTGAGTCTGTGGGATAGGATGTGGAGATTCCTAAATCAGAGATCAACAAAGCACCGCATTGAGACGAGGGCTCTCAGGTGTAGCCCATATGTGCTTTCTCCTGTGCACTCACCTTCCCAAGTCTACCAATAACAGACCCCTCCAAGCCCCAGAAGCCAGGGACAGGTACAGGTGTGGTACCATGAGGGTGAATCAGAGTCCTTTGGGGGAATTTCTCATCCTGCAGATAAGACTGCTATAGGTTTTCCTCAGGAATGGTAGAAAATAAAACCAACACAGAAAACATATAGAGAAAAACAGTCCTGATGACCAAAGCATGTCATGCTGCATGCTTTGGAATTTCCAGTTAGGTAAATATATATGTATAAATATAATCTGATGCATTCATTTGTCGATTGATTCCTTAAGCTATTTTTAAAATTTTCTTTATTTTTAGAGATGGGAGTCTCACTATGTTGCCTAGGCTAGTCTCGAATTCCCCAGCTCAAGCGATCCTCCTGCCTCAGCCTCCTGAGCAGCTGGGACTACAGGCACGCCCCACCATGCCCAGCCCTTAAACTATTTTGGATTAGGTTTCTATTACTTGCAGCCAAAAGTTCTGAATTAACAAAGGGCCTCACCCTGGCTCTTCCTTGGTATATATTACTATGGGGATGGGATGACCGAGGTCCCATAGAAATCTCAACTGATCCATTCTTCCCATCTATTTTTCCAGGTCTCATGAAAAGTTGCCATTTTCCCTCCTCAATTTGTTCCCTAAAATTTTACTCAGCCAGGCATGGTGGCTCACATCTGTAATCCCCTTGGGAGCCTGAGGCAGGTGGATCACTTGAGGCCAGGAGTTGGAGAACAGCTTGGCCAACATGGTGAAACCCCATCTCTGTTAAAAATACAAAAATTAGCCAGGTGTGGTGGCAGGTGTCTGTGGTCCCAGCTACTTGGGAGGCAGATGCAGGAGAATCTCTTGAACCCATGAGGCAGAGGTTGCAGCGAGCCAAGATCACACCACTGCACTCCAGCCTGGGTGACAAGAGTGAAATTTCATCTCAAAAAAGAAAAAAAAAAAGTTTAGGTTATGACTCGTTCCCTGTACTGAAAAGGACATTTAATAATTTCTACAGAGTTTTTGGGATAACAGAAGAGTGGTGCTAATCTAACATTTCTTTGAAGAGGCATGCTAGCACTCAGACTGAAAATTGACAAAGCACATTGTAATCAAAGAAGGCTCCTCCTGGAGGTTCCTTATTTATAACTTCTGAAAAGTGGTCACATTGTGCGCGCTCTCTCTCTCTCTCTTTCCTCTGTAGTAGAAGCTAACAGAATACCCTCACGTTCGTGGAGAGAACCTTTTTCACTGATTATAGCTGATTGCCGCTTACATGCTGCCCTGAAAAGCTCTCTTGCCTGTCGATCTCTTGTCTGTGCCTAATGTCCTGACAGTGTTAACTGAGATGGCTCAAAGGACTAAGAAACAATTGATCATCCCCATCTTTCTATTCCCTTTTATTTCATCTGCCTTCTCCTGCTTTCCTCTGAGAAAAAAGGCAGAGAGAAGAAACAAGAGTAAAGAACAAAACCCACAAGGAGGCAACTTGCACAGGAAACTGTGGAAAATCCATAAGACTTTTTGACTAGGGTTGAATCAGATCAGCACCTGTGTTGTGTGGGTTATGCAGTGGCTCACTCACAAATCAAGGCAAGGCTACCAGCAGGAGTGATAGCTTCCAAACTGTCACTTGGTCTAAACTATTCTGTATCTTGGCTGGAGAACTTAAACACACACACACACACACACACACACACACACACAAAGAGAGAAAAACCTAGAATCTTTGTAGGGTCCTGGGCCGCAATAGTTTTTAAAAGCACCCTCTAACACCACCCCAGCCAGGTGAGTCTAATGTGTAGCCAAGGCTGGAAAAAAAAAATCACTTGTCTATGCAGACATTCACATAAACTCTTTATCCAACCATTGCAATTGTTCAGCCAATTTTGGCTATAACCCAAATAGCTACCAACCAAAATGGCTACCTAGGCTACTCTGTTTCCTCTCTACCAGCAGACAACCACAGCGATCACTGTTCGAAGTTTACAGTGTGTCAGGCCGTACTAAGCACATTACATGCGTAATCTCTAATCTTTACAGCCACCCTGGATTGGAAAGTAGTACCATTCCTGCTTTTAGCATAAGAAACAGAAAAATGTCCAGGCACAGTGGCTCACGTCTGTAATCCCAGCACTTTGGGAGGCAAAGGTGGGTGGATCACCTGAGGTCAGGAGTTCGAGACTAGCCTGACCAACATGGTGAAACCCCATCTCTACTAAAAATACAAAAATTAGCCAGGCGTGGTGGCACATGCCCTATAATCCCAGCTACTCAGGAGGCTGAGGCAGGAGAATCACTTGAACCTGGGAGGCGGAGGTTGCGGTGAGCCAAGATCACGCCACTGCACTCTAGCCCAGGCAACAAGAGCAAAACTCCATCTCAAAAAAAAAAAAAAAAGAAAGAAAGAAAGAAAGAAATGGAAAAATGGAGCTGTTAAAGAATTTGCCCAAGACAAGGTACAGCAATTAAATGGCACAGCAAGATCTGAATCCCAGCTGGCCTTAACTCCCAAGTTCGACCCCTCTCCACTACAAAGATGGTCCCTCACTTCGGTGTGTCTTTACTTCTGGCTTTACTTTTTTCCTGCTTTTGACAAAATCCAAAGTACTTTCAGTTCATATCCTTCTAATATCCTGCCATGTGTACAAATATATGACTATTTAAAAACAAGCAAAGGGCCGGGCATGGTGGCTCAAGCCTGTAATCCCAGCACTTTGAGAGGCCAAGGTGGAGGGTCGCTTGAGCCCAGAAGTTCGAGACCAGCCTGGGCAACATAGTGGGACCCCCTTCTCTTCAAAAAATTAAAAATGAGTTGAGCGTGGTAGTGTGTGGTCTGTAGTTCCAGCTACTCGGGAGGCTGAGGATGGAGGATGGCTTGAGTCCAGGAAGTCAAGGCTGCACTGCAGCCTGGGC
The DNA here is from genome assembly GCF_000001405.40 of Homo sapiens. Lineage (NCBI taxonomy): Eukaryota > Metazoa > Chordata > Mammalia > Primates > Hominidae > Homo > Homo sapiens. The sequence continues at coordinate 40,497,574 of NC_000004.12, forward strand.
AACAGGGTGAGATCCTATCTCAAATAAAATAATTTTTTAAAAAATTTTAAATAAATAAATAAAAATAAAAACTAGCAAAACCCAGAGAAATACTTATAAATTCAAAGTAAGCCTCCCTGGCCAGGCACACTGGCTCTTGCTTGCAGTCCCAGTACTTTAGGAGGCTGAGGCAGAAGGATAGCTTGAACCCAGGAGTTCAAAACCAGCCTGGGCAACATAGGGAGACCCTGTCTCTACAGCAAATTAAAAAAAAAAAAAAATTAGTCAGGTGTGGTGGCACATGTCTATGGTTCCAGCTACTTGGAAGGCTGAGGCAGGAGGATCACTTGAGCCTGGGAGCCTGGCAGGTCAAGGTTTCAGGGGGCCATGATCACACCACTGCCCTCCAGCCTGGATGACAGAGCAAGACTCTATCTCAAAACCAAAACCAAAACCAAAGTAAGCCTCCTTTATTTTGCAAATAAAATGTAAGTGCTTGTTTTATATATATATATATATATATATATGTTTATCTAATTCCAGAAAGCAGAGACAAATGTTGAGCGCTGTTAGCAGACCAACTTCAAAATTCTAATGCCCATTTTTAAAATGATCGTACTTCACTGAACAAGCTGGTTCTGCTTAGTTTGATGAATACACAATTGGTTTGGGCCATATAACCAAAGGTGAGCCTTCCAGTAATGCACACCCCAGAATACTGGTTACCTAAAATTGATGCTTTTTTAAATTCCCTTTCCTGAAGATACTTATATTACTGGTAAATTTAGGAATTCCTCTTGGGAATTCTTGAAAAGCAAATTATACTACAGCATTCTATTAAAAATTGTTAAGTATTGGCCTTGGCCAGGCATGGTGGCTCACGCCTGTAATCCCTGCGGGGGGATCACCTGAGGTCAGGAGGTTGAGACCAGCCTGGCCAACATGGGGAAACCCGTCTCTACTAAAAAGACAAAAATTAGCCTGGCATGGTGGTGCTTGTCTGAAGTCCCAACTACTTGGGAGGCTAAGGCACGAGAATCCACCCAGAAGGTGGAGGTTGCAGTGAGCCAATATTGCGCCATTGCACTCCAGCCTGGGCAACAGAGAGACTCCATCTCAAAAAAAAAAAAAAAAAAAAAAATTGTTAAGTATGACAATTGATGTACGATGTGCTAGCTTTTGATTGCAAGAAGGTATAAGGCATTTATACATAGCGTCTGAAAATACAAGTTTTCACTTCTAACACAATGTATAAATGTGACTGTGATTTGGTGCCTTTATAAACTGGAGGTGTTACAGCCTGACCAACACGGAGCAACCCCGTCTCTACTAAAAATACAAAATTAGCCGGGCACGGTGGCACATGCCTGTAATCCCAGCTACTTGGGAGGCTGAGGTAGGAGAATGGCTTGAACCTGGGAGGCAGAGGTTGCGGTGAGCCAAGATTACACCATTGCACTCCAGCCTGGGCAACAAGAGTGAAACTCCAACTCAAAAATAAATAAATAAATAAAAGAAGACTTAGCTGAATGGAAAGGGGAGTGATAGATGGCACAATGTAGCAAAACCTTAATAACTAAGAAATCTGTGTGATGGGTATATTGGAATTTGTATTTTATTCCCTCTAAACTTCAATATGTTTGTAATTTTTAAAAAACAAAACCAATTAGTACATACTTACATGAAGACTGCAAAACTCAGAGGGCTAGTCAAAGTTCTCTTAAGGTTTTGAAATAACATTCTGTGATTGATGTAATAGCACCCCTATTTCATTAAAAGTAGGTTAGGATGTAGATTTTCTTTTGTAAAATTAAGGTAAATCTAATTTCAATTTGTTATTAGAATTTTGTTTTATTTTATTTATTTGTTTATTTTGAGATGGAGTCTTGCTCTGTCGCCCAGGCTGGAGTGCAATGGCACGCTCTCAGCTCACTGCAACCTCCGCCTTCCGGGTTCAAGTGATTCGCCTGCCTCAGCCTCCCGAGTAGCTGGGATTACAGGCACACACTACCACGTCCAGCTAATCTTTTTATTTTTAGTAGAGACGGGGTTTCACCGTGTTGGCCAGGCTTGTCTTGAACTCCTGACCTCATGATCCTGCTGCCTCAGCCTCCCAAAGTGCTGGGATAACAGGCATGAGGCACCGCGCTCAGCCTGTTATTAGAATTTAAAAAATTAAGTTCTATGACTCCTTGGAATAAATTAGATAAACACAGGTCACAATTGCAGGTCTTAGAACCATTGGGTTAATCATATTATAGAGTATTCACTCACTCATTCACTCAGTCATTCATTCAATAAATGTGTGCTTAATGCCGCTCTTTTGCAAGATCCATAATAATATAATTATAACCCTCTATAAACTTTTTTTAGCATAAAGATAACATAAATCCCTAAAACACCTTTGTATTTGGGGTATCCCAAAGCTACTAGCTGTGCTTAAACAATTCTAACATATCTGGTTGTGACATTAAAAAATAGGCCGGGCGCAGTGGCTCACGCCTGTAATCCCAACACTGTGGGAGGCCGAGGCGGGTGGATCACCTGAGGCCAGGAGTTCGAGACCAGCCTCGCCAACAGAGTGAAATCCCGTTCTACTAAAAATACAAAATTAGCCGGGTGTGGTGGTGCATGCCTGTAATCCCAGCTACTTAGGAGGCTGAGGCAGGAGAATCACTTGAACCCTGGAGGTGGAGGTTGCAGTGAGCCGAGATCGTGCCACTGCACTCCAGCCTGGGCGACAAGGGCCAGACTTCGTCCCCCCCCAAAAAAAAAAGGGCTGGACTCAGCGGCTCATGCCTGTAATCCCAGCACTTCGGGAGGCCGAGATGGGCGAAATGCTTGAATCCAGGAGTCGAGACCAGCCTGGGCAACAAGGTGAAACCCCATCTCTACAAAAAATACAAACATTAGCTGGGTGTGGTGGTATGTGCCTATAGTCCCAGCTATTCAGGAGGCTGAGGCAGGAGAATCACCTGAGCCCAGGAGGTCGAGGCTGCAGTGAGCCATGACTGTGCCTGGGTGATAAAGCAAGACCCTATCTCCAAATATATATATATATAAAACCAACAAAAGTTTCATCTACTTGACCCTAAACAACTTGCCTTAATTTTGTACTTAATGAATTGGTCATAGGTATAGCCTTGCAGGGATAACAACATAGTACATAAACTTCTGAATTTTACCAAATGAATTAGAAGGTAGTTTAAGTCATTTTAAAAAATAATTTAGCAACTTTTCTTATGCTTTCTCAATACATTTAAAACCTGATTGACTTACCAGATGTTCCTTAACCACAATTTTTTCAGTAACAAATCTATCACAGAAAACACTGACCATGGTCGTGACATTCTTTGGTTTTCTATCACGTCTCTTACTCAGGTTTCACTTGTTTCTGAATTTCAAATTCTAAGGTTTGAAAAAATATCTGCAAGTCAATATTTAAACTGGCCACTGGCAATGATTATGTTCTTCATTAAGTTCCTCAATGTTAAAAAAAAAAACAAAACAGCAATATAAAACAAGCGATCCCGGGTGACTGAAGTTTTAACTCAGAGTCCAAATGCTGCATAGAAGAGCAGCTGCTGGCTTCATTTATCGTGACGAGTAAAATAAAACATAGGAAAACAGTCGCAGTTTTAATTTAAGCATAATCTAAACTTCAACTTGATCCTTGCAATGTAGCATCATACCTTATGGAGAAACATGAAGACAAAGGTTGTAATAAAATTTGGATGATAAAAAAAGTTGGATGACAAAGAAGATGTGGAAAGCAGAAAGAGGATTGGTATGCAAAACCCATTTAGGTTCTGCTGCTCACAGTTCTAACCTCAGAGGGTGGAGAGATACACAGCCCATACTTCACATAGTCAGATGCTGAAAACAAGCATCTAGGCCAGTGCCATCCAACAGAGCTTTCTGTAATGATGGAAACACTCTGCGTCTGCACCGTCTAATACAAAAGCCACTGATACGCATGTGCCACAAAGTCCTTGGCATGTGTGTAGTGCAAACAAGGAATTATTTCATTTAATTTTAAACAAATTTAAATAACTGCACTGCATGCAGCTATGGGCTACCATATTGGACAACACATGTCTGTGTTCACAGGGTAGCTCCTGGACAGAAGAATGAGAGATTTGGGGCAGAGTTAGATCAGTAAGTCTTAGAAATGCTGCACCCACTCTGGTGGAGAAGCTAATCTAACTAATGCCTTTTCCATTGCAATGGTGAGCAGAAGCTTCCAATACACTTTAATACACTATTAGAAATGTGTGATCAACTTTTCTCAAGAGTCAACAGATGCTCAGATAAGAGTGAAATAAAGCTCAGAAACTCAGAAAATAGTGGCCCTATTTTCAGTCTTTTAGTTCTTCTTCTCCAGAGGCAGAATTCCCTTTCTGATGCTGACATTAATTACCCACTCAACACCACCACAAGCCCCACAGCGAGGCCCTCAAATGCACACATCTTCTTCCACCTGTCTCCTGCTTGGCCTGCTTGAAGGTTTCCATCCATGTAGACTTGAACACTAACATGGTCTAGAACCTCCATACAAGCCAGTCAGCTCAATAGAATGAATTTACAGAGGCCAAGCTTGAGCATTTTGTAACTGTTTCTGACATATGTCTAAAGCAGGTTGGACTGCCTCACTTCTTGGATGAGAAGGGTGGGTACGTCACATTGGACAAATCACCTGTTATATTGTTTTCATGTTGACACATTTCCCACAGCAAATTTGTTTGATGTGTCCTTGTTATTCTGTTCAAAAAATGGAGTCCAGAACGTCATTTGATGAATATAGCCTGGTCTGAATTGAAGGGAAGTCAAGCATGAAGGAGGAAGTGGACTGAACTCCCTGAATGCTGCTGAGAAATGCTTCCCCAGCTAAGACAGTGTTTTTCCCATCTCTCTGGTAAGGAGGGGTGAGAAGAGGTGAGGAAGAGAGGCCAATGAGTGCTCGTGAATCAGTAAGACTCCAACGACACAGAACTTGAGAACAGTTGAATTTGCTGGGTGCAGTGGCTCAGGCCTGTAATCCCAGCATTTTGGGAAGCTGAGGCAGGAAGATTGCTTGAGCCCAGGAGTTCAAGACCAGCCTGGGCAACATGGGGAAACGCCATCTTTACAAAAAAATTTAAAAGTCAGCCAGGTGTGGTGACATGCACCTGTAGCTCCAGCTATTCAGGAGGTTGAGGCAGGAAGATCACTTGAGCCCAGGAGGTTGAGGCTGCAGTGAGCAGTAATCATATTGCTGTACTCCAGCCTGGGTTGAGAGAGCAAAACCCTGTCCGAAAAAAAAGACGGCTGGGCGTGGTGGCTCATGCCTACGATCCCAGCACTTTGGGAGGCCAAGGCAGGATGATTGCTTGAGGCTAGGAGTTCAAGACCATCCTCGTCAACATAGTGTAACATTGTACAACCCTGTCTGTACAAAAAAAAAAAAAAAAAAGAATGGAAAAAGAAAACAGTTGAATTTGTTAAGCCTGGACAGACAGAGGACAGTGTTACATCACAGACTCAGAAACAGTGACTAAAGTCTGACATTTCTATCTTCCCTCCTCCTTCACTTCCTGTCTTTGAAACAAGCACTACAAAGACATGAAATCAGAACCTAAAACTGAGAAGAAAGAAAAACTGTCACAGGAGTATGATGAGTCTGCATTAGGCAAAGGACTCTCCTGACAAGGTGGCCTCAAGGTGGAAGGAGGCTGGGTAGATGCTTTTGGAGGTGCTGATGGCCATTAGTAGGTGGTGGGCATTGGGAAGAGTAGGTGTACTTCACATCATGGATGAGGGGATTATTCATGAGAGGTGATTTGCAGGTTTGCCTCTAAGGGAGGACAAGAGTGAAAGAGGAGGAGTGGGTACCAGCAATGCCAGTCCTGGACGTTCTGAAAAGATGCAGAGGATTCCAGTTTGAGAAGTGCTACTAGCGGTGTCCACTGGAAGGTCAAAAAGGTGAAGGTGAAGGGCAGCAGAGACAGTGACTGTGGTTACCCCTCACTGCTGCCCCTCACCTTGGACAGTGTTTACTGTCATTGTCTTGTAGATTTGCCAGCAGAAGGCTTTTAATTATTTCAGTTATTTTTAGAAATAATATGTATTATATGCTGCTTCTCATTATATAAGAAACTCATGGAAAGCATGGAAGAGCCTAAGAGGGGGGAGAGAAGAATATATGTAAATATATTACACACACACACACAGACATATACACACACAGATACATATATACATACATACACACACACAGAGGTATGGCCAGAGATTTCATATTAAAGACAATAGGGACGCAAAAGAGGACACGGAAATAAGCAAAATTAACAATGAAATTAGGCTGGGCATGGTGGCTCACACCTGTAATCCCAGCACTTTGGGAGGCTGAGGTGGGAGGATCTCTTGAATTCAGGAGTTCAAGGCCAGCCTGGGCAACATAGTGAGACCCCCGTCTTGGAAAAAAAAGTGAAAAAAAAATTTTTTTAAGGAAATGGTATACCCTCTCATTATGGGTGGGAATTAGAGTGCTCAGATTCTTCAGGGATGGTTTTCTATTTTGCATTCTTTCTTTGGAACAGTATTAGTAGGGATACTGAGTTAAGCATCTTTAAGGTTCTTGACATACATTGACATGCTGTTTTCTGAATAAGGCATACCTATTTGTGTGGCCACCAGGCATGTATGAATAAGCTGGGGTCTTTCATGGAAGGGAAATGGTATCTCTCTGTTGTTTCCTTCTTTTTTTTTTTTTTTTTTGAGATGGAGTCTTGCTGTGTCACCCAGTCTAGAGTGCAGTAGTGCAATCTCAGCTCACTGAAACCTCCACCTCCCAGGTTCAAGAAATTCTCCTGCCTCAGCCTTCCCAGTAGCTGGGATTACAGGTGCCCGCCACCACACCTGACTAATCTTTTTGTATTTTTAGTAGAAACGGGGTTTCACCATGCTGGCCAGGCTGATCTCGAACTCCTGACCTCAAGTGATCCACCCGCCTCGGCCCTCCAAAGTGCCGGGATTACAGGCTTGGGTCACTGCACCCGACCCTCATTGTTGTTTTAATTTGCAGGTTATTTGTGAGGTTGTAAACCAGTATTTTTCTTTTGTGAATTAGACTGTTTATTTCTACTTCCCTCCCCACCTCAGCTTCTATGATAAGGCCTTGTTAATAGAAATTAAATTAAAAGAATATTGGATTACTTATTTGTGCTGAAAGTCCCACCCACCAAAAATTATCACCATTTAATTTGTCCACCTTCTATTCACATTCCTTATTTTGGTCATGGTTTTTGTAGGGCCTAGATATAAGTCATTTGTGAGTTATCTGCCAATGGCAGATTCTTTACCAAAGAAGTACTTGGGGAGGACCAAGGACTGCCAACCTCTGAAGACAAAAAATTGTTGTTTGTATTTTGTTTTTCAGAATAAGCACAAGATTCCTTAATTTTCCTTTAGGCAAAGATAAAGATTTTTATCTTTAAAAGATGCTGGGCTATCAGTTAGGCACGGTGGCACATGCCTGTAGTCCCAGCTGCTCAGGAGGCTGAGGTAAGAGAATTGCTTGAGGCCAGGAGTTTGAGGCCACAGTGGCTGTAATTGCACCACTGCATTCCAGACTGGGTGACAAAGCAAGATCTTGTGTCTAAAAAGAAAAAAAACAGGCTGGGCACTGTGGCTCACGTCTGTAATCCCAGCACTTTGGGAGGCTGAGATGGGTGGCTGATCACTTGAGGCCAGGAGTTCAAGACCAGCCTGGCCAACATGGTGAAACCCCGTCTCTACTAAAAACACACAAATTAGCCAGGCATGGTGGTATGTGCCTGTGTTCCCAGCTACTTGGGAAGCTGAGGCTGGGGAATCACTTGAACCCAGTGAGGCGAGATTGTGCCATCGCACTCCAGCCTGGGTGACACAGTAAGACTTCATCTAAAAAAAAAAAAAAAAGTGTAAAAAAAAAAAAGATGCTGGACTAAAATTTATAAGCCAGCATTCCCTGGTATTTAATTTTTCTATATCCAAATCAACGTTATTTCCTAGAATTTAAAAACATATATATTTTGGCTGGACGCGGTGGCTCACACCTGTAATCCCAGCACTTTGGGAGGCCGAGGCGGGTAGATCACGAGGTCAGGAGTTCGAGACTAGCCTAGCCAACATAGTGAAACTCCATCTCTACTAAAAATACAAAAAAAAAAATAGCTGGTTATGGTGGTGTGCGCCTGTAGTCCCCAGCTACTCAGAAGGCTGAGACACGAGAATCACTTGAACCCAGGAAGCAGACGTTGCAGTGAGCCGAGACCACACCACTGCAGCCTGGGTGACAGAGCGAGAGTCTGTCTCAAAAAAAACAAAACAAAACAAAACAAAACAAAAAACAAAAAAACTTACTTGTCATTTTATGCAGCAAATAAAGCCCTTATCATATGACAAGTCAATCTTCCTTGGGGGTTGGGTGGGCAGTGAGCTGTAACCTTCATTATATGATCTTTCTCTGACCTATCTACTATCAAACAACAGCAGTGATGGTACAGACAAATTGCTCTAATACTCTTACTAAAAAATGAAACAGTAGGTATTTATTATGGCTTTATAGTAAGAAGCCATTTTATTGGAAAAGCAGAATAAAAGTCTTTGTTTTGTTTCTACTCCAAGTCCAGGTTTGCATTTGTGATTGACAGCAACGGTGCTTACTTAAACAATGGCTAATTTAAATGTTTCACAATCCTCAAGGGAAAAAATGCCACCTGGGACAATGTTCAATGTCTTGAATTCACTATTAAGTAAGAGTCCGGTTCCGTTCATGTATGCAAATTTCCCTCCAAGGAATCCTGTTCAAAGGGAAGGCAAACTGAGATCTCCTAGACACCCATGATGTGCCAGATACTTTAATATACTGCAAATTATCTCAATTAATCCCAACAATAAACACCCATGGTTGGAATCTTTGTGGAAAAGGTAAAAGTTCTATACAGAGAAAGCCACTGCACTGGGAAGGGCAGAGGGCTCCGCTGTTGACTGGCTCTTTCATTCTGTTACACAGGACAAGACCAGCATGAGGTCAACCTTGTGGCAATGGCTTTTGTACTCAACTGGCTTCCAAGTTACCTTCTGGCTGACTCAGTGTCTCTGAGACCATCCTGAGTGCCAGGGACATTTGTACCTACCTTGGGTGCTAGAAACCAGTTGATTCTACTTCTTATGTTACCTAAATACTTTGCTCTTTATTGGAGGAAAAGAATGATTCAGATGGAGCCAAACAAGCAGTGGCTTGAACGCCTCTCTCCAATTTTCCTTCAAAAAAATCTTGGTCAGGCGTGGTGGCTCATGCCTATAATCCCAGCACTTTGGGAGGCTGTGGCAGGCGAATCACTTGAGGTCAAAAGTTCGAGACCAGCCTGGCCAATATGGTGAAACCCCATCTCTACCAAAAACACAGATTCTGCTCTGTCGCCCAGGCTGGAGTGCAGTGGTGCGATCTTGGCTCGCTGCAACCTCCAGCTCCCGGGTTCAAGCAATTCTCCTGACTCAGCCTCCCGAGTAGCTGGGATCAAAGGCATGCGCCACCACATCTGACAAATTTGTATATTTTTAGTAGAGACACGGTTTCACCATGTTGGCCAGGCTGGTCTCGAACTCCTAACCTCAGGTGATCTGCCAGTCTCCGCCTTCCAAAGTGCTGGGATTACAGGCATAAGCCACTACACCTGGCCTTAAGCACGTCCATAAACTCCACTTTAAAATACATGATTATTGACTCCCAGGAAACTTCTCAGTAATTCTCACTTGAAATTCACCTAACTTTCTTATGATGATTAAATATTTCCTTATGTATACACACTAAAACCTGATCTTAAAAAAAAATTCAAAAATTGCTAAATGAAAGTTTTTGAATATATTAATACCATGTGTGTCTGAAAATAACAAGTATTCATAAGCAAAAATTTAAAATTCCAGAGTTACGGCTGGGCGCGGTGGCTCACGCCTGTAATCCCAACACTTTGGGAGGCCGAGGCGGATGGATCATGAAGTCAGGAATTCAAGACCAGCCTGGCCAAGATGGTGAAACCCCGTCTCTACTAAAAATACAAAAATTAGCCGGGCGTGGTGGCGTGCACCTGTAATCCCAGCTACTTGGGAGGCTGAGGCAAGGAATTACTTGAACCTGGGAGGCGGAGGTTGCAGTGACCCGAGATCGCGCCACTTCATTCCAGCCTGGGCGACAGAGTGAGACTCCATCTCAAAAAAAAAGTCCAGAGCAAGTCTTATTTTTAAAACAAAACAAATTTGAAGGGAAAAAGAGACAAAATGACCTAAGTAAAAAAGTCAGATGGCTGGCCAGCTCTCCAACAGAAGATAGAAAAGTCTGCAAATTAGCCAGGCGTGGTGGCGCATGCCTGTAATCCCAGCTACTTGGGAGGCTGAGGCAGGAGAATAGCTTCAACCCGGGAGGCGGAGGTTGCGGTGAGCCGAGATCACCCCACTGCACCCCAGCCTGGGCAACAAGAGCGAAATCCCATCTCAAAAAGAAAAGAAAAGTCTGCAGTACGTAAAACCTGAGCCTCAGAAATCGGAGGTGGCGGAGCCTCAACAGCGTTCTGGCATTGTCTTTGCCAGGACGGGACTGCCCTCTGGTGTAACTAACAATTTTCACGTTTTGTTCAGCCTCACTGTAAAGTCATAAAACTTTTCTGATGCTTAGTTTCCTCATGTACAAAACAGCAGCAGTCACCTTCTAGGGTAATTACTGCAGTTAAACAGCCAACATAGAGCACTTAGCAAATACACTCCCAGAAACAGACCTCTTTCCTTCCACCCTTTCAGGTCATAATATTTCCATCCCACCTTAAGATATCACTTAACTTTAAAGAGCTGGCACAGATAGGGAATGATTTTCAGCTCATATAGTCATGTTTTTAATTCCTGAAAATGCTCTGCGTTGTGGTCTGTTCTTACAAAGGAATACTATGCAGCAACAACAGGATAAATTATAACTACATGAAACTATGTGGATGAGCGTCACCGATAAAGGGTTGAGTGAGAGGCCAGATACAAAAGAGTACATACTGTCTGATTCCATCTTAATGAAGTAAGAATAGCCAAAGGTAATCTATGGTGATACAAGTCAGAATGGTGGTTACCTTGGGTTGAGGGGATAATGGGAGGAGAGGCACGACGATACTGAGATGCTGAAAATATTTTGTGCCTTAATCTGGGTGGTGGTTCCACAGGTACATACACATATAAAAATTCATCAAGCTGTGTACCTAACAGTCGTGCAGTTTACTGCCTTTATGTTATACACTTCAATGAATATTTAAAATAATATGTTTTCGGCCAGGCGCAGTGGCTCACGCCTGTAATCCCAGCACTTTGGTAGGCCAAGGTGGGCGGATCACCTGAGGTCAGGAGTTCGAGACCAGCCTGGCCAACATGGTGAAACCCTGTCTCTACTAAAAATACAAAAATTAGCCAGGTGTGGTGGCGCGTGCCTGTAGCCCAGCTACTTGGGAGGCTGAAGCAGGAGAATTGCTTGAATCTGGGAAGCTGAGGTTGTAGTGAGCCGAGATTGTGCCACTGCACTCCAGCCTGGGCAACAGAGTGAGCCTCCATCTCAAAATAAATAAATAAATAAATAAATAAATAATAATAATATATTTTTTTCAAAGTAGTTATTTGATTTAATATTTTCTCTGAATGATAAATTCATTCACTGGTGCTTCATAATTGTAGACATCACTTGTATAGGATATTTTCCAAATAACTGAATTTACTCATGTAAGCAAACACACTATTACTTTCTTGGGTAAAAATATTTCTAAAATGATTTGTACCCTCACTATCATTTTAAAGAGGCTCCAAAGCACATTCTTCTTGGTGAACCAAGGTTATCCATAGAAATTTACATGTTGGTGACCTGTATTGGCTCATGCCTTTAATCCCAACAGTTTGGGTGGTCTAGGTGGGAGAATTACTTGAGCCCAGGAATTTGAGACCAGTCTGGGCAACATAGTGAGACCCTGTCTCTATAAAATTTTTAAAAAGTAAAGAAACTGGGCCGGGCGCGGTGGCTTACGCCTGTAATCCCAGCACTTTGGGAGGCCAAGGCAGGTGGATCACGAGGTCAGGAGATCGAGACCATCCTGGCCAACACGGTGAAACCCCGTCTCCACTAAAAATACAAAAAAAAAAATTCTCCAGGCGTGGTGGCGGGCGCCTGTAGTCCTAGCTACTGCGGAGGCTGAGGCAGAATGGTGTGAGCCCGGGAGGCGGAGCTTGCAGTGAGCGGAGATTGCGCCACTGCACTCCAGCCTGGGCGACAGAGTGAGACTCCGTCTCAAAAAAAAAAAGTAAAGAAACTGGCCAGGTGCAGTGGCTCACGCCTGTAATCCCAGCACTTTGGGAGGCTGAGGGGGGGTGGGTCACTTGAGGTCAGGAGTTCAAGACCAGCTTGACCAACATGGTAAAACCCTGTCTCTACTAAAAATACAAAATTAGCCAGGCATGATGGCACATGCCTGTAATCCCAGCTACTTAGGAGGCTGAGGAAGGAGAACTGCTTGAACCTAGGAGGCGGAGGCTGCAATTAGCCAAGATAGCGCCATTGCACTCCAGCCTGGGCAACAAGAGTGAAACTCCATCTCAAAAAAAAAAAAAAAAAAAAGTAAAGAAACTTACATGGTAGAGCTCAGCTGAGATGGGGCAATAGCTTCGGGGACCATTGCTTCTGGATTGGATGGCAGCAGTTTTACCCCTTTGTTATATGCCCTATTTCTCACCATTGTCTGCCTGCCTGTAATCATCCCTGTCCTTCTCATTTGTTTCCTTTCATTCATTTATTCATATATCTGGTACATATTTTTGAACACGTGGGATATGCTAAGAGCTAGAGATACAGTAGCAAGTTAGACACTTGTGATCCATGACCTAAGGGAACTTAATATTTTAGCAAAAGAGGCAAGCATAAAACAAATACAATGTGTATTTTCAGAGCAAAATTAGAGGACCTCCTTTAGGGGACCTGGGAAGGTCACCTTGAAGAGGTGACATTCAAGAACTGTGAGATGAGACCCTATCCCAGAGTGAGCCATTAGTAAGTACTGACTGAATGAATGAGTCCATGTGTGAATGCTTGCTTGAATGGTCATCAGCCAAGTAGAAAGGAGAAAAGAAAGAGTCGTGATTTATTATGCACTGAGGAACCAGAAATGTTATTGAAAGATGTCTAAACTAAGAGTCAATAGGGGGACGGGCATGATGGCTCACACCTGTAATCCCAACACTTTGGGAGGCTGAGACGGGTGGATCATTTGAGGTCAGGGGTTTGAGACCAGACTGGCCAACATGAAACCCTGTCTCTACTGAAAAATACAAAGAGTCAACAGGCACTGAGTGAGGTACTAATAGAATTTATGGCATTAATTTTGGCTGCTGTGGGGGCTGTTTTATTGCCTTACTTAAGATCTTGAGTTGCTAGACAACTGAAGGATTTTTCATTATCACTGGGCTAACCTATACGCATTCAGTTTTTACTTCATCCTGCAAAAAGCAAAACCAGCCACATATGGCCCAAGTGTCTGAAGGTTCCTCCAAGTTGCCCGTGTAGTTCTGACTCCGAGCTCCTACGCATGTGACTTTTCTGGCACAGCCGCCAGAATCACCTTGAAAGGTTGTCACCTACCTGTTCCTTAACAAAGCCATACAGCTCTGTTCAGAAAAGACAGCAGGCCTGCCTCTTAGGCATTATGGCATGTTGTGAAATGCCTTTTCATTTGGGTCCTATTATTGTCCCCAGAAATTTCAGCCTCATGACATTTTACAAATCAAGAAGAACTTGCAGTCTAAAGGATGGAAGGAGCAGATAACAAACAAGAACGCTTGTAGAGACGTTACTCAATTATATGCCTAATACAGCCAACCTGACATAGAAGCATTATTATCATATCACGTTTAATAGCAGCAGAGTCTAAAATGCCAGAAACGTGGGCCAAGTTATTCAGGACTTAATGTGATGCATGACTAGATCTGTCAATAAACTATCATGAAACCATAAGAACCCCTAACAGGAGGATCCAACGTAGCCTTTGTTGATCTTAGTTTCTTACAATTCCTCATGGAAATACTAAATCGGGCTGGGCACAGGGGCTCAAGCCTGTAATCTCAGCACTTCGGGAGGCCGAGGTGGGCAGATCAGTTGAGGTCAGGAGATGGTGAAACCCCATCTCTACTAAAAATACAAAAATTAGCCGGGCGTGGTGGCAGGCGCCTATAGCCCCAGCTACTGGGGAGGCTGAGGCAGGAGAATCGCCTGAACCTGGGAGGCACAGGTTACAGTGAGCCAAGATTGTGCCACTGCACTCCAGCCTGGGGGACACAGTAAGACTCTGTCTCAAAAAAAAAAAAAAGAAAAGAAAAAAGAAAAACTAAACAAAAAGATTGTACCGAATATGGATTTTCCTAGTGAAATAAAGGGAAACAAGGAATGACAAGTGTCTAGAAATGGTTTGTTTTTAGATTTTTCCCCAGAGTCTTTCTGTTCCTTTGATAAAATTTCAGACTCAACACAGGCTCAATCTACTTTAGAAAGTGTGGTATTGCCAGGCGCGGTGGCTCACACCTCTAATCCCAACACTTTGGGAGGCCAAGGCAGGTGGATCACCTGAGGTCAGGAGTTCAAGACCAGTCTGGCCAACATAATGAAACCCCTTCTCTACTAAAAATACAAAAAATTAGCCGGGCATGATGGTGGGCGCCCAGCTACTTGGGAGGCTGAGGCAGGAGAATCTCTTGAACCTGGGAGGTGGAGGTTGCAGAGAGCCGAGATTGCGCCACTGCATTCCAGCCTGGGTGACAGAACGAAACTCCATCTCAAAAAAAAAAAAAAAAAAAAGGCCGGGTGCGGTGGCTTACGCCTGTAATCCCAGCACTTTGGGAGGCCGAGGCGAGTGGATCACTTGAGGTCAGGAGTTCAAGACCAGCTTGGCCAAAATGGTGAAACCCTGTCTCTACAAAAATACAAAAATTAGCTGGAGATGATGGTGGCTGCCAGTAATCCCAGCTACTTGGGAGGCTGAGGTGGGAGAATCACTTGAACCCCGGAGGCAGAGGTTGCAGTGAGCCGAGATTGTGCCACTGCACTCCAGCCTGGGTGACAGAGTGAGACTTCATCTCAAAAAAAAAAAAAAAAGAAAGAAAGAAAAGAAAAAAAAGGAAAGAAAAGAAAAGAAAAAGTGTGCTTTTAATGCATGAATTATTTCACTGGTCAGGGTTTCTATTTTGGATTCACATGGTATGGCTCTCTTTCCCTACTTGATAGACTCAAGCAATCTAAGTGCACCTGTGTAACAGGCAATTAGATACAGTAAGTATCAAAATCTTAAAAGAGACATAGGAAAACATTAATCCACTTGTCAAAAGTTACATAAACTTGCAGTGGTCAGAGTAGTGAAATGACTTTCTGCTAAACTCAATTTTCCGATATGCATATAAAAAGATATTAAACCTGCCATGCTTCCAGGGAACTCAAGGTCTTTAACCTCTACAATTGTTAGATTTCTTCCTATTTGCCTGAATATACAAAGCCACAGCGAAGTTTGTCCTGTGGAGGAAATGTCTTCCAATTTTGAAACAATCATTTCTTCCAGCCGTTTTCAAATGACTGGCCACTTCTCAGAAGAAAAAACCCTTGGCTTCTTACTGCAAGCGTCATTGGGCAAAAATATACCCAAATCATGTTCTTTCATAATTGGTGAGCTCTTCAACTTAGTACTGTCCTTGTACAGGCCAAAGATCCCACACCCTTGTTATATTGCCCGTTTTATACTGCAACACTTTTCCCCAAGAACTGGCAATTGTAGAAATCTGTTGGAACTATTTTTTTTCCTAGATTTTCCTATAACTGTTTGAGTTTTAACTATTAATAACACAGTTACTGCTATCTGTGTGTGGCATATCATTATTACAATTGATCATACATAAACATTTGATTAAGGCTGTAGCTTTATTATATTTTCTACCCACCCAAAAAAGCTAGATTATAAAGACTTAGTATTCCCAAGAAGTATTTATTCATTAGTTTCTCCTAAACCATGACCAGTATAGAAAAAGTCGGTCTCAAGCTGGTCTGTTTCAAAAACACAGAGTTGAGGATAAGAGGCCGTTTTAAACTGACTTTTTTTTTTTTTCTTTTTTGGAGACGGAGTTTCGCTCTTGTCACCCAGGCTGGAGTGCAGTGGCACAATCTTGGCTCACTGCAACCTCTGCCTCCGGGGTTCAAGCGATTCTCCTGCCTCAGCCTCCTGAGTAGCTGGGACTACCGGCGCACACCACCATGCCCGGCTAATTTTTGTATTTTTGGTAGAGATGGGGTTTCACCTTGTTGGCCAGGCTCGTCTCGAACTCCTGACCTCAAGTGATCCACCCACCTCGGCCTTCCAAAGTGCTGAGGTTACAGGTGTGAGCCACCGCACCCAGCCTAACCTGACCTTTAATTTGCTGTTATCTTGTCTAAATTTAACAGAATTGGGGGTGGGGTGGGGGGAGAAAGTTTAAAAGTATTTTCATGAAACCAGAACCACCATTTAGCAAAACCTTTAAATGGAATGAATTCCCGAGCTCACAGAAGTGCAAATTGCAAGGTTACACATTGCCTCCCAGAAACACAGGACCTGGTTCTGAACTCTTTGCTAAAGGATTCTGATTCAGCCCACTGTAAAATCTCAAGCACAAGTAGGTTTTCCACTTACTCTCCATTACACACATGTCCCTCTAGCAAAACCAAAAACAGCATTTGATGGAAGCTAAAGATTACAATTATCCGGGGACTCCGAGCCACTAAAAAATAGAGTTTGCAAAGAAATCCCTTTTGCCCCCGTCTTCCCCTCACCATCCCTGCCCCTTCCGCAGAAGGGAACCCAAATCGTATGCAATTTGAAATTTTTAATATGAATATACTAAAGTAGGAAGCACGTACCTGCTAAGCACCTGGCGCTCTCTTTCCCTGCTTGCTCTCTCCTCCCACACTCTGGCAACGGAATGCCCTTCAAAAACCATGGCTCAGTGCTTTTGGTAAATGTTTTACGAGACACTAAACAGGCTTGTGTCCCACCCTCAGAGCAAACACCACTGAGGGAACACAATATAATGGTCGAAAAGATATCATGTAATGTACAATAATGAAAATGAACAAGCAGGCTCTATTTCCACACTTCCCCTTAAGGGGGAAAGCAATGTCAAACTTTCAGGTGGTGGGGGCGGAGTTGCCGGAAAGGCTCATAGAAATAAACCTTGACGCTGGAAGCGTTAGAGCGATTTTTTTAAAGGTGGCATAACGATAAGCTCATTGTTCTAATCCTCAAACAAGTCTTGGCTTGCTGAGCTGAAAAACTGTCAAAGGCAAGAGTTAATAAAGGGTGGAGTTCACCGGCGAATATGTAGACGCAGTAGCATCTCCACATTGACCACATATTCCTATTTATCAGAGAAAATGCAACTCAAAAAGTGCTCATAAACCATCCTCCACAATAACCAAAGGTACTTCCCATTTTCCATATCCTTCAAGTTATTCACAGTTAAGACCCAACTCTGCTCCAAACCAGAAGTTTTGCATTCCATTCAAGTTAACAATTACAACTGAAGGATAACAGAAACTTGCTGGCACCAAACTATTAGAATGTCAGGTGCCTCCTGGTACCACCAGGGTTAATGAGATAAAGAGAGGGTGCCCAGGGATGATCTATCTGCCTGGTTTTACAGAAACTACCTATAGAGATTGCTAGAGTCTTGGGCCCATGCAAGCAGCACGCACTCATCGGCTACTGGAGGACTGAGTGGGACATCTAAGACATGAAAAAGCAGAATTACTTAGCTACAGTCAAGCCCACTCGCTAAAAAGAGACCAAGACCGTCTAGAGAAGAAGCCAGAATTGGCTTTGGTTGCAGAATCACACCCACAGGCAGGATAGGCAAATAAGATAACCCATTCTCTGTCCCCACCCACTCCTCCAATCCCCAAGAGAGTGCTCAGAATTTTGCATTTCCTACCTTTAAAATATCTGCTGGGGTGGAAACAAAACAAAGCAAAACAAAACTGAACCTAGAATTGAGATCATGTGTTTTCTACACTCCAGCTGTGTGACCTTGAGGGAGTAACTTAACCTCCCTGAGCCCGTCTCCTCATCTATAAAGTACAAATGTCTAGAAACACAGAAGTTATTTCCAAGAACTGACAGCTCTCCAGCTCCAGGAGCCTAGAAAATGGCACAGAGCAGTTCTTGACAGTTTTAAAATGTCAGAAGGGTTGTTGTCATTTTTTGGTCTCCTACCTTATGTGGATGGGTTCCATCTTATTTTCAATGTCCTCCTGTTGCAGAAGCTTCCGGTTAGTCCTGGGACTAAAGGGCAATTGACCTCACTCCTCCTGGGTCTGACTGACTAATCTGTTAGGGTGGGTACCATAAATGACCGTTTTATCTGCCTGCCCGGGGCGTGGCAACAGGGCCTCCCCGCCCCCCAGCCCTGCCTGTCAGCTCCTTTTGCTTTCACAACATTTCTCGTCTTGCCCTCTATCACAGTGAGCTGACCCGCCTCCTAACGCCTCATCCGGGCCTCCCTTTTTCTCTTTTTTCCCTCTCTTCCTCTCTCCTTTCTTGCCTTGCTTCCCTGAGAGGAACATAATGGGTGTTGGGGGAGGGCGATGATTCTCTTTTTCTTTTCTTTCTTTTTTTTTTTTTTTTTGAGACGGATTCTCGCTCTGTCACCCAGGCTGGAGTGCAGTGGCACAATCTCGGCTCACTGCAACCTCCGCTCCCAAGTTCAAGCGATTCTCCTGCCCCAGCCTCCCAAGTAGCTGGGATTACAGGCACCTGACACCATGCCTGGCTAATTTTTGTATTTTTAGTAGAGACAGGGTTTCACCATGTTGGCCAGGCTGGTCTCGAACTCCTGACTTCAGGTGATCCGCCCGCCTTGGCCTCCCAAAGTGCTGGGATTACAGGCATGAGCCACCATGCCTGGCCCTCATCATTCTATTTCTCCTTCTACTATTTTATGTGACATATCACACAACCCAGTGCATGGTTTACACAGGTATTATTATTATTCTCGAGATTCAGAGATGCAGAAAGATCCAAAAACAGCCCAAGGTCACTGAGCCATTGCTGACAGGCCAGGGGCTGAGGTGGCCTTTCCTGACAGCCCAGGATTTCCCTTAAGCCACTGACCTCCAAAAGCACCTCCTCTCAGAGCCGTAAGGCCCCACCTGGTCTAACCTGCTCTCCCCGCCACCTGTGGCATAGTTTCCTCTCAGATCCCTCTCCTCATCTTCCTTCCTCCCTCAGCACGGGCCAGCCCCTTATTCTAATGTTAGGGTTTATCTCACTTGACCTCTTGTCCCTTGCGTGCCCTTCTTTATGCAAACCCAAGAGGAGTAAATCCCCTGCATGCTAGGGATTAATTACTCCTATCACAGAAGTCTTTCCCATGAGCACCCCTCTTGGGTCACCTGTCTCATTCCACTCTGCATTAGGGTATTTGCGTGTCCTCAAATGCCATCCCTCCCTCCCTCCCCACCTTCCTTCCTTCCCTCCTTCCTTCCTTCCTTCTTTCTTTTTTCATGGAGTCTCGCCCTCTTGCCCAGGCTGGAGTGCAGTGGCACAATCTCAGCTCACTGCAACCTCCACCTCCCAGATTCAAGAGATTCTCCTGCCCCAGCCTCCTGCGTAGCTGGGATTATAGTCATGCACCACCACACCTGGCTAATTTCTTTGTAGTTTTAGTAGAGACAGGGTTTCACCATGTTGGTCAGGCTGGTCTTGAATTCCTGATCTCAAATGATCCACCCGCTTCGGCCTCCCAAAGTGCTGGGATTACAGGCATAAGCCACTGTGCCCGACCCTCAACTCCTTTCTAGATCACCAGAACACTCACCTCTGCACCCCCTGGCATGGAGTCCAATGCCTTACTGTTCAGAAATATACTTAAATTTTGATAAAAAAAAGTTTGAAGACACAAAATCTGAATCCAAAACAGTGTTTCAAAGGCATATATTCTACGTACAGTCAGCCCTCAGTGTCTGTGGGTTCCGCATCCCTGAAGTCAACCAACCACAGATCAAGAATATTCAAAAATCTCATGTACCCCATAAATATATATACTACTATGTGCCCACAAAAAATTAAAAATGTAAAAATGTGAAAAGGACGGCTGTGTCTGTACTAAACACATAGACTTCTTTTTCTTGTCATTATTCCCTAAACAATACAGCATAACAACTACTTACTAGCATTTCCATTGGATTAGGTATTCTAAGTCATCTAGAGATGACTCAAAGTATATGGGAAGATATGTGTAGGTCATATGCAAATACTGCACCATTTTATATAGAGGACTCGAGCATCCAAAATCTGGGGGGCCTGCAACCAATTCCCCATGGATACAGAAGGATCACTATATAAACAAATGCCAGAATTTGGGGTTTTAAGGTAGTTGCTTTGCTTTTATTTATTTATTTATTTTGTATTTCAATGAGGATGAGAAAATGGGATTATGAAGTCCAGATAGCCAATAAGATAGCCATCAAATCACACCACAAAACAAGCATTGTTTCTTTTCTTTTCTTTTTTTTTTTTTTTTTTTTTTTTTTTTGAGATGAAGTCTCACTCTGTCACCCATGTTGGAGTGCAGTGGTGCCATCATGGCATCATGGCTCACTGTAATCTCCACCTCCCGGGTTCAAGCAATTCTCCTGCCTCAGCCTCCTGAGTAGCTGGGACTACAGGCACACACCACCACACCCGGCTAATTTTGCTATTTTTTTAGAGATGGGGTTTCACCGTGTTGGTCAGGCTGGTCTCGAACTCCTGAGCTCAAGTGATCCACCTGCCTCGGCCTCCCAAAGTGCTGGGACTACAGGCGTGAGCAACCACGCCCAGCTGCAAACATTGCATCTCAAGTGCCTACAATAATCAAGTATTTGATATATGACACCTCATTTAATTAAACAGACAGATGAGAGGACAGACTCAGAGAGGCTGCCCAAGGATACACAGCTAATAATGACAGATCTGAGAACCTCAGCGGGTCCCAGTTGGAGCCCTTCTCTTTGCCTGAGTCACACTCTCATGCACATGCACACTGTAGCCTACACACCCTACTGCCCAATCAGGGGTGTCCAATCTTTTGGCTTCCCTGGGTCACACTGGAAGAAGAATTGTCTTGGGCCACACATAAAATACACTGATACTAATGATAGCTTATGAGCTTTAAAAAAAAAAAAATCCCAAAGGAAGCTTATGAATTTGTGTTGGGCCACATTCAAAGCCATCCTGGACATGCCACAGGTTGGACAAGCCTGGTCTAAATCAAGATCCAGCCCAGGAGTGGTGGCTCACACCGGTAGTCCCAGCACTCTGGGAGTCCCAGGCAGGAGGATCACTTGAGCCCAGAGTTTAAGACCAGCCTAGGCAACATAGTGAGACCCTTGTTTCTATAAAAAAAAAAATATAAAAAATGATCCAGGCATGGTGGCATGCGCCTGTGGTCCAAGCTACTTGGGAGGCTGAGGTGGGAGGATTGCTTGGGCCGGGACTCCTCACTGTAGTTGAGGCTACAGTGAGCCAAGATCACACCACTGTACTCTGCCCTGGGTAACAGAGTGAGATCTTGTCCTTAAAAAAAATAAAAAATAAAAATCACTTGCATGTATTTTCTGCCAACCTCTGACCAGAACCAGTTCAACTGTTTTTCTCCTTCAATCTTTTTTTTTTTTTTTTTGAGATGGAGTTTCACTCTTGTTGCCCAGGCTGGAGTGCAATGGAACGATCTTGGCTCACTGCAATCTCTGCCTCCCGGGTTCAAGCGAATCTCCTGCCTCAGCCTCCAGAGTAGCTGGGATTACAGGTGTGCACCACCACACCCGGCTAATTTTGTATTTTTAGTAGAGATGGGGTTTCTGCATGTTGGTCAGGCTGGTCTCGAACTCCCAACCTCAGGTGATCTGCCCACCTCGGCCTCCCAAAGTGCTGAGATTACAGGTGTGAGCCACCACACCCAGCATCCTTCAATCCTTTACCTTGGTCTCCTCACCCTCCTCTCCCACTTCCCTCTACCCTACCCTCCTTTTTTTTTTTTTTTTTTTTTTTTTTTGAGACGGAGTCTCGCTATTGTTGCCCAGGCTGGAGTATAGTGGCTCAATCTTGGCTCACTGCAACCTCCATCTCCCAGGTTCAAGCAATTCTCCTGCCTAAGCCTCCCGAGTAGATGGGACAACAGGCGCCCGCCACCATGCCCAGCTAATTTTTGTATTTTTAGTAGAGACGGGGTTTCACCATGTTGGCCAGGATGGTCTCGATCTCTTGACTTCATGATCCACCTGCCTTGGCCTCCCAAAGTGCTGGGATTACAGGCATAAGCCACCGTGCCCAGCCCACCCTACCCTCTTATCCCTAATTAAGATCATCTCTACTGCTCACTTTGAAATCTACTGATGAACTCTATTTCATATTGAAGCCCTCCTTTGACCATAAAATCCAACCAAAAAATATGGCTTCTCCCACTTTGGGTAAGCCTTTTATGTTCTTTTTTTTCTGTGATCACAAATTTGTCATTTGACTTTAAACCCTGTAGGTTGTATTAGAATTCCCCGTGTTCTATACGGCACTTGGCACATAAAAGTCTCATGCTGCTCAGAGACTAAATTATGTGTCCCTGAGAAAGGACTGTGCCTTCTGTGCAATAGAAATGTTTTATAATAGCATTTTCCACCTCCAGCCATGTGATTCTAAGTGGAGTTTTTTCTCTATTGGTTTTGGTATGCCAGCATGCAGGTATACCCCTAGAATTTTCAACTGCAGAGCTGCAATAGGGCAGAATAATGTGTCTCTGGGGAGTGCTGCTCTATCGCCCCAGGCCTATTCCAAAGCATCTTTCAGCTGTAGGGGCCCATGTCTAGCCTGAATATCTTTGAGGCTAGTATATATTTGGCCTGCAGAATAGTTTCAGCTTCTGAAAGGGGTTTTGAGCTCCCTTGGACACTAGGAAATAGTAGAGGAGAAAGGAGAGGTAGAGATTTAATCTGGAGCTTCTAAATCTTCCGGAATCTTCCAAAGGTTTAGGAATGCCCATGAATCATACTCAAACCCCTTTAGAGGACTTCAAAGAGTACCATGAATGTGACCTCAGAAACTGCTCATCACCTAGCCAACCTCAACAGATGTGTAAGAAAGGGCCCAGGGGCTCTTGGTGCTTTCCCAAACTGCCCAAGGAAGGAGGGGCTGCAATAGGAGAGGGGAGATCAGTCTACACTGTCCGGTGCTGCCTATCATGGGGACATCAACCGCTAGACCAGCAGTTCTCAAAGTGAGGTCCCTGGAATGCTGAGAGGCTCCACGGTTCTTAAAAATACTAACATATTTCCCTTTTACACGGCATTGACACGGACTAGTGATAAAAAGGCAATGGTGGCTAAAACTTCTAGCCGTGTGAGAGGCAGTGCCACCAAAGTATACTAGTAATTGTGGCATTTTTTTACCACCAGGCATTTGAAGTTGTTCTACCTTTTTTTAAAGCCAATTTTCCTTAAGAATGTATTTGGTAACACAGTATTAATTTTATTTTATTTTTTATTTCTTTTTAAAATGTTTTAAATTTTTTAATTTTAATTTTTTTGTTGCTGTTGTTTGAGACAGAGTCTGCTTGTTGCCCAGGCTGGAGTGCAGTGGCACAATCTAGGCTCACTGAAACCTCCACTTCCTGGGTTCAAGTGATTCTCCTGCCTCAGCCTCCCAAGTAGCTGGGATTACAGGCACCTGCCATAACATCCAGCTAATTTTTGTATTTTTAGTAGAGATGGGGTTTCACCATGTTGGCCAGGCTGGTCTTGAACTCCTGACCTCAGGTGATCCACCTGCCTCAGACTCCCAAAGTGCTGGGATTACAGGCATGAGCCACCACATCCAGCCTATTTATTTTATTAAGTCTCAATTCAAGTAGATGTTTTAAAAATATTCTGTGCGATGAAACAGAAAGTATGATAAAGCACTTCTACTGTATACCAAATTATGATTGCTGTCTCAAGGAAAAATCACTTGAGAGTCACAGGCTACATTACTTGATAAAACAAACTATGATTATTTAGACTTGAATATTTGGCAGACCTTTTCTAGAAAATGAATGAAGTGACCCTGGCACTTCAAAGAACACAACAGACAGTATTGATTTCCAATGATCAAATTCAAGCTTTCAAGCAAAAGTTAAATATGGGGGAACCTGGCTAACTCTGGGTGTACTGCCTATGAGTTAGCTCTGCTGTGCAAGGAGAAGAAAAATAATTTTAAAAAATACAAAAAAAGGAAGAAAAAATTTGGGGGCAACCTGCATTTATCACCACAAGCTTGACTGCTTGTCAGTGATTAAAGGCTTTTCTCATGAGATCAGCTATGACATTAACAAATGTGGATTTTTAAAAATACATACTGAAATGTTTCAATATTTGGAAGATCTTCACAATTCAGTGAACCAATATTTTCCAAATAACCAACCATGATGTTACAGAATCATGCATGGGTAAGCAGTCCATTCAAAGTTCAAGATGGGCCAACCAATTTTAATGTAACAGAGCATGAAAATTTCCTTTTTATGGTTTCAGATTCTGCTGCAACTAACCTTTAAGAAACTACCTCTTGGCTGGGTGCAGTGGCTCACGCCTGTAATCCTAGAGCTTTGGGAGGCCAAGGCTGGCAGATCACCTGAGGTCAGGAGTTCGAGACCAGCCTTTCCAACATGGTGAAGCCCTGTTTCTACTAAAAATACAAAAATTAGCCCGGCGTGGTGGCAGGCGCCTGTAATCCCAGATACTCGGGAGGCTGAGGCAGGAGAATCTCTTGAACCTGGGAGGCAGAGGGTGCAGTGAACTGAGATTGTGCCACTGCATTCCAGCCTGGGCAACAGAGCAAGACTCCATCTCAAACAAAACAAAACAAAACAAAACAAAAACTACCTCTTGTAGAGTTTGGGTTTAGTATCAAAGAAGAATGTTCACAATAATCCAAAAATTCTACTATAATATTCCTCCCTTTTCCAATTGCATATCTTTGTGAGGTTGAATTTTCTTTCCCTATAGAATTTCAGTGAAAATGACATACCTCAATAGATTGAAGCAGAAGCAAATATGAGCATACAGCTGACTTCTATCAAGACAATCATCAAAGAGATTTGAAAAAATATAAACGACATGATCTTCTCTTTATCTACTTTTTTTGGAAATATAATTATTTTTCATGAAAACATTTTCATAAAAAATGAGCTTACTATTATTCTTGTTAAAGGAAATTAATATTTTTCTTAATTTTAATTTCTAATGCAGTAAATATCAATATATAGAACCCAAATAAAAGCACTTTAAAAGCACTTTGCATTTCTCAAAAATCTTTTTTTTTTTTTTTTTTTTTACACAGAGTCTCACTCACCCAGGCTGGGGTGCAGTGGTATGATCTCGGCTCACTGCAACCTCTGCCTCCGGGGTTCAAGCGATTCTTATGCCTCAGCCTCCCAAGTAGCTGGGATTATAGGCATGCGCCACTATGCCTGGCTAATTTTTGATATTTTTAGTAGAGACAGTGTTTCACCATGTTGGCCAGGCTGGTCTTGAACTCCTGACCTCAAGTGACCCACCCGCCTCAGCCTCCCAAAGTGCTGGGATTATAGGAGTGAGCCACCACACCTGGCTAATAATTTTTAAGAATATAAAAACAGGGCTAGGCACAGTGGCTCATGCCTGTAATCCCAGCCCTCCTGGCTTGGGCTCAGGAGTTCAAGATCAGCCATGGTAGGCCGGGCGTGGTGGCTCACGCCTATAATCCCAGCACTTTGGGAGGCCAAGACGGGCAGATAGCCTGAGGTTAGTAGTTGGAGACCAACCCGGCCAACATGGTGAAACCCTGTCTCTACCAAAAATACAAAAATTAGCTGGGCATGGTGGCAGGCACCTGTAATCCTAGCTACTCGGGAGACTGAGGCAGGAGAATTGCTTGAACCCAGGAGGCAGAGGTTGCAGTGAGCTGAGATCACGCCATTGCACTCCAGCCTGGGCGCCAAGAGCAAAACTCCATCTAGGAAAAAAAAAAAATCAGCCAGGGTGACGTGGTGAAACCTTGTCTCTACAAAAAATACCAAAAATTAGTCAGGCATAGTGGCATGCACCTGTGGTCCCAGCTACTTTGGAAGCTGAGGTGGGAGGATTACCTGAGCCTGGGAGGTTGAAGCGGCAGTGAGCAGTAATCGCGCCACTGCACTCCAGCTTGGGTGACAGAGTGAGCCCTGTCTCAAAAAAAAAAAAAGAGGAAAAGAAAAGGAAAGGAAAACAGGGTTGTCTGATTTCGCAAATAAAACTTCAGGGTGCCCAATTAAACTTGAATTTCAGATAAGAAATGAATATTTTCATATATGTTCCATACAATGTTTGGGAAATACTTGTACTAATAAATTATTTACTGTTTATCTGAAGTTACAGCCAATTGAGTGCCCTGTATCTTATCTGTCTGTGAAGATGTCCAGAGTCCCCAAAATTTGAGAAACACTGCACTCGGCTATGTCCCTCCCACATGTGCTAAAACACTAATACAAACATTTATTAAGCACCTGCTGTGTACTAGACACAGTGCTAAATTCTCGACATATACAACCTCCTGCCAAATCTCATGTGGCAAGTACTCTCATGATCCCTATTTTCTCATACAAATGAGGAAACGGAAACCCAAAGAAGTCAAGTGAAGCTAATTATTGGTGGAAAGCAAGACTGGAACCCACCAGACTCCAAAATCTCAGCTTGTACCTATTAGGCTTACACTGAACCCTGAATAAATGAGATTTCTAAAGATGGTTGGCTTTTCTGCATATTTTCATCTCACATTTTAGCACATCCATTTCTGTTGCTCATCTTCTCTCTGTTTCACAGCTGTGTGTTCTGCTATCACAGCAACCGTGAAAACCAAGGCTGGAAGTGCCGTGTGTGTCAAGGAATTCTAACCAGAACTGGAATTGGCATTCGGACTCAGAAAAGGATTTTCTCATGGATGCTTTCCTAGGCATGACAACAGCATAGTTCTGGGCTGGGAATTCTAGAATGCAGCAATGGTGCACAGACACCGCTCAGCTCACTGCAGCCTTGACCTCCTGGGCTCAAGCAATCCTCCTGCTTCAGCCTCCTGAGTAGCTAGGACTACAGGCGCACGTCACCACGCTCGGCTAATGCTCATTACTATGAATGAAAAGCCACTGGGAGCCCGGTACTGCGCTAGAATCTTCTTTGAGAATAAGCTGGGAATTTATCCAAATGAATCTGTACCAACCAAAACAAATGCAAACGTTGTAAGCAAGCCAAGGTCCTGTTTTTCACATGATCCTGATCCAGGCCACTGGATATATTTAATGAGCTCAGGCTTGATAGTAAACAAAATAGGGAAAGTAAAATATTTTTATGATCCAGTATGGGGGTAAGGCTATGAATTTCACTGTGTTACATGATTTGCAAATACAAAAATGAATCTGCTTGCACCCAACTAGGGGACCTCCCCTAGTTACCGCTTGCTATAATGAAATGTAGAAAGTGATAAACATGGCCAGGCATGATGGCTCAGGTCTGTAATCCCAGCACTTTGGGAGGCCAAGGTGCGCAGATTGCTTGAGGCCAGGAGTTTGAAACCAGCCTGGCCAACATGGCGAAACCCTGTCTCTACTAAAAATACGAAAATTAGCCAGCTATTTTATTAGTACAAAATACGACTATTAGCACACCTGTAGTCCCAGCTACTTGGGAAGCTGAGGCACGAGAATCGCTTGAACCCAGGAGGCAGGGTTGCAGATCACAGAGTGAGACTGTCACAAACAAAGTGATAAACATAAAAAAAGAGATGCTGGTCTTTCATATTGGCCAGATTTCTTTAACAAAAACATTCACCTTTCAAACAATTTTTGTTTTGTAAATCTGGATTTTTATTAAGGTGAGGCACACTGGATTATTCTAAAGGCAGTTGTGTATACAGAAGCCAGGGGCGAAAGAACTTCGAAAATAGCCTAGAGGAAAGAATGGGACAAAGAGAGGAAGGGGAAAAAAAGGATAAATAGGGGAAAAAATGCAAAAACTGGAGTTTTTTGGTAACTAAGAAGAGGGGCATTTTAAAAGCCAAGGCTTGGTAAAAACCTAGGGAATAGGCTTAAGTAGAAAGGAGATTTGGGAAGCTCCAGGGCCCTTGGACACCTGGCAGTGAGCATCAGAAAGAAAAGTAAGAGTTCTTAAGAAAAACCAATCAACTTTGCATTTGCCCTGGGGCTGGCCTGGCAGTGCTGCTATCAGAATTCAGATACTGGCCCAGCCCTGCTCTAGGGCCTGAAGTTTGGCTCTTGCCTCTTCATTTCAGTCCCTTTAGCTGCCCATCCAATCTAGATCCCCGGAGTGCTCAAAGGAGAGGCAACAAGAAGAAAAAGAAAAAGAAGGACAAACTGAAATGCAAGCATGGACCTTAGATGACGATTCTCACAGCTCTCCCCCTTCATGGGACCTTCAGAATTCATTCTTGTGAAAGCTGTAAGTCAAGGAGGACACAGCCAGAAACCGTGACTCATCAAATTCCCAAAGCCAAGACCAGAACACACAGACTCTGGATCCAAGGACTCGCTTTCTGCTTTCAGAACACGGGATCCTGCCTACTTTGTAGTATTTCAATACAAAGCTGATCAAGCCGAGGGTCCCCATCTACTCCCCGCCAGCCTGGCTGCCCTTCCCTGTCTTCAGAGTTTTCTAAATCATAGAGAAGATAGAGTTTAATTCCATGGTGTTTGAGTCACAGGACCTTAGAACACTTCAGAAAACGATTGGCCTTAAAAAATGGTTGGGTCTGTACAAGAAAGTCACTGAGTACAGAGGATGGCAAACATTTCTGTCATGGGCTAGGTAAATACTATAGGCTTTGCAAGCCATGTGTTTTCTGTTACATATTATTCTTTTATTTGTTTCTTTTTGTTTTTTGTTTTTGGGGTTTTTGTTTTTTGTTTTTGAGACAGGATCTCCCTCTGTCACCCAGGCTGGAGTACAGTGGTGCCATAACAGCTCACTGCAGCCTCAACCTCCCTGGCTCCAGGGATCCTCCTGCTTCGGCCTCCTGAGTAGACTGCAGGTGTGCTTCACTACACTTGGCTAATTTTTTTATTTTATGTAGAGACAGGGTCTCTCACTGTGCTGCCCAGTTTGGTTCTTTTTTTTTTTTTTTTTTTTTTTTTTTTGCAACCTTTTAAAAATGTAAAAACCATTAGCTAGAGGGCCACACATAAACAGACAACAGACCACAGTTTACTGATGCCTGACTTAGAGCAATGGAAAAGGGCTGGCAGCATTGACTGGTGACTGCTGCATGTAGTGAGACTAAAGATAGTACAAAACCTCACCAGGTTTGACGAAGGCAACTACCTCTCCATCTGACTTGCCCAAGTCAGCTATAGCTGTGGCAGAGAATTTAATCTGGAAATGCTAGGCTTATATCTTTGAAAAATTAGATAAATGAAGTTGTTGGTTTTGTGTTTGTTTTATTTTATTTTTTTGAGACAGTCTCACTCTCTCTTGCCCAGGCAGCCACCCTGCAGTGTCGTGGTGTGATCTTGGCTCACTGCAACCTCCACCTCCTGGGTTCAAGCAATCCTCCCACCTCAGCCTCCCAAGTAGCTGGGACTACAGGCGTATGCCACCACAACTGGCTAATTTTTTTTTTTTTTTAAGACGGAATCTAGCTCTGTTGCTCAGGCTGGAGTGCAGTGGTGTGATCTCGGCTCACTGCAACCTCTGCCTCCCAGATTCAAGCGATCCTCCTGCCTCAGCCTGCCAAGTAGCTGAGATCACACCTGGCAATTTTTTTTTTTTTTTTTTTTTTTTTGTATTTTTTAGTAGAGACAGGGTTTCACCATGTTGGCCAGGCTGGTCTTGAACTCCTGACCTCAAGTCATCCACCCGCCTTGGACTCCCAAAATGCTGGGGTTACAGGCATGAGACACTGCGCCCGGACTAACTTTTGTATTTTTAGTAAAGGCGGGGTTTCACCATGTTGGCCAGGCTGGTCTCGAACTCCTGGCCTCAACTGGTAACGCCCGCCTCAGCCTCCCAGGACAAATGAAGTTTAAAATAAGCTAGAATATTTTTTAACCTGCTAGTTTTCATTGTGTGTGTGTGTGTGTGTTTGGGGGGTGGGGGGGTGTACGTTTTTATTTAAAAGTGAATACTCCATATGTACCACAAAATTCCAAACCTGGAAGAATCTTCCAATATAGTCCAGTCTACAACTGTTTACCCTTGAGGAAACTGACCTGCTTCAGTTAAATGAGATATTCTAAGTCACATGTTAGTTTGCAGAAGAGAAGGGGCCAGAAACTTGTTTTCGTATTTCAAAATTCATACACTTTACTTTAATGGTGCACTGCCCATTAAGTACTAAAAAATCAATTCAACAAATACTTACGAAGTATTTCTTATATATCTAGCACTGGTTAGGTGCACTAAGGTTACAAAATAAATGTAAGCGAAGATTACTGCCCATAGAAATGTTTTGGGCCAGGTGTGGTGGCTCATGCCTGTAATCCCAGCACTTTGGGAGGCCAAGGCGGGCAGATCACAAGGTCAAGAGATCAGGACCATCCTGGCCAAAATGGTGAAACACCATCTCTATTAAAAATACAAAAATTAGTTGGGCGTGGTGGCACGCCTGTAGTCCCAGCTACTTGGGAGGCTGAGGCAGGAGAATCCCTTGAAACCAGGAGGCCGAGGTTGCAGTGAGCTGAGATCGTGCCACTGTACTGCAGCCTGGCGACAGAGTGAGGCTTTTTTAAAAAAAAAACAACAAAAAACCCTTTTGGTCTCTCACTGAGAAAACAAGGCACACACACTAAGCAAATATATTCTTCCTTGCATTGTCATGTAACTACATATCTAAAATGGGAGCCACCGTAATCCTAGCACTTGGGAGACCTGAGGTCAGGAGTTCAAGACCAGCCTGGCCAATATGGTGAAAACCCATCTCTACTAAAAATACAAACCCTAGCCAGGCATGGTGGCATGCACCTGTAATCCCAGCTACTTGGGAGGCAAAGGCAGGAGAATTGCTTGAACCTGGGAGGTGGAGGTTGCAGTGAGCCGAGATCGTGCCACTGCACTCCAGCCTGGGTGACAGAGTAAGTAAGACCCTGTTTCAAAAAGAAAAAAACAAAAACAAAAATTAGCTGGGCATGGTGGCATGCGCCTGTGGCCATAGCTACTTAGGAGGCTAAGGCAGGAGAATGGCGTGAACCCGGGAGGCGGAGCTTGCAGTGAGCCGAGATCCCGCCACTGCACTCCAGCCTGGGCGACAGAGCGAGACTCCGTCTCAAAAAAAAAATAAATAAATAAATAAATAAATAAATAAATAAATAATAAAGAAAGAAATAATAAAACAGGGCCATCTCGTATAACTCTGTAATGGTGGAAAGTTTCTGTATCTTTGCTGCTATCAGGATAGTAGCCAGTAGCCACATATGTCTATTAAGCACTTGAAATGTGCCGCTGGCTACCATATTAAAAATTTTTAATTTTACAGATGTTCCTTGACTTACAATGGGCTACTTTCCATTAACCCCATCATAAGTAAAAAATATCATAAGTCAAAAATGTGGCTGGGCGAGGTGGCTCACGCCTGTAATCCCAACACTTTGGGGAGGCCAAGGTGGGCAGATCACTTGAGGTCAGGAGTTTGAGACCAGATGGGCCAACCATGGCCAACATGGTGAAACCCTGTCTCTACTAAAAATAAAAATTAGCTGGGCATGGTAGCACATGCCTGTAATCCCAGCTACTCAGGAGGCTGAGGCAGGAGAATTACTTGAACCTGGGAGGCAGAAGCTGCAGTGAGCCAAGATCGTGCCACTGCACTCCAGCCTGGGTGACAGAAGGAGACTCTGTCACAAAAAAAAAAAAAAAAAAAAAAAAAAAAGCATCTAAGGCGGGGCATGGTGGCTCACACCTGTAATCCCAGCATTTTGGGAGGCTGAGGTGGGCAGATCACCCGAAGAGCTCGAGACAAGTCTGGCCAACATGGCAAAACCCTCTCTCTACTAAAAATACAAAAATTAGCCAGGTGTGGTGGCACACACCTGTAATCCCAGCTACTTGGGAGGCTGAAACAGGAGAATTGCCTGAACCCGGAAGGCGGAGGTTGCAGTGAGCCGAGATTGTGCCACTGCACTCCAGCCTGGGCAACAAAGCGAGACTCCATCTAAAAAATAATAAATAAATAAATAAATAAATAAATAAATAAATAAATAAATATTAAAATAAAAGTAAATAAACTTCACGATGGATTTTAAGGATATTAGACCCCCTTTTTTTTTTTTTTTTTTTTTTGAGATGGAGTCTCACTCTATCACCCAGGCTGGATTACAGTGGTGTGATCTCGGCTCACTGCAACCTCCGCTTCCCGGGTTCAAGCGATTCTCCTGGCTCAGCCTCCCGATGAGCTGGGATTACAGGCGTGTGCCACCACACCTGGTTAATTTTTGCATTTTTAGTAGAGACGGGGTTTCACCATGTTGGCCAGGCTAGTCTGGAACTCCCGACCTCAGGTGATCCGCCCACCTTGGCCTCTCAAAGTGCTGGGATTACAGGTGTGAGGCACCATGCCTGGACGATCATGAAGTTTAAAAATTCTAGGTGGAGCATCTTCTGTACTTAATTTTAATTAAATTATTATTATTTTTCTTCTTCTTTTTTTCGAGATGGAGTCTCGTTCTGTTGCCCAGGCTGTAGTGCAGTGGTACAATCTTAGCTCACTGCAACCTCCACCTCCTGGTTTCAAGCAATTCTCCTGTCTCACCTCCTAAGTAGCTGGGACTACAGGCACACGCCATCGCACCCAGCTAATTTTTATATTTTTAGTAGAGATAGGGTTTCACTATATTGGCCAGGCTGGTCTTGAACTCCTGACCTGTGATCCACCCGTCTCGGCCTCCCAAAGTGCTGGGATTACAGGCGTGAAGCACCGCGTCCAGCCCTATTTTTCTTCTTTTTAATCTGAATTTAAATAGCCATGTGTGGCTAGGGACTTCCGTACTGGACATCACAGGTCTAAAATAATTATTATAATCTGGATGAAAAATATGTCACATTCATTCTGTCACTTTTCCTTCTTTTGCCTATGGCAAAAACCACTATGATCACAGGACTCTTTTTCCTTTGAACATGGGCAGGCTTTCAGAATTCTCCATGCAAGGCGAGGCACGGTGGCTCACACCTGCCACCCTAGCACCTTGGGAGGCTGAAGTGGGAGGATCCTTGGAGCCCAGGAGTTGGGGACCAGCTTGGGCAACATAGTGAGACCTGTCTCTACAAAAAGCAAACAAAATTAGCTGGGCATGGGGGTGCATGCGTGTAGTCCCAGCTACTCAGAAATTGAGGCAGGAGGACTGTTTGAGCCCTGGAGGTAGAAGCTACAGTGAGCCATGATCGCGGCAGTGCGCTCCAGCCTGGGTGACAGAGTAAGACTCTGGAATAAATAAATAAAATAGAATTCTCTATGCAACCATTGTCAATGGCATGGACTTGGTTTACATAAAACGAAACCTGTTTGCCATTCCCGATGCAGATTAAAAAAGGTGACAAAGGTGACCTGGAGAAGGAAGGAGTTGAGGTGAGCTTCAGATGAGATCGGGAGTGATCAGGGTGGTCTGGCCACAGACTAGCTGAGCTTCAAAGGATAACATCTGGAGAGATAAAGAGGAAAGGACAAAGAGTATGGGGTTCTCTGTATAGAGGAGAGTAGCTGCGAAGGAGCTGAATGGAGCTCCCCTGGTCCTAGGACAAGGAGGATGCTGGCCTGCCAAGCAGAGAGGGTTGGGTTGGGTGTGGTTGGAGATAAGGGGATAGGCGGAAGGGTGGGTCTGGGTTATGACTTTGAAATTCCAGGACACCCTGAGGGTTTCAGAGGAGCCTGGAGAACACATTTTAGAAAGGCAACTCTGATAGCTAGGCACAGATAGGTTGTACAATGGACATGCGCTCAGATACCAGGGTGAAGGCTATGCCAGTAATGATGTGTGTTTTTCCTTTAGGAAAATAAAACTTGTTTATTATGTAAAATGTATAAATGTCAGAAAAGCAGATATAAAAAAATTAAAATCAGATGTCTACCAACCACAGATGACATTTTGATGTGGTTTCTTACAGTTTTTTTCCTCCTTCTCTGGCTAGTGCAGTAATTTAGGAATTAACATTATGACTTGAACTAGGAAGATGGTAGTGCGAATGAAGAGGAAAGGCCGTGAAAGATATCGTTAAGTGAGGCAGGGGGGTGAGGACAAAAGAGAATTAGCTTCCAAAGACAGGAGTTCTAGACCTGGGTATTCTGTGGGGCCTGAACTCCCAGCCTTGGTTTTGCCATACATCAATCTCTCTCTTTTTTTTTTATCTTTTTTTTTTTTTTTGAGATGGAGTCTTGCTCTGTCACCCAGGCTGGAGTGCAGTGGCGCAGTCTCAGTTCACTGCAACCTCTACCTCCTGGGTTCAAGAGATTCTCCTGCCTCAGCCTCTCAAGTAGCTGGGACTACAAGTGGGAGCCACCATGCCCGGCTAATTTTTTGTATTTTTAGTAGAGACGGGGTTTCACTGTGTTAGCCAGGATGGTCTCGATCTCCTGACCTCGTGATCCACCTTCCTCAGCCTCCCAAAATGCTGGGATTACAGACGTGAGTCACCACGCCCGGCATTTTTTTTTTTTTTTTTTTTTTGAGATGGAGTCTTGCTCTGTCACCAGGTTGGAGTGCAGTGGCACGATCTCGGCTCATTACAACCTCCACCTCCTGGGTTCAAGTGATTCCCCTGCCTCAGCCTCCCGAGTAGCTGGGACTACAGGCATGTGCCACCACACCCAGCTAATTTTTTGTATTTTAGTAGAGACAGGGTTTCACCATGTTGGCCAGGATGGTCTTGATCTCCTGACCTCATGATCCACCCGCCTCAGCCTCCCAAAGTGCTGGGATTACAGGCGTGAGCCACCATGCCTGGCCTTTTTAAAAAAAATATTATTCTTTTTCCTTTTTTTTTTCTTTTTAAATATTTTTTTCCATTTTTTTTTTGAGACGCCTGGCCCATACGTCAATGTCTTAACCACTTCTTATTGGAGTCTAATTAAAGGTCAGATGAGATTTTTGAGACCCCCTTCAACTAACGTACAGATATGTCTGTGTATATTTAAAGTGAACATCACATATAAATAGAAGTAGTTGTCATAACACCACACAAGATCCCTTGATCTCTAGGCTATACCAGTAGCTTATAGCCTCTTGCAATCTGCAAAATTTTAGGGGTAGAGTAATTAAACTTTCTATTCTGAGCAGTGTTACAAAGAGGATCTGTAGCTGTAGTTCATGGGACAGGATATGAATGGGGCAGTGTAAACAGAGAATTCACTTTCAGACAGGACTCCACCAAGCAGAAATAGCTTCTTCCTAGGAGCCAAAAGGTTTTCAAAGCCCAATACATCTTTGAAGACTATAAGAAAAACAATAGTAAAAACAGCTGCTAGGGAATACAGATTATGCTCTCTGAGGCCAGATGCAGTGGCTTACACCTGCAATCCCAGCACTCTGGGAGACCAAGGTAGGCGGTTCACCTGAAGTCAGGAGTTCAAGACCAGCCTGGCCAACATGGTGAAACCCCATCTCTACTAAAAATACAAAAATTAGCTGGGTGTGGTGGTGCATGCCTGTAGTCTCAGCTACTTGGGAGGCTGAGGCAGGAGAGTCACTTGAACTCGGGAGGCAGAAGTTGCAGTGAGCTGAGACCGCACCACTGCACTCCAGCCTGGGAAACAGAGCAAGACTCTGTCTCAAAAGAAAAAAAAAAAAAAAGAAGAAGGGAAAAAAAAGCTCTCAGGTAGGAAAGAGCAATACAAAGACATTCATCAGGCCAATAAGCAAAAGTTTACACCAGAGGTTATCTATACATTTTTAAAAAATACTGATTCCTGGGCTCCCCTTCAGACCAATTAAATCAGAGTCTCAGTAAGTGTTGTCTGTGAATTGATTTGTCTTATTTTGTTTTATTTTTTGAGACTGGATCTCAGTCTGTCACCCAGGCTAGAGTGCAGTGGCAAAAACATGGCTCACTATAGCCTCGACTTCCCGGGCTCAAATGATCCTTGCATCCTAGACCCTTGCCACTCCCTCTCCCCAGTAGCTGGGACTACAGGTGCGTGCCACCATGCCTGGTTAATTCTTTTTTTTTTTTGAGATGGAGTTTTACTATTATTGCCCAGGCTGGAGTGCAATGGTGTGATCTCAGCTCACCACAACCTCTGCCTTCCAGGTTAAAGCGATTCTCCTGCCTCAGCCTCCCGAGTGGCTGGGATTACAGGCATGCACCACCACGCCCGGCTAATTCTGTATTTTTAGTAGAGATGTGGTTTCCCCGTGTTGGTCAGGCTGGTCTCAAACTCCCAACCTCAGGTGATCCACATGCCTCGGCCTCCCCAAAGTGCTGGGATTACAGGCATGAGCCACCATGCCTGGCGCCTGGCTAATATTTTTTAATTTATTTTTTTTTTAGAGATGGGGTCTCACTATGTTGCCCAGGCTGGTCTTGAACTCGTGGGCTGAAGTGATTCTTCCACCTCAGCCACCCACAGTGCTGGGATTACAGGCCTGAGCCACCATGCCTAGCCTGGTAATTTTTTAAAATTCACAACATGATTGAAACTTGAAACACAAGAAGATGCCCTGGAGAAAAAACAGTTCAAGGGACAGCAGAGCAGCTGGGATCCACACTGTGCCCTTAGCCACCTGGGTTAAGGGTTACAGCAAGTTCCTTAGTGATGTGGGAGCTAGAGGCCAAAATAGAACCCACCAATACATTTTATAATTGCATATTACACTCCGTATAGCTAAAATTCAGGGTGTAGATTCCATGATTTTCAATGCATCCTTTGGTCATTTTCACTGAACTGTGAGTTAGCGAACTCCTGGGGACCTGGTCAGAATGTCGATGGACATACCTTTTTCTGAGAATCCCTTGGCCCTCTAAGGAGCTGGTAGTTAAAAAATGCAAACTCGGCCGGGTGCGGTGGCTCACGCCTGTAATCCCAGCACTTTGGGAGGCCGAGGCAGGCGGATCACGAGGTCAGCAGATAAAGACCATCCTGGCTAACACGGTGAAACCCCATCTCTACTAAAAATACAAAAAAATTAGCCAGGCATGGTGGCGGGCGCCTGTAGTCTCAGCTACTCTG
Source organism: Homo sapiens (assembly GCF_000001405.40). Lineage (NCBI taxonomy): Eukaryota > Metazoa > Chordata > Mammalia > Primates > Hominidae > Homo > Homo sapiens. Next base: position 40,534,830 of record NC_000004.12, read on the forward strand.
GAGGCTGAGGCAGGAGAATGGCGTGAACCCGGGAGGCGGAGCTTGCAGTGAGCCGAGATCGTGCCAGTGCACTCCAGCCTGGGCGATGGAGCAAGACTCCGTCTCAGAAAAAAAAAAAAAAAAAAATGCAAACTCGCCTCAGACTGACGTAGGTATGTGAGCCAGCTCTGCCATGCATGAACTGTATGACCTTGTGTGAGTTCCCTGTTGTCTTTTAAGTCTGTTTTCTTATTGACAAAATAGGAATCCTAGCCCCTTCTTTAGAGATTATGGAAGAGATCAAATGAGGCTATACAAGTAAAACTGATAATACAAGTAAAAGACTTCCTTATGCCTGGCATATAGTGAACCCTCAGTAAATGTAAATCATCATTATTTTCTTAAGACCTCTAGGGTTCCTTACAACTCCAATATTTTAAGATTCCAAGAATCACTGATTACACAGGTATAGATGAACAAAAATCAGTGGGTACTGACATGCCTAGACTGAAAGGCCTGGTTTGTGTTCAGCACCTTTTCATACCAGCCTGGTATGGTATTTCTTTTTTTTTTTTTTTTTTTGAGACGGAGCCTTGCTCTGTCACCCAGGCTGGAGTGCAGTGGCACATACCAGCTCACTGCAACCTCCGCCTCCCGGGTTCAAGCGATTCTCCTGCCTCAGCCTCCTGAGTAGCCGGGATTACAGGTGCCCACCACCACGTCTGGCTAATTTTTGTATTTTTTTTTTTCGTTTTTGTTTTTGTATTTTTCAGACGGAGTCTAGCCCTGTCGCCCAGGCTGGAGTGCAGTGGCGAGATCTCGGCTCACTGCAACCTCCACCTCCCGGGGCAAGCGATTCTCCTGCCTCAGTCTACCGAGTAGCTGGGATTACCAGCGCCTGCCACCACCCCCAGCTACTTTTTGTATTTTGAGTAGAGACTGGGTTTCACCATGTTGACCAGGTTGGTCTTGAACTCCTGACCTTATGATCCGCCCACCTTGACCTCTCAAAGTGCTGGGATTACAGGCATGAGCCACCACACCTGGCCTCGTATATATTTTTTTTCCCCCTCATAGAGATGGGGTTTCACCATGTTGGCCAGGCTGGTCTCAAACTCCTGACCTCAGGTGATCCACCCGCCTTGGCCTCCCAGAGTGCTGGGATTACAGGCGTGAGCCACTGCGCCCAGCCTCTGGTATGGTATTTCAATGCCCACTTCATTCTTTGCTTGAGGTGTCACTTGTATTTTGCTGACCTTGTTCTTAGTTTCAAATAACTCATTTATTTTGCAGACATAGAAATTTTGTCATTCTTTATGAAAGCAATGCGGCTGTTCTACTGCTACTTCTTGGCAGGCAACACCTGCATAGAAACCAATGAGCATGGCTGAAGTGAATGTCAGACATTCTATTTCTGTCTGCCCACGGTGCAGCAACCACTGACACACTTGGGGCAACCTGCTTTACCCAAAGTGCAGCCCGGGATGAGGCCCCACCTCAGCAGAACTTTGATGCATGTCTAATGACTGGCTTGGAGACCTTGTTCTTGGAAACTACAGGGCTGACATTTAAGTATCACCCATGAAATTTGCCTCAAGGTTCAACGCTGACATTAGCTACCAATTTCGGCTTCATAACCTTGGAGTATTCTCTTTGCTTTCTAGAGCATTAAATACCATCCTACAAAGCATAAAGCCATTATTGACCTGTTATTCTGCCAAAAGACACATACACTTTGTTGATGCCCACAATTTTCTTTTTCTTCCTCTATGGTAGGTCCAGACCTCTTCCGTTTAGGTAGACAGGCCTCCTTTTGTAGGTAATTGTCTGCTTCCCTGCCATGTTATTGGTTGAGTCATGGCTCATATCCACCTCTCTGCCTTTGCAGTTTTTGGTGTGTGTGTGTGTGTTTTTGTTTTTTTTTTATTGTTGTTGTTGACAGAGTCTCGCTCTGTCATCCAGGCTAGAAAGCAGTGGCATGATCTCAGCTCACTATAACTTCTGCCTCCCAGGTTCAAGCAATTCTCCTGCCTCAGCCTCCTTAGTAGCTGGGATTACAGACAGCTGCCACCACGCCAGGCTAAGTTTTTGTATTTTTAGTAGAGATGAGGGGTTTCACCATGTTGGCCAGGCTGGTCTCAAACTCCTGATCTCAAATGATCTGCGCCCAGCCTGCCTTTTCAGTTTTGAAAATAGGTTATCTTGTTTGGCAAATAGCAAGACATCAAAGAGCACACAGACAAAGTAACTAACCACTAGATCTATGAAACTTTTGCCCACATGAATGAACTAATTTTATTTTATGTTATTTATTTATTTTTGAGACAGGGTCTCACTCTGTTGCCCAGGCTGGAGTGCAGTGGCATAATCATGGCTCACTGCAGCCTTGACCTCATAGGCTCAAGCAATCGTCCCACCTCAGCCTCACAAGTAGCTGGGGCTACAGGGATGCACCACCATGCCCAGCTATTTTTTTTTTCTTAAGACAGCATCTCTCTCTGTCTCCAAGACTGGAGTGTGGTGCCTCCATCTCAGCTCACTGCAGCCTTGACTGAGCCTCCGGGTCAGGAGATCCTCCTGAGTAGCTGGGACTACAGGTGCAAGCCACCACACCTGGCTAATTTTTGTAGAGATAGGGTTTCACCATTGCCCAGGCTGGTCTTGAACCCCTGGGTTCAAGCAATCTGCCTGCCTCAGCCTCCCAAAGTGCTGGGATTCCAGGCGTGAGCCACCATACCTGGCCTAATTTTTAAATTTTTTTGTAGAGACACGATCTCACTGTGTTGCCCAGGCTGATGAACTGATTTTAAAAGGGCAAATCATTAAGTTTGGAATTAGCCTTAAACTCACTGCTCTTACACTCTACCAAAAACCATTTTTCCAAATATCTGTTTGGGTCCAGAAAGCAGATCTCAGCAACATCTTAGCTTTTACAGGAAGGCTTTGTGATGAAGTCACTGGTTGTCTGTATTCACCATGGGCTAAATGTAAATTCGGCGCAATTACTCTGACAAGTCTTTTTTTTCCTTCTTTTTTTTTTTTTAGATGCGATGTCACTGTTTTGCCCAGACTAGAGTGCAGTGGCACAATCATAAATCACAGCTCACTGCAGCCTTGAACTCCTGGACTCAAGTGGTCCTCATGCCTCAGCCTCCCAAGTAGCTAGGACTACAGGCGTGTGCGTGTGCCACCATGCCCAGCTACATCAAGTCTTGGAAAGTTCTTCAGTCTGCATCATAGTGGTAATTATACATTTATGTTTATAAACAGCAAAGGACTTCAGGGTTACTTTTGCATAAGTTTTCAATACCAGCAGGCTCCATACCTAAATTAACACTGACGTCAAATTTGATCAGAGATCAGGCAGAAGGAAAGAAAAGGGAGAGGTCCAGACAAGAGGGTAGTGAATATACTCCCTGGCAAATCTGGATACAGATGAGAAAAGGGATCCAGTAACTTCTACTGCATTTTCAAATATACCATTACATATGTGAGGTAGGATGCTCTTTTATTGGTATTGTTTTTTTTTTTTTTTTTGAGACAGAGTCTTGCTCTGTCGCCAGGCTGGAGTACAATGGCACGATCTCAGCTCACTGCAACCTCCGCCTCCCGGGTTCAAGCGATTCTCCTGTCCCAGCCTCCCAAGTAGCTGGGACTAGAGGCGCACGTCACCACGGCCAGCTAATTTTTGTATTTTTAGTAGAAACAGGGTTTCACTACGTTGGCCAGGATGGTCTCGATCTTTTGACCTTGTGATCTGCCCGCCTTGGCCTCCCAAAGTGCTGGGATTATAGGTGTAAGCCATGGCGCCCAGGCTTTTTTGTTTTTTGTTTGTTTGTTTGTTTTGAGACGGAGTCTTGCTCTGTTGTCCAGGCTGGAGTGGAGTGGCACAATCTTGGTTCACTGCAGCCTCTGCCTCCTGGGTTCAAGTGATTCTCCTGCCTCAGCCCAAGTAGCTGACATTACAGATGTGCACCACAACACCCAGCTAATTTTTTTGTATTTTTAATAGAGACAGGGTTTCACCATGTTGGCCAGTCAGTTTCGAACTCCTGACCTCAAAAGATCTGCCTGCCTTGGCCTCCCAAAGTGCTGAGATTACAGATGTGAGCCACTGTGCCCAGCCATGTTTCTTATTAACTAAATGTTTAAATGCTCATTCTTAAACTCTGCTGGGGCCAGGATAGTGGTCTGATTTATCTTTGTATCCCTCACACACTTGTTCCAGTATCTTTTATATGATGGTCCTATGTAGATTTAATTTAAATCAAATTAAATTATAGGCCACTTTCCCCTTCTTTGTAGTAAAAAGCTACATTGTACAAAATAAACAGTACCAAGTAATGTGTAATGGAAAAAAAAATCTCTTCCATTTTCAAGTGAAGAAGCAGAAAACTCGTTTTTAGAAGCTGCCTTTTGGGATTGCCTTGAGCAGCCTGGGGTCATTTTGTGACAGTTCCCTACCAGTGGTTGGCCAAGGAAAAGTCAATGTGTTTTAGCTCAGTTGTTTGACCTTTGGGTGTATTTGCTCTTTAGTAAGCATCCCTCATATGGACCACATGAGTTTTACCTGAAGTCTTAACTGGGTTAGAGTCTGCCTTTTTGAAACAACATGATGAGGAGGCCATTTTCCAAAAGGTGTATCTTCTAAGCCAGGCACGGTGACTCGTGCCTGTAATCCCAGCACTTTGGGAGGCCGAGGCAGGTGGATCACCTGAGGTCAGGAGATCGAGACCAGCCTGGCCAACATGGTGAAACACGTCTCTACTAAAAATACAAAAATTAGCCGAGCGTGGTGGCAGGTGCCTATAATCCCAGCTACTCGGGAGGCTGAGGCAGGAGAATCACTTGAACCTGAGAGGCAGAGGTTGCAGTCAACCGAGATTGTGCCACTGCACTCCAGCCTGGGCGACAGAGCAAGACTCTGTCTCAAAAAAAAAAAAAAAAAAAAAAAAAAAAAAGATATATCTTCTAGTAATTATTAGGTTATTAGGATAGGGATTTTAGGAAAATCTATTTCTAAGAGATCTGTGACTTCACTAAATGAGCTACAATTCCAAAATATGAAGAGCCATTTACCAAAGAAACAATGTCTTCACCAGGCCACGTTTTCCTCCTTTTCAAATGCAACTTGCATTTTCAACTTGTGAGTTAAATAATATCTACCTCTTAATTTATTAACTTACTTGGAATGAAAATCTAGGCTATGATTAGTAGGAAAGGGTAAGGACTCCAAATGTTTTACTATTTTTATTTTACTTAAAGTTCCCATCAGGAGCCCTGTGGTATTTCCTCCTCTAATCTTTCCTACAGATCGCCACCATCTAACTTCAGGTGCCATGTTGATCAAGGAAAATATGCTTGCTGTGGCTTGAGAAAAATCAAGGCCCCAATCTAAACACTTTACATGGTATGTCTCAAAACATCACTATGTACCTCATGAGTATGTACAATTATCATTTGTCAATGAAATAAAATAAAATTTAAAAAAGAAATTAACCAAAAGAGAATATAAGAAGGATGTTAAAATTCTTTGTTAAAAATAAACAGGCTGGGCACAGTGGCTCACCCCTGTAATCCCAGCACTTTGGGAGGCCGAGGTGGGAGGATCACCTGAGGTCAGGAGTTCAAGACCAGCCTGACCAACATGGAGAAACCCCATCTCTACTAAAAATACAAAATTAGCCAGGCATGGTGGCGCATGCCTGTAATCCCAGCTACTCAAGAGGCTGAGGCAGGAGAATTGCTTGAAGCCAGGAGGCGGAGGTTGCAGTGAGTCAAGATCACGCCATTGACTCCAGCCTAGGTAACAGGAGTGAAACTCTGTCTCAAAAAAAAAAAAAAATAATAATAATAATAATAATAATAATAAATGGGGAATAATGGGGAAAAAACCCTACTATTTTTTTCCTTATAGAACTATATAGGTTTTTTTCTCCTTCAGTTGGGTTTTTTAATTTATATATTTTATTTATTTATTTATTTATTTGGTTTTTTTAATCAGCTAACTTTAAGATTCATTATTTACATTTTGCCAGGAATTTTTCCATATAACCTAAATGTCAAGCTTATTGATATAAATCATATATAATATCCTCATTCTATTCTTTGTATTGTGAAATAAGCTCTATATAAGGTCATAAAACAAATAAACATCTCAAAGAAAGTCAGGAAATGACCTGGACTTTTTTTGAATCAAGCCAGGCACAGTGGGTCACACTTGCAATCCCAGCACTACGGGAGGCTACGACAAGCGGATCGCTTGAGCCCAGGAGTTCAAGACCAGCCTGGGAAACATGGCGAGACCTCATCTCTATAAAAAATTAAAAATTAGCTGGGCCCAGCTACTCACGAGGCTGAGGAGGGAGAATTGCTTGAGCCCAGGAGTTCGAGGCTGCAGTGAGCCCTGATTGCACCACTGCATTCCAGCCTAGGTGACCGAGCAAGATTCTCTCAAAAAAAAAAAAAAAAAATCGCATCAAATTTACTCATAACTAAGAAATCAGCAAGCTTGAGAAGGCCAGTTCCATGGAATTAGGGTTCCTTTTGTGTATACATGAACATGTGTAAATTTCTGCATCCGTCAGTTCAGTAACTGGCCAAAGGGCGCCAGCTCAGCAGTACTCTTGATAGAAAATGTCAACACTGCTGGGTGTGGTGGCTCACGCCTGTAATCCCAGCACTTTGGGCGGCAGAGGTGGGTGGATTCCCTGAGGTCAGGAGTTCGAGACCAGCCTGGCCAACATGGTGAAAACCCCATCTTTACTAAAAATACAACAAATTAGCCGGTGTGGTGGCGCATGCCTATAATCCCAGCTAGTCGGGAGGCTGAGGCACGAGAATTGTTTGAACCCGGGAGGCGGAGGTTGCAATGAGCCGAGATGGCACCACTGCACTCCAACTTGGGCAACAAGAGCAAAACTCTGTCTCAAAAAAAAAAAGAAAAAGAAAAAGAAAATGTCAACACAGAGCACTAAGGTTTGAAACCTGAGAATCTCACACGTTCAAAGCACAAGTAGAGTCAAGTAGCTGGTTCAAGTAGCTGCCTCTGTTCATTCTATTTAAAGCATTATTTTTTAAATCCTGCCCTTGGTGGGAGAATCGTACACATACATTGACTATGTCGATGATCACCTTTCCTGGATGCCATCAAGGATGCAGAGACAAAGAAATGTGGACACATTGTCTGTGAAAACCACCTCTTACTAGAAGCTGATTACCTTCCTTGGGGAGGTAGGTGAGGTAAATTAAGAACATAGATTTGGGGAGAATTCAAAGGATTAGCAGGGGAGCAATACTTGGGCTCTAACTCTAGGGAATAATGCTGATACACAAGGTAAGATTTCTGTCTGAACCACAAAAACAAAAAAATCTGATCATCAGTCTGAAATCAATCTCTTTAAGAGGTTTTAAAGATTCTTCCAGAAATTTGACTAAGTTTTCATTTTACAAGAGACACCTGTTCTCTGAAGCCTCTCCCTCTCCCTTTCCCTTTCCCCCCATAGCTCATGCTATTCCTTGACCCCAACACTCTCTCCATACTGGGCCCCTGCAAAGGCTGTTTAATGTAGCCACTGCCGCCTGTCTCCAATCCCCCTCTGCCTATCCTCCAGGTCTCAGTTAGAATGCCATTCAAACTCCAAGCAACCTTCCCAATAGTCACCTCCTGACTCAGATTATGTTAGGTCCTCTTGTTTTTATTTATTTATTTTTTCGAGATAGGGTCTTGCTCTGTTGCCCTGGCTAGACTGCAGTGATGCAATCTTGGCTCACTGTAGCCTCAACCTCCCAGGCCTAAGCAATTCTCTCACTGCAGCCTCCCAAGTAGCTGGGACTATGGGTGCGTGCCAGCATACCCAGCTAATTTTTTATTTTCCAGTAGAGAATGGGATGACAATTTTTAAATTTTTGTAGAGACAGGTCTCATTATGTTGCCCAGGTTGGTCTTGAACTCCTGAGCTCAAGTGATCCTCTCACCCTGGCCTCCCTATGTGCTGGGATTGCAGGCGTGAGCCACTCTGGCTAGCTTAGGTTTTCTTGTTTTAGACTCTTAACTCCTTACAGTTCTTCATCAGCCCACTCATTACTCTGTTAATGTATTATTTAATATCTTCTGTGACTACTAAAGTAGCCCTGTGGGGACAGCAATCCTTTCTGTCCTAATTACTTCTTAATTATGCTACATCTAGCACAGAGCCTAGCACAGAGCCTGGCACATAGCAGGTGCTCAAAAAATGTTTGTTAATGGATTTACTTGTATCCCTACAGATCATGTACTATCACCTATAGGGTCTCATAACATGGAGGTTTTGCAAATGTTAAAGTCTGTCTCAATCAGGCAAATGTGGCTTAGGGAATCATGCCCATTCTGTGGCATTAACTCTCAAGATGCTATTTTTCTGCACATTTAACATGAACATGGATTTGGACTCTGCTTTCACGGATAAATGAACGAGTCACTCTGGGACATAGCATGGAGTGTTTTCATTGCAAACTCCTACCCGCTGATTGCAGGAGGGGAACCTTGGATAAGTGTCTGATTCTGGGATCTTATGTCTGGAAGGCTGCTTCATTATCTCACATGGGCTGTTCTGAGTGCCAGCGCCCACTATTTACAAGGTCCTTGGGGTGCTCATCTCAAGACTATCATATGAAGTCACCAAAAAAAAAAGTTTTTCTTTCAGTATTAGAAAACTAAATTCTGGCTGGGTGTGGTGGCTCATGCCTATAATCCCAGCACTTTGGGAGGCTGAGGTGGGCAGATCACTTGAGGTCAGGAGTTTGAGACCAGCCTGGCCAACATGGTGAAACCCCATCTCGACTAAAAATACAATAATTAGCCAGGTGTGATGGTGCGTGCCTGTAGTCAGTCCCAGCTACTCGGGAGGCTGAGGCAGGAGAATCACATAAACCCAGGAGCAGAGGTTGCAGTGAGCCGAGATCGTGCCACTGCACTCCAGCCTGGGTGATAATGTGACTTCATTTCAAAAACAAAAACAAAAAAGGAAACCTAAATTCTTTCTTTGGTAAGCACAGACTTCTTACTAATCATCTACTCATCAGACTATGCATTTCTTACCCTTAAAAATTCAACCCTCTAAAAAGAAAAAAAAAAAAAAAACATTTGTATTGTGTGAAAAATAGAAGGTAGGGAATACTTAATGCTGGTCATTTGGGGATTATCAGAGAAATGCTGTATTTCACCAGACCTGTTTGCATAAGGTGCACCGAATTTCAGACATGTTAAATTGTATGTGTGAAGGGCGGGGGATGCATTCTAGTTGATGATATGCAGTAATGCTACAGGAAGAACCCACCACCAGACATTTTCATGAAATCAGTATTAAAAGAGTTTCACTGAAATCATTCAAATACACCTCTGTCATTCTTTTTGGCTGTGGGAGTCCTCTGAGGACATTTGTGCTTACAAACATACAGGGCACTCTGGCCTAGTAAATTAAACAAACACAACAACAATACGTTTGTAAAAACAAAAACAAAGGGGGGTGGCAAGGATTAGCATTTTGATGTCGCTATGTGATGTTCACCCACTTTTCTCCCCCGCCACCGGGTTATGTGCATTTGAGTCATGGTGAAGATGATGCCAACTTACCAAACCTCCTCAGTGAGCCAAGGATTGCTGATCTCTGCTGGGTGACCTGACGCAGAGTCTCTTTCCAAGGCCTCCGTTACCTGAGCTGTGAAATGAAAAAAATAACACTACTGACCCAAAGGCTGGTATTGAGAAGTCCAAAGTTAGTGATCACTAAATGGAACTGGGAGAGCGGGTGAGAAGAAGGAACATGGTGTTTTGCTATTATCACAGGCCGTTGTGTGTGCCTGGAACTACAAGGGAAGCTACATAACCAGGCAATATAGGAAATCTCCACTGGTCACATCATTTTGCCAGCTCTGCAAGACTATTCCGTTTCATATTAATTAAAAGACACTCAAGGAAAGAAAATCTTACTATGACAAAGAGAGAAAGGAGAGCCTCATGCCTGTAATCACAGCACTTTGGAAGGCCGAGGCAGGAGCATCACTTTAAGCCCAGGAATTTGAGACCAACCTGGGCAATATAGTGAGAGCCTATCTCTACAAAAAAATTTAAAATTAGCTGGGCGCCCATGGTCCCAGCTTGTTGGAGGAGCTGAGGCGAGAGGATCACTTGAGCCTAGGAGTTCTGAGGCTGCAGTGAGCTATGATCGTGCACTCCAGCCTGGAAAACAGAGTGAGATCCTTTTTTTTTTTTTTTTTTTTTCAGACGGAGTCTCGCTCTGTCACCCAGGCTGGAGTGCAGTGGCGAGACCTCAGCTCACTGCAACCTCCGTCTCCCAGGTTCAAGCAATTCTCCTGCCTCAGCCTCCCAAGTAGCTGGGATTACAGGCATGCCCCACCATGCCCAGCTAATGTTTTGTATTTTTAGTAGAGACGGGGTTTCACCATGTTGGTCAGGCTGGTCTCGAACTCCTGACCTCATGATCTGCCCGCCTCAGCCTCCCAAAGTGCTGGGATTACAGGCGTGAGCCACGGCGCCCGGCCTGAGATCCTGTCTTTAAAAGAGAGAGAGAGAGGCCAGGCGCAGTGGCTCACACCTGTAATCCCAGCACTTTGGGAGCCCGAGGCAGGTGGATCACCTGAGGTCAGGAGTTCAAGACCAGCCTGACCAATATGGTGAAACCCCATCTCTACTAAAAATACAAAAATTAACCAGGCGTGGTGGTGGGCACCTGTAGTCCCAGCTACTCAGGAGGCTGACACAGGAGAACTGCTTGAACTCGGGAGGCGGAGGTTGCAGTGAGCCAAGATCACGCGATTGCTCTCCAGTCTGGGCAACAAGAGCAAGGCTCCTTCTCAAAAATAAATAAATAAATAAATAAATAAATAAATAAATAAAAGAGAAAGAGAGGGAGAGAAGAGGAAATGTATAAAAAGTGGACTAACAGGGAGGGGAAGCTCACAGGTTTGACCAGGTGCTCGAAACTCCACTCTACTGCTTGCTAGCTGGTTGATCTTGGGCATTTTACTCAGCCTCTCTGAACCTCTGAGTTTTTCTCATCTAATATGGGCCTAATAGTACCCATTTGTTGGAGACATTGTGACAAGAGATATGAAGCCTTTGGGGCCTAGCACACAGAGAAAATGTTCAATGAAGGGCGGCTATGATTATTATGTTCATTTAAAATTCTTTCTGCAGAGGCACATTAAATTCAAAATCATTTAAATCACTATGAGTTGTGTTAGTTTTAAATGTTCCTTCACCTTGGAAGCCCTCTACAGCTGGCTTTTCTGCCTATACACAAATAATATTCTCTAACAATTCAGTTTCATATTTTTAAGTAAATACTTTTTTTTTTTCCAGATGGAGTTTCCCTCTTGTCACCCAGGCTGGAGTGCAGTGGCATGATCTCAGCTCACTGCAACCTCCGCCTCCCGGGTTCAAGTGATTCTCCCACCTTAGCCTCCCAAGTAGCTGGGATTACAGGCATGCACCACCACTCCGGGCTAATTTTGTATTTGTAGTAGAGATGGGGTTTCACCATGTTGGTCAGGCTGGTCTTGAACTCCTGACCTCATGTGATCCACCCGCCTCAGCCTCCCAAAGTGCTGGGATTACAGCAAGTAAATACTTTTGATTAGCTAGGTTCAGTGTAGAAGATTTTATTATACTACTGTTCCACCAAGAATAAATAAAGCTGTGACAAATGTCTCATTCCTGCGATCCCCTCCAAGAAAGACTACAACGTACCTCTTGGATAAGAAAATACTGGGCTATGCTAACTCCTGCAGTCCAGCTCAGTAATCATTTGTTCCAAAGTTCTTCCCAATGCAATGGCCAAATTAACTAAGGTTGAGCTTCTGATTAACATACAGTGCTGGAAGGAACTTTGACCCACAGAAACCTGGCATTTGACTTGCTTCGGTGAGTCCAACCTGTGTCACGAGTGCCTGTTTCAAGGGTAATAAAGGACCTGGCTGTTTGCTTACAGCAAATGGAGGTGGTGCCATGTCATTATACAGCTTTTACCTCTCCTGTCCACCTAACCCTTGGCAAATAAAGTCTGCAGCCCACACATCAGTTTTTGGAGTGATAGAATGAAAAAGGGTATGGATTTCCAAACTGAAAAGCACCTAAGTTCTACCTGGCATTCTGACTAAATGTTAGCTGCTTAAGAAACATGAATATGGTACCAAGATCAAAGGGACCAGAGTAGAGATCAGGTGTTTGAGCAGGTGCATATTATAACCATCCAAATTGTGCCTCAGTGAACAAACTGCTCTCTCTGCTAGCTCCTGGGTTCCCTTTTAGTGACATGTTATAAAACAGGAATCAGATGCAAGGAACAGACCACAGTACTAGAGAGTTCATGTCTCTTCCTGTTCTAGGATATACAGTGCCCCTCCCTGCCCTGCCAAATTCATAAATTCAAGGTCTAACCCCTAGTATCTCACAATGTGACTATATTTGGAGACAGGGTCTTTAAATGGGTAATTAAGATTAAATGAGGTCACGGGGATGGGCCCTAATGCAATATAACCAGTGTCTTCATAAGAAGAGGAAATTCAGACACAGACAACACAGACCGAGGGATGACTGTGTGAGGGCACAGTGAGTGGGCAGCCATCTGCAAGCCAGGCAGAAAAGCCTCCAGGTAAACAAACCCTGCTGTCACCTTGATCTTGGACTTCCAGCCTCCACAACCATGAGAAAATAAATGTCTGCTGTTAAAGCCACTTGGTCCATGGTATTTTGTTATGGCAGCCTAAACAAAGAAATACACTGCCCCTCCCCACATCCCCCAACCTCATCTCCCAGGACCAGATGAGTCGCAGATGAGTAAGGAGGTCAAGGGCATGATAATCAGAGTGGATTAACTGTGCAATTAAACAGTGGTAAACAGGAGAGCACATGCTCTATCCAAAGGTATCAAATTCAAAAAACTTAAAATACTATGAGGCCATACAAAAGACGGCTATGGCTTGATGATGCCCTTCAGGTTGCAATTCCTGAGCTAAACCATTACAGTATGATATTTAAAAACACCCATTATTAATGCTTTCAACAAATATGAAATGAATGCCTCCTACAGGCCAGGCCCTATGCCAGGCAATGGCAATAGCAGTGGTGAATATGTTCTCTGCCTTTGTGGTATTACAGTGTGGATAGTGAGTCCAGGTGCTGAGCTGGGCTAGAAATGTCAAGTTGAGAAGACAAAGTCATTGCCCTCCAGGAGGGTACAGATTAGTGGAGCACAGAGTTGGGACGAGACCATTATAAAACAACGTGACACCAGCTCTAATCCACAAGGGGCCCTGGAAGCTGGGAAGAAGATGATCCCATGTCTGTGTCAATCAGGGAACATGTGAGCCAAGTCCTGAAGGATGAATAACAGTTTACCCGGCAGACACATCTGAAAGACAAGAGGGCATTTTCCAGACAGAACAGTCAGTTCCTGGTGCAGGGACATAAGAGCGTACAGGATCTCTGGAGAACGACAATGAGCTGAGCACAGCCAGGGTGAAGACGGGCAGGGGAGAGCAACAGGACGTGCCGCTGCCAAGGCAAGGAACCAGGAGCCCACATTTGATTGCCGAGGGAGCCATCGGAGAATTTTAATCAGGAAGGTGACATCACCAGAACTGCATGTTAGAAGGATCACTCTGACCACAATGCAGAGGAGGGCTAAAGGCAGGGCGACCTGTCTGGAGACAAAGAAGGCAGGAAATAGGGAAACAGACATAGGGATGCTTGCCGGTCAAGGTCAGTCATCATGGCGTTCAGCTGCAGCCACGGGTGACACTGCCCAAGGGCATTATGTAGGGAAAGAGAAGCCCTGGCTTTTAAATCTGAGTACATATTACTTTTTTTTTTTTGAGACAGAGTTTTGCTCTTGTCACCCAGGCTGTAGTGCAATGGCACCATCTCGGCTCACTGCAACCTCTGCCTCCTGGATTCAAGGGATTCTCCTGCCTCAGCCTCCCAAGTAGCTGGGATTACAGGCACATGCCACCATGCCAGTTAATTATTGTATTTTTAGCCGAGACAGGGTTTCACCATGTGGGCCATACTGGTCTTAAACTCCTGAGCTCAAGTGATCCGCCCAACTTGGCCTCCCAAAGTGCTGGGATTACAGGCATGAGCCACTGTGCCTGGCCTGGGTACATATTATTATGATCAATGAGAAAATGAGTTTCTTAAGAAACTTTTAATTTCACTTATCCTCATCAGGAAACTAACCTTACTCATTCTTTTTATCAATCAAAAGCCACACATGACTGTACCTCAGTTTCTTTTTTTTTGGGGGGGGGGACACAGAGCCTTGCTCTGTTGCCCAGACTAGAGTGCAGTGGCATAATCTGCAACCTCCGCCCCCTGGGTTCAAGCGATTCTCCTGCCTCAGCCTCCCGAATAGCTGGAACTACAGGCACGCACCACCGTGCCCAGCTAATTTTTGTATTTTTAGTAGAGACAGGGTTTCACCATGTTAGCCAGGCTGGTCTCAAACTTCTGACCTCAAGTGATCCACCTGCCTCTGCCTCCCAAAGTGCTGGGATTACAGGCGTGAGCCACCACGCCCAGCCAGTACCTCAGTCTCCCTCTTATTTTCCTCAGTCTGTAAGTAAGGATAATAATAGCACTTCCCTTAGAGGGAGGATTCCTTAAGTTAAATAATACGAGTACATAGGTGCAATAAATGTTTTTTTTGTTTGTTCGTTTTTTTTTTTTTTTTGAGATGAAGTCTCGCTCTGTGGCCCAGGCTGGAGTACAGTGGCATGATCTCGGCTCACTGCAACCTACGCCTCCCGGGTTCAAGCAATTCTCCTGCCTCAGCCTCCCAAGTAGCTGGGATTACAGGTGTGTGGCACCATGCCCAGCTAATTTTTTTTTGAGACGGAGTCTCACTCTGTCGCCCAGGCTAGAGTGCAGTGGCGCAATCTCAGCTCACTGCAACTTCCGCCTCCCGGGTTCAAGCAATTCTCCTGCCTCAACCTCCCAAGCAGCTGGTATTACAGGCGTGTGCCACCACGCCTGGCTAATTTTTGTATTTTTAGTAGAGACAGGGTTTCACCATGTTGGTCTCGAACTCCTGACCTTGTGATCCACCCGCCTCGGCCTCCCAAAGTGCTGGGATTACAGGTGTGAGCCACCGTGCGCAGTAATAAATGTTAAATACAGCAGAAATAAATATTAAAGAACAAATGGGAAATTAATGATTGTTCAGTTAATGACAGTTCTCCCTCTCCATGAATATTAGCCAGAGGATAACCACCACCACAGCCACAAAGGGTCAAACCCAACAGAGCTGTCTTGGAACGAAGCTGGGTTTGATTTCCTTGCATCTCTCCCGAATTCTCACATGGTCTCCTACACAAGACCATAAATTTTGTGCATGATCATTACTTTAAAGTTATAAAATGCTTTGTGTCAGGTAAAATGTTCTCAACGATTAAAGATTAAAGGGGATGTGGGGCCTTCGAGGGGAGACTGACTGCAGAGGGGCATGAGAAAACTTTCCAGAGATGTTAGTTCCTACATCTTGATTGGGGTAGTGGTTTCACAGCTGGATACATGTGTTAAAAGTCACCACTGAAAATGTGG
Organism: Homo sapiens; assembly: GCF_000001405.40. NCBI lineage: Eukaryota > Metazoa > Chordata > Mammalia > Primates > Hominidae > Homo > Homo sapiens. Next base: position 40,550,410 of record NC_000004.12, read on the forward strand.
GAAGTTTATCATACGTAATTTTTTTTTGAGACAGAGTCTCACTCTGTCGCCCATGCTGGAATGTAGTGCTATGATCTCAGCTCACTGCAACCTCATCCTCCTGGGTTCAAGTGATTCTCCTGCCTCAGCCTCCAGAGTAGCTGGGACTACAGGTGCCCAGCACCATGCCCGGCTAATTTTTGTGTTTTTAGTAGAGATGGAGTTTCACCATGTGGGCCAGGCTGGTCTCAAACTCCTGACCTCAAGTGATCCGCCCACCTCAGCTTCCCAAAGTGCTGGGATTACAGGTGTGAGCCACCGCGCCTGGCCCTATCATATGTAAATTATACCTTAATAAAGATTGAAGGGACGGAAGATAGAGGAAAAAGGGATTCAAGGGGAAATGGGTATTTATATTCCAGAGAAGGAAAAAATAGATATGCATGAAGAAACTCGTCTTAAAACTTTTAATTTCCAAAATCATTCTCTCTTTGAATAGATGAAACTGTCAAGGAATGCAAAAAAAAAAAAACTTCCTTATGCAAGAAACATTTTGAAAAATTTAGACATCTTCCCCCTCTCATTATCCTGTAACTAACAAACAGCACTTTTTTACCCCTAGGTTCACTGAACAAGCTGCCCTCTTGTGGTTCTGATATATTTCCTGAGCACAAAAGTGGGCTGTTAGGAAGCTGTGTAGGTAGCAAGCCCAGCCTGCCCACAAATATTTGTCAAGGTAACTGAGAGTGAATGTTCTGACCTGCTTCTACATGAGAGGTATACACACATCACTATGGGCTTGGGTCACAGTTACAAAAGAATGAAGAAAATACGGTGGCCACAAAATACATATGGTTCGAGGCTGACAAATTCAAAAGACAATTTAATCTCTGTTTACTTTGCTGCTTAATTTTAAGGCCCTTTAGTACATACTTTCACTTTTGCAACGTGGAATCAGCATATCAGAAGCAAGCACGTCTCAAACAAGGTCAGGGCAAAGAAAGCAGAACTGCAAACTCCGATTCTACCATCTGTGAATATATTCAATATTCCCAAGATATCTTTGTACAAAGAAAGAAAACAACAAAACAAAGTAAACAAATAGTACCTAATAAAAACAATCCTGCATTTTATTAACATTGGCAAGCAGAATCCAGATCTCTAATAAAATAACAAGCACTTTTAAAAAAGAAAGGAAAGGAGGGAAGAAGGAAGTACACAAGGAAGAGGGAGGGAGGGAGAATCAAATAGCGTACTTTTCTTTTTTTTTTTTTTTTTGAGACAGAGTCTCGCTCTCTTGCCCAGGTTGGAGTGCAGTGGTGGGATCTCGGCTCACTGCAGCTTCCGCCTCCCGGGTTCAAGTGATTCTCCTGCCTCAGCCTCCCAAGTACCTGGGATTACAGGAGCGTGCCACCACATCCAGCTAACTTTTGTATTTTTAGTAGAGACAGGGTTTCACTATGTTGGCCAGGCTAGTCTCGAACTCTTGACCTCAAGTGATTCACCTGCCTTGGCCTCCCAAAGCGCTGGGAATTACAGGTATGAGTCACTGCATAGCCACAGCATAATTTTCAAAAGTTACACTAAAAGAAGACAAAAGATGACACAGGCATTGACTCAAAAACTGGAAACATTTTCTCTTCTAGAGAGCAATCCATCTTTATACAAGACCTTGTTTAAAAGAAAAACATAGAGGCCCTAAGACTTTTTTAAAGATAAGGATTTAGGGGCTAGGTGCGGTGGCTCACACCTGTAATCCCAGCACTTTGGGAGGCTGAGGCAGGTGGATCACGAGGTCAGGAGATGGAGACCACCCTGGCTAACATGGTGAAACCCTGTCTCTACTAAAAATACAAAAAATTAACAGGGCATGGTGGCGGGCACCTGTAGTCCCAGCTACTCAAGAGGCTGAAGCAGAAGAATTGCTTGAACCTGGGAGGTGGAGGTTGCAGTGAGCTGAGATCCCGCCACTGTACTCCAGCCTGGGCGACAGAGTGAGACTCTGTCTCAAAAATAAATAAATAAATAAATAATAAAAAGATAAAGGATATAAATAAAAATGGGCTCTGTATTTCAACTATTGACGTGTTAAAAATTCATCTAGTCCAGATCCTGCAGTAGCAGGTGGGCTAAATTAATTTGAACCAGGGGTAGACTCATTTCTGTATATGGCTGCCGAATCCACATTCTGATAGATCAATCTTTCTTTTTAAACACGGTCACGTCACTTCCCTTCTCAAAACCCTCCAATGGCATGTCCTCACACTTGGAATAAAATCCAGAGTCCTTCCCCAGGTTCCCTCTAGGAGCCTGCATAGCGTGGCTTGGCTGTGCTCCATTCCCTGCTGTTCATTCTCCATCAACCTCACAGTGCTGGCTATACCACTGGCCTTCTGGCCGTTTCTTAAACAAACCAGCTCATCCTCTTCTCCTGCCTTGGCACTCACTGTCGGCCCCACCTGGAATTTCCTTTCCCAGCCTTTACACCACCCCCCATCCTAGCTCTCTCCCTGACTGAATTCAGGTCTTTGCTCAAATGCCATCTCCTCCAAGAAGTCTTCTCTGACAACTTTCTTTTCTTTTTTCTTTTTTTTTTTGAGACGGAGTCTCACGCTGTCACCCAGGCTGGAGTGCAGTGGCACGATCTTGGCTCACTACAACCTCCGCCTCCCGGGTTCAAGTGATTCTCCTGCCTCAGCCTCCCGAGTAGCCGGGACTACAGGCACGCGCCACCACGCCCCACCTCTGATTGCTTTTTTTTTTTTTTAATATGGAATACTTCATGAATTGATTATTCTTTTAAAAGAGTTCTCCAATCACCAACTGTATACTCTTTCTTCCTCTTCCCTATCTTTATTTCTCTTCTTTGCTCATATTATTATCTGAAATTGCATTATGTATTTTTTATTTTATTTTATTTTATTTTTGAGACAGAGTCTCACTCTGTCACCCAGGCTGGAGTGCAGTGGCGTGGTCTCGGCTCACTCCAACCTCAGCCTCCCAGGTTAAAGCAATTCTCCTGCCTCAGCCTCCCAAGTAGCTGGGATTACAGGCGCATGCCACTATGCATGGCTATTTTTTGTATTTTTAGTAAAGATGGCATTTCACCATGTTGCCAGGCAGGTCTTGAACTCCTGACCTCAGGTGATCTGCCCACCTTGGTTTCCCAAAGTGCTGGGATTACAGGTGTGAGCCACTACGCCCAGCCAATTATGTATTCATTTTTATCACTTTTCACTATCTATCTGCCCCACTAAAATGTGAGCTCCATGATAAGGGACTTTTTCTTCTTCACCAAGGCACTCCCAGCTCCTAACGCAGGGTCTAGCACTAGTCAATAGTCAATATTTGAGAAATAAAATATCCCCTGGTTGGAGAGATAATAAGCCCTTAATCAAACCTGTTCCAAGACTTTTACTATCAACAAGCTAAAAAGCCCATGTCCTTTACTTGAATTCAGAGTGCTGAACAGTGGTTGGCCAGCAACCTCTACTAAGAAGTTCTTTGCGATCAGAGACATTTGAAGGTAAAATAGGGCCTTCGTCGTAAGATGAGCCAGCCAGCCCTTTTGTCCTGAAACTGAGTACGCAAGTGCAGAGAGGTTACCTGGTTTCTCCAAGCTCACATAGAAATGGTGAACATCAGGAGACGCGGGACCACTTAAAGGATGCACAGTCCCGTATTCATCTCCGCAACCCCAGGACCCAGCACGGTGCCTGGTGCAAAGAATGCACTCAGTGGGATTGCGCCCAGGGAACGAATGCTCTCTAAGGCCTCATTCAACTGAACTGTACTTCCTCTCATTACTGTCCCAATGATAACTTCCTATCCGAGAACCATTTCCAGTCACTTGAGTCATGCGTCATTTACTTCCTGTCCTCTGTCCTTTTAAAGTGCAGTTTGACAACATACCAGGCACAACAGTAACATCTGGGGGCTGCTTTGCTTCTAACGTAAGTCAAATAGCCCAGCATGGAAAATACCTAGGAAAAAAGTGGGATATGCAAAGCAAACCTCAAAAAAAAAAAAAAAAAAAGACAAAAGCTGGTGGGCTGGCCACGGTGTCACAAATGAAGTCTCCAGTGGCTTCATCATAACAAGTAAGTTTACTTTATGAAAGCTCACACTTGCATGGTGCCTTCTGTTCTCAGCACTTTATATATATATGCTCTCATTGAATTCTTTCCAAGATGTACATCTCACCTGTAAGAGGCACTACAACTCTGAAAAACCAAGTAATTTTTAGAAATAATTCAGCATTCTTTCTGATTGCTCTAGAGGAAGAAAAAAAATTTTAAAGAAATAATTTAGCAGCAAAATCCGACGCTCTAGTTCCTTCCTCCCTTCCCCCCATCTCTCTCTCCTTTCTTTCCCTCCCTCCCTCCCTTTCTTCCTTTTTTTTTTAACGAATCTCCCAGGCTTAAGGGCAGTGGCGTGATCTCGGCTTGCTGCAACCTCCACCTCCAGGGTTCAAGTGATTCTCCTGCCTCAGCTTCCTGAGTAGCTGGGACTGCAGGCACGCACCACAACACTCAGCTAATTTTTGGTTTTTTGTTTTGTTTTTGAGACGTAGTTTCCCTCTTGTTGCCCAGGCTGCAGTGCAATGGCGCGATCTCGGCTCACTGCAACCTCCGCCTCCCAGGTTCAAGCGGTTCTCCTGCCTCAGCCTTCCCAGTAGCTGGGATTACAAGCGCCCGCCACCATGCCCAGTTAATTTTTTGTATTTTTACTAGAGATGGGGTTTCACTATGTTGGCCAGGCTGGCCTCGAACTCCTGACCTCAGGCAATCCACCCGCCTCAGACTCCCAAAGGGATTACAGGCGTGAGCCACCACACCCGGCTTAATTTTTGTATTTTTAATAGAGACGGGATTTTGCCATGTTGCCCAGCTGGTCTCAAACTCCTGTCCTCAAGTAATCCGTCCATCTCAGCCTCCAAAAGTGCTGGGATTACAGGTGTGAGTCACCGCACCCAGCCCCTGACTTTCTAGTTTCTAATGAGACTCTCTACAGCCTTCGTTTCTTGCAGCATGTCTGAGTGTCCATTCGCTCTGCTGAAGAAATAGTGATGGGTGTGATCAAGGAATACTGCCTGAGATGAGTGGTATTAAGCAACACAGGGTACGTGCAACATATTATCTTTCTAAAATCTGAAATGTTCTGGCTTCTAAAACACATCTGACCCAATGGGTTTCGACAAGGATTTCTCACTTATATTAATGCAGAGAAGTAACTTGCCCACATCACACACCTAGTAACTGGCAACGCTAGGACTGCAATCAGGCAGCCTAATTCTGCAGGCCATGCCTGCGGCCGCCACATCATCCTGCCTCTCTCATGAATGATGGGAATGTGATCTGAAAGTCAGTGATTCCTCAACTGTTTTTCTGATGTGGGTCCCAGAAATAGAATTCGGAAAGATGAACAGCCAAGGTGGCCTTGTGCTGTCACCTGTGAAGGCAATTTGGACCAGCGATGACACCAGGTGAGTTAGGGCACAGAACAGCTGACTTCCCAGAAGTCATGGCCACTTTCGGGAAAATGGCATCCAGAGGCTTGGAGATCAAAACTTTTGCCTCCTTGAACATCTTCCCCAGGAGCCTCTGGGAAACACTGAAGCCAACCTGCTAAAGACCTGAAAAGATCTTCTTTTTTTTTTTTTTTTGAGACAGAGTCTGGCTCTGTCGCGCAGGCTGGAGTGCGGTGGCGTGATCTTGGCTCACTGCAACCTCTGCCTCCTGGGTTCAAGCAGTTCTCACGCCTCAGCCTCCTGAGTAGCTGGGATTACAGGCATGCACCACCGCGTCTGGCTTATTTTTGTATTTTTAGTAGAGACGGGGTTTCACCATGTTGGCCAGACTGTTCTCCATCTCCTGACCTCAGGTGATCTGCCCGCCTCAGCCTCCCAAAGTGCTGGGATTACAGGCTGAGCCACTGCACCCAGCCTAATACATTCTTTTTAAGATTACACTATGAGGTTAAGTAATCTTCATTACTTAATGAAGATTAAGGTGCAGTAGGTCATGCCTGTAATCCCAGCACTTTGGGAGGCCAAGGTAGGAGGATCACGATCACACCACTGCACTCCAGATTGGGTGACAAAGTGAGACTCTGTCTCAAAAATAAAGTAATTGCAGTTTTTGCTATTACTTTTAATGGCAAAAACCGCAATTACTTTTGCACCAAACTAATACATTCTTTTTAAGATTATACTATGAGGGCCAGACACAGTGGCTCATGCCTATAATACTAGCACTTTGGGAGACTGAGGCGGGAGGATCACTTGAGCTCAGGAGTTCCAGACCAGCCTGGGCAATATGGCGAAATCTTGTCTCTATAAAAAATAAAAAAATTCACCGAGTATGGTGGTGCACGCCTGTAATCCCAGCTACTTGGGAGACTGAGGTGGGTGAATCACCTGAGCCCAGGATGCAAAGGTTGCAGTGAGCTGAGTTTGCGCCACGGCACTCCAGCCTGGGCAACAGAGAGAAACCTTGTCTCAAAAAAATATATATATATACATTTACATGATGAGGTGGGATGAAGAGCTGCAGGTGGGTTGTGAGCCTGAGAATGTGTGTTGGGGGGCACGTTGGGGGGAGTTGTGCACATATGAAAGTGTACGCTCATTAAAAATTGATATTTCCCTAATGTCCAGAATGCAGAGCAATTATAATTTATGCTTCAACTTTTCTGTCCCCTAAATTCATTATTGGTGGAAGTAAAAGATGCTGATCATTTGGGCCCACAGTGTGCTTACTTGGCTAAGTCCTTGGGGTTACCTCCATTCTTCAGATCTCAGTTCAAATGTCAATTCCTCAGGGAAGCCTTCCCCAATGCCCAAAGTAGACTGTCCCACCCTTTAATTCTCACCCACATCTTGGTGTACACTTTCCCTTTGAGCAGTCATCGTGGGTTCTAATTAAATACTCCTGGCTTTCTTTGTTCACTGACTGGCTGTTCCTACTAGACTGTAATTTCCTTGAGGACAGTACTATATCTATATGCTCATCTGTGTTCCCAGCATGAAGCATAGCACCTGCCACATCCTAGTAGCTCCATAAATATTTGTTGAGTTGGCTGGGCGCAGTGGCTCATGCCTGTAATCCCAGCGCTTTGGGAGTCTGAGGTGGGCGGATCAACTGAGGTCAGGAGTTCAAGACCAGCCTGGCCAACATGGTGAAACTCCGTCTCTACCAAAAATCCAAAAATTAGCTGGGCATGGTGGTGGGTGCCAGAAATCCCAGCTACTTGGGATGCTGAAGCAGGAGAATCGCTTGAACCCAGGAGGCGGAGGTTGCAGTGAGCCAAGGTCGCACCATTGCACTCCAGCCTGGGCAACAAGAGCGAAACCCCACCTTAAAAAAAAAAATTGTTGAATGAATGAATGCATGAGTATAGAATTTTACAATAAAAAATCAGAGGTTCCTCAGCAGACAAACACAAGGCCTTCTCCCACCTCTGAGTTGTGAAATTGTTATTGCCTAGGCAATCCTATTTGGCAATTTATCATATGTTGCTCAGTGACCTGTTATCTTTATAGTTGTGGATTGTTGCTTAATTTTCTTATTCTTTTTTAATGTGTACTCTGGTTAGATCTTGTCTTCCCAAGCAGATTATAAGCACATCTCAGTGTAAATTACATCGTCCTGAATTCCTCAAAGCTCCCATAGTGGAGTTTTGCACCTAATCTTTTTACACTGTTGCTTCATTTTGTGCTCAAAACAGATATTATTATTCTCATTTTTTGCAGATGGAGAAAACTGAAGCTCAGAGAAATAAGTGACTCACAGTTTGTATAAGTTGATATTTGAAATTTGGGATTTCTCCTCTTAAATTACAGATATCTCATTAACACAGGCTCAGAAATCATTTTTTCTCCCTGTGAACTTTTGGTCTGTCATTTGCTTTAACTTAAACTATATCGAATTCTGTGACTTTTAACATTTAGACATTCATTTACTCAATCATTTATTGAATGAGTAAATGTCTAAAAAATATGTACTGAGGCTGGGCATGGTGGCTCACGCCTGTAATCCCAGCACTTCAGGAGGCCGAGGCAGGTGGATCACTTAAGGTCAGGAGTTCAAGACCAGCCTGGCCAACATGGTGAAACCCTGTCTCTATTAAAACTACAAAAAAAAAAAAAAAAAAATGGGCCAGACATGGTGGCTCATGCTTGTAATCCCAGCACTTTGGGAGGCTGAGGTTGGCAAATAACCTGAGGTCAGGAGTTCAAGACTAGCCTGGCCAACATGGTGAAACCCCATCTCTACTAAAAATACAAAAATTAGCCAGGTGTGGTGGTGGACACCTGTAGTTCCAGCTAATTGGGAGGCTGAGGCAGGAGAATTGCTTGAACTCGGGAGGCAGAGGTTGTAGTGGGCCGAGATCGTGCCACAGCACTCCAGCCTGGTCGACAGAGTCAAACTCTGTCTAAAAAAAAAAAAAAAAAATTAGCCGGGCGTGGTGGCAGGCGCCTGTAATCCCAGTTACTTGGGAGACTGAGGTAGAAGAATCACTTGAACCCAGGAGGCGGAGGTAGAAGTGAGCCAAGATTTCGCCACTGCACTCCAGCCTGGGTGACAGAGTGAGACTCCGTCTCAAAAAAGAAATGTGTACTAAGCCCCTCCTATGTTCCAAGCACTGTGCTAGTGATTGTGGTGAATAGGGCAGATCCAGCCTTTATTTTATCCCTATTACAAGGTATTTATCCCTATTACAAGGTATATTACCATGACATAGATAGCATTTGCCCCTCAGTAATGGTTTTTTCTTTAGAGGCTACTTCACCAAGACAGAATATAAGCTAGTTTGGATTATATGGAAAAGCAGCCTTTGCCTCTATTTCTGGCAAATAGAAGGAGAGAGCCTAATAAATATTTTTCAAGTGAGTCTAACATGAAATCAGGCTGTGTTTCTCAAACAATTACAGGTGACAAACACAGAATACGATATGGCTAGCCCATAATGTGGGTGTTATTTCTACAATAACGAATCAAGTGACATGGGTATGCAAGCATCATTTCAGAAACTATACAGAGAAGCTGCATTTTCTCCCTCAAGCCCCAAAGTCCAAGATAATGTCAAGTGAGAAAGCCTGAAGCAAACATTGGAGATCTTATCTAAATTTTTTAAAAATAAGACTGTTAAGGAAGAAAAACTGAGGTGTTGTTTAAATATAAAAGATTCTATCTTTGTTCCTGTGGGTGACCAACACCAGGGTAGAGAAAATCTTGATTCAGCAAATATTTTTTGAGTTTCATGAAATATCCCCTCCACCATCCTCTAAGGTCCCACCCAAATCGGGAAGACTCTTGGTGGTGCAAAAATAGGATTATTGTTGTTTTTGCGAAGTCAGGCCCTTTATTAGAGGGTAGAAAGAACACTTGTTCCTGATTTCTCAACTTCTGATTCCTGTTGGCAGCACATAATATGCCCCAGCCTTGACTCTCAAGCACAACAAACTGCAAATGAAATAGATAAGTCACTGTTCCTTCAAATCTGTACATTACAAGCCATTTCTAGTGTTTACCTTTTTTAAAATTTTGGCCAAATTACTTGCACTAGCCAGATAGCTGTTAGAGAGATTAGCAAGTAGGTCTGAGAATCACTCACCCATAACCACGCGCTCACTTTCTTGATATTACTCTCTTATTTTTCCATCCTGACCCTGGCACAATAGTTAAACACCAGCCTGGTCAGCAAAACAGTGTTGTCAAAACGCAGCCAAGCTGAGTTTTGACCCACAGAGGTCTGACAGTTGTCAGGAATTTCCTAACATGGCCAGGGTCACTGACAGTTAAAGGTTTCACTGGTATCACCTGCAAAATCTAACTCCACTCCATGAAAAGTGCAGAAAACTCTTAAAATGCTTTCTGTGCTGCCTAAGGTTCTGATTTTAAAACACAAGAGTATGGAAGTTCAGACTTTTGGTTATCTCCACTTTGCCAAGGCACAGGTGTTTGAGGAATGAGCATGTGCATGGCCCAGCACTTTCTTACCACTCTTGGATGATCAAGAGTTCAAAGCAACCTTGCCAGGTGCATTTAAAAAAAAAATCTAACCAGAGCTCACAATACAACCAATTCCTTGGATTGAATGAGGACACCTCGGCTCTCCCTGCTCCCGGCAGTGCCAGCCTTTGGTCACTTGCCAGTCCAGGGGAAGCCAGGAGGTGACCTCCCCGACCCTCTCCTGCCTAGTCATACATTCGAAGTTTTCATCTATTTTGTATGATGCAGCCATCTATGCCCTCTTTGACTGCTGACCACCATAACTAAAAAGTTGCTGCTAGGCTGGGCGTGGTGGCTCATGCCTGTAATCCCAGCACTTTGGGAGGCCAAGGCAGGTGGATTACGAGGTCAGGAGTTCAAGACCAGCCTGGCCAAAATGGTGAAACCCCGTTTCTACTAAAAATACAAAAAATTACCCAGGCATGGTGGCAGGCGCCTGTAATCCCAGCTACTCAGGAGGCTGAGGCAGGAGAATCACTTGCACACAGAAGTGGAGGTTGCAGTGAGCCGAGAACGCGCCACTGCACTTCAGCCTGGGCAAAAAGTAAGACTCCTTCTCGGAAAAAAAAAAAAAAAAGTTGCTGCTATTCCCTTTTCTCTCACTATTTCCCACATTCTTAGCACTGCCTACGTGTCAGGAACTGCATTAAAGGAGACTATGTGTCTGGTTTTTTACCTCCCAACAATCAAGCCTGGTAAGGAACTGTTAAACCCACTTTCAGTAAAGAAGACTGAGGTCCAGAGAGATTATCTTATTATAAAGTGCCCAAGAGGCAGGATGGGACTTAAATCTTAGCCTTTCTGGGACTATTTTTCCATTGTCTTTTTTTTTTTTTTTTTTTTTGAGACGGAGTTTCACTTTTGTTGCCCAGACTGGAGTGCAATGGTGCAATCTCGGCTCACTGCGACCACCGCTTCCTGGGTTCAAGCGATTCTCCGGCCTCAGCATCATAAGTAGCTCGGATTACAGGCATGCACCATTACGCCTAGCTAATTTTTGTATTTTCAGTAGAGATGGGATGTTGACCAGGCTGGTCTCGAACTCCTGACCTCAGGTGATCCACCTGCCTTGCCCTACCAAAGTGCTGGGATTACAGGCATAAGCCACTGTGCCCAACTTCTTTTTTGCTTCTTCTTTTCTTTTTTTTTTCTTTTTTTTTTTTGAGACAGGGTCTTGCTCTGTCACCCAGGCTTGAGTACGGTGGTGCAATCTCAGCTCACTGCAACCTCCACCTCCTGGGCTCAGGTGATCCTCCCACCTCAGCCTCCTGAGTAGCTGGAATTACAGGCTTGCACCACCATGCCCAGCTAATTTTTGTATTTTTTGCAGAGATGGGGTTTCGTTATGTTGCGCAAGCTGGTCTCGAACTCCTGCGCTCAAGCAATCCACCCATCTGGGCCTCCCTAAGTGCTGGGATTACAGGTGTGAGCCACCTCGCCTGGCCTCCGTTGTCTTAATGTAAGATATCCTTTTACTAGATCAGAAATCTCTGTCCTTCTCTCATTCATTTATTCATTCAGCCAGTCAGTTAACATTCATTAGAGGTCCACAATGCAAGGTCCCCTCAATGACTCAATGACTTGAAACCTGTTTCTCAAATAGCCCATGTGACTACTTACTCATTTTAAAAAGCTATTATTAAATCAATTGCATGTTTTACAATCAGTACCCCATGGTTACAATCCAGGAAACATACCCCCAAGTGATAATCTGCAAAATCCACTAGATTTAAAGATATGCAAAGTTAACAGAAAGAGACCACCTGGTCTGCTGGACTCTAAGACTAGCAGGAGGGGTGGGTAATCAGGCTGTAGGATTAACACGATCAAAGAAAAATGTGTCTCTCAGAAGGAGTGGTCCTCTTTTGGAAGCCTGGAAAAAAGAGGACAGGTGAAAGTTGATCATGCCCACTGAAGCACAGACCAGGAGAGGGACTTCAGAAGGCTTCCGGTCCCAAAGACAAGATCATTCTACTGTGAAATACACTGAGGTTGCATCAGACTAAGGAGGCGGGTGTCATTACATTTTAGACCCCTTCTCCTCCCACTTCTCCCTATTTTTTTTTTTTTTTTTTTTTGAGACAGTCTCACTCTTGTGTCACCCAGGCTAGAGTGCACTGGTGCGACCTCGGCTCACTGCAACCTCTGCCTCCGGGGTTCAAGCAATTATCCTGACTCAGTCTCCCAAATAATTGGGATTACAGGTGCGCGCCACCACGCCCGGCTAATTTTTGTATTTTTAGTAGAGACGAGGTTTCACCATGTTAGCCAGGCTGTTCTCTAGCTCCTGACCTCAAGTGACCTGCCCACCTCGGCCTCCCAAAGCATTAGGATTACAGGCGTGAGCCACCGTGCCCAGCCGAAATATTTCCTTTCTGTTTCTGACTACTATTCCCTAGAAGCAAAAACTTGTTTCATTGATAATATATAGCTGCTCAGGAGCTGCATCATTTTTTAGAAGCGACAGCAACAATAAAGAATTCCCTCGAGGGGATGAGTCATTAGGTGAGCATTATGCTCCAAAAAGCTGTACCCCCAAAAGGGTCAAGTACAATGACAAAGCAGGGTAAACAGGCTACTAAAAATATCCAAAATGACGGGACCCATGTGTTGTATTAAACTGGCATTTGTTAGCCCTTGCTAAAAATTAAAAGTATATTTTAGCAATCCCAGCTACTCAGGAGGCTGAGGCAGGAGAATCACTTGAATCTGGGAGGCAGAGGTTGCAGTGAGCCGAGATGGCGCCACTGCACTCCAGTCTGGGCGACAGAGCAAGACTCCATCTCAAAATAAATAAATAAATAAATAAAATACCTTTTTTAAAAAGAGTATATTTTAGCATGGTTGATTACTTCAGGGTTGTTGACCATTCAATTAGGCTAGCTCCACAGAAATCTGTTTTGCTTCCTAAATAGCACTGAAACAATGAACACTTTAATGCCATCATGCTTTCTTTTCTTTCCTTTTCCCCATCTTTAAAAAAATGATTAAATGGCTGTAGAAGCGGTAAAATCAAACTCTGTGCTTGTATTATACTGCAGGATGACCCATGGCCCGCATTCTTAGAATTGTGCCCTCTTAAAACCGCAAAATACCTTAGATATCAGCTAGTTGATCTAGATAAGAAACCTGAGATTCAGAGAGAAAGGTGACTTTCCCAAGGTCACACAGTGGTCAGTTGGGGGCCCCAAAGGAAGGCCTTTCCCACTGCACACATGGTTAATACTCACAGAGGGTGGTGTCCACTAAGCAGAGCCTGGGTTTACTTCCCCATGTGCTAAGCTTGCTTACCTCACCCAGAGGGGTAATCAACACCCCTTTCCGTGTGGCTGTGTTACCAAAGCTACTTCTTGAAATTAAGACAAAAGAGCACAAAACTGCAGTGGTAGGGCCCTAGGTACACCCTTCAGGAAGGCACATTTACAATGGCAATTGCCCAATGTATTTGAAAGTTATGAAAAATATATTTTATGATAGTCTCTAAAAAGCTAAGCAAAAATGTAAAAAAGAAAGCTATGAAAAATAGCCCAGGTGTGCTGGCTCACACCTTGTAATCCCGGCACTTTGGGAGGCCAAGGCAGAATTGCTTGAGCCCAGGAGTTCAAGACCAGCCTGGGCAACATAGCAAGACACTATCTCTATTCATATAATGTAAAAAACAATTTTTTTAATTATGAAAAATACAAGGTGTAGAGGTCACCACCTTCCATGGAAGCATAGACCACAGTCTAGCTTCCCATATTGCAGTGAGGTGTGACCACTGACTATGCTCTGGCCAGTGGATGCAGAGGAAGTGGTGTGTGTCATCATGATGTGACGTGGTCCTGCCCATAAAAATCTACCACACGTTCTCCTCTGGGCTCTTTCCTCTTCTGGCTGACTGGGATGGCAATGCCCAGGCAACCTTGGCCATCATATGATAAAAATGGCAAAGCAGCTGCCAGTCTGGATCTCCAAATGAGTTTATGAAGGTGAGCTACCCCCGAACCTGCACACACACATACCCAGGAAAGCTGCACACCCAGGAAAGCTACTTAAGTAAAAAATAAATTTCTACTGGGTAAGCCAGTGACATTTGGAGGTCTTTATGTTACAGCCACCTAGCCTATCCTAAGGAATACATGGGGAATCTCCAAAGATTAGGAGAAGTATGGCTTTAAAGCAGGAGAAATAAACAGCACAGGCAACACATCTGTTGGTTTATCATCAAACATGAAGCAATAGGAAGGAATCAATAGAATTTGGAGAAGAGTAAAACATACTCATTTAGTCCTTTTAGAATACAAAAAAATCACTGTCTAGCTTTAAGAAAAGTTTATTTATGAGTTACTTTTTGAGACACAGAAAGCCTTTTTCAAAGAGAGGATATTAGAAATGATATTCAAGACCTCAGGCCCTACCGAAAATTTATTTTTTTGCTCAAGTTAATAGAAACCATTCTAAAAGTAAACACCAGTCTTGTGGTCCTCTGAGGCCCGAGGATCCTCAGTGGGAGGAAGGGGCAGAAGCAGGAGTGGCGGAGCTTCTGAGCAAGGGCCCCAGAGGCTGAAGGCCTAGAAGGAGGGCTCTCTTGTGTGTGTCTTGAATAGGTCCGGAAGTGAACGTGGGGACTGAGCAGGGCCTAAGGAAACACTCTATCCAGTCACCTCAGCCTTGGTGAGAACACAAAGAGAATTTCTCCTTGTCTGCAGATGCAACCTTCTTCATTCTGTACTTTATCAAGGGAGGCAATGAATTCAACTAAGCTTCCACAGTGTTTCTGATTTGATCCCAAATGGCATTTTCATTAATGAGCTGTGAAGTTATTTTCTCATTCATTCTGAACTCCCCCAGTGATGTTAAGCAGTACTCAGCATGACACTTGATACTACACAGCAGTGTGGTTAAGAGCAGGGGAGCCTCAAGGGCACCAACATGCATCTGCTAGCCAACCTTGGTGCTGGAGCTGGGTCCTTGATGCCTCTGCTGGGCTGGATATTAACCCTTTAGTTGCTGGCTCATGAGCAGGTCCTTGGGTTCCTGGGGAAGGGGCAAGGGAGGCCTGGCCGGTGGTGGTGGACACATAGGAGGCTTCAAGCAGCAGCTCTCCACTAAGAGGCACAGAGGGACTTCCACATTTTAACAACTAGTTTGGCTGTATGTGTACAATTAGCCCTGGTGAAAAGTGCAAGCTTTGGAATTAAGATTTGGGCTCAAATCTTATTCCGTGACAATCCATCTGTGTGACCATGGATAACTACTACTTATATTCTCTGAGCCTTAGTTTCTCAGTCAATGCTAGTCTCCCTAAGTCCCTTCCCCAGCTCACACCATCTTCAGAGCAAGCCCAGGGCACAGGAACAAAGATAGAGAAAAAAGAGAGGATAAATGATAAAGAAACAAAATGGACTGGACCCAGCAGCTCATGCCTGTAATTTCAGCACTTTGGGAGAACGAGGTGGGAGGCTTGCTTGACCCCACGAAAGACCAGCCTGGGTAACATAGGGAGACCCTGTCTCTACAAAAAATAAAAAACTAGCCCGGCGCGGTGGCACACGCCTGAAGTCTCAACTACTTGGGAGGCTGAGGCAGGAGGATCACTTGAGCCCAGGAGGTTAAGGCTGCAGTGAACTGTGACTGTGCCACTGCACTCCAGCCTGGGTAACAGAGCAAGACCCTGTCTCAACAACAACAAAAAAAAAAGGAAAAAGATGGACAGAATAAACAGAATAGGAGGAATGAGGGAGAGCCAAGAGAAAAGAACAAAGCAAAAGAGCAACTTGGTGGAAGTGGCTACACATTATTGAGGAGAACTGCTTCAGGAATAAGTAGGTCAGTGGTAGGGATCACCGCCCAGACTTGACCTTCAGGTTAGCTGGGTGCTCATTCTCACAATAAGTCACTGACCAAAAGCCCTGTATCATGCTGGGGATGAACTGTGGAGTCACCTCTGAGGCCAACATCGTTAAGAGTTAGATGTCTGCTGGGCACAGTGGCTCATGCCTGTAATCCCAGCACTTTGGGAGGCTGAGGTGGGTGGATCACGAGGTCAGGAGTTTGAGACCAGCCTGACCAACGTGGTGAAACTCCGTCTCTACTAAAAATACAAAAATTAGCCGGGTATGGTGGCGCGTGCCTGTAATCCCAGCTACTCAGGAGGCTGAGACAGAGGAATCGCTTGAATCTGGGAGGCAGAGGTTGCAGTGAGCTGAGATAGCGCCACTACACTCCACGCTGGGCGACAGAGCGAGACTCCATCTCAAAAACAAAACAAAAAGAGTTAGATATCTTAGTTTGAATCCTAGCTCTGTCACTTACTAGTGTATGCAAACCATTTCACCTCTCTGTAGCTCAGTTTCTTCATTTGTACAAAGGGGATAATCATAACACATTACCTATGTTCTGGTGGATAATGATAAATGAAATTAACACGGGTAAAGCGCTAAGAGCAGTAGCTACCTCATAAGGAGTGTATGCCTTAGCCACTCTTTATCCTCCCATGAGTCCTCCCACCTCGTCCTCCCAAAGTGCTGAGATTACAAGCAGGAGCCACTGGGCCCGGCCCATTCTGTGTCTTCATCATTTATCCTCTCTTTTTTTTCTCTATCCTTGTTCCTGTGCCCTGGGCTTGCTCTGAAGATGGTGTGAGCTGGGGAAGGGACTTAGGGAGACTAGCATTGACTGAGAAACTAAGGCTCAGAGAATATAAGTAATAGTGATCCATGTTCACACAGTTAGATTGTAACATAATTAAGATTTGAGCCCAAATCTAATTATTATGAATCGGTGACACCAAGAAAAGAGCAGTGGAGTCAGAGACATTGAACTCGGGCAGTGTCACTTTCTAACAACTTCGGAATTTTAGGAAAGTTACGTAAGTGGCTGAAGCTCAGAGAGGTTACCTGTAAAATGCGATTTTGTTACATTACAACTAACATTTATCGAGCATTTATTATGTGCCTATTACTGCACATACTATATATAAGTTCTCTCATTTAATGTTCACAATACTGTGGAAAAGATTCTATAATTATGACCATTTTCCAGAGGACAAAACTGTATCTTTGAAAAGTTAAGTATCTAGCCCAGCATCATAAAGCCCAGCCATGACTTCAAGCCAGTTTAGTAAGACACCAATTCAGTAACACGCAGTGCGCACAGAGAATAGTCATGCAGTAACTGTTGTCTCTGATCCCAAGATCTTGTAAAGGCATTGAAAGCATGGTTTTTGGGTGGCCCATATAATGGTTTATAGCACAACATACACATTTGAAGAAAGATTTATAATCCAGTGTCCACAAAAACCAAAGAAATGTAGGGCTAGCCTGACAGAATCAAGACCAAGGTTAAGGTATTTTGTTCCCAACATGATTCAGGATGAGGCAAAACAAGAGAGGCACAAAAATGAAACCCAATGCTTCTGTTTTCCAGAGGCCACAAATCTAATATCACAATATCATTGATAAAGTTATGCTTTATATTCCTGTAGAGAGATCTAAAATGAGTATTTACATGTTAAACTACAGCTTCACACTGACCTCTGTTATGATCTCAGAGAATGTTCTAAAGTCCCAAACTGAATAAAATGTACACCTAAGAATCCCAACAATATTCTTTTTTTTAAGAAATGTTGTCTTGAGAGTTGACTGAACCCGGGAGGCGGAGGTTGCCATGAGCTAACATCAGGCCACTGCACTCCAGCCTGGGTGACCGAGCGAGACTCTGTCTCAAAAACAAAAAAAAAGTGTTGTCCCAGGCCAGGCATGGTGGCTCACATGCCACCTGTAATCCCAGCACTTTGGGAGGCGAAGGCAGGACGATCAATTGAGCTCAGAAGTTCGAGACCAGCCTGGGCAACATGGCGAAACCCATTCTCTACAAAAAAAACACAAAAATTAGCTGGGCATGGCGGCGCAGTGCCTCTGGTCCCAGCTACTCAGAAGGCTGAGGTAAAGGGATTGCTTGAGCCCGAGAGATGGAGGCTGCAGTGAGCCATGATCACGTCACAGCCCTGCAGCCTAGGTAACATGGTAAAACCCTGTCTCAAAAAAAAAAAAAAAAAAAAAAAAAAAGGGTGGTCTCTATCATATTCTTGGATAGGAAGACTCAGCATCTTAAGATGTCAATTTTTTTCCGAATTGACATGAATTTAACATGTTGCCCTCCAAAAACAAAAGCAAACGAACAAAAAAATAGGAAGGCATATTTTAAGTGGGAGAGGAACTAAACAAGGCATTTGAACTAGACAAGTTGATCCTAAAGAATTTTCCTAACCAGGAATATTCTGACTGACGGGCCACTAGCACTACCAGATATTAAAACACAGTAGAAGGTCTTAATAGATAGTATAGTGTTGGGAGGCCGAGGCGGGTGGATCACCTGAGGTCAGGAGTTCGAGACCAGCCTAACTAACATGGTGAAACCCCGTCTCTACTAAAAATACAAAAATTAACTGGGCGTGCTGATGGGTGCCTGTAGTCCCAGCTACTCGGGAGGCTGAGGCAGGAGAATTGCTTGAAACCGGGAGGCGGAGGTTACAGTGAGCCGAGATTGCGCCATTGCACTCCAGCCTGGGCGACAATAGTGAGACTCTGTCTCAAAAGATAGATAGATAGATAGATAGATAGATAGATAGACAGACAGACAGACAGACAGACAGACAGACAGATAGATAGATAGTATATGTGGTCTGGGAGGGACATTAATCATAGAAGTCAAATTATTTCTACAAAAACAGTTTCAAATACATGATCCAGCATACAGTCAAAGATAACCAGGTGCATGAATACAACATGAGTGAGAGCCAGAAGAAATACAGGAAACAAAATTAAACTCACAGAGAATACCATAGAGTGAAATTATTAGACAGCCTATAAACAACTACGCTTATTATACAAAATGGAGTTTTCTTCAAAGGGCTAGCAGGCCGACAACTGCCTTCTTAAGCACCAACAACGGAAGCCAAAAGAGTAGAACGAGAGCATCAGTGTGCCGGGAAACAAACCATGAACTTAGAATTCTATTCTCATTTTTTTTTTTTTTTTGAGACGGAGTCTGGCTCTGTCGCCCAGGCTGGAGTGCAGTGGTGCGATCTCAGTTCACTGCAATCTCCGCCTCCCGGGTTCACACCATTCTCCTGCCTCAGCCTCCCGAGTAGCTGGGACTACAGGCGCCCACCACCACACCCGGCTAATTTTTTGTATTTTTAGTAAAGATGGGGTTTTACCGTGTTAGCCAGGACGGTCTCTATCTCCTGACCTGGTGATCCGCCCGCCTTGGCCTCCCAAAGTGCTGGGATTACAGGCGTGAGTCACCACGCCCGGCTCTATTCTCATTTTTTTTTTTGAGATGGAGTCTCGCTCTGTCGCCCAGGTTGGAGTGCAGTGCCGCAATCTCGGCTCACTGCAACCTCTGCCTCCCGGTTTCAAGCAATTCTCCTGCCTCAGCCTCCCAAGTAGCTGGGATTACAGATTGGCTGTGACCACGCCTGGCTAATTTTTGTATTTTTAGTAGAGATAGGGTTTCACCATGTTGGCCAGGCTGGTCTCGAACTCCTGTCCTCAAGTGATCCACCCGCCTTGGCCTCCCAAAGTGCTGGGATTACAGGCATGAGCCACTATGTCCGGCCAAAAATATTTTTTGAAAATAAACATAAACTAATGAGTGAGAGAGTCTGTCACAAATAGACTGCCACTAAAGGATATTCTAAAGCAGCGGTCCCCAACCTTTTTGGCACCAGGGACCGGTTTCATGGAAGACAATTTTTCCATGGTGGATAGGGGTGAGAATGGTGAAGGGAGAAGTGATGGTTTGGGGATGATTCAAGCACATTACATTTATTGTGCACTTTATTTCTATTATTACATTGCAGTACATAATGAAATAATTATACAACTCACCACAATGTAGAATCAGTGGGAGCCCTGAGCTTGTTTTCTTGCAACTAGATGGTCCCATCTGGGGGTGATGGGAGACAGTGACAGATCATCAGGCATTAGATTCTCATATGAAGCCTGCAACCTAGACCCCTTTATGTGCAGTTCATAATAGGCTTTACGCGCCTATGAGAATCTAATGCTGCCACTGATCTGCGAGGAATCAGAACTCAGGCAGTAATGTAAGCGATGGGGAACGACTGTAAATACAGATGAAGCTGTGCTGGCTCACCCGCTGCTCATCTCCTGCTGTGCTGTTCAACTCCTGCCTGGAACCCCTGATCTAAAGGGCGTTCCTGAAGCAGAAGGAAAATGGACCAAGATGGAAAGTTGGAGAACACAGCATAGAATGAAGAGCAATAAAAATGATAAATTTAAATAAATACTGCATAAAATAATCATGATAATGTTTTAAGGGGTTTTAATAAGAACAAAGAAATATCTAATAAATTTCAAATATGTATATAAAGAGAATTAAAATACATGACTAGCATATGAGTCAGAAAGTGGGTAAATGCTAAAGTTATATTTTTTAAAAGACAGACTTCCAAACTAACAGAGGAAACAGTGGAATGATACAACACAGACACCTACATACGAAAATAAAATACTGACGGCTGGGCGCGGTGGCTCACGCCTGTATTCCCAGCACTTTGGGAGGCAAAGGCAGGTGGATCACCTGAGGTCAGGAGTTCCAGACCAGCCTGGCCAACAAGGTGAAATCCCGTCTCTACTAAAAATACAACAATTAACAGGGCGTGGTGGTACATGCCTGTAATCCCAACTACTTGGGAGGTTGAGGCAGGAGAATCATTTGAACCTGGGAGGCAGAGGTTGCAGTGAGCCGAGATTGCATCACTGCACTCCAGCCTGAGTGAGAGAGTGAGACTCCATCTCAAAAGAAAAAGAAAAGAAAAGAAAAGAAAATACTGACACATAAGTAGTCAAAACAATGGAATGGGATAGAAAATCCAGATATATGTTCAAGTATATATGGGAATTTAGTAAATGATAAAAGAGGTGTATCATACCAGTAGAGACAGGAACTACTGAATAAGTGGTGTTGGGACAACTAGATATTCATCTAGAAAAAAATAAGTTGTATCTATACCTTGTAACTCATACCAGGATAAGTCCTGAGTAAATCAAATATTGAAATGTGAAAAATTAAACCACAAAGGTTCTACAAGAAAACATAGGAGAATCTTTTATAATCTGAAATGAGACCTTTCTATTCTGACTCATGATCCAAAAATCACAATAAAAGATTGACAATTCAACTACATAAAATTTTTTTTAAAAAATACAAACCAGGTGGGAGGAGGGTGCGGGATAAAAGACTACACTTTGGATACAGTGGGCACTGCTCGGGTGATGGGTGTACCCAAATCTGAGAAATCACCACTAAAGAACTTATCTGGCTGGACACGGTGGCTCACGCCTGTAATCCTAGTACTTTGGGAGGCTGAGGCAGGCGGTCACTTGAGGTCAGGAGTTAGAGAACAGCCTGGCCAATATGGTGAAACCCCATCTCTACTAAAAATACAAAAAAAAATTAGCCAGGCGTGGTGGTCCATGCCTGTAATCCCAGCTACTTAGGAAGCTGAGGCAGGAGAATTGCTTGAACTCGGGAGGCGGAGGTTGCACTGAGCCGAGATTGTACCACTGTACTCCAGCCTGGGCAACAGAGCGAGACTCCATCTCAAAAAGAAAAAAAAAAAGAATTTATCCATGCAACTAAACACCACCTGTTCCTCAAAAACTACTGGAAAAAAAAAAAAAAACCCACCAGGTGTGGCTCACCCTGTAATCCCAGCACTTTGGGAGGCCGAGGCGGGTGGATAACCTGAGGTCAGGGGTTCGAAACCAGCCTTGACCAACCTGGTGAAACCCCCTCTCTACTAAAATACAAAAATTAGCTGGACCTCGTGGCATCCGCCTGTAATCCTTGCCACTAGGGAGACTGAGGTAGGAGAATTGCTTGAAGCCAGGAGGCGGAGGTTGCGCCACTGCACTCCAGCCTGGGTGACAGAGCGAGACTCCATCTCAAAAAAAAAAAGGCAATGTGGAAGCTCTCAATGTACTGTTATTGAGAAATCTTCAAGATATATTGTTAAGTGAAGAAAAACAAGCTGCACCTAACATTCTACTTTTTGTGGAAAAGGAGAGGAATAGAAGCTCTAAGTGTATTTACTTGCATAGCATTAAAAAATTCCCTAAAGACAGATTAGAAACTAAGAACAGTTGGTACCCACATGTAGTTTATTTGAACAAAACAACAACTTAATAATGAAAGTGGGCCGGCTGTGGTGGCTTATGCCTGTAATCCCAGCACTTTGGGAGACCGAGATGGGAGGATCACTTAAGACCAGCCTGGTCAACATAGTGAGACCTTATCTCTATTTTTTAAATTTAAATAATAAAAATTTTAAAAAATAATAATAATGAAAAAGTCTTCAACATTATGCATTCTTCAATTTTCCTGTGAGCCTCCTTGTTTATTCATTTGAAAGTACAATATATTAAAATTCACCACAAAATTGCAGAAGTGGGCCGGATGCGGTAACTCACACCTGGAATCACAACACTTTGGGAGGCCGAGGCGGGCGGATTACTTGAGGCCAGGAGTTCAAGACTAGCCTGGCCAAAATGGTGAAACCCTGTCTGCTAAAAATACAAAAATTAGCTGCTGGGTGTGGTGGTAGGTGCCTGTAATCCCAGCTAATTGGGAGGCTGAGACAGAAGAATTGCTTGAACCCAGGAGGCAGAGGTTGCAATGAGCCGACATTGCGCCATTATACTCCAGACTAGGTGACAGAGCAAGACTTCATCTCAAAAAAAAAAAAAAAAAAAAAATTGTAGAAGTGTTTTCTATCCCTAGTTGAGAACTGAAGAAGAGAAATCTAACCAGAGAATTTGGTAAGCACATCTTATATGCATTTTTTAAAGACATTAATTCCAGTTATCCCTGGTACTGGGACTGCAGGTGATTTTAATTATCTCCTTTGTGTTCTGTGTTTCTCCAGGGCCACTGTTAATTTTATAATTAGCTTAAAATTTGTTCAAATAAAGTAAATATTATAAAGAGAAATTGTCTTCAGTAGTTAAGAAAAGGATGAAATTTTGAGTTTGAGGGTAACTAGGCTGGGCATAGTGGATTATGCCTGTAATCCCAGCACTTTGAGAGGCTGAGGCTGGTGGATCACTTGAGGTCAAGAGTTCGAGACCAGCCTGGCCAACATGGTGAAACCCCATCTCTACAAAAAATACAAAAATTAGCTGGGCATGGTAGCATGTGCCTGTAGTCCCAGCTACTCAGGATAATTGCCTGAACCCGGGAGGCAGAGGTTGGTGTAAGCCTAGATCATGCCACTAAACTCCAGCCTGGGGAAGAGACAGAGCAAGGCTCTGTCTAAAAAAAGAAAAGCAAGAAAGAAAGAGAGAGAGAGAGAAAGAAAGAAAGAAAGAGAGAGAGAGAGAAAGAAAGAAAAAGAAAGAAAGAAAGAAAGAAAGAAAGAGAAAGAAAGAAAGAAAAATAAACTTTGACTTTGAGGGTAATGAAAAATTGGAACAGTTTCCTAAGAAAGATAATCATAATTTCCATTTCTGTAAAACTTTATAAAATTGTATTAGACATCTTTGGTTTAAATTTTCATTTGTTAAAGGCTATGGTGGATCAGATGACCTTTTGCCACAAAGCTTTCATAGCAACCGAAGAGCAGTGTTTAGAATATTTTTCACTTAAATAATGAGGAAGAACAGGGCTGACTGCACGAGGTGGAAGAATCCAGATTGTGCAAATGGTCTTCCGTTCTGCAGCCTCTCTGCAGTTGTTGTGGGTTATTAGACTTCCGAGATCTAAATATTCTCCCAGAGTGTAGGAAACTCCTCCTAAAGTTTTACATAAAATATAATCTCATTATTTCAGAAATAGACTGGGTAAAACTAGTACCATGAGAAGAAACAAGCTTTTCAGTTAAGACCGAGTTTAATTCTGGTTTTTCTAAGAAATAAAGACTTTTATTTGTTTGATTCCAGAGAACCTCAGGGGACACCCGACTGAGACAAACTGAAAAGTTAGAAGAAAGAATTTCCAGATTCCAAAAATAATTCAACAGAATGACTCTTTTCAGAACGTTAGACAAACCTGTATTCTGTAGGTATGTTTTAGAATCTCATAGGTAATCACAAGATTATAGATGACAGGGAAGATGAAAAAGTCAAGGAAGCTATCAAAGTATTGGAAATGGGCTGGGTGTGGTGGCTCACGCCTGTAATCCCAGCACTTTGGGAAGCTGAGGTGGGCAGATCACCTGAGATCAGGAGTTCAAAACCAGCCTGGCCAACGTGGTGAAATCCCATCTCTACTAAAAATACAGAAATTAGCCAGGTGTGGTGGCATATGCCTGTAATCTCAGCTACTCGGGAGGCTGAGGCAGAAGAATCACTTGAACCCCGGAGGCAGAGGTTGCATTGAGCCAAGATCACACAACTGCACTCTAGCCTGGGCAACAGAGTGAGACTCTGTATCAAAGAAGAAAGAAAAAGCATCAGAATTGGCAAAACTGGAGGAAAAGAACAAAAAATGAAGAGAACATCAGATAGGTTACGAAGATAATCAGTTTGGGTCAATTCCCCTAAAACATGGGAGCTGCCATAGACCCCTCAAGGCAATAGTTTTCAATTGGGAACCATTTGGGTCCCCAAGAAGTTATCTGGCAACGCATGAAGACATTTTTGGTGGTGGGTGCTACTGGCTTCTAATAAGCACAGGCATACTGCTAAACATCCTATAATGCACAGGAAAACCCCTTAAAACAATCCAAAATATCAACTGTGCCAAGATTGAGAAACCCTACATTGAAGAATACTGGCCCTACAGAAACACTGAACAGACACTGTAATTCACAAAGGGAATGTTATTAATACAGCTACCTATAAAGAAATACCAAGGAAGCTGGGCGTGGTGGCTCACACCTATAATCCCAGCTTTTTGGCTGATTCAGGCGGATCACCTGAGGTCAGGAGTTCGAGACCAGCCTGATCAACATGGAGAAACCCGGTCTCTACTTAAAAATACAAAATTAGCCAGGAGTGGTGGCGGGCCCCTTTAATCCCAGCTACTCAGGAGGCTGAGGCAGGAAAGTCGCTTGAACCTGGGAGGCAGCGGTTGCGGTGAGTCGAGATCGTGCCACTGCACTCCAGCCTGGGCAACAAGAGCGAAACTCCATCTCAAAAAAAAAAAAAAAACTACCAAGGAATAGCTACCTATAAAGAAGTCTCCCCAAGTTAACTGAATACTTAAAATTTGAATACTTAATGGTTTTGTCCTTAATCCCCGTTGGACCACTTTGATAAGGGCTACTGTGTGTCTGAGTGACCAACCCATGCCAGTTTGCCCAGGACTGTCCTGGTTTTAGCACTGAAAGGACAAATGAAGCCATTCTGTCCGCCAAGAGTACAGTGATATTTGGTCATCTGGAATTTTCTCTCTTTTGAAGAGAAACCTCAGATTCCTTCATGGTTTCCTCTGTGCTTGTTCTCACACATTACCAAGCTCCTGAGGCCTGGCTCCAGCAGGGAGAGAAAGGGTCTGATCTCAGAGGTGCTCTCTGATCCAGAGGAAGCCCAGAAGAAATGGGGGCCTGCCAGTGCTGGTGGCCAGGAGGGCATTGTTAATAGCTCATCTGGTTCTGTCGCCACCCAAGGCAGGGTTCTCCTTTGGATCGGACACTGGGGAAGTGTTCCTTCCCTGCAGGCTCACATAGCTTGCTAAGAGGCATCTTTCCTCACCTCCTCCTGGGGCAGTGCCCCAGGCAATGGAATGCATTCCTTGAGAAAGGATCCCTTACATGCTTTCCCTTATCTTTCCCAGATTATGCCCTTTCTTCAGCCTATTTCTTTTTTTCTTTCTCTTTTCTGTTTTTTTTTTTTTTTTGGGGGGGGGCGGAGACAGGGTCTCCCCCTGTCACCCACAATCATATTTATGCCTGATCAATTTTTTAAAAAAATTTTTTTGTAGAGATGGGGTCTTGCTATGTCGCCCAGGCTGGTCTTGAACTCCTAGCCTGAGCAACATAGCAACAGCCACCATGCCTGGCCTCCAAGCCTATTTCTTACAAAGGTGAAACTTTCTAACTACTACCTAGCCCCTGTGATCAACTTACATAACATATATGAAAGCATTTTGGAAACTGTAAAATATCAGACAAACGTAACATACTAACATCACAATGAGAAATCATTTGTCATTTTTCTTTTTTAAAAGAGACAGGGTCTCACTCTATCGCCCAGGCTGGAGTGCAGTGGCATGATCATGGATGGCTCACTGCAGCCTCAAACTTCTGGCCTCAAGTGATCCTCTTGCCTGAGCCCCTCAGGGTGCTGGGATTACAGGTGCAAGCTCAGCTCATTTCTATTTTTGAAGTTAGCAACTGAGGGTTGTTTCACTTTCTAGATACTTTAAATTCCCGTGTGGCAGGCACTGTTGTAAACACTTTGCATGTGTTATCTCATATAATATTCACAGAAATCCTGATGATGATGATGATGATACCCATTTTATAGATGAAGAAACTGAGATAGGATGACATTAAATAACTTTCCCAGGGTCACAGAGCTGGTGGAGCTGAGTGATTAGATTCAGACAGGCTGGCTCCAAAGTCCATGCTGAATGCTACCTGTGACTCAAGCCAGGAGAAAAAAAGGAGTTGCTCAAATAAAGCGTCCCTGGCAGTAACGAATCATTAACTTTCAGCCCACTCCAAGGAATGGGTGGCCTGAGGGTCACGTGCTAAAGAGGAAACCCTGAGTGAGTCAATCATGAACACATGACTGTTCTTAGTTCCTTATAGGTTTGCTTCCTCAAATAGCCTTCCTGGAGTGCTGAGCCAAGAGATGGATTGGGACCAGTTTCAGTTCTGGGAAAGGGGCTGAACCCCATCTAGCCAATGCCTGCACCCACGCTTCAGCTCTGTGCATGCTGGTGGCCGAATCTAACACAGGCCACAGGGACTTCCTCAAACTGGGAAATGCCTGCTCATGTTGTCAAGAGTCCTCAGCAACAGCTTGTTTGCCGACTAAACAAGGCTGCCACCTCACACAGGCAGCCTCAGAAAGATCAGGGAGTTAATAGTTACATGAAGACAGCTCAGAGAACAGCTCAAGTGACAGTCCAGACAAATGCAGATCGTATAATGGGTACCTGGTTAGATTCTGTTTAAAAAAAAAAAAAAGGATGTTCCTCTCTGCTATTTATTCCCTGTTCCAATTTTTTTAAAAATCCTGTTTTCCCTTTCCTGATCCTCCCTTATGGTATCTCATACTTAAAAAAAAAAAAAGTCTGGGATAAGCTGATAGTCACAAAGAAACAGGAATGCAACAAACCAGAAACCCAAAGCCCCAAATCTCTGCCTTATCACAGACCGTTTAAAACTCTGGAGTTTTTTCCTACTTCAGCACATATCTCAAGATTAGATAAATGTGGTACCATTGTGTTACTCCCTGGTGAAGAAACCAACAAACTGTCCAATAAAAATTACAGGAAGCTAGGAGCGGTGGTGCGTGCGTGTAGTCCCAGCTACTCAGGGGGCTGAGATGGGAAGATGGCTTGAGCCTAGGAGGTCAAGGCCAGCCTAGACAACACAGCAAGACCTCTTCTCTTAAAAAAAGAAAAAAAGAATTATAGGAGGTCACTGTTTTGGACTAAACTTCTGCAACTAGGGCCCAATAGACCAGACTGAAAATCAAAATGGAGTCACCCAGGCTAAAGTTCCACATCACAAAACAGAAACTAAGTTGTTGTCTGACCTTCTCAGTAATCAGGACGAAGAAATAACACCAAATTTCTTAAATGGGCCAGTTTCAAATCTTTAATTGGCATAATGAAACTCCCTGCTTTAATCCTTAAAGTAATCTGATGTTATTTTTCTGTTGTTCTGTCTCCTGTTGTCCCATTCCTTACAAAAAAAGTATCTTTGAAACAATTAATATACTTTAAGTTCTTTCCTTCTACTTTATAAAGCCAAGCTCTTCTGCTCGGCTGACTGGAACCCTTTTCCTATAATATGGAAGGAAGTGTTGCCCGATTCTAGAAACTCAAATAAAAGCAATTGAGAACTTTAAACTAAATTTGTTGCAATTTTGTCTTTTGACACATAGGATTTTCCTCCTGACACTTATAGACAATTGTAGAATAAATGGCCTCCCTCTGCCTCCATTTTCTACTTCCATTCATTTTCAGTGTTCTTAGCTTTTTCTTTCTACATGCCCACCACTTAGATTTCATTGTTCTTCCATCTGAAAGCTTTGCTTATGGCCTTTTCTATCATTTTCTCTTCTACCTTAACTTCTAGAGTTATTATGTTACCTAGGACAAGAGATATGACTTCTCACTGCCTCAGTTCCTCATCTGTAAATGGTGCTGTGTAGCAGGGCCTGCTGTAAGGGCTAAGGGGTAACGCACACAAAGTGCTTGGCACAATGCTACACACAGTAGGTGCTCAAAATGTGATAGCAAGCTGGGCACGATGGCTCACGCCTGTAATTCCAGCACTTTGGGAGGCCAGGGAGGGCAGATCACTTGAGGTCAGGAGTTCAAGACCAGCCTGGGCAATATGGTGAAACCCCATCTCCACTAAAATAACAAAAAATTAGCCAGACATGGTGGCGTGCACTTGTACTCCCAGCTACTCAGGAGGCTGAGGCAGAAGAATCACTTGAACCTGGGAGGCGGAGGCTACAGTGAGCCAAGATCATGCCACTGCACTCCAGCCTGGGCAACAGAGCGAGACTCTATCTTAAATTAAAAAAAAAAAAAATGCAGCCAGGCACGGTGGCTCACGCTTGTAATCCCAGCACTTTGGGAGGCCAAGACTGGCGGATCACGAGGTCAGGAGACTGAGACCATCCTGGCTAACACACTGAAACCCCATCTCTACTAAAAATACAAAAAATTAGCTGGGCATGGTGGCACGCGCCTGTAGTCCCAGCTACTCAGGAGGCTGAGGCAGGAGAACCACTTGAACCCGGGAGGTGGAGGTTGTAGTGAGTCGAGATCATGCCACTATACTCCAGCCTGGGTGACAGAGCGAGACCCTGTCTCAGAAAAAAAAAAAAAAAAAATGCAATAGCAAAGAAACAAATTGGATGGGAATAACTAGTTCAGATTCTCTAGGTAAAACTCTATAACTTTAAGGGTAATTATTTAAAAGTTATTAAAATTATAAAAAATAAGATCTGACTTAAGTGGGAACTAGATTACCTATTTTAGGGAGATGATATGAAGAAAATTTACCCATCTTATGGAGGTGGTTCAAATCAGAGCACTTCTCCATACACGAGTCAATCTACATTCCCAAGAAGCTCTGAAGCATTTTTCTCTGTGGGTCTTTGCTGGAGTTATTACATTGAGAAAGTAAACTTTAGGGTAATTTTTTTTTTTTTTTTGAGACTAGGTCTCACTCTGTCACCCAGGCTGGACTGCAGTGGCACAATCACAGCTCACTGCAACCTCTGCCTCCCTGGCTCAAGGGATCCTCCTACCTCAGTCTCCCATGTAGAGGTGACCACAGGTGCACACTACCATGCCTGTCTATTTTTTTAAATTATTTTTTATTTTTGTAGAGACAGGGTCTCGCCTTGTTGCCCAGGCTGGTCTTGAACTCCTGGGCTCAAGGGATCTTCCTGCCTTGACCTCCCAAAGTGCTGGGATTACAGGAGTGAGCCACCGCTTCCGGCCTACTTTTAGAGGATTTATAAATTCGAATTGGTCTAAGTTCCAACATGCCAAATATCCTGGACCTCTCACCAGTAAAAAATTTTCCTTCAGTTGAACTTGGTTTAGTTAGCAAAGTCAAATGAGTCCACTTCATGGATATTTTCTAAATGTGTTTCCTCATACTTTTTTTTTTTTAACTCTTAGAATCCAAGTGACTCATCTGTGTGCTTGAATCCTTTCCACTGTCTCATCTCCCTCATCCAAGTTTCTAGTACCTTCTCTTTGTTGTGAAGGATAATCAAACTGAACAACAAAAAGTTTACTCTCCTCATTTGGAACCTAAAAACTCTCTTCTTCCTGGGTCTGAGGGCTCCAAGAATCCTTGAATCAGTTCTCAGATCATTGTGGACACCAGATCAGGAACCTCAGGCACGTGGGAAGGCCAGATAATTAGGAGGGATGCTGAAGAGAAAGCCCGATGACCACAGCACGGTGATGGTTTAAAGGCCTTGAAATTTGGTTACCATCATTCCCCAACCCACCAACCGCCCATGGGCTGCATTCACCAGCACGCACTGGCAGCCGCAGCCACCCGTTCTCTTTCCTTGCATTGCTGAGCAAGTTTCCCATATCATTCAGTTAGGCTCAGCTCTCACACATATTGAGGAATGATCCCTACCACTGCTCGCACATGAATGGGAAAGGATGTACAATACATAAAGGCAGAGACAGGAGAATTTCAGACAGTGGTAAAAGTTGTGAGGTAAATAAAGCAGAGGAATGGGACAGAGATTAACAGAGATTGGTGAGAGAGAGAAGGCCACTCTGATATTTGTGCTGAGAGTTGAACAAAGAGACAGGGAGCCTAGCAAGGATCTAGGGAAAGAGCAATCTAGGCACAAACAAGGGCAAACGCCCCATGGCGGGAACAGGTTTGTTCATTTTGTTTTCGCTTTAATTCCAGGAACAAGAATCTGTGGCTGGAATCTGGTAATGGAGGCAGAGGTGGGAGCACAGAGGTTGGGAGGTGGCCAGAGGTCATGAGCTGAAAAACTCATGAGCCATAGGAGGGAGCTTGGGTTTTAGTCTAAAGAAAAGGAGAAAGCCGGGCACGGTGGCTCAGGCCTATAATCCCAGTACTTTGGGAGGCCGAGATGGGAAGGTTGCTTGAGTCCAGGAGTTCGAGACCAGCCTGGACAATATAGTGAGACCTCATCTCTACAAAACATTTAAAAATTAGCTGAGCATGGTGACATGCGCCTGTAGTCCCAGCTACTCGAGAGGCTGAGGTGGGAAGATCCCTTGAGTCCGGGAAGCAGCGGTTGCAGTGAGCCGAGCTCACACCACTGCTTCCAGCCTGGGTGACAGAGCGAGAACTTGTCTCAAAAAAAAAGTAATAATAAATAAATAAATAAATAAATAAATAAATAAAAGGAGAGGTCATTGGAGAGTGTTAAGCTTGCAGGGGGACTCTGGGGAAGATGAAGAATGAGAAAGCATCTCATAGAGATGGTTTGTTTGGTTTCTTGGAGGAAGACTTCTTCCAGGTTGATACAATCTACTTGTGAGTGGATGAGAAGGTGGGGGTGGTGGGGGAAGAGGTGAGATTAAATTATCTCTTCTTCAGAAGACAGCTCAGAAACCACAGACAGAAAATGCCTTAAAAGATAACCAGAGAGCCTTCAGGGTGTGTGTGAAGAGAGGCTGCAGCCCAGGTGTATGGCATCAGTCCTGCAAGAGGGAAAAGAAGTGAAAGGGAGCTTCAGCAGCTCCCACAGTCACAGAGCTCGGGAGCCCAGCTGTCTCCTGAACGCCAGCCCCAGGAGCAACCAGACCTCCCTCCTCCACTCTGTGAGCAGCGCCTCAAGCTCACCATATCCAATGCTGAC
The DNA here is from genome assembly GCF_000001405.40 of Homo sapiens. Classification (NCBI taxonomy): domain Eukaryota; kingdom Metazoa; phylum Chordata; class Mammalia; order Primates; family Hominidae; genus Homo; species Homo sapiens. The sequence goes on from NC_000004.12 coordinate 40,581,926, forward strand.
CTCATTATCTCCCCCGAACCCGCTTCCCCTCCTCTGCACCCATCTTAGCAAGTGGATCGCCATCCCCCAGGTCCCTACACCAGAATCCCGGTTGGCGCCTCTCACTCCTGCTCCTACACTCCCTTCACCCAGTCAGTCACTGAGGCTTACTGAGTCCACTCCCAGAACCCATCTCGAATCTTCATGTCTCATCTCCCTCTTACTATCCCTGCAGCCTATGTCTTAGTTCAAGTTCTTCACTCAGACCCTCACTATAGCTTACTAACAGGTGCCATTCCTAACTCTAGTCCTTGTTGCCAAACTAATCTTTCCAAAACTAAGATCTGGGCCAGGCATAGTGGCTCACGCCTGTAATCCCAGCACTTTGGGAGGCCAAGGCAGGAGGATCACCTGAGGTCAGGAGTTCAAGACCAGCCTGGTCAACATGGTAAAACCCCGACTCTACCAAAAATACAAAAATTAGCCAGGTGTGGTGGTGCGTGCCTGTAATCCCAGCTACTTGGGACGCTGAGGCAGGAGAATCGCTTCAACCCAGGAGGTGGAGGGTGCAGTGAGCCGAGATTATGCCACTGTACTCCAGCCTGGGCAACAGAGCAAGACTCCATCTCAAAACAAACAAACAAACAATAAAAACAAAAACTAGGATCTGATGACATCACTCACTACCAATAGTCAGCAAAGCATTCCAGGATCTGTTCCCTGCCTCACTCCAACTCCATCCTTCCGTACTATGACCCCATATGCCATACAAACTTGTCACGTTTCCTGAACACATTCTTCTGGCTCCGGGCTGTTTCATGTGTTGCACTGAGCCCTCTACCTGTTTCTTCTTCAACCTTATACCCTACTCTCAACGCCTAGTCAGTCATCAAAACCATTCAATTGTCACCTCCTCTACAAAGTCTAGTCACCACCCTGGTAGAATCCATGTCTCATTACCACCCTTGCCCATGCTGTACTCTCTTCCAACTCTATCAGAGCAACTGTAACATTGCATTGCCCTTATTTATAAACTCTTTCTGCTAGTGAATAAGCACCTCGAAGGCAGCTTAGCACATAGCAAGTGCTCAATACACACTCAAAAATCAAACTAGTAGAGTAAGTGGAATGTGCGAAGTACAGAAGAGACAGGGAAAAGGAGCTTCAAGGTTATGGGTTAATTGCAGAATGGGAATAAAGAACAAGAAAGAGCAAAGGGAGACAAAAGCAAGGTCAGGCCGGCCAAGCACAGTGGCTCACGCCTGTAATTCCAGCATTTACTGGGAGGCTGAGGTGGGCAGATCACTTGAGTCCGAGAGTTCAAAACCAGCCTCCGTCTCTACTAAAAATACAAAAAAAATTAGCTGGGCATGGTGGTGCACACCTGTAATCCCAGCTACTTGGGAGGCTGAGGCACAAGAATCACTTGAACCTGAGAGGTGGAGGTTGCAGTGAGCCGAGATCACGCCACTACTCCATCTCAGAAAAAAAAAAAAAAAAAAAAAAAAAAGGGAAACAGAAGCTGGACAAGGTGATGCACGCCTGTAGTCCCAGTTACTTGGGAGGCTGAGGAAACTCCTGGCCTCAGGAGTTCAACACTAGCCTGGGCAATGTAGTGAGACCCTGCCTCTAAAAAATATTAATTAACTAATTAATTCTTAAAAGCAGAATGGGCCAGGCGCGGTGGCTCATGGCTGTAATCCCAGCACTTTGGGAGGCCGAGACGGGTGGATCATGAGGTCAGGAGATCGAGACCATCCTGGCTAACACGGTGAAACCCCGTCTCTACTAAAAATACAAAAAATTAGCCGGGCGCGGTGGCGGGCGCCTGTAGTCCCAGCTACTCGAGAGGCTGAGGCAGGAGAATGGCGTGAACCCGGGAGGCAGAGCTTGCAGTGAGCCAAGATCACGCCACTGCACTCCAGCCTGGGCGAGAGAGCGAGACTCCGTCTCAAAAAAAAAAAAACAAAAAACAAAAAACAAAAAAACCAAAAAGCAGAATGATTAAATATATTTTGTGATTTATTATAACATGGAATTTGTTTAAAATGCAAATCTACCATCAAACTCTGCATTTATTTTTTTGAGACAGGGTCTTGCTCTGTCACCCTGGCTGGAGTGCAGTGACGCAATCTTGGCTCACTGCAGCCTCCAGGCTCAAGCGATCCTCCTACCTCAGCCTCAGAGCAGCTGAGACTACAGGCACGCACCAACATGCCCCGCTAATTTTTGTGTTTTTTATAGAGATGGAGTTTCACCATGTTGCCCAGGCTGGTTTTGATCTACTTGGCTCAAGCAGTTCTCCTGCTCCGGCCTCCCAATGTGCTAGGATTACCAGTATGAGCCACCGTGCTGGGCTGGTTGTTCACTTATTAAACTGAACACGTCACACATCATGACACTCCCCCAAGGTAAGCTGGTAAAAACCCTGTGAGCCATGACATGGAAACTTCCACTCCAATCCATCAGACCAGTGTTGTCCATTATAAATGCAATGGGAGACACGTATTTGATTAATTTTCTAGAAGCCACATTTTAAAAGCGTAAAAAACAGGTGACAATTTTAATAATATATTTCATTTAACCCAACATATCCAAAACATTGTCCTTTCAACATGTAATCAGTATAAAAAACTATTAAACTGAGATATTTCATATTCCTTTTTACATTTACAGCACATCTCATTTTGGATGCTAGATTTCAACAGAAATACTTGGTATGTATTGCATAAAATTTACAGTAAAAAAAGTAGATCTCACACACACACACCTACATGTTGCCTCAAATGTACTTACAAGCTTCCCAATAAAGTTGTGTTTAACAAAAAAAAATGTACATGGCTTCAGTTTTTAAATTCAAATTAATTAAAATAAAAGATTCAACTCAGTTGCGCCAGCCACATTTCAAGAGCCACAGGTGACTGGTGGCTCTTATATCAGATGGCACAGCTATAGATCATGTGTGTTTGTTTGTTTGTTTGTTTTCTAATGCTCAAAATGGAAAGATCAGAAAGCTGATGGAGTCTCAGCTAGTGATACAAAGAATCTGTTCCAACTAATGGAGGCGCAGTGACCATATCTACAGGTTCCACTAAAGTTGCACAACCTGTGGCTGAAAATTAAGGCAGAGAAAATGACTAGGGGACATTATTAATTCACTACTTTGCTTTTCTAACAGGTTTCATTCGGGGTCATTAAGTGAATACCTAGTCCATGTGACTGGACTACTTAAAGTTTTATCCTCACAAATCCTTGTTTGCAAAATCAAGAAAACTAAGAGGATTAAGTGTTTCCATGTTAGTTAAACTAGGAAAACAGAGTTGCTGCTATTTATTTTAAAACTTTGCTGTCCATAGGGGAAAAAAATGGGTATGGAATGGAATTTGTGAGCCAAATGAAAAAGAAAAGAGGAAAATGAGATCAAGTTCCTTTGAGCCTAATTCATATGGATCTTCCATTTCAGAGCCCCAGAACAAGCTTTCAATCATCAAGAACTATGACTTTTATTGTAGAGGTAAGAAAGCAACAAAATCGCCCCATAAATATTCCTAATTGTTTCAATAGGCTCTAATAAACTGACTTTTAAAGATCTTGTGTAAAGAAAAAGCACGTACATTATAACTGCCTATTGTTATAGGCCTATTGCCTCATACTAGCAGCCTTGATTAGCCAGAGTAACCACAATAGGTGGGGTGTGGTGGGGAGTTTTCAAGGCAAAGCCTGTCTTAGCACCCATACTTCACAACAAAACCAAAGCGAACCCAAGCAGTCCCACATGACAAAGGTGTTCCGGCACACGATCAAGCACGGTTTATTAACCATGCCCCTGCTATCAGTAATGTGACTGTGATGGGTCATCCATCAAGCACGGCACATAGGACACAGCATCTGTCGTTCACTGCTGATGCCCAGCAGCAAATATCATATCTGGCAAACAGCAAGCACTCTAGACCTATGTGTTGAATGAGTGGATGAATTAACACATTCTAGGGAACAGAGCAGAGTGGGCATTCTGTGGAAGTCTGGAAGCAGGTAAGCAGGACGGTACTCTTTATCTCTGGCTTCCTCCCCCAACACCAAGCTCCTTCTCTATAAAGTACATTTGATGGTTTCAAAGCTACTCAGCCCGAGTGTTACTAAATGCCCAGCACTATGCAAAACGCCATGGGGCAGAAATCCATAAGAGGGGATACACTTCTTGCAGAATTAACATGTTAGGGAGATAGCATAAATCCCCCCACCCTCACCACACCCCCACTTCACTCTCCTCTGCACTGTGCTGAATGTGAGCATAACTGCATTGGATTCTGATCGGTTCATCCTGCTGAGGTTTGAGGTAAAGAACTCTGTTGAGTCATGGAGGTTGTGTAAGTGTCTTTCCAAAAGATTGTGATAATTCTTACTGTCAAACACCTTGAAAAGAAGAGGTTCCTCAAACCAGAGAAAGAGAGTCTGGAAGGTAAGCCTTTGACCACCAGGAGACAGAAACAGAGTTAGGGGCTTTTCTCCTGGGTGTGGAGTCAGACTTTTTGAAAGCAGGCATGTTGGAGGGTGCTCCTGGGTAAGAAGGGGTTAATGGCAAGGGCTGTTGCAGGGAAATGGGAGGGAGAGAGTAGAGGCAGAGATGAAAACGCCTTACCCTGTTAACCAGAACAGCCATTGCATATTCCGTTCTGGGTTAATTCCACCCCAAGCATCCTAGATCCAGCTTGGCGCTCCGTCCACTTTTCAAGTGAGAATGGGACTCCTGAGAACAGGCAGGCAGGGGCAATGGTAATTGATGAGCGCTGGCCAACGAGAAGGTGGACCTTGGAAGCAAGAGTCACAGTGAAGAAGGCAAAGACCCCACCGGTGACCTCTCTCCATTGTGAACTTTCATGACGGGTGTCTTCTGGGGTTTCCTTATAGAAGACAGTGCACACAGTCACAGTGGGTCAATCCAAGACAGTGGCACGGTATGAAGGGGCAGGAGGGGATTCACAACAGCTGTGTGCAGGCAGCTGCCAAGCATTTCAGACAACGGCATGACCTTGGGCACATCACGTGATTTCCTCGGGCCTTAGTGTTCTCATTTATAAAATGAGGGGTTTAGTAATATCCACATTACTAAAGGGAACTTCCTGCTCCGGCATCAGCTACCACCCTAAACACTCAAATGTGTGATACAGGCAAAGGGCTGGAAGAGCCGTGAGGAGGGGTCCACCTGGGGTGCATGGAAAGGGCTTTGTGAAGAGGCAGGACTCTGAACTGGGGCTGAGGAGGAGGAGGAAGATTCAGGCATCTAGAGACAAGCGGGGGAAAACGGGAAGAACAGTTTGAACAGACTCAGAGGCTAGGATTTGGGAATATATGGGGTGCATCTGGGGAAATCCTCACTGCTGACTCAGGAGAGCATATTAAGGGGCCACAGGTAGTGCTCAGGGAGGAACTGTGGGGCAGGGATGGGGGTTAACACTAAGAAGAGACCAGAAGGCCCTGACCACCCTCACTTTCCCTCAGTCTCCAAACATCTATCCATTCAATAAACATTTATGAAGCGCTAGGAGCCAGGGGCAGGGAACACACAGAAAGAGAAAAAGAAGACACTGTAAATATGAAGACATAATAAGTGGAACTGCCCCTTCCTTCTGCTTCTAAGAACCCTTTTCCCCTTGGGGCATGTTTTGCAGTTTAACTTGATTTCACCAAATAACACATTGGAGGAATGGGGTGGGGAATTCTCAGAACCTTTACTTAAAAGGGAAAGACCTTCCAGCACTTTCCTTAACCCTCCTGAGCCTTGGTTTCTCTATCTAGATAATGGGCGTCATAACACCCCTCAAAGGTAAGAATTACCTGAGTTGGAGAGGTGATGCCACGGTAAATAGGATTGCTAATAAAATGAGACAAGTAAATAGTAATGCTGACATGCTGGTTACTGGTATTTTGACTGTTTTCATTTCAGAGGAGGAAAAAGGACAAAATTGCAGTTCCAAGGAATTATAGTGAGTTGCTCAAGGCAAGGGTGACTAAGCCAGCCCTGAAATGGGGCCTCAGGCTGCCCTCGGCTAGACAACACCATGGGTAATATTGCAGCCTACATTTCTTCTTTTTGTCAGCAACATGATAGAATCTCTTTTTTGCCTGGCCAGTTCATGGGGCCCTGCAATTCAGAGGACCAGTGGCACACAGCAAACACAAAGCCACGAGGTGTACTGGGGTGCAGCCAAAGACAGTTGCCACATAAAATAAAGGATACGCAGTAAATCTGAATATCAGATAAGCAACCAATAATTTTCATTTGCTAAATATAGTAACCTTAGACCAACAAGAAAGTCAGGGCTGCCTACAGGGTGAGTCCAGCAGGCTTTGGGGGGAACATTCCAGCTTCCCAGGGCTCTATCATTTAAAATGCAACGCTCCTCAACCAAGGTAATCACTCCTGGGCCAGTTTCCCTTTCAGGATTCAAAGTCCCAAAATTGAACACTCAAAGAAAATAATGACAAGGACCTAGAAGGTCCTTACACATGTCTAATTCAAACTGAACCTTTCCTCAAAGGAGGACCATCATAGGAAGAAGTGTTAGGGTCAGGGAGCAAGCTATGTTACTCTCTTGAAAACACGAAATTATGGACAGCATAAAAGATTTGATTTCTGAAATTCACACAGCAGGTCACTGACAGGGATGAGAGCCTAGAAGGTATGGTGGTAGCTAGACTTCGATCCAGCACACACATTTATTTTAGCTACATCCATCTCCATCTTCTCAGATGCCCGTTGGAGATAGCTGCCTGGTTAGTCTTGGGGTGTAGTAATGAGCCATTACAAGTATAAATTACTTTCTTAGAATGAAGACTCCAAAAAGAGATCCTGAATTTACTGGCCCAAGGGAGGAGACTGCATCATTAGTTAATAAGCAGGAGCAACAAGGAGAGACATTGGCATAGTTCAGCAACAGGGGCACTGGAATCGTGGCCGACGTGTTTGCTGTTATGTTCTCTTTCAGTCCCTTTTTGTGTGCCATCAAAAACTCTGGGATTTGATTAGAAATTGCTTAAGTTTTAGTTTTAGGGGAAAGAGGTTAGAGGAATAATAGCTAAAGCGTTTCTTTTTTTTTTTTTTTTTTTTTTTTTTGAGACAGTGCAGTGGCGTGATCTCGGCTCACTGCAACCTCCACCTCCCGGGTTCAAGTGATTCTCCCACCTCAGGCTCCCAAGTAGCTGGGATTACAGGCACACACCACCATGCTCAGCTAATTTTTTTAGTAGAGATGGGGTTTCACCATGTTGGCCAGGCTGGTCTCGAACTCCTGACCTCAAGTGATCCACCTGCCTTAGCCTCCCAAAGTCCTGGGATTATAGGCGTGAGCCACAGCACCCGGCCCAAAGGTTTCTTTTTGAAGTGATTAAGATGTTCTAAACTTACTGTGTAAAATGATTGTTGAAATGTTCCCAAACTGTGTGAGGGTTGCACATGCCTGTGAATATACTAGCATCCATTGAACTGTACAATGTAGTTTTTATTTATTTATTTATTTACTTATTTTTTATTTTTTTGAGATGGAGTCTCGCTCTGTCTCCCAGAGCCTGCTTTCCATGCTGGAGTGCAGTGGCACAATCTCAGCTCACTGCAACCTCCACCTCCTGGGTTCAAGCCATTCTCCTGCCTCAGCCTCCCAAGTAGCTGGGATTACGAGCACACACCACCATGCCTGGATAATTTTTTTGTATTTTTAGTAGAGACGGGGTTTCACCATGTTGGCTAGGCTGGTCTCGAACTCCTGGCCTCAAGTGATCCACCCGCCTCGGCCTCCCGAAGTGCTGGGATTGCAGGCGTAAGCCACCGCGCCCAGTCTGAACTGTACAATTTAAAAGGGTGAATTGTACAACATATGAATAATATCTTAATAAAGCTGTTTTTAATTCTGGCATTTAGGAACATGAGGAGCACATAAGACACTGATCAAGAACACTAATCATAAGTACCTGGAGGGGCAACAAAGGCAATGAGACAGGCGGCGGCTTTCATTTCTTCTTTTCTACTTTTGATAGAATCCTGAGCCCAACAATCTTTCACTTTCCCCTTAACGCCTATTAGAAAAAAAAAACAGCAGCTCAAATGTTTCCTGACCTTCAGGCTCATCAAGGTTTGGGGGCTATGATGAATTGAGAAGCCTTTCCCCAAACATTAGGGACAGAAGCCCACACTCCATTCTAGCTGAGAGTTGCCAGATCGGGGAATAGGCCAGGTACTGAGAAAGTTTTTTTGTAACAAGATGGAAATCTAGACGTGTGCACGCCTGTGTGCCTGTGTAACATCTTAAATTTTAAACATTGTCAACTGATTCACTTTTTAAAGATCGGAGCTGGGCATGGTGGCTCACACCTATAATCCCAGCGACTCCAGAGGATGACACAGGAGGATTGCTTGAGCCCAGAAATTTGAGGTGACGGCAGGCCATGATCATGCCACTGTACTCCAGCCTGGGCAACAGACTCTGTCTCTTTTTAAAAAAAAAACAAAAAAACCCCACAAAGACTGGGCAAGACAACAGTGCACAGAAGAGCAAGCAAACATCTTGGGGGCCTCCTATTACCTGTAAACTCTCTATTTGCAACCTCTCATCTTGGACCCCAGTCTCCAAGCCTTAGACACATTGCCTCACCTGGTGAATGACATTGTGAATAAGAGATCAGCTTTTAGCTTTGTTGTGGTTATCTTAAAAAGCAACAGCCCAAAGGGCGGAACAACCCAATATCCATCAACAGGTGAATGAATATACAAAATGTGATATTGTCCATTACAACAGAATATTATTCAGTCTTAAAGAAATGAAGTGCTGGACATGCCATAACATGGATGGACTGTGAGCATATCATGTTAAGTGAAAGAAGCCAGACACAAAAGTCCATATATTACATGATGCCTTTTCTTTTGAGATGGAGTCTCGCACTGTCACCCACGCTGGAGTGCAGTGGTGCGATCTTGGCTCGCTGCAATCTCCGCCTCCCAGGTTCAAGTGATTCTCCTCCCTCAGCCTCCTGAGCAGCTGGGACCACAGGCACCCACCACCATGCCTGGCTAATTTTTGTATTTTTAGTAGAGTCGGGGTTTCCCCGTGTTGGCCAGGCTGGTCTCGAACTCCTGACCTCAGGTGATCCACCTGCCTCGGCCTCCCAAAGTGCTAGGATTACAGGTATGAGCCACCACACCCTGCTGCATGGTTCCATTTATATGAAAAATCTAGAATAGGTAAATCCACAGAGACAGAAAGCACATCAGTGGTTGCCAGGGGCTGGGGGAAGGTGGGATGAGGAGTAACTTCTTAAATGGGGACAAGGGTCTCCTTGGGGGGTGATGAAAATGTGTTGGAAGTAGGTAGAGGTGATGGTTATACCATATTGTCAATCTACTAAATGCCACAGAATTGTATACTTTAAAATAGTTAACTTTACATTATGTAAATTTTGGTCTAAAAAAAGGCAACAACATCTGGGATAAGAAAATCAGATATGTGACCAAGCGTGGTGGCTCACACCTGTAATCCCAGCACTTTGAGAGGCCAAAGTGGGAGGGTTACTTGAGGTCAGGAGTTTAAGACCAGCCTTAAGACCAGCCTGGCCAACATGGTGAAACCCCATCTCAACTAAAAATACAAAATTAGCTGGGCGTGGTGGCATGACCTTGCAATCCCAGCTACTCGGGAGGCTGGGGCAGGAGAATTGCTTGAACCCAGGAGGCAGAGGTTGCAGTGAGCTGAGATCACACCATTGCACTCCAGCCTGGGCAACAGAGCAAGACTTCATCTCAAAAGGAAAAAGAAAAGAAGAAAAGAAGATATGTGGGGAGAATTTCACAGTTACCCTAATGAGTAATAGGTTCTACCTGAGACAAGGGCTCTCCAGAGCGTCAACACTGGAGTGGAGTTCTCTAGCCTTTTAGAGAGGGCACAGGACACGTACAAGTGAAGACATATGGCAGAAAGAGCACGTAATGCTCAGGAACTGGCAAGAATTTGGTGGGAGGTAAATTTATGTGAAAATGGAACCTCTCAAAGTTAATATATATTTTGGATGCCTAGGAGAGCTTCACCATGGTAATCTGAGAGAGCATCACTTCCCAAAACAATGCTTTACCCCTCAGGAAAAATGCTTGTTCATAAATAAAACAATGCTATGCTCATTTATAATAGGAGTCTCTCCATTTCCAGAAGTCCACCATTTCCCATTCAGATTTCAAATGCAGAATCTTTGACCTGTGACTCTGCAAAAACTAGCATCAAAGTAGAGTACAGGGGAATCATCCGTTTGCAATTATTAACTTATTTTCCTCTTATTTACACCACCTGGTATCACATTTACTTTTTCTTTTACTTTTTTTTTTTTTTTTGAGGCAGGTCTTACTGGGTCGCTCAGGCTAGAGTGCAGTGGTGCAATCACAGCTCACTGCAGCCTCAAATTCCTGGACTCAGCAGTCGTCCCACCTCAGCCTCCCTAATAGCTAGGACCACAGGCATCCACCTGGCTTAATCTTTTTTTTTTCTTTTTTTTTTTTTTTAAGACAGAGTTTCGCTCTTGTTGCCCAGGCTGGAGTGCAATGGCATGATCTCAGCTCACCGCAACCTCCGCCTCCTGGGTTCAAGCAATTCTTCTGCCCCAGCCTCCCATGTAGCTAGGATTACAGGCATGCGACACCATGCACGCCGAATTTTGTATTTTTAGTAGAGACGGGGTTTCTCTATGTTGGCCAGGCTGGTCTCGAACTCCCAACCTCAGGTGATCCGCCCACCTCAGCCTCCCAAAGTGCTGGGATTACAGGCATGAGCCACCGCGCCTGGCCAACTTTTGTATTTTTTGTAGAGACAGGGCCTCGCTATGTTATTCAGGCTGGTCTCAAACTCCTGAGCTCAGGCAATCTGCCTGCCTTGGCCTCCCAGTGAGCCACAGCACTCGACCCCTTATTTCTTCTTGTGAAACTGAAATGGCATCTGAACCTTAGTTAGGTTTACTAACGTCCTCATCCAATTTAGAATCAATGCAAACAATTTGGGACATATATATATATATATATATATATATATATATATATATATATATTTTTTTTTTTTTTTTTTTTTTTTTTTTTTTTTTGAGACGGAGTCTGGCTCTGTCGCCCAGGCTGGAGTCCGGTGGCGCGATTTTGGCTCACTGCAAGTCCGCCTCCCAGGTTCACGCCATTCTCCTGCCTCAGCCTCCCGAGTAGCTGGGACTACAGGCGCCCGCGACCACGCCAGGCTAATTTTTTTTTTGTATTTTTAGTAGAGACGGGGTTTCACCGTGTTAGCCAGAAGGGTCTCGATCTCCTGACCTCGTGATCCGCCCACCTTGGCCTCCCAAAGTGCTGGGATTACAGGCGTGAGCCGGGACATACATTTTTATAAAAACATTAAATAATTTTTTAATGTTTTTATAAAATGAAAGCACTGAATAATACCTTCAGTATTTAACAATGAAAGCACTGAATAATACCTTCAGTAGGGAGGCCCCTGGAAGATCGCTTTAGAAATACCTGAAACACTGATACACCTGTACATCCCTGCCAAGGGAATCGCTTAGAAAATCATTTTTCTCGGGAGGCCGAGGCAGGTGGATCACCTGAGGTCGGAAGTTAAAGACCAGCCTGACCAACATGGTGAAAGCCCATCTCTACTAAAAATACAAAAATTAGCTGGACACAGCTGGGCACGGTGGCTCACGCCTGTAATCCCAGCACTTTGGGAGGCTGAGGCGGGTGGATCACGAGGTCAGGAGATCGAGACCATCCTGGCTAACACGGTGAAACCCCGTCTCTACTAAAAATACAAAAACAAAATTAGCTGGGCGTGGTGGCGGGCACCTGTAGTCCCAGCTACTCGGGAGGCTGAGGCAGGAGAATGGCGCGAACCTGGGAGGCAGAGCTTGCAGTGAGCCGAGATCGCGCCACTACACTCCAGCCTGGGTGACCAAGCGAGACTCTGTCTCAAAAAAAAAAAAAAAAATTAGCCGGACGTGGTGGTGGGTGCCTGTAATCCCAGCTACTCAGGAGGCTGAGAGGCAGGAGAATCGATTGAACCCAGGAGGCAGAGGTTGCAGTGAGCTGAGATTGCGCCATTGCACTCCAGCCTGGGAAACAGAGCAAGACCCCATCTCAAAAAACAAACAAAAAAAAGAAAGAAAGAAAGAAAAGAAAATCATTTTTCTCTTCTCTACCCCCACCCCCGCTTCCACCCACTTCAAATATGAAAATCTCCACGCTGCCCTGTTTCCTCCACCAGCACTGTATAGGAATAAGAAAGACAACAGAAAGCATATTCTGCTATGGTCAGGAATATTTCTCTTAATTTGAGGGTACACACCTGAGGCCATTGCACACTGCTTCTCAGACTGGCTCTTTCTGAGATGTTTTGTAAAACAGCATGTTCCAGTGTCTTTCACATCTTTTGTACTGAGATAGCAAATCTGCAAGGAGTGACATTGGACCAAGATAGGAAAAGTCAAGGCCTTCTGGTACGACAGTCTTCCAGAATTGACGACACAGCTTGGTCTCGAAAGCTCTCATTATACGGCTACACGTCTTACTGGGGAGGAGCATATAAACTGTCAAAGCTACTCCTCTGCATGACATTCAAGGCCTCGCCTAACCGGACCTCAACCCTATATTCTCTTCTCTCCCTCTATTTCACTTCATTCGTGGTCAAACCGAGCCACTCTCTTGTCTCTGTTCCCTATATGCAACCTGATATATCAGTCTCAATGCCTTTGCTCATGCTATCCTCATAGCCCAGAATATTCTTGCTCTGAATTCCATGGACCCAAATCCTTGTTTCTCCCGGCCACCTCCTTCAAGAAGCCCTCCTGACTGTCTCCCTCCTTTCCACTCCAATTTCTTTCTGTATCTCTTTTGTAAGTACTATCACTCTCTACCTTGATTTTTTACCTAGTAGTACTTATCATTTTCTATGGTTTATTATTTTATTTCATGGGCTCCTTTAAGAGCACCTCGAGGTTGAAGACTGAGTATTACTGTATGATTAATCTTTGTATTCTATCTTTTTTGGCAGGCACCACAGATTGCCACGCAATAGACATTCCTCTCTTCTTTGCTAAGAGAGCTCCAAGGTCTCGTAGCTAACAGATGGACTGCTTGGCTTCAAAGCTCTTGAACCTTACCACTATGCTATCAAGCACCCCGTGTGCTTAACACTATGCATTCTTCAGCTTTTCTTGGAGGAGGAAATAATCAGTTGAGACAATTATCTCCATAATTCTGGCCTGGGAAGGGGGAATAGCCATCATTAAAGAAACAAGGAAGGGCTGGGCATGGTGGCTCATGCCTGTATTCCCAGCACTTTGGGAGGCTGAGGCAGCAGATCACTTGAGGTCATGAGTTCGAGACCAGCCTGACCAACAAGGTGAAACCCATCTCTACCAAAAATACAAAAATTAGCCAGGCTTGGTGGCAGGTGCCTGTAATTCCAGCTACTCGGGAGGCTGAGGCAAGACAACTGCTTGAACCCGGGAGGTGGAGGTTGCAGTGAGCCGAGATTGCACCACTGCATTCCAGCCTGGGCGACAGAGCAAGACTATCTCAAAAAAAGAGAAAAGGATAGAAAAGAAAAGAAACAGGGAAAAGTTATGATTTGTTTTTGCAAAAGAAATGGAAATCACCCTATCAATTCTTTATCATTTATGTTTAAAAGATCAGGCCGGGTGCTGTGGCTCATGCCTGTAATCCTAGCACTTTGGGAGGCTGAGAAAGGAGGATCACTTGAGGTCAGAAGTTCAAGACCAGCCTGGCCAACATGGCGAAACCCTAAACCTTTGTATATTTAGTCTCTTCTAAAAATACAAAAATTAGCCAGGCATGGTGGCGTGTGCCTATAATCCCAGCTACTTGGGAGGCTGAGGCAGGAGAATTGCTTGAACCCGGGAGGCAGAGCTTGCAGTGAGCTGAGATCTCATCACTGTTCTCCAGGCTGGGCAACAGAGTGAAACTTCGTCCCCCCTGCCAAAAAAAAAAAAAAGAGATGTTATTTGCTCAATTACTTTTTGCTGGTCTTCATGTATCTATCTGCAGCCAGTGTGGACGCAGCCTCTCTGCACGCAGTCAGTGTTTGATAAGCTAGCATTCTAAGCCACAGAAGACAAGGAAAGCTGCAAGGGAATGCAATGTGCCTAATCAGAGACATGGGCAAAGCATGCTGCTAAGATGAGAACTTTCAGGAGCAGGGACGTGACTATCCTTGGAGCTGTTCTTTCTGTCACAGGACAAATGGAATTTGCTGGTTTTGTCGACATGAGGTGGGAAAAGGAAGAGCAAGAGGAAAGAAGCTTAAAGCAGAGGAATAAGATAACATCATTCCGTGGATAGAGGTGGGAGGAGAAAGGTGGATCATTCCTGATCTCCTGAGGCAAGAGAAAAAGACAGGAGAATTCTTAGGTTTAAGGGGGGGAAGAGGTCTTTTATTCACTTCCTGGTGCAGGCACATGTACCTATATATTGCTCTTTCTGTAGCCAGATTATTTACTCAGTGTAGTGTGTGTGCCTATGCTACACAAGAGGTTAGCAACCATTTTGTAAAGGGTCAGACGGGAAAAATTTTAGGCTTTTTGAGCCATACAGTTTGAGTGGCTACTACTCAAATCCGCCATGTTGAGCAAAACAGTCATAAATAGGTCTTTACACTGTGTTCCAATAACATTGTATTTATGGACAATGAAATTTGACTTTCATCTAATGTCCCAAGTGGCCCAAAAGATTAATCTTCTTTTAATCTTCCTCCCTAACCATCAAGAATGCAAAGCCCCACGCCTTGTGTATGAGTACACACCATATGTAGCACAGGAAAAAGGACGTCCTTGGGAAGGATAATCACTGCATTCAGGGGAGTGGCCACCCCTGAGAAGAGAGAGAGAGAATCAAGTTGAGGGGCACGAGGGGCTTCAGTTATCTCTCCAGTGGTTTATTCCTCATGTTGGTCCCAGATACAGAGGTGTTTGTTGTACCTTTCAGTAGGTCAGAAATAAAACAAATTTTTAAATATTAAGTATTTAAGTATTTAAAGTTTTAATTTATCGGCCGGGCGCGATGGCTCACGCCTGTAATCCCAGCACTTTAGGAGGCCGAGGCAGGCAGATCATGAGGTCAGGAGATTGACACCATCCTGGCTAACATGGTGAAACCCTATCTCTACTAAAAACACAAAAAATTAGCTGGCCGTGGTGGCACGCGCCTGTAGTCCCGGCTACTTGGGAGACTGAGGCAGGAGAATCACTTGAACCCAGGAGGCGGAGGTTGCAGTGAGCCGAGATCGTGCCACTGCACTCCAGCCTGGGTGACAGAGCGAGATTCCATCTCAAAAAAAAAAATAGTTTTAGTTTATCAAAATACTTCAATAAATAAATATTTATAGGCTGAGGGCAGTGGCTCACACCTGTAATCCCAACACTTTGGGAGGCTGAGGGGAGCGGATCACTTGAGATCAGGAGTGTGAGACCAGCCTGGCCAACATGGCAAAACCCCGTCTCTACTAAAAATACAAAAATTAGCCAGGCCTGTAATCCCAGCTACTCTGGAGGCTGAGGCAGGAGAATGGCTTGAACCCAGGAGGCGGAGGTTGCAGTGAGGCGAGATCACGCCACTGCACTCCAGCCTGGGTGACAGAGAAAGACTCCATCTCAAATAAATAAATGAATAAATATTTATATATTCATATAGGTATTAAATATGTATTCATTTAAATGAATACTTTTTGAAATAATTTGATAAACTGGAAATTTTAAATAAAACAAAACAATGCACATAAATGTGCCCAAGTTCATTACCATTTTTTTGCAGAAATGATTATGTTAGTAAAAGGCATTAAATAAATAAGCAAACAAACAATAGCACCTGCCCATGAAAAGGCTCTTATTTCAGTTTTTGAATCACCATGAAAAATTTTCCTGAGCATCTAGCCAGAAGGAGCAGACACTGGCAAAAATGTATTCACCTCTCTAATCTTAAGTCTCTTGATTTCATTTCTGCATTAAAGCATTTTCTGTTTTCTAAAACAAGATCTTTTGGTCAATTTAGCATACCAACTGCTAGCCTAACTCCACAAAACGGAATCTTTTTAAGGCAGGGAGCTATATTAAGTCTCCAACATTCACTTTCTGAAAATTCTTTAGTGTATTATTGCATAGCAGAGTAGTGTGACAAGGATCAAAAGATTAGAAACAATTTCAATTAACTCCTTCTACTAATATACAGAGGACTGACCACTGAATTTTGCCGCAATGTCTAATGGGAAATAAAGTGCGCACACAGGAGATTTACCATTGACCCCAATCACAGAACTTTATTTATTTATTTATTTATTTTGAGATGGGGTCTCAGTCTGTCACCCAGGCTGAAGTGCAGTTGTGTGATCTCAGCTCACTGCAACCTCCACCTACCAGGCTCAAGCCATCCTCCCACCACAGCCTCCTGAGTAGCTGGGACCACAGGTGCACACCACCATGCCCAGCTAGTCTTTGTATTGTTTTGTAGAGAGAGGGTTTTGCCATGTTGCCCAGGCTGGTCTCAAACTTTCCTGAGCTTAAGCAATCTGCCCACCTCAGGCTCCCAAAGTGCTGGGATTACAGGCATGAGCCACTGCGCCCGGCCCCAATCATAGAACTTTAAAATGATGCTTTGTCTCAAAAAAAAAGAAGAGACAAATAAATAAATAGGTGAATTTTTAAAAATAAAATGCTGCTTTAAAGAATAAAAACATCGCAAATGCTTTGCAGGAATGAAAGTCTGAAAATGATGTAATATAGTAAGAGTACAAATTAAGCTATTTTTAAAAAATCCTTTGATTTAGGGTTTCTACATTCTATATTCTATAGTGTCCATCTGTCCTCTGCTCATATGTGTTTAAGCCATAAATGAATTATCAGAAAGTCTTTTATTCTTGTAAAACCAAAAAAAAAAAAAAAAAAGAGTTGGGGAGGAGGAATCTGTCGTAATTTATTCATCATCCTTGACTTCAATAAATAATTAGTACTGGTAAACATTATTCTATAATTATTAGAAAGAGAAGTCCCTGGCCAGGCATAGTGGCTCATACCTGTAATCCCAGCACTTGAGGAGGCCAAGGTGGGCAGATCACTTGAGGTCAGGAGTTCAAGACCAGCCCGGCCAACATGATGAAGCCCCAACTCTACTAAAAGCAAATACAAAATTAGCTAGGTGTGGTGGCACACCCCTGTAATCCCAGCTACATAGGAGGTTGAGGCAAGAGAATGGCTTGAACCCAGGAGGCGGAGGTTGCAGTGGGCCGAGATCACACCACTGGACTCCAGCCTGGGCGATAGAACAAGACTCCGTCTCAAAAAAAAAAAAAAAGAAAGAGAAGTCCCTAAAGTTCAAATGCCACAAAATAGAGAAAATAAGTTCAGCAGGATTTTCAAATCCAAATAGGTACTTACACTTACCACCCCCAACCCAGGAAAATGGAAACCCATTTAGGTTGATCCTTAGTGTGGCAGATTTAAAATGTCTGTAAACTCTCTGACACTCCTCTCATTGAGAAGTGGGATCCACTCTTTCTCCACTTGAACCTGAGTGGGCTCTGTGCCTGCTTCAACCCAGAAGTGACACTCTTCCAGCTTCCAAACCCAGGCCTGGTAGCTTTGCTGTCCTATCTCTTGGGACACTCACGCTTGGGACACTTTGAAATGTAAGAAGTCCAACCACCCAGCAGGAGAGGCCTTATGGAGAGGCCCTGAAACGTTCCTGCCAAGGTGTCAGGCATGTGAGCAAAGCCATCTTAAATCATCAAGCCTTCAGATGAGAATACAGAAATGAATTAGAAAAAAAAAAAAAATCCTCAAGCCAGACTAGCCACAAGTTGAATACTACCAACTAACCCCAGGTAATGCACATGTAGCAGAATCTCCCAGCTAAGCTCTGCCCAAATCTGGTCCAAATCATGAGATAGTAGGCACTCAGTGAATATAGGGTGGTTTGTTGTACATCAAGAGATAACTGAGCCCTTGGCATCATTCTAGAAACTACACACTAATATACCCCTACACTTTAAATTTTTGGATGAGTGCCTTTCCCACGCCAAAGGAGGAATTTTTTTTTTCTTTTCCTGAGACAAGGCCTCACTCTGTTGCCCAGGCTGGAGTCCACTGGCGCCATCATAGCTCACTGCGGCCTTGACCTCCTGGGCTCAAAGTGATCCTCCCACCTCAGCCTCCTGAGCAGCTGGGACTACAGCCATAATACCTGGCTAATTTTTTTATGAATTTTTTTTTTTTTGTAGAGACAGGGTGTTGCTGTGGTGACCAGGCTGGTCTGGAATGTGTGGTCTCAAACAATCCTCCTGTCTCTGCCTCCAAAAGTGTTGGCGTTACAGGTATAAGCCACCACAACTGGCCTAAAGAAGGGATCTTAATTGATACTATTCTTGAAAGCAGAGGCCGGGCGCGGTGGCTCAAGCCTGTAATCCCAGCACTTTGGGAGGCCAAGGCGGGCGGATCACGAGGTCAGGAGATTGAGACCATGCTGGCTAACGTGGTGAAACCCCGTCTCTACTAAAAATACAAAAAATTAGCCGGGTGTGGTGGCGGGCGCCTGTAGTCCCAGCTACTCGGGAGGCTGAGGCAGGAGAATGGCGTGAACCCGGGAGGCGGAGCTTGCAGTGAGCGGAGATCGCTCCACTGCACTCCAGCCTGGGCGACAGAGCGAGGCTCCGTCTCAAAAAAAAAGAAAAGCAAGCAGAAGTAGGCTTTATAGATGAAAGTTACAAGAAAGAAGATTTCAAGGCCGGACGCAGTGGCTCATGCTCACGCCTGTAATCCCAGCACTTTGGGAGGCCAAGGCGGGCTGATCACCTGAGGTCGGGAGTTCAAGACCAGCCTGACCAACATGGAGAAACCCGTCTCTACTGAAAATACAAAATTAGCCAGGCGTGGTGCCAGGCACCTGTAATCTCAGCTACTCAGGAGGCTGAGGGAGGAGAATCGCTTGAACCCGGGAGGCGGAGTTTGCGGTAAGCCAAGATCGCGCCACTGCACTCTAGCCTAGGCAACAAGAGTGAAACTCCGTCTCAAAAAAAAAAAAAAAAAGAAAGAAGAACATAAAAAAGATCTTCCTAGTAAGCCTTTCCAGTCACAGCCTCAAGTGCCTCACGGAAATGATGATGTAACCATCACCGTAAGAATTCAAGGCCAGGACGGAAGCAATGAAGAAGCATAGCAACTGAACCCTCCAAATACCAAATCAGGAAGACCTGAATCTGGATCTGCTTTGCTATAATTAGCTGTGTGTTTTAGGGCAAGTTGCTTAGCCTTTCTGAGTCTACTTGCTCAACTGTAAAATAGAGACACTGGTAACAGCAATCTCAGAGAACTATAAATGAGTGCCTGGCCCAAGGGAAGTTCTTGGTGCACATGCTTGTCAGATCATGACTATCGCTAATGTTGGAGAGGCATTTCTACATTGGATGGTGTGTCAAACCAGAAAGCCCCGCTGGCCCTGTCCAGATAAAAACATGCTGGATCATTCCATGACCACTCATGGAAAGTTCATGTGTGCAGAAAACTACCTGAACGCAACGGAAAAGATTTCAATGACATCTCAATCAAGTCAATGGCATTCTCTTTTTGTTAGCTTGAGGTTAATTTGTACTTAAGAGCCTTAATTATTTAAGCAGAAAAGCAGCAAAAGAACAATGGATTTAAACTGGCATGCCAAAAAAGCTTCGCTTGCTTGTTTGTTGGCTTGACGTAATTAGTTACAAGGCTTCCATTGTGGATTTATCATGTATACTGTTTGCCACTCTTCCCGCACTGGCCTCCTTCCTCTGCTCTCTGTTCCTGGAAACTACGAGTCCAACTGCCAACCCCAGGTGGCCCCAAGTTGTGGTGAAAAGAACAGGCCTTAAAGGAAATTGTTTCAGTTCAGCCACTTACTAGCCCTTCAATTTAGGGGAAATTAAGAAATCTCTCTGGGTCGGGCGTGGTGGCTCACGCCTGTAACCCCAGCACTTTGGGAGGCCAATGTGGGTGGAGAGCTTGAGGTTAGGAGTTTGAAACCAGCCTGGCCAACATGGTGAAACTCTGTCTCTACTAAAAATAGAAAAATTAGCCAAGTGTGGTGGTCGGCACCTGTAATCCCAGCTACTCAGGGGCTGAGGCAGGAGAATCGCTTGAGCCCGGGAGGTGGAGGTTGCAGTGAGTGGAGATTGTACCACTGCACCACTGCACTCCAGCCTGGGTGACAGAGCAAGACTCCATCGAGAAAAAGAAAAAGAAAAAAAAAAGATACTTCACTGTACCTTCCATTTTTCTCCTATGGAGACTGGGAATAATTAATGAACCTCATAGAGATGTTCTAAAGAGGAAACAGAATGACTCCATATGGTTTGAATGTTATAAAACAAAATGCAATTGTTAGTAGTTATTACTTTTAGAGCCAAAACGTAGAATATCGGCCGGGCGCGGTCGCTCACGCCTGTAATCCCAGCACTTTGGGAGGCCGAGGCGGGCAGATCATGAGGTCAAGATATCGAGACCATCCTGGCCAACATGGTGAAACCCCGTCTCTACTAAAAATACAAAAATTAGCTGGGCATGGTGGCGCACGCCTGTAGTCCCAGCTACTTGGGAGGCTGAGGCAGGAAAATGACTTGAACTCAGGAGGCGGAGGTTGCAGTGAGCTGAGATCACACCACTGCACTCCAGCCTGGCGACAGAGTGAGAATCCGTTTAAAAAAAAAAAAAAAAAAAGGAATATCATAAATCTCAAGACAACTAGCCAAATGGGCAATTGAGAGAAGCAGCTCAGAATCTTAGATTCATTGTTTATTTCTCTGTTTATTTTTTTATTAAGTCAGCTCTTTATTTCTTCCTGAAACAGGAAAAGTTTTTATTTTTGCAAATCACTTTTCTTCCCATTTTTTAAAATATAAACTTTTCACTGAAGTATCATATATAAATAGAAAATTCACAAGTTAAGAGAGTACCCCAGGCCAGGTGTGATGGTCCACCATGCCTGTAATCCCAGCACTTTGGGAGGCTGAAGCATGTGATTGCTTGAGCCCAGGAGTTCAAGGCTGGCCTGAGCAATATAGTCAGATCCCATCTTTAAAAAAAAATTTTTTTTGAAGAGTACTCCTCAGTCAACTTTAACAAACTGAACATAGTACTTATATAGTCAGCACCCCAGAAGTCCTACATATAGTCATCGCCCACCAAAGGTTGACTGCTCTCCTGATTTCTAACACTAGATTCATTTTGTCTGTTTTTGAACTTTATATAAAAGAGATTTTGCAGGATACACCCTGTTAGCTTCTTTCACTGAACATGGGTTTGTGGCTTTAAGCACATTTTTGCATACCATAATAGTTGTTTGTTCTCATTTTATGTAGTATCCCATTCAATGAATAAGCCACAATTTTTTAATTCATCTACTATTAATGGATATCTGAGTTGCTTCCAGTATGGGGATATTTTTAATGGTGCTATTAAGGGCATTGTTAAACTTTTCCTTTGGTGAACATATGTATAAATTTCTGTTGAGTATATAACCTAGGAGTGGAATCACTGAGTTATAATGTACATATATTTTTAGATTTAGTGACTCCTCTTTGGCACTAGGCTTCTTCTCCTCTCCTCCCTCCTCTCCTTTCCCCTCCCCTCCTCTCCTCTTCTCTCCTCTCTCTCCCTCTCTCTCTCTTTTTTTTGAGATAGGGTCTCATCCTGTCACCCAGGCTTGAGTGCAATGGCATGACCTTGGCTCACTGCAGCCTCGACCTCCAGGCTCAAGTGCTACTCCCACCTCAGCCTCACAAGTAGCTGGGATGACAGGAGCACACCACCACACCCAGCTAATTTTTGTATTTTTTGTAGAGACGGGGTTTCACCATGTTGCCCAGGCTGGTCTCGAGCTCCTGAGCTCAAGTAATCTGCCTGCCTCGGCCTCCCAAAATTCTGGGATTACAGGCGTGAGCCACACTCCCAGCCGGCACCAGGCATTTCAATCAGTGCTGATTTTATGTTCCTGTCCCTGACTCCAGGATCTCATTCCTTCATTCAGTCTCCACACAACCAACCACACCCAGCATAGTGAAAAACAGCACTGATCATGTTCATTTCAAAACATGTTTTGGGAATGCTGCGATCCATAACACCTACCATCACATTCAAGGTCTTCACCCTTTGGCCCTAACCAACCATTTATCCATTCAACAAATAATGTCCCCAACCTTGAGACACCTCACAGTCTGGTAGGGACAAACTAAACAAGTGTCTGTAATATTACACAGGACCTGGCAGAGCCAAGTTCTGGAGGGATCCAGAAGATCTGAGATGCTTTAAGAGAAGTTATTTGAGCTGGTCCTAGCAAAGGATGGATGGAAAGGAGGAAAGACAGAGTAACAACATGCTGCAATGAAAAAGCATGATGGGCTGGGTGTGGAGGCTCACACCTGTAATCCCAACACTTTGGGAGGCTAAGGCAGGAGGATCCCTTGAAGCCAGGAGTTTAAAACCAGCCTGGGCAACATAGCAAAACTCCATGTCTAAAAAATTGTTTTAAAAATTAGCCAGGCATGGTGGTACCTGCCTGTAGTCTCAGCTACTTGGGAGGCTGAGGAGGGAGGATTGCTTGAGCCTGGGAGTTAAAGGCTGCAGTGAGTGGTGATTGTGCCACTGTACTCCAGCCTGGACAACAAAGCAAGACCTTGTCTCTCTAAAAAATAAAAAATAAAAAAAAATAAGCATGATGAGTCCAGTCCAGGAATGAGAAAGACACATTTCACGATTGCCACATGGCTCTTTGTTGTTGTTGTTGTTGTTGAGACGGAGTCTCGCTCTGTCGCCCAGGCTGGAGTACAGTGGTGCAATCTCAGCTCACTGCAACCTCTGCCTCCGGGGTTCAAGCAATTCTCCTGCCTCAGCCTCCTGAGTTGCTGGGACTACAAGTGCACACCACCACGCCTGACTAATTTTTGTATTTTTAGTAGAGACGGGGTTTCACCATATTGGCCAGGCTGGCCTCGAACTCCTGACCTCGTGATCCACCCACCTCAGCCTCCCAAAGTGCTGGGATTACAGACTTGAGCCACCGCACCTGGTCTTTTGTTGTTGTTGTTGTCGTGGTTGTTAAGGAGTTTCGCTCTTGTTGCCCCGACGGGAGTGCAATGGCGCAATCTTGGCTCACTGCAACCTCCGCCTCCCAGGTTTAAGCAATTCTCCTGCCTCAGGCCCCCAAGTAGCTGGGATTACAGGCACCCGCCACCGCGCCCAGCTAATTTTTTTGTATTTTTAGTAGAGACGGGGTTTCACCATATTGGCCAGGCTGGTCTTCAACTCCTGACCTCAGGTGATCTGCCCGCCTTGGCCTCCCAAAGTGCTGGGATTACAGGCGTGAACCACTCTGCCCGGCGCGCCACATGGCTCTTACAAAAGTGCATGAGCCAGCTCTGGGGCTGGAGCACAGACTGAACCCCAGTTTTGAAGGGCCTAGTATAGTGTTCAAACCTCATTCTGTAAGCCCTGATTTCTCCATATGTATACCACACACTGCTGCTTTTAGGTGGCAAATGAGTGGAGGCATTTCATTTTCAAGGTTTGGATAATTTATATGCATATTAGAAAAATACTGGTCTTCGGCCGGGCACGGTGGCTCACGCCTGTAATCTTAGCACTTTGAGAGGCCAAGGCGGGCAGATCACCTGAGGTTAGGAGTTTGAGACCAGCCTGGCCAACATGGTGAAACCCCGTCTCTACTAAAAATACAAAAATTAGCCAGGCGAGGTGGCACACACTTGTAATCCCAGCTACTTGGGAGGCTGAGGAAGGAGAATCACTTGAACCCGAGAGGTGGAGGTTGCAGTGAGCCCAGATCGCACCACTGCACTCCAGCCTGAGCAAGGGGAGCGAGACTCCATCTTAAAAAAAAAGAAAGAAAAATACGGGTTTTCCATTTAAGAAATGAGATAGTGTTCCACTTTAAGTAAATGGATTTTAGTAAAACAAAAGTGAGTTGATTTAAAGAAAAATATTACCCAGCACTTTGGGAGGCTGAGGCAGGCGGATCACTTGAGGTCAGGAATTCGAGACCAGCCTGGCCACCACGGTGAAAGCCTTTCTCTACTTAAAAAAAAAAAAACAGCCGGGTGTGGTGGTGCACGCCTGCAATCCCAGCTACTCAGGAGGCTGAGGCAGGAGAGTCTCTTAAACCCAGGAGGTAGAGGTTGCAGTGAGCCAAGATCACGTTACTGCACTCCAGCCTGGGTGACACAGTGAGACGTCATCTCAAAAAAAAAACAAAAAAGAAAGAAAGAAAGAAAAAGAAAAATATTAAATGATGATGTAGGTGATATATAGATATGGGGAAATTGAAAAGGTAGTAGGGAAATGATTGTTACCGAGAAACTACTGTAGAGAATCAGGGAACTTCTGGGAAATGTGGTCTCGGTAAGAAAAAAAAGAAAAGAAAAACGGTGGACTAGTGGCAGTTTTTAACAAGTGAATGACATGGTCAGATCTGTCTTCCAGATGGACAGCTACTGACAGCAGAGGACACACAATCTCTGGCCTCATCCATCACTCTCTCCTGCACCCTCTTTGCCCTTTAGCCCCACCTGGACAGTTTCACCGACGGCCC
This sequence comes from Homo sapiens, assembly GCF_000001405.40. NCBI lineage: Eukaryota > Metazoa > Chordata > Mammalia > Primates > Hominidae > Homo > Homo sapiens. The sequence goes on from NC_000004.12 coordinate 40,606,548, forward strand.
GCCTGGCCCCAAGCCCCTGCTCTGCAGCACAGCTTGGTGGTTGAGAGATGAACTCTGAAGCCACACTGCCTGGATTTGGTCTCTGGCTCTCCACTTGCTGGCTGGCAACCTGGGCAAATTGCTTTACCTCTTTGTGCCTCATTTGCCATCTAGTAGGGTTGTGATGAGGACTGAGGAAGTTACTATTTGTAAAGGACTTGAAATGTGCATGGCATTCAGTAAGTACTGAGATGTAAGTACTAACATGAACATGTGTTACAAGCCTGAGCAACACAGTGACACCTCCTCTCTACTAAAAACAAAAACAAAAATAAGTTAGCCAGGCGTGGAGAGGCTGAGGTGGGAGGATCACTTGAGACCAGGAGATCGAGGCTGCAGTGAACTATTATTGTGTCACTCTACTCCAGCCTGGGCAACTGAGCAAGACCCTGTCAGAAAAAAAGCCCGCAAACATATGTGTTACTTTAAAATGATGTGTTTTATCTTCCGTAAATCACAACATCTCTTCTACGCTGTGCAAAAATCTATTTATTCAAAGTCCAGCTGAACCCAAACATCCATCAACTGATGAATGGATGAACAAAATCTGGTATGTCCGTACAATGGACTATTATATTACTCAGCCATAAAAAGGAATGAAGTATTGATAGATGCCACAACATGGATGGATCCTGAAAACATATATGCTAAGAGAAATAAGCCAGACATGAGAGGCCACATATCGTATGGTTCTATTTATGTGAGATGTCCAGACAGGCAAATCTATAGTCAAAAAGTTGATTACTGGTTGCCAGGGGATGGGAGAGAGAGAAATGAGAAGTGATTGCTTAATAGGTTTGGACTTTCTTTCTGGGATAATGAAAATATTCTGGAATAGGGCGGAGCATGGTGATTCATGCCTGTAATCCCAGCACTTTAAGAGGCTGTGGCAGGAGGATCACTTGAGCCCAGGAGTTTGAGACCAGCCTGTACAACACAGTGGGACTCCATCTCTACAAAAAATTTTAAAATTATCCAGGTATGGTGGCACACGCCTCTAATTCTAGCTATTCAGGAGGCTGCATTGGGAGGATTGCTTGAGCCTGGGAGATCGGGGCTGCAGAGAGCTGCGGTCACATCACTGCACTCTAGCCTGGGCCACAGAGTGAGACCATGTCTCAAAGTAAAATAAGAAAAAGAAAAGAAAATATTCTGGAATAGATCATGGTGGTGGTTGCACAACTTTGTGAATTACTAAAAGCCACTGCATTTTCTACTTTAAAATGGCGAATTTTCAGCCAGGCGCGGTGTCTCGTGCCTGTAATCCTAGCACTTTGGGAGGTTGAGGCGGAAAGATTGCCTGTGTTCAAGAGTTGAAGACCAGCCTGGGCAACATGGTGAAACTTCATCTCTACTAAAATACAAAAAATTGGCCAGGCATGGCAGCCTACACCTATAGACCCAGCTACTCAGCAGGCTGAGGCAGAATTGCTTAAACCAGGGAGGTGGAGGTTGCAGTGAGCTGAGATCACACCACTGCACTCCAGCCTGGGCAACAGAGCGAAACTCCATCTCCAAAAAAAAAAGGTGAATTTTCTAATTTAAAATGGTGAATTTCGCAGTACGCTAATTATATCTCAGAAAAAAAAAATCTAGCTAAAAGATCACCCTTCTTCCCCAACTGTCCCTCCTGTGGGCTCCCTGTTCAATATCACATGCCATGTTATAGTACAGTGAGTTGGACACAAGTGAGTTGTCCCCACATGAGTGTGAGCATCTGAGGGCAGGAAGAGTGTCCTGTTCACCTACAACTCCCCAGAACTCAGCAGAGCGACCAATAGGTACCAAGTAGTTGCTCCAGTAAATGCTCACTGATATAATAAGCAGAGCATTATCATTTGAGGGGAAGGCAGACTTGGAGATTAATTTATTTTCCAAAATGGGCAGGCTCTAAATTACCAACCTGGTAGCAAAGAAACAACTGCCTCTGCTCAGGGGCCCAATCCATATCGAGTATTAAGACCAAGTACGAAATAGCAATAAAAAGCCCTTTCTTTTGTCAATGAGAGTGAAACAAGCTTAGACTTGGAACTCTTTTTCTATCCTGTCAACTAGGCTTGATGATGCTGGACAAACTGCAAATCCTGAACTTAGAGACTGTTGCAGCAATAACCATTTTGACTGTGATAATATCATTCTGCTCAAGTTGGTGTTAGTAAGGCAAGTACAATCCTAAAATTCTGGCATGAAAGGCACACTCTGGGTGAGCACATGTTGTGAAGTAAATGTAAATAGCAGAAATCCCACAAACATGGAACCAATGAATGAAGTTAAATCTTATATGTACATTCCTTAGAGTTGGCCCACTCATCCTGCTGTCATTGCTGATTTGGAAAAACGAGATGACACGAAACATGTGAGCTCTCTGCAGTGTTTGGCTATGTCTCCATACCTCTTCTTTTATTTATTTATTTATTTATTTATTTGATAGAGTTTCACTCTTGTCGCCCAGGCTGGAGTGCGGTGGCATGATCTCAGCTCACTGCAGCTCCGCCTACCGGGTTCAAGTGATTCTCCTGCCTCAGCCTCCTGAGTAGCTGGGATTATAGGTGCCCACCACCACGTCCAGCTATTTTTTTGTATTTTTAGTAGAAATGGGGTTTAGCCATGTTGACCAGGCTGGTCTTAAACTCCCGACCGTGATTCACCCACCTCAGCCTCCCAAAGTGCTGGGATTACAGGTATGAGCCACCATGCCTGGCCTGCTAATTTTTTATTTTTATTTTTATTGGTTTTTTTTTTTTGAGACTGAGACTCACTCTATGGCCCACATTGGAGTGCAGTGCCACAATCTTGGCTCACGGTAACCTCCGCCTCCCAGGTTCAAGTGATTCTTGTGCCTCAGCCTCTAGAGTAAGTGGGATTACAGGCACCCGCCACCACGCCCGGCTAATTTTTGTATTTTTAGTAGAGACAGGGTTTCACCATGTTGGCCAGGCTGGTCTCGAACTCCTGACCTCAAGTGATCTGCCCGACTCAGCCTCCCAAAGTGCTGGGATTACAGGCGTGAGTCACTGCGCCCAGCCATGACCTTTTTCTTCTTTTTTAGCTTCCATTTTTCTCTGCTTTCTATAAATTATATGCTTTGCGCATGAGACAAAGTCCTTGCCATCTGGTTTCTTCCCGCCTCTTCAGCCTCATCTCTCTCTAGGTTCCGGAATCCCTCTCCAAATGGTAACTAACTACCTGCTTTTCATATCTCTGGATCTCATTTAAGGCTCATTCAAGCCAGGCGCTGTGGCTCACACCTGTAATCCCAGCATTTTGGGAGGCTGAGGAGGGCAGATCACCTGAGGTCAGGAGTTCAAGACCAGCCTGACCAACATGGAGAAACTGTCTCTACTAAAAATACAAAATTAGCCGGGTGTGGTGCCGCATGCCTGTAATCCCAGCTATTCAGGAGGCTGAGGCAGGAGAATTGCTTGAACCGGGAGGCGGAGGTTGCAGTGACCCGAGATCACGCCACTGCACTCCAGCCTGGGTGCCAAAAGTGAAACTCTGTCTCAAAATAAAAACAAACAAACAAACAAACAAAAAAACCTCATTTAAGAATCATCTCTAATTCTAGAGCCAAATCACCTGGGTTCAACTCCGAGTTCTGCCCTTACTAGCTACATAACCCTAGGCAAGTTATTTAACCTTTCTGTGCCTAGGTCTTCTGTGTATGGGGATCATAATTGTAAGTACTTCATAGTTTTCTTATGCAGATTCAATGAGTTCATCTTCGTAAAGTGTTTAGAACGGGACCAAGCACGGCCAGGCGCGGTGGCTCATGCCTGTAATCCCAGCACTTTGGGAGGCCGAGGCAGGCAGATCACAAGGTCAGGAGATGGAGACCACGGTGAAACTCCGTCTCTACTAAAAATACAAAAAATTAGCCAGGCTCGGTGGCGGGTGCCTGTAGTCCCAGCTACTCAGGAGGCTGAGGCCAGCAAATGGCGTGAACCCGGGCGGTGGAGCTTGCAGTGAGCCGAGATCGCGCCACTGCACTCCAGCCTGGGGCGACAGAGTGAGACTCCATCTCAAAAAAAAAAAAAAAAAAAAAGAACAGGACCAAGCACATAACACATGCTATGTGACATGGTTTGGCTGTGTTCCCATTCAAATCTCAACTTGAATTGTATCTCCCAGAATTCCCATGTGGTGTGGGAGGAACCCAGGGGGGAGGTAATTGAATCATGGGGGCCGGTCTTTTCCAGACTATTCTCGTGATAGTGAATAAGTGTCACCAGATCTGAGGGGTTTATGAGGGGTTTCTGCTTTCACTTCTTCCTCATTCTCTCTTGCTGCTGCCATGTAAGAAGTGCCTTTCACCCTCCCCCATGATTATGAGAGAACTCCCCAGCCATGGGGAACTGTTAAGTCCAATTAAACCTTTTTCTTCCCAGTCTCGGGTATGTTTTTATCAGCAGCATGAAAACAGACTAATACACTATGTAAATATTAAGTATGTTAAAAGTCTTATCTTTATGAGGAGTCCCCTAAACGTTTCCCTCATCCCCTGCTGTGCCTCCTCAGGTTAAACTGATGCTACCGATTCCTATCATAGCATCTAGAAAATTTCATGGGACTCATTTTTAATGCTTCAGTCTCTCTAGGTAAATGTAGGCACAAAATAAATGGTTTTCAATGAATCAATGGATGGATAAATGAATATCTCTATTCTAGAAAGCACAAAAGAGTATTTTATTTTATTTTTGCTTACGTGTCTGATTTAGTCTGTGAGCTTCTCAACAACCCAGAATACTTCTGATACATTTTGTATCTCCAATGCCTGACACAGAACCTGTATCCACTCAATGAATAAATGGCTGGAGTTGTTGCTACTCAAAAGAAAACAACAACAAAAAACCCACATAGGCCGGGCACGGTGGCTCACGCCTGTAATCCCAACACTTTGGAAGGCCACAAGGCAGGCAGATCACCTGAGGTCAGTAGTTCGAGGCTAACATGGAGAAACCCTGCCTCTACTAAAAATACAAAAAAAAAAAAATTAGCTGGGTATCGTGGCGCATGCCTGTAATCCCAGCTACCAGGAGGCTGAGGCAGGAGAATCGCTTGAACCCGGGAGGCAGAGGTTGCGGTGAGCCGAGATCGCACCATTGCACTCCAGCCTGGGCAACAAGAGCAAAACTCTGTCTCAAAAAAAACAAAAACAAAACAAAACAAAAAAAACCACCCACATAGAATCATCAAAATGAGTTTTGGAAGCAAACTTGAAATCACTATTCAAGACTTGGGCAAAACCAAAGAGCATCTGAGATTAAACTGGGACATCTTATCCAAGATATCATTGATTATATATATATAATGTATCTCCAATAAGATACATGAGAGGTGTAATAAAATAATCAAGCGTTGAGTCTTGGCCTTCCACGCAAGACTCAGGCCTCTTCAGAACAGAAGGATTAAGATGGAAATGGAATAGAATTCAAATGTTAAAAGAATGAAGGGTCAAGAGCGTTGGAATGAAGGTAAATGGGCCACCTGTAGAAGTCTGAAAGTGAGCTTTGGAGGGAAGAAAAGTAAATACTGCTTTAACAAGAAGTCCTGGGGAATCTGAATGAATTAGATCCTGATCATGGATCCATAACATGTGGATGTGGAGAATTAATGGTATCTAGGGTCCGTATCTAACTGATATTCAAGAAGTATAGTTAGATGGCCGGGTGCAGTGGCTCACGCCTGTAATCCCAGCACTTTGGAAGGCCGATGTGGGCAGATCACTTGAGGTCAGGAGTTCAAGAACAGCCTCTACTAAAAACACACACAAAAAATAGCCACGTGTAGTGGCACATGCTTGCAATCCCAGCTACTTGGGAGGCTGAGGCAAGAGAATAGCTTGAACCCAGGAGGCGGAGGTTGCAGTGAACCAAGATCGCACCACTGCACTTGCACTCCAGCCTGGGCAAGAGAGCCAGACTCTGTCTCTCAAAAAAGAAGAAGTATAGCTAGAAATTCTAAGAATGACTTTGTCTAAAATATATTCTCTGAAGTCTGCAGAAACTAGGATGAGCAGTTCTTTAATCTGATCCAACAGGGCATTTGTAGGACTTTTGTGACCTTAAATGAACTGAAATAACACAAAAGGTCATCAGAGAATGTCCAAGCTTCTCAGTACACATCATTTTCCCATTTATTAAATTTGAAGGTATCTTATATTCAGCAAAAATGAGAGCTCATTCAGCTGCATTTTATTTCCACTACAAAGAAGTCAAACCTAGAACCCATGTCAATTTGCAGAGGGATCTTCATTCACCTATGATCTTCATCCCCTAGGCTTTTGTTTCATTTCCTTTGGTTGTAATTAATTTATTATGGAAACTTAGGTAAACTCAGCTTCTCTCAGCCAGGAACAACTGCAAACACATTTATTTATCTTTCTTCCCCAAATCTACAAGACATCAAATATTGACTAAAAGGTTTCTTCAAAGGAAAGTCAGCCTGGTACACGGAGCTCATTTCTAGCCATCCTTGAATGTTTGCTGTTTTCCCAAAGCTGCTGACAGTCCAGCTATACACCAGCATGTGTTCATTTAATATAAGTGTCTCGCCATGAAGCTGAAAGCACTGTACAATGATTTTTATTTTTTTTGCTTTAAATGAAGTCAAGATACAGTCTTAATAAAACATAGGACAACTTCATTTTAACCAAACCTAAACCTTTAAACTTCAGGCATCTTTAGGTCTGAAAAGATTCTACTAACAACTTTCTCAAAGTTCAGCTTTGTCCAAAATATATAAATATCAAGAAGTCCCTCAATAAAAAAAAAGTATACCAAAACTCTGGGGATATTCTAATGACATTAGTAGCCTCGAAAGAAAAATTCTTAGAATCTGAGAAGGAAACAGTGAAGTGACTGAATCCACAAGAAAGGGAAAAATAAACTACGAAATGACTTTTCTAGCAGGCTGCTGTTAAAACACTTAACATTCCTAAGAACAGAGTTCAGTTCAACTTTTTACTGACCTTCTCCCCTCATACCTTCTTAGACCCTGCATCATCAGAAGACAGATGAGTTTAACTCATTGGTGATAAAAAACTAAAGAAAGGAATGCTGTTCATGGTGTGTAAGACAGTAGTAACAGGCCAGGTATGGTGACTCATGCTTGTAATCCCAGCACTTTGGGAGGCCAAGGCAGGAGGATTGCTTGAACCAGGAGTTCAAGACCAGCCTGGACAACATAGTGAGATCCCATGTCTTAAAAAATAAAACTTAAAAAAAAAAAAAAGGACAGTAGTGACTGTGGAGAACAGTCTAGAATTGGGTTTCTCAGCCTCAGCCCTATGGACATTTTGGGCTGGATAATTCTTTGTTTTGAGTGGTTCTCCTGGGCATTGTAGGATGTCCAGCAGTACACCTGGCCTTTACCTACTAGATGCCAGAAGCTCCCAATCCCCATCCCCACTACTGCCTCCCACATTGTGACAACCAAAAACATCTCCAGACATTACCAAATGTTCCTTGGAAGACAAAATCTAGAACCACCAGTCTGGAACCATCCTATATACTAGCAATATTCACTATCTCAGAAGGGATCTGAGAGTTAAGAATCAAATCTGTAAGAACTTTGTAAGATTTGGAACGAGCCATCTAACCCAGCATTATTTCCTTCCTGCGACTTAAAGCCAAGTAACCATCCCCCATCCACCCAACCCCCATCTTCCCTTCAACATCAAATGAACCAGCAGCCTTTTAGTGACTTGAACCATGAAAGTAAAAAGAATTAGAGAAAATTGCAGCTGTGTAAAACATAAGTCAAAGCCTAGTCCAAAATCTCCCCTCCCTTCTATCTAATTTTAAAAGAAAGGAAAGTGAAAGGCAGTGAGGAGAAGGGCCATGGCCAGGGTCAATTGTCTGAGGTGATATAAGCCAAGAACAGATCTTGTAGAAGACTGGGTCCTGGTCCAAAGACCTGGTTTTTCCAAACCTGACCTCCTTTGGGAAGCTTTACAAGAGTCTTGGCCAGGGGCAGTGGCTCACACCTGTAATTACAACACTCTGAGAGGCCAAAGGGGTAGGAACGCTTGAGCCCAGAAGTTTGAGACAAACCTGGGCAAAAGAATGAGACCCCCATCTCTACAAAAAAAAAAAAAATTAACTGAGCTGGCATACACTTGCAGTCCCAGCTACTGAGGAGGCTAAGATGGAAAGATCACTTGAGCCTAGAAGGCCAAGGCTGCAGTGAGCCTTGATCATACCACTGCACTCCAGCCTGAGCAACATGGTAAAAAGGACACTGTCACACACACATACACAAAAGAGTCTCAATTCTGACCACCATTTACCTTGGGCAAGTTACTAGATAGCGCCTCATTTCTACACATGTCAAATGAGGATAATTGTAAAACCTACTTCTCACGGGTGGTTTGTTGGTTAAATAAAATCATGGCCAGGTACAGTGACTCACACTTGTAATCCCAGCACTTTGGGAGGCTGAGGCAGAAGGATCGTTTGAACACAGGAGGTTGAAGCTGCAGTGAGGTATGATCACACCACTGAACTCCAGTCTGAGCAACAGAGCAAAACCCTGTCTCAAAAAAATAATAATAATAAAAATAAGAAACCATGCATGGCATACAGTGGGTGCTCAATAAATGTTAGTCATGGCTGGGTGGGCGTGGTGGCTCACTTGAGCTCAAGAGTTCAAGACCTGCCTGGGCAACATGGTGAAACCCTGTCTCTACAAAATATACAAAAAAAAATTGGCCAGGCATGAGGGTGTGCACCTGTGGTCCCAGCTACTTGGGAAGCCGAGGTGAGAGACTCTCTTGAACCCAGGAGGTCAAGGCTGCAGTGAGCTTAGATCACTCCACTGCACTACAGCCTGGATGACAAAAGTAAGTACTGTTCCAGGTACACCTTATACAGCTCTTCACCAAAGTTGCTTTCTTATTAAAAACAGAATTTAGCCAGATATGGTGGCTCACACCTGTAATTCCAGCACTTTTGGAGGCCAAAGCAGGTGGATCACCTGAGGTCAGGAGTTCAAGACCAGCCTGGCTAACATGGTGAAACCCCATCTCTACTAAAAATACAAAAATTAGCTGGGCATAATGGTACATGCCTGTAATCCCAGCTACTAGGGAGGCTGAGGCAGGAGAATCGCTTGAACCTGGGAGGTGGAAGTTGCAGTGAGCCAAGATCACGCCACTGCACTCCAGCCTGGGCAACAGAGTGAGACTCTGTCTCAAAATTAATTAATTAACTAATTAATTGTGAAAACTTCAGGCGCTTCATATCCTTTTGGAAACTGAACCATCTTATGCAAAACGAATAACCACACCATCTGTGGCTCAATTAAGCAATAATAAATACAATTACACCTCATGGGCTCCACTGGTGTTGACATGATATTGGAGAATAAAATGCTACAGTCACTGACAGTTTCTATAGCCACGGTTGCAAAACATTATCTGTCATAGCTTCTTCTACCTCCATCCAATTCTAAAGCTTCATGACTTTTTAAAACATCACTTCTTGGCTGGGTGCGGTGGCTCACGCTTGTAATCCCAGCACTTTGGGAGGCCGAGGCGGGCGGATCACGAGGTCAGGAGATCGAGACCATCCTGGCTAACATGGGTGAAACCCCGTCTCTACTAAAAACACAAAAAAATTAGCCGGGCATGGTGGCGGGCGCCTGTAGTCCCAGCTACTCTGGAGGCTGAGGCAGGAGAATGGCGTGAACCCGGGAGGCGGAGCTTGCAGTGAGCCGAGATCGCGCCACTGCACTCCAGCCTGGGCGACAGAGCGAGACTCTGTCTCAAAAAAAAAAAAAAGAAAAAAAAAAAATCACTTCTTTGGTCATTGCTTGAGACCAAAATCATTTTATTCCTATGAGTTTGCAAGTATATGCGCAATCATTTTTTTTAGAATAATCTCTGCTTGGGAGGTTGTAGTGTGGCGCTAAAAACAAACGGATAAAGCTTCCACCGCTATAAGCTCCAAAAGCCCTGTGTGTTGCTCACCCTCATATCCCCAGTTCGCTTTAGGTACTAGAAACTCAAAAACTCAGTTTGCTAGAGATACAAATCAGCCTTTCATTATGTGGTTTAAAATGTGCCTGTATCAGCTTTCTAATTTCCACCCACATAATATGCAGAAGAAACACAGCAGACCCTTTTTACAAAGCTTACAAAAGTTAGGTAAGAGACACACAAGAAATACATTTACGTGTTCTAATGGATCCATTTTTACAGTGTCAATATTTACAGCATGAATTTGCATGTCTCTCAGTGGTTATAACTCACAAGGAAATCCACTGTTTCATCTTATATTTTCTTTTCTTTTTTTTTTTTTTTTTTTGAGACAGAGTCTTGCTCTGTCGCCCAGGCTGGAGTGCAGTGGCGCGATCTTGGCTCACTGCAACCTCCGCCTCCCAGATTCAAGCAATTCTCCTGCCTCAGCCTCCCGAGTAGCTAGGATTACAGGCGCCCGCCACTGCGGCCAGCTAATTTTTGTATTTTTAGTAGAGACAGGATTTCACCATGTTGGCCAGGCTGGTCTCAAACTCCTGACCTCAGGTGATCCACCCGCCTCGGCCTCCCAAAGTGCTGGGATTACAGGCGTGAGACACTGCGCCTGGCCTCATCTTACATTTTCTTTTATCTTTCTCTTACTTGTTATGTGGGATGAATCTCTGTTCACACAAATTTTTGTTTTCACTATTAAATATATATGGCATTTAAGGCCAGGTGTGATGGCTCACACTTGTAATCCCAACACTTTAGAAGGCCGAGGCAGGCGGATCACAAGGTCAGGAGATGGAGACCATCCTGTCCAACATGGTGAAACCCCATCTCTACTAAAAATACAAAAAAATTAGCTGGGCATAGTGGTGCGTGCCTGTAGTCTCAGCTACTCGGGAGGCTGAGGCAGGAGAATCGCTTGAACCTGGGAGGCAGAGGTTGCAGTGAGCCAAGATCGTGCCACTGCACTCCAGCCTGGTGACAGAGTGAGACTCCATCTCAAAATAATAAATAAATATGGCATTTAATATTGTAAATTAAGTACATATACATGCTAAATATATTAAATATATTCAGTGTTAAGTATAAATATATACATGTACTTTATATTTATACTAATGTGATTGAATATTAAATATATAATATAAATATTAAAATTTTGGTAAATATATATGATTAATTTGAGTTATAAGTTTGATGACTGAAACTATACTTAAGTCTTTTTTTTAATGTTTGCCCCCAACCCCCTTTCCCCATTACAGTTTCCTATACACCCTAGATACTCGATTAGCATTATTTTGTCATTTGTGGTATAAAAGTAAAGATCACATACTTTATATTTGCCAATATGGACATAAAGAGAAACACTGAAATACAAAACAGTTGTCTAAAAGAATGTGAAGGGCCAGGCATGGTGGTTCACACCATAATCCCAGTACTTTGGGAGGCTGAGGCAAGCTGATTGCTTGAGCCCAGGAGTTTGAGACCAGCCTGGGCTACATTGCGAAACCCTGTCTCTACAAAAAATACAAAAAATTAGCCAAGCATGGTGATGCACACCCGTAATCCCAGCTACTTGTGAAGCTGAGGTGGGAGGATCACCTGAGCCCAGGGAGGTCAAGGCTACAGGGAAACATGATTGTACCACACTCCAGCCTAGGCAACAGAGCAAGACCCTCAAAAAAAAAGAAAAAAGAAAATAAAAGAAAAGAAAAAATGCTAGGCAGCCAGGCATGTGATGTGCCTGTAGTCCCAGTTACCCAGGAGGCTGAGGCAGGAGGATTGATTGCTTGAGCCCAAGATTTTACAGTGAGCAATGTCACGCCACTGCACTGCAGTCTGGTGACAGAGTGGCACCTTGTCTCTAAAAATAAAATAAAATAAGAAATACTTTTCCGAAAAATGAATGCTAGGCACTAGAGGTGTCTCCTGCTTTTGCTAGAGGCACTGGATATAAAAGGGGGAAACTTCTAGCTGGGGGTAGTGGCTCACACCTGTAATTCCAGCACTTTGGAAGGCCGAGGTGGGCAGATCACGAGGTCAGGAGGTCGAGACCAGCCTGACCAACATGGTGAAACCCCGTCTCTACTAAAAATACAAAAATAAGCCAGGCATGGTGGCGCGCGCCTGTAATCCCAGCTACTCGGGAGGCTGAGGCAGGAAAGTTGCTTGAACCTGGGAGGTAGAGGTTGCAGTCAGCCATGATCAAGCCACTGCACTCCAGCCTAGGCAACAGAGCGAGACTCCATCTCAAAAAAAAAAAAAAAAAAAAAAAAAAGGGAAACTTCCAGCATCTCCTTGGGATGTTTGAACAGGAATCTCAGTAAACACACCCAAAATTGAACTCCTGATCTCCTCTACCTGCCTCAAACTTGTTTTCCCCCAGTCTCTGCCATCACAGCCAGCAACACAGATCAGAACCCCCCATCCTCAGTCCTTCCTCCAGGCCATCACCACATCTTGCTATTTCTGCTGGCCACTGCCGGCCTCAGACTCAGACCATAACAGAGGCAGGTAGATACACAGAAGACATCCCATGCAGGCCACTGGCTCTCTCCACCAACACCAACACCCCCAAAAATCAACCCCTGGACAGGCGCAGTGGCTCACACCTGTAATGTCAACATTTTGGGAGGCCAAGATGGATGGATTATTTGAGCCCAGAAATTCAAGACCGGCCTGGGCAAAAGAGTGAGACCCTGTCTCTACAAAAAAATCAAAGAATTAGCTGAGTATGATTGTGTGCCTGTAGTCCCAGCTTCTTGGGAGGCTGAGGCAGGAGGATCACTTGAGCCCAAGACTTTAAGACTGCAGTGAGCCATGATTGCACCACTGCACTCCAGCCTGGGTCAGGGTTGTCTTTTAAGAAGTCGTCTTTAATGGCTTTCTCTTAGGCCTGGAGTAACAAAATGCAAACTCTTTTCCATGGTCTTTAGTGACCCACATGCTCTGAGTCTCAGTAATCCCCATAACCCTACCTTGTGCCCATCTCCTCCTTGCTGGGCACTTTGCACTGTTGCAAGGTCGGCCTTCTTTAAGTCCCTCAACATGCCAAGCGTTCCCAGCCTTAGGACCTTCATGAACGCTACTCCATCTAGCGAAGATGGACATCTCCCTGCCCATCAAACACCTTCAGCCCCACCTCCCTGGAGGAGCCTTCTCTGATGACCTCACCTATGGGATTCCCACCTACTATTGTGTAGTACCTGTGGGTTCCTGGTTCCTTCAGAACACTAAATCTCATCTCCACCCAACAAAGAAAGTCCCAGAGGGCGGAGAATCTTTATTCACCACTGGGTACTTCGTATCCAGTGTCCAGCACACAGTAGCTGCTCAAACAGCAGTTAAGTCTGTATCTAGGCCAAACACGGTGTCTCACGCCTGTAATCCCAACACTTCGGGAGGCCGAGGCCGCGGATCACTTGAGATCAGGAGTTTGAGTCCAGCCTGGCCAACACGGTGAAACCCTGTCTCTACCAAAAATACAAAAATTTGCCAGGCCTCATAGCTCATGCCTGTAATCCAGCTACTCGGGAGGCTGAGGCAGGAGAATCGCTTAAACCAGGGAGGCGGAGTTTGCAGTGAGCCAAGATCACACCATTGCACTCCAGCCTGGGCGATAGAGTGAGACTCAGTATGAAAAAAAAAAAAAAAAAAAAAAAAACTCTGGGCCGGGCACAGTGGCTCACACCTGTAATCCCAGCACTTTGGGAGGTCAAGGCGGGCGGATCACGAGGTCAGGAGTTCGAGACCAGCCTGGCCAACATGGTGAAACCCGTTTCTACTAAAAATACAAAAATTAGCCAGGCATGGTGGCAGGCGCCTGTAATCCCAGCTAGCCAGGAGGCTGAGGCAGGAGAATGGCTTGAGCCTGGGAGGTGGAGGTTGCAGTGAGCCGAGATCATGCCATGGCACTCCAGCCTGGGCGATAACAGCAAGACTCCATCTCAAAAAAAAACAAAAAGTCTGTATCTGGGCAAGAAAAATAAGTCCTTTCAATGTGTCTAGTTTATAAACCCATTTAATTCATATTTACTGGTTCTATATTTTAGTAAATAATTACCACCAGCTCCCTCTATATAGTATATTACCAAAGACAAGTCTAATTTAACATTTATATGCTATTCATTTTTTCTTTTCTTTAAAAAATTTTTTTTAATAGAGAAGGGTTTTCGCCATGTTGCCCAGGCTGCTTTTTAACTCCTGGGCTCAAGCAATCCACCCACCTCAGTCTCCCAAAGTGCTGGGATTACAGGCGTGAGCCACTGCACCCGGCCCCCCTATTCATTTCTAATGTCCCATTCAGTGCATATGATAAGAAATAAGATGATTTGCAGAAAGAACTATGAACATTAGCTCTTTGTTTATTAGGCATAATTTGTCTGTGTATTTTTTGAACTCCTCAACAAATTGTGATGATGTCTTCCAAATCAATTTAGAAGGAAACAAACAAAAAAAAAAAACCCAAAATCCAAATAATTCTAAATCAGCCACAAACCATGACTGACAATAGTCAGAAATAACTAAATCCAGGCTCTTCATCTACCCTCAGCAGACTTTATGTACTATTGCCTTTTTTTTACTGCAAAGAACCTTCCTGGAGTCTGTACTACCTTCAAGATGGTTTTAGGGTCCCCAAGCCTAGTAGCCACAGGATTCTAACAGCAACTGAGGAAGCCTTTTTCAGTGAATTATGGATCTAAACAAGGCAAATGAACGCAGAGAGGGAACTGTGCCTCCAAAGGCCACGAAAAGCAATTTTGCCAAACCTAGGTAATTGTCCAAAGGAGAGAACGAAGCCAGGGCTAGCAAACAAACATGACAGATCAGAGAATTGTTTTGCCACTTTGTAAAGGCAAGATCAAGTATTTGTACAAAGGTTCTGGGGAAAAATTAAAGACTCAAACAATGACTCTAGCACTTCCGTTTCATGCCAGGTCAAGACAAAAATACCTAATTGAGCTCTGCAGCTGAGAACAATCTAAATGGAATCCTGTAGCAGCAATTGGCACTTGTGGAAACCTCAAAGGTGAAAAGAGATAGTTAAGAAAATTTGTCTTGACAGTTACTTTCAGAAAATCATTAATTATAATTAAATGACAGTAGAAAAGGTGATAAACAATATAGTAACATAAGTCAGTCAAGTGTAATTATCTGTAGGGCATGCGATTCACAAAATGGTTCAAACAGAGGGCTACACATTTAGATGTAAATCACAAAAAGATTGCCAAAGAGGAGGCTTTGATTTGGAAACAGGGAAGCTCTGAAATGGGGAAGTGCTGAAACGATTGCGACATCCCCACATTTGGCCCTGCCTTGCACGTTACTTAGTCATCAGCCTCCATCAAGGACTTGTGGTGGCAGAGAAAATAAACCACAGAAAACATGGCAGCCTCCTGGGAGAGGTCTGGGAGAAAACCCATGCTCATTCAGAAAGGTATGTTCGTGGTTGTATTTCGAGTAAAACGCATTCAGTCACGCTTGAAATGTGTAAAAGCCTGTGTGTCTTATTCATTTATTCAACAAGTATTTATGGAGCACCTACTCTGTGGCAGACGCTCCTCTAATGTGCTTGGGATACACCAATGAATGAAGTAGACATTCTAGTCAGGGAGAGACAGATAATAGGTCACACAATTACATAGTATGCTACAAAGCGATAAATACCAGAGAGAAAGCAGGGTAGTGAGACAGAGGATGCGGGCAGGAAGGAGGAATTGCTGTTTTAACCTGGAGGAGGCAGAGCAAAGACTTGAAGGAGGTGAAGGAGTGAAGCATGGAGATGTCTGGGGATGATGGTTCAGGCATCGGGGCAGCCAGTGCAAAGGCCCTGTGGTATGAATGTGCTGGGCACACCCCATCAAGAAAAGGAGTGTGGTTAAAGCAGAGGAAGTAAGGATGTGTGTGGTAGCAGGCGAGGTTAAAGAGGTGATGGGACTAGAAATAAAGTCATTCACTGGCTTTTGAGTGAGATAGAGAAGCTCTAGAAAGTTTTCGGCAGGGGACTGACACGAGCTGACTTCTGTTTTAAAAAAGTCACTCTGGCCAGGTGAGGTAGCTCACACCTGCAATCCCAGCACTTTAGGAGGCCAAGGTAGGCAGCTCGCTTGAGGCCAGGAGTTCGAGACCAGCCTGGCCAACATGGTGAAACTCCATCTCTACTAAAAACACAAAAATTAGCCAGGCATGGTGGTGCATGTCTGTAATCCTAGCTACTCAGGAGGCTGAGGCAGGAGAATCACTGGAGCCTGGAAGGCAGAGGTTGCAGTGAGCTGAGATCGTGCCACTGCACTCCAGCCTGGGTGACAGAGTGAGACTCCATCTCAAAAAATAAAAGAGTCACTCTGGATACTGGGTTAAGAAAGGAGTGTGCGGGGAGAGCGGTGAGGACAAAGGTGGAAGCAGGGGAGCAGATAAGCAGATTCTGCAGACGTATCCACCCTTCCGTGACTAGCTCTAGCCAATGGAGAAAGGGCAAGACCTTTCATACATGACCAGGGTGTATGAGAACATGGGTGTTACCATTTAATTTCAGGGTCTGTGTGCCTCCTGCAGTTCCCACCGGAGAAGTGACTCCTAGGTTTCAGGCTGGGCTTGTCCGTATCATATGAGCTGGCAGTTTCTGTTTACTCATTGGCAAACTGACATATACCTTGAGGTAGATGCTGGAGCCCACAATGTGGAGCAAAAAGCAAAGGAGGTCCCTGGGCCAAACTACTGTTTGCACCAAATGGGAAGGGCTAACTTGTTATTGGATTTCTCTTTGCTCTGCAAATAGGATTTCACTAGAGGCAATTCTTCTAATACTTCTTCAGCCACCTGTCCTTCCTCATCTCTTTTCTTAGTAACTAAGAGTACACTGTCAGCCCACCAGAAAAGCCACACTGCTGTGATTCATTGATATTCACCTGATACTGCCCTTTCACTCTTGGATTTCTTGGTTGACCCTCCGTATTTTTTAGAGGTGAGATCTCACTATGTTACCCAGGCTGGAGTGCAGTGGCTAGTCACAGGCGCAATCATAACGTACTAAAGCCTTGAGCGCCTGTCATCCAGCGACGCTCCTGCCTCAGCCTCCCAAGTAGCTGGGACCACAGGCATGAACCACCACGCTCAGCTCTTCACTCTCCCTAATTTTGAGAAAACATACTTTTTTCCTTCTAGTAATGACCTAATAAGTTTTTTCTAATTACGAAAAAATGCACTTTTTTCCTCCTCATCATTGCTTATTGGCAACTCTCAGCCTTTTAAAGGATATTAAATAGCAGACAAAGAGGTATAAACTTGTTTGTTTGTTTGTTTGTTTGTTTGTTTTTTAGATGGAGTCTTGCCCTGTCAAGGCTGGAGTGCAGTGACGCAATCTCGGCTCACTGCTACCTCCGCCTCCCGATCTCAAGGGATCCTCCCACCTCAGCCTCCCTGGTAGCTGGGATTACAGGCGTGTACCACCACGCCTGGCTAATTTTTGTATTTTTTGTAGAGATGGGGTTTTGCCATGTTGCCTAGATTGTTCTCAAACTCCTGGGCTCAAGTGATCTGCATGCCTTGGTCTCCAAAAGTGCTGGGATTACGGTGTGAGTGACCAAGCCTGGCCCAGATTAATTTATTTAATCCTTATAATAACCCTGTGAGGTAGGCATTTTACAGTTGGGGAAACTGAGTCACAGAGTTTTCTTTTTTAGTTAGCCTGCCTAAAGTCACATGTAAGTGGCAGAACTAAGATTGGAACCAAGGCAGCCCATGCTCCTAGCCACTCTGCTATGGAGTGTGAATTTAGTATGAATAGCCATCCTTTCCCTAAAATCTGCATCTTTACTCTAGATAAACCCCTTTTTTTCTCACCACATGACCAAACGTTGCTGATTACCCTGATAACAAACTAGCCCACAGTGCTGAGCTCTCCTCCATGCCAGCATGCTGCAGCCTTTTATAATCTAACTAAATTCTAAGGTAAAGCCATAACCACCTCATTCTTCCCTGGACATGTCTAAAATAGTAAGATCATCCTCATGGAGAAATAGATCATAGGTATTAACTGGTAGTACATAAAACAAAAACAACAAAAACATTAGGCCATTGCATTTTCTGTTAATAAGAAGTTGCAGTGCCCCATTAAATTTTCTGTGTCACCAAAGCCTCCCAGTTGTAGTTACACAAAGGCAACTTTGTCTTGAGAAGGCTACTGGGAAGATGGGCCTAATCTTGGCAAGGGCTTGGTGTACCAAGAACCATGTTATTATTTTTTAATCAAATGACAACACACAAAAAGAAATATTATTTAAGCCATCTTTTCTTTTCTTTTTCTTTTTTTTTTTTTTTTTTTTTGTTGTTGTTGCCCAGGCTGGAGTGCAGTGGCGCGATCAGCTCACTGCAACCTCTGCCTCCTGGGTTCAAGCGATTCTCCTGCCTCAGCCTCCCGAGTAGCTGGGACTACAGGCACCCGCCACTATGCCTGGCTAATTTTTGTACTTTTAGTAGAGACAGGGTTTCACCCTATTGGCCAGGCTGATCTCGAACTCCTGACCTTGTGATCTACCCGCCTTGGCCTCCCAAAGTGCTGGGATTACAGACATGAGCCACCGTGCCCAGCCTAAGCCATCTTTTTAAAAGTCACAGTGCTATTATCATCACCAACTTGGAACCCTCGTTTTTGAAACACAAATGGTTTACCTGAGCTTACAAGGCTCAAATACACATTTTCAGAATAGGAATTAAATTGATCTAAGAGAAACAACACCTGAAAAAACCCTGTCCATTTTGTACTTCTGTACTTTTTGTTTTTCTTGGGGCACGTGAAATGCTTTACAAACATGATTGAGCCAGGTCTCAGTGCTCTGAAAGGTAGATACTTTTTATTATAATATTAATATGCTGACATTTCCTTGGTCAGGTACAGGCGTCCTGTTCCTGTTTCAGCTGCACAATGCCCTGCATTCATTGTACACTCACCCACTGCCCATTGGTACATATACTTAACTCTTGCTCACCCACATGTGGATTATCCATAGCGTCTGGGAACGGGTTGTCTTCCACCCCAGCTGGTGGATACTCAGGGAATATGAGCAAAACTGACAATTCATTGAAGCAAGGCACAATCAGGAGGCTCATTCAGCGTACACCCACCAGGAACCCACTGTGGTCTTCGTGCAGGGCCACCATGTTCATGAGAACCACAAATATATAGCATCCCCAAAGACAAATATCGTGATTTGGGGAGACTGGATGTTGTTTTCTTGATTAATGTGGCTGAGTGTAATCTATAAATAAAGCATACATTTTGCAGAACCAGAAATCTCCTGAGACCAAAAGATTGATATTTTCCTAAAACACAAAGGGTTTTCAGGGTTACACTAGCACTCTGTCTTCTCCCGATGTCATCTCCCTGAAATGGCCTTCAGAAAAGCAGAGATTGTGCTTTTGATTTCTAAAATGACTCCACTCTAAAAGCTTTGATAGGGTGCACCAAAAGAGCTACTATAGTCACAATCACTTTTACGTGATCAGCTTATTTATGTATTTTACTTTACAAACACATAAACCATATGCATCTAGACACACCCACAAATCGTTGTTTACATAAACTAAGTTCCTATGATGACAAAAATGGAAGATTCATAACAACCAAAAAAGATGCTCCTGTTAAATATGCAAGTTACATAAACTGAGCTGTAATTGTTTTGTTTTGTTTTTTCAGGTGTACTTAAACCACACAGAAAGTAGAGGAAAGGCAGACAGTGGGAGTATGGTTGAAGGGTTTGTGCCTTTTGTAATCAGTTTACTTTTGGTTTTACCAAGAGATGATATCTTGAATTCATTCAAACTAGTGTCTATTGCAGTACACTAGGAACATTTGAATTACAAAAGGAGAGGAGGAGCCTCCACTTCCCACAGTTGCTAGTTTACCTGCAATCCTTTGAGGGCAGTGGTAATCTCCATGTGAGCTTTCTGGTAAATTCCACACTAGGACCACATTCAGAACTTACCTGTTTCTTGGCCGTTTATTCCTCTAGACACTCTCTCCCTTTCTACTTTCGCTGGAAAATGAAAGTTTTCCTCCCCCACACCTTTTTCAGAGCAAAAGATACGAGAACCTTAAAAGCAGGTGGTCATTGACTTCAAGGGGACGAGATCGCCCTCCCCACTGCCTCTCCCCATACAGACGCTCACAGAATAGACGGGGAAGCAACTATGAGAGAAACAGAAGCAATCAGAACTCCAGCTCAGACGACCTCAGGAGTTTTACCAACAGGATGATTCAGGACCACACACAAAAAATGGCAGGGTGCCATTTCCCCCGAATCTCTCCCGCATAAGATGGAAACAACAACTTGAGGTGGCAACTGAGCAATTAGTTACTGATCATTTCTATGACAATTCTCTGAAGGCTCCAAAGGCCTCCTATCTTGAAACCCAGGTCATCTCTGCATTGCTATTATTGAAAATCTTTATCCAGTTGCTCTTTGAAGCCACTACTTGGAGCAGTAATGTTGGGACCAACACACACCTTTTATGATATTAAACCAGAAAATCAGCATCATCATTAAGACACAGAGACTGTTCCCAAGAGGGAAAGAAAATATATCTCCTAATCAGGCCAGTAGCTGAAACACTGCAATATAACCTGTAGCTTGGAATCACGGTGACAAGCACTTAAAGCTGCATTTAATGTCTTCATTGTAACTTCATCAAAGTTTGGCACACAAATTCTACCTTTATTCTAAGCATACCCTTTTTCTAAGTCTCATGAATCCCAAACTTAAACCCTCTTCAGAGTTTTTTTTCCCCAGAATTATGTATCTTCTGGGATTACCTAATCACAGTTTCACTTGAGCCTGGGTCCAATTTTAAGAAAATCTCCCTCCCTTCACGCTTATATCCACTCCCCTGACCTTTTCTGAAAAATCAAGAGACTTAAGATGTGGAGGCGGAAACTTACTGAAATAGCCAAATGCTTTTCTATAGCAATGAAAGCTCAGTCATTTGGGACATGATTTAATCTTGAGCTTCAGAGCAGAATTTGAAAAGCAAATTAAATCCTTTTGTAAGAAAATAATTTCATCTTAACCCAATCTTTTAAAAAATCATTACCTAGAACAGTAAACCAAATAGTCTAATATGAATGTTCTTATCATGTGAGGAAAAAAATGAGTAGTCTTTAACACTAGTTAGAGCAAGTCTATAGAACACGTGTCCAGAAGCATGTAGTTCCCTTGCTTTCTGTCTTTATTTCATCCTCAGTATCACTACTGCTTTGGGCAGAATTCTTTCAAAATTTAATTTAAAGCAGCACAGTGGGGGAATCAAAAATAAATATGTTGACTATTAAAAATATAGAGATTGGTAAAAAAAATGATGATGATGAATTCTCAATCCTACAAACTTCTGTAAACGCAAAAACCAAGAGGAAGATAATAAATCTTTAATAATTGATTGATATTCAGAATATCTTGATCTAATTAATTTAAAGCATGGCCTACCTAGCCAGGTAAAGGACGGCACAGCTAGGCTTATTTCTTCATTTGACACATACTGAAAGTTAATAATGAAGCTAGGTGCTTGGGAAATTTCTGAGACCCCATCCTTCCAGCATGCAATAATTAAGTCAAAGAGGCCAACAGTGTGTATATCAGAACAAGGTGAAGGGTAAAGCAGACCAGAAAAAAATATTAAAAACCAAACCATCTCCTCCTTTCTTTTTTTCCTTCTGTTTTCCTTTCAGACTGGGTTGATTTTAGTTCCCTCCAAGACTTCAAGTCATTGATCTAACAAAGATCATTGTTTAAATTAATAGCAACACAAACTCCCACAAAGTGATCTCTTCTTATGCTCTAGGTTGAGTACTTTGGTTTATCTAGAGGTTGTGTGTTACGCCGCTGACCACCTTTCACCTTTTAGAATCGGCACCTGCAATTCTCAAATGCTCTGGATCTAATTGCCAACCTTTTGAGCTCAAAACTTCGGCAACTCCTTCATGTTGGGTTGTCAACCCTTTGCTTTCCCTCCCCTGAGAAATTCGTATGACCTTGCCTTAAAACTTTTAAAGAATACATTTTAAAATCTATATTCCTGCTAAAGAAAACAGTGAGTCATTAAAATACCACCAGATAAAAAAAAAAGGTTTGATTTTTAGTTCAGGTCGGTAATGGCCTGTAAGTACCTTGAAGATGGTATCTTCCTATCACTTATGCCTTGGGACAGTACCCAAGAGTGGCTGAACTTTTACCTAATTAAAAAATGAGTCATTTATTTGAAAAATTCCACTTCCATTTATTTTATCTGATTTCTTAAATATCCGGTCAACTGCTAATTTGTCAGATGTCATAATTCGTCAGTCCTACCCTTTTCTACAGGCTGAATTTTTAATTTGAAACAACTACACCTCTACCGAGTGTTACTTTCAGACGTAAATTACTGCAGGAAGACCCCCCTCTGCCTTGGTTAACACTTAAATGAGATGCCTCCTGTCCAGGACGCTTCCTCAGTCTCACTGTAATAATCTGAGTCTAAAGTCACCTGTGCTTCTGGGCGGTCCAATCATGTATTTTCAAGAGTGAAAAAAAAAAATCAGTTTCTTTTATGGGAAAAGATTCATCACTACAGGAAACACGATGGGACTGACTGTATATGATTATCTGCCTTCCCAGAGGTTGACCCTTTTAAAACCGTTTTATAAACCCTTTATTTCCCACTAAATATACCAAGAGACAGAAGATGAGTGATAGCATGAGGGATAAGAGCTAAAGAGAGAAGAATAAGAAAAAAATATACACTTCAAAAATTGGGACCCAAATGTAAGATTAAGGGACAATAGTTAGAAGGACTACCAAAAACCACCTTACCTTTCCTTGTTAAGTTTTTGGAGCCGCCCACTTCAGAAATTAACACCATTCACAGCCCAGGAGCAACTTAACACAGCTAGGAAGTCACCTACAACATCTTCTCGTCCGCCTTCTTTTTAATGTAAAACCAAAATAAGGAGTGTCCAGCGACTCCCCACCGCGCCGCTTAAAGCAACAGAGCGTTTTAGGCTTAACTCCCAGGCTCTGGGAATTCCAGTGGGTCAGAATTGCTTAACCTTGGAGACTTGCAGAGAGAAAGTCTCCAGGAGGACCGCTCCCCAAACCCTGGTTTCTCTCTATCCCAAGCTGCACATTCCACAGTGGAAAGCGGGAGCGGCGACCCGAAGGCAGCGAAGTTCTCTCGGGCTCAGCTCCCGAGGCCGGGAGCGCGCGGCGGTTCCACCCGCAGAGCGGCGCCGCGTCCCGGCTGCGTGGGGCGCTGCGCACGGGAGCGCTCAGCGTCTAGTCTGCGGGCCCTTCCCGGTTCCCTCCCTCTCTCCTCCCGCCGCCCGCCCCCTGCCGAGGCCATCCGCCTCACAGTAGCAAGGTTGTCTCTCGTCTACTCCCTTCCCTTAAACTCACCAAACCAGATTTTTACTCCCAACACCGGCAACTTCCCGTAAATCTGCCCTGAAATTTTATCCTGCTGGCTGAGCCTCCCCTGGCTAAAGGCCAGTGCCACATTCCTGTTGTTTTTTAGGAGCGCAGATACCTTTGCTGAAGGTTCAAAGAAAATCGGCCTTGATGGCAGAGATTGGGGGACTTGACCAGACGGACTTCTCTCCCCGCCCCAAAAGTCACATGCCTTTCAGACACCCAGAAGTGGCACCTGCTCCACCTGGGGGCATCTGTCCGAGTCAGACGCTCGGCCCCCTTCGGGCTGCTCCGAGAAACCCAGCCAGAACCACGTTGGAGAAATTAGGAACCTGCTGCTGAATTTCAAGCCGATCGGAACCGCCCCGCTCCCCTTCTTCCCCCCATAAACAAGTCGCTGGACGAGGTGGGATCTCTGCGACCCCCGCGTGCCCGGGGAGAGCTCCCGGGGCGAGCTCCCGGGGCGTCCTTACCTGGGGCCGAGCATGGCTTGGCCGCGCGCAGGCAGGAGCGTCACGCGGACGGGGCCCTGACCTTTGCCGGGGCCTTCGCAGCAGGGCCTGGGGCCTGGGCGCTGCTCGTTCAGAAGTGGCTCATTTTAGTGCGCTCTGACCTAGAGTTACGGAGGGTTTCTAGAAAGGGAACAAAAAAACACTGCATTTAGAAACAGCAGCCAAGCCCTCGCTTCACCTTGCCTGCTCTCTGGGGAGTTGGCTCGAACCCCCACCCCATCCCAATTCCCAAGAAACCCAGATGTCCGCAATCCGCGCCCCACCCCCTCCGCCTTACCTGTTTATACAAGAGTTAAGGAGCCTCCCGCATTTCAGTGGAGCGCTAAGCCTGTTTGTAGGCGCGGAATGGGCCAACAGGAATCGAATTCTGTGACTAAACAAACTAGAAGAGGAAGCAGGCACCACCAGGAACCTAAAACAGAGTTGTGATTTCGGGTTGCAGTGTCATTCAGCTGAGGGGAAAGAAAAAAATACCGGGCTACTTTAGTGAAAGAATGTTCCAAAAATGGTTCTTTGCTGGTTGAGTTAACACATGCAAAGAGCTTAGAACGGTGCCTAGCACACAGTGTTAGCTGCCGTTATTGTTGTTGTTATTCTTCTTATTATTATTTACATTATGGCTTTTTTCTGAAGAAGAGTGTGTGGTCAGAGTTAGACATGGGCTGTAGCACCAGCATTGCCACTCACCAGCTGTGAGGCCATGAGCAAGATATTTAATCTCTCCCAGCCTCAGTTTCTGGAAGATTCTAACGATGGGATTTTTACAAACAGTTTATATTCATTGCTGACAGTCTTGAATACAATGGGAAATAAAGTCCCTGTAAAGGGTAGCCAACTGAATTTCATCTCACTTAAAAGTTACAAGATTGACAACAGAAATGGAGATAAATTTGCCTGCATTCCATGAAGCTCACTAACGGGAAGGAAATTCAGGGCCCAGCAATCACCCATCTGCTATGCTTAATTCTCATTTGTATTTTGGCACTTGACCTGGTGTCTTACCCTGGGATAGTTACTTATCCCAGACTGGGCCGGACAAATAATGACCCTTGCCGTTTGAAAAGCAGTATGAAAGAGAGGGAAATGATTTTGAAACTCCTCATAAATATTAAAAAGTGATTATTGAAGGCTAAAATGTTATCAGTGCCTCCACCCTTTATCCTCCATTTAACTTCACATTTAAAGAAAGAAATCATAATCCCTTTCCATTAGTGAGGCCCTTTCTACTTTATGGAGCACTTTCACCCTTCTTACTTTATGTGATCCTTACAAAATGATCCTATGAGCTATTTTGTCCCCATTTTGCAGATGAAGACACTGAGATCACACAGGTTAAGTGTAAGTCCAAGGTGGTGAGGCCAGGACTGGTTCTCAGTTCTAGTTAATTTTTTTTTAAGTTGAAAAATCAAACTGGATTTATTAAAATATATATAAATAACCCTCATTTTTCTTTATTTCATCAGTATTGGAAAGTTAAGTGAAAATTAATTAAAAAGTAGTAGTCCTAAGAGAGAGAAACAAAGGCTGAAGGGGTATCAAGAAAACCATAAATTTAAAAAGCAGCATTTGCCACCTTTGGGAAAAATGATTCCTTAAAACCAGCAAAGCATTCTGGAACATTTTAAATCCTTCTGATCTTTTATCTTCTCATGAGGCAAAATTTAACCCAGACAAATTCAACATTTCCTGTGTTTTAGGTTCATTCTTTGTCGATACCAGCCAGCATGTACTGTGAACAGCAGGCAGTGGGAACTCTCTTAGCTAAGTTCCCTCACCAGACCTAAGGGTTGATGCTGCCAGGCACAAACAACGGCTCCACCCCCTTAAGACAACTAAAAAACCCAGCTCCATATTAGCCTGAAATTTTCTTTTCTTTTCCAGAAGTATCTGGATTATGGCCTCAAAAAAGGCTCGCTGTCACAGACTGTCTGAGCTGAAGGATTCTAGAGGGGACATTCTCGCTGGGCACGGTGGCTCACGCCTGTAATCCCCACACTTTGGGAGGTCGAGGCAGGCAGATAACCTGAGGTCAGGAGTTCCAGATGAGCCTGGCCAACGTGGCGAAACCCCGTCTCTACTAAAAATACAAAAATTGGCTGGGCATGGTGGCAGGCACCTGTAATTCTAGCCACTCGGGAGGCTGAGGCGGGAGAATGGCTTGAACCCGGGAGGTGAAGTTTGCAGGGAGCCGAGATCGCGCCACTGCACTCCGGCCTGGGCGAAAGAGCAAGACTCCGTCTCAAAAAAAAAAATAAACACATAAATAAATTTAAAAAATGATAAAAATAAAAGAAATTTGAAAGTGTGGAGGTCAGTGACTCCAGGTGAACTGGAACTGGAGTCAGGGAAAACTCCTGCTTGAGGAGGCTCAGGTTCCACTTCAGGAAGTGAGTCCTCATCTCAAAGAGGGTCAGTTACCCTTTTTCAGATGTTGCCTGCTCCTTCTTCAGTTTTGCCCACTGACACCTATGAAATGGGTATATCCTTTCTTTCTTTTTTTGCACTCCATATCCGCTGGAGAAATGGGTATAATTCTTGTTCCTATTTCTCACTGCCCTCCCCGGGAACATGACAAAAATAAAACAGATTTTTCTAAGTGGCAGGCTATAGCAAAACAAATGTGAACTTTTATTATTTCTTTTTTGTGGCTAACCTTGGCGCCTGTTTTATTATTATTATAATTATTTTAATTCTTAGGCCCACTCCATTTTCCTGGGGCATTTTAGTTTTCTAGACCCTTGTCTTTTACTTTCTGTTTTCTTCTTTTCCTTCTGCCTATGAGGCAATGTTCCGGAGTGAGTGCAAACAGCATGAAAATTAGTTTCCAATAGATTTGAGTTTGAATCTCAATTTCTTCTCTGAGCTATGTGATGTTGGACAAATTGCTTAATCGCTTTGAGTTTTAGTGTCTTCATTTATAAATTAATAACAGCTATCTTTCTGGATTTCTTTTTGTTTGTTTTTTCCGAGATGGAGTCTCACTCTATTGCCCAGGCAGGAGTGCAATGGCACAATCTCGGTTCACTGCAACCTCTGCCTCCCAGGTTCAAGTGATTCTCCTGCCTCAGTCTCCCGAGTAGCTGGGATTACAGGCACGCAGCACCACGCCCAGCTAATTTTTGTATTTTTTTGTTAGTAGAGAGGGGGTTTCACCATGTTGGTCAGGCTGGTCTTGAACTCCTGACCTCGTGATCCGCCTGCCTCAGCCTCCCAAAGTGCTGGGATTACAGGCGTGAGCCACCACGCCTGGCCTTTTTTTTTTTTTTTTTTTTTTTTTGTGACAGAGTCTCGCCCTTGTTGGCCAGGCTGGAGTGCAATGGTGCGATTTTGGCTAGCTCGAACCTCCACCTTCCAGGTTCAAGCGATTATCCCAAGTAGTGGGGATTACAGGCATGCACCACCATGCCCAGCTAGTTTTGTATTTTTAGTAGAGACAGGGTCTCACCATGTTGGCCAGACTGGTTTCGAACCCCTGACCTCAGATGATCCACCCGCCTCAGCCTCCCAAAGTGCTGGAATTACAGGCGTGAGCCACTGCACCTGGCCATCTCTCTGGATTTCTACAAGAGTTAAATGAAAGCTAAAATCTCAGCATGGTCCTTGGCACATAGAAGTTACTGAAGAAATGGTATTTCCTTTTGAATCTGGAAAGAAACCTGCTCCACAGCTCACAAAGAATTGTCTTTCCCATGCTTAAGTCCTAGATCAAATAACACTATCTAAGACACCCTCATCAAGAGAGGTAAGCCACAATAGAAAAATAAGCAGTCATGTGCATACCATTTGCACTCATGGGCATAGCATGTACGTAGCATTTCCAATGATAGATTTATTATCACCTTTGATCATCACAACTGTGAGAGTTAAATATGGATAAGGCGGGGCTGGGCACAGTGGCTCACACCTGTAATCCCAGCACTTTAGGAGGCCGAGGAAGGTGGATCACCTGAGGTCAGAAGTTCAAGACCAGGCTGGTCAACATGGTGAAACCCTGTCTCTACTAAATACACAAAAATTAGCCGTGTGTGGTGGCGGCTGCCTGTAATCCCAGCTACTCTGGAGGCTGAGACAGGAGAATCACTTGAACCCTGGAAGCAGAGGTTGCAGTGAGCCGAGATCGCACCGTTGCACTCCGGCCTGGGCAACAAGAGCGAAACTTCATCTCAGAAAAATAAATAAATAAATAAATAAATAAATGGATAAGGTACAAAACAGTTGTATCACCCCATGGTTCAGATTAGGAAAGTAAGGTTCTCAGTAGTTGCTATAAGTTGCAGAGCCAAGTTTTATTTTGTTTTTGTTTGTTTGTTTGTTTTTACTGCTTTTCACTATTCCACACTACTGAAACTATAGAGATGGGGTCTCATCATGTTATCCAGGCTGGTCTCAAACTCCTGGGCTCAAGTGGTCTGGCTGCCTTGGCTTCCCAAAGTGCTAGAATTACAGGTGTGAGCCACCGCACCCAGCCTGAACCTAAGCTTCCTATTGTGACTGGTGATTATTTCTCTCAACAGGTATTATTCAGAAAAGAAATCCTTTTTTTTTTTTGAGACGCAGTCTTGCTCTGTCGCCCAGGCTGGAGCACAGTGGTGCAATCTCGGCTCACTGCAACCTCTGCCTCCCGGATTCAAGAGATTCTCCTGCCTCAGCCTCCCAAGTAGCTGGGATTACAGATGTGCACCACCATGTCCAGCTAATTTTTGTATTTTTTTAGTAGAGACAGGGGTTTCACCATGTTGGCCAGGCTTGTCTTGAACTCTTGACCTCGTGATCCGCCCACTTCGGCCTCCCAAAGTGCTGGGATTACAGGCATGAGCCACCAAGCCTGGCCAGGAAATCCTATTTTAATCCAGAACATGCAGCTTGACCAGAGAGACCTCTCATCCCCACAGTTTCTAAAGCCTCCACTTTCCCCATAGGGTGGCCACACCCATAGAAGCTTGTTCTAAAAAATATTTTTGTTTTCAATTTTAATATTAAACTCCCACTAAATCTAATATGTGCAAATTTAAGACGTTTTATTCCAGGGCACTCTTTAATCCAAAGGATTTAGCCCAGGGCCTACCCCTAGAATGCAGTAGCCAGCCCATAGGATGAGGGAGAGCCATTCAGAACTCATTTAGAAGGGAGTCTGGGCTGTTGGTTTCCGTGCCACACCATAGGAGGGCCCCTGACTGAATTTTAAAAATGTACTGAGTTCACAGAAAAGGGAATTAAGTATAGCAGGGGTTCACTTCGAACATTAATCTCAGAAGCCAAATCCTTCATTTTGAGAAAGGCCTTCAATGCAAGGAGTCCCTTGACCTTCGTTCTTGCACAAATAGCTCTGCCAAAGCCTGTCCCGCTGAGATGGAGGGAGCACTAATGTAAATTATAGGCTCTTAAAGGCCCACTCAAGACCACGGAATGATTTTGTTATGGCAACAAATGCTGTTAATTCCCCTGTATCCCTTTAAGACTTATTCCCTACCAGAGACGATCTGCAGATTTCTTTCTATTTTATAATGGAAAACAGCCCCACCTAAGAAGCCCAATCATTCAGCAATAACTTATCAGAAAAGATTGCCAACATAAAATTGCTAACATTTATTAAGTGCTTACGGAGTATTTGCCAGACACTGTGCCACACACTTTACATGTATTAACTGTATAATCCTCACAACAAGCCCATGAGCTAGAGATTGTTGTTAGACCCATTTTATACAGAAAGAGACAAAATAAGTGACATTACTGAGTTCCCACAACTAGAAAGTGGCAGAGTTGGGGTTTAACCCAGACTTTCTGGCTCGTGAACCTGTAACCCTAACCATGGCCTCCACGGCCTCACAAAAAATGCCATATGTGTCCATGATTGTGTTACAAATGTTGTGTGTATTCGAGTAGTGGTATCACTAGTGTCAAGAACACTGCCTGGAACATAATGGGCTCTCAACAAGTGTCCATTGAATGAATGAGCGAATGTGGATGTACATTTAAATGTTATGATCTCAATATTGAGAGGTGTGTGTCAAGAAAGGGTCTAGCTCATCTAGGATTTGAGGGTTACGAACACATTTGAGAATGATTAAAAGTGTGTTTTCAAAAATATGGTTAAGCCAGGCACCGTGGCATGCAGCTGTAGTCTCAGCTACTCAGGAGGCTAAGGTGGGAGGATTGCTTGAACCGAGGAGTTCAAGTCTAGCCTGGGCACCATAGTGAGAAACCATCTCTAAAAATGTGTGTGTGTTGGGACAGGGAGGGTTAAGGTTTTAATTTGAAATATACTGCAGGGGATGATGATTTTATAGGACAGAATTAATTGCAGATGTGGACAAATTTACTGACTATAAAATCTACATCAAAATAATGTGAACATTCTTGCCTCTGCTTCTATTATTTTTCTGCTTGGAATACCTTTGTGCCACCATCTGTCTGTCGCCTATATACACTTAATCCTCAAGAATACAGGGCTGTTCTGGGCTGGGTGCGGTGGCTCACACCTGTAATCCCACCACCTTGAGAGGCTGAGGCGGGCAGATCACTTCAGCTCAGGAGTTTGACACCAGCCTGGGCAACAGGTCAAAACCCTGTCTCTACAAAAAATATGAAAATTAGCGAGGCAGGGCCGGGCGCGGTGGCTCATGCCTGTAATTCCAGCACTTTGGGAGGCTGAGGCGGGCGGATCACCTGAGGTCAGGAGTTCGAGACCAGCCTGGCCAACATGGTGAAACCCCTTCTCTACTAAAAGTACAAAAATTAGCTTATAATACCAGCTATTCAGGAGGCTGACGCAGGAGAATGGCTTGAACCCGGGAGGCAGATGTTGCAGTGAGCCGAGATGGCACCATTGCACTCCAGCCTAGGCGACAGAGGGAGACTCAGTCTCAAAAAAAAAAAAAAAAAAAATTAGCCAGGCAGGGTGGCACCCACTCAGGAGGCTAAGGTGGGAGGATCGCTGGAGCCTGGGAAATCAAAGCTACAGTGAGCTATGATTCTGCTACTGCACTTCAGCCTGGGTGACAGAGCTAGACTCTGTCCCCCAAAAATAAATTAAATTAAATTTAAAATAAATAAAAATTTTAAAAGATCACTATCTGTTCCCACACAAAGAAATAGTAAATGTTTGAGATGATGGATTTGATTTGGTAATTACACTGATTTGATCATTACACATTGTATACATGTATTGAAATATCACAATGTATCCCATAAATATGTACAGTTATTACGTGTCAATCAAAAACAGTAAAGAAAAGAAAACACGCACACACACAGTCTGGAGCCAGATGCCTGAGTCTGAATCCCATCTCTGCCACTTACTGGGTGAGTATGGGCAATTCACTTAGCCATCCAGGGCCTTTAGACTCTTCAGCAGTACCCACTTCCTTGAGAGTATTAGGAGGATTCCACGTGTAACTGTAGGTGCAGTCTTGAGAACAACACCAGACCATTATAAGCCTCATCTAAGTATTTTCTGTTATGATTATTCATCTAAACATCCAGCCAATGTTTCAACCAACATTTTTCAAGCATCTACTATGTGTCAGGTTCTGTGCATCATGCTGAAGGTAGAAAAGTAAATGAGCTGGCCAGATGCTGTGGCTCATGCCTGTAATCCTAGCACTTTGGGAGGCTGAGGTGGGCAGATCACCTGAGGTCAGGAGTTCGAGATCAGCCTGGCCAACATGGTGAAACCCCATCTCTACTACAAATACAAAAAAATTAGCCAGGCGTGGTGGTGGGTGCCTGTAATCCCACCTACTCGGGAGGCTGAGGCAGGAGAATCACGTGAACCCAGGAGGCAAAGGTTGCAGTGAGCCATTGCACTCCAGCCTGGGCAGCAAGAGTAAAACTCCATCTTAAAGAGGAAAAAGAAAGAAAGAAAGGAAAGAAAGAAAGGAAGGAAGGAAGGAAAGAAAGAGAAAGAGAGAAAAGAAAGAAAGGAAGGTAAGTAAATGAGCTATGGTTCAAGGAAGGTAGGTAAGTAAATGAGCTATGGTTCCTGTCCTCAAGGAACTCATATCTTATGAAGGCAGGTAAGCAACCAGCCAATGGTCATATGGTGTGTAAGCCCAGGATGCTTTGTGAGTAGGTATATATTCTTTGTTTGTTTGTTCTGCTTTTGTTTTTTGTTTTGGGGAGTACTTATATATTCTAACCTAGGCTTAAAGGGCCACACTTGGGGAGAGCTGAGAGTCTTGAAGGTTGCCTACAAGCTAGTGAGGCAAAGAAGAGGAGAAGTGCATTTCAGGTGAGCAAAAATCACCAAGGAACAAAATAAATTGTAGATTAAGGTGTGTAAAGGCAAGGAGTTTTCTATGGCTGGAGGGTTGCATGGCAGTGATGTGAGATGAAATTGAGAGACAGACAGGGGCCAGTTCATGAGGAAAAGTGTCTGTCATGCCAGGGAGTTCAGAAAGGTTTCAAATAAGGAGTGCTGAGATCAGATAGGCATATCCATCAGAGTCCAGGGTAGTGGCAAAGTAGATGGAGAAGAGAGGATTCACGATATATTTAAAAGATGAGAGTCATGGTATCATGGTAAGAGTCAGATAATTGGGGGTAAGATAGAAGACAGCAGAAAATTTGGAGTAGAGATGAGATAATCATTCATTCTGTAAATATTCATTGAACTCCTACTATATCCCAATCACTTTTCTAGACCTGGGGAAAACAGCAGTGAACAAAACAGTCATAAATTCTGTCCTCGTGGAGCTTGCTTCTGTTGGGAGCAGACAAAGAAAAAACAAATAAGTAAAATATAAAGCATGCTTGATGATAGTAAGTACTATGAAGAAAAACAAAGCAGAGAAGGGAATAGAAAAAAAAACAGAGACAAAATAAAGCTGAAAGCTGGTTGCAATATTTCAAAGGTGATAAGGAAAGACTTCCCTGAGAAGGTGACATTGAGAGGAACTAAAGACAGTAAGGGACAGATTAATGCAGATGCTCAGAGGAAGTATATTCCAGGCAGAGCAAGAGTATGCTTGGTGCCTTCAAGAATGGCTAGAATGCGAGGCCGGGCGCGGTGACTCACGCCTGTAATCCCAGCACTTTGGGAGGCCGAGGCGGGCAGATCACGAGGTCAGGAGATTGAGACCATCCTGGCTAACACGGTGAAACCCCGTCTCTATTAAAAATACAAAAAATTAGCAGGGCGTGGTGGTGGGTGCCTGTAGTCCCAGCTACTCAGGAGGCTGAGGCAGGAGAATGGCGTGAACCCCAGAGGTGGAGCTCTCAGTGAGCTGAGATTGTGCCACTGCACTCCAGCCCTGGCGACAGAGCAAGACTCCGTCTCAAAAAAAAAAAAAAAAAAAAAAAAGAATGGCTAGAATGCATGTACACCATGGAATACTATGCAGCCATAAAAAAGAGTGATTAGCCAGGCATGGTGGTTCACGTCTGTAATCCCAGCACTTTGAGAGGCTGAGGTGGGAGGATCACTTGAGCCCAGGAGTTCGAGGCCAGCCTGGGCAATGAATTAGTCTCTACAAATTAGTCGGGCATGGTGGTGCACACCTGTAGTCCCAGCCACTCAGGAGGCTAAGGTGTAAGGATTGCTTGAACCTATGAGGTCGAGCCTGCAGTGAACTGTGATCATGCCACTGCACTTCAACCTGGTAACAGAGCAAGACCCTGAAAAAAAAAAAAAAAGAACAAGATCATGTCCTTTGCAGGAACGTGGATGGAGCTGGAGGCCAGCATTCCTAGCAAACTTAATTCTTTGCCACTGTGCCTGGTATTCTCAACAAATTATCCAGAAAACCACGAGTCATCTGTCAGGTTTAGCACCAAAAGAGAAACATATCTGCCATCTCTTTTCTGGTTCAATCATTTTATTTTATAGGTAAGGAAACAGACCTGGAAAGACAAAGTGACTTCTCCCAAGATTAACCAGCCTCTTTCTAAAAGGCAGTGTCAGGACTCAGACATCTGACTCTAAATCAGTGTTTCATTTAGTCTTCACATCCTGCAGGAACAGAACACCAAACACTACATGTTCTCACTTATAAATGGGAGCTAAATAACGAGAACCAGTGGGCATTAAGAGGGGAACAACAGACACTGGAGCCTGCTGGAGGGACATGGGAGAGGATCAGGAAAAATAACTATTGGGTACTATGCTTAGTACCTGGGTGACAAAATGGTCTATACACCAAACCACTGTGACACGAGTTTGCCTGCATTAACAAACCTGCACCTGTATTCCTGAACCTAAAATTAAAGTTAAAAAAGAAAAGGCTTTGGGTGGCTCACTCCTGTAATCCCAGCACTTTGGGAGGCCGAGGCGGGCGGATCACGAGGTCGGGAGATGGAGACCATTCTGGCTAACACGGTGAGACCCCGTCTCTACTAAAAACACAAAAAATTAGCCGGGCGTGGTGGCGGGCGCCTGTAGTTCCAGCTACTGGGGAGGCTGAGGCAGGAGAATGGCGTGAACTCGGGAGGCGGAGCTTGCAGTGAGCCGAGATCGTGCCACTGCAGTCCATCCTGGGCGACAAAGCGAGACTCCATCTCAAAAAAAAAAAAAAAAAAGAAAAGAAAAGAAAAGGCTTTGGGAGGCCGAGGCGGGCAGATCACGAGGTCAGGAGATCGAGACCATCCTGGCTAACATGGTGAAATCCCGTCTCTACTAAAACTACAAAAAAAAAAAATTAGCCGGCCATGGTGGTGGGCGCCTGTAGTCCCAGCTACTCGGGAGGCAGAGGCAGGAGAATGGAGTGAACCCAGGAGGCGGAGCTTGCAGTGAGCAGAGATCGTGCCACTGCACTCCAGCCTGGAAGACAGAGCAAGACTCCATCTCAAAAAAAAAAAAAAAAAAAAAAAAGGAAAGGTTGGGCACGGTGGCTCACGCCTGTAATCCCAGCACTTTGGGAGGCCAAGGCAGGCAGATCACCTGAGGTCAGGAGTTTGAGACCAGTCTGGCCAACATGGCAAAAGTCCGTCTCCACTAAAAATACAAAAATTAGCTGGGCATAGTGGTGGGCACCTGTAGTCCCAGCTACTCCGGGAGGCTAAGGCAGGAAAATCACTTGAACCCAGGAAGCAGAGGTTGCAGTGAGCTGAGTTGGTGCCATTGGACTCCAGTCTGGGCGATAGAACGAGACTCCCTCTCAAAAAAAAAAAAAAAAAAAAAAAAGCAGCTAGAAGAGCAGGGCATGCTGGCATATGCATGCAATCCCAGCTACTCAGTTCAGGAGCCTGGGCAACGTAGTGAGATCCTGCCACAGTTTAAAAAAATTGGCAGCCAACACAGTGGCTGTGCTTGGGAGGCTAAGGGAGGGAAAGTGCTGGAGTCCAGGAATTCAAGCCTGCAGTGATCCATTACTGTACCACTGCACTCCAGCCTGGGTGACAGAGCGAGACTCCGTCTCAAAAAAAAAAAAAGAGAAAGAAAAAAGAAAGAACAGCTGGAAGGTTTGGGCTGCAGTAGCCAGAGTGGATAGAAATAAGAAATGAGGCCTTGGCGTGGTGGCTCACTCCTGTAATCCCAGCACTTTGGGAGGCTGAGGCAGGCAGATCACCCTGAGGTTGGGAGTTTGAGACCAGCCTGGCCAGCATGGTGAAACCCCGCCTCTACTAAAAATACAAAAATTAGCCGGGCGTGGTGGCAGGCACCTGTAATCCCAGCTACTCAGGAGGCTGAGGCACAAGAATTGCTTGAACCTGGGAGGTAGAGGTTGCAATGAGCTGAGATCGTGCCACTGCACTCCAGCCTGGGTAACAGAGCAAAACTCTGTGACACACACACACACACACACACACACACACACACACACACAGGAAGATAAAAAGAAATAAGAAATGAGGTAGGAAGATAATGGGGCCAAACTGTGTACAGCCTGCTAAGGTTTCTGGTCCATTGTAAGGACTTTGGCGTTTGCTCTGATGGCGTGCAGAGCCATTGAGTAAAATAGTGACCAGTCAGATAGATGCTAGTGGTTTTTTTTTTTTTTAAGATGGAGTCTCACTATGTTGCCCAGCCTGGAGTGCAGTGGCACAATCTCAGCTCACTGCAACCTCTGCCTCCAGGGTTCAAGCGATTCTTCTGCCTCAGCCTCCCGAGTAGCTGGGACTACAGGCGCCTGTCACCACACCTGGCTACTTTTTGTATTTTTAGTAGAGACAGGGTTTCACCATATTGGCCAGGCTTGTCTCGAACTCCTGACTTCATGATCCGCCCGCCTTGGCCTCCCAAAGTGCTGGGATTACAGGCATGAGCCACCATACCCGGCCGTTTTTGGGTTTTTTTTTTTTGAGAAAGAGTCCCTTGCTCTGTCGCCCAGACTGGAGTGCAGTGGCGCAATCTCAGCTCACTGCAACCACCGCCTCCCAGGTTCAAGCGATTCTCATGCCTCAGCCTCCCCAGTAGCTGGGATTACAGATGTGCACCACCACGCCCAGCTAATTTTTGTATTTTTATTAGAAATAGGGTTTCACCATGTTGGCCAGGCTGGTCTCAAACTCCTGACCTCAAGCTATCAGCCTGCGTTGGTCTCCCAAAGTGTTGGGATTAAAAACATGAGCCACCGTGCCCAGACAGATGCTAGTTTTAACAAGGTCACTAGTTCTGAGTGCAGTATTAGTGCACATAGCAAGGGATCAGAGCAGCAGCAGAGGCACCACTTTGGACGTCATTGCTGTAGTGCCTGAATTCATCTTCAAACTCCCGAACTTCAAAACTCCCACACATACAGGCCTAGTGAGCCTCATCAGGTGCACCTAGCAGGCAGAAGAATGTCCCGTATGTAGGCACAAGTTTGATGTCTTGGCAGCGAATTGATAAGGCTTGAAGCCAAGAGATCGCCCAGAGTGTTGGGTGAACAAGAGGAGGATAGGACTAGGGACAGAAACTGTGTCCTGGCAAAGGGACAAGAGCATATGGAGAAGCTAAGAAGAAAGCGTTAGTCCAGGAAATAATTAGATTCAAGAAGGAAGGTGTGTTTACAAAGTCAACTGAGGCAAACGGTTAATAAGACAAGGATTGAAAACGATCATTTTGTTTTGCAACTGGGAGATAACGGGCGCCCTTGACAAGGGTGGTTTCCGTGGAGTGGTAAGGCTGAGCAGTGACTGGGCAGTGAAGGCGGGAAGACAGCAAGCAAGACAAACTGCTCAACTAATGGGGCCATGAAATGAAGAACAGTGATAGGGTAATCACCATTGGATCAAAGGAGAGCTGGCCTTTTGAGATGAGCATGTCTATAAACTGAAGATAAAAGCCAGTCAGGTGTGATTGGGTGTCTTAGACATGCAGGACAATCATTCATCCATTCATTCACTTGTTCAACAAGTATTCATAATCTATCAAGAGTCAAACACTGGGCATACACAGATAAATAGAAACATGATCCATTCCATCACCTTGGAACTACAGACACATGTATAACTATACAAGAGTACAAAGTGAGGGGAGCAGTAGAGATGGTTGTAAATGCCAGAAGAATCTATTAATTGTGCCTGTGGGGAAAAAGGGAAACAGTAAGGGAAAATTCCTAGAGATGGTAATATTTGGACAGGGGATTATTATTATTATTATTATTTTGAGATGGAGTTTCTCTCTTTTTGCCCAGGCTGGAGGGCAATGGCGCGATCTTGGCTCACCACAACCTGTGCCTCCTGGGTTCAAGCAATTCTCCTATATCAGCCTCCCAAGTAGCTGGGATTACAGGTGCCTGCCACCATACCCAGCTAATTTTTGTATTTTTTTAGTAGAGACAGGGTTTCACCATGTTGGCCAGGCTGGTCCTGAACTCCTGAGCTTGGGTAATCCACCCGCCTCAGCCTCCCAAAGTGTTGGGATTACAGGCGTGAGCCACTGTGCCTGGCCTTGGACAGGGAGTTATTATTATGTTTTTATTGAAAGAAAAAATTTTAGGCCAGGTGCGGTGGCTCATGTCTGTAATCTCAACACTTTGGGAGGCCAAGGCGGGTGGATCACTTGAGGTCAGGAGGTTGAGACCAGCCTGGCCAATATGGAGCAATCCAGTCTCTACTAAAAATATATTAAAAAATTAGGGTGGGTGTGGCAGTGCGTGCCTGTAGTCTCAACTACTTGGGAGGTTGAGGCAGGAGAATCGCTTGAACCCGGGAGGCAGAGGTTGCAGTGAGCCAAGATGGCACCACTGCACTCCAGCCTGGGTGACAGAGTAAAACTGTGTCTCAACAACAGCAACAAAAAATACAAAACATTGCTGGGCGTGAGGCACGAGAATCACTTGAATCTGGAAGTGGAGGTTGCAGTGAGCAGAGATCACGCTACTGTACTCCAGCCTGGATGACAGAGCGAGGCTCCGTCTCAAAAAGAAAAAAAAAATTTAGAGATGGTCTCACTCTGTCATCCAGGCTGGAGTGCAGTAGTGTGATCATAACTCACTGCAGTCTCAAACTCCCGGACTGGACTCAAGCAATCTGCCTGTCTCAACCTCCCAAGTAGCCGGAATTACAAGCATGTGCCACCATGCCCAACTAACTTTTCTTTAAATGTTTTGTAGACATGGGGTCTTGCTATGTTGCCTAGGCTGGTGTCAAACTCCTGGGCTCAAGCCATCTGCCTTCCTTGGCCTCCCAAAGTACTGGGATTGCAGACATGCTCCACCATTCCCAACCTGGACAAGGGAATTAAAAATGAGAAAATGAAGGGTGGCAGGGCATTCTAGCCAGAGGAACCACATGAACAACAATGACAAGATTCGGATGTGGGGGTAGGGGTTGGGATTAGAAAGCATTTAGTATCTGGTGTGACTGGGAGTGTGGTAAAGTGGCAGGATTTGCAGCTAGTAAGATGGGTTGGAGCCAGGTCCTTAAGAGCTTTGAAAGGAGAATGGGTTTGTTTGTTTGTTTGTTTGTTTGAGACAGTCTCACTCTGTCTCCCAGGCTGGAGTGCAGTGGTTCGATCTCGGCTCACTGCAGCCTCCACCTCCTGAGTTCAAGTGATTCTCCTGCCTCAGCCTCCCAAGTAGCTGGGATTACAGGCATGTATCACCACGCCTGGCTAATTTTTGTATATTTTGTAGAGATGGGGTTTTACATCCAGGCTAGTCTCAAACTCCTAGAGCTCAAGCAATCCTCCGACCTTGGCTTCCCAAAGTGCTGGGATTACAGGTGTGAGCTACCACACCCAGCTGGTTCTTATTTTTATGGGTGACAAGACTGAGCAGAAAAGTGACATAATCAAGGATGTATCTCAGAGAAAAAACCTCAAGCACACCACAGAGGATAGACTGAAGAAGGAACTTGGGAGCAGAGAGATTGGTTATGAGGAGATTGCAATCATCCAGGTAAGAAATGACAAGGTCCACAGGGCCAGGTAAGAGATGACAAGGTCCACAGAGATGTTGAATGTGGTAACTATTATAGGTGATCTCATTCCACTCTTTTTCCAGCATGCCTTCCTGTACTAAAAGGCTGGAAAGCTGAAAGCTACCTTTCCCAGACTTCCTTGCAGTCAAAGTTCCAAATGTAATGTATGTTCTGACAAACAGAGCCATCTGAGCCAGGTTTAGAAGGTAAAAGCAAGGGAGAGGACAGGTTTCTGGCTGTTTCTCCAGCAAGTACAGGCGCACACACATAGAATGTTCCTGCAGCTCCATCCCAGTGTGCAGCTCTAGCTTTGTGGGTATTGAGAGAACACAGGGCACCCATCTTTTGCTGGTATGGACCTGGCAGACATAGCACGGCTCTGTTCCAGATGCGGCAGTGGCAGCTTTTCTGATCCCTGAAAAATGAAAGTGGCATGTCCATGAACGCAATAGTTACAGGGGTAGTTTTCTGATTCCTCACCTTCCTGGATGGGGCTGATGCGGCAGCTCCCCTGGCAGGCCAGCTCTGTAGTGTTACTATGGACGTCATGCCCAAAGTTCCAGCCAGGTACCTGCTCGTCCAACAACTGTTTAGGGCCGGGCACAGTGGCTCACGCCTGTAATCCTACCCCTTTGGGACGCCGAGGCGGGAAGATTGCCTTGAGTTCAGGAGTTGGAGACGAGCCTGGCCAACATGGTGAAACCCTGTCTCTACTAAAAATACAAAAGTTAGCCGGGCATGGTGGCAGGTGCCTGTAATCCCAGCTACTTGGGAGGCTGAGGCAGGAGAATTGCTTGAACCCGGGAGGCAGAGGTTGCAGTGAGCCGAGATTGTGCCACTGCATTCCCGCCTGGGCAACAGAGCAAGACTATCTCAAAAACAAAACAAAACAAAACAAATGTGTAAGCACCTACTTGCATAAATAAATCCCCTTCTGCTTAAAATAGTTACAGAGTTGCTGGGCATGGTGGCTCACGCCTGTAATCCCAGCACTTTGGGAAGCTGAGGCAGGCGGATCACGAGGTCAGGAGTTCAAGACCAGCCTGGCCAACATAGTGAAACCCTGTCTCTACTAAAAATACAAAAATCAGCTGGGTGTGGTGACACGCACCTGTAATCCCAGCTACTCAGGAGGCTGAGGCAGGAGAATTGCTTGAACCCAGGAGGTGGAGGTTGCAGTGAGCCAAGACCGCACCATTGCACTCCAGCCTGGGCAACAAGAGCAAAACTCTCTCTCAAATATATATGTGTGTGTATATATATATATATATATATATATATATATATATACACACATATATATGTGTGTATATATACACATACATATGTATGTGTATATATACACATATATATGTATGTGTGTATATACACATATATATGTATATATGTATATATACGTATATATACATATATATGTGTATATATATAGAGAGAGAGAGAGAGAGAAAGAGAGAGACAGTGTATATCATTGTGGTTTTCATTTATTTTGTTTTGTTTGTTTGTTTGTTTGAGACAGTCTCACTCTGTCGCCCAGGCTGGAGTGCAGTGGCATGATCTCAGCTCACTGAAACCTCTACCTACTGGGTTTAAGCAATTATCCTGCCTCAGCCTCCCAGGTAGCTTGGATTATAGGCGCCCACCACCATGTCCAGCTAATTTTTGTATTTTTAGTAGAGACGGGGTTTCACCATGTTGGCCAGGCTGGTCTTGAACTCCTAATCTCAAGTGATCTGCCCGCCTCAGCCTCCCAAAGGGCTGGGATGCAGGTGTGAGCCACCATGCCCAGCCTCATTGTGGTTTTCTACAATAAATCTGGACAAGTAGAAGGATTTTCCTTTTCTTCTTTTATTTTGGAGAACCAGCCCAGACAACATAGTGAGACCACATTTCCAAGGTTGCAGCAGTAGGAAGGTCTAGCTCCTTTGAATTCTTTCAACAAATAACAGCCTGGCACTACAGACTTGAGATGGGGACATGTGTTTTCTGTTTTTACAGCAGAATTTAGGGATTTACACAATTGTCATTAAGTGTGTGCCCAAGTGAATTCATTTCTCTGTTTTTAAATTTATTTTTAGTTTTTGAGATAAGATCTCACTCTGTCTCCCAGGCAGAAGTGCAGTGGCACAATCACGGCTCATTGCAGCCTTGACCTCCTAGGCTCAGGTGATCGTCCCACCTCAGCCTCCCAAGTAGCTGGAACTACAAGTATGTGTCATCATGCCTACCTAATTTTTAAAAATTTTTTGTAGAAATGAGGTCTCACTGTGTTGCCTGGGCTGGTTTCAAACTCCTGAAATCAAGCAATCCTCCCACCTTGGGCCTCCCAAAGTGCTAAGATTACAGGCAAGAACCACCTCACCTAGCCTGGTGCCCATTTTTTAAAACCAAAAAGCCCTTTAGTAAGACTTAAGATGCATTTGAATGTGCCTTCATTATGGCATTGGTGACATCTGGTTATAGTTAATTCAATGCAAATATTCATGTTCATCTGGATTATAAGCTGCCTCCTGGGGGTGTAGAAACTGCCTTGCTGAGTTGCATTTCCCCAGCTCCAAGTAAAAGTCCATGGGGCAGGGACTCAAGGAATGCTTGATGAATGATTGAAGGAAGTTTCTGAACTGTGGCTCAAAGAACACATTTTAGTACTGGCTCTGCTTCAATTTCCTCAGCTATGAAATGAGTTTCCAGGAAATAAGTTCTATTATTCCTTCTTACCTGTAAACATTTTTTGATCCCTAATGGGAAAAGACAAAAGAAATCTCTTTTCCAAAGAGCCTCTTATCTAAACATTTTCTGATGTCTAATGAGAAAAGACAAAAAAAAAATTCTTTGCTAAAAAATGTTTAAGTATAGCTGTTTAATGAATTCAGTTTGGTTGTATCTCCAGCACGAGGATGGACTGACTAGACCTCTAGAGATTCTTTATGGACTCTGTGATGAGATCTTATTAACTTTCCTCTATCTTGAGGTCTGTGTCAGAATCATTGGGTGTGAGGCCCCATTTTGGTGACTGAGTTGTTTCTGTTTTCCTCTTGTTTACCATCACAATATTTCCCCTTTCCATGGGGATTTTCTGAAAAGGTCACATGGCCACTTCAGAAAGTCGTCCTCTTGTTGAATGACAATGATAGCCTCTTTCTCTGGTTGGCAACCAGAGGCAACCGCTGTCTGAACTAGTCAGAAAGAGGAGCTTAGGCCACTCAGTTGGCTGAGGCCAGAGGGAAAGTCCAGGCTCCTCCGATGACATCAGGACTGCGGCAAAATGTCTTCCATGAAAATGATGATTCGGCAAAGTTCCACCAAGGCCTTGCTAGAGCAGCAGGGGAGGAAGGAAGTGTCTCCTGGGACCGGCTCGGACTTACAGAGAAGGAGCTCCAAAATATTTCAGAGCATCCTGTCAACCACGCCTCTCCAATCCACTTCCAAAGTGCATACACAAGATAATCTCGTGCCCTTTTGGATCCAAGATAATCCTGCTCTAAGCACAGTAAATAGCTCTGGGTAGAGCTGTGAGTATAAACCAAACTAGCCATCCATCACTCAAATACCTTCTGGGTCCTTGCCCCGTGCTAGACCCTGGGCTGGCTGTTAGACTCAGGATGGTGAGTGAAATCACAATCCACAACTGATGGTCTGGTTGGGTACACGTAGGCATACAAAGCTAATACTAAAGTAGCACAAGGGCTCTGCTTTGCCTGGGAGTACAGAAGAAGGAATGATTCATTCACATCCCCGTAAGTGCTAGCAATTCATCCATGTGGTATACTGGCCAAGGCTGGTGTCTCTGTGTCACTCTGCCTTCCCAGATCACAACCTACTTCTTGCCACTTCGACAAATGGACCATCATTTGTGGTGCTGTTTCCTTTTTTTTTTTCTTTTTTTATTGTTTTTAAAATTTATTTTATTTATTTATTTTTTTAAGACGGAGTCTCGCTGTGTCACCCAGACTGGAGTGCAGTGGCATGATCTCGGCTCGCTGCAACCTCTGCCTCCCAGGTTCAAGCGATTCTCCTACCTCAGCCTCCCGAGTAGCTGGGATTATAGGTGCCCACCACCATGTCCAGCTAATTTTCATATTTTTAGTAGAGACAGGGTTTCACCATGTTGGCCAGGCTGGTCTCGAACTCCTGACCTCAGGTGATCCGCCTGCTTCAGCCTCCCAAAGTGCTGGGATTACAGGAGTGAGCCACCGCACCGAGCCTGTGGTGCTGTTTTCATGTCTCAGTGCCTTTGGTCCATGTAGCAGATGCTGTGGGGCCTCGCTAATATCTGGCTGCATTGACCCGTACACACTGAATACTGCTGCACATATCTACAACTCTCCTGCGGCTTTTCTTTGGCCCTAAAAACACTTAGGCAGGGCAAGCTGGAAGTATCCCTGGAAGCAACTCCCCCCACCCACCTTCTTTGCCCTTCTACTGGATGACTCTGAAACTTGCTCTACATCAACTTCCAGAGCTGCCTGGTGGGACCGAGCTCCAATCGCCCACAGTGGCAACCATCTTGTTAACACGCCATGCATGCCCTTCTTCCACTCCCTGCTGCACTCCCCACACCCCTCTGCGGTTTCCTGGAATCATCTCCCAAATTCATGACTGCCTTCAAGTTATTGTTTCTGGGCCTGCTTCAGAAAGGACTCAAACAGAACAGTCACTTCTTTCTCCCATACTTCAGCCCTCATGCCATTTGTCTCCGGCGGCTGAGCTCTGCCTTCTGAAAGGCTCTGCGGACAGTCACCTCTTCTGTGATGCTATCTTTCCTCCACCAGGTTCCACCATCTGCAGTGTGATGGCCTCCCTCTTCTGAGATCCTCGACCTTATCACAGACCTCTCTTCTTCTTTTGAGACAGAGTCTTACTCTGTTGCACAGGCTGGAGTGCAGTGGCACAATCTTGGCTCACCGCAACCTCCGCCTCCCGGGTTCAAGCGATTCTCCTGCCTCAGCCTCCCGAGTAGCTGGGATTACAGGTGTGTGCCACCACACCCAGATAATTTTTGTATTTTTAGTAGAGGCGAGGTTTCACCATGTTGGCCAGGTTGGTCTGGAACTCCTGACCTCAGGTGATCTGCCCGCCTCTGCCTCCCAAAGTGCTGGGATTACAGGCGTGAGCCACCACACCCGGCCAACACAGACCTCTCTTAAGATGTGAATCACATAGCACTGTGAGCATCTGTAGGTTTATTTGACTTTGCC
The DNA here is from genome assembly GCF_000001405.40 of Homo sapiens. Classification (NCBI taxonomy): domain Eukaryota; kingdom Metazoa; phylum Chordata; class Mammalia; order Primates; family Hominidae; genus Homo; species Homo sapiens. The sequence continues at coordinate 40,650,979 of NC_000004.12, forward strand.
TGGTAGGAACTATGACATGCATCTTTGTAAACCGAGGCCCTAGTAGAGTGCCTCATACAGAGTAGATGCCTAATAAATATTTGATGAATGAATACATGACCCCTCTGCTGTGATTTCCTGGCTTTAATTCTTGGGTAGACAGTAAGAAGTTGGAAGCCGTGTTCCTGACCCCAGCTCTGGGCCAAGGGGAATTCTTGGTGTGCTTTCAGGAAAGGTTAGGAAATCTCTCCTTCTCCCTCCCATAGGGCTGACTCTAATTGTGATCTTATTGCAGAGAATAACCTCCCTTTCTAGGCCCACTTGCCCAGGCCATTAGGAATCAATGAAGTAAATTCCAAGAGTGTGAAAATAAGTGAGGCCGGAGGACGGGTGCAAAGGCAGCTAAACTGTGGTGAAAATCTCTGCAGATCAGCCTGAGGCATCTCAAAGATGCCATCAGTCCTTAAGAAAGCTTTTATCTTTGTAGTTTTTATCACAGGGTGACAGCAAATACCAGCTCTGGTAGTAAACCAAGGGCTGAATAAATGCCCCCTACAAAAGATAGAATCCTGTAGAGGAATTCCAAACTGTTTGTTGGGTGAGCAGGCAGCTGGTCTTTGGGGAAAGCTGGTTTCAGCTGCTTCTTGTGCTTTGCCTGAGGTGTTATTTTAAAATTTCCCTGCCAGGGAAGACCTGATCCCCTCTGAAGAACCAAGATGAGCAGGAATGGAAGATGCAGGAGGATCCCCTGCCATGTTAGACTTCAAACAAACAAACAGAAACACAAATTCCAGAGCTGGGAGAAGAAAAGTTAGTCTTCCCTGCTGGGTGGAAATGGAAATGAACCAAACAGCCTGGAGTGTAAGAAATGGGGAGTTGGCCTAGGAAAATGAACTCGTGTTTAGCCATGCTGTTAGTAGAAATGAGGAAAGAACCACCGGGCACAGTGGCTCACTCCTGTAATCCCAGCACTTTGGGAGGCTGAGGCGGGCGGATCATGAGGTCGGGAGTTTGAGACCAGCCTGGCCAACATAGTGAAACCTCGTCTCTACTAAAAATACAAAAATCTGCCGGGCATGGTGGTACACATCTGTAGTCCCAGCTACTCAGGAGGCTGAGGCAGGAAAATCGCTTGAACCCGGGAGGCAGAGGTTGCAGTGAGCCGAGATCGCACCACTGCACTCCAGCTTGGGTAACAGAGTGAGACTTTGTCTCACAAAAAGAAAAAAGAGGCCGGGCGCAGTGGCTCACGCCTGTAATCCCAGCACTTCAGGAGGCTGAGATCATCTGAGCTCAGGAGTTGGAGACCAGCCTGGCCAACATGGTGAAACCCCATCTCTACTAAAACCATAAAAATTGGCCAGGTGTGGTGGTGTGTGCCTGTAATTCCAGCTACTCGGGAGGCTGAGGCACGAGAATCACTTAAACCCCGGATCCAGAGGTTGCAGTGAGCCAAAATCGCACCATTGCACTCCAGCCTGGGTAACAGAGCAAGATTCCATCTCAAAAAAAAAAAAAAAAAAAAAAAAAGATAACTATCATGGTTTGATTGAGGTCATGTGTTCAAAATAAAAATCATAATAATTTAAAACTCTGTATGGTACTGGGCACAGTGGTGCACACCTGTAAGCTAGCTACACACAGGGCGGAGGTGGGAGGATCCCTTGAGCCCTGGAGTTTGAACCCAGCCTGGGTGACAGAGCAAGACCTGTCTCAAAAAAAAAAAAAAAAAAAAAAAAAAAAGTCTGTCTCCAGGCTGGAGTTCAATGGCATGATCTCAGCTCACCGCAACCTCCATCTCCCAGGTTCAAGCGATTCTCCTGCCTCAGCCTCCCGAGTAGCTGGGATTACAGGCATGCGCCACCATGCCTGGCTAATTTTGTATTTTTAGTAGAGACGGGGTTTCTTCATGTTGGTCAGGCTGGTCTCTAACTCCCAACCTCAGGTGATCTGCCTGCCTCAGCCTCCCAAAGTGCTGGGATTACAGGTGTGAGCCACCGCGCCCGGCTAAAAAAACAAGTTTTATTTTATTTTTATAGAGACAGGGTCTCTTACTCTGTTGCTCAGGCTGGAGTGCAGTGGTGCAATCATAGCTCACTGCAGCCTCAGGTGATTCTCCCACCTCAGCCTCCTGAGTAGCTAGGACTACAGGCATACACCATGCCCAACTTTTTTCTTTCTTTTTTTTTTTTTTTTTGGTAGATTGCTCTGTGTTGCCCAGGCTGATCTTGAACTCCTGACCTCAAGTGATCCTCTTGCCTCAGCCTCCCAAAGTGCTGGGATTACAGGCATAAGCCACTTCGCCTGGCCAAAAAAATAAATAAATAGTAAAAGAGGAATTAAAAATGAAATAAATAAATACAACTCAGTACACGATTCCTATTTTCCTCCTCTGTGCGTTTGTAGACTTACTGCCTTTGGGTGCATTGTGAGGCAGGCATTATGACTGTGGGAGAAAGAAGGGGGAAAGGATCGAGTTTAAAGAGGCCTAACTTTTGGAAAATCTCCCAATTTGGGTTTAGCAGTGTGCTTGGCTTAAAAGGAAGAAAGAAAGAAAAAGGAAAAAAGAAAAAAAGAAGGGAGGGAGAAAGGGAGCCTGCAGGCATGGGATTTAAATGTTCCCACTTCCTAATCTTGGTGAGGACCAGAGAGAGACACCAAAATATCACGGGATTGGCAAGTACTGCCCTACTTTCAATTCAGTCCAAAGCAGGAAGGCTTAGGTATGTCACGAGAAAGCCTCTTGTTACCGCCCTAAGACTAGAACAAAAAAATTGGGAGGAGACTCCCATCTTGAAAGCTGTGATTTCCAAAGAGGCCTTGCTAGTCTTATGACTGATGTGTCTCAAGTGTCACAGTTGTGTAACCCACTGATATTTAAAATGATCCTTGAAGGTGGGGCATAGTGGGTCACGCCTGTAATCCCAGCACTTTGGGAGGCCGAGGCAGGCAGATCACCTGAGGTCAGGAGTTCGAGACCAGCCTGGCCAACATAGTGAAACCCTGTCTCTACTAAAAATACAAAAATTAGCTGGGCCTGGTGGCCTGTGCCTGTAGTTCCAGCTACTCGGGAGGCTGAGGCAGGAGAACCGTTTGAACCCAGGAGTTGGAGGTTGCAGTGAGCTGAGATGGCGTCACTGCACTCCACCCTGGGCAACGGAGCAAGATTCTGTCTCAAAAAATAAAAACTAAAATAAAATCACCCTTGAATCCATCACATGGGATTAAGGAGATAATATACATTCGTTTAAGTAAAAGGATAGAGGAGGGATAGCACTCATGGAAGAGCAAAGGGAAGAAGAAAAAAACCTGGGCTGGAATATTGCACGTGCGGGTTCTAGTTCTGACTCCTCTAGTTTTCCCTTTACTCGTTTGAACTTATTGCGGTAACTTTACCCCCTTTACTCTCCTCTGTTTCATGAAGAAGCTGTGCTAGATAACACCAAAAAGAACTCCCAGCTCCAGAAATCTAAGGGAGTCTTCAGAGGCTGCCAAAGAGATAGGCAATTGATTGTAATTTCAAGCTGTTTGGCTAAAAGATGATGAGTCAGAAATCAATCCAAGAACTATTTGTATTGCTACGCATTTCAAACTCTCTAATTTGAGTTCTAGTAAATGAAAGAGAAAGAAGAAGAAGAAAGATTATGAAGTAAACAGAAATAAGGGAAACAGCATGTAAAATTTTTAAAAAACAAGTATCTTTTTAATAAGTTAGATAACAAAACTAGGTACTTTTACTTTTTTTTTTTTGAGATGGAGTCTTGCTCTGTTGCCCAGGCTGGAGTGCAGTGGCGCGATCTCGGCTCACTGCAAGCTCTGCCTCCCCTGGAGATTTTACTTCACGCCATTCTCCTGCCTCAGCTTCCCGAGTAGCTGGGACTACTACAGGCACCTGCCATGACGCCCTGCTAATTTTTTCGTATTTTTAGTAGAGACAGAGTTTCACCATGTTAGCCAGGATGGTCTCGATCTCCTGACCTCGTGATCCACCTGCCTCAGCCTCCCAAAGTGCTGGGATTACAGGCGTGAGCCACTGCGCCTGGCTGAAAACTAGGTACTTGTATTGCACTAAAAGAGTTATTTTGGGTGGCAAGGGCACCCAAAAGAACAGTGGAGGCTGGACACGGTAGCTCACCCTTGTAATCCTAGCACTTTGGGAGGCTGAGGCAGGCGGATCACTTGAGGTCAGGAGTTCAAGACCAGCCTGACCAACAGGAAGAAGCCCCATCTCTACTAAAAATATAAAATTAGCCAGACATGGTGGCACATGTCTGTAATCCCAGCTACTCGGGAGGCTGAGGCAGGAGAATTGCTTGAACCCGGGAGGCAGAGGTTGCAGTGAGCCAAGATCACGCCATTGCACTCCAACCTGGACAACAAGAGCAAAACTCCATCTCAAAAAAAAAAAAAAAAAAAAAAAAAACAGTGGAAAGGCTTGGGTAGAATTTTTTTTTTTTTTTTTTGAGACAAGGTCTCCCCGTCTGTCTGTCGCCCAGGCTGGAGTGCAGTGGTGCGATCTCAGCTCACTGCAACCTCTGCTCCCTGGGTTCAAGGGATTCTCCTATCTTACCCTCCCAAGTAACTGGGACCATAGGTGCGTGCCACCACACCCAGCTAATTTTTTGTATTTTTGGTAGAGACAGGGTTTTGCCATATCATCCAGGCTGGTCTTGAGCTCCAGACCTCTATCTGCCCGCCTCAGCCTCCAATGTGCTGGGATTACAGGCCTGAGCCACTGCATGATAACCATTATTGTTGCATTAATAATGAATATTGTATAGAACACTTGTATATTGTCATTCGCAGAGTATCTTTTTAAATTTGCTTTATTTGGGCCTGGCCGGTAATTTTTTTTATAGATAAAGATGGGTTCTCACTGTTGCCCAGGCTGGCCTCTAACTCCTGGCCTCAAGAGATCCTCACACTTTGGCATCACAAAGTGCAGGGATTACAGACATGAGTCAGTGTGCTCGGCCCAAAAAAGGCAAATATAAAAGGATACTCTGCAAATGACAATATGCAAGTGTTCTATACGATATTCATTATTAATGCAACAATAATGGTTATCATGCAGTAATAACAACTGTAATGGAAAAAGTTTTAAATGCTCATCATCAAAGTGAATATCTAAACAGGAACTATAAATCATTGTATCGAATGTCTAATCAAACAGGGTTTGGAGGATGATCCCTGGCTAACCAGACATTGGGAGCTTCCGGCATCAGTTTTCATCATTGAATGTCTAAGTTTCTGGGCTCAGAAAAAAGTTTGCATCATCAAAAATGTGGATATGTGAGAAACAGTGCAGAGAAGGTATAGAACATTGTGAAACCTCTTTCTCTGAACAGTTTTAACATCGAAAGTGCCATCTGGCCACAAGGATCAGAAAATAACCAGATTACTAGCTGCCAGATTTTACTTCTGCAAAAAAATAAATCAAAAGACTCAGTAATCTATCAGTGCAGGAATTCTGGGTTGTGATCAGAATAAAATAGGTGGCAAAATGTTCCTATGAGTATCAAGGCCAGCAAAGAATCTCTTTGGCCTTTTAGAACTGGATCACGTTAACTTGAAACTGAGTCTCCGTGCAAAGGGATGGGGCATAGCTCCTTCAAAAGAGGATGTGGGTAATCAGACCACTCAAACAGGTGGCACAGTCAGTGTGGGAGTCTTGGTCCCACTGAGGTATCAATACTCATCTGGGGAGCCCTCCTCCTGCCCTGCTAATTACGTTAATCTCTTAAATTCCCTTAAAAAGTCATGGCACTTTTCAGGCTGGGCATGGTGGCTCACGCCTGTAATGCCAGCATTTTGGGAGGCCGAGGCTGGTGGGTCGCTTGAGCTCAGGAGTTCAGTCAAGAATGGCTCCGGCAACATGGTGAAACCCCATCTCTACGAAAACATTGAAAATTAGCCGGGCATGATAGCGTGTGCCTATTTTCCCAGCTACTCCGGAGGCTCAGGTGGGAGAATCATCTGAGCACAGGAAGTTCGAGGCTTCAGTGAGCTGTGATTGTGCCACTGCACTCCAGCCTGGGTGACAGAGCGAGACCCTGTCTTAAAAAAAAAAAAAAAAAAAAGTCCTAGCACTTTTCAAACATGTTAGGGACTTTAGAACTTATCTGGCCAAATGCTTCCATTTCACAGGTGAGGAAAACAAAGTCTCAGAGAACTACTCTGAAGGCCAGAGAACTCATCAGTGGCTCAAGCAAAACATGAATCTCCCGCTTTCCATAACAGTTTTCTCTTCACAGTGCTGCTGCCTTCCCCATCCTTCCACCTTTAGTGCTCCCACAATCTTTTTTTTTTTTTAGGCAGAGTCTCACTCTGTCACCCAGACTGGAGTACACTAGTGCAATCTCGGCTTACTGCAGCCTCCACCTCCCAGGGTTCAAGCAATTCTCCTGTTTCAGCCTCCCGAGTAACTGGGATTACAGGCGCCTGCCACCATGTCTGGCTAATTTTTGTATTTTTAGTAGAGACGGGGTTTCACAATGTTGGTCAGGCTGGTAATTTTTGTATTTTTAGTAGAGATGGGGTTTCACCATGTTGGCCAGGGTGATAATTTTTGCGTTTTTAGTAGAGATGGGGTTTCGCCATGTTGGCCAGGCTGGTAATTTTTGTATTTTTAGTAGAGACTGGGTTTCACCATGTTGGCCAGGCTGGTCTTGAACTCCAGGCCTCGAGTAATCCACCCACCTTGGCCTCCCAAAGTGTTGGGATTAGAGGCATGAGCCACCGTGCTCAGGCTTCCCACAATAATTTTTACTTTGACACATACAGACTTCAATATCACATTCGTATGCACCAAGCTATATGGGAGAATATCTGTAAAGATTCATGAGTTGTTATGTATAGAGTGCTTAAATTGTGGACATAGAAAATAATATTTCTATCCAGATGCAGTGGCTCACGCCTGTAATCCCAGCACTTTGGGAGGCTGAGGCGGGCAGATCACCAGAGGTCAGGAGTTCGAGACCAACCTGGCCAACATGGTGAAACCCCATCTCTATTAAAAATATAAAAAATTGGCCAGGCATGGTAGCGGGCACCTATAATCCCAGCTACTCAGGAGGGCGAGGCAAAAGAATCGCTTGAACCCAGGAAGTGGAGGTTGCAGTGAGCCGAGATCGCACCATTGCACTCCAGCGTGGGCAATAGAGAGAGACTCCATTTCAAAAAAAAAAAAAAATCACTAGGCCAGGTGCGGTGGTTCATGCCCTGTAACCCCAGCAATTTGGGAGGCTGAGGCAGGAGGATTGTTTGTGGCCAGGAGTTTGATACCAGCCTGGGCAATATAGTGACACCTCATTTCTACAAAAGATAAAATAAAAAAAAAAATATATAGCAATCATTAAAATGATATATTTTATTATATTTTATTATCAAAAAATAGTTCTAAAAGCCATATTGCCAATGACAGAGAATGCTGGGGCAGAGTTTTCCAAGACTTTAAGCAGCATATTTGGGTCTGGAGTCTAAACGTCTCAATTTATCAAACATTTGTTGTGCACCTACTGTATACAAGGCTCTGTGCAGGATACAGTGAAAAATGATGAAGCCATAGTCTTCACTCTCAAAGAATAAATGGGAGTCCTCTTCAGTGATAGAAACACAAAGCCAAGAAAAGAAGCAGCTTTTTGGTGAATGATGATCCTAAGGTACCAAAAGGGCATTGGTATATTTTTATTGATTTAACAAACACTTCTGTAACGTGTTCTGTGCCAGGCACTATGTAAGTGCTCTTTATTAGTATGAACATATTTGATTCTCACAAAAATACCTGAATAACCTGAACTGTAGTATTACTATGGCCATCTTACATTTACTGGGCTTTGCCACTTACTGCTGTGTGACATTGGGCAAGTTATTTAACCTCTCTGTGGTTAAATAACTTGCCCAATGTCACACAGCAGTAAGTGAAAAAGCCCAGATTCATGCCTAGGCCACCTGGTTCCAGAGTTTATGTTTGTAACTACTCTGGAATTGATTTTTTTTTTTTTTTTTTTGAGATGGAGTTTCGCTCTTGTTGCCCAGGCTGGAGTGCAATGGCCCGATCTCGGCTCACTGCAACCTCCGCCTCCCAGGTTCAAGCAATTGTCCTCCTTCAGCCTCCCAAGTAGCTGGGATTACAAGCATGCACCATCACACCCAGCTAATTTTGTATTTTTAGTAGAGACGGGGTTTCTCCATGTTGGTCAGGCTAGTCTTGAACTCCTGGCCTCAGGTGATCCGCCTGTCTTGGCCTCCCAAAGTGCTGGGATTACAGGAGTGAGCCACAGTGCCTGTCCTGGATTTTCTTTTCTTTTTTTCTCTTCTCTTCTTTCTTTTCTTTCTTTTTTAACATTCCCACATCACATTTATCTCCTTTTCTTTTTAAAAAAGTCCCTTGTTTATTAATAAATGATGAATCCTCAGAGGGAAAAAACACAAACGAGGGCTAAAAATGAGACAATTTGGATGCAGTCCCACCTACTTTTAGAGCCATAGGCTGTCTCCACCTGACCTCAGCCACTTACATTGTTGGGTAACACTGAGTCAGTCACTTTTCTTTGGACTTCCATTTTCTCATCCCTAACTGGGAAGAATACAATCTGCCCTACTATAGTATAAGGTTATAATGAAGATGGAAAAGATAACGTATGTGAAAGTGGTTTTTAAAATTTACATTTGGGAGGCTGAGAGAGTAGTCTGGGAGGTCAAGGCTGCAGTGAGCTATGATTGTGCCACTGTACTGCAGCCTAGGCGACAGAGTGAGACCCTGTCTCTAAGAAAAAAAAAAAGTTATTTATTTGAACAGGTACTGCATGCATACGGATAAAGGACAAATAAAATAAAATGCTACGCTGTAAAAAGTCCCATCTCCCTTCCACTCCAATCCCCTAGGCTCCGAGAGGTAACCGTTGGGTATGTACGTGCGCGCGCGCGTGTGTGTGTGTGTGTATCCTTTTAGAGATACGAAGCAGGTAGACAAGCATATATGCATATGTACCTTTCCTTTATCTCTTTTTGCATAAATGATGACATACTATCACACTTTTCTGCCCTTGCTTTTTTTTAGTTGCAATGTAATTCAAAAGTGTAACTGATTTCTGTATGTGCTTTTGAATCCACCTAATTCTTTTAAAAAGGCTGTTAATATTCCACTTGTGGATTTGCCAAAATTTATTTAAATTTAAAAAGCCAGGCACGGTGGCACGTGCCTGTAGTCCCAGCTACTCGGGAGGCTGAGGCAGGAGGATCACCTTGAGCCCAGGAGTTTGAGGCTGCAGTGAGCTATGACTGTGCCCCTGCACTCAAGCCTGGATGACAGAGTAAAACTCTGTCTCTTAAAAAAGAAAAAAAAAGAAGGTATGATGATATGTATAACTAGGCCGGGCTCGGTGGCTCACGCCTGTAATCCCAACACTTTGGGAGGCCGAGGCGGGCGGATCACGAGGTCAGGAGATCGAGACCATCCTGGCTAACACAGTGAAACCCTGTCTCTACTAAAAATACAAAAAATTAACTGGGCGTGGTGGTGGACGCCTGTAGTCCCAGTTACTCGGGAGGCTGAGGCAGGAGAATGGTGTGAACCCGGGAGGCAGAGCTCGCAGTGAGCAGAGATTGTGCCACTGCACTCCAGCCTGGGCAAAAGAGCGAGACTCCGTCTCAAAAAAAAAAAAAAAAGATATCTATAACTGTCCTATCTCTAACACACACAGCATGTTATTTCTATTTAAGAAAGGAAATGGAAGATGTGAGTTTTTGTCACAATCACTTTTTCTCAAATCTGGAGAGTTACCTGTTTTCAAAGGCACCTTAGGAAGCCTAGGAGAAGCCCATGATCATTCCTTTTTTTTTTTTTTTTGAGACAGAGTCTCTGTCACGCAGGCTGGAGTGTAGTGGCGCCATCTCAGCTCGCTGCAACCTCTGCCTTCTGCATTCAAGCGATTCTCCTGCCTTAGCCTCCAAGTAGCCAGGATTACAGATGCACTACCACACCCAGATAATTTTTTGCATTTTTAGTAGAGACAGGGTTTCGCCATGTTAGGCAGGCTGGTCTTGAACACCTGACTTCAGGTCATTCACTCCCCTCGGCCTCCCAAAGTGCTGGGATTACAGGCATGAGCTACCGCATCTGGCCTCTTTTTTTTTTTTTTTTTTAAGACAGGGTCTCACTCTGTGGCCCAGGCTGGAGTGCAGTGGTGTGATCATAGCTCACTGCTGGGACCACAGGTATGTACCGCTACATCTGGCTAATTCTTTTTTATTTTTTTGTAGAGACAATCTTTTTTATTTTTTTGTAGAGACAGTCTTTTTTATTTTTTTGTGCATTCATTCTTGATCACTCAACTCATTTAACCAAGTGGTTCAATTCTTCAGAACGTTCCTTTTTCCACAGATAAACTAGGAATAAAAACAATGAACCAACCACAGAAGTTCACCTTTTTCAATCTTGATGCCACCACAGGAACTGGAAGACCTATGTTTGACCACCACCCCCACTCCCCAACCCTTGACTCCTGCCAACCCCCGCCTCACTTACAAACTATATGATTATAGCAGCTGTGAGCAGGAGCAATTTGCCCAGACAGACGGAATTTCCATCTTGACTTAACTTCTTTCTAGAAGTGGAATCAGAAAATACTGTGTAGTCATCTGTGTCTCAGTTTCCTCATCTGCAACATGAGAATACAAATAATAGCACCTACCCATATGATTTTTATGAGGTTCAAATGAGATGTTACGTAAGGCATCTAGCACAGTAACTGGCGTATATAGTACAAGTTTAACCAGTGTCAACTATCATCATCATCATCATCACCACCACTATCATTATATGACTCTTCTGAGACTTACTTTCCTCCCTTGTAAAATCACAGGTAGCCTACAGTCTCCATAACCAGGAACGGGAGTGGTCTTCTCTCTGTTTTGCTAATGAGTAAAATGAGGCAAGGCATGCTAAAATGACAATTCTCACAGAATGAGAAAAGAGAACCCCTGAAGAGAATGGTGAGCTCCATTTTGAAGCAATGGGTCTGCTGTGTTCTTCCTGGCCCCAGACCACACAGGACTCCTGCCTCAGGGTTCACATCAGCAGGGCACCTTGAACCTGCTCTGACGGGCTCCGGAGAGCCAACTGTTAAATTTTCAGAAAGTCTGTAAGCCAGTTGTTAAACACAGCCATTACTAAAATTAAATTATATGAACTTACGATGAAATACATTACACTTACAATGGAGCAATACATACTCAAAACTTATCACTTCCTAATGATTTTATTACAGTTCACTGTGGTTTATGTTTTTAAGGTTATTTACATCAATTGTGTTTGTTTGTTTTTGAGACGGAGTCTCGCTCTGTTGCCCAGGCTGGAGTGCGGTGGCATGATCTCAGCTCACTACAACCTCCACCTCCCAGGTTCAAGCAATCCTCCTGCCTCAGTCCCCACTAGTAGCTGGGATTACAGGCATGTGCCACCATGCCCGGCTAATTTTTGTATTTTTAGTAGAGACGGGGTTTCGCCATGTTGGCCAGTCTGGTCTTGAGCTCCTGACCTCAGGTGATCCACCTGCCTCGGCCTCCCAAAGTGCTGGGATTACAGGTGTGAGCCATCACACCCAGCCTGTTTATTTATTTATTTATTTTGAGATGGAGTCTCGCTCTGTCTCCCAGGCTGGAGTGCAGTGGCATGATCTTGGCTCACTGCAACCTCTGCCTCCTGAGTTCCAGTGATTCTCCCACCTCAGCCTCCCGAGTAGCTGAGATTACAGGTGCCCGCCACGACGCCCAGCTAATTTTTGTATTTTTAGTAGAGATGGGGTTTCACTATGTTGGCCAGGCTGGTCTCTAACTCTTAGCATCAAATGATCCACCTGTCTCGGCCTCCCAAAGTGCTAGGATAACAGGCATGAGCCACTGCACCTGGCCATATTTGAACAGTGGAAATTGTATATAACAGTATGCTACTTCACATTTTCTTCCCAACTCTTCATTCAGTGATGTCAGATTAGTAGCTTGAAATCAGCCAGAGTGGGAATATTTACACTGCAGAAATCAGCAAACACTACAGACAAGCCCTTCTGCCTCCCCCAAGCTGGTGGTTAAACATCCACCAGCACACCACTGGCTCAAACCAGCACATGCAGCCAGGGTCTCTTGGAAGAAAACTCCTATTGCTCTCAGAGAGAAGAGTGTGTGGTTATTATCCCGTTGCGCCTAAATCAGGGGCCCATGAAGAAATAGGCTATTAGACATGGCCCTCTTATACTGTTTTCTTAACGAAAGTAAAATAAATAATTCTGAGCCCTTGGCCCACAGCCAAGGTCCTCTCGGGTTCAATTCTTCATCCTCTATTTGCAAGAGCTAATCATAGTGAAGGGTGCACGAAGCAACCGTTCTTTGTGTTCAGAGTGAAATAATGGCTTGTCATCCCTGAGAGTACGAAGGCTCTGTACTCCTCAGTGCAGTGAACACAAATCCCAGTCGCATGGCATCTGGCTTTTTCTTTTTCTAAGTGAATCAGAGTCTTTATGAGTAAACGTTTAGCTTTTTCCTCCACCCACTCTGGCCCAGCCATGACCAGGAGAGTGTTTTTTGTTTTTCTAGTTGAATTGACTCACCGATAGTTTTAGGAACCTGTTGGTTTGCATGTTTAGTTCTTTTTTTTTCCCCCATACCAGATTTGAAACCTAGCATGTTTAGTTTTGATCTATCAGAAGGAGCTGGAATCCTTGTTTGCAAACTCACTGATTATATAGCATATATTTGACTCTGTTTTTGTTTAGAGAAAAAGATACCCACTTCTAAAATAAAGAACTGAGGCCAGGCACGGTGGGTCACACCTGTAATCTCAGCACTTTGGGTGGATGAGGCAGATGGATCACCTGAAGTCAGGAGTTCCAGACCAGCCTGACCAACATAGTGAAATCCCATCTCTACTAAAAATACAAAATTAGCCAGGTATAATAGTGCATGCCTGTAATCCCAGCTACTTGGGAGGCTGAGGCAGGAGAATCACTTGAACCCAGGAGGTGGAGATTGCAGTGAGCTGAGATTGTGCCATTGCACTCCAGCCTTGGCAACTGAACAAGACTCCATCTCAGAAAAAACAAATAAATAAAATAAAATAAAAAACTCAGCCCTGGGCTTGCTTTGTTCTCACAGCCACATAACTTATCCACAAAATAATAATGAGAATCACCAAGGAATATAAAGACTTTTTGTAAATTAATAAAATGAAGTACGTAACTGGTATGCTGTTTCAAGAATAGCCCAAATATATATTTTATATATATAATTTTATTTTTAAAAATTATTATTATTATTATTTTTTGAGACTGAGTCTTGCTCTGTCTCCCAGGCTGGAGTGCAGTAATGCAATCTCAACTACTGCAACCTCTGCCTCCCAGGTTCAAGCAATTCTTGTGTCTCAGCCTCCCAAGTAGCTGGGATTACAGGCACCTGCCACCACAACTGGCTAATTTCTGTATTTTTAATAGAGACATAGTTTAGCCATGTTGGCCAGGCTGGTCTTGAACTCTTGGCCTCAAATGATCCACCCAACTTGGCCTCCCAAAGTGCTGAGATTACAGGTGTGAGCCACTGCATCTGGCCAGGAATAGACTATTTTTAAAATTTTATTTATTATTATTATTTTTTATATAAAGACAGGGTATCTCTATGTTGCTCAGGCTGGTCCCAAACTCCTGGCCTCAAGTGAGCCTCCTGCCTTGGCCTCCCAAAATGCTGAGATTACAGGTATGAGCATTAAATGCTCGGCCTAAAGAGTTATTTTTGGGCAGGTGTGGTGGCTCACGCCTGTAACCCAGCACTTTGGGAGGCCAAGGCGGGTGGGTCATGAGGTCAGGAGATCAAGACCATCCTGGCTAACAGGCAGAGCTTGCGGTGAGCCGAGATTGCGCCACTGCACTCCAGCCTGGGCAACAGAGCGAGACTCCGTCTCAAAAAAAAAAAAGTTATTTTTAATAAAGATATATAAAAAAATATTGCTTTAAAAGTTTCTTAGGCAAGGAATGTATAAAATTGAGTACGTCTCCAAATTCCTATTCTGATATAGCAACTGCTAACAATTACTGAGTTTCTATCATGAGCAGATATTGTGCTAAGTATTTTATGTGCATAATTTCATTTAATTTATTGAACAAATATTATTGAGCACTCATATATTGTTCCAGGCAATGTTCTAGACATGGGTGATACTAGCAGGGAATAAAACAGACAAAATCTATGATCTTATAAAAATGGATATATAATAGGTCAGACGGTAATAAGTGCTATAAAGAGAAATCAAACTTGGCTAAAGTGGGGTGAAAAGTACCTTTAGGTGAAAGGTGGCTGCTGTTAATTTATTATAGGGTGATCAAAGAAGATTTCTCTAATAGGTTAACAGTTTTCTGGGCAAAATTGTTTCTAGATAGAGGACACCGCAAAAAGTAAGAAAATGTTGAACATTTGACTTTCTAAGATAAAATAAGATAAAAATTACTATTTTATGGATGAGTAAACTAAGACTAAGGATTATTCTTTTTTTTTTTTTTTTTTTTTTTTTTGAGATAGAGTCTTGCTCTGTTGCCCAGGCTGGAGTGCAGTGGCGTGATCTCAGCTCACTGCAACCTCCGCCTCTAAGGTTCAAGCTGTTCTCCTGCCTCAGACTCCCAAGTAGCTGGGACTACAGCTGTGCGTCACCATGTCCAGCTAATTTTTGTATTTTTAGTAGAGACAGGGTTTCACTATGTTGGTCAGGCTGGTCTCAAACTCCTGACCTCGTGATCCACCCACCTCAGCCTCCCAAAGTGCTGGGATTACAGGCGTGAGCCACCGCTCCCAGCCTGACTAAGGATTATTCTTATATGTGCCCATGTCACCTACGTAATAAGAGGGAAAGTCAAAGCACAACCCTCAGACTATTAAGTCTATGCCTTACTCTCCCAAACATCATTCAATTTACTCATCCCAACTAAGAGCTCCTCTTTTAAAAGATTGGCAGAACATAAGACTACCAGGAATTAATTGGTGCTGCTGTCAGTTCTACAATTTAGTCTAGCCTTAGGCAAATTACTGACACTTGCTCTTCTCCAGAAACTGTAAAATGGGATTTAGGTAATTAACAACTCAGAACAACTATTTTGAGAATTAATTAGCTAATGGTTACAAAATACCCTGAACATTAACAATAAGAGTGTTTTCATTCTGAGTATCACATTTTCTTCTGAATGGAACTCCAGGTACCTCCATCCTTGCCTGCTCTGAACTTCCACACCCAGGTTCTCCTCAGATTTCTCTCTATTGGCAAAACCAATTAAGTAGATAGTAAAACCAGAGTGCATGTATCATCTTTTAAAAAAATTTTCTTTCAATAGTTTTGGGGGTACAGGTGGTTTTTGGTTACATGGATAAATTCTTCAGTGGTGATTTCTGAGATTTTAGTGCACCTGTCACCTGAGCAGTGTACACTGTACCCCAAAATGTAGTCTTTTATCCCTCTTCCCCCTCCTGACTTTTCCCCCCACCCCAAGTCCCAAAGTTCATTATATCATTCTTTTTTTTTTTTTTTTTTCAAACAAATTCTCACTCTGTTGCCCAGGCTGGAGTGCAGTGGTACGATCTCGGCTCACTGCAACCTCTGCCTACTGGGTTCAAGCTATTCTCCTGCCTCAGCCTCCTAAGTAGCTGGGACTACAGGTGTGTGCCACCATGCCCAGCTACTTTTTGTATTTTTTAAGTAGAGATGGGGTTTCACCATTTTGGCCAGGCTGGTGTCGAACTCAACCTCATGATCTGCCCACCTCAGCCTCCCAAAGTCCTGGGATTACAGGTGTGAGCCACCATGCCTGGCCCATTACATCATTCTTATGTCTTTGCATCATCATAGCTTAGCATCTACTCATAAGTGAGAACATATGATATTTGGTATCCATTCCTGAATTACTTTACTTAGGATAATGGCCTCCAGCTCCATCCAAGTTGCTGCAAAAGGTATTATTTCGTTCCTTTTTGTGGCTGAGTAGTATTCCATGGTGTATATATACCACATTTTCTTTATCCACTCATTGCTTGATGCGCAGTTAGGTTGGTTCCACATCTTTGCAATTGTGAGTTGTGCTGCTCCAGATATCATCTTTAACTCCTTTGCCTTCTCCACATACATTTCCAAGTCCTGTTCATTCTACCTCCAAAATGTATCTTGTATCCATTCATCTCTCTCCATCTTCAATCTATTTCAATACCCCATCATCTCTTGCATGGAGGAGTGTAATAATTGGCTAACTGGCCACCTCTTTTTCCAACTTGCTCCTTTCTTAAGCATTCGCCACACAAAAGCCAGAGTGACCTTTAAAATCAGAAATCACTGGGCATCATTTCCTACTTAAAACCTTTCAGTGATTGCCGGCTGGGCGCGGTGGCTCACGCCTGTAATCCCAGCACTTCGGGAGGCCAAGACGGGCGGATCACGAGGTCAGGAGTTCGAGACCAGCCTGGCCAACATGGTGAAACCCTGTCTCTACTAAAAATACAAACAAAAATTAGCCGGGAGTGGTGGCAGGTGCCTGTAATCCCAGCTACTCTGGAGGCTGAGGCAGGAGAATCGCTTGAAACCAGAAGGTTGGCTGGGCTAGATGGCTCATGCCTGTAATCCCAGCACTTTGGGAGGCTGAGGCAGGGGGATCACGAGGTCAGGAGATCGAGACCATCCTGGCTAACACGGTGAAACCCCGTCTCTACTAAAAATACAAAAAAATTTAGCCGGGCATGGTGGCGGGTGCCTGTAGTCCCAGCTACTCGGGAGGCTGAGGCAGGAGAATGGCGTGAACCCAGGAGGCAGAGCTTGCAGTGAGGCCAGATCGCGCCACTGCACTCCAGCCTGAGCGACAGAGTGAGACTCCGTTTCAAAAAAAAAAATAGAAAGAAAGAAACTGGAAGGTGGAGGTTGCAGTGAGCCGAGATCGCGCCATAGCACTCCAGCCTGGGCAACAAGAGCGAAACTGTCTCAAAAAAAAACAACCCTCAGTGATTGCCTATTGCAGACTAAGTACAGCACAATATCAGCTTGGCACAATTCCTTACCATGGCTAGGGTGACCTCATCCTGTTTTGCCCAAGACTTTCTTGATTTCAGCACTGAAAGTCCTGCATTTCAGGAAACCCTCAGTTCTGGGCAAACTGGGGCAATGGTTCCCCCTAACCATTGCCTTTAAGGCCTCACTCACATGAAGAGCTCCTGCCTGCCTCACAGCCTCACCTCATCCACTGTGCCTTCAATCACTACACCCTCTGCACACTGGCCTTGGTCTGGTTCTAAGGCAGCCCGGCCCTTTCCATCCTCAAGGCCTCGAGGGTTGTGCTCGCCTTTTCCCTTGCCTGGAAGGCTCTTCCCATGGCTGGATTCTTCTCATCCCTTAAAGCTCAGTTTAAATGCTCCAGAAAGGCCTTTCCTGATCTGAGTTAACTCAACAGATCCTATCTGCTATTCTTTATGATATCATTCTTCTATTTCCTGCCTAGCACTTATCACTAGTGAAAAGGAAAAAAAGAACCCTTTTTTTCTATACTCCTACAGAACACTTCTGACAACACAACACATGTCAGGAAAACCAGGTAGGTTTTTCACACGAAGCGATTCACCAATTCTCTGCAGACAACAGCTGGGTGTCCTACAATTTATCTCAATTCTGACACTAACTGTCTGGAGTTAGCACAGACCCCACTGGGGAAGGGCTCAGTCCCATAAGACTACCCTTTGATGCCAAAATGCAAGCCTGGGATTCCTACAGTGTTTTTTTTTTTTTTTTAGACGGAGTCTCAAAAAAGCCTCTGCCTCCCAGGTTCAAGTGATTCTCCTGCCTCAGCCTCCTGAGTAGCTGGGATTACAGGTGCATGCCACCATGCCCAGTTAATTTTTGTACTTTTAGTAGAGACAGGGTTTCACCTTGTTGGCCAGGCTGGTCTTGAACTCCTGACCTCAAGTGATCCTCCCACCTTGGCCTCCCAAAGTGCTAGGATGACAAGTGTCAGCCACTGCATCTGGCCCAGCCACCCAGTTCTAATTAGTAGTTATCTGCTGTTGTCAAGGCCTAAGGTCAAGGTCTAAATTCATAACCTGTCTCCCTGAGCCTAGAGGACCTTGATTCTGTTGCTCCTGAAACAGCTGGAGTAGGAAGGAGAACAGCTGCTATGCCCAGAAAACTGTGCAGGAACCGGTGGGCTTCCTATACTTCTGACCAACTAACTATAAATAAAGGGTTCTCACAATCCCCTCTTTGGGTTCCATAATTTGCTAGAATGGCTCACGGAACTCAGGAGCACGCTTTGCGTACCATCACCCAGTTCATTGTAAAGGATGCAACTCAGGAGCAGCCAGGTGGAAAAGATGCACAGGGCAAGGTATGAGGACAGGTGGAGCTTCCATGCTCTCCAAACATGCCACCCTCCCAGCATCTTTTTTTTTTTCTCTCCAGCCACATCCTTTTGACCTCCCAGCATCTTGATGTGTTTGTTCACTCACTTGGAAGGTCTCTGTACCCTGTTGTGTAGGGGTTTTATGGAGGTTCCGTTATGTGGGCATGATTGATTAACTCACTGGCCATTACTGATTGAACTCAAATTTTAACCCTCCGACTCTCCCCAGAGGTTGAACGGTGGGGCCGAAAGTTTCAACTGTCTAATCACAAAGATAGCTCCCCTGACAGCCAGCGCCCCCTCCTTAGGGGTTTTCCCAAAGTCACTTCACGAACTTGTGAAGGTGTAGGCCGGGTGCAGTGGCTCATGCCTGTAATCCCAGCACTGTGGGAGGCCAAGGCAGGAGGACCCCAAGATCAGCATGGGCAACGCAGTGAGACCCTGCCTCTACAAAAATTTTTTTAAATTAGCCAGATGTATTTTAAAATACAGCCAGACATGTGCCTGTAGTCCCAGCTATTTGGGAGGCTGAGGCAGGAGGATTGCTGGAGCCCAGGAAATCGAGACTGCAGCGAGCTGTGATCATGCCACTGCACTCCAGTCTGGGTGACAGAGTGAGACCCTGTCACCAAACAAAAACAAAACAAAAAACTCAGGTATAGTTGAAAGGGGCTTTTTATGAGTAACAAAAGACACTCTTTTCAAATTATCACTTGGGAAATTACAAAGGTTTTAGGAGCTCTAGGCGGGAAATGAAGACAAAGACTAAATATATATTTTTTATTATACTGCAATATCACACTAGTCTTGATTTATTTTCTTTTTTACTTTCTTTTTTTTTTTTTTGAGACTGTCTCACTCTATCACCCAGGCTGGAGTGCAGTGGTGTGATCTTGGCTCACTGCAACCTCTGCCTCCCGGGTTCAAGCGATTCTCCTGCCTCAGCCTCCCGAGTAGCTGGGATTACACACGTGCGCCACCATGCCCGGCTAATTTTTGTATTTTTAGTAGAGATGGGGGATTTCACCATGTTGACCAGGTTAGTCTCGAACTCCTGACCTCAGGTGATCCGCACACCTCGGACTCCCAGATGGCTGAGATTTCAGGCGTGAGCCACTGCGCCCGGTCTTGATTTATTTTCCATTTACCTGTTTATTGTCTGTTTCTTATCCCTAGAATGTGAGAGGACAGGGGCCTTGTCTGCATTGTTCACTGTGGTATCCCCAGCACATGACACAAAACATGTGCTCAGAAAATACTTACTGAAAATACTTACAGAAAATACCTACTTTACAAGCCTCACCTCTACCAAACAACAGGTGGACTCAAGCCCTGGAGGGACAGAGATTAAGGTCTCACAAACACCAGGACATCTGGTCAACCTGGTTCCTCCCAATGCCTGCAGGTGATTGAGAGCTGACCTCAAAGGGACCTCAAAGAAATTCTGGTTTATCTGGAGTTCTAGAGAGGTTAAAGGACTAGCCCTATGTTATACACTCAGTTTACATTTAACATAGGGCTAAAACCAACATTTCCTAATTCCCTACCAACTGAGCTCTAATTTCAAAGTATCTTAGTGTAAGAAGAAATCGCCAGATCCCATCTGCTCTAGTCCTTCCAAACAGCACCCTATCATTACCCGCATTTAAAAGATAAGACATCTGGTGCTAAAAGAAGTAAATGACTTTTCCTAGGTCACACGCCTATTGAAAGGCAAGGAAGGACTTCATTCGTTTTTTTTTTTGTTTTTTTTTTTTTGAGGCGGAATCTCACTCTGTCACCACCAGGCTGGAGTGCAGTGTTGCCATTTCAGCTCACTGCAACCTCCGCCTCCTGGGTTCAGGTGATTCTCCTGCCTCCTGAGTAGCTGAGACTACAGGTGTGTGCCACCACACCCGGCTAATTTTTGTATTTTTAGTAGAGACGGGGTTTCACCATGCTAGCCAGGCTGGTCTTGAACTCCTGACCTCAGGCAATCCACCCACCTCGGCTCCCAAAGTGGTGGGATTACAGGCGTGAGCTACTGCGCCTGGCCTGAAGGACTTCATTCTTACACCACACTGTCTCCAGGTTTTTGTTTTTTTGGTTTTTTTTGAGACGGAGTTTCGCTCTTGTGGCCCAGGCTGGAGTACAATGGTGCAGTCTTGGCTCACTCCAACCTCCGCCTCTCAGGTTCAAGCGATTTTCCTGCCTCAGCCTCACAAGTAGCTGAGATTACAGGCGTGTGCCACAATGCCTGGCTAATTTTGTATTTTTAGTAGAGATGGAGTTTCTCCATGTTGGTCAGGCTGATCTTGAACTCCCGACCTCAGATGATCTGCCCACCTCAGTCTCCCAAAGTGCTGGGATTACAGGCTTGAGCCACTGCACCCGGCCTTGTCTCCAGGTTTTAATCTTCTGTATTCTAGATTTTGTACAACCATGGAATTAAGTATCTTTCCCATATTAGACCCATTAGCAAATACCCCTGAGAGAGAGAGAGAGATTAGGTGCAGAAATAGCTCAGGAATGCCAAATCATTTAACAGATGCAGTGCTTTTGTTCTTGATTCATTAATTCATTCAACAAATATTTGATTCCCTACTATGTGCTGTAAATTATTGTGGATACTGGGAATACAGCAATGAATAAAACAAAACCTCATGCGGGAGAAAGGCAATGACAAACAAATAAACATATTTGTACATCTGAGGCATATCAGGTAGCCAAAGTGCTATGAAGAAGAATAAAGCAGGGGCCGGCGCGGTGGCTCACGCCTGTAATCTCAGCACTTTGGGAGGCCAAGGTGGGTGAATCACCTGAGGTCACGAGTTCGAGACCAGCCTGGCCAACATGGTGAAACCCTATCTCTACTAAAAATACAAAAATTAGCCAGGCATGGTGGCACGTACCTGTAGTCCCAGCAACTTGGGAGGCTGAGACGCGAGAATCGCTCGAACCTGGGAGGTGAAGGTTGCAGTGAGCCGAGATCGTGCCACTGCACCCCAGCCCGGGAGACAGGGCAAGACCCCCTCTTCAAAAAAAAAAAAAAAAAAAGAATAAAGCAGGATAAGGAGACAGTGACGGGCAGGGAACAGCGCTGCTTTAAATAAGTTGGTCAGGGAAAGACACTCCAGTCAGATGCCACTTGAGCAGAGATCTGAGTGAATTAACGACATGAACTAGAGAAAGAATATTCCACGCCAAAGAGAACAGAGGCACAGTGGCCCAAGGCAGGCAGGAGTTTAGCATAACTCAAGGGAGGGTCCAGAGGTCCTGCGGCTGGAGTGGAGTGAGCCGGAAAGAGGAAGGAAAGGTCACATGAAGAGCTGGGGCCAGGTCCTGATGGTAAGTGCTCTTTGGAACTCCTCCTTTTAAAACTGGCGTGTCTTCAGGAAGCTGAATATCTACAAAGCTAGGCCTCGGAGAGAAGGCTTTTCCTGAGTATGTTTGTGTGAGTGATTCCGTGTGTTAACAAAGCGCCCCAGGATTTGCCTTTTCTTCCCCTGTTTCTTGCTGTTAGAATGTTAATCTGGCTAAATCCATTCAGCTTCACTCGTTTGGAAATCAGTCATCTAATGCTTGTAGCGAAAAAAGGAGACAAGCTAATACATCTCAACAGAGCAGATACGTGGGAGCCACTCCCACAGATCAAGATCCTTGCAGAAACCCAAGCCATTGTTCAGCCAATAGTAAATAAGAATCCGAGTCATTCTAAAACTGAGTAGAAAGCTGAGTCATCCTTCCCTCTATCAAGAGCTTTATTCCTTTTGCATCCTGTGGATCTTGGTTGGTTAACACATTACTGAATGGTGACGTGGGTAGGTCTGTCTGCCTGCATCAAATCCTGCCCTAACCACATTCTCAAGATAGTTTTCACCACATTTACTAAACTTCCTTGAACCTCAGTTTCCTCCTCTGCAGGAGGAGGGTATGAATGCTTTATTAGTTTTCTACTGCTGTGTAATAAATTAGCACAGATCTAGAGGGTAAGAGCTACTCCCACTCATCATTTCACAGTGCTGTAGGCCAGAGGCCCCAGATGGCGTAACCAGGTTTTCTGCTAAGAGCCTTGAAACGCTGAAATCAAGATGTTGGTTGTCCGTGTCCTCACCTAGAGCTCAGGGTCTTCCTCCAAGCTCATCCCTGTTGTCAGCAGAATGTAGGTTCCTGCAGTTGTGGGACCGAGGCCTTGTTTCCTCACTGGCTGTCAGCAGAGGCCATTTCTCAGCTCCTTAAGCCTGCCCCCTTCCTCCACAGTGACCCTCTATTCCAAAGCAGCAACTACACACCTAACCCTTCTGACACTTGGAAAACATCTGACTTCTGCTCTCAGCCAGAGAAAGCTCTCTGCTTTTATTCTTTTTTTTATCTACTTATTTATTTTGTAGAGTGGGGATCTCGCTATGTTGCCCAGGCTGATTTTAAACTCCTGGGCTCAAGTGATCCTCTTGCCTTGACCTCCCAAAGTGCTGGGATTACAGGCATGGGCCACCATGCCTGCCGCTTTCTGCTTTAGCAGCTCATGTTCACCCAGATAATCACTCTTTCTTAAGGTCAACTGTGCCATACAACATAATATAATCATCAGAGTGAAATCTCATCATATTCACAGGTTCCAGAGATAAAGGACATCTTTAGGGTCCATTTTAGACATTCTGCCTACAACAAATGCCTTCCTTGCAGAACTCTTTTGAAAATTAGAGATGATGTATGTGTGTAAAATAGTTGCCAGCTGCTAATAGCTGCTATTACTATAAGAGCCTCTTTGATGCAGGGAGCAACTAAGTAACTGAGCTACTCAGTGAATCAAGTATAAGACCAGACTCCGGTGCCAGGGCTGTGGCTCATGCCTATAATCCCAACACTTTGGGAGGCCGAGGCAGGCGGATCACCTGAGGTCGGGAGTTCAAGACCAGCCTGACCAACATGGAGAAACCCTGTCTCTACTAAAAATACAAAATTAGCCAGGCGTGGTGGCGTGTGCCTGTAATCCCAGTTACTCAGGAGGTTGAGGCAAGAGAATAGCTTGAACTGGGAAGGCGGAAGTTGCAGTGAGCGGAGATCACGCCACTGCACTCCAGGCTGGGTGACAGAGCGAGACTCCGTCTCAAAAAAAAAAAAAAGATCAGACTCCAAACAGTCTATGGTAAACACCTATCATTACCTTTCTTATATGTATGAATATTAAAACAGCATTTCACGCATAACAAGTACACTGTTTTTATTGGAGCATTTATTAATGAGTTGATTTGGAAGTTCACCTTAGACAAAGATTGAGTTCCTCCCCTTTTCTCTGAATACATTATTTCTCTCTTTTATCAAATCATTTTGGCAAAGCTGCTGCTTCTTCTTCCTTCTCATGTACTTTGGTGGAGTTCCTTAACACAGGACTCTGCATTTGGCTTTTATAGCACAAGTATTGCTATGATCTGAATTTGGTGATCCTCCAAAATCCATACTGAAATCTCTTTTTCTTTTTTTTTTTTTTTTTTTTGAGATGGAGTCTCACTCTGTTACCCAGGCTGGAGGGCAGTGGCACAATCTCAGCTCACTGAAACCTGCACCACCCGGGTTCAAGGGATTCTTGTGCCTCAGCCTCCCAAGTAGCTGGAACTACAGGCACGAGCTACCATGCCTAGCTAATTTTTTTTTTTTCCAGAGACGAGTCTTACTCTGTCACCCAGGCTGGAGTGGAGTGCAGTGGCACGATCTCGGCTCACTGCAACACCTCCACCTACTGGGTTCAAGTGATTCTCCCGCCTCAGTCTCCCCAGTAGCTGAGACTACAGGCACCCTCCACCATGCCTAGCTAATTTTTGTATTTTTAGTAGAGACGAGGTTTTGTCGTGTTGATCAGGCTGGCCTCAAACTCCTGACCTCAGGTGATCCGCAAACCTCGGCCTCCCAAAGGGCTGGGATTACAGGCATGAGCCACCACACCCAGCCAAAACTTTAAGGACTAAGAGCTAGACCATAATGTGTCAGAAGACTCTTTTCCCCTCTGCCATGGCAACTGGCAATATTCCAAATAGCTTCTGTTCTTTTAGCCTGGGGGATACCTGTAATTATAGCATAACACAGTCCACCTGGGACTCTCACAGTGGCGACACTGAATATTTCTATGCAACCTTAAAAATCTCCACAGATTGGCCAGGCATGGTGGTTCACTCCTCTAATCCCAGCACTTTGGGAGGCCGAGGAGGGAAGATCACCTGAGGTCAGGAGCTCGAGACCAGCCTGGCCAACATGGTGAAACCCCATCTCTACTAAAAATACAAAAATTAGCCAGGCGTGGTGGTGGGTTCCTGTAATCCCAGCTACTCAGGAGGCTGAGGCAGGAGAATCCCTTGAACCCGGGAGGCAGAGGTTGCAGTGAGCTGAGATCACGCCACTGCACTCCAGCCTGGGCAACAGAGTGAGACTCTATCTAAAAAAAAAAAAATCTCCACAGATAGGTTTATTATTATTCCTGTTTTACAGACTGTGTAACTAAGGCTCAGAGAAGTCAAAGAACGTGCCCATAGTCACATCTAGTAAGTGGTTAAAGCCAAAATTCAAACCCAGACCACTGGATTCCTAAATCTGAGCTTCTAACTATAGCCAGTAAAAGCCTGACCTAATGTAATGGAAATGGAGATGAACAAATGTGCCTAGAAAAGTGAAGTTTTTTTTGTTTTGTTTTGAGATGGCGTCTCGCTCTATAGCCCAGGCTGTAGTGCAGTGGCGCAATCTTGGCTCACTGCAGCCTCCACCTCCTGGGTTCAAGGGATCCTCCTGCCTCAGCCTTTTGAGTAGCTGGGATTACAGGCACCCGCCACCACACCCAGCTAATTTTTCTATTTTTAGTAGAGACAGGGTTTCATGGTGTTTGTCAGGCTGGTCTCAAACTCCTGACCTCAGGTGATCCACCCACCTCTGCCTCCAAAGTACTGGGATTACAGGCGTGAGCCATCTTGCACGGCCCCATTTTTTCTTTATTTCTAAAAATAAAATTTGTTGGACAATCTGGGGAGGATGAGCTAAGGTATGGATTTTCTTTGTATTTATATTGCTTGGGATTCACTGAGCTTCTTGGATTTATTGATATTTTCATCAACTTTGGGAAATGTTGGGCCATTCGTTCTTCCGTTATTTTTCTGTCCCATTCTCACTGTCTTTTTTTGGGACATCAGTTACATGTAGGTCTAATATTGTCCTCCAGGTCTCTGAGGCTGTATTAATTTTTTTCCAATCTTTTTTCTCTGTTTTTCGAATAGGATAATTCTTATTGGTTGGTCTTTGGGTTTACTGACTGTTTTGCCATCTTCCGTCTGCTGTTAAGTCTTTCCAGTGAGTTTTGTTATTTTATTTTGCCTTTCAGTTCTAGAGTTTGCATTTGCTTCTTTTTTAGAGTTTCCATTTCTCTGCTGAGGTTCCCTACTTACTCATTAAGATAATATTTTCCTTTATTTTGAACATATTTACATGTGTTCCTTTAATTCTTTAAATATCTTTATTTTTAATTTTTTTTTTGAAATAGAGATGAGGTTTCGCTATGTTGCCCAGGCTGGTCTCAAACTCCTGGACTCAAGCAATCTGCCAGCCTCGGCCTCTTAAACTGCTGGGATTACAGGCATGAGCCACTATGCCTGGTCTTTTTTTCCTTTAGAGACAAGATCTCCTCTGTCACTCAGGCTGGAGTGCAGTGGCACGATCATAGCTCGCTGCAGCTTTAAACTTCTGGGCTCAAGCGATCCTCCCTCCTCAGCTTCCTGAGTAGCTAGGACAATAGGCACAAGCCACCATACCCAGCTAATTTTTACTTTTCTTTTCTTTTCTTTTCTTTTTTTTGAGACGAGAGCTCACTCTTGTCACCCAGGCTGGAGCGCAGTGGCGCGATCTCGGCTCACTACAACCTCCAACTCGCTGATTCAAGTGATTCTCCTGCCTCAGCCTCCTGAGTAGCTAGGATTACAGGTGCGCACCACCATGCCCAGCTAATTTTTGTATTTTTGGTAGAGATAGGGTTTCACCATATCGGCCAGGATGGTCTCGATCGCTTGATCTTGTGATCTGCCCGCCTCAGTCTTTCAAAGTGCTGGGATTACAGGCGTGAGCCACTGCGCCTAGCCTTTACTTTTGTTTTTTTAGTAGAGACAGGGTATTATTATTATTATTATTATTATTATTATTATTATTTTACTTTATTTATTTATTTTTTTTGAGACAATCTTGCTCTGTCACCAGGCTGGAGTGTAGCGGCGTGATCTCAGCTCATGCAACTTCCACCTCCCAGGTTCAATCAATTCTCCTGCCTCAGGCTCCCGAGTAGCTGGGACTATAGGCGCCTGCCACCATGCCCAGCTAATTTTTGTGTTTTTAGTAGAGAGGGGGTTTCACCATGTTGGCCAGGCTGGTCTCGAACTCCTGACCTCAAGTGATCTGCCCACCTCGGCCTCCCAACGTGCTGGGATTACAGGCGTGAGCTACTGCGCCCGGCCACGAGACAGGGTAGTATTATATTTCCCAGGCTTGAATGTCTTTATTTTTACTTTAAAAGATTAATTTTTTTTTTTTTTTTTTGAGACAGAGTCTCACTCTGTTGCCTAGGCTAGAATGCATGGTGCAATCTTGGTTCACTGCAGCCTTGACCTCCTGGGCTCAATCAAACCTCCTGCCTCAGCCACAGGCTGGAATCACAGGCCTGCACCACCATACTCGGCTATTTTTTTTCAGTTTTTCATAGAGACAGGGTCTCACTTTGTTGTCCAGGCTGGTCTCGAACTCCTGGGCTCAAGTGTTTCTCCTGCCTTGGCCTCCCAAAGTGCTGGGATTATAGGGATGAGCCACCTCACCTGGACAAATATCTTTATAAATACTGCTTAAATGTCTTCGTCTACTACATCTAATATCTGCGTAGTCTCAGGATCAGGTCAATTTCTTTGACTACTTTTGTTTTTCTTTATTTTCTTTCTTCCTTCTTCTTTTTTTCCTTTTTTTTTTTTTGCATGTCTAGTAATGTTTTATGGTAATACTGGACACTACAGCTAATACGTTGTAGAAATTTTGGATTCTGTTATCTTTATTTTTGTTCCAATAGGCAGGTCAGTTATTTCCTGGTCACTTTGAGCTTGCATACGAGTTTTTTGTTTGTTTTGCTTTTAACTTCGTTAGGGTAGATCTTTGGAAATTTCAAGATATTTTTCCAACCTTCGAGCTCTGTTTCCCTTGTGGATTTTGTCAAGGCGTAGTTTTAGGCTTTGTTAGGGCATGTCTAGTGTGGGCCTTCCTCTAGGACAGTCGCCTCAAATTTAGTTTGTATCTGAATCATCTGAAGAGCTATTGTTAGAACATAAATTTCTGGGCTTCTTCTCCTGAGTTTCTGATTCAGTAGGTCTGAAGTGGGGCCCTTGAATTTGCATTTCCAACAGTAACGTCTAACAAATTTCCAGGTTATGTTGATGCTGCTGGTCAGGGGACAGCAATTTAAGAAATATTGCTGTAGACCATGATCCTTACTTTCATTTATTTATTTTTTTAAGACAGGGCCTCACTCTGTCATCACCCAGGCTGGAGTGCCGTGGTGTGATCAGGGATCACTGCAGCCTCAATTTCCCAGGCTCAAGCAATCCTCCTGCCTCAGCCTCCTGAGTAGCTGGGACTACAGGCACATGCCACCACACCTGGCTACTTGTAGTTTTTGTAGAGATGGGGTTTCACCATGTTGCCCAGGCTGGTCTCAAACTCCTGAGCTGAAGCTCAAGAGCTCAAGTTCAAGCTTGAGCCCGCCTCGGCCTCCCGAAGTGCTGGAGTTACAGGCGCGAGACACCCGCCCGGCCGTGGTCCTTACTTTTAAGACGTGAACTCTTCGATGTCCCAGCTGGATGCCTGGAGTGTCATTAACAAAGTGTTAGAGTGCTTTCCCACTCAGGCTGAGCCATAACTAATGCCCGCCCCCTCCGTTGCTGCTTGAACTCAATCTCTGCTCAGCTTCTTCCACCGCACAGAAGCTGGTACCTGGTCATCCTTGGGTAGTCTCACCTTTCAAATGTGCAACACAGCTCTTAACCAAGTGCTCAGAGGACACCCCCACGAGGATTTTTTGGAGTCCTTCCTCTGCAAAGCTCCTGTCTCCAGTGTTCTAACCAGCAGATTCCAGCTGCTCAGCTGCCCGAAACTCTGTACTCTGCCTCCTCAGCTTAGTTAAGTTCTCCTTTTCCTACTTGGATGCCAGGAAATTGCCCCCCAGGTAAAGAGCCAGAATGATTCTGGGGCTTAAAAAAGATGAGTTTCTCGGCCGGACGCGGTGGCTCATGCCTGTAATCCCAGCACTTTGGGAGGCTGAGGTGGGCGGATCATGAGGTCAGGAGATTGAGACCATCCTGGCTAACACGGTGAAACCCTGTCTGTACTAAAAATACAAAAAATTAGCCAGGCATGGTGGCAGGCGCCTGTAATCCCAGCTACTCAGGAGGCTGAGGCAGGAAAATCGCTTGAATCCAGGAGGTGGATGTTGCATGAGCTGAGATTGCGCCACTGCACTCCAGTCTGGGCGACAGAGCAAGACTCTGTCTCAAAAAACAAACAAACAAACAAACAAACAAAATGATGAGTTTCTTTTCCCTCAGGGACCAGAGACTTGTACTCTCTCCTGGCCAATTCCTGAAACAGTTGACTAATACTTGGTTTTTTTTGTTTGTTTTGTTTTGTTTTTGAGATGGGGTCTCGCTCTGTCACTCAGGCTGAAGTGCAATGGCACAATCACAGCTCACTGCAGCCTTGAACTCCTGGGGTCAAGCAATCCTCCCACCTCAGCTCCCAAGTAGCTGGGACCACAGGATGCGCAACAGGGTCTCGCTATGTTGACCATGCTAGTCTTAAACTCCTGGGCTTGCCGGGTGCGGTGGCTCATGCCTGTAATCCCAGCACTTTGGGAGGCTGAGGTGGGTGGATCAACTGAGGTCAGGAGTTCAAGACCAGCCTCAACATGGAGAAACCCCGTCTCTACTAAAAATACAAAATTAGCCCGGCGTGGTGGTGCATGCCTGTAATCTCAGCTACTCGGGAGGCTGAGGCAGAATTGCTTGAACCTGGGAGGCAGAGGTTGCGGTGAGCCAAGATGATTGCACCATTGCACTCCAGCCTGGGCAACAAGAGCGAGACTCGGTCTCAAAAAAAAAACACACACACAAAAACAAAAACAACTGCTGGGTTCAAACAATCTGCCCACCTAGGCTCCCAAAGTGTTGGGATTACAGGTGTGTGTGTGTGTGTGTGTGTGTGTGTGTGTGTGTGTGTGTTTTAATGGTGGGATGGCTGGTCTTATACCAATTACTACCCCATTATAGCCAAGAGTGGAAGTTCTGGCTTTAGACCTTTGAATTTAAGGAAACTTGGACCATCCAGACAAAGGAGTCTACAAAGAAAAAAGCCTAGAGATAAAGGTTTGGAAGGCATCAGGGCACAACGGTTTGGAAGACCAAGGGCAGAAATCACATAGGAAAGTTATACAAAATGAGAAGAGGGGAGGATCAAAGACAGAATCTTGGGGGAACCACCAGTTTTTCATGGATGAGTGGAAGAAGGCTGGCAAAAGAAACAGAAGGACTGCTCCAACAGTCAAGAGAAGAACCAAATGTTCCAGAAGTCAATGGAGAAGAGGTTTTTAAATTTTTTTTGAATTTTTACTGTTTTCCTCCCCTGTGCTAAAAAAATAGCTTTAAAAATTTTCAAGCAACCTTATGACAACATGCTATTATCAGTCCCATTTTATAGATGGAGATAAAGATGATGAAACTCAAAGGTTAAGTAACTTGCTCAAGGTCAATGGAGCTGCAAAGGGCAGAGCTAGGACTTGGATCCAGGCATTCTGGCTCCAATACATCACAATGTACTGCTTCACTCCAAAATAAGACAAGATGGCAAATGCAGCAAGGCTGTCCATGAAGCTGAGGATAGAAAAGTGCTTACTGGGGCCAGACGCAGTGGCTCACACCTGAATCTTAGCACTTTGGGAGGCTAAGGTGGGTGGATCACCTGAGGTCAGGAGTTCGAAACCAGCCTGGCCAACATGGCAAAACCCTGACTTTACTAAAAATACAAAAATTAGCCGGGCTTGGTGGCTCATGCCTGTAGTCCCAGCTACCTGGGAGGCTGAGGCAGGAGAAT
Organism: Homo sapiens; assembly: GCF_000001405.40. Taxonomy (NCBI): domain Eukaryota; kingdom Metazoa; phylum Chordata; class Mammalia; order Primates; family Hominidae; genus Homo; species Homo sapiens. Next base: position 40,681,488 of record NC_000004.12, read on the forward strand.
AGCTTGAACCTGGGAGGCAGAGGTTGCAGTGAGCTGAGATGGCACCACTGCACTCCACCCTGGGTGACAGCGAGACTCCATCTCAAAAAAAAAAGAAAGAAAAGAAAAAAGAAAAGTGTCCATTGGATTAGGCAAAAGGGCCACTGGTAAGCTCAGAAAGAACTCACAGTAATAAACAATAGGTGCTAATTAACTGTTCAACAGGATTGGTTCCTGGCCTAACTGGTCTTTGGGGCCAGCAGTGTGCCATACACATGGCACCTCTCAGCCCTGGCTTGCATTGTCCTCGTTGGAAACCTATTCCAGGTTTACGCTCTGAAAAAGAGCAGGCACATTCCCTAATGCCTTCAGGGAAAACAAGACCCAGCGCTCCAGCTTCCTGAAGTGTATAAGAGAAGTGTGACGTGCCTGTTTATAACCCAGCAACTATACTCAGGCATAGACTTAGATGCATTTGAACATATCATCAACACAATTACCTGTACCCAGATTAGCCTCAGCAAATCTTTAAGCTCTCACAGCTGTCTTCAGGTGTTCAGAGGATTATTATGGAGAGATGTTGATCAGCTGTTCTCCATGTCTCCTGTGTAGAGAACAAAAGGAAAGAAGCTTAAATGTCAGCAAAGGATTTAGATGTAAGTGAGAACTCTGTGAGGCAGGGAGGTCCTGTGTATCCAAGCGTTTCCAACCTTTCTGTCTTATTTAGCTCTAAATATTCCCTTCTCCACCATGCTGCTTCTTATGTTTATTATAACAACGACAATGACAATAACAATAATGGCAAACGCTTATATAGTTCTTACTTTGTGCCTGGCACTGTTACTAAGCTTTTTATTCATATTCATTCAATACTCACAGCAACACGATGACATAAAGACTATTGTCATCCCCATTTTATAGGTAAGAAAACTGAAACAGAGAGAGAGTAAAGAACTGGCCAAAGGTCTCACAGTCAACAAATGGCAGAGCCAAGATTTGAAGCCTTAGGCCAAAGTCCATCGTCTTAACAATGACCCTATGTGCTAATCTGGAGATATTGTACTAGAACAGAATTCAAGATAAGGCAGAGCATGGAGAAATGCTAATAAATTGGCATGGAGGCTGTAGTAGATTGTTACAAAATGGCCCTAAAGGAACCATGCCCCTCTGAATTCACCCGTGTGTCCTCCCCTCCCACGCAGGATCCGTACCAGCAAAATGACTCGCCTGAACCACTGAGAGGTGATGGGACTTCAAGCCCAGATCTTAAGAGATCTAGAGCTTTTGCTTTCTCTCTGAGAACCCAACTGCCTTGTAAAGAAGTTCAGGCTGTCCAGCTGTAGACAGCAGCAACGTGGAGAAAGAAGCCTTGAAGGTTGAGTCCACATGGAGGAAAAGAGAGGCATCCCAGCTAAGAGCCAGCACCAGCGTGGCAAAGGAGGCCATCTTGGATGCTTCGGTCCCAGTTGAACTGTCCCAGCAGACACCATATAGGGCAGAGATGAGCTGGCCAAAATTCTAACTCGAAAAGCGTTGTGGTTTTAGGTCCCCAAGTGTTTTCTTCCTTTTTTTTTTTTTTTTTTTTAGGCAGAGTCTGGTTCTGTCGCCCAGGCTAGAGTGTGGTGACACAATCTTGGCTTACTGCAACTTTGCCTCTTGGGTTCAAGTGATTCTCCTGCCTCAGCCTCCCTAGTAGCTAGAATTACAGGCGCCTGCCAGCATGCCCGGCTAATTTTTGTATTTCAAAATGTTGAAATTAGCCACCAGCCTGGATAATTTCAGACCAGCTGTTGCCCAGGCTGGTCTCAAAATCCTGAGCTCAGGTGATCTGCCCACCTCAGCCTCCCAAAGTGTTGAGATGGCAGGCATGAGCCACTGTGCCTGGCCCGTGTTTCTTTTTTATTGTGGCAAAATGTACACAACATAAAATTAACCATTTTAACCATTTTTAAGTGTGTGGTTCAATGGCATGAAGTACATTCACATTGTTGTGCAACCATCACCACCATCCATCTCCAGAACTTTTTCTTTTCTTTTTTCTTTTTTTTTGAGACGGAGTTTCACTCTTGTTGCCCAGGCTGGAGTGCAATGGCGCGATCTCGGCTCACCGCAACGTCTGCCTCTGGGGTTCAAGCGATTCTCCTGCCTCAGCCTCCCTAGTAGCTGGAATTACAGGTGCCTGCCACCACGCCCGGCTAATTTTTGTATTTCAAAATGTTGAAATTAGCCACCATCTTGGCTAATTTCAGACCAGCTGTTGCCCAGGCTGGTCTCGAATTCCTGAGCTCAGGTGATTCACCCACCTCGGCCTCCCAAAGTGTTGAGATTACAGGCATGAGCCACCATGCCTGGCCCATGATTCTTTTTTATTGTGGCAAAATGTACACAACGTAAAATTAACCATTTTAACCATTTTTAAGTGTGTGGTTCAATGGCATGAAGTACATTCACATTGTTGTGCAACCATCACCACCATCCATCTCCAGAACTTTTTCATGATCTCACACTGACACTCTGTACCCACTCACCAATAGTTCCCCTTTCCCTCCTCCTCCCAGCCGCTGGTAACCACTGTTCTACTTTCTGTCTCTATAAATTTAAGTCAATAAGTTTTAAGGTAGCTTGTTAGGTAGCAACATATAACTTTACATAGATGTTAATAGGTTTATTTAATGATCAGCTTTTAGAATGTATTAATGTTTTTGTTAGTTTATTAAACACCAGGGAGTTGAAGTATCAGAAACTAATGAGGTGTTCAGAGCAGGTCCCTTTGTTATTTGTACATTTAATTCTCCAGTGTCATGGCCTATAGTGATATAGGTAAGATTATAATTATACTTAACATTGACTTTAATGTAGAGAAGGCAGTTTCACATGTAATATATCACTTATCTTTCACAACAGCCGTGTGAGGTAGAATTATTTTTTTCATTTTATAGATCAAGGGACTGAGGGTCAAAGAGTTTAAGCAACTAGCCCAAGGTCATAGAGTGGAACAGGTTGGTCTGCAACTATTTTTTGATTTCTCCTACTTGGGAAGGGCAATGGAAAGGGAACCCAAAAGACAAGCCAGCAGCTTAAAAGAGGCAATGCAAGCTCTGTCCTTAAAGGGCATCTGCTCCCCTGGGGAACATGTGTCTGCCCAGGGGAAAGTCCTTTAATAATGTACAACAGCAACCAAGAGGGCGCCCAGTGACTTGTTTTATAGGCTATAACTGGGTCCCATATTAAGAAACAATTTTCTTGGCTATATTTGGGGCAGGAAGAAGATGATGAAGCAAGCCAGGTACAGTCTATGAAGTAAAGCCACAGAATCGTGTCTTACTGATAAACGACACATAAAATCAATTCAATGGGTCACAAGCAACAGGTTTTCCAAACATGAAACAGAGCAGAATTCACTGCAATAGTAAGAGCCAGTGTTTGTCTGTAGGCTTTGTTTCAGTTTTATATGTACACACATGCATGCACCTCCATAGCCATGCCATTTGGGAACTGGGTCACAAAATGTATTTCTTTCTGTGGATGTTTGGGAAAGCATTTGAAAATCACTGCTTTTGAGCCGAGATCATGCCACTGCGCTCCAGCCTGGGTGACAGAGTGAGACTCCGTCTCAAAAAAAAAAAAAAAAATTCTGAGAAGATTTAGGTCCCTGCTTCCACTTTTTCCCAAGGAAGGCCACAGGGATGGGAGATGCAGAAGGAAAGACTCTCTCCTTTTGTAAAAGATCCAGTTTTTTTGCTTATATATTTTCGAGGTCACTAGGAATAGACAAGCACTATCTTTGAAAGGTAGCTAATGTACATTTCAAATTTGAGACTTACCTTTAGATCCCCATCCAGGTCCATATGTCTATAGTCATGAACCTCCCATGGCTTTATGCTCATGAAGTAAATAATAAACGGAAATGGTCTATGTGTGACAGTGAAGTCACAGCACCTCCACCACATACACAGTTCCATCCATATAATTATGCTTGTATAGAAAGATACTTGGGATTCCTTAGGAGTTAAAACCACACAATTGGCTGGGTATGGTGACTCATGCCTGTAATCCTAGCATTTTGGGAGGCTAAGGCAAGCAGGTCATGTGAGCCCAGGACTTTGAGACCAGCCTGGGCAACAGCAAGATCCCATCTCTTATGAAAAGAAAAATTAAGAATTTTTTTTTTTTGAGATGGAGTTTTGCTCTTGTTGCCCAGGCTGGAGTACAATGGCGTGATCTCGGCTCACCACAACCTCCGCCTCCTGGGTTCAATCGATTCTCCTGCCTCAGCCTCCTGAGCAGCTGGGATTACAGGCAAGCATCACCACGCCTGGCTAATTTTTTGTATTTTTAGTAGAGACGGGGTTTCTCCGTGTTGGTCAGGTTGGTCTCAAACTCCTGACCTCAGGTGATCCGCCCGCCTCGGCCTCCCAAAGTGCTGGGATTACAGGCGTGAGCCACCACACCTGGCCAAAGAAATTTTTTTAAAAAGCACACAAGCATGGTGATTCTTTACCCTGACCTGAAGACATGAACTTCTTGTCAGCAGGATTTCAATCCAGGATCCTATGCGGAGGGAGAGAAGCTGGGCCAGTGACCACTGGCAGCTCCTGGACACTAAGAAAATCTCCGTGGCAGAAGACAAGGGAGCCCAGATATTGCCAACAGCCATTGTTTAAAAAGAAAAAAAGAGTCATAGAGCTTCAGTAACATGGCTCTGCTTTGCCAATATCAGCAGGAAGACAGGTGCAGAGAGATCTGAGACCTTTCCCCATAGACAGTGCCCAAGAAATGTCCCCAAAGCTTGTGCTGGTTGCCAGGCTGGGCTGAATCTGGAGCATTTCCAGGCATACTCAAAGAGGCCCAAAAGTGACATGTGAACTTAGCATATCTGTTTTCAACCTTCTTCTTCTTTTTTTTTTTTTTTTTTGACACAGGGTGTCTTTATATTGCCCAGGCTGGCCTGGCCTCAAGCGATCCTCCCACCTTGGCCTCCCAAAGTGTTGGGATTACAGGCATGAGCCGGCACGCCCAGCCTGTTTGCAATTTAAGAGTAGAAATTGTTTTCATCAAACAGAAAACATCTGTGTCTGTTTGAATTTCAAACAAAGTAATGCTCTTCAGGTCTGATTTGAGCAAATTCATTTTCAGTGGGGAACTCTACATCTTTGTTTAATTTAGGGAGAGTATGAAGGGATTGCTTGAGTTGCTCCATTTTTATTTTCTCATGGGATAGAGAAATGTATGTGATTCAATGGCTAATTTCGTTTCATGGTAGTTTGTGGGTTTTGTTTTTATTTTCGTTTTTATTTTTGTTTTTGTTTTGACAGAGTCTCGCTCTATCGCCCAGGCTGGAATGCAGTGGTGCAATCTCTGCTCACTGCAACCTCTGCTTCCTGGGTTCAAGTGATTCTCCTGCCCCAGCCTCCTGAGTAGCTGGGATTACAGGTGCCTGCTACCACACCTGGCTAAGTTTTGTTTGTTTGTTTTAGTTTGTTTGTTTTGAGACTGAATCTCACTCTCTGTTGCCTAGGCTGGAGTGCAGTGGTATGATCTCGGCTCACTGCAACCTCTGCCTCCCAGGTTCAAGCAATTCTCGTGCCTTAGCCTCACGAGTAGCTGGGACTCCAGGCATGAGCCACCACACCCGGCTAATTTTTGCATTTTTAGTAGAGACGGGGTTTCACCATGCTGGCCAAGATGGTCTTGATCTCCTGACCTAAGGTGATCCACCCTCCTTGGCCTTCCAAAGTGCTGGGATTACAGGCGTGAGCCACTGTGCCCAGCCTTTTTTTTTTTTTTTGATTTAAATAACTTCTTCAAAGAAGATGCCATTTATAGATTTGAATATTACCCAACTCTGGCCAGGCACAGTGGCTCACGCCTGTAATCCCAGCACTTTGGGAGGCCAAGGAGGGTGGATCACCTGAGGTCGGGAGTTCGAGACCAGCCTGACCAACATGGAGAAACCCCATCTCTACTAAAAAAAAAAAACAAAATTAGCCAGGCATGGTGGCACATGCCTGTAATCCCAGCTACTAGGGAGGGTGAGGCAGGAGAATTGCTTGAACCTGGGAGGCGGAGGTTGTGGTGAGCCGAGATCGCGCCATTGCACTCCAGCCTGGGCAACAAGAGGAAAACTCCGTCTCAAAAAAAAAAAAAAAAAAAAAAAAAAAAAAAAAAAGAATATTACCCAACTCTTTGGTTATGATAAAAAGCACAGAAAGGAACAGACTAAAGGGGAAAGTAAGACCAGATTTATTAAAGGGTAGTGAATTATATTATTAAAACCAGTGACTCCTCCCTCCTTCCTTCCAAACTAACCCCAAACTCAGCTTATCTAAGTAAACCAAAGGAAATTTAATCTTAGCCTCTACTATAGATTCAGTACATTCTGGCTGACATTTTAAACCCTGTTAGAAATCTGGTTGGTGTCCAAGCACATGCAATAGTAGAATGGAGCAATCATGTAGATAACTATCTCATTTTTCTTTCACTCTGAAACATTGACAATGATTCTTTGTAAAATGTCTCAGGACATTGAAGGAAGCTATCGACAAACATTTTGCAGAAATCTGTCAAGAGTTGATTACTGCAATTTATATAATGTGGAAATTTTATTTCCCAGGCTTCATGTATTGCATGATTAAAACATGCGTGAAAGGAAATGGGTCTCTAGGCTGCCAAACGTATGAGCAACCAGGAGTCAAGGTGAAGGTTTAAAGGGTGGTGTTTTCAGCTCCTGAGAGGACAAAATGATGACCTCAAATGACACAGGCAGAACTACCAGATACACACTGGTCCCCTCCCAATGTGGGCAAACATTAACTGGCAAAACAGGAGAAATCCATACCTCCCTTCATTTCTCAGAAATCCTTGCAGCCATGCCAGTTTAGGTGGGGAGTACCATGTTGGAGTTCCATGCTATGTAGGTAGGGATAACACAAACATCTGAAATTCACAGACAAATTCAAGCTCTTATTTTAGCAATTTACTTTCAACTGAATTAGTTTCATCAACTCTGCTAACCAAAAGGGATACTGTAACCAAGGCCTATGTTGTAGGCAGGAGTCCACCCTCTTTTCCATTCACATCCTGCAGAAGGAACTACTGAGTCACAAAGTACGTGAATAAAGTTGCCAAGGCCATGGCTCAGTTCTAAGCTGGATGGAAACGCTTTGGAAACTGAACATTGGAGTGCAGTCAGAAGACTTCATTACAGTGTCACACAGCACACCAGGTTTACCTGACTCATTCTCAGAATCAACCACCCAAGGCAATTTTAGATTTTTTCTTTGATAAGTCTCAAGTCTTTTTAATGTGGGGAAGAGACATATAGATAATTTAATTCTACTCACTGTAGGGTTTTTATTTGAGATTTTACCTATGCCCACCTACTCTTCCCCGTATAAACAGTAAACGATTCTCACCATTTCTCTGGATATACACAGTAAAGTCATGCTTGCAAATGACAAATGAACACTAGGGTACTGTCTTGCTCATACTCTTCAACAAGCATGATGACATTTTCTTTCATAACATTGTACTCTAACATGACAATCTTTTTTTTTAATTTCTGAATTTTTTTTTTTTTTTGAGGCAGGGTCTCGCTCTGTCACCCAGGCCGTTCAAGTGCCACAATCTCTGCTCACTGCAATCTCTGCCTCCCAGGCTCAAGCCATACTCCCACCTCAGCCTCCCAAATAGCTGGAACCACAGGTGTATGCCACCATGCATGGCTAATTTTTGTATTTTTTGTAAAGATGGGGTTTTGCCATGTTGCTCAGGCTAGTATCAAACTCCTGAGCTCAAGCGATCTGCCTGCCTCGGACTCCCAAAGTGCTGGGACTACAGGCGTGAGCTACTGCGCTCAGCCTAAAATGTCAATCTTAATTAAATTATTTGCTTAGGTTAAGATTATCTGGAATATATATATATATATATATATATATATATTTTTTTTTTTTTTTTTGAGACGGAGTTTTGCTCTGGTTGCCCAGGCTGGAGTGCAATGGCACGATCTCGGCTCACCACAACCTCTGACTCCCGGGTTCAAGTGATTCTCCTGCCTCAGCCTCCCAAGTAGTTGGGATTACAGGCATGCACCACCATGCTCAGCTAATTTTGTATTTTTAGTGGAGATGGGGTTTCTCCATGTTGGTCAGGCTGGTCTCGAACTCCCGACCTCATGTGATCCACCCGCCTCAGCCTCCCAAAGTGCTGAGATTACAGGTGTGAGCCACCGCGCTCAGCTATGTGCAATATATTTTTAAAGCATTTCTGGATGAACACTTATTTCAAATGAGCGCGCACACACACATACACATACACACAAAATCAAAGCAATCTTTTTTCTTTTTAAAGAAAATTCTTTAAAAAGGTGGCCCACAACTGTAATCCCAACACTTTGGGAGGGTGAGGCAGTGGATCACTTGAGGTCAGGCATTTGAGACTATCCTGGGCAACATGGCAAAACCCACTCTTTGCAAAAACAAACAAACAAAAAAAAAGTCAATTCTTTTCAGAGCCATAATTTCGAATAGTCACCATGTCTGCATGAATCCATTTTTTTGTTATTAACTTAATATAAATGACTAAAGGTCATTTTCCATAGAAATGCAAAGTCCAGCTGGCCTGGTGGCTCACACCTGCAGTCTCCACTAGTAGGGAGGCTGAGGTGGCAGGATTGCTTGAGCTCAGGAGGTCAAGGCTGCAGTGATCATGCCACTGCACTCTAACCTGGATGACAGAGTGAGACCTCAACTCTGAAAAAAGAAAAAAAAGAAATACGAAATTTAAAAATGTATAGTGATTCCTTTCCTCACCTCTGTTGAACTTTCATTACTGGGTGAAGAGAGATCATGCTTTCATTTCATCAGGCATTTGAGAGATGCCACCACTATGGTTCTATTCATAAAAATCTCCATGTAGGAATAGTATTGTATAGTTCACAAAGTATGCAGCTATTATCATCTTATGATCCCTACAACATCCGTGAAAGGCCAGCAGATCAGGAATTCTAATCTCTACTTACAGATGGGAAACTGAAGACGGAAGAGATTTGCCCAAGGCTGTGGCACACACCAACTCACAAACTGGGATTCAAATCCAGACCTTCTGGTGCCTAATCCACTCTCTTTTCTGTATATTTTGCTTCCCCCTCCCCAGCACTTTCTCCCTGCAAAAAGAAGATATTGATGTTTTGAGACAGACTAAAAATCTCATTTGCCTGCTTCCCCCTCTAAAAAAAAACACAGTAAGTAACTTACCAGGTGTGTTCAATGTAGTTTGCACCTCTGTGCTACAACCAATATAGGGGCATTTATCAACAGGACTGGCATTGTATTTATCAACAGGACTGGCATTGTATGGTGGGGATGAAGTCTATGCAGCCTTTGGGGAGACCTGGCAGCAGCTTCTCTGTTGTGTCCTTGGAGGAGTTCCAGTGCACTGCAATTGGACAACAGCAACCAAATGTTGCTCCCAATCCAGCCCCAGTGGCTCCCAGCTGCCCTGGCCTGCTTTCTCATCTGGTAAAACACAGGAGTTGGGGAGAAGGTAGCTGGCACTGGAAAAGTTGCTACTGGATGAAGGGTTGGCATAGTTCCTTATAGACACTTAAGATGGGGAAAGAAGTAGAAGATGGGAGAGATTGGCCACAATTTTTGGAACTTGCCCCGAAGGAAGGGGCCAGGAAGCTTTTGCACAAGGTAGCAGAACATGAAGTGCTGGTTCTGGTTCTCCAACTACAGCTGGTGAGCTGGGGAAGGAGTTTAAGAGGTCATCAAGTCCACCTTTCATTCATCCATTCATTCATTCATCTGTTCATTCCTTCAAATGATTATTGAACACCTAGAGGTGCTTAGGATACGGTAGGGAACAAATCAAAGTCCCTGCCCCCGAGGAGTTTACATTCTAGTGGGGAGAGACAAACTTTTTTTTTTTTTTTTTTTTGAGACGGAGTCTCGCTCTGTCGCCCAGGCTGGAGTGCAGTGGCGGGATCTCGGCTCACTGCAAGCTCCGCCTCCCGGGTTCACGCCATTCTCCTGCCTCAGCCTCCCGATTAGCTGGGACTACAGGCGCCCGCCACTACGCCCAGCTAATTTTTTGTATTTTTAGTAGAGACGGGGTTTCACCGTTTTAGCCGGGATGGTCTCGATCAGGGAGAGACAAACTTTAAGCAAGCAAAAAAATACAGGCATTCTTGGAGATTTTGTGGGTTTGGTTCCAGACCACCACAATAAAGTTGATATTGCAATAAAGTGAGCCACATCAATTTTTTGGCTTCCCAGTGCGTATAGAAGTTATTTTGTCCAGATCTATCAGAGGAATCACTATTGATGCAAGCTTCAGCCCCTTATGAGATCATTTCTTTCTTTCGTTTGTTTTTTTTTTTTTTTAGTCAGGGCCTTGCTCTGTCATGCAGGCTGGAGTGCAGTGGCAATCACAGCTCTCTGCAGCCTCAAACTCCTGGGCTCAAGTGATCCTCCCACCTCAGCCTCCCGAGTAGCTGGGACTGCAGGCACTTGCCACCATGCCTAACTAATTTTTTTTTTTAATTGTAGAGACAAGGTTTCACCATGTTGCTCAAGGCTGGTCTGGAATTCATGGGCACAAGTGATCCACCTGCCTCGTCCTGCCAAAGTGCTGGGATTACAGGCATGAGGCACTGCATCCTGCTGAGATCTATCTCTTAAATAATGGGACTTGAAAGTCGAAATTACTCTTGATCCATAGGCTGCAGAATGAAAGTTGTGTAAGCAGGCATGAAAACATTAATCTCCTTGTACATCTCCATGAGAGATCTCGGGTGAATAAGCACATTGTCATTGAGCACTAATATTTCTAAAGGAATCTTTTGTTCTGAGCAGCAGGTCTCAATGGTGGGCTTAAAATATTCAGTAAACTATGCTGTAAACAGGTGTTCTGTCATCCAGGCTTTGTTATTCCATTTATAAAGCATAGGATGAGGAGATTTAGCATAATTCTTAAGGGCCCTACGATTTTCAGAATGGTAAATAAGCATTGACTTCAACTTCAAGTCACCAGCTGCATTAGCCCCTAGCAAGTCAGCTTGTCCTTTTAAGCTTTGAAGCCAGATATTGACTTCTCCTCTCTAGCTATGAAAGTCCTAGATGGAATCTTCTTCCAATACAATGTTGTTTTGTCTATACTGAAAATCTGTTGTTGAGTGTAACCACCTTCATTGATAATCTTTGCTAGATCTTTTGGATAACTTGCTACAGCTTCTACATCAGCACTTGCTGCTTCATCTTGCACTCTTATGATACAGAAATGGCTTCTTTCCTTCAATCTCATGAACCAACATCTGTTAGTGTCAAACTTTTCCTCTGCAGCTTCCTCTTCTCTCTTAGCCTTCATAGAATTGAAGAGAGTTAGGGCCTTGCTCTGGATTAGGCTTTGACTTCAGGAATAGTGTGGCTGGTTTGAGCATCTATCCAGATTACTCAAACTTTCTCCATATCAGAAATAAAGTTGTTTTGCTTTTGTATCATTTGTGTGTTCACTGGAGTAGCACTTTTAATTTCCTCCAATAACTTTTTCTTTGCATTCACAATTTGGCTGCAAGAAGCCTAACTTTCAACCTAACTTGGCTTTAGACATGCCTTCCTCACTAAGCTTAATGATTTATAGGTTTGTTTGTTTTTTGTTTGTTTGTTTTTTTAAGATGGAGTCTACTGTGGCTCAAGCTGGAGTGCAGCGGTGCGATTTCGGCTCACTGCAACCTCTGCCTCCTTGGTTCAAGCTGTTCTCCTGCCTCAGCCTCCTGAGTAGCTGGGATTACAAGCATGCACCACCATGCCAGGCTAATGTTTGTATTCTTAGTAGAGACGGGGTTTCACCATGTTGGTCAGGCTGGTCTTGAACTCCTGACCTCAAGAGATCTGCCCACCTCGGCCTCCCAAAGTGCTGAGATTACAGGCGTGAGCCACCATGCCCAGCCCACTTCTAGCTCTTGATTTAAAGTAAGAGACATGCAACTCTTCCTTTCACTTGAACACTTAGAAGCTGTTGTAGAGTTATTAATTGGCCTTATTTCAGTATTGTTGTTTCTTAGGGAATCGGGAGGCCTGAGGAGAGAGATGGACAGCTGTTCAGTGGAGCAGTCAGACACGTACAATATTTACTGATTGAGTTCTCAATTTAATATGGGTAGTTCATGGTGTCCAAAACAATTACAATAGTAACATCCAAGATCACTGATCACAGATCACCATAACAGATATAATAATAACAACAATTAAAATATTGCAAGAATTACCAAAATGTGACACAGAGACCACGAAGTAAGCACATGCTGTTGGAAAAATGGCACCAATAGACTTGCTTGACACAGAGTTGCCACAAAACTTCACTTTGTGAAAAGTGCAATATCTGCAAAGCACACTACGGCGAGGTATGCCTGTAGCATGTCAGCTGGTGATAAGTGCTGTGGAGAACAGGAAAGTCGGGTGAGAGGAAAAGGGGCTGTTTGGGGCTAGAGGTGATCTTATATATGCCAGTTAGGCTGATAACGTGCTGACTACTGACACTGACATCTGAATGGAGACTTGAAGGAAATGAGGGAAGGAGCCATGAAAATATCTGATGGGAAGAGAATTCTAAGGAGAGGGAACATCAAGTGAAAAGACTCCACTGCAGGGAGTATTTGGCATGTTAAAGGAATAGCTAGGAGGCCAGTAGGGTTGGAGCAGCAGGAGGTGGGAAATTGTAGATGAGGTCAGAGAGATTGTGGGTCCTGGACCTGCAGGACAGCATTAGGCTCAGGGGAGACAGAGGCCCACTGGAGGGCATGGAGCAAGGCAATGATAGAATCTGACTTTTAAAGAATCCTCCCAGCTGCTGTTGTGGAAAACATCTTGGGGCTATGCCATGGAACATGATGGAAATCTACTTCATTCTTGGAAGGTCTTGTATATGACTCAGTTGCCCTCATTTTTTAGGTGGGTTTTTATGCTTCTCCCCAGACAGATTTCCATCTATTTGTTTCCTTTCCAATCATCAGATTCTTTAAAATGCAAAATCTGATTTTGTCATCCTCCCTTTGCAACCCCTAACTTCTTTAAAAACAAAAAAAAACAAAAAACAGGTTCTCACTCTGTTGCCCATGGTGGAGTACAATGGCACCATCTCAGCTCACTGCAACCGCCACCTCCTGGGTTCAAGCAATTCTCCTGCCTCAGCCTCTCGAGTAGATGGGACTACAGGCAAATGCCACCACACTTGGCCAATGTTTGTATTTTTGTAGAGACGGGGTTTCGCCATGTCAGCCAGTCTGGTCTTGAACCCCTGGCCTCAAGTGATTCGCCCGCCTCAGCCTCCCAAAGTTTTGGGATTACAGGTAAGAGCCACCCAGCCATTGATCCATTTTCTATATTTAAAATCAGAGAGGCTTCCTCCCCCTTTTAAAATTAGGCATATAGAGAATCTATCTTTAGTAGATTAATGATCCATTATCTTAACAGCTGGTATGAGTGTTTACTATATGGTATTCCCTGTTTAAGGTATTTTGAATGTTTATAATATTACATTTATATATTATTTGATACTAGAACAACTATATATAATATGTCTTTTTGTTGTGGTGGTGATTGTTTTTTTGTTTTTGAAACAGAGTCTCAGCTGGGTGCAGTGGCTCAAACCTGTAATTCCAGCACTTTGGGAGGCCGAGGCAGGTGGATCACCTGAGGTCAGGAGTTTGAGACTAGCCTGGCCAACATAATGAAACCCTGTCTCCACTAAAAATACAAAAATTAGCTGAGTGTGATCGCGGGCACCTGTAATCTCAGCCACTCAGGAGGCTGAGGCAGAAGAATTGCTTGAACCCGGGAACCAGAGGTTGCAGTGAGCCAAGTTCATGCCACTGCACTGCACCCTGGGTGATAGAGAGAGACTCTGTCTCAAAAAACAAACAAACAAACAAACAAACGAAACAGGGTCTCGCTTTGTCACCTAGGTGGGAGTGCAGTGACACCATCTCGGCTCACTACAACCTCCACCTCCCAGGTTCAAGCGATTCTTGTGCCTCAGCCTCCCAAATAGCTGGCACTACAGGTGCGTCACTACGACTGGCTAATTTTTGTATTTTAATTTTTATTATTTTTTTTTTGAGACAGAATGTCGCTCTGTCGCCCATGCTGGACTGCAGTGTCGTGATCTCAGCTCACTGCAACATCCACCTCCTGGGTTCAAGCAATTCTTCTTCCTCAGCCTCCCAAGTAGCTGAGATTACAGGTGCCTATCACTCACCTGGCTAATTTTTGTATTTTTAGTAGAGACAGGGTTTTGCCATGTTGGCCAGGCTGGTCTCAAACTCCTGACCTCAGGTAATTCACCTGCCTCGGCCTCCCAAAGTGCTGGGATTATAGGCGTGAGCCACTGCACCCGGCCCCAGCCATCAACTTTTCAAAGTCAGTTGCTCTAAGGAAAAAGTCCAGATTCTTTTTTGTGGCCTAAAAGGTCCTGCAAGATTAAGCCCTTGCTCACTTCCCTTTCCTTTGAGCTCTACTCTGTCTCCCTTTTTCTACCCCAGCCACAGTGGTCCTCTTTTGGTGCTTCCCGGTACAATGCCTTCCCCCAGATCCTTTCTTCTTCCTGTTATATTCTTCGCTATGTCTGCATGGTTTATCCCAGTATCCTGTACCCGAGAGCTCCAGAAACTGTTGAATTAGTTAATTCATCAATTACATGTGGTACATAAGTGAAATCACTACTGAATCCATGGTGTGGAGTTATTTCTATTTTGGAAGAAGGCTCCGATTTCACTAATACTGAAATTTCATTTAGTATTATTTTAAATTATTTGAATATATTTTGGAGTGAATATATGTGATATTAACAAACTATGTGATTATATTTTTGAACACCTTTCCTAGATGTTATCATTCTAATTCACCTTGCCACAACATTACAGCATAATACATTACATATCCTCTTCAATATAGGCTTGTTCCGTGAAAAGGCACAGAGGAAACTTAAATGCATATTGCTAAATGAAAGAAGTCAATCCTGGCTGGGCGTGCTGGCTCATGCCTGTAATCCCAGCACTTTGGGAGGCCAAGGCAGGAGGATCACCAGAGGTTAGGAGTTCAAGACCAGCTTGGCCAACATGGTGAAACCTTGTCTCTACTAAAAATACAAAAATTAGCTCTACGTGGTGGGACACGTCTGCAATCCCAGCTACTCAGGAGGCTGAGGCAGGATAATCGCTTGAACCAAGGAGGCAGATGGTTGTAGTGAGCCGAGATCACGCCACTGCACTCCAGCCTGGGCAACAGAGTAAGACTTGTCTTAAAAAAAAAAAAAAAAAAAAGGAGAAAGAGGACAATCAGAAGGCTTCTACTATATGTACAATGCTACATACTGAATGATTCCAACTACATGGCATGCTGGAAAAGGCAAAACTATGGAGACAGTAGGAAGATCAGTGGTTGCTAGAGATTGGGCAGAGGGAGGGAAGAATGAATAGCCAGAGCACTGGGGGGTGGTAGGGCTGTAAAACTATTCTGTATGATACTACAATGGTGCATACATGCCGTTATGTATTCGTCCAAACTAATAGAATGACCCACACCATTAGTGAACCCTAATGTAAACTGTGGACTGTGGGTGATAATGAGGTGTCAATGTAGGTCCATCCATTGTAGCAAATGGACCACTCTGGTGGAAGATGTTGATAATAGGGGAGGCTGTGCATGTGGCGGAGCAGGGGTATATGGGAAATCTCCGTACCCTTCCCTCAAGTTTGCTGGGAACCTAAAATTACTCTAAAAATTGTCTTTAATTTAAAAAGGCATATATATACACATACATACATACATACGTAGGTATACATACATATATGCATGTATGTATACATATACATGCATATATGTATGTGTATATATATATGCTTTTTAAAATTAAAGACAATAATTATACATATATATATATATATATACACACACACACATACATATATATGCTTATCATAAATTTTAGTGGGAATTCTTCACCTGTAATGGATTTCCCCATTTTAGTATCTTATTAACAGTCTGGGCATAGTGGCTCACTCCTATAATCCCAGCACTTTGGCAGGCCGAGGCGAGCAGATCACTTGAGGTCAGCAGTTCCAGACCAGCCTGGCCAACGTGGTGAAACTCCATCTCCACTAAAAATACAAAAAATGAGTCAGGCATGGTGGCAGGTGCCTGTAATCCCAGCTACTCGGAGACTGAGGAAGGAGAATTGCTTGAACCCAGGAGGCCGAGGTTGTAGTGAACTGAGATTGCGCCACTGCACTCCAGTCTGGGTGACACAGCAAGACTCCATCTCAAAAAAAAAAAAAAAAAAACCAGAAAGATTAGTTCTCCCTGTGTTACCAGAGGTATATTAATTTGTCTAATACTCTGTTGATATCTTTTAAAATTCAGGAGTTGTGCTGTTCAATATGGTATGGTGGCCCAGCCACATACGTGGTTTAAATTTTAAATTAATTAAAATCAGATTTTAAAAAAATGCATCCCTCAGTTCTGATGTGAATAGTGGATACCACAAATATAGAACATTTTTATCACTGCAGAGAGTTCTGTTGGACAGCCTACCTCTCACATCTCCCTCGTGCTTTGATGTATCTTCTGTTTCTGAGGAGGTATCTGCAACAGGGTGACAATGACTCTGTCAATCACCTTTCTTTCAGTGCCTAGTTTGTGTCAAGCAGTAAGGTAGTAAGAGAGTATCTTATATATGTACTTTTTTTTTTTCGAGACAGGGTCTCACTCTGTTGCCCAGGCGGGAGTGCAGTGGTGCGATCTCAGCCCACTGCAACCTCCACCTCCCAGGTTCAAGAGGTTCTCCCACCTCAGCCTCTCGAGAAGCTGAGATTACAGGTGCATGCCACCACACACAGCTAATTTTTGTATTTTTAGTAGAGACAGGATTTCACCATGTTGGCCAGGCTGGTCTTGAAATCCTGACCTCAAGTGATCTGCTAGCCTTGGCCTCCCAAAGTGCTGGGATTACAGGGGTGAGCCACTGCGCCTGGCCTTATGTACATATTATCTTATTTAGTCCTCATAGGATTCAACCATGAGTCAGCTCAAGGAGACCATTCTATAAGATCATTGTAATAAATCAGAAATCTGATGACCATTAACTCAGATTTCCACCCCCATTCCCTACTCAACAGGCAAAATGTAAATTGGGCTACTCTGCCTGTGGGATGGCCCTGCTCTGTCCATGGAGCAGCCAAAAAAAAAAATATGTCTATATACGTCTAAACATTTTTAAAAATGTAAATTGGTCTCAATCGCATCAGATCATACAGAGCCCTTGAATGCAAATAAAAGATAATTCTTGTTAGTGTGGCATCTGTGTCTTTTCAGAATCTGGAGGGCTTACAAGTTCAATGACCACAGGGCACTAACCCTGAGGCCTAAGGCAGCCAGGGGAGATTCAAATCTGGAGCAAAACAATGCATGGGCTTAGTGTTCTTTACTGAGGAGGACTTTACTCTTTATCATTTAAATTATAACAGCTTTAATCTATCCCTTAACAAAAGGTCTGCTTCAGGAAAGTATACACACAAACATGTATATGTGAGCATACAGACACACACACAGAGACAAGAACAAGATGGGAGGGGTTTGTTTTTGTTTTTGTTTTGTTTTTGAGATAGAGTCTCACTCTGTCACCTAGGGTGGAATGCAGTGATGCCATCTCAGCTCACTACAACATCCGCCCCCTGGGTTCAAGCGATTCTCCTGCCTCAGCCTCCCGAGTAGCTGGGACTACAGGCCCGCACCACCATGCCCAGTTAATTTTTGTATTTTTAGTAGAGACAGGGTTTCACCATGTTGGCCAGGCTGGTCTTGAACTCCTGACTTCAGGTGATCCGCCCGCCTCAGCCTCCCAAAGTGCTGGGATTACAGGGGTGAACCACCGCACCCAGCATCTCAAATGTATTTTGAATTAGACTTAATAAATATATCTATATATGTTGGCCTAATCTTTGGTGGCTAAGAGTAACTGACAGTTCCAAGAGATGCAAAAAACTGCAAAATAAAAGGTGATTCAAAATAACTTCATGTAAGAAATATTTTGAACATTAAAAAATGATGAGCAATTTATTTTTGTCAATAGGAAAACAATTTCTCTTCACTCCCACTAACAGTAAATAAATATTTAAGGAATATTGGTTTGAAATAAAGACACTAAATTAATAATACCTGGGATGCTCTCATGTACTAGCTCGGCCCTAGAGATAACTATGTTTACTGCCATTTTACAGATGAGAAAACTGAGGCTCGAAGAAGTTAAGTGCCATATTTCTTGGGTAATCAGTGGTAGAAATTGAAACTTGGGACGAATCTACTCAAGAATTCCATTCTGACTCCCTGTTGGGTAGACTTGACTCTGACTCATCTTTCTCTGATTTTTGTGGTTGAAATTCTGATTGAAAAGAGAATGTTAGAACATCCATTTAAAAACCTGAACTTGTACTTGAAGGAAACAGCTAGGACTTTTTTTTTAAGATGTCGCCCAGGCTAGAGTGCAGTGGTGAGATCTCAGCCCACTGCAACCTCCTCCTCCCGGGTTCAAGCGATTCTCATGCTTCAGCTTCCCGAGTAGCTGGGATTACAGGCACTGGCCACCACACCTGGCTAATTTTTTGTATTTTTATTAGAGACAGGGTTTCACCATGTTGGCCAGGCTGGTCTCGAACTCCCGACCTCAAGTGAGGAGGTTTTACCAAATTCATTTTAAAGATTATACTTCAATTGATGAAAAACAATTAAATTGCTTTCATTTATTTAAAAACTTACATAGTACTCAGTTCTGCCATTGTAGTGTGAAAGCAGCTACAGAAAATACATAAACAAATTAGCCTGTCTGTGTTCCAATAAGAACCTTATTTATGGATTCTGAAATTTGAATTTTATATAGCTTTGCATGCCACAGAATATTAGTCTTCTCTTGATTTTTTTTCAATTTGTAGATATAAAAACTATCTTTAGCCCACTGGCCATATAAAAACAGGTGGTAGGCTGGATTTGATGTTCAGTTCTTAGTTTGCCACCGCTAATTGTAGAGCATGAAATCAAAACCTGGAGAAATGTAGGAGCTTGCCTAAGAATATGGAAGAATAGGACTATGCTCCATTTTTTTTCTGCTTGCTAAGCTTAATGGGTTGTATTCTATTATAAAGAAATAAGTCTGGGAGCGGTGGCTCACGTCTGTGACTTTGGGAGGCCAAGGTGGGTGGATCACTTGAGGTCAGGAGTTTGAGACCAGCCTGGCCAACATGGTGAAACCCCATCTCTACTAACAATACAAAAATTTTCCAGGCGTGGTGGCACACGCCTGTAATCTCAGCTACTCCAGAGGCTGAGGCAGGAGAATTGCTTGAACCCGGGAGGCAGAGGTTGCAGTGAGCCACTGCACTCCAGCCTGGGTGACAGAGCAAGACTCCATCTCAAAAAAAAAAAAAAAAACAAAAAAAAAAACCAGAAATTAAAATTGGCCAGGTGCAGTGGCTCATACCTGTAATCCCAGCACTTTGGGAAGTTGAGGCAGGAGGACTGCTTAAGTCCAGGAGTTCGAGACCAACCTGGGCAACATAGTGAGACCCTGTCTCTACTAAAACAAGAAAAAAGGAAATGGAAATCATGAAAGCCATAAGAAGTTAATTTAATTATCTGTGGGGAAGGGACATCTTAAGGTCATGAGCCCAGGCTATGAATCCTTAATGAAAGCAAAGTCAAAAGGCCTGCCATCATTCCCCCATATGCCTTATCTGTAACATAATGGCAAAAATACAATACACTGTTTCTTTTAGGAATGTTTCCTTTCCTCTGCCACAAAATGTTATACTATTGTTAACTAAAAACTCTGCAAATATTAAACTAAAGTGGAAGAGGAGAGGAGAGCAATAGGTTAAATTATTATTATTATTATTATTATTATTATTATTATTATTTGAGATGGAGTCTCACTCTGTTGCCCAGCTGAAGTGCAGTGGTGTGATCTCGGCTCACTGCAATCTCTGCCTCCTGGGTTCAAGCAATTCTCCTGCCTCAGCCTCCTGAGTAGCTGGGATTACAGGCATGCACCACCATGCCCAGCTAATTTTTGTATTTTTAGTAGAGACAGGGTTTCACCCTGTTGGTCAGGCTGGTCTCAAACTCCTGACCTCATGATCCACCTGTCTCGGCCTCCCAAAGTGCTGGGATTACAGGCGTGAGCCACTGCACCCAGCCGGTTGAATTTAAATTACAATATTTGTTGTCCCAATCTGGAGTTAGAGGACTTAGAAAGATTTGCTTAAACCTTCTCCATGAATGTATAATTTATGTACCATTTATATATAATCAATATGCTATTCCTTTGAAGATTTGCTAATTGGCTCCTGTCTTACATCATTCAATATTTATTGAGGTTTCACCATGTACCAGCCACTATTCCAAGCCCTGAGTATATTGTAGTAAACAAATTCTCTTACACGTCTTTTCAAAGGGATGAACAATATAAAGTTCTCCGCATTCGCAAACTTCAGCTACATTCTACTACCATCATATTCCTTATATGACAATCAACAAAATGAACATTCAGAAAACTAGTAACAGTTAATTGATTATTAAAAAGTGCTTTAACATAAAGAACAATGCTGTCAGGCAAATGCAAATCGATAAACATTCACTTACTATTTGCAAGGCAAACTATCACTGGCATAAACTGTAAAAAAGTTCACAATAATATGTATGATGAACTTTCCAGTAAACTTAAAGCACGTCACACATGTTTTTTTCTCTCATTCACCTCTTTCACTTCTTCCCACAATTTCTACGTCAAACAGGTAAAAAAAAAAAAAAAATCAGATCAGGGCAAGATACAGAAACTCGAATAAGAACATAACTGGTATAAGCAGAGGGAGTATCACAGCTAGAACCCAGGGCTTCCATTTTTAAGAATCTTCCTTTACCCATTATCTCCTATACTAACAATTTAAATAAACCATTAATCAAAAGGCAGCTCCAACTTGTAAGCAAACTCTGTGTTTGTCACACACAATATTTCTGTTCAACAGAAATATTGAGCAAAAACAAGGACACTTTTTTTTTCCTTTTCACTTTTATTCTACAAACATACAAAACTAGAAATACCAGATGGACCTGGAGGTAATTAATGCATGGCAAGCTGAACTTTTTACCTGCAAGATCACTTTATATGTGCCACAAACAGCTAAAATTGAAATGTGATGATTTCATTGAGCCCCTGGGTTAGACGGCTGACTTTTCCTTGAATAAATTATCAGTTTGTCTTTCCGTTGCCCCAATCCCCACCTCCTGGCCCAACCACTGAAATGACATTGCTGGTAAACTCATGCCTTCACCTGTATATTTTTCTTCCACTTCTCACTTATGGTTTGGAGTGGCCCCTATTTTGACCCTTTCCTCAGAGCATCTAGTGGCAAATTAAGGGATGAATGTGGTAGGTGGCAGTGGTGATGGGGGGAGACCCCATTCAGCATATTCTGGCTGGTCTCATAACCCCAACTTTTGGTTCAAGGGTGAAAACGGAAATCCACCTGACTCAGGACTGGCTAAGGGCCAAGCTTATCATTCTAATCTAGTTTGGGCAGATTCTGAGAAGCTGCATTTTCATGTAAGTTTGCAAGTTAACTTTACATCGACAGGAGAAATTCTTCTGTTAAGATCAGCTTCTGGGCTGGGTGCAGTGGCTCAGGCCTGTAATCCCAGCACTTTGGTAGGCCGAGGCCGGCAGATCACTTGAGGTCAGAAGTTCAAGACCAGCCTTGCCAACATGGCAAAACTCTGTCTCTACAAAAAATACAAAAAATCAGCCAGGCGTGGTGGTACACGCCTGTAGTCCCAGCTACTTGGGAGGCTGAGGCACGAGAATCGCTTGAACCTGGGAAGCCAAGGTTCCTGTTCCTCCGCTGAGAAACAGGAACACAGACCCTGTTCCTCCGCTGAGAAAAAGAAAAAAAATCGACTTTTGGACTGGAGCTAACCAGGACCTGCTGTTCTGGTGGATACTGAAACTGGCATAGTTCCCTTCAAGCACAGGGAATAAAGGGAGGGGGGCAAAGTCAGTGACCATACATAGGCAGCCCCCTGCCCAGAGCACATGTCAAGTCCTACTACACCTAGGCCTATTATACCTAGGCTCTTTATTATTTATTTATTTATTTATTTTTTAGATGGAGCTTCGCTCTTGTTGCCCAGGCTGTAGTGCAGTGGCACAATCTCAGCTCACTGCAACCTCCGCCTCCCAGGTTCAAGCGATTCTTCTGCCTCAGCCTCCTGAATAGCTGGGATTACAGGCACGCGCCACCATACCCAGCTAAAATTTTTTTGTATTTTTAGTAGAGACGGGGTTTCACCGTGTTTGCCAGGCTGGTCTCGAACTCCTGGCCTCAGGTGATCCACCTGCCTCAGCCTCCCAGAGTGCTGGGATTACAGGCATGGGCCACCTTGCCCTGCCACATTTAAACCTAACCTTAACCCTATATTTAAGTCATATATATGACTTAAAAACAAATTATTATTTTTGACTGTATTGAAATACAGTTATACATTTTAAAACTATAAAGTATGTGCTTCCTTGTTAAAACATTAATTAACAAAATCTGGGTTCTAATAACTCCCATATATTTAAAGTAGTTTAAATGATATTTCCAAAATATCTGCAACAACTGTAATGTGATAAGAAAATACCTGCAATTTTTTTTCTTTTTTTAAGACAGAATCTCGTTCTGTTGCCCAGGCTGGAATGCAGTGATGCAATCAGAGCTCACTGCGGCCTCATCCTCCACGGCTCAAGCAATCCTCCCACCTCAGTCTCCCAAGTTGCTGGGACTATAGGCACATGCTACCATGCCTGGCTAATTTTTGTTGTTGTTGTTTTTTGTAGAGACAGAGTTTCACCATGTTGTCCAGACTGGTCTCGAACTCCTGGACTCAAGCAATCCACCTGCCTTAGCCTCCTAAAGTGTACGAATTACAGGCATGAGCCACCACGCCCAGCAATTTCTTTTAGTAAAAAGTTGCAAGTATTGCTAATCCTACTGTGGTTTTTTTGCCTACATTCATTATTGAAGAACATGCTAAATTTTATTTAGATATTGGTGAAACCCAAAATTTAAGTTTTTCATCCAAGTTCAGCCTGAATTCTATCCATGGACTCTGGACTAACAATCCCTGAGAGGTTTAAAAACAAACAAAAAACCCCGTTGATTGATAAACAGAGTAAAAGACCCTGCCACCACTTGAATGAGGAAATTTCCAGGCTGGGGATGCCACTTCCTCTCCATCCATTTCATTTGCAAATCCCAGTCTTTTTTTTTTTTTTTTTTTTTGAGACAGAGTCTCGCTCTGTTGCCCAGGCTGGAGTGCAGTGGTGCAATCTCGGCTCACTGCAAGCTCCGCCTCCCAGGTTCACGCCATTCTCCTGCCTCAGCCTCCTGAGTAGCTGGGACTACAGCTGCTTGCAACCACGCCCGGTTAATTTTTTGTATTTTTAGTAGAGATGGGGTTTCACCGTGTTAGCCAGGACAGTCTTGATCTCCTGACCTCGTGATCTGCCCGCCTCAGCCTCCCAAAGTGCTGGGATTACAGGCGTGAGCCACCGTGCCCGGCCACAAATCCCAGTCTTATTACCCAGTGAAGGATTAGTCCTGCCCAGTCTGTCCCCCAGCTGCTTGTTGCTGCAGGTTTGCAGGATATGCTGGTGGTTCTGAGCACAGGAAGCAGCCTCAGAGTAGATGCCTTTCCAAAAGCGACATGACACAAAAAGACAATTATTTAGATAATTTACTGCAAAATCTTCTAGAAAATTTAGGGGACATAAATCATTTATTTTACTGATTTACGCCAATGATTTTACTGATTACACCAATGATTCTGCTTTTGCCTCCTTAAATGTGGAAAAATTGCCTCAGTAAAGAGCCCTTTGTGCCCCAGCTCAATACTATTTTATAAACCTGCAATTAGAGGTCAATAAATGGTGTTCTAGAAAAGCCTAGTCTGGGGATGATTAAGATTGGGCCAAACTAAAAGTCCTGAGGATGACAACATTGGGGTCATCTTCACCTCGTTTCTAAAAATGTACCCTATTAGCAGAAATGAAACGAGTGGTAAAGACAACTGTTGTTATTGACAGAAACAATGGCAGCATTATCAACAATAATAATACCAGTTAAGTTATAGTTAACTATCCTCAAACCATGAAAATATTACCACAAATGTTAGCAAAGAGAGAGTCTTTTGTTTTTGAGATGGAGTCTCGCTCTGTCGCCCAGGCTGGAACGCAGTGGCGCAATCTTGGCTCACTGTAACCTCCGCCTCCCGGGTTCAAGCAATTCTCCTGCCTCAGCCTCCCGAGTAGCTAGGATTACAGGCACCCGCGAACACGCCCGGCTAATTTTTTGTATTTTTAGTAGAGACAGGGTTTCACCATATTGGTCAGGCTGGTCTCAAACTCCTGGCCTCAGGTGATCTGCCCGCCTCGGCCTCCCAAAGTGCTGGGATTACAAGCCACCGCACCCGGCCAGCAAAGAGAGACTTTCAAGCCTGAACTTAGGCAGTGATTCTTTTGTCAAAATAAGTTCAAGAACTTCAATTAATGGATGAGGAAAAATAATTTCATTTGCATTCCTATTTAAAAAGAGACACTAAAACATATGGTCAAAAGAAATGAGAAATTCCTGTACATGGTAAGATGAAAGTATAATGTGTAACTACTTTTACAGATGATTGGTGTATTTAGTGCTGCCAGCAGAGTAACCTTTATACGTGAGCATGTGTATATAATGCTGCAAAGAATGTGTAAATAATTCTAGTAGTCTATGTCTAAGGATATAACTGCTTAGGTAGATAAAGAGAGTACTATGCTTTATTCTAAAGCAAAATGCAAATTCAAAGTTAGCTCATATCAAAAAATCCTTTTATAATAATTACCACCATGTGAACAAAGCTTTATTTTTTAAAGATACTGATCTAAACTCAGGTCTTGTTCTTTGAAAATTATATCTTTGTTAGGCCAGGCGCAGTGGCTCACGCCTGTAATCCCAGCACTTTGGGAGGCCGAGGCAGGAAGACCATGAGGTCAAAAGATCAAGACCAGTCTGGCCAACATGGTGAAACACCTTCTCTACTAAAAATACAAAAATTAGCTGGGCATGGTGGCTCATGCCTGTAGTCCCAGCTACTCGGGAGCCTGAGGCAGGAGAATCACTTGAACTCGGGAGGTGGAGGTTGCAGTGAGCGGAGATCACTGCACTCCAGTCTGGCGAGAGAGCGAGACTCTGTCTCAAAAAAAAAAAAAAAAAAGAAAGAAAGAAAAGAAAAAGAAAGAAAGAAAAAAGAGAAAATAATAACTTGTTTAATTTGAAAAGTTAAAAAAACTGTAAAAAGTTGTGCTTGATATAAATCTTGACATTTAAACTGGAGCAATCTGAATTCTAGCTACAGCTGTCTAAAATCATAAGCAAGTAACTTATCAGATATATACAAGAATACTGATAAACCAAACCATTGATAAATTGCTTATTTCATAAGTAAATTTGGCAGGTAAGTGCAAAACTGTTCATTTTGTTTAAAATAGTGAAAAAATAAATTTACAAGTTGTATTTACTTTTTTGGCATGACTGTCTAACCTCTGTTGCTTTCAATCACTTGAGAAACCAATGACTTTCTCTGAAAAAAAGATAGCAGATATAAAATTTGGTTTGAAAAGCACACTCATAAATAATATGACATATAAATTGAAAATTTATTTTTCTGTGCCCTTTACTTCCAAAATGGTAACATTTCACAATTATGAACTCTTTGAGGAATGCAGTATTTTCTGGTTCAAACATAAGTAAATAAAACACAATGTAGTAAATGAGTTCAAGGTTGCAGAATACAAGATCAATATGAAAAAATCTATTGTATTTCTGTATACTAGCAATGTATAATCTAAAATGAAATTAGGAAATTATTTCATTTATGGCTGGGTGCAGTGGCTCACACCTGTAATCCCAGCACTTTGGGAGGCCGAGGTGGGGAGATCACCTGGGCCCAGAAGTTCAAGACCAGCCTGGGCAATATGGCAAAAACCTGTCTCTAATAAAAAGACAAAAAATTAGCCAAGTGTGGTGATACCCGCCTGTAGTCCCAGCTACTCAGGAGGCTGATGTGGGAGGCTCATCTGAGCTTTGGAAGTCGAGGCTGCAATGAGCCATGGTCACACCACTGCACTCCACCCTCGGTGATTGGAGTGAGACCCTGTCTCAAAAAAAAAAAAAGAAAACAGAAATTATTCCATTTATAACAGCATCAAAAATAATAAAACAGGAATACATTCAACAAAAGAAGGGCAAAACTTATACTCTGAAAACCACAAAACAATGTTGAAAAAAGTTAAAGATCTAAATAATGGTAAAGAAACCCCATGTTCATGACTGGAAGACTTAATATTGTTAAGATGGTAATACTCCTCAAACTGATTTACAGATTCAACACCAACCTATAAAAATATCATCTATTTCTTTGTAGAAATGGGCAAGTTGATCTTAAAATTCATGTGTAAACTTGAGGGACCTAGAATAGCTAAAACGATCCTGAAAAAGAAGAAAAAAGTTGAAGGACTCAGATTTCCCAATTTTGAAACTTACTACAAAAGCAGCAATATTCAAGATAGTGTGGGTACTGGCCCAAGACAGACGTAGAGATCAGTCGAATAGAATTTAGATTCCAGAAATAAACCCATATATCTGGTCAACTGATGTTTGACAACAGTGTCAAGATCATCCAAAGGGAAAGGATAGACTTTTTAGACAAATAGTGCTGGGTCGCCAGGGTATCCACTTGCAAAAGAATGAAGTTGAACCTCTGCCCTGAACTTCATATGATAATTAAAGCAAAATGTATCAAAGACCTAAATGTAAATGCCAAAACTATGAAACTCTTAGAAGAAAATACAACAGTAAATATTTAAGACTTTGAATTAGATAGGTGATGATTTCATAGATATACCCAAAGCACTCTGGGAGGCTGAGATAGGAGAAATGCTTGAGTCCAGGAGTTTGAGACCAGCCTGGGCAACATGGTGAGATCCCATCTCTACCAAAAAAAAAAAAAAAAAGATACTCCAAAAGCACAAGAAACAAAAGAAAAAAATAGATAAACGGGACTTCATCAAAATAAAACCTTTTGTGATGCAAAGGACACTCACTATCGAGAGTGAAAAGGCACACAGACTGAGAGAAAACATTTGCAAATCATATACCCAATAAGGAACCTGCATCTAGAATTTGTAAAAACAAACAAACAAAAACCCCACAACTCTTACAACCCAACAATAAAAAGAAGACAAATAATTCAATTTAAAAATAGGCAAAAGAGGGCGGACGTGACGGCTCACACCTGTAATCCCAGCACTTTGGGAGACTAATGTCGGAGGATAGCTTGAACTCAGGAGTTCAAGACCAGCTTAAGCAATATAGTGAGATCTTGTCTCTTAAAAAAAAAAAAGAAAAAAAGGGCAAACGAGGTAAATAGATGCATCTGCAAAGATGATATACAAATGGTCAATAAGCACATGAAAAGATGCTCAACATCATTAGTCATGAGAAGTGCAAATCAAAACCATGAGATACCATTTCACACCCACTGGGCTGGCTAGAATATGTTTTTTAAAAAGGAAAATAACAAGTGTTGAGGAGGATGTAGAAAAATCGGAACCCCCATACTTTACTGGTGGGAATGTAAGATGGGGCAGCCAATGTGGAAAACTGGCACAATGTGGAAAATCTGGCAGTTCCTCAAAAAGTTAAAAGTGAGAATTCACATTTGACCCAGCAATTCATTCACTTTTAGGTATATGCCCCCAGAGAAATGAAAACATATGTCCACACACAAACTTACATGTGAAAGTTCACAGCAGCATTATTCGTAATAGCCAGAAAGGAGAAACAACCCAAATGTTCCATCAACTAATGAATGGACAAACAAAATGTGGTGTATCCATACAATGCAATATTATTCAGCCAGAAAAAGTAAAGATATGGATCACCTGTAGCATCCATGTGCTACAACATGGATGAATATCAGGAACATTACGCTCAGTGAAAACAGTCGGCTGTGCGCTGTGGCTCACGCCTGTAATCCCAGTACTTTGGGAAGCCGAGGTGGGCGAATCACCTGAGGTCGGGAGTTTGAGACCAGCGTGGCCAACATGGCAAAACCCTGTCTCTACCAAAAATACAAAAATTAGCCAGGCATGGTGGTGCGTGCCCATAATCCCAGCTACGCAGGAGGCTGAGGCAAGAGAATCGCTTGAACCCGGGAGGTGGAGGTTGCAGTGAACTAAGATCGCGTCACTGCACTCCAGCCTGGGCGACAGAGTGAGACTCCATTTCAAAAAGAAAGAAAAGAAAAGAAAACAGTCACAAGAGACCACATATTATATGATCCTTTGATATGAAATGTCCAGAATAGGCAAATCTACAGAAACAGAAAGTAGATTAGAAGTTGCTTAGGGCTAGGGGAGATGGTGAAACTGAGGGAGTGATGGCTAAAAAGTACAGGGTTTTAGTGGGGGGTGGTGATGAAAATATTCTAAAATGGATTGTGGTAAAAGTTGTGCAACTGTGAATATACTAAGAGCCACGAATTGTACACTTTAAATGGATGAATTGTATGGTGGGTGAATTATACCTCAAGAAAACTGTTGGAAAAATATAACATGATTCAAATGACTCATTATCTTGAAATCAGACAGATTATTAGGTCCCTGTGAAAAAGATCCAAGGTACATTTATCCATTCATCCATCCATTCATTCATTCATTCATGAAAAGGCACAGGATAGGAAACAGGAGGAGGAGCAGGTTTGTGGGGAAATCAGTTCGGAAGATGCTAAGTTTGACAAACCAGAGGAACGCAATCCAGTAAGAGTAGCCCAGCAGGCAGCGGAGACTTCAATTATCACATCAGGATGGAGAAGCACGTACTAAAATTATAGATCTGGGGGTCATTTGCATAAACTGATAGTAGTCAAAATTAGAAGTAAGTAGAAAATGTGTAAGGCAGGATTTTTTTTCTGGAATTGTGGTAAAATACACATAACAAAATTTACCATCTTAACGATTTTAAGTGTACTGTTCAGTAGTGTTAAGTTTATTCACATTGTTGTGCAACCCATCTCCAGAACCATTTCATCTTGCAACACCGAAACTCTATACCTATTAAGCAACTACTCTCCATTTTCCCCATCCCCAGACCCCAGCACTCACCATTCCACATTCTTTTTCTGTAAGTTTAACTACTGTAGATACCTCATATAAGTGGAATTATAAAGTATTTGTATTTTTCTGACTCGTTTATTTCAGTTAGCATAAAGTCTTTTCTTCCACGTAGTATGTGTCAGAATTTCATTCTTTTTCAAGGCTATATGCTATTGTATGTATATTATCACATTTTGTTTATCCATTCATCCCTTGAGAGACACTTGGGTTGCTTCCACGTCTTTCTACTATGAATAATGCTGTGTGAACACAGGTGCAAGAAAATCTCTTTAGGATTTAGTTTAATTCTTTTGGTACATGTCCAAAAGTGAAACTGCTGCATCATCTAGTAATTCTATTTTTAATTTTTTGAGGAACCAGCATGCTTCTCTCCATTGCAGCAATACCATTTTACATTACCACCAACAGTATACAAGAGGTCCAATTTCTCCACAACCTTGTCAATACTTGTTACATATTTTCTGTGTTTTTTTAAAAATAGTAACCATCCTAATGGGTATGAGATGATATCTCATTGTTATTCCGATTTGTATTTCCTTAATGATTAGCAGTGTTGAGCATCTTTTCATATGCATGTTGGCCATTCTCTCTTCTCTTCTTTGGAGCATTTTCGATTCAAGTTCTTTGCCCAATTTTAATCAGGCCATTTTTGTTTTGTTTTGTTTTTAGTAGAGACGGGGTTTCCCCATGTTGGCCAGGCTGGTCTTGAACTCCTGACCTCAGGTGATCTGCCCGCTTCAGCCTCCAACGTGCTGGGAATTATAGACATGAGCTACTGCACCCAGCCAGGTAATTTTTTTTTCTTTTTTTTTTTTTTTTTGAGGTGGAGTCTCACTCTGTCACCCAGGCTGGAGTGCAGTGGCGCGATCTCAGCTCACTGCAACCTCTGCCTCCTGGGTTCAAGCGATTCTCCTGTCTCTGTCTCTGGAGTAGCTGGGAATACAGGTGTGTGCCACCACACCCAGCTAATTTTTGTATTTTTAGTAGAGACAGGGTTTCACCATATTGGCCAGGTTGATCTTGAACTCCTGACCTAGTGATCCTCCTGCCTCAGCCTCCCAAAGTGCTGGGATTACAGACATGAGCCACGGCACTCAGCACCGCCCCCCACCTTTTTTTTTTTTGAGACAGAATCTCACTTTGTCGCCCAGGCTGGAGTGCAGTGGCAGGATCTCGGCTCACTGCAACCTCTGCCTCCCAGGTTCAAGTGATTCTCCTGTCTCAGCCTCCCGAGTAGCTGGGATTACAGGCACACACCACCACACCTGGCTAATTTTTGTAATTTTAGTACAGACAGGGTTTCCGCCATGTTTCTCAGGCTAGTCTCAAACTCCTGAACTCAGTTGATCTGCCCACGTCAGCCTCCCAAAGTGCTGGGATTACAGGCATGAGCCACTGCCCCCAGCCTTGTTGTTGTTGTTGAGGCATTCTTAATTTAGGATGCATGAACTCCCCTAGTACGAATGGATGGGATTCAAGCAGTCATGAAGACACTGATACTGTGTACTAAATTATATGTGTACATACTTATTTTCTCAGAGAGTCTCTAGATCTAATCAGATTCATTTTCCACAGTGAAAAATTATCTTTTTTTCTGATTGTGTAAATGATGTTCATAGAAAAAGCCAAAGTCCATGTTTCCAAGTCCATTGTTTGTCTATTATTTTGTTTATATTTTCTGCATACAAAGGCTGTCATTTGTATATAGTCAAGTATGTCTGCATTTTTTATTAGAGTTTCAGAGTTTTTTAGCCAATCTAAAATCTAAAGGATAAGATGAGGAATATCCTCTCAGCTTTTAGATTGAACATATAATAACCTGGATTTCTTTGTGTGATAACTTCACTGTGTTGTTTTTACATTTAAGTTTTTAATCTTCCTGGAATTTATTTTGTTTTGGTATAAAGTGAAGCTCCTGTTTCATTTTCTCCTATATAGATGACAGATATTTTAATTTCTTTGTTTGAAAAAAACTATAAGGCAATGTAAATAATATTTAGTGATGGTAGGTATCTCATTTTTTAATGAAAATGGTATTTGTGTTTTGCCATTGCATATTTGTTTGCTGAGTTTTGCCATTCTGAAGCACATTTAAGTACAGATGCTTCTCAACTTATGATGGGGTTATGTTCTGATAAACAACCCCAAGTCAAAGTAAGTCAAAAACGGATTTAATACAGCTTACCTACCAAACATTATAGCTTATCCTAGCTCACTTTATTTTTTTATTTTTATTTTTTGAGATGGAGTTTTGCTCTTGTCACCCAGGCTGGAGTGCAATGGTGTGATCTCTGCTCACTGTAACCTCTGCCTCCTGGGTTCAAGCGATTCTCCTGCCTCAGGCTGCCGAGTAGCTGGGACTACAGGCACGTGCCACCATGACCAGCCAATTTTTGTATTTCACCACGTTGGCCAGGCTTGTCTCAAACTCCTGACCTCAAGTCGTCCACCCACCTCGGTCTCCCAAAGTGCTAAGATTACAGGCATGAGCCACTACACCCAGCCACCTAGCTCACTTTAAACATGCAGAGTTGGAGGGAGGCAGGGAATGCAAAAAATAAAAAATAAAACATGCTCAGAACACTTATATTAGCCTAAACTTGGACAAAATCATCTAACACAATGCCTGTTTTATAATAAAGTGCTAAATATCTCATGTAATTTATTGAATACTGTATTGAAAGGGAAAAACAGAATAACTGTGTATTATCATAAAGTCAAAAATTATAAGTCGAGCCATCATAAGTCAGGGGCCATCTATAGTTTTCCTTATATTCTTATTCCTGATCAGGAATGGCCACTGAATTCTATCAAATAACTTTTTAGCATTTATTTATATGCTTATATTTTTCTTTTTGATTATTGATGCAATAGATTAAGTAATAGGTTATTTGATAATAAACCATTATTGTATTTCTGAAATAAATCCTGTTTGTTCATAGCATATTATGCTTTTGCTACATAGTTAGACCTTGCTAATATTTTATTTTGAATTTTTACATCTATACTCATAAGTGAGATCTTTATAGTTTTATGTTGTTGTCTTAGTTTGGTGCTGCTATAACAATATATTGGAGACTGGGTAATTTACAAAGAACAGAAATTTATTTCTCACAGTTCTGGAAGTTAGGAAGTCTAAAATCAAGGCACTGGTAGGCTCAGGTGTCTGATGAAGCTGCATCCTGGGAGGGAGCTGTGTCCTCACATGGCAGAGGAGTTCAGGAGCAATCTAGCTAAATGCTGAGTGAAGTCCTTTGCATAAGGACCTTAGTCCTATTAATGAGGGAGGAGCCCGCATGACCTAGTCATTAATACTATCATGTTGGCAACACCTTAATTTTGGAGGGGACACATCAAACTGTGGCAGGTCTTATATTTTTCCGGTTTTGGTATTCAAGTTTACTGTTTTACAAAATGAATTAGAAGAGTTTCTTCTGGAATGGTAAATATTGTAATTATCTCTTCTTTTAAAGTCAGATAGACTCAGCTGGAAAGCCATATGGTTTTGGTGGCCTTTTTTGATAGATTTCCAATCACCTTCTCAGTCTCTTCTATAGTAATTGGCCTATTCACATTTTTTTCTTCTTTTGGGGGTCAGTTTTACTCACTTTTTTTTTTTTAACCCAGGAACTCATTCATTTCCTCTGTTTTCAAACTGCTGCCATAGAACTGCATGAAGTGACCTCTAACAACTCCTTTCATCTTTCCTATGTCTGTGAATATGACTTCTTTCTCTTTCCTCATTTTGCCTCTTGCTACTCCTGTCAGTGAGCATAAGGTGGGAGGAGGGGAGGGGTACCTATTTCACTGATGTTTTCAAAAAACAGATTTTAGATTTATTTGTCCTATCATTTTGGTTTTTAAAATTTAATTGGTTTCCACTTTCGCCATTATTAATTACCTCTTCCTTGTTTGTTTGGTTATTTTTTCTTTTTCTCACTTCTAATCTCTTAAAATGGATTGCTCATTCTTTTAATTTTTTTAATTCTCTAATGATGGTTAAGTCTATGATAAACTTTTTAATTTTTTATTTGTTTATTTATTTTTGAGACAGGGTCTCACTCTGTCTCCCAGGCTGGAGTACAGTGGCATGATCACAGCTCACTGCAGCCTGGACCTCCCACGGTCCAAGTGATCCTTCTGCCTCAGCCTCCTGAATCGCTGTGATTACAGGTGCCTGCCACCATGCCAGTCTAATTTTTGTATTTTTAGTAGAGAAGGAGTTTCGCCATGTTGGCCAGGCTGGTCTCGAACTCTTGACCTCAGGTAATCTGCCTGCCTTGTCCTCCCAAAGTGCTGGGATTAGCGACTTGAGCCACCACACCTGGCCCATGATAAATTTTTCTTCTTCTTATTTTTGTAAATAAAATTTAAGTGGCCGGGCATGGTGGCTCATGCCTGTAATCCCAGCACTTTGGGAGGCCCAGGTGGGCGGATCATTCAGTGGATCACTTTGTCAGGAGTTCGAGACCTGCCTGGCCAACATGGCAAAAAACCTGCCTCTACTAAAAATACAAAAATTAGCCTGACCTGGTGGTGCACGCCTGTACTCCCAGCTACTCAGGAGGCTGAGGCAGGAGAATCACTCAAACCCGGGAGGCAGAGGTTGTGGTGAGCCGAGATCACACCACTGCACTCCAGCCTGGGTGACAGAGCTAGATTCTTGTCTCAAAAAAAAATAAAAATATATAATTTAAACGTTGTAAATTTATTTAAATAATTTTGCATCCTTACATAATATTCCTTATCTTGTTTTGTGCTTTCAGTCTTAATTTAATTTTGGTTTGTTTGTTTGTTTGTTTTTTGAGACAGAGCCTCACTCTGTCTCCCAGGCTGGAGTGCAGTGGTGCAATCTCTGCTCGCTGCAACTTCCACCTCCTGGGTTCAAGTGATTCTCCTGCCTCAGCCTCCCAAGTAGCTGGGATTACAGGTGCCTGCCACCACGCCTGCCTAATTTTTGTATTTTTAGTAGAGATGGGGTTTCACCATGTTGGCCAGGCTGGTCTTGAACTCCTGACCTCCAGTGATCCACCTGCCTCGGCCTCCCAAAGTGCAGGGATTACAGGCGTGCAGGTGCCTGGTCACCTGCAATTTTTCATTCCATTCATGGTTACTCCCCTTTCCCCAGTCCCAAATTGAAGATGGTTTGATTTACAATTTTTTGACTTTACCGTGGGATGAAAGCCATACAAATTCAGTAGAAATTGTAATTCAAGAACCCATAGGGGCTGGGCGCGGTGGCTCAAGCCTATAATCCCAACACTTTGGGAGGCCAAGGTGGGCAGATCACGAGGTCAGGAGATCGAGACCATTGTGGCTAACACGGTGAAACCCTGTCTCTACTAAAAATACAAAAAATTAGCTGGGAGTGGTGGTGGTTGCCTGTAATCCCAACTACTCGGGAGGCTGAGGCAGAAGAATGGCTTGAACCCAGGATGCGGAGCTTGCAGTGAGCTGAGATCCACCACTGCACTCCAGCCTGGGTGACAGAGCGAGACTCTGTCTCAAAAAAAAAAAAAAAAAAGAACCCATATGACCATTCTGTTTTCACTTTCAGTACAGTATTCAATAAATTCCATGAGATATTCAACACTTTATTATATAATAGGCTTTGTGTTACATGATTTTGCCCCACTGAAGGCTAATGTAAGTGTTCTGAGCATGTTTAAGGTAGGCTAGGCTAAGCTATGATGTTTGGTAGTCAGGTGTATTAAATACATTTCAACTTAGGATATTTTCAACTTACAATGATTTTATTGGGATGTAACCCCATTATAAGTTGAGGAGATTTGTATATATCTCTAGCATTATTTGTAAATCAGTCAATCCCTGAGACGCAGTGTTTTCCCCACCACAATGTTCTAATCCAGCTCTACCGCACCCCAACTCTCCTCTACCTCACAGTTAAGATTTTTATATAACATTTGTCCTCATTCTCCTTTTCTACTGTTCTCCTCTTGTTCATGAAACATCTGGAACACCTCCTCTTCCCTCCTCTAAAGACTTCAATAACCAGAGGACCTATTGCCTCTTGGTTTCATTTTAAAAATCTCCTATATAAAGCAACCAATAAGTCCAATCTTACCTATTTCATGGTTTGGTTGGAGCCTAAAGTGAGGAAATGTCTGTGCAAGCACCTTGTGATCTGTAAAAAAGGTATACACACATTAGGGCCAGGCGCGGTGGCTCACACCTGTAATCCCAGCACTTTGGGAGGCCGAAGCAGGTGGATCACCTGAGGTCAGGAGTCCGAGACCAGCCTGATCAACATGGAGAAACCCCATCTCTACTAAAAATACAAAATTAGCTGGGCATGGTGGTGTGTGCGTGTAATCCCAGCTACTTGGGACGCTGAAACAGGAGAATCGCTTGAACCTGGGAGGCGGAGGTTGCGGTGAGTCAAATTCTCCTAGAAGAGAGAGATATATACATGCTAGAGATATATACAAATCACGCCATTACACTCCACCCTGGGCAACAAAGTGAAACTCCATCTCATTAAAAAAAAAAAAAAAAAAAAAAAAAAAAAGGTATACACACATTAGGAAGAGAGGGTTTGTAGAGAGGACATGGTGTGCTGAATATGAAGTTTAACCTTTAAAGAATTTCTAGTAGGCATTACACTATGAAAAAACAAAGGAAATTGGCCCATGACTGTGTTTATTACAATGCTGATAATCACATTGTTTGCTGAATGTTACTATAGTACTATATAACAAAATCTAAGCACTTTGCAAAGTCCTCTATAATTTCAGCCTATTTCTTACCAAATTCTCTTAAGAAGCCCAGGATCAAGTGAACAGCCTTATTTACAGCAATCAACCACAACATTTCAAACTTAAATCATTGCATTTTAGAGCTTAAAAAAGGGTTCTAAAGAACTTTAATAACATGGACATTGTCATGATTATTATAATAACTATTATTTGTTGAGTGCTGATTGTGTCCTAAGAATGATGCTAAGGGTTTCACATATATTATCTCACTAAAGCCTTAAAATAACACTAATTGTCACTTGCTTAAAGTCATCCAGCTAATACCTGAAATAGGTTTAAAACCCTAGTCTGCTTGACTCTCAAGACTGGAATCTTGTCCTCCCTCCCCATTTTTGCCGATGAGAAAATAGACAAGCCTAGAAAGATTATATGAGTTGTCCAACATCATACAGCTATTAAGTAGCAGAACCAGAACTAAAATCTAGGCCAGGCACAGAGGCTCATACCTGTAATCCCAGCACTATGGGAGGCTACAGTGCAAGGATTGCTTGAGTCTAGCAGTTTGAGACCACCATGGGCAACACAGTGAGACCCCCTCTCTACAAAAAATTAAAAAAATTAGCTAGGCATGGTGGCATGTGCCTGTAGTACCATAAAGTAAAAAAAAAAAAAAAAAAAAAAAAAAAGAAAAGAAAAAAAAAAAGAAAGACTACATCTCCTATTCTTAAGCCCAGATTCTCTCCTTTATATAACACAGCCTGTTGGAGAACTAAGCACAGGGCACAAAATTTATTCAGTACTTAACAAAAGAAACATAGAAATAAAAACCTGAACTTCACATTCAGAAAACTAGTGATTACTGATTTTTAGTCTATTTTGCAGTCAACAGCAAAATATATTCAGTAGCCAGGATGGGAATTGGGAAAGCAGCATTAAGGCATTAAATAGGGTACATATTCATGGATCCTGGTCCCAAACTCAGTGAAGTGAACCATGATCTGTGAAAGTGGTTAGTAATCAAATGTTCCTATGGCATAGATACAGTAGAGGAATCCATGGAAGAACATAGAAAGCCTTGGAGCTAAGAAGCATGAAAGATGATTTAAAGGGGAGAGAGCTGTCCTGGATTGTTCATGGAGCAGAAACAGTCTCCCCAGATCTCTCCAAAGGGCTCTTCCCATGCCTTTGCTTTGTACCTTTGAATCTCCTGCACCTGGATGGCAGGGGGCCAAGAGGCCAGGGGAGTGTCTCAGGCCTGGGTGTTTTCAGGGCTGACCTAAACGTTCATCTCTGGAAAGCAGCAGGTGCCTTGTCAATCTCCCTAAGCCCTAGGAGAATGTAGAACAATGGCCTCCTCAGTCCCAGCAGTCAGCGCCAGCTCTCCTCAAGGCTACCTCCCTTCCATTTAAGTCCCTTTTTATTGAAGTCAGTTGAATGCTCTCTTATCCGCATTAAAGGGGCTTGGGCTGCTTGAAGCTACAATTAGATTTTTATGCCACCTGGGCATAGAAGGCTCACTTCATTTCCAATGTCTCACCATTTCAGTAGGTTTTTATTTTGAAGTTCACAATTAATTTTTGGTCAGCAAAGTATGAGATGAAAGGAAAACTAGACTGGTACACAAAATACTACCTGTGTTACACAGGGAGTCCAGGGCAAAAGACATTGTGACTCCTAACCAATCGTGAGAGGTATGCTCACAAGTGTATCAGCTCAAACCACTGTAATTGTTCCTACAACTCCCCTTGCTGGCCAATGTGAAGAGCGACACAAGAAAAATGAACACTTCTCAGTCTGTTACCTCTTCATCTTCCCTCATATCCAAATACCCCAAGAATGGAAAAAACAAGGGGGAAATGGTAAGGAAAAAAACCTAGCGTGAGGGGACTAAAATGGATAGCCTTTGTTTTCTCTGTTTTTGAGGGGCAGGGGGGTGTCAGCTATTCCAGTGGGAAATGCAATGAGATAATTATTTTGCTGAAGAAAAATGCCCTCCCCGGTGTAAAAACTGCATGCTATTCACCTTCATATACCTCATAAGAAATAACAGAAGTTACGTGGGCAAGAGTTATACCCAAAGCACCAGGGAGTCTAGATTTGTCAAAGCCATGACCTCTAGCTAATCACAGGGTAGTAGGAGAAAGTGAATTATATTTGTTAAATCTGGCAGTAATCATGATGAATTGCAAATTCCGAGTATCATCAATTTGGTTATCTCACTGAAATGACATTTTTAATTCAGTAGGAAAATTCCTGTTACATATATTTATTGAGAAATTAAAACATGACACTATACCCGATTCATTTAAATCTGATGGAAAGGTGACATCGGGAATATAGTCTATTAAATACACAAATTTCTGACAGGAACGTGCATTAGAGTGTTTTGGGAGACATAAGTAGCTATCAGCTATAAAAACTCATTGTCACTTGAAATTAGAGTAATAGTTCCTGTGCCCTGGAGCCTCATAACAGCAGATTTGTTCTTTCGTGTAGTTCTCCCATTATTAGTAGCCTCATCACTAGGTCACCTTCTGATCAAACCTTATGAACAAATTCTGTATAATCCAGAAGTGATTTTCCTCCCATTGGTTAAACTACTCTGAGAAAATAAGCTTCTTTGAAAGCCATTTTGAGGTTTTGCATTAACTCTGAAATTCCCTATTTAGTTAGTACTTTATGCTTTTCTAATAATTCATAAAATAATGTCCTCATGGCAATTATGTTTGGTGTTGATGAGCCAGAGTGATTGTATTACAGAATATCCATGATTTTTCATTGGATATTCTGTTAGCTATGATAATCCATGATTATTCATTGGACATTCAGTTAGCTAATGCAGAGGAAAAGATTTTCAAGTATCAGATCATTCCAATAAATTTTAAAAGTCTGCCTATCCTTGTTTCTGCTCATTGATCTTGCGTGTCTAACAATTATTCTGAGTTCTCTCAATGATGCTGGACATCGACATCTTTCAGGCATGACATCTAAAACAAGGACAATGATGTGGTGTTTGATGGTCAGGCCAAGCTAGAACATTGTGCAAGACTGAGGGGCTTGCAGTTGGATGCCACATTCTAAAAGGGACGTTGCCAAATGGGAGGGCCAAGTTGCAAAAATGAGGCCAGGATAGTAAGGGGACTCAAAGCATGTGATACCAGGAAAACGTGACTCCTCTGCCTTCTTGCATATCACCTTCTCCCACCTTCACCTCCTTCCCTTTACAGTTTAAGTTCCATGGTCCATTACTGCAACTACTCTTTTGCAAAAAACTCTGTCATCCTTGCTGCGTTTCATTCTTCCATTACAGGTGCCAGGCAAAAAGACCGACTCCAGATCAAACCACCTATCCGTTTCTCTGCTAAGATCCCCAGGCTGCTGACTTTGCAAGAAGAAATCTTACAAATGTACACATCAATTGCACTGTAAACTAATAGTCTCCATCCTTAACTGGTTCCTCAAAACGACATGGTAGTCATTTAGTATTTTCCTAGGTGGCTCTCTCTCCTTTGCACAGTGCTTCACAGAATTCAACGTTTTCACTTTCCTCAAAATCTGACGCCTGCCTTCCTCCCCAACAGAGAAGATAATGCTATTAAGGAACTCCTTCACCTTCTCACCCTAACCAGTGGTATGAGTAAATGCCTGATAACTGGCTCTCCAGATGTCAGGGTATGGGGAAGTACTGATGTATAGTATTTACTAATTTCCATGATGTAAATATCCCCACTGTGGCTGAATTCCAGCTGTTAATGTGAGGTTAACCAATTAGCAAAATTGCTGAAAATTTAACAATTGGCTCCTGTGAGCTTGTAGGAGCTGGTTCCAGCACCCACTGCATACAACTCAGAAACTTAAATGGATCCAAGGCATCCTATCCTCCTTCCCACATCTGTTACAATAGGAGAGAGGTCTCTCCTATTCTCCTCCTATCTAAAGCAAATGATCTGCCTTCTATGGTATCTTGTTCTATCAATTAAAATCCTTTTTTCTTGTATCTTCTACTTCCCCCTAACCTCTTTTTTTTTTTTTTTTTTTTTTTTTACAGAGCCTGGCTCTGTCGCCCAGGCCGGAGTGCAGTGGCACAATCTCAGCTCACTGCAAAGTTCGCCTTCCAGGTTCAAGTGATTCTCGTGTCTCAGCCTCCCAAGTAGCTGGGATTACAGGTGCCTGCCACCATGCCCGGCTAATTTTTGTATTTTTAGTAGAGACGGGTTTTCACCATGTTGGCCAAGCTGGTCTCGAACTCCTGACCTCAAGTGATCCGCTCGCCTCGGCCTCCTGAAGTGCTGGGATTACAGGTGTGACTCACCATGCCTGGCCCTGAACCTCCCCCTTTTTTACTGACTGACTTCTTTTTCTCATTTAAACTTAGTTAACCCTGTCCCACCTTTTCTATTTGTTTGTTTTAAGAACCAACTCTATTTGACTCCACATTTCCCTCTGGTTATGTCACAGATCTACTTCATAAAAGAATGGTTTCCACTGCCTGACTTACTCATCTGCTTACTGAAATCTGGGTTTCCACTGAAATCTCCTAAGTTACTAACAACTTCCTTGTTACTAAATTCAATAGCAAATTTCAGTCCTTGCTCTACTGACCTCTCTTTAGCAGCTGACACATTTGACCACTTCTTTCCTTGGCCTCTGTGACTCGATGATCCTACGATTCTCCTCATTCCTCTTGGCCTCACCTCTGTTTCCTTTTCTGGCTCCTCCCTTCTGTCTTTCTCTGACTTGTTAGTGTTTCCCCATGGTTCTACCAAAAGATAAGAGATCCCTTCTCTTTTCATTCTACTTTCCCTGGATCTGATCTCCTCCCATGGCTACAATTACCATCCCCAGGTGGATGACTAGTGATGGTTCCAGGCCAAGTCTTTGCATCTAGTAGGCATATTTGTTTGAATATCTTTGGAAGTATCATGATCGTAACATTTCTAAACTGAAAGCTCCCCAAATCGCCTCCCTTTCTGTGCTCCTGGAACAGTGAAGGGCCCCAAGTTGCCCATGCCAGAACCTTGATTCCTTTTCTCTGATACCTCATTCCAATTAATCACTAAGTCCTGCTGATTCAACTTCACATCTCTTACTCCTGTCTACCTCTCATCATCCTCAGGGTTACCACCCTGGTTCAGGCACACTACCTCTCACCAAGGTTATCCTTCCTGGTCTCCTAACCGGTCTTTCCACTTCCAGCCTTGCCTCACCCCAATCCATCCTACATTCTGCAGTGATGTCTCAAAAACGCAAATGTGATCATGTCATTTGCCTCTTCAACAGCTTCTGATGGTTCCCCTTTGTTTTGTCACATGAGTGGTCTGACCCTCATCTGCCTCTTCCTGCTCCCCACCGCATTTCCACTGATCTAAACTTTTTTCAGTTCCCTAAGCATACCATGTGCTGTTTCATCTGTGGGCCTTTAACTATACTGTTTACTTTGCCAAGAACACCATAATTTACTTCCTGGTGAATAGAGACAGGAAGTAAATTATATTCATAATC
The DNA here is from genome assembly GCF_000001405.40 of Homo sapiens. Classification (NCBI taxonomy): domain Eukaryota; kingdom Metazoa; phylum Chordata; class Mammalia; order Primates; family Hominidae; genus Homo; species Homo sapiens. The sequence goes on from NC_000004.12 coordinate 40,722,983, forward strand.
TCTCTTACCGTAACTTACTGCTTCTTAGACATTACTTACTGCTTCTTAGAAATTACTTCCTGCATAAGTGCCGCTGACCCAGCCCCCTCCACCTCCTGCAATGTTTGTTTAACTTGTCTGTCTCCCTGATAAACACTAACCTCCATAAGGACTGGGACCTTGTCTATTCTCTTCACCCCTGTATCCCCATTGATTTAAATCAATAACTCCATCCTCATTCTACCCCCTGCAGCCCCTGGCAATCAATCACCAATTTACTGTCTCTATGGAATTCAACCTCCCTCAGCAAGTTGCCAGTGGGAAATACTGAGCCTAGACCTACTATTAACTTTTAAAATAAGAATATTGAGTTAGTAATTAAGTGCCAATTATTAAACTTTTTTGTGCCTTATTTCCTTAACTTTGAAAGGATGCCTACTCATTCAAGGGCCCAAGCCAGATGACCTGCAGGGGTTTTTTTTGGTTTTGTTTTTTTTCTTTTTTGAGATTGTGTTTCGCTCTTGTTGCCCAGAGTGCAATGGTGTGATCTCGGCTCACCGCAAACTCTGCCTCCTGGGTTCAAATGATTCTCCTGCCTCAGCCTCCAGAGTAGCTGGAATTACAGGCACATGCCACCACGCTCGGCTGATTTTGTATTTTTAGTAGAGACAGGGTTTTTCCATGTTGGTCAGGCTGGTCTCGAACTCCTAACCTCAGATGATCCACCTGCCTCGGCCTCCCAAAGTGCTGGGATTACAGGCATGAGCCGCCGAACCCAGCCTGACCTGTAGTTTTAATTGCTTGACAGTCATATAAAACTTTGCCTTATTCAGCTTCTCATTTATGGTTCTGGTCAATTCATAGAATTTCCACTTACAGGAATGTCAGTTTCTGTGGCAGGAAGCAAAACCTCTCAGTATGCTCTGAGGAACCTTCCATGACTGCCATGACCAGTTCCTCAAGTCCCTGCCTTCCAGCCTACACTCTTCCCTATTCTCTAAATATGAGTTTCTTCCACTCTGATTTCAAGGAACTTGGATTATGGCAAGTCAACTTTTGAGACAGGGTCTCACTCTGTCACTCAGTCTGGAGTGCAGTGGCACAATCTTGGCTCACTGCGATCTCCAGTTCCAGGACTCAAGCCAGCCTTCCACTTCAGCCTCCTGAATAGCTGGGACCACAGGCACGCACCACCGGACCCAGCTAATTTTTCTGTATTTGTAGAAATGGGGTTTCACCATATCACCCAGGCTGGTCTTGAACTCCTGAGCTCAAGTGATCCTCCCGCCTCGGCCTCCCAAAGTGCTGGGATTACAGATGTCAGCCACTGTGCCAGGGGCAAGTCAACATTTTAAAACCTGTCTTACTTAAAAAAAAAATTTTTTTTAAATAAATGAATAAATAGGCCAGGTGTGGTGGCTCACGCTTCTAATTCCAGCACTTTGGGAGGCTGAAGTGGGTGGATCATCTGAGGTCAGGAGTTTGAGACCAGCCTGGCCCACATGGTGAAACCTCTTCTCTACTAAAAATACAAAAATTAGGTGGGCGTGGTGGTGGGCACCTCTAATCCCTGCTACTCGGGAGGCTGAGGCAGGAGGATCACTTGAACCCAGGAGGCGGAGGCTGCAGTGGGCCGAGATAACAACATTGCCCTCCAGCCTGGGTGACAAGGGCGAAACTCCTTCTCAAAAAAAAAAAATAATAAAAGAATAAATAAATAAAACCTGTCTTACATAAAATATTTTAATTGCCTCTATTCAAAATCTATCTTTTAGTTAAGACTTTTTTACATTTTTAGTTTTTGTTTTCAGAAATATGTAATGAAAAGTAATAGTAAAAAAAAATTGACATTATTTTAAGGTAAAGATACATCTTCCATCTCCAAGGCTGCTTTATGAATTGTAATTGGAAAAAATAGCTGATCAAATAATCTTTTCCCTAAATATCGTATTTAACATTAATTGAAGTCTATGAGGTACTAGGCACAATGCTAAAACTTTTATCTACATTGCCTTAATTAAAACCCAGGGCAACCCAGCAAGATAGGAAATATTATTATCTCCATTTTGCCGATGAGAAAACTGAGACTGAGAGATTAAATGACTTGTCCAAGGTTACATGGCTAGTAACTAAAGATCAGAACCTAGGTTGGTCTCTGACTACAGAATCCAGAATCCATTATGTTCTTTCCGGGAAAAAAAAATTAATGGTCAAGTTAAATGGTAGCTTGATCACATATTGTCTACTCTGAAAAGTAGCATTAAATTCTGTTTTTGTTTTTGCTTTTGGTTTTTTTGAGACGGAGTCTCACTCTATCACCCAGGCTGGAGTGCAGTGGCGCGATCTCGGTCACTGCAACCTCCGCCTCCCAAGTAGCTGGGACTACAGGCGTGTGCCACCACTAGCATGACTAATTTTTTTATTTTTAGTAGAGATGCGGTTTTGCCATGTTGGCCAGGCTAGTCTCAAACTCCTGACCTCAAGTGATCCACCCACCTCAGCCTCCCAAAGTGCAGTGATTACAAGCACTGTGCCTGGCCACATTAAATTCTGTTTTAAATGTTTACAGCAGCCGGGTGCAGTGGCTCACGCCTGTAATCCCAGCACTTTGAGAGGCCAAAGTGGGCAGATCCCTTGAGGTCAGGAGTTCCAGACCAGCCTGGCCAACAAGACAAAACCTCCATCTCTACTAAAAATACAAAAATTAGCCAGGCATAGTGGTGGGTGCCTGTAATCCCAGCTACTTGGGAGGCTGAGGCAGGAGAATCACTTGAACCCGGGAAGCAGAGGTTGCAGTCAGCCGAGATCACGCCATTGCATTCCAGTCCGGGGACAGAGTGAGACTCTGTATCAAAAAAAAAAAAAAAAAAAAAAAGTTTACAGCCTTCAATTTGATTATCTCTTTGATAATAGAAAAATATATGTAAGCTTCACAGAGCCTTGCATCATGCTGGCCTTATGGTAGATAACCTATCAAAATGCTCATCATATTGTCTTACAAATGGTAAAGGCTTAATAAATATGTGCTCATCAGTTATGAAAATTATTTTCTTTCTTTTTTTTTTTTTTGAGATGGAGTTTCGCTCTTGTTGCCCAGGCTGGAGTGCAACGGTGCGATCTCAGCTCACCGCAACCTCTGCCTCCCGGGTTCAAGCAACTCTCCTGCCTCAGCCTCCCGAGTAGCTGGGATTACAGACATGCGCCACCATGCCCAGCTAATTTTGTATTTTTAGTAGAGACGGGGTTTCTCTATGTTGGTCAGGCTGGTCTCGAACTCCCGACCTCAGGTGATGCGCCCACCTCAGCCTCCCAAAGTGCTGGGATTACAGGCGTGAGCCACTGTGCCCAGCCGAAAATTATTTTCAATTGGACCAATTTTGTTGGAACCACCAGCAGTTTCTTTCATTCCATTATTCATAAATTGCAACTTTATTTTTTTCCCCAGGTTCACATGAGGACGGTAAACAATTTCTAATTTTATACTTAAATTTTAAGCCAGGTAAATATATGCTATATAATAGCATTACAAAGGATTGCTCTGATGTCACCTGCATGTTTATAAATTAGATGAAATTAATTTTATTGGGTAGTCTATAAGGATTTGATTTCAACCATACATTCTCACTTTTTACTCTTACAATTTTTTATTGAGTTATAACTCCATATGCCATAAAATTCAACATTTTAAAGTATACAACTCAGTGGTTTTTAGTATATTCACAAAGTCATGCAACCATCACCACTATATAATTCCAGAACATTTTTTCATCACCCCCAAAAGAAATCCTGTATCCACTAGGAGTCACTTTTCATTCCTCCTTCCTACCATCCCCTGGCAACACTATTTACTTTTTGTCTCCATGGATTTGCCTATTTGGGACATTTCATATAAATGAAATCATACAGTAGATGGCATTTTGTGTCTGATTTCTTTAACTTAGCATGATGTTTTCAGGGTTCATCCATGTTGTATCATGTATCAATACTTCATTCTTTCTTATAACCAAATAATATTCCATTGTATGAACAAACTACATTTTGTTTATCTAATCATCAGTTGATGGACATGTGAGTCGTTTCTACCTTTTGACCATTGTGAATTGTGCTGCTATGAACATTTGTGTACAAGTTTTTGTTTGAACATCGTTTCCCATTTCTCCTAGGAATATAATTACTGAATAAAATGGTAAGTCTACGTTTAAATTTTTGAGGAACTGCCAAACTGTTTTCCAAAGGAAATTTATCATTTTTACATTCCCACCAGCAATGTATGGGTTCCAATTTCTCCATGTCCTCACCAACACTTAGTTTCCTTCTTTTAAAAATATGATTATCCCAGTGGGTGTGAAGTGGTATCTCATTGCGATTTTGACTTGAATTTTCATAAAGACTAATGATACTGAGCATCTTTTTTATGTGCTTATGGGCACATGAATTTCTTCTTTGGAAAAATGTCTACTCAGATCTTTTGCTTATATGTTAATTGGGTAATCTGTCTTTTTAGTTTGAGTTGTAAGACAGTTTTAAAAAATAAATTCTGGATACAAGCCCTTTATCAAACAAATGATTTGAAAAGAGTTTCTCCCATTCTTTGGGCTACCTTTTCATTTTCTTGACAGTGTTTTTTGTACCACTAAAGTTTTTGCTCTTGATGATGTATATTTAAATTTTTTTACGACATTCAATTTATCTTTTTTCTTTTGTTGTTGATGATATATATTTAATTTGCTCTTGATGATGTATATTTAAATTTTTATGACGTTCACTTTATCTTTTTTCTTTTGTTGTTTTTGCTTTTGGTGTCATAGCTAAGAAACTATTGCCTAATACAAGGTCACAAAGATTTCTGTTGTATTCTAAGAGTTCAGTAGTTTTAGGTCTTACATTTCAGTCTGTGATTCATTTTGAGTTAATTTTTGTATATGTGTTTAAAACACACACACTAGCATTTTAAATTTTGTATTTGTAATCATATACGTTATCTACCATTGTTTATACAGAAGTGGTTTAAGTAGTAGAAAATTACAGTTTTCAAGTCATCAATCTTATTAAATAAGAAATCACAGCAAATACAGTTACCATAGCAAAAAATTCATCATAATATAAATATAATAACAAACTTCCTTTGTATATTACATTAAACTCAGTAACTTTTTCATAGCATTTGCTTAATCTTAATCTGCATGTATTCCTTCTGTAACATTTTGAGCAGATAAGAGGAATTTTGATAAAGCTATGATACAATATTATATTTTTTCCAAAACATAGCCAGTTTTAAGTTGTTCTGTTTAAATGAATCAGAAAGAAGCAATGAGGAATATTAGAGATATATCCTTTTCAGTAGTAGATATTTGAAAGTTTATTTGAAGCAAAGTAATGTCAAGGTACCTATTCGTCAGATCTACTGAATACCTTTCATGAACACACATTTCAGTTTGAAAGCATTTAAACAAAGGTATAAACTGCATACCCAGAGAAACAGACAGCAGGATTCAAGAAGAGAACAAAGAAACAAGATCAATCTAGTTTGCCAAACAGTGGCTCCCTGTGTCTGAAACAATTGGAGAACTTTGCAGCAATTTTGTTTTAGAAGTTTTCTGTAAACGAGTTTAAAGTCCAAAGAACGAAGCTCATTTCAGAGGTGAAGACACTGTTAAATTGTTGGGTAAAATGCTTCATAAGTATACACTCCTCTATAATTAGCATTGCTTATTTCCCAGTATTATAATTTATATTAGTCCCATATTAAAACCAAGATTCTGAGAAAAAAGAAATGGACCGTGATAAAAATGTAAATTCTTCTGAAGATTTTTTGTTAAAAAATTAATTTAGGCACCGAGCACAGTGGTTCATGCCTGTAATCCCAGCACTTTGGGAGGCAGAGGTGGGCAGATCATGAGGTCAGGAGTTCAAGACCAGCCTGGTCAACATGGTGAAACCCCATCTCTACTAAAATACAAAAATTAGCCAGGCATGGTGGCGTGTGCCTGTAATCCCAGCTACTCAGGAGGCTGAGGCAGGAGAATCACTTGAACCCAGGAGGCGGAGGCTACAGTAAGCCGAGATCACGCCATTGCACTCCAGCCTGGGCGCCTGGGTGACAGAGCAAGACTCCATCTCAAAAAAAAATTAATTTAGGGTCGGGTGTGGTGGCTCACTCCTGTAATCTCTGCACTTTGGGAAGCCAAGGTGGGAGGATCACTTGAGGCCAGGAGTTTGAGACCTGGGCAACATGGCAAAACCCCATCTCTACTAAAAATACAAAAATTAGCCAGCATGGTGGTGCACACCTCTAGTCCCAGCTACTCGGGAGGCTGAAGCACAAGAGTCACTTGAATCCGGGTGGCAGAGTTTGCCGTGAGCCAAGATGGTGCCACTGCACTCCAGCCTGGGCGACAGAGCAAGACTCCATCTCAAAAAAAAAAAAAAGATTTAATTAATTAACAGAAACTAAAGTGGAAAGATTTTGCATGGAGATTGAAGCAGAAGCTATTTTTACATTTTCAATAAAATTAGGAAGATTAACTCTGGGGCACTGGTGACTTTCTGATATATAAGTTACTTCATGTTGTGATATGCTCTTTCAGTGATCGTACCTTTCATCCTCAAAAGAAGATCTCTTTCAGCAACTTAGAGGCAAAAACATTTTGATATAGCACATATACAAAACCATATGTGGCACTGTGATTGTTCTTTGAGGACAGTGGCTCCCAATCTTTTCTCACTGTCATCCTAGATGACTATTATTAAGTGTTTTTTCAATCAGGAGATTTTTCCACTTATGTTTGACAGCAAGTTGACAAGGCTGTGAAAGCATGTCAGCTCTGCTCAGGATGATCACTGTGGGTTTTCTTGCATCATGAAGGTTGTTGAGTGTGCCTTGCTTTGGCGTCTCTGAAACCCCTTTCAATGATGCTAACTTGTTTGTGGCCTGGGAACATGTGATGGCTATGCTTTCCAAATTGGGGTTCCAATGTAAGCTTTGGGACAACAGATTGTCTTGTTGCCCGCTATATCCCCAGTATCTAGAATACAGTCTGGCATAGTGCTCAATAAATAATTATTGAATAAAAAAGAAGAAGAGGGGCTAGGCACGGTGGCTCACGCCTGTCATCTCAGCACTTTGGGAAGCAGAGACAGACAGATCACTTGGGGTCAGCAGTTTGAGACCAGTCTGGTCAACATAGTGAGACCCTGTCTCTACTAAAAATACAAACAATTAGCTGGGTGTAGTGGCACACGCCTGTGGTTCCAGCCACTTGGGAGGCTGAGGTGTAAATACTGCTTGAGCCCGAGGGGCAGAGTTTACAGTGAGCTGAGACTGCATCACTGCACTCTAGCCTGGGTGACAGAGCGGACTTTGTCTCAAAAAAAAAAAAAAAAAAAAGAAGAAGAGGAGGCAAAAGAAGAAGGAAGGGAAAGAGAAGGGAGAGAAAGAAGAAGTTAAGAAAGAGAAAAGGAGAAACAAGAGGAAGAGAGAAGATGAAAAGAAAGGAAAAAAGTGGTAGTAGAAGAAAAAGGGGAAGAATAAACTGCTACCACCGCACAAAGTGTTTATGGTGGTATTATAGAAGGAATGCAATTAAAGAAGAAGAACTAATATTTGGCAAGAATTGACTTTACCCAAAGAATTGCAGTGGGGAGGAAAATATAATGGTAAAATCAACATAGATATGTGATAAAGGAAGATGCATAATTCGCATTAGACAATAAACTTTTTTTTTTTTTTTTTAAAGACAGAGTTTCGCTCTTGTTGCCCAGGCTGGAGTGCAGTGGTGTGATCTCGGCTCACTGCAACCTCCGCCTCCTGTGTTCAAGCGATTCTCCTGCCTCAGCCTCCTAAGTAGCTGGGATTACAGGCGTGTGCTACCATGCCTGACTAGTTTTTGTATTTTTAGTAGAGATGGGGTTTCACCATGTTGGCCAGGCTGGTCTCGAACTCCTGACCTCAAGTGATCTGCCCACCTTGGCCTCCCAAAGTGTTGGGATTACAGGAGTGAGCCACCACACCCAGCCAGACAAAAAACTCATTCCCTGCTTCCCCAGGTCCACAGACTTTCAGGTTTAGAAGGGGTCAAATTAATCATTTTCTCACATCAGCCATATCAGATGCTTGAATCCAGGGTTTGGCAAACTTTTTCTGAAAAGGGTCACATAGTAAATATCTTAGGCTTTGAGTGGCACAGTCTCTGCTCCATTATGCCACTGTAACACAATATGCTAAAAAAAAATTGTATGATTGTGTGGTAATAAAACTTAATTTACAAAAACAGGTGGTGGGCCAGGTGTGGCCCGTGGACTGTAGTTTGCAGACTCCTACTTGTATATGCCCTGTAATATTCCAACAATGCTGATAACCTCTGTTAGCATTTGCTGCAATAGAGAAACTCACCACTTTTCAAGGAAAACTATTCCATCTTTGCATAACTTTGATTATAGAAAGCCATTCTTTACACATTGAGTCAAAATCTGTTTCTCATGTTATTGTAATATTAGGTATTTGCTGTTTGTCTCTTTGTGTTTAAGTCACTATAATCTAGTGGTTTTGTTTTTTGTTTTCTTCTATTTTTTAAAACATTTTTGAGGAAGTTTTTTTTTTTTTTTTAAAGACAACTTCTGCTTCCAGTCAAGATGGAGCAACAGGGACCTGATTTACCCTCCCACCTGAAATAACCAAAAAACTGGACAAAATATTAAGAAACAACAGCATTCAAGATATTGACACTAGGCAACTGAGGACAGTGATCCCTGAAAGATGGAAACAAATGAGGTGTAACTATAATTATCTCCAGCTAAATGTGTAGAGAATATTTTCAGGCCCCAGCACACTGGGAGCCCAAGTGGAGACCGGCAGTGTCTCTGGGTCGAGGACATTCAGTTGCAAGTCCAGGACAGCCAAGTACAGGATCAGAAAGCTGTGCAGAGAGACAGTTCTGGAGGTGTGCCAAGGGTCCACTTTAGTCTCCGGTTGAGTATTAATTAACGCGTATGTGTGAGGAAGTTACCCAAGGTCAGGGAAAGAACCACGTGAAAGGATTAAACAGAAGAGGAAACAGTTGTTGGAGCTCACAAAAGGCCAGAGAGTCCCTATTCCTACCAACCACAGTAGAAAGCCTCACAATTCACAGAAATGGGTTAGAACACTGAAGAATCTTGCCTCATTTGTGGCAGGAAATTATTCAAACAATCTACTTCTGTTAATGCACCTCTTTCTATATGTCCCTGTTCATAACATCATAGCCAAGCCTCAGCTCTAAAGCTTATTCACACATGCTGTCATTTAACCAGGTCCTATTTGTTTTTTATTTTAATGGTTAAGCTTTTCCATTGATGTCTTTCTTTATAGTGTTGATTATCATGTTCATTATTGTGCTGAGCAGCCCACTGTACCTGATTTTTTTTTTTGAGATGGAGTCTCCCTCTGTCGCCCAGGCTGGAGTGCAGTGGCGCGATCTCGGTTCACTGCAACCTCTGCCTCCCGGGTTCAAGTGATTCTCCTGTCTCAGCCTTCTGAATAACTGGGATTACAGGCACGCGCCACCACCCCTGGCTAATTATTTTTTTTTGTATTTTATTTTTAGTAGAGCTGGGGTTTCGCCATGTTGGCCAGGCTGCTCTCCAACTCCTGACCTCAGGTGATCCACTCGCCTCGGCCTCCCAAAGTGCTGGGTTTACAGGCATGAGCCACCGTGCCCAGCCTGTATCTGAAGTATTATTTGTAGGAATAATCTGAGGCCTAGATGAAAAACATCTTCCTCCAAAGAAGATCTGCATTTGTTTTTACCATGCTCCTTGGGGGCACAACCAACATAAGACCAACTGGTCCAAGATTTGAGATTCCCAAACCCACAAAGAAAATCTACACGAGGTCTCATTTACTTAGGGTTCACCCCAACCCTAAGGATGCAGCCCTGTGGGCCCCCAGCTTAAGATTGTGAAGGTCTGATTAGACTTTGCATCTTCTATAGACCTGGTGCTTTCATTTCTCACCTCCTTACCTCCTTTCTCACCTCATGACAAGTTCATCTCAATGAAGGTTCCCATTTGCTGGGACTCACAAATCCCCTCAGGGCAAAAGCAGATTCTGTGCCCTTATCACCTTTCTGGTTCTCCTGGTTTAGCTTCAGTTTTGCCTTTCAATTCCTCACCATGTTGTCAGCTTTACAAAGTTTCTTTTCTTTTCTTTTCTTTTCTTTTCTTTTCTTTTCTTTTCTTTTCTCCTTCCTTCCTTCCTTCCTTCCTTTTCTTTTTTTTTTTGGAATCTCGCTCTATTGCCCAGGCTGGAGTGCCTGATCTCGGCTCACTGCAACCTCTACCTCCAGGGTTCAAGAGATTCTCTTGGCTCCGCCTCCTGAATAGCTGGGATTACAGGTGCGTGCCACCACACCTGGCTAATTTTTATATTTTTTATTAGAGATGGAGTTTCACCATGTTGACCAGGCTGGTCTCAAACTCCTGACCTCAAGTGATCTACTTGCCTCAGCCTCCCAAAGTGCTGGGATTACAGGTGTGAGCCACCATACCTGGCCCAAAGTTTCTGTTGTTTTTTCATAGTTTTCTATAATTTTAAAAATTGTTTTCTAAGGGATCATTAATCTGAAAAACCTAGCCCACCATTACAGAAAGATACAAATCCACCTACAACCATCCCAAGTCTTTGAGAATAAAATAGAACCAGAAAGTCTGGGTGCAGTGGCGGCCTTTCTACTCAGGAGACTGAAGCAGGAGAACCACTTGAACCCAGGAGGTGGAGGCTGCAGTGAGCTGAGATCATGCCACTGCCCTCCAGCTTGGGCAACAGAACCAGACTCCATCTCAAAAAACAAAACCAATGAATGAACGAACGAATGAGAAGGAAGGAAGGTGGGAAGGAGGGAAGGAGGGAAGGAAGGAAGGAAGGAAGGAAGGAAATAGAACCAGAAAAAGTCCACCAGAGCCTAAGAAGAGCATTTGAGGTAGGGAAAAAACCTTCCCTCTCCTGGGGGCCCCAGGGCGGGTCCTAGGGAGCGCAGTGTTGTGTGCTGCTGTGCAGAGCAGAGCGGAGCAAACTGAGGGGCCACGAGGTGTGTGCAGGAGGCTGCGTGAAGTTGTGGTGAGGAAGATGAGAGGCTCCTAGGAATTTCTGGGTGCAAGAGAATTTTAAACAATGAAGGTTTTAAAGAAGAGCTATTATGTCCTTGTGCTTAGGCCCTCTTAACTCTGAGAGAAAAAAGAGTAAAATTTCTGTCCTGGCTGACTGCTTTAAAGGAATATGATTCTGATTGTGCCATAGAAATCACTGCTTTATAAACCTTATATGTATCTGTTTACTACAGATGATCAAGGGAGAGAAAAGGATAGTAGGGACATAGAAGGAGAGAAAAGAAAAGCATTCACGGACAGGCCATGGAAGGCGTTTCTTGTTTCAGTAGTATTAAGTACCTATTTCATGTTGGACAGAGAAAAAGTTGAGTGAACTAAGTCCTCTGCCCTAAGGAGCTCATTATCCAATAACAGGGGAGAACAATATGTCATTAAATAATTTAAATAAAATCCAGATGTAATTAAGTTTTATTGAGCATTTAGTAAGAGCCAGATGCTTTCTGAGAAAAAAAAAAAAAAAAGCAGCCCCTGACATCTAAGGACTGGCCTAAAATTTATAGGTAGGCCTGAGTGGGAGCAGAAGCTGGCCGGGAGCTCACAGCTAGGACAAGTTATTCTCCTGCTGCGTGTAAACAATCTCACAGAACACTGACACCAGTCAAGTCACTCTGAGATCATGAGGAAGTGCGACAAAACAAGACCACTTCATAATTTTGTCTAAGCACAGACAAAAATGAGGTCACTGTGCAACCCCTAAAACACGAATAGCTCTTCTTTCAGCTAATATGAGCCTCTAGTGATTCTTTACCTTTAGAATTTTAGCCTTGCTCTAGTCTACTGTCCCTATAAACGTTGAGATGCCCAGTCATAGACTTTCCCTGCATTCTGACAGCATTCAATCCAGAGTGAACCCCTACTTCCTTGGATCCTTCCACAGACCACCCAACCGCAGCCCGAATCCAATAGTAGGTCTGATACCCTCTTACTGAGAAGCCCCACAGTTCCCCATGGTGTGTGTTCTCCCTTGCTGCAATGAGTAATAAACCCAATTCGTTCCACTACTGCTGTGCTCCTGGTGGGCTCTGGCTGGAGGGCACTGTCATCTCAAGTACATCATTTAATTTCATCCTCATAACGTGAGCATAAGCCTGAATTTATAGATGACGATAAGGCTCCTAAAGGTTAATTTAATTCAGAATTACAGGCAGAAAGAGACAAAGCTGGGATTTGAACACTGAGCTTTGAATGTTTCTCACTACCTTGAATGACTGAAGACAGAGAGCAAGATAGAGAAGAAAAAAGATGTCCAAAAAGAGACAAAAAGATGTTTTTCCTCACCCACTTTAACTGCCACTTTCAAGGAGCAACATCTCCATCTTGTGATATTTTATGATACGGGTTTTAAATAATTGAATTTTATAACTGTAGGAGATCGTTCAGACACAACTGAAATTTAAGAGAATACTTAAAAAAATTTGCTCCATAGGCAAAATAAAATTAAGCCATTACATTAAAAACCACAGCTATGAGGAAAGAAAGGTCTCTTATTGTCATCTGTCTTACTTTTTCTTTTCTGAGGGACAACCCTCCTGCATCCTTCCACTTTACAATAATGTCCTTCCCCAAGATGGCTGAGTACATACATCTCAAGTACGATGCGTGCCTCTGCATCAAGGAACTTTTGGGTATCTGAAGGTTAGGAATGGGAGACTTTTCACTGAATATCCTTTTGTATTAAAAAAAACTTAGGAGTATGTGAATATATTACTAATTCAAACACAAAACTAATTTTTTTTATTTTAAAATTTATTTATTTATTTATTTTGAGACAGAGTCTCACTCTGTCGCCCAAGCTGGAGAGCAGTGGCGCCACTGGGCTCACTGCAACCCTTGCCTCCCAGGTTCAAGTGATTCTTGTGCCTCAGCCTCCTAAGTAGCTAGGATTACAGGCGCCCTCCACCACATCCGGCTAATTTTTGTATTTTTAGTGGAGACGGGGGTTTCACTGTGTTGGTCAGGATGGTCTCGAACTCCTGACCTCAAGTGATCCACCCGCCTCAGCCTCCTAAAGTGCTGGGATTACAGGTGTGAGCCACCATGCCTGGTCAATTTTTATTTATTAATTTTTTCAGTCAGAGCAAGATAGCTTGATAATAAATTGACATTTTTAGGGTCAAATATAAAATATGCATGTGTCTGCCTTTTATTTTACTTTTTTAAAGAAGTAGACTCTATAACTAAGGTACTACCAGAACACAGTTATCTTCTGGTTTTTCATTTATCTGTTGTAATTGACCCAGATTGCTTAAACATGAGAATGTAGCAGCAAAAAAGAAATACACAGGCTAGGAAGCAGAGCTCAATTAAGAATAGAGAAAGCAGAAGAAAAAGAGAATAGACAAGGAGTCAGATGTAGGGTTCAATGGGAAAGGCAAGCAGTTCAAACTGGAGCAGTGTGAATAGAACCATATGAGTTGAGCAATCCTAAATAATCATGCTATCCAGATTTCAAGAAAACCTTTTTCTGAGTCACTTGGAAACATATAATTCTAAATTTAAAACCAGGTAGGAGCCAGGTTCTACGGCTCACGCCTGCAATCCCAGCACTTTGGGAGGCTGAAGTGGGCAGATCACTTGAGCTCAGGAGTTCAAGAACAACCTGGACAACATAGCGAAACCCCATCTCTACCAAAAAAATACAAAAATTAGCCAGGCATGGTGGCGTATGCCTGTAGTCCCAGTTACTTGGGAGGCTGAGTTGGAAGGATCACTTGAGCCTGGGAGGCAGAGGTTGCAGTGAGCTGAGATCATGCCACTGCACTCCAGCCTGGGTGACAGAACCGGACCCTGTCTCAAAAAAAATAAAAAATGAAACAGGGTAGCATTGGCATATGGAGTAAATACTGAACTGTATTGGCATGCTTATGCTAAAAAATTATTTGTTGTTTATCTAAAATTCAGATTTAACTGGGCATCCTATAAATTATCTGGCAACCCTAACTGTACATGCAATAAAAAAAAAATAAACAACTTACCAATTTGCCAGCAGATGGCTCCCCAAATCTAGTTTAGAATGAAACAGTGCATCCAAACATAGTGAGAAGTCATTATTGTTTCAGGGCTTTTGTTTTGAGTGTTTGTTTGATTGGCCTGGTCTGGTTGGATTCATTTTTTGCCAGGGGTGGGGGGAAGGGGCAGTGATAATTTTTATTTAGTTATATAAAAATATTAAATATCTTCTACCATCATTTCATACGATTCTTCATGATCCTTAACTTTAATGTTAAAATGAAAAAGAAATCACAATTTAATTTTCTATATTTTTTCTTTTATATTTGCTCAAGCATTTAAATACCAAGGCAACATGTATAATTTCAGTATAAGGTGACTCTGACATTTCGCGAAGGAATTCCATGCCCATTAGATTATGTATGCTGAGCATCAGGTTAGGGATCTTTATAAAAACTATACCTTTGCCTCTTTCATGCAGTCCGATTTGCTACAATATTTTAGCATTGAGGCATGAGCTTTGTTTTGACTCCAAAGCACACACCCAACACTCCCAATGAAATAATTGATTCAGTGGAATTTTTAGATCTGCCACAATTTTACCAACCCTTTGCTAATGCCAGAATACCTCCAAAAACAATCAAGCTTAGGCTCCGGTGAAAAACTCAGGAACCACCGTCAAGAAACATATAATAATTAAGTTGCATTTCCCACATTTCTATTAATACATAACGTACAACTCAATTTTGGATTTTTAAAAACTGTTGTCGTATACTATTCATTCTTAGTTCCACACTGGTTTAATAGAATCCTTCAAAGAATGTGCTGAGAAACCATGATTATTCTATAATAATGGCTTTCCTGCATTGCAAACGAATTAGGCTAGAATGTTCTCATACAATGTGAAGGGCACTATTTTAATGTGGCATTCACAAAAAGAGTGTATATGTCATATTAGAAGTGGTCTCCATCCTCCAATGCTCTGTGCCCCAGGAGGGTGCCCTGAATGGAATGCATCAAAGGGCTCCCTTGCTCTCAGACTGTGGGTTGGAATCAGCCAATCGTAGATATTGCAGCAGATGGGGAGAGCAGGAAAAGTGAGATCAGAAATATGTTTCTCCAGCTCACTCTCTACTGGTGAGTTGCCATGGGTTGGATGCAAACTTCTACTGAAGGCTATAGGTTCTATCAGGTGATCTTTTCTTTTCTTTTTCTTTTCTTTTTTTTTTTTTTTTTTGGAGACAAGAGTCTCGCTCTATCGCCCGGGCTGGAGTGGTGCAAGGGCACCATCTTGGCTCACTGCAACCTCTGCCTCCCAGGTTCAAGCGATTCCCCTGCCTCAGCCTCTTGAGTAGCTGGGATTACAGTCACGTGCCACCACGCCCAGCTAATTTCTGTATTTTTAGTAAAGATGGGGTTTTGTCTTGTTGGCCAGGCTGGTCTCAAACTCCTGGCCTCAGGTGATCCACCTGCCTCGACCTCCCAAAGGGATTACAGGCGTGAGCCACCACACCTGGCCTATCAGGTGACTTTTTCTAAATAGACCTTTCCTGCTCCCTTCTCCCAAATCTGGGGTAGAGGTTCTGTTTGCTCCATTGGGCCCTTTAGGCACCAGTATCACTATACTGCACTATAATTTTCTGCCCACCCCGTTGCATCTGTAAGTATCCACAAGACTAGGAACTGTGTCTTATTTTTGTCTTACTGATAGTAGATGTTCAGTAAATCTTCACTTAATCTGATAGAAGTTTTCATAATACAAATTTAAATAATCTTTTTAAATCTCTAAAAAAACTTTTAATAATAAAAAGAGTATTTCTCTAACTCTTTTTCACATAAACAAGGGCAAAATCCTGCTGGGTCTTAAAAAATTAAGAAATCTTAAATGAGTCACTGAAAAGCCTGGTTTAATATTCTTCTCTTAATAAATATTTATTGATTTATTTATATAGAGAGATGGGGTCTCACTTTATTGCCCAGGCTAGCCTTGAACTCCTCAGCTCAAGCAATCCTCCCAGCTCAGCCTCCCAAGTAGCTGGGACTATAGGTGTGCCACTGCACCCAGCATTATAATAATTTTTTAAAAGGATTCAAAATTTTAAAGTGATTTTAAAACATAGATGAAAAGGGCTTATATTTTATATTTAATATACACTTTATAATCTTTTAGAATATTATAATATCTTATGAACTTTTTTCTTGCATATGAGATCAATGTTATATTTTTAAAGAGCTAATCATGATATCATCTGAATTTATGGGAACGATACTTAATAGGCATTATGTTATATAGAGAAAAGTATGTTTACTTAAGAGAGATCTGATCCATTCTTACAAAGCTTTGGAACACTTACAATAAATAATTTGTAATAGAGTTCATAATAGTGGAGACATTATGAACAGGTGGTATCTATTAACAGAATGTGAATTACAGATTTGGCATTTATCTAGTTTATCTAGGTAATCTAGTTATCAGCAATGCAAAATGGTTGATCTAGATAATCCAATGACAATGAAAAAATTCATTTTAAGCCTTAGATTATTTGAACCAACAATAGATACTGATCAAATTAACTAGAAAAATGACCAAAGTTAATTTTATTATGAATATATAAATATAGCCCTAAGGTAAGAACAGAACCACTTAGCATTTTATAGTGTTTAACCCTTCAGTTTCCTTGAAACTTTCACAGGAATTTTACTTCAGCATGAAGTTCAAACATATACTCTTAATTTTTTTCAAAACTCCTTTTAACAATCTCTTCTCCTACTTTAGAAAATTAAATATATTTATCCTTTTTTGGTAAGTAAATATTGCAATTTATATTTGGGTTTCACCACATTAGAATTCCTTCCTCTGAAAACATTCATTTCAAGATAGTTGGGCTAATAAATTTGTGAAAAAATTATTGGCAAAACGAAGTAGAAAAAAGGGGATTAAGTGAAGTCATGCATTATAGTGCTTCATTTACATATGAATAGAAATGTCAGTGATTAATAATAAATTTTATCTTAGTCTTTGAAAATAAGATTTCTTTTTTCTTTCTTTCTTTTTTTTGAGACAGGATCTGGCTCTGTTACCCAGGCTGCAGTGCAATGGTGCAATCTCTGCTCACTGCAATCTCCATCTCCCAGGCTCAAACCATCCTCCCACCTCAGCCTCCCGAATAGCTGGGACTACAGGCATGCACCACCACACCTGGCTAATTTTTTTGTATTTTTAGTAGAGTTGGGGTTTTGCCATGTTGCTCATGTTGGTCTCAAACTCATGAGTTCAAAGCAATCCACCCATCTTGGTCTCCAAAAGTGCTGGGATTACAGGTGTAAGCCAACATGCCTGGCCTGAAAATAAGATATTTCTGATAGAACTAAGATTTCCTTTAGTGAAAATTTGATACAAACAATACAAATAGTTGGTTTAATACTTATTTAAACAATATGTCTAACATACATATCTACGTATATATGTTGATATATGAATGTGTATATATACACACACACACACACAGTTTATCAGTCTGTGTGCTTGTACATATATATATGTATATACAGACATTATGAATAGATAGAAAGATAGATCCATTATCTATCCATCTATCTGTGTGTGTATATGTGTATGTATATGTATATATATACACATACACACATATATCTATAGATCGATCGATCAATCGATCAATAGCTAGGTAGATAGATTGATTCTAGGCATATAGGAAAATTTCTGATCAATCATATGCTGACTACTAGGCTAAGTGAGAAGAGACTTCAATGACCACACACTCCAAGGAATACAGAATTTATAGAATTAATTCACAAAAGTCACTAAACAATAACACAGCAACAACAGCAATTACAAGCAAGAGGCACAATAACAAAACCTGATCAGGCAGGGAACATCTGATATCTAGAGTTGCCACAGTATATTATCTAAAATGCCATTTAAAAAAAAAAACATATGAAACATGCAATCAAACAGGAAAGTATAGCCCTGTTTCCCAAAGTGCTGGGATTATAGGCATGAGCCCGGCCTTTTCTTTCTTTCTTTTTTTTGAGATGGAGTTTCACTCTTGTTGCCCAGGCTGGAGTGCAATGGCGTGATCTTAGTTCACTGCAACCTCCGCCTCCTGGGTTCAAGTGATTCTCCTGCCTCAGTCCCCTAAGTAGCTGGGATTACAGGCATGTACCACCACGCGCAGCTAATTTTGTAATTTTAGTAGAGACGGGGTTTCTCCATGTTGATCAGGCTGGTCTCGAACTCCTGATCTCAGGTGATGCGCCTGCCTTGGCCTCCCAAAGTGTTGGGGTTACAGGTGTGAGCCATCGTGCCCGGCTGCCCGGCCCTTTCTTATCATTTAAACAGAGCCCTAATGATGATCTAACTGAATGCCCTTACTGTCTTAGAATATTTTTAGTTAATATTAATATCTGGTCAGGCTCCATGGCTCACGCCTGTAATCCCAGCACTTAGGGAGGCTGAGGCAGGTGGGTCACCTGAGGTCAGGAGTTCGAGACCAGCCTGGCCAACATGGTGAAACCCTGTCTCTACTAAAAATACAAAAATTAACTGGGCGTAGTGGTGGGCTCCTGTAATTCCAGCTACTTGGGAGGCTGAGGCAGGAGAATCACTGGAACCAGGGAAGTGGAGGTTGCAGTGAGCTGAGACCATGCCATTGCACTCCAGTCTGGGCAACAAGAACGAAATTCCATCTAAAAAAAAAAATTTTTTTTTGTAATGATAAAAGGGTTGATCTGTCAGGAAGACATAGCAATTATAAACATAATACACCTGACAAAGAGTTCCAAATATATAAAACAAAGACTGACAGAATTGAAGACAGAAATAGACAATTCAACATAATAGTTGGATATTTCAATGCCTCACTTTCAATAATAAATTGAACAACTTGACAGAGATTAGCAAGGCTTGATTAACACTATAAACTAACTAGACCTAACAGACATCTATAGAACACTTCACCCACAACAGCAGAATATGCATTCTTCTGTTGCATATTCCATACACAGAATGTTTTCCAGGATAGACCATGTGTTGGGACATAAAACAAGCTTCAGTAAATGTAAAAGGATGAAAGTCATGCAAAGTTATGTTCACCATTCATACACAACAGAACAAAATTAGAAATCAATGATACAATGAAATTTGAGAAATTAAGAGATATGTGGAAATTAAGTAATATTCCCCTAAACAGCCAATGGGTCAAAAAAGAAATCACAAGTGAAACAAGAAAATACTTTGAGATGAATAAAAATTAAAACAGAACATACTAAACTTATGGGATGCAATAGAAACAGTACTCAGAAGGAATTTATAGTTGTAAATGCCTATTAATAAAGAAGGTATCAAATCAATAACCTAACTTTTCACTTTAAGAAACTAGAAAAAGATGAGCAAATGAAATTAGAAAAAAGCAGAAGGAAGAAAATAAAGATTAGAGTGAAAATACATTAAATAGATATCCAAAGAAGTTTAACTATATGGACCTTTGTCAAAAACTTACAAATACAGCTTCAGTATAAAATTGACAATATAGGTATTAAAACTTCACAAATTTTAATTTCTTGAGGCTGCTTGCCTCATTTATGTCATCTCTTACTATAATGTAATGAATGAAAGGTATGAATTAATGAATGAAGGGTATGAATGAAATAAAACAGGGAGAAAAAATTAATCTTGCTGAGTTTTTCAGTGACTAGAAATATTTTTGTCCTTAGATTTTAATGTCCTTAACCTTGATAGAAATGAAATTCATCAATGCTGACCACTGAGTCTAGAGAACAAACATGTAATGAGGCCTTTAGGGGTAGTTTTAGAAAAACTAAAGGAAAAAATTACCTTTTATATTGAGTAATACATTTACAAAATCACTCCCCAGAAGCAAAACATCAATATGGCCCCAGGAATGGCTTAGGAAGATAGCTGATGACAACATTAATATCCCCTTTTCCAGAAAACACTCTGACTCTTCAAGCCATTGAATTTCATCACTAGTCTTCCTTCTTTACCAATTACCTTCAGCCTCTTTTGTTCAGATTTGGTCACAAGGAAGAACAGCATAAGCAATGGTAAGGTATTGGAAGGTGAAGGATGGCAGTAAGGGAGTAAAAAATTGCATGAAAATCCAAGACCAGGAACCATAATTCAGGAACCTTCATCTCATTGACCTGCTATTCCTTCTGCCATTAAAAAATACCTGTTTAAATCCTCACCAGCCACTTTCTTCTCCTCTCCCCTCCCCTCTTTTTTTTTTGGAGGTGGGGTCTCACCCTGTGGCCCAGGCTGGAGTGCAGTGGTGTGATCTCGGCTCATTGTAACTTCCGCCTCCGGGGTTCAAGCAATTCTCGTGCCTCAGCCTCCAGAGTAGCTGGGACTACAGGCATGCGTGACCACACCTGGCTAATTTTTTTGTCTTTTTGGTAGAGACGGGGTTTCGTCATGTTGGCCAGGCTGGTCTCAAACTCCTGGCCTCAAGTGATCCGCTGGCCTTGGCCTTCCAAAGTGCTGGGATTACTGGCGTGAGCCACCGCATCTGGCCTATTTATCTCCATTTTCTTTTTCTTTCTTTTTTTTTTTTTTTGTCACTCAGATTGGAGTACAGTGGGACAAGCTCAGCTCACTGCAACCTCCGCTTCCTGGGTTCAAGGGATTCTCCTGCCTCAGTCTCCTGAGTAACTGGGATTACAGGCACACACCACCACGCCAGGCTAATTTTTTGTATTTTTAGTAGAGATAGGATTTCACCATGTTGGCCAGGCTGGTCTTGAACTCTTGACCTCAGGTGATCCACCCGTCTCAACCTCCCAAAGTGCTGGGATTACAGGAGTGAGCCACCGCGCCCGGCCTATTTATCTCCATTTTCTGAAAAGGACATAATAATAAACCATGCTGGTTAAGTTGTAAGGAAGGAGTATGCACAAGGTGCACAAGCTACCCCATAACATTTCAGGAGAAAACGATTTTTTTAAACTCCTCGAAGTATGCAAAATCAGCTACAAACAATATGAAATACAAGTTACAGTTCTGTTTGTTCTATAGCAGTGTAAAAATCACAAAACTCTCATCAAAATAGAAAATAAGAGCAATGACATACCATAAGCACCTTGTATACTTTAACCAACGACATTTTAATTGGCACCATCTCTGCCAGACTAGTATTAAGCCTGGCATCAGGCACGAGTTTATTAATTAATGTGCTCACATACTTTTAATGATATTTGGTAAACTGATTTCTTACTTTTATTCTTTCTTGCTTCCTTAATTAAGTCCTAAATGTGGAGAGATCTTTTTGTACCACATCAAGCCATGCATGCCTCCAAAGTGTTTTAGTGACACTGTGCCTATGCCAGCGAGGGCCTCATTGTTGCTAAGCAACCTAAAACATTTATTTTTGTTTTTGACTTCCTATCACTTTTTCCTGTTGATGGCCAATCCTTCTCAGTCTCTTCAAATCCTTCTCCACCCACTATTTTCTTAGTAAATAAATCGTAGACTTGAACATATCAGGAAATAGCTATAAAGAGTGAAGAGACTTGCCTGGTGTTATACAACTAATTGATAATATTAAAACTAGAAACCAGGTCCATTGAGTCTCTCTAGTTTCAAAATTCCCACTATTACAGGATCATATAAATGGGCTGAATTC
Organism: Homo sapiens; assembly: GCF_000001405.40. Lineage (NCBI taxonomy): Eukaryota > Metazoa > Chordata > Mammalia > Primates > Hominidae > Homo > Homo sapiens. Next base: position 40,744,714 of record NC_000004.12, read on the forward strand.
ATGTGTGACATGAGATTTTCCTAATTTCTTTTTTGCCAGTTCTGATTTTCTTGTATTTCCTCTCTTTTGCTGCAGGGGAAGCACCGTTCCTCTAACTTTTTAAAAAATATATATATTTTTTATAAGAGATAGGGTTTCCCTCTGTTGCCCAGGCTGGAGTGCAGTGGCACAATCATAACTCACTGTGGCCTCGGGACTCCTGGGTTCAAGCCATCCTCCCACCTCAGCCTTCCAAGGAGCTAGGACTACAGGCACGTGCCAAAAGGCCAGGTAATTTCTTTATTTTTTGTAGAGATGGGGACTTGCTAAGTTGCCCAGGCTGATCTAGAACTCCTGGCCCATAAGTGACCCTCTAAACTTGGCCTTTCAAAGCACTGGGATTACAGGAGTGAGCCACTGTGCCTAGCCTGTTCCTCTAACTCTTTAATTCAAGTTTCTTTTTATTTTTTGAGACAGAGTCTTGCTCTGTTGCCCAGGCTGGAGTGCAGTGGTGCAATCTCAGCTCACTGCAACCTCTGCCTCTTGGATTCAAGTAATTGTCCTTCCTCAGCCTCCCTAGTAGCTGGAATTACAGGCACACGCCACCACGCCCAGCTAATTTTTGGACTTTTTGTAGAGACAGGGGTTTCAACATGTTGGCCAGGCTGGTCTTGAACTCCTGACCTCAAGTGATCCGCCTGCCTCAGCCTCCCAAAGTGCTGGGATTACAGATGTGAGCCACCACGCCTGGTGGAATTCAAGTTTCTCAATGCAGTGTTTGGCCCAAAGTGTGAGGTCAGCACCACTGACAGTATGGGAGATGATTTGAGTAGTATGCAGATTTGGCATCGAATAACATTTAATCACACAGTGAGAAAGCTGCTTTATATAATGCTTTTTCAATCCTTCTGACAAGGATAAAGTCTCATTTTTGTACGAGTGTTTAACACCTCTCTGACACTGTCCATTCCCTTTTTAATAAAGAACCATCAACCTCAAGCCTGGGGACATGGCACAACCTTTTCTAGCTAGCATTTAACAGTATTGTTCTGCTTTTGTGGTGGTTGCTTTCATTTATGGCAAATAATGCTGACTTTCCATTTTTAGTTTTCAATTTAAGAAAGTGAATCTGATTTAAAGTAAAATATTGAGTAAATACTATACATGGTTGTATATGTATATATGGCAAAAAAAAAAAAAAAATCATGAAGGCAGTGCTTGAGTGACTAACTCCAGGAAACACTGTGTTGCTAGAATCTGTTACAAATGGTTGTCTACTGTAATCAAGACCTGGAATGACAACTCTCCTGAATCTTTTTTTTTTTTTTTTTTGAGATGGAGTTTCGCTCTTGTTGCCCAGGCTGGAGTGCAATGGCACGATCTTGGCTCACCGCAACCTCCGCCTCCCAGGTTCAAGCAATTCTCCTGCTTCAGCCTCCCGAGTAGCTGGGATTACAGGCATGCACCACCATGCCCAGCTAATTTTGTATTTTTAGTAGAGACGGGGTTTCTCCATGTTGGTCAGGATGGGCTCAAACTCCCAACCTCAGGTGATCCGCCCGCTTCAGTCTCCCAAAGTGCTGGGATTACAGGCATGAGCCACCGCGCCCGGCCCTGAATCTTCTTTCCCCTTGTATCCTAGGTCACTCAAACTCCTCCTTATTTGCTCTTGTCATTTTTGGCTTCTAAATATCAAGAGTGTTCTTTCTAACGGTGCTGTCTCTGAACTGCTATGGTGTGGAGTTCCATTCTTCTCCACTTGCACCACCCTTCAGGAATCAGCTTCGTTAGAATCTTCTGCATCCAAATTAAGGGAGAATTTTTTTTCTCCTCTGCAAGTGGTTATGACTCTTTGGCTAATCTTTTGGCTAAGTATTAAGAGGACACTTGAGTAGGCTACTCTCTAGCATATGTAAAGTGTTCCTGCATACCAACTTTCACCCAGTATCACAGAACGAAGTTCATCTACCTCAGGTGATGCTTTCTTGAGCATCTATTCCCTTTCATCCTCTGGGGATGTAATAACTCAGCATCTGACCGTCAGCCCCCAAATGTACCTTACCCACAAGGCCCAAATGATCCTCAAATGGCAATCCTGATGGCCTGCCCTAGTCCCCAGAGTTTCAATTGGATATAGCTTAGGTCTACAATAAAACACTTTATAAAACAAAAATAATTAAAGGCTGAGCATGGTGGCTCATGCCTATAATCCCAACACTTTGGGAGGCCAAGGTGGGAGGATTCCTTAAGCTCGGGGGACACCAGCCTGGGTAACATGGTGAGACTCCACCTCTACAAAAGTAAAAAACAATTAGCTGGGTGTGGTGGCATGCCTGTTGTCCCAGGTACTCAGGAGGCTGAGGCAGGAGGATTGCTTGAGCTACCAGGAGTTCAAGGCTGCAATGAGTTATGATCACACCACTGCACTCCAGCCTAGGTGACAGAGGAATCTGCAAAAGGTGTTGCAATGAAAATTTACCATACTGTTTCTAAGAAGCAATAACTGGAAGTTGAGTCCTGGTGTTTAAGAACACAAGTTAAGATTCTTTATGTTTCTTATGCTTTTTATATTTCTGTAACAGGCTTCATTGGAACTGGGCACCGTTTTATATTGTCTAGATCAAATTGATGCAAGTGAGCAGATGTATTTTGAATATTCACATGCCTAACATATACTAGTACTCTGAGTCAAATGCAAGAATGTTAATTTACAAATATCTTAAATATTCTACCCCCTGGGGAAAGAAAAATCATTAATTTCCTTTGGCAGAAAGCCTCAGGTACATTTTGATTTTCTCCTCATGTCTGATTTAATGCTCTGGTCATATTACAGAGTGTAACTTAAACAAAAACTACATTTTTTTTTTTTACTATCCTGCTTTCACAACAATTGAACTCATATGCCTGTCTCTATGGTTACTTTTTTACAGTGTTCACTGAAATTTAATATGCTCTCCTCTGACCCTCCCCTCAAATACATTAAGTCCACAATGAGGCTATAAACCAGGAGTGAGAAGTAAGGAGGCAGGATTATATACATGATTAAAGTAAATAGTAACCATGAATTTGCTAACCCCACAACTCTTTGCCTAAGCTCTACCTTGGGGATAGAGACTCGTTAAACCTTGTTTTCAATATAGTAAACTGTTACTTACATTGAACTATTATTAAAGAAAATAAACTCTTCAAATTATATTTTGAATGACAATATTTCAAAGTTTATAGCTAGCTATTGCCTCACATCACTGTGTACTGGGTGATGCATGATAAAATATATCATGACCTCTAAGACACCTTCCATATTTGTAATCTTCTGTGAATGTCTGTATGTGAAAGAGAGTGATATTTTGCTAGCATCTGGGAATAAAAAAGATATATAATAAAAATGAAAAGATAAAGATAAAACAAGACTATTTTAGAGTGTGTGTGTTGTGTGGATAGAAAGATGGCAGAAGGGGGGTAATGCAGGTATGTACACGAATCTTTATAACAAAAATGAAAAGGTGACAAAATACAAATATATCCATCTTTAATTTCTTGAGGGCAAGGTCTTTGATCATTTCTTTTTTTTTTGAGACGGAGTCTGGCTCTGTCACCCAGGCTGCAGTGCAGTGGCCCAATTTCGGCTCACTGCAACCTCCGCCTCTCGGGTTCATGCCATTCTCTGGCCTCAGCCTCCTGAGTAGCTGGGACTACAGGCGCCCGCCACCACGCCCGGCTAATTTTTTTGTATTTTTAGTAGAGACGGGGTTTCACCGTGTTAGCCAGGATGGTCTCGATCTCCTGACCTCGTGATCCGCCCGCCTCGACCTCCCAAAGTGCTGGGGTTACAGGCGTGAGCCACCGCGCCCGGTCAGGTGTCTGATCATTTCTATACATTCATTATTTTACTTGTAGGGCTGAACACAATGCCAGGGACACAGCAAGAATTTAATATATACTTGTTAAACGAACGAATGAATGCATGTATACATAAAATGTTACGGAATGTTTAACGTATTCCGGGGATAATGAAAGTGGGTGGATTTCTGAGAGAAGGGGTCAGGGTTAGAGTTCTGTACTGCTAATTTTTTCCCCATTATCCATTCTCTCCTTCTTCTACAGTAATAGTTCCCTTATTTTTAGCTGGACACATTTACCAGCCTCTTGGTTGCTGGGTATATGACTGAGTTCTGACCAATAAAATGTGAGCCAAAGTGATATGTGCACCTTTCAGGTCATTGAAAAATATGGGCTGCCCTCTCTTTCCCCTTCATCCTACTAACCACTGGCTGGAAATGGAAATGGCCTTAGCCTAAAGAAGGAAGGGCAAATCCCTAAGGAGGAAAGGCAGAGGTGGAATTAGGACCAGTTGTCTTTCAACTATACCAGAGTTTTTCAAACTGTGGTCTTTGGGCTGATTGCATCAGAATCGCCAGTTACCTGATAAAAATGCAAATTACTGGGTCTTAGCAACTCAAATCTCTAGGATGGGTTCCAAGGATTTTTTTTTAGCTGGAGGCGGTGGTTCACGCCTGAAATCCCAGCACTTTGGGAGGCCGAGGAGGGAGGACTCCTTGAGCCCAGGAATTCGAGACCACCCTGGGCAACATAATGGGAACCCTGTCTCTGTTATTAAAAAAAATTATTACAGACGGCGCAGTGGCTCACGCATGTAATCCCAGCACGTTGGGAGGCCAAGGCCGGCAGATCACTTGACGTCAGGAGTTCGAGACTAACTTGATCAACACGGTGAAACCCTGTCTCTACTAAAAATACAAAAATTAGCAGGGTGTGGTGGCGGGCGCCTGTAGTCCCAGCTACTCGGGAGGCTGAGGCATGAGAATCACGTGAACCCGGGAGGAGGAGGCTGCAGTGAACCGAGATTGCGCCACTGCACTCCAGCCTGGGCGACAGAGCGAGACCATGTCTCAAAAAAAAAATTATTACTATATTTTAAAAATATTTTAAAGAATGTGTAGTTTTAACAGGGACTTCAGGAACTTGTGAGTTAAAACCACGGAACTACGTCAGACTACCTCAAAAATATCCCCAAATGTTTATAAACAAAGCCAAGGGCACGCACTCAGGCCCGGTGAGGTCCAGGAACTGTGCAAGAGGCCTCTGGCTCGGAGGGGCTGAAACAGGTGTCTCCGCGCGCTGGGGGAAGAGCGACTCTCCCGGCAACAGGTAGCACCCGCCAAATCCCGCGGGAACGGCCCTCGCGCCGCGCCCCCTGCCCCACCTCCGCTCGCGGTTGCCATGAAGACCCGGTCCGGGAGCAGTCGACTGCCGGAGACTCGGGAGGCTGAGCTTTCCTCGGCCTGAGCCAGCCAGACCCCGGGCACCGCGCTCACCCCTCTTCGCCGCCACGTCCGCGAAGGCCTCACGCGCGAGGCCAGGCGAGGCCCCGAGGCGCCCACCACTTCACGACACCGGAGCGAACCGGGCGCCAGAGGCTGCGACCCCCCTGCCCCGAATCCTGCCGGTGGGAGTGGCTGCATTTGAACCAAACGGCCTTCGCGGGCAGCAGCCGTCGCCCCGCAGTCCCGGGGCTCCCAAGGGCCTGTGACCGACGCCGCCCTCCGCGTCTTCGTCCCCGAAGCCCCGGGAACCATCCGCCCTCGGGGTAAGGGAGGAGTCGGGGGAGCCGGTGACTGGGCTGTGGGGACGCGGACGGGGCTCCGGGGGCAGCTCTGCCCCCAGACTGGCTTGAGGGAAGCCGTCGGTCTCCTTGGGGCTCTTCTCCCTCCGCCGCTGCACCCCTCCTCGCTTTTTTTTTTTTTTTTGAGCGTCCCAGGCTCGAAGTCTGGGACACTCAGATGGGACGGGAAATGCTCCCTCTTAGTCTTTAAGGCCACAACGAAGGGGGCCACCCACAGGGGTGCTGCAGAAAGAGTGATTTACTGCAATCACCTTCTCTCTTCACAGAGACCATGCTGCAGATGCGAGGAAAGCCGTTTCCTGGAACATCGGAATTCTAACCCCAGGGTGAAGGACTCACGACAGGCGAGGGGCAGACATGCTGAATTCCACGGGCGAACTGGAGTTTTCGAACGAAGAAGATCCCGAGATCATCTCCCAACTCACTTCCCTGCCTCTGTCCGGTGGGAAAAGCTCAGCTGGTGTGCCCGAAAAAACGGGCTATCCGGACTCCGTTTATGTCATGGCAGCCAACATTTTTCAGGGTATTCGAATCGAAAAGTCGGCACAGAAAGTCTTAATCAAGTATGGGAATGAACCCCTGCGGTCCTTGTCCGAGTCTGAGGATCAGTCCTTTCAGCGTTTGTCTTATGAGCTGGCTTTCAGTGCCCTGAAATGTGAGTTGTGCCAGTCTGGAAGATCAACACTAAAAGAAAATAATAGCGAGAGAATTTGGGGAATGCAGCCCTCCTCCTCCCTTCCCCTCATTCACACCAGGTTTTGGTTTTAGGCATGTGCATATCTTTGGTTAATTGCAAGTGTCAAGGAATTAGGGTTCCCATGAAACTAGCTCTTCCAGCCCAGGATTGCAGATTTCCCCGTGCACTGTGTTTGTCCTTAGATCGGTGTAGTGCGCGGTCATTACATTCAACAAGGAAACAATTTATTCCAATGATCATTTCCCTCTCCCTGTATTTTTTTTTCCCTCGTAGACTTAGGGGTCTCGCTTTATTGTCTGGGCTGGTCTCAAACTCTGGACCTCAAGGAATCCTCCCTCTTCAGCTTCCCAAAGTGCTGGGATTACAGGCAGTGAGCCACCACGCCTGGCCTCCCTGTGTATTTCTTTCCATTCCCTGTGTTTACCTTTTTTGGTATTTTAGTTTATGAGCTTTCACAAATATAAAACCAGTGAGGGAGGATGGGGAGAGGAACAGAGACGGAATAAAAAGAAAAGGTGCAAAATTTAAAAAATGAATATCAAAATTACACCAACCCCAATTAAGACTATCCCATTCATAGCCACTAGCTTTAATGGGAGGAGCCAAACTTTAGTAGAACTTCCCTTTCTAATTTGCTTTCAGGGTTTGAGACTCAAGGATGGTTAGTTATCAATCTGAGGCCAAGGGTGGTTGCTCAGGCCTGTAATCCCAGCACTTTTCGAAGCCAAGGTGGGAGGATTGATTGAGCTCAGGCGTTAAAGACCAGCCTGGGCATATAGTGAGATCTCCTCTCTACAAAAAAAAATTTAAAAATTAGCCCAGTATGGTGGCACATGTCTTTAGTCCCAGATACTTGGGAGATTGAGGCGGGAGGATCGCTTGAGCCTGGGAGGCAGAGGTTGCAGTGAGCCAAGATGGTGTCATTGCACTCTAACCTGGTGACAGAGCAAGACCCTGTGGAATTGACACTAGGAAATGACCAAATATTGCTACTATGAGGAGAGCAGTCAAAAGGCTTGAAGTTGTTTGTTTTCGTACTAGCTGTGACTAAAAACTTTATGTTGGTTTGTAAACTGATTGAATGTAGTTCCAAAAAGAAGTTCCAGAAATGTTTAGAATATTAGCAGCATGGCCAAAATGATGAGCAGAAGCCTTCCTAAAGAGACACCTCAAAAAGGGCAACACTCTTTTGCATGATTTTCTTAGTACTTAATGAGCCTTGTACATCCTTGCTCGTAGGAGGCAGTTAATTACTCAGTTCAGCCAGATGCGGTGGCTTACACTTGTAATCCCAGTACTTTTGGAGGTGGAGGTGGGACGATTGCTTGACTTCAGGAGTTCAAGACAAACCTGGACAATATAGCAAGACCCCATCTCTATTTTTAGTTTTATTTTCTATTTTTTTGAGATGGAGTCTCACTCTGTCGCCCAGGCTGAAGTGCAGTGGCACAATCTTGGCTCACTGCAAGCTCCGCCTCCTGGGTTCACGCCATTCTCCTGCCTCAGCCTCCTGAGTAGCTGGGACTACAGGCGCACGCCACCATGCCTGGCTAATTTTTTGTATTTTTAGTAGAGACGGGGTTTCACGGTGTTAGCCAGGATGGTCTCCATCTCCTGACTTTGTGATCCACCCACCTCAGCCTCCCAAAGTGCTGGGATTACAGGCGTGAGCCACTGCACCTGGCCCCCCATCTCTATTTTTTAAAATTAAAAAAAAATGCTCAGTTGAATTAAAATGTCTCACTGATTATTTAGACAGGAATATATATTTTTGGTTGTCTGCAGAGAGTCTCTTTGTTTTTTGTTTCTTTGTTTTCTCCTCAGTAATTTTTCTTTTCCTTTTAAGTCCGTCTTAACCATTCTTCCTCCAGTTTAATCTCTGAGATTTTATTTCATCCATCTTCTTCCCCTCTCCCCTAACCAAAGTGTTGTATTTCATGCAATGAATCAAATGAACATTTTTATACTTTTTTTCTCGCAACAGTGAAATGCAGACTGGGCAGCTGTGTTGATTAATTGGCATTTAATGTTAATGCTAGAATTTTATTCTAGGCAATTTGTTCTCCTAATGGAATATTGAGTATTACCTTTAGTACTCAATAAGAAAAGCCTGAATTATAATTCTATATAAAATTAATGCATTAACTAAATGATTGTATTACAGTGATATGTGTGATAGATTATTATTTTTGTCCTCTCCCTCCTATTTTCTATTTTATGAAAGATCTTGTAATTATTTTATCTTTCTTTTTTTTTTTTTTTAGACAGAGTCTCACTCTGTCACCCAGGCTGGAGTGCAATGGCACAATCTAGGCTCACTGCAACCTCTGCCACCCAGGTTCAAGCACTTCTCTGCCCCAGTCTCCCAAGTAGCTCCCAAGTGGCACCTGCCACCACGCCTGGCTAATTTTTTATTTTTAGTAGAGATGGGGCTTCACCATCTTGCCCAGGCTGGTCTTGAACTCCTGACCTCGTGATCCACCTGCCTTGGCCTCCCAAAGTGCTGTGATCTTTCTTAATGACACAGAAAATCCCATTCAAATAAATTGTCATAAACCTTTATGAAACTTCTTTTCTTGAAACGTTCGTTTTTATAAGTTCAAATTATAAGGTAAGATGGTATTGTTTACTTGTTAAATATATTTTTTCTTATAATAATACGTTGATATGGTTTGGCTGTGTCCCCACCCAAATCTCATCTTGAATTCCCACGTATTGTGAGAGGGACCTGGCGGGAGGTAATGGAATCATGGGGACAGGTCTTTCTTGTACTTGTTCTCATGATAGTTAATAAGTGTCATGAGATCTGATGGTTCTATAAGGGGGAGTTTCCCTGCACAAGCTCTCTTCCCTTGTCTGCCGCCATGTGAGATGTGCCTTTCACCTTCCGCCATGATTGTGAGGCCTCCCCAGCCATATGGAACTGTAAGTCCATTAAACCTCTGTCTTTTGTAAATTCCCCAGTCTCGGGTATATCTTTATCAGCAGCATAAAAATGGACTAATACAACAGTCTTGCTTTAAATTATCAGTAATTCTTGAATGTGCAAATAGAATAAAATCAGAATTTTATGTAGTGGATTTTCCAAGATAATTAGGAGCCTGCTATTTTCCTTTTTTTTTTTTTTTGAGACAGAGTCTTGCTCTGTCACCCACGCTGGAGTGCAGTCAATCGCGCAATCTCGGTTCACTGCAACCTCTGCCTCCCAGGTTCAAGCAATTCTCTGCCTTGGCCTCCCAAGTAGCTGGGATTACAGGCACCTGCCACCATGCCCAGCTAATTTTTGTATTTTTAGTAGAGATGGGAGTTTCACCATGTTGGCCAGGCTGGTCTTGAACTCCTAACCTCAGATAATCTGCCCACGTTGGCCTCCCAAATTGCTGGGATTACAGGTGTGAGCCACTGCAACAAGCCATCTGCTATTTTACTTTTAAAATATTGGAGGCTCTTATGCATTTCACTTTTATCTTCTGTATTATCAGTGTTCTGTCAATACTTTCACATGTGATATTTTGTAAACTTACATCTGGCTTATACAGTATAAGTTCAAGGAATAATGATTCAGAAAAGAAAACTCAGAATTTCTTCCCTAAGATTTTATAGGAGCTGTAAAACTGCAAAGGTTATTGTGAAAATTAAAGAGAGCTTGAGTAATGGTCCCTTTTGTTTGTGAATTTGTGAACAGGTAATTAAATCACATTACCATAATATTTAAGGAGTAGGAGAAGAAAAACAATAACAGAAAATCTCTTAATTATACTAATGTTAACTGTATTCCTTTGGTTGTGTCTTATGCTTTTCAGTTTTATTGTTTGTTCCTTTGCTGATGTCCTTCATTGTATATAAGATCTTTCAAGACAGGAAGTATATTTATCTGATTAACCTTTTAAAGATTTAAAGCGCTCCGTAAAATGTTTTTTGAAATGAAGAGTGCCATTATTTCTGCTTTACCAAATAACCCCAAGGTCAATTTTCTGCTAACGAAGGTAGAATTACTAATGAAAAGTTGCCTATTCCTATTGAGAGTTTTGTCAAAGCAGTAGAGTACCAGTAGCCAATTAATTAATTAATTTATTGATGGAGTCTTGCTCTGTCGCCCAGACTGGAGTGCAGTGGCGCGATCTCGGCTCACTGCAACCTCTTTCTCCCAGGTTCAAGTGATTCTCCTGCCTCAGCCTCCCTAGTAGCTAGGACTACAGGCACATGCCATCACGCCCGGCTAATTTTTTGTATTTTTAGTAGAGACGGGGTTTCACCATGTTACCAGGATGGTCTTGATCTCCTGACCTTGTGGTCCACCTGCCTCGGCCTCCCAAAATGCTGGGATTACAGGCGTGAGCCACCGTGCCTGGCCTAAAATTTTTTTTTAAATAAAAACCTGGCAATTTTTTTTTAAAGAAATGAACAAACAACAAATTTAAAAAAAAATTGGAGAAAGAGATATCCCTGAAATTGCTTATCTTTTTCCTGGCTTCTTTCTCCACCTTCTCTAGGTTTATATTTTTGTTGCTGAACTTCGAATCCCAGGAACTGATTGTAGCATTAACCTGGTGATTTCAGAATCATATAATCTGTCAGTGAGAAACAGTAAATGCTTAACATATGGTTTGGTTATAGCTTTTGCGAATTAGTAACTGTAGTCAGGGGTTCCTAAGACCACCTCCAGATTCAATAATTTGCTACAAGGACTGACAGAATTCAGCAAAGCTGTTATACTCATGGTTATAGTTTATTACAGTGAAAGGACAGATTAAAATCAGCAACAAGTAAAGGTACATAGGGCAGAGTCCAGGAGAGACTAGACGCAAGCTTCCTATTTTCCTTTCCCAGGGTGGTCTATGGAGAGCGCTTAATTCTCCCACCAATGATAAATAACAACATGAATGAAGCATTGTCAACTAGGGAAGTTCATCTGAGCCTTGCTGTTTGTTTAGCATTTTTATTGGGGGGTCAGTTTTGTAGACAAGGTGCAGTCGTGTGGCTGGCTGACCTTAGTTATTCAGTCTCTAGCTTCTTCAGAGACCAAGCCGATACTGTGTGGTCTAGGACCCCAGGAAAAAAAAAAAGTACCTTTGTCAGACAAGATATTCCAAGAACTTAGAGGTTATCTCCTAGGAACCAGTCAAAGGCCAACCGTTTCTTTAGAATATCCAGAGTTTGGCCACCCAGGCCTGCTGAGCAGGAAGAGGGCGAGAGATACCCCAGTTCCTTCTTCCAATTTCACCTGTCTGATAAACCCAATTTTTCTTTCATGGGGAGTAGTAAGAAAGGGTAGAGAGAGAGTTAAGGTGTTTCTCTAGGATAAGGCCCTCCACATGGAAACATGTAAAATGGTGGTTAAGAGATCCCTGAAGCAGACTGAAGAGAAGCTTTAATTAGTGGGGAGAGGGAGAGATAACTGGAGTTATTGGGCTGAATTCTATAATAGGCACGCTTTGCAACTTTCAAGTAAGTCCTGATAACCTAAATTAGGCATTATCGGTGTGGTGTATTTGGTTACTCTGGTTTGTCATGAGAATAATAAGAGGAAGGCAGCATAATGTTGTGAAGTGCACGTACTTTGGTGCCAGACTGCCTGGGTTTGACTCCTTGATCTGCTACTTGCTCTGTGACTATGAACACATTACTTAACTGTGCTGTGCCCCATTTCCTATGAAATAAAACAACCTAATTCATATGGTTGTTGTGGAGATTAAATGAATTAATATATGAAATGCACTTAGAACATTGTCAAGCACATAGAAAACATTATATACACAGTCCCCAATGTATGATGGGGGTCCTTATACTTTTTCCCCTTTACCATGATGTAAAAGCTATACACATTCAGTAGAAACCATACTTTGAGTACCCATACAACCATTCTGTGTTTTACTTTCAGTATTTAATAAGTTACATAAAAACAAACAAAAAAGGGCCAGGCGTGGTGCCTCATGCATGTAATCCCAGCACTTTGGGAGGCCAAGGTGGGTGGATCACAAGGTCAGGAGTTTGAGACCAGCCTGGCTAATATGGTGAAACCCTGTCTCTACTAAAAATACAAAAATTAGCCGGGCATGGTGGTGGGTGCCTGTAGTTCCAGCTACTCGGGAGGCTGAGTCAGGAGAATTGCTTGAACCTGGGAGGCAGAGGTTGCGGTGAGCCGAGATTGCACCACTGCACTCCAGCCTGGGCGACAGAGCAAGATTCCATCTCAATAAATAAATAAACAAATAAATAAACAAATAAGTTACAGGAGATGGTCAGCACTTTATTATAAAATAGGCTTTGTGTTGGATAATTTTGCCCAACTACAGGCTTATGTAAGTGTTCCGAATGTGTTTAAGATAGCCTAAGCTAAGCTATGATGTTTAGTAGGATAGATATATTACATGCATTTTTGATATACAATATTTTTAACTTATGATGGGTTTATCAGGATATAACCCCATGGTAAGGCAAGGAGCATCTGTATAAAGTATACAGTTATTCATGTTGATATTACTATGTGAAAAGGTAAAATTATATATATATATATAAAAATTATATATATATATAAATTGCATATATATATACACATTGTGTGTATATATATACATTGTGTGTATATATATATACATTGTGTGTATATATATACATTGTGTATATATATACATTGTGTGTATATATATACACACTGTGTATATATATACATTGTGTGTGTGTGTATATATACACACACACACACACACACACACATACATACACAAAAGTAATGCATTCTGCACAATATCAAAGGCATCCTAAAGGTGATACTGGTTTTGACAAGAGCCCTAGGGGGAAAAAATGCAATTATTGGGAAAAGGATGTTCTGTTCTCTTGTCGTTCATCCTGCCTCTCCTATTCCTGTTTTTGTTTGTTTGTTTGTTTGTTTGTTTGTTTTTGGGCAACGGAGTTTCACTCTTGTTGCCCAAGCCAGAGTGCAATGTCACGATCTCGGCTCACTGCAACCTCTGCCTCCCAGGTTCAAGAGATTCTCTTGCCTCAGCTTCCCAAGTAGGTGGGATTAGAGGTGCGCCACCACGCCTGGATAATTTTTTGTATTTTTAGTAGAAACTGGGTTTCACCATGTTAGCCAGGCTGGCCTTGAACTCCTGACCTCAGGTGATCCACCTGTCTTGGCCTCCCAAAGTGCTAGGATTACAGGCATGAGTCACCACACCCGGCCAGCTTTTTCTATTTCTTAGGAGTCCAGCATCTCCACTGCTCAAAGAGGTCTGCCAAGTTAGAAGTCCTTCTTTCTAATACTGTACTTGTTGTGAAAAAAAAGTACAAAAAGTATGAAGTAGATGGGAATTGGTTTGAAAGTACTAAGGATGTGAAACTGTAAACTTCATTTCCTTATAAGCATAATTACCTTGTGAAGTACAAGTACGTAATTGTGGCTAGAATGTGGATAACGAGTCCCAGAGGATTTCTATGGGAAAACTGGAGTCTGTGCTCCCAAATTAGTCACTTCTTTTTAGTTTTCCTATCTCCCAAATGAAATTTAGGCCAGGCATGGTGTCTCACGCCTGTAACCCCAACACTTGGGAAGCCAAAGTGGGCAGATCACTTGAGGCCAGGAGTTTGAGACCAACTTAGCCAACGTGGCAAAAACCCATCTCTACAAAAAATACAAAGATAATATTTTAAAAAACAAAAAATAAAAATAAAAACAATAAAAAAATAAAAAATACAAAAATTAGCCAGGTGTGGTGCCACACACCTGTAGTCCCAGCAACTTGGGAGACTGAGGCAGGAGGGTTGCTTGAGCCCAGGAGGTGGAGGTTGCAGTAAGCTGTGACAGCACCATTGCCCTCCAGCCTGGGTGACAGAGGAAGACTCTGTCTCAAAAAAAAAGAAAATTCATGAATTCAAATTCAAGGTATAAATTCAATTTATACCTTGGTTATAGTAGGCTTTCCATAAATATTGAATAAATTGAAGCTAGGCATGCCTACCTTTCTGTTCAACTGATTAAAGCATTTGTTATACGCCGGGCACGGTGGCTCACGCCTCTAATCCCAGCACTTTGGGAGGCCGAGGTGGGCAGATCACCTGAGGTCAGGAGTTCGAGACCAGCCTGGTCAACATGGTGAAACCCTGTCTCTACTAAAAATACAAAAATTAGTTGTGATGCTGTGATGCACACCTGTAATCCCAGCTGCTTGGTAGGCTGAGACAGGAGAATCATTTGAACCCGGGAGGTGGAGGTTGCAGTGAACCGAGATTGTGCCACTGCACTCCGGCCGGTGTGATAGAGCGAGACTCTGTCTCATAAATAAATAAATAAATAAAATAAAGCATTTGTTATATGATGTATATATAGTTTAAGTAGTCGTACCAAAAAGAACACTCGTGTTCCCTGTGGAAGTTTTTAAATATGTCCACTTGTTTCTACGTAACCGCCTTTGCAGTTATCATAACCTCTGCCTGGAATGCTGTCCCTTCCTAGATATGCACATGGCTAACTCCTTGTCATTTGGGTCTTAGATTAAATGTCATCACATCAATGTCTTCACTATTGAGTTTTACTAAATAGTTAAGAAATAATACCAATCTAACACAAACTCTGAGAGAATAGAGGAAGAGAGAACAGTTTCCACTCATCAGCTGCAAAACTCTGATACCAACACTGACAAGGATATTACAAGAAAAGAAAATTATAGACCAACATCCCTCATGAACATGAACATACAACAAAAATTCTAAATAAAACATTAGCAGCCGGGTATGGTGGCTCATGCTTGTAATCCCAGCACTTTGGGAGGCCTAGGCGGGCAGATCACCTAAGGTCAGGAATTCGAGACCAGCCTGGCCAACAGGGTGAAACCCCATTTCTACAAAAAATACAAAAATTAGCCAGGTGTGGTGGTGCATACCTGTAGTCCTAGCTACTCTGGAGGCTGAGGCAGAATTGCTTGAACCTGGGAGGCAGACGTTGCAGTGAGCTGAGATCGCACCATTGTACTCCAGCCTAGATGACAGAGCAAGACTCTGTCTCAAAAACAAACAAAACCAAAAAAATTAGCAAATCAAATCCAGCAATACATAAAAAGAATAAGAAAACTATTGCTCAACATTATTAATTAGATCCTCTTTAATATTTTTCAAAGGCCATACATTAAAGATTGGAATCCTTTTATTACTGCTTTGACTATTCAGATAATGCTTCTTTAACTATGATTCCATGCGGACCCTAGGTCATAAAGGTCCAGCATTCATAAAGATTATAAATATTTCATCATGTCACTGTAATTTAAGTCATTATCCAGAATTGAGGTATATTTTAGATATGAAAGTAAATGTATTTTATGGCATTATTACAGTGTATTTTGATTCCAGAGTTTTCATTTTCCGCTTTGTATTTTCAGTAACAGGCCTTTCCCTTGTTTTGCAGATCAAGATATTTTGGAAACTATATTGATAGACAGCTGTATCTTCCCAAGTACCACAATAGTAAGTAGATAAGTTTTAGAATTACATCGTTTCATGATTTTTTTTAAAAAAGAAAGTGTTTAAAAGCCTTTAGATTTAAATAGTTTGAGGCCGGGCGCAGTGGCTCACACCTGTAATCCCAGCACTTTGGGAGGCCAAGGCGGGCGGATCATCTGAGGTCGGGAGTTCGAGACCAGCCTGACCAACATGGAGAAACCTGGCTCTACTAAAAATACAAAATTAGCTGGGTGTGGTGGCACATGCCTGTAATCCCAGCTACTTGGGAGGCTGAAGCAGGAGAATTGCTTGAAAACCCAGGAGGCAGAGGTTGCAGTGAGCTAGATTGCGCCATTGCACTCCAGCCTAGACAACAAGAGTGAAACTCCGTCTCAAAAAAAAAAAAAAAAAAAGATTTAAATAGTTTGCTGAATATTGAAACCTCTTAAATCTTAAATATAGATTCCTTTCAACTTCTAATATCATTCATTTTGGTGAACATACCAAAAACTGTCTCTTTTGAAAGGGTTTTTTTTTTCTGGATTTTTTCTATTTTGAAGACCTTCCCAATCCAATCAGACTATGTAAAAATAGTCGTATTCCTGCTCTGTTATGAAAAATAATGGAATGGAATGGAATGGAAAATATTGCTGGTTAGATATTGTTTGTATACTTTTCTTTATATATGTTTTCCCTTGTTAGCCAGATCATTTGAGCAGTCTTATTATTGTGATGCTATATGATTTCCAAGATAGAAAATTTCAAACTCGTGTCCTTTCTGATAATGAAGAGCCCATATCAGAAGTTCAAGAAGTAGAGAACCTTCTTAACAGGTAATCGTAAAAGTGAAAAGAATGTTTTATATGAAACCTACATTGGTATTGTTATTGGTAAAATTACATACAGTATAATGTGTAGATAAGAGTTAAATTTTATAGGGAAAAATATAAAAATTCATAAAATTCTTGAATTTCTTTACAAACAGTCTTGAACAGGTTAAGAATTTTGTTTGAAATCAATTTGTTTTTCAAAGCTTGAATTACAAGATCCAGTATGTAAGCATGTGAGAAATCATTAAAAATTCTCAATAATTTTTAGCACATAAATTAAACTGTATTTGAAACAGCTACTAATTGCTTAGTTCACTTTATTTATAGCTTTGTAAAACAAAGAAAACATCTAACATGAATCAAATGAGAAAATTCCAACAGTAGACAAGAATCAACTATTTTCCCAAAGTAAAGAAAAAAAAATTCTACTTAAGAACAAACTAACATCTTAAATTTGTTTTCTTTTTATCCTAAATATCAGTAGAAGTCTACCATGAGAATAAGAAGTTTCTACCTCAAAGGGTAGATGGGACAGTGGATTAAATTAATGCATGTAAAATGCTCAGTTAGAACCAGACATAAAGTAAATTGGTCAGTAAATGTTAAGTGTTACTGTTTGCTATGGTTTGAATGTGTCCCCCAGAATTCATGTATTGGAAACTTAATCCTCAGTATGACAATGTTGGGAGTTGGGGCCTAATGAGAAGTGTTTAGGTCATGAAGATTTCACCCTCATGAATAGATTAATGCTATTATAAAAAGGGCTTGTGAGATGGGTTTGCTCTCTTGTGCTTTTGCCCTTCTGTGTTCCACCATTTGATGATGCAGCAAGAAGGCCCTCACCAAATGCCAGCACCTTGATTTTGGACTTCTCAGCCTCCAGAACTGTGAGAAAATAAACTTCTGTTCTTTATAAATTAGCTGGTCTCAGGTATTTTGTTATAGCAGTGCAAAATGAACTAAGATACTGTTGATTCCAGCTTTTAGTTCTATGTTGTTGAACTTTAATAGAAAGTACAATGTAGCAACAACAACAATCTTGTAGGAAGATTTTGGCTTAGTGAATAAGTGAATAATCTGATTGTTACTGTCAACAATTGTCACTGTGATGTCTAATTTTTATAGGAAATTTAAGCAGTTTTATTTAAATTATTGAAGGCTGAGACCAGAAGATTCAGGTAATAGTAATGATAATAATAGCTTACATTTATTGAGCACTTAATATGTGTTAGCCACTGTTCTGAGAAGCTCTTTACGTAACAATTCTATGCATTGGTTACTGTTACCAACCTGTAATTTTACACATGGGAAAAATGAGGAACAGACAAGTTAAAGCAGGGGTCCCCAACCCCAGGGCTGCAGACCAGTACCTGTCTGTGGCCTGTTAGGAACTGGGCAGCACAGCACGAGGTGAGCAGCAGGTGAATGAGAATGACCACCTGAGTTCTACCTTCTGTCAGATTAGCAGCAGCATTAGATTCTCATAGGAGCGTGAACCTGATTGTGAACTGCACATGGTGAGGGATCTAGGTTGCATGCTCCTTGTGAGAATCTAAGGATTCATCTAATTAGATGATCCTTATGAGATCATCTAATGCTTGATGATCCTTATGAGATCATCTAATGCTTGATGATCTGAGGTGGAACAGTTTCATCCTGAAACCATTCCCTCCACCTTCCCCCAGTTCATGGAAAAATTGTCTTCCACGAAACTGGTCCCTGGTACCAAAAAGGTTCGAGACTGCTGAGTTAAAGGGACTGTTTAATGCCACAGAACTGGAAAGGGGAGTAGCCAGAATTCACACTCAGGAGTGACTCCAGAGTCCAAACTTCAACCATTTATATGCTAGCATTCCTTCCACTTAGCATAGTGAGGCTTGGCTGAGGTACTCTGGAAGTTTAGAACATAGTCATATCTCATGTCAGTGTCATAGCCATGAGAAATCACAGGATGGAGAAGAGCAAAAGCAATCAGATGTATGTACTCTCTGTGTTAAATAAGTAAGGATCTTGCGCCTGTTTACTTTGTGTCTGGGGGAAACCACCTTATTGCTAGTACCAGTATTAGGCAGCCTGACTCCCAGGATGGGCATTCAGAGGAAACTTGGAGCAATATGCTATGGGACAGGCTCCGAGTTTCAGTTTCCTCGTGCTTCTCCTAGTTTCTGTTTGACATAGTCAGGATTTAGGGGACTTTCATGTCTGAACTTAGTCTCAGAGGGGCTGATGACAGCTGGGGTTATGCTGAGTCAACCAAGAAACCCACAGGGCTCTAACCAAGTAAGAAAGATTACACTGTGGTTTCATCAGAAGTAGACTTTAGCTGAGGATGCTGGTGAGGAAAGTAGGAGTAGGACAAGCAAAGGGCCTGGTTTAAGAGGTCAGAGGAACCAGAAGATATTAATGTCTAAGGATTCCTGATTCCCCAGATTTTCCCTATTCCCATAATTCACATCATGCTACTACCTGCCTTAACACATATTCTGGTTACATTGTTGTCAGTGCAGTTGTTTTTTCCCATACCCAAACCAATAGAATTTTATGCATTGCAAATCTTATTGCTAGGAATTAATTTAGGAATCTTATTCCTAATCAGTCACATTGTACTCAATTCACGTTATACTCAATTCATAATATACTATAGGAGAAATGCCTATGTTTAGTGATTGAATTGTGGAGAAGAATAGTAGCACATTGCTGAGAAAATACATGTACAAAGATGCCACAGTATTTTACTCGAGTCTTCTTTGTTTTTTTTAATTTTTTAATTTTTTAATTTTTTTATTTTATTATTATACTTTAAGTTTTAGGGTACATGTGCACAATGTGCAGGTTAGTTACATATGTATACATGTGCCATGCTGGTGTGCTGCACCCATTAACTCGTCATTTAGCATTAGGTATATCTCCTAATGCTATCCCTCCCCCCTCCCCCCACCCCACAACAGTCCCCAGAGTGTGATGTTCCCCTTCCTGTGTCCATGTATGTTCTCATTGTTCAATTCCCACCTATAAGTGAGAACATGCAGTGTTTGGTTTTTTGTCCTTGCGATAGTTTACTGAGAATGATGATTTCCAATTTCATCCATGTCCCTACAAAGAACATGAACTCATCATTTTTTATGGCTGCATAGTATTCCATGGTGTATATGTGCCACATTTTCTTAATCCAGTCTATCATCGTTGGACATTTGGGTTGGTTCCAAGTCTTTGCTATTGTGAATAGTGCTGCAATAAACATACATGTGCATGTGTCTTTATAACAGCATGATTTATAGTCCTTTGGGTATATACCCAGTAACGGGATAGCTGGGTCAAATGGTATTTCTAGTTCTAGATCCCTGAGGAATCACCACACTGACTTCTACAATGGTTGAACTAGTTTACAGTCCCACCAACAGTGTTAAAGTGTTCCTATTTCTCCACATCCTCTCCAGCACCTGTTGTTTCCTGACTTTTTAATGATTGCCATTCTAACTGGTGTGAGATGGTATCTCATTGTGGTTTTGATTTGCATTTCTCTGATGGCCAGTGATGATGAGCATTTTCTCATGTGTCTTTTGGCTGCATAAATGTCTTCTTTTGAGAAGTGTCTGTTCATATCCTTCACCCACTTTTTGATGGGGTTGTTTGTTTTTTTCTTGTAAATTTGTTTGAGTTCATTGTAGATTCTGGATATTAGCCCTTTGTCAGATGAGTAGGTTGTGAAAATTTTCTCCCATTTTGTAGGTTGCCTGTTCACTCTGATGGTATTTTCTTTTGCTGTGCAGAAGCTCTTTAGTTTAATTAGATCCCATTTGTCAATTTTGGCTTTTGTTGCCATTGCTTTTGGTGTTTTAGACATGAAGTCCTTGCCCATGCCTATGTCCTGAATGGTAATGCCTAGGTTTTCTTCTAGGGTTTTTATGGTTTTAGGTCTAACGTTTAAGTCTTTAATCCATCTTGAATTGATTTTTGTATAAGGTGTAAGGAAGGGATCCAGTTTCAGCTTTCTACATATGGCTAGCCAGTTTTCCCAGCACCATTTATTAAATAGGGAATCCTTTCCCCATTGCTTGTTTTTCTCAGGTTTGTCAAAGATCAGATAGTTGTAGATATGTGGCGTTATTTCTGAGGGCTCTGTTCTGTTCCATTGATCTATATCTCTGTTTTGATACCAGTACCATGCTGTTTTGGTTACTGTAGCCTTGTAGTATAGTTTGAAGTCAGGTAGCGTGATGCCTCCAGCTTTGTTCTTTTGGCTTAGGATTGACTTGGCGATGTGGGCTCTTTTTTGGTTCCATATGAACTTTAAAGTAGTTTTTTCCAATTATGTGAAGAAAGTCATTGGTAGCTTGATGGGGATGGCATTGAATCTATAAATTACCTTGGGTAGTATGGCCATTTTCACGATATTGATTCTTTCTACCCATGAGCATGGAATGTTCTTCCATTTCTTGGTATCCTCTTTTATTTCATTGAGCAGTGGTTTGTAATTCTCCTTGAAGAGGTCCTTCACATCCCTTGTAAGTTGGATTCCTAGGTATTTTATTCTCTTTGAAGCAATTGTGAATGGGAGTTCACTCATGATTTGGCTCTCTGTTTGTCTGTTATCGTTGTATAAGAATGCTTGTGATATTTGTACATTGATTTTGTATCCTGAGACTTTGCTGAAGTTGCTTATCAGCTTAAGGAGATTTTGGGCTGAGACAATGGGGTTTCCTAGATATACAATCATGTCATCTGCAAACAGGGACAATTTGACTTCCTCTTTTCCTAATTGAATACCCTTTATTTCCTTCTCCTGCCTAATTGCCCTGGCCAGAACTTCCAATACTATGTTGAATAGGAGTGGTGAGAGAGGGCATCCCTGTCTTGTGCCAGTTTTCCAAGGGAATGCTTCCAGTTTTTGCCCATTCAGTATGATATTGGCTGTGGGTTTGTCATAGATAGCTCTTATTATTTTGAGATACGTCCCATCAATACCTAATTTATTGAGAGTTTTTAGCATGAAGGGTTGTTGAATTTTGTGAAAGGCCTTTTCTGCATCTATTGAGATAATCATGTGGTTTTTGTCTTTGGTTCTGTTTATATGCTGGATTACATTTATTGATTTGTGTATATTGAACCAGCCTTGCATCCCAGGGATGAAGCCCACTTGATCATGGTGGATAAGCTTTTTGATGTGCTGCTGGATTCGGTTTGCCAGTATTTTATTGAGGATTTTCGCATCAATGTTCATCAAGGATATTGGTCTAAAATTCTCTTTTTTGGCTGTGTCTCTGCCTGGCTTTGGTATGAGGATGATGCTGGCCTCATAAAATGAGTTAGGGAGGATTCCCTCTTTTTCTATTGTTTGGAATAGTTTCAGAAGGAATGGTACCAGTTCCTCCTTGTACCTCTGGTAGAATTCGGCTGTGAATCCATCTGGTCCTGGAGTTTTTTTGGTTGGTAAGCTATTGATTATTGCCACAGTTTCAGAGCCTGTTATTGGTCTATTCAGAGATTCAACTTCTTCCTGGTTTAGTCTTGGGAGAGTGTATGTGTCGAGGAATTTATCCATTTCTTCTAGATTTTCTAGTTTATTTGCGTAGAGGTGTTTGTAGTATTCTCTGATGGTAGTTTGTATTTCTGTGGGATCGGTGGTGATATCCCCTTTATCATTTTTTATTGCGTCTATTTGATTCTTCTCTCTTTTTTTCTTTATTAGTCTTGCTAGCAGTCTATCAATTTTGTTGATCCTTTCAAAAAACCAGCTCCTGGATTCATTAATTTTTTGAAGGGTTTTTTGTGTCTCTATTTCCTTCAGTTCTGCTCTGATTTTAGTTATTTCTTGCCTTCTGCTAGCTTTTGAATGTGCTTGCTCTTGCTTTTCTAGTTCTTTTAATTGTGATGTTAGGGTGTCAATTTTGGATCTTTCCTTCTTTCTCTTGTGGGCATTTAGTGCTATAAATTTCCCTCTACACACTGCTTTGAATGTGTCCCAGAGATTCTGGTATGTTGTGTCTTTGTTCTCGCCAGTTTCAAAGAACGTCTTTATTTCTGCCTTCATTTCGTTATGTACCCAGTAGTCATTCAGGAGTAGGTTGTTCAGTTTCCATGTAGTTGAGCGGTTTTGAGTGAGTTTCTTAATCCTGAGTTCTAGTTTGATTGCACTGTGGACTGAGAGACAGTTTATTATAATTTCTGTTCTTTTACATTTGCTGAGGAGAGCTTTACTTCCAACTATGTGGTCAATTTTGGAATAGGTGTGGTGTGGTGCTGAAAAAAGTGTATATTCTGTTGACTTGGGGTGGAGAGTTCTGTAGATGTCTATTAGGTCCGCTTGGTGCAGAGCTGTTACTCAAGAGTCTTCTTAGCTTTCAAGTAATTGAAGCCATCTTCACTTAGCTTGAGCAAAAATGGAAAAGAAAGATACTGGGATATCTCATACAACTCAAGGACTCAGGAAGAGAATGAAATCAGGAACTGGAAAGATGTTAGGACTTTAATTTGCTTTATCTCTTTATCTTTTTATCTCTGCTTCTCTCGTAGTATCTGCTTCATTTTTTTCCTCTGCACATCTGCCTACTCTGCTTTTCTAGTCTGCATGGAGAAGGCCCTACTGTTGTACCCCAGTACCCAAGCTTATGTTACAGTTGTATGCTAGTTTCTTCACTGAGACTAACTTATTATCTTACCTCCCATTTCTAAATTCCTGTGAGAGGAAATTCGATTGCCTCAGTGCAGGTCAGGTGCAGTCTCTCGAGCCAATTCCCTGTAGCCAATGAAGTGGTATTCTAAACCACAGAAAGACAGCAGGAAGCCAACTCTATCTGCCTTCTAGGGCTTGAGACTGTAGTTCCCAAGGAAGTTCAGTCACTGTAAGCTCAAAGTATACCTTAGCATATATCTACTTAGAGGATAAAGACTAATTCTTTTTTTTTCTTTTTTTTTTTTTTTGAGACGGACTCTTGCTCTGTCGCCCATGCTGGAGTGCAATGGCACAATCTCGGCTCACTGCAACCTCCACCTCCTGAGCTCAAGCAGTTCTCCTGCCTCAGCCTCCCAAGTAGCTGGGATTACAGGTGTGCGCCATTATGCCTGTGTTTTTGTAGAGATGGGGTTTCAGCATGTTGGCCAGGCTGGTCTCAAACTCCTGACCGCAGGTGATCCTCCCGCCTCGGCCTCCTAGAATGCTGGGATTACAAGTGTGAGCTGCCGTGCTCGGCCAGATAAAGACTAACTCTAAGAGGTTATAGAAGAAGAAGTAATTAGCAAGAAGCTGAATGAGAATGATTTCCTCCTTGTAAAAGTGGTTTGACCTTTGTTGTTGTTCCTCCTGGGAATCCTTGTGTTTTTTCACTCTTATACCCCTAAGCACCAACATGTATCTTTTTCTTCACTTATTCGTGGGTTTAGACATGTAATCCAAGATGATACCTATTATCATTTTTTTTACATATGAAAGGTCTTTAAGAACCCATTCTTTGTATAAAATGTAACTGTCTTTTTAATACTGTGTGACCAGGTTAAAAAAAGAGAGACCACAACCCCTTGTTTCTCACTCCCCATGCCTTTCCACCAGCCCAATAATCTATTTCTATTAAATTATTTGTTGGACTGTTGTGAGGCAGCAATTGGAAAATAAGCAGTGAAAAAGTAGAGAAAGGAGGGGAAAGACTTAGTCAGTTCTTCTTCCAAACCACCCCAAAACCATTTATTCTGATGTCTTCCACTTCACAGCTAAGGCATCACCATCTACCTAGACATCATCCTTGATTCTTCTTTCCTCCCCTCCCCTGCACTCAATCTGTGTCTAATGCATCAAGTCCTGTAACTCCAATTCAAAAACATACACTGAGCCTGTGTGCTTCTTTCCATTTCCACTACTACCATCCAAATCTATGCCACCATAATCTATCACTTGGACTACCATGATAGCTTCCTTAGATACATTTCCCTGGCCTATAACTCTCACTTTCCTGCAATCTATTCCACATGGCAGGTAGAGTGATATTTTCAAAATGTAATTGTATGGTCATGATAGAATATCTTGGATCAGTCTTCCCCTTCTACTGTAAACAACTAGAAAACTGGCCAAAATATATCATAGGACGTAAAGGTTTTGGACATTAGACAAGAAGCAGCACAGAAACCTGATCCCTGAAAGAACAAAACAAATGAGGTGAGCCCTAGAATAGTCCTGGCTTTATGCCTGGAAGAATTCTCAAACTGCAATGCAGAAAGTAGAAAACAGCAGTCTTGCTGAGTTAAGAAAACAGAGAACAGTTTTAGAAGACTGAAGTGATTGTTTTTCTTCTTTATTGTATTAAGTGGCCAGGTGATTTACATTGACTGGTTTATGAATGTTAAACCAGCCATGCATTTTTGGGATAAGGCACATTTGCTCAGATATATTCTTTTTCTTATCTTCCCCAGTTTCTCTCATTCCCCATAATGCTCCAGAATTTCTAATTGCCAAAATGCCCTTTAAATACTTGTTCATGGGTTTTATCTCTCACATTCTCTCCGCTCCTTCTTCAGAAACTCTTCACCTGTTTCACTTACCTAGTAAAGAGTCTGAAGCAGATGACTGATTTTACATTTTTCTGGGAAATTCAAGCAGTTCATTGAAGATTATCTTTTGGCATTAAGAAAATGCAATCAAGGTCAGGCGTGGTGGCTCACGCCTGTAATCCCAGCACTTTGGGAGGCCGAGGCGGGTGGATCTCCTGAGGTCGGGAGTTCGAGACCAGCCTGGACCAACATGGAGAAGCCCCATCTCTACTAAAAATACAAAATTAGTCAGGCGTGGTGGTGCATGCCTGTAATCCTACCTACTTGGGAGGATGAGGCAGGAGAATCACTTGAACCCGGGAGGCGGAGGTTGCAGTGAGCCAAGATCATGCCACTGCACTGCAGCCTAGATAACAAGAGGGAAACTCCATCTCAAAAAAAAAAAAAAAAAAAGAAATTGCAATCAAGTGTCACTTAATGATGGGGATACATTCTGAGAAATGTGTCGTTAGGTGATTTCTTCTGATGGGAACATCGTAGAACATACTTACACAAATCTAGATGGTATAACCTACTGCACACCTATCCTATATGGTATAACCTAGTGCTCCTAGGCTACAAACCTGCACAGCATGTTATGTACTGAATACTGTAGGCAATTATAACACTATGGCAAGTATTTGTGTATCTAAACCTATTTAAATATAGCAAAGGTACTACCGTAGTAAACTTTTATGGGACCACCATCATAAACAGAGTTCATCATTGACCTAAATGTCATTATGCAGCAGATGACTTTATTCAATTTATATTTAAAGAGAACCACAGTTCTGATATGTTAGACATTAGTAATGCCATTCAAAAACTTGAGTCAAAAACTACATAAATATTTCTGAAAATTTAAAAAATGTAAATGTATATTACAAAAAGCCAAAAGAAGTAGTAAAAAGCCAAAAAAGAGTAATATCAATTTCATTTAAAAATAAACTGAGGTGGCTGGGCACGGTGGCTCACACCTGTAATCCCAGCACTTTGGGAGGCCAAGGTGGGCGGATCGTGAGGTCAAGAGATCGAGACCATCTTGGCCAACATAGTGAAACCCCATCTCTACTAAAAATACAAAAATTAGCCAGGTGTGGTGGTGTGCACCTGTAGTCCCAGCTACTTGGGAGGCTGAGGCAGGAGAATCTCTTGAACCCAGGAGGCGGAGGTTGCAGTAAGCCGAGATTGCACCACTGCACTCCAGCCTGGTGACAGAGCAAGACTCTGCCTCAAAAAATAAAAAATAATAAACTGAGGAAAAATGGCATATTAGTTAAGATGATTTTTTGCAACTGACAGATTCTGCAAAAGAGGGACTTTAAGATCATTTATGGAAGAATTGAACATGAGGCTACAGGAAGGGCGGTGATGTAGCGATGCTTCTGCTAAATAGAGCCTGTGACTCCAAAATCATCAGGACTCTAGTCTCTGCTTCTCTGTGCCTCCATTCTCTTATCATTCTATATTTCCAGGATAAGAAGCTTGGCTGCCAACAACTCCCTAACATGGGAGCTACATTTTATAGTACCAAACACTGGAAAAACTGGCTTGACTCTCTCTTTCTACCTCCAAAAAATCTCTGTCTTTCTCTCTTTCTCTTCTCTCTCATGCACGCCAGTTGGGCTTGAACTCTGCAATCAAATTACCTGAATTCAGATAATTGAGAGAGAGAGAATATGGAAGAGAGAGAAAGAGGAGATGTGACATGGCATACCATAGGAGTGGCAAATAGTTCAGCACATGACTGACGATAGATTTATGGATGAGAGTGATGGGAATTGAGACAGGAAGAGTTGGTTCAGGTTGAGCTATTAAGATCCTAGAATATCCTCATAAGGAGTTTAGATTCTGTCCTGTGGCTGGTGGATTTCATCTAAAATTTAAGCTTATATAAATATATATTTATAATTATATAATTATAAATATATAATTATATTATTAATATTTAATATCATAAAGGAAGCTCTGACTGTGTGTGTAACTGGGATGATGGTAAAAAAGATAATCAGGCAGCTCTCTGTGATAACATACAAACTGTAGCAGAAAAAGGACTTCTGGATCAAGAATATTGGGAAAGGCTACTTTGCTACCATTTTCATCATTGCAGTCCTCCTTATTTAAAGCTATGGAAGAAGCTTTTTTTAGTAACCACAAGATAGCATACTTCATCTACAGAAGTATAGGTCTGGTTATTTTAAGAACATATGGATTTGATCTTTGCCCTAAGTCTAATATAGTATCTTTACATAAAAATCTGTATAACTGCATGTACACTTTATTTTTTGTGGGATTAAATTTTGTTAAAAATCATGGTCCAAAATGTTTACTATCTGGAAAATTGGAGATTTATTTCTCCTTACACTCCTCCCGTATACACAGCACATGTATATTTCTCAGCTTCATATTTTTAGTCTTTAATGATTGAATAATTCAGTAATATCATTTATCATGATAAATTTGAACTAAGTAGGTATTTGCAAGTATTGTTAATAAAAAATAGTCTATACT
Organism: Homo sapiens; assembly: GCF_000001405.40. NCBI lineage: Eukaryota > Metazoa > Chordata > Mammalia > Primates > Hominidae > Homo > Homo sapiens. Next base: position 40,772,327 of record NC_000004.12, read on the forward strand.
CAGAATATCTCACAATGTATAATATAGAACAGTAACTCACCCCTTTTACATTAATTTATTTTTTGAGGTGCATTAATGTACTATGTCATTTTTTTAGTATCCACTGCCATAGTTCTGTGACATTTAGACACAGAATTAGACAAATCTAATTTTATTGTAGTCCCAAAAGGCTTAATGTTTGATCACCCTTCCCTTTCCTTACCAAGTTCCCCTATCTTCTCTCTCTCATATACATACACATAATATTCCCACATAAACAATTTTTTTGGGTGAGATGTTCTCATTCTATTGAGTAGATAAGAAATGTAGAATAAGGACACTGCAGGCATGAAGAAAAGAAGTAGGGATTTAACAGTTGGTGCTAAAAAAATAACAGAGATGCTCATTTACTACCCCTCTTGTCCTGGCTCCCAGCATTCTTTGAAACAATTTAGGTGGGCCTGACAGTAATTCCCTGAAAGTGTGCTCCCCTTCTGTACCACCCACCAACCACAACTCAGATCGTATTTGACTGTTTTGTGACATCTCTTCTTATTTCTCACTCAAGGTTATACTTGAGGTTGATTTCAGTTAGATTTCTACTGTGAAAATGCTATGAATATGGGTCAGGAATAAGTCCTGTGTTCTCATTCATTAAAAATTTGGGCTATGAGATCAAGAAAAATCATTGAGCCATCATGGTGATGCTAACCAGTTCTTGTTTTTCTTTTGTGATTTGGAATTTTGAAGCATGGGACATTCAGAACTGGGAAGGACTTAATACAGACTCATGAAAGTTCTTTAATCTTATCAAGACTATACTGTTGCCATCTGTGATACTGATAACTAGCCTATAATGAGTGCCTGCTACGTGCCAGGCACTGCGCTAAGAATTTTGCACACATGATTGATAATCACTACATTAATAACAAGGTAAGTTGACCACCTTTAACAGATGAGACAACTAGGCTGAAAAAGGAGATTAAGTAACATTCCTGAGGTTACACAGCTAGTAAGTGATAAAACCTGGATTTAACTTCAAGTTTGTCTGACTCTAAATCCTAGACCCTTCTCAATAAATAAAGTTTGTCTTTCGGCTGGGTGCGGTGGCTTACGCCTGTAATCCCAGCACTTTGGGAGGCTGAGGCGGGCGGATCACTTGAGGTCAGGAGTTTGAGAACAGCTTGGCCAACATGGCGAAACCCCATCTGTACTAAAAATACAAAAATTAGCTGGGTGTGGTGGTGCACACCTGTAGTCCCAGCAACTCGGGAGGCTGAGGTAGGAGAATTGCTTGAACCCACAGGGCAGAGGTTGCAGTAAGCCAAGATCATGCCACTGCACTCCAGCCTGGGCGACAGACGGAGACTCTATCTCAAAAAAAAAAAAAAAGTTTGTCTTTCAACCAGTAATTAATACAATAGTTAAGAAATTGCTGCACAACTATACAGGGGCAGCAAAAACAGAAAGAAAGAAATCAGGATTATTGGATTTCTATTTTCTTTTCTTTTTTGAGACAGAGTTTTGCTCTTGTTGCCCAGGCTGGAGTGGAGTGGAATCTCGGTTCACTGCAACCTCCGCCTCCTGGGTTCAAGTGATTCTCCTGCCTCAACCTCCCGAGTAGCTGGGATTACAGGCGCCCGCCACCACGCCCGGCTAATTTTGTATTTTTAGTAGAGATGGGGTTTCCCCAGGTTGGTCAGGCTGGTCTCGAACACCTGACCTCAGGTGATCCACTTGCCTCGGCCTCCCAAAGTGTTGGGATTACAGGCATGAGCCGCTGCGCCTGGGCTTGGATTTCTATTTACAAATATGACACATTTTTATTTTAGACTTCAAAAATTTGAAATAGAATTGTTATTTGTTAAAATTCTAAATGTAATTTTTTAGAGTTTCCAGTGGAAAATTGATAGTCTTGTCTCAAATGCAATAGATTAAGGATGGATTTTCTGTCTCTAGTTTTAAGATAAAATTGGCTGCAGCATTGGCAAGATGTCGAATCAAGCATGATGCCCTTTCAATTTACCACATCCTTCCAGAAACAGTTAGGAAACAGGAACTAAGGGCCTCCACTTTACCACTTTATGCTTGGATAAATACTTGTAAAATCAGGTAAGTGTTTAAATCAAATTCTTTATATTTCAAGTCTCCATCCTTTTAAAATAATGTGATGAGAAGCATTACCTTTTTAAGAGGTGGGGGTGGCACATCTAGGGGAGTGATTAGGGAATCAGAGTTAAGTTCCAGAGCTTATGACCAAATTACCAAAGGTAATTACATAAATATGTTAACTTCTCTGCCTATAATTATCTTTTAGTTTATTGTTGGTTAAAATTGTTAGTTCCATTAGATGTAATGTATGAAGTGATATTTTTCTTTGTTACAGGAAAAAGGTGTTAGTGTTAAGGACGTTTTTAATGTATTATATTTGTAATTACAAGCTAATGTTGTATATTTACAGCCCTGAAGAAGTTTATAATAATTTGAAGAGAAGAGGCTATAATAAAGTCAAATCTGTATTGCATATTGATGATAAAGTCTTTGCTGTGGATCAACATTGCTATGATGTCTTAATTTTTCCATCTCATCTTAAAAATGATCTTATAAATATAGATCTTTTCAAAGATTACAAACTTATATTTCAGGTAAACTAATATTTACTTTCATTGTGATTCTCAACAATCCAACCTAGCCAAAGAACTTCTCCACTTAAAAATAAAACCTAACACTGTTTATATTTTTATAGATTATCAGGGAGGTTTATAAGGCCTAATTGTCACCTTGAATAAAATTAATACCTCTACAATCAGTGCATCTGGTTGGCGTCTTTGTCTCATGTGAATTTATAAAGAACATATTCTTCTCCCAGATTCCATGAATGGGAAGATTTGCATTGCTGGCAGCTGTAAGGTTCTACTTTTCTCCCCTAAAGGAGAATTCAAGAGAAAGTACAATGAGACCTTTTCTTCCTTCCCTTTCTGGGGAAGATGCTAGTGCCATCTTGCATATGAAAAAACAATTGTAATAGTTTTTCATAATTTCTTTAATATAGTCTTATAGCTTTGATTTGTAAGAGGTATATAAAGGCTATCAATATAGGAAGAGAATGTGAGGTATAATGTAGTTTCAACAGAACGAAAATAAAAGGTATAAAAAAGTAGTTTAAATTCATTTTTACATCCTTAGATTCCAATTATTGCCTCAGATATACCTTGATCTTCTAAGGTTTATCCCTTTTCCACATTCATATTCTTGGGCAGAATCTCTTACCATATCAAGCACTGAGATCAACTGCAGAAGCCCAACCTGTCAAGCCCCCTTTGATGAGCTTCTCAAATATATTAATTTTAATCTCTGTGAGCTAGTGGCAATTTAGGTGACAAGGTAATGGGGAAGAGAAAATGGAAGTAGTAGATGAGTGGGTTTTTGTGAAGGGGTAAGAATGGGAGTTAAGATAGGACATCATTAATCTGTTGACCATATTTTAGAGATTCTGGCATTGCTTTATACAAAACTTAGACAGTAACAGTCATAATTTAGGCTAAACAAAGTTAAGCTCTTTGTTTTAAACATCAGTTGTCTTTGTTAACTCTTTACTTAGACATATATTAAGATGTTAAAACTAAAATTGGTTAGGTCTCTAATATTACTATGAGGTACTTTCTTTTATGTAAAGCAAATAGAAGTCAGCTTATATTTCTAGCCATACCCTTTGAAATTCTAATCATACCATTATCTTACAGGACAAATCTCGAAGTCTTGCTGTCCATTCTGTAAAGGCTTTATTAAATATGGATGATGATGTCTTAATGGTCAATACAGGCTCATGGTACACAGTTTCCCACATGTCAATTTTAACAAATAATAATACCTCAAAAGTATTTGTGTGTGGAGTACAATCACAAGCTAAGGATCCTGACTTGAAGACCCTTTTCACAAAAATAGGATGTAAAAGTATGTAAAAATATTTCTTCATTTGGTGATTATTGTTCTGCAAGATTTTAGAAACGTTAAAAAGTTTTAATTTATTAGTTTTTTTGTAATGTAAAAGCTCTATATGTGAACTAATATCTTAAAATCCTTACTAATCTATGTCTTATCAGGCTGTCCTTGTTGCTTAATTTGGTTAAACAACTGTGGGTTAAATTAATTTCTTGGTACTTTGTAATACTGTTTGACATTTAGCTCACATAATTTGAGGCTCAAACATTTAAAGTAGAAATGTATCATTTAATAAATAAGAATGATTATCATTTAATAAATACTTAAATAAGTGCTTAAGTGACAAAGATAATATCTAGGACTAGAAGCTAAGTCTTTTTTTTTTTGAGATAAAGTCTTACTTTGTTGCCCAGGCTGGAGTGTACTGATATGATCACAGTTCACCACAGCCTCTACCTCCTGGGCTCAAGAGGTCCTCCAACCTCAGCCTCCCAAGTAGCTGTGACTACAGGCTCATGCCACTATGCGTGGCTAATTTTTCTAATTTTTGTAGAGCCAAGGTTTTGCAGTGTTGCTCAAGCTAATCTCAAACTCCTGGGCTCAAGTGATCCACCTGCCTGGGCATCCCAAAGTCCTGAGATTACAGAGGCGTGAGCTACCAGGCCTGGCCTAGGAGCTGTCTTTTAGGCTTCTTGTTTTTTAAAAATGTTTCCATTGGATCATTCTAACTAAAGATTACATTTTATTATAGGTTCAGCGAGGCTGAAAAACTAAGCAAAACTTTTAACAGATTCACAGGGATAGGGAGACAAAAAGTGGAATTCAGGATTTGACCAGGAGAGGTAGCCTGGTAAATACTCAGGATTTCACTTGGAGTCCCGAAGTACATCTTGGATAGTGATCAGTCCTCCAAAGAATTAGAACCCCCATTCCAGTCATCTTAATTCCCAATTAGATTAAGGTGATCTGGGATTGCTAGTGCCCAGTCTTAGCTGCCTGCCAGAAGCAAAAGTAAATTCCCTCTGGAGGAAAACAACATCATCCTACATTTCTAATTATCTTCTAATTTTTTTCATTTTTTTAAATTTTTTTTTATTTTTCTGAGATGGAGTCTCCCTCTTGTTGCCCAGGCGGGAGTGCAGTTGGCACCATCTTGGCTCACTGCAACCTCTGCCCCCCGGGTTCAAGCGATTCTCCTGCCTCAACCTCCTGAGCAGCTGGGATTACAGGTACTCGCCAACATGCCCCGCTAATTTTTGTATTTCACCATGTTGGCCAGGCTGGTCTCGAACTCCTGACCTCAGGTGATCCACCCATCTTGGCCTCCCAAAGTGCTAGGATTACAGGCGTGAGCCACCGCACCCGGCCTGTATCTTCTAAATTTTTTCTAATGCAATATCTACCACTCAATTTTATAAAACACTGACAGAACAAGAAAAGATATGACTAAAACAGAAAGCACTGCAGTAGAAGCAGACCCACAGTGTATCTGGAGATACTGGATTTATCAGACGTGGACTTTAGTTTTACTTTTTTGAGACAGGGTCTTGTTATGTTGCCTAGGCTGATCTCATACTCCTGGGATCAAGCAATCCTCCTGCCTCAGCCTCTCAAGTAGCTGAAATTACAGGCAGGTGCCACTGCACCTGACTAAAAATGTACACTTTAAAATAACTATGATTAATAAGCTGGAGGGACTAAATGTCAAATTTTAGAATTTTAGCAAAGACCTGGAAACTATAATCAAAAAAGCTAAAAGAAAGTTCTAGAACTGAAAAATACAATGTGTGAAATTAGGAAATAAATGAGATATGGATTTTACAGTAAATTACACAGAAATGAAGATACAATGAGTGAACTGATAGGCCTGAAGAAAATATCTAGACTTAAGCATGGGGAGACAAAGGATATGAAAGAGGTCATAAGACACACATGAGACTCAGTGATTCAGTTATCTCATGTGTGTGTGGAATTGCAGATGGAGAGGAGAAAAGGAATTGGAAAGAAACAATATTTGAATTTCAGGCTGAGAATTCTTGAAAGTGGATGAAAGACATTAAGCCACAGATTCAAGAAGCCTTGTAAAAGTCTAATCAGAATACATGGAAAACATATCCTATGGCCTGAATATTTGTATCCCCACAAAATTTGTATGTTAAAATCCTAACCCCCGAAGTGATGGTATCAGGAGGTGGGGCCTTTGGGAAATTGTGAGGGCAGAGCCCTCATGAATGGGATTAGTGCCGTTACGAAGGGGACCCCAGGGACCTAGGTAGCCCCCTTTCACCATCTGAGGATACAGCAGGAAGGCACTATCTGTAAGAAAGCAGGCCCACACCAGACACTGAATCTGCTGGTGCCTTGATCTTCAACTTCCTAGTCTCCAGACTTGTGAGAAATAAAATTCTTTTGTTTATAAGCTACTCATTCTATGGCATTTGTTGTAGCAGCCCAAACAGACTAAGGTAACATATTAGGCATACCATAGCATACCTGCTGAAAACCAAAGAGAAAGGTATTGGTGAGTAGCCAGGGAGAAAATACATATACCATCAATGGAATAGCAATAAAATTAAAAACTAACTTTTCAATGGAAACAATTAAAACCAGAACCATTAAACAATGTCTTCATAATGCTGAAAGAAACTGCCAGGCTAGATTTTTATATCCACCAAAAATACTCTTTGAAATAAAATAAAATAAAGATATTCTCAGACAAATAAGATCTGAGAGTTTGTCACTAGTAGACACAGTAAAGGGAATACTAAAGATACATGGTTTGGGTAGAAGAAATTGGAGGCTGGGCACAGTGGCTCATGCTGGTAATCCCAGTGCTTTGGGAGGCCAAGTTAGGAAGAGGCCAGGAGTTTGAGATCAGCCTGGGTAACACAGTGAGACACTGTCTCTACTAAAAATAAAAAAAAAATAGCTGGATGTAGTGATGTGCAGCTGTAGTCCTAGCTACTCAGGATGCTGAAGTGGGAGGACCACTTGAGCCCAGGAGTTTAAGGTTACAGTAAGCCATGATTGTGCCACTGCATTCCAACCTGGGTAACAGAGCAAGACCCTGTCTCTGCCAGGCACTGTGGCTCACGCTTGTAATCCCAGCACTTTGGGAGGCCGAGGCTGGCGGATCACAAGGTCAGGAGATCGAGACCATCCTGGCTAACACGGTGAAACAGCGTCTTTACTAAAAAATACAAAAAATTAGCCGGGTGTGATGGCAGGCGCCTGTAGTCCCAGCTACTCATGAGGCTGAGGCAGGAGAATGGCATGAACCTGGGAGGCGGAGCTTGCAGTGAGCCGAGATTGCGCCACTGCACTCCAGCCTGGGCCACAGAGCCAGACTGTTTCGAAAAAAACACTCTGTCTCTAAAAAAGTGGAGATGCTGAAAGAAATGAAGAAAAATACAAAAGTTAAGTACATAGGTAAATCTAAATGATTATAATCTAATGTTTAATGGGGTTGCAAATTAATGTCTGCGGGACTAAAGATATTTAATGTTATATGCAATTAAAATAAATTACAACCATGACATATAATTTTAGAGGAAAGAAAAATAGAATTAATGTGTCCTATGGTTTTTGCTTTTCTAGGAAGTGGTAAAGTAGTATATTAAGTCAATGATGTTTGCTATAATTTCTGGGACAATGAGTAACACATAATAAAATAATGTATAATGAATAGTTAAGGGGGAGAGGAATGAAATATAGAATTGGAATATGAGTCTAAAAAAAGATTAAAAAGGAGAGGACAGGTGTGGTAGCTCATGCCTGTAATCCTAGCACTTTAGGAGGCAAGGCAGGAGGATCACCTGCGGCCAGGAGTTCGAGACCAGCCCGACCAGCATGGTGAAACCCCATCTCTACTAAAAATACAAAACTTAGCCGGATGAGTGGTACAGGCTTGTAGTCCCAGCTGCTTGGTAGGCTGAGGCATGAGAATCACTTGAACCCCAGACGCAGAGGTTGCAGCGAGCTGAGATCGCGCCACTGCCCTCCAGCCTAGGCAACAGAGTGAGACTCCGTCTCATAAATCAATCAATCAATCAATCAATCAATAAAGGAGAGAAGACCAGGCACAATGGCTCATTCCTGTAATTCCATTCCAGCACTTTGTGAGGCTGAGGCAGGTGGATTGCTTGAGCCCAGGAGTTTGAGACCAGCCTGGGCAACATGGTGAAACCCTATTTCTATCAAAAATACAAAAAATTACCCAGGTGGTAGCACACACCTGTGGTCCCAGCTACTCAGGAGGCTGAGGTTAGAGGATTGCTTGAGCCCAGGAGATCAAAGCTGCAGTGAGCCATGATTATGCCACTGCGCTCTAACCTGAGTGACAGAGCAAGACCCTGTCTCAAAAAAAGAAAAAAAAAAGGAGAGAAAGGGGACATAAAAAAAGCAAGACAAATAGCAAATAGGATGGTAGATTAAACCAAATAACATATATTTAAGCTTACATACATTATATACATATGACATTAAAATATTATGTAAACATTGAAATACACACACACACACACACACACACACACACACATACACATATATATATATATATATATATTTTTTTTTTTTTTTTTTTTTTTTGAGACGGTGTCTCGCTCTGTCGCCCAGGCTGGAGTGCAGTGGCATGATCTCGACTCACTGCAAGCTCTGCCTCCCAGGTTCACACCATTCTTCTGCCTCAGCCTCCCAAGTAGCTGGGACTCGTGCCTGCCACCACACCCGGCTAATTTTTTGTATTTTTTTAGTAGAGACGGGGTTTCACTGTGTTAGCCAGGATGGTCTTGATCTCCTGACCTCGTGATCCACCCGCCTCGGCATATATATATATATGACACAGTCTCCCTCTGTTGCCCAGGCTAGACTGCAGTGGAGCTATCTCAGCTCACTGCAACCTCTGCTTCCCAGGTTCAAGCAATTCTCATGCCTCAATCTCCTGAGTAGCATGCACCACCTCACCCAGATAATTTTTTTGTATTTTTAGTAAAGACATGCTATGTTGGCCAGACTGGTCTCGAACTCCTGAGCTCAAAGTGATCCACCTGCCTTGGTCTCCCAAATTGCTGGGATTACAGGTGTGAGCTACCATGCCTGGCCTAAAATATTATACATTAAACACATTTAAAATACATGGGCTGAATACTTGAAAGTCAATATTGGATTTTTGTTTATTTCCTATTTGTTTGTTTGTTTTTTTCTTTTTGTTTTATAGAGACGGGGTCTCGCTCTGTCACCCAGGCTGGAGTGCAGTGGGGCAATCTCAGCTCAATATAAATTCAACCTCCTGGGCCCCATCGATACTCCTGCTCAGCCTCCCAAGTAGCTGGGACTACAGGCATGTGCCACCACACCTGGCTAATTTTTTTATTTTTTGTAGAGATGACATCTCACTATGTTGTCCAGACTGGTTGTGAACTCCTCGGCTCAAGCAAGCCTTCTGTCTTGGCCTCCCAAAGTGTTGGGATTACAGGCATAAGCCACTGTGCCCGGTCAGTCTTGGATTTTAAAAGATCAACTAAATGCTGTTTACCAGAAATGCTCTTAAATAAAAGGATACAAAAAAACTTCAAAGAACAGAAAAAGATATGCTGTGTGTATGCTAATAAAAAGAGCTGCAGACAAATAGATTCAAGTCAAGAAACACTGCTAAAAATGAAGAGAGGTATTTATAATTATGAAAGGTTTAATTCATCAGGAAAATATGACAGTACTAAAGATATATGTACCTAATAACATAGTCCTAAAATATATAGAGAGTAAAATTGTCCAGAACAAGCAAACCTTCTCTGTATACAAAAAATCCAAAGGAATCAATGAATAAACTATTAGAACTAACAAATTAGTATATAGTAAGGTTGCAGGATACAAAACGAATATATAAAAATCTATTGTATTTCTATCTACCAACAATGAATAATCTAAAAAATGAAAGAAAATCCTTTTTATAACATCAAAAATAATAAAGTTCTTAGCAATAAATTTAATACAAGAAGCTCAAGACTTGTACAATGAAAAACTACAAAATATCACTTAAAGAAATTAGGAAGCTGGATGCTGTGGCTTATGTGGGAGGCTGAGGTGGGTAGATCACTTTGAGCTCAGGAGTTCAAGACCAGCCTGGACAATATGGCAAAACCCCGTCTCTATAAAAAATACAAAAACAAATTAGCCAGGCGTGGTGGCTTATGCCTGTAGTCCCAGCTACGAGGGAGGCTGAGGCTGGAGAATCTCTTGAACTTGGGAAGTAGAGGTTACAGTGAGCTGAGATTGCACCATTGCACTCCACCCTGTCTCAAAAAAAAAAAAAAAGAAAAAAAGAAAAGAGAAATTAGGGCCGGGTGCAGTGGCTCACATCCGTAATCTCAGCACTTTGGGAGGGGCTAAGGTGGGAGGCTCACTTGAGGCCAGGAGTTCGAGACCAATCTGGCAACGTAGCAAGATCCCATCTCTACCAAAAATTTAAAAATTAACCAGCCATGGTGGCACATGCCTGTAGTCCTAGCTACTTGGGAGGCTGAGGTAGAAGGATCACTTTAGCCCAGGAGTTCAAGGCTGCAGTGAGCTGGTTCATGCCACTGCACTCCAGCCTGGGCAACAAAGTGAGACCCTGTCTCTAAAAAAATAAAAAATAATCAAGGAAGACATAAACAAATGGAAAATATTCCACGTTTAAGGATCAGAACACTCAATATTAAATTGATCTACAGATTCATTGCAGTTCTTATAAAAAGCTTAGCTGAGCTTTTTGCAGACATTGACACACTGTTCCTAAAATTCACATGGAAATTTAAGGAACCCAGAATAGCTAAATGAGTCATGAAAAAGAACAAAGTTTATAGGACTCACATTTCCTGATTTAAAAGCTTACTACACAGCTACAGTAATCAAGAAGTGTGATGCTAGCGTAAGGGTAAATGTATAGATCAGTGGAACAAAATTGAAAGTTCAGAAATAAACCCTTACATTTATGGTCAGACTTTCAACAAGGTTGCCAAGACCATGCAGTGGGAAATGAATAGTCTTTTCAACAAATGGTGCTGGGACAACGGGATAGGCACTTGGAAAAGAATAAAATTGGATGCATATCTCAAATCATATACAAAAATTAACTCAAAATGGATCAAAAATATAAGTGTTAGAGCTAAAACTCTTATAAGAAAACACAGGTAAGTTTTCATGAGCTTGGATTTAGCAGTGGTTGTTTAGATATAACATCAAAAGCACAAGCAACAAGAAAAAATCGATAAATTGGACTTGATTAAAATTAAAAACTTTTGTGCTTCAAAGTCACTATCAAAAAACTGAAAAGACTGGCCAGGCACGGTGGCTCATGCCTGTAATCTCAGCACTTTGGGAGGCCGAGGTGAGTGGATCACCTGAGGTCAGGAGTTCAAGACCAGCCTGGCCAACATGACGAAACCCTGTCTCTACTAAAATTACAAAAATTAGCCGGGAATGGTGGTGCACACTGGTAATCCCAGCTACTCAGGAGGCTGAGGCAGGAGAATCACTTGGACCCAGAAGGTGGAGGTTGCAGTGAGCCAAGATTGTGCCACTGCACTCTAGCCTAGGCAACAGAGCGAGAATCCATTTAAAAAAAAAAAAAAAGATAACTCACAGAATGGGAGAAATTATTTTCAAATCATCTATCTGAAAAGGGACTTGTATTCAGAATATATAAACAACTCAACAATAAAAAGACAAGTAGCCCAACTTAGAAAGGGCAGAAGATCTGAATATTTCTCCAGTGAAGATCTACAAATGACCAGTAAGCTCATGTGAAAAGATGCTCAAAATCATTCATCATTAGGGAACTGCAAATCAAAACCATAATGAAATACCACTTCAAACCCACTAGTATGGCTATAGTAAAAAACAGGAAAATAACATGTAAGCAACAATGTGGAAGAATTGCTGATGGGAACATAAAATGGTGCAGCTACTTTGGAAAACAGTTTGGCAGTTTCCCAATAAGTTAAACATAGAGTTACTATATAACTTAAGAATTCCACCTTTAGGTCCATACTCAAGAGAATTGAAAACATATATTCACACAAAAGCTTGTACATGAAAGTTCATAGCAGTGTTATTCATAATAGCTAAAAAGTGGAAATAGCCCAAATGTCCATCAAATGATGAGTGGATTAAAAATGTGGTATATCCATACAATGGAAGAGTATTTGGCCATAAAAAAGAATGAAATCCTAATGGTGCAAGATGGATGACTCTTAAAACATGATGCTAAGTAAGAAAGCCAAACAAAAAAGTCCTCATTTATGATTACATTTTGGGGGAAGAGGACAATATCCCAAATAGGCAAATCTATGGAGACAGAATAGATTAGCAAATGTGATGGGCTGGTTGCCCTTTCCTGAGATGGGCTGGGAGAATGACTACTAATGAGTATGGGGTTTCTCTTGGGAGTGAAGAAAGTGTTGCAGAATTGGTAATAGTGATGGTTACACAACTTGGTGAATGTACTCAAAAGAACCCCTGAGTTGTATACTTAAACCTTAAGAAAATCAGTCAGAACCAAAAGCTAGACAATTTGTCAATTTATCTTAGTGGGAGATTTTAACAGACCTCTCTCAAATTGAAAACAAATTAGTAAGATAAGTAAGGATATAGAAGATGGAAACAACATGATCAGCAAGTTAACCAAGCTAACATATGTAGAACACCGTACCTAGTGACTGCACAGAACACATAAACAGCAAAAATTACTACATGCTGGGCCAGGAAGCAAGTTTCAGTGACTTTCAAAGGACTGAAATCATACAAAGTTGTTGTTGTTGTTGTTTTAGAGACTGGGTCTCACTGTCACCCAGGCTGTAGTGCAGTGGTGTGATCCTGGCTCACTGCAGCTTGATCTCCTGGGTGCAAACAGTCCTCCCACTTCAGCATCCCAAGTAGCTGCTATTATAGGCACATACCACCACTCTCAGCTATTTTTTTTTTTTTTGGTAGAGACAAGGTCTCACTATTTTGCCCAGGGATTACAGGGATGAGTCACCACACCTAGCTCCTAATATGTTTTTCAGCCACAGTGGAATCAAGCAAGAAATCAGGGAAAAAAAGAAAAAGAAAAGTAGGAAATCCCATGACATTTTGGATTTTTTTTTTGAGATGGAGTTTCACTCTTGTTGCCCAGGCTGGAGTGCAATGGCGTGATCTTGGCTCACTGCAACCTCCGCCTCCCAGGTTCAAGTGATTCTTCTGCCTCAGCCTCCCAAGTAGTTGGGATTACAGGCACGTGCCACCATGGCCAGCTAATTTTTAGTATTTTTAGTAGAGATAGGGTTTCACCATGTTGGCCAGGCTGGTTGTGAACTCCTGACCTCAGGTGATCCACCCGCCTCGGCCTCCCAAAGTGCTGGGATTACAGGCGTGAGCCACCATGCCCAGCCACACTTTGGAATTAAAATACTTCAAAATAATTTATCAGTTATAAAAGAAATCACAGTGGGAATTAGAGAATATTTGGAACTTAACGATTGTAAAAATACATGTTAACATGTAGAATGCAACTAAGAGGGAATGTTGTAGGCTAAAATACTACCATTAGAGAAGAAGAAATAGTAAAGATTGATGATGCTTACATGCATGATAAGAAGTTAGAAAAATAGCATCAAAGCTGGCGCGCGGCGCCTGCCAGGCGCCCAGTCCTCCGCCATCGCCCACGCCTCCCTGGTGCCAGGGAATAGGTATCAGGGCGCCTCCCCAGCGGCTGGGAGAGACGCTGAGTGAAGAAGAGGGAAGGACAGTTAGTCAGTCTTATAGCTGGATCAGTTACCAGGAGAAGTTCTAAAGCAAGAAGAGAAAAGCATTTCAATTTGGGACATTTATTTGCACCTGGAAATGGGGAATGGGCTATCAGACCAGACTTCTATCCTGTCCAACCTGCCTTCATTTCAGTCCTTCCACATTGTTATTCTGGGTTTGGACTGTGCTGGAAAGACAACTGTCTTATACAGGCTGCAGTTCAATGAATTTGTAAATACCGTACCTACCAAAGGATTTAACACTGAGAAAATTAAGGTAACCTTGGGAAATTCTAAAACAGTCACTTTTCATTTCTGGGATGTAGGTGGTCAGGAGAAATTAAGGCCACTGTGGAAGTCATATACCAGATGCACAGATGGCATTGTGTTTGTTGTGGACTCTGTTGATGTCGAAAGGATGGAAGAAGCCAAAACTGAACTTCACAAAATAAATAGGATATCAGAAAATCAAGGAGTCCCTGTACTTATAGTTGCTAACAAACAAGATTTGAAGAACTCATTGTCTCTTTCAGAAATTGAGAAATTGTTAGCAATGGGTGACCTGAGTTCATCAACTCCTTGGCATTTGCAGCCTACCTGTGCAATCATAGGAGATGGCCTAAAGGAAGGACTTGAGAAACTACATGATATGATCATTAAAAGAAGAAAAATGTTGCGGCAACAGAAAAAGAAAGATGAATATCAATACCTATTATATCTGTGTGGAGTAGGTTTTCTCTGGTCTGATTTTGACAAATAGAAGAGTGTCTACAGCGTGGTTTGCCTGCCTGTCTGCCCTCCTGGATGCTATTAAAGCTTTGTTTTGTTGAACAATCAGATGCCCAACTCTGTTGCCTTGTGGAAGATAAGTAAATGCAGTGCTTCTTAAAGTGGTCTCTTCTCCCTACCCCACAAATCTTTTGGTACTACCATTTGGGGAAGCCAAGCAAGGATAGTAAATTGACCAGAACACAGTTGTGGGAATTTGGCCTGAAGTTAGTGAAATAAAACTTTAAAGAGTGAAAAAAAAAAAAGAAAAATAGCATCAAATAAATCTGATGGAAGAATATAATAAAGATGGCAGGAATTAATGTTACAGAAAACAAACAGAGTATCTCTTAACAAAACCAAAAAGTGACTTTTTAAAAAGAAAATATAATTTTACACTGCGGAAGGCCGCAGGGACCTCTGCCTAGGAAAACCAGAGACCTTTGTTCATGTGTTTATCTGCTGACCTTCTCTCCACTATTATCCTATGACCCTGCCACATCCCCCTCTCCGAGAAACACCCAAGAATGATCAATAAATACTAAAAAATAAAAATAAAAAAATAAAAAAAGTGATTTTAAAATGTAAAAAAAAGAAAATATAATTTTAAAAGAAAATATAATTGATTCATCAAGAAAAAGAACATAAAACAATTCAGTTATCAATAATATCACTGCAGATCCTAGATACATTTAAAGCACAATAAAAAGATACTATGAGCAATTTTATGCCAATAAACTTGAACATTTAACTGCTATGGATTCCTGGATAGACAACTTGCCAAAACTGAGAAATAGTTTTGGAAAATCTGGATACTCTTGAATCTGGCTATTAAGATCTTAAGATTAATGGCTATTAATATCTGTTGAATTAATAATAGAAAATCTTCCCACCCACAAGACAAAAAGTTTTTAAAAATTTTATTCCTATATGATGTTGTCACAGAATTCTGCAAATAATTTAAGGAAGAAATAATACTCTTTCAGAGAATGGAAGGAGGAACTACTTCCCAGTTCATTTTATAATGTCGATGAGGTTGCTCTTTCCTTTTATTTATTTATTTTTTTGAGACGGAGTCTTGCTCTGTCGCCCAGACGACTAGAGTGCAGTAGCACGATCTTGGCTCACTGCAACCTCCACCTCCCAGGTTCAAGCAATTCTCCTGCCTCACCCTCCTGAGTAGCTGGGATTACAGAGGCAGGCCATGACGCCTGGCTAATTTTTGTATTTTTAGTAGAGATGGGGTTTCACCATGTTGGTCAGGCTGGTCTCAAACTCCCGACCTCGTGATCCGCCCACCTCGGCCTCCCAAAGTGCTGGGATTACAGGCAAGAGCCACCGTGCCCGGCCGAGGTTGCCTCTTCCTGAGATGGGAAAGACTGTGGTACAGTTAGGTTTTAGTTATGTTAGGTTTAAGATGCCTGTTAGACATTAAGTGGAAATGTCAAGCAGGTATTTGGGTACACTCTTTTGGAGTTCAGGGGAGAAGTCTATGTTAAAGATACATATTTGGGATTTGTTAGCATTTACATAATATTGAATGTCATGATCACTAAAGAAGTGAGTTTAGGTAGTAAAGAAATCTAAAAGCCAATTCCTGGACACTCCAATACCTAGAGGTCAGGAAGCTGAATAAGAGGGAACCAGCAAAGGAGCCACAGAGAAGTAGGAGAAGAATCAAGAGAAAGCAAGTTGAGGAACTGGGCCAGTTCTTATTATTGCCTCTCAGCTCTAAACCCACACTTTGTCCTGCCTTGTGATGCTGGAACTGTACTCTGATTCTCCGTTTCTCCATTGCCAACTGCCTCTGTCATTAGAGGGTGCCGAGAGACTTTGTAAGACTGGAAGAGGAAGAAGAAAGGACTTTTCTTCTTCCAATGCTTGTTTATCCCTATGGTGGCTGTGTAGAATCCTGGCAGTGTTCACCACAGCATATTCCTTTGGTAACCGTGCCCTCTTCTCAGAGACCTGAATCTCAGCCTGGTGTGTGTTGTGTGTAGGTTTGGGGGCAGGGAGGTGCTCTGCTGAGTTTCCAAGTTCCTTGTTCATTTTTCTCTCAGTCTTGGGGCTGAGGGTGGGAATAGTGGCTGCTCTCTGCAGTTCTTACATCTGTACACATTAGAGTTTTCAAATAGTTGAGCAGTTTTTACCTACTTAACACAAGAGAATAGGAACTACTGGGGAGCCAGGCAGTAGAAGAGAGGAAATTTCTCCTTTTAGAAGTATTCCAGCTAATAAAGGAAAAAGGGTTTTAGAATTAGAATATGAGTGTTTTGCAACCCCTTTGGTGGTACCACAAAGGCAACTGAGTGGAAGAATATGATGCCATCTGTTAAGTAGTTTTGCCTCTTTCTCTCTGTCCCCCAAAGGAAAAAGTATTGGTCTTCTAAAGATTCACTTACTAATTTACAGGAAGTACAGAAAAGAGGAACATGTTAAACTGCATTCTAGGAAAACAGCAAAATCCAGATTGTGGGAAACTCTGGCAGGGCAAATAATGAAGTTTCATTAAGAAATAAATGTTAAGAAAAAATGAAGGGAGAACCTGTAGGTGAAAAGAAATGTAAAGTAAGACTGATCAGTTGCCATGTATGTACCTTATTTAGATCCTGATTCAAACAAAAAACTTTTGACACGTGTGAGACTGTTGGGAAATGCGAGCCAGATTAGATATTTGATAATAATAAGGAAACATTTTTAACTTTTTTGGTGTCGTTACATTTTAAAAGAAGATTTTATCCTTTTAGAGATATATGTGGTACTATTTATAGATTCAAAATAATAGGGGGCTGGGTGGGAGGGGCTGCATTGTACAGATGAAACAAGATTGACTGTGAATGGTTCACTGTTGAAACTCTGTGATGGGTACTTGAGAATTTATTATATTATTATGCCTATATTGCAGATATTTGAAGTTTCCCAATAAAATGTTTAAAATAGTGGCAGGGGGCAAGAAGAAAAGGACCACTCAATTTAAAGAAAAAATAATTTTAAAAGACACAGAGAATAGGAAGAGGGAAAAATTGGTGAGGCAAGAGAAAGGCAGCAGGTGGGGCCATATCAAGAGTGATTCTTCAGCAGGTGAGGCGTGATAGCCACCGCAAAAGTAGAGGGTTGGCTGTAAGATAGGGGGCACAGATGGCTATAATGCAAGGGAAGGCAGACTCTCTTAAGCTAAGTCACAAGATCCTTAAAGGTATGATTGATGTTTTACACCAGTTTGTATGGATTCTGTACCTTGGACTGGAAACTTATAAGTGCTTCTGATAACCCTCCCCCACCTTTTTTTTTTTTTTTTTTCTGGAGAGAAGATAGAACATAAAAGGGGATAAAGAATAGGAGAGGGAAATAACCAATATTGAGCCCTTGCTATATAATAGACAGCACGCTAAGCTTAACTACTTTATCTCAGTCTTCACCACAGTTATATGAGGTAGCCATCCCATTTTATGAAGAAGGAAATGGAGGCTCAGGGAGATTAAAATGCACAGCTAGTAAACAGTGAAGCTGGGAGTCAACTTGAATTTTTCTGCCTCTGAAGTCTATTTCTCCCCTACTATATATCCTGCAGTTCAGAATGAGAATTTAATTTTAAATTTCAACATCATTTCAGGTGAAGGAGAAAACATTCTATTAATAGGATTCCTGTATTAACTTTGGGTAGATATCAGAGAAGAATAGCCTTCTTTTCTAACTACATCAAAATGAATTTTTGTGAGGTTGAGGATTTTAAAATGTACAATAAATAGATACAATCACATACTACATTAAGATTTTTCATTAATATTTTACATTAAATTTTCTGTGTTTTTTCCCCAGATATTGAAATACTTCATGAGAAATTTATTAACATTGAATCAAAGGATCACAGGTTACAGAAAGTTAAAGTGATTTTGCTGCTACCTCGTTGTTCAGGACTGGGTGTTAGTAATCCAGTAGAATTTATTTTAAATGAACATGAAGGTACTTGTTTTAATTTCTAAATTATTGAAATTAGTTGACAGTTTAAAATATAAAATTATTTAAAATCATTAAAATAGCATATCAAATACATCTGATTAATAAATAATAGCAACCACATATAAAGTACTTACTATGTATAAAGTCCTTTACCTCTGTTACCTCATTTAATCCTTACACCAATCCAATAGACCAGGGTGATATTCAAAATATTTAATAATTGGAATAATGTAGGCAATCAGAAAAGATGCTGGCCAGTATGCTATTCTGAATATACCAGAGCTCTTGATGTAAGTGTTAAAATTTACCGGCATTCTATAGATGAAAATACTGAGACTCAAAGATTGATTCATTTTTCTCAGGTCAAGCAACTAGAGACAGAGCTAAGATTCAAATTTAGATCTGTTTGACTCTAGAGCCTATGTTCTAAACATGATTCTAATTAAATCATTATCAGATTATTTCAAACTCAAAGGTGTCTTAATCGCTAGGATGTATGCTTTATGAAATGAATGTCTCAGACTAAATATAGAAGCATTGACATTTAATTTTATTGGCTTTTAAATACATTTAAAATAATAATTATTTAACATTAACATTTATTGAGCACTTAGATGTAAGGCCCTGGGCGTGGCACTTTTCTTGGATTATTTCAGTAAGTCTTCACAAGAATTCTGTGAAGTAGTAACTTGTTAACTTCTATTTTACAAATGAGGAATCTGAGGCTCAGAGAAGTTAATGAAGTCTCCTAGGATCATTGGGCTAGTAAGAGGCAGAGCTTGGATTCAAATACAACCAGTCTGACTCTGAGACTGGCACTTTTAATGACTCTCTTAATCACATTATATTGCTCCAAATTAAATGAAACTTATGCTTATCCCTTGCTTATATTGAAAGGCATATTAAATTGAAAGGTTAATTAGAATATTAGAAAAAGAAGACACCCCACAAATGTACAGAATATAGTAACTGTTTTCTGTTTCTAGCAAGGACAGAAGAGGAAAAGAAATGGAGGGAAAAGAGCTAATATTTATTAAACACAATAATGTCCCAGGCAATATTCTAGGTAGTGTTCACATACTGTCACTTAGTATTCACAATAACTTTTTGAGGTTAGTGTTCTTCTAATTGTAGAGGAAAAAAACCAAGACTCAGAAAAATTAAACCAGTTGCTTATGGTCATGTAGCTAGTAAGTAGGGAAGCTGGGATTCAAATTCAGGTGGGTTAGCACATTTTCCTTCCACTAAACGACACTATCTTTAACTGGGTTTACACTGTACCACATGGAATTTTGACTTGCTATAGAAAATTTCTTTCCAGAGAGACTTCAGCCAAAGAATAACCAATTCAGATGGTAGAATGGTAGGTAGGCTGAGAAAATTTCTAGATGAACTTTAAGAAATAATCAAAGAACAATTAGTAGACACTGAAAGAAAAGGGGGAAGGAAAAAAGGGGGAAGAAATAGCAGCTATAATAAGCATAGCAGTCAGGAGAACTAGAGCTCAGAACTGTGAGACTCTGGCCTTATCCTGGGCCATTTTGAGGTGGAAATCCAGAAAAAAAATAAACCACAGAATAAAAATAAACTAAAGGCTAGAGGAGAAAGGCCCAGAGGAAAATACAAATAAGGAAAGTGGGGAAAGGAAAACATTTCCTAGGTACTGGTAATGTTTTGAAAGCCTTGATGAGGAGATGATAGGATAAGCTAAGAAGTTGTCGTATACTGGCCGGGAGCGGTGGCTCACGCCTGTAATCCCAGCACTTTGGGAGGCCGAGGAGGGCGGATCACGAGGTCAGGAGCTCGAGACCATCCTGGCTAACACGGTGAAACCCCGTCTCTACTAAAAATACAAA
Source organism: Homo sapiens (assembly GCF_000001405.40). NCBI lineage: Eukaryota > Metazoa > Chordata > Mammalia > Primates > Hominidae > Homo > Homo sapiens. Next base: position 40,792,599 of record NC_000004.12, read on the forward strand.
AAATTAGCCGGGCGAGGTGGCGGGCGCCTGTAGTCCCAGCTACTCGGGAGGCTGAGGCAGGAGAATGGCTTGAACCCCGGGGGGCGGAGCCTGCAGTGAGCCGAGATCGCGCCACTGCACTCCAGCCTGGGCGACAGCAAGACTCCATCTCATTTAAAAAAAAAAAAGTTGTCGTATCCTGAAGTAAGCGGGCTTTTGAAGGAACCTGTACTCTGAGGAGCTAAAAGCTTGAGCAAATAAGGAGCTGCCGACCTAGTGACTCTGGTGGGAACGTGGAACGTTAGCCAGAAACTTAGTGGGGGTGAATCCGAAAGATTATTTTATTAAACTTAGATACAAGGTAGAATGGAACAATAAGGAATTAGTTTTAAAAACATTTTAACATCGAAAAATATTAGAACCATTGAGAAATATATGAAGTTGGTCCTTGCTAACGACTTGGAATTATTTTAAGATAGAATTAAAGAAATAGATAATACGACTTTGGAGTATAATAATTTGTAATAGTCCTTTAACAAGTAATGGATAGTTTTAGAACAGAGAAAAAAAATGTGAAATGTAGGCCAGGCACAGTGGCTCACACCTGTAATCCCACCACTTTGGGAGGCTGAGGTGGGTAGATCGGTTGAGGCCAGGAGTTCGAGTTCAGCCTGACCAACATAGTGAAACCCAGTCTCTACTAAAAATACAAAAATTAGCCGGGCATCATGGTGAACACCTGTAGTCCCAGCTATTCAGGAGGCTGAGGCATGAGAATTGCTTGAACCCAGGAGGCAGAGGTTGCAGTGAGCCGAGATGGTGCCACTGCACTCCAGCCTGGATGACAGAGTGAGATCCTGTCTCAAAAAAACAGCAACAACAACAACAATAACAAAAAACAAAAAACAAAACCTCATGAAATGTAAAACTAAATTGGGAAGAAATGGAGTTTAATTAACCTTTAGTGATAGTACTGGAATGGGCAACAGCCACATACATGGTATAAATAATTGGCTGTCATGCTCTAGTGAGTTCTAGAGAGGCAGTATAATACAGAGTTTAAAAATTTGGGTCCTCTGGTTAGATTTCTGAGTTAGAATCCTGGCTGTCCACTTAGTAGCTATATAACCTTAGACAAGTTGTTTAATGTATGTTTAAACAATTATCTCAATGTTAGAAGGGCTAGTAATTCTTCAAGAGGTCGTTAAAATAATCTACATAAAGTAGCATTCAGTATATCTTCATTAATATTGTCAATACATATATTTAAATTATTTTTCAAAAATTAAAAAATGTAAGACATTATTTCTTAATCTGTTATGAAGACATAACATTTGCTTTTCTGAATTTTTTCTTCCAAAGTTTCTTTTGGAAAGTTAGTATTTTAAACCATATCCTTGTGTGTTCCCAGATCTGACTATAGCCCATTCGTTTTTATCTTGGAAAATAAATCTTATTTTCTCTATCCAGTATTAGTCTCGAGACTGACGGCATTTTCTCTTCTGTGTCTAAATGACTTATATGACTACTTGGATGACTATCTCATAGCAACTTGGAGAAAAACAATATTAAATATTTTCAATATTGTTTTTGAAAAGCAATATTAAAATGAAACAGAATTAACTTTATTGTTCTAATTTTTAAGTCAACATTTTAATATCTATTTAGTTTTAATAGATATTTTCCATGAAACACTTTTATTGGTAGGCAAAATGATTGAAAAATTATATGATGATAACAATATGTAAAAAGTTTTTAATGGTGCTATATTTAAAAGCATTTCTTTTTAAAATTCAGATACAGAATTCCTTAAAGATCACTCTCAAGGAGGCATCTCAGTGGACAAACTTCACGTTCTTGCTCAACAGCAGTATGAACAGCTAACACATGCAATGAAATGTAAGGTTGTCATAGGCACCATCTTGTTAAAATAAGGTGTACATTTTAGAAATATTAGTCTTTCACGATCTATTATAATCAAGCAATGAAGTGTGAGCCATGAGCACATTTTCCAGAACATTCAGTCTTACTGCCTTCAAATAACAAAATATTTATCTTTACCAATTTAATCTGTTTTTAGAATATATGCTTTACTGTAATTTTAAACAGGTTAGCAAGCATAATTTACCAATTTTGTAATGCCGAAGTGAAATAATTATGTATATTTGTAATTGTAGTTTCAGCTTTCCTGTTTCTTCTCTTAGATTTCTTACTCGATATAATTTTTCTGTTGTCATTGTGCCTACCCTTAACAACTCTTCTACAGTCCAAATTTTAGTCAAACTCTTATTTCTCTTAGTGCTAAGTAGAGAACAGAGAGGTGCAATCGCAGAGAAAGCCTAGATCTCTTGATTTGAAGTTTGAGTAACAAGGCGGCACTTTGAGTGATTTATATCATTGCTTTAATCACTTCATTTAGATTTTGAGTACCACTGCCTTTCCACATATGCACACAGGAATCTAGATGTCTCTGAGAAATTAATAAGCTTTTATTAATTCCGTATATATTTATAAAGTGCTCACTTTGGGTCAGGTATTAAGCTGTATGTAAGGTGTATCAGTGTTAGCAAATCCTGACCTGCAAAGGCTTAAAGATAAATGGATATGGGCATAGACCCCATCTATATTATAGGTACAGATCTGAGTATAGATCATTCAGTAAATAAATATATAAACACACATGAGGTAGAAATAAGGCCTATACAAATCACAGAGGTCACAGCTTGCCAGGAGTAAAAGCAAAAAATAAGTAAATAGAAAGCACAGAGGAGGCTTTTTCTTTTAGTTCATATTGCTAATAAATGTTCATTTGAACATGATATGGATATGATCTAGGAAATAAGTTGATTGGAAGATCAGGAATTTGGTAAATAATAAGCCTTTTACTTGAAGCATTTTAATTAAATTTTAATTGGATATTTCAAGCTTAAAAAAGCTTCAGAAAGAATCTGAAAAGCAAAGGGATTTTAATGACATAAACTCTTTTATGATGCCAAATAAACATAAAATTTGGCAACTCTTGAGATTATGGCAGTTTATGTTACTGGAAGACATACTGTAAGTCAAAACAAGTTGTATTTAGTTTCCCATAAGGAAATACTGTCTTAGGTAGTCAGGTGTGTAATCAGGGGTTTGACTCCAGATTTTGATAGAACCGATTAAAAGCCCGATTTGAAGTCAACCACATAAAAGATAATTACGTAATCTGTCATGGGATTAGAGTAAAAACAAATACAAATTAAAAATACCAAAAGGTAACTGTGCTGAGTCCTTGTTAGTTGTGAAAATAATTTTTAAATATTTGAGCACTTATTGTTTACTTATTATGTGCCTGGCACCTGCTGCTTACTTTATATGTATCATTTTATTTAGTAATCACCAAATTTTCTTCCTTAGCTTCCATGCTATCTTTGACCAGAGCAACAAGGGGGCTCGGGCACCCCTAATTCCCTTACCCTCTAAGACTCACAGCCTTGCCACTATTCTCTACTTTAAAATCGTAAGTGGGAGCCAGGCGTGGTGGCTCATGCCTGTAATCCCAGTACTTTGGGAGGCCAAACCTGGCGGATCACTTGAGGCCAGCCTGGACAACATGGTGAAACCCCATCTCTACTAAAAATACAAAAATTAGCCGGGCGTGTTGGCGCATGCCTGTAGTCCCAGCTACTTGGGAGGCTGAGATATGAGAATCACTTGTTATAGTGAGCTGAGATTGCACCACTGCACTCCAGCCTGGGTGACAGAGTGAGACTCTGTCTCTAAATAAATAAATAAATAAGTGGGCTAGGCATGGTGGCTCATGTCTGAAATCCCAGTGCTTGGGAGGTCAACATGGTAGGATCACTTCAGGCCAGGAGTTTGAGACCAACCTGGACAACATAGTGAGACCCTGCCTCTACAAAAAATAAAAAAAGTTATCTAGGCATGGGGGCATGCAGGCTACTCGGGAGACTGAAGTGGGAGGATTGCTTGAGCCCAGGAGTTGGAGGCTGCAGTGAGCCATGATCACCTCACTGCACTCCAGCCTAGGCAACAGAGCAAGACCCCATCTATTAAAAAAATACAAATAAATCAAGTTATAAGAAACATGTCTCCTTATATCCTTTACACCTATTAATGACAATTAACTCAAGAGGCCCCGACTCCAGGTCATTCCTCATCTCCTATACTCTGGTCTCCATAACTCTCTTCATATCCCTTTGTCCACATCTCTCACTCTGTGCTCTCTAGAATTTATAGTTCCTCATCAACAAAAATTCCCTATATTTTAACTTCTTTGAATGTCCTCCCCCTTTGTAAAAAATTCCTGTAACTTGCCTTTCCCCTGGGAACAGTGTTTCCTCAGTCTTTCCTCTCCTTCTTTTTTGAGCTATTGCCATCACACGTTCACTCCTGCCACTAAACTGAAACGGTCCTGTGAAGATCGCCAGTGATCCCCATGCTGTTGTGTCAGTTGCCAGCCCTGGTCTACCTAGGTCTGTCTGTGGCAGTTGACAGAAGTGGTCGCTTCCTCTCCCTTCACACACTTCCATCACTTGTCTTCTAGGGCACCACCTTCCAGGCCTTCTCTCTGGCCTCCCCTTCTCTGTCTCCCTTACTGGGTCCTCTCTGTCTCAACACCCTGTTTAACATGGGAGTGTGCCACAGTCCATGCCTTGGATCTTTTTTCTCTGCCTATACTTATCCCTTGGTGATTGTATCTAGTCTTATGGTTTTAAACACCTCTATGTGACTCCCAAATCTGTATTTCCAGTCTAAACTTCCTCTTGAAACTCTAAGCTTATATTTCCAGCTGCCTTCTTGACATCTCCACTTAGGGACTCATAGTCATCTCAAAGCTAACATGTCTAAGGTGGAAGCTCTGATCTTCCTCCCGCCATACTTGTTCCTCCCACAGTACTGCCATTTCAGTTAATGATAGTTGTAGCCTTCCACCCGCTTAGGCTAAAAACGTTAGCATTATCCATGATTTCTCTTTCATACCCACAGCCAGTCTGTCAGTGTATGAGGTAGGTTCTACATTCAACTTATATCCAGAATATATCCAGCTACCTCCACCACTACCACGGTGTCCAAACCACCATCACCTCACACTTGAATTACTGTAATGACCTCCTAATTTCTCTGCCAGCCTCTGCCCCTGCCCTCTGCACTCTATTCTTAACACAGCAATTGGAGTGATCTTGTTAAAACCCATCATAACCCAAGTAAAAACCTAAGCCCTTCCGGTGGCCCACAAGTCCCTGTACTATCTGGGGCTCAGACCATGCTTTCTGACTTCGACTTACTACTCTCTCTTCATTCCCTCTGCTCTGATCAAACCGGCCCCTTCACTTTCCTGGAACATACCAGCACCATGTTGACTTCAGGCCTTTACACTGGCTGTTCCTTTACCTTAGAATGCTTTTCTCTAAATAGCTCTGTGGCTGGTTCCTTATCTCCATCTAGTCTACCCACAGTTTGCCATCTCAACAATGCTTTCTCTCACTGCTCTATTTCACACTATTTCTCCTGGAACTCTCTATCCCTCACCCGGCTCTGCTTTTCTCCATAGCATTGATCACTTAACAGTACTATATAGTTTTCCTATTTATCTCTGTCTTACTGTCTTTCTCCTCTACTAGAAAGTTAGCTCCACAGGGGCAAGGATTTTTGTTTGTGTTATTGTATCCCAAAGCCTAGAACAGTGCCTGTCTGGCAGGTGGTAGGTGCTCAATAAGTATGAATCAATGAGTGAATTGCAGGTGGTAGTATTACCTCATTTTACGGATGAAAAATTTAAGACTTTAAGTAATTTGCCCAGGTTCATACAGCAGTAAGTGACAGAACTGGGATTCACCTCTAAGTCTGTCTGTTTCTAGAGTCCTTTAAACTATTTAGGCAATATCGCTTGTAGAAGAATGGGCAGAAGTATCAAGTTCATGGTAACCTGCAGTATTTATTTATTTGTGTTTATAACTAAGTTGGCCTCATTTTTTGTTGAATTTTCAATTTCCATACAATCCAGTTAGAGTGACTTTACTTACTGGCCACAGACTAAATTACTAAGACAAGCTTTTACTTTAAAGGGGAGCCATTCAAGCATCTGGGGAAATTATTCTCATCAAAACCATGTGGTATTAGTATCAAATAGATGTTTGGAAACATAGCACATTTGTATAGGATTGTTAATATAGTTGTTACAGTCATTGCATCTTCTTCTAATATAGTTACTAAAGCTCAAGCAGTTGTTTACTGCACATGTTCAGTTTTTCCAGAAGAAAATGAAGCTGTTGTTAAGAAAGCACTGGAATTTCAAGACCTTGGGAATAAAGGACAACCTTACAGGTAAGAAAAGGAAGGATTCTTCTAAACAACTCAAACAAATATTTTTTAAAAGGAAAAATATTATTTTCTAAGTTGTATAAAGACATTCTACTTTTTAAAATTATACTTTAGTATGATAAAATTGCCTGACTTCTTACAAATTTAACCAAGATTCCATAGGGCCTTTTTCTTTTTTTTTTTTTTTTTTTTTTTTTTTTTAAAGATGGAATCTTGCTCTGTCATCCAGGCTGGAGTGCAGTGGCACCATTTCGATTCACTACAAACTCCGCCTCCCAGGTTCAAGCAATTCTCCTGCCTCAGCCTCCCAAGTGGCTGGGATTACAGGCAAGTGCCACCACGCCAGGCTAATTTTTGTATTTTTAGTAGAGATGGGGGTTTTACCGTATTGGCCAGGCTGCTCTCAAACTCCTGACCTCAGGTAATCCACCTGCCTTGGCCTCCCAAAGTGCTGGGATTTAAGAAATGATATGGCTGGCCTGGTGCGGTGGCTCACACCTGTAATCCCAGCACTTTGGGAGGCTGAGGTGGGCACATACCTTTACCTCAGGTGTTCAAGACCAGCCTGGGCAACATGGTGAAACCCTGTGTGTTTAAAAAAAAAAAAAAAGAATATGATATGGCAAACGTGGAGGAATATTGATTTTATTTTAGGCAAGCCATGATTAATGATTAATCTATAGCATAAAAGACACAAGTAATATAAAGACAGAATCCATAATTCTATATTGGTTTGAGATTTGAGCTCAAATTGGAGAGTACATATATTGAAGATGTTTATAACTACTTGTTGGGGATGCTGCCAAAAGAAATTATGCATTACCTAGGGAATTATACCAAGAATCACTTCTTAGTACCCCAAAGTGGTAGAATTTAGAGTTGAAAGCAATATTACATGTCATTTAATCTCATCACCTACCTGTTGCTTGTATTTCTTTTTAATATCCCAGAAATATTCAGCTCATTTTGGACTTCAGCTGTCATGATAAAATTTGCAAATTTGTAATTTTTTTTGTTCCCCATTGTAAAAATTTCACATTACAGAAGTACTAACTTAAAACAAAAGCCTTTTTCCAAATGGCATCCTCTTATATATAATTGTTCTTAACAATTTGATTTATAGTCTTCTAGATTTTTCCACCACCATAGAATGTGCATATTTTAAGATTTAATCGATATTGTCAAATTACTACCAAGACATTCACTCTTATAAACCTGTTTTCCCACAGCTTCAGAAATGCTGAGCTTCATCAGACTTAAAATCTTTACTCACTTGTGGGGTGAAAACATGAGATGTCGTTACTGATTGTATTTTCATTTCTCTATTACTGAGGTTGAGTATGCTTCCTGTTTACTGACTGGTCAGTGTACTGTGGAGTGGTTAAAAGTAGGGATTCTAGAGCAGTGGTTGTCAAACATTTTTGCTCAAATAATCCTTAAACTTTTTTTTTTTTTTGAGTCAGAGTCTTGCTCTGTTGCCCAGGCTAGAGTGCAGTAGCACGATCTCAGCTCACTGCAACTTCCACCTCCTGGGTTCAAGCAGTTCTCTTGCCTCAGCCTCCCAAGTAGCTGGGATTACAGACACGTGGTACTTCACCTGGCTAATTTTTGTATTTTTAATAGAGACGGAGTTTCACCATCTTGGCCAGGCTGGTCTTGAACTCCTGACCTCAAGTGATCCACCTGCCTTGGCATCCCAAAGTGCTGGGATTACAGGCGTGAGCCACCATGCCCGGCCCCTAAACATTTTTGAATAACTATATATCTTGTTCTTTATTTTAGACTTAATGTCTAACATTTTCATCGTAAGTTTAAATAGCTGCAAAATATATTATTTCTGGAATATTATATTACATATGTGTTTTAAACATATTTCTGTTAAATGTTTGGACCTGCAGATTTATTTATCTTATTTGATTTATGGAAAAATGCTAAATTTGTTACCTATTTTATATAACCAGTTCTCATTGTCAAAACCAAATTTACCTTGTCAGAAAAGGTCTGACTTTATTCTTTAATTCAAATAATCATTAATATTCTTTTGTGATTTTCTTCTAAATTTGAATTCTAAGATAGATATATAGAAATAAGGAAGGGAAAGGGAGGGAGGGAAGAAGTGAGTGTAGGAGGAGAGGAAGGGAGAAAGGGAGGGAGGAAAGAAGGGAGGGAGGGAGGGAGGGAGGAAGGTTTGCTGAGTTTGATACCCTCTTTAAGATTTCTTACCTAAACTCTTGCATTGCCATGGGAGAAGAGGGCCACATTCCTGAGTTGTCCCTTTGTTGGCATCCTGGAGATGTTAACATCCCAGGACAATGGACTATAACAAGGTAGTGACAGTTATACCTTTTTTGTTAAGTGGGAGAAGGGTATTGTGAATGGTGAAGTGGCTGTAAAAGGTGGCTGTGAAATACAGTTAATGATATTACCTACATCATTAGATCCTTGTGGAGATTGAATATATTAACACACGAGCAGTATCTGGCATATAATAAATGTTCAATAATTTTAAATTGTTATAGTTGTTATTATTTATTTATAAATTTCATGTTCATGTACTTTCCCACTGTTTTCAACTGGATTATTCTTTTTCTTCTTTTCACATGTCTTATTATATATTAGGAAGAGTTGCTGTTTTCATATGAATTACAGATATTTTTCAGATTGTTTATCTTTTTATTTTTAAATAAATACTTGAATTAAAAATTTGCTTTATAGGTTGAGCATGGTGGCTCACGCCTGTAATCCCAGCACTTTGGGAGGCTGAGGTGGGTGGGCCATTTGAGCTCAGGTTTTCAAGACCAGCCTGGGCAATGTGGTGAAACCTCATCTCTACAAAAAAATACAAAAATTAGCCACGTGTGGTGGTGGTGTACTCCTGTAGTCCCAGCTATTCGGGAGGCTGAGGTGGGAAGATTGCTTGAGCCCAAGAGGTTAAGGCTGTAGTGAGCCGAGATCGCATCACTGCACTCCAGCCCGGGTGACAGAGGGAGACTCTGTCTCAAAAAAAAAAAAAAAAAAGAAAAGAAAAGAAAAAGTAATCGCTTTACAGCAATTTCTGTGTAGACATTTGTATCAATGTTTTCCTTATGGATTCTACATTTTGTGTTATGTGAATTCCTAGCTTATGAATGCTTTGATCAGTTTTCTTATAGTACTTTCATAATTTCATCTTTTTTATATTTAAATAATTGAGTTTTCTGCTGTTTATTTTGGTAAGAGAGTCAAGTATGGATCAAGGTTTATTTTTTCCCCAAATAATCTTTCCTTGGCCCCCGTTCCCCTTTGGTTTAAAATGCCATCTTTTAAAATTACGTTTTAAGCCCATATATACTGTGTGGATCTGTAATTCTATTCCATTGACGTTTGGCTCTTTCTATACTAATATGACAATGCTATAACCACTGTAGTTTTGAGTGGGTTTCTTCTCAAATTTTATATTTTTTTTTGTTACATAAACCCCACCCACAATCCAAAGATGCATAATGAAATGGTTAACAATTTCCTTCCTACATCTTGCCACTTCTAGTCCTAAAATATCCCATTAAAGGGATGAAGTAGGGTTCTGGAGGTCCCTTGATGAGCTAGGTCCCTTTTTATTATGTGATGGTCTGGAGGGACACTTGGAGAGCTGGGGTAGCAAGTAGGAGTAAGCCCAGAAATTTTGATATTTTTACTGCTGATACAGCCACACCAGCATGTACCAGCTGAATAGCAACTACATGGATGTGTATGTTTGTTTGTTTTTTTGTATCACACCATAAACTTTTTTATTGAAACCTACAGTAGGAAATACATTTTATATCACAACTCAGAACACAATTACATATATTGCATGAAAAAGTAAGTACCTTTTACCCTGACACTTTGTACTGCATTCTATTCTTTTTTTTTTTTTTTTTAATTAAACTTCAAGTTTCAGGGTACATGTGCACAATGTGCAGGTTAGTTACATATGTATACATGTGCCATGCTGGTGTGCTGCACCCATTAACTTGTCATTTAGCATTAGGTATATCTCGTGCTAACCCTCCCCCCTCCCCCCACCCCACAACAGTCCCTAGAGTGTGATGTTCCCCTTCCTGTGTCCATGTGTTCTCATTGTTCAATTCCCATCTATGAGTGAGAACACGTGGTGTTTGGTTTTTTGTCCTTGTGATAGTTTACTGAGAATGATGATTTCCAATTTCATCCATGTCCCTACAAAGGACATGAACTCATCATTTTTTATGGCTGTATAGTATTCCATGGTGTATATGTGCCACATTTTCTTAATCCAGTCTATCATTGTTGGACATTTGGGTTGGTTCCAAGTCTTTGCTATTGTGACTAGTGCCGCAATAAACATACGTGTGCATGTGTCTTTATAACAGCATGATTTATAGTCCTTTGGGTATATACCCAGTAATGGGATGGCTGGGTCAAATGGTATTTTTAGTTCTAGATCCCTGAGGAATCACCACACTGACTTCCACAATGGTTGAACTAGTTTACAGTCCCACCGACAGTGTTAAAGTGTTCCTATTTCTCCACATCCTCTCCAGCACCTGTTGTTTCCTGACTTTTTAATGATCGCCATTCTAACTGGTGTGAGATGGTATCTCATTGTGGTTTTGATTTGCATTTCTCTGATGGCCAGTGATGATGAGCTTTTTTTCATGTGTATGTTTATATTATGTTATAGATATACATCAAGTATAGGTAACTATTCCTATTTTAATAAGCTTTTTGAGATGTAATTCACATACTATGCAATTCACCATTTTAAAGTGTACAATTCAGTGCCTTAAAATATTAATACATTCACGAAGTTGTACAACAATCACCATTAACTTTTGTATATGATAAGAGTTAGGAGTCCAAATTCCTTCTTTGCGTGTGGTCATCCAGTTCTCCCAGCAACACTTGTGGAAAAGATTATTCTCCCCTATTGAATGGTCTTGGCACCCTTGTTGAAAATCAGTTAGTTAATCCCAGCCTGGGCAACATAGAGAGACCCCATCTCCACAAAAAATCAGCCAGGTGTGGTGGTGCCTACCTGTAGTCCTAGCTACTCAGGAGGTCAAGGCTGTAGTGAGCTGTGATTGGGAGACAGAGCAAAAGCCTGTCTAAAACAAAAAGAAAGAAAATAGAAAACCCACTAATCATAGATGCATGGGCTTATTTCTGGACTCTCATTCTATTCTCATTCTATCCGTTGATTTATATGTCTATACTTAAGCCAACAGCACAATAAGAGGTTTTCAAAATCACTAATGGGGCCGGGCATGGTGGCTCACGCCTGTAATCCCAGCACTTTGGGAGGCTGAGGTGGGCGGATCACCTAAGGTCAGGAGTTCGAGACCAGCCTGGCCAATGTGGCAAAACCCCGTCTCTACTAAAAATAAAAAAATTAGCCAGGCGTGGTGTCAGGCGCCTGTAATCCCAGCTACTTGGGAGGCTGAGGCAGGAGAATCGCTTGAACTAGGAGGCGGAGGTTGCAGTGAGCCGAGATCACGCCATTGCACTCCAGCCTGGGTGACAGAGCAAGACTCCATCTCAAAAAAAAAAAAAAATCACTAATGGATGCCTAGTTTTATGAAAAGCCTTTGCAGCATTTAATGATATGATCAGATATTATTTCTCATCTGACATTTTAACATGGTAGTGAATTACATTTAGTAATTACATTTTCCAATTTTCTATTAGAAAATTACATTTTCTAATAGTGAACAGTCTTTGAGCTTGAGGTCTAGGTTGTGTTCTGTGTTTTGATTTTCTGTTACCTAGTAAGAGTGGAGGGCACGAAGGTGAGCAGTGCATGAGAGGTCTTAGTGTGCACGCACCAGAGTACATGCTTCTCTGGTCTTAGTACTCATTATGGTCATCAGTATCTGCACATGCCTGGCTTCTGGTGGTTAATTTGCTCACCTGGTCTCTCTTGTTTCAGGATCCTATTATTTTCATTGCTGTCAATGAGCCCAGTTGTGTCACTGCATCCCCTACTGTCAGCCCTGGCCTGCAGAGGAAAACCACCACCAAACCTCTCAGTGCTGTGGTGCCCCTCTCACCAGGCCATTCCTTGCTGCTTGATAGTGGGTGTACTTTTGGGACCCTCCTCTCAACATAGCCTTCTGGTGGGTTTTCCAGCCTTAATAGTGTTATCCACGGCAGCGAGCTCACTTCTCTGTCCTCTTGTTCCTTCTTCTACTGCTTGCCATCTGCAGCCTGGCATTGCTTCCTCACCAAGTGTGAGCCATTGTGTGTTTGTTTTCTTTTTAAGAAATTACCTCAAACTTAGTGGCTAAAAACATCTATTACTTAGGTCACATAAGTCAGATATATCTGGCATGGCACAGCCAGGTTCTCTGCTCAGGATATGAGCTAGGCTGAAGTCTCTGGAGGCTCTGGGAACAGTTTACTTCCAAACCCACGCTTGTGTTTGCGGGACTGAGGTCCTCGTCTCCTTGCTGCTGTCACTTGACTGCTTTCCACTCCTAGAGGCCACTTTATTCCTTGTCCCGAGTTCCCCAATCTGTGCACCTGCAGTAGCTGTCATAGCATCTTGTGTTTTGAATCTCTGACTTCTTCCATGTCTGACCTCTAGACCCTGATTTCAAAGGTCATGTGATTAGGTCAGATCCACCCAGATAATATCCCTATCTTCGGGGTAACTAACGTGGGACCTATCCTACATCTGCAAAATCCCCTTTGTCATGTGTGTTAGTTTCCTGGGCTGCTGAAAGAAATTCCTCCAAACTTGGTGGCTTATGATAACAAACATTTATTCTCTCATAGTTCCGGAGGCTGGGAGTCCTAAACCAAGGCATTGGCAAGGTGCTGGCCGGTTGGATTCCTCCTGGGGCCTGTGCTGGAGAGGCCTGTCCCCTGCGCTCTCCCAGCTTGTGGTGGTTGCTGGCTGTCCTTGCTGTTCTTTGGCTTGTAGCTGTGTCACATGGACACTATTATTATTATTATTATTGAGATGGAGTCTTGCTCTGTCACCCAGGATGGAGTACAGTGGTGTGATCTCAGCTAATTGCAACCACCACCTCCTGGGTTCAAGTGATTCTCCTGCCTCAGACTCCCAAGCAGCTGAGATTAAAGGCACCTGCCACCACACCTGGCTAATTTTTGTTTTTTTGAGCCAGAATTTCACTTTTGTTGCCCAGGCCGGAGTGCAATGGTGCAATCTTGGCTTGAACCTCTCAGGTTCAAGCAATTCTCTTGCCTCAGCCTCCCGAGTAGCTGGGATTACAGGAGTCTGCCACCACACCCGGCTAATTTTTGCATTTTTAGCAGAGACGGGGTTTCACCATGTTGGCCAGGCTGGTCTCGAACTCCTGGCCTCAAGTGATTTGCCTGCCTCGGCCTCCCAAAGTGCTGGGATTACAGGCGTAAGCCACGGCACCTGGCCAGGACACAATGATTAATAAAAGATTTCCTGATAGTTTAACTCATGTGGAATAGTGTTTAATTGCTTTAACTTATTATTAAATATATTTTAATAATATAAGCCTGGAAATAGAATCATTTATTATTCATGATGAACCACTTACTAAGAAATGATAAATTCATATTAAACATAAAAACTGAAATTTTCATTTTAAATCTATTCATGATTTGAGATTTTTCTGACACAAAGTCTTTGTTATGTACTTTCTTGAACACTATGTAACTCATCTATTAATCCTCAAAAAGTGACTGGGAAGAATAATGTAATTAAAGTGATAGGCTATATTTTTATATTGTAATTGTGCAAAAAGTAACCAAAAGAAAACGTTTTCTCCTTTGTATTTTGAAAATGGTAGAAATATAGGACATTTTGGATAACTGTGATTAATGTACATATTTACCTGCTTTGATAATGGAAAGCTTTTACTGCCATATTAGTGACTTTGGGAAGGTCAGTTTTTAGTTTGTTAAACATTTGTTATTCTTGGCATAGTTGGTTAAAGATGGAGAATCTGGGATTTATAATAAATTATGAATATAAAATATTAGAGCTTTTAACTTATAATAGTATTTAGGGAAAGGCTGCTTCAGAATTGTGTTCTTGATTGGAATTTCTGTTTAAACGATTGGTAAAGTATACTAGAAAAAAATGTAGTGTAATTTACTTTCTTCCTCTCTTGGCAAAGAAGCCATTCTAACTGCTGAATGCTTGTTCCTGTCTGCTGCAGGCTTAGTCCTCCTGTTCTTCCACTGTGCTCCTTAAAGGAAATTCAATTGTCTACTGATAAATTTTTCAGAATGGAACCATCTGAAATTACCAATGGTTGTTTTCTTTCTATTTTAACAAGGGAGGTAAGGAAAAAAAATCCTAATCCATGTCATACTTTGGAATTAATAAACTACAAAGCCTCATAAGAGGAAGCCAGGAACTTTGCACATTCTGTAAAGATGTGTTTGCATTTCACAAACACATTTCAGCTGAAGGGCAGGAACAAGAATTGGCAAATAAGCCCTGTTCTTTTTTTTTTTTTTTTGAGACAGAGTCTTGCTCTGTAGCCCAGGCTGGAGTGCAGTGGCGTGATCTCGGCTCATTGCAACCTCCGCCTCCCAGGTTCAAGCAATTCTCTGACTCAGCCTCAACCTAGTAGCTGGGATTACAGGCGTCCACCACCATGCCCGGCTAATTTTTTTATTTTTAGTAGAGACGGGGTTTCACCATCTTGGCCAGGCTGGTCTTGAACTCGACTTCATGATCCACTTGCCTCGGCCTCACAAAGTGCTGGGATTACAGGTGTGAACCACCGCACCCGGCCAGCCCTGTTCTTTATACTTCCCCCGAGTGTTCCTCTTCTGCCTGGCTGCCACCCCCACCTCCCCAAGCATTTTGTAACATCTAGTGCATCTTCCCTCATATGTAAGAAATAAGCAGCCAGGCATGGGGGCTCAAGCCTGTAAGCCCAGCACTTTGGGAGGCTGACGTGGGTGGATCACCTGAGGTCAGGAGTTCGAGACCAGCCTGGCCAACATGGTTCACTCCATCTCTACTAAAATACAAAAATCAGCTGGGTGTGGTGGCACATGCCTATAATCCCAGCTACTCAGAAGGCTGAGGCAGGAGAACTGCTTGAACTTGGGAGGTGGAGGTTGCAGTGAGCTGAGATCGCACCAGCCTGGGCGACAAAGCAAGACTCCATCTCAAAAAAAAAAAAAAAAAAAAAAAATCTGTGTGATTCTTTTTTTCTATCAGGTATCAGGTTCATAAATGGGGAAGTTTAAGTTTTTTTTTTGTTTGTTTTTTTAAAAAGGCATTCGCTGAGGCTTATGAGATTGGGGACTAAGGCCTAAAAACTATTTCTTATTTCTTTTAGTATAATAAAGAGAGTCTTTTTATTTTTACTGATACATTGATAAATATTTGCGGGAGACACAATAATAGCTAACTCCCACATTTAGTAAATGCTTCTTTAATTGCAGCGGGACCCTTCTGAGACAGTGTCTGTGAATGATGTTTTGGCCCGAGCTGCAGCCAAGGGTCTGCTGGATGGGATTGAGTTGGGTAAATCATCAAAACGGGAGAAGAAGAAGAAAAAATCAAAAACATCATTGACAAAAGGTGCCACTACTGATAATGGCATCCAAATGAAAATTGCTGAGTTCCTGAATCGAGAAACTAAAGCCAGTGCTAATCTATCAGAGACTGTAACAAAACCACCTCTTCCCCAGAAAAATACTGCTCAAGTGGGGGCTTCCTCACAGACCAGAAAACCCAACAAGCTGGCCCCCCATCCTGCAGTGCCTGCATTTGTGAAGAACACTTGTCCCTCCAGACCGCGTGAACGGCAGACACACTTCTTAAGACCTCGGCCAGAAGACAGAATGGTTGCTCTGAAACCCATCAAGATTGTTCTGCCTCCAGTCTTTATGCCATTTTCAAGTCCCCAAGGGATCAGATCTCGGATGCCAACTCAACATTTGTACTGTCGTTGGGTTGCACCCAAGGCACTTGTGCCCACCTGCCTTCCCACACACTCACTATCCAGAAAAGAGGAAAAGCCTAAAGATGACACACCTTCCTCCCTACTCAGGCCTCCTCGGCGATGGCTTTGATTGTCTTGTGTTTTTTATAGGGGCCAAAGAGCAGTTGATTTTTTTTCAAAGTCTAGTATTTCTCTGAAGATTCTACATCTCTACACAAGATATTCATTCTTTTGGTCACCTAGGGATCTTCTAAGTGTGATATTACTTTCAGAGAATTCAGACAAGTGAGAAACAATAATGTAGGAGTCAGCAAAGCAGAATTCAGAGACTTCAGCCAATCACTGCTGCTCTGAGAGGATCCAGTTAGAGACTCAGTATCAGCGGTCAGAACTTATCTCACTCCTGTGAACTTTCAGGCTGGACTTAAAGCTGCCAAGTTTCCCCTGCAGGGAAGGAAACACTGCCTCCCTTCAGCAGGTAGCTCATTAGAAAGCCAAACAGGCAAACGATCCTGGCCTCTCCCGCCAGCTGACCGCTCTTCAGCATCCATGCGGTTGTAGTCGTGACTTTCTCAGTCACGATCAAGGGTGATTTTTTCTTAAATATCAAGCTGTTCTTTGAACAGGGAATGAACATGAGTTTTTGTAACGTGACTGAAGTTGAGTTTAAGTAGGAAGCGCAGGAAGTTCCCAAGTGCCAGGTGTGTGTAGCTCAGAGTTCCTTTTACAGTGAGGTGTCTCTCACTGGGGGAGCTTCCAGGATCCTGAGCAGACTGGACACAATCATCTCTCCCTTCCTCTATGTCAAGCACTGTTACAAAAGACTGTGAGCAAATTTCCATCTAAATATTAATAATTCTGAAGAAGAGGCAAAACTGTTGAATGCAAGCGATACCTATTGTTGAAGAAACCCACAAATTTCTGATTCTAAGATCAGGGGATACAACAAAATCTACAAGTCATTTCAAATAGCACACAGGAATCAAACTTTGGTAAATCATTTCTGAGGCACAATTAAATATATTGTAGCACTATGTTAATTAATTATATTAAATGTCGATTCATCTTGAATGTATTCTCAATTGCCTACCAAAAATTGGTATGATTATCATTTCTGGGTCTACTGATTTTTCATCATGGCAACAGAAATTGTCATTAAATAGAATTAAGATACAACTATATATCTTATTATTTAAAAACATTCATAGACATATTCATAAAGTTTGAATTTAAAGTTTTATTTTTGCAATTCAGTTGTATAGAAATGTTACATAAATTCCTAAATGCTCAATTCAGGTGGCATGATTTTTAGAATATTATCTTCTTCAAGATGAATACTTAGGTCTACTTCAGCTCTGATATTCTATTTTTACTTTCTTACTTGAAGTGAGAAAAGAGAATGGTGAATTGTATTATAGCGGTAATACATTATTTTTATTTTAGCTTAGATTTACATTTATCAGTAAAACGTGTCAGTGGGCTGGGTGCAGTGGCTCACATCTGTAATCTCAGCAGTTTGGGAGGCTGAGGTGGGCACGCCACTTGAGCACCGGAGTTCCAGACGAGCCTGGACAACATGGCGAAACCCCAAAACCCCATCTCTACAAAAAATACAAAAATTAGCTGGGTGTGGTGGGACACGCCTGTAGTCCCAGCTACTTAGGAGGCTGAGGTACGAGGATCTCTTGAGTCCAGGAGGTGCAGGTTGCAGTGAGCCAATATTGCCCCACTGCACTCCAGCCTGGGAAGCAGAGTGAGACCTTGCCTCAAAAAAAAAAAAAAAAAAAAAAAAGTGTCAATGAAGAAAGGAAACAAGACTTTTTATAGTTGAACCAGGCTTATTGTATTTTAAATCCCTGAAGAAGAATTCTTCATGTTATCACTCTTGTACAGAAAGATATAAAGTGCTCAGCTTATTTTGCTGATTTTGAAAATCAAACACTATCTCCTTGCCCTAAAATTATAGCGTGTGGCTCATCCTCTTATCCCACCCAGATTTCTATCTGGTTGGTTAGGGTAGTCCATGCCTCAAGGAAGGCGGTGCAGCTTAATTTAACATATTGTTCAGTAAAGAATCCCATTGTGTATCATAAGAATCCCTTATCCTTTTCGGGCCCTCCACCATACCAGACTGAAAAGTATTCCATTGTCCAGAAGTAGCTGGTCTTGAGATTTTTATTTTCAAGTGTATTTTCTGTGATGTTGTCTCATTGTTATGGAATAGTTTAGGATAATTTTCTGATCTCTACAGTAGCATGTGAAGTCACAATTTGTTGCCACTTACATTGATTATCTCCTAACATGCATTTGGCACTAAATTATTTTTCTCTTTAGAAGTATATGAAGATTCTGAATTAAACCATTCATTAATTACACTGCAGTTTTCTTCTTTGAGAATCTTCTATGAAGGACAGGATTATTTAAATACTTTGGTAGAGTGAAAAGGGAAAAGAATTTTGGATAAAAGCAATATGAGGCCGGACGTGGTGGCTCACATACTTTGGGAGGTTGGGGCGGGCGGATCACCTGAGGTCAGGAGTTCGAGACCAGCCTGGCCAACGTGGCGAAACCCTGTCTCTACTAAAAATATACAAATTGGCCAGGCGTGGCGGTGCATGCCTGTAATCCCAGCTACTCAGGAGGCTGAGGCGAGAATTGCTTGAACTTGGGAGGTGGAGGTTGTGGTGAGCTGAAATTACACCACTGCACTCCAGAGTAAGACTCCTCTGTCTGAAGAAAAAAAAAAAAAGCAATATGAGGGAATTCTAATGAAGGAGAATATTGATTCCACTGACATGTTTCATTTGGCATTTTACATTCTTGGACTTCTTCTTGAGATAAAAGTGCTGCAAAATTCTAAATAATGAAATTACTAGTATTCAGATACTCCAATAGCAAACACATTTTTAATCTGAAATTATTTACCACCATATAATGCCTGAAACCATAATGAAATTTTGTTACTGACTAGAGAGAAACCACTGTGGAAGTGCAAGATGAACAAAAAGCGGGGACATACTTTAAATTCTGTTTATCTGCCTTCCTGCGCCTAACAGTTAAGCTAAACCAGATTCAACTGATTTCTCTAGTTACCTTTCATTTTGGATTTAGTGTGTGTACACCTCTATTCTTTATTCTTTGATGTCAGGTTCTTAAAGGAAGTGATAAACTTCTTCGTGCTAAAATATCACAATCCTAGCAAGACCGCTTACAAAAGACTCGAGTTGGTGACTAAATAGGCTTCTATGTCCGGAAGGCCAGCTGGCCTTCCTGATCACCAAATAAGTACAGGGTGATTACTCAAAATTTGAAGTTACTTCCTAGTTCTTACCAGGCAGAAATATGTAGTAACTAATCAAAGCAAAATGCTCCATTACTAAAGTGATTTCTAAGAAGTCTGAGGTAAGAATAATTTAAAAATAACTAGAGACACCGAGTTTCTATTTCTATTCCTTGTATATGTGACTAAGATGTCAGATAAATGAGCCGAACGTTTTATGCAGCTAAATTTATTCTCACAACAAATTACATTTAAATGTGTAAAAGTGGTCAACAGGAAAAGGGCATAAAGGAAAACAAAGCGTTCTTTCAGGGGAAGTAAGCTGCTCTGGAGGCCAGGAACTACTGCTTGCGTTGACACGGTGTGAGTGGGTATCTTTGCCCTGAAGCTGAAGTTAAACTTTCTACTGGCCGTGTGGCACACACGTTAGATGTGTATTAGGTTAAGCCTGGCCAACTAGAGAGCGAAGGGGCTTATTAGTTAAATTGTGCTAATATCAGTTAGGAAAATGCTTGTCATGTTGTGGTGAAATCTTGAGGAGTTTGTGTTGCAATGCCTGGGACATGAACGGGCCATACAAACAGAGGAAAGCTCTGGGGCTTCCAGGCAATGGCCTTGTGTCGAGTCATCTTACAAGTGTCCATCTTGAAATCATAAAGTGGATTTAAAAAGAAGTAGCAGTGCCACAGTTTATCACCAAGAACTTATTTTAATGGAAATGGGTCTAATGTCCCTTCATGCAACAAGACAGATGAACAAAAAACAATGGTCCTAATTAGCTATGAGTGATCTTGTATCCAGGTGGAAACAAAGGGCATGTGTACATGTATATATCTCTTAGATGAAATCACACATGTTGTGAAGGGTAGAAAAACGAAGCACCAAGCAGTGCTTTAGTCTGCAAAGGAAAGTTTTTAGCCATAGGCATGTTGGCTAGTCGTTCCCCTTGATGTTGCCAAGGAGCAGATGTATGAGGTGGCAAGTCTGTGTCTATCTAGCTGCTTTTAAAAAATAAAAGGAACTTTAAGCATTTTGCCTTTTCTTCTACATATCCCAATAGAAATGTGACTACAAATCATTACAAAACCACTTTTTAGGCAATGTATAGTTCACTGAGATTACTTAGATCTGGATACACTGGGAGATAATATCCAGGAAAGATAATACATTAACACAATAATGCAGTATATTTCAGTAAAAATAGAATAAATAAAATAAAAATATTTTAAGCTGTATTTAACAGGTTAATTAAAAATATGGTAAGACATAGAAGGCATCGTGAACATGGCTGCCTGTTTACCGAATCACAGATCTAAAGAATGCATAGATAACTGAAGTGTCACTAAGATATCAGGTAAAACATTGGCATCCTTTTACAAACAAATACACACATACTTTCATACATACTTTTTGGCCATGGCAGAAAGTGTCTGAACATACTCTTTAACATAATTTTACAAAATTAATTTGCATTTACTATACAATGCCATTTTCAAAACAAAACGTCTGCAAAGTTTTCAATATGTAAAGGCTATCATTCATCTTAATGCATCCTATAATTGCACATATAAATCAGTTTGCTACTTAAAGCTAGCTCAGAATTCTTGATCTTGAAAACAAGCAAATGTATGCCTTAAAAAATGAAGAGGGAGTTCTGGTAGAGATTTCCAATATAAAAGTGGGTAATTTGTTTAGAATTTTGAAATTTATCACACTAAAATGTTTCACTACAGCGACCGAGATGAAAGATCACTGTAAATGATTTCTGAACAGCTTTTCAAAGGGCACAGCAAGGATTTTCTTAATGCAGTAATTTCTTATGATGGCACTGGTTACTTCAGATCAGTAGTATGTCAATTGGTGAAAAACAGACTGCGTTTCTAAAGTAGCATAGTTTTGTCATAACATTGGGGTGCTAAGACAATTCCGGTCCCCCTGTCCCCCACCCCTCATGAATTCTGAGGGAATGGCAGGTAGAAAAGCCACCCACTCATTCCATCATGATCTCTGGTGGCTAAGTACCATGAGTTAGGAATGTCTACCACAAGTAGCATCTGGAAAATCTCGTAGATGGAACAGGCTGTGAATGTAGAATCCTGCCCTCTACAACACTTTTGAGGCACGCTGTAGGAAAACAGTCCTGGACTTAGATAGGGCACCATCATGAATACCACTGCGTAAGGAATTTGGACATCTTTCTCCCACTCGTGTAGGGAATTCTAAGATTCCCTGACAATAGATCTTTCCATACCTGCTCTTCTTAGTATATGCCCAGAATCATTCTGGAAAGGCTCTTCCTGACGGATATGGAGGCAGCACAACACAGCAAGAACGGGCTTTGGGAGCCGTGGGTCCTAGTCCTGGTTTTCATGAACTTTGGTGAGATCTTAGGCCAGTGGGTTTAGCCTCTCGGTACTTCATATTTTTACTTCTAAAGTGTATTTAGTACCTTCTCTACCTGGTAAGGCTCAGATGTGATAAGAATGTGGAAACCATTTTGACAAGTACATAGCAGTGTATAAACATAAAGCATTACTTTTATAATTGGATGTTGTAAATGTTAATTTTGACATTAAGAAGAAGTAAACAAGACTAATATTGAGATTGATCGCCTTAGCAACTTCCTTTTAAAACGACAATGTCAACGAGAGTCTAAATTTGTATGTCTTTCCAGCTAAGTTTCTCACCTACATACGAAGGAGCAGGAAAATGCTGTTTTGGGAAACTTGTTAAACAGTCCATTACTCCTGTGTAGACTTTGCTCAGGTATGAACATTTCAAATCTTCAAAGTAAAATGGAAAAAATATAAATTAAAAAATATATCTAGTTGAGTCCAACAAATTCTAATATTAAATACATAAAATCAAGGAAAGGTTCAACCTAATGTAATTTGTTGCCATGGACAATACATGATGGACAGACAGCTTTCTGGGCAAAAAGCATCAGAGGGGGATAGAGCTGGATGCAGAATTCCAGCAGAACGTTTACCTCTAGCACATGGACTAGCAAAAATCACACGGTGGTAGAAATCTAAAATAATCGTGCATGATAGAAATATCAATGATATTTCCTCAACTTCAAATTGCATATCAGCTAATTCTCAAACTAAGGATGAAAGGCTGATGAGGAGTATTTCATCTTAATGTTTATGTAGAGAATGGCCATAGTGAACTATAATTCTCTAGCTGCACCGTACAATATAAGGCAGAAGTTTGAAATATGTCCCACCCAAAATGCATTATGATTTTATTAATCTCTTTTAAAAATAATCAGTTTGAAAACCATCGGAAAAGAAAGGCTATGTTTTGTTCGATTTTAATTCCTCGAATTTAGTTTTTCATCAATTTTGAAGTTTCATTTTTTTCCAACATCCCACAAACAGCTGTAGACATGAAATGGTGTCCATGTGTCAAAGAGCTTGTCAGGGAAAGCTGCCAGTTGGTTTCTATACTGATGCCAACAGCCAATTTTGTCAACCAACAGGTTCAATTTTATGAAAAATTAAAACACAAACTCGCCATCCTATTTTTACAGCAATTCAATGGTATCTGCTATGCAGTGCCTACTCCAATGTTGAAAACAGGGCAAAGTGCTGTAGGACTTAAAGGTTGCTTGTGACAGGTCCAGCCAAGAAGACAGTGAAACTAACTCACGCATCATTCATTCCAAGGACGCAGCGTTAGTTCACTAGGAGGGGTGGGGCCACACTCTTCTCTGTGTGTGTGTGAAGTTAAGTAATGTTCACAATATTTACAATAAGAAAAAGACCTTCCACTGCGCATGATGTAACTTACAGCAAAAAAAATTATTCATGCTTCTTTTCATATCACATGATGGTGGCAAGACGAGAGAACATGCTTGTCTAACACTGCTTGGTTAAGGGTAAATTCTCTGAAGACAAAGCATCAGCAACTGGATGGAAGGTCGGATGGCGGAGTTCATTTTCTTTAGTGTAGCTAGTCAATCTTCAGGTAAATAGCCGAGTCCTTTTGCATGTGCAGCTATGGCATTTCGGTGACAGGGCGTTTCTGTTTCAAAGTGTCAATGAGGGATAAGACCCCTCGTTTTACATTGGTTGTGACTCTTCTGGTTACTGAATCTGCTGGCGGTGGAGGTGGTCGAACTTTCTGAGAAGGCGGCCTGGCTACCAAGCACTTCTGATATCGTAACTGAAATAAAACAAAACGTGTTTTAAGGTAATTAACAACATATTATTTCATCTTTAATATGACTTTAAGTCATGACCCATAATACATTGACTCCCAAAGGTTAACGACCTAGTTCCTAAACATAAATCCAAGAGTTATTTTTCTCTGAATGTGAGTGCTTTAAATTCTCCTAAAAGATTAGGCTCAACAAAGGGGTTTTGGCTTTTGCCACCCTTTCCTTCCATCCATTTCCACCCTCCACGTGTCCTCTATATTGATAGTCCGCAACGAATACACCTCACAGTCAATGAGCTAATGAAACCAGAAAGGATTGGGAGAGAGTGTGTTAATTACATTTTTCATCAGAGACATGCAAATCTAGGCAGGTGCTCATGGTACACTGACAGCACAGTAGAAAGGGCATAGTTTAAGGTCTATCACTTGTGAACCCCAGACGAATTATTAAATCTCTCTGAGCCTCAGTTTCTTCAACTGTAAAATGGCTGAAGAAAGGACTATTTACAGAGGGTGTTATGATTAAGTAAGTAATACTTGTAATGCTTGTGGAATGCCTGAAATAGGCCTAGCAACACAGAAGGCATTCAGAAATGTTTGTTTCCTTCCCTATTTCCTGTTTTAATTAAAAAGATGAGGTATTAAGATTTCAAGATACATGGTACATACAAGTCTAAATCTTTATGGATTAATTTTTAAAAATCCATTAGCACTGGCACCAGGGATAATTCCTGTTCTTCAGAAATATAACAATGTAGTCCACCTGGTTTTGCATAATGGGAAGATAACTAATTCTTTAAGATTAGATAAAAAGTTAAAATTTATCAAATTTTTTTTTTTCTAATCCAAACGTTTTAAAATACAGTTGACCTGGCCAGTCATGGTGTTTCACTCCTGTAATCCTAGCACTTTGGGAGGCTGAGGGAGGCGGATCACTTGAGCCCAGGAGTTTGAAACCGGCCTGGGCAACATGGTGAAACCGTGTCTCTACAAAAAATACAAAAATTAGCCAGGTGTGGTGGCACATGCCTGTGGTTCCAGCTACTTGGGAGGCTGAGGCGGGAGGATTGCTTCAGACTGGGAGGTCAAGGCTGCAGTGAGCTGTGAGCATGGCCACTGCACTCCAGCCTGGGCGACGGAGTGAACCCTGTCTCAAAATAAATAATGAAAAAAAAATACAGCTGATCTTTGAACAACAGAGTTTGAACTGTGCAGGTCCACTTATATGAGGATTTTTTTTCAACCAAACACAGATTGAAAATAGTATTCCTGGTATGCAAAACCCAATTACTCAGAGGGCAGACTTCTCCTATGCGTGGGTTCTGCAGGACCTGAATATGTAGGATTTTGGTATACTCAGAGGTCCTAGAACACCTCCACCCCGCCCCACGTATACCAAGGAAGGACTGTCACTCCATGGCTTTTTTAAAAAAAATCAACTTAAATATTAACAGGCTCTTTAGTAATGGAATAGGCTGATGTCCCTGTAAAAAGCAAGACCCTGGGGGAAGGATATGGTACAGTGTTCTATCATACCCCTTAGGCCACAAAACAACCCCTTTCAAATCAATCATATGAAATATGATGATTGATTACACGTCTCCTCTGTGTAAGGTATTTTACTAGGCCCACATCACAACCCAAACCACACACATCGAAAGCACGGATTTATACATGGCAACATGGGACTCTGGACTTGGAATTTCAAATAGTAGTCACGTACATCCAGTGTGAATCAAAACCACACCTAAGTGTTGGAATTCATAAAGGGTCCCTCTCTGTTCTATTCTAAATTTTGCCAAAATGTCTTCTGTTGGGCCTATACCACACAGCTGTAAAATATGCCTAAAAATTAAGCAGATTCAAAAGAACGTTAGTGTCAATAGATATTCACATGGTATAAATTCACATACGGACCATTCAGAGGAGAATCATGCGGATTTGAACTAAGAAGAAAGCCCCTGAGCTAGAAACACTGGATTCAGAGCGGGCAGGAGAGAAGAATGGTTTGATTTTACTAGTATGCCTTATACTAGATTGGCTGAGCTGTGTCCACTCGTTGCAGTGATACAATTAAAATAGGAAGCAAATGAGTAAAAGTTGTTTCCAAGAGGGAAAATGAATTGAGAATCAGAAAACCAACTGTAGCCAAAGAGATAAAACTCATTGTCGTTATCACTTAAACGTATAATTAAGTCGGAAAGCCATTCATTTTATGACTAAAACCATCTGCTATGATCTGTTTCAATTTCATAAAATACCAAAATAGTTGTCATCCATTTTCGCTTGGCTGAAATCTCCCATTTTCTATTTTCTTCACAGATCTCCTTTATCTCATCAACTCCCTGTACCTGGTCAGTGGGTTCACCTGACTCCTCTACTGTCCCTGCTCCCCTGAACCCCAGCCCTGCTCCTGCATATTCAGGGTGTCTGAGTTAGAATCCTGGCCCTACAGTTCTTGCAGGGAGTTAGCCACTCTCACAGAGGATGGTGTAAGTGTGACACCAGATAACAAGTGTTCAACGCCAGGCCTCCCCTTCTCCCTCCTTCCTGCTCTATTTCAAATGATAAAGGTCAAATGCCTCTTTTCTACGCCCCACCTTTGCAATCTGCTCTCCCACCTCATCCTTTTAACATTTTTATTAGACATAGGGCCTTTCTATGTTGCCCAGGCTGGACTTGAACTCCTGGGCTCAAGGGGTCCTCTCATCTCAGCCTCCTGAGTAGCTGGGACTACAGGTGCAAACTTTCCCTTCATTCATAACCTCACAATGTGCTGTATGGGGTGGGGGGGCGGCGGTCAGAGAACTCCCTTTCCTTCCCCAAGCTCCACCCATTCTTGGTTCTTAGCATCTTCTGGACTATGTCAAAGTAAAAGGTCTCTCTAACTAATTCGTAGGCTAAGTCCCTCCCCTTGGCTCTCTTTTTTTTTTTTCTTTTTTTTTTTTTTGAGACAGGGTCTCACTCTTTCACACAGGCTGAAGTGCAGTGGTGCAATCTCAGCTCACTGCAACCTCCACCCCC
This sequence comes from Homo sapiens, assembly GCF_000001405.40. Lineage (NCBI taxonomy): Eukaryota > Metazoa > Chordata > Mammalia > Primates > Hominidae > Homo > Homo sapiens. The sequence goes on from NC_000004.12 coordinate 40,819,278, forward strand.
AAGTTCAAGCCATCCTCCCACCTCAGCCTCCCTGAGTAGCTGGGACTACAGGTACATGCCACCACGCTCGGCTAATTTTTGTATTTTTTGGTAGAGATGGGTTTCACCATGTTGGCCAGGCTGGTCTCAACCTCCTGACCTCAAGTGATCCGCCCGCCTCAGCCTCCCAAAGTATTGGGATTACAGGCGTGAGCTACTGTGCCCAGCCTCCTCCACTCTTTATCTACCTCCATTTTCCACAAAAGAAAACCTAGCTGGGCATGGTGGTGCTCCCCTGCCGTTCCAGGGAGGAGTTCAAGACCAACCTGGGGAATATAGCAAGATCCCATCTCTTAAAAAAAATAAAATAAAATAAAAATAAAGAATAAAAAAGGGGCAGGCCTCTCCTGTCCTGAAATAAACACATGAACAAACCCTCCAATGCTGCCCTTCAAGCTCCCCCTCACTGGCAAACTTTGTAAGTTATCTGCTTTTAGGGCCTCCACTTCTTTTTCTTCCCAGTTACTTCTCAATCCAGCACAGTCTCATACTTATTTTTCTTATTTATTTTTTTGAGACAGGGTCTCGCTCTGTCACCCAGGCTGGACTACAGTGGTGCCATCGTAGCTCACTGCACCTCGACCTCCTGGGTTTGAGCCATCCTCCCACCTTAGCCTCCTCAGAAGCTGGGACTACAGGCATGTGCCACCACGCCCGGCTGAAAGTGAAGATCCTCATACTTTTATTTACAGCACTTTCTACACTGTAACAGAGTTTAGGTTTCTGTGTCTCCCCCACTATACCTGAGCTCTACAATGCAAGGACTGTATCTCAGTCATGCTGAATGCCCCAGATTCCAGCCCGTAAGTGCGAGGCTGAATTAAATGAAGCCCAGGGGCTTCACATGCAGCAGTTCTCCCCCAGCCAGGCAGCTCGGTGCTTCTCAAAGCCTCTGCTCCTGTTTGTTCCCAACGCTGCTCTCCTAGCGTGGACGCTCCTCCTCTCTCCCATCTGCAGAAGGTAACTGGGCTCCTGGCTGATCGCCACCTCAGCCTTGTTCCTCCAACCTATCCTCTACTTGGTTGTCTTCTTTTTTTGCTGGATACTCGTCTAAAATCTAAATACAGGCTGGGTGCGGTGGCTCATGCCGGTAATCCCAGCACTTGGGAGGCTGAGGCGGGTGGATTACCTGAGGTCAGGAGTTTGAGACCAGCCTGGCCAACATGATGAAGCCCCATCTCTACTAAAAATATAAAAAATTAGCCAGGCGTGGTGGCAGGTGCCTGTAATCCCAGCTATTTGGGAGGCTGAGGCAAGAGAATCACTTAAACCCAGGAGGCGAAGGTTGCAGTGAGCTGAGATCGCGCCATTGCACTCCAGCCTGGGCAACAAAAGCAAAACTTCATCTCAATAAATAAATAAATAAATAATCTAAATACAATCAATTCAATCCCCAGTTTAGCAATCCTTGCTGAAGAAAATCAGGCCCCCACACGCCATCATCATAAGCCCGCCATGATCTGGACCGCACCTCCTTCCACTCGGGCCCAGCACCCAACCTGCTGCTGCTGGAACACACCTGCCCACAGGCTTTGGTGCCCACACTCATATAGCTCCCTCATTTTTTTTTGAGATGGGTTTCCCTCTTGTTGCCCAGGCTGGAGTGCAATGACGCGATCTCGGTTCACTGCAACCTCTGCCTCTCAGGTTCAAGTGATTCTCCTGCCTCAGCCTCCCGAGTAGCTGGGATTACAGGGATGCGCCACCACGCTGGCTAATTTTGTATTTTTAGTAGAGACAGGGCTTCTCCATTTGGTCAGGCTGGTCTTGAACTTCTGACCTCAAGTGATCCGCCTGCCTCAGCCTCCCAGAGTGTTGGGATTACAGGCGTAAGCCACCACCCCCGGCCCAGTTCCCTCATTTTTATTAGAACTTTTGCAGTGTCTGGCATAAGAGGGGCACAAAGACACATGCTGAAGGAATAATGAGGGATTCTTGTTTGTTTCCAAGTATCCATGTGGTATAAAGAGCTCTGACTTTGTCACCTGGCAGCTTGGGGCTGAATCCAGGCTCGGCTCTGTCACTTACCGACAAGCCCTGAGGCCCATTCTCTAACTTCCCTAAAGTCTCTATTTTCTCATAAATAAAACAGAACTAACAACTACCTAACAGAGTTGTCGGAAGGACTGAGTTAACAGATATAAATAAAATATATAAGAACGGTGTACAGAAACCAATCACTGGAAACAAAAGTCATTCAATGTATTGATTTTTAAAGTACTGAATTGAACCCAAACAGTACCAACTCATACACGACCAACATTTCACACATGAAATTGATTTGGGATCAAGGATTGACCGTCGTCAAGGTGGTGGTTATGAAACTCATCGGAGCCTCTATCTGGCCCCACTTCTTTCAGGAGTTCTGGCCTTTGGAGATGTAATCTGTTTATCATAACTGATTCTGGCCCTAGGAATGACGGCGTTATAAAGTAAAGCATTACTTTAGGGATTCGACTTTTTTCATTTCCGTGAGTGATTCTGCTATAATGTATGGCATATTAGAGATGAGCAGAGGCGGGAGGGCTCAACAGCCTGTACCGGGATAACTCACCATGCAGGCGGCCTGCACCGCCTCAGACACGTTACCAGCATTAGGCTCGCACCAGAAAACGTGGCACTCAAAGCGCTGGTTCCCCGTGTCCATGATGAAGGCAAATGTGTGGACGTCCTTCCCAACACCCATGAAGGACAGGAATCGCACACGACATTCCACTAAGACTTCCTCTTCATTCTGCAAGAGACATTATGCGGCATCCAATCAGGAGATCCCAGGATCAAGCTTAAGAGTGGCAGCACATAGGAACTGGCATTCAGAAAGTATAGCCAGGCCGAATTCAGAAAGGACCTGTGTTTTTCTCGAAAGGCGGAACCTTGCCCAAATGTCTGAAGAGGCCATCACTGCATGGCTACCCTGTTCTGGAGGTCATTCTTGCTCTGAACTACACTGCTGTCATGGGGTGTGATGTGGGTCCCATTCTCCATTATGCTACGTGGCTGTGAGTTCACTGTGGGGAGGGACAGTGCCGTCCATACTTCTTACATCTAGCCCAAATACAGGACACCTGGTGGCCCAAAACCCATTTGGCCAAGTAAACCCCCAGAGCACCAGAAAAAAGGGATTCACGGTATCTTTCTTCGTCCAGTGATTCTTACCCAAACTAAACAGCACACTGAATCACATTTCCATCTAAAACCATATAAAACAAAAAGCTGCCAAATCAACAAAAAGTTGTCAAATTGTTTTTTTCTTTTCTCTCTTGCAAACTGGTGTCCATCTGGGATCCACATGAGGCAGCGTAAAGAAATGTTCAGAATTCTTTCTCATAGGGATGAACACCACATCCTTTGCAAGAACCATATGCAAGTTTTGAATTAATAAACACATCCAAAATGTTGACTTTTGGATCATTAACATCTTGACTAATTAAATATTCACTCTAGTGCCTTGGGAGTGTTTAATGAGCAAAGTACACTAGTGTGAGAGGTCGGGAAGTTTTCTCAGGAGGAAGGAGGCTGTGGTGGTGATCTGGGTAAGGGTCGGGTAGGCAGAGGGTGGAGCATGGAGGGTGCAGTGCTTGCGATGATGCTGGTGTGGGGAAGGGCGGGACCTACTTGAAGAGGTGAGGAGAGCTCAGTGTGGCCAGCTGGAGGCAGGCAGTGAGCACCCTGCTCCTCTCTCCAGGGTGAACCGGGCAGCTGTGGGGCAGGCTGATGACTGGTGGTCTTTCCCTGGCAGGTGCTTCACAGAGGCAGAATAGAAAAGTGGGCACAAGTCTGGGCCAGGTTGCCTGGATTTAAGTCCTGATTCCATTGCTTCCAACTGTGTGATGCTGGGCAAATGACTTAGCCTCTCTGTGCTTCAATTTCTTCAACCACGAAACTGAGATAATTTGGGCTGAGGCTAATGTGGCCTCTTCTCAAGACAACCAATAGCTCCTTCTGCTACTGATAGTCACAGGACTCTCCCAAATGGAAGCATCTTCTGCTTTTCATCCCCAGATCACACAGCCCAGGCAATACTGGCGCCCTGAGAGTGAGCGACTACTAGCGTCACACACTCACCTCTAGCAAACAATTTCTCTCTGGGGCACATGAGGAAGACAGAATCAGAAGCACCAGAAGAGAAGTTTCTCAGGCCACAGGAAAACAGAGGTATGCACAGATTTAGACCCAGACAAAGGGCCAAATCTTTCAAATGTAGGCCATCTTAATCACAAGGATGCACAACTCCGGCCTTGACTATGTTCCTAAGTTCCACAGAAAACCACTGTATCTTATACTCACTGTATAAGACACACCAATGTCATCGAAGATTCCTTCTCACCTTTTCACTGATGACAGTCACAGTGGCATCAGCCACGTTCATGTTCACTGACAGCCAGTCCTCCTTGTTGGATGAGGTCATAAGATTTTCTATGGCACTGTTCAAAATATCCATTCCTGGGGACAGAAAAGGATAATTTAAAGTGTCCTAAAGCCACTTACCACACTCAAATGTGGGCCCAAATCACCAATAACAGCTACGCCCAGACTGATCTTTTTTTAATAGACAGGACACTTCATTCTCATGTTTGCTCAACAGGAATGAAATACCAGCTTCTGGCCGGGCGTAGTGGCTCACGCCTGTAATCTCAGCACTTTGGGAGGCTGAGCCAGGATCATTTGAGGTCAGGAGTTCGAGACCAGCCTGGCCAACACGGTGAAACCCTGTCTCTACTAAAAATACAAAAATTAGCTGGACATGCTTGCTTGAACCCAGGAGGCGGAGGCTGCAGTGAGCTGAGATCGCACCACTGCACTCCAGCCTGGGCAAGTATCAGTGAGACTCTGTCTCAAAAAACAAAAAAAGAAAAAGAAAAAAAAGAAATAACAGCCTTTTCAGTAGGAGAGGAGAGTCAGGAGAAGCTCCGGGGACCTGGTGCCTTAGACGCTGTCTACCTATGCAGACCATGGCCCTTCAGCCTCTCTCCACCCTCACTGTCTCTTGATGGCACCTTTACAGTGGATCCCCCCATTGAGTAGGGCCCTTTTGCCAGCTGTTTCCACAGTTTTTCTGGGGGATAGGGGTGGGAGTGACAGCTTTATTGAGGTATCATTCACATGCAATTCACTCACGTAAAGTGTGCAATCCAGTGGATTTTAGTACATTCACAGAGCGCACCCATCACCATCATCAATTTTTTTTTGAGACAGGGTGTTGCTCTGTCACCCAGGCTGGAGTGCAGTGGTACAATCACGGCTCACTGTAGCCTCAGCCTCCCAGGCTCAGATGATCCTCCCACCTCGGCCTCTGGAGTAGCTGGGACTACAGGTACATGCCACCATGCCCAGCTAATTTTTTGAATTTTTTTTGTAGAGATGAGGTTTTGCCATGTTGCCTGGGCTGGTCTTGAACTTCTGGGCTCAAGCAATCCACCTGCCTTGGCTTCCCAAAGTGCTGAGATTACAGGTGTGAGCCACCATGCTAGACCTACCATAATCAATTTTAGAACAGTTTCATCACCCCAAAGAGAAACCCCGTGCCTGGTAGGGGTCATTCTGCATTTTTCCCCCACTCCCCAGACCCCTAGACCAAGGCAACCCTTACCTACTTTCTGACGCTAGAGCTCTGCCTATTTTGGGCGTTTCATATGAACGTAATCACACAGTATGCAGTCTTTTGGGACTGACTTCCCTCATAGCATGTTTTCAGGCTTCATCCACGCTACAGCGCACTTCAGTCCTTCATTCCTTTTTATTGCCAAATAAAATTCCACTGTATGGAAGTATCACATCTTATTTATCTAATTGTCAGTTGATTTGTCAGGACATTCAGGTTGTTTCGCTTTTTGACTCTCATCAATAATTCTGCTGTGAACATTTGCATACACGTTTTTGCATGCACAAACGTTTTCACTTCTCTTGGGTCTACGCCTAGGAACTGAGTTGCTGGGTCTAAAGTAACTATGTTTCACCTTCTGAAGAATGCCAGACTGTTTTCCAAAGCAGCTGCACCATCTTACAGCCCCCTTGGCAGTATATGTAGCTTGCGATTTCTCCACAGCCTTTTTTAGCCCTGGTGAAGGCTTCATCTCCCAGTCTCTTTTTGGCTTGGTATAGCCCAGCAACTACACTCTGCCCCTGGCATGTGAGCTGAATGCTGTGTGTGCCACTACTGTGTCACTCCTTGACAGCATGAAGCCTCCACAGTCCTTTCTCCTGGCCCGCCAGCTGACAAGACACGAAGCAGGTGCCCTGGCCTCAGAGATGGAGGCCTCGTTTCAGAGCAGCGGAGCTCTTCCACGGCCCTGAGTCACACAGCTCTGGACTACTGGGTAAACAAGAAATCCACGTCTGTATTGCTAAAGTCCTGCATGCTGGGGATGACAGGTCAAAGCAGCGGGGCCTGTCCCTCTACTCATCTTTTGATCAGGACCGTTTATGTTCTCTGGCAGGTGACAGTGTGACAGTTTGATTCAAGACAAGGCGTGAGAGTAAACAGCAGACCTCACCCTCCTCGGAGGGCGAACGCCTCCTGTGAGCTCCCGCACACTTGCAAAGTGGAAAGACAATAAACATTTCACATACCGACTGGTTTGTCTACAGGTAACATGCCCAAGTACTGCACGTGGAACTTCTGGACCAGCTCAGTCTTTGGTGTTGGAAAATCTACTACAGGGAACAAAAGCAACACATCTTTCTCAGTGGTTCCAACACACATGTACACAACAGCCGTGGCTCTGCATCATCTGAATGCTCAGGACACGCCCTGTGCCATAACGCCCTATGTTTCTGGATGTAAATGTAACAACTATTCTACAAGAGCAGCATTACTCCAGATATTGGGGCTCTGTTAAAATCCTGTTCAACTTTCAAGATAGGAATGCATGTGAAAGCAGGAAGTGGCATCTATGTGTTAAAGCTGCTACTGTCTCTTTGATGTATATTAAGTAAAGTAGCAGCTTTTGGTGTCCTATTTAATTAGGTGTGGTTGATGCCCAGAGAAAATGTAACCTCAAAGGGCACAATCAGAGACATAGGAAGATAACTGAGTTCCCCCAGTAATCAACCCACGTTTTTTTTTTTTTAGAGACAAGAGTCTCGCTCTGTTGCCCAGGCTGGAGTGCAGTGGTGCGATCTTGGCTCGCTGCAACCTCCATCTCCTGGGTTCTAGCAATTCTACAGGTGCATGCTGCCATACCTGGCTAATTTTTTGTATTTTAGTAGAGACAGGGTTTCACCATGTTGCACAGGCTGGTCTTGAACTCCTAAGCTCAGGCAATCCACCCGCCTCAGCCTCCCAAAGTGCTGGGATTATAGATGTGAACCACCGCGCCTGGCCCATGTTTTCTTTTTTTAAGATTAGTCAAGTATAGTAGTGGGAAGGGGAGAATGAGGAGCACAAGGAGGTCGATCTGTAACTGGCTGAACCATCAACTGAGGTAACTCACTACCTTCAGACCAGCCCAACCCACGTGTTTTTAAACCAGCCAGGGTCCTTATCCCAGGTTGTACATGAATTATAATATGAAGACAGTATTCTTAAAGAACATAAAATACAAAACAAAATGAAAACGAAGGCAAAAACTAAAGACAATATTCTTTAATCTTGTCCAATAACAACAAAACTCATCCTGGCTTTATGCCTAACCCTAGTGATGCAAAATCAACTCTGTGCCTCTGTGAGACCCAGCGTGCAGGCTCAACTTGTGCTTACTGAGTTGAGTGTGCTCTTTAAGGAGACTTGAAATACCAGAGAACCATCTGAGAGCCTTCAGTCCTGGACCAGGAGGGACAGGGCCATAATGAAGACATGAGGTGCCACTGACTTACCTTGCAAAGGGACATCGAGGTTCACATTGGCCCTTTCCTGTAAGGAGCTGCAGGCCAGCGCTTTGGCATTCTTCCGTTCAGCCATAATCTAAGGGGGAAAAAGTGCAGCTTTGGAGCGTGGGTTCAAGCCCCCATGTCTTCAGCTATTCCAGCCTGTAAAGTGTCTAGGTTGACTTCACTTCCAAGTTAGATCAGCTTTAGTCTATTGCCTGAAGTCCCACCCCTGCATCTCTGGGGCTACATATTTTGTTGAGGAATTCCACTCATTTTCTCTGGGGATGATAGGTGAAAAACTATTCCTCAGAGTAGCAGTCTCCTGATTGCTTGGAATGGACTTCTTCCATTCACCAGGCTCCCACCTCTACTAGAAACAACTCAAACAAGTCTCCCTGGTCTTGCATGGACCCTGCCGGCCCACAGTGGCCAGCGGCAGCCACAGCAGTGGCTTCTTCCAGTGCTTCCAAATGCCACCCTTTGAAGACAGACAACATGGGTTCAAACTGCACCTCTGCCACTTACTAGCTGTGTGACCTTGACCTTGGGCAAGTGACCTGATCTCCTGTGTCTCCACTGCACACGGAGGTGGTTAACAGTATTTGTCTCAGATGGTAGTTCTGAGGATCACATGAGTGAGTGTGTCACGCATAGGGAAGGCCTAGACAGCATTAAGTGCTCAGAAATGTCCCCTGCTGACATGCTTTGGCTGTGTCCTCACCCAAATCTCGTCGTGAATTGTAGCTCCCTTAATTCCGATGTGTTATGGGAGGGACCTGGTGGAGATAACTGAATCATAGGGGCAGTTTTCCCCCATACTGTTCTCGTGGTGGTGAGTAAGTCCCACAAGAGCTGATGGTTTGACAAGGGGTTTCCCCTTTTGCTTGGCTCTGATTCTCTCTTGCCTGCTGCCATGTAAGACGTGCCTTTCACCTTCCACCATGATTGTGAGGCCTCACCAGCCACATGGAACTGTGAGTTCATTAAACTTCTTTTTCTTTATAAATTACCCAGTCTTGGGTATGTCTTTATTAGCAGCGTGAAAGCCGACTAATACACCTGCCATTTTTGCTGTTATCCTCAAACTGCTCTAAATTGCTTCTCTTCTGTAAGGGACACTGATGTCTGCTTTACTTAAGAGTAAAGCACTTTATACTCCTGTTCTCCACCAGTTACATACAGTGCTGTGGGTTTAGGGACTGAAAGAAGCCCACCCTTTAGTGACCCCAAAAGTAACTCGGATCTTCATTCCCAGACTAAGTTTTCCATTCCAAGTGGAGTGAAAGTCATTTCCATCGCAGACCTCTACTCTGCCTATCTCCAGATCTGTGCCCAGGGCAGCGAGCAAGAGGGCTGCCGACAAGAATAAAATCAAGCGTTTCCTGCATACTTATTCTGTGCCAGGCCATGTTCTGAGGGCTTTATGCCAGAATATAAGCTCCATAAGGGCAAGGACTTTTTTTTTTCTGTTTTGGTCATTGCCCTCTCCCCAGTGCCTTTGATAGTGCCTGGCACATAAATGGCATTCCATTCTATGTGTTGCATGAATGAATGAGAAATGAAATCCAGGGAGCAGGCCGCAATGCTGCAAATGGCAGCAACACCCCCGTCTCATCAATGCAAGAATGTGAACATGGGCGGGAATAAACGTGGTGATCTCAAGACCAGTGCCCATCCTGCACGTCCCCATCGTGGGATTCAGAGCAGCAGACGGGGGCACTCTTTCATTCTGAGGCTGGGGACAGCTCCCTGCCCCTGTCCCTCCCTCAGGCACCATGGCTTGGACCTCCTGCTCGGTTAACAGGCTGGGCCAACTCCTGGCCTGGGTTGGGTCTTGACGGCTCAGGAAGAATTGTGGGAGTGAGGCTGGGTTATGATGTCAGCCTGAATCAGAAAGGTGACATTCAACAGAGGGGATGGCAAAATTCTGCATCTAAATTCAAGAAATTAACCAAGTCTGGGGCATGGAAAGGGCTGGCTAAAAGAAGCTTGTGCCAGTGTGTTGGGGGTTCAGCTGCCACCATGTGAAGAGAAATCAGGGGGTGATGTGGTTGCCAAGAACATCGAGCACCACAATAGTGTGTCCTTGGCGGTCAAAGGACAGAGCAGCCCCTGGCCCTGGTCTGCTCTCTGCTCACTTTTGGAATACTGTGTTCATCTGGGGGATCCAACCAGAGAGTGCCCAGAAGACAATGGTTAGGGACTGGAATAGCCATGTGACCCAAAAGTGGCTGCAGAGACGGGGGTGGTGGATCTGGAGAGGGAGGAAGTCAGGGGCAAGAAGACTCAATGATAGATGCTTGTCCAGCGCCTCTAAAACACATAACACATGGTGAAACACAGCAAGGCTTCAAGTGTCTGAGGAGCTGGCCACCAAAGAGAATTGGGGGACCTTTCTCTGCTGCTACAGATGGCAGATCTCCAGTCAGTACCTGGAAGTTCCAAGAGGAAGATTTCGGGTCAACATAAAGAAGAAATCTGTAACAGCCAGAGCTGCTTGGTAATAGAACCTCCTCCTGAAAAGCAAGAGACTCCATCTGTGGGAGTCCATGGGTGTGTAGGGCAGAGGGTGGGGGGATGTCTGCAAGGGGGCTGTTATGCTGGTGGGAGGCGGAGGCTAGGCTGGTGACGCCAGACTGTTTGTTCTCATTTTGAGGCTGTGACTCTGGTTAAGGAAGTCTCACTAGCATGAGACCACAGTCTTGCCTCCCAGCTGGACAGGGTGCTTCTACGAGCCACTGTGTGTCCTCAGGAAGTTGGTGTGTGTTAACGGCAATCCCCAGCTCCCTGCATTTGCAGAAACCCTGGATGGTTTCTTGCCACCTCCTTTCCTGTAGCCTTTTTCTCTACCCACATTCACTCTCAGGTCAGATGGCCCTGCCCCTGGAAAATCCGCTTTGACTCCTTTTCCCAGTTTTCTGGGGTGTACGTATCTCTGCCATTGTTTTGCCTACCTGAGATATATACATTTCTAGGCTGCGGGAGGGACTATGGTTCTATTCATTTTGTGTAGATGGAGTGCTACTTAGAGCGATGCCTGCCCTGCAGCAAAAATACTTTAATGACTTGGCTGAACACACACACACATATATATATATATATGTTTCCAGGCGGCGGGAGGGACTATGGTTCTATTCATTTTGTGTAGATGGAGTGCTACTCAAGAGCGATGCCTGGCCCGCAGCAAGAATACTTTAATGACTCTGGCTGAACAATCTGCCTACTTCTCCCTGAGCTCAACTGCAGGTTGATGTGCCCACTCCCCCGCCCTTCCACATCCTTTTATGCAGCAAGAAAAAAAGAGAGAGGCGGCCCATACTGCCCTGACCCACCTTACCTTGGAGCAGATCTCGTGGAGACTTGTGGCAATGGCTTTTGCTGGTGTGTCACATCGAAATACATGACATTTCAAAATTCTTGTATCTTTATCTCTTGCTACATAAGCAAAATCCCTGTGCAAGCAAAATGTATCAGTCCATTAGTAAGAGAAGCTGATTACCAACACATACTTTAGTTATGAAGTTAACTGAGCTAGCAGCCAGCGTGTCAATGGTAAACAATGTATGCAATGATTAAAAGAAAAATTAAATTACAATAGCTTCCTAACATATAGTTTTATGACAATTAGAAATTCATTTCTGAGTAAAATACCTACGATGTGGGCTAGGCGCAGTGGCTCATGTCTGTAATCCCAACGTTTTGAGAGACCAAGGTAAGATGATTGTTTGAGGCCAGAAGTTTGAGACCAGCTCTCGAACCAGGCAACACAGTGAAACCACTATCAAAAAAAACCAAAACCAAAAAAAAACAAAAAACAAACAAAAAATGCCAGGTGCAGTGGCATGTATCTGCAGTTCCAGCTATTCTGGAGGGTGAGGTGGGAGAACTGCTTGAGCCCAGGAGTTTGAGGTTGCAGTGAGCTATAATCGTACCACTGCACTCCAGACTGGTCAACAGAACAAGACTTAGCCTCTAAAAATTTTTTTAAAAAAGGATGGGCGTGGTGGCTCATGCCTGTAATCCCAGCACTGGGAGGCCGAGGTGGGCGGATCACCTGAGGTCAGGAGTTGGAGACCAGCCTGGCCAACACAGTGAAACTCTGTCTCTACTAAAAATACAAAAAATTAGCTGGGCGTGGTGGCCGGCGTCTGTAATCCCAGCAACTCTGGAGGCTGAGGCAGGAGAATCGCCTGAACAGCCCAGGAGGCAGAGGTTACAGTGAGCCGAGACTGTGCCACTGCACTCCAGCCTGGGGGACAAGGGTGAAACTCCCTCTGAAAAAAAACAAAAAAAAAACATAACTTCAAAAGCCAGTCTGTTGAACTCTTGGAATCTCTAACAACCCTTAGTGAAAACTGAATTTCACAGAACCCTTCTATCTAGTGTAATAACCAGTGTTATGATTAGAAAACAGAAAGGCTTGAGGAGCGCATGAATCGCAAGATGATATAATGACACAGACAGTGGCGCAGCGGAAGCAAACAATAGGCTCTGATGTATAAACATGTGCACAAACAATGGACCAGCCCACAGCTGACTGAGAAAGTTGAAGGGCAATCACAGGGAATGTCAGAACACAAAGAGACACCATGGACTGCAGTCCTATCAAAGGCCTTTGACTGTTTTAAACACGTCTCAGACTCCAGATCTCAGAGCGACGGCAGCGGCGGCACATCATTTATTGCTTGCTGAGACACCTTGGTGAGCATGCAGCCGATGTTGGGTGTTCGCATTTTTTCTACTGATAAAAAGGATACTGACTGTGACATTACTTGGCTTCAAAAGAACCATGCGATACGACTGTATTTCTCAATGTTAACATTGGAAGACAGCAGTTCAAAGATGAAAGTGTTTTTACACACACACATATTTATATATTTATTTATATACACACACACACACACACACACACACACACACACACACATATACACCAAGCTTTACCCATCTAGGAATGGATCACAGTGATTTATTTGCATCTGATGCTAAGCCAGGATACTGTCTGGAGATATAACTACAGAGGAATTTTTAAATTATTTCTCTTAAGGTAAGACCTGGCAGCCTTTTCATAGACTATGATGGATACTTTCCCCAAGAAAGCCTTGGCGGCCTTGGGAAGGGACAGGGATTTACTATAGCAGGCAACTGGCCATCGTGAAGGTCTGGCCGGAAAACCCTGCCTCGCAACCTCACCTCGCCATGCCCCAGGCAGCCCTGCAGTGGGGCTCCCTAAGCCCAGGCTCCAGCTCAGCAGCACCTCACCTGGCTGCCCCATGACGCTTTAATCACCGGCAATCCACACATGACCCCAACATTTCTCCTCCCAACCTACTCCTGCTTCCTCACGTTCTAGCTCAGTGTCCTCCATGCTAGAACCGGACTCCCCCTGCCTCACGTGCCACACCCAATCCCCACATTCGTCCTGTTTCACCTCCTGGAAATTTCTGGCATCCATCCCTCCATTTCCAGCCCCCTCACCACGCAGCCATTCTAAGCTGCTCTTCGCCTCCCTGCCTGTGCTCAGGCCATCTCCATCCCCTTGCCAGGACTCAGCTGAAGATGGGTGAGAGCCTGGAAGGTTCCTCGCACACACAGTACATACACGGGGGCACAGCAAGTGTCTGAGTGTGTCTTCCCCTCAACACTCTGCAGCTCCATGAAGACGACTGTGCCTAACTCATCCCAGCGTCTAGTTCAGGCCTGGCGTATCACCGGTACTAATACATGTTTGCGGGCTGAGTACAAGTGTGGGCCTGTGGCACACATCCCTCCTTCCTGTTGGGAAAGTCGGTCCTTGCTCAGTACTGAATGGGTTCCACGACTGGGCTCGGGGGTGGGTTGGGGCAAGTCACTGGGCCGAGACTTTGAGGGGTGAGCACAGTCTTCTCCACACTGTGGCCTTCCCATCCAGCCTCAACCACCATCAAGGCAACACATAAGAAATGGACAGAAGACATCCCTTTTGGAGATCACACTCAAGGGATGCCTTGCTTCTGGTTCTCCTCCCTAGAGGGTCCTTCAGAAATACACCACGTCTCCCGGCACACAACTCCAATCCTTCCAACTTCCATGTGCAGCCACCATCTTCCTGAGGCCAAATCTCCCCAAAGCTCCCTGTGGTCAACCACACAAAGTCCAAAAACCTCTGGGTGGATTTTAAGAGTTCCAAAATTTGTCCCACCAACTTTCCAGCATGTTCCTCCCACTGCACGGCACTCCCCGCTGCTCCAGAAGAGGTGGGTCTTGGTGTCCGCTCGTAGTGGTGTCTTCCCTCACGTGGTGGCCAGTGGCCCTCCCCACACTGTCCAGCGCACGCCCATCTACTCAGCCTAGCCCAGCTCAACGGTCCGCCTGGTCCTCTGGCCCCAGGACCCTGCTTGTATCAAAATGCCCACGGTATTTACATTCTGTGCTACAAAGAAGAGGTCGTTATATCATACCTTTTTGTAGTTACTGTTACAGGTGTCACCTGTGTCTGTCCTCTAAGAGACAGCAGCAGCCAGAAGGGCCAGGCATTGAGATTCTGGCCACCCACATTCGAGTCTCAGCCCTGCTTCCACTTAGCTATACAACCCTGGGCATGGAATTTCACCTCATCTTTAAGTGAAGGGGTTGAAAAACATGATTTCCAAGTCCCTCCCCGGCTCTGACATTCTCTGATAGAAGCCTCCAAGATCCATCAGCCTCTCCATGGTGGCTGGCAGGCCCCAGCGTGCAACATCCCAAGGTTACCGACACGGCGGATGAACAGGTCCTGGTCAATAAGCAATGGATTATTCCTATCGAACTTCGGCTTTGTGCCCTCTGTGCCTCAGTTCTTTCATAGGCAGCCTTTTAGGCTTAACTTTAAAAAATTATGATTATTAATCTTCATTTTCCTCTGGCGCAGAGCAAGGTGACTGATGCCTTAAGGGCAACCATCTGGAACCCACAGCTTCCCCAGGGAGAAACTCAGCAGCCTCAGGCTTTTTTGGGAGGAATTCTCACTTTTTTTTTTTTACAGCCTTATCTTTTGTTGTTTCCTCCAAGGTAGAGGCTAATAGATTAGGGAGGCAGCAATCTGTCAGTCCATGACGGTGGGTGAGTCCGGTAACTAACCCTCCAGAGGTTTCATCACTTCCCAGGATAAAACAGGTGTCTTCTCCTCACTGTAGAGGTCAAGAGATTTGTGCATTTCCCATTTCACTCTCATGTAACATATCCCAAGTCCCTAAATATGGAGATCTGTAAGAGGCAGTGAGGCCTTTCTTTCAGGCCTAGAGCACAGACCAGTGGAGCGACTTCATCTATGGACAATGAAACATACAAGCGATCGAATTTCATTGATTTAAGACGAAATCCAAGCATCACTTGCCTGTGTGAAAAGCCTGCCTTTTTGGCACCTGACTTCTGAAAAGGGCTGCTGCGGGAGAGTCATGATCCCTCCCCACATCCCAGGAACCTGTGGCTATGTTCCCTTACATGCCAACAGGGGCTTGGCGGATGTGATCAACAAAGGATCCTGAGATGGGGATGTTACTCTGGACTATCTAGGTGGGCCCCGCAAATTCACAAGGGAAGGCGGGAGGCACTTTCTTCCTAAGGGAAAGAACAGGAGGCAGGGGCCAAGGAATGCAGGCAGCCTCAAGAAGCTGGAAAAGGCAAGAAAACGGATTCTCCCCGAGAGCCCCTGGAAGAAACACAGCCCAGCCAACACTGGGATTTGACATTTCTGACCACCAGAAACAGAAAAGAATCAAGTGGCGTGGCGTTAGGCCACTCGGTTTGTGGCCATTTGTTACAGCAACAATAGGAAATGAATGCAACTGCCGTTTGGATTTTATGGTGTGGTATTAAAGACTGATATTTTTTAAAATATTCAATTCATTAAAGTCCGGGCGCGGTGGCTCATGCCTGTAATCCCAGCACTTTGGGAGGCCAAGGTGGCAGATCATGAGGTCAGGAGATCGAGACCATCCTGGCTAACACGTGAAACCCCGTCTCTACTAAAAATACAAAAACTTAGCCGGGCGTGGTGGCGGGCGCCTGTAGTCCCAGCTACTCAGGAGGCTGAGGCAGGAGAATCGCTTGAACCCGGGAGGTGGAGGTTGCAGTGAGCCGAGATCGCGCCACTGCACTCCAGCCTGGGTGAGAGAGCAAGATTCCGTCTAAAAAAAAAAAAAAAAAAATTCAATTCACTTCTACAAGCACCTTCTAGCTGATATTATGTATCAGGAACCAGTGAGGCAAATTCAAACAGATAAGGTTCCAGCCTTGCAAGCCCGTCTAATGTTACAGACGGGCAATGAGGTTTGAGCTGCTTCTTTAAGTGTAAGAAGGACCTCATCACAGTAAGAAGGCAGCAGACAGCTCAAAGAACATTGAAACAGGTATGAGCAAAGGCAGGGAGGTCAGAAGGCCCCCCAGTTGTTTGCGAGAACTCCCAGCTGCCCTATGCATATGCCCCAGGCACTGTGGTGAGGCTCAGGTGCCGCTGCAGGGGTGCTGTGCGGGAGTCTGTACTCAGTTTGCACAGTGCCTTGTGTCTTGCCAGGACTGGCCCTTACTCCGAGCCATCCCAGTCTTGCAATATTACAGGTGACCCCATGTGATTTGTTTGGTGGGAGAAAGCCGGCCAAGGGAAGGGGACTGCTGGGGGCCACTGCGGTGGTCCAGCGCAGGGGGATGAGCAAAGTGCAGGCTAAATCAGCATCTGCGAGAACAGGGCAGAGGAGACAGATGGAAGAGGTGTTGGAAGGATAGCTGGCAGGAGTGGCAGATGTGTGAGAGACGTGGATGAGGGAGGCGATTAAGAATAACTCTGGGGTCCCTGCTAGGACAGCTAAGCACCCCATCACTGGAGTGGGGGAGGGAAGGAGGGCTGGTTTGGTGCAAGAAGTTGATGAGCTCCAGGGTGGACAAGACGTGTGGGGTGCTTGTGCTTGAGGAGCACCAGGTGACGAGGCCCACCAAGCAGGTGGGTGCTGGGACCCTGCACTGAGGCCTGCGGTCTGGGCAGGAGACATGGATCTGGGAGGTGGGTGAAGTCGGGGGAGCAGGTGAGAGTGTGGAGCATGAAAAGACAAAGCTGGCCGGGCGCGGTGGCTCATGCCTGTAATCCCAGCATTTTGGGAGGCCAAGGCGGGTGGATCTCTTCAGGTCAGGAGTTCAAGACCAGCCTAGCCAACATGGCAAAACACCATCTCTACTAAAAATACAAAAATTAGGCGGGTGCGGTAGTGTGCACCTGTAATCCCAGCTACTTGGGAGGCTGAGGTGTGAGAATCACTTGAACTCAGGAGATGGAGGTTGCAGTAGGCTGAGATTCCACCACTGCACTCCTGCCTAGGCAAACACAGCAAGACTCCATCTCAAAAACAAACAAACAAACAAACAAACAAAAAACATGTCAAACCAAGGCCTGGCGACTGGGGAAGAAAGACATTTAGAGGCCTTGTTTGAGGCAGGAGGTCCAATGAGAAGGTGGGAAAAAAATTGCTGGGGAAGAGGGCAGGAGAAGCCCAGGAGAGGCTGGTCCCAAAGATATCAAAGAAAGGGGGTTGAGGGAAAGGGGTAGAGAGCTTTCCAGAACAGTGGGAGACAGGCCAGGTGGTCTCAGCCACAGGGAGGTCTGCAGTGACCTTGGCCTCCTGGACCCTTACCTGGGAGAAGGAGTTTGGGGCCCAGCCTGAGGAGTACAGGAGTTAAAAGAACAGAGTTCATCCATCTCTCTCCTTTCTGTTTTTTACTCTTCTCCTTCTGGAACTTTCCAAACACACATAAAAATTGAGAAGATAGTAAACAAACTCTATATCCCATCAGCTGGCTTCCACAGTGATCAAAATGTCACCCATTAGTTTTTTACACAGCTGGGTTTTTCCCCAATCCCAGTGTCATGATGCTAAAGGCCACTGTGGTCATACGTAAGAGCAACAGGGTAGGTCCTTGATTTTCTTGTATTCTGAGGGGGAGAAGAAATTGCTTTGTAGTAAACACACCTCCACACTCAGAGTGTTCCTGACAGACTGTGCAAACCTAAACTGGTGCGATCAGCTCAGGCCGAGCATGTGGGCTGGGGAGGAAAGAGTGTGTCGGGTGCCACATGGCCATCAGGCGTCAGGCAGCCAAGCAGGCAGGGCCCGTAGCCAGCTCTGTTGCTGCATGGGACACGGGGGCTGGCTGGTCCACTGCAGGCACCTTTGAGGAGCCTTCAGGTTGGGAGCCCTTGAGGGCTATCCTTCCGTTAGCACTTCCGGCTTCCAGAGCACCAGGAGGGTCCCATCTCAGACAGGCTGGGAGCCATACTCATTAACCGGGCGCCTCACACAGCCACGCAGGGTCCAGGCTTCAGCATCTCGTCTGTAAAACCACACAGCTGGCCCAAAAGATCTCCAAGGGCCAGAAAGAACATCACTCCCAGTTTTTCCAACAGCTTCTAGATTCCCAGGAACCTGTGGTTATCTGAAATTCTACCACCTGTGATCATCAGACACGATCTGTCTGACACTTGGCAGCAAGACCCGTTTCTGCTCTCTGCTCCAGCTCATGCCATACCCTAGCCATTTACAAGGCTAGGCCAGGAGCCATCTGCTGCCCATACATGGAGTCTCACTCCATTTAACGCCTGCAGTCATGAGAATCATTGCGTTTTCTTTTATAAGCCAGGAAGTGGAAGGGTTATAGCTATAGTTTCTTGTGTCTCTTCTTTAAATGGTGACAGAAGCTAGTACCAGGAATCAAGTACCTGTTGCCACCTGCTTACTGAGCCCTGGTGTTTCCAACTCTTTTCATTCCTGTCTTTTTGGCTGTCTTCCTCAGTAATTACTCTCCCAGAGGACCAAGATAGAGTTTTGCTGGAGAAAAATGACAGTGTTAATACATCTTATCTGACAGCCTCAAATTTCTTAATTAAAAAAATATAAAGGACCAAAGATTGCTTTTATATATTCTCAGTTATATAGCATTCTAATCACTCAATAGGGGCTTAATCCATCTTTATGGAATGAATAAATGATTCTTTATTCAAGTGGGCATTATTATTATTATTATTATTATTATTATTATTATTATTATTTTGAGACAGATTCTCGCTCTGTCACCCAGGCTGGAGTGCAGTGGCATGATCTCGGCTCACTGCAACCTCCACCTCCTGGGTTCAAGTGATTCTCATGCCTTGGCTTCTTGAGTAGCTGGGATTACAGGTGTGCACCACCACACATGGCTAATTTTTTTTTTTTTTTTTTTTTTTTGAGACGGAGTCTCGCTCTGTCGCCCTGGCTGGAGTGCAGTGGTGTGATCTCGACTCACTGCAACCTCCGCCTCCCGGGTTCAAGCAATTCTCCTGCCTCAGCCTCCTGAGTAGTTGGGACTACAGGCACGTGCCACCACACTTGGCTAATTTTTAGTATTTTTAGTAGAGATGGGGTTTCACCAAGTTAGCCAGTATGGTCTCGATCTCCTGACCTCGTGATCCGCCTGCCTCGGCCTCTCAAAGTGCTGGGATTACAGGCGTGAGCCACGCGCCTTGCCAATTTTTGTATTTTTAGTGGAGATGGAGTTTCACCACATTGGGCAGGCTGGTCTAGAACTCCTGGACTCAAGTGATCCGCCCACCTCAGCCTCCCAAAGTGCTGGGATTACAGGCGTGAGCCACCATGCCTGGCAAAAGCAGGCTCTATTTTAAAAAATAGCCAGAACTACTTATTCTCTCCCTAAATCTCTCCTGTGCAACTCTCGTAGTGTAAGTGGAATTTGCTTATGTGTTTACCTCTCTTCCAAAAGGCATCTACAGACCTCTTAGCTGTGACTCAGGCTAACTTTTCAAAGTCCCTTTCACAGCAGCACCAGCAGGTGGTACCTAGAGTATTTCCATGATAGGACATCTCGTTTCTTTAATAAATCAGCCTGTTCTGTTGGTGGAAAGCTCCAGTGAATAATATATATATGTCTTCTTAAAACATTTTTATATACTATTTTTCACTTTATTATTTTGAGACAGGGTCTCACTCTGTCGGCCAGGCTGGAGTGCAGTGGTGCAATCAAAGCTCATTGTAGCCTCGACCTCCTAGACTCAAGCGATCCTCCCGTCTCAGCCTCCCAAGTAGCTGGGACTACAGGCATGTGCCACCACACCTGGCTCAAAATATATTTTTTCTAAATGATGAACGCAACCTTGCCTCCCTGTAACTTCTGCTTGTAGGATCTAGTTTTGCTTTCTGGAGTGGCACAGAACAAGTTGACCTTGTCAGCTGCACCAGAGCCCATGTAACTGGCAGGAACTCACCTGTCCTTTTCTGTTAAGAGTCACATTACACTCAATCTCTCACCAATTCTCTGTTGTTGGGATTCCTTACCAAGTATCC
This sequence comes from Homo sapiens, assembly GCF_000001405.40. Taxonomy (NCBI): domain Eukaryota; kingdom Metazoa; phylum Chordata; class Mammalia; order Primates; family Hominidae; genus Homo; species Homo sapiens. The sequence goes on from NC_000004.12 coordinate 40,839,467, forward strand.
ACAATTTGATAACATCTTTCACATCAATCACAGTTGCTCAGGTCAAATACATGGCATGTTTTATTGAGGGAATTTGTGAAGGCTGGCACATGATAGGCATTCAATAAATGGTAGGTACCATATTATAAATGAGGAAAAAGAAGTCAAACAAAAAGCCTACTTTGAAATACTGTCTCCTTATCCATGAGGGATTTTTCTTTTTTCTTTTTTTTTTTTGAGGTGGAGTCTCGCTCTGTTGCCCAGGCTGGAGTGCAGTGGTGCCATCTCGGCTCACTGCAACCTCTGCCTCCCAGGTTCAAGAAATTCTCCTGCCTCAGCCTCCCGAGTAGCTGGGATTACAAGCGTGTGACACCATGCCTGGCTAATTTTTATATTTTTAGTAGAGACGGGGCTTCGCCATGTTGGCCAGGGTGGTCTCGAATTCCTGACCTCAGGTGATCCGCCCACCTCGGACTCCCAAAGTGCTGGGATTACAGGCATGAGCCATTGCGCCTGGCCCCACGAGGGGTGTTTTTTAATAAATATTTGCACTCATATGAATTATACTAAGACTTGCTAAAATGTACCCAGTGACCCTTCCCTCCCAGCTTATCTTTCTATTGATGCTATTGCAAAGGGCAGGTCCCATCTGCAAATAAGGATAAGACAGCAGCAAACGGATTGGATCCAAACATCGCACTTCTGGCACTTTAGGACAAAGGGCTTTCTCTCCTCTTTGTTTCACCTGTGCAGGGCCTAGCATGAGATCCAAAATAGAATTCAAAAGGTAAGCCCACATGAGAACACGGTGTAATTATAGGGTTCCTGGGCTATACAAAAATGTGGGTTGTTGACAGTCTGTACAAGGTCTGGAGGAAGAATGAGTCCTGTTTTCAAGACTGGATGCTTTTATTTTCTGACTGCACTTTGAAAAAATCTTGTTTTGAGAGTGGGAGGAATCAGGAAGCGAAAGTACGTAAGAAACTTCATCTTTCCAGATGGCCAATCCAGAATGACCCCCCGCAAAACACACACATGTAAGACTCTGGTTTTCTGTTCTTTTTAACCCAATGTCACATGTATCACATGCAGGCATCACTAATTTCACAAAGTTCAGGCTCTCGCTTGGTAAGCTTAACTTACTTTCTCCTTCTTTGCAAGCTTAAAAAGATGCTAAGTTTTTTAGCCTCCGAAAGGAGTATCCCAGGTACTCGTCACCTGGGTAAACACACAGGCTTAGCAGGGAATTCTTCACCAGGCACGCTCATGAGACACAGTGTGTAAATAGCAGATCTGAAATTCTACCACCTGCAATTATCGAGGTGGCTTGGGCAAACTAGAATCTGTAGCCCTCTCTAGAACAGGGTCCTGGTGTTAATATTCAGAGCAACTGCCTCCCAGCGAGGACACTCACATAAACAAGGAGGATAGGAACTAGCGAACACCTGAAAATGTCCTCCCCATTGACTCTGATGGGACTGGCTGTTATTTTACATGAAGGAGCTCACATCCACATGCACAGCCCTCATCCTCCAGAACTTTCCACCACCTGCCCCCGCCAGGGTCTCCTCAAAGTGATTTAAAAAGTCAGTGAAACCTGCAAATTCTCCTAATCACACTCTCTGGAAGACCAGCCCTGCAGGTGTCACCGCCCACTCTATGCTGTCTCTCCCTCTTAACCACTGGACTATGACAGCAGCACATCACAGGGGAAAACAGCCACCAGCAGAGGGCAGTCACAACACCAGTGTGGCAGGAAATACCAGCTGAGGACTCATCACTTCCAGCTCCCAACCAGGCAGGGAGGTTACATGACACCAACTCCGACACAAAGAGGAGATCTGCCTTCGTGTCTCTCCGCTTTGCCCAGCAGGAACCACCATCATTCATTCAAGGAGAATTATCTCCAAATTCCCTTATTCCATCAAAAGTGGAGTTTTTATTAAGTGGTAGAGCTATGGAATCATGGAGCTTAAAGTCCCCAATCAATCAAACGGGCAGGCGGACATGCAGAGCATTGGAAAAACACAACTGAGGTCAAAATCTCTTGTTTCATAGGTATGTCTTTTCTGTGGTTCTATCCTTCTTGTGGTGGAGAGGGAGGACCATATATTTTGGCTAATAATTGACACTGAAACTGAATCAGTGCTTCTGGCTAGGCTAGTAGCCTAGTGCCAACCCTTACCAATCAAATTCTAGAGAATATGTAATATAAGCACTAATATTATTTATTTATTTATTTATTTATTTAGAGACAGAGTATCCCTCTGTCACCCTGGCTGGAATGCAGTGGTGCCATCTTGGCTCACCGCAACCACTGCCTCCCAGGTTCAAGTGGTTCTCCTGCCTAGGCCTCCCAAGTAGCTGTGATTACAGGTGCCCACCACCACGCCTAGCTAATTTTTTGTATTCTTAGTAGAAATGAGATTTTGCCATGTTGGCCAGGCTGGTCTTGAACTCCTGACCTCGAGTGATCCACCTACCTCGGCCTCCCAAAGTGTTAGGATTACAGGCGTGAGCCACCACGCCCGGCCATGATATTAATTTTTCCAGAAGCATGAAAAGCCTCCTTCTACAACATGGCACATAACCTATTTCCATCACATTCACTCCCTGCCACACTGATGAGATTTTTCTCAGTCGTTAGTGAGTGACCACATTGGTGTTAGACTTAATCACTCAGCCCATCACCTTCCACAACCAGGGTCAAACACAGTAGAGAATGAGGAACGCAGATGCAATTCCAGACTCTGTTTTAAATGCTGGTGATAAGAGGCGAAACAAAACAAAACAAAACAAAAGTTCTGCCTTTCAAAGACAAGGATGGTTGTGAGGATGGCAATGCGACATGAAGAAAGCAAGTGAGCTTTGCCAGACACGTTAAGACACCACGAAGGGGGGAGAAGTGAAAATCGGCCGGTTACCTCTCTCTGAATCCGGGAAGGCGTGAGGGAACAGAGCAGAAACAACACGTTAGCATTCACACGGCATCCCGCCAATAACACAGCCCCGTTAACAGCGAGTCTGAGCACTGACAGCTCATCTAATTTCCCAACTCTGCAGCAATTAATAGGCTTTCCGTGCTTATTTTAGGTCAACTGTATCACCCAGAAGTGTGTATTTTGAGCCACATTATGATGAAGCCAAGAGATGCCAGCTGAATTTACAGAGGCAACATATCAACTGGGGGAGGTAATCAAGCTTAAAATATCACAGTCAAATACAGGAAACTGTTTGCAGTAAACACTGGCAGAGGACGTGTCTTCATTTTCCAGTTCCACCTGCTCCCAATAAAAAACATACAGAAACAACGGCATGGACATAGCCTTACCTGTTTTACCGACATTCCTGACACTCTATTAACAGAGCCACATCACTGGAATCCAGGCACTTTTCCTGAGATGCATCCTTACAGGGCAACAGGGAGGGAGGGAGGCAGCACAGGTCAAGGGCGGGTGGGAAGTGGGAGAGACAGGAGATGACAGCTCAATGGGGGAGAGATCAGAGACGTCCCAGGAAAGAGAGGAATGGAACGGAGAGAGGAACACAGTGCAAGTCTGGTTGGGGCCACACTCTTGGAGTTCCCTCCCTGAGCTACCCAGAGCTGTCCTGAGCTGCCTGGGACCCTAATGAAGTCACTTAATCCCCTGACCCATGGTGCTCACACCATTCCTTTCTGGCATTGTCACAGCCGATTTGCATGCACCGTACACAGAGCAACTAGACCGAAGAGCATGGAGCACTGGATAGATAACGAGGAGGAAAGGAAGAAACCCAATGTTTACAGAAACCCGTTCTCTCGGGCACTCTATGGCCAGGGTCATGGAGCGGCCAGCAGGGCCCTGCAGGGATGGAGCTAAAATCATGGCATGAAACGCCAAGTGCACCAGACAGTGAACCACAAAGTCATTAAGTGGAAAGGAAGAGCTGCTCACCCTGAGGCGGAACAATGACCATGGCACACTAGTAAGTGGAGCAAAAACAAAGCCAAGCTGTTTTTATAAAACAAGCATGGTCTTATAAAAACAACAAAATGTTTGCATGTGTATTTTAATATATACACAGTAAAAAACTTGGAATATAATACCCGAACTGTCAACTGTAATATGGAAAGAGGATTATGGAGGATTTTACTTTATCTCTTTGAAAATTATACAATAAGCACATTTGACTTTTGTGATAAAATATGCAAATATCTACCTCAGTACTGAAGGAAAGCCATTGTGATCAGCATGCCCCAGGGCAGTTAACAGGACTAATATTAATGATTACAGTAACACCAGCCACCAATTACCCTTTATTGAGCTCTGTTTGGCCCCTAACAGTAACTGGACAAGGTCAGTATTACTGTTCTGACAGATGAGGAAACAAGTTCAGAGAGGCTAAGACACTTGGCCAAGGTCACACAGCTACTACATGGGGAAGAGAGTTTGACAGTAGGCTGCAGGACTCGAATTCTAGTCTTAGATGCACCCATGATGGGTACTCCACCCTTCTACACAGTCCTGCAGAGCCCCCTAATGGTTTGTCTCCTAAATGGCAAACACAGTCCCTAGGCACAGGTATTCAAGGTAGGGCCAAAGGGTTTGGCCAAGAACCTAGGGTTTTAGAGGAACAGGGAACATTCCTCTCTTTTGGTGAACTTTTGTAGGGAAAGAGGTGGCTAAAAATTCCTAAGAGGATCTTTGGGCTGAAGAGGCAGACACAGCTGTGCTCAAATCCAGATGGGTAGCCACATTCCTTCAAGTACACTGCTTACCTTCTCTTTATTTACCCAACATAGATTTCCAGGGCCCCTCTGTGTGCCAGGCACACTGTGTTACATGGTATGCCCCACAAAACCTGTTTCCTCATCATTGAAGAGGGGATAAGGACACCTGCTCATGCTCATAATGCTCAGGGGCATTATAAGCATGAAGTTAAATGGGACGACACGTGTATGGGAGTGCTGGGCATGTAACAAAGCTGCAATAACCTGCAACGTTAACAGCTATTATCACTGTGTCATCCAATAGCTTCATCTCTTCGGCTGGGTTGTGCTGGGCAGCATTTGAGATGGACTGTCTCCCACGGAAGGACAGTCACCTGGGGGAGTGGCAGGGGCCCTCTGCTCAGGTTTGCTGGACCCCAGCTGATACAGGATGCTGGAGAGTCACCCCTTGGCTCAGGTCCCTCTGTGCTACTCGGTTCCACCTATCAAAGCCAGGCTTGGGTAGCAATTTACAAGATCAGCAAAGGACCCAGAGACCTGGATGCTGGTCCCAGTCTGAATCCACAGCTGGGTAACATTATGCAAGTCACACAACCTCCCTAATTCTTGGGTTCCTAATCTCAGAATGGATGTGCTAGGAACTTCTTAGTGCTCAGATTTTTATCAGAAAAGGATATGTTAGTGCTTTGACTTGCTTTTAATTACACCAAATGTTTTCAATTTCTTATTTTTAATAAAAAGCCTATCTGTAGTGTGTGACAAAAACTTTAAAAATCTAACAATCTGAGAATACAACCTGTTTCTTTTGTGTATAATTATTATTGTAGTCTTGGATATTTTAAATCAGATCCACTGCTAGTGATTCACTTAAAAACATACCATCAAGATGTAGCTACTGTGTTTTTCCCTGAAAGCAGACTTGGAAAAAATGCTACTGCAAACTTTTAACACAGTTAATTCATTTGGAGTTAATAAACACTGCTTGATTTAAGTATCAAAGTGAAAACCAGCCATAAATAAGACACCGCAGAGTGATATTTGAAATGTCATTCAGAAACCCAGAAGAGTCACAGACAGTGCCAGCAGCTCCACCAATTCAGCACCTTGTAAATTTGCTGGGAAGAAAACATCAGTCCAAAGCTGGGCTTCTGCACAAGACAAACCAGTCTGAGAGTGGAGAAGGCTAAATTTAGTGCCAGGCGTAAGTCTACTCCCTTCTCGCTGTACAAGATGCCAGTGGGAAGAATTAAACCCCAAGATTAATTCCACATGAGCCGCACATCCCAAGGCTGCCTGATCAGCATGCTCTCCGTGGCTGTTCCTTGGGAAAATAAATGCCGGAGTAATTGGCAATGTTTTCATTAATATAAGCCTGAAATAACAGAAGTACCTGGCATGTGTAACTGGAATCCAAATGAAAAGGAAATTCCTCAAAAAAAAAAAAAAAAAAAAAAAAAAACCAGCACACCAGAATGACAATGTCTATTCCAGCTTTTTGGAAGAGGACGCCATCTCCTGTTCCCTGGCACAGCCACCTACTTCTCATGCTGCGCACAACTGTCCACTTTTCACAAACTGAGCACGCGAGGCAAGGACTTGCCAGTAGACTTCTCACTCCATTTTTGCAGAAGTCTCTGTTGCATGCTTCTTTTTGATGTTTGTCTTTCATCACTGGCCATCTCTCTAGCCTTTTGAGCACACATCACACCATTATCCACAGGACAATGAAGTAAACACTGCAAAACTTTACATCATGAAAATTCTTGCACCAGCTCCTGAGTCTGACAGTTTATTTTTTCCCTCCAGCTTCAGGGGTGGGTAGGTGGGTGTGGGTGGGTGGGTGGGTGGGTGTGAGTGGGGTGTGTGTGTGTGTGTGTGTGTGTGTGTGTGTCATTTATCAGCTGTCTGCCCTTGGTCAGGGCCCTTAGCCTCTTTGTTTTTCAGTTTCTTCATCTGTGAAATGGGAATCATAGAGGCCTTCAGGTCCTGAGAGTGCCATAAAATTCCATTATTTAATCCATATAAAGCTCCTACAGGATGGCGGCTTGAGTATGGCCTTACAGTGCAGGCCAGGCCAATCACTATGTGAGAGAGGGAAGGGGAGCTCCACGAGGAGAAAGGAAAGGTTCCTGACCTGTTTTGGATCAAGGCCCTCGGATGAAAACACTCCAAAAAAAAAAAAAAAAAAAAAAGTGCACAGACTCACAATTTTATACACAATTTTGGAAGGGGGCAGAGCTGGAACAGTTCAGTGATTCTTGAAACTCAATCCCAGGTCCCTTTAGAATCTACATGCCGCAGGTGAAAGGCCTCTGAACTGAAATGAATACTGAATTTATGCAAATTTACCATCTGATTTCTGGCTGATATTTAGAGAATTCATCTCAGGGAAAGGTTCTATCCTTCCCAGGATCAACCGGTGACATGAACAACCGTCTCTGACCAAGTGTGCCTTCCTTTCCAAAGCAAGCTCCCCTCCCACCTCACTGTCCTGCCCAGCAGCGCCATGATGGGAAAGTTAGACTTCCAGCACTTAGAAGTGTAAAGCCAGGAGTTAAAGTGGTTGAGGTTATTGAAATTCAAGGCACATTATTCTAAACAAAGGACTTTCTCATGCCATTGGAGGGAAGACACAATAGTTACCAGCCTGCTTACTAATGAGGAGGAGGGAAAAAGGATATTTAAAAGCAACCAGGAAACGAGTATTTTTAAAAGTCCATCTTTGAAGACTTTAAGCAAGAATTAACGAGCTTCAGCTTTCATCTGTGCTATATCACAGATTAAAAAAAAAACAAAAAACCAAATGCAAAAATCTTGCATCTCTGAATATCTGAGAGAAGAATACACACACAAATTATAGTTAGTTATTAAGTGAGAGATAATTTACACCATGTTCCAGTTTCAACTTTAAAGTTTAGGGTATAATGAAAGGATAACGTTATATAAATTCTACCTGAACTGTGAAACCATGGGTTAGCTTCCTTTCTGAAAGCCAAGATGGTAAAACAAAAATAAAAAATACCAGGTCAGGCATGGTGGCTCACACTTGTAATCCCAGCACTTTGGGAGGTTGAGGCAGGTGGATTACTTGAGGCCAGGAGTTCAAGACCAGCCTGCCAACATGACGAAACCCTGTCTCTACTAAAAATACAAAAATTAGCCAGGCATGGTGGCGCACACCTGTAGTCCCAGCTACTCAGGAGGCTGAGACGTGAGAATCACTGCAACCCGGGAGGTGGAGGTTGCAGTGAGCTGAGATCGTGCCTCTGCACTCCTGCCTGGGTGACAGAGCAAGACCGTCTCAAAAAAATAAAACAACACGAAACACCTTGACACCAGAAGGCTCCTATCTGACAAAGCACAGGAACGCATAAGGATTTAGAACTGATTCTGAGCAGGGAAAATGACAGCACAGTGGTTTCCATGCCAGAATGCCATGAGGGTACAAACTCCTGGCAAGGTGCAGACAAGCCTCCTACTTAAAACCACGGTGAGCACCCAGCCACATGGAGGACCTCTTGTGGATATGGTGAATCACTTTCTGAATTTTCAAGGGGCTTTCTTTGTGCCAGTTCAAAGGAGTACTAGGGTAGATAACATGGAAAGCCAATACATATGGCCTTCATTTGAATTGTTTGTTGTTTTTGCTTGCTTTTTTTTTTTTTTAAGAGATGGGATCTCGCTCTGTTGCCCAGGCAGGAGTCCAGTAGCACGATCATAGCTTACTGCATCCTCAAACTACTTGGCTCAAGCAATCCTCCGGCCTCAACCTCCCAAGTAGCGGGGGCTATAGGTGTTTGCCATCATACCCGGCTAATTTTTTATTTGTTGTAGAAATGAGGTCTCACTATGTTGCAAAGGTTGGTCTCAAACTTTTGGGCTCAAGCAATCCACCCACCTCAGCTTCTCAAAAAAGTATTTGGATTACAGGCATGAGCCACTATGCCCAGTCCTGAATTTTGTTAACTTCCATCTAGATACAAGTATTTCTGGTATAATGTAAACTCAATAATATCTAAAGAAAAGCAGACACCAACCCTAGGAAGGCTGATTACCACTAACCAAGTAACAGTAGCGGCTCCTGGCTATGATTGCTTCTGTCTAGCCAGGCTCTATTCTTGCTGCGCACTGTCGCCAAGCCACACAATAACCTTGCAGGGGGAAGCATCACGACTCATTTTACAAATGAGGAATTGAAGGGTCAGAGAGTTTAAGTTGACTTGCTCCAAAGCCCACAGCTAGCAGGTGGTAGATCTGCAAACAGAACACAGGCCTGCTGGCTGGGCTCTTTCCTGCCGTGTAGCTCTGGGGCACCTAGCACCTGAGCCTGGCTCCCTCCCAGTTAATTGGCTCTGCTCAGGACCCCATCCCTCACTGGAGGTAGCCTCTGCTCTGCCTTTCTCTCTCTGTCCCCATTGGACTTTTGGTTCCACCACTGCTGGAGCTCGTGATGGTAATTAAGTGCTGTGTTTGGTTTAAATTACCTTCCTTTCATCATCTGCTCAGTAGCCACTTATTCCATGACTCCTCTGCTTACAATTCCCAACCCCCACCCGCCCCACCGCCGCAAACTCCCTGCCTCCAGCCACACTGGGACCGTTTTGCTCCGAAACATACAAGCCCGCCCCTGCCTGGGCTTGCTGATCGGCTGCTTGGTCTGCTTTTCCCCCAGGTCCTCCCCTCATCATCCTGATCATCACTGCCTCCAAAAGAACCCTGAGGATCCCCCAGTCATTGTCAACATTCACAGCCATCTGAAGCTACCCTATTTCCCTCTCTCCACCAAGAAAGTAAAGCTCATGCGAGCAAGAACCTTTCTGCCTGTTCACTTACCACTGTCTGGCACATAGTAGGCAATCAATCAATATTCTTGAATATGTGAATAAATACCTAAGTAGGGGAAAGAGTGAACTCCCTTCTTCCTGATCAGGTTGGTAAGAAGCTAAGGGAATGATGCCACAAACAGTAGGGAGTTGGCTGGATTCCTTTTTCTCCTGCTATTGCTCATCACAGACAGCGCTTTTAAAATGACTTTGGTTCATATCCTGTTTTCATGTCAGCTGAAACAATGTTAATAAAACATATATTTCATCTGAACAGGCAGGAGGCAAGTTCTGAGAAGATTATTAATCTCTTATGACTCTATTTAAAAGCCAAGCGAATCTATACTCTGATCATCTCCAGCAGAAACAACAACAATGTTGCCAGAGCTCCTAACTAGATTCCTTCCTTGGAACATTTGTCTAAATGAGAAATAGCTCCTCTGCTCCTGAAGAAATCAATATATAAATTTCCCTCGTATATTGATTTCTATCAAGATTTATCCCCAGATAATTTTCTTTATATTTGTACTCTTAAGAGAAATAAACCTCTGCTTATCATTTAGGGAAAAGACCCAAGACAACACATTCCCATACCTGCTGAGGCAGTTATGGACTGAAAAGCTGCCCTTTGGGGAGCCCACAAAGCATTCCTCCCACCCCCTCAGAGGTACTAGTGTATAATGGCAGGAGTTAACTTCTTGATACAGTTTGAAAGAATATGTACTCTTCCTGTTTACTAAAGTTACTTTTTTTTTTTTTTTTTTTTGAGACAGAGTCTCGCTCTGTCACCCAGGCTGGAGTGCAGTGGCACCATCTCAGCTCACTGCAACCTCTGCCTCCCAGGATCAAGCAATTCTCCTGCCTCAGCCTCTCGAGTAGCTGAGATTACTCGGCGCCACCACACCCAGCTATTTTTGTATTTTTAGTAGAGACGGGGTTTCACCATGTTGCTCAGTCTGGTCTCAAACTCCTGACCTCAGGTGATTCGCCCGCCTCGGCCTCCCAAAGTGCTGGGATTACAGGCGTGAGCCACCGTGCCCTGCTACTCAGGTTACTTTTTATAGGCAGTTTGTCTCTTTGTTTCAGCATCATTTTTCCTTTTTTGTTGAATATGATGAAGAATCTTTAAAAAACGAAAACCACAACGCCACTGCTGTAACATCCTGCTTTGTTTTTGTTAAGACACGGAGTCTTAGATGCTGTCCTGGCTGGACACAAACTCCTTGACTCAAGTGATTTGCCCACCTCAGGCTCCAGAACAGCTGGGACTACAGGTGGGGACCACTGTGCCCGGCTTTGTAACACCCTATTATTATTATTTGAGTTTGGCTTCCTGTTATTGTCCATATTTGACAACTATAACAAGTATGTCATCTTAAAAAAGAAAGAGGCTCAAGTGTAGAAATACCCCAAAGACCCTGACCTTCTGCAGGAATTCTCTTTGGGGGCTAATTTTCAACACAACACAAAGCTGGCCAAAGATGACTGAACCTTCTTACTTCCAAGTGACGAAATCCCTATTTGAATTGTCATTAAAGGTTCTGTGCAGGTCCTTCAGATCAGGGATCAGCAAATTATGATCCCCCCAAATCTCAGACTGTTTTGTGAATGAAGAGTATTGGACCACGGCCACACTCATTCACTTAGGCAGAGGCTACAGCAACTTTTGTGCCACAGCTGCAGAGCTGAGTAGTTGCAACAGAGGCCACATGGCTCCAAAAGCCTCAAATATTTAATATGTGGCCAGTGCCCGGGAGTTCGAGGTCAGCATGGACAACACAGTGAGACCTCAGCTCTAAAAAAAATTTTTTTAAATAGCCAGGTGTGGTGGTGTGTAAAGTGTGAGTCTCAGCTATTCAGGAGGCTGAGGCAGGAGAACTGCTTGAGCCCAGGAGGTCAAGGCTGCAGTGAGCCGTGATCACACCACTTGCACTCCAGCCTGGGTAACTGAGTGAGACCCCGTCTCAAAAAAAAAATTTTTTTTTAAAACTGGCCTTTTACAGGAAAAATCTGCCAACCCCTGCTCTAGAGGACAATCTGTTTCAAGGGTGCAACATACGATGTGGACAGCACTGGCTAAACACTTCGTGGAGCCCAGTGCAAAATGAAAATGCAAGGCTGTCAAAAAAAACAATGAACATTTTCAAGATGTTAACAGCAGAGTGTAAACCAATTGAGGGACTCTGCAACTGGCTGAGATGGTAGAATAATTCTCGTTACAGGTGACAAACTCCCAGGGCTGGCTAGAAACTGTTCCACCAAGATGCAAGAGTAAGAGCATTTACAACCTGCAAGTGCTTTAGAACCAAACAACCTTTTGCTCAATTTAAATCTTACACGGATGCCCAACATGTGAAGCGGCAGCCATGTGGACGTCTGCCCCAGCCATTTTATTTCTAAAAGGTCACTAGCAGATGATGGCTCTTACAGTGTTTTAAAAGGGAGGGCGATGAAAAACAAAACACACCAGAATCCTCGAAAACAGCATTTTCAGGTAACCTGGCAAACAGATGCATGCTCTGATACGACAGAATCAGGCCAACTTGGCCCCATTGTCAATTGTACTCTCGGCTGCTGCTTGTCCTCTATCATAATTATTCCAACTGCTATAATTTATTCATCCCCAGACAAGCTTCCATGTTATAAGGTACCCAGATTGAAATGGCTGGAAGCTCAAGTCACTCCTGCCCTTTCCCATCTGCTGAAAATACTGACTGCAGAAGGAATATTTTCTATGCATATATATATATATATATATATTTTTTTTTTTTTTTTTTTTCAAAACCAAACCAAAGTTATCTCAAAACTCAAGTTCTCTGACAAACATGTTGTTAAGCTTTCAAGTTCACAATTCTGCAGCTGGAAGAAGGGGGCAGAGAATCCTATCAGAAACTCAGTATTTAGTTCTACTTTACAGCTATAAGGAAATGGCTTCTCTAGCTCTCAAAATGCTCAGTGAATTTCCTGCAAAGTTACTAAGAAAGTTACCCTCTTTGAATTGAAATACATATGGAACAAATTTTATATTTATGAGAGAGTATCAATTGTTGGAACTACAGAGGATGCTGCATGTGAAGTAACTTCAAATGTAATTACGGGGCCGGGCGCAGTGGCTCATGCCTGTAATCCCAGCACTAAGGCCGGTGGATCACTTGAGGTCGGGAGCTCAAAACCAGCCTGGCGAACATAGTGAAACCCCGTCTCTACTAAAAATACAAAAAATTAGTGGGGCATGGTGGTGCATGCCTGTAATCCCATCTATTTGGGAGGCTGAGGCAGGAGAATCGCTTGAACCCGGGAGGCGAAGGCTGCAGGGGGCCGAGATCGTGACACTGCACTCCAGCCTGGGTGACAGAGCAAAACTCTGTCTTCAAAAAAAAAAAAAAAAAAAAGTAATTATGAATGGATTCTTATAAACTGGGAACAAAGGTAGAATAATTCCATATAAATTAAGGCTTAAACCCATCTTCTCTTCTTAGTCTGATTCTTTATTTTCATGCCAGAACAAAGAAAAATGCTCAAAGGTCTCATAACCAGTTGAGAATGACAGAAAGGGTACTGAAGGGTGAAAACATCTTGGAAAAATGGCCAAATACACAAGATTGCACTGGATGGATACGTCTGCTCATCTACACTGGAGAACCAAAGAAAAGAAAGTCAAAGTCTTTTTTTTTTTTCTGAGACAGTGTGTTTCTCTGTCACCCAGGCTGGAGGGCAGTGGCGCGATCTCAGCTCACTGCAACCTCCATCTCCCAGGTTCAAGAGATTCTCGTGCCTCAGCCTCCCTAGTAGCTGGAATTACAGGCATGTGCCACCATGCCCAGGTAATTTTTGTATTTTCAGCAGAGACAAGGTTTTGCCACGTTGCCCAGGCTGGTCTTAAACTCCTAGCCTCAAGTGATCCTTTGGGGACACTCGGCCTCCCAAAGTGCTGGGATTACAGCATGAGCCACCGTGTCTGGCTTAAATCAAGGTCTTGATACAACATAAATGTAAAGGGAGTTGTTCCATGGCTTAATAACTTTGTCCTCGAACAGTTATTACTTCTATTAGCATGTATTTTCTACAGACATAAACAACGCATCAAAGAAATCAGGTATGGTCCTAGATCACACCCCTTCCTGCATCTTCTACAGTCAACTTGGCGAGTTCAACCTCCACATTTCCCCCACCCACCTGCTTCTCTTCATGCCCTCTGCCATGTCACTGATCTCTCCTGGACTAGGGCTAGCCAACTGGTCCCTCGTTTTCCACTCCTGTTCCCAATATCTATTCCCTGAGATCTTTCTGTATGAAATAAACTAGATCATGGCATTCCCCTGGTTAACCCTCTTCACGGGCACCTCATGGCAAACCTTTAAGCACTGCCCACAAGCCCTAAAGGATCCTGTCCCCACCCACCTCTTCCAGCACAAACCACTGGCCTCCTCTTCATCCTCAGGCACGTTGAGTGCTCCACTTCCTCAGTGCTTTCCTTCTTTTTTTTTTTGCGATGGAGTTTCGCTCGTTGTCCAGGCTGGAGTGCAATGGCATGATCTCGGCTCACTGCAACCTCCGCCTCCTGGGTTCAAGTGATTCTCCTGCCTCAGCCTCACGAGCAGCTGGGATTACAGGCACGCACCACCATGTCTGGCTAATTTTTTTTTTTTGTATTTTTAGTAGAGACAGGGTTTCACCATGTTGGTCAGGCTGGTTTTGAACTCCTAACCTCAGGTGATCCACCTGCCTCGACCTCCCAAAGTGCTGGGATTACAGATATGAGCCACCACACCCAGCTGTTCCTCAGTGCTTTCTATTCACTCCCTACATGGCTGGCTTCTTCTCAGCCTTCAAGCCCAGCTCAAATGTTGCCTCCTAGGACAGGCTGCCTCCTGATGGCCCCTTTCCCCTCTGAGCTACTCTGTTGCATCACGCTGTTGATGGTCTTCAAGACACTCGGCATAACCTGTATCATCTTGCTTCCTGAATTGTTTTTCCGGCTTATCTCCTGCCTCTTCAAACAGGGACCTCATCTGTCTCAGTCCTTCATGCTGCCTCACAAGGTGCCTGACACATGGATGCTCCTTATCTGCCGAACAGCATATTAACCATTAGACTATAAATATTAAGCACATGGATGGTCAAAATTAAACCCTAAAAGTAGACAATGAAGTATTTTCATCTACATTCATTCATCTGCCCATTCATCAACTGGGTTATTTATGGAGGGCATCCTATACTAGGTACTATGTTAGGGCCCGAGGAATCCAAAAGTCTAAGAACTCCTCAAATATGTCATATTCTGTGTTCAACACAAGCTCTTTAAAAAGACAAGTTACACTACTACTTAGTATGTTTTTCTGTGATCCTAGAGATTTGTGAAAACCTAGATAAGAGGTTATATGCCATCAGTTTACTCCCAAAAACCCATGAAACGTATATGGAGAGTAAATAGGGACACAGTTAAGTCATCTCTTAACACTCGGGAGCCTGGACAGATGTAAAGCTTTGCTCAGCCAGTGGTACAGAATGAAATTCATTTCCTAGGCCTGGCGCGGTGGCTCACGCCTGTAATCCCAGCACTTTGGGAGGCCGAGATGGACAGATAAGCTAATGCCAGGAGTTTAAGACCAGCCTGGCCAACATGGCGAAACCCTGTCTCTACTAAAAATACAAAAAAATTAGCCATGTGTGGTGGCGGGCGCCTGTAATCCCAGCTACTCGGGAGGCTGAGGCAGGAGAATCGCTTGAATCTGGGAGACACAGGTTGCAGTAAGCCAAGATTACGCCACTGCACTCCAGCCTGGGCGATAAGAGCGAAAGTCCATCTCCAAAAAAAAAAAAAAAAAAAGAAGAAAGAAAAAGAAATTCATTTCCTAGGGGGGCTGTCCAAGAGGAAAGCTGTATAGGTGAGACAAGGAGGCTGCATGACTGATAGTTTTGTAACAAACTGGAATTACCCCATTGAAATCAACAATGCCAATGTTCAAACTCTTTAGAACTCAGCTCTGCCCCTCCTTGCAGCTGCAGGCTCCTTTGAGATCAAAGTAAGCAAGTTCAAGATGACCGACTTTAGTGCCCAATGGCCCACTGGTGTGATTAATACTTCCACCCTTGGAGTGCAGATGACCTGAGGCCCCTCGTTGTTTGCGCCTACTGCCACATGCTCAGCTGACCTCCAAGGCGGCCATCAGCAGCAGTATCTTCTTGTCTCACCTTGGTGTCATCCACACTGCTTCCCAGGGATGCTCCAGTGCAGAGAACCTGCAATGGGCCCCACGCCAGCATAGTGTGAGCTCCAAGAAAGGAAGAAGACACCTGTTGTATTTATTATGCCACTTAATCACCAGCACCAATGCCCAGCACATGGCAAGTGTCCAATAAATACTTATTAAATAAATTATCCCCATTGCAGAAAAGCTAGAACTAAACAACGTGGCGGCTGTTAGAAAAGTGTGTTTCTCACATCTGCAAAGTGAGAATGATAAAATGAGGCCAGGCATGGTGGCTCATGCCTGTAATCCCAGCACTTTGGGAGAACCGAGGCAGGTGGATCACCCAAGGTCAGCAGTTCGAGACCAGCCTGGCCAACATGGTGAAATCCCGTCTCTACTCAAAAAAACAGAAATTAGCCGGGTGTGGTGGTGTGCACTTATAGTCCCAGCTACTCAGGAGGCTGAGGCAGGAGAATCACTTGAACCTGGGAGGCAGAGGTTGCAGTGAGCCGAGATTGTGCCACTGCACTACAGGCTGGGTGACAGAGAGGGACTCTGTCTCAAAAAAAAAAACAAAAAAAAGGAAGCAAAACGGAAAGTAGGGTTCTTACTGAGCTACAAACCATGACACCTTCTTTGATAATACTGGCTGATGCTTTATGGAAAGTCTTTCCCCTCTTAAGCATTTCATTCACACTCCCTTTTACTTATAACTTTTACAAAATTACAGACCACATTTACAAACACATTCTGCTTCTAACTTCTTAGGAAAGGCCTCAGGACACTTAATAATTCCTTTCTGAACTCAACTAACTAAAAGGCAGCAGCAAGGATCTGAACTTTAGAGAGAATCTTACAAACTACTCTTGTGTAAGAGCTCGGCTGGAGGAAGGGCCAACTGCTCAATGGCCTAAGAAAACCTAAAAGAGAACAGCATGAGGAAAGCAGGCAGAACCCCCATTCATGATACAAGTCAAAGCCAGGCTGCAGCTGCAGTTATAAAAAGAAAGAAAAAGACTAATGGGATTGCCCCCTCCTTCCGCCTTCTCCCACCCAAGGCAGTAATGAAGATTCACAGCTACACATTAATTAGGAATCCATAGACGTGCCTGGTTACAATATTGGTATAGGGAAACAGATAATAGAAAAGGCACAGATTCCCCCACAAGCTAATAGAGTGTTGTAAGCAATATTTAAATCTTCACGCCTTTCTTTTCAAAAACACTACTTCTTTCTCAATGCCAAGAGCTGGCTGCGTTTCTACATTTGGGGAATTTGAGATATTTTCTCGCATGGAAGTCACACCAATATCCTAAATCGTGTAACTAAAATCATTTGGAAATGCACAGTTTTTCTACACGAAAGGATATTGCTTTTAATCCAAATACTGGATTACCAAAACCCTGAAATATCTTTCAGTCCTAATGTAGACAGGAAGACAGAAATGTGGCCTCACCAGGGGGCACGTGAGGCGAAGGCAGTCACTGCCTCAATCATAGAACGCTGTCCACGGCAGAAATGCCCCGTGCAGACCCCATCAATGAATAGCCCACCCCGAACAGTCCTGCTGCACTGGCGAATTGGGGGTCCAAGGACGCCTCCCCCCCATTTCATACAAGCCTCACTCCTTCTTCCCACCGGCGGGGCAGAAAGCCCCCTCTTCAGCCCTTCCAGCCGTCCAGGACCAGGCAACTCGCTAAGCGCTGACTCGGGGAAGGGAGGGCGCAGCCTTTGTCCCGCAGGTCTCCCGCGCCCGCCTCGCTGTCCCCGCGAGCGAGCTTGGGCTCGACCCCCGTTCCCCCTGAACGCACCTGCAAACAAAGGAGAGCCGTTCCTTCGCCAACTTCCTCACCTTTGCCTCCCGGTCCTTCCGAAGTCGGGCGGGGATGCCGCCCCAGGTGCTACGACAAGCCCCAGGGTGCCGGCACCAGCCAGCGGTGCCGTCGCTCAAGCAGCCGCGCGCACTGCCCCGGGCTCAAGTTGAAGAGAGCGGCGCCCGCGCCTCCCTGCGCCCTCCCTGCCCCGCCCGCCGCGGCCGCCCATTGGCTGCTGGGGAGGCGCGTGGCCCCGCCCCACCCGGCCGCACTCCCGTGAAGTGCTCCCGCTAGGTGCTCCCGCCAGATGCTCCAGCTGCTAGGGGACTGGCTCAGGGCCGGCAAGGAGGATCCCCCACCCCAACATACTCCCTTCCTGTAACGAACGTTTCCTTTTTGGACTCTCAAGACTTAGAAACTTCATTCAAACCCACTGAACCTCTTTAGAAAAAGTTGATGCTCTAGGCCTGCTGGGTTTCTGGTTTCTTTTCTTTTCTTCTTGAGACAGAGTCTCGCTCTGTCGCCCAGGCTGGAGTGCAGTGACACGATCTCGGCTCACTGCAACCTCCGCTTCCCAGGTTCAAGCGATTCTCCTGCCTCAGCCTCCCTAGCAGCTGGGATTACAGGCGCCCGCCACCATGCCTGGCTAATTTTTCCTATTTAGTAGAGATGGGGTTTCACCATGTTGGCCAGGCTGGTCTCAAACTCCTGGCCTCAAGTGAGCCGCCCGCCTCGGCCTCCCAAAGTGCTGGGATTACAGGGGTGAGCCACCGCACCAGGCTGGGTTTCTACGATCCTGATTGTGGGGCGAGTGGGGGAAATGGGGGGCGGGGAGGGGTGGTTGGGGAAGGGAGGTATTGCAGCCCACAGCCAGAAAGCCTTTGGGCAGAAAGACAGAAACCAAATTGTAGTTTTATAAATCTGAATAATCAGATTTCAAGAGGCAGAAAATTCTGAATCGAGCTGGAAAGTGTTTACAGATCATCTGCCAATTTACACAAAGCACTTAGCAGTACACCCCTACACCCTTTTGTAATCCCTACCTCTTTTAAGACACCTTTTGTTTATAGCTGACTTGAAGCCAAGATCCCACAGGCACCCCAACATTGTCATCTCTAGCTGAGCGCCCCTCCCCCCATATACATGGAAGCAGAAAATGTCCAATTGGCTAAGTGACAGCACTTTCAGCACTTTAAGTAAGAGTCCTGGCTAGCCACTAGTCATATAAATATATGAGTTGGAAAGGAAAATCCAAGGTCTCTCACTGACTGTATTCTGTGAGCACTGAAAGTACTTCCTCTTTCTAATTGTTTCTGGGCAAGCGTAAGTTATTTGATTAGCCAATTAACAAAGTGAAATAGGGAGGCTGAGGCAGGAGAATTGCTTGAACCTGGGAGGTGGAGGTTGCAGTGAGCCAAGATCGCGCCACTGCACTCCAGCCTGAGTGACAGAGTGAGAGTCCGTCTCAAAAAAAAAAAAAAAAAAAAAAAAGAGCAAAATAGGCAAAGCATATTAGCCATGTTTTTGGCTATATTCAAAGTCTCATACGCTCCTTTTACAAAGAAAGGAACAGAAAATAGGAAATACACATGGAAAATCAAGGGAGTATTTAACTATAGGTCTTGTTTGGGTTTGGTAAAACACACCACAGGTGTACAGACAACTTTAATGTTCATGTTTAAATGAGGATCAGGTGTTTTCTCATTTGTTCAACATTTACTAAGCTCCTCCTAAGTACCAGGTTCTGTGCAGAAAATTTTATATTATGCTTTTCTAGTTAACAGTTGTCTTTCTAGGGAGGGCAAGATTTAA
Source organism: Homo sapiens (assembly GCF_000001405.40). NCBI lineage: Eukaryota > Metazoa > Chordata > Mammalia > Primates > Hominidae > Homo > Homo sapiens. The sequence continues at coordinate 40,858,800 of NC_000004.12, forward strand.
CTCATGCTGTTTCTGAATCTACGATCAGTAACACTTCAATTATTTGGAAGAGTTATTGACAGTAAACTGCTTTGGCAACCACAACTGTCTGGAACACAACACAAACTGCAAGTGAGGCTAGAAGAGGGTTTAAGACTTGGGGTTCAGCAGCCAGAACAGACAGCAGCAAGCTCAGAGATATGAAACAAGTTAACAGGATTGTACCTGTCACCCCTTCAAAGGCTGCCTCTCCTTCCTTACACATCATTCCAGTGAGTTTGGTTGTCTGATTCTCTGTCTATAGCAGGGCAGAAGCAACAAATAGATGGGTCTGCCAGATGTCCACAGGGTACGTCAAGTGTGACAGCTGAGGGTCTGCTGGCAGGAAGTCATGTGTGACAAGTCCTGCCAACTCTGCCTCCTCCTGCTCTCTCCAACTTGCCCCCTTCTCTCAACTCCATGCTGCCACCCTAGTTCCAGCCAACATCTCATCAGGAGGGCTGCTGTCATTTTTTTTTTTTTTTTGAGACAGTGTCTCACTAGTGCAGTGGCCGCTATCTTGGCTCACTGCAACCTCCTCCTCTTGGGTTCAAGTGATCCTCATGCTTCAGAGATGGGGTTTTGCCATGTTGGCCAGGCTGGTCTTGAATTCCTGGCCTCAAGTAATCTGCCCACCTCAGCCTCCCAAAGTGCTGGGATTAGAGGCATGAGCCACCGCACCCGGCCTGCAGTAGTGTTTTAACAGTCTCCTTGCCTCCACTCATCTCTAACAAGCTGTTCTCACAGGAGCCACACCTGTCCCTTCAAAACAAAAACAAAAATCACAAATGCGAGTCCCTTCAAAAACGAAAATCACAAATATGAGTATCCATGCTCGAACCTTAAAACCACACAGTGGCTTCCCACTGCAATGCAGATAAAGTCTATAATCGCTTTCAGGGTCTCACAGGCCGCCTGGGATCAGGTCCCTGCTTCTATCTCCAATGCTGCAACCACATTCCCTCCTCTTTGTCTCTGCTCCAGTCCCCTTTTCTTCTTCCAGTTCCTGGAACACGCCCAGCTACTTCCCACCTCAGAGCCTTTGCACTGACTGTGACCCTCCTAGAATGCTCTTCCCTGCACTGCTCACCTGATGAATCCCTCTCATCTTCTAGGAATCTCAGCCCAAAAGTTGATTCCTTTGGAAGATGTTCCTGACAGGCAGTGTCCTCCCTGACAGCATCCCAGGCTTTTCCTTCGTACTCCTGCTGCAGCTTGGTGTTAAATATTTGGAAAATCATCCATTTATTATTCATCTCCTTCACTTTACAGTGAGCTTTATAAACTTACAGAGTCTGGTTTTGTTTCTGTACAGTGAAGAATTCAACCTTGGCTGAAGAGAGCCTCTGCCTTCAGCTTCTGGGAGGTAAACTCTAACACCTTGGAATGTTGTGCCTGACTGGGGTGTTTCTGTTTGCCTAGTGGCCTTGGGATACACTAGAGGGTCTAATAGGGTGATCTGGGGTGGGCGCTTGGCCCATGCAGTATCAGCTCCACCTCTGGAGGGACTCGAGACTGAGATTAGCCCTGGACCAGTTGTCTATGCCTTTGGGGTGGAGCCTCAATAAAAATCCTGGACACCAAGGCTTGGATGAACTTCCCTGGTTGACAATACTCTGTGCTATTGTCACACGGCAACACCAGGGAAGTTATGCTGCCCAGGACACCGTGGGGAGAGGACAACTGAAGGCTCAGAACTTCCCTGGACTCTGTCCTATGTGTGTCTTCCTTGGGCTGATTTTAATCAGAATCCTTTCCCTGTGACAAACCACAACCATGAGCATAATCACAGCCCTCAGTGAGCTCTATGAGTCCTTCTAGCAAATTATCAAACCTGAGGGTGGTCTCATTGACTATTCTCTAACTTGGCAGTTTCCCGTTGTATTTTCGGCAGTAAGCACATTTCCTGACATACAGTAAGTGCTTAATACATCCACTATTGATTAAATTTAATGTTACTATTTTTTAACCGATTTTTTTATATGACCAGGTAATCAGAATATAATGCTTTTATGATTTAAATAACAAATTTCCATTTTGCAAATGCCTACTTATGAGTTAAGGTCCAGATCAAACAAATGCCATCTCTCCCATGAGGCCTTTCCCTACTTCCCGAGGGCTCGTCACCCTTGCCTTTGTGTTCTCTGGCCCATCACTTTGCTTTCGAAGCATTAAGTAGTAATAAAATGTATTTCTGACCAGCTGGGCAATATAGCGAGACCCCCATATCTACAAAAAATTTTAAACATTAGGCCAGGTGTGGTGGCTCACGCCTGTAATCACAGCATTTTGGGAGGCCGAGGTGGGCGGATCACTTGAGGCCAGGAGTTCGAGACCAGCCTGGCAAACATGGTGGAACCCTGTCTCTACTAAAAATACAAAATTAGCCGGGCGTGGTGGCACGTGCCTGTAATCCCAGTTGCTCAGGAGGCTGAGGCAGGAGAATCACTTGAACTTGGGAGGCAGAGGTTGCAGTGAGCTGAGATCACACCGCTGCACTCCAGCCTGGGTAACAGAATGAGACTCTGTCTCAAAAAAAAAAAATTTTTTTTTTTAAACATTAGCCAGGTGTGGTGGCTTGCACCTGTTGTCCTACCTGCCTGGGAGGCTGAGGCAGAAGGATTGCTTGAGCCCAGGAGTTTGAGGCTGCAGAGAGCTATGATCTTGCCACTGCACTCCAGCCTGGATTATAGAGCGAGATGCTATCTCTAAAATAAATGAATAAATGAATGAATGAATAAAAATAAAACATCTGCTTTTGTGAAGGATATCTATGTTAGATAAACTCTGAGTCCCTACTACTGGGCATGGGGCTTGTACAGAAAAGGTACACAAACGGTGTTTATGGAATGAAGGCAGTTTTTAAAAACAGGTCTGGTTCACAGAAAGACAGGTTCAATTATGTGTGAAATTCTGGTACATATTACAGCTAATTCTCTGATAAATATGGTAGCTGTTACTGTAGTAACTGAGTATTATGAAGGTGTTCTATTGTTTTCTTTTTTCTTTCTAAAAATAAAAATGTTACTCAGGATTATGATACACTTTAAAAAGCCAGACATGCTTTAAATAAAAATATGGAAACTGATCACCCAACTTTTAAAAGGCATCTGACTTCCTAATTAGAATGAAATATCCCAGTTTATTTACAAAATACTGTGAAAGAAAAAAAATTCAACAAACCTAACCACTCATCTTTCTTTCATAGAAACCTAACTGAAAATTCAACCAGGATACCAATAACCTATGATGTCCCCAAGTAGCATAGAAAAATCAATTTTACTTCCTTCAGACCTGCATTTAAACTGGATAATAACTGATATAACGTGCAACAGCCATAATCCAATTTCAATTTGTTTGATTACATGAGTATAAACATTAAACAAGAAAGTCACAGGACTGTTAGGACAATGTTCACGCTATTAACTCATTATAGAACAAAGCATTATAATTTGCTCCTAGAGAACATGCTACTAAAATACATAGATATGAATTTGAACTATCCTTAAATACCATCCACAAAGATCCTTATATTGCCTCAGCCAAAGATAAAAGCAGCTCTGAATGTGGAAGCCACTTCAAAATCTCCTGAATTGAGGATAAGGGAATCCCTGAAGGATTCCTTAAATATTTGAGACTATTTTAACATCCATTTGTATGACACTTGCATAATCAGAGGATTTCAAAGCAGCACCCAGGTTAGTGGTCTCAAACTATAACGTGCATCATAACAGTTAAAATGATGGTGCCGGGCGGGTCCTAGCCGGGCACCGCGGCTCACGCCTGTAATCCCAGAACTTCGGGAGGCCAAGCCGGGTGGATTACGAGGTCAGCAGTTCAAGACCAGCCTGGTCAAGATGGTGAAACCCTGTGTCTACTAAAACTACAAAAATTAGCCAGGCGTGGTGGCAGGCACCTACAATCCCAGCTACTTGGGAGGCTGAGGCAGGAGAATCACTTGAACCTGTGCGGCAGAAGTTGCAGTGAGCCGAGATTGTGCCACTGCACTCCAGCCTGGGCGAGAGTGAGACTCCATCTCAAAAAAAAAAAAAAAAAAGCGCCACAATCTCAGAGGGTGTAACTCAGTAGGTCTCAAACAGACTCCTCGCTTTTTTTACATAAGCACCGTCCCTTCTGACCCAAATGATTTGGAGGCAGGTGTTCAGGGGGCTGTACATTGAGGATTCAAAACTGTTTCCAGAGAAGGGGACTGGTACTTTGTGTCAGAGGAGAAAGTCAGATGACAGATAAAGACACTGGAGGATGGGATGCTGCAGCTCTTTCTGTGTCCCGCACTGCATTCTGAGCTCCTTGAAGGCAGCAACCATGCTTTACTTGTTTTTGTATCTTTTGTGCCCAGCTCAGCACTAAGCACTTAATAATGAAGTACATTCGGGACAAAGTGGCATGCATCTATACTCACAGCTATGTGGATGTCAGAAGCATTCACCATGGGTACATTTCTGAGGGTCATATCACAACAAGGTTATCAACAGAGCAGGCGGGATGTTTTGGCAGGACCTTAAGGTAGATCAATGCCTTTCAAACTTCAATGTGCAAATGCATTGTCTGAGGACTTGTTCTGATTCAGTGGGTCTGCAGGTTCTGATTCAGTGGGTCTGGGTAGGGCCCTGTCGTTCTAAAAACTACATCCCAGGTGATGCCCAAGTTCTTATTCAGAGGCTCCACTTTGAATAGCAAGAATCCATACGTGAATCATCTAAACCATGATCACACGGACAAATGAGCAGCATAAAAGATTTTCAATGAGCTTGGACAATGAAAGCCAGGGAGGCCAGGTGCGGTGGCTCACACCTGTAATCCCAGCACTTTGGGAGGCTGATGTGGACAGATCATTTGAGGTCAGGAGTTCGAGGCCAGCCTGGCCAACATGGTGAAACCCTGTTTCTACGAAAAATGCAAAAATTAGCCGGTTGTGATGGTGCACGCCAGTAATCCCAGCTACTCAGGAGGCTGAGGCATGAGAATTCACTTGAACCCGAAAGGCAGAGGTTGTAGTGAGCTGAGATCACACCACTGCACTCCAGCCTGGGTGACAGAGGGAGACTGTCTCAAAAAAAAAAAAAAAAAAAAAAAAAGCAAGCCAGGGAGTTGTGGACTAACAGTAACATTCCCAACTTCTTTTAAAGCACCATGTAGGCTGGGTGCAGTGGCTCACGCCTGTAATCCCAGCACTTTAGGAAGCCAAGGCAGGTGGATCAGGAGGTCAAGAGATAGAGACCATCCTAGCCAACATAGTGAAACCCCATCACTATGACAAATACAAATATTAGCTGGGTGTGGTGGCGCCGAGTAATCTCAGCTACTTGGGAGGCTGAGGCAGGAGAATTGCTTGAACCGGGAAGGTAGAGGTTGGAGTGAGCTGAGATTGTGCCACTGCATTCCAGCCTGGCGACAGAGTGAGACTCCGTCTCAATAAAAACAAAACAAAACAAAACAAAACAAAACAAAAAAACCACTGTGTACCTGATTATTGCTCCTGGAGGACTCTATAACGTATATTTGTAAAAGAAAGACCCCACTGCCCCACAAGACATCAGTCACAGCAGACGCTTAGCTTGCACTCACGTAAGGATGTGCCCTTTATCTAAAAGGGATTGCCACAGTATCTCTTTAACTCAACTCTAACAAAAATTTTGGAAAAAAAACAAAAGAAATTCTCCTGCCCAATGGCCTGGAGTCTTCCTGTTCTGCCCTGTAAAATGCAAAGGCTATTTATAATAAATGTGTATAACAAGAATCTTTGTTAAGTGGAAGAGATTCCGAAGCCCTAGGCAGGCAGCATAGCTCATTTTCTTTATGCAATATTCAGCAGAAAAAACCTCCCACTACTCCAAAGACTGCGGGCCATTCCCTGGCCTTCACTGTACTATAAAGAGATTTGACTTATCTTCCCACCACCCACCACCCACCAGATCTCTTCTTCCTAACTGCTGCAGGGTGTAGCGAGGGTGAGCATAAATTGTTATCCTCCATGGTTCAGAATCCTAAGGGAGTCAGCACAACGTTTGATTCTTTTTTTTTTTTTTTTTTTTTTAGAGACAGGGTCTCACTCTGTCACCCAGGCTGGAGGGTAGTAGTGCAATCTTGGTTCACTGCAACCTCTGCCTCCTGGGTTCAAGCAATTCTCCCATCTCAGCCTCCCGAGTAGCTGGGATTACAGGCATGTGCCACCATGTCTAGCTAATTTTTGTATTTTTAATAGAGACGGGTTTTACCATGTTGGTCAGGCTGGTCTCGAACTCCTAACCTCAAGTGATCCATCCACTTTGGTCTCCCAAAGTGCTGGAATTACAGGTGTGAGCCACCACGCCTGGTCCTTTCAATTCTTAAAATGTTCAACCATCTCCCCACTCAACGCCCTGGCTTGCTCTCCCTGGAAAGCAGAATTGCAAGGACAGGGGTACTGCATGCACAGGGACACACAGTCACGGAGGGCCAAGGAAAAAGCTGGCTGTCTGGCAAGTTCCATGATTGTAATTTGAGAAAATCACATTTGTGTTTCTGCATCAGAAACTCAAGCTGAAACAGATACTAAACCCATGGCTGGGAAGGTAGGGTTAGGAGAGTAAGACAGTAAGGGCTAAGGAGTGAAGACAAGAGAAGTTCTTTAAAAATAAGTAAGAATTTTCCCTCACTGCCAGTCCACCAATGATCTGATTTCTGTCCCTGCAGTTTTGCCTTTTCCAAAATGTCATAAAAAGGGGGTCCTGTAATACCTAGCTTTCTGAACCTTGCTTCCTTCACTTAGCATAATTGTTGAGTGTATCAACAGTGCATTCCTTTTTATTGCTGAGAATTCCTTTGCATGGATGTACAAGAGTTTGTGTATCCATCTACCAGTTGATAGGTATTTTACTCTTTCCAGTTTTGGCAACTATGAATAAAGTCGATAATAAGAAAACAAACAACACAATTTTTTAAATGGGCAATAACATCTGAACAGATACGTCACCAAAGAAGATAAATGTTTTTCACAAGCACATGAAACATGCTGAACATCATTTGTTTGGAAAATGCCGATTAAAACCACAATGAATCACCACTTCACACATTTTAGAATGCTAAAATAACCACCACCACCCTCAAACAAACAAACCAAAAAATCCTGGCAATGCCAACTGCTGGTGAGGATGCGGAGCAACTGAACTTTCTTACTTTGCTGTTGCGAATGCAAAACGGTGCACCTCCTCAGAAAGCGGGCTGGCAGTTTCTCATAAACTTAAGCGTGCTGTCACCCTACAACCCAGTGATCCCACTCTTACGTATTTACCCAAGATGAGTGAACACTTCTGTTCACACAAAAACCTGTATGTGAATGATTACAGCGGCTTTATTCATGGTTCATGATTAACTTGCCTTTTAAGATGGATGGGCAACTGTCTCTTGATGGGTTTACCTCAGTTTTCCATGTTCACAGGCCTGGACACCATCAGTCATCTTTAAAAATTCACTAGGAGATTACAAAATAGAAGCACTTTACTTTCTTGGTGGTCACGAAACTCCATGCTCAGGAGCTTACTGTTGAGGCTGAATCCCAGAGGAGGGTTTAAGCAGGAGCTTACCCGATGATCGTTACTTCCAGTGGCAAGAAGCATAAAAAGAAACAAGCTGCTATTTTCACCCTCAACTGTTCTTAATCTTGCCTCCCTCTTCCTCCTCACTTTGCTTTTCCTATTCCACCTATGTGCCCTCATGCCCTAAAGAGATATCAGCTACATTAGAAGGCCACAGAAACTGAGGCCGATATAATTTTGATCCTTCAGTGTTGAGTTTAAATAAAAACATCATATATGGTTGCTGTTATTTGTTTTATCTTCGGATTCAACTGGAAGTTCCTAATTTGAAGGGACTTTTATTATTTTATAGTGTCCTTTTATTATTTTATTTTATTTTTGAGACAGAGTCTCGCTCTGTCACCCAGGCTGGAGTGCAGTGGTACGATCTCTACTCACTGAAACCTCCACCTCCCAGGTTCAAGCAATTCTCCTGCCTCAGCCTCCTGAGTAGCTAGGATTACAGGTGTGCGCCACCATGCCTGGCTAATTTTTTGTATTTTTAGTAGAATACAAAAGCACTGAACTGTGCAGTTTCCCGTGCAGAGATGGGGTTTCACTATGTTGGTCAGGCTGGTCTCGAACTCCTGACCTCAACTGATCTGCCTGCCTCGGCCTCCCAAAATGTTGAGATTACAGGCATGAGCCACCATGCACGGCCGACAGTGTCCTTTTAGATCAATTTTAGTGTATCACCATTTTTGTACCTGCTTTTACAAATAAAAGCTTTATTGGAACACAGCCATGCACATTCATTTATATCGTGTCTGTAGGTGCTTTTGCCTACCATGGCAGACACAGCATGACCTACAAAGCCTATTTACTGTCTGGTCTTTTGCAGAAAAAGTCGACTGACTCCTTCTCCAGCAGAATGACCTTTTAGTCATTCTATTAATATAAACGATGAGTATACTATTTGTTAGCTTTGTATAGCTACTAACATCTGTGCAGCATTTTCTATCTTCAGAGCATTTTTCATATCTATCATTTCACTATAGCACCCCATTAGCCCTATTAAATTAGCTATTATTATTATCAACCCCCTTTTTGTAAACAAAATAGGCTCAGAGGGAATGAGTGAACTCAATTATAAGAGGTGAAGCCAAAATTTGAACCTGTCTCATTCTCCAAATTGTCTGATCTTGTCACAAATAAATTGATACATCACACATAGCAAGCTGATCATTTAGTAGGTGAGTGAAGATCAACTTGAATTTTCATCCGCCTAAATTCTCCATTGAGCTCATTCAATTAAAGTTCCACACAAAGTTCACATATGGGGCTCCTGTTCTCTGAGATGACGTTCCCATGTACTCTCATTCCTGGGACTTAGAGACTGCTTAGCCTACAAAAAACTTCTCTTGCTTACAGTCTGTATTCCTTTCATATATATTAGTTAATTATATTGATCAATTATCAGGGAGCTGATCTAGGTTTTGTGGGACCTAAAGCTTAGACAATTTCTGGGGCTTTTTTTTTTTTTTTTAAGAATACAAAATTTATCTTCCTTTTGCAAAATCATTTTATATAAACCATGTGATCTAATTGCTAGCCCTCCTCCTAGGGTCTTGAAAGGGGCTCTAAATTTTCAGCCTCCTGAGTAGTTAGGTCTACAGGTATACCGTGCCTGGCTATTTTTTTTTTTTAGAGATGGGGTCTTGCTATGCTGCCCAGGCTGGTCTTGAAATTCTGGCCTCAAGCAATCCTCCCATGTCAGCCTCCCCAAGTGTTGGCATTACAGGGTGAGCCACCACACCCAGCTGGTTTTTAAAGTATGGTCCACAGACAGAATTAGTGTCACTTGGGAACTTAGTAGAAATGCAAATTCTCAGGCTCCACCCCAGACCTACTGAATTAATCAGAACCACTGAGGCTGGGGCAAAGCCAGCTTTGTTTGAAAAAGACCCACAGTGGATTCTGACATGCACTTGGATTTGAGCATCACTGCTTTACTGGACCATAGATTCTGCTTTCTTCTCTCATATAGAAAATTTTTTGAGGAAAAGAGGGGAAACTGCATCATTGAAGCGAGCTGTATAATTTTTCTTTAGGAACACAATGATCCAGTAACCAATCTGAACCATTAGCAATCTCAGCTTCAGAATTTCAGGAATCCATGACATGTGAAATGTGTCAGGATTAGCCAGAAGTAAAGGCTGGCAACTCAGTCTACTTTGATGGTTTCTGATTGCACTGATGATAAATTAACTGAACTCATGACTTATTAATTGAATTGAAAATGTATATTTAAAGACTCCTGATACAGTCAGAAGACTAAATCAGTAATTCCAAACTCTGAATCATCTTAGAAGTCAAAGAACTTTCCACAAAGGAACTAAATTACTTACCTCAAGCAAAATTCCTTTTTATTTAAAGAGTTGAGATTGGACCAAATTGGTCCTTTTAACCACCAAAGAGCCATTTTATTATTTTTGCCATCAAGGACCTCTTATTTTAATAACTTTTTTCTTTCACATCAATGGTAGTGTGCCAACTTTGTAACAAGGTTTGTGGAAGGCACATTTCACACATGCACATGAAAAGCCAATCACCATGCTTACGAACTACTAAAAGATCAATAATATTTATTTCTTATACATGTGTTACCTCGATTTGTCCCCACACCACCTTTCTATTTTTTTTTTCTTCTTTGAGACAGAGTCTTGCTCTGTCGCCCAGGCTGGAGTGCAGTGGTGAGATCTTGGCTCACTGCAATCTCCACCTCCCGGGTTCAAGTGATTCTCCTGCCTCAGACTCCTGAGTAGCTGGGATTACAGGCACCTGCCTGTAAACAGAAGAATAAAGTAGAATGAATCAGTGTATCCAATTTTAAAGCTGCATATATAGCTATAATAATCAACAGTGTGTGGTAATGGCAAATAATCCTAGCCCTAGGATTAAAATGGGCTGGGCACAGTGGCCCACAACTGTAATCCCAGCACTTTGGGAGGCTGAGTGAGGTAGGAGGATCAGTTGAGGCCAGGAGTTTGAGACTAGTCTGGGCAATATAGCAAGACCCCATCAATATGATTTTTTTTTTTTAATTAACTGGGCGAAGTGGCATGTGCCTGTAATCCCAGCTACTCTGGAGGCTGAGGTGGGAGGATCACTTAAGCCCAGGAGATCCAGGCTGCAGTGAGCTATGATCCTGCCACTGTACTCCAGCCTGGGTGAAGGGGTGAGACCCTGTCTCCAAAGAAAAAAAATAAAAGAGGCCTAAAAATAAGGCAAATGTCTAAAGGGACCGCTCTATAAACAAAGTGGGCCAGAATTTTAGATTCTGAAGGCAGACAAGGAATATACGTGAAATGAAAAAAATTCTAAGAATAAAAGACTTTGATATTTCTTGGTTTAGATCTTTGTATTAATTTCTTTGCCAATTATATAATTGCTTACTTTTCTTAACAGGCTTATTACCTAGGAAGGCTTGTGGTATTTATTACTAAATACCTAGTATTTAGTAAATATTCTATATATTCCTGTAGAAATAGGAAAATATGAGGTCAAAGCAGGCCCCAGTCACCCCATTCTGCTTGTGGGTATCTCCTGAAATGAACAGAGTATGAATGAATATGGACTACATTTCACAACCTTCAAGTTTAAATGGAAGAGAGAAAAAACATTCAAGTGTCTAAAAACTTAGGTACCAAATCACGTTATACATCATTTTGGGGGAAGACATCATTCTCTGGCAATAAACCGCTCACCCATGAAATGAAATAATCCTTCTAGGAAAGAATGATTCATTATTTAATAAACATTTGTCTGTTTTTGACTTCACTAAGAAAAATAAATGGGAGGAAATGCTCCAGGAATCTCAACAAGCAGCCTCCTCTGCCTCCAGCCCACTGTGCCCACCACTGCCAGTGCAGATGAGGGAGGGCAGAGTGAGGGGCAGCGCAGAGGGAGGGACAACATTCTCTTCTGAGTGCTCACCAGGGGACAGGGACCCGTGCCAAGCCCTCTCCCATTTAATATCTTACAACCAAGCTGCATCGGGGTTCCAAAGCTTCCATCTCTACACAAGAGGGCCCTGGGGCACAGTGTGTAACTGGCTCAGGGTCAGCCAGCTAACAGAGGCAGATCAGGAAGCCAACCGGTGTGCCTCACTCCAAAAGCCCTTTCATTTAAGAAGTCATATAATCTGTACCACCTAGAGGAGAGACAGCTGGGTGAGGAAGATGGAGGAGCAAAGCTGGGTAGCAGAAGGGGCTTCCACTGCCCTAACTGTAGAAGGCTGAAAAATATCCCAAAGAAATCAGGTCCTAATCCCTGGAACCTGCAAATGTTACCTTATAGGTATTATATACATATATGTGTGTGTGTGTGTATACACACTCTTTTTTTTTTTTTTTTTGGAGACCAAGTCTCACTCTCACCCATGCTGGAGTGCAGTGGCACGATCCCGGCTCACTGCAAACTCCGCCTCCCAGGTTCAAGCGATTCTCCTGCCTCAGCCTCCCGAGTAGCTGGGATAACAGGTGCATGACACCACACCCAGCTAATTTTGTATATTTAGCAGAGATGAACTCCCCACCTCTGGGGATCTACCCGCCTTGGCCTCCCAAAGTGCCGGGATTACAGGGGTGAGCCACCACCGCGCCCAGCCATACATATATATATATGTGTAAGTGTCTCTCAGAAGGACACTTATGACTGGATTTAGGTCCCACTCAGGTAATCCAGGATAATATCCTCAGGTCAAAATCCTTAACTTAATCACATCTGTGAAGACCCTACTACCCCGCACCCGTTTATTTTTTTTGAGACAGAGTCTCACTCTGTTGCCCAGGCTAGAGGGCAATGTTGCAGTCTTGGCTCACTGCAACCTCCACCTCCTGGGTTCAAGTGGCGATCCTCCCGCCTCAGACTCCTGAGTAGCTGGGACTACAGGCAAGAGCCATCATCCCCAGTTAGTTTTTGTATTCTTAGTAGAGACGGGGTTTTGCCACGTTGGCCAGGCTGGTCTCGAACTCCTGGCCTCAAGTGATCCGCCCGCCTTGGCCTCCCAAAGTGCTGGGATTACAGGCATGAGCCACCGCACCCGGCCTCAACTCCTTTTCTGAAGTTTCCTCTTCCTTCCCTCATGTGGGCCTCTGCACAAGGTAATTGGAGTGTCCATATTAACAGCTAAAAGGAGTAGGAACACTGACCCATTAATTTAGAATTCATGGTTTCAGACACGGTTCAGCCACATTTTTGTATAAAACTGATTAAGTCGTGTAAAAGTTCTAGGTCTCAGTTTCCTCATCTGTAAAAGGGACATAATGCTACACCCTGTAGTCCTGAAAGGACTAATGGAGATAGACCCTCAGTAAACCATAAAGCATTGTGTCAAAACATGCACAGAGTTCTGATTATTCTCCCCTCATTCTCCCCTTCAGATAATCAAAAGTACTTTTAAGCATCTAATATAAGGATAACATCATGTTGAAGCACACACAAGGAAATCTAAGATATGGTGATGGCTGTCAAGGAATTCACAGTCTAACCAGGGAGACACACATCTGTGACATTAGTGACAACCCGAGGTTGAAGAGATCTAGTACAATGAATATATGCATGACTACAGAGCTGAAAGACAGCACAGGGCATGGTGTGCTGTGAAGATTCACTCCCATTTGTAGGGGTGGCGTATATTTCCCCAACCCTTGAAGTGAGGCGCAGTTACGCATCTTGCTTTGCCAATGAAATGTGAGCAAAAGCGCTAAGCATCATTTCCAGCAGAAATGTTCAGTCAGCGCATCTTTTCCTTCTGCCACCATTGTTGCCAATATTGTAGTCTAGATTGTGACTTTATCATCAGCTTTAGACAGAGAATGAGGACAATGACAAAGGAAGCCGTGTCTTCAGCCAACCCACCATGGACTTTTAGCAGAAAGAATTGTTATAAGCCACTGAGATTTTTGGTTGTTATTACAGTCTAACCTAGCCTGTGCTGAAGGACACGAACGGTGACAGAAAGGCTAACAGAACAGGTGGGACCTGCACTAAGTCCTAAGGATAGGGATGTCACATAACACTGGCATAGGGCTTGACGGTCATGTTAGAAAGTGCTTCATGGGACTCATGAGCCCATGTCATTACCTGTCTGTTCCTCTTAGCACATCCCATGAGGGCAAGAACCATGGCGTTCTCATTCATGGCTACATCCTTGGTGCCAAGCATGGTGGCAGACACATGCTAGGGACTTAACACATGGGTATCCAATAAATCCCCAGAAAGCTAGATGGGATCAATAGAGGAAGAAGGAGGGAGAAAAGGAATTCTACGGCTTGACATCTCAAGTTAGGAATGAGGATGATGTGGCCTTGGACATGAAGAAAGCCAACTTTACAGATCACTGTAAGATACACAGGAAGAAATCTGGTTAAATTATAATGATAAAGGTTAAAAAAAAAAAAGATGGCGCCGGGTGCAGTGGTTCACACTTGTAATCCCAGCACTTTGGGAGGCTGAGGCGGGTGGATCACCTCAGGTCAGGAGTTCGAGACCAGCCTGGCCAACATGGTGAATGCCCATCTCTACTACAAATACAAAAAAATTAGCTGGGCGTGGTGTTGCGTGCCTGTAATCCCGGCTACTTGGGAGGCTGAGGCAGGAGAACTGCTTGAACACAGGAGGCGGAGGTTGCAGTGAGCTGAGATCATGCCACTGTACTCCAGCCTGGGCGACAGAGTGAGACTCCATCTCAAAAAAAAAAAAAAAAAGATGGTACCGTATATGGATGATGACAGCCATTTCTATCCTCCTGCCCTGGTTAGCATACTTCTGTGGTATAATCTGCTCTACCAGTTCTGGGGCCTAAGAGAATGACTGACAATGTTATGATTAGAAGTGACCCAAGATTTGACAACTTAAGATCTATATCTCCTCTCTTTTTTAAGAAGCACTCTAATTTGTACAGTGTAGACATATTTAAACCTTATCTTTTATTTAAAAAAAATTTTCCCTCTTAATTTTCAATCCTTGACTTAGTGAATTTAATTAATAGTATCAGGTTTTATCTTTCTTAATAAATAACTTCTACAGCTTCTCTTACGTCAATGAAGAAGACAAAGCAACTCTTAAGCTCAACGCTGTACAGAGATGAATCAGAACATTTCCTTTAGGCAAGAAGGAGCTGAGACAATTATGCTAGACCACTGAGTTTGTGGGGGAAATATATTAAGAAATTTCACACCGTCCACTAGCTAAAATGCTTTTAGGAATTGCTGCTACTCTTCGCAATGAGATCGCTGGTGGTGGAGGAAACTGGTTTGGCAAGCAAGTATCTTTAGGGCTGAGGTGGTTCTGTGCACTATTATTCTCTGATTAATGGGGAAGGCCACGGGTGTCATTTGGATAGGTCAATAAATATTAATTGGCTGTAGGGATAGATTTTTAACTTTGTGTTCTTTTAGTTGCTTAGGGATTTTACAGGGGGAAAAAACCCGCAAAATACTCCTGTTTTAGAATGCATAGCATTTCCCAATTATTGAATAATAGAGAAGTCAGAGAAAAAATCTGTATTTTATACACTCATTGGTTAATGGGGCATTACAATTGAACTCTGTTTATTTATCAAAATTTATATCCTATTTCCTTCCCAAAAGAATTAAGTGGCTTACAATAAAAGGCACACACAGTCTATTATGTTCTAAATTTAGAAAAGTAAAATTTAAAGCCAAATATAAGGAAGAGAAAGTAATTCTATAAATTAACGAGGCGAAATATTAGTTGGAACCACATTCAACCATTTCTGATCCACAAAAACAGCAATGTTATATGATTCTATCTGATTTAATTACTGCAATTGCAGGTTTAATTTAACTTGAAACTTCCTAGCAAAAAGGGAAACATGATAAACTATACTATTTTCCCTGTTAACTAAATTCTTACATGCATATCCTTTGAGAGACAATATTTTCTAGATACTGAAATCTAAAAGAAATCTGCATTTCAGTTTTTTATCCAAGGGCAATTTAACAATATAAAGGACGTCTTCAGGGATGATATTACCAAAGAAGTAGAGATTTCCTTCCTGGGATCATCACTTACAACTGTATTGACTGAATGCAATGGAAGTGCTGTTCGTAAGAACACAACACTTTTCAGAGAAGGCACAGGAGGCGGGGGCAGGGCGGGGGGTGGAGATAAGTAAATGAAAGTCTGAAACTCTAGCTTTGTTATCCTGTCCCCTGATACAATGTTATCATTCAGAATCCCTAGAACAGTGTTTTCTGACCTGGTGGGTCCCAGAACTGCTGGCCCTCTGAAGGTTCGCCGTTAATGAAGCCAATAATATGTCTTCTGCTCATCTAGTGTTGACTGCGGGACAGCTCAGACCCTTCAACAGCTGAGGGTGTGTTTTAGGGGCTTTCTCTGAGAATAGAACATTGCATACAGTGTTTCCCAAAATTATGTGAGTGTGGAATCTCTTTTTCTTTAAACACCAGTTACTAAGCTGGTAGAGTGCTCAGCTCAAAAACTTCTTAGAAAATTTGACTGAGATCAGTATTATTCAAACTATGACCAATCAGTGGTCACAAACAGCGTTTTAAAAGTTAAAAGAGTAGTAAAGAAAAAAAATCAAAAAGCAGGGCACACAGTGCAAGTCAGAGCTGTTGTGTGACATTTTTGGTAGTTAAGTGTGTGAAGGCACAGTCCGGTGCAGCTGGGTAAGTGCCTGGCTCAGCTGTGCTGCCTGGGATGGGGGCAGGCAGGGGTGAGACCTGACATGTCACATCGTGGGGTTTGGCTCCATCCTGAGCAGCAGGGAACATGTCATGTCTTTTTACCCATCAGAAAAATCACTTGGGTTGCTGATTGTCAAGGACACAGACAGAGATGGGAGTTAAAGATCAGGGGTGGACAAACAGGTATAAGAAGTAGTTAAGAAAAATTAACCAACACTTGGAAATAAGACAAAAGGAGGACAGTGTGTCTTTCAATGTCACAGTAGAGCAACACTTAATGGACCCTCCTAAGGATTACTTACTTCACTAGGGGAGTCCCGTTCAACAGAAATACAATGCAAGCCACATTAAGTAATTTACAATTTTCTAGTAGCCACATTAAACAACTGGAAAATGGAAGTGAAATTAATTTCAATATTTTATTTAAGCTAATATGTCCAAAATACTATCATTTCAATGTGTAATCAATATGAAATTGTTATGAGACATTTTACATCTTTTTAATACAATGTTTGTGAATTCTGGCATGTATTTTACACTTTACAGCACATTTCAATTCAGACCAGCTACATTTCAAGTGCTCAAGGCCATCACCGAAATGAACAGCCCAGCTCTAGGGAAATGTATTTTTATCTGACTTTGCTAGTGATTAGGGCTCAGACTCTGGGAGAGTAGTTGTTAATTTGTAGAACATTAATATGTTACAAGTAATGTTTGCAACTTTCTGCTAAGAAAAAAAAAAATAACCCCAAAGGTGAGGATTTCATTGCCAGTAGAACATTAACCAGTTTTGTATCCACCTTAGTCATCTATTCTAGTATTTTCTCTTTTCCTCTAGCTGCTGTTATGATCTGTGTTATGCCTTTGGTTTCAACTGTTTTATTAGGCTGTGTCTAGGCAGCAGTACATGTGTGTTTGTGTATGTGTGTGATTCTTCCTGGCTTGAGGTTTTTTGAAACCTTTTCAAATTCTTGAAAGCACAAGTGCTTCCTGGTGGCTTGGTTATCAGGTTTAGAAGATTCTCAGCCTTTCTTAGGTTCCTTTGAACTGGTGTTGGTAGCCAGCTCATGAGTTAAATAAATCTTTGGCATGCACTCACTGCATATTTTAAAACTTTTATTTTAAGCAACCTTATTGAGTATAATTGATACACAATAAACTGCATATATTTAAAATATCCAATTTGATAAGTTTTGACAATATGTACCTGTGAAACTATTACCACCATCAACATAATGAGTATATCTGTAACTCTCAAAGATTCTTCCTGCCTCGTTATAATCCCTGCCTTCTGTCCTTTCCCAGGTAATCACTGAACTGCCTTCTGTCACTACAAATTAGTTTACCTTGCATTTATAGAATTTTACATAAATGCAATCACACACTACCTTTTTTTCTGGTCTGGCTTCTTTCACTCAGCACAATTATTGTGAGATTCAGCACGTTGCTGTATATACCGTTGTCGCTTGGTGTCTGCAGGGAATTAGTTCCAGGACCCCCAACGATGCTCAAGCCTCTTATATAAAATGGGACAGTATTTGCATATAACCTATGCACATCTTCCTGTATACTTTAATCTCTAGATTACTTATAATACCTAATACAATGCAAAACTATGTAGATAATTGTTATATTATTTTTAAAAACTTGTATTATTTTTCATTGTTGTATTTTTTTCCAAATATTTCCCATCTGCAGTTGGTTGAATGTGTCGATGTAAAAAATCTGCAGATATAGAGGGCCGACTGTATCAACAGCTGGTTCCTTTTCACTGCTGTGTGGATATCTGTTATACAATATACCATGGTCTGTTTATCTATTTACCTGCTGATGGATATTTGAATCATTACCCACTGTCAATATGACAGCCTGTTTTTAACTCTGACCTAGGTATTAAGGAGGTAGACTCTTTAGGGCTGACCACCACTATGGGTGGGGAGGACCCACAGGAGCAGGGTCGGGGGCTCCCACACTGCTGACCTGTGTACTACATGGCAGAGCCATTAACCACAGTGGCTCAGCATAAGTCCAGTGGATGAACACATGCCGAAATGAGTGAATGTATGAATGCAGAACACGGGAGAATAAATAGAAAGAACAGCTTTGAAAATGGGGTCAGGAGTCTGTCTTGGCCAACGTGGAGTATAACAGATTTGCCTTGGCATCCCAGCAGAAAGCTGTTACCCATCTGAGAGCAAAGGTGGCCTAGCCTAGGTTAGCCAAGGTTGGGCCATACCCACTATTTACACCCTCGTGGCACGTGGTTAGGAAAGAGACTTCTCTCAAAAGACAACTCAATTCTTTGGAGCTCAGATGCTGTTTATGGACTTAGGGGATGACGTGTGCCCTCTCATCCTTGTTCCCATCCTCATTCCAGGTCTGTATAAAGGCAGGTCATGTAGGGGTGGGGTGCTGAGGGCCAGGGTCAGAGGGGATCAGATACTTTCAATCTGAACTAAATCTCTATTTCACAGATTTGGTAATCAAAGAAGGGTCAACTCTTTGAAAAATGGCATTAATGCCTTAATCGGTGCTATATATAAAATTCCTGCAAACTCATCCTGCTGTGCCCTGTTTAGTTCACCTGCTGGGACAGACCTGGTTTTAGGACCTCACAGGAACATTTGATTCTGTGAGTTGAAGATTGAGACTTGCAGTTTTCTAGTGTTGCTTCCAACAAATTCACTCAGGAGCTCTCCTTTAGGGAGGAGGCAAGAAGGATTTAGGGATCAGGGAGGTAGGAGCCACGTGTCATGAACTATTGTCCAGTGGCAAAGTGACTCTTAACTCTATCATGACCTGCCACACCCCGGGCAGAGCAGCTCAGGGTACAGGGCATGGGGCTCGTGAGCCCTGCCTGAAGATGGCTCTCCAGTGGGCAGGGTGCTTGGTGCAGAGAAAAAGCAGCCCTTGAAAATGCAGCTGGAGCATTTTCCTAAAGGGGCAGACTTGGCAAGACAGGGTGGGTGGCTGAGCATTAGAGAAGCAATCAGGCCGGACTCGGTGGCTCACGCCTGTAATCCCAGCACTTTGGGAGGCTGAGGAAGGCGGATCACTTGAGGCCAGGAGTTCAACACCAGCTTGGCCAACATGGCAAAACCCCATCTCTACTAAAAATACAAAAATTAGACGGGTGTGGTGGCACATGTCTGTAATTCCAGCTACTCAGGAGGCTGAGGCATGAGAATCACTTGAACCCGGGAGGCTGAGGTGAGTTGACATCTTGCCACTGCACTCCACCCTGGACGACAGAGTGAGACTCCATTCCAAAAATACCAAACCAAACCAAAACAAAACAAAAAAAACAAAATAAAAGAGAAGCAATCAGAAGCTTATCTAATGCACTGCCCGCAGAGAGAAAGGCACCTGTGTCTGCTTGGCTTTGTCCTCCCCATCACGTTACCTGCCTGTTTGCCATGTCAGCATCCATCTTCATCCACTGTGTCCCTGCCATGCCCCCTGTCCGGATCTCCCTCAGAGACTGTAACTGTGCCCCCTAACTCATCCTCTCCCGCCTCAGGACTTTCAAATGTTTCTTCCTCTTTGGAGTATTTCTGGTATAAAATTTCTGACTGAATGAGAACATTTTCTGGGTTTTATTTTTCTTAGTCTCCCCTCCCCCATCACACTCTTCTAGATGAGTGAATGGTGTCAGAGCCCGTCTGTCACCCACTCTGTGTTCCTTTATTTATAGCCTTGATGATTCTTCCAGGGTTTGGAGAGGTTTATTCTTTCCATTTTAAGTCAACTCTCTGGCTCCCTTCTTTTTCTTTGGCCCCACGTCTGATCTGGCATTTCCGTCCTCTGGCTGCCATGACCGCGCCTGCATGATTCTGTTCCCAAGAGCTTTTTACTCTTGGAAATTGGGTTCTTGCTTGAGGACTCTGGGTTCAATTTCCTAATTCTTGTCTTTGATTTCCTTTCCTGTCTTCCCTTTTCAAACAAGCACATCCCTAGGCCACTTTTTGGGGAATAGCCTAGAAGAACAGAATTCCCAGTTGAAGTTATAACAAAGAAACATGAGACCCAGTGCCTGAGCCCAAAGTGTGGGTGCTGCTCCGAGGGACTGCAGGGAACATAACTCTACTGTCTTCTTATCTTAAGAGAGAGCAGTGTGCAGGAGGAGACTAGAACGTGGGACCTGGAAGGAAACTGGTGCAGCCTCACATGGACTCACAGAAGCAGGAACTCTTGGCTCCCAAGTGAACAAGACTTTTTCAGTCCACCCAAAGGCTCAAGGCTAGCTGAAAATTCATGACACGATAATTCTCCTACATTCTCATTTTTCTCTGTTAAAATATAACTCCTCTGAACACAAGCCATTCCAAAGCTTGAGTTCACAGCTCTGATACTTAAACACCAATTCTGACTTCATAAGAGGGTTAGAAAAATACAAAGCCATTTTGGGGGGCTCTGAACAACAATTTTAGCCTTTGAAGGGCAGCATCAAATAGCTCTAGGGAACTCTATGAAGAGTCACCAACTCGTTAGTTGAGACTCACTATGAACTAGAGATAATTTCTAGATATTAAAAAGACAGAATAATACTAAGCTCTCATGTTAAATTTCTCCTTATTTTTAATAATATGTTACGGTTGACCCAGGACAATATTTTTTTTCTTTCTTTTTTTTTTTTTGAGATGGAGTCTCACTCTGTAGCCCAGGCTGGAGTGCAATGGCACAATCTCGGCTCACTGCAACCTCTGCCTCCTGGGTTCAAGTGATTCTCCTGCCTAAGCCTCCCGAGTAGGTGGGATTACAGGCATGTGCTAACACACCCAGCTGATTTTTGTATTTTTAGTAGAGACAGGGTTTTGCCATGTTGGACAGGCTGGTCTCGAACTCCTAACCTCAGGTGATCTGCCCGCCTCAGCCTCTCAAAGTGCTGGGATTACAGGCATGAGCCACTGCACCCAGCAGACCCAGGACAATATTTCAAGGAAATATTACTATGTTAATAAAAAGAGTGTCACTGGGAGCGATGGCACTTATGACCCTTGCATGAAAGGACCTCCATATTTCAGCTACGTCAGTGATGATCTCCAGTGCGGATGGAGACAGTGGCACACAGAGCGCCCCTAACATCAGTGCAAAGGAAGAGGCACAATTACATTGCAAATGGTGAGATTCCTACTCCAGTGTTCCTTCTCTTGACCTACTCTAGCTCTCAAAAACTCGACACAATGAGACTCCTTGAGTTCCACCTGATGTTCTCAAATTCTTCTTTCCCAGTGACGAACTGTGCTGCACTAAATTCATAGTCACTGGACTCCCCAGGAAACCAAAAATCTCAGGATGATGACATTTGAGTAAAAAGGTTCCAGGTGACAACTCGTGTATGAAAAGTGGTGACTGCACCTTCCTTTGCAACAAGAGGCTTTTAGCAATTCTTCAAGCACCAAACCATGCACTGAACATCTGCATAAGTTCTGGGTTATCATGGTTATGACTTCCTCTGTTCTCAAAGACATTCATCCATGTTTACATGGGTTGTTAGGCTATTTCTTTACTCAAATGACTCTTCTTTTCCTGGGATGCTCCAAGTATTCAAAGAAGATCACGGCACTTTGAGGATGGACACAGAGAATCAAACATGATAGATCTCCCTCGCTCTGCATCCAGAAAGGCCCATCCTTTGTCTGGCTCAGGACTCAGGGGAAGTGCGAGATGGAAGCTGTTCGAAGATCATCATCAGACTTTTCTGCTCTCTCTTGACACAACAGCCTCAAGCCCCCACACGTCACTGGCTGCTACTGAAACATGCTCACAAGAAATCCTGAACCATGCTTTGAGCCAGAGTTACCAAAATGGACGAGGTATTTCTCAGGAGAAACTGTCGCCTTCATAGATTCATGAACAGGGACAGGACCGCCATGAACGATCTGTCTGAAAATGCCCTCCCACTTTCCTCTAAGGGAAACTGTTCTTGGACAATCACTTACGATGTCTTTCCTTAAAGGTTATTCTGTGCTGAAAGTATTGCAAGCATCCCATCATGATTAATGGAAGGCAGAGAAGCCACTTTTAAAGAGATAAAATAGAACCACAGTGTAAGTCAGCAAAACGGTCAAGTAAATCGTGATGCCTCTGCTTATCATGGAGCTGCATTAAAGAGAAATTAACTCCAGAGGTCAAGACAATACTATAGTGTAGGGAGAGAATTATTGTTCCTTCCTGAAGACTTTTCTCCCTGAGGCAAGACAGCACATACCATAGATTAAACTTTCATCAGCAGATCTTGGAATTCCATCAGTCTTTCATTACTGACTGGCTCAGAGAATCCCCTACTAGATGTCATCAGGAAACTCTACTTCTTCCAGACTGAGACCCCACCTAATCACTCCTAGGGAAAAAAAACAATGACCAAGAAGAAACAGAGATAACTTTCAGATTAGCTCAAAAACAAAAGAGACCCATTATTCCTTTTCGCTTTCTTTCCTTTTATCTTTTCTTTTCTTTTTCTTTTTTTTTTTTTTTTTGATACAGACTCTCGCTCTGTCACCGAGGCTGGAATGCAGCAGTGCAATCTTGGCTCACTGCAACCTCTGCCTCCCAGGTTCAGGCGATTCTCCTGCCTCAGCCTCCCAAGTAGCTGAGATTCCAGGTGTGCACTATCACACCTGGCTAATTTTTGTATTTTTAGTAGAGATGGGGTTTCACCATGTTGGCCAGTCTGGTCTCAAACTCCTGGCCTCAAGTGATCCGCCTGCCTCGGCCTCCCAAAGTGCTGGGATTACAGGTATGAGCCACTGCGCCCGGCCGAGACCCATTATTTCTAAATCACTGTCACCTAAAACACTGCCCTTTATCACAGACAATTTCTAATAATTTAGAAAGGAAGTCTCCTTGGCACAACGGCTGCAGTGTCACCTGCAGTGTGGTGTAAACACAAAGAAGAGCCACACTGGCTTGCTCAGAAAAGCTTTCCTGACTGCCCTCCATATGGTGGACAGACTGCGCTGTGTGAGTGGCTGTCTCCTTCAGTCAGCGCTAATTCAATCTTAAAGGTCAACCAGGGAGGGGACAGGCAGGACCAGGCAGGAGACAGAAACCACACCAGTCATTTGAACGGAGAATAGCACATAGGATTTTAACTAATAACTACAATGGCAAAAGGGGATCCTGAGAAAGCTCCCATGGAGGCTGCAACTGTTAAGAGGGGGGCTCTGACCTGCAGGGTTGAGGGAACAGAGGAGAGAGGTTGCAATAATTAAAACATAGAAGCTTCACGGAGGAGCCTCCTGGAGCAAAACCTCGGACTGCAGAGGAAGAGACATTGTTGGCTGCTGATGGTGTCCCTAGGCTTGAAGGAGGGACCCCAGGGCCAGGACCTAGACTTAAAAAGAGGGCTTGCCTGCTAGCTGTGCTGGAATCTCTGAAGAAGCCGTGTGATGAAGCCAGTTCTGCATTTCTGTGAAGTTGGAAAAACTGCAAACTGGATTCAGAACTGATGCAACTGGGATAAAGCTGTGTTTCTAGGATGGTGCTCAGAGAAACAGGAAGCAAAGGAGGGAGCAAGTTCCTCCTTCCTCCTCCACCTGGCAGTTCTCCTTCGAGTGCTGCACAGTCACCAGAGTCTAACAGGTAGCAGACGAGAGAAGCAGGAGCGTAGTCTGCGGAGTCCCAGCCCCAGCATCACAAAGCTGAGCGGGGAAGTGTGGGTTTGGAGCTGAGGGGACAGCTGCTTAATGACACTAGTACGGGAAGCAACAGGCCGTGGGGGTGAGAAACTTGAGGTGACTGGTTTTCACACTGCGTCGGAACGTTAGCTGTTAAACTTCTTTGGTGATTGAGTTTTAACTTGGCAAATGTCTGTGCAACTAGAGACTCTAGTTCCGAGTCCTTTGCAGCTGAGTGTGGCCAGTGGGGTGTGAACGGAATGTGAGTGTACCTGAGGTACGCAAGTTCCAGGTGTGTTTAACTTGGAGACAAGTCACTTGGTCTGGTGAGGCCAGGACGGCAACTGAGGGATGGCAGAGCAACAATCTGGAAGGAGCCTGAACCCCTGAGTGGCACAGAGCTGTTCTTCCAGGTGGCAGTGCCCACTGCAGCTGTGGCATGAGAACTAACCTCTGGCACTGAAGCCAGTGGACTGCAGAGTACTTGTGGCAGCAGCCTGCCCTATACCCTTTTATAATACACAGAAGGCTGAGGTGAGAAGATCACTTGAGCCCAAGGTGTTCAAGGCTGCAGTGAGCTATGATCACATCACTGCACTCTAGCCTGGGTAACAGAGCGAGACGGTGGCTCACACCAGTAATCCCAGCACTTTGGGAGGCCGAGGAGGGCAGATCACCTGATGTCAGCAGTTCAAGACCAGCCTGACCAACACGGCGAAACCCCGCCTCTACTAAAAATACAAAAATTAGCTGGGCATGGTGGCGCATGCCTGTAATCCCAGCTACTTGGGAGGCTGAGGCAGGAGAATTGCTTGAACCCAGGAGGTGGAGGTTGCAGTGAGCCGAGATCATGCTACTGCACTCCAGCCTGGGCAACAAGAGTGAAACTCAATCTGAAAAAAAAGAAAAACTTACTCAAGCTTAACTCTACGGAACAGTAGCAAGGCTAAGCCGTGCTTTCAGGGACCCCCGAATGCTGCTAGTAGAAGACATGGCTAGGAAGGGAGATAGAGACTGCCAAAAAAAAAAAAAAAAAATGGGCCCTTTCCACAACGACTTTCTATATACAGCAGCTACAAAGATCGCCTCGTTCCATTCTGAGTATGTTATTACTCAAATGTTCCTTCTATGAAGAGCTGGGCTGTGCTGAGTTCCCATATCTGGGTCCCCCGTTCTTTTTCTTAATGCTTTGAAAATGTGGAAACTATTCTCAGCTCATGGACCCACAAAAACGAGGCTCAGGAACATGGTGTGTCCACCTTTGCTTTCCATTCACTCATGTGGTCTTATCTCTTCAATGAAGAAGCCAGACTGTAAGGACAGGGACCATGCCATAGCCTTCTGTGTCCTGCTGCTGCCTAACATAGTATTTAGGACGTATCTGACCCAGCCTCTCCTCCCCTGCCAACCCCGGGACATTTAGACCATTCACCATCTCTTGTCAAGATGAACAGAGTAGCTTCCCATTTGGGCTGGCAAAAATACCTGGGGTGTGTTTTTTGCTCTGCCACAAACTACATGGGTCACCTAAGGTAATCACACTCTTCTGTCTTCAGTTTCCTAACCTCTAAAATAAAGAGACTGAAAGACACTAATACTAAAGCACCTTTTAAATCTAAAAACCTATGAGTCAAAGTTTTGCATATTCTAAATAATTAATCCCAATATTCCTCAGGATCCCTGAACTCCTCCACAAAATTAAGCAGTGTTTTCAAAAGAAGTCAAAACAAAGCAGCAGAACAGCACTGGCATGAAAACAAGAACATAAAGTACATGTGACAAAGGCCTTTTTTAAAACATCCTAACCAGGCACAGGGGCTCGCACCTGCTATCCCAGCACTTTGGGAGGCCGAAGTGGGAGGACTGCTTGAAGCCTGGAGTTCAAGACCAGCATGGGCAACAAAGTGAGACCCCGTATCTACAAAAATAAAAATAAAAAAAACACCTGTAGTCCCAGCTAACTCAGGATGCTGAGGCAGGAGGATCGCTTGAGCCCAGGAATTTGGAGGCTGCAGTGAGTGATGATCACGCCACTGTACTCCAGCCTGGGCAACAGAGCAAGACCCTGTCTCTAAAAATAAAAAGAAATAAAACAACTTGGGCCAGGGTCTTGGTGGATAAATACAGCTGGGAATACCTTAGAAGAGAATATGAAAAAAAATTCGGTACAGTGGACACTATATTCTTTAGACAAAAGTTCCTGAGATCATAATCAGATAGAACAATCAAGTCAAAGATAACCTCATTTGGAAATTTATGAATAATCTATGACACAGAAAGATTTTATTAAAAGTTGTTCATCAAAACCAGAAAAGAAAGGTATTAAACACCTTCAAGGAAGAGAAGTTTGGCTACACAATCTGTAAGCATAAGCAACATCACAGGGTAAACACTGAACCTGAATAAGAGAGCACTGTTTAAAAAGCACTGCACACATCATGACTGTTGATGGTTGTGTGAGAAAACATTTTAAATGGTCCATTTTCAAGGCATGATAAATCTAAGTCCTGGCAGCCAGGCTGCAAATGTAACAAACCACATGGCTCATGCACCTAGAAAGTCACAATAAGCTAACAGAATGTAGAGGAGGGGTCAGCCCATTAAAGGGAAGAAAGTTTTCTTATTGGGAAATGAAAATTAAGCGGGGAAGGGAATGAGGTATAACCTTATAAGGGGGATAATGAAACTTAGGTAATGTCCAGGAAGATTGTAGCCCCATAGTACTCGGCCAGTGAGGAATTGGGGGAGGGACTGGCGTGCTAGGAGATAAATTACCTGTTGTGACTGTCCCAGGTGTGCCTGCCCACCAGATACCCGATCTCGCAAGACTGTTATTAAAAAGTCTCACTTTCACTGTTCTTCGTGCCTCTAAGTCCATTCTTGGGGTTTGGATGGGTGAGTGTGTTTCTCATAGTTGCCATTCATTATGAAGAAATTTTATCTTCATTAGAGCAGGCCCAATGGGGTCTCCACTTATAATATTCATTAAAAGTAATTCCAATTTTTCTTAATAATCAAAAATAGCAGTTTAGTGTTGCCACGAATTTAAATGAATGAGTTTACTAATGACAGCAATATTTCCTGAAGTGTGTTCCATGTGATTGTGTTTCCACCGAGGAAACGGTCCAGCCAAGCCTGGGAAACGCTTTCTTGCAGAGTCCTAGTGCATCTCAGCGTAGGAAAACCTCTGAGAGGGCCCAGTGTACTTGGTTTAACTCAGTTTCCCAAGTGACTATAGAATCTTTTTTTTTTTCTCAAGGGAAAACCGTGGATTAATCACTGATAGGGAAGCCTCTTGGAAACATCCCATTTACGGGGTCTGAAACCCTCTGACAATATCCATTTTCCTTTCTTGTGGGAAATGGCTGAGATGAGCAGACTATAGGGCTCATTGGCGAAGTACACAAGGATCTCTGTGCCCCTACCCAGAAGATAAGCCTCCATCAACCACGAGGCAAGAGGGGAGTCCCTGTTCCAAGTTCCCTGTGTTCAGAAATTATGTTTTGGCTGGGCGCAGTGGCCCACGCCTGTAATCCCGGCACTTTGGGAGGCCGAGGCATGTAGAGCACCTGAGGTCAGGAGTTCAAGACCAGCCTGGCCAACATGGTGAAACCCTGTCTCTACTAAAAATACAAAAAATTGGCCGGGCGTGGTGGCGGGCGCCTGTAGTCCCAGCTACTTGGGAGGCTGAGGCAGAAGAACCGCTTGAAACCGGGGGGCAAAGGTTGCAGTGAATTGAGATTGCACCATTGCACTCCAGCCTGGGGAACAACAGTGAAACTCCATCTCAAAAAGAGAAAAAAAAAACAAAAGAAATTATGTTTGCTTGGCTTTGGTACTTCTGTAAAAGAATAAGGAGGAAGGTGCTCGCCAGGGTCTGAGTGAATAAGAAGAACGCTGAGGCCGGAAGTTAGCACAGGTCCCTGAAACTGGGTAGGGACATCCCTCCAAACTCACCTTTGAGACAGTAGCCTGGCAGGCCCACAGAGACAAGATGAAAGGGAGCATTCGGTCATTGGCCTCAGTCGCCAAGGGCAGAAATGCCAGTTCTAAGGCCCAGTGCACACACCTGCGTACGTCCTCCTTTGCACAGCAGGCAGGAGCAAAGCAGGCCAACCTGGGTGCTCCTGGGGCTGAACTAGATTGGAAAGACAAAGCTCATGAAACCCCTTGCCCCAGCCTCCATCTCCAGGGGCCGTGACATTTACCTCACTGATCAAAGGGAACAAAACTCAACTATGGCCAAGAAAGAGGAGGCAGCCCTCACTTTGCCAGGCAATAAAGCAAATGGGCCCCAAGAAACACCGTAATAAAGACAGACATGGCTCTCAACAAGACAAAGCCTTCAGCATAGTTGTGCGACAACCAAAACCCCACAGAAGACTGGTATCAGATGTGACTCAACTCCTTGTGCTGTTCATAGTAAGAGGTCTCTCCAACTCAACCCTGGGGGGCTCAGTGGGGGTGTCATAGCCAATCACCTCCTCATGCAAAGTAAACTCATTCCCGAAGGAATTTCTTCCAAGTAAATCAAAACCACTTGAAAGCCTTAAGAAAATGTCACATCCAAAATACTTTGATAATTTCTGAAATTACGTGGCTCAGGGAAGCACTCTGGATTTGCAGAAAGATTTTGCGCCCTTCATGTCTGGTATAATACACACTTCTCTTATTCATTTTAACCACATCAAGAAATCCCTGAAGAGATTCCACTTTCTCAGCAAGGAAAGTTACAAAAGAGAATGTGAAATGGGCTTCTTTTTCGCAAGCAAAAATGTTTTATTCATGCAAAGTGAAAAGCCCTTTCCTTTGCAACATTACAAATTGAATTTGCTCTTGTAAATTGCTGTTAAGGAAAAAAAAAGGAATCAAAAGCAAAGGAAAGTAAAAAAAGCAGGAGTACAAAGACCCCTTCTTCTGGGGAATGGAAACTCAGGGGACCAATGGGGAGAAACAGAACCTTTCACTGGCAAACACACTTTTAAAATTTACCGTTTCCATGCCAATCCAGCTGAAGGCAGCCACAACCCCATGATCTTGCTGAGGTCCTGCTAGCTATGTGGAACCCTCCCATGATCTCGCTGAGGTCCTGCTAGCTATGTGGAACCCTGAGCGTATTTCGAAATTACACTCATCTGCTGACACTGAGTGAGAATAAGAAGTGATTTAAAAACATGAGTAATACAGCCCACGTTTCAAAAACATAACCAAGGCAATGTAACCTAATTCACACTGATTTCATCAGGGAGTAGGAAGCTCTTCCTGCTTTGTAGGACAACTGAACTCATTAGGGTCTGGAACAGCCGCTCATCCTCTAGATCACGTGATCAAGCGTACTTCAAGTCTCCCTGCGGTCTGACTCCTCTCCGACCTCCACTGTCTTTAAAAGGAAGCCATGTCATTAGCTGCATCTGCTAGCGTGTGTTTAAAAATCAAGGGCTAACATTCATTAAGCATCTGTCATGTCCCTATCACTGAACCGATTACTGTATACACATGCACATGCACATATACGTATGTGTTGTGGTCCTTATTATGATCCTCACTTCACAGATGAGAGAACTGAGGCTCAGAGAACTTGAATAATTTTGTCAACTGGAGTTTGAATCATTTGTTTCCTTCCAGACATGTAGCATGTGGCCTCACTTTAAAGAGTTAGGGTAAGCTGAAAACCTCATCAATACAATCCACTGACAATCTGACCTTAGGAAAACCCAAGCTCATCCACTCGTACACGCATGGAATGTAACAAGCTCCACACTTTGGCTCCTGCCTCGCACACGTATGTAATGTAACAAGCTCCACACTTTGGCTCCTGCCTCGCACAAGTATGTAATGTCACAAGCTCCACACTTTGGCCCCTGTCTCGCACACGTATGTAGTGTCACAAGCTCCACACTTTGGCTCCTGCCTCGCACACGTATGTAATGTAACAAGCTCCACACTTTGGCTCCTGCCTCGCACACGTATGTAATGTAACAAGCTCCACACTTTGGCTCCTGCCTCGCACATGTATGTAATGTCACAAGCTCCACACTTTGGCTCCTGCCTCGCACACATATGTAGTGTCACAAGCTCCACACTTTGGCCCCTGCCTCGCACACGTATGTAGTGTCACAAGCTCCACACTTTCGCTCCTGCGTCGCACACGTATGTAATGTCACAAGCTCTGCACTTTGGCTCCTGCCTTAAAAACAAACTTGGAGGACAGAAACCAGGAAAAGCTCAAGCATCTTACACCCAGGACCTTCCACCAAAGTTAAATGTTTTTAATGACGACCAAATATCACCAGAGAGCTTCCTCGTAAAATTAACCAATTCATGCATCTTTCCAGGGCTACAGCTCTGGCAAGCAAGGGAATGACAGGTGTGCGCACATAATCCATCCACCCATTCCCCCAAAGCATCTGGCCCAGCTGTCATCATTCATCACTCTGGTACGAAAGCTCAAAGATGCAACTGTGCTCCCAGGAAGGCTTATCCAATTGGCAGTGAGAAGAAAGACACTTCAGCTCTCTCCTTTGCAGACCATTTCTCATGTCTGGTTCTAGCATAAATGCTTACTCTTTCACTGATGAATACTTGGCCATAATCCTTCCTTTCTGGTTTAGGTCTTGGAACTGAATCAAATGCGCTAATGCCCAGCGTTGGTTGACAAAGGCTGTGATAAGCCAAGGTAGACAACAACCCCATTAGAGAGGACCACATGACTCAATAAAAAAGCAGAATGTTCAGAAATGGAACCATAAGCTCAGGAGAGCCGCCTCTCTGTTGTCGGGGATTTTTATCCTCTTTTGCAATGCTCTTGTCCATTTTCAACAAAGCAATAACAAGCTATCATCCTATAGCTCGTCCCTAAATGCTAGGAGATGCTCTAGTACCTTAGGAATTGCCAAAGACTGACTATAATTTAAGAATTAACTGCATTTAATGTAGACCAATTACTTAACAATGGTCTCTGAACATAAAGTCTGTGATAACTGCTATTTTATTAGTTAAAATACACACTTGAAAATCGGAACTCGTTTCCAATCATCCTGGAGAACATAAAATTCATAACACATCTAAGATGCATTTCTTATAAATAACACATTTTCAGTAGAATTTCAGAAAAATACACATCAAATGGAATTTTGATATGACCAGACCTTTCAAGTGTTAAAAAAGTTTAGCCAATCCCAAAACCCAGAAATTCCTGATAATCATGATTTAATGACCTGAGGCTTGTGATGAAAGGCTGTACAACGTCCCCCTCAAGTAAGCCCTTGATGAAGAGAACAGCAGCAGGAGGGCCTCTGAAATGGCTGAGACTTCACTGAATGAAATGGAATTCATTTTAAAAAGACTGCAGAGAGGAGGGGAAAAAGGGGTTCAGATGGCCTGGGTTGGAAACTTGGTTGCATGAGGAGGGTCAGGAGAAGACACATGCAGAACTAGAAGGCAGGATCAGGATCAGAGTTGACAAAAGATTTGAGATACAGAAACCAGGAAGGGAAGCAGTTTGAAGTCTTTAAGAGGCAGGGAACTAGAGACAAGCTTTCATTTTTCACATTTCTATATAGAAGCTACATGAGTTTCGTATTCCGTGAAATGCTGCGAGCCCATGCTTTGGTGTTCAGCTAGACCAGGGACACGGGTGAGGTGACCCAGACTGCCCCACCCAGGGACTCACCGGCCATTGTCGCGGCCCACGCCCCACACGCGGATGCTGACGATGGGCTGCGAGTGCAGCACGCTGCGGTCCATGGGGTCCACCAGGCTGAGCATGTCATTCTCCAGGATCAGGTACATGTCTTTCCCCTGGGACACAACGAGAAAACACGCTGTCTTCTTCATGCAGGCTGGAAAGCCTAATCGTGTGTGTGGCCATCTAGGAATGCCGTGTCAACCATCAGAAGAAGCCACCCTGGGGTCTGTAATTTGTCTGCCTAAGAAACTTCCTTTCTGGACAAGAATATTGATATCTTTCAGTTTCCCCTCATACACCCAATTTCTCTCTCCCTCTCCGAGTCCTCTGAAATGTGTCCCCATCCTGCTTTCCAGGCTGCTCTTAAATTTAATTATTTACACTTCTGAATCTTTACGACAAAAGGCTAATTGTGGTTTCCCTGGAGAATACGTCTTTTACTAATTCCATGCCCATCAAACTCTTGGAACCTGTCTCTCCCCATT
Organism: Homo sapiens; assembly: GCF_000001405.40. NCBI lineage: Eukaryota > Metazoa > Chordata > Mammalia > Primates > Hominidae > Homo > Homo sapiens. The sequence continues at coordinate 40,890,864 of NC_000004.12, forward strand.
CTTCTGGCCAGATCCTACCAAGCATCCCCTCGATGGCCTTTCCAAACCCACAACGATATCTGCTTCCTCTCGGCTTTTACACCACTTCCTAGCTGTGTGGTCTGCCTGGCAGACAGCAGGCACAGCTTTGTGACATTTCTCAGCACTAACAATGGCAAACATTTAAATGACAACATTAGGCTACGTGCTTAAGGTGCACTGGCTCATGAACTCTCTAAATTGCCCTCTGAGGGCTTGGATTGTTACTATCCCAGTTAGCAGCTGGGGAAACTGAGGCTGAAAGGTTAAGTAACTTGCTCAGGGTCTGACATAGAACCTGTGGGTGCTGCTGGGATCCCAGCACAGGGGAACACCCAGGTTTCTCAACTCCTGCACTATCTTTCAGAGTCTTACACTCTGGTGTCCCATCTCCCCACCTGTGTTGGCTCTTTGTGGGCAGAAGCACTAGACTATTCAACTTGATTCCCCCTGCAATCTCCCCGGCATAATTTTAGGACATCATTAAACATCTGTTGCACAGCTGAAAGACTCTCTCTCCTAAAGGTCATCTAGATGCTGGAGCACTGATGATGGAAGTTCTGGCTCAGCAGAACAGTGAGGCTTCTCGGTAGGTCTTCAAATCTCAAAGTAAAACAGACAAATTGCTTTCTGGTATAGTTTTGGGGAATGATGTTTTAGTTTCCTACCAAACATTCTCAGAGTGAAATACAGCTCTGATGCTCAGGGAGGCAGAAATAGGTATCTCAGTGCCTCTGTCAGACAGCGTTGAAGCTGTGGCCTGTCTACAGCTGAGATCCAGCCTGGTCTCAAATCTTCCCCAAAGAGCAGCTAAGCCATTTACAGATGAAAGCACTGGCAGAAAACAGAACTTGTGCACTGTTGTGGTGAAACAGATTCACCAGCTACTCAGAAGGCTGAGCATGCTGCCTTAGACCTATGGCTCCTCCAAAGGTCAGTCATTCACATATTAGTGTAAGTCACAACCACCTACCTTCTAAATCCTAGCCAAGAAAGAACAGCAGTTTTGACTGAAGGAGAGAGAAGACAGGTGGAGAATTTGGTGGGAAACATAGGCCTGGGTTTTGTTCTTTTTTTTTTTTTTTTTTGAGATAGAGTCTCACTTTGTCACCCAGGCTGGAGTGCAATGGCACGATAGCTCACTGCAACCTCTCCGCCTCCCAGGTTCAAGTGATTCTCCTACCTCAGCCTCTCGAGTAGCTGGGACTACAGGTGCGTGCCATCATACCCAGCTAATTTTTGTATTTTTAGTAGAGACAGGGTTTCACCATGTTGGCCAGGCTGGTCTCAAACTCCTGAGCTCAGGTGATCCACCTGCCTCGGCCTCCCAAAGTGCTGGGATTACAGGCATAAGCCACTATGCTCAGCCAGGCTTGGGTATTTGGATGGGAGATAATGCGGTGAGAGAGGACGGTAAAGTCAAACAACAGAAGAGGGTAAATGGCTTTTCTTGGATGGAAGAAAATTCTTCCAGCTCTCCCTTATGCCTAGAATCTAAAAGTCAGCTTGGCAATGCAGTGATTCAGCTCCACTTTAAGGAGACAAACTCCACCATGGAAAGGCTTGGAAACCTACTTCCCATTGGGATGTGCTGCTAGGAGAAAATGTGAGTGGAGTCCCAATCAGCCCAACCAAAAAGCAAACTTTTCTACCACTGCTCTGTTCACTAGAAGCAGAGAGAACAACATCTATCTATTCATGTAGCAAACACTATTCCAAGATGCTCCCAAAATGCTTTTTCCACAGGTCTCAGAGCACACCAGGAATACAGCTTTTCCGGTTTGATGTGAGTTTCATACACATTTGGTATCTGTACTTATTTTTTCCTTTCTGAAATTATCTCAACTAACATTTCAAAATGGAATCACTCTGTTAAAAGGGAGAAGTATATAAATATCAATTCCACAATTCATGTATAATGTTGATTCTTCAGACGCTAAGTAAAGAAGAGTGTTATAAAAGAATAATTTGTCAACTTTTAAAGCAGAGGCATCAACATTTTTGTGTGGACGTGTGGAAGTCACCTTCCCCTTTGAGAATACAGGTCCTTCTTCCAGTCTGCAAAACTGCTCTTATACACTGGCACATCCCATTTTGCAGGCATGTTTAGGGGAGTTCTGGGCCCCTAAAGCTCACCCGTGAATCTGTGTCCTTAGCTACTGAGAAACGCTCTCTCTCCAGGCCCCAGTCCTCACTGGCATCTGGCAGTGCTAAGGGATCAGTCACACGGGGGTACCATGCCTACACTTCCTGCATTAATGGGAAAAGGCACCTGATGAACACCTCGGAGCCCCTCAGTACCATGTGTCACTGAGCTGTGGGGCTTCCTGAAATGCAGGAGAACGTAAACAGCCTGCCGTGCATCATTCTACATGCCACTTACCTCTCCCCAAATCCCGACTGTGTCTCGGATGTCATTTTTGCAGTAGGAAAGTTGCCTGATGCAGTTGTTGACCGCAACACTACTTTTACCGGGGGCGAGGTCCTCTTCTGCCATCTCTACCCATCCCAGAGAACGCACAGCAAAACACTGGAAGACAGTGAAAGAGGACAAGAAGTCACTCCATGGTTTGGTCAATCATATCAGTTTACACTACTCCCCTCCCGCAACTAAAAGGTACTACACTTAATGCACCTTTATTTGCTTCATTATGTTCAATCATCTAATTGAGTTAACAAATCCTCTATTGCTGGAAATTAAATTGTAACTATTTTTTGCTATTTAAAAAAATGTAGTGACAAATATCTTTTTGCCTGATGTGTTCAGATTTCTTCCTTAGAATAGGTTACTAGAAGGCCAGGTGCGGTGGCTTACACCTGTGATCCTAGCACCTGTAATCCCAGCACTTTGGGAGGCTGAGGTGGGTGGATCACCTGAGGTCAGGGGCTTGAGACCAGCCTGGCCAACATGGCGAAACCCCGTCTCTACTAAAAATACAAAAATTAGCCAGGCACGGTGGTGGGTGCCTGCAACTCCAGCTACTCAGAAGGCTGAGCCAGGACAATCGCTTGAACCCAGGAGGCGGAGGTTGCAGTGAACCAAGTTGGCACCATTGCACTCCAGCCTGGGAGACACAGCGAGACTCCATCTCAACAACAACAACAAAAAAAGAATAGATTATGAGGGCCGGGCGCGGTGGCTCATGCCTGTAATCCCAGCACTTTGGGAGGCCGAGGTAGGCAGATCACGAGGTCAGGAGATCGAGACCATCCCGGCTAACACGGTGAAGCACCGTCTCTACTAAAAATGCAAAAAATTAGCCAGGCGTGGTGGTGGGCGCCTCTAGTCCCGGCTACTCAGGAGGCTGAAGCAGAAGAATGGCGTGAACCCGGAAGGCAGAGCTTGCAGTGAGCCGAGATCGCGCCACTGCACTCCAGCCTGGGTGACACAGAACGAGACTCCGTCTCAAAAAAAAAAAAAGAATAGATTACCAGAAATATAAGTATACGGCTAATGGATACAAAAATTTCTAAGCTCCTGATACTTCTTATAAGGCAGTTTTTTAAATAGTGAGAAATGCAACCCTGTGAAATCTGTTATTTGGTAAGCACCTAGAAACAGTGGAGACAGAATGAATTAACTGCATGTTAGGCACTTGTTTCTAATAACAGAGAAGCAAGGTGTTTTCTCTAATACCCAGAAAGGCAGCAAAACAAGGAAAAAAAGTATCCACTCATGATAACAAATAAGTGCCAGGTCCTATAGCGTTTGTGACGAGGGAATCTTTAAATGCTGAAGTGCTTGCAGAATTGACAGATTTGTGCTTTTAAAACCATTTATTCTTGTATCACTTAGAGATATTTTGTTTGAGATCATACTTCTTTTTTAAGGTTCTGTAATTCAATTTTTCCCTTTAATTAAAAAAGTTCTATATGCTGTTTATTATAACAAGTAAAAAATCCAAAGACGTATGGAGAAAAAACTTCCCAGTGCAGGTAAGGGTGACTTGGCTACAGCATTTGCCTTGCTGGTGATCACCAGGGTTGCCGCATGCCTGAGCTGGGTCCCTCATCTCTCTCTGCATCCCTGGTCCCATGCAAGCTGTCCAGCAGTTGCAGAGGCCACCTTCCCCAGATAGGAAAGGCAGACATGGAGCCATCCTTCCTTGGGAGCCAACAGACTGGATCTCAAAGAACAGCTTGTAAAGTTTCCAAATGTGAGCTTCATAACCAAATGAATGAATACAGCAAAGTGTCCTGAAGTGATCATATTCGGTCAAGGGCCACCTTCCCTCTTCCAGTCACCGTGCACAGACTGGGCACCTCGTTCCTGAGCGGATGATCACACTTTGTCAAAGGGGAAAAAAAAAACTCACCAAAATATCAAAGACAAAACAGCCCGTTTAAGCAAACAGTGCGCTGATCCTCACGTCCCAGAGGAGAAGTGTGACCACCTCAGCAGCCACTCTGCTGATGGTGCACAAGGTGCCTTTCACAAAGAAACCAAAAAGAGAAGGCAGTCCCCGTGACAATCACAGAAGCTACTCAGGAGTCTGAATCTTGGGGAAAGGTTCTGCACATGTATACACACTGCAGGGAACCAGCCCGATGGTGAAGAGGAGGTCCCGGGTGCCAGAGCTGGCTGTGGCCAATTCAGAGCTAGCCAGGTCTTGCCTGGCCTGCCTGCCCCTCCGCAGCTCTGCTCCCTCAGTCTCAGACCAAAGTGTGTTTCTCCAGGTGGATGTGTTGGATATTCCACAGAAGCACTCCACCAAACGTGCTGCTTTATGAAAACGCACAATTGTGCCAGTCTGATCCCTAAGTGCCCAGGCCCTGCTCTCCAGAAAGTGCTGTGCAGCCCACTAACCTCTCTCCCATGTCGGTTCCCAACCCAGGCCCTAGTCAGTAAAATCACAGTGTCCCAGCTGACTCCCCTGGCCTGCCATTCCAACCTTGTCTCCTACCACCTCTATTCAAATGTCAAAAGTATTATCTCAGTGAGTCCTCACCCCAACCCTTTGAGGTTGATACTAAGTTACTGTACCCATGTTATACATGAGGAAACTGGGTTCAGCACAAAGCTGGTGAGTGGTAGATCCAGGATTCAAACCTGGGCAGTTTGGCTTCTGGGCTCCTACACTTAACCACTTTGCTATATGCCTCTGAGATTTTTGTTGGGGGACAATGTCAGATGGTGTTAGGATGATAAACAAGGCTGGATAAACAGCCGGTGACCTCAATACAGTTCTTTTTTTTTTTTTGAGACAGGGTCTTGCTCTGTCACCCCGGCTGGAGTGCAATGGCATGATCTCAGCTCACTGCAACCTCCACCTTCTGGGTTCAAGTGATCCTTCTGCCTCAGCCTCCCAAGTAGCTGGGATTACAGGTGTACACCACCGTGCCCGGCTAATGTTTGTATTTTGGTAGAGATGGGGTTTCACCATGTTGGCCAGGCTGGCCTTGAATTGCTGACCTCAAGTGATTGGCCTGCCTTGGCCTCCAAAGTGCTGGGATTACAGGCGTAAGCCACCGCACCCAGAACTCAATACAGTTCTGAGCGTATGTGGATCAAGAGTAGGAACAGCCTGCATTCTAATCTCAGCTCTCTGATGTACTGTGGGACCTTGGACAAGTCATTTACTAAGTCCCAATTTTGCTCGTTTGTAAAAATGGGAGCAATAATAATAATTACTTCAGAGGGTTTTCATGAGGAGAAAATAATATAAGTAGTGAACTTAGAAAATAAAAAACACTTGAACATTTGTTGAATGAATGAGCAAATAAATACAGTGTCATGTAACTCTTAACTGAATAATCAAGAAGGAAAAATGAGAGATTTGTATTAGGGTGACCACATGTCCCAATTTTCCCCTCAATAGTTCTGGGGTATCCCTGTCATTCTGGCAAAATTATTCAGAGCAGCTCCTTTTACTCTCAAAAAGTGTCCTGGGTTAGACAATAAATCATATGATCACCTCAGTCAAAATTCTGGTGAATTCGGCTTCTGGCATGGAAACTGGGGCTTGGACAGGGTACTGTGGAAATGGGGTTCAAGACCCACAGAAGCTGCCACCAGGAGAGCATCTTAGTGACCCTGGCTGGAGTGAGCCCTAAGACAGCAATGTTACTGTGAGATAATACTCTTCAAACCAGAAGTCAGAAATGCGTTTTCCCACTGTCTCCAGCTGTCTACTATAAAATCCTACAACCTAGGACTGCTCAAAAGAATTCAGTAACAACAAAGAAGGTAAAAAAGAATACTGGCTGTTTTCTCTCCTTGGAATCCAAGATGACAAATATTTTGATCTAACAGCTCACTGAACACCCAGAGTATCATTCTTAGCTAAAATATGCAAATCACCCGACCTCACCCCAGCACATTAATAATACTGTTTTTGCCGGGTGGGCAAACAGGCTCATGCCTGTAATCCCAGCACTTTTGGAGGCTAAGGCAGGCGGATCACTTCAGGCCAGGAGTTCGAGACGAGCCTGGCCAACATGGTGAAACCCCGTTTCTACTAAAAATACAAAAATTAGCCAGGTGTGGTGGCACATGCCTGTAATCCCAGCTACTCGGGAGGCCGAGGCAAGAGAATCGTGGCAAAAGAATCGTTTGAACCCGGGAGGCGGAGGCTGCAGTGAGCCGAGATCGCGCCACTGCACTCTAGCCTAGGCGACAAGAGCAAAACTCCGTCTCAAAAAAAAAAAAAATTGTTTTGTCATACTGATGAATATAAGCCTGACATATTACTATAGTGAGTTTATTTAAAATCATTTTTCTTGGGTAACCCTGCTCTTGTTTTAATTTAGTTTCTCATCTGAAGAGTTTCACCCCATTCCATGTGGCTTAAGTGAGAGGAAACAGGTGTAAGCGGGACTAGGCAGCTCCGCCCGAGGGGCCAGCTTGGCTTCTTCCCAAAGAAGGGAGCAGAAACGAGCAACCTGCAATGTTTGGTGCTGCCCCCGTGTGGCCAGGAAGGTTCATAACCACCACCACTTTCCCTTAAACCCAGGAAGGGATGCCGGGCGTAATCAGTTCTGGGAATAAATGCTCATCTTGGAGCATGGGAAGAGCTCAAAGTATTTAATCAAGTCATCTGCCACTTAAAAAAAAAAGTTAACAAAAAAAAATCAACATATACACTTTGACTTATGCCCATTCTTCAATAGTTCTTAACCAAAAGGGCAAAAGAGTAATGGTTCAGGGTAGAACCGTGTCATCAGAGGAGTCTGGATTCAAGTCACGATTTTGCTACTTTCTGGCTGGTGACTTTGAGTTAAGTCACTTCAGGTCTCTAAGTCTCAGTCTCTTCATCTGTAAAATAATAATGCCACCTATACTTTACAGCATGTGCGAGGCCCAAAGAAGATAATGCTGGTAAAATGCTTAGCATCATGCCTGGCAGACAGTCAAAACTTCGCAAATGTTTATTATTATTTTTTGTTTGTTTATTATTTTTGAGATGGAGTCTCACTCTGTTGCCCAGGCTGGAGTGCAGTGGCGTGGCGTCAGCTCACTGCAACCTCCGTCTCCCAGGTTCAAACGATTCTCCTGCCTCAGCCTCCCGAGTAGCTGGGATTACAGGCATGCGCCACCACGCCTCGCTAATTTTTTGTCTTTTTAGTAGAGACGGGGTTTCACCATGTTGGCCAGGCTGGTCTCAAACTCCTGACCTCAGGTGATCCACCCACCTTGGCCTCCCAAAGTGCTGGGATTATAGGCATTTGCCACAGCATCCGGCTTTTATTATTATTATTGATAAACTTTTACTCTTTTCTATTAGTGGATTTTAAGGATTTCTCTAGTTTAACAGATTTCAGCCAAAGCCAGCACGTGGAGATGTACTGTAGACCACGATACATACGAATATATGATCTGGAGGGCTTTCTTAAAACACACAACAGGCCGGGCATGGTGGCTCATGCTTGTAATCCCAGCACTTTGGGAGGCCAAGGTGGGCGGACCACTTGAGGTCAACAGAGTGAGACTCCATCTCAAAAAAAAAAGAAAGAAAAAAGAAACACACACACACTCACACACACACACACACACACACACAGAACACTGGGCCCCTTCCCCAGAGTTTCTGATTCAGTAGGTCTGGGTAGGACCCAAGAATCTATATCTCTAACAAGCTCTCAGATGATGCTGAAGTTGTGATCTGGGAGCCACACCTTGAGAACCACTGCTATAGACAGATGGCTCCTTTCTTTACCCTAAGTTATGTGGTTCCTCAGACTGAAAGTAAAATCTAGGTTCAAATCCCAGGGCTGCCTCTTACCATTTTTGACCTTGGGTGAGTTAGTTAACCTGTCTGTGTCTCAATGTCCTCGTTATAAAATGTGGGTACTAAAAATAACTTGTCTCACAACAAATGTTGTCAGGATTAACTGGGCTAAATTCGAGTTTGCTGCTGCTTCTGTTATTGTTGTTAGTTACTATGGGCATTTAAGGGATCTGGGTCATGGCTGACCCAGAAGGGACACAGCTTTTGACCTGGGCCCCCTTCTCTCCCATTTGTTCTCTTTTCTTCCACAGTGGAATTGAGTCATCCTATCTTAGTTGGAACACTCATCTTGTGTGCAGCTTCTATCTCTGAGTTTTATAATACAGCCATCTACCTGCAGAGGACCTCTCCCTAAAACATGTGTCGTGGAGCAGAACACAGAGCAAAGCCTGGGTATCTATGACCAGATGGTCTTGGGTTCGAATTATATTCCAATCAGTGGATGCTCAGCCTCCAGGCATCTAAGGTTACTCAGTTGAACAGTGATAAGGAAATGAAGAAGGGCAAGTGGCTGGGACATTGTAGGCCCTCAGCAAATATGGACTTCGTTCTCTCTGGTTCCGCAAGATACTATTATTTCAATTTTTGTTTTCCTGTCTTCCATTTCTCTTTTCTCCTGCTGAATTTCTAGGTTTCTGTCCTTTTCCTTTCTCTGGGCTTTAATGCAAGCAGCAAAATGAGAGCATGCTGTCAGAAAACTGGGGGATCTCCTTCAGGGACCAGGTGGGGCAGGGGATGCAGTGAGGGGTGAGACCAGGGGCCAGGAGCCAGTGAGCCGTGGGATACAGGCCTTGCCTGTAACCAGGAAAGTCAGCCTCGGGGTACAGGACCAAAGAAGACAGTGGTAAAATGAGCTCATGTCCATGAAGGAGCATATCCGACACCCAGGGCACAGCTGCTGCTCTGTGACTGTTGAGAGACAGTGACCAAAAGGTAAATGGTACCAGAACATATAACAACGTTAAGTTACAGATGTTAGAAAACGAAAAGAGTTCACATCAAAAAGCTAAAATGTGGCCCGACACTACAAATGTAATCCTAATTAACAGTCATCTATGGGAATCATTTACCACTCAAGCCTAATTATCCTGCAGCACAATAACAACTGTGTATTCGCGATGATAACATTTCCTGAGTGCCTGTTAGGTCCTGGAGGACTACAGAGATGAGTGCCTATTCTTCCCTGTAGATACACCTGAGTTACCTGAGAGTATCTGAGAGTAGATAAGTTCGTGCTCTTGAGAAGCTTGTGACAGAGCAGACACATAGCAGCAATCTATAGCACGGACCATGAATGAAGGATACACTGAGGCACAAACATGGGTTGGGAGCTCACGGAAGGAGGTTTTTTTTTTTTTTTTTTTAAGATGGAGTCTCACTCTGCTGCCCAGGCTGGAGTGCAGTGGCACTGTCTTGGCTCACTGTAACCTCTGCCTCCTGGGTTCAAGCAATTCTCCTGCCTCAGCATCCCAAGTAGCTGGGATTACAGGCGCAGACCACCACGCTCACCTAATTTTCTGTATTTTTAGTAGAGACAGGGTTTCACCATGTTGGCCAGGCTGGTCTCCAACTCCTGACCTCAAGTGATTCGCCCATCTGGGCCTCCCAAAGTGCTAGGATTACAGGTGTGAGTCACTGAGCCCGGGCTTTTTTTTTTTTTTTTTTAATTCAGAGTTAGTGATGGACAGTTTCTTAAAAACATGAAATTGAGCTGAGCCTTACAGGACAGATTAATTCATTCATTCAACAAATATTTATGACACCTACCATGTGCTAGGCACCAGAGACTTATTATCAATGGGACAAACAGACCAAACACTCTGCCCTAGGTAGTATTTCAAAAAACTGGAAGGGCATATTCGTTTGGCTGCCACATCCAAGGTCACACAGCTCTGTGGACATGGATCAAGAAGAGTAAGGTGCAACTATGGGAGAAGGGGCCCAGCACAGTGTGGCTTGGGGCCCAGATGTTGAAGCCACTAACTCTGGGATGAAATCTCAGGTCGGCCACTTATTAGCAGTGTGACCCAGGTTACTCAATCTTGGTGAGCCTCAGTTTCCTCATCTGTTGCCATGAGGATAACAGGATGGACCTCATAGGGTCCTGGCATGATGAAATGGGATGACTTAGATTAAGAATCTTGCAAAGGGCCTGGCCCAAAGGAAATAGGTGAGAAAAGGTGGCCACTATTTTCTCAAGGTCTCTGATCCCCCAATCCTGACATATCATAGCCAGCTATGCCAATCTAGTTTTGTTTTTACAATTAATGACTGAGCATCAATAAAGATACCCCTAGGTGGTGGGGGACAGGGAGAGATGCAGAGCCTGGTGGGGGTGGGGGGTGCTCTGTCCTCTTCAGAAGGGCAGGCTGACTCATCAGCTGACTTCAGGGTTTTTTTTGTTGTTGTTTTTTGTTTTTGAGACTGAGTCTCGCTGTCTGCCAGGCTGGAGTGCACTGGCACGATCTCGGCTCACTGCAACCTCCGCCTCCCAGGCTCAAGCGATTCTTGTGCCTCAGCCTCCTGAGCAGCTGGGATTACAGGCGCCCATCACCATGCCCAGCTAATTTTTGTATTTTTAGTAGAGATGGGGTTTCACCATGTTGGCCAGGCTGGTCTCGAACTCCTGACCTCAAGTGATCCGCTTACCCCAGCTCAGCCTCCCAAAGTGCTGGGATTACAGGCGTGAGCCACCGCGCTCGGCCACACTTCAGGGATTTTATTAAGGGTCCACGGACCTGGGAGATCCATGGATGAGCTTCAGGAAGTTCTAAACACCCTGAAAATATATCCAAAATTATGTGTGTGTGTGTGTGTGTGTGTGTGTGTGTGTGATGGAAAGATGGTCCAAAGCTCTCACCAGTTTTCTAAAAGCTGTAAAAATACAAAGTACAGTATATCTTCACTTAACATCATTGATAGGTTCTTGAAAACTGTGACTTTAAGCAAAATGACCTACCTCGAATAAGGTTTTGTTCAACTTCTTTCAATGTTGTTTTGCTATAATGTTGATGAGAAAAAAATCTGGTTTCCTTACACATCATTTCTCTTAAAGCTGGAGTTTCTAAGAACTCACTAATAATGTTAAGTAAGGATTTACTGTACTTTAAAAGAGTTCCAAGGAGGTTAGACAGCAGAGTGCTCACCGTCAAGACATCAACACGTATTGTATGTGTGTACGTGAATCAGGGCTAGCGAAAGCTTTCTAGTTAGCATCACAATCCTCTTTTGGTTAGTGGATGAGGAAACCGGTTAAATGGCTCTACATAGGAAATGATCAGGAATTTAAGAGCTAACAGAAGAAATGGGTATAGGAAAGTAGGGAGGGGCAAGAAAGGGCTGCACAACTTCAGGGTGGCTGGAGCTGACAGGCAGGACTGAATGACTTGTGAAAGTGAGAAAGTCTGACCCAGGTTTTTTGTTTTTGTTTTTGTATTTTTTTGAGATGGGGTCTCACTCTGTCACCCAGGTTGGAGTACAGTGATACAATCATGGCTCACTGCAGCCTTGACCTCCCAGGCTCAAGCAATCCTTCCACCTCAGCCTCCCAAGTGGCTGGGACTACAGGTGCCTACCACACCCTGCTAGTTTTTTATTTTTTGTAGAGTAAAGATCTTGCCATGTTGCCCAGGCTGGTTTCAAGCTCCTGAGCTCAAGTGATCCTCCCACCTTGGCATCCGAAAGTGCTGGGATTACAGGCATGGGCCACCCCACCTGGACCCAACACCCAGTTTTTAATACAAGAAACTGGCCAGGCACAGTGGCTCATGCCTGTAATCCCAACTACTTGGGAGGCTGACGCAGGAGGATCACTTGAGGCCGAGAGTTCAAGACAAGCCTGGGTAACAAAGTGAGACATGGTCTGTAAAAAAAATTTTTTTTAATTAGCCAGACACAGTGGTGCACACCTGTAGTCCCAGCTACTAGAGAGGCTGAGGTGGGAGGATCACTTGAGCTCAGGAGTTTGAGGCTGCAGTGAGCTAGGATCAAGCCAGTGCATTCCAGCAGTGGCTTAGGTGACAGAGCGATACTCCATCTCTAAAAAAAACAGTAATAAAATTTAAAAATGGGCCAGGTGTGGTGGCTCACACCTGTAATCCCAGCACTTTGGGAGGCCAAGGCCGGTGGATCACCTGAGGTCAGAAGTTCAAGACCAGCCTGGCCAACATGGCAAAACTCCAACTCTACTAAAAAAAAAAATACAAAAATCAGCTGAGTGTGGTGGCAGGTGCCTGTAATCCCAGCTATTCGGGAGGCTAAGGCAGGAGACTTGCTTGAACTCAGGAGGCAGAGGTTGCAGTGAGCCAAGATCGTGCCACTGCACTCCAGCCTGGGCAACAGAGTGAGACTCCGTCTCAAAAAAATAAATAGATAAAAAATGATGCAAGAAACTGATTTTGATGTAAGCCCCCTTGATATTACCCTTGATGCACCAGCAAAGGGCCTCTTACAGAGATGGCTGATGTTGTCAGGGGGAATTAAAGGAGAAGGGTGTTACCCTTCTGCTGAGGAGAACGTTGGCAGAGAAAAAGGAACATGCAAAAGTTTCAGCGTAGAGAATAGGGATTCAACATAAGAGAAATAGAAGCCACAGGGAACAGGCAGGGTTTTGGGGAGGATACACACACCACTGCAGGATATGGGATTCCAGCCTGTCTTGCTAGATCCTAGGAACATGGTGATCCCGGCTGCTGCCTATGCTGCAATAGCTGCTCTATGGAGACCTTTTCTATCTATGTTCTGGGGGTCAGGTGGAAAAAAGCCATGTATTCCTGCTATATGTGACTATGAAGAAGAACCTTTTTAATAATCATATAGCCCACATACTATTTATTTCACATTGGTGGCCAGAATAATGTACACTTAGGGTACATTTGTTACATTTGATAGCGCATGTTTTGTGATATTTCCCTAAGAGTTAAGTACAGCCCTCTGTCATCTCCTAGTTACTGTAGCCAGTAGACAGCAACGGGTCTGATTTCTGCCCGCAGCCCAGGGTCTTTTCACCACCCAGGTTTCACTGAGAAATACGGCAATTAGGCCAGGTGCAGTAGTTCACTCCTGTAATCCCAGCACTTTGGGAGGCTGAGGCGGGCAGATCACTTGAGGTCAGGAGTTCGAGACCAGCCTGGCCAACATGGCGAAACCCCGTTTCTACTAAAAATACAAAAATTAGCCGGGCGTGGTGGCACAAGCTTGTAGTGCAAGCTACTTGGGAGGCTGAGGCAGGAGAATTGCTTGAACCTGGGAGGCGCAGGTTGCAGTAAGCCGAGATGGCGCCACTGCACTCCAGCCTGGGTGACAGAGTGAGACTCCATCAAATAAATAAATAAATAAATAAATAAATAAATAAATAAATAATAAGGCAGCCAGTGAGCAAAGGGCTATGACCTAAAACAACTTTCACAGAGTCCATACAAAAAACAGGCAAGCTTTTCAAGATTCAAAATACCTCTTGGATGTTGCCTCCATAATAGAGAAGTTTTTAGTAAACTGGCATTTGTGGTCATTACAGGCAGAAACGATCACTGTCATTATGTATATGGTTTTAAATATAACTAGGCTTTGTTATTGCTTTTTTTTTTTTTTTTTAAATACTGAAATGCTTTTCAAAGCTAGGATGTCAGTGGGTTCTGCCAGAGAGGTGTCTGGGGATTCTCTGGAGTGAAGCTTGACCCAGTTCTCCATCCGGCTGAAGCAAGGAATCAGCCTGATTCATTATTCAGCATGGCAGAGACCACGGTGGCCAGGGAGGACCCAGAGAGCATTTCTACACTGGTCCCCATGAGCGCTCCAGCTGTTCCTGCCATTTCCCCCAGACTGTCTACAATACACTGAGCACTCAGGTAGAAAACACGATGCATGGCCCTTTGAAGCCCTGGGCCCACTACTGCCATTAACTTAACTTTCCCCCTTCCTATTTTTCAGAGCAAGACACATAACTGGAAAAGCTCCCCTGATGTTAACCTCTGACAGGCCCTTCTACAAAGAGGACGGTCATGATCATGGCTAACCCCCATGTAGCGCTTACCATGTGCCAGGCACTAAGGGTTGATCCATAATTGAAATATCGCCCACGATATCCATCTCCTTGCCTGCCCGCCACCCACTAATGGCTGGTCCCTTCATGAAGGGCAGTTCCCAGCCTGGGTCACCTCTGTCTCTGCTCACAGGGCCAGGAATACTAACCCCATCCCCTGCAGTTGGGAAACACCCAGCGCACACGCAATCATACAAAATAAAAGCTACATTATTTGACACAAGGAAGGAGAAAGAGGCAACGCAGTTGAGCAGCGGCCTCACAATCCTTCTTCACACACAACACGGAGCCAGGCGAGTTCCCAGGATATAAAACTTCCCTGATGTCAAGTCCTTAAATGAAAACGAAAGGATTCTTTCAAAGCAGATGCATCTTTACTTGTTCTCCCCTGGGCCATTCCCAAGTCAGCTCCTGCCTGCGAAGTCTATTCCTAACCTCCTCCCTCTGTTGGAGAAAGCGCACTTGCAGACTTGCCACGAAGCAACCTTGAGAAAAGCAATCATTGTGAGATTTATAGGAACCACTGATGTGCTGGAGAGAATGCACAAAGGCAGTCTCACTCCAGTGGGGGCTGAGATGACATTCGGCATCTACTTTATTGCTGGGGATTCAGCATCTACTTTATTGCTGGGGAATCTTTGCTTCCTCACGCTTATTCAGGGGAGGCCAAAGCTCCTCACTCCTCCGCACTGAGAGATCTCTTTGGTAAGGGTACGATGGTCCAGAACAGCAGCCTAGACACCTTCCTGACCCCTTGTGTGGCTCGAGTGGGGAAGCGAGAATGAGTTTGATGAAGGTCAGTGGTCTGAGGCCATGCTGGAGAGGGGGAGGGTGCCACTGTCCTGGAGGGGCCTGGATTTGGCTTCTAATTTAAGATATACATTTGTGTAGCATTAAAGTCATGACATCAACATGCTTTCCTTTTAAGACACAAGATACACATTTTTGCATGGCAATGAAATAATGTCTTCAGTGTATTCTAAGCATAGATTCTAAGTATTCATTGTTAACTTAAAAGCATTCTCAGCTGGGCACAGTGGCTCACACCTATAATCCCAGCACTTTGGGAGGCTGAGGTGGCTTCTGCTTGAGCCCAGGAGTTCGAGACCAGCTTGGGCAAAATGGCAAGACCCTGTTTCTACAAAAAAATTTAAAAATTAGCTGGGCATGGTGGCACACGCCTGTAGTCCCAGCTACTCAGGAGGCTGAGGTGAGAGGATGAGGCAGGAGAATGGCTTGACTGGGAGGCAGAGGCTACAGTGAGCTGAGGTGCGCCACTGCACTCCAGCCTGGGTGACAGAGTGAAACCTGTCTCAAAAAAAAAAAAAAAAAAAAAAAAGAAAAGAAAAGAAAAGAAAAAAGAAAACAAAAATTCCCACCAGTACTTAGTTAAGGGGATTTCAGAGTCCCAATGAGGAGGGAGGAAACTTCCATTTCCAGCGCTCTGATGTAACCACAGGTGCTTTATTATTAGTTACCTAACTTAATTTAGTTCAATTTTCACAACCCAGTGAACCCAGTGAAAGAGGGACTCTGCATCTTTTTTAAGTGTCCATACAAAACATTGGAAACATTTTGACCATGAAAGGACTTGAACCCTCAATCTTCTGACCCAAAGTGAGATGTCTTTTCCCTTAGGCCACATGGTCTCCTCTCTCCCATTTTTGAGATAAGCAAACAGACTCCTGGCAAATTTAAGGTTTCCTAAAACAGAGGTGGCAGAAAGGAGTGTCCCACACATGCACTTATTGAGAGTGTGTGTATATACATGTACATATGCATGTATATATGTGCACACGGGTATATATGCATGTATATGTAAATATGCATATATACACACATATATGCATGTCTATATGTGTATATGTAGATGGATCTAGGTACAGATAGACATACATGCAAAGGACTCAGCTAGAGACTTCCTTTTACATATCTTGTTCAATCAACTTAATCCACATATCAACACATGAGGCAGATATTATTATTGCCATTTCACAGATGAGGAAACTGAGGTACAGGGTAGTTGTTAAGACTGAATCGTGTCCCCTCCCCAATTCCTATGCTTAAGTCCTAACCCCCAATGTGACTGTATTTGGAGAAAGGGTCTTTAATGCAGTAATTAAGTTAAATGAGCTCTAACAATGGGGCTCTACTCCAATAGGACTGATATGCTTTATTTAATTTAATTTAATATATTACATATATATATATATATATATATATATATATATTTTTTTTTTTTTTTTTTTTTAGACAGAGTCTCACTCTGTCACCCAGGCTGGAGTGCAGTGGCTCACTACAACCTCCGCCTCCTGAGTTCAAGCAATGATCCTGTCTCAGCCTCCCAAGTAGCTGGGATTACAGGTGTGTGCTACCAAGCCTGGCTGATTTTTGTATTTTTAGTAGAGATGGGGTTTCGCCCTGTTGGTTAGGCTGGTCTTGAATTCCTGACCTCAGGTGATCTGCCCACCTTGGCCTCCCAAAATGATGGGATTACAGGTGTGAGCCACTGTGCCTGACCCTTTTTTTTTTTTTTTTTTTTTGAGACAGGGTCTTGCTCTGTTTTCCAGGCTAGGGTGAAATGGCGCGATCTTAGCTCACTGCAGCCTTCACCTTTTGGGCTCAGCCTCCCCTGAGTAGACGGGACTACAAGTGTGCACCACCATGCCTGCTAATTAAAAAAAGGTGGGTTTTTTTTTTGTAGAAATGGAGTTTCACCATGTTGCCCAGGCTGGTCTGGAACTCCTGGGCTCAAGCCATTTGCTCACCTTGGCCTCCCAAAGTGCTGGGATTACAGGCGTGAGCCACTGTGCCCAGGTGTGTGTCTGTGTGGTGTGTGTGTGTGTATGTGTGTATGTGTATGTGGTGTGTGTGTGTGGCATATGTGTATGGTGTGGGTGTGTGTGGTGTGTGTGTGGCATATGTGTGTGTGTATGTGTCTGTGTGTGTGTGTGGTATCCTTATAAGAGGAGGAAGAGACAGCAGGGAGGCGCCCACACAGAGAATAGGCCATGTAAGGACAGAACAAAAAGGCGGCCAGCACAAACCCGGGAGAGCGGCCCCAGGGGAAGCCAAACCTGCTTTCACAGTGACCTTGGGCTCCCAGCCTCCATAACTGTGAGAAAAGAACGTTTCTGTAGTTGAAGCCACCTCGTCTGTGGTATTTTGTTATGGCAGCCCCAGCCAACAAACACACGGTGGTGTATACACTTCAGGTAACCATGAGCATATGGCAGAGCTGGCAGTGAAGCCTGAGTTTGTGTCCTGACACATTCCTGTCACCGCGCCTTGCTGCCTCCTAGGTGCGGCAACAATGCTGGCTTTCCTGACGGAGAGAGGGAGGCCGGCATCCCCAGGCCACACCTATAATGCCTCTCACCCCATACACGTGTGCACAACACGCCTCCTCCCCTCCTCACAATCTTGGGTGCACCCAGTAGCTACACCCGGCTGGCACCGGAGCCCAGGGAGGCCAGCCCCACTCTAAAGAGGCCCCGAAGAATTCAAGGCCTCCTAGGAGTACCCTGAGGAGAAGAAAATAATCCCTCAATGGGGAGTGAGTACTTCAAAGCCCACCAGCTCTACGTTTATAGCTTTGGGCTGGTCCCGAGGCTTCTCAGAAGTACCTCAGAGCCGACAATGGGGGAGCCCGCCACTGCAGGAACCAAAAGCCCTGAGGTAGTGTGGGTGCCCTTGTGCAAACTGTCCACTAGGGGGCACCATCACCCAACACCTGCTAACAGATCACTGGAGGCAAGGAGGCCTATGGAGGCAAAGGAAATGCCCAGGGAACCGACTAACTGCCTGCTAGCTGCGTCCTCCTCCCTCCAGGCCACAGCACTGCTCTCCACACTGTTTTCCAGAGGTGTAGCACTCTTAGGTCCAGGGGCAACCTGCAGAGGAGCCCAGTGTGGGGCTGAGGCCTCTGGGCCTCCCCTGTCACAGTGGCCCTGCTCTTGCCCTTACACAGAAGGGCTTCTGCTACTAAAGAAAGGCCGGTGCACCATGCAATCACCATTATTTGCAATGCCTGCCCCACAGCGACTCTCATTAACCTGCTGAGCAGGTTCAATCATCAGCACGTTATGAACAAGTCATACAAATCTAAAAATATCAACCAGAAATGCCAACTTATTAATTTACGGAGAGAAACGCCAAGTGTCAGTCGACTGCATGTTCAGGTTGGCTAATGAAAGGGTTTGCTCTCTGCAGGAAACCCACTCCAGTTTTCAATCCCCAGGCCACTGCAGGCTGACAAACAACGATGCAGGCAGAGGAACCTGACAATCAGCATCCTAACAGCCAGGATTCTTGACGATTCTTCACTCATGCCAGAGACACGCCTCCGGGTTGTGATTTAGTACAGAAACAGTTAATTGCATTAGTCATTTCCTGCCCAGGAACCAGGCTGGCATTATGAGTCCTATTTTTATCAATGGAAAATTTGAGCAGAGGTGGGTTCAACCGAGAGACGTAGCACAATGTTTCCAGAATGTCATGGAACAAATTAAGTGTATGTTTACTTAAAGATGAACTTGCAGGCATATCTCATTAGACATATGTAATCTGATAATCACTTATAATCATCATGATACTAGCAGTGACTATTTATCGAGGGCTCACTCTGTGCTGAGTGTTTTATATACAAGTCTGGTCTTGGCAGGGAAAGCATGAAGGTGGGCGCTGACATTTACACATCACTTGCCACAAGCTGCATGCTTTACAACATGTAGCACAACATGTTTTCACAACAACACTACAAAGTAGGTGCTGTATTTCTTATTTTCTAAATGAGAAACTGAGGTTCAGGGAACTTAGTTGAATTGTCTAATGTCACAATGTAAATAAACAGCAGAGCTAGATTTGATCTGAGGTTCACCGCAACCTCTGTCTCCCAGTTTCAAGTGATGGTCTCCTGCCGCATCCTCCCTAGTAGCGGGGATTACAGGCACCCACCACCATGCCTGGCTAATTTTTTTTTTTTTTTTTTGTAATTTTAGTAGAGACAGGGTTTTACCATGTTGGCCAGGCTGGCCTCGAACTCCTGACTTCAGGTGATCCGCCGCCTCGGCCTCCTAAAGTGCACTAGTCTTTTTTTTAATTTTTAGAGAGGGGTCTTGCTTTGTTGCCCAGGTTGGAGTGCAGTGGTAAGATCATGGCTCATTGCAGCCTCAATCTTCTGGGCTCAAGTGATCCTCCAACCTCAGCCTCCCGAGTAGCTGGGACTACAGGCTACGCACTACCATACCCGGCTAATTTTTTCTTTTTTTGTAGAGACGGGGTCTCACTGTGCTACCCAGGCTGGTCTTCAACTCCTGGGCTCAACAGATCCACCTGCTCCAGTCTCCCAAAGTGCTAGGATTACAGGCATGAGCCACTGGGCCCAGCTCCCAGCCCTAGTCTTGATTCCCCATTCTCTGCTCTACATTAGCTGTTCTATTAGCAGAAATGCTCAATCTAAAGGGGGATCCTTGAGATCAGGCCTGTTCTGTGGACCTCTGTATACCCACCACCCAAAAGTGGCCCCGGATGTGCCACATGCTCAAGAAATACTTGTCAGATGAAGACACTCGAGCTTGAGACAGACTGAAATATCATGGCAAGGCTAGGCCAGACCTGACTGGCAGTCCTGGACTACCACTCCCTATTTGTGCCTTCAGCACATTCATCGTCCTTAGTTTCCTCATCTGCATCACCGGAGGGATAATCTTGCCTTTGCAGGCACTGCTGTGGATTCAAGGGGCTGTGAACCCTGGCAACCAGCCCAGCACAGCCTATGGGAAGCAGTTGTTTTTATTGGAATAATAGTAAAATTGTACACAGCCTGGACTCTGAAGCCAGAGATTGCAGTTTGAATCTCAGCTCCCTACTTAATTCCTGTATGACACACGGCAAGTTGCTGACCTTCCCCTGTGTCTTGGCTTTTCTAACATGGAAACGACAGACATAGGGTTGACCCTTGAACAACATGGATTATTTGGACTGTGTAGGTCCACACAGATTTTTGTCAAGCAAATGCAGATTGAAAATAGAGTATTTGCAGGATGCAGAATTCATAGAGGGTTGACTTCTCGAATCCGTGGGCTCCTCAGGGACAACTGTGAGACTTGAGTATGCGTGGATCTGGTATACTCGGGGGTCCTGGCATCAATCCTCCGCATGTACTGGGGGATGACTGTGCTTATGTTCTAAGGAATGTTGGGAGCACTAAATGGTATCATGTGTATAAAGTGCTCACAATGGTACCTGGTAAGCATACAATGTGTCAACCTTTATTATGATTAGCTCTAAATTATCAATAAATCCTGATCTAAGCCATGCCTAGTGATATAAAAGTCATATAAAATATCGATTCAGTCGGGGGACCTAGAGTCAGGTAACATGTCCAACTCCAGGTGTCTTACACTGTAGGCCACAGGGCCAGTTCTTCCTGTGGGCTTACTCTGCCCAATCCAATCCATGTCTGGCTTATCAGGAGCGCCATCATAAGCTGCTGGGGCCTGGAACCTGCAGACTGGAGCCCATATCCAAGGGTCCTGGGACACCTCAACAGAGGTGCATCCTGAGCTCTTAATGTGTCTGCAGTCCTCATAAGTGGGCCTCCAGCTGGTCCCAGACCAACACCTAGGGGGACACGGATTCCTGTGCTGGAGCCGAGCCTCCATGCAGAGCTTTGTGCTAATTTCTTCTCTAGGTACCAGTGGGATCTAGATAACTCATTGTCATGACATCACCTCCCTCCTCCCTCTGCCCCTACACAGACTTTGAGCTTCAGAGCACTGGGATGCTGCAAAGGCCTGCTCATTAAATCGGACCGGCTAGACATGGAACAGGCCTGCAGAAGCTTTGGAGAGTATGGTTTGGACTATTCCTGCACTCAGCGATACGGGACAAGCACAGAATGCAATAATATTTAGTTTGTTCAAAAAGCCAAATGCTTTTGCAAAATACTCTTTTTTATTTAATAGGAAATAGAGATTGTCTTATGGAAGAGTGGGATGGGAACCTGTGGAAAGACATCTTAAATCCAACCCCTGGCAGTCTGACATAGGGCTGCTGTCAAATCCCCATAGCCACACTCCCAATCACAATGCTTCTTAGATACCCCTAACCCACCGCAGCCTAAGGCCTACAAAGACAGCTCAATGGCTGGGCACGGTGGCTCACGCCTGTAATCCCAGCACTTTGGGAGGCCAAGGCGGGCGGATCACCAGGTCAGGAGTTCGAGACCAGCCTGGCCAACATGGTGTAACTCCGTCTCTACTAAAAATACAAAAATCAGCTGGGTGTGGTGGCAGGCGCCTGTAATCCCAGATACTCAGGAGGCTGCAGCAGGAGAACTGCTTGAACCTGGGAGGCACAGGTTGCAGTGAGCTGAGATCGTGCCACTGCACTCCAGCCTGGCTGACAGAGCAAGATTCCTTCTCATAAAAAAAAAAAAAAAGGACAGCTCAGTTATTGCAAAAGTATCTCTAAGAATGCTCTGAGAGTGACTGTGGAAATTCCCCTGGAGGAACAGTGAACACGTTACACAAAAGGGAACTTCATCAAATCTGCTGCTGGAGATGCTCAAATGCCAAGCAAATCTGAGTGTGTGGCAGTAAACATGAGATTCACATCCCACCTTCTCGGAGTCTGAGTAAGGGCCCATGGAAGTCGAGGCCAAGAAGCTCGGCTGGCAGAATCCCGCTTCTATTCCTGCTGATACGCAGCAGATGTCTGCGCTACTGGGAAACCATTCTTACTCCCTGAAAGTGTGAGTGGTATTTTAGTTTTCCCCTGCAGGAGTCTTGGAAAAGATTGGAAAGCAAGTCCTGAGGTCCGCATGGCTGATTTACACTACAGATTACGTTTCTGCTGCTGCAAAGCTGAGAAACGTTATTTGCAGAGTAAGCACAGAGGAAAATCGGAATGCACACCAAACTGTGCACATGAAGTGGAACATTGCATTTCGCTGGGAAATGAGCTCTAGGCCACGTGAGCTCTAGGGGAAACGCTGATCCTAAGAAAGGAGCAGAGACAGCCTGCAGTCAGCAGTCAGGCTGTACCCGCCAGTCTGGGGGGTCAGAGCTGGGACGCTGTGGGCCAATGGTGAAGTTACACAGTTCAGTCTCAAATAGTAACAGGTATATTTGCAATATGGAAAATGTAATTCTCAAATAAATAAACAAGTGTATGGTTTTTAACAACTGTTTGCCGTAAGCATGCTCCCTAGGCGGAATCTGAGGCAATTCAGAACTAGTTTGGTACTCTCTACCCTAAAATGTGCCTTTGCACATGAGTCCACTCGGAATAATGCCACTGAGCCTTGAATAAAGTCCTTCCTCCGAATAGCTCAAGTGCAAATACACTCCATCCCCATCATGTGCAGATTCCATATCTGCAAGTTCACCTACTTGCTAAAGTTTATTTGTAACCCCAAAGTCCATACTCCTGGTGCTTTTGCGGTCATTTGTGGACATGTACAGGGTGGCAAAACACTTGAGTTGCCCAATGCACATGTTCCTAGCTGAGGTTGAGCTAAGTGACATTCCCCTATCTTGTTTCAGTTCTTATACTGTAAAGAGGTGTCCTTTTTGCGATCCATTTAGTACCACTTTTTTCACATTTTCGTGCCCTTTAGCAGTGATTTTGCTGTTTAACATGGCTCCCGAGAACAGTGCTAAAGTGCTTTTAAGTGCGAGAAGGCTATGAGGTGCCTTATGGAGAAATACTTATGTTAGGTAAGTCATTCAGGGGTGAGTTATGGTGCTGGTGGCCATGAGTTGAAGGTCAACGGATCAATAACATACACTAAATAAGGGGGCTGGGTGTGGTGGCTCATGCCTGTAATCTCAGCACCTTGGGACGCTGAGATGGGCGGACCACCTGAGGTCAGGAGTTTGAGACCAGCCTGGCCAACACGGTGAAACCCCATCTCTACTAAAAATACAAAAATTGGCCAGGCAAGGTGGCTCACACCTGTAATCCCAGCACTTTGGGAGGCTGAGGTGGGCGTATCACGAGGTCAGGAGATCAAGACCATCCTGGCTAACACGGTGAAACCCTGTCTCTACTAAAAATACAAAAAAAAATTAGCCAGGCATGGTGGCAGGCGCCTATAGTCCCAGCTACTTGGGAGGCCGAGGCAGGAGAATGGCGTGAACCCGGGAGGCGGAGTTTGCAGGGAGCCGAGATCACACCACTGCACTCTGGCCTGGGTGACAGAGCGAGACTCCATCTCAAAAAAATCAAAAAAACAAAAAAATAAAAATCATCCGGGTGCAGTGGCTCACGCCTGTAGTCCCAGCTACTCCGGAGGCTGAGGCAGGAGAACTGCTTGAACCCAGGAGGCGGGGGTTGCAGTGAGCCGACATCGCGCCATTGCACTCCAGCCTGGGCAACAAGAGTGAAACTCCATCTCAACAAATAAATACATAGGTAGATAGACAGACAGACAGATAGATAAACAAATAAATGGAAACACATAAAACAAGGCTAGATACTGATCAGGTGATGAAAATGTTGTGACCAGAGGCTTGCAGGAACCTAACTCTGTATTTCCTCTAGGAGCAATGCTTCAGTATTCACTAATTCAGTGTTGCTGGTGACTTTATAGAATTCAATTGCCGCAAATGATGAGAATCAGCAGTATCTGTCCTTCTTCACAGAGCAAGAATGGAGGGGCATAGGATAGCAGGGTGGGGGGTGGTGCTTAATTACTCTTAAGCTTTCTAGATTTTGGTGTAGTGAGTTGCAGGCACTAGAAACCATGAGTCCCTGGGTTTTTGTCCTAGTTCTGCTACTGACTAGAACCTTCAGGATGTCACCTGATTTACTCAGACCTCATTTTAGTCATCTGACAAGAGAGGGGAAGGGGGCAGTTGAGGAGGGAGAAGGGTTTGGGCTAAAAGATAACTCAGGACATTGCCTGCTGTGAAATACCTCTCAAACACTTTATCCGACTCTTGTCCCCACTGGTTATTCCTTTGGCTTAAAGGCACAGTGGCCTCCAGGCCAATCCTTCATCCACTAAGGACTCATCACCATGGGCTCCCCCCACCCTCCCAATCTACCTGCTTCCCTCTCTCATCTCGTACTCAGTGTCACCTTCTGGGAAGCCTCCCTGATTACTTAAAGCTGCTACTCCTCCTGGCACTCGCTCACACTCTTCCCTGCTGTTTTTCTCCATAGTAAGTCTTTTCACCTGATGTACTTTTATTCCACTTGTGTGGTTCTCTCTCCACACCCTGGAATGTACGTTACACAAAGGCAGGGACTTGGTCTGCAGTATCCTCAGCCCCGGAGCGCAGAGCCTGATCCTAGTGAGTGTTAAATGAATGTATATCTGCGAAGTTGGCCTTAAAACAATACCTGGTACTCAGTAAAAGTTACTGATAACTATCTTCAGGGCTAATTTCACTTTTCACTGTTGTTTTCTAAGAAAGGTTTTACTGTACCAGTCACCAAGAAATGAAAAGTCTGCAACTTTTTGCAAAGTGTCTGAAATGAACTCAGTGAGTTCATAACGTGCAAAGACCTACAAAGACTTCAATTAAAAGCACGGCTGTTCCCAACCCCAGAGAGAAGATTTATGAAGTCTGAGCTCTCCAGGCTGACTCCTGGGATTCTGCACTGTGCTCTCGGGGGAGGAGCATTTAACCACAGCATGGAGACCCAGAACACAAGGGCTCTGGGACCCCGGAACCCGGCCATCTCATTTCACGAATGAGTAAATCCAAGTCCTGAGAGCATTAGCCAGAGTTGTGACTAATAAGAAGGAAGCTCTGCCTTGAGGGAGTGGAGCTGGCACTGCAGGGTCCTGGGCCCTGTGTGAGTGAAGTCTGTCTTTAAAGAGTTTCTTTGGTAACTGCCCAACACTCAGGGAAATGGTCCCTGACCGACTGGAACTCAGTGTGTAATGCAAAGGTGAAGTAAATACAAAGAAACTCTCTGCCAAGATAGGCATGGTAATTGCAGAAGAGAAAACATTTTAGGTAGTTGTTCTAAAGAATTTGCTGTAAATTAGATATGATGAATTCCTACGGGGAGGAATGTATGTGCACAGAGCTGAGACATGAAAAAGGAGACCACAGTCAGCCACAGACTGGAATTAAGGCTAGAAACCTAACCCCAGAGCTGAGAAGGTATCTGAGGAGGAGACATCTCTCAGGCTAGACCTGAAGACAGACAGACAGACAGACAGACAGAATGAAGTGCTCCCTTGTGGCTTCTGCTCACAAGAAGGCAAAAAGTGGATGCTGTCATTGGCAAGCCTGTTCCAGAAGCATGTGTCATGTTCCTAAGATAGTCACTTCCCACCCGTTCTGCACATGGAGATTGGCAACTGTTCCTCAGTATTGGCTGAGCTGCGATTTTCAAAATGCAAGAAGATATGTTTCCCTTTGAAAGAAACAATTTGGCCCATGTAGACTTATGTGGTTGGATTTTGTTCCAAGTAGGTAACATACCCGTGTCTCTGTGCAATCATGTCTTACCCTGTGTGTACGTGGCCACCAGGAAAGACAGACAGGGAGAAACTGAAGGAAGCCCAGGAGGTCCAGAAACTAGAAACTATTCTGAGAGCGAGCATGACTGACCGACCCTGGTGATCACACAAAAACAAGGAGGGACCCAGAGGATGTTGCGAGGCAATGGATTCCCAAAATTCCAAGAGAAGCAACCGCAGGTGAGATCCTGTTGTGAAGCCTTGAGATGGTGACGGGGCAGAAGTATGCAGTGAACGGGAGACCTGAGTGTGGAGTCTGTGGTGGGGAAGGTCAGAGGGAAGAGGGGAGGACTTCGTATCATGCAGCCTACACAGCCTGCAGGCCATGATACCACGTCCCTGGGCTCTGCTGCACCGCAGACTTCTGCAGGCTTCCTCAAGTGGCCAGGGCTCTCACTCAGGGTCAAGTCAGGGCGGCAACTCCTGTGCTGTGTTGACTGCGGCTCATTACTGCCACCTGTGGGACAACTGGGACTGTCTTCTGAATGGACCTGGGGTGGGTCTAGTGATTTGAGGCCCTGCAGAAGTTTATTGATCCCAAATCTGAACTCCAACTGCAGATGGTAGCTCATCTCTTCACCTTCATATTCTGCTATTCTCTAAGTGAACTCCAGCTCCCCAGCTAGCCCCAGAACCTGGCTTTTAGAGCTGAACTCCAAGATTTCTTGTCTTCAGCTTGATGGATGAGGCCCATCAAAGAAAGGGAAGTGACTTGCCCAAGGTCTCCCGGGCTGGAAGCAGCAGAGACGGGTGAACAGTGGGGTCCTCTGTCCACAGTACTCATCCCACCACCTGCTACGGTCCCCTGACAAGCCACTGAGGTCAGGGTCCCCATGTGTATTTTTTTCATATCCCACAATACCTAGGTAAGTGCTAAGCAGATAACCAGTACTTAAGATCTCTCAATGAATTTTTTTCATCCAATGAGAAAATTTAGACTATCCAGAGAAAAAAACACCAAAAATAATTAAAGCAACATGAGTTCTGTGAATTATAAAGGTAGAGGGAGTTGAGGTCAATTTTATCAGAGAGGGAATGGGTTATCTTAAAGTATTTGAATGAGTTGGGAAAATATCAACCAAGAGTTGCCCTTCTACAGGATATCAAAGAAGTAGAAGCTTTGGAATGATGAGGAGTATTTGCAGAACAGTAATGGTGAACTTCTTAAGAAAAAGAGATGTTAAAACAAGGAATCCTCTACCAAGGGTGCTGTGTGCTTTTTATCCACAGGGCAAAGGTTTAAAAACAGAGTGATCAGTTAACTCTCCCTATGAACCTTCTTGTTTTAACAGAGATGAATGGACCAGAGACTCAGGTTTATTCTGTATCTAGGTTATAATTCCACATGCAAAACGCAATCTCTGTGAAACTTATTCCATGACAATGCAATACAGCTTCCCATTTCTCACATTGCTTTTGAAGGAGAGGATGGCAGTTCACACTTTAGCACATAAAACAGAACACAATATTATGAATATTTTCACTTATTTACAATGTGACGTATCCCAGTGCTGGCCAAACCACTCTATCATAATTCTATGCAGCTTAATCTAGTGGGAAAGGGACTAGCTTGAACTAGCACATCCCCACACTGGCTAGTACACAGTTACTGAGCACTGGCCAAGCTCATCTCTACAGACATCTTTCAAAGAGAGAGGCCCACAAAGAACTCCATAGGAATGTGAAGGTGTTTTGCAGGCAATGCCACACCAACACATGCTTGAGTGCCACTGGGGAACCTCTGAGCTATCTGTGTCAATTTTGTCCCCAGTATTAACTTTTTAAGTTAAAAGATTTGGGGGAAAATGTTTTATAGGCACTACACTATTTACCCACAGCCTATCTCTTGGACAGTAAGAGTGCTTTAATGCCGTTAATGGCAGCAGGCCAGATTCTGTGGCAATCCCCATTTTTGGCAGTCCTTGTCACTCTCTCAATAACAACACGAACACTGGGGGGAGAAGCAGCAGAGGAACTCAAGGAGCATGCAAAGGAGCTATGTTTTCCTGTAAAATGGGGGCAGCTTTCTTTCTTTTTCCTTCCTTCCTTCCTTCTTTCGGACGACTTCCTTCCTTCCTTCCTTCCTCCCTCCCTCCCTCCCTCCTTCCTTATTTTTTCTCTGTTTTTTTTTTTGTTTGTTTGTTTTTGTTTTTTTTAACAGAGACAGGGTCTCACTATGTTCAGGCAGGTCTCAAACTCCTGGGCTCAAGCAATGCTCCCACCTCGGCCTCCCAGAGTGCTGGGATTACAGGCATAAGCCACCATGCCTGGCTGCAATTTCCATTTTTACATTTATATAGAGCCTTGAGGTGAGTTTCTTTTTCTTTTTCTTTTTTAGCTAGTATAAAACCCCTGTGACTAAAGCTGAAGTCTTTTCAAGCAGGCCTCTGGAGGTTGAGAACAGACTGGGCTTTCACCAGGGGTACAAGGAAAGGAAGGCTGGTAAGATAAACTCAAGAGGCATCCTTTCCATTGTGGCTGAACCACTAAATAAGTCTGAACTGGCAAGTGCTTTACGTAAATGTGCTCCAGAGTAAAGAAAAAGGGACAGTAATTCATTCTACGTTAAGTAAAAAATCTACACAGGCACGCACATGCACTTACTAAATATAACCAGTGAAAAATTGTTTCAAGGCTTGTTTTGTCCATAAGAGGAGGCGACAAACACCCCCATTAACATATAGGAACTTCTTTACACATGTCCTCACGGTCACCTATCTGGAAGTTACGTGAAAACTTTCTCACATCATCAGGTGCATTTCTCACGTCATCAGGTGCTATCTACATTTTAATGCATCCTCATTAATAACCAGTTTATTGCCAGACATTTCCCACTTTAAATTTCTCTGGAAAAAAAGAAATCCATGCTGCTTAATTTAAGCTATGACATACTGTAAAACACTGCTAACATCATGATTCCCAGGCTCAGAGAATGAGGTGGCCTTAGAAATGGTACACACTTGGGACTGGGCTAAGCCCCACATTGCCTCTAGGTGACTCTGTCCACACAGCCGCCCAAACGGCTAACTCACCCCGACTGGCAGGACTGCTGGGACCCATTACATGAAAATATTTTGAGGACAGTTTTGGAAGACAAAAATTATACTTGATGTTTAGAGTAGGCTGTAGATTATCAAAGCATCTCTACAACACGTCTTGTTTCATCTTCGCAGCAACACTGTGAGGTTCCCAGACTAGGCAATAGCGTCATCCCATTTTACAGATGAGAGAAGCGAAGTCCAGAGAGGTTTAGCCACACGGCTCATTGCTGACAGTAGGGGGCTAGAACCCAGGTATTGCTGCTCCTGCTTCATCATCTTTCCACTTGTACCACGGCCCTGCACTGGGGACAAAGATTCTCTGGCTGTTTTTTCCTCTTTTGTCATTCACTGGGAGTCAACTGCTCGGGTATGTCATTAATATGGTTTGGCTGTGTCCCCACCCAAATCTCATCTTGAATTGTAGCTCCTATAATTCCCACGTATCATGGGAGGGACATGGTGGGAGGTAACTGAATCATGGGGGCGGATCTTTCCCATGCTGTTCTCATGATAGTGAGTAAGTTTCACGAGATCTGATGGTTTTATAAAGGAAGTTCCCCTGCACACCCTCTCTCTTTCCTGCTGCCATGTAAGATGTGCCTTTCGCCTTCTGCCATCATTGTGAGGTCTCCCCAGCCATGTGGAACAGTGAGTCCATTAAACCTCTTTTCCTTTATAAATTACCCAGTCTCGTGTATGTCTTTATTAGCAGCATCAGAACAGACTAATAACACACAAACACAAACCACACACATACACAAAACTGCATTTTCTCTTACCTCTCCATCTTTAAAACAGTTACATGTCTTTAGGTGAACCTGAGCTTAAGGAACAGAACTCCCACCACAACAACCCCACAGGGAATCAGGGGACCAAACCAAATGCAGGCTTTAAAGGGCAGGGCAGGGCCGGGCTGGACGCAGTGGCTCATGCCTGTAATCCCAGCACTTTGGGAGGCCGAGGCAGGTGGATCACCTGAGGTCAGTGGTTCGAGACCAGCCTGGCCAACATGGTGAAACTTCATCTCTACTAAAAATATAAAATTAGCTGGGCATGGTGGCATGCACCTGTAATCCCAGCTAGTCAGGAGGCTGAGGCAGGAGAATCACTTGAATCTGGGAGGCGGTGGTTGCTGTGAGCCGAGATCACACCATTGCACTCCAGCCTGGGCAAAAACAGCAAAACTCCATCTCATAAACACAAAACAAAAAACAAGGCCAGGGACGGGCTGACCTACACTGAGAGGAAGGGTAGCCCAGCAATGAAAAGCTTGGACTCTGGAACCAGACTGCCTGGGTTCAAATCTCAGCTCTGCCATTTAGCAGTGGAACAGTGATCAAGCCACCGAACCCTCTGTGCCTCGGCTCCCTCAACTCAAAATAAGAGACCCTCACAAGGCTTGTGGGAGAACAGAGCACTGTGAGGCTCGTGGCAGCATTTCCAGAAGTGGTGATAAAACTGAAAGACAGAAAACTGAACTTGTCCATAATGGCCTCACACCACCTTTTTGTATTTGTGCCCATACATGCTAAATGCTCTATGAACATCGGCTAACATAATCATTATTGTACTACGGGGAAGAACACAGGCCTTAGAGCCTGCCTCCTTGGGTTCAAATTTCAGTTCACCCACATAATATATGTGTGATTTTAAGGAAGTTGTTTAGGTTCTCGGAATCCCAGTTTCTTCGTTTGTACAATGGGAATAATAACTTCATCTCCCCTGCATGGTGGTTCTGAGAATCAGACAGATGCATGCAGAGCGACCAGCACACGGCTGGACCTGAAGAAATGTTCATTTCCTTCTCCATCCATCCTCTACTCTTGCCAAATGATGAAGGTCGACACTGGATGCCCATTCATTCCATTGTTTCTAGCTCTCAACCAAAACACGGTGAGATGCATAAGAATATCTGAAGAGAAGAGATGAGCCTGATGTAGCATTTTGCTTTATTTATTTAGTGACACTGGCCCACTGCATTGGTGAAGAGGAGAAAAAAACTAAGTACTTTCTACAAATACGCTCTAGGTTGCAATCTCATCTGAGCTCGTAACTGAAAAAAGCATGGCTCTCAGGAGAAGCACTTTTTGAGAAATCACATGCTTTCGGCTCTGGGTTCCATGTGTCATTTACACGGGTCCATTTTCCAGCTTTGCTAGAGACAAGGGTCGCTTGCAGTTCAACCTGACCATTGGTAATGTGGCTGGGGCAGAAAAGTGGGACCCTGGTGGAGACCTTTCTGCCCCTTCCTGAGCAGCGTGTCTGCCGAGAGAATGAGACCATCATGGATCGAAAGGGACACATATCCTATTGGTGCCAACAACAGAGGGGGAACTAAGCATGTCTGGCTAGAGATCTGGGGTAGGAATGTGTGGATTCAACAACTAAATACACCTTTCATGAAGCGATCATTAGTCTGAGGGTCTCCTAAAGCTAAGTGAAATTATTTATGTGTTAGGGCTTAGTGAACTCATCTAACCGAACTGCTTCAACATGAAGCAACAGAAATCCAACTTGCAGTGCAGTTGCAAGCTACTTCTTCAATTCCAGCAGCACTGTAATTGTCATTCTTAAATGATATTAGCATTGTCTCTGCTGCATTATTTTGTTTCCTTCCCCAGTCTGACTGATCTACTACCCTGCTATGTATGTACTAGCTATTGAATACATACATGCCGAGTGAACAGATGAATCTACTGCAGACTGCTGTTGAGAGCTGCCACTCTTGGTGTCAGTTTAGAGTCTGAAAATGTGGAAGGCTGACTACTGAAATGATTTTCTTATAAGCACGAGTCAGAAGCAGAGGGAGAACTCAGACCTTGATCTTTGTGACTTAGCTATAGGGCCTCACAATTGGATGAGATTTTAAATAGGAATCCTATAAGTGACAAAGTATTGTGGCTTAGCTAGAAATGGCTTGGCATCTGAATTATTTATTTACTTATTTTTTGAGATAGGATCTGGTTCTGTTGGCCAGGCTGGAGTGCAGTGGCGCAATCTCGGCTCTGTGCAACCTCTGCCTCCCAGGCTCAAGTCGTCTTCCCACGTCAGCCTCCTGAGTAGCTGGGACTCCAGGTGTATTCTACCACATCCAGCTAAATTTTGTATTTTTTTTTTTTTTTATAGAAGGGGGCTCACTATGTTGGCCAGGCTGGTCTTGAACTCCTGAGCTCAAAGGATCCACCCCGCTCGGCCTCCCAAAGTGCTGGGATTACAGGCATGAGCCACTGCACCCAGCCAGCATCTGAATTAATCTAATTGTTCTGTAGGAAAAACCATCAGTTCTCCATCAATTTTTTTCTTTTTTTTTTTTTGAGACGGAGTCCCGCTCTTTAGCCCAGGCCGGATTGCAGTGGCACAATCTTGGCTCACTGCAAGCTCCGCCCTCCCAGGTTCACGCCATTCTCCTGCCTCAGCCTCCCGAGTAGCTGGGACTACAGGCGCCCGCCACCGCGCCCGGCTAATTTTTTGTATTTTTAGTAGAGACGGGGTTTCACCGTGTTAGCCAAGATGGTCTCGATCTCCTGACCTTGTGATCCGCCCGCCTCGGCCTCCCAAAGTGCTGGGATTACAGGCGTGAGCCACGGTCGTGCCCAGCCTCTCCATCAATTTTTAAACTGCAAATAAAGCAGAAATGTTTTCATCACTATCTAAATACCAGTATCTGGCATTAAGCTCTCAGGCAGCAAGCCTGAGAGAACAAGTTCTGAGACGTGCTGGCTCTTTTCCAGATGGCCTTGGAATGCCAGCTTCAGGACCCCCAGGTCTCGACCAGCTGGCCTTCCTGGAGCACCCAGACCTGCTGAATGGATGTCCCATGGCTACTCCTGCCCGAGGCTGTTCAGTTCTGTGATTATTCATGGCCCAAAATTCTGTGCCAAGAACCCACCAGGCCAGGTTCACACACCTGCCGCTCTGGTGCCATCAGGATGGCGGCTGCTGCCACCGCGGCTGGCTGGTGCCCATTTCCTCACCTGTTTCCTACCTCATTCCTTCAGGGGAAGAGGGAAGTCTGCCTTTCCTTCATTAGCTTTTCCAGGCATCTGCCCATCAGAGGGCGCAGCTGCCAAGAGTTAGACAACAATGCATCTTGTTTCAACAGCACCCTTCAAAACTCGGGGACTCACACACGGCTGCCAATTCCTCGACCGCTCATTCAGGCAAGTGTAGTGACCAGAAGTTAATAAGGGAAATAACACCGTGCTTCTGCCAGGAACACGGCATTATGCTTGGCCGAGTTGGCAAATAAAGGGAGGAAAACAGTTTTAGAAACACAAAAGCTGTCCTCCGGGATAGGAGGCAAAATGAGCAGCCAAGGCCAATGGCAGTGAGTGTCTGCACCACTCAACGGAAAAGCAGGATGGACAAGGGTCAGGGAGCCTGGCTTCGGGTCCTGCTCTGCCACGACCAGCTGTGCAAGCTTGGGCAGGTTACTTTCTCTGCGCCTTCTGCTTTTCCTAAGGCTGGAATGAGATGATCCTTATTTTCCCCTTGTGAATGCCAACCTAAAAGCCATGCATGAGAGGCTGAATCTCATTCAGCCAGGACTTGATATATCCATCACTGGCTCTGGACCTTGGTTTCGTGATTCAACCATGTTGCTATTTTCTGCCCTGTACTGAAGGCACTAATTTTGAATGACTGAAATGTGGGAATGACATGTTTGGCAGATTGTACCTCCCAAAGATGGCTGCATTAAAACCTCCCGTCCTATGCGCTCCTTGTAACGTGAACTTGCCACGTCTCATCAAGAAGTGGAGTCTGACAACTCTGAACAACAGAATACGGTGGAAGTGACATGCTGCCATTGCCAAGAAGAGCCTTTCCTCACCTGGTGGCTTCACCTTCCTGCTTCTTAGAAGCTGGACACCAGGTAAAAAGTACAACTGCCTACCCAGAGACCACACCATGAGAAGACCAAGCCACATGGAGAGGCCCTGGAGGACGTGAGGAGGAGCACTGAGCCAGGAAGCAGGTTGGAGAAGAAGCCATCTTTGAAGAGGATCCTCCAGCTCCGGCCGCCCCCATGTGGATCAGGCAGGAACTGCACCGCCAAACCCTCCCCAGACTCTGGAACCCACTAAATCCTGAGCAAAATAAATAATTGTTTTAAGCTACGAAGTTTTGGTGCAGTTTGCTACATAGCACGCAGGAACAGATAACAGAAACAATGTTATCCACAGTATTGGGCAAATACAGATGGACCTCATCTTAACAGATCTGTTCCTAAAAGCATTTGCTGAAAATGAACACAAATTTACATATCAAATCATTTTCAAAGCTTCCACACTTACATTTTTTGAAAAGTATGGTGGCGGGGGGAGAGGGAATCACTAACTCCAGTGACAATTCAAATATACTTATTAGCTAAGGTATCGTCTCCTTCTGGGAAACCACCCGAGCCACCCCTTTCAACCAGCCATGGAATATGCCCCCGGAACAACCCCCATTCGTGACTCAGTAGCTCAGCTCCTGGTACAGTGCATTGAATTTGCTTGTTTCTTCTCCATTACTTGAAGGCAGGGGCCATATCCATTCCTTCTGGTAGTAGGAACAGTATAATGGCGAATGCATAAAGAATGCTTATTATGTGCTAAGGACTGTTCCAAGACCTTTACATGTATATTTATAGTGTTTATAGTATGTCAATTCAATGTTTATAACAGCCATGTGAGGTTGGCTCCATCATTACCCTCATTTTGCAGATGAAGAAACTGAGGCACAGAGGGGGTAGGTAACTTGCCCAAGGTCATCCAGCTGGTAAGCAGCAGAGCCTGGCTTTAAACCCGGGCAGTCTGGGTCCAGAGTCCATGCTCTTAACCACACCATACATTAAGTATGTATGCTCCTTTCGCACTTAGCATTCAATAAACGTCTCTGACTCAATGAATGAATCAACAGTGCAAATCAAACCCAAACTTCCACACAGATCAGGATTTCTGAAAGAAACCTGTACCACGTGAATAAAAATCAATTATAAGAACTACATGCAGCTGTAACATCCCATATAAATGCTAAGTAATGACAATGAATTTGCTACACAGACCAGAAATAAATCTGAATGAGAAAAGGTACTTCCCTACTACTTCCTGCTTATCTATTAGTGCTAATCTAGTCAGTAGCTGCTAATATAATTACTTCATGAAAATCTATGCTAATAGGAACCAAGGGAGGGCACAGATAAATAAAGCTCACAGATGAATATTGGAATCTCATGTCCATTCGCCATTCAGTTCAGAAAGCTCCGTCAAACCTACTACCCGATGGTTTGTTTCATCTCCTTCCTCTTCCTCTCCATCTGAGGTAAGTTATAACAAAAGAGTAAGGAGGCACACAAAGCTTTCACAAAATCCAGTGCCAATAAAAAAAGTTCCTGAGCAGCTGCGAACTGGTTGCAAATGGCCATAAAAGAACTAGAAGATACTGCATAGAAAGACTATGTCTACTTCGCTGCAGAAGCTGCACAAAATTGGTGCCTTCTTTTTATCATGTTTCCAACTGTATAATGTTATTACTCTGTGTTGTTTGTAGACTGGCAGTATTGGTATCACCTGCAAACTTAACAGAAATGCAATTTCATGTCCCACCCCAGAGCAAATGAATCAGAATTTGCCCACAGGTACAGTAACGTGTGAAAAGCACCGCAAAGGATTGGACCACAAGTCTGGATGAGGGTGAGAAGGAGTCTGTCCTCAAGCACTGACCTTCCAATTCCTTCACCCATTCCCACCTCCAACAACTCTGCTACTCCAATCCCAAATTGCCAAAATGATTTTTTTTTTTTTGAGATGGAGTCTTGCTCTGTTGCCCAGGCTGGCATGCGGTGGCGCGATCTTGGTTCACTGCAACCTCTGCCTCCGCCTGCCAGGGTCAAGCAATTCTCCTGCCTCAGCCTCCCAAGCAGCTGGGATGACAGGCATGTGCCACCACGCCCAGCTAATTTTTGTGTCTTTAGTAGGTACAAGAGTTCCGTCATGTTGGCCAGGCTAGTCTCGAAATCTTGACCTCAGGTGATCCGCCACGCCTGGCCCCAAAATGATCTTAAAGCTGAGAGAAGCGATAACTGGGAACAGGTGGGCGTGACACTTTCCTGGCCTTTGGAATCAAATGCATCTGTGTTTGAGTCCCTGTTCCATTAGTTACTAGCTGTGTGATAAATTGACGTCTTCTAAGCATCGGTTTCTTATCTACAATATGGAAACATAACTATAATGCCTTGTTTTTGCAGGAAAATTGCACGTAAGTGCCTGGCAGAGGGGAGGGCACACACACAGTGAGTGTTCAGGAAAGAAGAGCCAGCCCTGGTTCATGGCGCTCTCTCTTTCCTTCTCCAGACTTAAATACAGATCAGACTATTTCATCTCCAGATGCCACAGATCAGGGCTACTACATTTCATTTGAAATCTGAAATTTTCTCAGAACCTGAAATGACTTCTAATTTGATGACACATTCATTTGAAAGATGAGGACGCTGAAACCCAGAAAATTTAATCTCTGGGGCAGCACAATCTTCCTTACCCGTTTCCTTAATTATGTGTTTCAAAGAACAAGGTTCTAAAAACAGTACCAAAAACCTCTCCTGACAAATATATTGAAAATGACGTGTTATACACTGAGACAGAGACAGCAGGATGGAGCGGTCAGAGGCCCAGAAGACCCATCTTCAAATGCCATCTCCACCAAGAACTAGTTGTTATCACAAATAACTCTATGACTCATTTTTCTCACCTCTAAAATAAAGGCCCATTAGATGGGCTCTAATGTTACTTCCAAGCAAAAGAAATTCTGATTCCAGATGAAATGTTGCCCCTCTTTTTTTTAGAGACAGGGTCTCACTCTGTCACCCAGGCTGAAGTGCAGTGGCCGATCATGGCTCACTGTAGCCTCGACCTCCTTGGGCTCGAGTGATCTTCCCACCTCAGCCTCCCGAGTAGCTGGGACTACAGACGCATGCCACCACGTTAGGCTAATATTTGCATTTTTTGTAGAGACAGGGTTTCACCATGTTGCCCAGGCTGGTCTCGAACTCCTGGGCTCAAGAGATCTGCCTGCCTGAGCCTCCCTAGGTGCTGGGATTACTTAAAGCATGAGCCACCGCGCCCAGCCCCTCTTCTTTAAAGATGTAATTTTCAATATTGTCCACCAGGTGGCAGAACATCTCCTTTACAGAAGTCTGAGCGGAGTTACACAAAGGACAGAAAAGAACTCTGACAAAACGGTATATATATTTCAAAGCATTAAGTTTTCTACAATTTGATTGTAACTGGTTTTTATTTGAATGTTAATCAAGAATTTGGTCAGCCATGTGCCACGGGAAAAGGGCTAAATTCCAAATCTAAGATATTAAAGTAACATGAGCACAGCGGGTGATGGGGATTGAGAAGTGCAAGCTACCTGGCCGCCTAAAACGTGCCAAGGAGTTGTCTTCTTAACAAATGCGGCCTGAAGGGCAATCATCTACAAAAGCCTTGGATATAGAAAGTTTTAAAACATTTTCCATGGAAAAGTGGCGTAAAATAGAAAAAGAACTGACTGAAGAAAATGTCTAAGATTACAGAAGCAGATAGTTCTGAAGTTAAGGGGACTGGGCGCAGTGGCTCATGCCTGTAATCCCAGCACTTTGGGAGGCCGAGGCAGTGGGATCGCCTGAGGTCAGGAGTTCAAGACCAGCATGACCAACATGATGAAACAACATCTCTACTAAAGAAAACACACACACACACACACACACACACACACACACACACACAATCAGCCAGGTGTGTTGACACATGCCTGTAATCCCAGCTACTTGGGAGGCTGAGGCAGGAGAATCGATTGAACCAGGAGGCAGAGGTTGCAGTGAGCTGAGATTGCACCACTGCACTCCAGCCTGGGCAAGAAGAGCGACACTCTGTCTCAAATAAATAATTTTAAAAAAAATGTGGCCAGGTGCAGTGGCTCATGCCTGTAATCCCAGCACTTTGAGAGGCCAAGGCGGATAGATCACTTGAGATCAGAATTCGAGGTCAGCCTGGCCAACATGGTGAAACCCTGTCTCTACTAAAAATAAAAAAATTAGCTGGGTGTGGTGGTGTACACCTCTAATCCCAGCTACTCGGCAGGCAGGGGCAGGAGAGTCACTTGAACCCAGAAGGCGGCGGTTGCAGTGAGCCGAGATCGCACCACTGCACTCCAGCCTGGATGACAGAGTGAGCTCCCGTCTCAAAATGAACGAATGAATGAATGAATGAACGAACGAATGAATACATGCATAGAGACTAAAATGCAATATGGCATCCTAGATTAGATCCTGGAACAGAGAAGGGCATTAGAAGAAAAACTGGTAAAATCAGAATACAGTGTTTATTAAAAATCAGAATACAGTGTTTATTAATAATTTTCTATTGATGTTAATTTCTTTGTTTGTACTGTGATTCTGTAGGATACAACATGACGGCGATCTGGAGAAGGGGCTATGAGAACTCTGTACTATCTTTGTAACTTTGCTGTAAATCTAAAATTATTTCTGAATAAAAATTTACTTTTAAAGTGCATAGAAAAATAAGAGGAAAAAACAGCCAGGAATGGAAAGAAAGAGAGTTTCAGAGGAAATGTCCTGTGTCTATGATAATTTAATAAGGGGAAATTATTTATTTATTTATTTTTGAGACAGAGTCCTTGCTCTGTCGCCCAGGCTGATGCGATCTCAGCCCACTGCAAGCTCTGTCTCCTGGGTTCATGCCATTCTCCTGCCTCAGCCTCCCAAGTAGCTGGCACTACAGGCACCCACCACCATGCCCAGCTAATTGTTTGTATTTTTAGTAGAGATGGGGTTTCACCATGTTAGCCAGGATGGTCTCGATCTCCTGACCTCGTGATCCACCCGCCGTGGCCTCCCAGAGTGCTGGGATTACAGGCCGTGAGCCACCGCACTGGGCCAATAAGGGGAAATTTTAAAACTAGGGGGTAGTAGCTCACACACAATAAACTAAGATGAATAAATACAAATGACAAAGCCTAGAGTGAACTGATACGTGGACAAAGAGGAGTACTCTAGGATATTACTGATGGGATTATATGCTGCTGCAGGCTTTCTGGAAAGTAATTTTGCAATAAGTGACAGAAGCAATAAAACCGATAGCCTTTGCCCCAGTAATACCAGTTTTAGCAACCTATACCAAAGCAATAATTTAAAAGAAAAAGAAGTCACCTATTTTTATGAAGTTGTAGCTCTGCTCTGTAGTGGGGGAAAAACTCCTCCTATGGATACTGGTGCCTAGACAGATTACGGTGCTATTAATTAAATGAAATATTACCATGGAATTAGGAGTGACCAGGCCGAGGACTACACAGAGGAGCATGTGAAATAATTTTTCAAGAGCTCACTACATGCAACACAGTCTCCTAGGCTGGGTCCTGGAACAGATTAAGGTTATTAGTGGAAAAAATGAGAAAATGTGAATAAAGTTTATAGCAAATAATATGATATCAATATTAATGTCTTAGTTTTGACCGATGTACCATGATTATGAAGAAGTTAATATTAGGGAAAGTTAGGTGAAGGGGTCTAGGAGAACTCAATATTTGCAACTTTTCTACAAATCTGTAATTATTTCAAAATAAAAAGTTAAACAGGAGACTCAGAATTATATACAAACACACATATATGGCTATCAAGTACAAAGACTTTACTGCATAAAAATTTTGGTAGGTTCAAAAAACATTTTCAGAGTTAGAAAAAGACTTTGCTCTTTGGGGAAGTGTGTGTGTGTGTGTGTGTGTGTGTGTGCGCGCGCGCGCGCGCGCGTGCGCGTGCGCGTATGCGTGTGTATGTGTGTGGTGATTTTGTGTTGCCATTGCTATTTAGAGGTTTCACTGAACAACTGATTAAGGTGCCCAGATTCAGAGTAGTAGCTGAAGAGGATTTGGAAGTGTCCCCATCCTGACAGTCTAAAAATAATTTTTATTTTTTTCAGCATGTAAGTTTTAAGTAGGGAGTAAGGAAGATATTTTCTATAATAACTTTTAAGTAATCATTCCTCACAGACTATATTTAGAATTCCATAGTATATCAAATATTATTTTTATTTATTTATTTATTTTTTGAGACGGAGTCTCGCTCTGTCGCCCAGGCTGGAGTGCAGTGGCACAATCTCGGCTCACTGCAAGCTCCGCCTCCAGGGTTGACACCATTCTCCTGCCTCAGCCTCCTGAGTACCTGGGACTACAGGCGCCCACCACCATGCCCAGCTAATTTTCTGTATTTTTAGTAGAGACGGGGTTTCACTGTGTTAGCCCAGATGGTCTCGATCTCTTGACCTCTTGATCTGCCTGCCTTACCCTCCCAAACTGCTGGGATTACAGGCATGAGCCACTGTGCCCAGCCCAAATATTATTTTTAAAGTCAGGATTTTTCGGGGGAGGGGACCACTTGGTTCCTTGGTTCTTGGTGGACTGCAAGAATGTAAAGGGTCATGTAAGGTGAGTAACTTATTCTACAAAGGCACTGGAACATCCAGAAAGCCTAGGTCTTGCCACTCCTCCCTCTGAGGTGCTGGCTCTGGCCCCCAGGCAACACAAAACAGGCAGGAATGACTCCGATAGGGGATGGAAGCTCCTCCAATGTGTCTTCACTGAAGTCAGCTCTGAACTCATGGACTTCTCATGGACAGCAGTGCCTCGATTATGGCTCACTGCGGCCTTTACCTCCCAGGCTCCTCCCACCTCGGTCTCCCAGGTAGCTGGGACCACAGGCATGGGACACCACACCCAGCTATTTTTTTATTTTTTTGTAGCGACAAGGTCTTGCTATGTTGCTAGGCTGGTCTCAAACTCCTGGGCTCTCGAAGTGCTGAGATTACAGGCACAAGCCACTGTACCAGCTTGCAAAAGTCCTTTCAAGATTCTGATGAGCCCTTCTAGGCATTCATTCCATTCATGCTAAAAATCCTCAGGTTAAATAATCACCAGGAGGCACACACAGAAAACCCCACCTGCAGGTCCATGTTAGCAGCTGTGCAAATCTTGAGATCTGAAAAGCTGTAGGTTTTTCATTCTCCCTAGGCTGATCTTTCCTTACTCTCTATATTATTCCAGCCCAGACTGATGCACTGATTATTCTCTTATATTTTCTGTGCCCTTTTTTTTTTTTTAAAGTGTTTGTTCTTAGAAGTC
This sequence comes from Homo sapiens, assembly GCF_000001405.40. Lineage (NCBI taxonomy): Eukaryota > Metazoa > Chordata > Mammalia > Primates > Hominidae > Homo > Homo sapiens. The sequence goes on from NC_000004.12 coordinate 40,931,835, forward strand.
TCCTCACATCTTCTATGGAACAAAGTAAGACACAGATGAATAATACAATGCATGTATTTTTTGTTGTTGTTTAAAACTAAGCACAGCTTTAGGAACGTAAGACAAAGCTGAGCTTCCTTACTAACGTGAACAGACTCATAACAGGCATTGAAATAGACATGCTGGCAATAAAAAGGTGGCAGATAAAGAATTCAGTAAGCAACACAGCCGGAAGGGAAAAAGAGAAAGCCCAACCCACTGACTTGGATTTAATGGAACCAGTCCTCCTATTCCTATTACAATTCCATCTCCATTCCATGCTTTCCCTCTTGTCAATTTCACACCCTGGCTCCACATACATCACTGCCCCAGCCCTTAGTGGTGGACAGAGATATTCACTGCTCCTCTTCCAGCCTTTGCTGATAGAATTTGTAAAACATCAAGTAGCAAAGCAAATTGTTCACAACCTGCGTTCCTTACCATAAAATTTATCTTTAAAGACCAGCAATGTTAGAAGCAGCCCAAGGACTTGTTCAGAATGCCACTGGCTCTAGAGTGGCCATGATATTACTGGCTGTGCTCAGAACAAAGCTGACTTGACCAGAAGCAGCACAGATTTCACTGCAAGCCCTAAGATACTTACAGAACCAACTGGCAATATGGCAGTTTCTGGCAAAGGAGTCAAGGTTTTGAACCTGTATGGTGTTCCCCTCTTAAGTGCTACTAAGAAAACCTATTTGCGATGTTACTTGTAGACACAGATCTGCTTTGGGATTCAGAACAAATAAAAAAGAATCTGGGAAGATTCTTTCTCTCTCCATGGCACAGGAGGGTGAAGGGGAGGGGAGGGGAAGGTGCTGAAGTAGACAAGGTGGAATTCCATGGTTGTTAGCACCGAAGATCAGATGCATAACTTGTAAATGAAAAATGCAAAACGAAAATGCAAGCCCCCGCCCCGTTCAAAAAGCAGGGGGAAGACGCTACAAACAATAATAAAACATAAAAGTTTTTCCTTTCTTCCGTATGCTTTCTCTTGGCTTGTTAAGATGTTTTGTTTTGTTTTGTTTCGAGATGGAGTCTCGCTCTGTCACCCAGGCTGGAGTGCAGTGGCGCGATCTCAGCTCACTGCAACCTCTGCCTCCTGGGTTCAAGTGATTCTCCTGCCTCAGCCTGCTGAGTAGCTGGGATTACAGGCATGTGCCAACAAGCCTGGCTAATTTTTGTATTTTTAGTAGAGACGGGGTTTCACCATGTTGGCCAGTCTGGGCTTGAACTCCTGACCTCAGGTGATCCGCCGCCCTCGGCCTCCAAAAGTGCTGGGATTACAGGCGTAAGGCACCACATCTGGCCGTTAATGTGTTTTTTAATTGCTATTTAATGTTACAATCCCTCAGGCATGGGGATACTTGTAAGTGCAAACCCTTACAAACACTCAGGGCCCTGTCCATATCTTGGTACCTGCACACAGACCATTGGCTTCTGGGTACCCTCTCCCATCAGCTGCTGGACAGATGCACCATGCACTGATCAGGGGCGGGTAAATCAAGCCAGGAACCCTCTCTTCCCATGGCCCCACAATCTCAACCCACAGCAGATGGGTGGCCCATAAATGTATTGCAACATCAGTGTTGGGACATGCTAGGTGCCTGGACTGCGGGTAGGCAAGAGGCTCACCCCCACTGAGTCGCCTGTGGAACACACAGCAGTGTTGCCAGCCCAGACTGGGCTGGTCACCACCACGCTCCAATCCCAAGATACCCAGGGAGTGTGCACTTGACCCCAACCCTCCCGTGCTCACACCCATGTCTCTTCCGCGGTAGAGGGCAGTAGAAGTCTCTACGTAGGGAGGGAGATAGGGAGGTCTGGCAGGGCCTGAGATGCCGGGGGGCCAGAAGGTGAGAACCGCACAGGGACGCTGGGAGGTGGCAGGACTGTGTGCAATCCAAAGCCCAGCCCTCTCATGGACATTCCATTGGACTTGACTTATAAGATACAAATTCAAAGATTAAGAATTTCCTGACAGCAACCTTGAAGCATTCATCCCCACACACAGGGGCCTTCTCATTGTGGGGCCTGTGCAGCTGCACTGGCCACATGCCCAGAAAGCTGGCTCTGTTAGCAACCTACCAGAAGTCCAGAAACAAAATGGACACAAGTTTGCCCCAACTGCCCCCAGTTTTCCATCATAAAACCTAATTATCCAATCTGTGTTTATGACAGGAATGGCAAAGAGATTTCACCTTGCACAGATATGAGGCTGCTCTGGTGGCGGTAGGTGGGAGGGGTCTCACACCCTACCTGTTTAGCTTCCTCTCCCATTGCTTTGCAAGGCAGAGCCTGGTGTATCTTTAAAGACTTCTAAAGCCCACCCATTTGAACAATAATGGTAATTTATTACATTGTGCAAAGAGCTGACGTAGTGAGATACAGGCAGAGTCTTGATGGTTCTAGAAATCCCCCCAAACCTAACTTAGCCTAGGGGTTTTCTTCAAGTGTCAGGGAGATTAGGAAAGAGAAAATTGAGGGATAATTACTTATTAAATGGCTCTGGGTTGATGGTTTGTAAAAACTGGACAATGATCCAAAGTCATTATTTGGATCTAAGAATATAACCTGGTGGCTGAAAGCAAGTCTTTACAAACCTTGGCTTCTGGGTCACTGTTGATACTACAAGAATCATCATCATCAGGGTGTGGGGCATTTCTAGGCAGAAAAACAGAAAAGTGGACTTAGAATTCTATTGCAAACTATCTGCACAAAGCCATACATTGACAGCAGGTCGATCCTACTAATGTCCTACCTGAGTTTCAAAGATGCATAGCGTAGGGTTGCTCCTTCAAACTCTTTTAAACTGGGGTCCGGGTTAACAGTGGCTGCATGCAAATCCTAGAGGAAAATAGAACCTTGTTAATGTACAATGGGGGAGAAGACCATTCATTGCCTCAAATATCAAAGGGGAGAAACGTCTTCCCAGCAAGAGGCAGAGAGTGTACGTGAGCTTAGGCAGAGAAAGGCATGCAAGGACTGTTGAATGCTGACTGGTGCAAACTCCTGTTCTTACAAAACAACGGGGAACCTAGGGCATTCACAATGGGAGACACCAAAAAAAGGCAACAGGAGTGTGAGCTGAATGCCCCTAGCAAGAAGCCCGATCACTGTGTCCCTGCAGAATGCATGATATTCACAAAGAAGAAAAATATACAGCCACAGCCATGCAGAAAGGATAAAATATTAAATGATCTAAGATCTGACAATATACTTGCCTTCCAAATGTCACTATTAATCTTTCCCCCATTCAGAACAGCAAAATCACTCCATGGCTGTTTCTAGACATATAATTATTCACATAGGAAAAAAGCACATTGATTTAAAGAAAAAGAAAAGAAAAGAAAAAAAAAAAACACAAGACACTGTTGTTAGCATTGATATTCACAAGATGGGTTAGGGAACAAGTTAACTCTAACAGCAACTTGTTGGCTCACTCCCTCTATGTCTAGATTATCACCTGAAGACGAGGGCAGGAGAGTGATGGTGCTTTAATTACTTACCAAATAAATGACTAAACATTATTAGAAGCAGACAGTGAAGTTATTTCCTTAAGGTAATTTTAAAAGCAAACAATATAATTCCAAGTATTCAATAACTAGCATACCTAATTCCATAATAATCATTTTCCTCCCTATAAACCAAACAGAACTGTTTTCTGGTGGTGGGGGTGGAATGAGGGACGGGTACCGTGTTTGTTTGGAAACTAGGGAATGCCCATGGCTGAGGGCCCCAAAAGTTGGGGGTCAAGATATTTTCACTTAAAAGAAAAAAAGGAGAATGATGGGGAGAGAGGGTTAGTGAAGAACACAGACTGACATCAACACTTGGCGGAAATTTAACCTAACAAAAAACAACTCTAAACAGTCTAACATAAATTTCTCTAATTCATAAAAGCTCTACTTTTTTTTTTTTGCTTCAAAAGCTTCTTCACAAATTAATACTTGATCATGAAATGATTTTCTAAACGTAATTATAGTGCAAGGCATGAAGCCTGGCTTTGTTGCGAGAGCTCTTGCAATAACTGATTTCCAAATCTAAACAACTGCTCCATCCACCTCAGACAATGAGAAAATGTCTTTTCTTTCTACTAGGCCTAGTGAATATTCAAGTATTTTTCATCTAAGATTTGGGGAAATAAGCAAGCAAGGCTAATAAAACTCAGGGACAGTCTTGTGAATTGCTTTACTGACTGGTTAGGCAAATCTGTTTGTATAAGAAATCAACCATCAAAACTTTTCAGCTAAATCACTTTTCAACTGAAGTTCTTTGAAAATGAGAAGTGAATAATGACCCATAACTTTTACTCACAACATTGATACAGTTTTAAAAACCACTAAAAGCAGAAAAAAACTAAGCTTAAATGTCTTGTGCGTCGAAAGATGCATTTATTTTGTTTAAAAATTTTTTTGAGACAGGGTCTCACTCTGTCACCCAGGCTGGAGTGCAGTGGCCCAATCACAGCTCACTGTAGCCTTGACCTCCTGGCTCAAGCAATCCTCCTGCCTTGGCCTCCTGAGTAGCTGGGACTATTCAGGTGCATGCTACTACACCTGGCTAATTTTTTAAAACTTTTTTGTTGAGATGGGGGTTCCATTATGCTACCCAGGCTGGTCTTGAACTCCTGAGCTCAAGTGATCCTCCCACTTAGGCCTTCCAAAGTGCTGGGATTACAGGCGTAAGCCATGGCGCCTGGTGCAACATGCACTTACCAAACTCTGCAAGCCTCTCTGAGAGCAAAGACACTTCAAATTTAGACCCATTATTACTATTGCACATGTGGTGTCATTTTCATTTTTGGTCTAGGCACCTAAACTGCAGCTTTTCAAAATAAAATGGGAACTTAGACCACTATATTTACTTTTAAAAAATAATTTCTCTTAATGAATAAAGGGCAGGAATGTTGCCCAATCCCTTACCTTTCCCCTCACTCTACCCCCAGAAGCAGTGTTCAGTCTTTATGAAGAGAAAATTAATAACCTAGGGCAATCTTAACCTGTTAGCTCGGAGGAGCTATGAACCCCTGAAATGGGTGCGGGGTTTTGTACATGTACATTTTCCTGAGAGAAAGATGCCCAATTTTTCTCATATTTCCAGATGGGCCAGTGACCAATTTCGGTTTGGACCACTGTAGGGCTACTAATATGGATGTGAGATGAGGACCTGAAATATCAAGTACAAAATAAAATTTTAAGCTAGAATTTCTTTTTCAAAAAGAAAACAAGCTTATATGGCCTCAAATTGTCATCACTGTTTACATGTGAGCAATATTTGTTGTTAAGTTGAACTTTAAAAAAGGATAATCAGATGATGAATTAGGAAGACCCAAGATAATTGTGTCTTTGTGGAGAAATTTATAAAGAAACAAGAAAAACAAAGTTACCTCACAAAAAGAATTTCAGAAATTATCCCCAAGGGACCCTATATGTTGAGGCTACAGAAAGTAAAAGAAGAGTATTTTCTAAAACAAGTACTCAGAAAAGTCTTCAGTACCTAATTAAAACAGTTCTCTGCGTGTGTGTGGTTTTTAAAATTTTTAATGCATTTACTCTTTGGACATAAGGGTATCTGTAAAGCAAAAGCTAAAAACAGTATTAAGACTGTCAGAATCCAGCTCTCATGTTATGGAAACATGAGTTAGATGGCAAATGTCCAACAATCACCTTTTACAGATTTAAATAAACAAAGGCTCTGTATAGTGATTTTACAAAAACTTAACACGGGCACTCTTAAGGAAATCCTTTAGCACAAAACTCAGTAAGGAAATGGAAACTGGCATTATATGTGTTATGACTGGGCCAAAGATCTTTTTTCCCCTCCTATATTTACAACTATTCATTTACATCAAATATGACAAACTTTCTCCAATGTATAAGTGACCATAATTTTTCTTTTTTAAAAAATTAAAGTCAATGAAAGACAAAGTCACTTTGTCTTAAATTTTAAGAATTACATGGTCTATTCATCTAACTTTTTTAATTAAGAAGAGAGAATATTTTCTATATTTGGCTAATAAGTTTTGCTAATAATTTTTAGTTAACAAATTTTTAAAAAAGCACAACCCAACAGAGATTCTTTGGTTCTACAGAAAGTCTGTATCCACCCCCGTAGGGGTGGGAGAGATGAAGGAGGAAGAGGAGAGACAAAGAGAAAAACATTAAAAGGGGAAAAAGCAAGTTGGACAATATGCCTCAGGTAAGACAAACACAAAGATGGGGAAAGAGGTGGTAACGGACCAACAGGGACCATCTTCTATGAGCAACAAGCTTCCATGAGCCTGGTAACCCTCCAGGCAATGCAGCTAAAGCCTTGCACAGCTGAGTGACATTCTGGTACCACAGTCATAGCTGGGACACCCTCCTGGTGCTTGTCCTGACCTTGTCCAGGCTGCAACCTCCCTTTCTCTGATTACTTGATCCTGCTCAGTTCTGGGAGAGCCTTGGAGCCTTAGCTCCTCAGAGACAGTGTGTCTAGGGGGACTGACCCAATGCCCGGGGTATGGCACTCCTCAAAACCCTTGAGCACCACACGGAAGCTGTGTGAGGCTGGACCCAGTAAGGAGGGAATCCGATCATATAACCTTGACTACTGAGAGTTTTCTTCTTCCATGTTTCTCTTCTGGGGTCTTGGAAAGCAATTCCACATAGCAAACAAAAATGACGCATTATCTTTCAGCTGGAAAAAGGCCAACAATGGAGTTGATTCTTTGACAATATCAACAGAGTGCTCTTAAAGACTAAGTCTCAGGGGCTGGGTATGTCCCTACCAGGGGACTTTCTCTACAATGCTAAGAAAATCTCTACGAAGTGGTAGCAAAATGCAAAGCAGGGGGCAAGAGTGGAGGGTTGAACCTGCTGAGAACTGGGTAGAGAGGAAAAGCACTAAAACATTCCACAGTGGCAGTGACAGAAGCTAAAATCATATCATCTCTGTGTGCACTTGAGAAGTTCTGAAGCTAATACAATGCAATGGTTTGAATGTCTGTCCACTACAAAACTCGCATCGAAATTTAAACACCAATGTTGCAGTATTCAGAGGTGGGGCCTTTAAGAGGCGCTGCCCTCATGAGTGGATTAATTCACCCATGGATTCATGGGTTATCATGAGAGTGGGACTGGTGGCTTTATCAGAAGAGGAAGAGAGACCTGAGCTGGCATGCTCAGCTCTCTCACCATGTCATGCCCTGCACCCACTCAGGGCTCTGCAGAGAGTCCCCACCAGGAAGAAGGCCCTCATCAGATGCAGTCTCTCGGCCTTGGACTTTTCAGCCTCTATAACCATAAGAAATACATTCCTTATCTTTATAAATTACCCAGTTTCAGGTATTCTGTTATAAGCATCAGAAAATGAATAAAGACACATTGCCTGCTGGAATGCTGGGGTTCAAATTCTGCCTCTGTTCTTACTTGCTCTTTGACCTCAACTCCCTCCCATATCAAACAGGACTAAGAAGGCCTCCCATCAATGTGCAGACAAAGTGAGATTCAGAATGTTAGCTCTTAGCACAGGGACTGGCTGCCCGAGGGTGCCCTGCAAATGAGTTTCCTTACGATCTAGTCTTTCCACGAAAGAAAAAGCAGTTTGGGGAATACAAAGGGTTACGAATCATGTCTCTCAATGCCATTTTGTCAAGGCTTGACCCTTGATTAAGTGTGGCCTTGATAGTAAATGGCAGAAAACCTGGAATTCCAAGGACTACGGCAGGCAATGTCAGTGAGTGTTTTATCAATTTATATGTGTACAGTTTTTCTTTCTTTTTAAGACAGGGCCTTGCTCTGTCACCAAGGCTGGAGTGCAGTGGCATGATCTCACTGCAACCTCCACCTCCTGAGCTCAACTGATCCTCTCACCTCAGCCTCTCAAGTTGCTGGGACTACAGGGCATGCATCACCATGCCAGCTAAATTTTGTATTTTTAGTAGAGAAAGTCCTGGGCTCAAGCCATCTGCCCACCCTATCAGAAGATTACAGCATTATGGTTTAATCACACAAACATAATTCAGAGAAGTTAAAAAAAAATCAAACTAGTAAACTGGTTTGTGCAATTAAATCAGTCTCTGTGAGCAGCAGTGCAATGCAGAAACTACAATGTAGAGGGGGCCAGGAGAATGAGGGCTCTAGGGCTGGCTTTGTCATTGCAACAGATCAACTAACAGCTTCCTTGGCTATGCAGCTGATTTATTTTTTCATTCAGCAAATAGTTAATGAATGTCGTCATGTACTGGGCCCTGTGCACAGGATGAGGAGAACAGGTCCCGGCCACCAAGGAGCTTCCTAGTGGGAAAGTGACATACCACAGGTAACAACACTACAATGGGACATGATAGAATACAGGGCTTTCAAAGCAATGGGGTAAGAGCAGTAGCTCTGGGGAGACAATGGGGTGAGGCCAAATAATTTTTGAGGAAGGGACATGCAAATAAAAATAGGGAGGCTATAGTCATTAGAGGACCTGCTGTCCTACTTACTCAGCGTAAATCACTTGGAGAGCTTATGCAAAGGTTCCCAGGCCCCATCCCATTCTGTGATCCCCAGAGGTTCTCCTGGCACCATTCCTCGGCTCACTGGCTGAGAAATACGGCCTGCACATTCAACAGGCCCTGCTCCAAGATTCCTTCCAGCACTCAATGTCATGATTACTTGACTGAGTGAAGAAGTTCAGAAAAATGACGGCAGAACGGCCCTTTTATGTTGTCATCTTATTTCTACATGTATATGAGAATACACAGGCTTAAGGTATTCCACTGGGCACCCTCCTGGGGGGGTTAGGCTCTCATGACGCCCGTGAGGCTGTGAGCACTTCATAAGAACAGGCTGATTTAGGACCAAGAGGAAACCACAGTTTGAGCAACAATTCATTTTCTCGAGCTTCAGACCCGCCTTCTCCATACTTTCTTCTGTAGGAAGACCAAAACACCTTCATTTGAAAAGATGGGAAGACTTGGCCACAAGCCAATGGATATTCATAAAAATATTTTGTGTGGCTCTCCGTTCTCTCTAAAATTCAATATCCAAGCAGTCTGCAAGGTAATTTGGAACAAATAAATGGTTTGGGCGGGGAGGAGCACCACGTGCTAAATTTCAGCAGCAAATGCTTCCTGGCCAGTTTATAAACTTTCAAAAATACTGCTGGCATATGCAGCGGAAACATTATCCACTGCGCTTAACACCTCCCAAGTGAACTTTGGAATGTGAAATGTAAAATTTTCAAACTGTAAGGAAGCCTTCAGTTCTAAACTTTTGTGAAGCCTAGTCAACAGATTTAGCACTTAGTTATTTGATTCTTTTTTTTTTTTTGAAGCCAGCTCAGAAAAAAGCTGAATAAAATATGCATTTCTAACACAACATATTACAAGCTTCTTCTGTCCCTTAAGATTTTGCTCTCTTCTCATGCTTTGAAATTGGTTGAAATAGATTCTATTTAGGAACCAAAGAAATGGTGTTAGAAAAATAATCATTTCTCTTCAACTGTCATTAGCACCTGAGACAATGATATTAAGAAAGGTCATTTTCTAGAAGGCTCCATATGTGACATAGCCTCCCTTAGGGTGAGTTAAAGGGATTCAAGAGTCTCCAAGCCTCCCAGACATATGATATTGTGAAGTTCGGGGTGGAAATAGGGGCCAGGAGACCTGAACTCAAGCTTGACTCTACCATGTATTAGCTGTGTGTCTTGCCCAAACTCCTCAACCTCTCTGTCTCTCAGTGTCAAATGTAAAATGAGAAAGACAACTATAGTACCAGATACATAAGGATTTTGGTGTGTTTTTTGTTTGTTTGTTTGTTTTAAGAGACAGGGTTTTACCCTGTTATCCAGGCTGGAGTGCTATGGTGTGATCATAGCTCACCTGCAGCCTCAAATTTCTGGGTTCAAGTGATCTTCCTGCCTCAGCCTCCTAAGTAGCTTGGGCTACAGGCACATACCACCACACCTGGCTAATTTAAAATCTTTTTTTTTTTGTAGAGATGGGGTCTTGCTATGTTGTCCAGGCTGCTCCTCAACTCCTGGTCTCAAGTGATTCTCCTGCCTAGGCCTCCCAAAGAGCTGGGATTACAGGCGTGAGCTGCAGCACCTGACCACATAAGGGTTTTATGGGGAGTAAAGAGTTAAGGCATTAGGCTGGACTGTAAATATTTGATTTCTCTTAGTGCCTCTGGTTTAATATTGGTGACAGGGTCTGCACATCAGCGTATGTGGCAGGCTAAGTCTTTTCCCCAGTTCTCCTATTCCTCTTCTATCTGCTCAACTCTTTGCCTCTATGACTTATTTATTTCCTTTTAAATCTGCTTGGTTCTTTGACTTAACGGAGGACCTTATGTAGGGGGAGAAACACGTGTATTATGGGAACAACTGAAAGGTCAGCCTGAAGACTTTTGCCCTGTTGCTTTCTGAGAGTGCTGGATATGAGTCCCTGTCTCTGAAACTTCTAAAAATATGCACCTTTAACCAGCTTCCACGGAGGGATAAGCCTTTGTCAATACAAATGGTACAGTGAGCAGCAGAAGAGAGGAATGGAACTGATAGAAGGTGGAGATTCTCAGAGTCCTCGGGCTCTAGAGTCCTGGGGTCTGGAGTCAGGGAACTGGATACATCCCACCCTAACCCCAGCTGAGGGACACTTAACTCATTGAGTCTCAGTTACCTCTTTCCTTAAATGGAGAACATACCAGCTGACTTTTCTGCCTCAGGAGACTCCTGAGAAGATCAGATGAAATGATGTCTAGGAAAATACCCTGAAAACCACAACAGATTTTTAAGAGCAGTGAGGAGGCCGAGCAGCGGGGCTGTTGGGGGGGAACACTGAACTCCAGGGCAGGAGGTGCCAAGGGTGTGCCCTTCTGAGCCTGGGAGGGGCCCTGGGCAGTAGTTAGCAAGGGGTACGATGCAGGCACAGAGAGGGGAAAGAGTAGGCAAAAATGGGCTCCAGGAAGGGGAGAGATGCACTCTGCTACCTGGCAGTTTTCCCCAGAGCCAGCACCCACCTGTGCTGCATTCTTCCCAAGACTTCTGCCCAAATCACGGAAACAAAAGGCTAACGTGTTAATCAAAGAAATACAACTCTGAGCTCCGTAAGCCTCAGGATGCCCTCCTTGGAGTCCACACACCCCCGCCTGGGCCTCTGCAGGCAGCCTTTACAAAGGACTTCACCACTGCCAGATGCAGAGGACTGGAGATTCATGGCACAAAAACTGTCTCTCAAAGTCAGTCCAATCTCCCCAATCTGGGACAGTGAGGAAGCAGAGCAGGTTGAAATCTCAAAGCCAGGGGAGCTAAGTGAGAAGACCTCTGACCTAGGATCTGGGAGGATTCAGGAACTCTGAGCTCTAGGCCCAGAGCTGCCACCGGTCACTGGCCTCTCTACAACCTCAGTGTCCCTGTCTGTAACATATGAATGCTGGCACCAAATGGTGCCTTCACACCCTGGTGTTCTCTGGCTATAGGGCACTCTCTGGCTGGGAAGATGGCTAAAGGTTTGGAATAGGGAAATGAAAATGGTTATAGGCTTGGAATAGAGGAATGGAGAAAGATTCTTGCCAACTGAGATGCCAAGAGAAAAGGTGTACAAATAAGAAAGGGAGAGCACGTCTGTGCCTTAGTGAGAACAGAGATTGATCCTGGCCGGCTCAGCTTCTAGGAGGCCCCCACTGTGGTACAGGGGGAATCCCAGGATCCAACTGGGTGGGGACAGGAAGAGGACTCCTCTCCATACCAAACTCCTTGAGGGCTGAGACGGTGTTGGTTCATCTTTATCCCCCAGCACACCTAATGCAAGATGAACAAAAGGCTGAACAAAAATTGCCCAGGGAGTAGGAATTATTATGCTTCAATAAAAAGTTGTTAAAACTGCCCAGTGATAAGCAACAAAGCCCTATATGGGGTTCAGCAGTCCTGAAGCATGTGCCTGATGACCACGGCATGGCACAGGTAAACCAAAGTCCTTGCCTACCAATGAGGGTATGGCTGCCCCAGCCCATCACTTTCAAGTTGGAGAATCTGAGGTCCAGGCTGGGTAAATGAGAGGCCAAAGCCCTCTAACAGCAGGAATGTGATGAGAATATAAGGCTTACCACCTCCCAGAGAAGAACAAGTACATAATCAAAGATTTAGGAAATAAGACATTGTCTACTTTTAAAAACAGGAAGGGTGATATCTATTGCAAACAGATAAAGAAGCTTCCACAGTAGTTCTAATGCCCTCATGCCTCAAGGCAAAAGAAGATGGGCTTGTTCAAAGAACCAAGGACTGTGGTCAGAAAGGGGCAGAAATGCCTGGGTGTCAGGGGTCAAAAGAAGTCATTACTTAATTGTGACCTTCTCCAACTCTAATTCTCTTGAACAGTTTGCTTTCGGGATTCACAAAAGTTCACTGTGGGGATCCTTATACTAATAAACACCACAATGACATTTTTTTAATGCCTCAATTCTTTGTTTAAACATCCAGATTTCTTCCTCAGGGACAGCAGAAATTTATGCTGTTAATCGTTTCTAAAATAATGTCACTTCTACTAAATAAACAGATTTTTTAAAATAGAAATTAAGCATCTGAGGGCTCTCAGGGTTATTCTTGCAGACATTCCCTCCACGCTATCAAACGAGCCCAAGGCTAATAAGATACGCAGTAATTATAATACGTCTGGCCAAGAGATGTTCTTCTGTGTGTAAATATTTTATGGAGCCAGCACCATGCAATGGTACCTGCAGAGTAAAGTACTGCCTCAGTGAGCCCTAGGGAATCTTAACCACTTCTCATTAATCAGCCCCTCTTGCTTTCTGTACCTGGAATGCTGTTTCAAGAGACCAAAAGCCATTAAAAAATAAAAACATCCCTGAAAGATGGATATTAACACTATTTACTAAGAGGAAGCATTACTGAGATTTCAAATGCAACATGCACAATAATCAAAAAGCTTACCTTGATGACCTGTTGGGGCAGAAGCAACCAGTGTAAAGAGAAACCACAAGTTACATCTATTCTACTAAGCTGGTAAAAAGACACTCCGTTTTACCTCGTTCTCTGGGGTGGGAGATGGCGTTACAGAACTAAGTGACCCTTTCCTAGAACCCTGGAGATCTGCTGGGATGGAGACGGGCCGTTCCCACTGAGTCGTTCCTGTTGGGATGTGCCAATAATAGGTCCCGGCAATGTCACTGACTCTTTTCCAGCCAGGCGGCAAATCTGGATCAGTCTGAAATGAGTGATCACTCCATATATCTGCTGAAAAATTGGGGGGCGGGGCGGGGGGAGAAAGAGAGAATTTTATTAAAAGAATGTCAGCACTATTCGTCAGGTGAACCCCAAAGGCAGACGTGTCCATAGTCCAAATGATTAGTTCTTCCTGGTATGTTTGTGAAATCCATCCATACTGATGTGTGTGGCTGTACTTGGTAAAACAGGTAATATGGAAACAAGTATAAGAATTGGAAAGGAAGGCTAACACCTGAGAACAGGGACACAAAATCCTCACTATCAAGTCATCCTATAGCTCTAAGAACCCTATGAACAAGCTAAAGCTCCAAACCAGAATCAATTTCCCAAACAAAATTCACATAGTTATACACAGTGTACTGAATGCTTTTGTCAATTATTAAGATTTATTGGTTGGCATCATGTCATTCCCAGCTATAACTCTTAATTTTCCTAAAATGCTTTCTGTAAATGAGTGCTGTATTTATATCTTTCATGTGCTTTAAGAATCTCTCTCATTTGATTGGGACACCTACAAAATAGCAATAGTAGTAGTCTTTTATAATACTCTAGAATTCTTTTTTTTCAAGATGGAGTCTTGCTCTGTCACCCAGGCTGGAGTGCAGTGGTGCGATCCCGGCTCACTGCAAGCTCCACCTCCCGGGTTCACACCATTCTCCTGCCTCAGCCTCCCAAGTAGCTGGGACTACAGGCGCTTGCCACCACGCCAGGCTTTTTGTATTTTTAATAGAGACGAGGTTTCACCATGTTAGCCAGGATGGTCTCCATCTCCTGACCTCGTGATCCGCCAACCTTGGCCTCCCAAAGTGCTGGGACTACAGGCGTGAGCCACTGTGCCTGGCCAATACTCTAGAATTCTAATTGCACGCAAAAGATTCCCAAGGAAGGCCGGGCGTGGTGGTTCACACCTATAATCCCAGCAATTCGGGAGGCCGAGGTGGGTGGATCACCTGAGGTCAGGAGTTTGAGACCAGCCTGACCAATGTGGTGAAAGCCTGTCTCTACTAAAAATGCAAAATTAGCTGGGCATGGTGGCGCACACCTGCAGTCCCAGTTACTCGGGAGGTGGAGGCAGGAGAAACGCTTCAACCCAGGAGGCGGAGGTTGCAGTGAGCTGAGATCACACCGTTGCGCTCCAGCCTGGGCGACAGAGTGAGACTCTATCTCCAAAAAAAAAAAAAAAAAAAAAACATTCCCAAGGAAAGCAGATTGGAAAAGCCTCGGAAGTCAACAATGGACCAGACTGACTCTACAGACAGGCCAGTGATGTAAACATGTGAAGCAGAGTGTGAGAGACAACAAAGGTGGGTGACTGGAAAATGGGCAAGCACCTGCAAAGTCCAGTCATCCCAATTCCAGAAAATAATCCTTTAAACACTGCGATGGCCAAATAAAATACGTCTACTAGACAATTCCCATCATATCTGGCCTTTCTACATATCTTATCAGTTTACTGAATATCTGCTGGCTTTTAAAAATCTCATTTTTGGCCTTGAGTTGACTAGGAAATGGGTAACAGTGCTAGAGAAGAGAGAACAGAGGGGAGAGGAAGTAGAATGAGACATCCACCGAGATGGAGGGGTAATAAGGGAATCACAGGCAGCTGAATCAATGTATGTAGGAAGAAAAACTTTAAAAACTTGAGCTCTAAACCCAGGGATCAATTTTATTCTAAGGATTAGGCTGTTTCCTATGTGGCCATACAAAAGCAACCGGAGTGCTTTCCGGCAATTCAAAGGAGAACACGAGTGGGCCTGGCTCTGTGCAAGTGTCGCTGCATCACGTGCGCAGGCATCACGGGAGCAGAGCCACCGTGAGAAATAGAGAAATCAAACAAAGGGGCTGATGAAGACTGTGGCCACGGATGTGCATGCATGCAGTCACTTTCCTCATTTAAATCTGCCAGAAGCAAAAGTGCCACTAGTCTCAAATTATGCTGGGAATTTCCCCCTGTCCCCACAGGGAGTGAAGCATAATTAAATAATTTCAAGTTAACCAAATTTTGCAGAAACAACTCTAATCAAACATGTGTTTACATTTCTTTGTCCTGTCTCCTTTTCAGGGGACGAAGGGGTCACTTCTGCTATTATTTTGTTTTCGGCATCTCAACTGGGACACATAAGGTTAGATACATAGGTTTTGGGATAAAGTTGGAGAAAACCCTAGCAAGTGGGTTCCCTCGTCCCATTCTAGTGGCTCACAGACAGCGAGCTCTGGAACTAGACACTGAAAAGATACAAAGAAGCTGCCAGTTACCATTTCTGTGGTTTATGAGGACTGGAGGCCTGAATTTACACATTTAGCCTAGTTGTCTTTACCACTGAGACATTAGCGTGTATGAAGAATAGCTACATACATTATCAAAATATGACACCATGTCAGACCAACGGCAGAGGCCAAGGTTGGTGGCTTTCAAGTTGGGCTGATAAGGAGGTACCTAGAGGTATCATGAGAGGAACTTTATGCTGAATGGCACGAATCAGACTGTTTATCTTCAATTAAACCCACCCTAGTTTTACTAAGCTTACGCTGAGATTTTGTTGAAATAAAAAGAGGAGGTTTATTCTGTTGCTAGAAATAGGTGGTAACAATGGTGCTGGTGACAGATGCAAAGTGGGCACACCTACGGTATTATTAATAGGTCTACAATCATTTATAGAATCCCTTCATATTATCTCACATTGGTTTAAGGGATTTAAGCCTTGTGAGGGTAGGCAGATACCATAACTGTCTTATTCACCATCATATTCGACATCCAGCATGGCAGGTATTCAATCAAAATTGGATGGATGGAGAGATGGGAGGGAGGGAGAGAGGGAGGGAAAGAAAGAATAAATAAAGAAGGAAGAAATGAGCAAATCAATTAGGTCTTTCAATGATGGGAACTGGAACTTGGCACTTAGCAAAAGAGAAATTCTAAAGAAATCAGTTCTATGCGATTTCACAGAACAGAGCAACTTCATGACTCCCAAGACTTACTAACATTTATCTATCCCTTGATGGCATATGTGAACGTCCTCATGGATAAAAAAAAATATAATACAATAAATTAGGAAGAGTACTGGGCTGGAGACCAAGAAATCTTGAGTGAGATTTTGTTTATTTTTCATACTGAGAAGTTCCACAAGGAAAGGCAGGAAGTATGCCGAGTGAAGACTCTCAGCACCATCATAATTCATTTTGTTTAACCTTCATAGCCCAATCTGCTTTGTTCTTCTACATAGAACTACACATTTAGGCTGGACGCAGTGGTTCATGCCTGTAATCCCAGCACTCTAGGAAGCTGAGGCAGACAGACTGCTTGAGTCCAGGAGTTCGAGACACAGCGAGGCCCCGTGTCTACCAAAAATAGAAAAAATTAGCCGGGCTTGTTGGCACGTGCCTGTAGTGACAGCTACTCAAGAGGCTGAGGACGGCTAGGGGCAGTGGCTCATGCCTGTAATCTCAGCACTTTGGGAGGCCGAGGCGGGCAGATCACTTGAGGTCAGGAGTTCAAGACCACACTGGTCAGCATGGTGAAATCCTGTCTCTACTGAAATACAAAAATTAGCCAGGTGTTGTGGTGGACACCTGTAATCCCAGCTACTCGGAAGGCTGAGGAAGGAGAATCACTTGAACCCAGGAGGCGGAGGTTGCAGTGAGCTGAGATTGTGCCATTGTACTCCAATCTGGGTGACAGAGTGAGACTCCCATCTTAAAAAAAAAAAAAAAAAAAAAAAGAGCCTAATGTGGGAGAATCTCCTGAACCCAAGAAGTGGAGGCTGCATGGAGCCATAATCATGCCACTGCATTTCAGCCTGGGTGACAGAAGTGAGATCCTGTCTCCAAAAAAAAAAAAAAAAAAAAAAAAAATTACACATTTAAATAAGTACTTTGGACTTTATTAATTTTATCAGTCAGTGGTTTTCAACTGTTATCAAACTGGGGAAGAAGGCCAGGCACGGTGGCTCATGCCTATAATCCCATCACTTTGGAAGGCCGAGGCAGGTAGATCACTCAAGGTCAGGAGTTTGAGACCAGCATGGCCAATATGGTGAAATCCCATCTTTACAAAAATTAGTCGGGCATGGTGGCAAACACCTGTGATCCCAGCTACTCGGGAGGCTGAGGCACAGAATTGCTTGAACCCGGGAGGTGGAGGTTGCAGTAAGCTGAGATCGTGCCATTGCACTCCAGTCTGGGCAACAGAGTGAGACTGTCTCAAAAAAGGCGGGGGGAGGGGAAGAAGATAGTGGTGCAGGTAGGTGGAAGTCCAGACCTTTCCTGATCTTTTCAACCACAGCAGCACCCATTTTGTCCGTCATTACACATTGGTCTTTATGTATGATTTTCCTTGAAAACAAGCGTCAGTTTTTCTTTAAAATGTTTACTTACAATAAAGTTTAAAACCATAGCTAAGCCAAGAGAACAGTGGGGTCAAGTTATCGAAATACCAAGCAGCTGCTTCTGTAAAAGATTTTCAGAATACTGCAAAGCCGCTTAATGGCCGCCCTCCGATGGTTATCACGGTATCACAGTGGACCAACGAGACGAGAGGGAGCACAAGCAGAACAAAACAAAACAGGAGTATTCGACAACACCAGGCGATTTGAGGAGAAAGTTTCAATCTCTTTTGTTCTCAGAAAATTACTTAGTGAAGCTTTGCTGGAGACAAGGCAAGCGGCTGAAAACTGGAAAGGAAACAGTGGCTGCCAGCTTCACTGCCCTTCTGACTCTCAGCAATTTGCTTAAACTGAGCGTCTGCCACGCACCCCCTTTTGACGGATCTGCTTAGAGCTTTGAAATCACAATGTGGTATTCTTAGTTTGCTGTGGGAATACCTAAAAAACCTCCGCCCTGGAGAATGTTTTTCTATTTGGGTGTGTCATGTGCAACAGTCCTCTTAGGGGGTGAGATTCGGCACTGGACAGCCTAAAACGCACCGTGGGAACCCAACTCAGAGCGACTCGCCTGGAGGACTGGAATTCGGACCAACTGCGGGGGCTACTGAAGGCAAGGTTTACAGAAACTGCAGAAATCTAATAAAAAGCCTGCAGAGCATCTTAAAATGCCTCAAGTCACAACACAATAGATTTCCTTCCATACCTGTCAGCTCGGCAAAAATTAAAAAGTATTACAATACCAATTGTTGGCAGGCATGTAGAACAACAGGATCTTGTAGATACTACTGCTCGTAGAAGGGTAATTTGGTACAATCATTTTAGAAAAGAAAATAGTATTAACTAGTAAAGTGGAAGATATCTCTACTCTATGACCCAACAATTCCACACTCGGTATGTGCACCAGGTAACATATTCATATCAGCAGCACTGAAATAACCAAAACCTTGAAACAACCTAGACAACCATTTAAAACAGAATGAATTGGCCAGGCACAGTGGCTCATGCCTATAATCCCAGCACATTGGGAGGTCAAGGCGGGAGAACTGCTTGAGTCTAGGAGTTTAAGACCAGCCTGGGTAACACAGGGAGATGCATGTCTACTAAAAATTTTTCAAAATTGGCCGGGTGTGGGGGCTCACAGCTGTTATCCTAGCACGTTGGGAGGCTGAGGTGGATGGATCACGAGGTCAGGGATTTGAGACCAGCCTGGCCAACATGGTGAAACCCCGTCTCTATAAATACACAAATTAGCCGAGTGTGGTTGCATGCCCCTGTAGTCCCAGCTACTCAAGATGCTGAGGCAGGAGAATCACTTGAACCCAGGAGGCGGAGGTTGCAGTGAGCCTAGACTGTGCCATTGCACTCCAACTTGGGTGACAGAGCAAGACTCCGTCTCAAAAAAAAAATAATTAAAAAAATTAAAATTAAATTTAAAAAAGACAATGAATAAATTACAGCAGAATAAATGAACAAAAATGAGCTATACACAACAATATGGATGTATTTTACAAACATATCATTGATCAAAAGGAAGACAAAACAGAATATATTAAGTGTCCATGCCAAGTCCAAGAACTCAACTACATTGCTTAGGCATATAGATGTAGATGGTAAAACTATAAAGAAATGCAAGGATACAGTCATCACCAAAAACTGGAGGATGAATACCTGGAGTGGGGGAGAGACAGTGAAGCTCACAGAGAGGTTTCTCAAGGACTTCTGGAGTATTAGAAATGCTTTATTTCTTCACTGGGCTGGCAGGACCATCGACGCTCCCTTTATAATTATGTGTTAAGCTGTATGTTTACAGTATGGGTGTTTCTCTATGTATGTTTTTTTGCACAATTAAAAAAAAATACCTCAGTGGAGTTCTGAGATCAAAAGTTTCAGTTGTTTCTTAAACAGAGATATGCCGGAATAGAAAGCCGGCCTAGTCGAGGTATTTTTCAGTACCTAAAAGATAATCCAAGCAAAAAGAATGGATTCATTCAAGATGCCTGCTGGCTCCAATGAGACCAGGAAACCAGAGGAGAGTCTGCGAAGACGCGATACGGCTCAGTGCAGCCATGGCTTGGTGCAACTGCGTGGCAACTGAAGTGTCAATGCGGTAGGGACCTTCGTATCGTGGCTCAGCCACTCCCTATGTGAGTGTCCTTGGACAAGTTCCTCAACCTCTTTGGGCTTCAGATGCACATCTGTAAAACAGGGATCATAATAGTACCTGCCTCACTGGGTAGTGTATAAAACACTTAGAATAAAGGTTGGCATGCAGCAGCCGTGTTCACTGCATGGATGGTCACTGTTAGTGTTATCATCACCATCACTAGAAATTGGAGGTCTCAAGAAGCCAATACTACAGCAGCACATTCGAGTCACTAAAGTCACAATATAAGAACATGTTTTCATAGGTCCCAAGGAAAATGCTCACTACAGAATCTCTAGGGTCAAATTATCATCATGGTTCAAAGCAAAAAGATCTCTGTAATACTAGCACTTTGAGAGGCCAAGGGGGGGTGGATCACCTGAGGTCAGGAGTTTGAGACCAGCCTGGCCAACACAGTGAAACCTGTCTCTACCAAAAATGCAAAAATTAGCCGGGTGTGGTGACAGGCACCTGTAATCCCAGCTACTAAGGAGGCTGAGGCAGGAGAATCACTTGAACCCAGGAGGTGGAGGTTGCAGTGAGCCGAGATTGCACCACTGCATTCCAGCCTGGGTGACAGAGCGAGACTCTGTCTCAAAAAAAAAAAAAAAAAAAAAGGACAAAAGATCATTTTATGGTGACTTTCATAGGAGAAGAAGGTCAGTTAGGCTCCCTCAGCAGGGCCGGACTTCCAGGATCTGAGGAGGTCCGGCAAGTCCAGATTCTACCCCACCTGCCTTGCTGACTGTCTTCCTTATTATACACCGTGTATGCCCCTGGCTGGTGACGCCTCTACTGTGACAAGACATCTTCTCTTTCTCCAAATATCTCTCTTCTCTCTCAATTAATGAGGAAGCAAAAATATTTCATAATTTTTAATTTAAATATTTCATAATTTTTAAAATAAAGATTGATGCCCTCATTCTCCATTTTTAAGTAGACTTGTGAAACTTCTAGGTTTCTCTCAAACATAAACCAACCCCAAATGAATAAACTTGCTTTGCATTTGTACATGATTCTGAGCTTCCCCCTGACTGGGTGTGAGGCCTTTATTTGGAAAAAAGTTCCCCATCCATAAAACAAAGCATGTTTTCATACATATCGCTGCATTTAATGCTCACATCAATCCCAGCTAGAAGTCAAGGGTGGAATCCAGGTCCTTCAGGTCTTGAATGCAAGTGCTATCTTCCCGCTGGGATGTTATAAAAGCTAGTAACAGTAACAGCAACAACTGCAAGGACACTGACGCCACTAGGTGCTGTATCACGCGCCCTGTGTCCTTCGTTGCAGGAGCTTGTGGTTTGTCATAGCTGCCCTATGAAGGAGGCACTATCTTTATCCCCATTTCTAGGGCTCAGAGAGGACAGCAGATGGGTTTACAGCCAAAAAGGTAAACTATGTCCTCATATAAAAATGGATTTTAGGCCAGGTGCAGTGGTTCACGCCTGTAATTCCAGCACTTTGGGAGGTCAAGGAGGGTGGATCACCTGAAGTCAGGAGTTCAAGATCAGCCTGGCCAACATGGTGAAACCCCATCTCTACTAAAAATACAAAAAAAATTAGCCAGGCGTGGTGGTGGGCACCTGTAATCCCAGCTACTTAGAAGGCTGAGGTAGGGGAATCACCTGAACCTGGGAGGTAGGTTGCAGTCAGCCGAGATCACGCCACTGCACTCCAGCCTGGGCAACAAGAGCAAAACTCCATCTCAAAAAAAAAAAAAAAAAGGATTCTACAGAGACCTGAGAAAAACCCAGATGGACAGCATTGGGAAATTAGAAGATGAATAAATAAGGATGACAACATAACCAAACAATGGCTACAAGGCTGAGGCTATGAGATCCACAGCTGGCTTGACCATGGTCAACTGGTGTGTCATTGCACCGAGATTCGCCCGCAGACTGGCCCTGAGCCCCAATCCACCCCGACATTCTGGGGATATTAAAAATGAGAACACTTCCAACTCAGGCCTCTATCCAGGGGCCTCCTTTAAATGCCTTTCCCCCGAATTCTGCTCCAGTAAATCCAGGCCAGCCACTCCAGCTGGCCCATATATTTCTAAAACCCTCGTGCTAGAAGCCTTAAAGATCAAATTCCTCTCTCCACATGCTGCAGAGGCTGAGATCCACATGCTTCTCCACCTTCCCTCCTTTCTAGTCTCCTGTCATCACTGCCTCTGACTGAAGGCACTGTCACCTGCTGACAGGGGACAGGTCAAGAGTGGGAGCTGAAAGCCATCGGTGTCCTTTCAAAGGGGCTCTGCGGCTCTTCGTAATTTGTGCTTTTTGTTCTTTTGTGAGGGAACAGGAAGCAGGGCCTGGAAGTCAAAGTGTAAAAATAGCAAGGCGAAGAGCCCCACAAAGTCTCTCTTGTGCTGGGAGCCTCTTGGGCCAAAAGCAATACTTGGCCTGAGAACAAGCCCATCTGTGAGCAGCAAGGACCGGCTCCTTCCAGCCACCTCAGGCGCCAGGGCTAGGGGCCTGGCTTCTGAACAAGGACCACTCCCGGGTGGGGCCAGTGTGTGAAGCAAACCCACTTCTAATAACCCTCTTCCCCCTAGGCTCACCTGCAGAAATCCAAGGGTCAAATGAAAATAGATTTGCTTCTAGCAGCAGCTGGAAATTTCCTCTCCTGCTGCGGAGGGCACAGGAAGGAGGAAGGGGTGAGCTGAAAGTCTAAATTTAGCAAGGTCTGTACTACAGAGCACAAGATTTCCCTCGGGTCCTTAGGAAGGCAATCGCTCCCTTCCCCAACATTTGTGCACCCAGGGCTTTGGGTGTGAAAGGCACGGGGTGGAGAGGAAAGAGGGAAGGTGGCTTAATTAATTCAACAAATGCTTCCTGTCTACTCTGTGCCAGACACTGGTTTAAAGCTAGGGGTGCAGAGGTGATGACAATAGATGGGGAACTGCACACCCGGCCTAAGACACTAGTTCTCAAGCATGAGAGTCACCTGGAGGGCTTGTGAGAACGTACACTGCTGGGGAGCCTCGGTCACTCTGGAGTGGGGCCCAGGAATCTGTATTTCTAACAGTCCCCACTTTTGAGAACCACTGGCCTAGGAAAAGAAAAGGTACTCATTCTTTTCTCTTTTTTGAGATTGAGTCTTGCTCTGTCACCCAGGCTGGAGTGCAGTGGCACGATCTTGGCTCAGTGTAACCTCTGCCTCCCAGGTTCAAGCAATTCTCCTGCCTCAGCCTCCCAAGTAGCTGGGATTATAGGCACACACCATCACACCCGGGTAATTTTTTGTATTTTTAATAGAGTCAGGGTTCCACCATGTTGGCCAGGCTGGCCTTGGGTGATCCGCCCGCCTCGGCCTCCCTAAGTACTGAGATTACAGGCATGCACCACTGTACGGCCAGGTAGTCATTCTTTTCCATCAAACTCTATCTAACTACTGGGCTCCACAGAAGAAGAAATGTGACGTGTGTACTCAGTCATTCATTCATCCACTTACTCATTCTTCTGTACCGATGACCTCCTATAAACGCCAAATATTATTTAGAAGCTGGGAATACAGCAATAAATAAGAGAGGCAAACAATCATGTCTGGGGATAGGGTGGGCTATTTAAGAGGATGTCTGGGAAGGCCTCTAAGGGAGTGAGGTCTCCCTAAAGTAGGAGAAGGAGCCAGCCTTGGGAAGGGACAAGAGAACAGCATTTCTGAAAGAGAGAACAGCATTTCTGAAAGAGGGAACAGCAAGGGCAAGGTCATGTGGCTGGAAAAAGACTGTATGTCATTACAACAGAAAGGTCACTCGATTAGGGGTGAGAGGTCTGTGATAAGGCGTAAAGCCCCACTGGCTAAAGATTCATCCTTTATGCAAAGGATTATCTGAAGCTATTATGTGATGTGATTTGTATTTTGAAAAGATCAGAGGAATAATCTGCACAATGTTCCCATTCTTGAAGGGATCTTTCTGATCTCTTACAAAGTCTTAGTGGCAGCTGCTACTACTGACTCTTTGGAGCAATGTTATTCTCGACGGAGCTTAACGCTTCAATCCAAACTATTTGAATTTAGCCTTAAAACTCTTTTTCAGGCTGGGCACAGTGGCTCGTGCCTGTAATCTCAGCTACTTGGGAGGCTGAAGTGGGAGGACTGCTGGAGGCCAACAGCTTGAGGCCAGCCTGAGCAACATAAAAAGATTCCATCTCCCTCCCCTAACCAAAACATATTTTTCTTTTTCTTTTTTTTTTTCTTTGAGATGAAGTTTTGCTCTCGTTGCCCAGGCTGAATGCAATGGCATGATCTCGGCTCAATGCAACCTCCACATCCTGGGTTCAAGTGATTCTCCTGCCTCAGCCTCTCGAGTAGCTGGGATTACAGGCGTGTGCCACCACGCCCGGCTAATTTTTGTATTTTTAGTAGACAGGGTTTCACCATGTTGGCCAGGCTGGTCTCGAACTCCCGACGTCATGTGATCCACCTACCTCGGCCTCCCAAAGTGCTGGGATTACAGGTGTGAGCCACCACACCTAGCCCAAAAAATATTTTTCTGATCACACGGTGGCCCTCCTCTTTTGCCTCTCTCTTTTTTTCTCTCTCACTACTTAGTCCCTTTATTTTTTCTGGCCCAAGGTTTGTGTTGTCAGAATATAGCAAGCAGGGCTCTTCACTTCCTCCAGCTTCACCACCAACTTTGGAAGACAATCAACAGCCCAGAGCCAGGACTCTGGGTTTAGATCATGAATAGGTTTGCTGAGGGTTCCAGGCAGCAAACAGAGGCTGCTTAGAATCTGAGGTGAAATTGTCTTCAACCAAAGGAATCGGCAGAAACACTGACTATGGTAAGAAAGGGACAGGCCCCAAAGTGTCCAAAATTTGGGAGCGCCCAGAATCCTGACCCACTGGCCTGCTGGAGGGGAGGAAAGCCTGCCTGAAGAGTTTCAAGGCCCTTATACTTCTTAATATGTCTTTCCAAGACATAATTTAGGTCTTGAAATGTCTACCACAGCCTCAGAAAAATTACACTTTGTATTCAATTGAACTTCCCTGTGGTAGCATTATTTTAACAGTTGTTTAAAAAAAAGAAAAAAAAAAACCTTAACAGTTCTGGGAGTGTTAATTCCCTAACACCTTTCCCCATATTTTTCATTAAAAAATTAATGTTAAGATTTCTGAGTATCTTTGAAATAGGAAGCTATTTGTAGCTGAGGATTTTTCTGTTGAAGATTCTTGAGTAAATATTCCAAGAACTCAATACTTAAAAGGTCCTTAAATTTGGGCTTTTTAACATTACATACTTTGTCTATTTTTATCAAGCATGTTGGCATAAAATCAACACAAAAGTTTCTTAATTTAAACACATGGAGGCATAGTCTCTGCTGGGCTTACTCAACTACATTTTCTCGGGGCTGTATTACTATCAGGAACAGGAGCTCTGTAGCCACACCAACAGCCTGGAATTGAATCTAGCCCCGATGCCTGCTAGTTGTGTGACCTCAGAGAAAATGGCTTAAATTCTAATGACCCATCTGCTCTTTGTAAGACAGGACTGATTTCAGCTCCTACCTCACAGGGTGGATGTGGAACAAAGGCGGCGCAAAGCCGGGCACATAGTAATCACTCAGTAAATGTTTATTATCATTAGCTATCAATTGCTACATTCATATGTGGCTTTGGAAAAAAATATTCTGTAATTCAAAACATTTTTTTAAATGCCATCAACCACAGTGTATTTCTTCATTAAAAAAATATGATTTCTGAGAGTCTGCAACAATCACATTTTTTTTTATTAAAAAGGTAATTTGTACTTAGATCAAGAAAACTAGATAATAACACTGGCCACCCACATGTCAATTTAGAAATGATGTATCATGTGAGAACACACTTGTTTGAGTACATCATGCCTCTTTCATTAGCACGTGGCTGTTTTCTGTCATGTAGTTGAGCCCTTAAAGAAACAGAAAGGAAGTTAGAACAAAATAGTTTAAATCTGTTTTCTATTTAAGACATTCTTGATGGGGGACTGCTTCTGCTCCACCTCATATTCCTTTTTTTTTTTTTTTGAGGCGGAGTTTCGCTCTTGTTGCCCCGGCTGGAGTGCAATGGTGCGATCTCGGCTCACTGCAACCTCTGCCTCCTGGGTTCAAGCAATTCTCCTGCCTCAGCCTCTCAAGTAGCTGGGATTGCAGGCGCCTACCACCACGCCCGGCTAATTTTTATAGTTTTAGTAGAGATGGGGTTTCGCCACGTTGGCCAGGCTGGTCTCGAACTCCTGACCTCAGGTGATCTGCCAGCTTTGGCCTCCCAAAGTGCTGGGATTACAGGCATGAGCCACCACACCCGGCCTCCACCTCATATTCTCATAAAAGTATGCAGATAGGATATGATCAGAGGTTGGTAGAAGATAAAAGTATACATCTCCGTTCATAGACTATTAACCAAAACCAAACACAACATAGTCAGGAGGACTCTGCATACAAACTTAAAACTAAAAGGCATGAAATGTAAGCAGCTAAAAATTACCTAGAAGGAAACTCTGTATTTGTAAATATTCAACCATCCATCGGTCCATCCATCCATAAACTTATATATAATTAAGGTTAATCATATGACCTGGTTATAGAATATTTTAGATGTAGTAAAATATTTTAATATTTTATCACTGGAATGTCTAATTCTAAATACCTCCACACAGAATAAAACACGTATTTTCTAACTAGTGATATTAAAGTCTTGAGATGAAGTATAACCTAAGAACACTATTTCCTTTTAGAGTGTGCACATAGTATACAACATAGCACTACTGAGAACCTCAGGCTTAAGGGTGCTCCTTCCAAAAAAGCTTAATAAAAACTTAAAATCTGAGTGAAGATTTGTATTTTACTTTAAGAAAACTAGAGACAATTATGGTAATCTCAATTTTGTTTTCTTGAGAAGTACTGGGAAAAAAACTGCATTGAGATCACAACCCTTAAAAATCCAAAAGCCTAAGCATAATAATGAAAGGAGAATGGGTGTAGGTGAGAATGGTCTTGAAATCAGCAATTTTTGATAATCTTCTATCTCTCTCCCTTTCTTCCTTTTTTGAGACAGGGCCTTGCTTTGTCACCCAGGCTGGAGTGCAGTGGCATGATCACAACTCACTGCAGCCTTGACCTCCTGGGCTCAAGCGATTCTCCTGTCTCAACCCCCTGAGTAGCTGGGACTACAGTTGCCCGCCACCATGCCCAGCTGATTTTTAAATTTTTTGTAGAGATGGGGTCTCATTATGCTGGCCAGGCTGGTCTTGAACTCCTGACCTCAAGTGATCCTCCCGCCTCGGCCTTCCAAAGTGTTGGGATTACAGGCGTGAGCCGCTGCACTCAGCCTTAATTTTTTATAATTTTAAAAAGTAGAGATCACATCATATTTAGATAAAATAGCTAGGCAGGCTTTATTACTTTCTCCTCCAGCTGTCTGCCTATCCCACCCACCTAATGAGTGACAGCAATACAACCTGTTCAATACCAGGCAGGATTTATTTAGGTTTGGCAGGAAGACTACCTAGTCACTCGTCCTAACCACAGTATTCCAGAAAGATCTATGATTATATGGACATTAAGCTAAGTGTAACTGCACAACATCATTCAGAGAATGTGCCCCGCTGCCACATCCTCTGTCAACCTAATCTTTCAACTTAATTTTATTCTTATTTCAGAGTGAGCAGCAGGAGAAGAGAAGACAAAATACAACCAGGGGCATGAATCTTTCTTTGGCTTCCATACAATTAAACAGAATAGAATTACTAGTGGCATCACACTCTTTCAAGGTAGGCAGGTTTGAAAATATATTAAATGGAGACAATTTTCTTTTCTGTTATTTTGGCAGGATCTTCAATATGCTTTTCTCTCAGAGCTGCAGTCCTCTGGCTAGTATACAACAGCAACGATCACAAAATGGAAGCTATTTAGAAGTGGCCTTGATCAACTCCAACGTCATTATTCTTCTAAATGGTGGCATGCCAGGACTTGATTTCCCACTTAAGTTAGATACTTCAACAAAAGATCATTATGGAGAATTTGGGCAATTGACACAGTATTCAATGACAATTTGGCCTTTTATCAGCATATTACAATTACAAGCTGAAGTGGGCGTCATGTTTTGTAAAATCCAAATCTGTGTGTGGGAACATTATTATACTACACTCTCATAGATTAGAATGAATATTATATTATACATATGCATAAACCATATACATTTTATTTCTGATATAAGAACTATAGCATGCACTTCCAGAGCACTACAGGACTTCCAAAGAGCTATAATTAATCCAATCTCACTTGATCCCACAAAATCTTGCCACAGATGCAGAGCAGATATTATTCCCATTTTACTAAAGAAACAGATTTCAGCAATGTTAAATAACTTGATCGAGGTTAGGAAAATGCTTATCATTTGGCTGCAGAAAAATCTTGGTGTATTTTTATTTGGGAGCCATCCTATTCGTTAAGTGTATTTTAAAGGTTAAGTGCCCTTAAAAAAATCAGTAGAACGGAGGTAAATTGTTCAGCCTGTCAGAGTGGTTAATGGACAAGCTTTAATATTTGATGTAAAAAAGGATTTTAGACTATGGATGGGGAGGAGGAGTACAGAGAAAAACGTTTTTCTGAGATTATGTTGTGAAAACATACTTAAAGGGATCAGAGTAAAAGCTTCTTTCTTATTACTCCTCTCAGTAATAAGAGGAGTACCTCTACCTACATTAAAAAAAGAATTTGAGGCAGGCTATATAAAACATATAAATATATTTCAGTCAATAAATAACACAAGAGAATAGACCCATGGGGTTAAGATATTTAAATTACTGGTCAAAAAATTTACAAAGTTATATAATAAAAGAAGTTCATCAAAAACAGAAATTTTTTTTCGGGTTTTTTTTTTTTTTTTTTGAGACGGGGTCTCGCTCTGTCGCCCAGGCTGGAGTGCAGTGGTGTGATCTCGGCTCACTGCAAGCTCTGCCTCCCGAGTTCACGCCATTCTCCTGCCTCAGCCTCCTGAGTAGCTGGGACTACAGGCACCCGCCACCATGCCCGGCTAATTTTTTATATTTTTAGTAGAGACGGGGTTTCACCGAGTTAGCTAGGATGGTCTTGATCTCCTGACCTTGTGATCCGCACACCTTGGCCTCCCAGAGTGCTGGGATTACAGGTGTGAGCCACCGTGCCCCGCCACTTTTTTTCTGTTTTTGATGTTCATCAAAGCCAGTGTTCATCAACAGCCAGTCTTTCCTACAGCCATATAAACTTTTAGTTGGAAACATGGCCACCCGATATAAACGCTACATTTCCCAGCCTCCCTTGCAGCTAGGTGTGGCCATGCAAGTAAATTCTAACCATTGAAGTGTGAGCTCAAGGACTGTATGGCAATTTCCAAGAGCCCTCCTTTAAAAAAAAAAAAAAAGCAGTCGGGCATACTTTTTCCTTCTGCCTGCAACAGAGATGCTGCCTTGGACTATGAGGACATAGCCTAGGGACAGCAGAGCAGGAAGGCAGAAGAAATTTGGTTCCTGAGGTCTTTGTAGGGCAGAGCCATCATATTAGTGGACTGCTACTGCCAGGCTTCTATGTGAAAGGGAAGTACATTTTTATTGTAATAAGTCACAGTTATTTTGGGGTCTTGTATTACTAATAGTTGAAATTCATCCTATTTCATTCATCTCACAGCAAAAAACTAAATTCCAGGCCTAGTCTAGGAAAGAAACAGCTTCTAATGGATTAGCTTTGCAATCTCCTATTCAAACACAAACATATAGACATCTAAATTATAGAGTTGGGTTAAGAAATTGGAAATCATCATTCTCAGTAAACTATCGCAAGAACAAAAAACCAAACACCGCATATTCTCACTCATAGGTGGGAATTGAACAATGAGATCACATGGACACAGGAAGGGGAATATCACACTCTGGGGACTGTTGTGGGGTGGGGGGAGGGGGGAGGGATAGCATTGGGAGATATACCTAATGCTAGATGTCGAGTTAGTGGGTGCAGCGCACCAGCGTGGCACATGTATGCATATGTAACTAACCTGCACAATGTGCACATGTACCCTAAAACTTAAAGTATAATAATGAAAGAAAAAAAAAAGATGTAAAAAAAAAAAAAAAAAAAAAAAAAAAAAAAAAGAAACCAGTTTCCTGATTCTCATCTGGCCCAAGACTCCTTCTGAAACATCATATTGTTGGAATATAACTTCATCGGTTATGATTCATTCATTTTCCACCACCCACCAATCCAAGCATCTTAACCTCATTTCCAAGTATTGTCAAAAATGCAGACAAATGCAGACCAAATGCAGACACTGCATTGGGCTTATTTTTTCACAAACTTCAAGAAATACCTGCAGGATTCAGCCAACCACAAGCAACATCCAGTCATTAATCTGACTCAAGGTTTTCAATTTTTGATCTATGCCATTCTCCTCCTCAAGACCCTCCAATTCTAGGTCAAGAGAGGAAAGCAAACGTTCTCTAGAGGGTTAACAAAATGGCAAAACCAATTAGCTGCCACACACCTGTGGAATAGCTTGGTTTTTCTTTCCCAGCAATGAAAAAGTGATATGCAGAGCTCTGAGTTTTTCAAAGATGCAGGGGCTATTGACAGAAAGGAGGCAGGGGTATTTGTGGATCCCATCTGCCAGGGATGCATGTATAGAAACTGCCATTTTTTTTAACGCTTCTCAAAAATAGAATCTAGCATAAGACAATATTAGGTAATTGAGCCAAAATTCCAGGAAAGAACCAGTAAATGAAATAATTATTCTCAAAATTTTCAAACGATAATTCATGCTCAAAGTTTAGAAGGACATCCTCCTTTCTGTAAAGA
This sequence comes from Homo sapiens, assembly GCF_000001405.40. Lineage (NCBI taxonomy): Eukaryota > Metazoa > Chordata > Mammalia > Primates > Hominidae > Homo > Homo sapiens. The sequence goes on from NC_000004.12 coordinate 40,962,401, forward strand.
TGAGAACACAGAACTATTTGGTGTCTAAATTGTGAATTCTCGGTTGCAAAATGTTCAAAAAGGTCTCTTATCGATGCTATTAATCACAAATTGAACAGATCTAAGTTCCTTAAAGCAAAGACCAGACTTCTTGTTCTTTTTACTGTAATCAACCAAGGTACCGCAAACATGTCCCATACGTCATAGGTGGGCAATGTAAGTTTTCTGAATATAAGAGAATGTATTTAGGAGTGGTCCCCTTTTTTTCCTATCTCATTCTGAGAAACTACAAAGGTTGCCTAGATAGTATCTATATGAATGGGAAAGAGGAGGACAAAGAAGTGGGGGAAGGGAGGGAAGGAGGAAGGGAGGGATTCAGGTGGGGGTTGGGGAGTACATATCACCATACAGCCTGCCTGGGGAATCTGAGTCCTCCTTTGCTATGACATCCAAAAAAGATTCAGAAATGCTGTTTGCTATTTTTTATTCACCCACAAATGTACCAGTTAACCCACTAGGCCTCGAATTCCAGCCAGTAGCTAAAATTATTTTCCTATGAGAAAAACGCTCTTGAAGCGTTAGAGGTTTCTTATCTGCAGGGTCTCTGGGAAGGTTTCCAAATTTGTTACACTACAGAAATACTTTGGTTCTTTTTTTCCCCTTCCTCATTGCAAAATCTAAGCCTCTCGCTTGTGAAAATCTTGATTTATACCAGGTTTTTGTCCTGGGCTAGCTCCAGTTCCTTCTTTCTGGATCTACTGGTAGTTAGCGTCCATTTGTTAATGATGGTCTTTCTGCTCTTGAATTCTGGCATGTTCTAAGCATCTTCCTCCTCAAACTCATTCCATTACTTTTTCTTTTTTTCTTCCTTTCTTTTTTTTTTGAGACAGGGTATTGCTCTCTGTTGCCCAGGCCGGTGGGCAGTGGCACAAACATGGCTCACTGCAGCTTCAAACTCCTGGGCTCAAGCGATCTTCCCACCTCAGCTTCCTGAGTGGCTAGGACCACAGGTATGCACCATCACACCCAACTATGTTTTTTGATTTTCTAGCAAGACAGGGTCTCGCCATGTTGCCTAGGCTGGGCTCAGATTCCTGGGCTCAAGCGATCCTCCTGCTTTGGCCTCCCAAAGTGCTGGGATTACAGGCATGGGCCACCGCGCCCAGCCTCTATTACTTTTTCTATGAAAGGAATTACTATAAATGAAAGGCCTTTGAGAGAAGACTCTGCTCATCACACATAAATGATCCTTAGCTCTCAGAAGTGGGAATAGAGAAACATTCTTTGGAAGCAAATGAATCCGATGCTATATCAAAGTCTTCCTCACTGCTGACAAAAATACTGACAATAATCGCCTATTTTGGCAAACATCAGTGGGACCAAGTGCATGGCTGTGTCAAGAAGTTTGTCCTAGACAGCTGTTTGTGCTTTCTTCCTCATAGAAGAAAACACTGCGTGTCTTCCTGTGTTGCAGACATGCTTTGATGAATGAACTGAGTGCATTTACCCTTCTCTTTAGAAAATATTACAGTGGGAAGTACCCAACCATGGAGCCCAAAACAGAAAGGAATTGAAAGAAAATACAGAGTTTAAAAAATTTCCTTTGAAGAATGCAACAGTACAAGTTACTTTTAAAAGCAAGAATGCAGTTTCATCATGAATTTTCCATGGGCTTTCTTTTTGTTAAGGGTAATACCTTTTTTTATCCCTCCAACCCCCCACCAACTTTCTGCTTCCATGACTAACTCATTTAAAAAAAAAATAAATTCTGCTCTGCTGATAGAACAAGAACTGAAGATTTTCTTACTGTGACTAAAGGCTACATACACTTGTACTTGGCCCAGATTTCAACTGGTCACCCTGGAAAAGCTTGACCCTCTTTTGTGGCCACTGGGTCTGTTTGAGAAATACACCTACAAGCATTGAACTAGTAAGCTATCCCTAAAAAAACAGTCCATAACTGATTCACCTACCTGTCATCTGATTCAACCAACAATTGCAATGCTGTGTTTTTCACTGAGCAAAACCACGTAAAATTATATCCATACATTCATCAATAAAAATAAGATAAACAAATCATTTTTTTCCCCAAAAGAAGTAAACGACATACACCCTATGGCCCAGCAATATCGAGAGTGTATGCCACATGCCTTCTCATGCAGTTCAATTAGAGGAATGTGCGGGGTGCTCCCTGTGGTACTGGGAAAATGGGGGCAACCTGCAAGTCTATCACTCTACCAGGGGAAAGGTAAAATGTGTTGGATTCACAGAATGGAGCACCATCCAGCCACTGGAAACAATGCAGCCCATGTACACATAGCCTATGGATACATCTCCAAAACACAGTACACGGGGGAAAATACCCATTGAATAAACACACACACACACACACACACAACAATGCACATTGCAAGTATAGTTTTGAACAAAAAGTTACCCATTAAACACATTAGAATAGTAGCCGGTAGTGGTGGCTCACACCTGTAATCTTAGCACTTTGGGAGGCCAAGGCGGGCAGATCACGAGGTCAGGAGATCGAGACCATCCTGGCTAACACAGTGAAACCCCGTCTCTACTAAAAATATAAAAAATTAGCTGGGCGTGGTGGCACGTGCCTGTAGTCCCAGCTACTTGGGAGGCTGAGGCAAGAAAATTGCTTGAACTCGGGAGGTGGAGGTTGCAGTGAGATGATATCACTCCACTGCACTCCAGCCAGGGCGACAGAGCAAGACTCCATCTCAAAAAATTAAAAAAAAAAAAAAATGGTTGACTATGGGTGGAAAAACGTGGCAGCTAGGTAAGGAAATAACAGCAAGTAAACAAGTAAGTCCATTAAATAAGAGGGATGCTTTGCATGCGTGGAGCAGGGATGAAAATATATCACGAATTATGACATATAATTAACTGCTTACAATTTAAGTCCAAAACAAACTTGCATTTTTAGATTTATATATTTCCTTAACTGTAAAAATACTAATGAAAAGTCACCAAAGATACAGACATTGTTTAAATAATTATTGGAGGGGCCCAAGGCTCTGAAAAGCCCCAAGTTCTAGAGCTGTGCTGTCCAATAGGGGAGTCAGTGGCCACATGGGGCTACTGAGCATATTAAACGTGTCTAGTCCAAATTGAGATGTGCTGTCAGTATAAAACGCACATGAATTTGGAAAACAATAAAAAGGATATAAAATAATAATATTTATATGGATTCTATGTCAAAATGATATTTTTTATATATTGAGTTAAATAAAATAGATGATTAAAATTAACCTCGTCTATTGCTTTTTACTTATTTGAATGTGGCTATTAAATATTTAACATTAGGGATGTGGCTCACATTGTATTTCTAATGAATGGCAGTATTTTAGAGGCTTCCAGTGAGCCAGAGGTTCAAGAGAGATTCTTTTTATAAAATTTATTTGGAGCCTCAAATTGGAAGGTCCTGGAAAACATCATGTGGTCCCATGACTGGAAGGATACAAAACTTGTTCTGAATTAAATATTAAAATTCTAGGTAAGGAATGGCCAACAATTTTGAAGCACTCATAACGTTCTACTGCTCTCACTTTCAACACTTTTACCCTTCTCTAGAATTAATGCTGTTCTTTAGAAATTCAAGTCCAATCCTTGAAACTAAACACAAAGAATATCCTAATATAACTCATACTGAAACTATGATTTAAATTGGAAAAAACTGATAATTTACCAATATAGATGCACAAATATGTGACTTAAGCATCTACTACTGGGAGGTGTTTTTATAATCAAAATGACCTTTGTATTAACAATTTAGAGATTATATATTCAGTAATTCCTCCCCCCTCGTTCTTTCTCTCTGTCACATGTGTACTATTTTCCTCACACTCCTTTGTATGCACGAACTGCTATGTAGTAAAGGCTGCCACACTCTTTTATGACAAGATCCTTGCATTTTCGTCTTTGTGATGGCAGCGGTAGCCCATCTGGAGTGCTGCTATGATGCTGGCTGCAGTGGAGGAGGCATGGCCAGGGCTGTGGACTCCACCAGCCAGAGGGAGTTGGGAACAGGTGAATGCTGCCCCACCTTCCAAGTTGGAGGGAGGGGGGCACTACCCTCCTGGGCGCAGCTACAGCCACCCAGCTGCTAATGTGGACCCAGGCATCTCTGTACTCTTGGGGGCCTAGAAAGCCCCCTGCCCCTGCAGGCTCAGAAGTGCCTGTTCCTGCTGCCTGGCCTCTCCCCACTCCAATTTTGGAGCAGTTGTGGCTGAGCCTGGGCACTGTCACAACCTGGATGGGCATGTGCGTGCTTGAGGCAGTGCTGGCATACCAGCCCCCTGCTGCCTCAGCCCCCTCCAAACTTTGGGCACCAACAAGCACAGCAGAGAGGCTGAGGGGAGGTTAAGGGTGGCTCGGCACAGGTCTGCAGGCACCCCTCAGCATGAACAGCCTGGGCACCATGGGCACTGTGAATGGCAGGTTAATGGCGGCAGGAGGCAGATAGGCTCCTGGGCAGAAAGGGTCAGGTCCACAGTGAAACCGCACCTTCAGGCCAGGGACAACCAGAGGCCTAGGGGCTGGGCTGCCAGTTCCATGGACCAGGGTGAGAATTTATGGTGCTTTTTTAGGCCTGCCCATGGTCACTCATGGACCAGTCAGCATGCACTTCCTCCCCTCTGAAGCCCATAAAAACCCCAGGTTCAGCCAGACTCAGGCAGATGATGGGATCACCTGCCTGTGGAGAGGCGCTAACCCAGTGGGTTTCCTCTCTGCTGAGAGCTGGGCAGACAACAGGATGACCTGGCTGTGGAGAGGAGCTACCTACTGTGGGTCTCCTCTGAGCTGTTCTGTCACTCAATAAAGCACCTCTTCACCTTGCTCACCCTCTACTTGTCTGCATACCTCATTCTTCCTGGACGTAGGACAAGAACTCGGGACCTGCAGAATGGCAGGGCTGAAAGAGCTGTAACACAAACAGGGTTGAAACACGCCCCTTGCTTGCCACGTTGCAGGCAATGAGAAAAAGAGCTGCAGCCTTTTGGGGAGCCCAGGCCTAGGAGCTCCCTGAGCCAGGGCTATGACTCCCTCTTTGGGGCTCTGTGGTTCCTGGCATCTCCAAGCTTCTGGGCACCGATGCGTTTACTGGTGCCAGCCATGGAAGTTACTTGCAGTATGCCTGGTCCAGCCACAGCCTCACAGGGAGCCAGTACCCATGCCAGCACCTGGAGCTGCCTGCCCCACCACAGCTAGGTATGCCTGGCTGTGTGCAGTGGCCGGACCCCATGCTCACTCACACAGCCCTTGCCACTCGTGTCTGGCTCACTTTTGGCAGGTGTGGGATCCAGGCTAGAAGCGTGAGCCGAGTGCAGTCTCCCAGGCCAAGTGGGTGGAATGAGCCCAGCAGGCCCGAGCAAAACTCGGGCAAAGGTGCAACCAGCCAGAGGTTTCATGCCAGAAGAGCTACACCTCCAAGGATCCTGTGACATTTGTACCCCTAGCACTAAGCACAGTGCCTGGGACATAATGGTTAGACAACAGCTACCCATCAAGTGGAAGGGAGGGCTTTTAGAGGGGTAGGCTGAGATGCTGGGTAGAAATAGAGTCCGATAATTTACATTCTTGAGATAGCTTTTAAAAAGCATAAAAAGTGCCAAACACTGAGCAGTGTTTTCACATTTCATCAACAGCAGCAGCCACACTAACATTTACTGAAGTTCTGACAGTGTGCCAGGCACTGTTGTTCTAAGCACTTACTGTGTATCAGCAGCCCTTTAAGGTTGGTGTCATCTTCTCCCCATTTTACAGCAGAAACAGAGGAGGGAAGTAACTGACTACGGTCCCAGAGCTAGTAACAGTAGGCTGGGATTTGAGCCAGGCAGTCATATACCAGAACCTATGTTCCTGAGTACCTATTAGTCAATATATAAAATTGTATTTCAGAAACTGACTCCAGAAAAGTACAGTGCTCGTAGATGCATGCTCTGCTTGCTAACCTCCTTAACAGTGCCTCAGTCTACACTTTCCAGGGCCTCGCTTGGATTCAAAACTGGCTTTATGACTGCTTGTTGTGACTACAGTGCTTCCTCTAATCATACTACAGCTATTAATTTCTCATGAACATCCATTTCAACCAATTCTTGTTCCTCTTCCTGTGCAAAGTAAGATTTCCTTTAGAATGGCACTGCATGCAATGCCCTCTTCAATATGGCTTCTCCTCTCTTTGCCATCTCATTTCCTTATGCCCCATTCCAATCCAGTATCCAAATGGACACTCACTGGTCTCACAACATGCCTTACATATCTGTATCCCTGTGCCTTTGCTGGTCCTATGGGCTGGAATCTCCTGTTTTTCTATCTGACACTAAAACTTGTTCATTCTTCAAGGGTCACTTCCTCCACAAAACTTTTCCTAATCACCCACTGTTGAAATAAACCTGTTCCTCTCTTGATATGGTTTGGCTGTGTCCCCACCCAAACCTCATCTTGAATTGTAGCTCTCATAATTCCCACATGTTCTGGGAGGGACCTGGTGGGAGTTAATTGAATCATGGGGGAGGTTTCCCCCATACTGTTCTCATGGTGGTCAGTAAGTCTCACAAGGTCTGGTGGTTTTATAAGGGATTTCTCCTTTCGCTTGGCTCTCATTCTCTCTTGCCTGCTGTCATGTAAGACGTGTCTTTCGCCTTCCACCATGATTGTGAGGCCTCCCCAGCCACATGGAACTGTGAGTCCACTAAACCTCTTTTTCTTTATCAACTACCCAGTCTCAGATATGTCTTTTTCAGCAGTGTGAAAACAGACTAATACATCTCTGTACTACCATCTCCATTTAGAGACAAATTATTCAGGGCAAATTTCAACTTAGCATTATAGTTTCTAGTGTGACACACCCACCTCCTTTAGCTCCTACACCCTGAAGTTAAGGACCCTGAAGTTACATGTGTGAGATCCATAATAAATGCTTTTAAGAAGAAAATCTAATGAAAAGTGGAAGCTGTTTTTTGCAGGACTGTATGTACCACATTCATGAGTTTAGAATTTATTATACAGGCAACACAATGCTATCAAGAGTTTGGAGCAGGGAAATCCATATGTTTTCAGATTATTATTACTGACAACATAGACAACAGATGAGATGAATTTGTATAAGTGTAAAAAGCTATTTATCCTAACGTGTTCAAAAATTACATGTCAATAAGTGAAAATATGGAGCCAAAGTAACATATAATTATGAATTCTGCATCCCCATTTAATTTTGCTATCAATATAAATCAGTGATTAAAAACCCAGTCCCTGGATGTTTTAAAGAGTCCTTCCTCCCAGCGTGTAACTGTTGTCATGACAACATGACTTCCAGCTGTATCTCTGTGAACAAGCTTATGTTTAAAGGGAGAGGACAAGAATCAATCAGGTTAAATAAAGAATACATTGACCAGTTTTGGATTGTAAAGGGAACATGTTTCAACCCAAGGTTACCCAATATAATATCTTTAAAATCCCTTTAAGTAATAGAATCAGGCTGGGCTTTTTCAATCAATAAAATTGTGCTTGCATCTATATTCTTCACATATAATGATAACACATACTTAAGTGCTGTATAACAGCCCTGTAATTAGTCAGGGATTTTTCAAAACATATCCTGCCCTTACATGTATTGATATTACCCTAAACCTGCCTACGTCAGAGGGGATCCATCTTTTTTCTGCCCTCATCCTCATCCCTTCTACAGGATTGTTTTCTCATTAGGAAGCAACCGTTTATTCAAAGGAGATGGGGAAGAGGGATGAGGGCCCATTATCCTGGAAGTCCCTTAATCCTCCTACCCTCCCAAATCTTCTAAAAGTTGGACATCTTGGCATGACTATATAAATTAATTTGAAGATTATATGGGAACCACTAATTACTCCTTAATAAGGATCATGAATAAGTGAGAACTTGACTTAAACGTTTATGAACAAAATGAAAGACTTCCTTTCGCATGGCACTGCACTCGATGCCCCGTTTAGTATGGTTTCAATCTCATTTTTTTTCTCATTCTCCTCAGAATCAATTTCCTCATTTTTTCCAAGCATTGATTTTAGATTAACATTGCAACCTCTCCCCACTCCTCCTTTTTTTTTGAACCAAAGGCATTTAAACTAACTGCATTTGGGTTTTGTTTGTTTTAAGACTGAAGACAGCTTCATGCATCCATTCTACTTCAGCAATGGTCTTGCCAGTGAGACTAGAATGCTCTGACACCACGGGCTAGACTCAGAGTAGTTCTCCCGAGGGGTACTTCCTATCTCGGGACACATGAAAATGTATGGGAGTGATGGGTTCCCACAATGAGGCACCACTGGTAGGTAGAGGCCAGGCACACTAAGTGACCTGCAATGAGCAGGTCACGTTAGTTAAGGGTAACCCACTGCCCTCGTTTCCTGGAACCTGGCCAGTTTTAGCACTGCAAGTCCCACAAGCCAGGAAACCCCTCAGTCCCAGGCAAACCATCACCTTAAGTCCAGCAAAACCAAAGACTGTCCCTTCCCAAACATTGGAGGGCTTCCTCTCTCTCAGACAGTACATATACATTTGCCCCTATGTCTTCTAAGAATTCTCCAAGGTCCAATAACTAAACAGTCCCCTTCTGACTGTGCCATTTATTTACAGTTTATGTCTCAAGAGAAGAAGCATTTTCCTTCATACATACTTGTAACCTTAGAAGTTCCTAGTATGGGTGAACCTTCAAGCTCGCAATGATTCCTATACCAAGGCTATGAAACATCTTCTTATTGCTCAGTAGATTTCTACCGACTGATAAACTCCAGCAAAACATAACGGGGGCTATTAACACGATTCTTTCTTATGAGACTCGAACTCTAGGAGGAAGAAAAAAAATTAATCCTAAAATTTAAACATACTGAGAAACAAACCAGTGACTTTTTAAACCTGAATTCTCTTATCTTTCATCTCTTTCATTAATTTTTTTACAAGTAATTTCCTCCATTACTTTTAAGCTGAGAAGGCATGTTATAGTACTGACAAGTGCAAAAACTAAATTCTCTACTTATTCATTCGAATAAAGGACACAATAATTGAAGTGAGATCTCTAAGGATTACATTATACATCTTTATGCAGAAGCAGGAGGAGCTTTCTCTGGGAAAATGGTTATGTCAGCTGCTTTCCATTCTCTTTAAATTTTCCCATTCTGAGGCTATTAGATAACATAACCGCTCATGGCTTCTGCAATATTTTTCCCAGAAACGTTTTCCTTATATGGTCATCAAAGGAGCACTGATCTCTATTTAGCAATAGAACTTAAGAGGCCTGAAGGAGTTAATATCTCTAATTTAGTACTAGAAAATGTTTCAAAAGTAGAGAAAGAAAACCTATCATATATCCCCTTCTTTTGACACCTTTTGAGTCTTAATCTGACACCAGGTGGCAGATATTTTGCTTTAACATTAAAATTAGTGAAAGTAATCCCTTAAATTCTTGATCTACATTCAAACCATTGACTTATTAATAGGTATGAAAAGCCTATAGTGCATAATGAATCCTTTCATGTTCAGATTTGAGCTTCAACTTTAGCGCGTATCCTTACGGGACAATTAATTCATAAGAAGAGTGACCAGAGAAAACTAAAATATAATATTTGGTTTCAATCTCTAACATCGAACAAAAGTGCTCTCAACAAAAAATAAAATTCCCACAAATAAAAATCCACACTTAGATAAATTATAGACTATTTTTACTGCTCAATTTTATACAGGATTAATCCAACAATCCTTTAAAATAGCAAAATCCTGGCCGGCTGTGGTGGCTCATGCTTGTAATCCCAGCACTTTGGGAGGCCGAGGTGGGTGGATCACAGGGTCAGGAGATGGAGACCATCCTGGCTAACAAGGTGAAACCCCGTCTCCACTAAAAATACAAAAAATTAGCCAGGCGTGGTGGCGGGCGCCTGTAATCCCAGCTACTCGGGAGGCTGAGGCAGGAGAATGGCATGAACCCGGGAGGCAGAGCTTGCAGTGAGCCGAGATGGCGCCACTGCGCTCCAGCCTGGGTGACAGAGCGAGACTCCATCTCAAAAAAAAAAAAAATAATAATAAATAAATAAATAAAATAGCAAAATCCCTAATATATTTAATTTGTCCACTTTTATATACTTTAAGTCATCCACTAATTTTCAGAAACTCCTAAATAGTAAATACAAGGCACTCATTCATTCATTCATGTATTCATTCATCAGTTCATTCAATGCACATGTGCCAGGAACCAGGCATTGAACTAGGTGTTAGAAGTAAACAGAGGCAACCACACTGCTGACTTCACAAAGCTTGCAGTCCACAGGTGAAGAGTGGAATCCAGTTAGTAATTTCCAGTTACATTGTGTGTCATGAGAGAAGTAACGAATCCCATGAAGTTTTAACCCTAGTGAATACAGTTGGTGACATTAGACTATTAGCTCAATGAAGGCAAAGGATAGAGTCAATTTTGCTCAGTACTTATCCCCAGGGCCTGTCTAAGATTTGGCACTACAGTGAGTGCTTAATAAGAATTTGCTAAATGAATTCCACAGCCTTGAATCTTAGACTGCAACATAAACATTTCTAGATATTTTATATCCTTAATCAGAAGTATTTGTTGAGAACCAGTGGTATGTACAATAAACACTGTCTTACACATTAGATTCTTTCCTTCCCATAAACATATATTTGAATGACATATACATACCCCTTTTATCCCAAATGTGCAGAATATTCTCCAATTTCCCTTCCAGATCGACCCTCCCTCTTTTCCACCCTGCTGTGTATCCTGAGGTAAACTCTATGGACTACATCAATGAGCTCTCTTGGCAGGTTCGACCAATAAGAGGCTCAGCAAGTGATCAGAGAGCCTGGGAAAAGAAGGTCAGGATATTAACACCCCAGCTTCCTCTCTACCATGGCACAAGTTAGCCTGGACTAGTCAGGCCATCTTCTCAAATTCACAGGTGTCAATCTAGCTCTACCTGGGTTCCAAGAACTTTCTCTTGACTTAGCCCTTCAGGCCTGGACGTGCTAATGAAAACCTGCCGCTGCCAACCCTAGAAGCCTTCCCCATACCTTGGAAGTTTTTCTTAAGTGTGCTCTCACCCCTGTGTCTCACTGGAGTCATCACCTATTTCCCACCAGGTCTCTGATTCACACAGAAATGTATTACAGTTGTATTTATTTCCTAGGGCTGCTGTACCAAAGTATCACAAACTGAGTGGTTTAAAACAACAGAAATCTATCGTTCCATAGTTTTGAAGGCAAAAAGTCTAAAATCAAGGTGTTGGCAGGGCCATGCTCCCCTGCAAAACCATTAAGGAGGGATTCTTCCTTGCTGCTTTGAGCTTCTGGTAGTCCCAGACATTCCTTGGTTTGTGGCAGCACAACTGCAATCTCTGCCTGTCTTCACATATCCATCTTCCTCTGGATTCACCTGGCATTCTCTTTCTTCTGTGTGTGTGTCTGTCTCCAAATTTCCTTTTTTTTTTTTTTTTCCAGACAGAGTCTCACTCTGTCGCCCAGGTTGGAGTGCAGTGGCGCGATCTCGGCTCACTGCAACCTCCGCCCCCCAAGTTCAAGCAATTATCCTGCCTCAGCCTTCCGAGTAGCTGGGATTACAGGCACGCGCCACCACACCTGGCTAATTTTTTTGTATTTTTAGTAGAGACGGGGTTTCATTACGGTGGTCAGGCTGGTCTCGAACTCCTGACCTTGTGATCCACCCACCTTGGCCTCCAAAAGTGCTGGGATTACAGGTATGAGCCACTGCACCCAGCCAAATTTCCTCTTCTAAGAACACCACTAAATATTGGATTAGGACCACTCTAATGACCTTACCTTAACTTGATTACAGGTGCAATGACTCTCTTCCTACATAATGTCAGACTTATAGGTACCAGAGGTTAGCTCTTCAATGTATCTTTCTGGGCGGACACAATTCAACTTATTAATATAGTGAATGTACTCAGAGATACCAGAACTGTTTGAGGGTAGGGAGAAATCTTCACCACACTATACTCTCAGGTTTTAGCCCAGGGCCAAGGACACAGAAGGAGCAATACATGTGTGCTCAAACAGACCAACAAATCAGTAAACCAGTTAATAAATGGCATATACAGCTACTTTTTTAAAAGGAGAAAGATTTATAGTTTTATTATAGTAAACAGAGACTAAAAGAACAGAAGTTGCCTAACCACTTCTCTGTTATAGAATTATAAGAAGGGATGCTGAACTTACAGCTTGCCTATACATCCAATTTCAGGCATATCTAATTCCAATATCTCCATGAAGATCTGTCTGGAGAAGTAAACCTCTTTAATCTAACATGATCAGAGAATATCTACTGAACGACTCACTACTTTGGGCTGGATTCTAACATAAATTCTGAGAATACACAGTAAGAATGGCATACAGTCGCTGCCTTTAAGGAACTCACATTTCTAGTGGAGCCAAAGCAACCTTACATTACAAATGCCGAGGGGCATGTGCATTGATGCTCATTGATCATTTCTCTGCTTTATTAAAAAAAGTGCTCAAAACATGATTTTACTTACATACCCCTTTTATCCCAAATGTGCAGAATATTCTCCAATTTCTGCTACAACTGCTAACTGCTACAACAAGAGACACTTCAACCCTTTGTCTCTACCACTGCTAACTGACATGTCCTTTCAGCATTTAGGGTTTGGTCTGGGTCCCTCTCCTTCCTCCCCACCCCAATGCTAGGCTATCACTCCCTAATACCAGAGGGCTTGGTTCTATCAGCTTATTTTTTCTGCTGATCCGTCCTCCCACCATCCACTCTCTTCTAACCCACTGCAAATAATGTCTTGTCAACTATGAAACCATGTTAGAAATGTACATAAATCCGAGTAAACAGGCCTTGAGTAAGGGCCCAGAGAGTCTTCAATAAGTGAATTGAACGTGTTCCAGTATATGGACAACAGGGAATCTATCTTTGGTTTCTCAAAAGGCTTTCACCCTTTTTTTGGCTTCAAATTACTAATCCAGTTCTCCCCTCACTCCCCTGCACCACAGTGCTTTTCTATGTTGAGTACTAATCACAACCATTTTTGTCTAATTTTGTGTTTAATTATTGTCTGACTTCTGCAATAGAATTTCAGCTCCTTGAGGCTATAAACCTCATGGACGTATCATTAGCACAATCCCTGGTACATGCTGCACGTTATTAATAAATATCTTCCTCTTCTAACATTTATGAGTCCTTACTGCCCCAGGCACTGTATGAAATACTCCACATGCTTTATCTCATATAATCTTAGAGTTGGCCTAGCAAGAGAACCATCACGTCATGATGCCTTCCCTACAGTGCACACAAACAGCTTTCAGGTAAATAAAGAATTTAAATGTAGTAAGAAAACACACACACACACACACACACACACACACACACACAACAACCACTCTACTTTCCCCTATATAAACCTCATTCTCTACAAAAACAGAGAACAAATTCTCTACTGATTTCTTATTTCTTAACCCAGGACTTGGATTAACTGATTCTAGGGACTCTCATGAATACTTTCATTCTCATTTAATCCAAACCAGTAAATTTACATTACTCAAATGCTTTTTTTTTCTTTTTTTCCCCACACAATATAGAAATATGGAAATATTCAAAGACTTTTATTAAATGAATTTTTATCCTTCTTTCTGGCCAAAAATATTAGGAAAACTATCTGCAGTATGAAGATTTATACAAACTCATAAAATATTAATAATGTTTAAGGCTATTTTTGTTTCACATAAAACCTTCATTATTTCTCTCCTCTATAAAATTCAGTGCTACAGAGTTAATAGCATATAGAAAATTTACTAAAATTAGACTTTAATTTCAAATTATTATTTAGACATGAAAAAAACCAACAATGTTGAATATAAGCCAAAAATCCCAGTTTCATAGCAGCGAGTGGCAAGTTTAAAATGGTGCTTATTTTTAATTTTATGTGCAATGTATAATTTACTGTAAAAACTAAATCATATAATTAATGGAACTCACTATGAGAATTAGCTAAGATGCTAGTTGTTGATCTGACACCAGGGGGCAGACATTTTGCTTTAACTCTAAGGTTAGCTAAGGTATTCTAAATCTTTTAGTTAAGGGACTGGAGACCTTTCTTTGGGAATCATATTACCATAGGAATTTCCAACTTTTAAAAATTAGTAAAGTGCCTAGAGATTAAACAGCAGTTAAAAACACTTAACAGCTGTGATCATGGAGCCTCTGACCACTAATGTGTACTGAACTTCCTATGTGAGGGTCATCAATCTGTTAAGCAATAGATCCTAAACAGACACAGCACTGGGGCTCAGGAGCTTCCAGTCTAGGGCTGGAAGTGAACATTAATTTCCTATTTATTCAGATGGGGCAAGGTGGCTCATGCCTGTAATTCCAGCACTTTGGGAGGCCAAGGCAGGAGGATTAGCTTGAGCCTAGGAGTTTGAGATCAGCCTGAGCAACATGGGCAACATAGTGAGACCCCATCCTATAAAAAATAAAAAAAATTAGCTGAGCATGATGGCTCATGGCAGTGGTCTCAGATACTTGGGAGGCTGAGGTGGGAGGATCACTTGAGCCCAGGAGGTCGAGGCTACAGTGAGCTATGATTGAGCCACTGCACTCCAGCCTGGTGACAGAGACTTTGTCTCAAAAAAAAATAGATTTTCATTCAAATTATTAAAGAACTGAAATGGTTATTACTGATACAAAGGAAATGCACTGTCCATCTTCTTCACATACCTCACAGAAGAAACACAGAGCCAAAGAAGGCTTGAGATGAGGAAATATCTCAAAATGCAAAGCACCTTGCTAGATGCTGAAGGGCAGTGGCTCTCAACATGGAAGCATGTAGGTGTCTTTTATTTTATTCTTAGTAAATACTAATTAAGAAAAGAACCATACTGTAATGAATTCAATATAGTTGTTTTTTTTTTTTTTAAGACGGAGTTTTGCTCTTGTCTCCCCAGCTGTGCACTGGCATAATCTCAGCTCACTGCAATCTCCAACTCCCAGGTTCAAGCGATTCTCATGCTACAGCCTCCCAAGTAGCTGGGATTACCGGCACCCACTACCACACCCAACTAATTTTTGTATTTTTAGTAAAGACAGAGTTTCGCCATGTTGGCCAAGCTGGTCTCGAATTTCTGACCTCAGGTGATCCTCCCACTTCGGCCTCCCAAAGTGCTGGGTTTACAGGTGTGAGCCACTGCACCTGGTCTCAATAAACTTTTAAAGAAACTTGTGTTTTAATAGTCTCAAGAGCGTCTATATATATTAATATTTGAAAAAGAGTCACACACATATAAAACACATGGTGTACATACAGACTGAAATATCACCTGATTCCCAAGAGGTCCGAGGCTAGGAATGACTACAGTGTGTGACAGATATAAAAATGATCACCAGAAAGACACTGGAGACATTGCTGTCACCTCAAAGAGCCTTAGTTCTAATGGAGATAAAACAAATGTGCACAGGAGTTTCATATAAGATAGAATGTAAAACACAAACTCCAGCTCCAAGGCTCAGGAGGGTGTGACATAGTGATGTGGCAGGCAATCAGAGGCTTCATGGTAGAAGCAGTGGAAAAATGGTTCAGCAACTCTCGTGTAAATATAATAGAAATGTTCTCTTTTGTACCTACAACAAGGTGCTCATATAGAAGATGGAAGAAAGGGTGGCCAGAAATAGCCTATGCCTGGATTGTTTTCTTAACCTTGGGTATTTAGCCCACAGCATACTTGACAACTGTCAAAGATGTGGTGCCCAGACCCAAGTCAGCAAGCTTGCCCCAAATCAGGCAGCTATGAAACTGGACTAAGTCACATATTCTTCTAGTCACACATTCAGGCTAAGGACATTTGGCTCCTACCTGACCAGAGCCGTGGTCTCCATGCTGAGATATAACTTAAATTTTTATTTGGTAACAGTCACTTTTCAAGATAAATGTGCATCTACAAGATTTGTATTTGGTAACAGTCACCTTTCAAGACAAATGCATCTACCCACCTGTGAGGCCATTTAGTGAGACTGAAGAGGAAGCCTGAATACAAACCACTAGAGAAAAACACTGTCTTATCAACAAGATTTTACTCTAGAAAAAAAGAGAAAAATATTCAATCATATTTATAATTAAATTAGTATTTTTTTTAAATCAAGCATTCCTGAATATTTTCCTTGGGAAAAAAAAGCGTGGAAAATTACTTAACAAATGTCAATCCAACCGTCAATCACGAAAAGGGTTTTTTGCAAGGTAGCTGGATCATATAAGCTTTCTGTGGTTCCTTCCTATCCCTATCCTCAGTTCCACAGTTCCTTGACCATATGAGTCATCATGAAAATTATGAAGATTTTATACTTACAAATAAACAAGCAAAAGCTCATTTTCTCCAAGATTCCATTTCAGTTAGTAACTAATTCGTATACACATTAGATGAAAAATGTTCTAATTCAATACAATTACGGGAAACAAAAAAAATTGCTCATTAAAGTCAATGAACTGCAGATTAATAAGAGTACTTGGAACTCATGATTTTTTTTTTAAAAGAAAACTATGAGATACACAGGAAAAGTAATGATAGAAAAGGCCCTAATACTGGAGCCAAAGGATTCTCAGCCTTTCCTGGCTCCATGACCTTGGGAAGTTTCTTCCACTGAGATGGTTTCTCATCTGCACAATGAGTTCGGGTAACTTGATGAGCTCTGAGTTTTTCTAACACTCTCTAGTTTAAGAATCTGGAAGGAAGGCTATATACTTTTTTCTGCTTAACAACATGTCTCAAAAAAGCTGTATAATAGAATCTGTACAATTAATTTGAGATCTCTAGAAATTAATATTTTTATGGAGTTGCTAGCAACTAAAAGACTTGATGTCCAACATACAACAGACAATCTTTGGACACATAAAAGAATTCTAAGATGGCCCTAAGATTCCTGCATCCTGATGCACATGCTCTGAACAGTTCCCTCCCCCAACTATAGGCAAGACCTAGAAATATCCTATTGTGATTATGTTGCATTGTAAGGTGAAGGGATTTTACGTATTTATTTACTTATTTTTATCTCTGAATTCTGAGCTTCAAAGGATTTTACATATTTAATTAAGATCCATAGTCAACTGTTTTTGTTCTAATTTAAAAAGAGACTATTCTGTATTCTGGATGGGCCTGACCTAATCAGGCAAGCTCCTAAGAGAGAAGCAGCAGCAGATATTCCCATGCTGGCCCTGAAGAAGTAAACTGCCATGTACAAAAGGAGGCCACACAGCAAGGACCAAAGGGCAGCCTCTGGGGATGGAAAGTGAGCCTGGCTTATATCTAGCAAGAAAACAGGGACCTCATCACACAACCCCAAGGAAATGAATTCTGCCGACAAGTGTGCTTGGAAGAGGACCCCATGTCTCAGAAGAGATCACAGTCAAGGCTGAGCTCTTGATTTCAACCTGGTGAGACTCCCAACAGAGCATGCAGCTCATCCATATTCAGAGTTCTGACACACAGAAGCTATGGACGTTGTTTTAAGCTGCTACATGTGTCATTATTTGTTATGCGGCAATAGAAAACTAATATAAGACACCTAGGTTTTTTGGAACAAAACCAGGAACTACTTGCCTATTTCACCACTAGCTGGAATTTTCTTTTCTTTTGGAGACGGAGTCTCACTCTGTCACCCAGGCTGGAGTGCAGTGGCATGATCTCGGCTCACTGCAACCTCCGCCTCCTCGGTTCAAGCAATTCTCCTGCCTCAGCCTCCTGAGTAGTTGGGACTACAGGCGCACGCTGCCACGCCTGGCTGACTTTCTGGATTTTTAGTACAGAAGGTGTTTCACTATGTTGCCCAGACTGGTCTCGAACTCCTGAGCTCAGGCAATCCACTCACCTTGGCCTCCCGAAGTGCTGGGATTACAGTCATGAGCCACTGCGCCTGGCCCTAGCTGGAACTTTCTTAGTCTTTTCTAGTTCATGCATTTCTGGAAAGGATTCCCCATCTCCTCATTATTTCTTTTGCATCCACTTTGGATTCATTTACTTTTCTACAACTCTGGCTGGAGAGAGCAGCAGTAGCCAACCCACTATGGGCATGAGAGAAAAGGAAGAATGCCCACACAGGACCCACGAGGGGGCACTGCAGAGCCAACTGCAGAGCCAATGAGTGTCCAACTTGGGTACAACTGTTTGTTTCAAGGATGCATAATACCAAGGAGGGGAAAGTTTGGGACAGTGTCAAAAACAGTAGAAATTATAGCCCTAAAGTTAGATAGATCTCTTCTTTATTTTGTGCAATCTAATGAATTGTGCTTGTGGTCTCAAGGCTTAACTGCTGCACATGGGCATAAAATGAAATTTGAATTGTATAGCTTTGGGTATAAGGACCAAAGAAGGCAATAAGAAATGTCCAAAGGCACTATTTCCCCAACTCAGGCTTTTTCTCAAATCTATTCCAGCTTCCAATCTCTTTTCTTGACTAGGAGATATTTCAAGTAAGTTTCTTGAAGTGGGATGAGAGAACCACCTGCATTAGATTCATTTAGAAATTCTTGTTAACAATGAAGATTCTTGGGCCCAATTAAAGACCCCGCTGAATCAGAATCTCTCTGGGATGAGACTCAGGGAATGCACATTTATAACACACTGAATCTTCTGCACACTAAATCTGCAAGCCAACAATCTACCTTGGCCAAGCCCATCCTTTTATAAATGAAGAACATGAGGCCAAGTAACTTGTTTATAGTGCTAGGGTTAGCAAGAAAGAGAATCAGAATTAGCTTTGGGAGGCTGAGGCGGGCGGATCACGAGGTCAAGAGATTGAGACCATCCTGGCCAACATGGTAAAACCCCATCTCCACTAAAAATACGAAAATTAGCTGGGTGTGGTAGCACACGACTGTAGTTCCAGCTACTTGGGAGGCTGAGGCAAGTGGAGGTTTACAGTGAGCTGAGATCGCACCACTGTACTCTGGCCTGGCGACAGAGTGAGACCCTGTCTCAAAAAAAAAAAGAGACAGAGCAAGCCAGAATTAATTCGAATCCAGAATGATGTAAAATCTACTGATGTTGATTGGGAAGCTGAAAATGAATCAGTGTTGTTACATTTTCCCCACTAATATTCTCCTCCATTAGTACAGATAATTAAGCATTAAAGATAAAATGACTTCGTAGTGACAGCAATATGCAAACACATTAAGGAAAAAAATTCCACTTCACAAAGGTCTGTGATTAGTTCATTTGGGTTGTATGCATGGTCTCTGCTACCAACAGACAATGAGGCCACCATGATGATGTACCTCATGTGGTCTGCCCATACTCACTCCAATTGGAGCCCCTGTAATTCTTCCACTGCAGCAGTTACATTCTTGTTTGGGGGCTATGCTTCTCCTATACGCAGAACAAGCAGTAAAGTGGAATATGCCTTAAAATGCCATTCAACTTGCCAGGCACAGTGGCTAATGCATCCCAGCACTTTGAGAGGCCAAGGCAGTAGGGTTTCTCGAGCGTAAGAATTTGAGACCAGGCCAGGTGCAGTGGCTCCTGCCTGTAATCCCAGCACTTTGGGAGGCCGAGAAGGGAGGATCATTTGAGTCAGGAGTTCGAGACCAGCCTGGCCAACATGGTGAAACCCCATCTCTACTAAAAATACAAAAATTAGTTGGGCGTGGTAGCACATGCCTGTAATCCCAGCTACTTGGGAGGCTGAGGCGTAAAAATCGCTTGAACCCAGGAGGTGGAGGTTGCAGTGAGCCGAGGTCACACCATTGCACTCCAGCCTGGGCAACAAGAGTGAAACTCTGTCTCAAAAAAAAGGAAAGAAAGAAAAGAAAGAAAAGAAAGGAAAGAAAGAAAGAAAGAAAGAAAGAAAGAAAGAAAGAAAGAAAGAAAGAAAGAAAGAAAGAAGGAAGGAAGGAAGGAAGGAAGGAAAGAAAGAAAGAAAGAAAAGAAAGAAGGAAGGAAGGAAGGAAGGAAGGAAGGAAGGAAGGAAGGAAGGAAGGAAGGAAGGAAGGAAAGGAAAGGAAAGAAAGAAAGAAAGAAAGAAAGAAAGAAAGAAAGAAAGAAAGAAAGAAAGAATGAATGAATTTGAGACCAGAGACCAGCCTGGGCAATGTAGCAAAACCAGCTCCCAATGTAGCAAAACCCTTAGGAGGTCAAGGCAGGTGGATTGCTTGAGCTCAGGAGTTCAAGACCAGCCTGGGGACCACAGTGAAACCCCGTCTCTACCAAAAATACAAAAATTAGCTGGTCTCTACCAAAAACACAAAAATTAGAGGTGATACACACCTCTAGTCCCAGCTACTTGTGAGGCTGAGGCGGGAGGATCACTTGAGCCTGGGAAGTTGAGGTTGCAGTGAGCTGTGATCACGCCACTGCACACCAGCCTGGGCAACAGAGACCCTGTCTCAAAAAAAAAAAAGAATATCAGAGTTCCAAAAGTCCTTTCACTTATCCAAATGCAGCAAGTACAAAAGTAGCAAACCATTCCCCCTCAACATGTGACAGGCTCCTGCCATGTACCTGGACTTTAAGGAGTCACTCTGTCCTCTCTAGGGAACTGCGATGGCCCTTTGTCATGCCCTTCTAGCCTGACCTGCAGGGTGAAGGTGGATAAGTATGAAGGCAGACATGGGGGACCCATTACCTAGATTTGGGGCTATGAAAATACTAAGCAGCTGACATTTTATTGAGCACTTACCATGAATTAACTAGATGCTGTTCTAAGTACTTCATGTCTATTACTCATTTAATTCTCAAAATTCGCCATTTCACAGTCCAGGGAAATGAGGAACAGGGAGGCAAAGTGACTTGCCTCGGTTCATAGAAATAAATGGTGGTGCTGGGATTCAAGCCCAGGCAGTCTTGCTCCACGGCCTGTGCTCTTAACCATCACACTATTCATTCTCCCTTCAGAACAGACACCAGAGCAAAGATGATTTAAAAGTGTTCTTACAGTAATCTACCCTCACATCCATATTCTGAAGAGTACTGTTTCTCGAAAAAAGAATGAAATGCACATTTTTATAATTTAAATGTAAAATATTGGGAAATAGCAGATATTTCACAGAAATTCTCTTCCCTATCATTCTAGGAGGTAGGTAAATATTATTTCTCTCAGTAGTGGACAAAACAGCTAAAGCTGACTTAGTACAATGTCACAGGGAGTCCAAGTTTCTTAACGAAGAGTCCTGTTAATTATGACTTTTTTTTTTTTTAAAGACGGAGTCTCACTCTGTTGCCCAGGCTGGAGTGCAATGGTGCCACCTCTACTCACTGCAACCTCAACATCCTGCATTTAAGCAATTCTCCTGCCTCAGCCTCCTGGCTAGCTGTGACTACAGGTGCATGCCACCATACCCCGCTAATTTTTGTATTTTTGGTAAAGACGGGGTTCCACACGTCGGCCAAGCTGGTCTCGAAATCCTGAACTCAAGTGTTCCTCCCGCCTCGGCCTCCCAAAGTGCTGGGGATACAGGCGTGAGCCATTGTGCCTAACTTTTTTTAAACTATGGTGTTTTTGATCCCTGAATCATGAGGTTTCTTGTAAGGGAAAAAAATTTGTAATTGCAAAACTGCTAGTGAGTTCAATGGTTAATTAAATGATCCAAAGAGAATCCATCGTCAGCAACCATCTGGTTAAAGTGCTGGGGGTGGACTAATCCTCAGACTATGCAAAACTTGGTTTTGATCTTTAGAAGCAAAAGAAAGCAGCAGTGCACAACTACCTGTGCAAGGGATGGCCGGATGAGGTTTGGAAGCTGAGGGCTCATCAGTATACATACTGTACGACACAGACACAGAAACCCTTTCTCAGTAGAAGCAGGGCAATGGTTGTCATGGATGAAATGCCAGGAGCTGCACTCCTGGGAAGCTGGCCAGTGTCTGGATCGTTAACATTTGTGTGTCTTACAAAAGTTCATGTGACTGAGCCCAGAGTCGGTTACCTTTTGAGTGAGTTCAGAGTCTTCCTTCTACCTTTCAGGGAACTTAAAGGACTTAATTTCTGAGAAAAACAGAAGTTGATCATGGAAAATAAGCAACAATTTTGGGATTTTGAAAGAAGTTAAGTGGTCCCTGGCCAAAGGAACTCCTCCACCAAAGAAAGGAAGGGTGGGGGGTCAGGGAGGTCAGGGAGGCCAAATTCCCTGACACTCCCACTCAAGAACATTTTATTCTGTGAAAAGAATACAGGCCAGAAATGGTTTTCTGGTTCACCATGGAGTGATAAGCGTTCTTCTAGAGCTATCTAGGCCCCTGGAACCCTCAAGGAGTGGAGTAACAGCTAACAAGTAGCAAAGGGGCAAAGAAAAACTGCCCAGACAAAGCTGGGAATTCAGTGCATTGCTTATTCTTATTTATTTATTTATTTTTTGGTAAAGAATAGTTTGCATAAAGAGGCTGACATACCCCAGTTCTCATGTTGTGGGGAGTACATGAAATTAATTTTAAAAATACGTGGTACTAGATATTTTTTTAAATCACACCCTCTTGGTGAACACCGTATTTAGCATTTACATAACAGTTTTGATCTCTGTTGTAGTTACAGATGATTTTTTTTTTGAGACAGGGTCTCACTCTCTTGCCCAGGCTGTAGTGCAGTGGTGTGATCATGGCTCACTGCAGCCTCAACCTCGTGGCTCAAGTGATTCTCTCATCTCAACCTCTCAAGTAGTTAGAACTACAAGGCACCACCACACCCAGCTAATTTTTTTTTTTGTAGAGATGGGGTTTCACCATATTGCCCAGGCTGGTCTCAGACTTCTGGGTTCACATGATCCTCTTGCCTCAGCCTCCAACGTGTTGGGATTACAGGCGTGAGCCACTGTGTCCAGCCCCAGATGACTTTAAATTTTACGTTTATCTATGTTTCCTAACTTTGTCTTCAATGAGTATGTCTTTTCTTAAAAAAAAATGCAGTTAATAAATTAATAAAATTTCAATCTATCTATTTAATTATTGAAAAATAATTAAACAACCCAGTGGTAGGAAGCTATGTTTAATTGAGTTACCTATGGTCCATTTCAGCAGGATTATTTATTCTTAGTAGAAAAGTAGAGCTTTTCAGGCGGTTACATGAAGAACTGTAGGACCTAAGTATGCAGCAACAGAGAGCACAGGGCCAATTGTGGGGTGGCTCTGATGAAGACAAGTCTTTTCACGTTAGTATTGATTTCATTATCTTTTAAAACCCACTTTAGTTATATTGAATTTCATGTTCAATACACCGACTAATCCACAAACTGTAATAAAGGGGAAAACAAAAACCAGGTCCATTTCAGTCATTAGTAAAGGCAGATTTCTTACCAGAAACACTGAAATTAAAATAGTATTTTTTTATTCTGTTGCAATTTCACCACACCAACTCTCTAAGTATTAAAACAACAGAAAGATAATGACACAAAATTATCCAAATTTGAGTTAGAACAAAGCTGGGGAAAAAGATGAGTATCAGTAATTTCTAGAAAGTTGAGCAAAGCATTTCTAGATATAGGTCAAATTGGGCAAGAAAAACATCACTGATAATAAGCTTGCTGATCCAAATTATCTTAAGTACAGACTTTTTCAACTCCGGTAATAGGTTGTCCCAGAGAAGAAATAAGTGACACATAAATAACAAAAGAGAAGTTTTGTAAGGGCTCCTAGTTCTATTTGAAAAACCTTTAAGCTCCACAGATCACAATTTTCAAACTTCAATACCTGACCACACAAGAAAGCCAAAAACTTGAATTTGAGACAATCTTCTCAAGCTACTCCATCAACTCAAAATTATTTATTTCCTCCATTTATGATTCCCCTGCCAGTCTAATAAAATAGTAAGGCTAAAAAAATTCCAAAACAATCCAGAAGCAAGATATAACCAATGAAATACTGTACGTAATAAGAGACTACTTACGCTCTCTGGTTGTCACCATGCAATCCACTCCCAACTCATCTGCTACCAGCATCCTCCAGGTTTTTGAGCTACATTTCTCAGTAGTTTTCTATCCTTCTTCACATGACTCCAAAACAGCTTCCCATTCAAAGCAAAATAAACAGCTTCATGTGTAAACAAGAATTTAGTGAATTAGCCCAAGTAGAATCAGATTTTGTGTGGGAGAGTACACATAATGCACACATACTCATTTGCCTGGACATTACATTGCTGAAGTTCCACGTGCAAATGGTATCAATGCTTCCTTGTCTGGATGAGCTGGGAACGAGGCCACTAGGAAAAATGTGTTCATACTGAACTGCCTCCAGTTTGAAAGACACTGATGCAGGATCTGACTTACTCCATTCAAGAGCTGAGATCTAGAAACAGGGACATCTGGTCCTGGAATCTACTGCATTAATCCATCACTCATGAGTGCCACCTAAATAGCAAAGTCCCTTACACAGCCCTCGTGAAAGCACTGAAGAAATCATTCAAAAAGATCTTTATTTCAAATTGCTTGAATAAACATGCAGGTGTAAAATAATGAAAAATTATTAAGATAAATTTAGGAAACAAAGATTCTTTCCAAGGTTCTTAACCGTCAATACGGCAAAGGAGTACGACAGGAATGGGGGAAATTGATTTTGTGAAAGGCTATTAAAGAGAGTGCTATTCTCATCAGAAAGTCCCTCCCCTTTTAAAATGTAATCAATAATTTAAAGCAAAGCCAAAAATCATATCAGTTAAAAGGACCAGGACATTTCTTTTTGCACAGTATAGGAGGAAAATTAAATTAGTGTCTCTTAAGAAATTACTATTATCCTTAAGAGAAGTAGTAGGTAAAAATTTTAACTCTTTTCCACAGCTTGCCATTTTACTCACTTTAAAAGAAAGGGTTCAAAGTTAAACAATATGATACTAAGCATATCATCAAAATAATAATAAATTTCTTTTATTACTCAGATATCTGATTTCCTGCCAAAGTTTAAAAGATTTATTTAAAACTTAACAGGCACAAAACATACTTCAGCATTTGGCAGAAGTTGTTTTCTTTCTCAGTTTAGCAATTTTTAAAATGTAAAGTTACACAATCATCAGCGGGAAGGTTTGACGGTTTGATTACAAATTATACTGAACCTATTCTTCATTTTAATGTGCCTCGTTCTCTTTAAGTATTGATTTGTGCCTAAAGGATAAGATGGTCTATTTCATATTTCATTTTTTTTTAGATTTGACCTTTCAATCCAATGGCTAACTCTTTGAAATGTATTTAAAATTAGATAGTCATCTTTTCTGCAAAATGAAGGACTGCACACAGTCTCTGTGTGTCTAACTCTCCGAACTAGGACGTGAGAATTCTCATGAGGGTTCTGGTTGATGGCCACAAAATGGAAAAGGCAGAAGAGCTTCGGTAAGTAGATATGTACCATCATGTTTGTGAGTGCCCTGTTTCTAGAACTCTTTTAAACTATAAATGATTCTGTGAGCTATTAAGCCTCTCTCTAAGAATCTAGCAGATTCATCCTAAGCATGTGTTGAATGGTCACCTCTCTAGAATGGAGCAGAAGGGAATTAGAAAGGAGAGAAGGGTAAATAAAAGTTAAGGTCCCTCGAATGCTAAGATTTCATGGTCTTCCACCATATTAAAATGAGATTTTTATATTCAAACATTAGTGTTCACCAGATAAAATTGATCTCTCAAAACCTCGCTGTCCTTGTCTGAAATATACGAATAATTACAAGCAGGATTATTTTGTGAACTAAATGAGATAATGGAAATGATCAGACTGTTCATATGGTGAGAAACAAATGGTCACCATGACTAAGTGACTATGCCCCAAGGATAACTCAAAGCCAATTCTGTCACAAGAATTCCAAAGTCATATCAAAGCCACACACAATCCCAACAGCACCAGATCCAGACTTAACCCAAATGTGTTATTCCCATTGCACTTGTGCTGGAAGTCTTTATTTTGATGCATATGTACTTGAATTCAAGTTAATTAAAGTTTACTACTTCCCAACAACCCACTGTTTTGTTTTAAAATGCCAGGGGCTAGGCCAGGAATGGTGGCTCATGCCCTGTAATCCCAGCACTTTGGGAGGTGGAGGCAGGCGGATCACCTAAGGTCAGGAGTTCGAGACCAGTCTGGCCAAAATGGTGAAACCTTGTCTTTACTAAAAATACAAAAAAATTAGCCAGGCATGGTGGTGGGTGCCTGTAATCCCAGCTACTCGGGAGGCTGAGGCAGGAGAATCACTTGAACCCAGGAGGCGGAGATTGAAGTGAGCCAAGATCGTGCCACTGCACTCCAGCCTGGGCGACAGAGCGAGACTCCGTCTCAAAAAAAAAAAAAAAAAAGACTGTCTCAAAAAAAAAAAAAAGCCAGGGGCTACTATGCGGTATAAATATAATTAATATTACTGTGACGAATGATAAATAAATAATGAGTTTTCATTTGCAATCCAAAGTCTTTTTTTTTTTTGAGACAGAGTCTCACTCACTCTGTCACCCAGGCTGGAGTGCAGTGGCATGATCTTGGCTCACTGCAGCCTCCGCTTCCCGGGTTCAAGCAATTCTCCTGCCTCAGCCTCCCAAGTAGCTGGGATTACTGGTATGCACCACCGCACTCAGATAATTTTTTAGTAGAGACGAGGGTTTCACCATGTTGGCCAGGCTGGTCTTGAACTCCTGACTTCACGTGATCCACCCGCCTTGGTCTCCCAAGAGTGAGGATTACAGGTGTGAGCCACTGCGCCTGGCCCCAGAGTACTTTTTTTCTAGAATTTGCAATGTTCATAAAGTGGGTGAGAAACAAACTGATAACCTAACTCCCTCTTCCACCTCACTTACTGATACACAGTATTAACAGTCTCGTATAGGAGGCAGCTATCCCATGTTGCAATGCCTTGCCTCTTCCTATACTTTTCAGTGGCTTGGTGGCAAAAGGAAAAGCCAAGCAAAGCTCAGAGAGAATCGTTTTCCCCCTCAACTGGTCACTGATCACACTAGATTGAACATGAGAAATGGCTTCCAGAGGTAGATGCCTCCTCTGCAGAAAACGTTCATTTCCTGGGAGCAAAACCAAAATCTCTGCATCTAAAAATCTATGCCTCCCAAAATTATGGGCTTTATGTCACCACTTAGCTTTTGTAAAAACAATGTGCAGATGAGCTTAGAGGAAATCAATAAAATGCAAGAGTTTTTAATTTCCCTTGAGTAGAAGGAGAAACTACATTTTTTTTTTCCCAAATCCATCCCAGATGTGGCCAGTTTTCCAAACTAGCTACCTATTTGCTTTGTTAATTTGCTTGTTTGGTTATTTATTCTCTACTGTACTCCAATAAACAATTTATCATGATGTGCAGAGGTGCATGCACTGCACAGACTGATACAGCCCCCTACTGAGTCCAGGTCTCGCTGTCCCAAGCTTTAAGCTGATCTCTGTGTCATCCGAGCCTCGTCGGAAGGGGAATGTGTTTGTTTAGGGGCAGTGTCGCAGACAACATATTCATAGATTAAATATTGCAAACCAGACTTCCTAATCCAATGGCAGCAAGATAACAATCACTGGGTATTCAGGAAAAGCAACTCTGGGCCTCAAAGAGATCTTCAATAAACTGTCTGCTCAACTGGGAAAGAAAAGAAGAAAACTAAAGAGTACATATAAAACGCTAAAACTTATAGAGAGGAGCCTTTTATTAAATGATACCTGGGTTGCTGCTCCACAAGGGTTCTCAAAAGCGGGAGTGATACAATGTGGAAACCACCCAAGTGTCCATCCATAGATGACTGAATAAGCAAAACGTGGTATATACAGACAGTGGAATATTAATTACTCAGCTTTAAAGTGGAAGGGGTCTATGGCCATAAAACCCTGAACTTGCCAGATCTCATCTGATGTGGGAAGCTAAGCAGGGTCAGGTCTAGTTAGAACTTGGATGGGAGACCACCATGAGAATACCAGGTGCTATAGGCTTTCTCTCTTTCTTCTCTCTCCCTCTCTCTTTCTCCCCTCCCCTCTTGTCTCTCTCTCTCTTTCTCTCTCCAGCTGTTGTTGGACATCAGAAGAATATTCCAGTTGTATCCGGTGTCTACCGTGAAAAAAAGTGTTCTTTTTTGCAAAAGTGCCAGAAAGGAGTGGTGAGATTCATCCCAAGCCAATCATTTCTCATGAAAGACACTGTGCCATAACCGCTTTTCACACACACAAGAAAGGAGAAAGGGAGGAAGGCAGGGAGAAACTCAGCAAACAGCTCAGGATTTCCACAGCCTACCATTCCAAACCTTTCGCACTTCCAGAAGGCTTCTTGATGGAGTTGTGGCAAGCTCATGGGGGAAATGCTTCACCCCAACGTAACCCAGACCAAATATGCCATTGCACAGGAAGTGGGTGCTGAGTCCAAGTGTGTCCATATGAGCAAAGTAACACAGATTAAACAGTGATTCATTTCATACCAAACTGCATCCATCATTTTAAAAACTGTGTCATCATCCTACTCCAAACTGTATGTGGCATCTTCTCTTCCTCTTCTGCCAAGCAGAGCAAAGACTCTAGGTTACAGCTCATGAAGGTGTAAATTGGGTTGATATGCTCTATGGAGGCAAATGGAGGAAAAAGAAAGGAAGGAAACCCTGAATGGGGGTTGGGGGCAGGGAGGGGTAAGATTTACTCTGCTAACTACATAGATTTCTGGTCATTTTGGACTGAGTTTCATTTTTTTTTTTTTTGGAGGCAAGGTTTCACTCTGTTGCCCAGGTTGCAGGGCAGTGGTGCAATCTTGGCTCACTGCAACTTTCGTCTCAGCCTCCTGAGTAGCTGGAACTACAGATGTGTGCCACTACGCATGGCTAATTTTGTTGTGTGTGTGTGTGTTTTGCTTTTTTTTTTTTTTTTTTTTTTGTAGAAATGAGATCTCACCATTTTGCCCAGGCTGGTCTCGAACTCCTGGGCTCAAGAAATCTGCCTGCCTTGGCCTCCCAAAGTGCTAGGATTACAGGTGTGAGCCACCGTGCCTTGCTGGGTTTTGATTTTTAAATTTTTTATTTTGCTTCCTGGTATTGATTTTTAAAAGTCCCCTGGAAAATGCCTTGCATTTAAAAACCCTCACACCCCTTACGATAACCTATTCTGTCCCTAAAATTAAGACTATAACTTTCAAAACACTTTAGATGAAATTGTGCTAGGCCAGAGTAAGTGATCCTATTTATTTTTTTAAAAATATGTATCCAAAAAGTACAGGGGGAAAAAAAACCTATAGTGTTCTAACTATAGCAATTTCCTCCTGCTTTTATCCCTGTGTCTGAAGTGAGGTCATTTTTGTTTGTTTTTGGCAAGTGAACAGAGAAAAGAAGAAAGAAAAACACACACACACACCCTAGACTTTTCACCCCCTCCTCCTAAAACAGACACACTTGTTAATTTACAGCTTTGAAAATCATCTGGGTAGTTCTTCCATAATTCACCATCTTCCTTGGTTTTCTAGGATTTTTTTTAGAACCTTCAGACCCCAGAGGGCATTTCACTTGAAGATGCTACTCGTCTCATCCCTTCAGAAGGTGGGCTGAGGTTTCCTTAAGAATCTTCTATGAGAGTGGTCTGCAATTAGAAAGTTATAACAATTCTACCTGTGAGGGTGTTCTACAATCAGAACACTGCTCTCACTCTCCCTCCTCCTCCCCATCTCTCTCTCTCACACTCACGCACAGACACCACACACACCACACTCACACTGAAATTAAGAGTGAAAACTGTTAAGGCTAAAAATACTACAGAGAGAAAAGCATCTTTGCTAACACTTAATACTCAGAACAACTTTTTGAAAGTGAAAATGACGATGCTTTACCTGACTGATTATCAATGCAGCTGCCTTTTTTGTTTGTTGCTTGTTTTTAAGAGACAGGGTCTCACTCTGTTGCACAAGCTGGAAGCCAGTGGCATAATTATAGCCTTGACCACCTGGGCCCAAGTGACATCCTCTGCCTCAGCCTCCCGAGTAGCTGGTACTAAAGGTGCACGGCACTACACTTAGCTAATTTTATTTATTTATTTATTTTTGGTAGAGATGGGGGGGGGTCTTTCTATGTTGCCCATGCTGGTCTCAAACTCCTAGCCTCAAACTATCCTCCCACCTCAGCCTCCCAAAGCACTGGGATTACAGGTGTGAGCCACTGCACCAGATTGACACAGCTTTTTAGTTCGCTTCAGCAGCTATAGATTTACCTTCTGATGTAGTTAAACAACATTTTAGATACGTGCTGAACAGCAGTCTTGGACACCTCATTAATATGTAGTAAGGAAGAGAGCAAACCAACACTTGGAAAATTGTTCAATGAGGTGTGTGAAATGACTGGATGGAAACGCTGGTAACCCCTGGAAGTAACGCGGGAAGTATGAAGCCAGCGAGCAGGAGTATCACGAGCAGAAGACCGACCCCCGATGTCCAGGCCAGGGAGCTGCACCACCCTCAGGACCCATCACCTTCCTCACCCCTTCAAGTAAGACCGAGGCTCATGGGCAATGACGAACAAGCCAAACCACAGGGCCGGATGGAGATAGGCCGGCCTGCCATGTGCAGGATCTCTACGTTGTGAAACACTGTCTTCCTGCCTACTTGTTCTAGTCTACTCTGCTGCTTATCTGAAGTTATTTTCTGTTTGTGTACACAATCGTAGTCCCTCTTTTACTCTCTCTCTGTGCTTTTCCTTCAGTGGGAGAATTAATTTTCCATACCAGAATATTTATAAAATCCAATTTTTGCTGAGCCCTTACTACATGGCAATCACTACGTTCTGTGCCCCACATGTCTTGTTTCAGTTAATCATCACAACCACCCCACAAGGCAGAGACTATTATTAACCCTATTTGACAGAGGAGGAAACGTATGGTGTTAAGTGACTCAGCCACAATCATCCATTTAGTAATAGCACAGCTGGGATTTAAATATTCAGTGTTCATAGTGCAGTAAAGCTTATGGCACAAATTCCATTTTAGGGACAAGAACAAGAGAAGAGATTTCCAGTAGTTTAATTTCTGGAGCACAGGAGCAATTAAGAACTCTTCTCTCTTTTTTTTTTTTTTTTTTTTTTTTAACAAAAATGTTTTTTGAGACAGGGTTACCCTTTGTCTCCCAGGCTGAAGTGCAGTGGTGTGATCTTGGCTCACTGCAGCCTTGACCTCCGGGGCTCAAGGAGATCCTCCCACCTCAGCTTCCTGAGTAGCTGGGACTACAGGCACGTGCCATCATACCCAGCTAATTTTTTGTTTATTTTTTATAGAGATGAAGTCTCATTATGTTGCCCAGGCTGGTCTCAAACTCCTGGCCTCAAGCAATCCTCCTGCCTCAACCTCCCAAAGTGCTGGGATTACAGCATAAGCCATCATGCCTGGCCACTTCTACTTGATTCTATCAAAAACAAAAGAAAATATTATTTTTTAAAAGAAAATAAATGTTTTCCACGTTTTTCATTAAGGCTGTGATTCTTGTTAAATGTTAGCCAGATCAGTATCCATTATAATAGGAACACAGCACTTCAAACACAACAGAAGGCCCTAACTAAAGCAGTTCCTGTGTCAGAATCTGAGCCATGCTTCTCAAATGATGCATAGAGGAGGAAGTTAAAATGCAGGTTCCTGAGACCCACTACCTGCGTCTGAGTCTGTAAGGCACAGGTAGGGCCCAGGTATCTACATTTAAAGAAACACCTAGGAGAGGCTGGGCGCGGTAGCTCACACCTGTAATCCCAGCACTTTGGGAGGCCAAGGCAGGCAGATCACAAGGTCAGAAGATCAAGACCATCCTGTGAATGGTGAAGCCCCGTCTCTACTAAAAATTACAAAAAATTAGCCGGGCACGGTAGCGGGCGCCTGTAGTCCCAGCTACTCGGGAGGCTGAGGAAGGAGAATGGCGTGAACCTGGGAGGTGGAGCTTGCAGTGAGCCGAGATCGCGCCACTGCACTCCAGCCTGGGCAACAGAGCAAGACTCATCTCAAAAAAAAAAAAAAGAAACACCTAGGAGTTCTGATGCAGACAGACTACAGGCCAAACTTACTAGCTGCAACGAGATTTTCTCCAAGACTTGCAAATGAAGAAAATAAGATTGCTCTTGAAGTTAAAGTATGATAGTTGAATCAGTCAATGGATCAAAACCAAGAAATGGAGTAAGAGTGAGATAAGATGTCTCCCAAACATAGTATGACTTATCTTTAACTCAGTAGAAAATATTACTGTATCTTGGGCCGGGTGCAGTGACTCATGCCTGTAATCCCAGCACTTTGGGAGGGTGAGGTGGGCAGGATCATGAGGTCAAGAGATTGACACCATCCTGGCTAACATGGTGAAACCCCATCTCTACTAAAAATACAAAATATTAGCCAGGCGTGGTGGCACATGCCTATAGTCCCAGCTACTCGGGAAGCTGAGGGAGGAGAATCGCTTGAACCTGGGAGGCGGAGGTAGCAGTGAGTCAAGATTGTGCCACTACACTCCAGCCTGGGGCGACAGAGCAAGACTCCGGAAAAAAAAAAAAAGAAAAGAAAAGAAGAAAGGAAAAAGGAAGGAAGGAGAGAGAGAAGGAGGGAGGGAGGGAAGGAGGGAAAGAAATAAAGAAGGAAAATATTACTGTATCTTAAGAAAGATTGTATTGATCAAAAATGTAAGTACCTTAAAAAAAAAAGCAATCATTCCCTTTTCTCTGAAGAGGGACTCTTAGGCAATGCACTTCAAGGATTCTAGGTCCCAAGTAGCATCATCTCAAGGGAAAGAAGGACAGCGCGCCTCAGACTATCCCAGCCTGAGACCATTTAAATATTTGATTCATCCAACACCCCTTTGGCTGAAACCATGTTCCCCAAGCAAACAAGCTTATGCTTGGGTTTCCTATGCAGTTGAGTAATTATTTCTATTTGGAAAATAATACACTGGCATTGAGAATGTGCACTGAACATGCAGTACCAAGAAATCTAACACCTAGGAGAGTGGTAATTCTCATAACAAATTAATAGATTCTTATTTTGGCTCCAGTGTTTCTTATTTTGGCTTTAGTATTTCTCGAGAAGTTGATTAATAAGTCCATCCGTCAGAAATGGATCTTTTTTTTGAGACAGAGTCTTGCTCTGTTGCTCAGGCTGGAGTGTAGTGGCACCATCATAGTTTCAAATGCCAGGGTCAAGCGATCTTCTGGCCTTAGCATCCTGAGTAGCTGGGACCACAGGTATGTGCCACTATATCTGGCTAATGTTTAAAAAAAAAAAATTTTTTTTTTTTTTTGAAACAGACTCACTTTGTTGCCCAGGCTGCAGTGCAGTGGCACAAACACAGCTCACTACAGCCTCGACTTCCTGAGTTAAATCCTCCTACCTCAGCCTCCTACGTAGCTGACGCCAGCATGTGCCACTATGTCTGGCTAATTTTTTAATTTTACAGAGACAGGGTCTTGCCATGTTGCCCAGGCTGGTCTTGAAATCCTAGACTTAAGTAATCCTCCTGCCTCACCCTCCCAAAGTACTGGGGATTACAGGTGTGAGCCACCGTGCCAGCCCTTAAACATTTTTTTAACAGAAACAGAGACTCACTATGTTGCCCAGGCTGGTGTTGAACTCCTGGCCTCAAGAGATCCTCCTGCCTAAGCCTCCCAACATACTGGGATTACAGATGTGAGCCACCGTGCCCCGCCATGGATCTGCTTTTAATGCCTGGTTTTAGAGCCTCTTAGCTAGATTGTTGGCCACAGTTATTTCACTGAGGTTACATCTGTTGAGTGTCTCACTTGGCAGAGATTCTGAACATCAGTTTGTGAGTGCTCAAGCATGCTTGTCTTTCTACAAGTGGCCCCTTCACTTTACTGTAGAGAACTAGAAATGAGAGAAATGGGATGTGTCATCACTGTATTTGAGAGTTCATTGGTGAATGAGATATCTAGCCATTTTTCTAGAACTATGGCTAAGTTGAATTTAATATTTAAGATGAGGAAAAACGAAGACTGGTTAAACCATTATAAGTATTTCACTGTTTTTGTTTGTTTGTTTTGTTTTTTAAGGCAGTTCTCTAATAACACCCAATCTGTTTAAGCCACCCATGTTTCCACCCCATCCTCATCTGATCACCCCTCTGAATCTTGGTTAAAATAAAGGACATACACGAGTCCCAGACAGGGTGCAGAAATTTGGTGTCCAGGTGACAAAGTCTGAATCTCTCTGACTTCTCCCTAAAAACGACAACTCTATCTTGAGGATGTCAGTCCTTGGCTATTATTCCCACATCATCTCAACTGACATGTCTAAAATCAAACACATCATCTTTCTCCAACAATTAGCTCCTCCTCCCATCTCTACTATTTCTGAAAACTAACATTTTCTTAGTCTTCAACTTGAAAATCTGACATATTTGATTCTACTCACTCCCTCTCCACCCACATCCAATCAATCACTAAATTCTAGAGATTCATCCTTTCCTCTACTTCCACTCTATTTTTAAAACTACTAATCTTGTCCAGTCCTCATAATCTAAACAAATTACTGTAAAACTCTCATAATCACCTGCCTCCTTTTGAAACTGACCCAATTGTCCCACAGTGCTGATATTTATGGTTTCTTTGAATAAACATAGAAATTGATCCTCCCAGTCTTAAAACTTGAAAAAGTTACTTTTGTCTTAGCTGAGTTCCTTTTTCAGGAACTCAACCATCAAGCCTCCCAGATAGCATGAAGGAGCTGAAACTTACATGACCGCTGCATATGGACAATGAGATGCCAGACCCCTCACCCTCACCTATCATGATTGCCTATCCAACCACCTGCTTCCTGTTGACCAGCTCCTCTTCCTTACACCTCCCTAATTCCTGTTTTCCCACATGTGGTTACATTTCTTCCCTACTATATAAACCCCTAAGTTTAGTGTGTCGGGGAGATGCATTTGAGACTGATTTCCCATCTCCTCAGCTGCAGCACCCGATTAAAGCCTTCTTACTTGGCAATACTCATCTCATTAAATGGCTTTCTGTGCGTCAAGCAGCAGGTCCTAGACCAAACCTCTGGTGTTTCAGCAACATTAACACTTTACCCCACAAACATATTCTAGCCACCAATATCAGATATACTTTCTTTAAACTCTACCTTACAAAGGGCATTCCTTTTCTCATAAGCATCACTCATGTTTCATTAACAAAAGCAAGGTCAGTTAAGTACATTAGCACATTCTCTGGCCTCTACCTACCTATTTGACTTTCTCTCTCACAGTTATCATTCTTCAAAGACTCTTCTTTCCAACCAAATTGCTAAGAGCACTGATCCTCATACCTAGAGCAGAAGTTCCCAAAGGGAACTTCGAGGAGTCTCAGAGATTGAAGCTATTTTCATAACACTCAGATGTTATTTACAACCCTTTTCACTGTGTTGACATTTAAGTGATAGGGCACAAAAAATAAATGATAACATTGCTGGCATCTCAGCATGAAGCAAGACAGTAGCATAAGCTATATTAGTGGTTATTGTGTTCCCCAATGTAATAACGTCCTTGAAGCGGTAAAAATTATTAATTTTATTAAATCTCAACCCCAAAGTATTATGTTTTTAATGAAGGTACACATAAAGTGCTTCCATGGCATACTGAAGTAGGGCTGTCATTTCAAGGAAAAGTACACGTGATTGAGTTGCAAGTTGAACTAGCTGCTTCTCCACACAATACCTCATTTACGTGAAAGAACAACTGACAGACAAACTATGGTTATTCAAATTTGGGTATTGGGTAGACATTTTCACAAAAATAAATGAGGTGGACCTGTCACTTCAAGGAAAACAACTGACACTATTTGTTGGCAATGATCAAATGCAAGCTTTTAAGCAAAAATCAGAATTTTGGAAAACTTGTATCTATCACAGTGAGCTTGACAGCTTCCCAATAATGGAAGACTTTTCTAATGAGATGGTTAAGATTCACAGATGTAATATTTTCATATTGCATAATGAAATGTTTCAACATTTGGAAGATCTTCATAACTCACTGAACCAATATGTTCCAAATAACCAACGCATGATGTTATAAAATTATGTATGGATAAATATCCACTCAAAATGTATGACAGACCAATAGATTTTAATATAAGAGTGCAAACAAGCTTATTATTATCATTTCAGATTCCACATTAAAACTAATCTTTAAGAAATTAGAAATTATGGAATTTTGGTGTAACATCAAAAAAGAATATCCACAATTGCCTGAACAACTATTAAAATAGTCGTCCCTTTTTAACCTATGTATCTGTATTAGGCCAGCAGGGTTTTCTTTACCTACTTCAACCAAAACCAAATTTACTGAGATACACTAAGGATAAAGGCAGATAAGCAAATTCAGCTGCCTTTGATGAAGCCGTACATTAAAGAGATTTTCAAATACATAAAACAACATCACTTTACAGCTTTTCTTTGGCATATCTAAATTGCCAGCGTCACTCCTCTTGTGCTTTGGGTCATTATTAAGTAAAATAAGGGTGACTTGAGCACAAGCACTGCAATGCTACAACAGCTGATCTGGAAACAGAGACAGACGGCTACTAAGCAACTCACAGGTCGGTTTCATAGGCAGGATGGGTGTGCAGGACAAAGCAATGACTCACATCCTGGGCGGGATGAAGCAGGATGGCACAAGATTTTATTGCGCTACCGAGAACGGTGTGCAGCTTAAAACTTATAGTTTATTTCTAGAATTTTCCATGGAATTTTTTCCAACCTCGGTGTATTGCAGGTAACTGAAGCCACAGAAAGTGAAACTGTGAACAAGGACTACTATATTTTGAGGTAATTATATTTATTCCACAATATTTATTGAACACCGGAATGTCTCAGGAGCCAGGTATCCTGAGATACAGTATCCTACTACTCTGCATCACACCTGTATCCCAGTACTCTGGGAGGCTGAGACAGGAGGATTGCTTGAGCTCAGGAGTTCGAAACCAGCCTGGGCAATATAGGGAGACCCTGTCTCTACAAATTAAAAATTAAAAAACAGCCAGGTCTGGTGGTATGTACCTGTGGTCCCAGCTACTCAGGAAATGAAGTGGGAGGACCATTTGAGCCCAGTAGGTTGAGGCTGCAGTGAGCTGTGACTGCACCACTGGACTCTAGCCTGGGCAAAGAGTGACAGACAACCTGTCTCAAAAGTAAATCAGTAAAAATAAGAAGAATGTCCTGGGCACTGTTTATTCTAGGCACTAAGGATATGGCAGGGAACAAAGATTGGATTCCTTCTTTCTGCAGCTTACAGTTCAGTTTCACCACTCAAGTGTCTAAGCAACAGGGGTATCAATATCACCTGAGAGTTTATTTAAAATGCAAATTTCTACAACTGAAAATTAGAATTTTTAAAATGCAGAATCTCAGGTCCCAACCCAGACCTACTGAATCAGTGTCTGCATTTCAGTAAGATCCCAAGGGCATACTCCTGCATAGTTTGAGAAGCAAAGGATTTATGCATCTCCCTAACTATTGTGAACTTCTTGGAGGTACGCTATTACCTTGAATTTGTTCTACCACTAGTATAAATAATTGTTTAATTGTCGTGCTAATCATTCAAACATAAATACCTATTGTAAGAACTTATTTCTGGGGCTTAACAAAAAAAAGGCAGGGAACAGTGGTTCACATCTATAATCCTAGCACTTTGAGAGGCCGTTGAGCCCAGGAGTTTGAGAACAGCCTGGACAACATGGTAAAACCCCGTATTTACAAAAAAAAAACAAACGTGTGTGTGTGTGTATGTATATGTATATATATGTGTGTATGTGTGTGTGTGTGTGTGTGTGTGTGTGTGTGTGTGTATAAATTAGCCAGGTGTGGTGGTGTGCACCCGTAGTCACAGTTACTCAGAAGGCTGAGGTAGGGGGATCACCTGAGTCCAGGGAGGCTGAGGCTGCAGTGAACCGTGATTACGCCACTGCACACCAGCCTGGGCAACAGAGTGAGACCCTGTCTCTAAATAAATAAATAAATAAATAAATATTTAAAAAGGGCAAAGTCAAACTGGCCTAGATCCTGGGAAACTTTCCTTCTCCTAGGAGAAATAAGGCAGTAATTCTAGTGACAGCTAACATTTCAAAAAATGCTTTCTGTGGTCCAGCTGTTGTACCAAGGGCTATATGTGACAATCTTATAAAGCAGATTACTACTATTACTATTCTCATTTTAGAGATTAAGGAACCTGGAGCTCACAGGTTAAGCAAGTGATGGAGCTAGAACAAGCAGGATGTCTGACCCTAAACCACAGAAAGTGGTAAATGTCATCAGAGTTGAATCTTGAAGAAGGAACCCATGAGTTCCCTGATGGAAATATTGTCCCTCAATTTTGAAATCGTCCAGAGCACTAAACTCAGTTCCTAGCATATAAGAGACATTCATGGACTGCAAGGAACTCTGTGAGTGGTTTAAGGTTAACATATCACATTCCAGATTATTACCAATCCAATAATCTTCCATTAAAGATATAATGAGCCTGAGATGAAACGGCTTCTCTCTGATGTGTTCTGCATAGAGTCCATTCTCTAACTTGGGGCCCTTGTTCCAAGCACACAAAGTTAAAAAAAAAAGGAGACAGAGAGAGAGATAGGACATCAACTAAAAGACGAAAGCCACTTTGAAATCCTGGAAGAGGCTGAGGCTTGTTCTGGAGAAAGGGAAGAGCACAGGCTGTGGAATAGCTTCTTTGTCCACAGAGAGCAAGGGATGAATGGAAACACTGGTCAGAGGTCCCCCACTGTAAAGCAAAGCAGGAACTGCAGAGCTAGTCCATTACTGAGAAGTATCCCTAGAGGCCTCCATCAGTTCTTGAACTTCCTTTGGTACACTTCCCATCAGCCCCTTCCCAATGGCATGGAGTTGGAGTCATCTCCATTCTCACTTTCTGACAATTCCACATGGAACTGGGACATTTTCCCCTACAACATTTTGGGGAAAGGTTCTATTAATAACACTCTTCATGTCTGTTAGAGATTAAATAGACTTTCATGGGCAAACCACCTTGTATACCTTAACCATCACATACACCATCATGTATATGAGAAAACATGTTCTGGTAATAAACAACACAACAAAACCAGCTTCTCCAACAAGCCATTTATAGGATAAAGATCTACCTTTATGATATCCCAGATATACCAATTCAGTGTAGTTCTATATGAAGAATTCTTCAAGTAACACGCAGGGAGAAAAATATCAACTAACAACATCTAATTATACTAAGGATGAATTTTTGTGAGGATGAAATCCAATTATATTCAAGAGTAAGTCTATGAAAAGCTCAAGAAAAAGACAGGCTGGGCGTGGTGGCTCACGCCTGTAATCCCAGCACTTTGGGAGGCCAAGGCAGGCGGATCACCTACGGTCGGGAGTTCAAGACCAGCCTGGCCAACCTGGTGAAACTCTGCCTCTACTAAAAATACAGAAATTAGCCGGGCATGGTGGTATGTGCCTGTAATTCCAGCTACTGGGGAGGCTGAGGCAGAAGAATCGCTTGAACCCGGGAGGCAGAGCTTGCAGTGAGCCGAAATCGCGCCACTGCACTCCAGCCTGGGTGACAGAGTGAGACTCCGCCTCAAAAAAAAAAAAAGAAAAAGAAAAAGAAAAAGACAAAAGCTTACACACAATAAGCATCAGCTCACCTCTTAGGTACCAACACCAATGGCTGGGGTCATCTCATTCTCTCACTTTCTGACCATTCCACATGGAATGCTAACCATATATGGTTTTCTAATAGTCAAATTATTTGATTTTTCCAGTCAAATCTGTTTGAATATGAAGCTTTTATCTCACTGTTTTGCACCCAAGGGTTCTAATGAGGAAACACAATAAATAAATTACAAGGGTAACTGGTAACTACCCCCACATTTATGAAAGCAAACTGGGCATATTAACTGAGTCAGACTTGAGCACAAAATTTATGAACCACCCACATCCTAGGTTTTGAAAAGCTAATGTTTTCCCTCTTCTTAACCAGATTAACAGATGGAAGACTCTGAGAAGTCATCTAGAGATGTCTTTAGAAATTTCAAGCACGTTTTGCTTAACAGTTCATGTCACACTTTGATTCTACCAGAAGGCAAGGGACTGAGACTAGGATGACTATGATTAAAAGAAGACTGTAGATCCAAGGATGCTGCTACTATGGCATCACACTTGTATGCAGCTGTAACAGGCAAGATCAACATTAGCCTGGTTCTTCTACCGTAACAGTTCCATGTGTATACAATGGCTAAGTCCATTGATAGTGGGAGCAGGGGGCTGCAAGCTCAATGCCTTGAGCTGGAGGGGACAGGACCCATCTAAAGGGGCTGCTGCTGACTGTTGTCTCTTTGGCATTTGAGCTCAGCATTGTGAGATTTCTGAATTTACAAGAGGAATGAGAGGTCCTCTATTTTTATGTAAAATATCTCAATTTCTAAGCACTGGCATCTAATTAAGCATTTTCTGTAACACTGTCCATGGAACAAAATCTGCCTGTGAGTTTGTGCGTTCTTCAGTATTGCTGTTTGTGATCTCTGATGCTTTATGGCATCATATTGCCTTTGTAGTGCCCTAAAGTCAGAGTCATATCCTTTTATTTTATATTCTGCATAGCTCCTTAATAAAATCCTATGTTTCCTAAGAAATAAATGTCTCTTGAACTAACATAAGAAAAACATGGCTATTACTGATAGTCTTGTCTGTCTGTTTCTAAGCTTTGATCAAAGGAATAAAGCCATTTCCATATGCCAGCACCCCTCAACTATGCCACCCTCCAGAACTGAGCCATACTACTAAATATTAAGCTTTGCCATGTCTTTATCATGTTTTTATCTTTTATTTTTATCATGTTTTTCTACCATTTCCACACTTATTCCCAATCTCAGTTGAGGTTGTAGTTTCGGATTCATCAGTCCACACCAAAATTTCCTCATCTTTACAATGAAGACTTTGAACAAAGGTAACCCCAAACTATCTAGAAGTCCCTTACAGTATATTCCACTCAAAGTCTCACAAGACCTGCAACTATGAGCTTTCCTTCCTGAAAATTTTGAATATAATTCTCGCAAACATTCTTTCACATCTCCTCCATGTTGCATCTATTAAGGAATTATCTGTAAGATGTCTGTACTGGGTTGAACCATATACCCACGAAAATTCATGTCCACCCAGAACCTCAGCATGTATCATCTTATTGGGAAACAGTCTTTGTAGATATAATTAATTAAATTGAGGTGAAGTCATACTAGGTTAGGGTAGGTCCCAAATCAAATGACTTGTGTCCCTATAAGAAGGCCATGTGAAAACAGAGGTACAGCTACAAGCCAAGGAATGTCACACATTTCTGGGAACCACCAGAAGCTTGGAAGAGGCAAGGAAGGATTCTACCCTAAAGCCTTCAAAGGGAGCGAGACCCTGATGACATTTCGATTTTGGATTTTTCTTTTGAGACAGAGTCTCGCTCTGTTGCTCAGGCTGGAGTGCAGTGGCATGATCCCGGCTCACTGCAACCTCCGTCTCCTGGGGTCAAGCAATTCTCCTGCCTCAGCCTCCTGAGTAGCTGGAATTACAGGCACCTGCCACCATGTCCAGCTAATTTTTGTATTTTTAGTAGAGACAGGGTTTCACCATGTTGGCCAGGCTGGTCTTGAACTCCTGACCTCAGGTGATCCGCCCACCTTGGCCTCCCAAAATGTTGGGATTACAGGTGTGAGCCACCACGCCCAGCCTGATTTTGGATTTCTAGCCTCCAGAATGATGGGTGAACAAATTTCTATTGTTTATTACTAATTTTTTTTTTTTAATTTTTATTTTCAGTAGACACAGGGTTTCACCATGTTGGCCAGACTGGTCTCGAACTCCTGACCTCAAATGGTCTACCCACCTCGGCCTCCCAAACTGCTGGGATTACAGGTGTGAGCCACTGCGCCCGGCCACAAATTTCTATTGTTTTAAGCCACCAAGTGTGTGATAATTTGTTACACCAGCCGTAAGAAACCAACAAAACATCTTAACATCTCCTCCTCTTCTTTGCTTAGGCTATCCAAGGTTTGGAGTGGGCTTTATCTTTTCTTACTTACTGAGGTATGATGGGCAAAATGGAGCAAAGAACACAAAGACACATTTTGTCAGGCACTCTGCGTATGGTGAGGGCTTCACAGAGACAGGAAACTTTATGTGAGCTATGTGACATCACAGACTGGTTTTAATCTATTTCTATGTCTCAGGCACCTAGCTCAGCACACAGAGTTGACTTTTAAAAATGACTGGCATGTGGCCGGGCACGATGGTTCACGCCTGTAATCCCAGCACTTTGGGCAAGGCGGGTGGATCATGAGGTCAGGAGATCGAGACCATCCTGCCTAACATGGTGAAACCCCATCTCCACTAAAAATACAAAAAAATTAGCTGGGCGTGGTGGCGGGTGTCTGTAGTCCTAGCTACTCGGGAGGCTGAGGCAGGAGAATGGCGTGAACCTGGGAGGCGGACCTTGCAGTGAGCTGAGATCGTGCCACTGCACTCCAGCCTGGGCGACACAGCGAGACCCCATCTCAAAAAAAAAAAAAAAAAAAAAAAGACTGGCATGTGTACATGTAACAAATGAAAGAATGAATGAACTAATGAACATCAACAAAGTCATGATGAACAAATTCACAAATTCTTGAACTATTGTTAACTTATATGACCAATACTGCTCAGTGAAAAATCATGGTAAAGTTACAGATGCATTTCAATTCCCCATGGATGTAGAGCTGTTCGAGTTTGCTATCTGAATATTTCTGTAGCCTCTTTTATTATTTATTAACTTAAGGGTTTTGTTTGTTTTGACATGGAGTCTCACTCTATTGCCCAGGCTGGAATGCAGTGGGCCAATCTCAGCTCACTGCAACCTCAGCCTCCCGGTTCAAGTGATTCTCCTGCCTCAGCCTCCCGAGTAGCTGGGACTACAGGCACGTGCCACCACGCCCAACTAATTTTGTATTTTTAGTAGAGACAGGGTTTCACCATGTTGGCCAGGATCGTCTCAATCTCTTGATCTCGTGATCTGCCTGCCTTGGTCTCCCAAAGTGCTGGCATTACAGGCATGAGCCACAGCGCCTGGCCAACTTAAGGGTTTTTTTTTTGTTTGCTTGTTTTTGTTTTTGGTGAAGAAAACTAATCTGGGCAAATAGCTCATGATGAAATTTGACCAGAAAATTTCTGAAAGTGTCCAGTAGTGTTTTTGTCTCTCTGATCCCACTGAGCCACTCCTTCACAATCTTGGGGGCTGCATGCCCACCTCCAAGGTATGAGAGCATCACCTGGCACTTCTGAGAAGCCTCACACAGGACTCCTAG
This sequence comes from Homo sapiens, assembly GCF_000001405.40. Lineage (NCBI taxonomy): Eukaryota > Metazoa > Chordata > Mammalia > Primates > Hominidae > Homo > Homo sapiens. Next base: position 41,005,621 of record NC_000004.12, read on the forward strand.
AGGCCTACCTCCAGTTGCTTCCTAAGCTGCCACTGTCCACAGGACCCTCTCCCCAGAAGCTAAACAACTTGCCAAACTAAGAACTAAAATCTGTATTTTCAAAATATCCGTGAAGTAAAGAGAGAGAAAACAATCATAAACTTCTTTAGTGGTTAATTTTTGAAAAAGAAAGATTTTTTACTTTTCAACAGCTCTGAGGGACAATGCTCTCCCCAGATCTCCATCACTGAAAATCTATTCAATCTCCAGCACAGATAACTTCAAGTGCCCTAACATCCACATCCCAACTGACTGACGTTTCTTCCTTTTCTTAGCACTCAAGCCTCTCACAGGCCTCCCTTGATTCCACCTTGAATACATCTGCTGTCTTGTGCTCATTAACCATTGTTAGACTCTGGCTGCCACTCATCTCATTGTAATCACCTTTCCGTCCCCTGAAGTACCTCGTATGATACCTTATGATGGAAGGCAACCCAAAACTACTTTATTCACTGGAACATATATTTTTGCATAGAACTTTCCAAAAACACAAACTGAACAAACTCTTTTCTTTCTTAAGTTCAGGGGGGTAAAATAAAAAATACTTTTATGCATTTTACCCTTGAAGTGCTAAAATCTTACTCGGAAAACACACTATCTACCCCAGAACACAGCATGCCTAAACTATTTTGGAAACATCTCACATCTGCCTTCTTGAATTCTTCCTGTCGCATTATGGAACTCTCAACTGAGAAGACATAACAGGAAGGCTAGTGAGTCACCCAAGGTCCTTAAAAGATTAAAATTAATGCAGCAGGGCAAACCAGCTGAAGACTGGGCCTAGGGATTTATTTATTTATTTTTTATTTTTTTATTTTTTTTGAGATGGAGTCTCGCTGTGTTGTCCAGGCTGGAGTGTAATGGTGTGATCTCGGCTCACTGCAACCTCCACCTCCTGGGTTCAAGCGATTCTCTTGCCTCAGCCTCCCAAGTAAATGGGATTATAGGCACGTGTCACCACAGCCTGCTAATTGTTTTGTATTTTTAGTAGAAACGGGGTTTTGCCATGTTGGCCAGGGTGGTCTCAAACTCCTGAGCTCAGGTGATCCAACCTCCTCGGCCTCCGAAAGTGCTGGGATTACAGGTGTGAGCCACCGCGCCCAGCCATGGGCCTAGTATTTGTAAGAAAAAAGGGGGAAAAATATTTACAGTTAAAATTAACCAAAAGCCATCTGAGCTAAAATGAACAGTTAGAAGAGGTTTCTAAAAGTGTGAAAAATACAGACTTATCCAAAGCTCTATCACTTAAGCTAGCTAAAGCCAGAAATAAGAGGTGCTGCCAGTTGTGTTGACATAATTAGGTTTGTGACTCTCGCTCTCATCAACTATGCAAGAGTTCCACTTTGCCTCAAGACTGGAAACCAATCAATTTAAGACATCAAAGGATTCAAACTCTAAAGCAACACTGCTATAGTCTAAATGTGTCCCCCATATTTCATGTGTTGTTGGAAACTTAATCCCCAAATTTATGTGTTGATTGGAAGTGGGGCCTTTGGGAGGTAACTGCGATTAGATAAGGTCATCTGGGCAGGGCTCCCACAGTAAGACTGGTGTCTTTATGAGAAGAGGAAGAGAGACCTAAGCTGACATGCATTCTCTTTCCCTCTGGCCATGTGATATCCTCGCCATGTTATTCTGCAGCAAACGGCACTCACTAGATGCTGGTGTTATGCTCTTGGACTTCCCAGCCTCCAGAACTGTGACCTAAATATATTTCTGTTCATTATAAATTATCCAGTCTCAGGTATTTCGTTATAGCAACAGAAAACAATCTATGACAACCATGGATCAATCTCAATCCAAGGCAAAGCGTGAGGTCAACTGAAACCAAAATGGCCCTTTTCCTTGGCACTGGCCCTCCCAACATATAGACCTATAGACTCGAATAGAATAAAAGAATGTTTGTGGAAGACTGAATTAGTGGCCCCAATTCTTCATTCTTTCCAGGAGCCTAGAACATAAATAAGAATCACCCTATCTGAGTGTTCTAAACAACTATTTTATACAAATTGTTATTACTTTTTCTATTTCTACAAGCATATTGATGTAGCAAACATCAGAGAGCATGCATTAATGATCGTGAATCTATCCATCCAACCAGCAAATGAGTAACTTTATGGAGCCTTTTACTATGTGCCACATACCGTGTGAAGAAGTTCATATACACACATAATGAAGACGTGGCTGCTGCTTTCATGGAGCTCTAAGTCTAAATGGAAACTTTTGAGTAATGCCGAAAGCCACTAAGATAAACATGATAGCAGAAACTTAGAAACATTTCTTTGGGAATACAGAGAAAGGACTTTATAAGGACTTTATACAGCTCGGAGGGTCTAGAAAGGTTTCATAGTGGAAGTGGCATTTGATCTAAACCTCAGTTGCTTAGAGGAATGGAAAGATCCCCTAAAATATAATTTTCCACTTTCCGGATTCTCAAGATACTACTATATGCCTCCAGTTGAACCAGATGAAATCTGATATATTTAGCCTCTGTGGTAAAACACTGGAGCTGTGTCGGAAAACCTAGGTTCAAGTCTCAGCATGGCCACCTGAGAGTGAGAAAGTACCACCAACAGGGTTTGGCACATTGTAAACCCACAGAATCTCAGTGTGCCTTCCCCAGTAACTCGGGTTATTCAGCTTCACCTACTGTGAGGCAACAGGATCAATGAAGTTATAAAATATGTAGCCAATGCCAAAACCAGGCATTGATTAAGATATAACATCGAGTGTCTTATTCAACACATAAAGTTCATTTTGGGATATGCAGATGGCTCCCATTTTCATTCAGTGTGTCATTATTTATTTATTAAGCTCACTTGCCATATTCCAGGCACTGAAAATACAAAGATGAAGATGAACCAACCCTTGCTCTTAAGGTCCAGAAAGTCGTAACTCAGAGTCCAAAATATAGGTAATTCATAATTAAGAGAAAAGCAAACTTTTATAACACACCACTGTACTGATACTGTCTCTAATATAATAATCATGAATATTCATTGAGCTCTTGCTATATGCCAGATACTGCTCCTAAAAGCTCTTTGAAGATGCTCTCGCTTAATCTTCACAGCAGGTCTATGCCAAAACACTCTTATCCCCATTTTATAGATGAGAGGCTATGAGAACTGCCTAGATATAGCAGAGCTGGGATTTGAACTCAGGAAGCTCACTCTAGAGCCTATGCTCTTAATGATAAGTTAATGGATCATGAGGCGCATTGCCACACCCATCTAGACTTGGGACTTGGTTTTCTCTGTGTATAATTCTGCTTTTGTACACTTTAGCAATGAATCTGATTTTGAAACAGTTACTACACAAGATCCATCTAGTTTCATACTCTGTGTCTTCAATTTTATTAAATCCCAAACTAAACATAAAATTACATGTGGGTACCACTGAAACCTGTACCCAGGAAGGTTCAAAATGATGCATCTTTTCAACGTTTTCATAAAGCAAACATGAAACACTAAGTGATTAACAGAGAGACTATATACAGTGTGACCAACAGGTATTTATTTATCTGAGCCATCATGCTTACTACCTGGGGCCACTGAGGGAACTGTATCTTTGAAAAAAACCCTAACTAGATTCAAAGTTCTCACTTTGCAGTAGCAAGATACAACCTTTCTTTTAGAATCAGGGCCAAGGCACTCTTTAACTTTTCTAAACTCCTATGAAAATAGTCATTTCACAGATGCTTTTCCTTTTTCAAATAGCCTCTTGTTTTCTTAAAGGACAGACTACAGAGGAGGAAAAGGGCAGCCACATATTGTATACATGATTGATTGTACAAAAAGAAGTTACTAAACAGCTGGAGGGGGCGATTCAGTAGTAAAGGAAAATAGAAAGTAGTCAGTCTCTAGGTTAGCCATTGCATTTTATTGTATAAATAGCATTCTAACTTGGAAAGGATGCCCCTGAGGTAGAAATGAGTCTATTTTTCTAGGCTCCCCAAAGTGCAGTCTACGATCCAAAGATAATTGCATCATGATTTAGTCATAAAACACACACCACTGTGATGACTATGTATTTAACACACAGCAAGTCAACAGACAACTATACCCTTTTTATACATGTACTATGGCATGGCATACTAAGATGTCACAAGATATTTGCTCTCGTTTTCTCTTTTCTTTCAACTGTTGGTATTTGTGTTTATTTTATATATATACACATACACATGTATATACTATATAAAACATACATAATAAACACTAACTTTATCATTACAAGTGAAACATACAATGTTTAATTTAGACTGATCATGATTATTTTAAACACTAACAGTATGTTTCACAGGAAGGATGAAATCAAAAGAAATACAATGCTAAAAAACTGCTTATTTTATTTCATTCACCAATCTATGTATTACCTGAAACCTGAAGTGTGATTAAAGCAAAGTGATTTCATTTCATGGGGATCCACAGCAGACTCTGAGGCAATTCCAAAAGAGGACTCCCAAAATTATGACTATTAATATTGAGACAGTGCAACATGCTGAAGCAGGTGCAGAGATCCCAAGTGAACATTTTGAAGGCTGGCATAGGTTTGGCTTCTAGTATATTTTTTAAAAACACAATCTCATTGCTTTTCGGTCACAGCTAATACATTTTTTCGAGCATATTTGATTTGAAATACCTATCCTCAGCAACTTATCAAGGGCCACCATCATCCTGTCAAAACCAACTTTCAGAGAGAAAACTAAGCATATCTTCTTAACATGTAAAAAAAACTCTAATCCAGTTCTCATCACAGGCCAAGCACTGTAAGATGTTCTGTGGAAACCCAACAGCAAGTAATGTCAGGACACTGAGCAAATGAGTGGTAAGTGTCACAGCAGAGGGGCCCCTGAAAGTCTTCCTGGAAAGAGGGAGTTAACGTGTACATTTCAAGAGTCCCAGTAGGTAGACTGGAGTGCACAAACTTTGCCCTCTCCACAGGCCCCTACTGACACCAGCACTCAATAAGCCAAGGGGCTATGGACAGAAATACCTAAATACTCATCAGCAGGGAACTTGCTAAATAAATCGTGGAACTTGTATATAGTGGAATAGTATACATAATACTTAAAAAGACTGACGTAGAAAAATGGACTGATCTACAAAATACGTTCTTACGTGAAAAAAAGCAAAGCATTCATAAAACAATCTAATTGGAGTAACTTTTTCCTGGTTTTAACTATTTATTGTGGCAAATTTTAAACATACAAAATTAGAGAATAGAATAATGAACCCGCACGTACCCATAATGCAGCTTTAACAATCAGCAGCTTATGGGCAATTTTGTTTCTTTTTTTATCCTTCTAATCCCAATTATTTTGGAGAAAATACCATACACAATATTGTTTCCATCAGTATGTGTTATACTGTATTATATATGTTATACTATGACATAGATTAGTATTTTATATTAGTATATATCTCTAAAACATAGGGATTCTAAAAACATCATCACAACATTTGGGTAAATTTTAAAATTGATTATTATTGTTTTTTTTTTTAATTTTAATTTAATTTAATTTTATTTTTAAATTTCTTTTGAGATGGAGTCTCGCTCTGTTGCCCAGGCTGGAGTGCAGTGGCACAATCTCGGTTCACTGCAACCTCTGTCTCCCAGGTTCAAGCAATTCTTCTGCCTCAGCCTCCCGAGTAGCTGGGACTACAGGCACGCACCACCACACCAAGCTAATTTTTGTACTTTTAGTAGAGACAGGGTTTCACGATATTGGTCAGGCTGGCCTTGAACTCCTGACCTGGTGATCCACTGCGCCTGGCCTAATTTTTATTTTTTGAGATGGAGTCTCGCCTGTCACCCAGGCTAGAGTGCAGTGGCGGGATCTTGGCTCACTGCAACTTCCGCCTCATAGGTTCAAGCAATTCTTGTGCCTCAGCCTCCCAGGTAGCTGGGACTACAGCCACCCGCCACCATGCCTGGCTAATTTTTAATGTTTTAGTAGAGAAGGGGTTTCACCATGTTGCCCAGGCTGGTCTCAAATTCCTGAGCTCAGGCCATCTCTCCACCTTGGCCTTCCAAAGTGCTGGGATTACAGGCGTGAGCCATCATGCCGGTCTTAAAATTTATTATTAATATGCGGATCTATGACTCAAACATTTTCTGAGAGGAAATAAAAACATAAGGTAATGGTCATCACTGGGAAAGGGGGCTGGGGTGAAGGGAAGAGGCAGCTTAATTATTCATTTAAAAATACATTTATGTTTTTTGAAACAGAGTCTCGCTCGATCACCCAGGCTACAGGGCAATGGCATAATCATGGTTAACTGCAGCCTCGAACTCCTGGTGTCAAGTGATCCTCCTGCCTCAGCCTCCTGAGTAGCTGGAACTACAGGCACATGCCACCGTCCACCATGCCCAACTAATTTTTTTGGAGGAGGAGAGATGGGGTCTTACTGGTCTTGAACTTGTGGGCTCAGGTGATCCTCTTGCCTCAGCCTCCCAAAGTGCTGGGATTACAGGCATGAGCCACTGTGCCTGAACAAAACTTTAGGTTAGTTTAAAACTTAACTACAACAGAACCGGCTATACCAGGAAGAGCAGCAGAAAGGGTGCCATGACCAGAGGGAGACAGCAAGGTGTCAGTAAACGCCAAACACAGGAAGTAGAGCTTGGCTGAAAGATGTGCAAGGAGTCTTTCATGTATTAATAGATTCAAACTCCAGCAGGTGACAATGTCTATCAGCTTCAGGATATGAATTCTCTAAATGGGTAAAAAGGATAGAGAGCTGTGAACTCAGGGACATTACTGAACATAATTATGATTCCAATAATGTGCAGGGCCAGACAGTTATGAGATGAAATGGCCTCATCTCAACCTCCCTACTGCCACATTCCACAGTAGTATGCATCATTGAAAGTACTGGGATTTTTAAAGGGCACTTCAAAAACGCTACTTTTTTTTTCTTCTTAAACAAGTTAATGTCTTAACTCCTCTTTTCCTTATCTTTAGTCCTTGTAATTTATCTACCTTATCGATTGTAAAAATGTGATTTCCTTCCCTGGTGGTTCTATCTATTTTCTTTGTTATATCTATATTAACACAGCCCTGGGACCCACTAGGGGAACTGCTGGACTACTTTTAAAAAATTAGCCTTTCTGAGTGCTTGTTTACGCTGAATTCAGATACAATAAGGTTCTCCACATTTTTCAATCTTAGAATCAGTATAGTGGGAGCTATAAGAAAATGATATTTAAAGTAGCTGACTTTTAGGATCCTGTTCATTTCTGTCACCATTTTAACACCTCCGACAAATCCAAAATATTACAAATATAGACAAAAGTCCAGAAAGACTGGTCTCAATTAGACTAGTTAAAAGTCTAAACTTCTGAATATATTTTTCAAGAAATACGATTTTCCCACTTTTAAATATTACTTAAGGCTAATAAAACACTCCTCAGTAAATGTCAAAAAGAGAAATGCCTTTAATGAACAGATGGCTAATGTTTTAACTTTTTATGCGCTTCACCATAAATAAGTTATTTTGAGGACTTTAAAATAGTTCTCTTAATTGGGTTATATCCTTCCCCCAACAACTTTGTTTCTTTTATTATTTTGCTTACCAAAACCCAGTATTTCTAGATAGCATATAGAAATGATCTACCTATGCACTGGAAGTGTAATTTCTAAATATATGATATTTTACTGTACTTAACACCAAGGATCTGTTTATTTTACAAAAATGCTTCCCAGAACAAACAACTTTATGCACGATCCAAAATGAAACTGACCTAAAATATGGTTGAGGAATGCAGTAATATTTTGCAAATAAATTGCCCAATTTTACCGCAAGAGGCTCACGTTCCTCTCTGCATAATGGACATTTTTGGTCAGTCTAGAGATTTACTCCAATAGTTGAAAAGATAAAAAAAAAAAAGTGCCAGCTGAGGCTACGCCTTCCCCAGGGGTACCTGTTTCATCCGGGGAGCTGGGTGAGGCACTGTCTTGGGACAACGTTGTCCAGCTGGACTCCTCATCGCTCGGTGCCAGGTTCTGGATCCGGTGCAGTGCACAGTCGGTTTTGGCCCCTGTTTTCGGATGATCCTTCTTGGTTTCTGGGCTGGATGACACTGTGGCTACTTGGCCGTCTTCAGGGCTGGACTGGGGTCTGTTTGGTTTCTGCAGCAGCAAATCGCCATTCCCAATGATGGTGGAGGCCTGGCCCTGGACTGGCTGGGATTTCTCTTCCGCAGTCCCATGGTGATTGCCTCGGTTCTGCTCTAGTTCTCTGGCTGAGGTTTCCAGATCTGCATAGTAATTTAGGAAGCTCTTAGTTCTCCTGGGCTGGGAGGGTAAAATCTCACAGCTCGAGGAATCCTGTGGGTGGGGCTCTTTACCCTCTAACTTCTCAGAAGTTATGTTGATGACTGCAGTGGGGCTCAGGTTTTTGTTGGGGTCCTGCTGCCCTTGCTCTGCAGCCTTACGGAGCTGGTTCTCCCCATTTTTCACCAGCTTGATGTTGGCAGAGCCATTTCCCAGCAGGGGCTGTGCAGCTGGATCCGAGAGGCCCATGGCCGCCTGGATGTTAGTTAGTGCATATTTTTTCCTGCATTTGGGAGGTGTGCTGTTCTTGGTTTCTGTGTGTTTTATTTCAGCGTTCAACAGTTCATTGTGGGAGGATCGGAGGTTAAGGGTGTTTGGTGGTGTGGCTGGGCTGTTCCGATTTGTGACGTCTGTAGTTCCGCTGCTGGCCATAAACACTGCCAAGGTGTCAACACCTGAGTCAGCTGGGGAAAAAAAAAGTCATTAGACACCTGCCATGATTAAACTACTTAGTATACAGTGTGAGTAAATATTTTTATATAGAAAACTAAAAGAAGAAATGCTTCCACTGCACATACATTCTCATAGAATGGACCCATTTTCCTCTTTATTTCACCATTTGTTCCTATATTAAACAGGAGCAAATAAAGGGCTTAACGTGGATAACCAAAAGCCAATTTATAGAAAAGCTAAGAAGTCTGAGGACCTAAATTTTACTTAAAATAAAAAAGCATTTCTCTTTGAATTCACATAAAAGCATTTTCTTCTGGTGGCTGGTCTTCATTTTTTACAAGCTTGAAAAATCATCCCCTTTCCAAATATTCCCACTACATTTTTATTCTTTGGTTCCTTCAGGCAACAACAAAAAATTGCTCAAGATTCCTCTGGGGCTTCAGCTTTCTTAATTAACCTGAAAGGTCATTGTTCAATGATGCTCCATACATCCAAGGTAATTTTTCTCAACCACGTTTAGAAACTGTGTTCTGAATGCCTGGAAAACTAACCCTCCATTAGAGTTTGCTAATGTCTTGGTGAACATTTTTGACCTGGGCTTACTGTTTGTACTAAACTGAAATTTTGAAGAAATGGCTTAATTTCTGAAGAACACGTACACACGCACACAAAACTATTACTGTAGCATTGAGCCCTTGGCTACAGACAACATGTTAGAGCTCCCAGAGGAGTCTGAATATATTCCACTGAATTAAAATACAGACTCAGCTGTTTGCAGTCATCACATGCCTCTGCAGAACTCCTAGGAAACTATCTGGCAACCGCATTTATCTCAAATATTGTTTGCGCCGTTAGTGATTTATTCTATATGTCTCTCGCTGGGAAGAAAGAAAGGTTTCTTAGACTAGAAGGGAATAAAATTCATCAGCAAGAATTCCTAAGGTTTCAGATTTCTCAATCTATGAGGAGTGACTTCTTTCTTATCTGATCCTTTTGCCCTCCACAGAGACTTTGGTGATCTCTACCTCAGCAGCAGATGAACCAAAGCACAGCTCCTGAAATTCCTGAAATTATATTCTGACAATTCCCTCTTCCTCCCCCAGGCAAAACAGGGATCTTTGCAGGAGAGAAGGGCAATAATTTCCTTGTTTGGGAGCTTAGAGGTATCTCTCCATCACCAAATACTTAGGTTGGGCAATTTTAGAAAAAAGTTGCTCATTCTAGAGTCCCTATGCTTCCAGGAAGCAAGGCAACATCAATCCTCCACTCTAGGCCATGGCCATTTTTATAACAGTATGACCATGTGGCCCATAAGAGAGTCAAGGGCTGTAACCCCAAGGGTTAGGATCTTGGGCCCCATTCTTTAAAGTTATTATTTATCGGGATTCCTTCTCACCTAGCACCTCACCTTAGCTCTTAGGCCTCATTTTACAGAAACAGAGAATGTAGTGTGGTTTTTCCTTTTTCAAAATTTCCTTTTCCTCCACCCAGTCCAATGGAAGGTTTCTGCCTTTTAAACAATACTCTTGACAATTAAATTAAAAAAAAACAATTTTTATTACCATTTGGCTACAACTATTATACCATTTTATGGGAAACATGTTTCAATTTATAATTTAATTTCACTCAAGAGTGGCATTTCATATGAGAAGGGCCTACCTGAAACCTACATGAAGTTTTCCCTGAGACACATATCCAGAGCATAGATACATGAGAGAAAGTTATTTTTAGACTCTTGGGTATTTAGAGTGAGATTATGAGAAAGTGCAAATCTGCTGTTCCTAAAAGGCATGGCAAAACATTTATATTAGGCTGCTTTATGATGCTAGGTACTATTATACATTCTAGCAATGTTATTAGGGAGATATTTTTATTTGCTTTGTTTATAATCATACATATTTTCAGAAAGAATACCATCAGAATTTCTAGGTGATTTTTAATATATAAATAACTTTTATATCCTCAATATGACAGATTAAGACTTCTAGCCACAGCCGGGTGCGGTGGCTCACGCCTGTAATCCCAGCACTTTGGGAGGCTGAGGCGGGCAGATCACCTGAGGTCGGGAGTTTGAGACCAGCCTGACCAACATGGAGAAACCCTGTCTCTACTAAAAATACAAAATTAGCCAGGCATGGTGGCGCATGCCGGTACTCAGGAGGCTGAGGCAGGAGAATCGCTTGAACTCGGGAGGTAGAGGTTGCAGTGAGACGAGATCGCCCCATTGCACTCCAGCCTGGGCAACAAGAGCAAAACTCTGTCTCAAAAAACAAAAAAGAAAAAAAAAGACTTCTAGCCATATTTTCACAGTCTTTGGGATCCCATTACCCTATCAGGGGCCATGTAACTCTTCTGCTTGCTAGAAATAATGGAGGGCAGGCAGGAGGGGTAAGAGGCTGAATAGAAAAGGACCATCCAATACAAACTGGATGAAAAAATGCAGCTCTGTATATGCCATATTTATTAGTTTATTTACGTACTTATTACTTTTGAGACAGGGTTGGTTATTTATTTATCATTACTTTTGAGACAGGGTCTTGCTCTGTCACCCAGGCTGGAGTACAAGTGGCAGGAGCATGCCTCACTGCAGCCTCAACCTCCTAGGCTCAAGCGATCTTCCTACCTCAGCCTCCTAAGTAGCTGAGACCACAGGCGTATACACCACACCTGGCTAATTTTTTGACTTTTTGTAGAGGCAGGGGTCTCACTTTGTTGCCCAGGTTGGTCTCAAATTCCTGGGTTCAAGTAATCCTCCTACCTCAGCCTCCCAAAGTACTGGGATTACAGGCGTGAACCACCAGGCCCAGCCTGTATATGTTGTTTTTATATATCAAAGCCTGAACACAGTTTGAGTAATATCTTAGACATTAAATAATGGTATCATGTGGAGGCAAAAGAAAAAGTTCAATTCTAGAGCTACGGCAGCCAAGCTAATCCCATGAACTATAGAGTTCCTCTAGGAGTTACATATCAGCTAGGAAGTCCTTGGGCTCAAAAGGGTCATGAAGTAGCTACAGGTTAGCAAAATCCTAGAAAGATCAAGGCTACAAGAAAGCAGCCCCAAGGGAGAGGAAATGCTGTAAGGGTTAAAAGCACAGATCTCAGGGTCAAGGAGAGAAAGGCTCAAGACCTATCCAACCTACTTCCTGGTTAAAAATGGGGATAATAATAGTACTTGGTTTACATGACAAGTAAACTTGCCTACAGGGAGTTTATAACAATAAATGTGAGCTCCACTCACCACTTTGTACGAGTTTATAACAATAAATGTGAGCTCCACTCACTACTTTGTACGCAAGTAATATAGCGCGGGGCTGCCTACCAGGGCCCCCAGATTACCCCCCACTCTAATTGGTCTGAGTGATTGAAATGGTCTTGTTGCAGAGACACACAGAGAGGAAAGAGACTAAGAAGGAACAAAGAAGTTGGGTCTATGAGGATTTAATTATGAAAAAAATATACATTCCTCGGGTTTAAGAGGATAGAGGTTTGTGTTTGTCTTTAAATAAAAGAAAATCTTACAATGTTTCTTTAAACCTTCTAATATTTAACTGTTTTCTTTGGAATCAAAAGGCCTAAGAAATAAGACCAAACTCTTTAACACAACCAACAAGTTACTTAAACTCCCATTTCTTTGCTGTAAAATGAAATTATAATAGTATCTACACCTCATTGAGTTTTGCTGGGGACTAAAACATGACTGTCAAACCTTTGACATAATGGCTGGCATACTGTAAGAGCTCAATACATGTTAGGGATTATCATAATCTTATAGCTCCCTCCTTCCTTGCACACTTTTATTTCTGACCACCATACCTCAAGCCACCACTGACTGAGCACTTTCTTCTTGCTGGGTACTGTGCTAGGAATTGGAAAACCAAGGAACATAAAGTTCCTACCTGCTATGTGCTTTCAGGCTTGCAGAAGAAAAACACACAATAAAGTCACAGAAATCACAGAGGGTGACGGGTGGGCAGATGCAGAGGAATAAGTGGGCTACTCACCTAGGGTTGGAGAGGATCTTCAGGGAAGGGAGGATTATCATCAAGGGAGCCTGAACAAATCAAGACATGAAAGGAGAGGCGGTATGATGGAGAAGAGCAAAGGCAGGGGTTCTTCTGAAGCATGCTCTAACACTTTGGACTTGACCCTGAGGCAACAGCAGGAGGAATGAATGGAAGGTTGATGTGTATATTCTGAGTGTGTGTGTGTTGTATCTGTGTATATGTTGAGCCTTTTTCCTCTAGTATATTCTCCGAGAAGGCGATGACTATGATGAAAAGACATTAAAGAAGTAATGTAGACCAGGCAATTAAAACATCAGTGGTGATCAGAGAAACAGTGGAAAGAGGTACACAGACAGTGTCTTCTGAACCAACAAAGAGGTAAGCTGGCCCCATTTTTAGGCTCATTCTCTGGCCTTAGAGTGGACTCTGCCATTTACCAAAGGGAAGCAGGACCAGTTGGGAGGTTCTTTGCAACAGTCCAGTCAAGAAAGTGGGAGAGGACAAGGTAGTCACAAGAGACTTAGGTATGGGGGTGAAAGTCTTACTCTCCCACTACTACAGTTCCAGCTCTGGTCAATCATCCCTTGAACAGGGCAGAAAGATAAGGTTCCCATTAGCCACTTGGATTCAGAAGTGAGGATTGAAGAGTCTGGTGAATTGAGTAATTAGAAAGACACTGGTGACTTCTATCATATCAGCTTCAGGAGAATGCAGAGGTGGGCAGAGAGTGAACTTTATTCAAGTTGGGGGAGACAGGACAGTAGCTGGAGGATGACCCAGGTTTACGGGAGGGACTTTATACTTTTTAAAGATGAGATTCTTAGTTATGGTTTATTGTTTAAAGGCTGTAAAAGCAGAAGCCAATAAAGAGAGTAAAAGTGGAAACACAAAAGAGTAACAGAACAGTAAGGTAGAATCCACGTGATGAGAGAAGAGAAGGGACAAGACCGGACTGGAAACAGCACTGCCCAAGATAAGGGTACCTTCACGCTAGGAGGGAAGAGAGGCGGTAAGGACAAGGACAGACACGTGTGTCACTACAGTGACACAAAACCGAGCAAAAGCGAAACTGGCAGCCTTAATTTTCTCTATGAAGAGAAAGTTTTCCCAGAGAGGAAACAGTCTAGGGGTATGGTGTAGAAGGAAACTTAAAAAGGGAGACAACGTTCAGAAATAGTCACAGAGGGGAAGGTGATGAAGTCGTCGGGCGTGTTGAGATGAACAGATGAGGGTGCACCCTGGGATCTGGCCTGGAGAAAGCAGGAAATCAGGGGACTGCACAGTAGAAACGGTAAAGAAGTGGGAGAAAAGGAAAAGGCCAGAGGTCAGAGGTCCCAGGAAGGTAGAGGTATTGCATGCAGTGCAAAAACCCAAGGAGGTGGCAGTCTTCCACTGCCGAAGCCATCAAAAAGGGGAAGGAGAGGGGAGAACAGCAGCATAAGCAGCTGGCAGAGGCAGCAGAAAGGAAAGAGACAAGGAGACAGAAAGTCAGAGAGAGAGGAAGAGACAGAGAGACAAAGAGAAGGAGACAGAGAGAGGAAGAGACAGACAAGGAGTCGAAGAGAGAGGAGGGAAAGACAGAGACAGAGAGAGGAAGAGACAGAGAGACAGAAAGTCAAAGAGAGAAGGAAAGAGAGGAAGAGACAAAGGAGTCAGAGAGAAAGAGACAGAAGCAGTAAAGAGAAAACAGTGTACCCTATTCCTTTAAAAGCCAGGGTAAATTTAAAACCTATAATTGATAATTGAAGGTCTTCTCTGTAACCCTGTAACACTCCAATACCACCTTGTTGCCAGTGTAAACAAGGGTGTAACCCGAAAGCACTGAAGCCACTGACAACCCATAGCCTTCCTATCAAAAATCCTTAACCCTGCAGGTTTCCTAACAGGGGATCTAAATCTTAACTAATTACCATACAAAGGTCCAACTAGATCTAGGAGGAACTCCTTCAGGACAGGACAATAGATGGTTCCTCCCAGGTGATTAAGGAAAAAAGACACAATGGGTATTCAGTAAGTGATAAGGGAACTCCTGTAGAAGCAGTTAGGAAAATTGCCTAATAATTGGTCTGCTCAAACCAGTGCCAGCTGTTTGCACTCAGCCAAACCTTAAAGTACTTACAGAATCAGGAAGGAACCATCTATACCAATTCTAAGTTAATATGGACTGAACGAGATCTTATTAATAGCAAAGAACCCAGGGCGTTCAGTCCATATTAACTTATAAGGTAATCCCAAATTTATTAGGTTATAAGGTAATCCCAAACTTACAACGTTTTCAACAAAAGTAAAGTTTGCTAAAAGTTAACAGTGTAACATGTATTATCCTACTACCACACACTCTCAAAGGATTTCTCAGTTTGCAAGAAATAATGAAACCTATCCTTACTCTACAATCCCAAATAGACTCTGGCAGCAGTGACACTCCGAAGCCTCTGAGGCATAGACCTCCTCACTGCTGAGAAAGGAGGACTGCTGCACCTTCTTAGGGGAAGAGTGTTGTTTTTACACTAACAGGTCAGGGATAGTAAGAGATGCCGCCCAGCGTTTACAGGAAAAGGCTTCTGAAATCAGACAACGCCTTTCAAACTCTTATACCAACCTCTGGAGTTAAGCAACATGGCTTCTCCCCTTTCTAAGTCCCATGACAGCCATCTTGCTATTACTTGCCTTCGGGCCCTGTATTTTTAATCTCCTTGTCAAATTTGTTTCCTCTGGGATTGAGGCCGTCAAGCTACAGATGGTCTTACAAATGGAACCCCAAATGAGCTCAACTAACAACTTCTACCGAGGACCCCTGAACCGACCCGCTGGCCCTTTCACTGGCCTAAAGAGTTCCCCTCTGGAGGACACTACAACTGCACGGCCCGGTCTTCGCCCCTATCCAGCAGGAAGTGGCTAGAGCAGTCATCACCCAATTCCCAACAGCAGGTGGGGTGTCCTGTTTAGAGGGGGATTGAGAGGTGAAGTCAGCTGGACTTCCTGGGTCGAGTGGGGACTTGGAGAACTTTTCTGTCTAGCTAGAGGATTGTAAATGCACCAATCAGCACTCTGTAAAAATGCACCAATCAGCACTCTGTGTCTAGCTAAAGGATTGTAAATGCACCAATCAGCACTCTATGTCTTGCTAAAGGATTGTAAACACACCAATCAGCACTCTGTAAAAACGCACCAATCAGCCCTCTATGTCTAGCTAAAGGTTTGTAAACTCACCAATCAGCACTCTGTAAAATGGTCCGTTCAGTGCTCTGTAAAATGGACCAATCAGCAGGACGTGGGTGGGGCCAAATAAGGGAATAAAAGCTGGCCACCTGAGCTAGCAATGGCAACTCGCTTGGGTCCCCTTCCACACTGTGGAAGCTTTGTTCTTTCACTCTTCACAATAAATCTTCCTGCTGCTCATTCTTTGGGTCCACACCACCTTTATGAGCTATAACACTCACTGTGAGGGTCTGTGGCTTCATTCCTCAAGTCAGCAAAACCACGAACCCACTGGCAGGAACAAACAACTCCGGACGCACCACCTTAACACTCACTGCAAAGGTCTGTGGCTTCACTCCTGAAGTCAGCGAGACCATGAACCCACTGGAAGAAAGAAACTCTGGACACATCTGAACATCTAAAGGAACAAACTCCAGACACACCATCTTTAAGAGCTGTGAGACTCACGGCAAGGGTCCGTGGCTTCATTCTTGAAGTCAGCAAGACCAAGAACCCACCAGAAGGAATAAATTCCGGACACAGAGGAACAGATGTGAAGGGAATGAGGAACTGTTCTCAACCCTGGCCACATGTAAAAACCACCTGGGGGGCTTTTAAAACAGTATAGATGCCTAGGCCCCACCCACAAAAATACTTCTAAGATTCTGATTCAGTTCCTCTGGGATTGGGCCCAGTCAGGGCATTAAAATGTTCTTGCGGTGATTCTAATCTGTGGCCAATTTGGAGAACCACTGGAAGAGGAAGTGTGAGATCTGGGAAGAATAAAATGATGTACATGGAGTTAATTATTTCAGAGGCACATGGAATGCTCTGATCGCATACATCATCTTCCTTGTCCCTCCACACACTCTCAGTACCCTTCCTTCCCTCCAGCAAATTCCTACTCCTCTTTGAAGATTCAGAAAAGATGTCACCGCTTTATGAAGCCTTCTCTTGTCCCTCTGGAGTCTACTTCTCACAATTCTCACACCTTCATAAATGCATTTCTATTACAGCATCACTCATGCTGTTTTACTTTTACTATTAACCTGTTTGAGTTTCCCACTAGACTGTGACCTCCACCAACCAGCACAGAGGCCTAGCACAGAGTAGGCACTCATAAATGTTTGGAGAATAAATCCTCAAGTAAAACGGGAAAGGCAAGTGTTTCAATTAACATCTCAAAAAATGTTGACATAAAATGTCTAGACAGAATTTCTGAGAGTTTCTTATTAAACACTGAAAGGAAACCACTGTTATTAATAGTTAAGTCAACAGGAAATTCATCTTTCCTTTCCTTGAAAAAAAGGAAAGGATATCCTTGATATATCAGAGAAAGGGTGATCAATGATCAGTTAGTTATCTCAGCTGTTACCCCATGTAGCATCTGAGCAAGAGTTAAAATAAAATCCTTTAATATAATGTATAGACCAATTTATCTTGCTCCTCAGTCTCAGCTCAAATAAATTCTTACTCAACTCTACCGTGGCTCCCGAAAGAACAAGGAATATTTAGAGTCAAAAGCATATGTTTTGTAACTTAGAGCAGAATGGGGTACTTCCCTGTCAAACATGACTGTTCATCAGTTGCAATCCTATCAGCTCAAAGCTCATTTCTTGATCTGAAAAGCATCAGGCATATTGTTAAATATGGGGGGCATGAGTTAGCAGTTCTTGCATACTTCCTCAGTAGATAAGAAGTTGCAGACTTCTATGATTAGATCCTATGTCTATGTCTTCTTCTAAATTGCAAACGCCTTGAGGAAAGTGACTATTCCATTCATTTTTTTTAAATAACAGCTTCATTGAGATATAATTTATATACTATTATCTAGAAAATCCCACAGCCTCAGCCCAAAAGCTCTTTCGGCTGATAAACAACTTAAGCAAAGTTTCAGGATACAAAATCAGTGTACAAAAATCACTAGCATTCCTATCCACCAACAACAGCCAAGCAGGGAGCCAAATCAGAAACACAATCTCATTCACAATTGCCACAAAAAGAATAAAACACCTAGGAATACAGCTAACCAGGGAAGTGAAAGATCTCTACAATAAGAATTACAAAACACTGTTCAAAGAAATCAGAGAAGACACAAACAAATGGAAAAACATCCCATGCTCATGGGTAGGAAGAATTAATATAATTAAAATGGCTACACTGCCCAAAGCAATTTACAGATTCAATACTATTCCTATCAAACTATCGACATTCTTCACAGAACTAAAGAAAATTATTTCAAAATTCATATGGAACCAAAAAAAGAGTCCAATTAGCCAAGGCAAGCCCAAGCAAAAAGAACAAAGCTGGAAGCCTCATGTTACCCAACTTCAAATTATACTACAGGGCTTCAGTACTCAAAACAGCATGGTACTGGTACAAAAACAAGAACACACAGACCAATGGGACAGAATAGAGAGCCCAGAAATAAAGCCATACATCTATGACCATCTTATCTTCAACAAAGCTGACAAAAAACAGCAATGGGGAAAAGACTCTTTATTCAATAAATGGTGCTGAAATAACCGGCTAGCCATATGCAAAAGATTGAAGCTGGACCCTTTCCTTATACCGTATACAAAAATCAACTCAAGATGAATTAAACACTTAAATGTACAACCCCAAACTATAAAAAGCCTGGAAGACAGCCTAAGCAATACCATCCTGGACAAAGGAATGGATAAAGATTTCATGACAAAGACACCAAAAGCGATCAAAACAAATTGACAAGTGGGATCTAATTAAACTTATGAGCTTCTGCACAGCAAAAGAAACTATCAACAGAGTAAACAGACAACCTACAGAATGGGAGAAACTATCTTCAAACTGTGCATCTGACAAAGGTCTAATATCCAGCACCTATTGAGGGAGGAAATTGAAGAACGAAAGAAAAATAAAATTAAAAAGAGAAAAACAAGCCTTCTATATTAGGGTGACTCATTCCAAAGGCAGTAGCAGGCAAAGCCTGGACCCAGGTGAAGTCTCAATAATATTATCTAAGAAGCCAGAGCTCAAAGGAATGTGCCCTGGAGACTCTCCCAGCCCTCCTTCAACATAGGGAGAAGAAAACAAATTTTCCTTTCCCCTATGAGTAAAACTTATGAGTTTACAGATTCCTGTTTTCCGGTAACTTGAGTATTCTGTTTTTATCTAAGCAGCACAGTGAAGATTATAAGACATGCCTGAGCAGGCCTGGGCTGCAGCCATCTGGGCGCCATAGTGAAGGTTAAGAGATAAGCCTGTGCAAGGCACTAGAGCAAGCCTCCATAACAGCCATCTGGACTGCACAGGAAGAGTCACCTGTAATCCTGAGTTATGAACCTGTCACAATTTAATTAACTCCCTTTGTTCTGCCTCTGTATCCTTGCTTTCACGCCACTACGATTCGCGCCACTGTAAACTTGTTTCAGGCTAGCCCACCCCCTTTTAGAAATGTGTCTAAAATTCAAGTGCTGTCTTTGTTCCAGGCCCAGTTTTTGGATGTTAATCCGCTGGGTCTGAGTGCACTCAATAAAAATCCTCCAGTTTCACCATGATCTCTCCGGTCCTCCTTCACTCCCACAACCCTATAAGGAACTTAATTAAACAAATTTACAGGAGAAAAACAAACCCATTAAAAAGTGAGCAAAGGACATGAACAGACACTTCTGAAAAGAAGACATACATTTGGCCAAGAAGCATATGAAAAAAAGCTCAATACCGCTGATCATTAAAGAATATGCAAATCAAATCAGAATGGCTATTACTAAAAAGTCAAAAAATAATAGATGCTGGTGAGATTGCGGAGAAAAGGGAACACTTATATGCTGTCGGTGGGAGTGTGAATTAGTTCAACTGTTGTGGAAAGCAGTGTGGCGATTTCTCAAAAAGTTAAAAGCAGAACTACCATTCGACCCAGTAATCCTGTTACTGGGTATATACTCAGAGGAATATAAATCATAAACACACATGGACATGAATGTTCACTGCAGCGCTATTCACAACAGCAAAGACATGGAATCAACCTAAATGTCCATTAATGACAGACTGGATAAAGAAAATGTGGGCCAGTCATGGTGGCTCATGCCTGTAATCCTAGCACTTTGGGAGGCTGAGGTGGGTGGATCACCTCAGGTCAGGAGTTTGAGACCAGCCTGGCCAACATGGTGAAACCGTGTCTCCACTAAAAATACAAAAACTAGCTGGGTGTGGTGGTAGATGCCTATAATCCCAGCTAGTTGGAAGGCTGATGGCCGGAGAATCTCTTGAAGCTGGGATGGTGGGGGGTAGGGGTTGGGGGGTGGAGGTGGCATTGAGCCAAGATCATGCCACTTCACTCCAGCCTGGGCGAAAGAGTGAGACTCCATCTCCACAAAAAAAAAAAAAAAAAAAGAAAAAAAGGAAAATGTGGTACATATATACCATGGAATACTATGCAGCCATAAAAAAGCACAAGATAATGTCTTTTGTAGGAACATGAATGGAGCTGGAGATTATTATCCTTAGAAAACTAATGCAGGAACAGAAAACCAAGTAGCACATTTTCTCTTATAAGTGGGAGCTAAATGATAAGAACTTACAAACACAAAGAAGGAGACAACAAACACTGGAGTGTGGAGGATGGGAGGAGGGAGAGGAGCAGAAAAGATAACTATTGGGTACTGAGCTTAATACCTAGGTGATGAAATAATCTGAACAACAAAGCCCCATGACATGTGTTTACCTATGTAACAAACCTTCACATGTACCCCTGAACCTAAAAGTTAAAAAATTTTTATATCATAAATTTATATACCATATTTTAAAGTACACAATTCAGTGCTATTTAGTATACTCACAGAGTTGTGCATCCAATAATACTATCTAATTCAAGAACATTTTTATCACCAAAAATGAAATCCTGTACCCATTAACAGTCACGACCCATTCGTCCCTCCCTCCAACCCCTGCAAACACTAATCTTTGTTTTTGTGAACTTGGTGATGATAGACATTTCATATAAACAGAATCATATAATGAGATCTTTTGTGACTGGCTTCTCTCATTTACTGTATCTTCAAGGTTCATCCATGTTGTAGCATGTATCAGTACTTTATTCCTCTTTATGGCTGGATAATATTTCATTGTATGGCTATACTACATTTTATTTGTTCACTGGTTAATGGACATTTGGGTTGTTTTCAGTTTTTAGCTATTATGAGTTAACACTCATATACAAGTTTTTCTTCTATGGATATGTAAAACTGACCCAATAGTCCTACAGATAGCTTTTTTTGATAAACATAGAAATTGACCCTTCTGGTCTTAAAAGAAATTTATATTTGTTTATCTGAGATCCTTCCTCAGGAAATGACCTTCAGGTCTCTCAAAAAAAAAGTATCAAAGAACTGAAACTCACCAGATCATTGCATCCAGACAATGAGATGGGGGAACCCTCATTCATCCTAATTGCTTCCTTGCTCCTACCTAGATCCTGTTTTGTTACAGTTTGTTTCATTTCTTCCCTACTATATAAAACCTTAGTTTTAGTTGGTCAGGGAGATGGATTTCAGACTGAGCTCCTATCTTCTCAGCTGCAGCACCCGATTAAAGCCTTCTTCCTTAGCAATACCTGCCCTCTCAGTGATCTGGCTTTCTGTGCAGTGAGCAGCAGGACCTAGACTGAACCCCTGGTGTTTCAGTAACACATTTTCAATTGTCTTGGGTGTGTACTCAGGAGTGGAACTGCTGAGTACAGTAACTTTTTTGTACATACACACACACATTTTTATATTTTTATAAACATATTGTTACATATATATATATATATATATATATATATATATATATATATAACATTTTCAAGAACTCCCAGACTGTAGTACAAAGCCACTGTACCATTTTCCATTCCCTCCAACAGTGTATAAGGCTTCTAAATTCTCCACATCCTTGCCAACACTTGTTATTGTCTTTTTTATTATAGCCATCCTAGTTGGTGTGAAATGGTATTTCACTGGGGCTATGCTTTTCATTTCCCTTTCATTTTCCAGAATTTCCAGTTCCTTTTATTATAAAGTCTAGCATGTAATAAGACTCAATAAATGTTTTTTGACTCCTTAATTCATTTCCTCATTAATTCATTAAATATGTACCAAGAGCCTACTATGTATACCAAGGCCAAGAACACAGCAGTGAACAAAATAAGCAAAACTAAATGAGGAATGAATAACCAAAATGCCAGTAACAATGAGGGTTAGTCTTTAGCATAAAGGTGGTTCTCTTGGATTCCTGGCAGGTGGATGGGTCCCCCAGTGATTCTGCCATCCCCTCCACGTCTATTCATCATGCTATGTTGAGTGTGATTTATGAAGCTCCAACATCAATTCAAGAGGATCGATTCCTAATCCAGAGGTGGGTATAAGTTCAGATTTAAGAGTGTGACAAGAGCTAATATTACTGCTGTCATTGCTCTCCTGCATGCATGATGAAGGAACATCTATTATAGCCTGGCACGTGTTTCCTCCTTTTCTGTTAAAAGCCTCGCAAATTTTCTAGGGGAATCAGCCTTCCCCTACACCCATTCAATCATTCAACAGATATTTTTTGTGCACTACTCCATGCCATATATGCTTCTAAGTGCTGAGGATATAGCAGTGAACAAAACCAACAAAGTAAAGATACCTATGGAGCGCAGAGCGCACACTCTAGGGATTAGGCCCATGTGTTTCAGGCAGAGATGATTGTACTCCTTATTTCAGGGGGCACATGGCCAAGGCACAGCCAATCACAGTAGCAAATCCCCAGGGCTCTAGTGGCTGGTTCAAGGAAAAGCTTATGACCCACATGAAGCCAACCATGAGACTTGCCAGAAGGTAAGAGTGGTGCTCTGTTTTCTCTTTTTCTTGAACTAGAAGATATAAGCCTAGAGCTTCAAGGGGTCACCATGAGGAGATAACCTGCCCAGCATGACTGTACCAAAGAAAGCGAAGCCAAGAGACAGAGAGAAAATGTGCAAGCCCTAATGACTGAATCCCTAAAATAAGACATGCCTGAAATATGATACTGCTGGACTTCTCAGGTCGATAGATTTATGTGTTTATTTTGCCTAAGCCACTTGGAGCTAGGTTTTCTCTGTTTTGCAACTAAAAGAGCCCTCGTTAATACACAAAGTATTTTTTATGAAACCTAAACAAAACTGGATAAGCCAGGATCACTCTAATTTCATGACTTGCCCAGCTTCTCTCGATCCCAGCCACAAAGGCCCCAGCACAGATACAACCAGGCCTACTGGCCCTGTAACTCGGACCACATCCTAATACAAACCTGTGCTGCATCCTGTGGTTAAACCTGGCTTTCCCCCTCCTCCTTTTCCCTTTTCTAAGACCTTTAGCCTTTTGTCAAAGAAAGAGTTTGTGAGTAATGACAAGAACTTCTCTCTTCAATAACCTGCTGCTCTCCCTTTACTCCCGCGACATGCTTATAAAATTGGAAACTGACAAACGGGCCCAGGGTTGATAAATGGGCCAAAGGAAGACCAATGTTTGCCCCATGCTTGAATGAAACTTCACATTTGCTTCATTTTTATTTTTCTGCTATACAATTTCATTTCCACTGAGGAGTTAATAGTGAAACCTACCCTGAGGAATGTCACTGTTTGAACTAGATTACAAAATATTAAGGAAATGAAATAAACTCTGATTTTTCTTTTCCTTTTAGGAGGGAGAAGCTAAATAAAGCTGGCTTCCCGAAACTACTCATGAAAGGAAACCTTCAATGTGACAAAAATGATAAGAACTCTGTGAACAAAAGAGGCAAAAGTTATCAATAAGGCAGCTTGGGTCACCGGGCCAGGGAGATGGGAGGATTTGAACCTCAGAATATTCTAACTAGGCGAGCAATGTCACACTGCTGATGCAGAGTGTCAGATACAATCAGATCTTACCCACTTGAGGGTTTCTTGTGTCCCATTAAACTTAACTGCCTGAGGACTCACTCTGTTCAATGTTTGAAGTGGAACTGAGATTTAAGACAGATGTATCACATACTTTTTAATAAACTCAATCTTAACGAGCTTGATTTAGCCATTCCACAATGTATACACATTTCAAAACAACATGTTGTACACAATAAACATATACATGTTTTATTTGTCGATTATAAAAAATAAGTAAGAAATGTTATTTTCTAAAAAAGAAAATCAGATTTGGCAGAAAATCAGATTACACAAACTCACAATGGCTGAAGTTGGCAGAGGGTCTTATGAGAACACCATGTTAGGGATGAGGAGAGAGGTTCAGGGAAGGCTTCCCACAAAAAGAAGAGCTGGCTGGGCGCGGTGGTTCATGCCTGTAATCCTAGCACTTTGGGAGGCTGAGGCAGGCGGATCACGAGGTCAGAAGATCAAGGCCATCCTGGCTAACACAGTGAAATCCCGTCTCTACTAAAAATACAAAAAATTAGCCGGGCATGGTGGCACATGCCTGTAGTCCCAGCTACTCGGGAGGCTGAGGCAGGAGAATCACTTGAACCCGGGGGGCGAAGGTTGCAGTGAGCTGAGGTCGCACCACCGCACTCCAGCCTGGGCGACAGAGCTAGACTCCATCTCAAAACAAAAAGAAGAGCTGAGCCGGATCTTGAAGGGTGGAAAGGAGCCCAGCAGTGGACAAGAAAGAAAAAGGCATTCCAGATGGGGGAAAGCTTGCCATTCCCAACATAACACCTGGCAGATGTGATGGTCAGTTATTTAGGAAGCACAAGCAGAATGTGTATATTCAAGTAAGAATTAAGACCTTTGGAGTAGTCAACTTTGGAAATTATATTCCAAGGTCATTTTCTCTGTTCAATTTCTTTTTTACTTTAAGGGACAGGGTCTCACTATGTTGCCCAGGCTGGAGTGCATTCACAGGCACAGTCATCATGCACTACAGCCTCAAATTCCTGGGCTCAAGCGATCCTCCTGCCGCCTCAGACTCCCAAGTAGCTGGAGCTACAGGTATGCACCACTACACCTAGCTCTCTTCCCTGCTCAATTTCTAAGCTGTTTCCATTCTTTAATAAAGCCTCAGTGACTTTCAAAGATAATTTTTTTTTAATAGAGCTCTAGACTTACGGGCAAGCCTGATGATGATCCAGCTTGAGAATATTGGTTTAGGTGAAAAAAAAGTAGGTGAGCTATAAAGAAATGTCACATATTTTCTTGAGTTACTACTGATAAGCTGGGCCCCAAATCCATTCTGAAAGGGAAAAAATGTTAAACAATAACAGGATCCTTAAAATAGGGTAATTACTTGATATCATGGGCTAAGGCCTGCTCAGAAGGCACTCCTGAGCTGAATCGTGAAGGGCCAATAGGAGTTTCAGAGGCAGACAATGGTATAAATTCTGGTATGTTTGGCAGGGCGTGGTGACTCACACCTGTAATCCTACCACTTTGAGAGGCCGAGGCGGGCAGATCACTTGAGGCCAGGAGTTCAAGACCAGCCTGGCCAACATGGTGAAACCCTGTCTTTACTAAAATTACAAAAATTAGCTGGGCATCATGGCACATGCCTGTAATCCCAGTTACTCGGGAGCCTGAGGCAGGAGAATCGCTTGAACCTGGGAGGCAAAGGTTGCAGTGAACCAAGATTGTGCCACTGCACTCCAGCCTGGGTGTCAGAGCAAGACTCTGTCTCAAAAAAAATTTAAATAAATAAATAAATAAATAAATTCTGGCATGTTTGTTTTTAAAAGATGTCCCTGTAGTCACAGCTCCCTAGAGTTAGAAAAAGGAGCTGAAGGCAAACCTTACCCCACTTATTAGTCAAGACCCTCTCTCATCAGTCGCCATTTGAATTTTCAAGTGAAAAAAATGGCTGGAATAGGATTTTCCACTGAACTAGGAATACCTCTTTCCCTGTAGAATGTGTTATATGTCATACCGATGCATGAGAGTAGTAGCTGTTATTTAAAAACCAGGCTAGATAACTGTTCCAGTATCTCTTACGTTATAACCACCAAAGAATAAAGCTGTTTGAGCACCAGCATGAAGAATGAAAACATCAGCATAACAAAATATAGCAAGAACAGGAAATTTCTAGAAGTTATTTGATTAGTCCACCTTCACTTAGAGGAACACACATCATTTTATACACTTGCCAGCTTTATTTTAATGTTTTCATACTAGAGTACCTTGAAGATAAGACTATAATAATAATCTATTAATAACCTATCTCATAAAAATATGATTTTAAAAGTTAAAGGATCCCTAAAAGAATTATTCTCAACATTTAAAATCTATTTTCTAAAGAACATACGTATTTATTTTGATTTTTCCAAAATTCATATATCTATTCAATACGTATTGACAAAATATGTATTGACAAAATCCATACCCTCCCCAAATCATCACACTATGATTATATGGCTTCTAAAAATCAGCTCTAAGACACTGATATTCCTGTGTAAACTCAGGTTTGTCATAGTTTTTGGCTGTTTTTTATAAAAGAATATTTGTTGCCTCTCATATACCTCTGCTGAGCTTAGTGTTTATGTTTTATTTTAGTTCTTTGTTGAAATATAACATGAAAAATGTCATATAAAGGAGAAAACAGCTTGATTATATTTAATAATAAGTTTAGAATTTAGGGACATTAGTATCTATTTGCCAATGGCTTAAATCTACTTATTTAAAAACTCAGAACTTGCTGAGCAATATGTGCCCTAATAAATATGAAATCTATCCAGATCTGTCACTTGAAGTCCTATATGATGTTTAATATGAAATGTTTCTGCAATTGCTTTTTCCTTATTATGTAACTGTGAGGCTAGGGATTAAATCCCACACCACATTGTATGTAGACTAGCATCTATCATGAGACCAAAAAAGGGATGCACAATAAAATTAAGGTTGTTTTCCTAAGGCCTGAAATTAATCTGCTGATTAGACCCAAGGAGAATACATTCAGTATTGGGGGCGGGGGGGGTTTCTGTCTAAGCAAACTCTACAAGCTATTAATAAGATGCAGATTGAGAAACGCAACACCAACACCTACTCCTTTGTTGACATTTCAGCAGTACCCAGGCTGTAATGTACAATGCTAGATGGTAAAATTTGACAGTTTTAAGCTCCTGTCATAGTCAACTAAAATATTTTTACATTACGATATAAGTATTCATGCAATTATTACACAAATATGGTTAAGTCCAACTAATTCTTGTACTTGATTTTAAAGATTCATTTTTCTTTCTTTTTTTTTTTTTTTTTTTTTTTTGAGACGGAGTTTCGCTCTGTCGCCCAGGCTGGAGTGCAGTGGCGCGATCTCGACTCACTGCAAGCTCCGCCTCCCGGGTTCACGCCATTCTCCTGCCTCAGCCTCCCGTGTAGCTGGGACTACAGGCGCGCGCCACCATGCCCGGCTAATTTTTGTATTTTTAGTAGAGACGGGGTTTCACCGTGTTAGCCAGGATGGTCTCGATCTCCTGACCTCGTGATCCGCCGGTCTCGGCCTCCCAAAGTGCTGGGATTACAGGCGTGAGCCACCGCGCCCGGCCAAGATTCATTTTTCTATTACATTAGTGAAGAACAATGAAATTAAAAAACATGTTATTTTAGCAAATCATAAGTTTAACATTAAACATTATCTTTTTTTAAGTTTTAATATTCAACTGCTTCTCTGCATTGAAATATGAGAAAATGTATCTGACCTGGAAGTACTTCTGACATGGATCACCAGGCGTCAGCAATGGTGCAGGAAATAGGTTATAATTTGAAATCTAAAAAGAAGGGATCATTTGAGAAATTAAAACTCCAAATAACAAAGCATAAAAGAAAGAAAAGCATAGCAGTGAAAATCTCTCCAAAAGCTGTTATATATACCAAACAAATTTTGGCAGATAATGTCCAAATTTTTGTTTGTTTATAGTTGGTCATACCACTTTTGATTGAAACTTGAATTCCTACTTTGTCACATTTCCCACAAACATTTATTGAGGATTTTTTTCATGGTAGGCCTTACCTACCTTTCTGTCTCAAGTTTCCAATGCTTTTTCTCATCACACACACACACACACACACACACACACACACACACAATTCAGCACCACTACAGAAAAAAAAAAATTGGTACATTTTGCCACGTAAAAATTAAAACCATCTGTTTAGAAAAAAAGTGACTATAAACACGATAAAAGCAAAAAACAGACTGAAGAAAAAATTACCACCACAGATGACATAAAAGGGCTAATTTCCTTTATATAGAAAGAGTTCCTTAAAACCATTAAGAAAAATATGAACAAGTCTGTAGGAGAATAAGAAAAGAAACAAGTCCCAAGAGAAACACCAATGTTGAATAAACATAAATCACTAGCTTCACTCAAAACTTAAGAAAATACCAATTTAAATAACAATGTCTAACTGGATTTCCTATATCAGACTGGAAAGATTAATAAGCCAGATAATACCACAATCTAAGGACAGGACACTGGAAACAGGAAGTTTCAAACCTTGCTGGTGAGAGTAAAAGCTGGCAAAATTCTTTGGAGAGCCATTTACAAATATCTGAGCAAGTTTTGAATGCATGGATCCCACTGCTCGGCAATTCCACTTCTGATAATTTGTTTCACAGACAAGCTAACGTGGATTCTATTCTTCTGAAGTCAAAAGACCAGTAACCACCTAGATGTTCTTCAGTGCACAGCTGGTTCATTAGATGATAATACACCCATACAATGAAGTACCATGCTGCCCTTAGGAAAAATGAAGTGGATCTACAAGAGCCTATATAAAAGGGGTTGTTGGTTTTTTGTTTTTTTGCAACGGAGTCTGGCTCTGTCACCCAGGCTGGAGGGCAATAGCGCAATCTCGGTTCACTGCAACCTCCACCTCCCGGGTTGAAGCTATTCTCCTGCCTCAGCCTCCCGAGTAGTTGGGATTACAGGCGCGCATCACCACGCCCAACTAATTTTTGTATTTTTAGTAGAAACAGCGTTTCACCATGTTGACCAGGTTGGTCTTGAACTCCTGACCTCAAGTGATCCGCCCACCTTGGCCTCCCAAAGTGCTGGGATTACAGGTGTGAGTCACGACACCTGGCCAAAAAGGGTTTTAAGATGCATCACCAAGAGGTGAAGAATATGCATAGCAAAGCATGATCTAATTTGAGTAACATTTTTAAAAAGCGTACACATATAAATACATGTGCACACACACCTAGGTGTATACTCACATGCACATGCATTTACATGGAAAATTTCTTAAAGGAATAGAAAGATCTAGAAATACTGGTAAGCTGCCAGTTTAACAAAATAATACATAATAAGGAAAACTGAAAATAGACCTTATTTTCAATGAGTTGCCATCAGGAATGTCACTCAGAATGATAACATGTTATATTAAGTCAAATACAGATACTGTATGATTCTATTTATATGAATTACAAAAACAGGAAAAACAGATTGATATCAGGATGATGGGGGTGGGGTAGGGAAGAAGCAAAAGGGTGGCTTCTGGGACACTGAGAATGTCATGTTTTTTTCATTGAGATGTGGAAATTCATCAGGCTGTGCTCTTACGTGCACATTTCTATATGCGTAATGCACTTCCATGAAAAGTTAAAAGAAAAAAATCAAATGCCAGAGGTTTTCTAAAGCACAACTTAAATTGAAAAACCTTTATATTTGCAAAAGCTCTAAATTCTAATCTAACCTTTCCAAACTAGCAACCTTTAATGGGCATCACTTCCAAATTTATGATTCTGATAATGACCTGACAGCCTGGTCTACTGAACCAAGATACATTGTTAATTATATTTTCACAAACTGTGGGTAAGGCTCATTACTCTGGTATAATTAAAAGGGTGGGTTTATTCTAAACTGTCCTGAAACAGCAAGTGATGCCTCCTCTGTGCTCCTCTGTCTTTGCCCTATAACTTTCTGCTCAGTTCCTTAAACATATTTCACAATTCCATTTTCCTTTTCTTACATTTTAGTTTTTGTCTTCAGTACATTAAATGCTATGCAGAGAAAGAGATGAAGTAATAGATACTCAAGAAAATGAATACCAGTAGAGAGAAAGTCAAAAAAAGGCATACTAGTGTGAGCATTCTGAAAAGGCTTGAACAAAAACTAAGAATCTACATACAGTTGGCCCTCCGTATCCTCGGGTTCTACATCCATGCATTCAACCAAGTGAGGATCAGAAAGTTAGGCCTGTGATGGTTGCATCTGTACTGAATATGTACAGACTTTTTTTTCCTTGTCATTATTCCTTCAACAATACAGTACAGCAAAACTATTTACATAGCATTTATATTGTATTAAGTATTATCAGTAATCTAGAGTTGATTTAAGGTATACGGAAGGGGCAGGTACAGCGGCTCATGCACACTGGGAGACACAGGTGGGAGGACCACCTGAGCCCAGGAGTTTGAGACCAGCCTGGGCAACACAGCGAGACCCTATCTCTACAAAACATACTAAAATTAGCTGGGTGGGGTGGCACACACTTGTATCCCAGCTACTCAGGAGGCTGAGGTGGAAGGATCACTTGAGCCCAGGAGGTTAAGGCTGCAGTGAGCTATGATTGCACCATTGCATTCCAGCCTGGACAACAGAGTGACACCCTATCTCTAAAAAATAATTAAAAAATAAAAAGTATACAGGAGGATGTTGCATAGATTCTATGCAAATACTACACCACTTTATTTAAGGGGCTTGAGCACCCCCAGATTTTGGTATCTGAAGGGAGTCTTGGAACCAATCCCCCTCAAATACCGAGGGATGACTGTCCTTAGTGTATATAATCCTTAAAATAAAATATTCCTGTTTCCCTGACCAAACAAACTCCAACTTCTATAAAGTTAAGAATTAGACATTCTGCTAATGACTTTATATTATAAATAGCCCTGAGTTATTATCTGACCCATATTTACTCCATACCTGCCATGTGTCATGCATTATGCTAGGAGCAGGGGATACTTTAGTGAGTAAAAACACATTTACCGTCTTGTGGAACTTACAGCCTAGTTGTTGGGGAGATGGATATTAATCACAAAGTTACTCACATAAATAAGTTCTGGAGGAAAATAACTTAGGTGTAAGAGAAAATGCAACAAAAAACCACAGGCCAGACTGGAGAGTCAGGAAATGCTTTCCTGAGAAAGTCAAATTTAAGGTGCAATTTGAGGACCAACTAGGATTTAGGTAGATAAACATTTATTAAACACCTAGAATGTGCAAGGCATTTCCTGGCCCTGGGGATGAGGTACAACTATGCAGAACTTTTTCCCCTAGACACTTATATCCTTGATGAATGAATCTCATCTAATTAAAACAGTTTCTGAGAGGAACTTAGGGGCATGGACTAATTCTACATAAACAATAACCTGAGAAGATATCAAAGCAGCACTTGGAAAATAGGCAAACACTATACAAATGATGGCTTTTAAGAACAATATACAGCTGTGCTGTCCAATACAGTCCCTGTCTACTAGTACCTAGAAGCTATTGAATACTTAAAAGGTAGCGCAACCGACAACTGAATTTATTTAACTACAATTAATTTAAATACAGATTTATAAGTTGATATTTGACTCTTATTGGAAAACATTTAAGTAGGTTTGGAACTTCTTAGGTAGGTGAGTCTACTTCCTCAACTCTAAATTTTATGAAATTTAAATACAGATCAAGTATTTCCAATGAATATTGCATCCAAGTTGATTGCTGTGAGTGTAAAATGCACGCTGATTGTGAATACTTGGCGTGGAAAAAATGTAAAATGTCTAATAATTTTTAAATATTGATTGCATGTTGAAACGATAATATTTTGGTTATATTAGGTTAAATAAAACATGTTAAAAATAATTTCACCTTTTTAAAAGTTTCTACTTCTGGAATACATAGCGTATATTAAAACCATGTTTAGAATTTCCAGGGTTAGATAATTATACAAAAAAGTTATTTAACTACATGAATATTTGCTAGGGTATTTAAAAGCTTTGCAGAATAACACAATCTTTGTTGTACAGGGTAGTCCTAAGGACTGCAAGACATTTATCATCCCTGGTCTCCACCCGAAAAATTCAAGGTCTAGTACCACATTTTTTAACGTGGTACTAGAAAATTTTAAATTACTTAATGTGGCTTGCATTCTATTTCTACTGGCGAAGTCCTGATCTAGAGAATGTAGACAAATTCAAAACTTTACCCTAGGCTGGGTGCGATGGCTCATACCTGTAACCCCAGCACTTTGGGTGGCTGAGGCGGGTGGATTACGAGGTTAAGAGTTCAAGACCAGCCTGGCCAACATGTGAAACCCCATCTCTACAAAAAATACAAAAATTAGCCAGTGTGCTGCATGCTAGAAATTTTGTCAGCATTGAGAGGAGAGTCCTTGTTTCCATAAAAATGACATACGGAGTTTAGAGTTGTTGGGGACTAATGGCAGGCCACTACAAGTTCTACACTGAGAATACAGTTGTGATTTTGGGGCAAAGCATAAAGCTACCTAGGTGAAACAGTCTAGCAACAATAGTTTCCTTCTAGCAGTGTTTCCACATGTCCCGTTAATGAAAATTCTTAATGCTGATATGCCTTATGATAATGCTACTAGGGATCAATAAATATCCAACAGGACCACAGAGAGAGCTTGCAACCCCAAATCACAAAAGCACCATTAAGCAAACAGATAAATAAATAAATAAATAAATAGATAAATAAATAAAATGCCCTCTTGTCATTTGATTCAGTAAAAGATGCTATGTACCTTTAAATAATTCTAAAGAGGAATGAAAGATTTAAATAAAAATCAGACAAACAATTACATTTTACCTATGTTCCCCAAATACTGCCAAACAAGTCTGACCAATTCCTCCTTCTCAATGTGCCTAGCTCTTTGTCCAACCCATTTTTAAAACAGTCCTGCACAGTCCCATAACTCCTCCCCTGACAGCCAGTCTAATTCCTCCCCATACATTGTCCCGGATCTATCGCAGATCTACAATGCCAGATAAACACTGCTCTGGTCACAATCACCACCTTATCTAAAATCTCCAGAATTAAGTTCTTTCAACCACTGACAATCTAAGACCCAACTGATTCTAGAATCTCTCATTTATCCTCTTTACCTTCAAATAGCTACTTCCCTAGAAACTCAATGCAATGCTATAAAACCCAATACTCCCTTTCTATAACAAATAGCT
Organism: Homo sapiens; assembly: GCF_000001405.40. Classification (NCBI taxonomy): domain Eukaryota; kingdom Metazoa; phylum Chordata; class Mammalia; order Primates; family Hominidae; genus Homo; species Homo sapiens. The sequence continues at coordinate 41,038,728 of NC_000004.12, forward strand.
TATAATAACCCCTTTATTATCCTAAAGTGATATTCACAGATAATATAACCTATCTGAACACATAAATTCCAGAAAAGGGGGAAAAAAAGGAGGGAAACATTTCAATAAGCAAATTCTCAGGTATGACTATTCCAGCAGTCGTAATAAACAGGTATCAGATGCTCACCTATGTGTAGAACCATTGTTAGTGCAATAGCTATAAATGCAGACTGAAAGAGGTATGTGTTGTATTGACAACTCAGACATGATTTGCACTGCTGCCAATAACATCAATTGCAAAATGCTGAACAACTCTTTGGAATATTCCAAAAAATGTTAAATACACTTGTTTTTAAATGAGAAGGAGCTTTCATTTCTGGAATACATAGTATATATTAAAACCATGTTTAGAATTTCCAGGGTCAGATAATTATATAAAAATGTTATTTAACTACATGAATATTTGCTAGGGTATTTAAAAGCTTTGCAGAATAAGACAATCTTTGTTGTACAGGGTAGTCCTAAGGACTGCAAGACATTTATCATCCCTGGTCTCCACCTGAAAAATTCAAGTAGTGGACCCCTTCCACACTCACCTAGTGGGAGTTCTAGCCACCCCCAAACCCCAACTTTGAAAATTATGACCTTGGCCCAGAGTTATCTCTTCCTTTTAACTTATTTGACACTTAAATCCTGTATGATCCTGAACCAATACTTAATGTCTGGAAGCCTATTCAACTGTCTTGTTGGACTGTAAATTGTGGTAACCATCGATCTGACAGTTACTATGACAACAGAATGGGGTATCATAGGCTGCTTGTTTTGCTTAGTGTCTAGCACATCTTAAGCATTCAATAAGTGCTAATTAAGGCCAGATGCAGTGGTCCACACTTGTAAATCCCGGCACTTTCAAAGGCCTAGGCAGGCGGATTGCTTGAGGCCAAGAATTCAAGACCAGCCTGGGCAACATAGTGAGACCCTCATCTCCACAAAAAATTTAAAAATTAACTGGGCATGGTGGCACATGCCTGTAGTCCTAGTTACTTGAGAGGCTGAAGCAAGAGGATTGGTTGAGCCCAGGAGTTCAGTGCTGCAGTGAGTTGTGAAACAAGGTGTGAGACCTTGTCTCAAAAAAAAAAAAAAAATACTCACTGCTATTATTGCTGTTGTTATTTTTTTCTCACCCATACTTGTTTCCTCAACTAGGCTGTAAGCTTTCTGGACCAAAAAGCAATGTCCTGGAGATCTTTGTATACCTGGCATAAGTAAGTGCCCAATAAATTTTTGTAGTTCACATCTTCTGTATTCTTTTTCTGCCCCATCCTGATTTCTTGTGAAAACGTTCACAAATAGTAGGCTGAGTCCAAGAATGGAGCTAAAAACTATAATTATATAGAAAATTGTCTTTCTGACATTAGTGAAATCATCATTGTAACCTGCCAAGCAGAGGAAGGGCTGTCAAAAAAACTGTCGGCAGATGCTTGCTCTCGAAAATCTACAGGATTATTTTAGTGATGAATACTTTTAAAGTAGACATTGCATTCCAGGCTTAGATCTATCTACAAAAACATACCGATTCCCTCTTACTTTAAGGTTTTAAACATTTTCCCCCGGAGAACTAAGCCTTATTTCCAGATCTATAAAGCGAAGTACTTCTATCAGATGACTCGGGTCCTTCCAGCACTAACGCTATATAACATTTATTGAATGCTTATTATGTGCCAGGCATTGTGCTAAGTAGGTACTTTGTAAGGATTATCTAACTGATCACCTCCAGCAACCCTATGAAAAAGATATGGTTATTATGTCAGTTTTACAGATTAAGAAACTGAAGCACAGAGGGTTAGGTAACATGCCAAAGATCCCACCAGAGGCAAGTGATGGAGCTGGTACCAGCTGTTCACCTCTAAAAAAGAGGCTCAAAATCATTACACCATGTTTTTTGGAACTCTTCTCTCCAAGTTGACTCAAATAGCCTAAATTAATTAATGCCACAAGACAATTCTCACCACATTACTAGGGTTCTTTTGAAGTTTGTGTCCAACATCCTCATATACATGGCAACTAAAAAAAAGGGGCCTCTCAACTGCTGGTAGGCAAAACCTGAGTCCTCTTGTTGCTTGCAGCTGAGAAAAGCAAAATAAAGCACACTTGAGAACATCTGCAAATTTTTTATTTTTTTATTTTTTTTTGAGATGGAGTCTCGCTCTGTCGCCCAGGCTGGAGTGCAGTGTCGCAATCTCGGCTCACTGCAAGCTCCGCCTCCCGAGTTCACGCCATTCTCCTGCCTCAGCCTCTCGAGCAGCTGGGACTACAAGCGCCCACCACCACACCCGGCTGATTTTTTGTATTTTTAGTAGAGACAGGGTTTCACCGTGTTAGCCAGGATGGTCTCGATCTCCTGATCTTGTGATTCCCCCACCTTGGCCTCCCAAAGTGCTGGGATTACAGGTGTGATCCACCATGCCCGGCTACATGTGTGAAATTTTAACTCACTCTGGGGGTGGGTTTTAAAGTCAGAAAATAAAGCAAAATTCAATAACAGTCAACTATTTAAAAAAAAATCCTTTAAATTGCCTGCTTAGTACAATACACACAGTTTCAGTTAAACAAGTAAAATGTGTATAGTCTTGTAATGCATGCATAATGAAGAGTATTTAATAAGTATATGGAATGCAAAATTTCATTCCAATATTTTTATTTCTGCACAGAAGTGTACACACTGAATTGGCATATAACATTGTACTCTATGGGAATAAACTTGAATTTCTTACATTTTTGGAACATTAACCGTTACTGGTAATAATTTTTTTGCCATTCACATAGCTGGTCACTGCATACCTGCTGTTAAAAATCACAGCATTGAGAGATCCTTAATTTACCACTTATATAGTCTAAAACAGAGAGAAAAAAGTTGTGGCAATAAAGGTCCAAGAACTAATCCTATCACCAATTTCTTTATCTTTCGCAAAAATACTTAAGGACATTGATTTATGATCCTAGCTCTTTATCTTACTCCATTCTGTGTTCTCCAAGTGAGATTTCAAAACCAGTTCCAAGAACACTATCAAACAAAGAAAAATATGCACAGACAGAAAAAAAGCCTATTTTCTGAAATGTATCCCAGGGGAAAACACCAACAACTGGAAAAGAAATATTTTCAAGATATAACATTAAATGTAGATTTTTCCATTTAAGAGTTATCTTTATAACACTTAATCAGAAATTTTTTCAATGAAGCAAAAGCTTTATGCTTCCCCCACAAATATACCTGATCTCCAACTTTCTTTTTTTTTATTTTTTTGAGGCAGTCTCACTCTGTCACCCAGGCTGGAGTGCAGTGGCGTGATCTCAGCTAACTGCAGCCTCCGCCTCCTGCATTCAACCGATTCTCCTGCCTCAGCCTCCTGAGTAGCTGGGACTACAGGTGCGCACCACCACACCTGGCTAAATTTTGTATTTTTAGTAGAGATGGGGTTTCACTATGTTGGCCAGGATGGTCTTCATCTCCTGATCTCATGATCTGCCTGCCTCAGCCTCCCAAAGTGCTAGGATTACAGGCGTGAGCCACCGTGCCCGGCCTGATCCCCAACTTTCATATTCCAAAGGCATTAACATCTGCAATTTAGAAATAACTGCAATGTTTAATGCTTCTAAGATGTGCCAATTTAAAATATGCTATTGGACAACTATAGAGGACTAAGTTAATGACCCCAATCAACAGCGTCTCTGCATCCTTGCCCTCTACTCCGTAACCTTGCAATCCCTTTCCCCTGGCTCTGGTCTCAACTGTGTTGTTTTGGCCAACTGGATGTTAGCAAATGGGATGACACAGAAGCTCAGAATGTATGGACCCATTTCTGCTCCCCTGAAAAAGACAGGATCTGTGCTACTGCCATAAGAATATGCCTAGGCCTGTTGGAAGGGTGTTGGGAGACTTGGGTAGGATGGCTGAATCTTCTTGGTCAGGCCATTTTTGACCACCCTAAGCCAGCCAACCATCAAACACATGAAAGAACACTGCAAAGATCAGCAGATCTGTCTACTACCCCTGCAGCTGACTGTAGCCACATGAGTGAGCTCAGCAGAGACTATGAGAAGAACCACTCAGCCATCCCAAAAATACTAATGGCTATTGTTTAAGCCACTGAATTTTGGGGTGCTTCATTATGCAGCATTAATTGTGGCAATACACAATTGATACACTAGTTATAGCCACAACAACCAAATGAGATTGTAGAAGAGCTGTGGGATGAAACCTAAACTGATCCAAGAAAGGTATAATGCTATGTGAGGATCCTGCGGGGGGAATCTATTTTTTATTTTTTTCTTTGAGGTTTATGTTCTCCCTAGGTTACACAGGGCTGTCTTGATTAATACAGGCTGCATCTTTAGTCTCTACTGCTAACTGTTCATTCACAGCACATCAGCATTTATACTTTGCATATTAGAATATGCTGTGACAAAGCAAATTTTAGGTATTTATCATAAGGACAAATAAGCAGTATTATTTCTATTAGAAAAAAATCAAAAACAAGTTAAATGTCCATCATTAGGAAACTGATTAAATAAAGGATCACATCCTACAATGGAATACTATGCATCACTTAAAAGTGAGGCTGCTTCTATATTTAATTGCACAGAAAGATATTTACTAAATAACACTAAATGAAAAAAACTAACTGTAAAACAGTATGATGAGTATATAGGTATTGCCTACACAATGCTTTCAATTTTTCTGTTTGAAACTTCTCATAATAAAAGTTGGGAGAAAGGCAGTATGTATAGTGTCATTCTTTCATAAAAATATTTTAAAATCTTTTTATGGTAAAATAAAACACAGATGAAGAAAACCACACAAAACAAATAGCTTACTACAAAGAAAACACCCATAACTACCATCTTAATCAAAACACAGCTTTTGCTTGTTACCCTAGAAGGCCCTCCATGCCCTTCCCTTCCTCCAAAGTAAACAAACTCTTGAATTTATGGTAATCAGTTCCTGGCATTTCTTTATGATTCTGTTACCCGAGTGTATAATCCTAGTCACCATTAGTGCTGTCTATTTTTAAAATTTTGATGTCTTTTAAGTTATTTAATCTACATCGCCTCTATCCTTTTCTTTTCCTTACAACTTATTTGTTGAAAGAGTCTGGGCTGTCTGAGTTATGGAGTTTCCACAGTATGAATTTTGGTGGTGCATGTTTAACTCGTTTCTCCAACCTCTGAATTGCCTGCAAATTGGAGCTAGATTCAGAGGCTTGAACAGATTGAAATTCAGTCTGTGGTGGTATGATCTTTCATCAGGAAGCACATGGTATCTGGTTTTCATTCATTTCTAATGTTAGCAGCCATTGTTATTCAATGCCTAAATCCACTAAATCCACAGGGGTTGGAAAACAGTGACATTCCAATTATTTAATTTCATTTTCATCTACTGGGTGGAAAAATTTTAGGAGATGCTTTCCTTCATCTACCACTTGGTTTTCCAGTGGTACAGTTCATGTAAGAAAGAAGCTGATTCTTTCCTAACTACTTTCAAGATGATGAAATGGTGCTCCATTAACCTTTTCTTCATACTGCAGAACCAATATTTTTTTTAATATCATAATCTCATGGATTTAAACATATTTGCAATTTTATTTTTGGCCAGTAGGAGCCTCTTCAAGTTGGCTCCTAAGTCATTCTGACATGCCCTAATAATCTTTGATAGCTTCCTTGTTACCTATTTATTATCTTGAGATGTCCCAAGCTCATCTTACATCTTTCCAGTTATTTTTGTTGTTTGAAGCTCACTCTGTAGAAGGTTCCTTAGGAGGAGCTCATGAGGAGCAATATTTCCTCCACTGATTTTTTTGCATGTTCATAAGTTTGTGTTCTTTATGTCTGAAGGTCAATTTTGCTAGATATAAAAATACTGGCTCACATTTTGTTTCCTTTGAATACCTTAGGTATGACTTTTCTTTCAGCGTAAGAGTTTCCGTCAAAAAGTCTAAGAACAATCTAATTCTCTATTACTGTTTTTCCCTTTTTTGTCTAGATGCCCAAAGGACTTTTTCTTTTTCTTTCTTCTTTTTAACCCAATAGTTTTATTAGAATATCTTGGTATGGGTTGTTCTAAGGTGATATTCTAAAATACATGATTTTTTCTTTCAAAAAGTAGTTTCAATTTTTTTCCAGAAAACTTGTCTTAAAATGTATCATTTGCACCACCTCTTTGCTTTATTTTTCTCCTCTCCTATTACCTGTATGTTGGATCTGCTTTGTCTATCTTCATTATTTGTCAACTTTTCCCAAATTTTACTTCTTTCTTCATTTCCTTTGGATTTTTAACTTTTTCCTCCTTTTCACCTTCTATTTCTCTTAGGTCAGTATTTGTAGTATTTAGTTGATTTTGTGCTCCTTCCAATTTTGAATTTATTTCTAAGATGATTTTTTTTAATTTCTAATTCTTTCTTGAGTTCTGTCTCCTTGTCTCTGAGTTTTGCTAATTCAGACTTACGCTGCTCTTTCATCTCCTGTATAATTTTGTAATAATCTCTTTTAATTATTTTGAAATAGAATATTATGATTTTAATCATTTTTTTGTTTTGTTTTGTTTTTTTGAGATGGAGTCTCGCTCTGTTGCCCAGGCTGGAGTGCAGTGGCGTGATCTCGGCTCACTGCAAGCTCCGCCTCCCATGTTCACGCCATTCTCCTGACTCAGCCTACCAAGTAGCTGGGACTACAGGCACCCACCACCAAGCCCAGCTAATTTTTGTATTTTTAGTAGAGACGGGGTTTCACCGCGTTAGCCAGGATAGCCTCAATCTCCTGACCTCGTGATCCACCCGCCTCAGCCTCCCAAAGTGCTGGGATTACAGGTGTGAGCCACCGTGCCTGGCAGTCTTAATCATTTCTAATTGAGCGTGTCTTCTGGTATGTTTTCATTGTCAGTAGGGATTTTACTCTATTTCTTTCTTAAAAAGTTTGTATGGGATCTAACTTTGTTAATGTTCTGTACTTTTATAAAATGTCTTATTTATATAATTTCTATAATTTATTTAATGTCTTTCTCTCGCTCCCTGTATGAGGACAGAGACTATGTCCGTTTCATTCATTAGCATATTCCTAGTGCCTGGCACATAGCAGATGTTCAAGAAATCACTGCTAAAGGAATGAATAGAAGAGTTCATCAAAATGTTCATAGTGGTAATCTCCGGGTGACAGGATTTAGAAAATGGCCTTCTGATGTTTTATAAGTTGCTATTTTTCTAAGTTTTTTTTAATAATGAGCATGAAACATTTTTATATTCAGAGACAAAGATTTTTAATTTTTAAAAAAAGGTTTGTATATGAAGCTGGGTATATAGATACCATATATCTTTAAAAAAACAATAAAGAAGTGCCCTCTCCCTCACATACGTCTTCTATTCGTAAATGAAAACTCTGGGGTAAAAGAAGGTGACAAAGCTGAGTTTTACTAAGAAAGACTAGGTTTAGAGTTTGTGAAAAGGATGACAGCAACCACCCATCTGCTTTCCATGCTATATTTGACAGATTTTACTCTATAGCTCAGAAAACATGTTAATAGGACTTCTTGTAGTGAGAGGAAGGAATTTAAAAAGCAAAGAATCCTGTTGTGATAGTTTGGCACTATATGGAAAATGGCTCACAGAGCCTGCAATTCATGGAACAAAGATAACATCTCTTCGTAAAATCTACACTGCAAGGTATCTCAAATATACAACCAAGAGATGCCAGTGGCAGTGACTTAAAATCACCAAACAAAATGATCCCAAACAAGAATGAGATGAAGCCTTAATATGCTTAACTGGGCCTTCAAAGACCTATTAGAGAAAACATAAGAGATGAACTGCCTCATAAAGCAGATGGTCTTCTCCAGTTTAAAAAAAAAAATCAAGATAATTAAAGGAAACTAAGGAGCAAGGATCTTGCTAAATGGGCCAAGGAAGATTTTTTTCCTCTGAAGAAGAATGCATGATTTTTTTTAAAGGATCTCACGGTTCCCCATGAGGCTGACACAGGTCATTTGGTAAGGTCTACATCAGCAAGGGAAGCCGTCCCAAGGGCAGCTGCCTCCCAGGCAGCATGCAACACCCTGGCAGGCTCTATTCACAGGGGTGGGAAGGAAGGCTGAGGGGTAACACGGCCTTTCTGAAAGAGCACTGGAGTGGGGAGTCAGGACACATGGGATTTGTGTTCTTGATCTGTGATTCTGATGAACCTGGTTCAATTTTGTCACCTGTTAATTTTTCTTAGAAAAACTCATCATTCATTCCCCTAGCCTGCCTTGGTAGTGAGAACAGTTGAGATAAAGAGGAAAATCTCTGTATAGCACAGAACAGAATTGCAAAATTGTTGGTTTATAATGTAATTTTGTTTAAGTAGCTCCATTGCTAGATATAAAGGTCCTACTGTGCAGCAAATTAAAAACTGGAGTAAGGGGAATGAGGTATTTTGAACTCAGTAGAAGATGAAAAAATTTCTGTTCTACTCCAACTGTAAGGTACTCGATACTCCATTTCTGTTCTCCTATAAGGTCTAAGGTGCTTTTTGAGAGAAAAGAGAGGCAGATAAAAGTATCTCAAAGGAAACTCAAAGATTCTATGCCAGAGATTGTTAACTGAAACAGGGACAGGAGGTACAAGTCTTTTATTGTTATAGTCAGGATTTATACAGAAAGGGTACTGCCCCCAAATATTGCCACTTGTGGCTTGCCTATGGGGCCTAACCAAAGCCCACAGGGATAGGGCTCCAGGTAATATTAAGTATCTAACATTTGTTGAGGGCTTCCTTTGGGCTAAATACAAAGAGTGTTCATGATCCCTTTCATTTCTCACATAAATCCTAGAATGCTGGCACCATGATGCTCCTTGTTTCACACAGAAGGACACCAAGCTGTAGCAAGGTTAACAAACTTGCATAACATTGGGACGTTGAAAAGCAGCAGAGCCCAGGCTCCAATCCTGGTCTAACGATCCCAGAATCCTTAGTTTAACATTCTACTCCACTGTCTCTTCCAGGAAGTAGAAAGTGGGATGAAGCTGGTAACATGGCGACTCCAAAGACCTCATTTGCTGAGTTTATCTATCTCTGATCTGATGGTTCCAAGAGAAGGTTAAGTATCATAACCAAGGAACCAACTCATGGTTTCTCTTCAACCACATCTCAGCAGCAACACAGAGCTTACCTTTGGACCTGCCTCCTAATTATCCCTGGATCTCTCCTCTTTTCCCCACATTCTCTAAATCTCTTTTAAGTTTTTGTGATATGTCTAACATCACTTCCTCAATCCTTCTGCACAAAAACCAAATCCACTCTTAGTTTAGAAAATTATAGTGAAATCCCATTTCAACATATTATACATATGAGCCAATCCAGATTTCACCAAACAGTGGCCTAGAAGACATTTGGCAGTTTTCTTAATGATAACACCAGTTGAGCATCCCAAATCCAAAAATCTGAAATCCAAAAGGCTCCAATGAGCATTTCCTTTGAGAATCATGTCAGTGCTCCAAAAGTTTAAATTTTGGAGCATTTCAGATTTTGGAGTTTTGGGTTTGGGATGTTCAACTGCTAAGTATAATGCAAACACTGCAAAATCCAAAAACAAAAATATGAAATCCAAAATACTTCTGGTCGCAAACATCTTGTATAAGAGACACTCACCCCGTAACTGCTAATATATCAATCACACTATTTACCAGGCATTATGTGTTAAGACTTCATATATATTAACCACTTCAATCCTTATAACCACTCCATGGAGAGAAAACTATTATTATCCTCATTTTATAGATGTCATAACAGGCAGCAAGATAGTAAATAACTGCCACATATGTAGCAGGTGGTGAAGCTATTTTGTTTTAAACCTCTCTGAACCTCAGTTCTCTCCTCTCAAAAAATAAAAATATTCTCCCTCTCCCTATCCCTCCCCCTCCCCCTCCCTCTCCCTCCCGTCTCCCCTACGGTCTCCCTCTCCCTCTCCTTCCACGGTCTCCCTCTGATGCCGAGCGGAAGCTGGACTGTACTGCTGCCAACTCGGCTCACTGCAACCTCCCTGCCTGATTCTCCTGCCTCAGCCTGCAGAGTGCCTGCGATTGCAGGCGCGCGCTGCCACGCCGGACTAGTTTTCGTATTTTTTTGGTGGAGACAGGGTTTCGCTGTGTTGGCCGGGCTGGTCTCCAGCTCCTAACCGTGAGTGATCTACCAGCCTCGGTGCCGGGATTGCAGACGGAGTCTCGTTCACTCAGTGCTCAATGTTACCCAGGCTGGAGTGCAGTGGCGTGATCTCGGCTAGCTACAACATCCACCTCCCAGCAGCCTGCCTTGGCCTCCCAAAGTGCCGAGATTGCAGCCTCTGCCCGGCCGCCACCCCGTCTGGGAAGTGAGGAGCGTCTCTGCCTGGCCGCCCATCGTCTGAGATGTGAGGAGCCCCTCTGCCCGGCCGCCCATCGTCTGAGATGTGGGGAGCGCCTCTGCCCCGCCGCCCCGTCTGGGATGTGAGGAGCGCCTCTGCCCAGCCGCGACCCCGTCTGGGAGGTGAGGAGCGTCTCTGCCCGGCCGCCCCGTCGGAGAAGTGAGGAGCCCCTCTGCCCGGCAGCCGCCCCGTCGGAGAAGTGAGGAGCGTCTCCGACCGGCAGCCGCCCCGTCCGGGAGGTGGGGGGTCAGCCCCCGCCCAGCCAGCCCTCCCCTCCGGGAAGGAGATGGGGGACAGCCCCGCCCGGCCAGCCAACCCCTCCGCGAGGGAGGTGGGGGGCAGCCCCCGCCCGGCCAGCCGCCCCGTCCGGGAGGGAGGTGGGGGCCAGCCCCCGCCCGGCCAGCCGCCCCGTCCGGGAGGGAGGTGGGGGGCGCCTCTGCCCAACCGCCCCTTCTGGTAAGTGAGGAGCCCCTCTGCCCGGCCACCACCCCGTCTGGGAGGTGTACCCAACAGCTCATTGAGAACGGGCCATGATGACGATGGCGGTTTTGTCTAATAGAAAAGGGGGAAATGTGGGGAAAAGATACAGAAATCAGATTGTTGCTGTGTCTGTGTAGAGAGAAGTAGACATGGGAGACTCCATTTTGTTCTGTACTAAGAAAAATTCTTCTGCCTTGGGATGCCTTACCCCCAACCCGGTGCTCTCTGAAACATGTGCTATGTCCACTCAGGGTTAAATGGATTAAGGGTGGTGCAAGATGTGCTTTGTTAAACAGATGCTTGAAGGCAGCATGCTCGTTAAGAGTCATCACCACTCCCTAATCTCAAGTACCCAGGGACACAAACACTGCGGAAGGCCACAGGGTCCTCTGCCTAGGAAAACCAGAGACCTGTGTTCACTTGTTTATCTGCTGACCTTCCCTCCACTATTGTCCTATGACCCTGCCAAATCCCCCTCTGCGAGAAACACCCAAGAATGATCAATAAAAAAAAATAAAAATAAAAATAAAAATATTTACCTCACATGGTTACTATGTAGAAATGGAATAAACATACAAAAAGCAATTTAATATAGCACTTAGATTCTCCCTCCCTCCTAGTATTTCTGGGATCATTCCAAGGTACAATACAGAAACTTTTAATTAGACAGGAACAAGGAGATAAGAGAGATGCTTAGAATTCCTTCACATATGCTGCCTCATTTGTGTGTCACAACACCCTTTGGGAAAGAAGTAAATATCACCATCCCCATTTTACAGATGAGAGATTAGGGAACTGGCACACGCATGGACATTCTGCTGGTGACTGAAGTAGGATTCAAATTCACACATGCATATTGTTTTTCCAGAGGGTTTTAAGGGGTTGGAGGACAGGGGTAGCCAAGACTTCTAGTTCCCTTCATCTTTCCTATGTAGCCATTCCTACAAATTCCACACGTCACCTGCAAGTTGCCAATGTTACCTTTCCCTGGAAAATCAAGCCTGAAAACCATAGTCGAAGATAAAAATAGGTACAGTCACAGTTACTAACCATGCACAATTAGCAACTCTTCTAATAAGAAATAAGGAAGAGGGAGGGAGAAGGAATGGAAGGAGAAGAGGAAGGAAAGAGAAAGGGAGAAATGGTCATGAAACAGAAGTCCAAATTGTCAAGCTCTACGTTCTCTCATCCACGTCAGGATTTTTTTCCACAAAGGTATCAGCTACTTATCCTGGAACAACCTGCTGTTCCTTCTCAGCCCTTCAGCTGGGACCTGCATTTAGAAGCCTCCAAGAAGACATACCTGGCCAGGGTCACATTTCTCAGAAAGGCGGCAGCAGGAAGAGTTGAGCCCGGAGGCCACCACCAGGAACAGGGTGTTTCCCTCGACACAGGATGCAAGTTCACAAAGAAACACCAAGGACCTCCTCTATCTCCAGCTACAGTCTCCTGCTTTCCTCAACAGAACTTAAGGGCAGGAAGGAAAGCGGAAGTCAGGAATCAGGGCCAGGGAAGCTAAAACAAAGGCGGGTCTCTAAAATGCAGACACACACCCATCCCCTCCTCCTGAGCTCACACCCACAGATTCTTAAGCTGGGAAGGGGACAAGCCACCATAGAATTCTAAGTGCCTCAGCCACAAACTGCCTCAAAACACTGGAGACCTTCTGTGGGCCCAAGGCCATGCTAAAACAACATGTGAGCTTGGCAGACTCCAAAAACTCACAGAAATCTGTTAGGACACACTTACATGGATCTCTTTTCTAGACAGTTTTCCCCAGAGTCCCAGGTTAAGAACCACTGCACTAGTTGGTCACAAAGTAGGAAAACAGGGCTCTGTAAAAATAAATCATCACTCTCCCACCAAATCTTCTCTCAACTTCCCTAACTGGGTTAGGTGGACATTCAAGCAATATCCCAGACATTTCTGACTCCATCCCTTCCTTGCCCCATGACCAGTCAGAAACCTGGCACTAATCCATCCTCTGAAGCTAGTAACATGTGAATTCTCATCCTTTCATTTCCACGGTCGCCTCTAGGCCAGGCTCTTATTAACCGTCCCGAAGGCCTACAGTCGATATTCTCATTACCTGTCTGCCCTCATGCCAATCCAACTGTACTCTCCCGCAGAGCTGCCTTCCTAAGAGCATCTACCACCTTTATCACCACCACATATACACGCTCCAAGCTATCAACAGCCAGGACCCTGGAGCTGGGCCACCCCGGTTTGAATTCCATCTCCACTGCTTCCTTTGAGTGTCTCTTTAGGTAAGTCAGCTAACCTCCGTTTCCTCCACTGTAAAATGGAGATAATGAGAATATCTATACCAAATGTCTGTTGTGGGAATTAAATAGGAGAGTGTGTGTAAAGCACTCAGAATGGTGATGGCACACAGTAATTGCTGTGTAAGTGTTAACTGTCACCAACATGAATATTCTTAAAGCTTTTCACTGGTTACCAAATAAAATCTCACTTGGGCCAGGCATGGTAGGTCATGCCTGTAATCCCAGCACGTTTAGAGGCTGAGGAAGGAGGATCACTGGAGGACAGGAGTTGGAGATCAGCCTGGGCAACATAGCAAGACCTTGTCTGTACAAAAATACATACATACATACATACATACATACATACATACCAAAACAAAATCTCACTTCACTGATAGGCTCTTATGACCCTCTATATTCTGTCCCAAATGGGTCAAACTAACCCCAACTTGTCCCTAATCTGCATGGACATAAGCCGTTCTTCTCCTACCTGATCCCAAGCAGGGCACCACACCAGTGCCTCACTCTATACTGAAGTTACTGAACATCTCCCACTCACAAGCCTCTTCCATTTGTTCTGCCTGGGATGCCGTGTCATATCAGTGTCTGTCAAACCCTCACAGCTCTCGTAGACAAGATCAAGCACTGATCCCACATAAGATACTGCCATCGTGAATTCCAGCAACAGCACTGAGGATGTTAACACACCTAACAGTTTCTGTGGTCCTGTTCCTACCTGCCCAAGGGCTAATTGGCTGGTCTACCTTAAAGCAGTAACCCTTCCTCTCGGTAAAATGAGGTAGTTGAAACAAGTGACTTAAAAAGCCTTCTTGTCAAGGTTCTTGGGGTTATACAGTGTTTCTCGTTCCTTTGGGACAATTTTTCTTTCTTTCTTTCTTCTTTTTTTTTTTTTTGAGACAGTCTCACTCTGTCACCCAGCTGGAGTGCAGTGGCGTGATCTCGGCTTGCAACCTCTGCCTCCTGGGTTCAAGCGATTCTTCTGCCTCAGCCTCCTGAGTAGCTGGGATTACAGGCACCAGCCACTGCACTGGGCCAATTTTTTATATTTTTGGTAGTGACGGGGTTTCACCATGTTGGCCAGGCTGGTCTCAAACTCCTGACCTCAACTGATCCACCCGCCTTGGCCTTCCAAAGTGCTGGGATTACAGGCGTAGGCCACCGTGCCCAGCTGGAAAAATTTTTCATTAAAGAAGAGGATACATAGGGTAACTGCACATATTTTTATTTTTTAAATGAATAACTGAAAGCATTCCAGGTCTCAAGTTTCCAAGGCTAGGGAAAAAAGTGAAATTTTACTATATGATGTGCAAAATTCTTTTCTCTTTACAATTTGATGACCCTATGACTTCTAGTTTTTTTCCCAATAAACTAGAGACGACAATTTTCATTTCATACCTTATATTATCTCCATGATACATATTGCAAAGCCATTTCTACCTTCCATGTGGAAAGTAATCCTGAGTGTTATACCCAAATCCAAGGCAGTTAAAAAAAAAAAAAGTTAAATTATTTCTCCCTACCCCTCAATTTAGCAATAGAAAATTCCAGGATAACTTTTTTCTATAAATGAACAGAACCAGCCCCCAAATTTCTTAAAAGCAGCAGCTTGGAACTCAGCCACAAGAAGTTTGAAAAGTGGCAAAAAATTTAATAATACCATTACCCTGAAATCCAATAAAGCCTGTTGGAGCTTAACATTTTCAAGAAATCAGACTATTTATGCTATTACCCCAGTACTGCTATAGTTTCCTATAAAGCCATAAATACACACAATATAGTTCACCAGAAAACTAAGAGTATCATAAAAAAGGCCATAAGGAAGATACTGCCCATGAAGTATATCTCCACGGTACTTGCTACAGCAAGTTCACACAGAGGAGTTCATTTATTTTGAAAATTACATTTCCAAGTCCACAACTCCACAACTCATCACTTTGAACTGTGAACAACTTTTAATATAAGTTAGAGCTTTCTTTTCAAAGACTGTTTTCACACAAGATAAAGGTCATACTGAATATCAAGGACATGTATAAGGCTGTCACAATAATGAGGAAAAGGCTCATAACATCTGCGTCTTCATATCTGCTTAATTTAACAGTCCATTCAGCTTTAAGTAACAGAAAACCTACCTAACAGTGGATTCAACAAAAAGAAAGGAGTTGGAAGGCCCAGGGCTGCAGGTGTTGGCTTGAAAACAACCTCAGGGCAGGTATCTCTGAGGCTCTTGGACTTTCCTTCATGCTTGTCACCTCATGGTGACATGAAGGCTGCTGTACATCCAGGCATCTTATCAGCATTCAAGGCAGAAAGAATGGGAAAGCAAGGGAGGGTACTGACAAGCTCAGTTGTCAGGCTTTATAGAGACAATAAATGCTTTCCCAGCAACCTCACTCCCATCCCAGTGGACTTATTCTCAGGTCTCACTGGCCAGAAGTAGGTCACAGGGCCACACTTGCTACAAGGAATGCTGGAAAATCAGGGTTCAGGACTGGTATATTGGCTTAATCATCACAATTTACTGTCGAGGCTGATCTCCACACCACCCTGAATTAAACTATAGCCCTATGAGCAACAATGGAACAGGATATGGGCAGTGAGTGGGCAATTAATTGTGTCTCCATTTTGAGTCTCCATCTTGGGAAGGAGAAAATCATCCAATGAAGGGTTTTCTGCTGCCAATATCAAAAGCATCCACTACCTATAAAGTAACTGTTTTAAAAATTCCCATACCTATAACAACAAACAAATAAAAATTGCTTAATCTTTTAAGTTCATATACCTTGGTTCTTCTCTCTATATAAAGTATAAATGGGCAGTCAATGGCTAAAAGGTGGGTGTGAAGTCTTGTTGCTGTGAACTCTGATCACAACTTGACCACTGAGAAGCTTTGAGGTGCAGCTCGCTATTCCCCAGGCAGAAAAGCCATGGAAACCTTTAAGCTACCATACGGGGGAGAAGCCTCCTAAATGTGCTGTCTGCATGCTGCTCTCGCCACCTCCCTGCCCCTCCCGATCAAACAGGCACATCCATTTAGCACCCTAGATGCCCTGCACCTACTGAACCTTCAGTGGCTCCCCACTACTCTTAGGAAACAGCTGAAACTCCTTACCAAGGCCCTCCACTCTGATTTGACCAGGCCGCCTTCTCCAACCTCATCTCCCACCAGGTCCCACCACACTTGCTATGCTCTGGCCACCCTGGCTCCTTGCCATTCCTTAAACAGTCCATACCCCTTGGTCTGTAATGGGCTTTTCCCAGCTCTTCATAGACTGGGCTTTCCCCATGCTTCAGATTGCAGCTCAAGCACTGCTTCTTCAGGGACACCTTCCCTGGTCACCCAACATCATGTGGGCCGTGACCAGTATCCCTCCATCACACTCTTCATTCCTCCATAGCAGGTACCATGATCCACAATTATCTCCTCTACTGGAAGGCTTTCCTATCACCTGTCTCCATCACTAGAACAAATAGAAGTGCTATGGGAGCGGAGACCTCATCTACCTTTTCACTGCTCTATTCCCAGTGCCCAGCGCGGAGTAAGGGCTCTGGACTGTTATTTTCGCCATCCTGGTTCCAGGACTTGCCTGATAAGGTTGACTTGTCACTGCCCTCTATACCACCCACTCTTTCGTGTGGCCACCAAATGAACACTACATCTCTAGGACCCGCTCCACTGCAATCCTGACCTTGGAACTTCCTCTCTCCCCAACAACTTTTCTTGGTTGTCACACCCCTCTGACTCCTCTCTCATCTACTGAAGCAGGCACACAGCGTGGTTAAAAGCACAGACTCTGGAGCTGAAAGGCCTGGGTTCAAATCTCAGCTCCACCATTGTCTGTGTAGGCTTAAGTAAGTTGCTTCTATAGCTCCTGTGTGCCTCAGTTTCCTGTCATTGAGTGATAATAGTTGCATCTATGTAACAGAGTTGTAGTGAAGAATAAAAGTATACACATTAAGTGCTCAGAACAGTGTCTATGTAAGTGGCTAATAACTTAATGGTAATAAATGTAACTTCTGGCTGGGCGCAGTGGCTCACCCCTGCAATCCCAGCACTTTGGGAGGCCAAGGTGGGTGGATCACCTGAGGTCAGGAGTTCAAGACCAGCCTGGCCAATGTGGTGAAACCCTGTCTCTACTAAAAATACAAAAAATTAGCCAGGCATGGTGGCAGGTGCCTGTGGGAGGCTGAGGCAGGAGAAGCACTTGAACCTGGGAAGCGGAAGTTGCAGTGAGCCGAGATCGCGGCACTGCACTCCAGCCTGGGCAACAAGAGCTAAACTCCATCTCAAAAAAATAAATAAATAAATAAATATAAAAAATAAAATAAGTAAAATAAATGTAACTTCTTATTAAGAATATACTCTTTGTTCTTATTGGCATATGCACTCCCCTAGGCCCTTCTCATTTGATCCCAGTTCATCAGATCCCTCCGTAATGTACCATTTAATGTGTCCTTCAAATCCCACCCAGGAGACCTGCATTCCCATGCCTGATCTGCCAACAACTTGATCTGAATTGCATTCCTCCCCAGACCATTGTGTCCTGTTGGAGGAAGATGATCTGGAAATTGTGTTCTCCTGGGCTTTACTGACTGCACACATCTTTACCAGCCTTCCCCTCCTCTAAACTGCTTCATCACATAAACTGATTCTAAATGACACAGTTACCACCTTTGGTCACATCCACAGATGAGATATAAGAATTGAGGGCAATATGTAACTCTTCTCAATACCCCAGAGAAGTCAACACAGTATTCGGAGTATAGCAAACACAGTCTCTACCTATTAATTGGCACTGGTCACCCTATCTCCTCTTAACTGTACCTTTTCCCTCAAAAAAGGGAAGCGTCTTTATAAACTGCACCCCGCTTACTTGCTTAAACTGGATCCTGCGGTGTGAGGATCAGTGATTTCAAAACAAAAAGCTACTATCTCTTGTTCAAAAACAACAGGAATCCTCTTTACCCCTAACTAAGCCCAAGACACAAGGATAGGATGGCAGCAGGTATGCCTGATTTCCAGAGTTAGCCAAGTCATGTTGGATTTATTGGTATTGAGTTCCAAATAACTAATATGTAACATAAGCTCTTTGTGGAATTTTCTTGTACTCTGGGAGAGGGGGATCAACTTTCCCAAAAATTGGACACTCCTAGGGAGGAATTCAGGGGAGAAAACAAATGGAATCCCATGGACTTAAGTATTTTCCATAAAATCAAAAAAGACAGACTAAAAAGTCTAGATATTCCTTTAACAAAGCATCATCTATAAAATATTCAGGCAGGGCACGGTGTCTCAAGCCTGTAATCCCAGCACTTTGGGAGGCTGAGGCGGGCAGATCACCTCAGGTCAGGAGTTCAAGACCAGCCTGGCCAAAATGGTGAAACCCCCTCTCTACTAAAAATACAAAAATTAGCTGGGTGTGGTGGTGGGCACCTGTAATCCCAGCTACTCAGGAGGCTGAGGCAGGAGAATCACTTGAATTCGGGAGGCAGAGGTTACAGTGAGCCGAGATAGCGCTATTGCACTCCAGCCTGGGCAACAAGAGTAAGACTCCGTCTCAAAAACAAAAATAAATACAATGTTCAATAGTATATGTTGCTGTTTTCTTTTTCTTAGTATATATTCATAACAGAAAGGTCTAGAAGCTACAGAGGCAAACAACAAACTGACCTATCTTATGACTCTGAAATAAATATGCCAAGTCATTCGTTTAGAATTCTATTGGTTTCATCTTGCACGGATTTTTGTGGCCTTTTGTGCAAAGGAAGGTCAGCAGAGTTCACTTCTCCTGAGGACAATTTCAGGTTTGCATAAATGAGCAAGTGTCCAAGAACCTGGAAAAATAAGTCCTTTTGCTTTGGTTTCAAAATGAGGCCCCATAAAAAGTTGCATGTGTTTCTCCTTTCCCTTCTGGAGGCTGCTCGCAGAAGATAGGTCTTAAGCTTCCCAAGTCTGGCTGGGGCATTTCCTCCCCGCTCTTCCTTTAGCAGAGGTGCTGTGCCTCCTGCCCTGAGGACAACACATTCTTCTCATCTTTTTCAGGGGCAAAGCCTGTCCTCTCACACACATGGGACCCTTTCTGACCTACCCCCAGCATCCTAATCCTCTTCATGTGGAGTATAGGGAAGGGAAAAAGGACTAAAGTCCCTCCAAAGACTATTCTGGCATGTTTCCAGAGTCTCATTCTGCAACAAAAGCAGACACCAGGTAGGCTTCTTTCCAGGGCATCCGATTCCTCCTGGTGAAGACTTGTCACAGGGCTTCTTAGTCCCACTCTATTTGCTGGAAAAGGGAAAGTGATAGATCCAGAGCATCCAAACAAAAAGGACACTCTTTTATTACAACAAAATAAGACTGCAAATCTCTACCCTGGAAGTAGCGAATTACAAGAGAGGTTTAAAAAAAAAAAAAGCAAGAGCAAGTTACAAAGAAGGGACTTAATTTGGACTATTGAAATTTCATTTCTTTCTTCAGTGAAAGATAAATACATAGAAGTAACCTTTCTTTACTAGTCTCAACATCAAGATGTAAGATTATGTACTAGGTATGTGAAAACAAGGTCTGTATTTATGAGTATCTGAAAATAATGGCGGTCAACAGGCCTCAGATCACCAATTTTACAGGTTGGGTTCACATGCCATGTAAAAATCTAGAATCTAACTGACGGACTCTGAGACATGCACAGAAAGTTATCTACAAGTAAGGAGGTAGCCACGGATAAGACTATGCTACACTACAAAAATGTGGTTACTCAGGTTCATGGCATCTCAGTAGAGGGATGTGCAGAGCACCCATTCACTGAATTAATACTTAACATCTAAAGTTCTGCAGAAATCAGGGATTGCAATTTGGTGACAAAAATATCTTAAAATTCTTTAATAGGATGGTGGTAATAAAGTTTCCAATCAACATGGTGAGCTGAGGTGACAGGGAAGGGCTCTGCCTGTTTCAAACACGTGGAAAAACTGAGGGAGAGATCATTAACAACTAAGAAAATACTAAGAAAAAAATCAAAATCACAAGAAATAAATCCCTGGGCCAGAACCAAAGATAGAACTTAAAGTCAGATGAGAGAAAGTTAAAGCTCTGAAGATGTAAAAGGCTATCAGAACATGAGACAGGCTTAGTGTGTAGGGGCTGAGATCCTGATGAACCCTGGAGAACAAAGGGTCATATCTCACCAACAAGAAATCAAAATTTAAACGGCTCCCACCTAGAGGTATGGCATCCAAATACAGAACACCCATGAAGCATCAGGTCCCCAAGCCAAGAAAACAATAACATTAGGCTGGGCGAGGTGGCTCACGCCTATAATCCCAGCACTTTGGGAGGCCGAGGCAGGCGGATCACCTGAGGTCAGGAGTTTGAGACCAGCCTGGCCAACATGGTGAAAACCCATCTCTACTAAAAATACAAAAATTAGCCAGGCATGGTGGCAGGCGCCTGTAATCCCAACTACTCAGGTGGCTGAGACAGGAGAATTGCTTGAACCCAGGATGTTGGGGGCAAGCCCCCCAAAATCTGGCCATAAACTGGCCCCAAGACTGGCCATAAACAAAATATCGGCAGCACTGTGACATGTTCACAATGGCCCTAACGCCCAAGCTGGAAGGTTGTGGGTTTACGCGAATGAGGGCAAGGAACACCTGGCCCGCCCAGGGCGGAAAACCGCTTAAAGGCGTTCTTAAGCCACAAACAATAGCATGAGCAATTTATGCCTTAAGGGCATGTTCCTGCTGCAGTTAACTAGCCCAACCTATTTCTTTAATTTGGCCCATCCCTTCATTTCCCTTAAGTGATACTTTTAGTTAATTTATTATTTATAGAAACAATGCTAATGACTGGTTTGCTGTTAATAAGTATGTGGGTAAATCTCTGTTCGGGGCTCTCAGCTCTGAAGGCTGTGAGACCCCTGATTTCCCACTTCACACCTCTATATTTCTGTGTGTGTGTCTTTAATTCCTCTAGTGCCGCTGGGTTAGAGTCTCCCCGACCAAGCTGGTCTCCGCACCGGGAGGCAGAGGTTGCAGTGAGTCAAGATCGTGCCACTCCACTCCAGCCTATGTAACAAACAGCAAAACTCCGTCTCAAAAAAAAATAAAATAATAATAATAACAATAACACTGGTCCAGAAGCCAGGACACCCATGGGGCACTAACTGAGGAAAATGAGAAAGTGGGGGATTTGCACAATCCTAGTTGTACAGGACTCCCACATAAAACAACCTCTACTGAAGAGACTTACAGTGAAAGCTTAACACCAAACAAGAAACAATTTACCAAAAGAGACAGTCGACACAACTGGCAAAACCTGTGCCCAAGAGCTAGAAATAGAAAAGTAAATAGCGGTTGTTCAGGAAAAAGTTACCATGAATACAACTAAAGCTAAAGAGAACCATGTGTGTTGGAAAACAGGATTTGCAAAAACTTGTAATATGCAAAGAATTTCTCCCCTTATCAATGCTGAGCTAAGTTTCTAAGCAAGTACTTCATTCATTCATCCATTCGATATATATTATTAAGCATTTATTCAGCGTCAGGCTCCAATTACTCCCTCCCCCTCAGTCGTGGCTGGCACAGGCTCTGAGGATGGTTATTATCCAGTTCCACCCCTTAGCCCAAGATGACTCCACAAATACTGGAGCAACTACCGTAGATATAATAGTGTCCTCACTCACAGAGGAGAGGAGGGAAATAGTACTGGAGTTCAGACAAATTATATACATGTGCCAAAATATAAAAGGAATTTAGGACACAAGCAAGCATCAAGAGGGAGATTTAAGAGCTGCAGGAACACGTGCTTCCAGCAGGGAAACCAGGAAAACTCCCTGGGAAAGAGAACGACTCTGCTGCACCCCATGGCAAAAGCAGGATTTTAGCGGGTTACCAAAAGATGGATCCACATACCAGAGGGGAAACAGCAGGAGCAAAGGCACGTGACCCAAAGGCACAGGGTGTACCCTGGCAGGAGCAGCCCACACAGACTACTATAAATGTCTACTGAATAGCAATAATACTAACAACAATAACGATCATTCATCATGAGTAATGGGTAATAAAAATAAGGAGCAGTGAAAGGAAACCTAAAGGACTCAAATACCAGGGTGACCTTTTAAACTAGTGGGGACACACTAAACATTTTCAGCAGGGAAGCGGCATGGTCAGAGCCATGCCTCAGTTAGATTCATTTGGCTACTATGCATGAGTTAAGTTTGCAGGCAAAGAGACTGCAGGCCAAGGTCTGGAAGCTATTGTAACAGTCCAGATCCTCACAGCTGCAGTTGCAGTGGTGGCTGCAGTCATCCAAAGGAATGGATAGGTACAGACAAAAATGAACAAATATGCAATTTTTATTAGCAATTCCTGGAATATAGTCATGTGTTGCTGAACAACAGAAATACATTCTGAGAAATGCATCGTTGGGCGATTTCATTGCTGTGCAAACATCACCATGGAGTGTTCTTACACAAACCTAGATGGTACAGCCTACTACACACCGAGGCTAGATGGCACAGCCTACTACACACCTAGGCTAGATGGCAGAGCCTAGTGTTCCCAGGCTACAAACCTGTACAGCGTGTTACTGTACTGAATACCGCAGGCAAATGTGATACAATGATAAGTATTTGGGCACCTAAACATATCTAAACATAGAAAAGGTACAGGAGAAATAGGGTCTTATAATCTTATGGGACTACTGTTGTACATGCAGTCCATCATAGATTGAAACATTGTTATGTGGCACATGACTCATTTTAAAACTGGAGTTTTAACATAAACACAAATATCTGTATGAAAAGCCTGGCAAGAACAGCTCTAGCTATTTACTTCTTATTTTCGTGCTCAATGGATGCCATTCTGCATTCCATCCAAGAGCAGCACCCTGTCCTGAAAGGAGATAGCCTGGAAAGGCAGAATAATCTCAAAACAGAAAGAAAGAAAATTAAAACTCCAGTCTGACATACAAGCCTCAAAAACAATGTAGAGCACAGCAGTATGCACTGCTGACCCTTGACTGATGATTCCGACCACACCTGATGATAAAATTATTAACTATGGCATGTTGCTGTTGTTTTTTACTGAAATCGTTTCCCTTCTCCAGGGAACAGTTGTGGCCCTGTTCAGACACAGGCCTGGTGAGCAGGCCCCAGGTCAAATTGGCTTTCCTGCCTTATGTGAGGGCAGCAAGGGCTGCTAAGGTTAACATTTCTTTCTGCTATGAGTAGCCTCTGCAGAACGTCAGCTTGAGGTTTCAACAAGCAAATCTTATTTATTTATTTATTTATTTATTTATTTATTATTTTGAGTTTTGCTCTTGTCGCCCAGGCTGGAGTGCAATGCCACAATCCTGGCTCACTGCAACCTCCGCCTCCCAGGTTCAAGCAATTCTCCTGCCTCAGCCTCTCTCGTAGCTGGCATTACAGGCGCCCTCAAACACACCCAGCTAATTTTTGTATTTTTTTTTTTAGTAGAAATGGGGCTTTACCATGTTGGCCAGGCTGGTCTCGAATTCCTGACCTCCGGTGATCCGCCCACCTTGGCCTCCCGAAGTGCTGGGGTTACAGCACCCAGCCAAATCTTATTTAATGATCAGGAGAAGCAAGCTACAAAGGAGTACGCAGAAGGGAGGAATGGAGAACAAATCAAATAAAATAAGTAACAGTGTTCATGCCTTGGACTGAGGGATCAACACCGGGAAAAGAAATCAGAGATGGAAACCATGAGAGGGTACGAACCACACTCTAGTTCCAGGGAAGGGCATTTCAGGCAATGTGTTATGCAGATGTGTGCCCCCGGAAAAGCAGTCACTCACTCTCCCTCCACCAGAAAAAAGGCACAAAGTGACAAGCTCAGCAGAGGCCTCGGGGCAGCAATCTCTACGCTGAGCACAGGTAGCACGTTTCTGGCACCCAGTGAGGAGAAGATAGTTTTCTCCTAAAGAGCTTTTAGTAAGAAACAAGTCAAATGAAAATAAAGAGCTTCCTTGCAATTACTGGACAGCACACACCTCTGCAGCTCAGGGCCCTTCGGTAATCTCTGGAAAGGCACTCAGCTGATGGCCAATGTGTCATTCTCTAAGATGAAAAAAGGAGCAAGTCCACATATGTGAATTTTTCAGATAAATTTACTTCTTCCACTCCAAGAGCCCAAATGTTAGCATTTTAACCACTGTGAAAGAACGATGTTCTCAAAATATATTAGCTTGAACCATATGAAATTAACCTTCTGTATGTCAAAAATGCTCAAGTACTAACAATTTCACTTGGATCAATGGCAGTACATGCCCTTCAACTTTCTTCTACATAGGGGTGGGCAAATTTTTTCTTAACAGGCTCACAGATATTTTAGGCTTTGAGGGCCAAGAGACAAAAAAGAGATTATGTAGGTGCTTATATAACCATTTAAAATGTAACCATTTAAAAATATAAAAACCACCCTCAGCTCCTATAAAAATAAGCATGGGCTGGATCTGACCTATTGGCTACAGTATGCAGATCCCTGTTATACAGGGTACAGGTGTAAACTTTTTTCTGATGATGCTCACTATGAAAATTGATAATTTCAGAGTAAATCTGTAACACCCTTGGAGATGCTAACAATATCTGAAAATATGTGAAGAGCTGTTTACCCCAACACTGCTGGCTTTAATGCTGGTTGTTGGTCCGAATCCCTATTCTATTATCAGCTATCCCTCCCTACTGCTATAAAGTGCCACTGCTTTTAACTGTCTGACTTACTTTACAAACAATTGTCTGGGTGAGGGCTTGAGGGTGGTTCTAACTTTGCTTTCTTTTTTCTTTTTTTGAAACAGAGTCTCGCTCTGTCACCCACGCCGGAATGCAGTGGTGCAATCTCAGCTCACTGCAACCTGTACCTCCTGGGCTCAAGCAATCCTCCCACCTCAGCCTCCCGAGTAGCTGGGACTACAGGCACATGCCACCATACCTGGCTAATTTTTGTATTTTTTGTAGAGACAGGGTTTCATCATGTTGCCCAAGCTGGTCTTAAACTCCTGGGCTCAAGTGATCTGCCTACCTCAGCCTCCCAAAATGCTGGGATTTTTTTTTTTTTTTTTTTTTTTTGAGACAGAATCTCGCTGTGTCGCCCAGGCTGGAGTGCTGTGTCGCCCAGGCTGGAGTGCAGTGGCGCGATCTCGGTTCACTGCAAGCTCCGCTTCCCGGGTTCACGCCATCCTCCTGCCTCAGCCTCCCGAGTAGCTGGGACTACAGGCACCCGCCCCCACACCTGGCTAATTTTTTGTATTTTTAGTAGAGACGGGGTTTCACTGTGTTAGCCAGGATGGTCTCCATCTCCTGATCTTGTGATCCGCCCGCCTCATCCTCCCAAAGTGCTGGGATTACAGGCGTGAGCCACCACGCCTGGCCCCAAAATGCTGGGATTACAGACTTGAGCCACTGCTGGGATTACAGGCATGAGCCCAGCCATAACTTTCCTATAAAGAAAAAAACTGAGCTGCACAAGGTAATAGGACTTAAAGATGAATATGAATAAGCATAATTACAGAAAGGATATGGGGGCAAAAGCACTTATGGGGAATTACCCCAAATTTCCCCTGACTTGGAGCCAAAATTCCACAGGTTCCAAAGGAAAGCAACAAAAACAAATAAATATCTATACAGCTGCTCCAAGGCCAAAAGACTGCAGGGAGCAAGAAGTAAGTCTGAGACACACTGCCCTTCATAGAAATAAACATAGATCATTAAAGGGAAGAATCATTTTTCTCCCAGGTTAATCAGGGGTAACGACAAATAGGAAAAGGCTACAACTATAGCAGTTCCCAAAAGACTGCTGGAAAAACTTTAGTGTTGTGAGACATCGAAGGTCATCCCTGAGGGAACTGAAAGAGTTTCCTCCTTTGGAGAAGGCTAAGAAGTAAGAGCCAGGAACTCCCTCCCTAATACATATTAAACAGAGACATACCCAGGGGACCTCTCTTCTGGGTCCATGAATTTTGTGATTATAAAGGAATTCAAACAATCACTGTGAAACGTTTTTAATTTATGGCATTATTATCATTTCAAATGTTAACATATTGTGATGAAAAAGGAAAGCTTAAAAAAATAAAAGCCTGTAGAAGAATAGATACATTAGACCAGGCATGGTGGCTCATGCCTGTAATCCAGAAACTTTGAGAGGCTGAGGTGGGTGGGATCTCTTGAGCCTAGGAGGTCAAGACCAGCCTGGGCAACACAGCAAGACCCCATCTCTACAAAAAATAAACAAAATTAGCCAGGCACGGTGGCACATCTGTAGTCCCAATTGCACCGTAAGCTAAGGTGGAAGGATCACTTGAACCAGAAGTTCGAAGCTACAGTGAGCTGTGTTCATGCCACTGGACCCCAGCCTGGGCAACAGAGCAAGACCCTGTCTCAAAAAAGAAAAGAAAAATTTGGAAAAAAAGAATGGATGCACAGAAACAGAAAAAGGAGATTGTTGACATACACTTCTGGTCTTATAGGGCCACTTAATTACAAAAATCCTAATTTAGATAACATTTCTTACCATGCAATATTTAAAACTTACCCTAGAGCAATCCATTCTCTTGTATTTCTAAACATCCTTATTTAAACCTTTAAAGCTTTTACCAATTCAGTACTCTTGTGATATTCTACAATGAAAATTAAAGAGAAAAAAGCAAGAGAGAGACTGATCCCATACATACATGAGCTGCCTGGACAACAGTGAGCCCATAGCGACAGTCAACACATTGGCAGAGGCCTCGGCAGTTCCCAAGTCCTCAGGAAAGACTGAGATGGTTAGCTGTGGTGGGGGGAGAAAAAAAAAAGGTAGAAACAAAACAGAGACTTAGGATAATGACAGCTTTTTTTTTTTTTTTTTCATTAAAATGCTAATGATGACCACATATTTCCAGATAACCATGTTTATGAATTATTCATAGTCGCATGCAAGATGAAGTCTCCCTGTCACCGCAGGCAGGCCCAGGGCTTGCTGATGATTAGCATGCAGGCCCTGCAATAAGTGTGACAGAGGTGCAGGTCACTGGAAGGCTTGACCAGGGCTGGCCTTCTCTGACCCCCATCAAAAGTCCAGGCAATCTCACCTGCGTTTCCCTGATGCTTTTCTATTCTTCCTTAACATCAAGGAATAGCACTGCCTGGCTGTTTGCTCTGACATCTGAACTAATATCCTATAAAACTTTAAAAGCTTGAAATGAGGAAATTTTTTTTTCTGTATTGGAGAGGTTAGATGTCATGTTGATTGGAAAAAAAAAAAAACTTTTCAGTGACATATAACATATAGAAAATGCACACACGACAATGGACAGCTCAATGTATTTTCCGAAACTGAAAATACACCAGATGAAAAACCAGAACATTATCAGCACTGCAGAAGTCCCCTTCATGCTCCCTTCTAAGGGTGACTCCTACGCAGAAATTATTTTTGCCCATTTTTGTGGCCATCAAGTCGATTTACTGTCAGTTGATTTTTTATTTAAAAAACATATGCAGAACACCTACTATACACCCAGCACCATGCTAAGCACTGTAGCTACAAAGATGAATAAGATACCATCTCTATCTCTAAGGAAAGTGAAGTCTAGGGGAGGCAAAGGATGCACACAAACTGGCCACCCTAGGGCCATGGGATGAGCATAATCATTGAGATTCATATCAAGCATGGGCGTCTAGTCCAGAAATGGACAGGTCAGGGAGGCCTTCCAAGAAAAGGGGATGCCTAGCATGTCCTAAGGCTGGGTAGGAGTTAGCCGCGCTAGGGATGCGAGACAAGGCGATGGAAAAGGGAAAGGTAAGAAACCGCATGGTATAGTCCAGAGTTGCTGGCCACTCTCTAGAGTGAGGCCTGCAGAGTGAGGCCAGAAAAGAAGCCTGGAGCCAGATGGCAACCATGTACATGTCTCAAAGAACTCTGACTTTATCCTGGGTGTAAACAGCCACTGATGGGTCAGATCTGGGTTTTGGATGCATGATTCTCTGGGTGGATTTGAAGGGGGCAGGGTAGAGGCAGGAGACCTGTTCGGTTGTTACAATCATTCAGGGAGAAGGAAAGGGTGGAGATTAGGGCAGTAGAAGTAGGTAGAGAAGAGGAGAGAAGAATTAGTACTTGGAACCATCCGGAAGTTCAAAGCAGAACACTAGGTTTATTACACATGGGTGGATGGTAGTGACAACCAAGGTAGAGAACATAGGAGAAGAAATAAGGAAGACAAGGAATTTAGTTTGGGGCACTAGAAACTGAGGCATCAGTGGCTCACGCCTGTAATCCCAGCACTTTGGGAGGCCAAGGCAGGCGGATCACCTGAGGTCGGGAGTTCGGGACCAGCCTGACCAACAGGGAGAAACCCCATCTCTACTAAAAATACAAAATTAGCTGGGCATGGTAGTACATGCCTGTAATCCCAGCTACTCAGGAGGCTGAGGCAGGAAAATCGCTTGAACCTGGGAGGCGGAGGTTGTAGTAAGCTGAGATCGTGCCATTGCATACTCCAGCCTGGGCAGCAAGAGTGAAACTCCGTCTCAAAAAAAAAAAAAAGAGAGAGAAATTGAAGCGTGGAAGATTCAGGGGGAGATACTGAGATATTCTTGAGCGTAAAGCCTGGAGAAGCAGCTTGAGAAAAACATAAAGGCATAAAAGTGATTACAACATAGAAAGGAGCAGAGATTGTGTCAGTGAGTGACGTCACTGCAGGAACATAGACAGAAGGAGAACATTACAGGATCAGTGCAGAATCCTGGAGAACACACATAACAGAATGTGCAGAGGAAAACCATCTTTTGAAGAAGACCCAGGAAGAATGGTAGAGAGGTACCACGGGATAGAAAGAGATGAATAAAGATAAAAAATGAAAAGTATACCTTTGGATTTGACATTTAAGAAGTCACTGTCCACCTTGATGGAGAGCTGTTTTAGTGAAGTGGTGGAGGCAGAGATAACAGAATAAACAGAGCAAGTGGAAGAGCCCAGGAAAGGGAATGCGTGGCTGCTGGAAGAGACTAAGTGCTCACAGCGCATGGCTACAGGCTGAAGGACTCAGTTCAGGGGGAGAGGCTGAAAGTCTAAGGGGGAAGAGGTAAAGATGGCCTGAGATCTCAAAAGAGGTGGGCCAAAGGGTCAGGAGTACAGATGAAGGGACTGACCTCGAAGAAGAGGGGAGTCCACAATCCTCGGATATTAGAAGGAAAGTACAGTAGCTCCCCTTTGTCCATGGGGGATGCATTCCAGGATCCCCAGTGGATGCCTGAAATCATGGATAGAACCAAGCCCTATCTACCTATACTATGTTTTTTCCTATACATATGTACCGATGATAAAGTTTAATTTCTAAATTAGGCACAGTAAGAGATTAACAATGATACCCAATAATAAAATAGAGCAAGTGAATGTGGTCTCTATTTCTCATAACTATCTTAGTGTACTGTACTATGGGAAACTGCAATCACAGAAATGAAACTGGGTAAGTGGGGGCTACAGGAAAGATAAATCTGGCTATAGTAAGTTCATAATGAATAGTATTGGGATTTGGAGGCAATAGACCAAATTGCATCAATGTTTCTAGAAAATAGTTGGCAACGTCTCTTTGTTGAGAATGAGATGACAGGTAAATGGTCTGAGGACATGGATCTTGAAATTCTTGGTTTCTGGCAAGCAATCCCCCCAAATTAAAGTAGTCTAAGTCTGTTTTAAGGTAAACAAACAAACAAGGCAGTTTGTACCAAGATAGAAAAGAGCATTTATAAGTTTTACCCCTAAGAGTAGAACTTCAGAGTATCAAAAAATACTATTATAAGCAAAAGATCTGGAAGATGTCTTTTCTTAAAATGATCTCAGGCTTTGGGTGTCAACATTTCCAAAGGTGTACGTGTAGTTTAATTAAGCAAAACTATTACCAACCATCTTTTTTTTTTTTTTTTTTTTTTTTTTGAGATGGAGTCTCGCTCTGTTGCCAGGCTGGAGTGCAGTGGCGTGATCTCAGCTTACTGCAACCTCCGACTTCCTGGTTCAAGTAATTCTGCTGCCTCAGTCTCCTGAGTAGCTGGGATTACAGGCACATGCCACCATGCCCAGCTATTTTTTGTATTTTTAGTAGAGATGGGGTTTCACCATGTTGGCCAGGATGGTCTCGATCTCTTGACCTTGTGATCTGCCCGCCTCGGCCTCCCAAAGTGCTGGGATTACAGGCGTGAGCCACCATGCCTGGCCCTACCCACCATCTTAGAAAGCTTCTTGAATTGCTCCAATTCAAAGGTCCTTCCTACCATGGATAAACTACTGAAAATGAAAAAGAGGCAGACATTTGAGAGTAAAGGCAAGAAGGAAGGGAGAATGGGTTGGCAGTGGCACCTGCCACTGAGACTTCCTAGCTGCCTCTTAAAACAGTAGTTATGCCATCCCACTGTGATCTCCTGAACGCTTTTCCATCTAGGGTTTTAGCCAATTCAGAAATGGAGTGGAGTGACTTTATACTTGGAAAGTATCCCAGTAATGCCAAAGGAGCAAGATTCATTAGAAACCCGATGCGATGGAAAACACCTGGAAAAGCAGCTTTTATGTTCCCCAGACAGCCTTTGTGATCTCAAAAACTCTAAGACTGCTCTGCGGTTTGTCTATTCTGTTAACAGGAACAAGATCCAGGCCATTTCTGGAACTTGAAAGGATTTTAGAACCAATGCTATCTGCACTGAAGTCAGTCAGGACAGAGATGGTTTCAAAGGCATCAGATGCCTACTAACTGGAACACTCATCTCTGTATCCTCGGGGCATAGGATGTAGTAAGCAGTCAATAAATGTGAAATAAATCAATAAACCAATACATTAGTGAAAAGCTTTCACAACTAGGAGGTAAGGAGGCCAATTAAATGGTGAGAACAGAAATAGTCTATTTCTTCTTTTCCTACCCTAACTGACTCAAAGCAAAGCTGCAAATCACATTCAGCTGCATTTATACTTTTCACAGAAGAAAATCTTTATGAACTCATAAATATGAACTTGTAAGTAAATACTGCATGTTAAGTGGGAGGACTCAGAAATTATGAAACACAAGATGCCTCTTAAATGGGAAAATAGATGGGTATGAACATTTTGAGGACACAAAGCAACAGAAATTGCAGACTTTACATCTGTCTGCCTTCTTTGTCATCCTCCCCTGTGAAGGACAGGACATCATTACTCTCACAGCATGGTGCCTCTCCTCCCAGATGCTCATTCACACAACCCACTTCAGTTTAACCTGCTGGGGCAGTAAGATAAATAGTCATGAGATAACCAAGTCTCGCTTCCTTGAAAATTTTAAAAATTCACCTTGGTTGCAGGTCTGTTTTAGTCCTAATATATATTTCTATTACTCACAATTTTACTTCTTTTATAATAAAAGAAGCCCTGAGGTATCATGATCTTACTGGACACATTTTATTTTATTTTACTTATTTATTTTTTGAGACAGAGTTTCACTCCTGTCGCCCAGACTGGAGTGCGGTGGTGAGATCTCGGCTCACTCCAGTCTCCGCCTCCTGGGTTCAAGTGATTCTTGTATCTCAGACACGCAAGTAGCTGGGATTACAGGCATGCACCACCACACCCGACTAATTTTTAGTAGAGACAGGGTTTTACCACATTGGCCAGGTTGGTCTTGAGCTCCTGACCTCAAGCGATCCACCCGCCTCGGCCTCCCAAAGTGCTGGGACTACAGGCGTGAGCCACCATGCCTGGCCTGAACACATTTTATATTACGCAGCAGCACAAGGTAATATTTGTCTAAAAATAACTTTAATAATAAAGCTTCCAAAGGTGAGGAATAGTTTTTTTTATTAGTATGTACCACGTGACATTTTTCTGAACTGTTAAAAAATAACTTGATCCTGAAAACATCAAATCTGATTGTGTCCATCTGACTAGCAATATCTCGGGAAGGAAATCAACCTTTGAGACTTCTTTCTACTCTTAAGAACGCTAAGATCAAGATAAATATACGCTATTCACTTGAATGCAAGCCATCAAGGAAAGGAAGGGAATATATTTGCCAGTCTACAAAGTGTTTAGTGTGCAGCTTTTTAATTACTGCATTTACGGTACTAGCCATAATATATTCACTATCACAAATGCTCTACAAAGTCATTAATCCTCAACAAATACATTAATGCTTCCCTCCTCTCCTACAAGTTCTTACTATGCTGATGTGGGGCAAAAATGCCAAGAATTCTCTCCAAAGTAAACATTTCATGCCAACAGCCACTAGTTCTACAATGCTCATTTCACTATTTTAAGATATGTAATAGCTCTGCTTAAGCATTTCCTGCTGTTGACCTAAAAGATAAGTTTGTACACAAAAAATTTTTAAATGGCTTTACTTAAAGCAACAATTTTTAATAGAAAGGTGATGTAAGCTATCTAAAAGGTTGCTTATGCTCTTCCAAAATAATATATTCTATAATTCAATAATTATAATTCTCTGCATCATTCTGCAGTTATAGTACAATATAATTTCTGCTTTTTAAAATCTCCAGGAATAGGCCGGGCACGCTGGCTCACACCTATAATCCTAGCACTTTGGGAGGCCAAGGCAGGCAGATTACCTGAGGTCAGGAGCTCGAGACCAGCCTGGCCAACATGGCGAAACCCCATCTCTACTAAAAATACAAAAATTAGCCAGGCGTGGTGGCGGGCACCTGTAATCTCTTCCACTTGGGAGGCTGGGGCAGGAGAATCGCTTGAACCCGGGAGGCAGAGGTTGCAGTGAGCAGAGATCATGCCACTGCACTCCAGCCTGGGTGACAGAGCGAGACTCTGTCTCAAAAAAAACAATTAAAATTTTTTAAAAAAAATCTCAAAGAATAAGACATTGAGAATGATCACGATTTTCAAAACAGCTGAAGGATTACCCATTTAAGTATCAAAATGGGTTTAATTTCAACCATAGTGGATTAATTTTTTTTTCTAAAAGGTAATGCCTTCTTCAGAGAATCCAGAATATGATTAATCTTTGTTTGGTGACACAGGATCATCAACATGACTATAAATTACTTGCTCTGCTGGAACATGAGAATACTAACTCCAAGGAAAAGGAGTGGCAGCAGTTACTGGGTAGGAGCTGGGTTTCTACCACCACAAAGAGAGCTGGATGGGGAGTTACTACTAAAGCACAGGGTGCAATGAGAATCAAAAGGAAGAGACTGCTGAAGTTCTCACAACAAGGAAAGCACAGATATAAATACACTCTGGAGAGCCCAAGGGGAAATCCAAGTTACAGAGCCAGGTCTGAAGTCAAGAGCTGTGGCCGACTAGAGTCAGGATCTGAGTTGGAGATAAATTGATGGCGAATAGAGGGAGAGGGTGTGAAGTTGGCTTTGTGTGTATCCTGCTGGTAACTGGGTTTAACCTGCCCATTAAAGGCCAGTGGCAAGACAGCTGTTCTCAGAAGCTTCTGAGGCAACAGAGGGCTGTTTATTCCTCTACTCAAAGGCAGATGGCGGCTAGGCTTTGGGGATATGTGTCTGCCTTTCACAGTCTGGCTATCTCCTCTCCTTTGTCCTAAAGAGTTGCATCTCATTTCTGTTATAGTACCAACCTTTCCCTTCTTCAAGTCAGCTATGATTTTGGAATTCAAATAAAATAATGAAGTGTAAGAGAACGAAACTTAAAATACCAAGCTCCAGATAAGATCTGAAGGGCACAGGGCACGGCCTCTGAACACATACTTGGGCTGTTGTGATGCCTTTTTTGTTTATTTCTTGGTTCTTAGGGAATTCAAATAGTGTTCCTTAAGCAGAACTCATTTGAAGTCATTTAGCCAAGCCTAAAAAACCTGCCCGGAGCGTGTTATTTCTAAGTGACCACTGTTATTTAACAAGCACCTCCTTTGGAGAAATTCAATAAGCAGAATCTCCAGAAACACAACAAAACCAATTGCCCTGATGTGAACAATCTAGAAATGTGGGAACAAACTCAGAACCTGAAGAAAGGGAGGACTTTACCATTGCATACATTAAGTGACTGTTGGCAAATCAATTAGCCTTCCAAGCCTCATCTGTAAAATGGGCTAAGGATATCTGCCTTGCAAAGGTATGATTGAGAACAAAAGGAAAGGCTCAGAAGAGATCTACAAATACGAATTACACCTTAATTAAGTGGTAACAAATGTGAATTACACCTTAATTAAGTACATAACCCCCTACAACACACAGATCTTTATTTAGACCTTTTTTTAGACTAGGTCTTGTGCCTAGTAGTTTCTATCCAACTTTCACCACCCCAGATAAGATTCTTTTTCCCAATTATTTCCACAGAACATTCTTCTCGGCTAAAAAATATTTTTTACTTCACTGCTCATATAGCAAGAACAACTACTCCTGAATTTTCAGAGTAAAAAAAACCTAGAATGTAAAAATTCCCCATTATGATTTTCCCATTTTGTTTCTTCTTAACAACTTCCTATCTAAGTTCTTTTCTCTTTCTCCCATTTTTCTTTATAGCATCTTTGTGGATCTTATTTTCTCACTTTAAGTTCAACACTTGCTGTAATGTGATTTAGCAGTTTACAAGGCACCTTCACATATATTACCTTATTTCCCTTAAATTTCTTCTATTCTCTTTGTTTCTTGCCTTACTTTCAGAAATACAAACAGAACTTTCTAAAATCAGCAAAGAAGCAATTTTTCACCTTCCAACTGCCAACATACTAATACACAATACTTGGCAGAGCTGTCCAAAGCAAGTCAGACCACATACAGTATACCTAAATCCTGACACCTCCAACTCTCTTAACAAATAATTTTTTTTCTCCGTGGTAATGGTCTCTTGGAAGTTAAAATATAGTGAGAAATGTGTAAACATACCAATATATTAAAATAAGACAAGTGAATCCCTTTAAGAATCATGAAAAATAATTAACAACAACAACAAAAGAAAAAAACAGCAGGAGGCCCAGTGAGGTGGTTCACACCTGTAATCTCAGCATTACAGTGTGTAATGAATACAATGATACAATGAAGCTAAAGTAGTAGGATCACTTGAGGCCAGCAGTTCAAGACCAGCCTGGGCAATGTAGCAAGACCTCATCTCATCAATTAAGCAGTCAATCAATATGCTAGCAAGTCGGGTGTGATGACACGTGCCTGTAGTCTCAACTACTTGGGAGGCTGAGGCAGGAGGATTGCTTGAGCCCAGGAGTTCAAGGCTACAGTGAGCTATGATGGTGCCACTGCACTTCAGCCTGGGTGACAGAGCAAGACCATCTCTAAACAAACAAACAAAGGAATAAGAGGTTGAAAACATTAGCAGAAAGAAAAAAGAAGGAATAAAGTTGTTATTTTTGCTTCCAGTAAAATTTCCATCATCTTTCTTACCAGAGCTGTTCTTCCCCAAGCTCTGCATTAAATAATCTGGTCATTAAATCTGTGAAAACCACAAGGGATGTGCCCATCTCATTAAAAAAGATGATCATTTGAGCTATGATAATGAGAAAGAGCATCTATTTTTGGTTTTAAGGACAGAAGTACTTCCTGCCTGTTGCTCAGAGCAGCGACACTTCTAGTTAGCTTTAGCACAAAACAGATGCCCCAGCACTCTTTATCATAGTGACAACAGGAACCTGCAAATAGAAAGATTTCGTCTCAGAACTTCTACATACTCTCAATCTATTGATTTATCAACAAAGAACATGAGGCGTCTGAAACAGAAAAATATTAATTCTACCATATGAAGGCAAATATTATTATTATTATTTTTTTTTTTTTTTTTTTGAGATGGAGTCTTGCTCTGTCGCCCAGGCTGGAGTGCAGTGGCACCATCTCGGCTCACTGCCAGCTCCGCCTCCCGGGTTCACGCCATTCTCCTGCCTCAGCCTCCCGAGTAGCTGGGACTACAGGCATCCGCCACCAGTCCCGGCTAATTTTTTGTATTTTTAGTAGAGATGGGGTTTCACCATATTATTGTTTTTTTTAAAAGGATTTTTGTAAACTCTAGATTAGAAATTAGATCAGGCCCAGCATGGTGGCTCATGCCTGTAATCCCAGCACTTTGGGAGGCCGAGGTAAGTGGACCACCTGAGCCCAGGAATTCCAACACAAGCCTGAGAAACATGGCAAAACTCGACTCCACAAAAAATTATCTGGCCACGTGTCTGTAGTCCCAGCTACCTGGGGGGCTGAGGCAGGAGGACTGCTTGAGCCCAGGAGGGCGATGCTGCAATGAGTCATGTTTGTGACAATGCACTCCAGCCTGGGCAACAAGAGTGACACTCTGTCTCCAAAAAAACAAAAGAAATCAGATCAGATTCCCCTATATTCATTCAAACTCTGGAGATACAAAACCTTTAAAATTTGAATTGATTGCCCTTTGACTTTACAATGGTTGAACAAGACCCAAAAATAATTTTACAGTAATCTTTGATACACATTAATAATATATTAAACATAATTTTAATAAATCAGTTGTTATTCCTAAAATTGAAGTACTAATGAAATTTAAGGAGAAAAGTTGAAAGATAATACTCGGCCTTGATTCTGCTGTGGTGTTTACATGTTCAATGATGGAAGCTTCTGGCACATAAAACTTTCTGCATTTTGTAAGAGATACTCTGGGTGATTTGAGCATGGGAATGGAGAAGAACATCAAGGGTCCAACATTATTCATGGAATCTACAGAGATGCCTCAAGGAAGCTCAGTTCCCTATAGAACACAACTGGGACCACTGGATAAAGGGGCTCTTAGAAAAGAATGTTTTCTTCCAGCTTGGACCCAACTCAAGTCAACCTAATAGGAAATCTAAGAAAAACTGACCCAACTGTGATTATGGCTCCAGGCAATGAAGGTCATTATTTTTTGTAATGGTGGAAATATTATGTTACGCTTATAACTGGGTCTGAGGTCAGACTTGGAATGTATACTTTAGAGATAACTGACCTTTTTTCTATTATATTCTCAAACCAACAAAACAGTATCACTTAGTTCATTTTGACAGTGAGAGTAATAATCTCTGAATAAAACTGAAAAGTATAGAGTGATCAAATGAACTCTTCCTTAATGGACCAGATAACCAGGTATCTAAATTGAACTGAATCTCACAAGTTGATCACCAGGGATTATCAGGTACATGTGATAGATTACAACCCGGTGCTTATCTCCATTCCCTCCCAAAACCACCCCTAAATGACAGTAAGTGAGAGGCAGAGATAAGTTCATGAGAAGAGAGAATGGAAGAGGACAAAATTCATGGAAAACATTTTTGGAAAATGGCCCAATGATGAGTGAATTTTCAAAGCAGGGGCAGACAAAACATAAACGTCTATAGACAGAATTGTCAGGAAGTAACAAACCAGTATGCGGCAAAGAACTTGAGGAAAGTGTAAGTTAAGACACAGTTAAGTGGGGTTTGGATGAGAAGACAGGATGGAGGCAGCACTGAAAACTGGGGGATGGCTTGCAAGTCATTTTAAGGAGTAAAACTCCATATCTTTGCTAAACCATGAAGCTTGCTATGCCCCTCCTCCCACCTCAGCAAAGGTTAAGCTTGAGAAGATCTGCACTCGGGGACACTAGGAACAGTGACCAGGTGGAGGGACTGACTGAAAAAGAGAAGGACTAAGTGGAACTATGCACTCCACAGCCCCTTCCTCTGCTGGGTTCCCAGAGCACTGGCCAGTAGGAGATTGGTACTGGAGACTTTTCTGGAGAAACTAACCTGCCCAAGAAAAGAGATCTACAGATACCAAAACTGGAAGACAAGGTGACTTCTGAAAAGAGGTGGTCATCTTATGCGAGGCCACCAATTGACAAAGCCTTGCTTTGTGCCTCCTCATGAATAAAGATGACAAGATGAACACCAAGCATGTGAAATAGGGTCCAGCATGACAGACAGGAACTTCAGGAGGGAACAGGGTCAATGCAGGGAGAAGACTTCAAATATACATAATTAAGAACCCCAAGAGGGTAAAACATATTGCATCCACAAAGCAATAAAGAATGGATGCTATAAAATACAGATACTGTGAGAACAAGAAAAAGCTCCTAGAAATTAATATTATAATCACAGAAATAAAAAAATCAACAGAGAGGTTAATAGATAATAGAGGTAAATGTTCCCCTAAAGTAGAACAAAAAGATAAAAGGATAAAAATCAGGATTTTTTTTTTTTTTGAGACACAGTCTTGCTCTGTGGCCCAGGCTGGAGTGCAGTGGTATAATAGTAGCTCACTGCAGCTTCGAATCCTTGGGCTCAAGTGATCCTCCCACCTCAACTTCCCGAGTAACTAGGACTACAGGCGCATACCACCACACCCAGCTAATTTTTTTTTTTTTTTTTTTGGAAGAGATAAGGACTCACTATGTTGCCCAGACTTGTCTGGAACTCCTGGGCTCAGGCAATCCTCCCACCTTGACCTCTGAGAATGCTGGGATTACAGGTGTAAGCCCACACACAGCCAGGGATTTTTTTTTAAACAATAATTACATTGGAGAAAAAAATCCAAGAGTTCCAGCATCTGACAAATAGGAACTCCAAAAAAGAGAACAGTCTTCACAATGAATGAAAAAGTGACATACCAAGGTGGATTACAAGAAAAGCTCAGAACACTGGGGGATTTTTAAATACCCTAAAAGCATCCAAAAAGAAAAGAAACAAGTCACATACAAAGTACATAGAGTCAGAAGAGCATGCAACAATTCTGTAACAAAATTGGAAGCAGAAGAAAATGGAACAAACCCTCTAAACTCCCAGGGAAAGTAATCTCCAACTTTAAATTAGATTATCAATCATATGTAAGGGAAGACCAAATGATATTTTGACACATGCCAGATCTCAAAAAAATTCCATCTACACATGCTTTCTCACAAAGCAGCCAGGCAATGTGCCTCCCCAAAAGAGGGTCAAAACCAAAAGAGATGGCATCCAATAAACAGGTCAATCAAGAATTCCCAACGTGATTGCTAAGGACAAATTCCAGGTCAACAGCTGTGCATAGGCCTCAAGAGTAAACAGTCCAGAACAGAATGAGCAAGCAGAGAGCCCAAGAAAAATGTCACATGCACACATGCAAGAACCAAGAGATGTGCCATTGTGTTTGACCTTATTTGAGAATTTGGGGATAAATAAATAGTAAATAAATAGAATACCAAGCAACAAAATTTTAATGTGCTATACAAGAAAGAAAATAAAATAACAGTATCCTGCATAGCTCAGCTGTGAAAAATATTTACAGTGAAAACAAACTGAGATATAACTATCTTAGAGAGTACAAGCGCAGGTATTTAAGGGAGGAAGAATAAAAGAAAGATAAACCCCTCTCTTCCTCAATGGAATTCATGTTTAATGACTAAAATGGAAAAAAAAAATTCAAGAATTACCAATATAAACATATTAATTTGCTACAAGGAAGTAAATACCAGAAGAAGAGCTAAATGAACTAAGGAGTAGTTGCTTCTGAGAAGTGGAAAACGGCAATGCAAATCCGTGGGCAAGAATTTGTAAGCTATATACATGTATAATTGCAATTAAAAAATCAACTTTTAAAAGGGTAGAAGTTCATCAATGAAACATATAAACCACCCAACTGTATAAGACAAATTGATAATGTGAAATTTCATTTTCTACTATAAACAAGGAAACAGATAAGTCTTAATCTGCTCCTCCTAGCTAATCCAATTGTTAAAATTCAATTTAGTGCATCTTGTTATTTAAGGACCACAGTGTGAGAGGTCAAATATGCCTAAATCTTCACACCTCTAGTTTTAGTTAACACATGGTGAAGGGGACCCTGGACACCAGTGCACAAGGAACAACTGGCCGTCTTAGTTAAATAGAGTTCATTAACCACAGCTTCATATGGATAAACACCTTGGCCACTGTAACACCTCCCCTTCTACCAGAGTGCTTACTGAAGCTTCTTATGGTGACTTTTATCCTTATGTCGGGAGAAGGACTGGGAAATGGCCGGCATCTAAACTCTGTTCCCCTATGTTTGGGGAATTCCTCATCATGTGAGTTCTGATGAGAGGCACATCTCTCAACATAGAAGCAAAAATGGCTAGACACTAACATTCCCAGAGTGTCTTATAGCCAAGGCTTGCACATGACTTAGCCGTGGTCAACCCTGAATCTAGAACCAGAGACATAAAGAGGCAGGAGCAGGAGGGAAATTACCATGGGTGAGGGCAATGGCAACAACACCCACTGCTCAGAGGCAGCAAAGGCTGAAGTGACAGAGTTGGTACCAAGTGTCTGATCCTGAAGAGATGGTCAGCACGAACACTAATGTCCAGTGTTCAGTGACAGGGTCTACCCAACATAGAACTAATCTTATTGTATGACCTTGGCTATGAATCTGGCTGTGCAGTCTCTTTTTAGTGCCTGTTCTTTCCCCCAACTTGGGTAAATTCAGAATGTACCCAATATCTTCTCAATAAATTATTTCTTTGCTTAAACCATTAAGCTAGTCTCTGTTGCTTCTATCCAAGAACCCTGATTGATACATTGCTCCAGGATACACAGGTAGAGATAGGTAGCCATCCACTGAAGTTAAGAATGAAATGTTTGTTTCATAAGATTTCAAAGCAGAACAAAGAAGATTTTTCCATAGAGAAACATGGGGGAAGGTTAAGCTTTAAGATACAGATAAAACTGTTTGTGGAACGTTAAGGGTTACCAAAGTTTTGGTAGGCTCATCAATTTTTTTTTTTTTTTTTTGAAATGGAGTCTCGTTCTGTCGCCAGGCTGGAGTGCAGTGGCACAATCTCGGCTCACTGCAACCTCCACCTCCCAGGTTCAAGTGATTCTCCTGCCCCACCCTCCCAAGTAGCTGGGACTACAGGCGCAGGCCATCACACCCAGCTAATTTTTGTATTCTTAGTAGAGACGGGGTTTCACCGTGTTGTCCAGGATGGTCTCGATCTCTTGACCTCGTGATCCACCTGCCTTGGCCTCCCAAAGTGCTGGGATTACAGGCGTAAACCACCGCGACCGGCCAGCTCACCTATTCTTTATATTAGTTTCTACCATTAGCCAACCCATTCAGAGTTCTAAACCACTAATTGACCTCACAACAACCTCACTTTGGAAATGTAAGCAGCTTGTGAATCGGGAGCTGCCACTGTTTGCGTGTGGCCAGAGACATGCTCAGATTCTTACTGTTGTGAATGGGCAGAAGAGTAGTGGGTGAGGAAGAACAATTTTCTTTGTCTTTCCACTGAAACACAGCTTTCAGAGAGACGAGGCAGTTTGAAAACCAGTGGTCAGGAACTACACGACTATGAAAATGCAAACCAAGGCATCCAAAGATTTACATTCAACTGTAGAAACATCAATATTGCTGAAAAGCTACACCCATCAATTCAGCATTCTGCAGCACATTTAGTTCCCAGTCTGAGAACACTGAACCTGGGCAATTTATCTGCATATGCCTCAGGCTAACCACACAAATTTTGCAGACAAAGCTAGAAGTTAAGATAGAGAGCTTAGAATGCACTGTTGATGTGACCAAAAGGGCTTCATAAAGGAATCAAATGCAGTAATGACATTAATAGAAATGTGGATGCAGAGAAAGAAAGTCTCTGTGGTGCCCCACTGTCTCTGAAAACTGAGGACGGCTTTCATGACAAAGAAGTAACCTTTTGTTAGCTGTACACAACAAGATCATACAAACCCGATAAAGAGGGCTTGCAAAATAAATGCAAAGCTTGATGCCTGCATATAATTTTCCCTCCTGTGGTGTTATTTCATAAAGACTTGTCAAGAGATCAATCCCTCAGTCACAAAAGTCAGGCTACACATCACCTTGGGGGACAATTATTTAATTTCAGTTGGTGATGTAAATGCTCCTTTTTTTTTTTTTTTTTTTTAAAGATGTTGTTTCACTCTTGTTGCCCAGGCTGGAGTGCAGTGGCATGATCTCTCCTCACCGCAACCTCCACCTCCCAGATTCAAGCAATTCTCCTGCCTCAGCCTCCCGAGTAGCTGGGACTACAGGTGCCTGCCACTACACCAGGCTAATTTTTGTATTTTTAGGAGAGTTTTTTTGTTTTAGGAGATGTTTTGTATTTAGGAGATATTTTTGTATTTTAGGAGTTTCACCATGTAGGCCAGGCTGGCCTGGAACTCCTGACCTCAGGTGATCCACCTGCCTCGGCCTGTAAATGCTACTTCAAATTTGACCAATTGCCAAACTACCTTTACCACACATTCTTCTACGTAGTCAGTTCTCTTGACGTATCTAAT
Organism: Homo sapiens; assembly: GCF_000001405.40. Classification (NCBI taxonomy): domain Eukaryota; kingdom Metazoa; phylum Chordata; class Mammalia; order Primates; family Hominidae; genus Homo; species Homo sapiens. The sequence goes on from NC_000004.12 coordinate 41,081,095, forward strand.
GGCCACTAAAACAAGAGTTTCATTCCACAGCTGTCCAAGTGAGTTACACTATGCTCACATGGTATTTTGAAGAGCTGAGATAAATTTATCTCAGTCAATCCCAGATTATTCCTCTCTTGCTTCATTTGAAGATCACACAACAGGACAGTGATTCTGCACAGCAGTGTGTGTGTGTCTGTGTGTGTGTATGTGTGTACGTGTGTACACATGTGTGAAACTGTACAATCTAATCACCACAGCTCTGCAAAGAACATGGCACAATTCTATTCAGGTTTCAGAAATGGAAAGACAAAAAGGGAAAAAAAATCCCAAGAAATCATTCTCAAAAGCTGTTTCCAGAATACCTTCTTGAGAAATTTAAAAGTAGGGTCCACTTTGTAATGCATGCGTATAAAGGAGGTAAATTCATAGCTAGCTAATCACCTTTAATGCTAGAACCATAAATGGCTATTTCCAAAATATATTCATTGTGTCAAATGCCTGAATTGATACTTAGTTATATAAAATTTTTTTTCCATCTCAACAAAGCTTTAAGACAGCCTCCAAACATTTATACACAGGGGTTTTACCTTGTCCAGTGAAGGTTCTACTTCCAACCAACACAAGTACCAGAATTTTAAACTTTTACTATAAAAATCTCTATGGGATTATATAATCTTTCAACCATCTTAACTTGAAATTTTTTTAACTAAACAAATATGACAAGACAGAATTAAAATTGCATTGATCATAGAATATCAACTGATAGTCAATGAAGTACTAAGGAAAGTATAAATTGGTGAAATATTGTCATTCGTTTAAAAAACTACAATTAAAAGCAAGTCAAATGAACTACCGATACTTTGACACCTACTACAAATACAGCAGATTGTAGTAGGTATAGAAAGGAAAAAGACTTGTGACACAGTTACTGGCAACAGGGAACTTAGTATATTGGAGGAACATGACACAGTATGTTGGAGGAACATGACACGGAACTCTAGACAAACATTGGATCACAGGACACACGTTTAGACTTAAAAGGAAGTTATGGATAGGTCAGGAGGGGCCATTTTCTGTCAGATAAACCTATTAGACACATTTTAAAAACGTAACATGGTATGTCCACACCTCATAACTTAAAAGAACACCAATCAACAATGCTCTCAAAGTAAATTACATGCTAAGAAACTTTAACCCTTATCTTTCCAACATCCCTCATCACACAGTACTTATTTTTGATAAGTTTGAGTCTCCCACTATGCAACAAAATATCAAACATCGGGGGGTGTCCTATTTAACTTTGATTCCTTAGCTCTTGGAACCTATGGAACGCATAATGATCCAGTGTATTTTCTTGGAGGATATATAGCTGAGTGAAAGAATGAATGAACAGTGTTATAATAGCAGCTGTTAATTTGAATTTATTTGAATATAAAGATTGATTCTTCACAGTAAAACACAGTTCAGGAGGCTTCTACAAAGTTATGTTTCTTTTTTTTTTTTTTTTTTTTAAGAGTTAGTGGTCCTGCTCTGTCACCCAGGCTGAAGTACAATGACACAATCATAGCTCCCTGCAGCTTCAAATCCCAGGGCTAAAGAGATCCTCTCCAAAGTTATATTTCATAAAACAAATGGCCAAAATTAATGATAAAATTAATAAAAATATGCAAAAGAGTTGTTCACTGAAGCATTATTCACAAAAGGAAAAATGGCAACAATCTAAATTTTCAGCAGCTGGGCGGCATGCAGTTTTATTATGGTCATACACTGATAGATTATGGAACTATTAAAAATGACAAATATAGGCTGTGCACGGTGGCTCACTCCTGTAATCCTAGCACCTTGGGAGGCCGAGGCGGGAAGATCACTTGAGGTCAGGAGATCGAGACCATCCTAGCTAACATGGTGAAACCCCATCTCTACTAAAAATACAAAAAAATTAGCCAGGCATGGTGGCGCATGCCTGTAGACCCAGCTACTCAGGAAGCTGAGGCAGGAAAATGGCGTGAACCCGGGAGGCGGAGGTTGCAGTGAGGAGAGATCATCCCACCGCACTCCAGCCTGGGCAACAGAACAAGACTTTGTCTCAATACATAAATAAATAAGACAAATATGAAGGCCTGAAACAAAGAGAAATTAAGATATAACAGGAATAAAAAAATAAGTAGACCAAAGTAGTATGTATGCTATAGCTACAAACAGATAAAAATATGTACACATGTAAAAAGACGGGAATGAAATACATACAAAATATACTTGTTAAAGTATATAGCTTTAGGGCTTACAGGTCATTTTTTTCCACTCTAAACTTTTTCTAAAACTGTTACATTGTGGCCGGGTGCAGTGGCTCACGCCTGTAATCTCAGCACTTTGGGAGGCCAAGGCAGGTGGATCACTAGGTCAAGAGATCAAGACCATCCTGGCCAACATGTGAAACCCCGTCTCTACTAAAAACACAAAAATTAGCCGGGCACGGTAGCCCGCACCTATAGTCGCAGCTACTCAGGAGGCTGAGGCAGGAGAATCGCTTGAACCCAGAAGGTGGAGGCTGCAGTGAGCTGAGATCACGCCACTGCACTCCAGCCTGGAGACAGATTGAGACTCTGTCTCAAAAAAAAAAAAAAAAAAAAAAAAAAAAGTTTCATTGCCATTTATAGGTCCTGTTGTAAAGGTAGAAGTTTCACAGTAAGTTTCTAACAGTAATTATTACAGTGATCATTAACAGTAACTTATTTCATCACATCTAACTGCTGTTGACTAGAAGATACACCAGTATTTTCTGTACTAAGAATAAAAATAAAAGTTATGTTACATTCATAGGCCTTAAAAAATAATAAAAATTAAAATGCTGTGAATCATAGCTGCAAAATGTCAGTGATTGCAAGATATATCAAATTTTAAAGATATTAAAATGTGAAAAGATCTGTGTCTTAGAATCAATAAAATATGTATTATAAAGCTGCAATATAAAAATATTTTATTGGTAAAAAAAGTGATCATTAATAGTGACTAGATAACAAACTAATAAATCTATGAAAACTTTGATAGAAATCTCTTAAAGAAATAGGCTGGGCACGGTGGCTCACGCCTGTAATCCCAACACTTCAGAAGGCCGAGACAGGCGGATCACCTGAGGTCGGGAGTTTGAGACCAGCCTGGCCAACATGAAGAAACCCTGTTTCTACTGAAAATACAAAATTAACCAGGCATGGTGGCACATGCCTGTAATCCCAGCTAATTAGGAGGCTGAAGCAGGAGACTTGCTTGAACCCAGGTGGCAGAGGTTGCAGTGAGCAGAGATCACACCATTGCATTCCAGCCTGGGCAACAAGAGTGAAACTCAGTCTCAAAAAAAGAAAAAGAAAAAAAAAGAAATGGCTTGATTCGCAAATGTAAGTTTTAAGTAAGAATTTCGATAATAAAATACACAAGACATTGCACTACAGAGGACAAGTGTTCATCATGCCCCTGAGATAAAATGTTTCTGGTCCAAAAGAATTGAGTAAATGAATTATCAAAAAGAAATTAAATTGCTTGCTTTGACAGCACATATACTAAAATCAGAATAATACAGAGAAGATTAGCATGGTCCCTGCACAAGGATGACATGCAAATTTGTGAAGTATTCCATATTTTTAATCAGTACACATACATATATCAAAGAATTATGTTGTACTCCTTGAATACATACAACTTTTGTTAATTTTTTTTTTTAAAAAGAAAACATAACTAGAAAATTCTTGATTTCTGAGGAGCAGGGAAGAAATGAAGGAAGGGAGGGAGAAATTAAAGTAAGCCAAGAAGCCTGAACGAGATTCTCAGCTTCAGTATAAGTAAGTCATTAAATGATTTGTTTGAGTGGCATTTCCTTGAAAATAAGACTGAGACTGCCGGCCACGCACAGTGGCTCATGCCTGTAATCCCAGCACTTTGGGAGGCCAAGGCAGGTGGATCACAAGGTCAGGAGATCGAGACCATTCTGGCTAACACAGTGAAACTCCATCTCTACTAAAAATACAAAAAAATTAGCTGGGCGTGGTGATGCGCGCCTGTAGTCCCAGCTACTTGGGAGGCTGAGGCAGAAGAATGGTGTGAACCCGGGAGGTGGAGCTTGCAGTGAGCCAAAATTGCACCACTGCACTCCAGCCTGGGTGACAGAGTGAGACTCTGTCTCAAAAAAAAAAAAAAAAAAAGACTGAAACTGCCTATGGCACATAATCTCAGAGAAGGTCACTCACTGAATTACAATAACATCAAAACTTTTACATGGGGGTATAGGGTATAGAGAGATAATGAATCTACATGTTGAATGGAACATCACTGATTCAGAAAATCAGAATTAAAATTTGAAATTTTCAGACCACTGGTCCTCTAAGCTTTCATCCCTAAGTTCACTCTTTGGCTTTTCATTTAATATAATAATGACAATTAATTAATCTCACCTAAATTTTTAGCAGTTCAGCATGAAGAAAACATAAGGAAACTTTCCAGTTGGTTATCAAATCATGGACACTACCTTAACTATCCACAAGAGAGTAACCACAATAATGCAACAAATAATAAGAACAAACTACAATGAGTAGTGAGACAAAGGCACTACCCAAGGAACAAAAAATGGCAGAGACATTCAAGTTCATTATTTTAAAGTGCTGACTATTTAAACCCTTCATGCATCTACATATGTAAGGCAAAGGTGCCTTTTTCATTGCCAAACTACAAAAACAAAAAAAAAGAAGTCTAATACTGAAATAATCTATAATGATTTGTATAATAATAAGTTATAAATGAAAGTCATAAAAGCCAACCTCCAAGAAAAATCAACAAAACCAAGAGGTGGTTCTTTGAAAAGACTGACAAAATTGACATTCCTTTAGGTAGACTGACTAAGAAAAAGAAGACTAACTAAAATCAGAAGTGAAAAAGGGGACATTACCACTGTTTCTACAGCAATCAAAAGGATTATAGGAGTATAATTACCAAAAAATTAGATAACCTATATGAAAAGAACAAATTCCTAAACACAAAACTTACCAAAACTGAATCATGAAGAAATGAAAAACTTGAACACAGACCTATAACCAGCAGAGACATTGATTAGTAATCAAAAACCTCCCAACAAAGAAAACCCAAAGAGTAGACAGCTTCACAGCCGAATTCTATCAAATGTTTAAAGAAGAATTAACATCAATCCTCAACTCCTCCAAAGAAATGAAGAAGGAACACTTTTAAACTCCTATCAGACCAGCATTACCCTGATACCAAAGAAAAACAATTACGCTTTAAAAATAAGAAAACTACAAGCCATTATTTCTTATGAAAATTGATGCAAAAATCATTAGCAGAAGACTACTAAACCAAATTCAACAGCTTATTGAAAGGATTATACACCATGATCAAGTGGGACTTATCTCTGGAATGCAAGGATAGTTCAACATATGAAAATTGATCAATGAAATGCACCATGTTAACAGAACAAAGAGGAAAAAACACATCATCATCTCATTTGATACAAAAAGAGCATTTGACAAAATTCAGCAAACTTTCATGATAAAAAACATTCAACGAATTAGGAACAGAAGGAAACTATCTCAGCATAATAAAGGTCATATATGAAAAGCCCACAGCTAATAGCATACTCAATGGTAAATGACTGAAAGCTTTTCCTGTAAGATCAAGAGGAAGAAAAGAATGTCCACTTTCACCACTTCTTATCAACATAGTAGTAGAAGTCCTAGCCAGAGCAACTTGGCTAAAAAAAAAATTCACCTAAATTGGAAAGGAAACAGTAAAATTATCTTTGTTTGCAGATGACATAATCTCATGGGTAGAAAACCTTAAAAATTCCACACACACACACACACACACACACACACAAAAAACCTGTCAGAATAAGATAAAAGTCAAATAAATGGAAAAGGCTGGGCATGGTGGCATGTATCTATAGTCTTAGCTACTCAGGACGCTGAGGCGGGAGGATCACTTGAGCCCAGGAGTTCAAAGCTATAGAGAATTGTGATCACACCACTGCACTCCAGTCTGGGAGACAGACTGAGGCCCTTTCTCTAAAAAATAAATAAATAAATATTGATTACATAAAAATGAATGGAAAGACATCCTGTGTTCACAGATTAGAACACTTAGTATCATTAAGTCATCTATACTACTTAAAGCAATGCAATTCCTATTAAAACCCCAATGATGTTTTCTGTAGAAACGGAAAAATCAGCATTTATTCTCTTTTAAAATATACCTTAAAAGTTACCAACAATCACCTGTATTTAATCTATAAAGTATATTCAACATCACAAATCAGAAGCAATTAAATCTATTCAGATACAGAGGAACCAATACATATTTTTTTCTTTTCTTTTGAGATGGAGTCTTGCTCTCTCACCCAGACTGGAGTACAGTGGCACAATCTTAGCTCACTGCAACCTCCACCTCCCAGGTGAAGTGATCCTTCCAACTCAGCCTCCCACATTGCTGGGATTACAAGCATGCATCACCATGACTGGCTAATTTTTTTTTTTTTTAGTAGAGATGGGGTTTCACCATGACGGCCAGTTGGTCTTAAACTCCTGACTTCAAGTGATCTTCCCGCCTCAGCCTCCCATAGTGCTGGGATTACAGGTGTGAGCCACTGTGGCCAGCCAGAATCCAGTATTTTAAACAAAGCGGTATCATCACTAATATTCAGGCCTACAGTGGGACATTTTACATAAGACAATCACAGGGGAGACTTGTTGAGCTTATCATAATCATCAGAAAACAATTCTGCCATTGTATTTCAAAAGCATACCAAGACAGCGGTATAATACCAAATAATGGGGGGATAGCCTTTTCCAGCAATAGATGCGTGGGCCTCCACAAAACAGCCGCAGTCACAAACCAAGTCGGTGTTAAGAATGGTAACCGTCACCTTCAGATACAGACAAGCTGAATCTATTCAAAACTTGTATGAGGTACTTTTAGGAGTTATTATAGATATATAGAATTCGTGATTGACAAGGACCTTAAAAATCATGTTACATGTGAAACCATTTAATGGATAAGAAAATGAGAACTGCAGAAGAGGTACTTGATGTCTCCAAGGTCACATAAGGAGGTGGTACAACCATGATTGTAAACTCAGGCTTCCTGTGTTCCTCTATCTTCTCTAATCGAACTCCTGAGCTAAAGGTCAGGAGTATTACCTTAGTCTGTTGGTGAAAAGGTCACCACAAAGTGGTTTCTCAAAGACTCTTGACCACATCAATATACACCCACTATGGTTTATCAACTCACCCCTGCCCTAGCAAAGGAACTTCCTAGGATTATATGGGGAGCTTCTGTACTGATACTAGACTTTTTGACAGCTGTGGCTATTGCCATCGCAGCCCTGTGGAAAGGGGTTAGGATCTGCGCTGTGAGAGGTGGATTTCCCATTTTCAATTATCCTGGGAAGAAGCAGATCCTGAGATAAGAAATGGAAACTAGCAAGGAAAGACTTGGGAGAAGGAAGGAGGAAACCCTCCCTCTTCCAGGGCCTCATCCTCTTTGATGCTTAGATTCTATATCTAGCTGTGCTGACAGTCACTTCTGAAGTAGGGATTGGATGGTCTAAACCAGAGAGGCAGCCTGGTAGAGGGCCCAGTGAGGAATGGGTCTAGGCCTGCCATAACTAGCAGGTTTTGTTTTATTTTTAAGTCATAAACTCAACTTCTATCTTCTCTAGGGAATTAAGGACATGTTTCCAGATGAGGGATGGAAAGGAAAATGGGAAAGCAGAGTCCCCAAAGAGCTGGTCCCCACAGTGCTGGCAGCAATGCTTAGCAGGGTGTGCAATGAAAATGGGAATCTTTGAGACAGCTATCAAGGCATGATGTCCAGACTCACCTCACCATATGAAAATGGTTTCTCTTCCAGATCATCTCAGAGAAAGGGGCATTAATTTTTTTTTCTAGGTAACAAAGCTGAGAGAAGGGGCATTAATTTAACTAAGAGATCCAGTGGGTTTCCTTGCAAACCATCGCAGGTTAAACACAGATTTCTGGACATTGACAACCGAGGCTGATATCCAGTGGGTGGGTGTCAGGATGACCATCCAGAACATCTACAGTCAGCATCCTTCTGATTGGCCAGAAACTGCTCACTAACTATAGGCTAAATATTCCTTACCCAAAATGCTTGGGAAGAGAAGGGTTTTGAACTTCAGATTTTTGGGATTTTGGAATATTTGCATTATATAATTACCAGTTAATCATCCCTAATCTGAAAATCTGAAATCCAAAATGCTCCAATGAACATTTCCTTTGAGCATCATGTTAGCACTCAAAAAGTGTCAGATATCTATTTTCGTATTTTGGACTTCGGTTTTTTTAGGGAAGCTCAACCTATGTTTTGAGTCTCACCCTTCAACAATCACACATTTTTTCCATCCTCAGTATCTGGTATTAACTCCTGAGCCTGGGAGAACACCAACCTTTGTGTTATACACTTCATGTTTATCCTAGATTCAGGAGTTAACAAAAATTCTATTAATAAGCTAAGCAGCAGATATTAGTATTCCCATTTTATAGGCTAGAAAGTTGTGGCTCAAAGAAAAAACTCATTCACAGATAGCCAGTGGAAGAGTCAAAATTTAATTCAAAGATAAACAGAATTTCCAGATTACATAATATCAGTCCCTCTACTCTGTAAATCTACCCTACTTTAAGAGATAATACTGCAGGGTACAAGTCACTATGGGATCTGAAGGTAACTGCATCACTATTTCATAAAATATTGATATGGAAAAGAGTGGTCATAAGCATGTTTTGATCCTACGCCCATGTCTCCTACTGCAATTATTGTCAAGCATTACCTGAACACCGAAAGCTTTTATTTTACATATATTTATATAACGAAACACTAGCTTGTTTCTTCAAATCCATGTATATGAACTATAATGGCAATTTAACCCTACTTATTAAGTAAAAAAACCCAAACATAAATTATATGGTGTCCCATTGAGTCCCTATATGAATATCTCCTTTGATTAAAACACCACCATTTTCATCAGAAGACATAATTTAAAAGAAGATTTAAGGGAAAAATTTGAATTTAACATTTCCCCTCCAGTCGTTTCTATAAACCTCTGACAGAATCTTTCTTCTAAGAAGTTATATTCTTTTACTTTCTACTTAAGAAATAAATGAAAATGCATCTGAATTAAATTACCACTGCAATGGAAACACTGAAACTCTAAATCAAAACAAGCTATGGTAAGATTTTCTCGAAGGATGCTAGATTCCCTAAACACTACCCATCATCATGGCAACCTTTAAGTGCCCTCTCTCCTATGGGTATGCCAACAACTGGTTGTAATAAAAGTTCGTTTTGTTGAAATCAATTAATTTCTCTCTACAGTACATTTGAGCCTTTTCAGCTACTGCTCATTTTTTCCTTTTTCTACTTATAAGACATCAGACACTAGTCTGCTATGTAATATTACTGATACTACATCCACATTTAGTTCATCAAAGCAGTCTGAATGCTGTAAAGATTTTTTAAAAAGATATAGAATGCTACAACATTCCTTTATTAGTAGGGTGGTTATTTAATTTATGATCGAAACCAGGACATTTTTGATATTGAAAGGGGTCAGTATCAAAAATTTTGCCAGAACAGCAGGCATAGCTAGGATTGTCCCAGCAAGTTAGTATGTATGGTCACCTAACTTATTAAAGAAACAATTACTGCATATAACAGCTGAAAGTCTCAAAAAATGAAATAAAGACCACAGTGGGGAAGAAGGCATAGAGGGCTCATATGTGAGCAGAAAGTCAGAAGAGTCAGAAGTCAAAGGAAGACTGCAGTCTCTCTCAAGCACCAAAACCTAATGTCATTTCCAGACTACCTAGACACTGCTCTTCCTCTCCTGGTTACTGCAATAGTCTGTAAGTGTGAATTAAGTCCATGATATGCCATGTGATCTGATCCCCTGGTGTATTTGTCGGCTTATTTTATTGTCACCCTCACACTCTCCCTAGATACCATCTGAACTCATCCCCCATCTATGAGGTTCCTCTCCCCTTGCTTTGGTATTTTATTTCCCATCACTGAGCCAACCAATCAGAGTTGTACTAGGCACTCTGCTATCTTCTCCGGAAAAAGGGGTACCCAAAGCTGAGTTAGATATAGTCCTTGCGAGGTAATTGTCCACAATTTTTGTTTGCAAGACTTTGTTTAAAATGCAATACAGTTTTTGCTCCAACCTCCACTTCTGCACGTCCAAAGCAGCCCAAACAAGGAGTGCAGCTACAAAGTATGCTAGCGAAGTCACCCCCCGTTTATTTGCAGATACTTTTGTATACATAATGAAGCAAAAGAATAAAAAAGTAAGTAATTTTTGTGAAGATGTCAACATTTTTACATCTTGAAAAACTTCATAAAAGCTCTCCCAAACAAGACACTGTGGCCTTTTAGGGGAGCAACATATCATATACTCTTTCTTGCATCCCTACTTCCTTCTTGAAGTTGGTGAGGGATTGATTGTGTCTTTCCCATCACTGAATCACCAACACCTTGCAGAGTTATCTAGCACAACACAGGCAGTCCATAAATATCTGCGGAGTAAATGAATGAATGAGGGGCTCATGATTATTTCTTTCTTCCACAACACTGTGATTATATATTAAGTACTTTTTTCTTAATCCCAGCTCCTCAAGATCTTTGCTCCATTGATTATGTCCTCTTAAAAGGCAGCCCCTATATAGTAACAGGTTTGAGGTCAGCAAAAAAATCCAACCAAATACCCAGGAACTTAACAGCAAGGTAAGTAACCTTGAGCAAGTTTTCTAACCACTCTCTATGCTCTATTTTTTCTTATCTATAAAATAGACATGTTTTGCAAGGTTTTCTGGTATTTGTGAGATCTGAACACAATTTATGTAAAGGGCCAGGCAGGAATCCAATAAATGTTGAATAAAAGAATAAATTGCCATTCTCTTCTATGGTCCAGATCAAAATGCAGCCATCAAAATCTAATTTGCCAAAGCTGATCTTCATTCAAACAACAGACATGCATCAAGGGCTGTAAGGCACAACTAGAGTCTGTCTGCTGTTGAACATCAAAGGAGGAGTTTAACATCTGCTTTTAAATGCAGGAAAACAATAATTAGTTCACAAGTAAAAGGAAAAGTTATATAATCTGATCTTATTTGCTTTACCAAAGTATCAAAGTATTAAGGGATTACCAGCTTACAGCAGACTGAAGCTTTCTTGCAGGAATCACATAATGGGTGGAGGCAAACCTGGAAGTGGGTTTTTAAAGTCGGCATTCCTAGCTCCTGCTTTTCACTGTCAAGAATGCAGGAGCCAAGTTTGCCCTTAGTTTAAAGCGCAGAACTAAGCAGCTACAGACAACAAGAGTAAGATTTGGTCTGAGTCTGAGACCAGCCTGGCCAACATAGTGAAACCTCGTCTCCACTAAAAATACAAAAATTAGCCAGGCATGGTGGCGCGTGTGTGTACTCGCAGCTACTCGGGAGGCTGAGGCAGGAGAATCGCTTGAACCCGAGAGGCGGAGGTTGTGGTGAGCCGAGATTGCACCACTGCACTCCAGCCTGGGCAACAGAGTGAGACTCCGTCTCAAAAAAAAAAAAAAAAAGTACTTGGTCTGAATAGAGTTTTCATTCAACTGTGCTTGCTCTTACAGCAATCTAAGATGTAAAACTTCAAAAGAGAAAAATATCACCGGCCTCTGTTCAACTTTAAATTCATGAAAGAAAATATGAAACTCTGCTGTGGGAATACATTTGTTTTTGCTGTACAACAATGTTTTAAGAGATCCATTCTGCTGCTGTTTCACCCTCTCCTTCAGGCCAAGCAGAGGCCAATGGGGATAAAGAGCTCCCCTGTGTTCTATTTCCAGAACACCTGAACTTACTGTCGACTGAGGCTACGAGAGCTATTTAGAGGCCCTTACCTTCCTCTTTTCCAGTAACATCAGCAGAAACGAGCTATAAAACTTTCCCTAGGGTTTGGTTTCCTTTCTCACAGCTCAGTTGTGCTGCTCTCCTGGAAGATGAAAGAAACCCCAGAGTTTTTCAAAGCCCAGATGAAATGTTGATCTCAAGTAATAATTTCCATTTTCTTAAAAGCCATCATTTCCTATTTTACTCAGGCACACAGAGCATGAAGCAAAGCCTAAACTACCTCCTTAGGGCTCATGAGAGTAGATGCAGTCAGTAGTTACAAGAGCACGTGAACTCTGCTTTAAAAACAGCAAAGGGTCATCCTGAGATAAACATAGGCTATAACGCTGAAGTGCTAAATTCTGTCCTACAAGTTCACAATTTTGGCTTCCTTTTAAGGGTATCTGAGCAAAAAGTGGCTTCCAAGTGGATAAGGATTTTTTTTTTCCCTAAGTTCCTAATGAACCAGGTACATGAACCTATGATCACAACCTGTTTTCTTACCCATCCTCATTTCCCAGATTTTTTTCTTGCCAAGGGTTAAAAAGTTCGTAAGAAGGGCCGGGCGCGGTGGCTCATGCCTGTAATCCCAGCACTTTGGGAGGCCAAGGAGTGCAGATCACCTGAGTTCAGGAGTTCAAGACTACCCTGACCAACATGGAGAAACCCCCACTTCTACTAAAAATACAAAATTAGCTGGGCGTGGTGGCGCACGCCTGTAATCCCAGCTACTTGGGAGCCTGAGGCGGAAGAATCGCTTGAATCTGGGAGGTGGAGGTTGCGGTGAGCCAAGATTGTGCCATTGCACTCCAGCCTGGGCAACAAGAGCGAAACTTCATCTCAAAAAAAAAAAAAAAAGTTCATAAGCAGAAGAGATGGAATCCAAACCTATACAGTCAGTCTGACTCCAGGGCATCTGACAGTCACTTGCCCTTAACTGTCACTTTGTTGTCTAAATCTGACTCCAGCAGGCACCAAACAAGAGTGACTGTCAGCTATGTGAGGTAATCCATATGTTAATTCGCTTAATTTAGGATTGACACAATGTATACATATTTCAAAACATCATGTTGTATACTATAAATGTATACAATTTTTATTTGTCAATAAAAATAAGAAGAAGAAAAAAACAAGTGACCATTGGCCCAAGGGGCTCCACATGAGTTTAGAGACTGAGGTCCTTACTAATATGAGTGACAATGTAATATTTTTTATGAACTCAAAAATATCATTTATGACATTGGAGTTTTATACCTGCTGCAGCAATGAAGCAGCAAGCATAGCTTTATAGCCTCCAAAAAGGGCTTGCAAGAAGTACACTTTACTCTTCGCTTCAGTCTTTGACAGCAAGTCACAAATTATTTTTCAGATAAAATGGCAATTAGGAATTTCTTGAAACTTTAACCATCAGTCCAAACACCAAACTAACATCCAAGAAGCCCTTTTTAAGTTCTACTGGACTTTAACTGTATAACTGCAACTGAAGCTTTACCTATAGAATGAAAAATTATTTAACTTTAGAAGACAGAAGGAATCTTAGAGATTATTAATTCTATCAGCCACTTTTTTTAAGAGGGAGTCTCCCTTTGTCACCCAGGCTGGAGAGCAGTGGTGCGATCTTGGCTCACCACAACCTCTGTCTCCCGGGTTCAAGCGATTCTCCTGCCTCAGCATCCCGAGTAGCTGGGATTACAGGCACATGCCACCTCGCCCAGCTAATTTTTGTATTTTTAGTAGAGACGGGGTTTCGCTATGTTGGCTAGGCTGGACTCGAACTCCTAACCTCAAGTGACCTGCCTGCTTTGGCCTCCCAAAGTGCTGGGATTATAGGGATGAGCCACCGCACCCAGCCTCTGTCAACCACATTTTATTGAGTGTTATCTGCCATATTTTATTAAGCAAGGTGCTACGAAAGACAAAAAAATTCATGAGACCTGACCCCAGCCCTCGGGATCTTATAGTATAGCAAATTAAATAAAATGTTACATAAATATGATCAATTCAAGTTAAAAACAACACAGGATGCAAGGAGGATATTAAAGGAGTGAAACAGAAAAGATCACTTATAAATGTGGCAAAATGGTTAAGAGCATAAACATGACAGTTACAGTGGTGGGTTCAAGTAGTGACAATGCCACTCCTTGGCTGTGTGACATTGGACAAGTTATTTTACCTGCCAGGGGCTCAGTTTCAAAATCTTGAAAATGGGGTAATAACATCCACTGCTGAAAGCAGATATAAGATTAAATAAAATAAAACAGGCAAAGTTCTTAGTACAGTTCCCAGCACACTCTCAGGGCTAAACAACAGCTAGCAGCAGCCTGCAGTCCCAGATCTATCATTTCTCCATCTCTCATATTTCACCCCTTCTCTTAACTGGTCTGTCCAGGGCCCTGTCAGAACCTATTATTAACTCTCCTTTAAAGATGAGGAAATAGGCTTTCAGAGGACAGGGAACGAGCCCATTGACATACAGCCAATAGCTTAGTATGCCCACCTCCAGACTCTTAGGCCCTAGGGGACACTGTTTCATCTTATCTAATCATACCTATTACTTTTAAAACAATTAAAAGCAAGTAGATCATCCCATTGTGTAAATTATAAAAGGTGCTCTCTCTAGGCAGGCCAAGCCCCATGAGTGCACAGCTTGATGACAAGTGTGCTGGGTGGTTCTAAGTCCTCCCATCTGCTGCTCACACGTACACTTCTGCAGTGAACAATCTACACAACCTCACATGGTGGCCCTGGGTCTCCAGCCTCCAGTTTTCTCTTTTCCAGATGATATTCCACACTACTGCCCAAGTGATCTTTATAAAACTCCCATCTAGTTATTTCTCCTTTTAAAACTCTGGATGGCTATTTATTGTTTAGAAACTCCAAGTCTCTAGCATGGCACATGTGTGACCTTTCTCACTCTGGCACCTTTTCGATCTCAGGGTCCACTCTGTTCTCCACGCTCCATACCCCAGCCACGGTGGAGTTCTTGCCACTCTCTGGATATGCCATGAGTTCCCATTCCTCCATGCCTTGGCATATGCTTTTTCTACAGCCTCAATTATCTCCCTACTTTCTGTCTTCTCACTCAGCCCTCAAGTCATACTTCAGTTCCAGCTCTTCAATGCAGTGAACATACTTCCTGATTTCTCAGCTGAAATGACTGCTCGTCCTTTGCATACCTACAGCATTCTTGAATCAGCTTTCACCACCAGCTCATGGGAGTCAGGAAGATACTGCAGGGCTTTGTAGTGAGATGCATCATAATTGGAAGGCTGACTCAAACATGTTCTAACTGTATCAAGGTAGCAAGTTACTTTTCCCCCGAGTTTCAATAACGCCCACCCCTAGAATTCCTGTGGACATCAAGTGCTTAACGGTATGGCTTCCAAACTTACTTGGGCGACAGAGTCACTCTAAGGGCAAAATACCAAGAAATCTTGATAAATATATTTAATTGTATCATGTGAACTAAGAAATATTCTACTAGAAAAAAAATGATGACACTATATGCATATAGGCTTCCAAATATAAAACGTGTGTACACACACACATCCATGTTTTCAAAACCACTCTCTACATTTACCAATTAAACATTTGTAATTTGTTTAACTTTCCTTTTTCCATTTCCTAATTTAACTTAAAAAGTAGCAGCAGGTACCAAAATCATAATGGGAGAAAAAAACCTTTAAAAATTAGAAAACTATATTCCTAACTTATTTTGAAAGGTATAGGTCAATAAATATCATTATCGAATTGTAGTCATTGAACATCTTGTCTAAGAATATAACGTCCATTCCACTGCTTTTCACATGGTACATGCTACATAAAGGTTATTTAAATCTAATTTTGAAACTCAAATTAAGTTCCCTAAAAGGAAGGACATATCTCATTCATCTTTGAATAATGAGCTCCTGGCACACAATAGTTGCTCAACAAATGTTCGCTCAATAAATGAACTAAAAATTAAGAATGCACACAAAGGTTTATAAAACATTCTGGATCTCCAATTAACCTGGACTGTAGTTTGCTCCATAAATAAATTATATTCCAAAATCTATCAGTGTTCCTTCTGTAACCATCATTTCATCTGAGCTATTTGGAGTTTCTTTGGAGAAAGAAATGCGTAGGTAAAATCCTCCCTTAGGCACAGAAATATTGATTAAGACAGCTCGGCAGGAGGAATATGTCACCTGCGCTCTTGTATAATATAACAAAGGGACCAAAGAAGACACAAAGCTTTATATACAGCACCTGTCAGCCAGTGACACTTACCATTTTGAGCACATATTCAGACCCATGAGCCTCCTATTCAGAATATGTCTGGCTACAGTAAACACCATAAAGATTCTAAATGGGGAATCCTTTTCTGTTCTGTTCTCACATGAAAAACCTATGCCATATATTCCACATATTTACACTCCTTTCTAACTGAAAGCCAGGACAGCCCAAAATTAAACAAAAGGCTAAGATCCAGTTGTTTCCCTTTCACTAAAAGTGATGCTGTAGGTAAATACTTATTAGCATGGATATGCATTATTTATTATTAAGTGGAAAAAGTTACCAAAAAACTTGCTGCATACTCATTTAGGGTTGACATAAAACCAAACATGGACATGCATTAAGTAGGATAATAAAATACAAATTTTACTTCCTTTAAAACAATCCATGGCTAATTTTTTTGAAGGTACGGTTATATTTTATCACCATTATAGACTCAAGTTTCCAAAAATCTACCTCAAACAATCAATTTTCTGAATTGCTTGAAATGCTTGAAACAAGGAAGACTTTGAAGACACATGCAATTAAGAAAAAAGTGAAAGTAAAGGACAGAGGTTAAAAAGAAGTGTGGAGGTTGTCTAGGGTTCTGAATTTTCTCTAAAATTGTGTGTTTGCTTTTCCAAAAAGAAACCACCAAGACATTTAAGTATCCCTTACAGTTTTCAAAGAGCAGTCAGAAACATTTTCTTATGACTTTAATAAATATCAGAAAAGACACCTCCCCCCTCCCCTCCCGTCCCCTCCCATTAACTTCCATGTAACTTAACTAGTTCTTCAAAATCAGATTTATGTGCAGTACACTTCTGCATTATAACCTTCTCTTTTTTTAACCTTAAGGGTACATTGTAAACATCCTTCTGCGTATATAAATATTCACATGTAACATCAACTTTATTTTTACTAATTTTTTTTTTTAGAGTCAGGATCTCACTCAAGTGTCAGGCTGTAGGGCTATGGTGTGATCATAGCTCACTGCAACCTCAAACTCCTGGGCTCACGTGACCCTCCCATCTCAGCCTCTGGATTAGCTGGGACTACAGGCACTTACCACTAAGCCCAGCAACTTTTTTATTTTTTGTAGAGACAGGGTCTCTTTCGTTGTCCAGGCTAGTCTTGAGCTCTTGGGCTCAAGCAATCATCCCACCTCTGCCCCCCAAAAGTGTTGGGATTACAGGAGTGAGCCACGGCGTCTGGCCTTAACATCAAGTTTAGTACACAGAGATCTTTTTGTCACAGTCCCTGTAGTAACACAGGGCTGTCTTTAGCTTACTGTAAACACACAAGTCCCACAGATGCCTTCCCTCTATAAAATCAAAACACAACTTTTACAACAATGCTACAATGTATCCCAAAAGGGAATATTTTGGTATAATGTAAAGAAAATACTGCACTAGAGACTATGTGAAATTTTAAAGAAATGCTTATTTCTTTGAAATAAGGATTTGAAAAGGCAGCTTATTTGAAAGGCAGCTTAAGTAGCTTACTTTCTGAAGCTAAGTTACATTTGCAATCTAAACACCACTGCAAATATCTAGACCCTGAAGTCCAGAGAATCAATCATTTGACCTTTTTGTTCTATTTCTGTAGACAGATTGGGTGGCCTCCAACATAATCCTTTTTCAAATATCCTTCCAAAATGGAATAACAACTACAACACACAATTACAACATAAAATATTTCTTTTAAGATTAACATGTGATTACAAGACAATAAAATTCAACCTACAAATTTCTATTTTTTTTTTAAATTCCACTGACAATAATATTTCACTATTACAAATATTTCACTGTAACAAAAAAATATATTTTGGGTGAGATTTTCCTTACTTTCAACTAATTCATATTTTAGCAGAGACTTGACATCCCTCAGAAATTACATGTGTATGTGCAGTGTCTATGTCTGTGTGTATGTGTGTTTGTGTGTTGCACACACACGTATATGGTTTTTGTGTTTTTTTTGGGATGGAGTTTCGCTCTTGTTGCCCAGGCTGGAGTGCAGTGGCGCAATCTTGGCTCACTGCAACCTCCGCCTCCCAGGTTCAAGCAATTCTCCTGCCTCAGGCTTCCGAGTAGCTGGGATTACAGGCATGCACCACCATACCCAGCTAATTTTTTTGTATTTTTAGCAGAGATGGGGTTTCTCCATGTTGGTCAGGCTGGTCTCGAATTCCCAACCTCAGGTGATCCGTCCACCTCGGCCTCCCAAAATATTTATTTTTTCAGTACAAATATTTAACTTCAAATAAGCTTCAAAACTCAAGACCCTTACCTTATTATAATTATTACAAAATAAAACCCAATTTAATAATAATTAAATTTATAGTAAATACAATAACAACAGAGCTATAAAATCCGATCTTACTATTTAATGCTTTCATAGAACTAAAGCAAAGTTCTGTTCTGTCTTGTTTTATTTTAAACATGCTTCAACTAACTCATTTATACTGCCAGAAATAGAGTGGAGCTATAAGACACAAAGCATAGGAAGTTTAGAAAGCTATCTAGTAATTTAATGGAAGAACAATTCCTATTGTCGATAATGTTTCTGGAACATGCTAGAGAGGATATTTGTGTATGTTTCTGTGCGTGCACGTGCATATTTTATTTTGCATATATTGTTACGGGCATTTGGTCACTCATAATTCCAAGCAGTATCCATTAAAAAAACAGATCGACTTTATAGATCTGTAAGGTCCATTTTTCAAAAAGATAAGAGAATAAAACTGAATTTTCTGGTTCCAAGCAATTTTTTCTAAAAGACAGCAAAAACATTCAACAAGTGTCTCAATTAGAATGTCTTATAGTGCCCTCAAAAAAATTCTAAAATAAAACTGGGAGGTGCATCAATTCTTCCAAGACAAAGCTACATGAAGAATTTATTGGACAAGCAATTCCACATTTTGCTTTCCTTTCCAGACAAGAAAAGAACCAAGTCGATTTCATACTTATTCTAAAAATTCAGAACCAAAAAGCCTATCCAAAATATCTAAAAGTCTAAAACACCTGAAAGCTCAGACAACTGGACTCACTTTTCTGTCACATCATATTACATTGCCTTGTATTTGATGTTTAATCACTTGCAAATCTGATAAAAGTTTTGTCACAACCTTGAGGACTCAGTTTATGAAACCCAAAAGAAATGGCACAATGTAGAACATCATCTTAATCTCTTGCAAGTTTTTTTTTTTTACACAAAGAGGTTTCCTGAGTCTCCTTCCATGTTACAAATCCATGAAAACATATAAAATTTATTAAGCCAGGAATGAAAGAAAGTAAAAAGCCATGGATCTATTGTTAACTTTCTGAGAGAGGTATAACAGAATTTTTTAAAAGCAAGTTTAAAATTACTTACTTTTCCCAGGTCTTTGGTACAAAGCTCAGAAGGCAAGCTCCTTTTTTTCCCCACAAAGTCTGTTAATTAATAGCAAGCACCCAAGGAGGTCAGGCAGCCCAAAGAGATCGATCTAGAAAGTGTGTAGAGACAAAAATTTTAAATTCAAAATCATATCAGAAATGAAAAATCAAAATACCCGACTGTCATTCAGAGTATCTCTGCATCAACAAAATAACGATGTCATTGGGATCCTTAAATGATGAGAAATGTAAACTATTTTTCTTTCATAATATACTAACAAGGCTTTCTAAATCTAGATGGCAGTTCGATCTGTCGCCTTATTAAAGTTTCAAAAGCAGGAACTAGTGAGGCTTCTTGGCAACCACTCCTGTTAAAGATGTCTTTCTCAGGGAGTCACAAAAAGGAACCGAGGGAGAATCTGGACTTCTAATTATATTGTGACTTGGGAAGGAAGGTCTTCCGAAATCACACTTGCCAGTTCCCACTTCCAAACATGAGCTCATCTTATCAACACAGAAGTAGTTGTAAATAGAAGTGAATCGGCCGGGCGCGGTGGCTCACGCCTGTAATCCCAGCACTTTGGGAGGCCGAGGCGGGTGGATCATGAGGTCAGGAGATCGAGACCATCCTGGCTAACAAGGTGAAACCCCGTCTCTACTAAAAATACAAAAAATTAGCCGGGCGCGGTGGCGGGCGCCTGTAGTCCCAGCTACTTGGGAGGCTGAGGCAGGAGAATGGCGTGAACCCGGGAAGCGGAGCTTGCAGTGAGCCGAGATTGCGCCACTGCAGTCCGCAGTCCGACCTGGGCGACAGAGCGAGACTCCGTCTCAAAAAAAAAAAAAAAAAAAAAAAAAAAAAAAGAAGTGAATCACAACAACTTAAGGAAAGTTATCAACAACTTTTAAATACTCTTCAAATGTATTAAGCACACCTTAATTTCTGCAGATAAGAATGGGAAGAGAAAGCCGTGTTCATTTTTTCCTAATGAAACAGAAAATCTGACAATTCTAACCTCACTTATAACACGCTACTTCTAGGCCAGGCACGGTGGCTCACACCTATAATCCCAGCACTTTGGGAGGCCCAGGCGGGCGGATCACGACGTCAGGAGTTCAAGACTAGCCTGGCCAACATAGTGAAACCCCATCTCTATTAAAAATACAAAAAATTAGCCAGGCGTGGTGGCATGCGCCTGTAATCCCAGCTACTCAGAAGCCTGAGGCAGGAGAATCGCTTGAACCCGGGAGGCGGAAGTTGCAGTGAGCCAAGATCATGCCACTGCACTCCAGCCTGGGTGACAGTGCGAGACTCCATCTCAAAAAAAAAAAAAGAAAAGAAAAAGAAAAACATGTTACTTCCCCAACAATCGTGCAAATGGATTCTAAGGCAATAAAATCATTAATAAGATAAAATAGTTTAAGTAGGCAAAACAGATGCCATATGTAACCTATAACCTAAAGTCGGCATACCCCTCGGGCTCTCCTATTACAGGACTTCTACTAGACGTAATTCTAAGAAGCGTGATACACTCATTTACAAGCCACAGGAGACTGCAAAATCAATTAGAAAGAGGGCACAGCTACAGCAAGTAGTTGTAACTAAAAATCAGACAGAACCCTGCAAACACCATAAGCATCATTTATTACTATTGCCATTGTTACTGCCAACATTTATATACTGTTAACTCTTATGCCAGGTTCTTCTCTGTGTCTTACATGCATTAACTCTACTTCAGATAGGGACAAGCAGAATTTCACATTTCACCTATCCCCTGGGCATCACTGTATTACCATACAGCACACTCAGTTCTGCTATAACGCTTGTGTTTTTTCAAGAGAACAATTTGAGTGTAACTCGAATTTCATGTTTCTTTATGCATGATTTCACTGCAAGAATACTAGGTTATCGCAGAAGGCTGCACTTGGGCCAAAACCAGCTGCATATGGTTACACAGAATGAACACAGTCCATGCCTCAAACATCTACCGGTGACTTCGGTTTCCACCAGTGTGCTATGAGCCACACCAAGCCATATCTGGTATCCCGACTCCATCTGATTTCAGGTAATCCGTCTGCCACCACTTCACAATAACTCCTAAGTGGCAACCCTTCTAAAGCACGAGTTCACAAGCAAATGTCAGGACTTTTTCGAGTTGAAGTACCATATTTATTGCACTATTTATGTATTTAACCATTTAGTATGTGAAAAATTTGTGCAACAGTATTTATTCAGTTCCCATCCCTTTTTAATGTGTCACTGATAGTTTTTTGAGTATTGTGTCCCCAACTGCATTCCTCTCCTAAGCACTGTGAGTTTTACTGCAGGATTCTGCATAATGTGGTTTTTAAGAACACATAGATCATTTTATCAGAATTGACTACATAATAACTAGTGTTTATAAAAGATACTTGTTATTTATCCAGAAGGGGTGAAATTGTGATTTTCATATTTTGTCATTATGTTTAAGAGGACAGCAACATATTGTAATGCAATTTAAAAAAGATTGTCTTTCACAATGTTTACAATTACCAACCATAGACACTTAAGGGTCAGCTTCAGTTACATGATAAATTTATTTATGTAAGATTCCCTAAAGTTGTTAAAGGAGGTATTACAGGACCATTTTGGACAGATCAAGATGACGGTGTTATAAAGATAGATTCTTGCAGACAAGACAGCTTAACCATAATTGCTGGAAAGGACAAAATGAATGGAATTACTTTTCATTCTTAAAAACCAATAAATTAAAAAGACTCTAAATTTTCTTTTAAAGAGTTCAAGATAGGCATAAAGATATATACAAGGAATTTTTCTATTATAAGTAATACTCTTATAAATAATTTTTAAAACACAATACTCAACAATGGATAGTTTTTTAAAATCTGTAGAATATTTAATAAAAGGAGAAAATGTTCTTAAGCAGTATTGAGAAAGTAGACTATAATGTAATATACTCATCTTCCCAGTTTTGTTTATAAGAAAAAAGACTAGAAAGAAAAAAAAAGCCAACATTTGAAAAACTGCTAGTTACAAATGGTAGAATTACAACAGAGTAATTTTTACTTTCTTTATATTTTGCATTAGTGGGAACATCCTTTTTACCCCCACTTTAACGTCACATGTGAATCCAGCCAATAGAATGAAGGCTAGCCAAAAAAACAAGAACATCAGGAGCTTCCTTGTCAATCACAAGTATTAATAGGTCCAGTCATGCGGCTGGACCTCTGAAAGTGTTTTCTATCTCATAATTCAAGGACAAATACAGTCCGTCCCAATAGGGATGTTTAAAGTTTATAAACCCATTACAGAGGCCAAAATATAATTTGCTTTTACAGGCTAATACAGTCATGGATTTAGTAAAATCCAGTTGAAAGATTTTTAATTATATAATTGTATCTAAGCTGTCCTAATATCTGAAAGAAATTTCATTCTGAATAAAGAAATTGTATTCTGGATAAAGCTCCTTTCAAACAAGATCAAGATTAAACAAATACAAAGAGGGATGCATTTGGGCATGCGGATAAACTTCCAGTTTGAGGAGTTTTAAATAGCAAGTAAGAAAAGAGAGATTGGTCTTTGTAACCTCCAAAAGAACGTGGCTATATTAAAATTTTCCCAATAACAAAACTGACTTTAAATACTTGCCAAAAACAGTGACTCTTTTAGTCATGAGTGTGCTTAGTTTAATCCCACACACTGATATCACATTAAGAACTGAAGGCTGAGGATATACAGGAATCAAGGGCCAATTTGGGACAACTTGGCCACCACACATCTGAGTTCACTCACCCATGCTTGGCTAGGAGTACATTTATTTTATTTTTAATCTATTCATTTTTTTTCTTTCTAACTATTATTTTAGGTTCAGAGGCACATATGCAGGTTTGTTATCTGGATAAATTGTGTGTCGTGGGGGTTTGGTATGCAGATTATTTTGTACGCAGGTAATGAGCATAATACCCAATAGGTAGTTTTGCAATCCTCACCCTCCTCCCACCCTTGGCCCTGCCACTCTCCTCCCTCAAGTGGGTCCCAGTATCTACTGTTTCCATCTTTGTGTCCATACATACTCAATGTTTAGCTCCCACTTACAAGCGAGAATGTGTGGTATTTGGTTTTCTGTTCCTGTACTAATTCTCTTAGGATAATGGCCTCCAGCTCCATCCATGTTGCTGCAAAGGACGTGATTTAGTTCTTTTTTACGGCTGCATAGTATTCTAGTGTGTATATGTACCACATTTTCTTTCTCCAGTCCACTGTCAAGGGGCACCTGAGTTGATTCCATGTCTTTGCTATTGTGAGTAGTGCACTAGCAGCATATTTAAGTGATGTGTCCCTTTTCACTTTCAATTTAGCTTTCCTGGCATACCTGCACACCCAGTAACTACTTCATATAGGGCAGTTACTTTAATAGGACTCCCACTCTCAAGAATGTGCTGAGGATTGAAAGTCAGTGGTTGTATGTGTAGGAGAGGGTGGTAGTTTTGTTTTATAAAATTATAAAGCAGTTAACATTCAGCATACATAGCTGAATAATAACCATATCCCTGATATACAATGCATAGATGTATAGTCTATTTTTGTTTTGTTTTTTACTTCCAAAAATGCTGACACCGATGAAAAACAAAAACAAACCCTTATGTTTCAAATGTGCTTTTGTATTTTTTAGCATTTTCATATAGGTTCTCTACCAAATTACTACATGTTTTGTTTCATTTTAGCAAATAGAAAAGGCAAAATAAATATTTTAATTATGCTATTATATATAAAAATATCATGGAAGAAATATGGAGCTCCAGACAAATCAGTCAATTTAAGGTTTACAGCCTCCTCAGAGACTCTATCATTATATCAAATGCACAATGATTGTTTTGGAAATTTTGAAATTCCTGGCTTTTGTGTCCCACAAGTTGCTGCCTAAAATGCTGCGCATATGCACCTTTAATAATTAACCAAATATTGGCCAGGCGCAGTGGCTCACGCCTGTAATCCCAGCACTCTAGGAGGCCAAGGCGGGCAGATCACAAGGTCAGGAGATTGAGACCATCCTGGCTAACACAGTGAAACCCCGTCTCTACTAAAAATACAAAAAAAATTAGCCAGGTGTGGTAGCGGGCGCCTGTAGTCCCAGCTACTCAGGAGGCTGAGGCAGGAGAATGGCGTGAACCCGGGAGGCGGAGCTTGCGGTGAGCCCAGATAGCGCCACTGCACTCCAGCCTGGGCGACAGAGCGAGACCCCGTCTCAAAAAAAAAAAAAAAAGAATTAACCAACTATTATAATCAACCAGAAAATCCAGAGACTGTGTCCAATTATGAGTATTCAAAATAAAAACTATGAATCTTAATTTTTCAAAGACATGCTGAGATATACATTCACATATACATACCTTACACTGACTCTGAAAATACAGAGCAGTTAGGAACTCTTGGCATGGAAACTACACATCTTAAATTGCTTTAAGAATTAGCATATGTATAGCTCAGGGGAATAAATTATCTTACCATTAATGGATATAAAAAAGGGTAACCAATTTTCAGAGTCTACCTAGAAAACACACAGAAACTATATTCTCAGGCTCTCTAAGTCACTTCTGGGGCAGAATTCCAATGTTATCTAAGTTAATCTTTGGCACTATCTCATTTCCCTTTGTGCATTCCTCTTCAACCTCTAGCCCAAAGCCCAAAGACCTTCACTTTGGATGGCCTTCTCCCTTCATTGGTGAACATCTAAAACTCTTGATGCCACCAAGGGAATAATCTTGGGAAATGGGTGGATGAACTTAAATGATTAATGACTTTTAACTTTTTATAGATTAGGCACTTTTTTTTGTTTCTTTGTTTGTTTGTTTGTTTGAGATGGAGTCTTGCTCTGTTGCCCAGGCTGGAGTACAGTGGCGCTACCTCAGCTCACTGCAAGCTCCACCTCCCAGGTTCACGGCATTCTCCTGCCTCAGCCTCCCAAGTAGCTGGGACTACAGGCGCCCGCCACCACGCCAGGCTAATTTTTTGTATTTTTAATGGAGATGGGGTTTCACCGTGTTAGCCAGGATGGTCTCGATCTCCTGACCTCGTGATCCGCCCACCTCGGCCTTCCAAAGTGCTGGGATTACAGGAGTGAGCCACCGTGCCTGGCCTAGATTAGGTACATTTTTAAAGAAAATCCCAAGTACCTAGATCTTGGTTTCTAAATACTTTTGCTTACTGGAGAAATAGTTGGGTCTGGGCAGAGAAAGTACAAGATAAGCCCAGAACATCTTACTGTGCCAAAAAGCAAGGGAGTGCTCAAATGCTAATGCAGACATGACAAAAGGACATAGGAGGAGAAGCTTTAAAAGGGCTCCTCATAGCCAAAAGTGGGGCAGTTTGAACAAAAAAAAAAAGATGTTGACCAGGCACAGTAGCTCATGCCTATCATCTTAGCACTCTGGGAGGCCAAGGCAGGCAGATCACTTGAAGCCAGGTGTTTGAGATCAGCCTGGCCAACACAGTGAAACCCCATCTTTACAAAAAAATACAAAAATTAGCCAGGCATGGTGGCAGGTGCCTGTAGTCCCAGCTACTTGAGAGACTGAGGTGGGAGAATCTCTTGAACCTGGGAGACGGAGGTTACAGTGAGCTGAGATCACACCGCTGCACTCCAGTCTGGGCAACACAGTGAGACCCTTTCTCAAAAAAAAGAATGATGTTGATGAACTATAATACATTGGATTAAAAAAGAAACCATAAACCCACAAATATTCATTGAAAAAATAATGGGGGAAACTCTTCTTTATAAAGGATGCCAGCTAATAAATATCAAAGGGAGAGCAGAAGAAAATCCCACTTTGCAACTACCAATGCAATCACTGATTCAGTCAACAATCATTAATACATGCTAAAACCATTCTAGAAAGGGTTGTTGTAGGACAGAACACTCACACACAGTCTCAGAATATCACCCCACAGATTACCTAAGAGAAAAGGCATCTTTACAAACGGAGAGTTCTGGCAGACCAGCTCAACCAAGTGGTGCTCGGCATAATCAATTCCAGGACAATGGAACAGTAGGTATCGCCACAGTCACTATGTAGCATTTTTGCCAAACATGCTTAATCTGTATCTAATCATAAGGTAACAATCACACAAAACCAGATTGTGATACATTCTACAAAACAAAGGTATCTTTCAAGACACCAATGCCATGAACCACAAAAACAAAACAAAAACAGGGTGACTGTTTTAGATTAAAGGAAACTAAAAAGACAAAATTCAATGAATGACTGTTGACTCATCCTGGATTGGGAGGCGGGTATAAAAGACAGTATTAGGGTAACAGGTGAAATCTGAACATGTATTCAAGTATTATTTATATATCAGATAATATTTATTGGTGATCATCTTATTATAGGCTATGTGGGAAAATATCCTTGTGCTTGAGAAATACATGTTGAAAAGGTCATAATCTCTACAACTAACTCAGATGGTTCAGCAAACATGTTTTAAGTGTGTGCGTGTAAAGAGACACAGACACAAAAAAACAGAAGAGATGGAGATAAGGCAGATTGGGCAAAATGTTAACACCTTATACAGCAGACTGGTCACAACCTATAAAAACTAGTAACCATAGTTACTTGTGGGCTATACCCACCCTGTATAAAGAGATCATAAAGGAGCTAATGGTTGAAAAGAAACTGACGCACATAGGAATATAGTTCTTCAGTGTTAGAGCATTTAGTCCATTTCTTAAAAAAAAAAGAAATCCAATTCTATTTCTTTTCTGAAGCAATTAATGGTTCTCAGTTGGGAGGAAGAACGTTGAGAAGAAAAAAAAAGAGACCCGTGGAAGAGGATGACAGTGGGTAAAAATTACACAGAAAAGTTCAGTTCTCCTCTACCCAAGTCTGAAGAAGAGGTAGGTCTTCAAGGTTTAAAACATTCAGCCTGTGTTTCCCATCCTGGTGAGAAACGCTGTGCAGGTGCGGACATTTCCAACAAGTCAGAAAGATTCCCTTTTCCAGATTTACACTGACCAAACACCCTGCCCAGGGAGGGCCAAGGACCTCATTCCTCACCCACCCCTGGCTGAGCCTGCATCAAGGGCAGTGTCTGACACACGCACCCAGGCCTACAGCCTTCAGCAGTCCCTGAAACCTGACATGTCTAAGACAGACATCACCCCAACAAACCCAACCCCTTGTTTCTCCTATCTCTTTTCTTGGTCTATCCAGTCTCAAAACTGCAGCTTCCTCTTTTGCTTCTCTTCCCACTGGCCCATTCTTCATACCTTCTCTGCCTCATCAGCATCCTCAAGGCCACACAGGCCACATGGCCTCGCACACTCCAAGTCAAAATACTCTCTCTTTTTCTCTGTTATTCCTCAATTTTCCATCTATGGTGCTCACTTGGCACTTTTTAAATATCTTTGCCACACAGCATTGATTCCACATCCACTGCAAGCCAGTGCTTTGCTATGTTATTTCACTTTAAAAAGCACTACAGGTCCCGCACCATGGTTCTCGCTGTAATCCCGACACTCTAAGAGGCTGAGGTGGGGGATCCTTTGAGGCCAGAAGTTCTAGGCTGCAATGGGCTACAATTGTGCCACTGCACTCCAGCCTAGGCGACAGGGCAAGACCCTATCTCTCTACACTAAAAAAAGAAAAAAATCACTATAATTTTCTTTTTTTTTTAGACGGAGTCTTGCTCTGTCGCCAGGCTGGAGTGCAGTGACGCCATCTTGGCTCACTGCAACTTCCACCTCCCGGGTTCAAGCAATTCTCCTGCCTCAGCCTCCCAAGTAGCTGGTACTACAGGGGCGTGCCACCACGCCCAGCTAATTTTTGGTTGTTTTGTTTTTTGTTTGTTTTTGAGATGGAGTCTCGCTCTGTCACCCAGGCTGGAGTGCAGTGGCGTGATCTTGGCTCACTGCAACCTCCGCCTCCTAGGTTCACGCCATTCTCCTGCCTCAGCCTCCCGAGTAGCCGGGATTACAGGCACCCACCACTACACTGGGCTAATTTTTTATATTTTTGGTAGAGATGGAGTTTCACCATGTTAGCCAGGATGGTCTTGATCTCCTGACCTCATGATCTGCCCGCCTCGGCCTCCCAAAATGCTGGGATTACAGCCGTGAGCCACTGCGCCTGGCCAAGAAAGCAATATGATTTTATAAAGGTGTTTATATCATTTTATCCCTATTTTACAGAAGAATCGGATGTTCCAACATGTGGAATAATTTGTCAAAGGTCACGGAGCTAAAAAATTAATGTTCAGACCCTTGTCTTCTGGTTCTACCCTAATATCAAGGTGCTTTGTATTATTTAGTTTTAAACACTGTCTCCTGTCCTTTAACCAAGCATAAGGTCCTTGAAGGATGAGACAAATTTTATCATCTTTGTGTTCTCTCCAGAACCTGGTAATACTCATAACTTATGATAACTGATTTATCCATCAAGACTCCACCCAGAGACCACCTTTCTTTCTAATTTACAGCCCCCATCCCTGCAGAAGCAACCACTCCCTCCTCCTTGGCCTCTGTATGTTTCCACTGCAGCACATGCAAGCCGGAATGCAAGGCCCGTGGCTGCCACACATGTGCCTGGCACGCAGGAGGCACTTAGTGTTTACTGAGTGAAATGATTACACATGGCACAGTCGTGTTTCTCAACAAGGTTGTCGTACCCTGTTAAAAAATTTGACCTCAGCCGGACACGGTGGCTCACGCTTATAATCCCAGCACTTTGGGAGACTGAGGAGGGTAGATCATGAGGTCAGGAGTTCGAGACCAGCCTGGCCAACACAGTGAAACCCCATCTCTACTAAAAATATAAAAGTCAGCTGTGTGTGGTGACGGGCACCTGTAATCCCAGCTACTCAGGAGGCTGAGGCAGGAGAATCACTTGAGCCCGGGAGGCAGAGGTTGCAGTGAGCCGAGATCGCACCACTGCACTCCAGCCTGGGCATCAGAGTTAAGACTCTGTCTCAAAAAAAAAAAAAAAAAGACCTCATTTTTATCCTTATCATGTACTGACAAAAATTATTTTAGGCAAGACTGACAGAAAATGGAGAAGAGAATATAGGTCTGAGCCCCTTTGCATCCCCTCTACTTTGTGTTCTCTCTACATGCTGCCCTGGGTATAGTATGTTCTAGAGCAGCGGTCCCCAACCTTTTTGGCACCAGGAACTGGTTTCGTGAAAGACAATTTTTCCCCAATAGGGTGAGGGGAGGTTGGAGGGGTTTAGGATAATTCAAATGCATGATGTTTATAGTGCACTTTATTTCTATTATTACATTGTAATATATAATGAAGTAACTATACAACTCACTGTAATGTAGAACCAGTGGGAACCCTGAGCTTGTTCTCCTGCAACTAGACATCCCATCTGGGGGTGATGGGAGACAGTACCAGATCATCAGGCATTAGATTCTCATAACGAGTGGGCAACCTAGATCCCTCGCATGCACAAGTCACAAAAGGGCTTGTGCTCCTATGAGAATCTAATGCTGCTGCTGATCTGACAGGAGGCGGAGCTCAGGCAGTAATGCAAGAGATAAGGAGCAGCTGGAAATATAGATTAAGCTTTCCTCACTCACCTGCCACTCACCTCCTGCTGTGCAGCCCTGTTCCTAACAGACCACAGAATGGTACCACTCCAAAACTTAGGGGTTGGGGACCCCATTTGCAGAAGAGTGCTTCCAAATTTTAATGTATATGTAATAGCAATCAATAAAAATTATGATTCAGTATGTCTGTGGTGGAGCCCAAGATTCTGCATTTCTAACAAGTTCCCAAGAGATAGCAATGCTGCTGATCCACAGAACATTCTTTGGAGTAGCAAAAAGTTCTAGACAGTTATAGTGAAACTATTCCCATTTAAAGAGTATATAACATGTAGATTGAAATGACTAGACATAATTTCACAGAATGTTAATGCTAGTTGTCTCTGGGTTTCTTCTTTCTGCTTTTCTGTAATTTCCATGTATTGTATAATGACTCTTGCTGATGGAAATAAAAATTTTAAATGCTCTCTCTATATATACATGCACAAAAAAAACTGCATATTTGGACATTTCCATTCTGCATAGCTCCATCTTTATTTAAGCAACAAATATACTTAAAAGGACTAGCCTTGGGATAGAACAGGTTGGTGAATTTAGCAATTCCCTATATTCTCATTTTAACATGCAAATTAACATGAAACAGCAATTACCCTTAACAAGCAGTCGCCATTACAAGTATTGTTTTTCTCAGGTCCTTTCCCTTAAAAGAAAGAGAAAGAATCCGTTCAGTTGGAATACAATAAAAGGCAAACCAAATTAAGGGCAGATAGAAAAAAACCAGCAGGCACTACACTGGAGCTCTTCCAAGTGGGTCAACAGAACCACAGGAAAGTTGAAACAGATGGAAATGCTTTTCTCACAGCAGAGGTGGGATGGGCTGAGTTCCACAGCAAGGTGAAATGAAATAAATTAAAGCATCATTCACTGTGCACCTGCAGGTGAGGTGGAAAAGAAATGATCCTTGGAGAAACCCCACCTCCAAAGCAGAATGAGGAGAGATCATTAGGAAAAGGCAATTAGAGGGCACATATTTGCAAGAAAACACTCCCAAAGCACCCGACCTCTCTTCAGTGGAGTTCCAATGAATACCAAGTTATATTCCCTCAGTCGTGGAAGATGTAGCCCAGCTGGTGGGCATTTCACTCCCACTGCAATGCCTGCAACAATTCCAGGGACTTGCTTGGCCACAAGTATCTGGGATACAGGCAGGGCCAAAAAGAAGGCACCCAACCATCCCATGGCCTATGCAGGGCACTCCTGGTTATAGCAGGCCTGGCAGCGCCCTGCACACTCTGCGTTCTACTCCTTTCCCGCTTCCAGGTAAGAGTTTCTCACTGCAGGATATGGGTTTTCATACTATAGTTCTGCCCACAGTCCTACCTGATGTTTTTCCTTAAAGAAAAACTGTGAAATTCTGTATGAAATTCCACTAAGGTTGGAACCTAGGGTTCAAAAAACCTGTAAATACAATGAAGCCAAAAATCACTTCTGTGGGTCTACACAGCATTATTAAGAATGTGGTTTCAGGCCGGGCGTGGTGGCTGACGCCTGTAATCCCAGCACTTTGGGAGGCCAAGGCGGGTGGATCATGAGGTCAGGAGTTCGAGACCAGCCTGACCAACATGGTGAAACCCCATCTGTACTAAAAATGCAAAATTAGCCGGGTGTGGTGGCATGCACCTGTAATCCCAGCTACTCAGGAGGCTGAGGCAGAAGAACTGCTTGAATCCAGGAGGCGGAGGTTGCAGTGAGCCGAGATTGCACAATGGCACTCCAACCTGGGCGACAGAGCGAGACTCTGTCTCAAAAAAAAAAACAATGTGGTTTCATATCTGTGAAGGTTAGACATACCAGATATTCAGCTCAACAGAAAACAACGAGCCACTGTATGTCTATTGAATTCTGTGAGTCCAGGGCTGGGTTATTTAACTGAAGGAAAGCAAGCATATGCTGAGTTTAAAAATGTGATTACCTGAAATTGCAAAACTAGTATCAAAGGCACCAACCTGATGAGAGAAAAAATATCTGAATTTATATGGACTTCCTTACATTTACTTTGAAATTCAGTATTGTTTCTTTTTTGAATTATTTTGGTGTTAGATAGGGATATCTGAGTTGGGGGAAAGCTCCATAATCTTTTCAATGTTCCAAATCCTAAAAATCTCAATATCATAGCTGGAATTTTAGATTTAAAGAGAGGTAAGAGGCATAACAATGCAATACAAAATCACGTCATCTGCAAACAGGGACAATTTGACTAAATTGTCACTCATCTAGTCAACATAGTATTGAAAGTTCTGGCCAGGGCAATCAGGCAAGAGAAAGAAATAAAGAGTATTCAAATAAAAAGAGAGGAAGTCAAATTGTCTCTGTTTGCAGATGACATGATTGTGTATTTAATACAATACACAGCCTTTTGCCTGGATTCTGGTTTAAAATTTTGTTAAAACACTAAAGGTCTGGGAAATGAATTTAGAAAGTTTGATTATGGACTAATATTAAGTAATATTTGGGGACTACTGTTAATTTTGTTTGGTATGATAATGGTGGTGTACTTTTATTATGAAGCTTCCTTATTTTTTTGGAGATGGATGCTAAAGTATTGAGGGTTAAAATGTCATGACAGGCCAGGTGCGGTAGCTCACGCCTGTAATCCCAGTACTTTGGGAGGCAGAGGTGGGTGCATCTCCTGAGATCAGGAGTTTGAGACCAGCCTGGCCAACATGGTGAACCCTGTCTCTACTAAAAATACAAAAATTAGTGCTCGCTTCAGTAACACATATACTACAACTGGAACGACACAGACATTAGCCTGGCCCCTGCGCAAGGATGACACGCAAATTCATGGAGCGTTCCATATTTTTCTTATGAACATCAACGCAAAAATCCTCAATAAAATACTGGCAAACCCAATCTGGCAGCACATCAAAAAGCTTATCCACCACGATCAAGTTGGCTTCATCCCTGAGAAGCAAGGCTGGTTCAACATACACAAATCAATAAACGTAATCCACCACATAAACAGAACCAATGACAAAAACCACATGATTATCTCAATAGATGCAGAAAAGGCCTTCGATAAAATTCAACACCTCTTCATGCTAAAAACTTAATAAACTAGGTATTGATGGAACGTATTTCAAAATAATAAGAGTTATTTATGACAAACCCACAGCCAATATCATACTGAATGGGTAAAAGCTGGAAGCATTCCCTTTGAAAACTGGCACAAGACAAGGATGCCCTCTCTCATCACTCGTATTCAACATAGTATTGAAAGTTCTGGTCAGGGCAATCAGACAAGAGGAAGAAATAAACAGTATTCAAATAAAAAGAGAGGAAGTCAAATTGTCTCTGTTTGCAGATGACATGATTGTGTATTTAGAAAGCCCCATCATTTCAGCCCAAAATCTCCTTAAGCTGATAAGCAACTTCCACAAAGTCTCAGGATACAAAATCAATGTGCAAAAATCACAAGTATTCCTATACACCAATAATAGACGAACAGAGAGCCAAATCATAAGTGAACTCCCATTCACAACTGCTACAAAAAGAATAAAATACCTAGGAATCCAACTTACAAGGGATGTGAAGGACCCCTTCAAGGAGAACTACAAACCACTGCTCAAGGAAATAAGAGAGGACACAAACAAATGGAAAAACATTCCACTCTCATGGATAGGAAGAATCAATATTGTTAAAATGGCCATACTGCCCAAAGTAATTTATAGATTCAATGCTATCCCCATCAAGCTACCATTGACTTTCTTCACAGAATTAGAAAATACTACTTTAAATTTCACATGGAACCAAAAAAGAGCCCGTATACCCAAGACAATCCTAAGCAAAAAGAACAAAGCTGGAGGCATCATGCTACCTGACTTCAAACTATACTACAAGGCTACAGTAACCAAAACAGCATGGTACTGGTACTAAAACATATATACAGACCAATGGAACAGAACAAAGGCATCAGAAATAACGCCACACAGCTACAACCATCTGATCTTTGATAAACCTGACAAAAACAAGCAATGGGGAAAGGATTCCCTATTTAATAAATGGTGCTGGGAAAACTGGCTAGCCATATGCAGAAAACTGAAACTGGACCCTCTCCTTACAACTTATACAAAAATTAACTCATGATGGATTAAATACTTAAACGTAGATCTAAAATCATAAAAACCCTAGAAGAAAACCTAGAGAATACCATTCAGGACATAGGCATGGGCAAAGACTTCATGACTAAAACACCAAAAGCAATGGCAACAAAAACCAAAATTGACAAATGGGATCTAATTAAAACTAAAGAGCTTCTGCACAGCAAGGGAAACTATCATCAGAGTGAACAGGCAACCTACAGAATGGGAGAAAATTTTTGCAATCTATCAATCTGACAAAGGGCTAATATTCAAAATCTACAAGGAGCTTAAAAAAATTTCCAAAAAAAGACCCATCAAAAAGTGGGCAAAGGATATGAACAGACACTTCTCAAAAGAAAACATTTATGCAGCCAACAAACATATGAAAAAATGCTCATCATCACTGGTCATTACAGAAATGCAAATCAAAACCACAATGAGATACCATCTCATGCCAATTAGAATGGCGATCATTAAAAAGTTAGGAAACAACAGATACTAGAGAGGATGTGGAGAAATAGGAACACTATTACACTGTTGGTGGGAGTGTAAATTAGTTCAACCATTGTGGAAGACAGTGTGGCGATTCCTCGAGGATCTAGAACCAGAAATACCATTTGACCCAGCAACCCCATTACTGGGTATATACAAAAAGATTATAAATCATTCTACTGTAAAGACACATACACACGTATGTTTATTGCAGCACAGTTCACAATAGCAGAGACTTGGAAACAACCTAAATGCCCATCAATGATAGACTGGATAAAGCAAATGTGGCACATATACACCATGGAATACTATGCAGACATAAAAAAGGATGAGTTCATGTCTTTTGCAGGAACATGGATGAAGCTGGAAACCATCATTCTTAGCAAACTAACACAGGAACAGAAAACCAAACACTGCATGTTATCACTCATGGGTGGGAGTTGAACAATGGGAACACATGGACACAGGGAGAGGAAGATCACACACCGGGGCCTGTCGGTGGGTGGGGGGCCAGGGGAGGGACAGCATTAGGAGAAATACCTAATGTATATGGCGGGTTGATGGGTGCAGCAAGCCAACATGGCAAGTGTATACCTATGTGGCAAACCTGCACGTTCTGCACATGTACCCCAGAACTTAAAAGTATAACTTAAAAAAATACAAAAATGAGCTGGGCATGGTGGCGGGTGCCTGTAATCCCAGCTACTCGGGAGGCTGAGGCAGGAGAATTGCTTGAACCTGGGAGGCAGAGGTTGCAGTGACCCAAGATCGCGTCACTGCTTTCCAACATGGGCGACAAGAGCGAAACTCTGTCTCAAAAAAATAAAGTCATGCTAGCTATAATTAATTTTTAATGATTTGGCAAAAAATAATATGTATTGATTTCTATACAGAAAGCAAATAATGTTAATAATTGTATAAATGAGGGGGGTTATATGGGTGTTCATTGTACTGTTCTTTTTTCTATACTTGAAAACTTTTAGAAAAGCTGAAATATATATCTGTCAAAAGCATTTATGGCCTTACACCTTTCTCTCTCTCGTCGTGTTGTCTTGCCAAATTAAATTATAGTCCACTTACATTGGGTGATTTTCTTTCCTCCAAAAGACATTCTCACACGTTCCCACCTCTGTCGCTTTGTGAGATACAGTCTCTCAACCTGGTGTTTTATTCTCCCATCACTGTCCCTCAGTTAAGAACAGACCCATTCTTTTGGGTCCATCACAAATGTTGCCCTCTCTAGGAAAGCTTTCCTAACCCCCCATCCCAACTTTAGGCGATCCCCTCTTTTCTGACTCTCAGTGACACTCTGCAGCTCACATCACAGGTATCACATTCTGTCCTGCATGGTCTTTAAGAAGATATTTACTAAGAGTTTCTCATGGGTGAGGCCAGAGTCTGGAAACTCTCATATGTGTTCTTTCATTTAATCCCTACCTCAATGAGGTAGGAATTATTATTGTTGTTATTATTATTATTATTTTTTTTTTTTTTTGAGATGGAGTCTCACTCTGTCACCCAGGCTGGAGTGCAGTGGCGCAATCTCAGCTCACTGCAACCTCCACCTCCCAGGTTCAAGCAATTCTCCTGCCTCAGCCTCTCGAATAGCTGGGATTACAGGTGCCCACCACCACGCCCAGCTAATTTTTGTATTTTTGATAAAGATGGGGTTTCACCATCTTGGCCAGGCTGGTCTTCAACTCCTGACCTTGTGATCCACCCGCCTTGGCCTCCCAAAGTGCTGGGATTACAGGCGTGAGGCACCACGCCTGGCCTAGGAATTATTATCATCTTCTTTTCACAGGTGAGAAAACAGGTTGAGAGGATGGGTGACTTGCCCAAGTCATAGGATTGGTGGATGGTAGGGCCAGGGTTCATTCCCACTCAGCCCCATCTGCTTCCAAATTCCTAAGCGCTAGTGTGGTGTCATTTGCACCATGGCTTGATCCTTCCCTACTCTATTATACCAACTCAAGGGCAGGCAGAGCATCTTTATTTCAACAACATCTGTGCAAAGTCACTATGTGTCAGGCAACTGTTCTACATGATGGGATAAAGTGGCAAATGAAAAAGGACAGTATTTGACTCAGGTCAAAACTAAGGAAATCTAGCTGAGGGCAGTGGCTCATATCTGTAATCCCAGCACTTTGAGAAGCTAAGTGGGGAGAGACTCACATGAGCCCTGGAGTTCAAGACCAGCCTGGGCAACACGGAGAAACTGTATCTACAAAACAAAACAAAAAAAAAAATTAGCCAGGAGCAGTGGGGCATACCTGTGGTCCCAGCTATTCAGGAGGCTGAGGAAGGAAGATCAGTTGAGCCTGGGAGATCAAGGCTGCAGTGAGCCATGATTGTACCACGCACTCCAGCCTGGGTGATGGAGCAAGATCCTATCAAAACAAAAAACAAAAAACAAAAACAAAAAACCCTAAGGAAATCTGATCTAATTAGCCACTAGTCGTGGATTTGAATGAGCTGACATGGAGCCAGGCCTTGAAGGATCTTGAGGAACAGAGTCACTAGTCGTGGATTTGAATGAGTTCTGTGTCTTGACTTCAATTTCTAAGCCTCCGTTTTCCTCATCTATAAAATGATGATGATACCTTTACCACCCATATCATGGTATTTTTATGAGGCTAAATTACAGCATGCAACACAAACCGTCAAATACCCGAATGCTGTTAATTATTGTCATTAATATTATCAAATGGCATCTATTAAATATTTATGTGTCTGTGACGCTTGTTATCACATCTGTAGTTTTCCAGGAGTTTGATCTAAAAAAAGAGTTACTATCACTGATGGTGATTTATTAGGCCAGCTTCATATAGGAAGGTTTTTATATGTGGTACTTTTTATATGTGCTGAATAAATCTGATAGCCTTTAGTTAATAAAAACGTATCAATATAGCTTAATTATAACAAGCATACCATATTAAGATACAAAAAAAGAGAAAGGGAGGTGAGGGAGTATTGAGATACCCTGTACTATCTGCTCAGTTTTCCTGTAAATCTAAAAATGCTTTAAAAAAAATTAAGACTGGCCGGGCGCGGTGGCTCACGCCTGTAATTCTAGCACTTTGGCAGGCTGAAGCAGGCAAAATGATTAAGCTCAGGAGTTCAAGACTGGCCTTGGCAATACAGCGAAACCCCAACTCTACAAAAATACAAAAATTAGCCAGGCGTTGTAGTGCGCACCTGTGGCCCCAGCTACTCAGGAGGAGGGGGCAGGAAGATGGTTTGAGCCCTGGAGGTTGAGGCTGCGGCAAACCGAGATCATGCCACTGCACTCCAGCCTGGGTGACAGAGTGAGGCCTGTCTCAAAAATAATTGATTTTTTTTTTTTAAGAGCATGAACATGAGGTCAATTTTCTTGACTGGCTTATAAACTACCTCTTAAACTAATTCCAAAGAAGTGTAGTCCTATCGTCTTTAACAAAGAAGGTGGCACTGAAACGTGTGAATGGGGCCGACTGGGGGAGTGAGTTTGAACTAGGATCTCTAGCTAAATGTGTGGCACGTGTTTTTTAAACTTAATCTCATGCATTTATATTCCTCCTTTTATACAACACTAACATGTTTCGGGCTCCAAGTTCTCCAGCTTAATTCACTACATTTTAATTAACATACCCAGGAAGGAATTTACCACACCTCCTACTCCTCTAACAAGTAAAGTAAGTCCCAGAAAGGCTCTAGGAAGTTCCATTAAAAAAAAAAAAAAAAAAAAGTTGGCAATTTTTTTTTCCTTAAAAATCGCAGTCCCAATTCCCAAGTTCTATAGACAATCTTAAACCCAGAACTTCAAGCGTCTGTCTGTACATTAACATACTCCACCATACTATATCCGATTCCTGCCTAAAGAAGGGAGCTCAGCCTTTCACATACCCTGTCCAGAGACTCCTCTCAACTGTAACAAGAGACTCCACACTGCATTTGTGAGATCTGCACATATAAAAAGTCTACCACATATAAAAACCTTCCTATGTGGAGCTGGCCTAAGAAATCACCATCAGTGGCAGCAACTGTGTTTTTTAGATCAAACTCCTGGAAAACTACAAATGTGATAACAAGCATCAAAAATAAATATTTAACAGATGCCATTTGATAATATTCATGACAATAATAAGTAACAGCATTCGGGTATTTTATGGTTTGTGTTCCATGCTGTAATTTAGCCTCATAAAAATACCGTGATATGGGTGGTAAAGATGTCATCACCATTATATAGATGAGGAAAACGGAGGCTTACGAGTTGAAGTCAAGACACAGAACTCATTCAAATCCACGACTAGTGACTCTGTTCCTCAGGATCCTTCAAGGCCTGGCTCCATGCCAGCTGTGTTTTCACTCTCTCCACCAGAAAGACAGGATCCCTCTCATTTTTTAATAATTTTCCACAGTCCTCTTGTCATCCATGGAGGTTCTCTCTTTCTCTGCAGGCCACCTATCTGTTCATGCCTCCAATCTCCTGAGCAGAATTATATAAACCGACTCAGGCCTAGGACCTGGCTCACTCACCCAGGTCCCGCTGTGTTAACAAAGTGCCTTTGCATGCAGTGGAAGCTCCTCAACCCCAAAGGCCCCACAACCACGTGACTGATCCTGTGCTGCAAAACCGACACATGAGCAAAAGCCAAGGAACAAAAACAGACCTCGTTCCAGTGCTTCAAAACTTACGGGAAATTCAAGGTGACTTATTTTCCTTGACCTTAAAATAATGTTTAAGTTTTATAACATGGCTGATAATCATAAATGGAAAAGGGAGTTTTCTTTTCCCCTGGGGCCCTGAGCCAGCCCTCCAATTTGGGGCCAAGATTGTTGAGAAAATGTGCCACGATACTTAATTTTTGGCCAGATTCCAGAAAAAGTAGGGGAGAAAAATGAGTTTCACCATCCGTACAGCTTGGGCTGCTTTCACAGGCACCGCGCTCTTGCAAAATACAGCCTAAAATTGACTTCTGCATATTTCTCTTTGCCAAGTTGACCATTTTGTTAGTAGAACCTTTGATTCTCAGAACCTAAATCAAGTGAAAAGTCAAATATTTTTAAAAGATCAAATTATCTAAAAACTTCAGCTCTGCCTCAGTACAAAATATAAAGCTCCTGGCTTTATATACACAGATAGTGACTAATTCAGGGTGTTAACTTCTTGTACCTGAAAGAAAATGGAAGGCTTCCAAAGTACTGGGATATCACAGAAGCTGCTGAAAGAAGCAGTTTACTGAATGGTACTTCTGTGTCTTCACAGTTTTAACATGCTCAACGGTGGAAAACGAAAACTGTTTGAAGTGGCTAAAATTCAATGCTTGCTTTGTTTGTAACCAGAATAGCCAAAACTGAATATAGTTCCCCAAGATTTTTAATGTCCTGCTTACTGTATTTTTCCTTCTGCAGCCAATTAGAAATGATACTTTTAAAAAATAAAATGTTTAACTCTAGCATCAGTAACATACGTGCTTTGAATTTTTATCAGGAATGGAAAATGGAATGCGTAGAGCTACCCACATGTTCCTTGTCTTGCAAATATTATAGCATCAAATACCACAAAAATAATGAGAAATGTCCTCAAATTTCACAATTAATAAATAGTTCCTCTGTCCTGGTCAGAAAAGCAATGGAAGAATACCAGAGGGTACTTGGGAGCGTGCGTGTGTACACGCTCATGCGTGCGCATCTGTGGTGTGGCTGGTGGTGGGAGTGAGGGAAAGCGACAGAGTTGGGATGCAGCTAAGACTCCTGAGGTGTCCCCTAGGATGGAAATCCTCCACCTGCCCTCTACTCTGCCACCGTGTTGTGTGTTCTGGGAAGCTGACCCATTTAACAACAGGCTGTCTTGCCCACTGGCTCCCATTTTGGTTCAGCCAAATCCTTTCCCACCATATTCCCTGGGTCCTGTCAGGTGGCTCTCTATATAGGGTCCCCTGGAAACTGCTTCCTCCCTCACCCCTCAGGCCTAGGAGTGGGAGGAGCTTGGCTATTACTAGCCCCCGGATGCAGCCACGTCTTTGTGGCTCCTATATACCCTGTCCCCAATATTTTTTATGGCAACATTTTTAATATATGGCTTCCTTTTTTGGTTGTGTGTGTGTGTGTGTATGTGTGTATGTGTGTGTGTATGTGTGTGTGTCTGAAACAGTGTCTCACACTGTCACCAAAGCTGGAGTGCAGTGGCCCCATCTCGACTCACTGTAGCCTTGACTTCCCGAGCTCAAGCAATCCCTGACCTCAGCCTCCTAAGTAGTGGAACTACAGGGCACACCACCAGGCTTGACTAATTTTGTTTATTTTTTGTACAGACAGGAGTCTTACTAAGTTGCCCAGGCTGGTCTCAAACTCCTGGGCTCAAGCAATCCTCCTGCCTTGGCCACCCAAAGTGCAAAGATTACCAGTGTGAGCCACCACACCTGCTTGTTTTTAATATATGTTAATCAACAAGTACAATGACACTTGAGGACAGTACAAGTATCTTCACTGTTCTGACTGGGGTCTGTACAATAGTTTTCCTCCACAATAGAAGCTGACTTTTTTTGAAAATTTTTTATATAATTTAATGAAACAATTTGGTCTCCCTACCTTCTTCCCCTCTGTTCTTCAATCCATTCTAAACAACACTAGCAGATTAATTGTCCTGAAGCACCAAGGTAGGAGTGGCATTCCCTCCACACTAGAGTCCATTGTCTTCCCATTACCTACCATATGCCACCTGTTTTCTTATGGGACCTGGACTGATATGGATACCTGAAGCTTTGAACACTCCCCTAAGAAGATCCTGGCCTGTAATTCCTATTGTTTTGATCCTACTTTTATAACACTCTTAAAGCTAACTGTTGTGGCTGGTGAACTGAAAGGGTTTTTCTTTCTTTTAATCCACAAAATGCCATTATCTGCAATAAACCACAAGGCAGAGGATATATCTTGTAATTTCAGTGATTTTTTTAAAAAACATTACCAGATCAAGTTAGTTCTTTGCTCAAAGCCTTTTCGTCTCTCCCAGAATTAAAAATGTTTTAAGTCCTTATTCTGCCCTGCCGTGCCATGCCCTCCGAAACCTGTCCCTCGCCCCACCAATATTTTTCTGTCCTCACCTCTGCCCTGGCCTCCAGAACAGCATTCCCATTCTTCAAACACGCCGCACTGGCTCCACCTGGGGGCCTATGCCCCTGCAGTTCCCTCCACCTGGAATGCCACCTCCTGAGTCTTCATGTCACAAATTCCTACTCACCTGATTCTTGTGGCCAAAAGCCTTGGCCCAGCACCACATCTCCAGCAGCCCTCTCTTGCCCCAGCTCTCTCTCTCTCTCTCTCCCCCTTTGTCTTTTCTTCCTGGTGCTTCTTCCCCCCAGTGCTTACGATCCATCTCCTCCTATGAGAATGTAGGGTCCCCAAGGAGGGGCTTTTGTTAGGCTCACCATTCATCGTCACTGGCTGAACAGTGGCAAGCAGACAGCCGGCACTCACTAAATATTTGTTGAATAAATGAATGATTCGGTCGGTCAGAGAGGGAAAAGAAAGAACAGCTGGTCCACTTTCTTAATGGTTGTGGCTCAATTTCCAGTGACCAAGGAGATGCTCAGTGGTTATCTTTTGCAGATTACATTGAAGGGATTCTGTTTCTATTAAAAGATGAGCTTATGGAATAACCTGCCATCCAACATGAGGATATTCCACCCTGCATGTCAAAACCAGCACACTGCACAGTAAACAATCAAAAATATGATCAAATGTAAATTCAGAGGCTGAGTGTGGTGGCTCACACCTGTAATCCCAGCACTTTGGGAGGCCAAGGCAGGTGAGGTCAGGAGTTTGTGACCAGCCTGGTCAACATGGTGAAACTCCATCTCTACTAAAAATACAAAAATTAGCTGGGTATGGTGGCATGCGCCTGCAGTACCAGCTACTCAGGAGGCTGAGGCAGGAGAATTGCTTGAAGTTGGAAGGCGGAGGTTGCAGTGAGCCGAGATGGCACCACTGCACTCCAGCCTGGGCGACAGCAAGACTCTGTCTCACAAAAAAAAACCAAAAAACAAAACAAAACAAAAAAAAACCACAAGTAAATTTAAACGATTGCTTAAACTAGCAGGGAAGGGCAGAGATATCTGTAAAGGACCAGACAGTAAATAACTGAACACTGTGTGGACTAGAGTCTCTGTGACAATACTCAACTCTGCTGCTGTACCATGAAAGTTGCTTTTCATGGCCATCCAGAAAGCTGTGCTGCCTCAGCAGGAAGAAGCTTGCCCACAGAGCTTTGATATACAGTGCGGAATATCCTCATACATAGATGAACACAGCTGTGTTCCAATAAAACTTTATTATAAACAATGAAATACAAATTTCTATAATTTTCAGCTGTCACAAAATTCTTCTCCTACTTTTGACTTTTCTTCAAGCATTTATTTTATTTTATTTATTTTATTTTTTGAGACAAAGTCTCACTCTGTCGCCCAGGCTGGAGTGCAGTGGCGTGATCTCGGCTCACTGCAAGCTCCGCCTCCCGCATTCACGCCATTCTCCTGCCTCAGCCTCCTGAGTAGCTGGGACTGTAGGCGCCCACCACCATGCCCGGCTAATTTTTTGTATTTTTAGTAGAGACCGTGTTAGCCAGGATGGTCTCGATCTCTTGACGTCGTGATCCGCCCGCCTCCCCAAATCCCAAAGTGCTGGGATTACAGGCGTGAGCCACCGCGCCTGGCCTCTTCAAGCATTTAAAAATGTAAAAACCATTCTAGGCTCATGGGCCATATAAAAAAAACAGGTGGCAAGCTGGATTTGGCCTCCAAGCTGTAGTTTGCTGATCTCTGGTTTAAATCATTTCTCAAGCTGGCTATTTTTGTCTTGATAAAATACATTCTACCCCATGAATCTGCTGGATATTCTACAACTGATTAAACATGGAATAAATGCATTTGTTATAATTGGCTGGAAAAATAGTTTATTTGGGTAAATAAACATCACTTAATCACTCTTCTAAGACTATCCTTCCACCCAGATTTTGGTCATCTTGTCACACAAGCTCTGTTAGCGTCTCTTTCCTCACCTAAGTACCTTCAATCTGCCATCCTAGTGAAGAAATTCCATCGTACTCTTTCTTTCTTTTCAGAAATGGGAATTACAATGAAACTTTGGGATAGGGAGAAAAGGGTGGCTTCCCAAGC
The DNA here is from genome assembly GCF_000001405.40 of Homo sapiens. Lineage (NCBI taxonomy): Eukaryota > Metazoa > Chordata > Mammalia > Primates > Hominidae > Homo > Homo sapiens. The sequence continues at coordinate 41,124,971 of NC_000004.12, forward strand.
TTTGGGGCAAGGCAAATTCCAGGATAATGTTTTATGACTAAGGGTACAATGCGTTGCCTACACTTTCCTTTTAAGTACTTTCAAACACACCCTGTTGTGTGGGCCCTGGAATGAGAACTATTTTGATTGCAGGTGCTGCTGGAATTCAGGGTCATCTGTCCCCACAAGCTACAAAATTTGCTGAAAAGGCCAGGTTGCAGGATGGCATAGCCAAAAGCATGTTATTTCATAACTTAAAGCACAAGATTTTAAATTTCACTCAATTATAATAGTCTCATTCCTCTTACATAACAGCAATATGTGAAGATATGGAATTTGAAGAAGCACTTTTCATGGTATTACTCAGAAGAGTCGGCCACACATAATGAAGAGGTGTGATTCACATCAAACACATCTATGTGGCCCTAGATACAAAATAGAGAATGAGAGTACTTCACTTTAGGTCTCCAGGTATTTTAAATATCCTGAGGTTGGGTGTCCCAGCAACCCAATCAAGAAGGAATTCAAGAAGATAGTTCTCAACATTTATGCCTCTCATTTTCTTCAAACCTAGGATACATCGAAAAAAAACAAAATTTACTATAACCTAATTAATCACAGACTCCACTTGCCCTACCCATTTTGAAAACAGATCTATTGGAATGTGAAATGAAAACTTTTTAAGTTCTTTGGAAGACCTCTAAGTGCTCTGCTGCTTGGAAAATTTCCAAGTAAATCAAATTCAAATAAATAGGCCAAAGGAAGCCAATGGTTTTCCAACTCCTACTGTAAGTAACATACACCCTACACATTTACTGTGAAAACCAGGGATTAAATTAAGCTTCACTTAAATTCCAAGCTGCCGGAGACAGTCTCTTGAGAAAGCAGCCTTGGCTTGAAACCCTGGCATCCCATGCACATGGTCCAATTCACACCAAAGACAGCCGTCCACAAAGCTGTCCTGCCTCAGCAAGAATCTCATCTAGTCAGCTGAGCTTGGGACTATCCATATAAATGAAACCCGAGGACTCCAATCACAGAAAGTTGTAAGATAAGCACCTCAGCTTCGTTTCACACCTTTAATTGGAGTTTTGGAAGGAAACAAAATGCTGACAAGGTATGCAGCTTCCAACAAAAATGATCAGAAAGGCCAGGCACAGTGGTTCACACCTGTAATCCCAGCACTGTGGGAGGCAGAGACCGGGGGAATGCTTGAATCCAGGAGTTCAAGACCAGCCTGGGCAACATAGTGAGATCGTGTCTCTACAAAAAAAAAAAAAAAAAATTAGCTGGGCATGGTGGTGCATGCCTGTGGTCCCAGCTACTTGGGAGGCTGAAGCAGGAGGATCGCTTGAGACCAGGAAGTCAAGGCTACAGTAAGCTGTTTCACACCTCTGCACTCCAGTCTGGGCGACAGAGCAAGACCCTGTCAATAAATAAGTAAATGAATAAACAACAGAAGAAAATGATCAGAAATGAATGACTAATGAACAACAGACAACAGCAGTTACCTGGCGACCCTGTGAGCATTCAAACAGAAACATCCATCTTGGGATACCCAGGGCACTACTGAGTCTCCCTCTTCCTGACTTGCAGGGAGACTGTGATGCTAAAATAGCCTGGGCTGCCTGCTTGCAGTAGTTTGATAGGACTGCCATAACAAAGTACCACGACTGGGTGGCTTAAACAATAGAAAGTTATTTTCTCACATTTCTGGAGGCTAGAAATGTGAAATCAAGGTGTCAGCAGCACTGGTTTATTCTGAGGCCTCTCTCCTTGGCTTGTAGAGAGCCGTCTTATCCCTATGTCTTCACAGTGTCCTCCCACTGAACGTGTCTGTGCCTAATTTCTTCTTCTTATAAGGCACCAATCAGACTGCACTAGGACCCTCCTTAATTTTATCTTAACTACCTCTTTAAGAGGTAAATTTATCTTACCTCTTTAAGATAATTAAATTTATCTTAACTACCTCTTTAAAGACTTTGTCTCCAAATACACTCACATTTTAACATATGAATTTTGGGGAGACACAATTCAGTCCATAACACTGTTGGAATCACTAACATGGCAAGGTTCTATTTCCATTTATTCTTACCAGTGCCATGAGGCTAGACTCAATAAACTCACAATTCATTTCTCACTTACTTAAAGATTAGCTACCTTTCTAATATAATGAAAGGATACTACATTCTACAATGTCCCAATGACACCCTGATTTTGATTACAAAAAAAAAAAGCAACATATCTTTTTCACTGTCTTTATGAAATACTTCATAAAGACACACACCAAACAACCATAATGAAAAGTCTTTTGGGGAAACCCAAAGATTTCTAAGCACCAGTTGCCAGTCCACATTTTATAAGCATTTGTACTGCGACAATACAACACAAGGAAAAAAAAATCAAAGCATTCACTTGATATTCCACATCAATAGAAGGCAATTGCAAAAAAATTTCATTCTCACTCACTTCACATGTGCCTTTTCATGTAGCCATTCACTTCTTGGCATGAAAGGTTGCCTACTGCTGTGTTAATCTAGACTACCTGCTTCCAACATCAAACTGGGTTCAGCAAATGATAACACTATCGGAGATTAAGATTTCTATTCAAAGCAGGTATGTACTACAGAATGGGAGAAAATATTCACAAACCATGCATCTGACAAAGATCTAATATCCAGAATCTAGGAGGAACTTAAACAATTCAATAAGCAAAAAAACAAATAACTCCATTAAAAAGTGGGCAAAAGGCTAGGCACGATGGGTCATGCCTGTAATCCCAGCACTTTGGGAGGCCGAGGTGGGTGGATTACCTGAGGTCAGGAGTTCGAGACCAGCCTGGCCAAAAGGCCAGGGGCGATGGCTCATGCTTGTAATCCCAGCACTTTGGGAGGCGGAGGCGGGTGGATTACCTGAGGTCAGGAGTTCGAGACCAGCCTGGCCAACTTGATGCAACCCCATCTCTACCAAAAATATAATAATTAGCCAGGTGTGGTGGCAAGCACCTGTAATCCCAGCTACCTGGGAGACTGAAGCATGAGAATCGCTTGAACCCAGGAGGCGGAGATTGCAGTATGCCAAGATTGCACCACTGCACTCCGGCCTGGGTAACAGAGCGAGACTCCATCTCAGAAAAAAAAAGAAAAAAAGAGCAAAAGACATGAGGAGACACTTCTCAAAACAAGACATATAAGCAGCCAACAAATCTATGAAAAAATGTTCAACATCACTAATCATCAGAGAAATGCAATTCAAAACCACAATGATATACTGTCTTATACCAGCCAGAATGGTTATTATTAAAAAGTCAAAAAACAACAGATGCTGGTGAGGCTTTGGAGCAAAGGAACACTTCTATGCCATTGATGGGAATGTAAATTAGTTCAGCCACTGAGGAAAGCAGTTTGGAGACTTCTCAAAGAACTTAGGACTGCCATTCAACCCAGCAATCCCATTGTTGGGTATATATCCAAAGCAAGTATGTGACCAGGAATATCACCAGTAAAAGGTAACATTTTAAAATTTCTAAAAAATCTAACTGATCACCAAAGCCCTGTAAAAGAATATCTAAAATAATATAATTGTAATCACTTTAATCTCATTTTAAGCCTTCTAATAACTTATGACTCCAGTTTTGTCCTCCAAATTCAACTACGTTATTCATTAATTCCACAAACAATGGCTGAGATTATACTCTGTATCAGGCAGTGTTCTAGGGGCTGGATATACAGCAGTGAACAAACCAAACCTGTGCCCTCATGGAAGTGACATTCTGGTAAGGTACACACATCACTTCCCCTACTGTCCTACAAACACATTTCCCCTTCCAACTTTCCTGGTTGGGGCACCTGTATCTCCAGCCTCCTGGCTTCCCAAAGACAAAACTAACGGGCTATTATATATTTTTAATTTTCCTTCACATCCCTCCTGAGATCTCTGATTGGCATTTCCAGCCCCTTGCATCCTTTACCTGCCTTTCCTACTACAGACAACACTGTCAACATTTATCTACCCCTAAGCCCCAGTGACGAGCCAGAAGACTCTACTTCCTACTCCCTCCATCACACACCGTGTCTTTGACCAAATCCTATTAATCCTACCCCAGTGTCCCTCCTCTGTCTCTCCTGGCCTCTCCATTCCCACCACAATCCTGGCCATTTTTCTTCTCCCTTAACACCACAGCCTCTCTCTAGAAGATGAAACCCATAAAGCAGGAAGAGCCATCTATTCACCTTTGAATCCCAAGCACCTAGCACTGTTCTTGACACACAACAGGAGCTCAATAAATTTGGGGAGTCAAGACTCCTGTGCAGGGTATTCAAGTCCCCTCTCAACTGGCCCCACTTTCCATTTTCTTGCCTCATCTTCAGTCACTCTCCACCACCAACACCCTCCTGACTACACAGATGGCACATTCCTGCCTCCATGTCCCCTCTCACACTGCTCCCTCTCCCTGAAATGTCATCACCTCTCCCCTACCTGTGTGCCTTGGGAAGTCCAAATCAACAGTCTAGACTTGGCTGAAAAGGGAAGAATTACTTGCTTTTTTACTTTTGTTTGCACAGAAGTTTGGACACATTGTATTAGATCAACAGGCTTTGTTCTCCTGCTGTTGTGCCTCACTGAACCATGTGCGCTGGGGCAGGGCTTGTGTCTTTGCTTTGTTTGTTTTTAATTTTCAGTGTCTGACATGTGGTATATCTTAAGTGCCTCTTGAAAGCCACTTATTCATTCCTTCAACAAATATTTATCAAGTACCCAGTCCCCACCAGACACTAGTCTAGGTGACAGGGATGTATCAGTGAACAAAAACAAAAATCCCTGCCTTTTGCAATTTATATATATAAATATATTTATATTTATATAAATTCCTCTTGGCATTTATATTCCAGTGAGAAGAGAGAGACAATAACTTAAAATGTAAGTAAAGTATGCAGGTATGTTAGAAGGGGCTAAGATCTACAGGGAAAAAAATTAAAAGGTTAAGAGGGATTTGGGGAGGAGTGACAGGAAGGTTTGCAATTTTTAAAACATCGATCAGGGTAGGTTTCACCGACAGACTAACATTTGAGTAAGAATTAAATGAGAAAGGACATTATCCAGGAGGATATCTGGGGAAGAGAACACAAGAAGAACCAGCCAATGCAATGGCCCTGAGGCAGAAATCTGCCCACTGTGTTCAAAAGCCAGGGAGGCTGTGATGGGGCCAGCATTCCAACATCAATCCTGCTGTAGCTATACGATGAAAAGAGAAAATTGAGAACGAGAAGGAAAATTTCTAGAATTTCACAGTTATCTAGGAATGAGGAGAAGGGTCTAAGCTGCAGCTTGGTCATTATCAATGAAAAGAATGGAATGTGGACATGTTTCCAAGGTCCATTCCACCAGAAAACAGTCCTGACTCGACCTTCAGCGTAGATCCATTGCTGCCCCTTACCCAAGCCCTCATTCATCTGGCCTGGATTATTCCAGTGACCTCCTTGCTGCTTGCCCTAATTCTATCCTTGCCCTCTACACTCTATTCTCAACAGAGGAATCCTGTTAAAACTCAAGCCACACCACAGCACTTCTGCTATCAGAACTTGCAATCAGTCTTCTCTGTCCCCACAGTAAAACATGAAGTCCTTATGATTGCCTAGAGGGCCCCAGAGGGTGGCCCCCTCCTTTCCTTTCTAACTACATCTCATATTCTCCCCATAGCTAACTCTCCTCCAGCTCTGTGAGGAGCTCTTCAGAGCACAGACCCACTGTGAGGCCTTCTACAGAGGCCAGTCTCCTCGAGTGCCTACCGATGCCCCAAGACCACGCCCTCCCCACTTCTGCTCCCCATCCGCCCTCCCTTCTCTCCATGGCCCTAAATGTTAAGGCCTTGTAGGACAGATCCCCTTCCTCTATGAAGCTTCCTAGGATGGTCTGACTCACACCAATTTCTACCTCCTTAGGATCCTGTGGCCTTCAGCACCCACACCATTTATCTCAGCCCTTCAACTGCTCCACATCATAAGGGCCCAACTAGACCATACGTCACCAAAGAACAAGCGCCACCCCTTATGCTTCTCAGGCCCTGAAGTACTGACAAGGAACATCACAGCAAAACATGCGAGAGTACAATGTTTTAATTTTTTAATGTGTTTCCAACACATTAAAAGTATGGGGGCATTCACAAAGCTCTACATTTCTGCCTTCTCTTGATGTATCAGCAGATCATGCTACACTGGAGCCTCATTCCTGAACAGCAGAAGCGAGAAGCTGAGCAGTAGCTGTGCCCTTTTTCTCCACTCTATGCCCAAGTTCACTGGTTTACTTTCTGTTGGGTCCCTGTCTTGTCGGCATTTGAGTTTGCTATCTTTGTATTAGGTATTGATTACCCTGAATTTTTAAATTATCAGATTCTTTTGGGAAGTGAGTATGTACTGAAGATAATATCAGTTTTTCCTCATTTATGATATCAACTGACAATGGTGGTGTTTTAGACTTTTCTATATTATAAATATCAATTACATACAAACACATACATATACATACATAGATATGTATTTTAGAAACTGTCCCCTTAATCTTCCTAATAGATTAAAATTCCTGTACTATGGTTCACATACCTTGAAATATAGGGGTTATGATTCCTGGCATGACTAAGTTTAAGGTCAGATATCAGTACAGAAGTTATAAAGAGAAGGAGATATGGCAAAAATAAACATTACTGAGTCGGATGAGGTATTTAACAAACCATTTTAGGAAAATACGTTTCTAAAATTCTTATGAAATTAGAAAAATAACACTGTTTACTGATTTTTAAAAATAAAACTTCGGCCGGGCACAGTGGATCACGTCTGTAATCCCAGCACTTTGGGAGGCCAAGGCGGGTGGATCACCTGAGGCCAGGAGTTCAAGACCAGCCTGGGCAACATGGCAAAACCCTGTCTCTACTAAAAATACAAAAATTAGCCAGGCATGGTGGCACACACCTGTAGTCCCAGCTACTCAGGAGGCTGAGGCAGGAGAATCACTTGAACCCAGGAGGCGGAGGTTGCAGTGAGTCAAGACTGCACCACTGCACTCCAGCTTGGGCGACAGAGCAAGACTCTGTCTCAAAAATAAATAAATAAATAAATAAATAAAAAGTAAAAATAAAACTTCAAGTATTCCATATGAAATATGGATAAAGGTTAGCACAATGCCTTTCTTCTCCAGACTACCATTATCTACATTGTAAAAAAAAATTTCCATCTTCGTATCTATTACTACATTTCAGCACTCAAACTAAGCCAAAGGAGGTAAATCACGTCATAGAAAAATGAACACAACAGTTTCCAGACAAGCCTATCAAGAGTTGAAGAGTTAAGCAGCTATTGCTACCAGAAGAGTTTAGAGGAATCATCTCCTTTGACCTGTGACCTTTGTCTAAGGGTTTTAATTAAGAGAAAAGCAAAATCTGGACACAGAAGTCAAAAGATATTTAAAAAGTCACCCTGGCTTTATCTGTGCATCAGTCATTACTTCAAGTCCAAACAGGCAGGCCTTTCTTAGCAAACAGCTTTCCTGATTAGCAATCAGATTCTGGAGGCTTCCATGGCCACCTCCAGCCCTGCAGTCTGAAAAGCAAATACAATTCAGTCCAAAGCTCCTTTGAAAGCAAACAAACTAAGCATAAAGGTACACCTTCAAACACACTTCAGCAAGATTGAATTCATTGTCCTTCAAATTACATTTAGGAAATATCTTTTTCCTTTCTATTTTTCAACTCAATGTTTTAATTAATAAGCTTTCCTGAGAACATTTGCTATCTATATGCTTTACCACTCTCCCCACAAAAATTGCTTACTTCCTCTGAACTCCCAGAGGACAAGAAAAACTGACAAATGAACATTAGAAAAAAATTGCAATATTTTTAAAAAACACTTAGTAAGGTTTTATAAAATACATTAAAACTAAAGCAAAATGATACATAATCATACTGCTCAGCTATCCCGATTTTTTTTTAAAGGAAAGAAAAATAAGTGAACATAGTTAGAAAATTCAAATACAGAAAAGGAAGAAAAAGTTTTCCAGTTTATTAACAGTTGTACTGTACATCTTTTTCAGGGAAAAAATGCATACACCAGCATATATACCTTTTTTAAAAAAATTATACAAAAGGGAATGGTAATCACATTGATTCCACAAGGCATTTTTTTCATTTTTTATATATATGTACACGTAAGTGTGTATATATATCTTATAAATCTTTCCAAAGGAGCACATATACAGAACTACTTCATTCTTTACAAATATGCTACAATATATCATATAAATATCTTGGCATAGTTTTAAGTGAACATATTTATGAAATTGCTGGTGATTTTAAGTTCTGAAATACATCACCAAATTGCTTTTGAATTGTGTCTATTTCAGAAGATAATTTAATCTCAAACAGAAGTCCCTTTTTTGCACGTGCTGGAAGTATCACAACTGACCTGCTGTGCCTCAAACTGCATCTCAGAACTGCTAGACAATCAACCCCTAGCAGACCAAGTCAAGCTCTTCTAGACAACACAGACTCCGTGAATCAAACCAGAAATGTCTCTAAAAAGCTGGAGGTTGGCAATCACAGCTTTGGAAAGGGTTCTGTATAGCTTAACCTTTCCGTTTATTAGTTTCTGTACTTTGTGTCTAAGAGGCAGACACAGCGACAGGAAAAGGAAGAAAGGGATTAACATCTACTAGGTACTTAACTAAGAATGCTACCAGGTGAGAATACTAGAAAAGCAACAGATTGACCAGAGTCTCAAACCATCATAGAGGTAAACACCTTGGTCCCTCTCTCCCCACTGAAAAATTCTAGGCAGCTCCCAAACAAGGAGTGCAGAGTAAGGGGGAGGGGAAGCCAGGAATGTCCAAGGCTTATCTTCTTCCTTCCTTCTCTAAGCAGCTGCTTAGGAGTATCTGATTCCCCCAGCCACCAAAATACCTCTCAGTAATTCACAGCAAGTTCATGGAGTAGATGGCTGGGCCACATACCTAGCTATAAAACCTAGGACACACTTTCCTTTTTTCTTTTTTTTTAGACAGTCTTGCTCTGTCACCCAGGCTGGAATACAGTGGCTCCATCATTGTTCACTAAAACCTTGACCTCCTGGGCTCAAGTGGTCCACCCACCTCTGCCTCTTGAGTAGCTAGGTTTATAGGCATGTGCCACCATACCTGGCTAATTTTTTTTTAAGTTAATTAATTTTTTGTAGAGATAGGTTGTCCTATGTTATCCAGGCTGGTCTGGAACTCCTGGTCTCAAGTGATCCTCCTGCCTCAGCCTCTCAAAGGGCTGGGATTACAGGTGTGAGCCATCGTGCCCAGCCAGGACAAACTTTTTAGGGCCGGGCGCAGTGGCTCATGCCTGTAATCCCAGCACTTTGGGAGGCCAAGGCGGGCTGATCACAAGGTCAGGAGATGGAGACCATCCTGGCTAACATGGTGAAACCCCATCTCTACTAAAAATACAAAAAAAACAATTAGCCAGGCATGGTGGCGGGTGCCTGTAGTCCCAGCCCCCAGCCCCCCACAAATAAAGAAAATATATAAAGAGAGTTTGCTCTGGGTAAACCACTTCATAGGCAGTGCTTTGATTTATACAAGTATATCATGGAGTTTCGGAACATCTGGATTCAAATTTAAATTAGTGGGTGTAAGACTTGAACAAAAATCATTTGATCTCTCCAATCCTGAGCTTCTCTAAAACTGGGTAACACTGTCTCTGTCAAAGAACTGTTGTGAGGATCAAATGAAGTCTGCCCCCGCCTTGAGCCACTCCCATAAGATACTGAGAAAGTGCTTAGTACTTGGCAAACTGCACATGCAACCTCTCCCCAGAAGGGCTTGCATTTTGGCTGTTTCCCTCAATAATACTTCATTTCGTTCCCTCCAGCAAACTACCACAGCTGCCCTCCTTACAGGACACTGCTAACTAGTTCACTTGGAATTTAACTGATTTGCACTGAAGTAACACAAATTCAACATTCCTTATCACTCATATGTTAATGACTGCTCAAGACCAGTGGTCATTTTCAATCCTATTTTAGAATAATCAAGGATCTAAAGTCCTGATTGGAACTCCAGACTTCTTATTTCTAGGAGAATTCATTCCTCAAGTCACTAATTACTGTCTTACTTTTCATATGCTCTGTGACATTTTAACCAGACACCAGAAAAAAAGCCACAGCAGTAACAAACTATATCCTTGAGCCCTCAAAAAAAAAAAAAAAAAAAAAATCACCCTTACAAACCCAAGCATAGCATGGTTACTATGATTCTAAAACCTGTCCTCAAAGGGCCTCAGATGCATGACGATTACATTCAAAACTATATTCTTTCATCCTTAAAGACAGTACACTAACAAACTGCACCGAAAGATTTTTTAATGCAAGCCAGACCAATGTTGATACTTGTTTTTTATAAATTATTATATGTTTTTTCATAGACACTATCCAAACCAGTAGACTATTTTTGTTTATGAATGAAGCCAAGGATCAATGATCAATGCTTATTTGAATAGATAATAATCAATTTGGAAATTTCAGAAACTTTGAATAGCTATCGTGTCATGCGTATAGATCTTATTTGGACAATATAATCAAATTAAACATTTTATGCATCACAGATCAGTATGAAACTGAGAAAGTACTGTTTGTTCTTGTATCAGTAATTATATTAAAATAAATGACTGTATGTCACTCACAGTATCTTTGAAAGCTGTTAAAGAAAACCTATACTTCACAGATTATTCAACATAAAAAAAGACAAGAAAAATATCAAAAGATATATTATTCCAAACTCTGTTAATGTATTTGTCATAAACATCCTCATTACAGATGTATACAAAATTGTGGCTGTACTAAAGAAGCAAGTTCCAGGCACTCTTTTCTTTTCTAGACAGGATCTGGGTCTTGCTATGTTGCCCATGCTGGTCTCAAGCTCCTGGGCTCAAGCAATTCTCTTGCCTCAGCCTCCTGAATAGCTGGGACTACAGATACGTGCCACCACACCCAGTTCCCTGACACTCTCTTCATTCTGGTGTTGACTCAGTGAATGTGACTAGGTTGATCTGATTTTGCTTCATCTGCAAGCAAATGATCATAAATAGGCCAGAGTCTTCATGAATGTAATTGTACTACAACTCAAACTTCAGTGATTCAATCATTTTGAATCCCAACTTCAGCTGGCAAAAAGGCTCTATTCAAAGTAAACGATGGTTAAGAGGTTACTCTAACCCAGCCATGCTTTGATTCAGCTCCCAAAAGAAAACAAGAATAAGAAGACCTTATCTTTCCAGAACATTATACTACACTCCTCATGGAGTCATTCTGTGAATAGGTCACAAAGATGTTTAAAGGGGCAACAGAGAGAAAGAAAAGATTTAAAGAAGTGACTGGGTTAAAAGTTTCATAACACCTATTTCCAGGGACTTAGAGTTATAAATGAAAGCTTACTTATGGCTTTGACTTTAAATGAACAATAAAAAAGATAATTCCATGTTGCTCTATGGATATGTTTTTAGGAGGTGATATTATCAGTTAAAAGACTTCCCAGGAAAGTAAAAGGGCCAGGTAACACACATGTCAGTTGCCATCAAGCTGGTCTACTCAGGTTGAAATGAGAAGATTACGAAGAAAGCAGGAAGCAGATAAGCCATCCTGAGAACTGAGCCCTCCAGGAACCAGGACGCATGGCTTGACCTACTAACGGCACTGCAGAAAACAGGTTCCAAATCTAATAGCATGACTGTAATCTCCAGTTAAAGCCCAGCAGCAATAGTCAGCTCAGCTATGTGCCAGAGAAGGGAAATGTCTCTGCATTTCACCAAGACTTACATTTAGATTTTTTTCACATTAAAAATGTCATGTCCCAAACAAAATTAGGAGTTTATTAGAAAACAAGAGAAAATGATCAACTAGATTCCAAATGTCACAATAAAGCACTGACTTTTAAACAATTTCCTTTTCAATGTTTATGCATCCATAACGCAGTTGTAACTAAAGATATATATATTTTGCAATCTTCACATTTCTAATATAATTATTTTAATGTCTTCACACTTAGCTATTCAGAATCATACTAATACAAAGATAAAAACAGAATAGGTAAATATAAAAATACAGCTAGCATTTTATACTATGAAAAATGTCCCATTTTCATAAAACATATACAACTACACTATGTTACCAAACACACGCAAGACATTTTAATTCATAGGTTTTCTATTTAGTAAAATAATAGTTTTGTGATATGAGACCCAATTCATGTTACCATTAATGAAAATACTTGAAATAATATGCCAGCCTTGTAAAACCTTCATTCAGTAGTTATTGGGAATGATTAAGACAGAGGTAATGAAAAACTTAATCTTTTTTTTTCCAAATGCAGAACAGGTATAAAAATGATTACCACCTTTATGAAAAACAAAGCACTGCTTAAAGTCATATATATAGTAATCTGGAAAATGCACTTTGATTGATTCCACATTGTCATCTACCATATTAGATTTCCATAATTACCCCAAAGAGAAAACACCAAATACTAGTACTCTAACACAGTGACTCATAAAGAACAGAGAGGAAAAGTAGCAAAGGTACAACAGTGTTTTTTAGTGAAGACACTGCATCTTAAGTCCAATTCTTGAACTAACTTTTTTCATAGAAAAATTGCATTGCAAAAACCAGTGTGGTACTAGCATAAGGACAGATGGTAAACCAAAGGCACAGAATTGAGAGTACAGAAAGAAAGCCCTTACATTTGTGGTCAATTGATTTTCTACAAAAAAAGTCAAGTCACTGGTTAGCCTTTTCTGCAAATGGTGCTAAGACCTATATGCAAAAAATAAAAATAAAAAATCAACAAAATAAGATAAACATAGACCCAAACCTCACACCATACATAAAAATTGACCCCAAATGAATTAAACACCAAAATGTAAAGGGTAAAGCAACAAAAGTTTTAGAAAGAGCCTGGGCGCACTGAGGCAGGTGGATCATGAGGTCAGGAGATCAAGACCATCCTAGCTAACACGGTAAAACCCCGTCTCTATCAAAAATACAAAAAATTAGCCAGGTGGGTGGCTGGCACCTGTAGTTCCAGTTACTCGAGAGGCTGAGGCAGGAGAATCACTTGAACCTGGCAGACAGCGGTTGCTGTGAGCCGAGATCACGTCACTGCACTCCAGCCTGGTGACAGAGTGAGACTGCATTTAAAAAAAACACAAAAACTAAGTTTTAGAAAGAAACACAGAAACTTTTCATGAGCTTTGATTAGCCAGCCAAAGAGTTTTTAGAAACATCAAAATCATGAGCTTTGAAAGAAAAAACGAATAAACTGAATTTTGTTACAATTAAAAACTTCTGAGCACCAAACAACACCGTTAAGAAAATAAGTTTATACATACACACAGTTTCCCATATTGATGCAATTTATCAATGATTAAAATTTACAGTATTTCATTGTTGGGGGGAAAGACACCATTAAACAAGCCAGAGACTAGAAGAAAATATGTGCAAATCATATATCCAATAAAGAGCTTATATCAGACTATATACAAAAGAAACAACCCAATATAAAAATGGGCAAAGGATTTGAACAGGTATTTCTCCAAAGAAGATATAGGAGTGACTAAGAAGCTCAATGACTGAATAACTAAGTCAACTGTGAGAAGATAAATTTCATAATTATCATCTTTTATCCTTATCAAAAAGCTACATAACAGAATGATTTCACTAGAAACTCCAAAGCACATAACTTTGTATTTCTCACATCACACTCAAGTTTTCAAATCACTGCAAAAATAAATAATAATAACATCCAGATTGGACATGAAATAAAACTATATCTGCAGATGACATAATCTGGTATATAGAAAATACTAGCAAAGTCATACACATAAAAAACTATCAGTACTGATAAACAGGTTCAACACGGTTGCAGGAAACAAGATCATTATACAGAAACCAACTGCATTTCTATACACTAGCTACAAATACTTTGAAAATAATTACTTTCTTAATTTATAAAGGCATCAAAAAGAGAAAAATACTTAGGAATAAATTTGATATGGAAGTATTAGACTTGTACCCTGAAAGCAATATAACACTGTTGAAAGATATTAAAGAAAACTGAAAGAAATGGAAACATGTCCCATGTTCACGTATCAGAGCTCTTAATATTGATCTGCAAGTCAACATAAGAGCTCTTAATATTGAACTAGAAAGTCAACATAATCTCTTATCAAAAGGCTGGCTCAACATTCAAGTATCAGTATCATCCAACCTATGAATAAGTTAAAGAAGAAAATCATGACCATATCAATAGTTGCAAAAAAGCACCCAACAAAAATCCAACACTATTTCATAATAAAAACTCTCAGCAACTAGAAATAGAGGGGAAATTTGTCAACTTGATAAAGAACATTCACAAAAAACCTAAAACTGACATCATATTTAATGGTGAGAAACTCAAATGAGTAAAAAACTTATCCACATATCTATATAAAAACCTGCAAATTAATGTTTCCAGCAGTATTGTTCGTAACTGCCAAAACTTGGAAGCAACCAAGATGTCCTTCAATAGGTGAATGGATAAAGTGTGGAACAACGATATAATGGAATATTATTCAGTGCTTTAAAAAAAATGAACTATCAATTCATGAAAAGACATGGAGGAAACTTAAACGCACATTGGTAAGTGAAAAAGCCAATCTGAAAAGTCTATCTATTGTATAATTCTAACTATATGACACTGTGGAAAAAGTAGAACTATGGGGCAAAAGATAAGTAGTGGCCAGGGGTTCAGGAAGAAGAAATGAACAGGTAGAACATGCAATTCTTTTAGGGCAGTGAAACTATTTTGTATGATACTGTAATGGAAATACAACTTATATATTTATGAAAGCTCATAGAACATACAACGCAAAGAGTGAACCTAATATAAACTATAGATTTTAGTAATGATAATGTATCAATATTGGCTCATCAATTATAATATACCACACTAATGCAAGACACTAATGATATAGGAAACTGGCAGTAGAAGTCACATGGAAACTTTCTGTACTTGCTGCAAAATTTCCCCCAAAAAACAGTGTAATTACAAAATATAATATTAATGAAAACTCTATCATTAAAAAGAGGAAATAAGTCTTTAAATTCATTTAATTCTCCTTAAAACAGAAAGCTGACTGAGGTTCTGGTGAGAACAGCAGCTGTTACCTTGTCGTGTTAAAACTAACTCCAGACAGCTTTCTGATAGCCTCTCATTTGGCTAGGCCTTAAACAATTGTATTCAGAGTAAATAAACAAGATTCTACCATTACTAACCTCTGAAATTATCTTCATTATCTGCAATTTACTTTAACTATATGCTCTGGAAAGCCTTCCCTTCTTTTAGACTCAAAAAGCAAGTAATTGAATTAAATCTATTTTTTAAATCTTTTTAATGTTTTTTAATGTTCCTAAGACTTAATCCTCTTCTACCTTGTTAAATAATCGCCCTCCCTGCTAGTCTACCACCCAACAGAATTCCTAATTCCATCTCTGTTCCCACAAAACTTTGTTCTTACCTCTAGAGATACATTGTCACACTGCATGTCAGTCATGTGAATACTTATCTGGCCTATCCCCTACACCAGGGGCCCCTGGTACCAGTCTGTGGCCTGTTAGGAACCAGGCTGCATAGCAGGAGGTGAGCAGTGGGCTAATGAGCACAGCTTCATTTGTATTTACAGCCGGTCTCCATCGCTCACGTTACCTCCTGGGCTCTGCCCCCTGACAGATCAGTGGCAGCATTAGATTCTCATAGGAACGCAAATGCTATTGTGAACTGCACGTGCCAGGGATCTAGGTTGCATGCTTCCTATGAGAATGTAATGCCTCATGATCTGCCACTGTCTCCCATCATCCCCAGATGGGACCACCTAGTTGCAGGAACACAAGCTCAGGGCTCCCACTGATTCTACATTACAATGAGTTGCAAAATTATTTCATTATAGACCACAATGTAGTAATAATAATAGAAATAAAGTGTACAATAAATGTAACGTGCTTAGATCATCCTGAAACCATCCCTGCCACCCCACTCACTGTTTGGAAAAACTGTCTTCCACAAAACTAGTCCCTCATACCAAACAGGTTGGGGACTGCTGCCCTACACCATGAGCCCCTAAAGACAGGGACTATGCCACAGTCATTTTACACTAAGACCTCACTCCTAGAAGGTACCACCAATTGGGATGTTTTGGATGTAAGAGACAGACACCTAACTCAGATGAACTAGCTAAGTTGCCAAGAAAGTGAAACAGGAGATGCTGGGTTTAGGCACTGCTGAATTGCAGGTCAAAAATATGTGTGTGTCTGTGTGTGTGTGTGTGTCTGTGTGTGTGTGTGTCTGTGTGTCTGTGTGCACACGCGCATGTGTGCGTGTGCATGTGTGCATATGCATACGAGTGTCCCTTCCCTTCCCACCAATCTCTTTTCCTCCATCTCCCTGCTTTGATTTATCCTGTGTTGTCTTAATTTTCAGTAAGGTTTTCCCTAAGTCATAGAAAAACTGCCACTAGCAGCTCCAGCTTAACAAACTCACAGAAGGCAAAACTTCTTCAATAGTTGCAATAAGAATACTATGGCCCCTCCAAAGATGGTTGTGACCCTTTAGTCCATTTTCATGCTGTACCTGAGACTGGGCAGTTTACAAAAGAAAGAGGTTTAATGGACTTAAGTTCCATGTGGCTGGGGAAGCCTCACAATCATGGTGGAAGGCAAGGAGGAGCTAGTCATGTCTTGCATGGATGCCAGCAGGCAAAAAAAGACAGAGCTTGCGCAGAGAAACTCCTGTTTTTAAAACCAACAGATCTCATAAGACTCATTACCTATCACAAGAACGGCACAGGAAAACCCCACCCCCATAATTCAATCACCTCCCACCAGGATCCTCCCATGACATGTGGGAATTATGAGAGTTACAATTCAAGATGAGATTTGGGTGGGGACACAGCCAAACCATATCACTGGCCACGCTTATGTTACATGCCCATAACTGAGTCAGCAGGGTCACCTCCTCTAACTACATAGGGTGAAAATGAAACAAGGGCAATTGTCCAGGAAAAATCTGGATGATTTATTAAAAGATGGAGGAAAAGGATGCTGGGCAGACAAAGCCAACAGACATTCACTACTTCACAGATTCTGAAAGACTGTGACTCACTACTTTCTAGGGAGTATTTATTAGCTGCTTATGTAGAAAGCTGACTTACCCACTGAATGTCCAACAGAAATGGTCTGCAATGTCTGTCCCTGTATAATATATGTTTTCAAAATGAATTATTTCACTTTACTGCCTCATATGGGGTTATCCATGCTGTTTCATTCACCTGGCCCACAGTGAGAGCATTTGGCATTTATTTAAACACCTATGTTTTTCAGGACATTCTCTTCCCCTGTCGTATATAAGTATCTTAATGCCAAATGCACACACTGCAGAAAATGAAATGTGTTGGTGGCTTTTGTTTGGGGAAAGATTAGAGTATATAAAATCTGGCCAAGCAGACTGGAGGCTCACAGCCAGAATTATCCCAACAGAAATGGCAGGTCTCCATGCCCCACCCTTCAAAGTTCGAAAACACAAATGAGTGCAAGTCTTTGAAACTACAAATCCAACTCCATGAGGCTGGACGCCGCTTTCTCCCCAAAATAAAGCCAAGACCATTGAAGTTGGCATAGGTGGCTTCCAGTTGTGGCTTCTTCCAATATTTGTGCCAACGTCCTTCTCTCTTCTCTGAGAGAGGAGAGGAAGATGAGAAAGAGGATAGGACAGAGGAGAGGAAAAGGAAGAGAAGGAAAGGAAGACATCATTACACTATACACAAAAGGCTATCAGCATGTATCTGCCATTTACACATGCTGGGACTCTCACAAATAACTGAAAATAATCATTTGGGGTGGTCTCCAAAATGAGCCTGGAAGGAACAAAACAACTTTTCCCTATCCGGCCCAATCCGCTTTATCCAGCCTCTCTTACTTATACTAACCTGATTTTGCTTAAATTATTGTCAGCCTCAGCTTTTCACAGGAGCTTTCTTTTATGGATTTTCCATCCAGCAAATGTTTCTGTTCCACGGCTGGGCAGATCCGACCACAGCATGCTTGGCTACAGACCACAGCAGCTCACCCACAGCAACTCCAACCTGGGGGGGCAAAGGCCAGAAGCCATTATAAGGACTCAAAGTCATCAACTTTCTCTCTCTCAAGGGCACATATTTGGCAGGATAACCTCAAACATGTTCCCAACGTTCAAAATCATTATAAACAGAGGCAACAGCTTACAAGGTATCCTAAAGACAAGTGTGGGCTATTCTGAGGGGAGGATTGAAATATTTAATCATTTATTGAAAAGGTTTGGCCTAGTGATTATGCTCTGTTTGTGGGAAACTGAAAAGCCAGATGTTTTAATTAACCATGGAAAACACAAGCTACAACTAAAATTTCATGAACATACTGATCTGCCCCGTGGAAAACCACAGGAATGTTCTGGCAGGGCTCAGTCTGAATTCTTGGGACACAGAGGGCTGGAATCATTCCCCTTAGGAACTGAAACAGAAAATTAACTTGCTCAATATGCTTTAAAAAGTAAAGCGAAACCCAGATTTAATCTCAAATATAAAACATTACAGGACTTCAAAGGGCACCACAAAAAGACACATAAGTGGGGGCTATAAAAAATTCTAATGCGGTTCAGGATTTAGAATATATTTACATTGCAATATGAATGGTGTAATAGAAAATTTTATAGGCTACATAATCCAAAGGGGAAACGAATAATCTTTCATTTCCTAATAGAGGAAATTATATATGAAACCAACATTCAACAAGTAAATCATAAATATTATCAAACGTATAACATAACTGGGCAAAAGGAATCCCTTAACTATCCTGCTGCCAAACATGTGGCCTAGCCCACAGGCGCTGCCATGCTTTAGCTAGAGGAATCAGGGCTTAAGGAAAAACAGTGTGGAAATAACTTATGCTCACTGGTGGTGCAGCTAGCAATTCTGGCACAGAAAACTCAATGAGGGAATCTTATGAAAGCAATTAGTGAACATTAAGAGCTAATAGATTAAGAAGTCTTCATTTGTTAATTATAGTAACAGTTATGACGACATCTGTATATGCCAAATATTGAAAGTCTATTCAAGAGGGGACAGGACAAATGTTATTTTCAGATACTGGGTCCACAGTTCTATTTCTGTAAATCAAAACAGTCCTCGTCACAAGTGTGCTAAGCATAACATTACATTAATCTCTACCTTCAGTTGAAACCTCAGTCCCAAAAATCATCTCGAAAGGAACAGCAGAAAAAAAGCAAAATATCAAGTTATATATGTATGGTATGATCCCAATTTTGTTCTACAAACTGAGTGCATATAATCTAAAGACACCTAAGTATGAACAACAGCACTTTTGGGTTATGGAATGGAAAGCTATTTGTATTTTCTTTCTAGTATTTTCCAAATTTTCTACAATTAACATGTATTTTAAGAGAATTTTTAAATAAGGGGTTTAAGACTGCAGGAATACAAATCAGAAATGGGGTATCTATGCTATATTAGCCTGATCTTCGGTCTGCCTCTTATCTGAACAGAGCTAACAAATGAAGAAGTATTTATCTGATCACAGAAGTTCTTAATTTACACGTTCAAAACCCAAGTGTCCAGTAACACTTCCAGTGATGAACAACACTTTCCTAGAAATAAAAAATTCTTTTTTACTCTGCAAACTTGCCACAGACAGAGAACCATAGTTGTTTCCCTCCCTCACCTATCGCATCCAAATTTCTCTATCACTGGCCATGCCATAAAACTGTCACTAAGTTAAAAGAACGGGCTGGGCATGGTGGCTTATGGCCTGTAATCCCAGCAATTTGGGAGGCTAAGGCCAGAGGATCACTTGAGCCCAGACGTTCAAGACCAGCCTGGGCAACAAAGAGAGGCCTTGTCTCTACAAAAATTTAAAAAATTAGCCGGGCATGTTGGGACATGCCTGTGGGCCCAGCTATTTAGGAGGCTGAGGTGGGAAGGTCACTACAGCCTGGGAAGTCGGGGCTGCAGTGAGCCATGTTCACGTCACTATACTCCAGTCTGGGAGACAGAGTGAGACCTTGTTTCAAATACACAAATAAATTAAATAAATAAAAGAATGCCTCCTGGTGTTACCTACTCACAGGAGCAGGGCCCTTAATGACTCCTGGCACACTCATTTCTGATGCTCTTGGCATCCTGAAAAACACAAGACACAATGGTGGAATCTTTACACTGGGGCCTTGGCAACCCATTGCTCTAATAAGCCCGTGCCCAGAGAGGTAAAATGTCTTTCCCTCAGCCACACAGCCAGCAAAGCAGGAATGAGAGTCCAGACCATTTGCCTCCACTTTGACCAAGTGCTCTTTCCACCACTATGACATTTCAGCATGAACTCTTGGAAATAAACTTTGTACAAATCACGTGCAGGTATTAAATTCATACCAGCAAAACCAGAAGAAGAAGACAGAAATTTATTCTACCAAAAATGAAACGCATGCAGGAGAAAAAGTGAAGACTCAATCCTAGGCTAAAAAAGACACAGCTCTGCCTAGAACATGTTCAACTGAAGAAACAATGAGTGCACTGTGCTTGGGCAGCAGGTGTCCTGAACAGAAACTGCCTATCACACCGAAAGCTTTCTGGTCCTAGCACTGGCCCTGTTGATAACACTACAGTCCCACTGTTCAAAGAAGAACAAAAGGCTTTCAACAAGATAAAACTACACTTGCACCAAGCCACCTGTGAGAGACAGGAAAGATGCATGCACCAGTGTTAGAAATAATAAATGTCTGAAGGCATCAAGTCTGGCCTCTTACTTCCAAAATGACCCAAGTCTTAAGGGAAAGACATTAGTGGTTTCAAAAATTAAGAGATGCCAGGCACGGTGACTCATACTTGTAATCCTAGCACTTTGGGAGGCCAAGACAAGTGGATTGCTTGAGCCCAGGAGTTCGAGACCAGCCTGGGCAACATAGTGAGACCCTATCTCTACAAAAAATTTTAAATATTTATCCAACATGGTGACTCATGCCTGTAATCCTAGCACTCTGGGAGGCTGAAGCAGGCAGATAACTTGAGGCCAGGAGTTCAAGACCAGCCTGGCCAACATGCCAAAACCCTTTCACTTCTAAAAATACATAAATTAGCAAGGCATGGTGGCACACGCCTCTAATTCCAGCTACTCAGGTGGCTGAGGCAGGAGGATCACTTGAACCCAGGAGGAGGAGATTACAGTGAGCTAAGATAGCAGCACTGTACTCCAGCCTGGGCAACAGAGTAAGACTGTCTCAAAAAAAAAAAAAAAAAAAAAAAAACCCGGGCATGATGGCACATGCCTGTGGTCCAGCTATTCAGAAGGCTGAAGTGGGAGGATTGCTTGATCCTGGGCGGTTGAGGCTGCAGTGAGCTGAGGTCTCACCACTGCACTCCAGCCTGGGCAAGAGAACAAGACCCCGTCTCAGAAAAAAAAGAAATAAAGAAAACAATACAGTCACTAATAATTAAAATAATCCTAATCCTTCATCGCTTATGTCCACACAGCCTTGGAGTAAGAGCAGGCTTTTTTCTCTCTTCTTCAAGATTATTTCTTTGAAACATTGTTTACTTCCACTTTTTGTGTTACATCTACCTATGGTATCCACGCCACACCAATCAGAAACCCAGGAGTCTCACAAAATGGGAATAGTCTGAAAAGCCAGGGGAGAGAGGAGGACAGGTGGCAATGACAAACTCAGAAACAATCCCTGAAAGGTCTTTACTGAGCTCCCTTCTCGTCATCCTTTCCCGACTGTGCATCAGGGCAACAAAGGCATGAACTGTGAGGCTGCGCATAAAGCCGCGGCCCGGGCTGATGTGATCTGGCTTTGCGAGAGCCCGAACAAACACAATGGCTCTGTCCCGCCTCAACTGAGAAGTCAGGCGCTGGGTGAAAAAAGAAAATGCTTTTTCTCCACCCAAAACCACTTCTCAAACCCCTACCATATATTCCCGTGACGGATCCTGAAGGCAACACAATGTCAGCAGTTTATTTATTCCCTTTGATGCCTCAGTTCTAACAGTAAACATTAATGTCTGCAGCAGGCAAACGGAATCAGGGTCTTGTTGGTATTTCACAATGAAATCATAGCTTTGTGGTGAGTATTGTTCCAGTAACACCTTAAAGTCATTTGTAAGATAATGAGGGTAAGTTTAAATGTAGCAGTCTGATAAAATAACCTCTAACCCAAGAATCACAAAGTAGATTAAAGCTTACTGAAGTCACCAAGTTATTTTTCTCAACAGAAGACTAAACAGAAATGAGAACTGGATTTGATTCATAGATTGTGAAATCCTTTTTTATTCAAAACCTTGGTCATATGTCAGTTGGTCTTTGGCCTCCGTGAATGGATCTGGCAAAATGTGCACCCAGACACTGCCACCATTTGAGGATCTTCAATGTTTGGCCAGCTTTTTTTTTTTTTTTTTTTTTTTTTAAATGAGGAGTTTCCCTCTTGTCTCCCAGGCTGGAGTGCAGTGGCACAATCTCAGCTCACTGTAACCTCCACCTCCTGGGTTCAAGCGATTCTCCTGCCTCAGCCACCCAAGCAGCTGGGATTACAGGCGCGCACCACCACACCTGGCTAATTTTGTAGTTTTAGTAGAGACAGGTTTCACCATGTTGGCCAGGCTGGCCTCAAACTCCTGACCTCAGGTGATCCACATGACTCAGACTTTTTTGTTTTTACTAATGTCACAGGGAAGGTCTCTCCTTTTCAAGCCTGATTCCAGAAATATCCACCAAGCCAATTCAACACAGCTGAAATTTCTATGTCAAAATGACCAGGCAGACAAGGCAAGAAGGAACACACTGGAGCCCACTCCTCTAGGGCTGTGAAAATTTGTTTAATTTTGGGAACCATTGATTTACTGCATTAACTTACTTAAAAAAAAGTATTGGAATATTTTTATTATAAAAATTAGATTTACAGTATTGATAAATTTACAGGTTAAAATGTCTGGGAAAGAAGAATATAAATTGTTTGAAAGAATGAGGGTTCGTTAAAAAAAAATTTTCTTTCAAAAAGAATCTATCACAGGTAACCAAAAAAGAACTACTATGAAAACCGAAACTGGCATCCAACAAAGTCTGTGACTGATAACCTTAGGGCAGTTTGGAAAAGGGTTCATGTAATAACTTTCCCTGTAGGATTTCAACTAGGGGAAGGCGAATATTAATTAATTAATAGGTTCACTAATGTTTTTAAAGCTGTTCTGAAACAAGGGATGAAGAAATTAACAGATTTAGAGGTTGTGGTTCCAGGTCTGCTACTTATGACCCAAGGATAACTAACAGCCTCTTTAACCTCTGTTCCATCATCTATAAAACTAGGATGATACTATTAGCCAACTTCATGGAGCTGTCAACCATTCAAACTGAATATGAAAGCATTATTGAAACTATAAAGCACTATATTCATCCAACAAATATTTACTAAGAAACCACTATGCTGCTAGATGTGGCATTACCAATACAACCATGAACACTAAGACACAGCTCTTTCTGCACGGACTGACTCTAAGGGAAGCTGTGATCTGTGGGAAGGCTCAGGGGGCTAAAGGAACATGCAGGCGGCACCTAATCGGAATTCCAGACAAACACCAGGTATTGTGACGTTCCCAATACTTCTGGAAGGAAGTTTATCAGTGAAAAGTGATAGTGTCATTTTTAATTTTGGTTGCTTGTTAGCTCATTCATTTAGTACATTTTTTTAGCGAGCAATCACTATGTATCAGGTACCATTCTAGGTGATGGAGACTGGCACTAAAAAAAAATTTCTGCTTTAATGGGGCTGACATTTTGGTCATTCTTCATCTGTAGGAAATATAAAATACATATAGGAAATAGAAACGAGCAGCAATGCTACGTCTGCTTCAATACAATGATTTATTTTAACCAAAGTATCCATGCAAAAGTGTTAAAAGGAATATTCTAACTGATCCGTATATAGTAAAATATTTTATTTCTTATTTTAATCTCCAGGCCACATTTTACAATATACCAAATAACTACCACCATATGAAGGGCGCTCTGAGGTTTGAGGGATTACAATTTATGTGTTTTGGCATACAATGGAACACTCCCCAACACTTTTTTTTCACCCCAGGAAAAAAGAACACATGCTGAAATTCATCCAGTAATAACCCCAGTTTTACCACGGGGAATATCAATTATTTTAGAAGTATTTCCTGTAGTCATTATTTTAAAGATTAAAAAAAAATTAAATTATTTTAGAAACTAAACTCAAGTTCAACTTTAACATGCCAAAAGTCTGTCTTAGCAAAGTTTCTTTTTTAAAAAAAATTTTTATTTAATTAAAAGTCCTGAGAACTAAGCTATGCAGGACATGTCAGCCCTGCTGTACAAAAAATTCAATATGGGATGCAGGGGAAAGGGCTGAGGAAAGGGGGGAGAAAGAAGGAGAAGGGAAGGCACAGGCGTTAAGATCTACACATTAATCTCTAATAATCTGAAAATCCATGCACTCAACAACACTAAAAGCCAATGTTCAAAATACTGCATAAAAAGAATGAATATCTGGGTAAAAGTGACCAAGATGTTACTCAACTCCAGAGCAAGGGTTCCCAAACCTGGGGTAATACGATTTGACTGTGTCCCCACCCAAATCTCATCTTGAATTGTAGCTCTCATAATCCCCATGTGTCATGGCAGGGACCCAGTGGGCGGTAACTGAATCACTGAATCATGGGGGCAAGTTTTTCCCATGCTGTTCTCATGATAGTGAGTAAGTCTCACGAGATCTGATGGTTTTATAAAGAGCAATTCCCCTGCACACACACTCTTTCCTGACACCATGTAAGACGTGCCTTAACTCCTCCTTTGCTTTCCACCATGACTGTGAGGCCTCCCCAGCCATGTGGAACTGTGAGTCCATTAAACTTCTTTCTCCTTATAAATTACCCAGTCTTGGGTATTTCTTCATACCAGTATGAAAATGGACTAATACACTGGGGTTCTTACATAAAATACAAAGCCCAAGTACTCTGCATCATTTTTCAACTGTTCCCAGATGATGCTAATACAGCCACGGTTGGGAACCACTGATTTACTGTATTTTACTTAATGAGAAAAAGTATTGGAATATTTTTATTATAATAATGGGCAACTGTTTTCTGAACTTAAATCCCCAAATTTACCAATAAATTGTGTAATTCAAGAGGATGTGAAAAACATGTATTAAGTGTTGTCTATTTAGAGCATTGGGGAAGTAGCAGGTTAGGTGTCTAGTTATTTTGATTAACTTCCAACTTAAGATTAGTAAAAGGCATGCTTCCGGTCTCAGGGAATAAATGTTCCTTCATCAAAACTAGACTACCTAGAAAGAAGCTGGAAACAGTGAAGTCTAGATCATTAGGAATTATTGCCAAAGCTAACACCTTTTCACAATTCCATGCTGTCATTAGTGTCATTCCTTCTATCTATACTGCCCTGCCCTACTACTCTGTCAATTCTTCATTCCTCAAGGTCCAGCCCAAATATTACTGCCCTCATGAAGCCTTCCCCAGTATAGCAACAGAAAGAATTCCCGAAGGCTTTGCAATTTTCATTGCTTCTCCTATCATACATAGCAGGCTGATGTTCATTTCAGTAATATATATGCCTTATCCTGAAAGAATCTCTACAACATCTCACCTCCTCACCGTTTTTTGTTTGTTTGTTTGTTCTTGAGACAGAGTCTCATTCTGTTGTCCAGGCTGGAGTGCAATGGCCCGATCTCAGCTTACTGCAACCTCCACCTACCAGGTTCAAGCGATTCTCCTGCCTCAGCCTCCCGAGTAGCTGGGATACAGACAACCACCATCATGTCAGGCCAATTTTTGTATTTTTGGAGGGACGCAGTTTCACTATTTGGCCAGGTTGGTCTTGAACTCCTGACCTCAGGTGATCTGCCCACCTTGGCCTCTCAAAGCGCTGGCCCAGACCTCTCCCAATCTACTGCACCACAACTCTTGGACTTCTGTGCCCCTAACATTCTAACTCCATACTGCATCCATGCTCAAGAGACACATTTCTTTACATTTTCATACAGGTAATCTTGAGGTGTGTCTTATCTTTTTTTAATGGCATTTTAAAGATGTGGGGCAATGTTTATCTTAAAATTGTTAACATATAATGGTGGCTCTTACAAAGATGCCATCTTACAGTCAACGCATTGCAGAGACTATCTTAGTGCATCTTCCCTTCCGCTGCTCTACAACAGTGCTGTTCAACAGAACTTTCTTCAATTATGGAAATGTTCCATATTTGTATTGTTCAATACAATAGCCACTAGGCACACGTGCCTTGAAATGCAGCTAACTAGCATGACTGAGGAGCTAAATTTTTAATTTATTTAATTTTAATTAATGAGATTTATCTACATGTTTACCAGTTTATTTCTTCATCATTCCTTTTTGCATCTCAGCCCTTCCTCCTGGAATCTCTCCTTCCGGAAGTATATCCTTTAAGAAGTTTCTTAGAAAAGATCTTCTGTGGTAAAATCAGGTTTAGGTTTTTCTGAAAGCGTATTTTGCTTTTTCCTTGAATGACAGCTTTTTTTGACATACAATCAATATTTTCTTTTAGCGTTTTGAAGATATTTTTCCACTAATTTCCAGCTTCCATTGTTGCTGTTGGGAAGTCAGCTCTCAGTCTGATAAACAATCTGCCTTTTTTTCTGGCTGTTCTTAAACATGGTCTTCTTTTTTTTTTTTAAGTGAATTAAAGTTTCTTTATGTCTAGTATGAATTTTTTTATTTATATGTTGTGCTTCCCTTATCGGCCCATAAATTACTTAGATTTAAGGAACATGGCCATTTATGTCATTCATAAACTCTCTCTGGAAATTATATATACATTAGATCTTCAAATAGTACTCCTAACCATTTACTCTTATTATCTTTCTGGAACTCAGAAGAGATCTCGTCATGACCGTTATATCCTTCAACTACTTTCGTTTTTCTTCTCCCTTATGCTACTTTCTGGTTAATTTCTTCAAACTTTTTTTCTAGTTCATTTTTCTAGTTCACCTATTTCTAATCTAATTTATTTAGTTTTTATTTCAACAGTTCTAATATTTCCTTAGGTCTTGGCTTTCCAAATCTGCCTGGTCAATTTTGCATTTAGTTGTGATTACATGTTTTCTTTCTTAAAATATTTCATACCTAGTAATTTTATATTCTATATCAGATAATTCTAATATCTAAAGTCCTTAGGGTTCTAAATCTATTGTTTTTCACTTGTTTCTTTTCTTCTTTTTTTTTTTTCTTGAGATGGAGTCTCACTCTGTCGCCCAGGCTGGAGTACAGGGGCGCAATCTCCGCTCACTACAAGCTCCGCCTCCTGCGTTCACACCATTCTCCTGCCTCAGCCTCCCGAGTAGCTGGGACTACAGGCGCCCACCACCAACCATGTCCGGCTAATTTTTTTTGTATTTTTAGTAGAGACGGGATTTCACCGTGTTAGCCAGGATGGTCTCGATCTCCTGACCTCGTGATCTACCCACCTCGGCCTCCCAAAGTGCTGGGATTACAGGCATGAGCCACCGCGCCCGGCCTTCACTTGTTTCTGATGACTCGCACTGCTGATGGCTTGTTTTCTTGTAGGACTGGAGATCTTTGATTCTGAATGCCGATTTGATTGATGTTAGTCAGGAAAATCCTAAGGTCTAAAGTGAAGATGCCTTCCTCCTGAAAGGATGTGCACTTGCTTCTGCCAGAAGCCAAAGGGCACTATCTTCCTAGAGCCACTTTAGCTCCTCTTACAAATAAGTACTGGTGGAATGCAGGCTCTTATACCTTGCCACTGACCCAAGACTTAGTCTCTAACCACAATGGTGATATTAGAGGTGGAGTATTCCTTATCCACAATGCTTGGGACCAGAAGTGTTTTGGATTTCAGACATTTTCAAATTTTGGAATATTCTGCAGAATATATACTTGCTATGCCTTCCTAATCCAAAAATTATGAGCATTTTCCTTTGAGTTTCATGCCCGTACCCCAAAAGCTTCAAATTTTAGAGTATTTTCAATTTTAGATTTTCAGATTAGGGATGTTCAACCTGTAGCATTTGCTCTTCAGGTAACCTATCTTTTGTGTTTGCTTACACATAAAGCTTGGGTTTTACCTTACCCTTTGATGCTTGGTTGAACTACTTGAAGTGAGAGATTTTGGAGAGGTCTTAGTTCTTGTGGTCTCAGAAATACATTAAAAAATGTTTTATCCAGAATATAATGCTTTAGTGGAAAAGTGTGTTATTCAGTCTACCGTACTGCTAGGAACCTAAGCAGTATTAGTCTTAAACTAATCATCTTCTCCCAAAACCTACTTTTCCTCCTTTGTTACACATTTTGCTAAATGGCACCATTCACTCTCACCCAAATCTGCAACCCAAAATTACAGGTACCAGTGACCCTTCTCTTTCCCCTACTATCTCATCTGTAACTAGGCAACAAGTCCGGAAATCTTACTGATCAAAAGTAGGTTTCCATTTATGTTTCTGATCTTGGCACCTAGTAGTACAATCTTAATCTTCAAGGCCAAGTCAAGATAAATGAGGCAGAATTAAAACCTAAATCCTGCATTCTTACTAAATGAAGGAGCTTTAATATGAAGGAAGCATAGAATACAGGAAAGTGGAGGAATTGAGTTTCATGCAGATCTAAAAAGAACTGGCACTCCGGCTGTCAGAAACATAATCACATTTTCGAGGAGGGGTTTAATTTTAGTGAAACAAAATTATCTGTCATGATAAATTAATATTAATTTGAATTTTATTGGTTTTGTAGTTTTGTTTGAATTTGCTCTATAAATCTATCACTGCTTTACAGTTAAGTAAGAGCTAGACGCGTAAGGAGTTTATACCTAGTTTATATTGAAGCTCCTTCATAATAAAAATATTTATTACTGAGGATTTGTGAGAAATGTTTCCTCTAAATAGAGGTCCATAAATTACTGAGATTTAAAAAACAATGCTCTTTATATACTTCACCACCCTTGATACATTTATCATTCTCTCCATAAATGAATGGAGAGAAATGGAACACAATCGCACATGCAAGAAATCATTTGCTAAACTCCAATTTCTCCCCAGTTCTCCAGCTGTTTGAATTATGTCATTACTGATTAACCTTTGGAGGCAGCAGGCCTTGTTTTTTTCCTCCAATAGAGATGGCTTCTAATAGGAAAAATGACTGGAAACACTTCTCTGCCCAGCTCCTACCATTATACCCGCTTCTACTAGAATTTGTAAAATAACACAAATGCACCTGGCAATAGTACAACCAATCAAATGTCTCCAACAAAGGATGGTCGTCCTTGCCTTAAGGAAGTCCATTTCCTGGTTGCGTTTCCATAACCAGGAATTTTGGGAAATATGGCATTGTTTTTCTGAACGAGTAAAGAAACTACCAATCATTTCTTTTAAACTTCTAGATTTTTATTCTCTATGGACTGTAAACTTTCACAGCTTCATTTTAAAAGTCCTGTGCCATAATTTTACCCTACAATTCCTGTCTCCCTGAAATGTGTAAAACCAAGCTGTAGCCCAACTCTCTCATGCACGCTTTATCAGGATCTCTTGAAATTGTGTAACCTAGACCACAGTCACTTATACTGGTTCAGAATAAACCTCTTTAGACATTTTGGCAGAATTTGGATTTTTCCCATATTGAGTGTTTTTTGGTCCCAAAACTGATTAAAAATTACCTTGTGTTTTAAAAGTCCTATGCCAAGATAAAACTTTCTCTCTCCAACATATGTGCTCATGTATCAACATCTATGTTTCTCCTCCCACAAGGTCCAACTCAATCAGAACCAAAAGGGAGATCACAGCATATCCATGCAATCCCTGGCTGGACAGACGGGGCACCCTAGGGCCTGGAGTTACGCAGCTGACTGGCAGAGGTCAGTACCCAGTTCTACCCAGTGTGGCCACCCGATCCAACTCTGTGACTCATTTTAAATCATAAGTAGTTTGAACAAAGACTTAAAATTAACGGGTTTGGTCATCATTAAAGTTTATTTTTAAACGTCAAGTAATTTGGCATTTTACTAACAACAACTTGAGGATATCCACAGTGTATGAAACACCAACTCTTGTTTCAATAAAAGTCTAATGAAAGTTTCTCAAATTCTGAAACCTAATTCCAGGATTCTTATTTGGAACTGTTTTTTTGTTTTTGTTTTTGTTTTTGTTTTATCAGAGTACATTAACTCAGGGGGAAAATGAGATTATCTTTTGATTCAGAGAGAAACAGAACATTCCACTGATAGTTTAAAAATAACACAGTGACCACAGATAACTGTAGTTCAGCAATTTTCAAATTCAGATTCTGGGTCAGGGCACAAGATTATGCGTCTTTAACAAGCACAACTGATTATAATGCTGATGGTCTAGAGGAAACTTGATGGGAAACACTGATCTATTCAACACTTTTTAAAAGTACACTTTAGTACTATTTCTACCTAGTCAATAAAATAAAGAAGGAAGGAGAAAGGAGGACGAATAAGAGAGAATCCGAAAGACACACTACCCAGACAGACTACTCAGACAGACGAGACAGTCAGGCAGACATGGTGCTACCCGTCAAGCATGCAGGAAAGCAGCTTTCATGGAATAACATTCCTAAACTCTTGCCTAATAAATTATGCTGAGAGCTGCTGCTAAGAATTTTTTAAACCAACTCAAAGCAAAAAAGGAGCTATTCACCCAATCAACAGGTGAAATCAAGTCACAGACTAGTATAGGGTTTGGCAGATTTCAGGCCCTCCAGAAATATCTGTTTAATTGAGAAGCAACTCCAGCTCTAGCTAGAAATCTATTTAACCATAAAAGTGAAATCATAATGAATTTGGTCGTATCTTATTTTTCCCCTTTGTTTGTTTCCTCGGGGCATCTATAATGGCTGAATTGGAAATGGAACCACAAGTATTATAACAACATTTGTTGGAAAGTTCATCCTGTATTTTAGTAGTACATAAGTTGACAGATATGGCTTTATGAATTGTTCTCAGAGACTTAAAAAAAAAAAAACCCTGAACTTTGTAAAAATTACATCCATTATCCACCAAGTAACATTTGCAAGCAAAACCCTCTACTAGAAAAAATGGGTGCGAAAATAGGAAAAGGAGAAGAACAGGAGGAAGAAAAGGAGAACAGGACGTACAATTAATTGAGGGGAAAAAAATCATGAGTAAAGAAGTCAGAAATAAATGTAGCTAAAAATACAAACTGCTACTTTATGGTCCAGATATTGTAATATATCATTTTTAACATAAAAGAAAAACAAATCCTCAACAGACTTCCTATAAACGAAATTATCAGAGTTCCCGAGTACACCGGGGGTCGAGGGAAGAATCTCCATGTGCTCCGAGTATCGATAGCCAGTCCAGCTTCATTCACTCATTCATTTCTTTTCTTTCATTTCAGGAGAACATTTAGCAGTGTTTTGTTTTATTTATTTTATTCAAAGGGAAATCCTCATGTGACACTAGCGGTGAAAATAACTTGTATTTGTAAGTTAATGTCTGCTGTACATCTGAGTACACAATTGTCTTTCACAGAAGATGGAGCAAAGTATTACGGAAAGTTCATTGGCTTCTGAGTCTGAGAGAAATGGGTTCAAATCCTGAATACGTTCCTTATCTGTGTGATCTTAAGACTCATCATTTAATATTCTGAGTCAGTTTCCTCCTCTATAAAACAAGAATCAGACGGGGCACAGTGGCTCACGCCTGTAATCTCAGCACTTTGTGAGGCCAAGACGGATGAATCATCTGAGGTTAGGAGTTCGAGACCAGCCGGACTAACATGGGAAAACCCCCGTCTCTACTAAAAATACAAAATTAGCCGGGAATGGTGGTGTACGCCTGCAATCCCAGCTACTTGGGGGACTGAGGCAGGAGAATCGCTTGAACCCAGGAGGCAGAGGTTGCAGTGACCCAAGATCACGCCACTGCACTCCAGCCTAGGTGACAGAGAGAGACTCTGTCTCAAAAAAAAAAAAAAAAAACAAGGATCATAACATCCACCTTCCAGATGGAGAAGGGATTAGGGATAAAGTGTTTTAAAGCGCTTGGCACAGTGCCTGGCACACAGCAAGTGGCGATTTCTATCGTCTTGCACACCTGCTGCATTTCCCCGAGGGCTCCAGAATTTTCTGGTGCAGGCAGGTCAGCACAAGGCAAATCTTCCCCCGACTATTTTTCCCTGGACTACTTTGTACTCTCTTCCAGGCTGCAAAGAGCTCCTGCATGAAAGCCCCCTTCAAATGACCTTCTAACACTAGGTTGGTGAAGGCCAACAGGCCCTTGGGAGCAAAGAGAACTTTGTTTACCATTGAACTAGAGCGAAAGAAGCCCAATAATTCACCCCTAAATTTTTCACCCCTAGAGCAAGCTAATCCCAAACGCTCTACCGATAGGTGGGAGAGTGGAATGAGCAAATATGAGAGATGGAATTGTAAATTTGCTTCACCACCCACACCAAGCCAACAGCACACACAACTGCTGCAATGCATGGATCTTCCTGAAATCCAGACCAGACCAAGATATGCCAAGAAACAATACAGGGGCAGTGAGAAAGAAGCTGCCAGTTCTTCGCAAATTTCCATGGCTCTTAGCTGAGAGCTACGACTCCAGGCCGCGCAGTGGCTCACACCTGTAATCCCAGCACTTTGGGAGGATGATGTGGGTGGATCACTTGAGGTCAGGAGTTCGGGACCAGCCTGGCCAACATGGTAAAACCCCGTCTCTACTAAAAATACAAAAAATTAGCTGGGTGTGGTGGCACACACCTATAATCTCAGCTACTCAGGAGGCTAAGGCAGGAGAATCACTTGAACCTGGGAGGCAGAGGTTGCAGTGAGCCGAGATTGCGCCACTGCACTCCAGTCTGGGCGACAGAGTGAGACTCCACCTCAAAAACCAAACAGTCAAACAAACAAAAGAGCCACGGACTCCAAAGTGCATTTCCCAAGGTAATCTCACTTGTAATTAAGAGAAGTGGGATATTCGTGGGGACAAAAAAAATGGACTCTGGAGCCAGACTGCCTGGGTTCAAAGCCTGGCTCCACACTCTCCAAGCTGTGTGGCCTTGGACATGTCATGCAGGATAGGCATAATGATACCAACTAACTCACAGGGCTGCTGTCAGAATTAAATAATACAGTAAAAGCACCTGAATTGGCTATTATTACTATGAAAATTACATCCATTTCCCATTAATGAGTCAGAGGTGAAAAGAGTATATTCTTTTCTCAGAAAAGGATTCCTATTTCTCTAAGAGTTTATGTCTAAGAGGCTATGCCCAAACGGAATCATATTTTAGACACACTAAGAAGTCATTCTGGTTTGTTGAAAGCAGTAGCTCTATGCTACAGTGGCATCAGGAACATCTGGAAAACTTTTCCAAAAGGTACATGTCTGGGCAACAGGTCTGGTTTGGAGCCCAAAATGTGTATTTTGACAAAGCAATGTCATTCTAATGCACACATGGAGGTGAGAAACACTGGTTGAAAGCAAGTCCCAACTCTACAAGACAGGTCTTTCCCAGGAGGATGGGAATAGTTCAAGGGTGTTGAGGGGTATCACTGCCCACAAAAATGCCTCTGCAACCTGTATGCTGCTGCCTGAAATTCTTTTAGCAGGATTTTTTTTGTAGCACAAACCAGAAATACATTTTAAACTAGAAAAGGAACTAATATCGATTGAGCACCTACTACATGCCAGGCCCTTTACCCATCTGTCCCGTTTCTCAAGGTCACCCCACAGCACGGTTACTATACAAATGAGGAAACTGAGGAGCAGAGAGGTTCCTAGCATAGCCGAGATTCCATCCCAGGTGTGTCTGCCTCCTGCACCACCCTGCCTCCTAGTCTATGACCTGGGCTCAGGAATCCCGGACACAGTTCCAAATCAAGGACATGAAACTGACTAAAAGGGTAGCTTTACACCCACCCCACCTCACCCTCAGGTCCTCTCAGGTTGTACTGAACCACAATCAGACCTGAAGTTTAAAGATGTAGGAAGGAGTTCTCCACTCCCACCTTGCCACCTCCTCCAAGAGAGGACTGTAGGGCAAGTCTCAAACTCACTAGGCCTTAATGCTGCATCTGTACAAGAGAAATGTATTAGCCTTAAATCGACCTTTCCCTTTCTCTATCTCTCTCTTTTTCTTTCTCTCTCTCTCTGATAGGAAACAGGAAGGAAGAAGGGAAGGGAACAGATGAATTAATATAAAGTCAGATAAAAATGGAGAAAATAACCCTATCTACCTCAAAAGGGCTATTTTTCTATGAAGCGCAAATAAGATCACAATATACACAGTAATATTAGCCGACTTACTTAACTCCTTCAGTAAATCTGCCAAGACAACAACCCAAAGAGATGAGTATTAACATTCCCATTTTTCAGATGAGAAAACTGAAATGGAAAAAGGTAAAAATAACTTGTCCAAAGAACTACAGTTTATGAATGCAAATTCAAACCCAGGATTATATCTAACCTTTTCAACTCTTAGGCCTAGTATCCTATCTTGTTGATAAAATCACTATGTAATCTGTCAATTCTTATAGAGATATTACTTTTCCCTTACTAGGAAATTTTCATGAGCTATAAAGTGCCTCTAAGCTGCAGAAAAAGCAAAGGGATGTGAATAGTCTATAAACTGCAATCTCATCCCTGGAATAAGTAAAAGAAGCTTGTAATCCTATTTGCAGCTTAATGAATGGAAAATAAATAGAAGCATCCAAAGAAAATGAAAGCAAGCAAGAAATAACATTAAGGAAGGAAGCAATAGGCTTAAGGGCAAAAAAAAAAAAAGGAAGAAGAAGGAGAAGGAGGAGGAGGAGGAGGAGGAGGAGGAGGAGGAGGAGAAGGAGAAGGAGAAGGAGAAGAAGAAGAAGAAGAAGAAGAAGAAGAAGAAGAAGAAGAAGAAGAAGAAGAAGAAGAAGAAGAAGAAGAAGAAAACATCACAGGATGCTGTTTTGCGGATACTGGAGAAACAATGCTTTTGGGAAAACATCAAGGATGAAAAACAAGGCCACGGAGGTGATTCAGACAACAGTAATGCAGTGATCCAGGGCCCAGGGCAAGCTGGCTGTAAGGAACGGGTGCGGGGCCTCACAGGTGCTGCCGGCCTGGACAGGGAAGACAAGGGCCTGGGATCAGCAGGACTTGGAAAGGAAATGACGGAAGCCCATAGCTTATGAAGTGATTAGTCAGAGTGCTTGAAGAACACCATGCACATTCCCATTTCACTCCCTGCAAATGATAGGACATGACCAGAGATTCCTTAACAGAGATGACTTTTTAAATATTAGATAAACCAGACGCAGGGAAATTTTCTCTCCAGAATGCACTCTAGTTAGCAATCAGAATGACAGAGGAGACTTCAGGGAGCTGAAGATTGCAGCAGACATAACCAGCAGTTAGGAGACCCAGGTTCAAGATACGGCTCCACCACTAATGCCCTGGGCTTGGCCGCCTTGGGCAAATCCCTCAGCGACTCAATCCATCAGCCTCCAAGAGAAGGGTGGGACAGGATGACCTCTAAGAGGCTGTGTTTGGTGACTAACTCCCTTCCCTGGTCTCCCTCTCACCCTCTTTCATCTCACATTGCAATGAGCTCTCCAATATACTTCTAGCTCAAAGAGAGGGAGGGAGGGAGGAAGGGTGGCCTAAGGATGACAAATGTGCTTAAACCTCAACATGCCTTACAAGAACTGAAAATCCAAAATATAAATCAAACTAATAAAGCCAATGAAAATTATATCTACCACTTATTGAACCATTACTATGTGCCAGACACTGTCCTAAGCACCTCGCATGCATTAGCTCACTTAATCCTTATGACGACCCTCTAAGGAAGGAGGTAGATAAGTAATTTGTCCAAGTGACACAGCTTGTGGTTAAGCTGAGATGTGAATGTGGCCTCCCGAGCCTGACCTCTTAATCATTATACCCACAGCATTAACTTTGGGGATAAGACTACCCCAGCTAATTATGATATGATGCCTCTTTGCTTTAGAATGAAATTACACCAACTCAAACTGACAGCATGTATTACAGAATGCTGCAGCTATGATCCTCTTCCCTGGCAAAAAAAAAAAAAAAAAAAAAAAACGTGGTAAGTTTGGAATTGTGATTTGGCAAATATACAGCTTGGGTGAAACCATGACTTTCATAGACACTGCTCGTTTATTCTGGAATCTCTGAGTCCAAGCCCAAAGTCTCTCTCAAAAGTATAGCATTCAGCCGGGCATGGTGGCTCACACCTGTAATCCTAGCACTTTGGGAGGCTGAGGTAGAATAACTCCTTGAGCCCGGGAGTTCAAGACTAGCCTGGGCAAGATGGCGAAACTCTTCTCTACAAAAAATTTCAAAATAAGCTGGGTGTAGTGGCAGGCACCTGCAGTGCCAGCTACTCAGGAGGCTGAGGTGGGAGGATTGTTTGAGCTCAGGAATTGGAGGCAGCTGTGAGCTAAAATTGTGCCACCGCCCTCCAGCCTGGGTGACAAAGCAAGACCCCATCTCTAAAAAGATAAAAATAAAAAATAAAGTACAACATTCCAGACACCAGGGACAATGAGGACCCCACACAGCCAACTTCTTATTTACTCAGGAGAGTAGGTGAAGCCCAGAAATGTTGAAAGAGTGGCTCCAAGTCACACAGGTAATTAGAGAGAAAGCTAGAGCTAGAATGTTGAGCCTCCCAAATTCCAGTGTAAAGTTCTTTCAATTCTTTAAAAACAAAACCCATGTCTCCTATCCCTTATTTTTTTTCCGCTTATTATAGAAACTTTCAAACACATACAAACGTAGAAAGAATGAATGAACCCCCATACAGCCAGCCATCATCCAACTTCAATGATTATTAACTCATGGGGAATCTTACCTTATTTCCACATTTATCTACTCTCCCCACCTCATCACCACCAGTTGCTTTGAAGTAAATTCCAGGCATCACACATCCTTTCATCCACAAATATTTCAGCATATATCTCTTAAAAAGATAAAATTTTTAAGAGACACTCTAAAGCATAACCACAATAGTATTAACACACCTATAAAAATTAACAATAATTTCTTAACATCAATTATCTGATCAGTGTTCAAATTTCCCCGTCTTTTTTTTTTTTTTTTTTACAATTTGTCGAATCACAATCTATACATAGATTGTGTATTGAATCACAGTCTACACATAGCAACTGGTTAAAGTATTTCTTAAATTTCTTTTAATCTCTAGGTCTCCTATTCATCTCTCTGTCTCCCTTTTTTCTAACAATTGATTCATTGATAAAATCAGATCAATTGTACCATGGGGACGATTCTGTCTCAAAGTCTGGATTTTGCTTTCTTTTTATCTCCCCACAACGCTCTTCATTGTACCTTGCATAAAGGAAGTGAGCTTAGACTCACCCATATGCATTCTTTCTCTCTCTATCTCACCCTCTACATAGACACACATACATGCTCATCATAAAATAATTTAAGAGAACAGGCAAGGCACAGTGGCTCCTGCCTGTAATCCTAGTACTTTGGGAGGCTGTGGTGGGAAGACTGCTTGAGCCCTGGAGTTTGAGACCAGCCTGGGCAACATGGCAAGACCATGTCTCTACAAAAAAATAAACAAAATTAGCCGGGCAAGGTGGCATACACCTGCGGTCCCAGCACTCAGGAGGCTGAGGTGGGAGGACGGCTTGCTGGATCCCAGGAGTTTGAGGCTACAATGAGCTCTGATCACACCACTTCACTCTAGCCTGGGCAACAGAGTAAGACTCTGTTAAAATAAATAATAAATTTTATTTAATTGTTGATTCAATTCAGCAAATATCCACTGAGTATCAATAAGGGCAAGGTGTGTGGAATAACAAGGTGAATAAGATATGGTCTTTATCTCTGGGAAGACACAATCCAAGAAAGGTGATAAGCTCTATAATGTTAATTCAAGGAAGATAAGTGAGAACTACTTAAGAGGACTCTAGAAGAATTTCCAGGATAAGGTAAGACCTAGGCTAGACTTTGAAAATGGCAGTTTGGGCCCAGATGGAGCAACATGCAATGTGACATAGAGGACAGCTTGGGTAATGCCACAAGGCAGGGATGATTCCGGCAGATTTTAAAACAGCAGCAGCACAGGTGGGTAAAAGATCTGGGGGGAAAGAGTATGGTAATGATAGACCACATATCTGCTGAGAGATTTGAGAATCATCACGCATTTTTGAATAGGGGAATAGCCCTGGATCTGTATTCTAAAGCATTAGTGAGTGTATTAGAAGTGAGGATTCCAGTTTGGATTTCAATAATCCACCTGATGGGTCCCTGCACTAGGTCAACAAGAATGACCAAAGAAAGAAGGAAGTGACATGGTTTATCAACTGAATACCTGGGGCCAGGAGGCAGGAGGAGTAAAAGATAATATAAGCTGATTTTCAGCTTTCAGAGAAAGAAGATTACTTTCTTAAGGAAAAGAAAAATTATCCCTATAGTTCCTCAAGAAAATATATACACCTTTCAGATCATAAACAAGCGTCAGTCAAAAATTCTTGTCAACAGTGATAATGGGCATCCTGGACATCTTGACTTTAAGCTAAATTCAACAGATCCCAGGGAACACTGGACCAATCCACTTTCTTCAATATGTTCATAAATCTTATTTTGATTTCTCTGAGGCCTTCCATACTCTGGGCATGTGAGTCTGAGGCAAATGTGTATTTTCCACGTTAATTCTATTTTTTAGAAAATGAGAGAGAAAAAGAAATTCAAGTCTAAAAATTTTGAGATCACCTTTATACTCCAAAACCTCAAATAACATACTTCTACAGCTTTGTATTCAACCTACATGAAATATAAATGTTCTCTAACGTTTCAAAAACAAGGAACATAGATGGAAGGAAATTAATTATAAAGAAAAGTCTATAAGATCTATAAAGGCTGGGGTACCTTAAACAAAATGCTTGGGATCAGTAGAGTTTCGGATTTTGTATTTGGAAATATCTGCATAAGGAAGTATCTTGGAGATGGAGCCCAAGTCTAAACATGAAATTCATGTTTCATATATAACTTATACACATAGCCTAAAGGAAATTTTACACAATATTTTTAATAATTTTGTGCATGAAACAAAGTTTTGACTTTGGTTTGACCACAACCCGTCACATGAGGTCAGGTGTGAAATTTCCCTCTTGCGGCATCACAATGGCAGCTAAAAAGTTTTGGATTTTGGAGCACTTCAGATTTTCACATGAGGGGTACTCACCTTGTACACTGAGATAAAACGTAAGCAGTGTGCACATTACAATCTCTGAATCCACAACTGATTTTGAAAATATACACAAATAATTATCAGTAGTCTAGGACTACAGAGTTTCAAGACACTGACACAGGATGCAAAAGGCGGCTCCTTTGATTCAGAAGAGATCCCTAGATACATAATTTCCCTTTTATCTAAGAGACCACAATAGTTTCCCTTTGTACCAGACAGCACAAACCCAATTAAGTGTTTAATAGATACTTTCTGTGATAAGTCCCTTTGAAAAACAAAACAAAACAAAATCTTATATAGATTGCCTGAAAAAGTGAAGTAATATCACTTCTCGTTAAATGTTAACCTTTAAATAACTAAAACAGCTAGTTTATCCTCTGGACTTAAAACCCTACATCACACTAGCTTTAACATACATACAAAGGGTAAATTCCAGTTGTTCTAAGAGCCAATAGAAGGTTATGACTTAAGAGGTTGATTCTTTTAATTTAGAAATAGTCCTAAGTGATCTTTTAAACATGGCTGTTTTTTAGAGGGCTAGACTAAATCCAGGTGTTTAAGTACATATTAAAATTAACATAGAGTCCATCTTCAGGGAATAATTCTGGATTTCACTTTTTTTAAGCTTTTATTTTACAAAGGGCTTTAAGTGAGAATATTTTCCCTTTAGCCCCATTTGCAGAGAGATTCACCATCACAGCAATAAACCACTTCCCAAAGCCATGAACCCTCTAACACTTCCCTCACAAAAACAGCGATTATTTTATATTTTATTTGACCATTTGAGATGTCCGCAAGGCACCCATGTGGGAGAGACAGTTAGAATCCAAAGAACCCCAGGTGTGCCATTGTAGCGGTGTAGCAAGTCACTTAACTGTTTCCTCACTGCACAGGAGGGTCCTAAGAGTACCCGTCTTTCAAGGATGCTACAAGGACTATCTTGGATTCTCTGATCCTCCAACACAAATTGGGCATCTTACCATCCAATGCTACTCTCACACGAACTACCCACAAGGAGTCAGAGGCCACAGGTAGAAGGGCTCAGTACCACAAGACTGCCCTCACCCAGGGGCCACCATGAGTACTACATCCCTAGGTTACCCATGTAACCAAGTACCCCGATAGTTCTCAGAATCGGTTTTTTCTCTCTCTCTTCTTATCTCTTTCCTCTGTTTCCTCACTTCCTACTTAGCTCTTTAGTAATGCAATTATAGCCTTTTACCTCATCTTCACCAGATACTCCCTACAGCAAGTTCATCTAACTATGTGCTTAGCAATTCCAGAGCGGAACTCTCACCCACCAGGAGGTTGCCTCAAGAGACAAGACGTCAATTTATAACCCAAGGTATGCCCACTATGAAACTCTCTACACCTGGGGAGTTTTCGGCCACTTTTACAACACAGTTCAGTCCATGAAGGTACCAGCAGTCACCAGCTTGATCGCCCAGTAGATAAGACACTGAAGCAAGTACACGAACCCCTCCACCTGCTCGCTTCCTCCCCTGCAAGCCATTCATGCCAGCATGTCAGGCCCCCTTTTTTTTTTTTTTTTTTTGAGACGGAGTCTCGCTCTGTCACCCAGCCTGGAGTGCAGTGGCGCGATCTCCACTCACTGCAAGCTCCGCCTCCCGGGTTCACGCCATTCTCCTGCCTCAGCCTCCCGAGTAGCTGGGACTACAGGCGCCCGCCACCACGCCCGGCTAATTTTTTTGTATTTTTAGTAGAGACGGGGTTTCACCATGTTAGCCAGGATGGTCTCAATCTCCTGACCTCGTGATCCGCCCGCCTCGGCCTCCCAAAGTGCTGGGATTACAGGGTCAGGCCCCCTTTTAAAAGTACCCACTTTCTGCTCCAAAAGGGAAGCAAGAAGCCTGTAGTTCTTCCGCTAAGCTAGCTTTGGAATAAAAAGTCACTTTCAGCCAGGCTTGGTAGCTCACGCCTGTAATCCCAACACTTTGGGAGGCTGAGGCGGGAAGATCACTTGAGCCCAGGAGTTTGAAACCAGCCCAGAGCTGTATTCTATGGGCAAAAAAATGGATCTGGATCTATGGGCAAAATAACGAGACCTCATCTCTACAAAAAAATCAAAAAATTAGCCAGGCATAGTGGCATGTACCTGTAGTCCCAGCTACTGGCGAGGCTGAGGTGGAAGGATCACGTGAGTCCAGGAGGTGGAGGCTGCAGTGAGCCAAGATTGCACCACTGCACTCCAGCCGGGTCAACAGAGCGAGACTGTCAAAAAAAAAAAAAAGAAAGAAAAGAAAAGAAAAGCCGGGTGCGGTGGCTCAGTGGCTTACACCTGTAATCCCAACACTTTGGGAGGCCGAGGCAGGCGGATCATTTAAGGTCAAGA
This sequence comes from Homo sapiens, assembly GCF_000001405.40. Taxonomy (NCBI): domain Eukaryota; kingdom Metazoa; phylum Chordata; class Mammalia; order Primates; family Hominidae; genus Homo; species Homo sapiens. Next base: position 41,166,690 of record NC_000004.12, read on the forward strand.
GTTTGAGACCAGCCTGACCAACATGGTGAAACCCTGTCTCTACTAAAAACACAAAAAATTAGCCGGGTATGGTGGCACATGCTTGTAATCTCAGGTACTCAGGAGGTTGATGCAGGAGATTCGCTTGAACCCAGGAGGCAGACGTTGCAGTGAGCCGTGACCACACCACTGCACTCCAGCCTGAGCAGAAAAATAAAATAAAATTTAAAAAAACTGTTTTATACCAGACCTTGCTCTTGTTAACTGGACTCTGCAAGTGGTGGGTGACTGAACCTGCATTTTGGGGTTAAACCCACACTTCTGTCTTGGCTACAAATTTGGGGGTTTCCACATAAGCCCTCCCACGTTCAATAATTCACTAGGTTGGCTCATAGAACCCAGGAAGACACTTATGTTTCTTTGCATATACATAAAGGTTTATCAAAAAGGATATAACTCATGAACAGTCAAATGGAAAGGATGCACCAGGCAAGAGGTGGGGGCAGGCGCACAGTTTCCAAGCCCTCCTGGAGCATGCCACCCTCCCAGCACCTCCGTGTGCTCACCAACCCAGAAGCTCGCCAAATCTCACTGTCTACTATGGAGGCTCCATTATGTAGGCATGATTGGTTAAATCATGAATCCTTCTCATCTCCCTCGAGGTCTGAAATGGAGCAGAAAGTTCTAACCCTCTAAACATGCTTTGGTCTTTGTGGTGACCAGGCTCAACCTGAAGATAACTACCCACAACAACCCCCAAGAGTGAATGATTAGCACGTGAAAGACACTCTCACCACTCAGGGGACTCCAAGGGTTTTAGGAGCTCTGTGACAGGAACCAGGGACAAAAACCAAATGTTAATTTTTTTTTATTTTATCACAGACTAAATGTACAAGTAGTGCCTATGCATATTTTATTAATCTAAAACAGTAGTGAATAATGCAAGTGCCTCCTCAGCATTGTATGGAAGTCATATGGATTCAGAGAGCCACCAGCCCCCATCCCTAGGGCAATATTCCTTCTAATGGTGATAGGTTCAAAAACGGACAAACCCTCTGGTCTCAGTGACCAGCTGTGAGCTGATCCTAGTATGAGGCTCAAAGCTTAGGAACAATACTGAGGAAAACTCTTTCCCTAGATGAGAACAAAGACACACATCATTCTGGAAACTACTGGCAGCCATCTTGCCACAAGGAGGAGAGCTGCACTGAATCCAGCTAGCAGAGGAGGCCAGAGCCAACATGGTGCTTTTCCACAGCCTACCACAAGGTCAGGACAGAAACTGACAATGAGCATGTTTAGAAATATTGACAGCAATTTGGCTGGGCGTGGTGGCTCACGCCTATAATCCCAGTACTTTGGGAGGCCGAGGCGGGCGGATCACGAGGTCAGGAGATGGAGACCATCCTGGCTAACATGGTGAAACCTCATCTCTACTAAAAATACAAAAATTGGCCGGGCGTGGTGGCAGGTGCCTGTAGTCCCAGCTACTCGGGAGGCTGAGGCAGGAGAATGGCATGAACCCGGGAGGCGGAGCCTGCAGTGAGCCGAAGCCTGCAGTGAGCCGAGATCGCGCCACTGCACTCCAGCCTGGGCGACAGAGTGAGACAACGTCTAAAAACAAAAAAAAAAAGAAAAAGAAATATTGACAGCAATTTGACAGAATAATTTTGTCTGTTGAAGCCAACATTTTTTTAATTATTTATTTATTTTTTTATTTTTTTCCTCAGACAAAGAGTCTCGCTCTGTCACCCAGGCTGGAGTGCAAGTGGCGATTCTCCTGCCTCAGCATCCTGAGTAGCTGGGATTACAGGCACCTGCCACCATGCCCAGCGAAGTCAACAATTTTAAATAATGGGCTTATATTTGTTTTTTATAACTTTGTTTTCCTAGTAATTCGTTTTCCTAGAAATTCATTTGTATTTTACAAAAGTATTGGTCTGCAATGGTATAGAAATTTAAAAAAGAAAAAGTCCCATTCCTCAGACCGCTTGAGAACTGACCTAAAGATCTACAGAGAAATAGAACCACGGCCCTGATCAAACCTAAGCCTAACTCTTAATCTCTACTCTTCAGTTAGGAAGATTACCTTTACTGTTTAAACTTAGTTGAGTGAAATTTTCTGTGATTTACAATAGAAAGTTTTCTACCTGATACAGGAAATGACTTGCCAGCCCACACAAAGGTAAGGAAGAGGACAGAAAGGAAGGAAAGGTAAGGAAGAGGACAGAGAAGTGGCTGGATGCAGTGGCTCATGCCTGTAATCCCAGCACTTTGGGAGGCTGAGGTGGGCGGATCACAAGGTCAAGAGATCGAGACCATCCTGGCCAAGGTAGTGAGACCCCGTCTCTACCAAAAATACAAAAATTAGCTGGGCATGGTGGCGCACACCTACAGTCCTAGCTACTCAGGAGGCTGAGGCAGGAGAATCGTTTGAACCCTGGAGGCAGAGGTTGCAGTGAGCTGAGATTGCGCCACTGCACTCCAGCTTGGCGACAGAGCAACACTCCGTCTCAAAAAAAAAAAAAAAAAAAAAAGGAAGAGGACAGAGAGGAAGGAAAGGTAAGGAAGAGCACAGAGAGGGAGGTAAAGTAAGGAAGAGGTCAGAGAGGGAGGAAAAGTACAACACAGGCAAAGGTGCAGAGAATTCCAAACATTACCTAAAACTACTCTAGGAGAGACTGAAGAGGAAAAAATCCACTCAAAGACGCAAAATCAGATAAAAGCTTTTCACATCCCTGCAATTAAATGGCCACCTGGAAGGTTTCCTTCCTTCAAACAATGAACCCATGCAAACATTTCTTTGTTCCACCCATTTCAGCAACTGCCAATTTTGAACCAAATGAATTATCCTCAAGCAAATGTCACACACAGTGGGTAGTGATTTCATTTTCCTAAATGGTTGTCAAAGCTTTGCATACTAAAGCTTCCAAAAAGGAGAACTGGAAAAATGACAATTTAGAGGTGGGAAAGAAACATGAGTTATTTCAAAGCAGCAGCCTGCGATATGGTAAAATCGTTCTTCTAAAATGCCTCCATCGAACATTTTCCAAACTGTAATCATTTCAACTGCTGGCTTTCTCTGTATTTATGCTAAAATGTAGCTGATTTATTTTTATAGTATTTTACCAGAGTAAAGATCCAAAAACGAATAGGGGGGGAAAAAAGGAAAGAAAATATTACTGTAGGTTTTTTTTTTTAAGAAGATAAGATCTAGAAACAGGAACAGTTAGGAAAGAATAAAGGATGAACTTTGTGAAGAAAAATGTTGAGTAGTTTCATTTCTATTAATCTAAGAAAATCCTAAAACAGAATGAGGTTACTCTAAATTCAAAATCCGCATATAATAGTTGGAGTGCATAGACCATAGCAGGGAATACCCCCTCTAAATAATCAGTTCAAGGCAGGGAACTCCCAAGTCTTACCAAGATGGCACAGTCTCTGCTAAGTGAGGTGTTAAAATGGGTAAAGTTATCCAAAGCTTTCCTAACTGAAGTCCAGGGACATTTTCCCCAGTGGTCTGTCTGAGATTTAGAAACTATTTCTTTTTTTCTTTTTATGATGATTTTTAAAATTAATATATAATAATGTAGGCATATCCTAGGCCATCCGGAGGGCAATCTTATTATAGCCATGTAATCTCAATTCCCACATTTGCATTCATAAGCACCTACGGTGCCCCCAGACATAGTCTCAGGGTCAACATTGGCTCAAGTTTCACATCCATTTGGAAGGAAGACCAAGTTATGATGGTTACAAACAAAGAAGGGTGATATGCTCTGAGAAGCACACAACATCATCACTTCCATAATATTCTTAACAAAAATGCTTATTCAGTCATGAAGAGATAACCAAAAAATTCAAACTGAGGGGCATTCTACAATACAAAATAGCTGCCCAGTACTCTTCAGAAAAGTCAAGGTTATGAAAGACCAAGAAAGAGTAAGGAAGACTAAGGAAACAACCAAATGCAACATCTAATCCTGGATTGGATCCTAGACCAGAAAAAGAACTTTAATGGGACCTTAACTGGCAAAATTTGTATAAGGTCTACAGATGATGGTATTCTGCCAATGTTAATTTCCTGGTTTTGGTAACTGTACAATGATTATATAAGATATTAACATTTAGGAAATCTAGGTGAATAATACAGGGGAATTCTTTGTACTGTTTTTGCTACTTTTTCAAAAGCCTGATATTATTTCAAAATGAAAAATTGAAAACTATAAAGAAGTTAAAATAAGGAAGGGTATGGATCAATAAAAAGGAGGCCTAAATAACTTGAATGTGTTAACCTGTACAATATCTGATAACATCCAGTGACTCAAGTATCAGTCCCCTTGACAGGTCTGCAGGGATGGCCCTTATGGAGATCTAACCAACTCGCTACGTCAGTTTCTCCTTTGTCTTTCCATGTAGGCTTGCCTCCAGAACTCCTGTCTAGACCCCCTCCCAGCTCTTGTCTTTACTCAGCATTAACCACCTGGCACTTTAGTTACATGAGTCTCTCATGATTTAGGTTAACAAGAATCTGCTCCCCAGAGTTCAATCACTTTACACATGTGCTGAAAAATAACTGATTTCCAGATTACCATAGCTGAGAGCCAGCCCCTGGACTATAGTGATACAGAGCTACTTGCCCAGTAGGCCCTGCCCAAGGACCATTCTGCAGCCTGGAACACCTGTAAATTGTTTTGTTCCATAGCTTCCTTGCAAAGGTAACAGGTGGCTCTAACAATAATAGCAAAAAAAAAAAATGCAGTCTTCTCTAAAGCAGGGGAAGGTGTCAGAAGCCAACTTTGAATCTTGTTGAATAAACAGAATTTTGGAAGACAAAACAGGGCCAAGAACCAAACTTATGCCCAGCTCAGCAAAGGTCTAGTGACTGTTCGAGCTGAGTAACCATTTCATAAGGCTCCATGAAGACCTACCTGTATCCACTGTGACCCAGAATGAGCCTTATAAAGCATACATCTATCCATGTCTTGTCTTAAAACCCTTTAATAGGGCTGGGCGCGGTGGCTCATGCCTGTAATCCCAGCACGTTAGGAGGCCAAGGTGGGCAGAATCGCCTGAGGTCAGGAGTTCAAGACCAGTCTGGCCAACATGGTGAAACCCCATCTCTACCAAAAGTACAAAAAAATTAGCTGGGCGTGGTGGCAGCCGCCTGTAATCCCACCACGTTGGGAGGCCAAGGTGGGTGGAATCACCTGAGGTCAGGAGTTTGAGACCAGCCTGGCCAATATGGTGAAACCCCATCTCTACCAGAAGTACAAAAAAAATTAGCTGGGCATGGTGGCAGAAGCCTGTAATCCCAGCTAATCGGGAGGCTAAGGCAGTAGAATCGCTTGAACCCAAGAGGCGGAGGTTGTAGTAAGCCAAGAGCGTACTACTGCACTCCAGCCTGGGTGACAAAGCGAGACTCCATCTCGAAACAATAAATAAATAAATAACCCCTTTAAAGTTTTCCATTGCCTCTAAAACAAAGACCAAAATCCTGGTCACTGCCTGGTGCCTGGCCCCTGCCTGCTGTTCCAACACCTCATCCAGCACCCCCCGCCCCAGGCACATTCCAGTCCCTAAGCCAGCTTCGATCATTACTTCAAGGGCTTAATGCAAACCGTACCCTCATCTAGACTGTCTTCCCACCCCCATCCGCCAGCCCCCTATACATACACTTTGGCCTACGTAACTTCTACTCATCAAGATATACTCAGGTTTTGGCTTAAATATCACTTAGCTGGAAAGGCTTCTCTCACCAACCTCGGGGACTAGACGAGCACCCTTTATGTTCTCATAGCACTCTATAATTACTCTTCATAGAAACTACCACCATTTCAAATGATGATTTGTTAGGCTCTTGGTCTCCCCCACTAGATTAGGAGCATCCAGAGGGCAGGAACTAAGTGTGGTTTACAAACTCTCATACGCCAATGCCTGGTACAGTACTTTGCACTTCACGCAATGGGAGTGGGCTCTGCCCACATCCTCAGCTTGAAATGAAATCCATATGCTTGAAATAGTATGGACACAGTAAGCACTCAAGTAAGAGCTACTAAAATTATGTAAAAATGGCTTCCCTCTGACTATGCCTGAAATTTACCACTGCTTTTTCTTTCCACCTGATGGAAGGGGGAAAAGTCAGCCAGGCAAAAGATGCCAAGCTGTCATTTTTTTCAAGGATACTTTTTGACTGTCAAATCAGCTCATTTTAGGATATTGAAAAACTTCAAGTTGCAAGGTAAAACATCAAGAAAGGAAATGCTTCTAAAATTAACACACTACACTTTTTTTACTCTGAAATAAATCTATACTCATCATTAGTACATTTTCACTTCCCTCTGCAGCCTCGCTGTCATCTTCTCTTTCAAAATTCTGGTTATTACCACTACAAGGAAATTCAGACTCTTTCTCCAACACCAAAGACTCTACTAATAACTTCCATGGGAACAAAGTTCAACTGTAGCTAAAATTTCATTTGCTTAAAAAACATGAAAAACTCGCTTTTATCTCAGGTATGAACTAATAAAAGCAAGCTAAATCGCAGCTATCCTAAGTAGTCCCTGTTCACAGAAGGATTACCATTTAAAATCATAAGTTAGTTAACATAAAAATGGGGGCCTGAAATACCCAAACTGATTTTTTCAGGGTGTGTTACACTGTAACAGCAGCTAAATTCTCCTGGACCCAGGCAATATTCTCAGGCAAAGGATGAAGGAACCAAATACGGAGATTTCTTCAGAGATAACTAGACAGATTCCTATCGGCCAGGGGAGAAACTGGAGAATTCAAGAGTGTGTTAGTTCTTAGGCAGAAAACTATACTTCAGAGAAGTACCTGGCTGTAAAAAATGTCTCCACGGAAATGGCTACATTCTAGGTGCACATAACAACACTTCAGTCAACGGCAGGCTGCATATACAAGGTGGTCCCATTAGATTACAATACCATACTTCTACCATAACTTTTCTATGTTAAGATATGTTTAGATACACAAATACTTACCATTGTGTTACAATTGCCTACAGAATTGAGTAGAGTAACATGCTGTACAGGTCCATAACCTAGGAGCAATAGGCCATACCAGATAGCCTAGGTGTGTAATAAGCTATACCATCTAGGCTTGTGTAAGTACACTCTACAACGTTCGCACAACTATGAAATCGCCTAACATGTTTCTCAGAAGATATCCCCACCACTAAGTGATGCATGACTGTATAAGTATTATATGCCACAATACCCAGAAGCTACATGCAAACCCCAGTGTTAAAGATGGAGAAGAACATGATTACTTAAAAAACATGAAAAACTGACTTCTATCTCAGCTATGAACAAAAGCAAGATAAATCACAGCTAACCTAGGTAGTCCCTGTTCACACGATTCTCGTTTAAAATCATCTTAGTTAACAGGTAACTGTGGACTGAAACACCGAAGCTGATCACTTTTTCAGGGTGTGTTAAACTGCAATAGCAGATAAATTTTCCTGGGCCCAGGCAATATACTCAGGCAAAGGACAAAAGAATCAACTACTGAGATTTCTTAAGAGATAACTAAGCAGACTTCTATTGGCCTCACAATCACGGGATTAATATAATACATACAAGCATGCACACACACATATCTGATAGTGCAGTTCCTAACCTTTTTTAAGTCAGAGAATCTCAAGAAAGCTATAAACCTGCTCCCCAGAAAAAAAATGTTTACACAAGAGAGGCTCCCTTAACTCATCTCTGCTTAACCACCCTGCCAAATTAACCGGCGCATCCTACATCAGAACATGACTGATGTTTGAGCACGCTAGCAGCTCATAACTAGTAGGAGACTCTACCTGAGCACAAGACTACTCAATGTGTGGTCTAGGTGGGTGCTAGTCTGCCAACTGTTTATTACCAGTTGCCCATGAGGTAAGTACAAAAATGGTGAGAAGGCATTTAGAAACATACAGAGCCATTAGACATGGTTGCATCACCTAAGGGCCTAAGTATCTGACTCGCTTCATTGACCAACTCCAGTGTTGCTGATCTTGTGAGGTACATGCAGCACCAGCTACCTACTAGTCAAGCTCTGAAGAACTACGTGACCACATATGATAGTTTAAGGTTAGTCAACTGCAGTACGAAAGTATTAAAATCAGGAATCCATTTCTTAACACTAAAAGTTCATTTAAATTTAAACATAAATTTACAGGATATATTGTTGGAACTGGCTACTGAAGAAGGACTGAAGATGAATTTTGACACGATAGCATCACTTACATCATTTTGGAGTAAAATTAAAAATGAATATCCTGAGCGTTCCAGAATTCCTTTAAAATGTCTTTTTTCATTCATTATCATCCACATCCCTCTATAAGATCAGTTCCTCTACCATGAGTATTATTTAAGGAAAACTAGAAATAGTTTGGATAGACATTAGCCTCAAGACAAGCTTGTCACCAACCCAGCCTAGTTAGATAGGTTAACAAGCAAGATGGGAATTCATTTGTGACATTAAAAACTCTAAATATTGATATACATAGAGTTTGGTCAAAGTATATACAGAGGAATTTAATATGAAGAATCATTATTTCACTCATAACTTTTTGCTTAGTTATAAATGGAATAAAAATTAACAAGAGTAACAGTAATTCTTTGTGAATTGCCAAGACATGTACACTTTCAAAGTACACATTTAGAAATTCTTCCCTATATTCTGTTTTTTCCAACTACATTTATTAAAATGTAACTTTATTTCTGTCGTTTTTAAAAATAAATTTAAAAAATAAGGCTTGTATTTTGTTTGTTTGTTTTTTAAGTAAAAGTACAGGTCCACAAAAGATTGGAAATAAAAAAGACTAGATTTTCATCACATACAGATTAAAAAGTAGTGATCTGCTCCCACCAATCAAGCTGTATCATTCCCTATGGTCAGATATGTTTATTCCTATTTACACCAGTTGTTCTTACAATTTAAATATATAAACACATAGTAAATTGTATATAAACACAATATTCAGAGAAATGAATGTTTTTTAATTTTTTTATTCAGATAAATTAATGTTTCAACGAAAATGAAGTTGAATGTTTGAATGATTTGGAATAATTCAATAAAAGTTAAACACTAAAATAAATGCCATGATATTAGATGTGAGGAAGAAAACAGCAAAAGACTGGAAGGCAAATCATAAAAATCTAGGATTCTACACTCAAGATATTCACAAGTATTTTAAAGTTCTTACTTTAAAGCAACCTAAACTGAAAACTGTGTAGATCATGCATCATAGGTGAAGTTTATGTACAAAACCAACATGGAAGCCACTTATCAGGACTTGGCCCCATATCAGAAATTAGCAAACATGTTTGAAATAAAATGTTTAAGACATGAATGTAACATTTTTCACATTTCTCCACCTTAAATAACTAACCAGCTGCTGGTCATGATATTCCCAGATAAGAGGGTCTACACTCTAAACACAAAATTCTGTACAGAATATTTAAGAGATTCTGGTCCCCCTGGCTCTGTTACTGAAATATAACCAGTTGGTAATAAAACACGGACAAAATAAAAACAGAAAGACTCACACCAATCACAGAAAGCATAAAGAGTCCAAAAAGAGATTCTAACCAAATAAAGAAAATGAGACCATCTGTAAAACTGCAAGCTTATTGTCTCTTTCCTAGTAACATTATATCTACACCCAATTCCCATAAAGAATGTATTTTTTTTTAGCAGTTTACAGCATTAACCAAATTAAACCAGAGCCCTCAGAGGACAAGCTGGGTTACATTAGACAGAAAGCATACTTCCAGCTTCTTCCCCCTCCCAATCCTGCTTGGCCCCCACCTACCAGCCCAAAGGTCAAAAAACAAAAGCAGAATCAAAAAGTAATATATAAAAAGTCCCTTATGAGACACTGCAAAACATTTTCTCTTACTATCACTACAAAAAATGTCAGTAATTCTGGCCGTAAACCAAAGTAATCCAAAACCATGGGTTTAGTTCAATTCTGAACTCAGACATTTTGTAGCTTATCTACACTGGCCCATAGTTTAGGATCAAAGTTTTAAGAAAAAGAAGCAAAACAAATGAAAAGCTAATGCAATGAGGGAAAATAACACAAGACAGCTTATTTCATAAAGCATTTTGGGTTAACAAAAACTAAAATTATAAGAAAAAAATTTGAGATCTTATTAATATCTAAATTGAAATAATCTGAATATGAACTCATTTTGAAAACAGCCAGAGCATGCCTTACACCTCTACTTCAGGACTTAGCTGAATTAATGCAAAATTTCACTGTCAAATATATTACACAAATGCAATTGAATGAAAATAGTGTACCAAAAAAAAAAAAAAGCATGAAAATGAGCAATGTCTAAATAGGCCATGGGGGAAACTGGGCTGATGTCCTGGGTCCTGCTCTTTGGTTCTGGCTCTGCCAATAATTAACACCATGGAAAGTGGTTGCCTTCATTTTGTGGTTCCCATCTGTGAATTCAGAGGGTCAGTTTAAGTACACACCACAGATGCTATCTGCTCTAAGACTTTTCTGCCCTAGAACTAAAATGCACAGATGATACAGAATTGAAGCTTTTCTGGGCAGTGAAAGACAGGAGGCAAACAAGATCTACCACAGTTAACAGCTCTGGACACTCACTGACTCAGCTGACAGTTATTCTGGTTATGAAACAAAGGGAAAAAATGGGGAGCTATGCAGCCCTGAAAGCAGTATCAAGAACTACCATGCTTTTCTCATTCTGCATTGTAAAATGCAAACTGTAACATAAAAAATATTTTGCTTTAAAATAGGTTTTGTTCTTAATTTTGTAATTAACAAATATTTATTTTAAAAATCAAGAGGAATGAAATATATTGAAACAAAGGGATTCACAGTGGTTATTTAAAGGTTACCTTATCTTCGTTCATACAATATTAAATTCTTTGTTTTATGAAGAGATGATAATGCAGCGATGGACACACACCTGGTCTGGGTCCAAGTCCCACCTACTAGCTGCACAGCCTGGGAAGTTTCAGTTTCCCTGTCTGTAAAATGAGGACAATATGGTTGAATAACATGGTCTCAACAGTGGTTGTTGGGAGTTAATATGAGTTAATACAGGGTAAGTATCCCTTATCCAAAATGCTTGGGACCAGAAGTGTTTCAAGTTTTAGATTTTTCATATTTGAGAATATTTGCATTATACTTACCGGTTGAGCATCCATAATCCAAAAATCTGAAATCTGAAATGCTCCAGTGAGCATTTCCTTTGAACACCATGTCAGTGCTTAAGAAGTTTCAGATTTTGGAGCACTTTGGATTTCAGATTTTCAGATTACAGATGCTCAACCTGTATATATGAAGCACTAAGTACAGGGTCTCACACGCAGAAGAACCTACGTAAGAGTTTACTAACACTTTATGCTAAACAACTTCATGTCTAACTAAAAATAGATGTTCACTAATACACCAAATGCAAACCATATAAACATCAAGACTCCAGAAAACCTTACCCACATGTATCAATATTAAACAAAACATCAAGACAATTCCAAGTAAAGAAAAATATACATATATACAGCACAGTAACTTTTTTATTCTTCCAGACTCCAATCCTTTGTCAATCTATCCTACAGGTAGCCAAATAGATTAAACTTCCTAAAGCAATGTTGTGTTTAAGTCACTCCTACTAAGGATCTTTAAAATCTCTACATACATCTACAGGAGAAGCCTCAAACCCACCCAGACTAGAATGGAGCCTCCGGTACCCTGTACTTTAAAGTACTTACAACAGTATGTAATTCTCTATTTGAGTGACTGATAAATATCTTTCTCACCCACTAGAACAAAAGCCAGGAGATAAGGTGTGTGTTTTACCCTCCACTGTACTGCCACCATCTATCACAGTGCATGGCCCGAGGCAGGTGCTCAGTAAACATTTGTTGGATGAATGAACCTCATCTTCTATCAAGGCTCACATCACCATCTAATATGGATGTCCCTTGAGGGTCTGCAAAACATTCTCTCATAAATTTTCTCATCTGACCTTCATAGTAAGCTTTTGGGGAAGAAAGCCAGAGCAGATGAGAAAACCAAGGCCCAAAAGTTCACTGAGTCACCCAAGACCACATTCTTAATAAGTGGCAAAGACCCAAGTGTGTTAACTCCTAGTCTAGGGTTCCTTTCAGAACATTCTGCTGCCTGGGTTAAATCCAATACAAATACTTGAGCCATAACCTTGTCTTGTACTTTTCTGCCTCTGCAGTTTTTACACTTCCCTTCCACCCACCCAGAACTGCCTCCTACCTCTTTTCCTACTTTTCATTCATTAAACAAATATTTATTAAGGACTGTGATTGATGGGCAAACTCTCCTTCTTCCTTGAGGGTCCACCAGTGTGTTGTATACGTGTCACGTCTATTGCACAGACATCCATTTACTCGCTCAACAAAAAGTTTTCTGTTCTACAGACATGTATTTGTTCTTTCAATACAATGACGAACACTTGCCAAGTGTCATACAGTGTGAGGTTCCAAGGAGAACTGTGTTCTAATGTTCTGAGAAACTACTGAAGTTTCTCAAAGAGAACAACAATGTAAATTAACCTGTTTTAAAACACAATACAACTGCTGCCATTCACACAGCCTGAGATGTCCGAGTACCTCAATTGGGAAGTAAATCAAACACTAACACCTAACATAAATCATATCAACATATATATCAATTTAAAAATATGTATAGATTCAATTCATCTACCGTCATGTAAAAAAATAGATTCACACAACATACACAGGTAAAGTATCCCCAGGTCTACTCTACTAAAATAGTTTTTATCTATCAGGTCTGTTAAATAGTTAACAGCCCTTCTCAAACTTGTCAGCTCAAAAGAACACACAATTAAAATGGAACAACAGATTTGGGAATCTCACGCTTCTAGATTACCAGCCCAGAACCACAACTCTAAATATAACAGCAATAAACCTGCAATAATCCTCATGAAATATAGCATCAATTAAATGCTGGTACAAGAAATGTAATGCAGAATTACTGCCGTATTAATACTCCCTGAAGATAAATCACTAAAGACTTTAAGCAAGTGAAAATCGATTCTGTGAATATTTAACACAGCTGGCTTTATTTAAAAATTCCCAAAACAGACACATACTGGCATAAAAAAGAACTACAAAGGGTTAATAACACTAGATTATATATAAATTCAGAAGTAAGGAAGACAGCTGCCTGGGAATCTTATCTTGGAAATAATATTTTAAAACCTCAGGGAAAGCAAACAAAATGGTACTTGATAACGTGTTAACTCATTAGAGAATTTAATACAAACAACATCCAACTAATCCTTCTCTTTCTTTCATACTTAAATTTCAATGCTGAATTTAAGAGACCAACATCAGATAAGACAAAAAGGGAAAGTACAGGAACAAAACAGCTCTCAGAATGGACACAAACCTGAGAAATCATTTGTCTCTGTGGGCAAAGGTTTGGGTTAGTGAAGAGCTTCCATCAGTGTAAGGCAGCATGCCTGACCCCCTCCTCGCTATCTCTTACAAGGACACAAATGCTTTTAAACACCATGGTCCTGTGAATCCCGAATAAATCAAAGTAAACCTGCATGAAGGTGGGGTTATGTGTGCTTGATTCAGGGTCCTTAAGAGTAAACTTGGCTGGACACAGTGGCTCACGTCAGTAATCCCAGCCCCATGGGAGGGGGAGACGGGAGGACTGCCTGAGTCTAGAAGTTCAAGACCAGCCTGTAAAACTTAGCTAGACCTTGTTTCTGCAAAAAAACAAACAAACAAACAAAAATTAAATTAAATTGAATTAGCCAGTCATAGTGGTGGTACATGCGTGTAGTCCCAACTACTTGATGGGGGGGCAGAGGGAGGGTGAGGCTGGAGGATCACTTGAGCCCAGGAGGTCGAGGCTGCAGTGAGCTATGATCGCACCACTACACTCCAGCCTGGGTGACAGAGTAAGACCCTGTCTCTAAAACAAAAAAACAAAAACTACTAAACAGTAAATGTGGGCACATGTTTTCTTGTGTCTTCCAGTGGACCAGAATGACCTCCCACCTTCAAGGACTCCTGATCACTTTACCTTGATTGTCTACAAGGGAATGATTTACAAATCCTACACTATGACCATCCTCAAGAGGCCTCATTAAGAAAAGCTTCTCCTGTATTAAATCCAAAGCTGTTTTCATTGTATAGTTTAATTCTACTTCCTTCCTTTTTTCCCTCTGTGAACTCAGTGGAGAAGAATGAACCCCTGAAAGAAGTCCCTTTCATCTAAAAAAAAATCACATTTGATCAAATGAATCCTATGGGTTAACAGAATAGGTGCTCTCTTCAAAAGAGCAGGAACGTCAGTGATCAAATTTAATCCCATCAATTACATTTAAAAAATCTTTTTAAGAGCTAATATGGCCTTGTAGAAACTAAACATTTAATATCTCCTTTGATTATGAAATTGCACAGGTTTTCTGAAAGCTTAAGTTCACACCTTCACCCACATTCAATTCCAAGCAGGCACAGAGTTTTTCCTAAACTGTTTCACCAAGCCATTGTGGGGAGTTGGGGAAGTTGCCAGGGGCAAGGCTACAACTCAAGGGCCCTTTTGTTTCACGCTACTCTTTCGGTTGCCTTTTTGGGTCTTCCGCTCCCTTACCTTGGATAATGGGAGACGATGAAACTCAAGTGGGTTAATTATACTTTGCTTATAACTCTTGATTTTAAGACACGTGAAAGAAGAAATTGAAACGTGCTTAAAATTGTTTTTGGATGTAAATTATCCCAAGAGCTAATTATGTATAATTTCTTCATTTTCTTTATTCATGCAAGTGAATCGCAGTAAACATCCTTTTAGGTCAAATATTTCTTCCCTTATGACTTCATGACTAATTCTATGTAAGCCTAACACACTCTTACTCCTTAAGAACTCAGTATTAATATACTATCCTGTTAGGAAGAAAGGAGCTAGAACTTGCTCGAAAGGGACTAGCATGGCCGGGCACAGTGGCTCACGCCTATAATTCCAGCACTTTGGGAGGCCGAGGAGAGTGGATCACCTGAGGTCAGGAGTTCGAGACCAGCCTGACCAACATGGAGCAACCCTGTCTCTACTAAAAATACAAAATTAGCCCGGCATGGTGGCAACATGCCTGTAATCCCAGCTACTCAGGAGGCTGAGGCAGAAGAATCGCTTGAACCTGGGAGGTGGAGATTGCGGTGAGTCGAGATCACGCCATTGCACCAGCCTGGGCAACAAGAGTGAAACTGTCTCAAAAAAAAAAAAAAAAAAAGAAAAAGAAAAAAGAAAGGGACTACCATAACATACTTTGGCATGAAGCCATCTTTACTCTGTAGAGTTAAATAACCTTGTAACAGAAAAGGAGGCGTGAGAAGTACCTAACTTCCCTTCTAAGAAGGTCACATAAAGATCTTTCCATCTCTAGCATCCTAGTGACTCCGCATCTCCAGGATAAACAAGGGAGAGACAGTTGTAAAGTCAAGGGCTGTCTATATTTACAGTCTCCATTTCTCTCCTCCCATTAAGCTCACTCCAATTAGGCTTTCATTCCTACCATTCTATCAAAACTGCTTGTCAAGATCACCAATGACCTCCATGTTGCCAAAGCCAATGGTCAATTTGAACCTTCATTCTACTGAATGATTACTCTAATTGCGAACATTCAGTACCTGCCTTCTTGGTGATCTCACCAAGGTAACCTTGGTTAATCTCACAGCTTCAAACACCTTCTACAAATTCATGATTTATAAATCACATCTCCAGTATTGGTGGTATAGTGGTGAACATAGCTGCCTTTCAAATCACATTTCCAGCTGAAACTTCTTTGAACTCTGGATTCCAGAATCTCTCATATATCCAACTGCCTATTCAATATCATCACATGAATAGCTATATTAATCTGTTTTCACACTGCTATGAAGAACTGCCTGAGACTGGGTAATTTATAAAGGAAAGACATTTAATTGACTCACAGATCAGCATGGCTGGGAGGCCTCAGGAAACTTACAATCATGGCAGAAGGTGAAGGGGAAGCAAGGCGCCTTCCTCACAAGGCAGCAGGAAGGAGAAGTGCCAAGCCAAGGGGGAAGAGCCCCTTATAAAACCATCAGATATTGTGAGAACTCACTGACTACCATTAGAACAGCATGGGGAAACCACCCCCATGATTCAATTACCTCTACCTACTTTCTCCCTTGACATGTGGGAATTATGGGGAATACAATTCAAGATGAGATTTGGGTGGGGTCACAAAGCCTAACCATACCAATGTCTAAGAAGCATCAGAAACCTAAGTCCTAAATCAAACTCCTAATGGTACCTCCAAACTGGCTTCTTCCAAGACCTTGCCCATCTCAGTAAATGGCAATTCCATTCTTGCAGTTGCCCAGGAGAGCCATCCTTGTCTATGCTTACATTCTCTTTCTCTCTCTCTCAGTCCATATCTAATTTATAAGGAAATTCTGTCAGCTGTACCTTATATCTGGAACCTGTCCACACCACCGCCCTCTCTAGCACCCTGGCCCAGCAATCACCATTGTCTCGCCTGGCTTTTTACAATGACTCTGCTTCCTCCTTTCATTCTATTCTCCACAAAACAGTGATCCTTTATAAACCTAAGTTGGATTGCATCATTCCTCTGCTCAAAACCCATTGACGGCTTTCCACCTGTTACAGGTTGAACTGTGTCCCTCAAAAATTCATATGTTACACTCTTAACCTCCAGTACCACAGAATGTGATCGTATTCAGAAATAATGTCATTGCAGATGTAATTAGTTAAGATGAGGTCATTTAGGTGGGCCCCAATTCCAATATGAATGATGTCCTTATAAAAAGGGAAAATTTGGACACAGAGACACATACATAGGGAGAACACCATGTGAAGATGAAGGCAGAGATCTATAAGCCAAGGAATGCCACATATTGCCAGGAAACCACCAAGAGCTAGGAGAGAGGGATGGAACAGATTCTCTTTCTCTCATGATCTTCAGAAGGAACCAACTCTACCAATAACCTGAGTCAGACTTCCAGCCTCCAGAACTGTAAAACAATAATTTGTGTTGTTTAAGCCAGTTGTCCCCAACCTTTTTGGCACCAAGAAGTTGTTTCATGGAAGACAATTTTTCTATGGACTGGGGGAGTTGCAGGGGGTGGGAGGGGGCGGTTCATGATGATTCAAGCGCACTACAGTTATTGTGCACTTTATTTCTATTATTATTTCATTGTAATTTATAATGAAATAATTATACAACTCATCACAATGTAGAATCAGTGGGAGCCCTGAGCTTGTTTTCCTGCAACTAGATGGTCCCATCTGGGAGTGATGGGAGACAGCGACAGATCATCAGGCATTAGATTCCCATAAAGAGCGTACAACCTAGATCCCTCACATGTGCAGTTCACAATAGGATTCGTGCTCCTTAGAGAATCTAAGGCCACCACTGATCTGACAGGGGGCAGAGCTCAGGTGGTAATGAGAGCCATGGGGAGCGGCTGTAAATACATATGAAGCTTCATTCGCTGGCCTGCCACTCTCCTCTTGCTGTGTGGCCCAGTTGCTAACAGGCCACAGACCAGTATCCCTGGCTGGGGGTAGAAGACCCCTGGGTTAAGCCACCCAGTTTATAGTAGTTTGTTACAGCAGCCCTAGCAAAGTAATACACCACCTCATAAAGGATAAAAGGCAATGGCCAAAAGACCCTACATGCTCATACCCTAGCTCACACACTGGCCCCCTTATTGTTCCTCCAACAGGCCAGGCTCATGTCTAGCCTTTGCTCTAGCTCTTCCCTGGGCTTAGACCACTCTGCCCCAGAGCCCTTAATTCCTTTAGACCTCTGTTTAAATAGCTCCTTAAGGCCTTCTCCTCCCTCCAACACTGTCTGTCCCCCTCATCCACTTTATTTTTCTCCATTGTGTGTCACCACCAGGTACTTTAAGTACTTATTGTGGCAGACTGGGAGATGCATTGCTAGATCCCCCAATAAAGAAAGAACTTGCTGAGCAAATGCAGGTAAACAGCGTCCATGACTCAGTTCCTTGGGGTCAGCCTTGGCTACAGAGTGCAGCCTCACCTGCCTGAGGTCACATCCTTCCCAGGGTAGTCCACACCTCTGTGTGGGACACTCTGAGAGGTGACATTCACTGCAGAGCTCTCTGGAAGGTTGGCAGAGACTCCGCCAAACCTGCATCACAGCTCAGCTTCTTCCCCTGCACAATTCTCCTTCCACCTCCTGTTCACAGGAATTGATCGCAAATAAACATCCTGCTTCCCAAACTCCATTTCAGCGTCCGCCTGTGGAGAATCCAACCTGAGACACTTATCTATCTCCCTTCACTAGAGTGTAATCTTACTGAGGGCAGGAACTTTGTTTCATTGTATCCCCAAAGCCTAAAATGGCACCTCGCAGGAAAGGAGAAATGATTGAATGGAAATATATGGATGGATGAAGGAGAGCAGAAAGAAGAAAGGGCAATAAGTATTTGGATAGATGACTGGCCCCTGGATACAACAAAAGCATCTTAATATGGTTATTATGTATCACAAAGCAAAAGGAATACACAGCATTACAATGAAGCTGTGTGAGGTTTCTAAAATGCACATTGCTATTGATTTCAGAGAATCTTAAAAACAATGTGTACTAAGTTTTCCTAAGGTTCACTTCTTCTCTTGATGCCCATGACCTTTCCCCCTAAGATTTCAAATTTCACAACCACAAGATCTACCATAAAGAGGGTTTCAGGACCCTAACCTTTAAGGTAGGGAATATGCTGTATAGTAACTGTTCAATCACTCTGTGACACCTTTATGTAATTCTTAACTCCCATTTCAAAGAAAACTCTGCTCTGCACATTATCATTATAAATAGTTTATTATAGCTTTTCTTCTTTATTGACTATGTCAAATAAAATAGTATTTTTTTCATTCAAAATAGTATTTCTTTCTTTCTCAGAGAATTGGCCTTCACTTTATTGCAACATCTTAATTGCATTTGGCTCTGGAAAGTGATTTAAAATAGATTTTCCATGCCCTATAACCGGCTAGTCATTTAGACCAAATAAAGCTGATTTCTACCTGGTCACGTACTTCATGCCAATTCCATCAGAATGTGTTAAGCCTGACTATAAAGTAATAGAGCTGAGGAGTGTTGTGTGTGTTTGGTTTAGAATCACTTTCATTTCTTTACACAGCACTGCACGATGAGATTTCAAGTGAAAAATGTAAAGTCATGTTTAATACCAAAAACACCCCCAACAAAAACAACAAATCACCCCCACACTAGAGCTACTATACTGGTCTGTAACTACTCTACCACACTCTAAGGCAAATTGATTCACAACAGTGTCTGTATGTTTATAGCACAAGAATGTCTTACACAGATGTACCCGAAATATTTTATAACCATAAATATGAATAACAGAGTCTTCCTAGTCAGACCTATCTAATTTCATCAGCCTTCTGAAATTATATCTTTCACTAAAGCAGCCTCAGGGTACAAATGCAATAAGATAACATTAATTAAAATACATAAAACCATCCAGGAGTAGCAAGTAGTATACTATGTTTTTTTAAAGAGCAGAAATTGAACTAAAAATAGTAATCACTATTTTGCCAGCTCAAAAAGCTAGGTCTTACATAGTGCCTGAAGCTACAATTCTATTACTACCAAGGTAGGATAATAATTAGTATGTTATTCACTTGTCTGGTATGCACCTAGCTTTGCAGGGCTGTGTATGTATGCTCACTTTGCAGCTAAGACCTTCGGTTCTCAGCAACCTGTTTGCCATTAAGCAGATTCCAAGAAGTTCAAAAATACAATGTGTCAACCCTTACACTATGTCAACAACTGTTTCACTCAAAAAAATGCAGAGTCTATACAATCCTATGGAAACACTCAGTATTACCACTGTTGTAGTTCAGATCTCTACTTTATCTGGAAACAAATTACTGCTGACTAGAAATAAAGCACCATCATTACCCATACCCTTGACTTACATTGCAATAAACCCACCATAAATTGAAAATATCATGAGTAAAAAATGCATTTAATACAGCACTATTATTATTACTAACTACAACTACTTTTGCACTGTTGGGTGTTCACAGCAACCCTATCAGGTAGGTATTAATCGATAAACATGCTCAATGCCATACAACTAGGACATTATGAAGCCAGAGCTGATACCTAAACTTGTCAGACTCCAAATCCATGCATTTGACTGTACTATATGTTCCTTTGAAATGCAAACAAATATTTAAGATGCATAGCAACAAAGAACTTAATTTTATCACTAAAATTCCTAGCTTCTGCACACATATAGGAATCATCAATATGAGAATGCTATTTTGTATTTTGTGTTTTCATTTAAGATTATTTCAAGTTTTAGCAAACAACCCCAGCACAGAAATAAAATCAAGTCAGAGATGAGCTTCTGTAAGAACTGTTTTCCTAATGAAGTGAAGATACAATGATACAAAATAAGATCTCAGGTAGCAAAAGGCAGCAGTCCTTTACTTGCCAAATATTAAAATGTAACACCTATCAAAATGGTGGGATTTCAGGTGATTTTTTAAAAAATGGCTTTTTATACTTTGTTATTTACTGCTGTGTTTCCTACTAAAAACCATGCCATTTTTATAACATGAAAAAAGATAAGAGTCTTTTAAATTTGAGAAAAACAAACAACATTAATAATACACAGTTGTACCAATAGGCTAATATTATACACACAAACTTAAGTTCAGAGCTTATCTGCAGAAGTCATACACAGATAGGAGATAAATGAATTTAATGACCATGGGCTATGAATTCAGAAGGCTTTGTTATCTTTACCAAACCATCAAGTACAATTCATGTTACCCTGGACGACTGTTCAGCTCATCAGAGACCCTATTTCCTCATTTGCAAAAAAGAATACTGTAATACTATCTATTGAACATGGTCATTGTAAGAATTAAATAAGCAACACAGACATTTATGTACACACATACACATTCATAAACTGTTAAGTGCCAACCAAGAGTTATTTATTATTATCAACCAAAACTTTTAAAATCTAAACTGAAAGATCCTTAAACAGACAGTACTCTCAATTCATTTATGTGACATGAGTTATCCATTTGTACTTTAGCTTCTTTTGTAATCCAAATCTCACTGCAGAGGCAAAGGAAAAAAGTTTCTATGTATGCATGTATGTATATATGTGTATACATACATAAACATCTATTGAGATTTATATATTTATATTTTTCCCAAATGAGATCCTCAATAGCATGAAAAATCATTACTCCTTAACTCTTTCCAATACATATTTATGCAAAAGAGTTTAGACTGTATAATACAGCCAGTTTTAAATCAGATTTCCATTCAATTCACATTAAAGTGCCTATAAACTGTGATAGGTGCTTTTAGTTATGTATCTTTCTATTCTAGGGGAACATGTGGAGGTTGGCTTGTAGAAAAGAAAATCTAGAGACAGAACAACCAATTAGCAGGCTTTGCCATCATGAAGGTGAGAAAAAAATGAAGACATCTGGGGACTGAAAAAGAAAACAGGTTCCAGAGACATTTCCAGCCCTATTGACAAGCTACCTCCATGAAGTAAAAGAAAAGAATCTTAAAGAGGCAGGAAGATTTCCAGCTGTGGTGCCTGTTGCAGACTGAATGTTTGTTCCCCTCCAAAATTCATGTGTTGGAATCCCAACTCCAAATGTGATGGTACTGGGAGGTGGGGTCTTTAAGAGGTGATTAGATCACGAGGGTACAGCCCTCATGGATGGGATTTGTGCCCTTATAAAAGATCCTCTACGAGCTTTCTGGCCCTTTTCTGCCATGTGAGGACACAGTGAGAAGATGGCCATCTATGAGCCAGAAAGCAGGACCCTAATCTGCCAGCACCTTCATCTCGAACGTTTTCCAGCTTCCCGAACTGTGAGAAATAAGTGTCTGTTGTTTTAGAGTATTTTGTTACAGCAGCCTGAACAGACTAAAACAGTGCCTGTGGGTGTGGGGATGCTTATGTGAACTAAGGTAAGGAACAAAGGCAGTTCTAACCGGGTTAAAAGTGGTGGCAACTAGCAGGGTGTGGTGGCACGTGCCTGTAGTCTGGGCTACTAGGGAGGCTGAGGCGGGAGGTTTGCTTGAGCCTGGGAGGCACAGATGCAGTGAGCCAAGATCATGCCACTGCACTCCAGCCTAGGTGACAGTGAGACCCCGTCTCAATTCAAAAAAAGAAAAAGTGGTGGCAACATACATGGCTGGTAGGAATGTAAACTGGAACCACCAATTTGGAAGACTTTATTAAACAACCTACACACCCCTTACAATTCAGCAATCCTACTCCTAAGAATATACCTAACAGAAATGCCTGGTAAGTGTCTACCAAAGGCAAATACAAGAATATTCATAGCATCATTATTCCCAGTAGCCATAAACTGGAAAACCAAATGTCTGTCAACAGTAAAGTGGATAGGCTGAAGTATATTCATATAATATATACAGTGGGAAAAACATGAGCTGTTGCTACTCACAACAACGTGGATGGTTGCACAGACGTGGTCAGAATGAAAGCACATACTGAATCACTTCATGATTCCATTTACACCAAGTTCAAAGAGGGAACACTTGCCTACAGTGATAAAGATACAATGGGAGGGGTACTGTCTGGAAGGGGCAGGAGGAAGGCCACAGGAGGGATAGGAATGTTATCTATCTTGACCTGGGTAATGGCTAAACAGTTGCATATATATGGAAAAATCAAGCAGTACACCTAAGATCTGTGTGCTTTCCCTTAATGTAAAAGGTTAATGGGTAAATAAAAGTCTCCCAGCCCCAGAGCATTACAGTGACAGTAAATCCCCTCCGAAAACAGCTCTCTGGCTGCTGCTACCTAACAATAAAACAGCCTAACCTCAGAAAATCAAGCAATAAAAGCATCTCAACAAATTAAAGTCCTCAGTACAAGTAAATAGCGGTATACTTCTCTCTCCTGAGGAAGTCATTAGCTAAGTATTCTGGACATGGCTCAGATTCTTCAGCCATAGAACTGTGGTCCTTACATAGTAAGTCATTTCCTTTCTTCTTCTTTCTCTAACACCCCAGACAAAACTAACTGATCCCTCCTCTGTGTTACATGAACAGGTTTCTCCACGATAACACTTACTGTCTGTGAACCCCTGGGAGACAGGCCTGGGGCCCATTCTCTTTTGTCTCCTAAGCACCTGCACGTTGCCTCAGCACAGGGTTGAAAATCTGTAACTGTTTCCTGAATTTAGTAAACAATTCAGCATGTCTTCAAATAGAAGTCCCTTAAAAATTCATGGCTAAAAATCAAAAGTCACATCTTCTTTCATTAATATTTAATTATCCAAATAGGTCCAATCTTACACGTGCTATTATTTTTTTTCATTAGAAAGTTGATAATCCCCCAGTGTTATAATCCTTGAAGAAATAAAAATGTCCCATAGTTTAACATACTGCTTAGTATTATTTCATTGTAGTATATTTGCTTTCTAAAACTTACTATATCAAAAGAATTTCCTACATAGGCTATTTTTTTTTTTTTTTTTTTTTTTTTTTTGAGATGGAGTCTTGTTCCGTCGCCCAGGCTGGAGCGCAGTGCCGCGATCTCGGCTCACTGCAACCTCCACCTCCCAGGTTCAAGCAATTCTCTGCCTCAGCCCGCGAGTAGCTGGGATTACAGGCACCCACCACCACACACGGCTAATTTTTATATTTTTAGTAGACACAGGGTTTCACCGTGTTGGCCAGGCTGGTCTTCAAACTCTTGACCTTGTGATCCACCTGCCTCAGCCTCCCAAAGCTCTGGGATTACAGGTTGTGAGGCACCGCACCCAGCTACAAAGGCTATTTCTTAAAGTTCTGTGATTATCTCCTCAGAAGAGGTAGGAAAAGAAGAGCAAGTATCCAGCATGGAAAAGGGATATGCATCCACCTTTGTATTATTAGGTTTGGATACTAAGTGTATTTTGTTGCATAGATTATGCACAAGACAACTTCATACTAATCACACATACCTGTCCATAAAAACACGGCTTGACTCCTGGAGTCAGCTAAACTTTACCTCCAAAGTAACATAAAGTGGTTGCGCCATACAAAGTAAAACACTTTAAGAAGATCTGAAAAGAAAAAAGCCAAAGAAAGCTAATCCTCTACTTCTGATTAAGGAGCTTTGAAGAAATGGACCAACGCTGGTCTGCTGTTTCTGATGAACGAGAGCAGCAAAAAGGCTAGCAGAAGAAAAACCAGAGAGCTGTGGTTGGCCCATCATTTCCCATGTGGACCATGCTTTGAGACCCAACCTGATCGATTCAATTCTCTCTGAGGAGAAGCTTGGCAGGGACCCAGCGGAGTCAGGTCACACCCAAGAGGTCAAAAACATCTCAATGACAGCAGCCTTGCCTATCCAGGAAGGAGAACGCTCAGACTGATAAAATATTTCACTCATGGGACCAGAGGACTGGAGTGGGGAGGATGAGGAGGGTGGACAACTTCTACCACATGTATTTTCCTCCTTTGTCCACTTTAACCAATAAACAGCCTTCTCTCCCCCTTATTAATGCCTATGTGCTTAACATAATCGAACCACGTGGCTAGGTTATGAACAATCTGCAACAATCTAATTCCCCTGCCCAACCTGGTGTCCACTGACAACATCAACAGCTATCAAATCTTTTTAAAGTTTATTTCTACGCATTCATTTATTTTTATTTCTCCCCCAACCCTCCTTTAAAAATCCAAGTGTGAAAGAAGATGGTTCTATAGAGTCAACTAATATTTCACAAGCACACTAAGAAGACACAATGGGGAAAGGATAGTCTCCTCAATAAACAGTACTAGGAAAACTGGATTTCCACACACAAAAGGACAAAACTGGACCCTTATCTTATACCATACATAAAAATCAACTCAAAATGGATAAAAGACCTAAACATAATACCCGAAACCATAAAGACTCCCAGAAGAGAACATAAGGGAAAAGTTCCTTAACACTGGCCTTGGCAATGATTTTTTGGATATGACGCCAAAAGCCTGGGTCATAAAAGCAAAAATTAATAAATGGGACTACATCAAACTACATCAAAACCTTTTCTGCACAGCAAAGAAAACAATCAACAAAATGAAATGGCAACCTATGAGACTGGGAAAAAGCATTTGCAAACCATATACCTAATATGGCGGTCACGATCCAAAATTTATAAAGAACTCATACAACTCAATAGTAGAAAAATAAATAACCTGATAAAAAATGAATAAGTCACCTGGATAGACATTTTTCCTAAAGAAGACATAAAAATGGCCAACAGATATATGAAAAGAAACTCAACATCAATTAATCATCAAGGAAATGCAAATTGAAATTAAAAGCACTATGAGGTACCACCTCACACCCATTAGGAATGCTGTTGTCAAAAAAGTCAAGAGATAACAAATGTTGTTGAAGGTGTGGAGAAAAGGGAACGTTTGTACACTGTTGGTGGGAATATAGACTGGTGTAGTCATTATGGAAAACAGTATGGAGGTTACCAAAGAAACTCAAAACAGAACTACTATAGGAGCCAGCAATCCCTCTTCTGGGCATATACCCAAAGGAAATGAAATCACCATCTCATTAAGATATCTGCAGTGCCATGTTCATTGTAGGATTACTTACAATAGCCAAGATACGGAAACAACCTAAGTGTCCATCTACAAAGGAACAGATAAAGAAACTGTGATATATTCATGCAACAGAATATTATTCTGCCTTAAAAAAGGGGATCTTGCCATTGGCCACAACATGGACGAACCTAGAAGATATTATGCTAAGTGGTATTATACCAGACACGGAAAGAAAAACACCACATGATCTCACTTATATGTGGAATCTTAAAAAAAAATTTAATATCAAACATACAGAGATAGAGAATAAAACAGTGGAATGGAATGGGGGAGGTGGGGAAATATAGGTTCAGAGGATACAAAGTAGCAGATATGTAGGATGAACAAGACTAGGAATCTAACGAACTGTACTATATTTGGGATTCCTGATAAATGAACAGATTTTAGCTGCTCTTGGCACAAAAACAAAACAAAAAAAATGGGGAACTGTGAGATGATGGATATGTTAATTTGGTTCACTATAGTAATGATTTTACACTCTCTATGTATCATACCATAACATCATGTTGTACACCTTATAAATGATTTTTTTAAATAATCTTTTTTATAAAAAGAAGAGGGTTCTCACCAATCCAAGTCACTCGCCAAGTGGGGTGGCCTGAGAGCCACAGGTTAAAGGCACCATTTGATTTCTAGTAGTGAGCTTGACAATGAACGTGTTCACAGTGAAACCTAAAGGCTTACTGGCTAAGAAACTGTATTTAAAATTTTAAAATACAAAAGCAAAAACTGGTTGAGCTCTAGTTTCAGTTCACCTATTTTATGCGCTAAAATTGTCTAACTTCAATATCCTGTTATAGATAACCAAAGCATATTTATTTAAATAATGTACCTCTCAATCTTTTTTGTCCACCAACTAACTTAACAGTAAAATAGGGAAAAGATGATAAAGACCTGGAAAAAGAACAAATGTAACTGGCACATACTCTGTGACAGGCCTCTTAGGCACTTTACATATGTTATTTCCTATAAGCCCCACAACAACCTTTCAAGGAGGCAATTACTATTTTCAGTCCTCTGGATGAAGAAAGCTGGGATGCATAAAGCTTAGGTCACTTGTCCAAGGTCACAGCTGGTGACAAAGCTAGGATATGCAGAAAGAACTGAAGGGCACCAAAACCTCAGTCCTACCCCTAGACCATGGTACTCCCACAGGCCCTCCTGAGCTCTCCGAATGGAAACCAGGGACTCCCCAAGGTAAGCTACTTTTTGTCAGTGAGCTTAACATGTTCCTTGCGGAGGCTGCTGTTTTCTGCATTATTACTTCTGCAGGTCTCCCAGGACCCAGTTGGATACAGAACCACCACTGCTGCTGTTACAGCAACTGTCTGAAAAACACAGGATAGCCCTAGGCAGGGTAGAAGAGTCTGGGTAGAGAGAGAGAGGGAGAGAGAGAGAGAAAACACACCCATGCACTCACACTAGCAAGTAGTTGTAAGAGGGTGTATGTTGAATGGCACAAGTAAAAATAGTAAAAATAACTGCAATAATGGAGAAGTAAAGATAAATCTGAAAACATCTAGAACAGTGTTCGCATTTCTTTTCTGATGGGTGTGGTAGGAATATCAGTATCTAGAACATTAGTCCCCACTTTTTAGATTATTTGTATATTTGAAATATTTTGTTAAGAGTGAAATTGAGGCCAGGCAGTGGCTCAAGCTTGTAATCCAAGAACTTCGGGAGGCCAAGGCGGGAGGATCACTTGAGCCCGAACTTTGAGCCCAATCTTTGAGGAGTTTGAAACCATTCTGGGCAACACAGTGAGACTGCATCTCTACAAAAAAAAAAAAAATTGTTTTAATTAGCTGGATGTGATGGTGTGTGCCTGTCTTCCCAGTTACTCCGGGGGCTGAGGCAGGAAGACTGCTTGAACCCAGGAGTTCAAGGCTGCAATGAGCC
Organism: Homo sapiens; assembly: GCF_000001405.40. NCBI lineage: Eukaryota > Metazoa > Chordata > Mammalia > Primates > Hominidae > Homo > Homo sapiens. The sequence continues at coordinate 41,194,271 of NC_000004.12, forward strand.
ATGATTGTGCCACTGCACTCCAGCCTGGGCAACAGAGCGAAACTCTCTCTCAAAAAAGAAAAGAAGAGAGATCATTTATAGATACAGATATACAGATATCAGTATAGATAAAATAAATATACACATCTGGGGCCGGTCACAGTGGCTCATGCCTGTAATCCCAGCACTTTGGGAGGCCACGGCAGGTGGACTGCTTGAGCCCAGGAGTTTGAGACCAGCTTGGGCAAGATGGCAAAACCCTGTCTCTACCAAAAATACAAAAATTAGCCGGGCATGGTGGCAGGCGCCTGTAGTCCCCGCTACGTGGGAGAATCGTCTGAGGATGGATGGCCACAGTGAGGTAAGATCATGTCACCGCACTCTAGCCTTGGTGACAGAGCAAGACCTTGCCTCAAAAAATAAAATAAAATAAAATAAATACACACATCTGAAAGGTTATCCAGACTATTAACTATTAACAATGAGACCTCTAGGGTATGGGAAGAGAGAACAGAGGAATTTGTACTGAATACTTAAAACAATTCTGTATATTGAAGTAAGATAAAATCTAAGGAATACTCACTCACTCGTTTTTCTTTTTTTAATTTTTTCTTTTTTTATTTACGTAATATTGGATCACTCATAAGTTTTCAGTGGTTAATTACTACAGTTTAAGAAGACGTGTGATTTATTTTTAGATCTGACCCAGCAGATCATACCTCTCCCTTGAATTACATGGTCTTCTTTTGGCTTCTAAGATGTCACACTCCTGTCTTAGTGGCCACTGCTCCTCAAGCCCCCTTTGCTAGCTCTTCCTCATCTGTCCAGCCCTAACCTGACCGTGCTATGTAAGTCTTCTCCGTCTTCACCCCCTCCCTGGGTGACCGTTATACTCCCAAACCTACAGGCCCCTCTCAGACCTCTGCCCTAAGCTCTAAACTCGTAAGTCCAACTGCCCAGTCCATATCACCACTAGGATGCTGATGAAACACCTCAAATGATGGTATCCATGGCTGAAATCCCCACCAAAACCAGCTCCATTCCATCTCCATTCACAGCAGCCTCCTGCTTCCAGCTGCTCCGACTAAGATCCTCAGAATTGTCCTTGACTCCTCTCTTTCTATCACACCCCACATTCAGTCCATCAACAAACCGTGCTCGCTCCACTTTGAACAAATATTCAGAATCCAGTCATTTCTTGCCACTTCCACTGCTCCTACCTGCATCCAGTTCTCCACCATTCTCCCAAACCAGATTACCACACAAGAGCCTCGCCACAGGTCTCCCTGATCCACCTCAGCACCCCTAAAGTCTGTTCTCACCACAGCTGCCACAGGACCCTCATAAAATGTAAGTTAGATTGTTACCCTTGCCTGGAGCCTTCACATCTTCGTTGGCAGCAAAGTCAAGGCCCTTTCCGTGTCCTAAACAGCCCTACAGGTTGTTTTCCCACCTTCAGCCCTACCCTTAGATCCTTCTGACTCCTCTGCTCCTCCTCCCCTCACTGATCCCATTCCCACCCTGCTGACATCCTCCACTCCTGGAATACCCCTTCCCGCCATATGCACAACCCAGGGGATCCTCCCTCAACTCTTTCAAGTCCTCTCCTCGATTTAAAAATCACATCCCGGCCAGGCTCAGTGGCTCATGCCTGTAATCCCAGCACTTTGGGAGGCCAAGGCGGGCAGATCACAAGGTCAGGAGATCGAGACCATCCTGGCTAACACGGTGAAACCCCGTCTCTACCGAAACTACAAAAAATTAGCTGGGTGTGGTGGCGGCGCCTGTAGTCCCAGCTACTTGGGAGGCTGAGGCAAGAGAATGGCGTGAACCCGGGAGGCGGAGCTTGCAGTGAGCCAAGATCCCGCCACTGCACTCCAGCCTGGTCGACAGAGCAAGACTCCGTCTCAAAAAAAAAAAAATCACATCCCCTCCTAGCCCATCCCATGATCACCCATCCCCCCGTCTAGTTCATTTTTCATCACAGCACTTACAGTTTGTAATGTCAATTACGTACTATGGTTAGTTACTGTCTATAGTCCTGACACTGGGTGCAAGTGCCACCAAAGTTCAGATTTTCATCTGTTGTGTCCACTTACTATACCCCTAGCACCTAGTGGGTACTCAATAAACACATGCTGGATGAATACATAGGTAACCTTTGCCCAGCCACTTATTATCGCAAAGATTTTAAACACATTCAATGCAAAAAAATTCCATTATCACCATTTTGCTGTTTTTGTCTGGAACTTTCCAAAACAATTTTCAATTAAGCATCTCCCCCAAAACCTCACTGCCCCACATCCAGTGCTGGTCTTTGCTGTTCCTGTCGTTGAGAAAAGCCCCCTGCTTTTTTTTTTTTTTTTTTTTTTTGCAAGTGGGGAGAGGCTTAGAAGGTTTGACCACAAGTGTTAACAATTATCTCCAAATGTTGAAATTTCTAGTGATGTTTACTTTTTAGTCTCTTTTTGCCTGACTCTTGCCATCATGAGCACATTTTCCTTTCATGATCAAAGAAAACCACAATTGGAAATAATCCTCCTCTTCAAAAATAAAAATAAAACTAAGTGAGACCACAGTTGAAATCATGCATTTGCCATCATAGCTCTGAAATGTGTGGCCGAAGAAATCCCACACACTCCTTTCCCCCTCTGAACACAGCCCAAGTGAGGCGGCACCACCACGGAGGGTGTGCTCCAGCACTAGTTTTTTTAAATTGTATTAGTTCTGAACATAGACTGATGTCACTGGGTAATTTGAAGACAATTAACAACAAACCAAAACTATCTTTAAATTGATCACTTAAAGATACAGGTGGTTCACCAGATTTAACAACAAAATCATGTTGGCTCAACATGCCGGTTTATTTTTTTTATTTTGCCTAATCAGCAATCTGTACACAACTTTGTGCCAATGTCTGGCCTATTTTAATATTTTTTTCTCCTGCTCGAACAATATGCATGTTATTTTTTCCCCTCTTAATACCAGTGTTCAAATGGTGAAAGTTGTTTTCAAGAGAGTATATGGGCTCAGGGCCGCAGCATTTATCCAAGCCCACAGGAATCACTGAACTGAACTAAAAATATTTGATGAGCCTTCTTAATGCTTATCTTCCAATAGCAAATACAAGAATAATAACACTAATAAAAGCCAGTATTTTCTGAGCACTTATTTTGGCCAAACACTGATCTAAGCACTCCAAGTTATCTACCCAAAGCCTGTGATCCCCACTTAAAAGATGAAAATACAGAGGTACAGAGAGGTCAAGAAAGTGACTCAAGGTCATACAACAGTAACTGGCAGAATTTCAATCCTGGCTCCAGAGTCTATACTCTTGTAGCACTGTGACTGCTGGGTGTCTGCTGTACCTGCCAACGTCTTTAGAGATGCTTCCTCCCACATCCTCTAAGCTCTATTCTGCCTTTGTTGCCTGGCAAACTCCTACTTAACCTTCAAAACCCGTCTTAAAACAACTTTTCCTGATACTCCTAGGAGATTTAATCACACTCTTCTTTCTACCCCCATATTCTTTGTTCATATGCTATTTCACTAACATGTAGACGAATAAGTCTCCCCCATTTGACTATGAGCTCTATGTGGAAAAGAGCTCCATCTGATTTATGCATTAACTCCCTACACTTAATAAAATGCAAAAGAATGAATTTACAAATTTGAGGCCTTTCTGGTTTCATTTGATAATATAACAATATTCATTACGTGCTGACTATTCTAGGTACTTTAAGTATTTTAACTCATTTAATCCTTACAATAACCCTACTGAGAAAGGCGCTATTATTGTCTCCATTTTGCAGATGTGGAGGTAGAGAAATAATTCAAAAATTCTATCACTCCCCAAGGCCAGAGCTGATAAGAACTAGAATTTAAACCCAAGCAGTCTGGCTCCATATTCACCACCTCCCTAATACATGTCTCTGAGGTCCACAGGAAAGGCTACACCCAGCTCTTGCCCATAATGCTACCACAAGGAACATGTCCTTCTTCTTCATGTTAATGGAGGAATAAGCGCCTGATGGATCTAGGAAAGCAGGGATCCTGTCTGCCTGGGCCAACATGTACACTTACTGGCTAGCATATGGCCTGTCATTAAAGAGGAAGTTCAGGAGATATTTGTAGAATTATCAAAAATCATTTCCTTTTAGCTTTGAAACAATTGGTTTTTGAAATATAATAGCAGCAAGCACTGTTCAAAGTGCTATACATATATTGTTTTATCCTCAAAACAACTATAGGAAGATGGTGTTCTTTTTAGTCCTATTTTACAGATGAGTCAACTGTGGCACCATGAGGTTCAGTAACTTGCCCAAGATCACAGCATTAGAAGGTAAACCCAGGATTCAAACGCAGGCCGACTGACTCCAAAGGCTTGTGGATTAAGTGTCCTGTGGCTGCTGTAAGAAACTGCTATAAACTGGGTGGCTTAAAACAACCAAAATTTATTCTCTCTCGGTTCTAGAAGCTAGAAGTCTGAAATCAAGGTGTTGGCAGAGCCATGATCCCTCCAAAGTCTTCAGGAGAGGACCCTTCCTTGTTTCTTCAAGCTTCCGGTAGCCCCAAGCATCCCTTGGTTTGTGGCAGCACAAGTCCAGTCTCTGCCTCCATCTTCGCATGTCTTCCTTCTGTGTGTCTGTGTGTCTGTCTTTATACGACACTCTACCTGTGTGTCTGTGTCCAAATTTCCCTCTTCTTCTAAAGCTTAAAGCAAGCCAGGATAAGCAAAACAAAACAAAAACAAATTTCCCTCTTCTTATAAGAAAACCAGTTATAAGGAATTAAGAACCCTAACCTACTCTATCCAGTATGACCTCACCTTAACATCTGCAAAAACCCTTTTCAAAATAAGGTTACATTTGCAGATATGAAGTATTAGGACTTCAAGTTATATTTTTGGGGGGGACACAATTTAACCCAAACAGATGCCCTCAATAGAACTGACTCCAGAGATGCACAGAGATAACTCGAGTCTCTTTAACCAGTTACCTTATAAATGCAAGATTTGCCAGTTCTCAAACTACCCTTCAGAGTAAGGAAATGGTTAATGGTTTGAGATTCAAGGTTTCTCTTTATACAGGTAAATGGAACACATCCAAAACATACATGAGAAACTTTCTTTGTCATAAAAAAGCAAGTCTTTCCCTAGAAGAGAAGCTAGTTAATATACCAAAAAAATTCCAAGGGCAGTACTTATAATCTGCCTACCTGCCCACTGCTAATTTATTGTGCACCTCCTTTTCTTGCACTAAAGCAACACCTTTGAATTTTGACCAATGAACAATAATTAAATAATTTGATAAGAGCAACCTATAATCATTGATATTTTATTTGTTAAACTCTTAATAGAGGTGCCCATTTATTTTAAAAGCTTGTGATTCTTTGGGATCTACAGCTAACAGTTTAAGATTACATGCAACTTTCAAATTTTCATTAACCTGACAATAACTAGCCTTCAAGGAAAAACATAAATGAGGTACATAATTATTCAAGTAAAAGGGTATGTTTTGAATTTATCTTATTAATAGCTTCACTGTTCTTCCGGTGTCTAGTGGCAAACTTGTGCATTTGCTCTACATCAGCTATACTTTGTTCACTTCTAAATCATGAGAAATACATTCACCATGCACTGGCAGCCTGATTTCCTCTGTATGCTAGAAAACAAAGAAATTTCCACAATAGGCTAATTCAGAATTTGGCCCTTTAGACAGATTTGGGGAAATGATCTGGTATGAGTAATTGTTAACCAACCCACTTCAAGAATTACTCTTTGAAATCATTGTTAACCAACCCATTTCAAGAATTACTCTTTGAATGACATCAGACACAACTAAATGAATATATTACGCTAGCATCACCTACATGGTGAAAAGCACCACGTAAGTTCCTTAACTCACTTTAAATACCAAAATACAGCATTCAAGTCAAAATGCACTATAGAGCAAAGCTGGTCAAAGCAAACATTGTGGTGAAAATGACATTTCTGAAAATCAAATTCTTATCATAAAATTCAATCAGCTTTCTTGTATTCTATTACCCTGACTGAAATAGAAGAGGAAGTACTAACAGGTTATTCCAAAGGATAATTCAATAATTTTGGAAGAAATGAATGACCTATTTTTTTTTTAAATAAAATTAGCCTTTCTCTAGAAAAATTATACCACTATTAACATGGAATAATTTAGCAAGTAAAATTCTATTTTACTAGTACACCACATTAAAATGCAATTTTCAGACTAATATATTTACAGAGAATATTTTGAGACTGCCAGTTGCTCTCCCCTGGCGGCTGGAACTTATCCTCCGTGATTATCCTGAGCACATTCTCAGGACAGAATGCTCAATGATTTGAGAAATAACTGATTTTTTTTTCCTAAAGAAAACATCGCAATACCAGTTACAGCCTTTAAAAGTATGTGTCACTCTATAGAGCATGTAGAAATTTTCTTTGTTTAAAAAATGCAAAGTAGCTACAATTACAACCAAATACAGGTAGCACTTCTGACATCTTTCTCACACTGCTTGGTCCTTAGACCTCTCTATCGTCCTGGGGAATTCCCAGTGTTACAATCTAGTAGCTCTTGTGTTTTAAGAAAATATTCAGGGTGTGTGTACATGTGTGTATCTGTGCATGTGTATTCACATATACTGAGTGCTTTCTCCTTTGCAAATTCTGGCCCCTTAATCTTCATCTAGTGCAACTCTAGCTGCATGCTCTCAAACAACCTTAGTGTGCCTCACCTTCCCCATCTGTATTAGGAGATTATAACAGTATCTACCTCTTAGAAGTACAGCATCAAATGAGATAATCCATGCAGTGCATTCATCACAGTGACAGTTGCCTTATACGGAGGGCTCATTAAACACTGACCTTTATAATTCCTATAGGATCCCATAAGATTCCTGTAGGGAAAGGAGGTAACTTGTTTAGGGTTACCACGCTGATCAAATCAAACCCAGAATCAAATCCCAACTGATACATTTCCCAAGCCTATCAAACTGTAATATGAAGTATCAAACACAGAGGGACTGTCATCTGTATTTTCTGAAGATAATAAAAGGGAGGGGAGACAGGTAAGAATAAAAACCCAAACCATGTAGTTGAATAAAAAGCATTTTAAACCTACAAAAGGTGGAGCATCGCTAATCTGAAAATCTGAAATCCAAAATGCTCCAAAATATGAAACAAAATATGAAAAGTGGCTAAATATCTTGATTACTTGCTCTATATAGCAAGAACTTTCACATGTTATCACAGTAAACCCTTCCCACAGCATGGCCAGGTAAGTATCACTAAAGATATTTTACAGATGGGAAAAGCACACGTGGCTCAGGGAGAAAAAGCTGTTCACCTCAGGGCACCCACCTATATCCGTCTATCCCAGAGTAAGGCCTGAATTTAAACCCAGATCTATACAGATAAAGCCTATGCTCTCTTTAGAACAACATGGGCAAGAAAAAAAGGTTAGGCCAGCTAGTCACTTGGCTTTGAGAATACACTCAGCAGGGTAAATGGGAAAGGTGCCACAGTTTTTGAGAATATGCCAATCAAGTTCATTTTTACCAAATTATCTCCAAAGTGCAAGTCAGTAATATACACGGCCAAAAATACGCCCCACATAGATCATACCCAATTCACAATTTGAAACCTGTCTGGATGAGTAGCTTGGTGTCAAGTTCAGGTGAGTGGCGTCTATACCCTCCCAGCTCCTGGGGTCTGTGACTTCCCCGCTCCTCGGAGCTTCAGACCCAGCAGCAGATTGCACTGAGGTGAGAACATGCCCCCAGGAGCTTCAGTCTAGTGCAAATTAATTTCTCCTTGGAATTTTAACTATTTTTAAGTGTATAGTTCTGCAGCATTAAGTACATTCACATTGTTGTACAATGATCACCACCATTCGTCTTCAAAACTTTTCGTCTTCCCCAACTAAAATTCTGTACATATTAAACAGTAACTCTCCATTCCTCCCTCCCCGCAACCTCTGGCAACTGCCATTCTACTGTCTGTCTCTAAATTTACTGTAGGCAATCCATACAAGTAGAATTGTACAATATTTTTCCTTTTGTGACTGGCTAATTTCACTTAGCATATGCCAGTTCTCTTTTGTTCCCAATTAGTTTGCTTAAAGAAACACCCCTGAAATGCACATCCTTTAGAGGAAACAAAAATGAACACACAAGAATTATTTTTTCCCTTTTACTCATTGCTAACAGGATATAAAAACACTAAGGATGCTTGGGAAGGAGGAAGAACGATAACGCCAACAAAACCATCCACAATCCCACCAAGAAACCATACTATTTTTGTTTCTATTCATTCTCTTATAATCTTTGGCTTTATGCAAACAAATTTTTTACAACTGCATCACATAGAAACATTCACATTGCGTTGTTTAACTTGACCATTTATCAAAATGATGTATCTCTGAGCATTTCAAAAATTAACTTTCAAGGTCAATACTAACGTAAAATAAATGTGCTTTAATGAAAATCTGTACCCAGCTCTCCTGTTGTAGAAATAAGTTTAAACTACCTGAAGTTTCGCTGATATAAAGAAATTGTTCTTGACAAGACAGCACTGTATTGTTAATAACTGGGGCTGCAGAATGTAGGCAAACGTTCAAACCTTCACAAATGTTCGTATAAAAATCATTTAAATGTTAAGCAAAATTGTATATATACTCCAAATGTGGCAGTCTATCTCATTATTATTTCTCTCATGGGAGAACAGCACAACAGGATCTAATGAAAATCCTGTTTTCTTTACAGGAAATAAAGATAATCATGCCACAAATCCACATTCTCCTCAGTTTTTTTTTTTAATTGGTTTTTCTTGCAATCCACATGTTTTCAGAACTAAGAGGAAGAAAAGATAAAAATTCAATAAAACACCTCACTTTATTTTTGTTTCTTATTTCTACTTGCAGCTTGTAAAAAAAAGATACACATATACACACACACACGTGTACACGTAACAGCAGGATCTAGTACTAGTAAAGGAAAATGATTTAAACTGAAATAAAATTCAAGTCAGCAGGAGATGACTGTGATCATGAGACAATGATACATAAACTGATGGAATGCAGAACTTCCTTTATTTTTCTTAGTAGAAATTATCTCAAATCTTAGGAAAAGAGGCATTTTTTGAAAATGACAGTGATCTGATTGCCAAGTCTCATGAATAAGAACAGTCAGTGTTAGTTTTGTTTCACCCCATTCACATATTTTCTGCTCAAATAATTGGAATTTGAATGCAGGAGGTTTTCCCCCCTGAATTCTGGAACATGGAGACCCTCTCCACAGTGATAGTATCCAACATATTCAGTGTTCATACTTCCTATCTCATTTAGGGAGAGCAGAAATGCCACGAATACAGAGACCACTAACAAGAGGGCCCCAAAGTCTAAGTTCCCAGAAACAGTAGGAACCTCCAGGAGCTGTAAGCCCCAATTCTCCCCAGTACTCCAGGCCTGGTTCCCTTCCTGTGTGAACTGTTTCCTGGGCCGTCTCCCTTTATGTCTCCAGCTCCATCAATCCTCTCCTCAGTCAAACCCCACTGCATCTTTCTGGAAACTGCTCCAAGCATGAGAAATCAGCAGCCTAGGATGGATGTCTCCTCACATCCCTGACAACTGAACCAAACACTTTTACTCTATATTGTTTTATCTTAACAAACATGCTTTTCAAAAAGACCCATCCTGGACTCTCTCAAATGAAAATTTTCAGTGAGCCTGCCCCACCTTGTCCACTTTCCCACTTGCTGTGCCAAGCAAGAACCATAAAGATATCAGAGAATGTTTAAGCTACTTCCTGAAGGAGTACTGAAAGGCGGTAAAGAACAGACAGGAGGGATGGTCGCAGGCAATGGCAACAGGGGATAAAAGCCGAAAGGCCAGAGAAAATCTGGCATGTCGTAAGAACGAGATGGAAAGCAGATCATGAAATATGTTCGGTGCCTCATCAAAAAGCTTAGACTTCATCCTGAGGGCAGCAAGGAGCCCCTGAAGAGTTGGGATGATATGCCCAGATCTGCAGAAGATTTCAGAAGATCACCTTGGAGGCAGTGTACAGTAGAAACAGAAAGAGACCAGGAAAAAGGCAAGTGCAGCCTCCAAGGTGAGAAGCAACCGAGGTGGGAGGGAAGGTGGAGGCACGCATTCAGAAACAGCAGGCTCCATGCGGGAGCTAGAGTCAGGGTGCCTTAAGGAACCATAAGATAGAGGTCCAGGTGCACTGTGGAATAGACTTAGCATCCCTTCTCCTGGAAGCTTTGCCCCACACACTCCCCACACCCAAGCAGGATAAGTGCTCGTCTGGGAAGCACTGAGTATTTCTCCCAGTAATACGTATCACATAGTACCGTCATTCATTCCTTAGCTGTCAGCCTTTCTCTATAGACCCAGAGCTCCGAGCAGGTAGAGGCAGTGGCCATCCTGGTCAGTGTCCACGTGTGGCATCTGGAACAGTGCCCAGCACTTGGGAAGCCAAACTGAGTGAACAGAGCTGGATAAGCCAGGAGGCCACTGCTCTCATTCAGGGGAGAGATGACTGTGTCATGGGAAAGGAATTCGAAAGATATAACAACTGAGCTTCTTAATTTCTCTCTAGTCACCATTCAAAACACTGAATGAAATGCTTTCCAAGTCAATTATGTTATGAAAATTCAACAGTAAATCTGATCTGTTGAGTGATGTCCACAAAAGCTCACATCCCTGTGGAAAGTCAGAAAGGATCATGGTTTGAGCCCTTTTACAAGCAAAAATTAGGCATAATTCTAGGCCACATAGAAACTGCCACCTCATTGGGATAACAAGTTTACCTTCTTTTGTTTTCAGAATAATTCTGCAAAGCCTCAAAGCAGAGGATGGAAACATTTCAAATCCTGCTGACATAGTCTGCATCTTTGCTTTGATTTTTAAATATGATTCCAAGCAGGCAGATAATGTTGTGACCCAATTACGGGGTATTTTGGAAGTAGTAGGCACCCAACTTGGGAGTGGAGCTGGTGGGTGTAAAGGGAAGAGTTACTAAGCAAGCACTACCACCTGCCTCTCAATCCTTCACGGGATTTTACAGAGAAGGGAGCTATGGCAATCAGGAAGTAATGCAACATCTCCCCTGACCCGCTTCCCATTTTCTCACCATTCCCAAAATAGACAGAGCTAAGGAAAATCATAAATATAATTCTCAGCCCTCTAGGGAAAAGCTCATTAAGGGCATAAATTTGGGTCCCTGGGAAAAAAGGGATGAAAGGCAAAGCTATTAAAAATCTCAAGAGATGAGACAATGGGAAATAAAGCCAACGGACAAAAAGGAACTAGAAAAACACAAAAACTATGGCCATTTCCTACACCAAAGCATACTTACAGGTAGGGCTACAAGCTCAACTGCCCTGGATACTCTAAACTCAAGCTCTTTAGAGTCAAAAGGTAAAGTTTTTGTTTAAAACTAAAAATAAAAATACTCGTTAAGTAAGGTCTTATCTCACATCAAGTATTGTTCTCTGCCCTTATACATTCACTGATGAAATCTTCACAACAATCATATTATATAAGCACAATTAGTATTCCTATTTGCAGATGAGCAAACTGAGCACTGTGTAATTCTGTTGTCAAAGTACAATTCTGTTGCCCTTTGTCATATGGCTATTAAATTGCAGAGCAGCACTGGGACTTGACCACTAAACCCCTGCTGCCTCCTTCTAGGGCTATCCTTGCACATGTTGTAGGATATTTAGTAGCATTCTTAGCCTCTTCCTACTAGATGCCAGTAGTTATCCCTCCACAGTCACCATGACCAAAATGTCACTGCCAAATGTTCCCCAGTGAGCAAAACTGTCCTGCTTAAGAACTACTGCCACAGAGATTTGAAAGGCCAAATCCCGAGTTCCCTTACAAAAGGAGTAGCAAATCCTGGGTGGTAGGCAGGAATAAAATTGAGTTAAGGAAAGATGACAAAGGAAGCAGCTGAAGGGTTTGCTGTAGTGGGAATTTTACATGAGGAGTCACTAGCCACAGCTCTTGCCACTCTCGCAGGATTAGGACAGCCTTCCTTCCCCTCCACTCCCATCACACACATGCCTCTACTGCAGCACCCTATAACCAATGTTCTGGTACATTCCTCTCTGTCCTCCTGAACTTAGCACAGTGCCAGGCACAAACTATGTACTCAATAAGCATTTGCTGAACAAAGGAAGGAACAAATGAAGCCGAGGTTTCTGGATGTCACCAAATGAATGTCTCTCTTCACCAGTGTCCTGGAAAAGGTATACACAGACCTTGGTTCTTGGAGAGGACAAGAGGTTCTGATCAGATAATCTGAAGAATCTGAGTCTGAATCAATGCTTCCCAAGGTGTCTCTACACCCAAATCATGCCTCTGCTGTGTTCAAAATTTGCAATGTGGTATATGATCATTTCTTGAAATGTCAAGGAAATTTTAACGGTATTAGTTCCCCCAGGAATGAAACAACTCAAGAAACCTAACTCATGCTAAGGAAATTCTGATTTATTCACTTCCACTGACAAACAATACCACCTAGCAAATTGTGATACTCAATGTGGCAGGTCGACTCTTGCCCAGGACAGAAGTCTACCTGAGAAACAGAAGGAAGATCAGAAGGTAAGAACAGAGCCAGCACCAAAGAGCAAGCAGGATGCTGCCAGGGAGAGGACCCATACCTGTAATCCCAGCACTTTGAGAGGCTGAGGCGGGCAGATCACTTGAGGTCAGGAGTTCGAGACCTGCTTGGCCAAAGTGGTGAAACCCCAGCCTCTACTAAAAATACAAAAATTAGCCGGATACAGTGGCGGGCACCTGTAGTTCCAACTACTTGGGTAGCTGAGGCAGGAAAACTGCTTGAACCTGGAAGGTGGAGGTTGCAGTGAGCCGAGATTAAGCCACTGCATTCCAGCCTGGGCGACCAAGTGAGACTCCGTCTCAAAAAAAAAAAAAAAAAAAAAAAAAAAGGAAATAATTTGTTGTTATTGTTTTGACACTCCTTCTTCACCCCACAATAGCAACCAAAACTAAAGGTGAATAACAGCAATTCCATGAGCAAATCATTCTGAAGCTTCCTCCAGCAATTCAAGGCTCACCCTGGAGGGAATGATACTGCAGAGGTCTGGGCCAAGCTGGCTATTACACAATTCTAGGTTCTATGGCTTTCACCCATCACCATTTCCTAGAATCACTAACTAAGAATTGCTAAAGAGTGTTGTTTTGCCAGAAAGAGGCCTGCATGCAAAGAATCAAATGTCAAGATACATCTTGAGGTTCACCTGCTGAAATTCACACTTCAACCACTTGCCCATTCTGTTCCCTTACACCCTCATCTTTCATCTTGGTGCTTTCCTTGTCATTCTCAAGCTATAATTCAAAAATAGTCACTGGCTCCTAGGGCACTTTCAAAATTAGCTCATTCACAGTTCCTAGGACCTTGGGTGACTCTATATTCCTGGAAAGCCCAGGGGCCCCATCAGCTGACCCACAAACTCCACATGTTGGCCTGGCCTCCATGACTCAACTCAATCCCAAGGGCAGGCCTCCCTGCATCTCAGGCCCAGATTCCCAGACTTACCAATTTCATGGACCATTCAGCGGCTAGATAAAAATATTCCTATCAAATCATAAAAGAATCTTACCCAAAAATGAGAAAGGCATAGTATCAGAGAAAAGGACATATCTTCTTATTTGAACAATTATGACATATTCACTACATCATTATCATCATTGTGATAAGAACAGTGAAAACCACTAACCAACAATAAATGACCTGTGGGGCTAACATTATGCTCTGCATATAGGAGATACTCATTTACTTTTATATTGTGTGGAAACTGAGCTCTGACTTACACGACAGGGACACATCCCATACCTCCAGTAATGCCAGGCCTTCCTTCTTCAACAATGGCATTTCCCTTTACCCTCTGGAATTCCGCAAAGTCTCTCCAATCTATCTCACCCTCTTAAACACACGTTTTTCCTTCTACCTCGATTCCAATATTCTGCATTCTTTTTTTTGAGACAGAGTCTCGCCCTTTCACCCAGGCTGGAGTGCAGTGGCGCGGTCTCAGCTCACAGCAACCTCCACCTCCTGGGTTCAAGCGATTCTCCTGCCTCAGCCTCCTGAGTAGCTGAAATTACAGGCGTGTGCCACCATGCCCGGCTAATTTTTGTATTTTTAGCAGAGACGGGGTTTCACCATGTTGGCCAGGCTGGTCTCAAACTCCCGACCTCAAGTGAGCCACCTGCCTTGGCCTCCGAAAGTGCTAGGATTACAGGCATGAGCCACTGCTCCCGGTTTCTGCATTCTTTTTCATCAACTTAAAAAAAACGACACTCTTCCTCCCACTCTAAGCATTCCTGAAGCATACTTGCCAATGAGTTACACTTCGGGAACTTCAGTTATTACCTAGCAAACAAAGTTTGCAAGATTTCCACAAGAGGAAAAGAGAGGGTAGAACTGGTAAACTTTGTTTATAACCACTGTCAAGTCATTAACCAACAACAAAGAAAAGCTTTAATCCATCCTTTTCTATACCATTCATTTCTTTCCATGTTCTCTTCTCGTATTTGTCCATGTGAATCTGTACATTTTATATATCAATAAATTATATATTGGGATTTTTCTCTGATTATAAAATAAATATACGTCCATTACAGAAAACAAGATAAGATTCAAACACCATGGAAATAAATTATATAGAAAGGGAATATCTCCTGTAACTCTACACACAAAGAGCTCTAATACCTTTAAACTGATCAAGCTTCTTACTTCCTGCCCAGTTGTGTGACTTGACCTTCCACCCTCTATGCCCTTCCTCTCTCCCAGCTCTCATCTAATGTCTGGAGTTAATGACCCACTCCTAACAGGGGTCCAGGAACCCTGGAGCCTGGTTATTAGAGGAACTAGAGTCACTCTCCCTTTATTAAAAATTATTTCAATGGGATAACAACTCCTCACTGACTCACTTAAAGGTTAATGAGGCTGAGTTTTGTGAGCCTCTTGAAAGCAAAATGCACTAAAAACACCAAATGGGATTGGTTTCCTTTGCTCTCTGCCCCATCGCAGCTTGCCAAGAAAAAAGAAAAAAAAGCTCATGATCCTGCTAATGACACTGAGTAGACACATTTCACCAGCCACCACTCCTGCTACTGCAGCAGCCAATCACAGGCATCTGTCCAACACAGTGACAGGGCTAACGTCAAATGAGAGTGAAAGTCGTATTCCAGAGACCAAGGGCTGCATTTCTCATCGAGGCGAGGAGACAAAGGCTGGGACACAGGAAAGGCTTGCCAAAATTTCACAAGGGTGGGCCTGGGAAGCAAAGCACAGGACCCCCTCCCCTGCAGCCTAGGTAGAGGTTTCTTTCTCAGACTATCTGTGTGCTCAAGAGCAGAAAGTCTCCCCGCAGAAAATGCTATGAAGTAGTTTCAAATGTCGAATACACTTTACCCAAATCTAATCATTACCTTATCTGCTAACTAGACTGGCAGGGCCATAAAGTTAATTTTATGACAACCATTTTATAACAAATGAAAACTATAAGGGAAGTAGGAATTGGGCAAAAAAAGAAGGGCATTGGACAAAGCAGTGACAAACCAGACAGGGAAACACAAAATCACCTCCAAATAATGCTCTAAACCAGTGGTCTCCAGACAGCGTTCATGGAAGACAATTTTTCCACGGATGGGGTTGGGGATTGGGATGAAACTGTTCCAACTCAGATCAACAAGCAGTAGATTCTCATAGGGAGTGCACAACCAAGATCCCACACATGTGCAGTTCACAACAGGGTTCACAGTCCTGTGAGAATCAAATGCCACCACTGATCTGACAGAGGTGGAGCTCAGGTGGTAAAGGTCACTTGCCCGCCGCTCACCTCCTGCTCTATGGCCCGGTTCCTAATAGGCCACTGACCAGTTCAGGTCCGAAGCAGGGGGCTGGGGACCCCTGCTCTTAAACGAAGACCTCTCTCCTCGAATGGCTGCATCACAGATCTCTAGACTGGGACAAGAAGGACCCGATAGACAACCAGAGGGTGACTGCAGCTCTCTCATTTTACAGATGGGAAAACAGGCCCAGAGACATAACTGACTTTTTCCAGGTAACACAGTGAATTGAAGTAAGGGACAAGCCAGCCCCAAAGGCAAGTCTTTGGGGTCCCTGGTTAGTAGTCTTTCCTCCAAATCCCCCCAGACCCTTTATTATGGAGAGTCTGTTACTCTGCCTCTGACAAACCATTTCGGCTGAGAGAAATGCCGTCAACACATATCAGCATGCAGAATATGCACTAATAACACATTAAAATCAAAATGGCTAATCTGGGTTTATCTTCTGACATCTAATTTCATTTGTTGGTAGTGCAACATTATTGAAAATAAATGAACACAAAACAGTTTTAAAATCTGGATAGAACCTTCTTGAAAACATTCAAATCATTCTGAAGATATGCAGTTCCAATCAAATTTAATTCTAAATAACAAATCAAAGATGCTTTAAAAGAGAATGCTTACTGAATAATAATGGAATCAATTAAAGATATTTTCATATAAGATAAAAGTTTAAAGCTCTATTGCTGTGAAATCACGAGCATCTACCTTTTCAGAGGGGTTTTCTTAGACAGCTGACATTTATGCATAGATGCTTACAGCATAAGATGATATATACAAAACCTTAATAGGATAATAGGACACATAAAAAGCACTGAACAGACCAGGCGTGATGGCTCACGCCTGTAATCCCAGCACTTTGGGAGACCGAGACTGGTGGACCTCCTGAGGTCAGGACTTGGAGACCAGCCTGGCCAACATGGTGAAACCCCATTTCTACTAAAATTACAAAAATTAGCCAGGCGTGGTGGCGGGCACCTGGAATCCCAGCTACTCAGGAGGCTGAGGCAGGAGAATTACTTGAACCTGGGAGGTGGAGGTTACAGTGAGCCAAGATCGCGCCACTACACTCCAGCCTGGGTGACAGACTGAAACTCTGTCTCAAAAATAATAATAATAATAATAATACTAGGCACTGAACAAATGCTGGTTTCCTAACCCCATGTAGGAAAATAAGTATTCCCCCCATAACCAGTAATAACTTATTACAATATTTTCCTAAAAGTCTGTCCCACCTGCTCCCCTCCCCCGCCCCCGGAAAACTTAAGGTGTTATATCACAAGGGTATTGTCCAGTTTTGTTTTGTTATTTATTTACTTATTTATTTATTTTATTTATGTATTTATTTTGAGACGGAGTCTCACCCTTTTGCCCAGGCTGGAGTGCAGTGGCGCGATCTTGGCTCACTGTAACCTCCACCTCCCAGGTTCAAGTGATTCTCCTGCCTCAGCTTTCCCAGTAGCTGGGATTACAGGCGGGAGCCACCACACCCGGCTAATTTTTGTATTTTTTTAGAGACGGGGGTTTTACCTCTTGGCCAGGCTGGTCTCAAACTCCTGACCTCAAGTGATCTGCCCGCCTCAGCTTCCCAAAGTGCTGTGATTATAGGTGTTAGCCACCGTACCCGGCCAGGTATTGTCTATTTTTAAAATGAAATTGAAAAAGGTACAGAGACACGACATACCATTTTTCTTATTTTTTCCTTCAACTTTTAAGTTCCAGGTACGTGTGCAGGATGTGCAGATTTGTTACACAGGTAAACATGTGCTATGGTGGTTTGATGCACAGATCAACCCATCACCTAGGTATTAAGCCCAGTATCTATTAGCTATTCTTCCTGATGCTCTCCCTTCCATTTTTCTTAAAAGATAAATTTAGATATCCAGTACTCAGGATAGTCCACACACATCATTATTCTAATATTATGACAAGGCTTTCAGTATTCATTCCTGTGGTAACAGAAAAATAAAAGAATTCAATGTTCATATGCTGTTTTTCTGGTGGCAGGAAAAGAAAACAGTCATCAAAAGGTTGAAACATGACAAAAAGTACCAGTTTAAAAATATTTTATGTTTGTACATGTGGATTCTTACAATATATGCAATAGTTTTTTCCCAAGTAATTTTGGAGTCAGTATTCACATTACTCCAGCTAAGTGTAAACACCAGTATTTTGCACTTTAGCTCATCAAGCTTTCTTTTTTTCAGAAACAGGATCTCACTCTGTTGCCCAGGCTGGAGTGCAGTGGCGTGATCATAGCTCACTACAGCCTCAAACTCCTAGGCTCAAGCAATCCTCCCACCTCACCATCCAGCTTTTCAATTACCACTTTATAAAAATTTCAGAAAGCCAGTTCACATTGGCTCCTTGAAGGTGAATTTATTCAGTTAAAAGTATCCATTAGAAGAGGGAATAAAAGCATAGGACCTAAAAACCTTCTGTGGAAAGGATCTCAACTTTAGAGTCGTCTCTCAAAGGCTCTCAGCAAATATCTAGAGACGTGGTTACATCCAGTTTACGAAGACTGTCGGTGACTTCGGGGTCATACAGTACATGGACAACGAAAGAACAGCAATTGAAATCTTGTACTTGTACCCCACCACCTTCCGCCCTATGATCAACCCACTGTACTCTACTGCCACCTGTGTTCTCTCGGCATTTCCCCAGCCTGGAGGTTTCCCCATTCTCGCCACAAATACCATCCTTCACGAACGATGCCATTTCTAGGATGTTGCAAGTTATGATAAACAACTGTTGAACAAATATTGCTTACAAGCTACAAGTTGAAAACGAGAAGGTTGCTACCTAAGTTCATGAAGAAATCCCCTTTCAAGGATTCCATCTGTTCCTAAAAGGCCAGCCACACAAATTCTAATACTCTGCATTATTATGGCCATTTGGGGACAAGATTTTAAATCTGAAACCATGACAAGAAAAAAAAAAAAAGCAAGATTTAAGAGAGTAAACTCCAGAAACAACAGATCAAACTGCCATTGTGTTTGTTTTTTTTAAATCAGTGAAATATTAAAACAAATGATAAACCCATGCCAACCTCACAAAGTTTCCTCATTCCTTGGAATTCAAACACCACCGATGGCATCATTTTATGATAATCCTTTGGGTATTTCACGTAAGTAATTAGACACAATGTAAAGCCAGTGACTGAGGGACTTAAACAAACTGTCCCCTCCGAGAGCCCAGTTGGAGCTTCCGACACTGACCTTATTCTCCTCTCAATTTTAACCCTCCTCAACCACTCAATCCATCCAAAAACGTCTGTGACAGTCGTGGCTCTAAAACCGCGCAGAACTTGACTACAGAACGGTCGGTGACAACTCCACATATGATTTATCCAAATTAATTTATTTTTTTGAATTCTAGTCCCATGCTCCCTCGGCTGTTTGCCCCGAACCCGTAGTCTACACCACTTCACCGACGTGAAGACCACCTTTCATTGTTTCTATGGGTCTCAGCATCCTTCCCTCCGTCCAGCTCTGTTCTCGCCGCACAAATGTCATTTCTAGCGTACCACCCTCCATTCCGCCCGGTGGGCAGCGCAGGGGCTTTCGGGTCCCAGTGGCCAGTTTCCTGGAGTCGGTCCCCTATGCACAGCCATTTTCTAGTTAAACGCTCTCTCTGCCACCGAGGGGGAAAAGGAACTTTTCCCCCCTTTCATGTCTCATGGGCTGGCCTCTGAACCCCTCGTGGAGAAGCCAACCCCGGCTCCAACTCCCCGGCAGGAGCGCGCTGCCGCCCAGGAGAGACAGCCGAGCGGCACAGCGGAGGCCGGTGCCAGGACAAGGGGGTGTGCGCTCTTCCCGCAGGCGCCCACCCTCACTTTTCCCCTCTGCAGTCCCCACCCGGGCGCACCGCCTCCAACCCGGTCTCCCCCGCCCCAGGCCCTGCCAAGCCGGGGCTGCTGAGGGAAAGAGGGCGCCGGGAAGCGGGAGGGATGGAAGTCAAGGAGAGTGAGCCCGCAGTCGCCGTGCCACTGGCCCTGCGGCGCGGGCGCAGGGCGCACGGGACTCCGCAGCAGGCGCCCCGCTGCAGATGCCGCGGCAGCTGCTGCAGGTGTGGCTGCGGCTGAGCGGGCAGCAGTGGCCGCGGAGCCCCGGGGCCGGGAGCAGAGGAGAAGCCGCCGGGGGAACCCGCAGCCGCTCGCCGCACGCTGCTGCCGCTACCCGGGTGTTTCCCCAGCACTCTCGTGCTGCCCCGGAATCCGGGGCAAAGGCAAGGAAGAAAGCTGGGCTCACCAGTGGTGCGCGCGGCGCTCGCCTCGGCTCCGGCGCCCAGCGGCTCTGCTCCAGTCTCGCCCTTCCCGGAGCGCCCAGATCAGATGCGGTTACAGCGCACTAGCTTCCTACTTGAGACCAGAACGGGCTCCGGCAACTGAGCATGCTCAGTGCCGTTCCGCGAGTCCCGCGCAGGGAGCGGCGCTGACGAGATTCCACTTCTCCAGGCTTTGGCAGCGGCTGCGCGAGGGAAGGCTGGAGGGACCCGGCGGGGAGGGGGCCGAATGGGAGAAAGGCGGGGCCGGGGGGTGGGGGCCGGGCAGAAGGAGGCGGGCCGCGCTCCCAGGGCGACCCCTGCAGGTGGAGGCGGCAGGGCCTGCGGGAGGCACCCTCCCCAATCGCCTGGGAACACGCAGGGAGGCAATGGGTCCCCCAGTAAGACCCAAAGGCAGGACGTGCAGTGCAGCCCGGGTATCCCCTCCGTGTGGCTGGTGTCTGTCTGCACCAAAAGGCAGTTGGGTTACCTTAGCCCTGGCTTTTCTCCCACACGCCAGCATTCCCTTGCAATAGGAAAATGTCCCCACAGGAGAGCTGCCCACACCCACCCAGGCTAACTGCAAGTTGTAGGCGACACCTTCTCCTTCCTTCTACCTCCTATCCCCACCCCCAGGCATATGCCGCACACACACTCTTCTTTGATCCGGAAATCACAAGATAATATCAGGGGAGAGATACAACTGCCGGAGAGGAAAAGGAGGTTTTCCTTTCCATTGCCAATAATATTATCTATAACTCTAATTGTAAGCGTGCAAACAAAGCCCTGATAAGAGTCGAGTCTCAGTAAACGGTAAACCGTGCTCTGCCCCAGACGCTGTGAATGACATCCCCAAAGTATCCTTAGGATTGCTCTTCACCAGGGCAGCGGTTGTCAAACTGGAGCCTGGATCAGAATCGCCTGGAGGGTTTGCTGAAGTACAAATCCCTGAGTCCCAATCTGTGTCTCTGAATGGGTAGATATGTGGTGGGGCCCAAGCATCTGTATATCTAACAAGTTCCCATGGGATGCTGATGCTGCTGGTGTGAGGACTATACACTTTAGAGAACCCTACCCATACACACACACACACACAGTCCTACCAAGGATCTCGAATTAAAAACTCACGTGATTCTTCCTATGAGGACTCTATGCAGTGGGGTGGGCATTACTTTATTCTTTCCTACATGAGTTTATTAAGGATCCACGAGGTCTTGTACTAGGCCTGAGGATAGTGGTGAATTTAAAAGCCCAGGCCCCTGCTTTCATGGAATTTATAGTCCGGCCGGGTGACAGACACCTATCAAATAATCACTCAAAACGGTTATTTCAAACAGGTAGAGTGCTGGGAGGGAAATGCACAAGGTGCGAATAGAGTGTATAGAGGGACCCTCATGCAGACTCAGTGAGGTTGTTACGAAGGGATGGGAGGGGGGCTGCCTTGTGGAAGGTGGTTTCTGACTTTTGCACTCCAATAACCTCTCCAATTAACAATTATCTCCCTCAGACCGAGCTGGAGGCCAGCAATCATGTCCCTCCTTCCTACAACATAAAAACAATACTGTCACAGAGAAATCCCTATAAATTCATGAAAAGTGTTTACTCTTGGGACTGAGTCTCTGCACCCCAAGATCCACCTAACACGTCCGTGGACCAAGGACAGTCGAGGGCCACAGTAGACCTCTTGGGGAAAATACAGGCTCTCTGAACTGGAGAGCCTGTGGTTCTTAGTCTGTGATCTTCAAGGCCAAAGAGGCAAGGAAACCAGCCCAAGACCACCATTCCCGTCAGGAGCGGAGATCGACCAGCCTCCAACCTTGCAGACGGGTCCTCTTTCCAAGGCACTCTATTCCCGGACCTCACAGCTCCCCTCAGATCCCCGGAACCCGGCCTGGCCACCCCGCTCTCTCTCGGGGGTCCGGGGTAGGTGAGCGGAGCCTGCCCCTCCCAGGTCGGTCTCTTCCCGACGGAGAGGAAAACCCGCGGTGGAGTCCGCGGCGGCGGGGGGGGGGGGGGGGGGGGGGGCGGGGCGGCGCGCGCAGGCGCAGAGGCCGCCAGGTTGGGCCGAGGAGGCGCCCTGCTCCACACCTGATGCAATCAGCCTTCCGGAAACGGGTCCCGCTGCCGCGCTCACCCAGGAAACACTTCCGCGCCCTCCTCTGGCCGCTGAGCTCCCGGGGACGGGTTCCCAAACTCCCCCGGCCCGACTTCGCCACGGGCGGTGTTCTGCGCCCCGTCGGGGATACGCCGGAGAAGTCGGGAAGTCACTGCCTGGGCACACAAAATCCCTGAAATGCCCTGACAGTGACGTCGAAACGGCCACCAAGCGTTGCGCAGCTGCAGGAGGAAATTCCCTTAATTATGAATTTACAGAGGGGACTGATCGGGGCCGGAGGGAAGGCTTTGACCCTTCCCTTGCTTCCTTCCTTCGTCCGCCTCCCAACACATTGTCTCTCTCACTGAAAGGAACGTTTAACAGCAGTTTTAAGGCAGTATGGAGAGGAATCTCCATGCCCTCTGTCTTGCTAAATATGTAACAGCACTTTAGCTTTGCTACATAAAGCTTTCCCACCGCGCGCTCATTTTATAAATACGTAATTGGTTTCTGCATACCTCATCATTTCAGTTTACAAAGAAAATCATTTCTCGTTTCACCACTTCATGCAATTTTTATATCTATTGTGAGTGGGTTTTTTTCTTCATGCTGACTCACCCATTAATTGTTTTCCAAGGAAATGAAATATCCAAGAATATTCCAAGAGCATGTTTTTTAAAGCATGGAAGTAAACGCTGTGAACAGTAGATAAAACTGACCTCTCTTAAGTCCCTTAAGGCCAAAGGTCCTCCTAGGGAGTTGGGGGAAGGAGGCAGATCCAAGGAATTTTATTTGGAAGGATACCTCAAGACCATTCTAGAATCAAATCAAGATCAACTCTTAGACTTTACAGATGACATTTACCTCTCTGTGGCCCAGAGAAATAAATGACTTCTTTATTTAGACAAACCAAAGGCAGAACTGGCACTTGAAGCCAGATTTCTCAAAATTCCAATCTAATGGGGAAAAAAAAATGTTTTTTGCACAAACACCGTAGGGAGTGCAATACTATATTACAATGCAGTTTTACAATCCAAAGATTACAAAATACAAAATAGGTGACAACAAAAGGGATCCTATTACTTGTTCCTGTGACGTCATTAGTCTTTAAATAGTCCATGATCAACAAATATCCAGCCACTTCTAAGTGGCATTGAATAGCCAGAGTCTAGGAATTAAATATTTCAATTAAACAGGTATGAGTCAGGTGCAGTGGCCCAAGCCTGTAGTACCAGCTACTGGGGAGGCTGAGGCAAGAGGGTACATGAGGCTGGACGTTCAAAGTTGCAGTAGGATCTTGCCTGTGAATAGCCACTGCACTCCAGCCTGAGCCACACAGCAAGACCTCATCTCAAAACAAAACAAAAAAAACAGTATAACTACAAAACATCAAGAAATCTTCTGTGCCAACATTAAGAACTTCTAGTATTATTATTTGATTGTGTGGTATATGTGCAACGGTTTGAGCTTAAACCAAGGGAATTTTAATGATCACAACAAAATATCACGGTCATGATTTTCTTCTGTAATGATTTTAAATACTTTAACAATTTAGTAATCAAAGTGAAATAAAAAACAACTCAAAACTCATGCCTGCAATAAGATAAAATCTAATTCTTCAAAACTCTGTCTACCTTCTTATCTTGAGGAATGAATTTCTTTTTGGAATGTTCTGACAGAGATCTGGAGGAACACCTTCTATTGAAGCAAAAATAGAGTTGAGTAAATGTCAAAATGCAGAGGTACAAAATACACACTGTCACACGGTACTAGTTTTAGAATAGCTAACTCTTACTGACTATTTAGCATGTGCCAGATACTGGCTAAGCATTTTCCATAGGTTATTTAACTCAATCCTCACAACTACCCTATAAATGAAGCACTATTATTATCCCTATTTTATGGATAGGGAAAGTGAGGCTTGCAAATGTGAAGCAGCTAACTCAAGGCACAAAATATTCATTGGCAGAACTGGGATTTGAACCCAGGCAGTTTTCCTGGAGCTTGAGCTCTTAAATAATACTATGTATGGAAAAATGTAAATACAGAGAAAATGACTATAATGATTCTCAGATAAGAAAGGAGAGGGAGTATTGTACTTACTCTCCTAAAGATAAAACATAGTAAAATAAGTTTGTAGTCCACACTAGGAAAAAACCTTTTGCTAGCTAATAAATTATGGTCCCCAAATATAGGACCAATATTACCCAGAGGTATGAGGCAGATGATCAAATATCGAGTGATTTTTCAGGGGTACCAGCAAGGCCTCTTCTCTGATGAACCCTCTACGCCTGACTGGTTTCTCTAGTCCTAAACCATCCAATATGGCAGTCACTAGCCACATATGCTTATTTAATCTGAAATCACTTAAAATCAGTTAGAATTAACTCTTCGGTTCCTCTTTCATACTAGCCACATTTCAAGTGCTCAGTAGCATATGGCCTAATGACTACTGTATTGGATAATGTAAGTAAAAAGCATTTGCATCACTGCAAAAAATTGTATTCAACAGTGCTGCTCTGGGCCTTAATGTCATTAGGGCAATCCTTTAATCTCTCTTCATACTGCACTATTCCTGGGAGGACCATGTTTCCATGGTCTACCTTCCCATTGAGCTTCAGTCCTATTTTTCCAAACTAAAATTATTATTAGAGTGTAGAAAGGTACAAAGAGGTACAAAGCATAAAGTCCCCTACTATCATGGAAAGAATAGGGGCACTGGAGTAAGACCTTATTTCACATTCCAGCTCTTAGTAGTTGTGTGACCTTGGGCAAGCTACTTTACCTCACTGAATCTCACTTTTCTTATCTGCAAAATGGGCATGTTAATTTTTTCATTATAGGTTTATTTAAGATTAAATAACATATGTAAAGCTTCTGGTAGGCCTCACATAGGATGATTTCCTTCCTTCCACTCCTATTTCAGTTAATGACATTCCCCAATTACTCAGGTTTCTAAACTAGAAATCTCAGTCATCTTCAATTCTTCCTTCCTCCTCAACCACCCGCATTAAATTAATCACCAAGCCCTTTTGCTCCCAACTCAGGAATGCCTGCCTCTCAAATGTGGGCCTGCCTCTCTGTCCTCACTGTCCACTGTCCTCACTGTCTTTTCATGCATATTTCAGAATCCTGCTAACCAACCTTGATGACACCCATCACTCCCAATCCAAGCCCTTTCTTCACACCGCTGCCAGAGTGATCCTTCTAAAAAAAGGTGCTGATGATGTCATTCTTCTCCTTTAAAACCGCTGATGACTTCCAGTTGCTTAAAGATAAAATCTTAACTACTAAACTGAAGGACACATAATCAAACTCCATCACTCCATCACTGCTGCTTGTTTGGTTGGTAATAAAAAGAAAATTAAAAATATAACAACCCTTATTCCATTTCAAAAATATATTTGGATTCCTCTACTACCAACCTCTTTTTTCAGCCACCCCGTCCCCAGCTCATACCTCTCCCTCTACCCAACCCCCACTACACCCACACGCCAGCAACTTATGCCCATGAGGCATTCCTGCAAGCACGTAGTGGCCTTTCCCGACTCTGCCCTTGCACACAAATCTCAGGCTGGACTAACACTTTTACATATTCTTTATCTGGCAGAATTTTACTTACTCTCTAAGGTCCAGTTCAGATATCACTTCTTCTATAAAAGCTCCTTCAACTCCTTCAGGGAAAGGTGGACACCAGCTCATCTGTGATGCCATAGATTTGAGATAGATTGTAGATGCCGTATTTGGGCTACCTGGGTTTAAATCCTGGCTGCATCACTCTCCCACTGCTAGTTTTGGGCAGACGACTTAAACTCTTCACCCCTCAGTTTCCTCATCTGAAAACAATGATAATCATAGCATGAATATCTTATTGTTGTTACCAAGCATGTGAGATATTGCACGTGAAGCTCGTAACAATGTATCTGGCCCACAGGCAAGCACTCAATACAGATTATCTTCAAATTGTTCCCACTATTATTAATTATCCATCTTATCCTTTTGTCTCAATGTGAATTTTTTTTTACATTTTAAATAATTTTCAATTAAATTTTTATGTTTTACATTTACATTTGATTTTTATATTAAATACAAGTATTTTATTACAGAAGTACTTCATTATTTATTGATTAAAATTTAGGAAATTCAGATGACATGCCAAAGAGATTACATTCTCTATTGTATGAGACATCTCTTGGTTACAAGCAAAAGGAACTCATTCTGGTTAACTTACCCAGAAAAAATAATTTCTGAGAGAGTTGTCAGGCAGCTCACTGTCTCAACCCAAAGATGGAGAATCAGGTTAAGAAAAGGGTCGGGATCCATGGAGGACTGGCGGCAAATAACAGACAAGACCACGGCACAGTGTGTCACCAATGGCACAACCCCATGGGCCACTTGCTGTGGCCACAGTTCCTGAACCTTTGCAACTTAGCTGAAGTAGGAAGAGCATCTTATCCCCTCTCCCACTCACCCACCCCACGATCTTTACCTATATTTGGTCACACACAGGCCAACAAATCTTGCAGTTACAAACTTTGGTGCCTTTGCTTATGCCGTTCCTTTTGCCTGAAATAGTCTCGCTCTGTCACCCAGGCTGGAGTGCTGTGGCACGTTCATGACTCACTGAGGCCCCGACCTCCCTGGCTCAGCCTCCCTCGTAGCTGGGACCACAAGTGTGCACCACCACACCCAGATAATTTTTTTATTTTTCGTTGAGATGAGGTCTCACTATGTTGCCTAGGCTGGACTCGAACTCCTGAGCTCAAGCAATCCTCCCACCTTGGGCTCCCAAAGTCGTGGGGTTACAAGCATGAGCCACCACACCTGGCCTCCTCACTTCTTGATTCCAGAGCTTGCCATATGTTTTTGTAGCACTTCACACATAGTACAGTTAGATGTTGTATCATTCTTTGTTGCCATGCTGTAAATTCCTATCTTCAGCCACATCACAGAGAAGACACTTGATAAATATCTGTTTAGTGAATGAAAGGAAGAAAAAAATTAAATTAGTTTTTAAGGCACTGCACTAAGCACTTCACAAACATTAACTCACTGGGCACAGTGCCTCACACCTGTAATCCCAGCACTTTGGGAGGCTGAGGCCAGTGGATCACTTGAGTTCACAGAGTTTGAGACCAGTCTGGGCAACATGGTAAAACCCCTTCTCTACTAAAAATACAAAAATTAGCCAGGCATGGTGGTGCACACCTGTAATGCCAGCTACTAGGGAGGCTGAGGCAGCAGAATCGCTTGAACTCAGGAGGCAGGGGCTGCAGTGAGCCAAGATCACACCACTGCACTCCAGCCTGGATAACAGAGTGAGACTCTGACTCAAAAAACAAACAAACAAACAAACAAAACCATCCAAATGTTAACGCAATTTAGTCTCAATTTATAATAGTTTTTCCTCAGATAGGCTGATTACTCTTTTATAACAGAGGAAACTGAGGCCAAGGGAGTGAAATTACTTTCCAAAGGTCACACAGCTAAGGGACAGAGGCAGAATCTGAAGAAGGCAGTCTCGCTCCAGAGCACAGGCTTTCACCTAAAGAGATGTTATGACTCTGTGAAAGGTAGTACAGGGCCCTTTTTCTAGAAAAATTCTACCACATCTTTTTTTGTTATTTAAAGTGCTGACAGTGTCTTGGTAAGCAGAGAAAGCTAATTAAATGTTTCTGTACATTTTTAATATTGAAAAACATATTTAGTAAATTTCATAAACACGTATTCAATCATTCCTGAACAATGGTAATAGACAGCTCTATACACAAATTCATAGAAACTCAAATGAGCACAAAAGCACACAATAAAATTCATCACACTCTTTGTCTCTGCCCTTCCCCCAGGTTACCAGGAGTTGTTAGTGCAGACACTGGCATTTTATTGAACTGGTTCCGGCTACAAGGAATTTATGTTCTTATGCCCAGGGCAATCTCCTTCCCTGGTTATATGATATCTCTCACCACTCCTAGAATCCCTCTTTTGGTTATCATCAAACAGCAGAAACTTGACTCCAGAGCACCAATGTGCAGGGTGCCTCACAAGTAATTGTCTGCATGATAAGGGCAAGAATTTAAATCTTGTGAATAGAGGAAAACCATCACCTTCATGTTCACAGGGTACATAAATTACACCATCCAACCTGAAAAAATACTCCATTTTAAATTCATATAAACATAATTAAATAGGAATGGGGAATCTGAAATGAGGAACACTGAGAGAGAAGACATTTAAAAATAACTAGAAATCATTTACAAGAGAAAATGCTTTGCTCATCCCAGAGATAGATAAAATATATATTGCTAATTTGCAAAGACATTGATAGTCTTCTTGATCAAGCAAGGGATTTATAGTCTCCTTTCTCTATTTGTTCCTGCCAGTATCTTCACTTTTAAGTGCCTCATTACAAGGTCTGCAAAATAGGAAAAGAAAGGAAGATGGAGAAAAAAGATCTAAAGATTTCTTTTGCTTTTAAGAGCTTATTATAACAAGCAAACATTTGTCATTAGGTTAAATGAAAGAAAGCTAGCTCCTTACAAATATCTGAGATCATAAAAACCAAACTTGGTGGGGAAGGGACATTAGTATAGGAAGAGGTATGATTAAAAGTAATAGCACAGAATTAGTAGCTAATATGGAAGTTAGATATTAGCAAAAAAAAAAAAAAAAAAAAGATTCTTGGTAGGGTCAATTAGATAAAAGGAAAAACTTCAAAAGGATATAACAAGTGCTCCATCCCGTGAGACTTTTAGAATTAACCTGGACAAAGAGCTAGAATATATTTCGTAGAAAGCAATCTTTTCTGACAAGCTGGTAGATTAGCTCTAATTGATTTTTCCACCTCTAATTTCTTTGACTCGCTGAAATGCTATTTGTAGAAGACAAATGAGCTTTCCTTGAGGTTGAATTTTCTGTCTTTATTTTAATCAAATGAGATATGATTTCTCATGAAAATGGTTTCCAAGTCAATGGCTTTGCAAGTAATAATTTAACTCTTATTTAGACAATAAAAGTTTAAAAATCAAAGTTATAGCATTAGTAAACATGACAAATCACCATATATTTTCTTCCATCATGCACTGGCAAAATTCTTGGAATAAAGTTTCCAAGAAGTGAAGGAATAGGGTACAGGAAAAGTGGAGCAGGCTAATATTCTACCAGTTTTTACCTTTTTGTAAAAGGTAAAATAGCTTCATATCCTCTCTAGAAAGTTATCACTAATAGAAAAACACTTAGTTCTGTTGAAATTATGTTAAAGTTTGTATCAGATAACAGTTCTGAGAACATTAGGTACAATATCGTATGCATGTTATTTATGTTATTTGTTGTCATAAAAAGAGCAAAATTAAAAATGTACTAGAAAAAGTTTTGCCTAGAGTCTGAATTTTCTAAGAGAACACTTAGGGAAAGAGGAGAGGAAGAGGAAATACTAGGTGAGGCAGGGGATAGATCTCTTTCTCCTCATATATATATTATATATATATATTTAATATCTAAAGTCTTATATATATATTTCAAAGCTGTTTCTACAAATTTTAATGTGTTATTTTTTTCATGACTCAAAATATGACTAGAAAAAATATTCTAAATTTTTAAAATTTTTTTTACTTCAGGTCATAAAAATATTTTTCCCTATTACAGTCTGACAGGTTACAAGTTTTGTGTATTTTATTTTGTTTCGTTCTCACATTTAAACTTTAATTTGTTTTCTAATACACTGTGAAACAGGGATATAACTTTGCAAGCAGAAAGCCAACTGTTCTAATGCAACGTATCAAACAATCTTTCCATCGCTACTTATTTATAATGTCACCTCTATTATATGTCCAATTCTCATTGGTCTGTTCCTATGCTCTCTATTCCCTTTCATAGACTACTTCTTCTATTAGGGTGGTAATATTGCACTATTTTTGTTTCTATACCTTTGTAATATATCTTGATATCTGGTAGTGTGGGTCTCTCTTCTCTGTCCTGGTTTATCAAAACTGACTTAGCTCTTCTTTCATAATATCTTTTCCACATAGAATTTATACTTCCAATATCAATTTTGATGAAAAATCTTTAGAATTTTATTGGTATTAATTTTTTTTTGAAAGAGATTCTTCTCTTTTGTTATTCCTAAACTGTTTGGTAGCAACATTCATTTAACAAACATATTTGCATACCTAGTAAGTAGTAGGCAATGAGTTGGTTATTGTGCTATTTGGCCTGTTAGTCCAAAAATAGTTAAACTATCAGAGTATTATAAAAGACACAAGCCATTAATCAGGCTCATCCTGGCTGACTGTTTTGGGTTGAATTGCATCCACCCAAAAAGATATGTTGTTGTCCTAAGCTAGTATCTCAGAATGAGACCTTATTTCATAACAAGGCCAGACAGATGTAAATTAGTTAAGATATGATCATACTGGATAGGGTGGGCCCCAATCCAATATGGCTGGTAGTCTTATAAGAAGACAACTACGTGAAGACACAGGAAGAATGCCCCCAGGAAAATGGAGGCAAAGATTAGAGCGATCCATTTATAAGCCAAGGGACACTAAAGATTGCTGGCTGTCAAAAGAAGCTAAGAGAGAGGCATGGAATAGACATGACCTCAGAGCCCTCAGTAGGAACCAACCTGCTGACATTCATTTTTATTTCAAACTTCTAGCATCCAGAACTGCAAGGGAATAGACTTTCGTTTTGTGTGCTTTGTTATGGCAGCCCTAGGAAACTAATACACTATTCATTCCAAATAAATACCTTTATAAATAGTTAAAAATTATACAGGAAATTTTTTTTAAGACAGTGTTTCACTCTTGTTGCCCAGGCTGGAGTGCAATGATGCAATATCAGCTCACTGCAACCTCTGCCACCTGGGTTCAGGCGATTCTCCTGCCTCAGCCTCCCGAGTAGCTGGGATCACAGGCATCCACCACCATGCCAAGCTAATTTTTGTATTTTTAGTAGAGACGGGGTTACACCATGTTGGCCAGGCTAGTCTCGAACTCCTGAGCTCAGGTGATCCACCTGACTCCACCTCCCCAAGTGCTGGGATTACAGGCGTGAGCCGCCTCGCCCAGCCAGGAAAATGTTCATTAACCTAAACTAATATCTATAAACTTTAGAGACAGTCAGAGGTGTCAAAGACAAAATAATGAAGTCCAAATAATTCTTGCAAAATGTTACTTTCTTTTTCTGTGATGACATATTGACTGCACTTTAAAAACTCCCTAGGTCCAAAAAGTGACTTTACCTCCAACTTATTTCAGTATTGATTTTGTGAAAATATGTAGAACGAACACGAAATCTGATAAATGGATCCTTCAAATGTGATTGCAATAACAAGAGGCACAATACATGTCTCAAGTTTTGGAGTACAATCTCCCCATAGGTATTGGCCTCAGACAATCTTCTATATTTCAAATATAACTAATCCTATTGCCAGGAGCTTGGGGGAAGGGGGGAATAGGGAGTTACTGTTTTATGGATACAGAATTTCAGTTTTGCAAGGTGAAAAGAGTTCTGGAGATGGATGATGTTGATGGTTGCACAATAGGAATGTACTTAATGCTGCTGAACTGTACACTTAAAAATGATTAAGATAGTCAATTTTAGGCCGGGTGCGGTGGCTCATGCCTGTAATCCCAGCACTCTGGGAGGCCGAGGCGGGCAGATCACGACGAGGTCAGGAGATGAAGACCATCCTGGCTAACACGGTGAAACCCCGTCTCTACTAAAAATACAAACAAATTAGCTGGGTGTGCTGGCGGGCTCCTGTACTCCCAGCTACTCAGGAGGCTAAGGCAGGAGAATGGCGTGAACCTGGGAGGCGGAGCTTGCAGTGAGCCGAGATTGCGCCACTGCACTTCAGCCTGGGTGACAGAGCGAGACTCCGCTTCAAGAAAAAAAGGAAAAAAAAGATAGTCAATTTTGTTACATGTATTTTACCACAATGTTAAAAAATAAAAAAATGTAAAAAGTAAGCCAAGCTGGAAAAAAATGTATATATAATTAATGTTCCATCACTGCATTTGAGAACATAGGTACATAGTTCATACAATAATCTATGTTTACAAAGTAATTCTCATTTTTTTAAATTGAGGTTGGCGATGACCCGCCATATTAGGGCACCTCAAGGCATAGGGCTAGAGCAGGCCAGAGCAAAAGAGAAAATGCAACTCAAGAGTCCAGGAGTATTCCCTAATCCAATACGGCTGGTATTCTTTTTTTTTTTTTTTTTTTTTTGAGACGGAATCTTGCTCTGTTGCCCAGGCTGCAGTGCAATGACGTGATCTCGGCTCACCGCAACCTCTGCCTCCCAGGTTCAAGCTATTCTCCTGCCTCAGCCCCCCGAGTAGCTGGGATTACAGGCACGCACCACCACACCCACTAATGTTTTTGTATTTTTAGTAGAGACGGGGTTTCACCATATTGGTCAGGCTGGCCTCGAACTCCTGACCTCGTGATCCGCCTGCCTTGGCCTCCCAAAGTGCTGGAATTATAGGCGTGAGCCACTGGGCCCGGCCATGGCTGGTATTCTTATAAGAAGAATATAAGAGGCTGGTGATGACGAGGACTAGAGGATCAAGGTGATATCATCAGAACTGGATCTTTCTCCAGCTCCATGTCCTGCCTCTCTTTTCTGTCTGAGCTGAATTACCCTCTTGCAGGGCCCCTTTCCACAGTGGCTCTAGGTCCTCAGAGTGGTTAAATTCCTGCTTGAGACAAAAGACCTGCCTTCCTTGATTCTTCCTGACTAAACAGATCCTAAGAACTGGGAGTCAGTCTCTCTTTCTTAAACTGAGTTCTTTATACCATGGGAACATACAACACATTCTAGGAATTATTGGAAATCACAGGATAAACCTACATCCTCCTGGAGTGACAAATGTGTTAGGAAATTTGGAGAAAATACTTGATATTAGAACATATATATAGACCAGGCACGGTGGCTCACGCCTGTAATCCCAGCACTTTAGGAGGCCAGGGCAGGCGGATCACCTGAGGTCAGGAGTTCAATACCCTGGCCAACATGGTGAAACCCCGTCTCTACTAAACATACAAAAATTAGCTGGGCATGGCGGCGGGCGCCTGTAATCCCAGCTACTCAGGAGGTTGAGGCAGGAGAATAGCTTGAACCCGGGAGGCAAAGGTTTCAGTGAGCCAAGATCGCGCCACTGTACTCCAGCCTGGGTAATACAGCGAGACTCCGTCTCAAAAACAAAAACAAAGACAAAAATACACACACACACATACACACACATATATAATGAAGTAGACTAAAAAGTGGGCAAAAGTTTTTTAGATGAAACACAAGATGTCAAAAGGCACATTTCTCCGGAGGCAGGCAACTGGGGACCTCTGGAGCTCAAAGTTCTGCTGTAAGGGGTAGGTTAGAGGGAAAGCACAATGGGAAAGCTGGATGAGCAGACTTTGTGATGGCTGCTTTGAACCAGAGAGGAAGACAGGCTCCATCCCGCAGGCCAAGCAAGAAAAGGAGAAAACCTGGAGCAAGCCTGGGCCTTCATAGTTCCATGAAACGAACCTATGATAGGCTTTTGTACTTTCCCGTGTAGTAACTAACATGCTTGAGGGCTTCCTATTTGCTAAACGTTGTGCATATATGAATTCACTTAATCCCAGAGGCATTCTGTGAGGTGGGTACTGTGAGTATTCATATTTTCCATATGGGAAAAATGAAATTCAGAGAGGTACAATAACTTTCCTAAGGCAACTGGAAAAATATGTGAGTATCTTCATCTCTTTCCACATTTTGTGTCTTCTCCATTTTGTGCTAATAGAATGTAGGACATACAAAAATAGAGAGATCCAGGAACTTGTTATCTCTAAAATAAAATGTCACTGAAGTCAAAAACAGCTAAAATCAATGCTTGAATTAGAACATCTCATTTCCTACCTCTTATCCTAATGTTCATTTTTATACTTTTGTTCTCTTGATTTCATGTTTTTCAACTGGATGTTTTAATAGTAAACTTTGACTTCCTTCTTTACTACATCTATCTGTCTGCCTGCCTGTCTGTCTGTCTGTCCGTCCGTCTGTCCATCCGTCCATCCGTCCATCCATCCATCCAACTATCTATCTCAAAAGACACATTTTTTCTGAGGCAGGCACTTGAAGGCCTCCAGAGGTCAAGGTTCTTCTGCTGTAAGGGGTAGTTTAGTGGGAAAGTTTGATGGAAGAGCTTGGTGAGCAGAGTCGGTGATGGCTGCTTTCAACGTATATATTTCTCTCTTATAACCTATATAAATGTTGCCCTGTGTATAACCTCTTTGGCCTGGTATGCTACATAAAAATAGAGAAACATATGAACAAATAAATAAAAGATAAGTTTGACAATATTAGAGCTCTGAACAAGCAGGTTTCATGAGTACAGAGGTCATAAAGAATCTCTTTATAAAGGTTGTATTTTTTTATGTCTTTATTAATTTTCTAGGTTCCATGTACACAGTTCATTTTCCTCTAAAAAAATTCCAATGTTGTTTCAGTGTCTCATAAATACAAGCTCAAATCTATAATTTGGAAACTTTTAGGAGAAAAGATTAAGGCTGGCTATGCCTCATCAATAGCATTATTTTTTTTTAATGTTTAGTACTTTGTTCTTACTCTGCTGTGTTGCTGGGCGTACATCTGGGAATAGGAGGCTTATAGAGCCAGACTCTAAAGATGATTTCTATTCCTTTCTGACTTAAATGTTTTTTCTTTCTCTCTATTTCTCTCTTTCCCCCACCTTTCTTTCTTTCTTTTTTGAAACAGGGTCTCACTCTGTCACCCAGGCTGGGGTACACTGGCGTGATCACAGCTCACTGCAGCCTTGAACTCCTGGGCTCCAGTGATCCTCCTGCCTCAGCCTCCAGCGTAGCTAGGACTACAGGCATGCCCCACCATGCCAGGCTAATTTTGTTTTATTTTTGTAGAAACAGGTTCTCACTATGTTACCCAGGCTGGTCTCAAACTCCTGGCCTCGAGCGATTCTTCCACCTCGGCCTCCCAAAGTGCTGGAATTACAGACATGAGCCACCGCACCCAGGGCTGATTTATACTCTCGTAAATCTGGCTTATGTATCAATTAATGTTCATACTGACATATTTCCCCACAGTATTCTAGTTTGCTTTTGTGGCATGGGAGCTAATGCCATTTCATCTCCTTAAATACTCTGCCCCAATAGATATAGAGCATTATTTTACATATGTTAGTTATCCACAATATTCAGGAACTTTGTTGAAATATGTGGTTTCTGACACTTGACATGCATAGAGAACAGTAGTTGCACAAAATTAAAATCATTTTTTAAAGAAGATGATTGAAAACAGTGGGAAAGTCTTTCCCCTGCCTTTCTGATAAGCATTCCATAATTTCAATACTTTTTAAGGCTCTCATTTTATTGCTTATAAATTATTTTATATCTTTCTATTTTTTATTTTTTTATTTTTTTAAATTTTTATTTATTTATTTTTTTGAGACGGAGTCTCGCTCTGTTGCCCAGGCTGGAGTGCAGTGGCACAATCTCAGCTCACTGCAAGCTCCGCCTCCCGGGTTCACGCCATTCTCCTGCCTCAGCCTCCCAAGTAGCTGGGACTACAGGCACCCGCCACCACGCCCGGCTAATTTTTTGTATTTTTAGTAGAGACACTGTTTCACCATGTTAGCCAGGATGGTCTCGATCTCCTGACCTCGTGATCCACCCACCTCGGCCACCCAAAGTACTGGGATTACAGGCGTGAGCCACTGTGCCCGGCCCTTTCTATTTTTTTAAACTTGTTTTTCAGTATGTAAACAACTCCCAACCCACTAATCAAACTTTGCAGATACTAAACTAGTGTTTAGGATAAAACTTATATGATCTCTTAAATATAAGCCTAATAAATACATTCATTAGAAATCAAGCTGTAACAATGTGGCAGTTTTAGAAAATCACAAACCAAATTCTTTTGCTGCAATTTCATGCATTACCTTGACAATCTAGGCCACCTAAAATATAAAGCGGTGGTAACAAAGGTGATGATAATTCACTGCAAAAGAGAAAACTGAAGTGGAAAAAAGCCCAACCAGCCAATGGTTTCCTTTAACCTAATTTCAAGTATATTTCTAAAGAGGACAATAATTGAAGGGAAATCAAAGGCAATTTCTAAAAAAGTAGATTTCTCTATTCTGACAAGTTGAAAGAAATTGTTGAAGGAAACTTTTGCCAAAACATACCACATTGGATCTTCTGCCTGAGGTCATTGTCAAAGTTGAGACTTCTGAAAATGCAGTATTAGTGAAACGTAAAATGAGTCATATGCTCTTTCCAATAGCCACATAAATAACGAAGAGGCATGTGGCATAGTGGGTTCTGTCCTACTTTGGCTACTTGCTGGCATTATAACCTTTGACAATTCATTTAACCACTCAGGGCTTCACTTTCAACACATTGAAGTGACAGGTGGCACTGGGTTGGAATTCCAGGTCCATCTCTTATTACTATATCATTTTAGGAAAGTTACGTGACTTCTATGAATCTATTTCTTCAACCATAAGATGTGAAGAAGACATCAAAAATTATTTGGGGCCAGGCGCAGTGGCTCATGCCTGTAATCCCAGCACTTTGGGAGGTGGAGGTGGCAGGCTCACCTAAGCCCAGGAGTTACGACCAGCCTGGTCAACATAGCAAGACCCCCATCTCTTAAAAAAAATTATTTGGAAGAAGGAAGGCCAAAAAATAATACATAATGTATTATTCAATTTACATAAAACTCCAGAAAATGCAAACTAATCTACAGTGACAGTAAGCAGATCAATGGTTATTTGGGGACCTGGGAAGCAGAAAGGGTGGGTGGAAAGAATTACAAAGGGGCAAGGAAACTTGAGGTGGTGGATATGTCCATGATCCTAATTTGGTGATAGTTTCACAGGTATATACATCTGTCAAAATTGATCAAATCACACATTAAACATTTAAAACATTTATTGCATGTCAATCACACCTTTCTTAAAAAGGGTCAGAGAATTCAATGAGATAGTATGTGAAAAACAATTAGTGCAGTGCATGGCACAAGTAGGCCTCCAGAAATGAGTCCCCACCCCCACAACCCCAGCTTCATTTATGTCACAGGGCTATTTAAAATGGTATTCTACTTCATAAACCTCCGTGAACTCTGAAATCTCCTTTGCGTTTTGTAGCTTGATAAATATTTTCAAAGAAAAATATGGGATAATATGAAAATACCTCTGCAGCTTATTTAGGATATTATTTCTGTGGGTTTTTTTCAAATCTTCATTAGAGGCATATTTTGCATTGTTGGAATCACACTTTACATAGGACTTGCATGCTACTTCTCAACTCCATGGTTTACCTAAGATGTCTGCAAACTATTTTTTCCTTTTTTCATTATTATTATTATTATTATTTGAGACAGGGTCTCATTCTGTCATCCAGGCTGAAATGCAGTGGCCTGAACACAGCTCACCACAGCCTTGACCTCATGGGCTCAAACTATCCTCCCACTTCAGCCTCCCAAGTAGTTGGGACTACAGGCGTGCACCACCACGCCTGGCTAATTTTTGTATTTTTTTGTAGTTACGGGTTTTTGCCATGTTGCCCAGGCTGGTCTCAAACTCCTGGGCTCAAGTGATCCACCCACCTCGGCCTCCCAAAGTGCTGGGATTACAGATGTGAGCCATCATGCCTGACCCACAAACTATTTTTAATGACTGTCTCATGATTTTCTTAGGGCTAAGAATTCCTGATATATTTGAAGGGAGAATTGCCAGGATTTACTGACAGATTGAATTTGGGATGTGAGAGAAAGAGGACTCAGGGATGACACTACAGTTTTTGGCCTGAGCAATTAGAAGTTTGATGAAGCTGACATTTTCTGAGAAAGGAAGAATTTGTAAAGGGCAGCTTCGGTGGGGAACTTCCATTTTGAGGAGAAGTTAGGTATTAAACATCGCTGGAGTAGGCAGTGGACCTGAGATCCAAGGGGAGGTCCAGCTGGAGATATAAATATGGGAGTCTCCAGCATAAAGACGATATTTAAAGCCATGAGTTGGATGTGGTCTTCAAGGGCATGAGTATAAATAGACAGCAGAAGAGGCTCAACAACTGAGTCATGGAGGCCCCCTAATGGCTAGATCCTGGAGTTGAGGAGGAAGCAGTAAAGGTGACAGAAAAGGAGTGCGATCAAGGAGGAAGGAGCGTAGGCTGTTTGGAAAGCCAAGTGAAGAAAGTGTTTATAGGAGAGAATGATGCTTATCACTCAAGTAAGAAGAGAATGAAAAACATGCTCTTAAAACAAAGGGTAGTTATATCAAGGGCACTATGAGTAGAGTGGATTCAAAAGGTTATATCCTAGGAAGATACACAAGTGGCCAATGAGCACAAGAAAATATTCTCACCATCATTATCCATCAGAGAAATATACATCAAAACCACAATGATGTACCACTTCACACCCATAAGGATGGATGAAATCCGAAGAAAAATAACGTGTTGGTGAGAATGTGGAGAAATCGGAACCCTCATACACTGCTAGTGAAATGCAAAATGGTGTAGCACTTTGGAAAACAGTTTGGCAGTTCCTCAGAAAGTTAAACATAGAGTTACCATATGATCCAGCAATTCATCTACTAGAAATATATCCTAAAGAAATGAAAACATATGTCCACACAAAAACTTGTACATGAATGTTCATAGCAACATTATTCATAACAGCCAAAAACTGGGAAAAAAACAAATGTCCAGTGTTCAGCAAAAAATTAAGAGACATAAAGAGAAACAAGAACGTATAGCTCATACATGATGGGGGAAAGTAATCAGTAGAAACTGTCCCAGAATTCCAGATGTTAGACTTAGTAGACAAAGACTTTAAGTCAGCTATCTTAAATATGGTCCAAGAACAAAAGGAGTTGATTTCTAAAGAACTAAAAAAAGTATTAGAGCAAAGTCTCACTAAATAGAGGTTATTAATGAAGAGATAGATGTTATAAAAATAAAAAGTGTCAACAAATCCACTCAAAAGTGTTTTCTTTCGAGAAAAAGGAAAGAGACTTTATTCTAGCAAATGGTTTGCAAACCAGAGATACACAGGCTTTGATATAAAATGAAGGTGTGTTCAGACAGAACAAAGAAAGTGCTTGTGTTTTATAGAGTTCTTGCGCAGGCTACCACTCTGGTCTACTTATGCAAACGATGGATGCAAACTTGCTTAGTTCTGCTTGGTTGAGGCTTGCTGAGTTCTGATTGGTAGCTGCAGGTTACAGTCTTTGGTTGGTTCAGGCAGCATAAACAGAACAGCAGCTACGAAGTCTCAAAGTTAAATAAGTGTGGGGGCTTGCCAGGAACTCAGAGTATGTGTTGTCAACTGAAGAATCATAAGGTTCAAAAATTTGGAGAGGAGAGCTTTATTTCTTATAAAGGGTTGTGGCCAGGTGCAGTGGCTCACGCCTATAATTCCAGCACTTTGGGAGGCCGAGGCGGGCGGATCACCTGAGGTCAAGAGTTCAAGACCAGCCTGGCCAACATGGTGAAACCTCGTCTCTACTAAAAATACAAAAAAAATTTAGCTGGACATGGTGGCGCGAGCCTGTAGTCCCAGCTACTCGGGGAGGCTGAGGCAGGAGAATCGCTTGAACCCAGGAGGTGGAGATTGCAGTGAGCCAAGATTGCACCACTGCACTCCAGCCTGGGCAACAGAGGGAGACTCCATCTCAAAAATAAATAAATAAAATAAAAAAATAAAGGGTTGCAATCTGCACACTGGCCATCTGCAGGCTGGGCAGTGTAGCCTTGGGCAGAAACTGGAAGCAGGCACTTTGAGGGAGGGAATAATGAGACTGGAATTTATGCCAAATGGTTTGTCTAAGTGTATATATTTAATAGGTTATAGGAGGAGTTATGAATATTTATGATGGGGTGAATGTGTGCATGCATAGTAAGTAAACATGCATGTTACTACACATGTCCCATGTTCACTTTAGGGTGGAGGCTTAACATTTAAATGCATTAAAATTAGGCTGTATAGATCAAAGGTGAAACAGAGGACACAAGGGCATCTTGTGCACAGCCTCTGCGAACTGACCAGAATCAGTCCATTGTCAATGGTCTCTTATTAGGAAGGAATGCTGATCAGCTGTTGTGTTGAAACTCCAAAAAGGGAGGGGAACGCAGCAGTGTCAGGTGGTTAGTTGATGTCAGTGGTGGTGCAAGTCTTTCAAAAGGGGCGGTTTCTGTTTAACCCTTAGGAAAGAAAGTCTAATGGTGGTTAGTGAGGGTGGGGGTTTAACAAGGTGTGTCTGACCTCTCTTCTTGTCGTGGCTGGGAATTCAGTTATTAACCCTTCTAGGGTTCCCATGGCCAAGAGGGAGTCCATTCAGTTGGTTGGGGGACTTAGGATTTTCTTTTTATTTCTCAGTGTGTGACTTCTAGTCAGCCAATGGCCACTTGGCTATATTTTGAATTTAGGCCCAGTTAACCACTCAGGGTCCATCTTGACAGATTAGCCCCTTGAGGGCTCACAAAAGAAATTTTTGGAGCTGAAAATTACAATAGCTGAAATGTGACTACCCTGGAAATCAGGTTCTACCCACCTTCAGGCTTTATTATTGTTGTTGCTTATGCTCATGCTTGCGTTCCAGGCATGAGCCACCATGCCCGGCCTGGACAAGGATTTTCTTAATTGCCTGAAATCAATAAATCTCCCAATCTTTGGCAAGGGGCTCTGAGTGTATTTTGGGGTACATCATCAGCACTCAGCCAGGCCATGTACAACTCTTTCTGGGCCTTCATTTCCTGATTGTGCAGAGCCTCAGGGTCAGCTGCAGGTGAGAGCTTAGGGGCTTCTCATGTTTTCCTGAGCATGTATGCAGCCTGAGGATATGCACGTGGCCTTCTAGATTCCCAGGAATATGTCAAACCTTTCCAAAGCTCCTGTAGACATTTCACTGCTCAGCTTTTCCTTGTAAGCTCCTGTGGGAGAGGCTTTCAGCAACAGGCCATCTCTCAGTCAGTACAAATAAAGAAAAGCCTCTCAAGTGAGTCTTCAACTGTTTTTGGTTCCTTTTATAAAGGGGTGAATTTTTGGAGATCCTTCTTCTGCCATTTTCCTAATATCACCCAGCATTTCCTCTTTTATCTTCTGGGGAATCATTTATGTAAGAATAGGATGATCCTTTGAATGTTTGGTAAGATTGTCATAAAAGCATTTAAATCTCAGTATTTTTTCATGAAAGATTTTTGATTGCTGCTTTATTTTCTTTCACAGTGCATGCTTTCTATTTTTTTCTAAGTATTTGAGATTTTTCTCTAGGTTCAAATTCATTGGCAAAAAATTGTTCATAGTATTTCTTATTGTCTTTTAAATCTATAAGGTGTATGTGATTACGTTCCCATTTTATGTCCTTGATATTGTCTATTTGTGTATAATTTATTTTTCCGTAAATTCTGCCAGATGATTGTCTATTTGATTAATCATTTTTAAAAAACTAACTTTTGTTTATTGATTTTCTCTATTTTACTCTCATCTATTTCTGCTCATAATTATCTACTCTTTTCTATTTGCCTTGAATTTATGTTGTTGTTCTTTCTATAACTTCTTAAGTTGGATGCTTGGCTCAGTAATTTTCTACACTTCTTTTTTTGTGTGTGTGTTTTGTAACAGGGTTCTACTCTGTGGCCCAGGCTGGAGGGCAGTGTAGCAATCATAGCTCATTGCAACCTCAAACTTCTGGGCTCAAGCCATCCTCCTGTCTCAGCCCTCCTAATAGCTAGGGTTACAGGCATGCGCTGCCACACCCAGCTAATTTTTATTTTCATTTTTGTAGAGATGAGGGCTCACTACATTGCCCAGGCTGGTCTTGAACTTTTGGCATCAATTGATGCTCCTACCTCCACCTCCCAAAGTGATGGGATTACAGCCATGAGCCACTGGGCCTGACTTCACTTCTTCTTTTTAATGGTATGAATTTCCCATAAATATGATAGCACTGCATCTCATAAATATTGATATTTAAAGTTTTATTAATGTTCAGTTCTCAAGATTTTCCAATTTTAATTATGACTTCTACTTTGACCCATGATTTACTAAAGAGTGTGAATTTTAATTTCCAAAGTTAATTTTATAAGTCTCATTTATCATTTTATTACTGGTATTAAATTAGTTGTGTTGCAATTAGAAAACATGGTCTGCATAAACTGATTCTTTAAAATTTGCTGACTCATGCTTCATAACTAAGCACTTAATGTTTGTAAATTCTCTATGTATGTTTGAGAAGAATACACATTTTAAAATTGTGGGATGCAGAGTTTTACATATGTCCATTAGATTAAGATTGTTAATTATAGCGTTCAATTTTTAAAATTTTTAAAATTTTCTTTTTTTTTTATTATACTTTAAGTTTTAGGGTACATGTGCACATTGTGCAGGTTAGTTACATATGTATACATGTGCCATGCTGGTGCACTACACCCACTAACTCGTCATCTAGCATTAGGTATATCTCCCAGTGCTATCCCTCCCCCCTCCCCCCACCCCACAACAGTCCCCAGAGTGTGATATTCCCCTTCCTGTGTCCATGTGATCTCATTGTTCAATTCTCATCTATGAGTGAGAACATGCGGTGTTTGGTTTTTTGTTCTTGCGATAGTTTACTGAGAATGATGTTTTCCAATTTCATCCATGTCCCTACAAAGGACATGAACTCATCATTTTTTATGGCTGCATAGTATTCCATGGCGTATATGTGCCACATTTTCTTAATCCAGTCTATCATTGTTGGACATTTGGGTTGGTTCCAAGTCTTTGCTATTGTGAATAATGCCGCAATAAACATACGTGTGCATGTGTCTTTATAGCAGCATGATTTATAGTCCTTTGGGTATATACCCAGTAATGGGATGGCTGGGTCAAATGGTATTTCCAGTTCTAGATCCCTGAGGAATCGCCACACTGACTTCCACAATGGTTGAACTAGTTTACAGTCCCACCAACAGTGTAAAAGTGTTCCTATTTCTCCACATCCTCTCCAGCACCTGTTGTTTCCTGACTTTTTAATGATTTTCTATATGTCGGTCTTCTATATGTTAGTTGAGCTCGGAAAGAGAACTGAGCTGCCAAGTATCAGAGTAACGAATTAAAGCAGCAAACCAAAATGAAAGATTTGTAAATTTCTGCAACAGTACAAGCAAGAGGCCAAACTGAAGAAAGCATCAACTCTCCTCCATTCTGTCTTCCCCATAGAACTGCACACCAGTAAAGGGTGAGGTGGGTCAATACAGCTGTAGGGATTATCTCACAGTTGAGGGAGCCCTCAACAAAAGACTCCAGTAGATTTATGAACCCTGGGGTCAAGGTCAGGGCAAGGGGGAAGGGCTAGAAGTGGAAAACTATGGAGTCAGAGTGGGTACAAGTGTCTTTAAGGTTTCCCCTTCTCTGCCCATAAGGAGGCCTAAGCCAAGGTGCCTGCAGACCTCTGCCCAAGGTCTCAGATAAGGAGACCTAGAAAAGAAGGTGCCAGGGCTCCAAATGCAAACATGTAAAAAAAAGCATGACTGGCCAGGGGGTCTGAGACCTTGACAGCAACTCCTCTCAGAGGCTGCAATGCCCTGGCTATGCCCCAAGCCTGGTGTGGGGCGGGTAGCTTTCTCCTGTGGTCCTATCAGTTTTCGCTTTATACATTTGAGGGTACTTTATTAGAAGCATACAACTGTAGAATTGTTATATCTTCCTGGTGAATTTAAAATGTAACCATAATGAGGCCCTCTATCTCTAAGAATGCTTTTTGCTTAAAAATCTATTACGCTATTAATATAACTATACTAGGTTTCTTTGGTTGATCTTTTTCTTGGAAAGCTTTCCTTTGCTTTTTACTTTCAATCTTGCCATATTGTAATGCATGAGGCATGTCTCTTTAAAATAGCACATATCACCAGCCTGGGCAACATAGCAAGACCCTATCTCTACAAGAATTAATTAGCTGGGTGGGGTAGTGCATGAGTATAGTCCCACCTATTCAGG
Organism: Homo sapiens; assembly: GCF_000001405.40. Lineage (NCBI taxonomy): Eukaryota > Metazoa > Chordata > Mammalia > Primates > Hominidae > Homo > Homo sapiens. The sequence continues at coordinate 41,238,513 of NC_000004.12, forward strand.
AGGCTGAGGCCTCCTTCACTTGAGAGCCCAGGAGGTTGAGGCTGCAGTGAGCCATGATCACACAATGGCACTCGAGACTGGGTGACAGAGCAAGACTCTGTCTAAAAAAATAATGACACATATCTAGATTTTAAAAACATAATTTGATTTTAAAATCTAAGTTTAGTCCATTTACATTTAGTATACTTTATTTGGGCTTTTGCCCAAATAATATATCTTACCTTTTTATTCCATTGATCTTGGATTTTCTGTGCTGCTTTTCTCTTATCTTGTCTTTTGTGGTGTTTGCATTTTTTCCCTTATTCTATTTATCTCTAATTGTTTGAATTTATATACTTTTACTTTTCTTGATTAATTTCCCTTGAAATGTTACCATGACTATTTTACTTAACTAAGTCTAAAGGTAAATGATTTCTTAACCTTTGCCAGAACAATAAAAGGAACCTTTGAATACTTTATTCTCATTATACTTCCTTCCAACATACTATGCAGAACAGTATTCTAGCATTATTCTTGTATTAATCCAATGAGTTAGATATTATTATTATTATTATTAATTTTTTTTTTGAGACAGAGTCTTGCTCTGTTGCCCAGGCTGGAGTGCAGTGGCACGATCTTGGCTCACTGCAAGCTCCACCTCCTGGGTTCATGCCATTCTCCTGCCTCAGCCTCCCAAGTAGCTGGGACTACAGGCACCCGCCACCATGCCCGGCTAATTTTTTGTATTTTTAGAAGAGACAGGGTTTTACTGTGTTAGCCAGGATGGTCTCGATCTCTTGACCTCGTGATCCACCCGCCTTGGCCTCCCAAAGTGCTGGGATTACAAGCGTGAGCCACTGCGCCTGGCCAGAATTAGATATTATTATTATACATAAATAATATTTATTTGCATTTACATGTGTGCTTCCACTGAATATTGGTTTTTGTTTGTTCTAGAGATGGGGTCTCACTATGTTACCCAGGCTGGAGTGCAGTGACTATTCACAGGCATGATCTGGTGCACTGCAGCCTCAAACTCCTGGCCTCCAGTGATCCTCCCAGCTCAGCCTCCTAAGTAGCCGGGACTATAGATACATGCCATCATGCCCCACCTGAATTTGTTTTAATCCTTTATTTTTTTCTCAGTCCATCTACTAGATCAAACATCCTTTAGATGTTTCTTTTGTTTGCGTCTCTTGATAGCAAATGCAGTTCCTAGTTATATATAAATTTTCACTCTGGTTTTGAAAGACAGTTTTACGGATAGGAAATTCAAGGATGACAGTTATTTTCTCTCAACATTTTGGAGACACTAGTCTACCATCTTCTGGCCTCCCTGGTTGCTGTGGAGGAGACCGATGTCATTTTCATTTATGTTTTCTTTATCAACGATTTTTAAATCTTCTCTTTGTTCTTGGTATTCTGCAGTTGCACTGCTTATATTTAAAGATTAATTTTTTTTTATTTTTCACTTTTGAGATACAACATGGTTTTTGAACTTGTCCTTTTTGAGATACAATGTGGATTTCTTTTCATTTTTCCTTCTTGAAAAACAATGTGCTTGGCATTCTCCTTGAGTGATTGGATTACCCTTTCCGTGTAAGTGTGAGGCTCAATTCTGGCCGGTTAGACACTGGCAAGTTTTCAAGCAGTAGGGGCAGCTGGTGAAAATTCAGTAGCTAATAAAAAGAAACAAGCTGGGCCAGGAGTGATGGCTGACACCTGTAATCCCAGCACTTTGGAAGGCCAATGCGGTCGAATTACATAAGGCCAGAAGTTCAAGACCAGCCTGGCCAACATGGTGAAACCCTGTTTCTACTGAAAATACAAAAGTTAGCTGGGCATGGTGGTACATGTCTGTAATCCCAGCTACTCAGGAGGCTGAGGTACAAGAAGCACTTGAACCTGGGAGGCGGATGTTGCAGTAAGCCGAAATCGCTCCACTGCACTCTAGCCTGGACAACAAAGCAAGATTCTGTCTCAGGGAAAAAAAACAAGCTGGATATCTGCTTCTGGCATTATGGCTGACCTAGTAGAAGTTTTCTACACAAATGGTCAAGTACTAGAAGGAATATATGGAGACATTAAACTGTAAATTTCTAATGGTGGTAGATTTATGGAAGAGTAGTATTTTTTTGAGATGGAGTCTCACTCTGTCACCAGGCTGGAGTGCAGTGGTGCGATCTCAGCTCACTGCAACCTCTGTCTCCAGGGCTCCAGCAATTCTCCCACCTCAGCCTCCCGAGTAGCTGGGACTAAAGGCGTGCACCACCACGCTTGGCTAATTTTGTTTTTGTATTTTTAATAGAGACAGGGTTTCACCATGTTAGCCAGGATGGTCTCGATCTCCTGACCTCATGATCCGCCCGCCTCGGCCTCCCAAAGTGCTGGGATTACAGGCGTGAGCCACCGCGCCCAGCCACGCCTGGCTAATTTTTGTATTTTTTAGTAGAGATGGGGTTTCGCCATGTTGCAGGCTGGTCTTGAACTCCTGACCGCAGGTGATCCACCCACCTCGGCCTCCCAAAGCGCCAGGCTTATAGGCTTGAGCCACTGTGCCCAGCTTTTTTTTTTTTTTTGAGATAGGGGTCTCACTTTGTGGCCCAGGCTGGTCTTGAACTCCAGGGCTCATGCAGTCCTCCCACCTCAGCCACCCAAGTAGCTGGAATTACAGGCATGAGCCACTGTATCCAGCCAAAGCCCTCTTATTTCCAGTTTTACAACTCTACAAGAATAGTAACTGAGGGACAATAGAGGAAGATCTATATTTCACTTGTACTGAGTGTACCTCTCATTATCTACTACTAGTTTTATCATCTCTCCTATGTCCTCAGCCCTTTCTCTGTACCTTAGGAATACGAGACATTTTTTCTTTCATTGCAAACAGTGCAAACTGCTAGCTATCCTGAATACAAATTGGTTGGGAAGAGCTTGATTAAAAAAAAACCAACATATAGTGCTTCCTTATTTCTTAGATGCATTTTTTTTTATGTTTAAATGCTTTTGAAAAGAGAAACATATATTAAATGTACTGGGTCCTCCTGCCTGCCTCTTGATCCCCCCCAAAAAAGCAATTTTTAAATGGATGATTTATCTTAAAATTGAAGACATTTTAAAAAATCTAGAAAACATGGTCTATGTCTTATGTCTGTCATTTGCCAATCCCACTCCCAACCCAGGTAAGCCTAGCATAGTGTGTGCCATGTAGTAGGTGCTCAAAATATATTTGTGAATGACTATATGAGTATATGTAGTAAGATGAAATTTAATGAGAACATGCACTGCCTTCTTTCACGTTTATTTTTTCCTTCTTCCACATATTCTTGTGACTACCCAGTTAATGAACTGCTTATAGGAAACAGGAGGAAAACTGACTTTACCATGGGAACTAAGTGCAGTAATTTCTTCGCATTATGTATCATTTTTATTGTGCTATTTTTAACTTTAAAATGTCTGGATGTCAGACCTTGCTTCTGGGGAAACATTATTGACAAAGGAATTGCCAAGCAAGTTTTAAAATGTTGAGCAAGTACTTGTCAATAATTAATGTCATGCTAATTATAAATTCAAACTAGATTCTTGAACCTCAAGGTGAGCCATGCTTATGAGAGTTGGGTGACCTGCTGTGGCCCTAGACATTACAGAAATCATTTAAGTTCTTTCTTCTCTGCAGGGAAGCTTAACTTGTATTTCTGGTGGTAGTGACTAAGGCTGTAGGGCTGGGCCTTGGATGGAAGGCAAGCAGGAGAACTGAAGGTGCACAGGCTTCGAAATCCAGTGAAGCTGGGTTCAGACCCTGACTTGAACACTTAGTAGCTGTGTGACTTAGCAAGTTAAATGGTCTCTTTGAGGCCTCAGTTTTCCTATCTGTAAAACTAAGGTAGAAATACAGATGTCAGAGGTTGGTATGAGAATTCAGTGGGGATAACTTGTTCAATGCCCTTTGTGTAACTCAAAAAAGCAAGTACTCTTTCCTTCCTTATCTCTTTCCTTCAGTCGCTTAAGATGTCAGACAGGGCCACGTGCAGGGGCTCACGCCTGTAATCCCAACACTTTGGGAGGCCGAAGCAGGTAGATCAGGAGGTCAGGAGATCAAGACCATCCTGGCTAACACGGTGAAACCCTATCTCTACTAAAAAAAAAAAATACAAAAAATTAACCAGGTGTGGTAGTGGGTGCCTGTAGTCCCAGCTACTCAGGAGGCTGAGGCAGGAGAATGCTGTGAACCTGCGAGGCGGAGCTTGCAGCGAGCCAAGATCACGCCACTGCATTCCAGCCTGGGCAACAGTGCGAGACTCTGTCTCAAAAAAAAAAAAAAAAAAGGTGTCAGACAGAAATACTTACTCACACCATAAAATATTTGGGGAGTGCTGAGCTTGAGTATCCTGCCTTCATAAATACACTCTATCATCTACCCCTTCAACTTAGCAAGAGTCCTGTCATTAGAGCAGAGTTATCCTATCTTCAGGATTTATGAATGACTTCTATCATTTTTGCCATATTAACATTATTAAGGAATATTATTTACTTAGGATATTTATTTATTTATTTTGAGATGGAGTCTCACTCTGTCACCCAGCTGGAGTACAGTGCTGCGATCTTGGCTCACTGTAACCTCCGCCTCCCAGGTTCAAGAGATTCTCCTGCCTCAGCCTCCTAAGTAGCTGGGATTACAGGTGCCTGCCACCACGGTCGGCTAATTTTTGTATTTTTAGTAGAGACAGGTTTTCACCATGTTGGCCAGGCTGGTCTTGAACTCCTGACCTCAAGTGATCCACCTGCCTCAGCCTCTCAAAGTGCTGGGATCACAGGCGTAAGCCACCACACCTGGCCTACTTAGGATATTTTAGACTTAGCCAAAGATTTAACAGCTGTGAAATCACAAACTTGATGTTCTGATTATACACATATACATATATAAATATGCAACTTTTATAATATGTGTTAAAATGAAAAAATATTATTACCTATTTGTGATTCACCTACAATCATGTCATGTACCACACTGGTATGCGTTCAGCATATCAGTACAGGAGTCCAAAACTACTCTAGGTATTTTAAGTAGAAAGGGATTTAATATAGGGAATTAGGTATTGACAAAACCACTGGAAATGCTGGAGGATGAAACTTGGGGCTGGCCCTTCAGGATTGACTCCCCGAACACTGTAGAACTGACCTGCCAAGGGAACTCTGACTTCAGGGAGCACCACTGGCCCTGTTGAATTCACGAGCATGCTGCTGCAGCTGCAATCCAGGGATGCAGAATCTGCCACTGCTATTGTCACTCCCACAACTGCTCTCCAAATCTATAAAGTCTGTGAGTGGGCACTGTACATGGAGTCCAGCCTCTGATGATGCATGATTCCCTCTCAACATCCAGGAGGCTGAGGGAAAGACACTGGAATGAATGTTGCTTTAGAGAAACCCTGTAATTCCATGACCGTGCTTGTCAGCAGAAAACAGGCAGAAAGATAGTCTCTTTTTCATGCCCCCCTTTCAAATCTCATACAATTATGTACAAGTGATAGAAATGAATTTATATTAGGAAGCTTTGCTGGAAGGAAGTCTGGAAAATACAATTTTTAGCTCTCTAGCCTCTGAAATATAAGAAGGCACACTGGAAGGGCACTTGGGTGAAACAGTCTGAGGCGTCCACTACAGACCACAGGGAATATACCTTGTTTCAAGGCACAGGAGCTTGTACATAAAAGCTGGAGAGCAGGGCTTTCATGCTCCCCTAACCTTACTCTTCTTCTTCTCTGCCTTCCCACACTTCTTTGTCTGGCCAATTATCACTACTTGAGGGCTTCATTTACCAAGCTGTACTGGGGATAGCTCTTTCGCTTCCTTCATTTTATTTTATTTATTTATTTATTTTTTTGAGACAGAGTCTTACTCTGTTGCTCAGGCTGAAGTGCAGTGGCACTGTCTTGGCTCACTGCAACCTCCGCCTCCTGGGTTCAAGCAATTCTCTTGCCTCAGCCTCCTGAGTAGCTGGGATTACAGGCGAGTGCCACCATTCCCAGCTCATTTTTGTATTTTTTTTTTTTTAGTAGAGACAGGGTTTTACCATGTTGGCCAGCTGGTCTTGACCTCCTGACCTCAAGTGATTCACCTGCCTAGGCCTCCCAAAGTGCTGGGATTACAGATGTGAGCCACTGGGCCTGGCCTTGTTTCCTTCTTTTTAACATCATTTATTCATTTTCTCATTGTGTTCAAGGTCAAAGTGAGAAGGAATCAGCCAGAAGTTCTCTCTTTTAAAAAAAAAGATTTTAGAGACGGTGTCCTGTCCTGTCACCCAAGCTGGAGTGCAGTGGTGCCATCACAGTTCACTGTGACCTCGAACCCCTGGGCTCAAGTGATCCTCCCACCTCAGCCTCCCCAGTAGCTGCAATTACAGGCACACGCCACCAAATCCAGCTAATTTTAATTTATTTCTCGTAGAGACGATGGTCTTGCTATGTTGTTCAGGCTGGTCTCGAACTCCTGGCCTCAAGTGGTCCTCCTGCCTTGGCTTCCCAAAGCAATGGGATTACAGGCATGAGCCACTACACCCAGCCATCTTTTTGTTTTTTAACATTGCACATGGTCAGATTTGATAAGCTTCACTGTCTCTATCTCAGTTGCTAGTGATTGGAGAGAACTCTATCATCTTCAGTCCATTAGCACAGTGGACATTCTGAATAGCGATCCCATTTAAAATCCTACAGAACACTGAACGAAACAAAGGACTCAGTCTTGAGAGGTTAGATCTCACCAGTCTTAAGAGACTAGAGGCTTTGGTTATCTAACTATGGGAAAGCTTGCCCCTGATTTCTGCTCTGGCTCTACTCTGGAATACGGAGATTGGTCCAGTCAACTGGACACGTGGGATTGTCTTGCTAACCATGAATATTGTATTTCAAGCTCTTTGTTAAGTGTTATAAACTGCCACTTGTTTGAGTGACAAAGAATTAGGACTGATATTTCCATTTAAGTGAAAAATCTGAAGACTGACATTTTGTGCTAAGTGACAAAAATGGCAGCAAAGTCAACCTAAATGGTCTAATAAAAAGAACAAATGCTAGAGAAGATAATTAATCACTCAATACCAGGCCGAAGACAGGAGTGCAGGGGATATGATATACTAGTCAAGTAAACTAGCTCTGCAGTCAGCCTTCTGGGGTTTGGATTCTGGTGACCTTAAGCACAGTACTTCATCTTGCTAAGCCTCATCTTGCTAAGCCTCAGTCTTCTCATCTGCAAAATGGAGAGGATAACATTACGATCCTCATAGAGTTGTTACTGGAATTACCAGTGCCTGGCATATAGAATGTGTGCAATAAATGTTGCTGGACTTCCAGCTATGGGAGAGTAAGGAAACTGATAAATCATCTCTCCCGAAAATAATTATAAAACTGGATAAAATTGTCAAGGAGTATCATTTTAGGGTTCTGGAAACCAACTAAAAGCAAAGAACAAATTGAAGAGCATATATCCACCCAAAAAATGCTGGGCTTTGGGCAAGAATGAAGGTGTCTCTGGCATTCTTGCATGTTCATTCCTAAGGATCCCTCTCACCCCCAGCTTGGTCAGCACAGTAATTTTACCAGGGTGGAGCTGGCCTTGAAAGCCAGCAGCAGACAAAGTGATGACTTGATTTGGAGTGAAGGGCAGGAAATCTATGCCCAGCGGTGAATGAGAAAAGCCTTCAGCTCTCCTAGCCTGAGGCTGCAGTCTCAGGTGAGGAAGCTCCTGGAAATGAGATAGCCATTGAAAACTCAGATACTAAGCTCTCATCCTCAGATGTCTGGGTGCCTGTACACATGCAGTAGAGACCCAAGAGAGCCTAAGAGAAAGCAAAGGTGAAGACAGATTTGAAAACTTTTCAAACTTGGAATGCACTCCCCAAACCAAACACAAATCCACAGCAAAGCATGGAAACCTTGCAGGCTCAAGGTGTTTGAGCATAATCTCTCACCAGTCACTGGCTGATAACTCAGCTACGAGACATAGGGTCATTCTTAGAAAGACAGGTAACACAGGAAAATAAGAATTTTTTTAAAACCCAAACTGAGAAGAGACATTTTTTTAAGACCCAAACTGAGAAGAAGGCAGCTACACACTGGAGTGATCCTTTATGTAGAAAATCCTAAAGAACCAACAACAAAATGACTAGAATAAAATAAGGGTTTAGCTAGGTTGCGGGAATATAAAAATCAATTGTATTTTACATACTAGCTATGAGCAATGTGATACTGAAATGAAGAAAACAATTTCATTCACAATGGCATCAAAAAGAATTCACAATGGCATCAAAAAGAAAAAAAACCTAAAAATAAATTTAGCAAAAGAAGTATAAGGCTTTTATACTGAAAACTACAAAATATTACTGAAATAATTTTTTAAAGCTCTAAATAAATGGAGGACAGTCCATGTTCATGGCCAGGGAGACTCAATATTGTTAAGATGGCAATTCTACCCAAATAAATATATAGATTCAACCTAATCTCTATTAAAACCCCGAAAGGCTTTTCTTGAGGTGGGGATTGAAATTAACAAGCCTGTCTGCAGATCCAAAAATGTATATGAAAATGCAAAGGACTTAGAATAGCCAAAACAATTTTAAAAAGAAAACAAAGTTGAAGAACTTGCATTACCTGATTTCACAACTTAACTATAAAATCATATTAATCAAGGCACATAGTAATCAAGATAGACAAATCACTCTGTGGAACATAATTAAGAGACCAGAAATAAATCATTACATTTATAGTCAAAAGATATTTGACAAAGATGCCAAGGCAAATGAGTGGACAAAGTATAACCCTTTTAACAAACAATGCTAGGACAATTAGATACACATATACAAAAAAATGAATTTAAACCCTTACTTTACTCCATACACAAAAATTAACTCAAAATGCATCACAGACCTAAATGTAAGAGCTAAAACATTAACACTTCTTAACAAAAAATAAATAAAAGAAAATCTTTGTAACCTTGGATTAGGCAAAGATTTCTTAGATGACCCATAAAGGAAAAACTGATAAATTGGACTTCATCAAAATTAAAAACTTTTGTTCTTCAAAAAACACTACGTACAGCTTGGGGTGGTGGCATGTGACAATAGTCAATAGCCATGAACCAATATTTTGCCCAAGGTGTCCTTGAACTCTTATCTCAAGCCATCCTACCACCTCTGCCTCCTTAGGCCAGCCTGGGCACAATAGTGAGATCCTATCTCTAAAAAACAAAACAAAAACCTACTCAAAAACACTGAGTAGAAATTTAAAGTCACAGAACAGGAGATGGTATTTGTAAATCAAATATTTGATAAGGATCTAGTATTCAGAATATATAAAGAACCATTATAATCCATTAATAAGATGAAAAACTCACTAAAAATGGGCAAAAGATTTGAATAGACATTTCACCAAAAGAAGACACTTGCATGGCTAATAAGCACCATGAAAAGATGCTCAACATCAGTTGTCATCAGGGAAATGCAAATTAAAAGTGCAGTGATACCACCACATACCCACAGTAAAGGCTCTAGTCAAAAAGACATTGACAACAGCAGATGTGGCAAAGATGTGGAGAAACTGCGACTCTCATACATTGCAAGTGAGAATGTAAAATAGTACAATTGCTTTGGAAAACAGTTTGAAAATGTCTTAAAAGGTTAAACATAGAGTTACCATTCAACCCAACATTTCCACTTCTAGGTATTTAACTAAAAGAAATGAAAACATTTGTCAACATATAGACATACACAAATCTTCACGGTAGTGTTATTCATAGTAGCTAAAACTAGAAGCAACCCAAATACCCATCAACCACTGAATGGACAACAAAATGCGATGTATCTGTACAATGGAGTACCATCCAACAATAAAGAGAAATTGACCTCTGATACATGCTAGAACATGAAGGAACCTCAAAAGTATGCTAAGTAAAAGAAGCTAGACATGAAAGACTAAGTATTGCATGATTCCATGTATGTGAATGTCCAGGAACGTCCAGGATAGGCAAATCTATAAAGACAAGAAAACATAAGTAGTTGGCTGGGCTGGGAGAGGAAATTGACTGCAAAGGGCAAGAGGGAGCTTTTGTGGGTAATGGAAATGTTTTAGAACCTGATTGTGGTGATGGTTGTACAAATGCATAACTCTACTAGAAAGCGTTGAATTGTACACTTACAATGAGCGAATTTTATGGTATGTCAAATGTACCTCAATAAGCTGTTAAAAAGTGTTCCAATTACCTGAGAAGATAATATGTTTGAATAGAAACCCATCAAATGTTTGACAGAGCAGAAAATTCGTCTATTACTTCTCAGCCTCAAACTACATCCTTACGCGTGGTCAGATTCAGCTACTTAACAATGAGTGTCTGTTAGTTATCAGAATCATCAGAAGGTAGTTTTTAAAGGGTCCATCCCAAATCTTCATTATTGTAAGAAAAATAATGCTTATGATAAAAAATTCTATTGCTGGTGAATCAGAATCTTTTTTTTAGAAAGAGCAACATATTCAGGCCGGGCATGGTGGCTCACACCTGTAATCCCAGCACTTTGGAAGGCTGAGGTGGGTGGATCACTTGAGGTGAGGAGTTCCAGATCAGCCTGGTCAACATGGTGAAACCCCATCTCTACTCAAAATACAAAAATTAGCCGGGCGTGGTGGCGGGTGCCTGTAATCCCAGCTACTCAAGAGGCTGAGGCAAGAGAATCACTTGAACCTGGGAGGTGGAGGTTGCAGTGAGCCGAGATCGTGCCACTCCAGCCTGGGCATCAGAGTGAGGCTCCGTCAAAAAAAAACAAAAAACACATATTCATCCATTGATTTTGTTTCTCTGCCTGTATACATACTCAGTGGAATCTAAAATGCTTAGGATTATAAACAAGAAAACTGGGACCCAAAGATCACACCATTCTTTAGAGGCAGAGTCAGGAAGACTGGAATCAAGGTCTTCTAAATAATCATCTATAATGTTCACCATCACACCAAATTGCATCTTTACTTCTTTTTCCTTTGAAGACACACAGAACCATATTCTCCTCAGTACTTTGTGGGTATCTCAATATCAGTGAAAAGAAATTACTTGGCTGGGCATGGGGGCTCACGCCTGTAATCCCAGCACTTTGGGAGGCTGAGGTGGGTGAATCACCTGAGGTCAGCCATGCCTGGCTAAAAATACAAAAATTAGCCAGGCATGGTGGCGCACGCATGTAGTTCCAGCTACTCAGGAAGCTGAAACAGGAGAATTGCTTGAACCCAGGAGGCGCAGTGAAGTTGCAGTGAGCCCATTGCGCTGCTGCACTCCAGCCTGGGCAACAAAGCAAGATCTGTCTCAAAAAAAAAAAAAAATTACTTACTGAGGAAAATCACAGAATATTAAAGCAAAAAGGGATCTTGGAGTATATATTCATCCAAAAAAATGCTGGACTCTGGGCAAGAACAGAGGTGTCTGTGGCGTTCTTGTATGTTCTTTTCTAGGGGTCCCCCTCACCCCCACACCAGCTTGGTCAGCACACTAATTTTAACTTTTCCTTCCTTCCTTCCTTCCTTCCTACCTACCTACCTACCTACAGAGTTTCACTTTGTTGCCCAGGCTGGAGTGCAGTGGTGGGATCTCAGCTCACTGCATCCTCTGCCTCCCAGGTTTAAGCAATTCTCCTGTCTCAGCCTCCTGAGTAGCTGGGATTACAGGCGCGTGCCACCACGCCAGGCTAATTTTTATATTTTGAGTAGAGATGGGATTTCACCATGTTGGTCAGGCTGGTCTTGAACTCCTGACCTCAGGTGATCCACCTGCCTCGGCCTCCCAAAGTGCTGGGATTACAGGCATGAACCACTGCGCCCAGCATGCTTTCTTATATAAATTAATATTTTCCTCTGATTTCTGTTTGTCTTGTATTCTTAAGATTTCAAACTTCCTGCCCATCCCCCTCCAGCAGAAGTTCTTTCTACCACATCATTAACAGATATTCATCAAGTCTTTAAAAAGTTCCAGGTATGATGTGGCAGACACTGGTAGCTGCCTGTCCAGTAGCCTTGCCCCTACCCTATTCCTTGGTAGCAAAGCCCACCTTACTTCTCGGAGTCTAAAAATGCTACATATTTACTTTCTCAGCCTCTCTTTTGACTAGTGCATGAATATGTGATTAAATTCAGGCCAATGCTACCTAAAAGGAATTCTTCAGGAGGGTGGGGCTTCTGCAAAACTTCAGACTTGAGAAACAGCAAGAGTGAAAGAGAATATCATTTTCCTTCTTGCCTTTGGACCTTGTGTGAGGATGTGATTCTTAGAACTTCTGTAGGTACCTTACAACCATTATAGATGACACTTTCAACAATAACGTAAAGACAGTGGACTGGAAAGACGGAAAAACCCTAAATTCTTGATAAGATCATTGAGCCATGTGTGAACTTTGTCAGAATCAAAATGGAGTCACTTGTGTTAAAAAAACAGGCTGGGTGAGATGGCTCACACCTGTAATCCCAGCACTTTAGGAGGCCGAGGCGGGTGGATCATCTGAGGTTGGGAGTTTGAGACCAGCCTGACCAACATGGAGAAACCCTGTCTCTACTAAAAATACAAAATTAGCTGGGCGTGGTGGCACATGCCCGTAATCCCAGCTACTCAGGAGGCTGAGGCAGGAGGATCGCTTGAACCCGGGAAGGGGAGGTTGCGGTGAGCTGAGATCGCGCCACTGCACTCCAGCCTAGCAACAAGAGCGAAACTCTGTCTCAAAAAAAAAAAAAAAAAAAAAAAGATAAAGAAAAACTTATCCAGGTGTGGTGGTGCACACCTGCATACCCAGCTACTCAGGGCGCTGACACATGATGATAGCTTGAGTCCAGAGTTCAAGGCTGTCGTACACTATGATCCTGCCACTGCACTCTAGCCTAGGCGGCACAGCAAGACCCTGTTTCAAAACAAAAACAAGACCAGTCGCCGTGGCTCACATCTGTAATCCCAGCACTTTGGGAGGCCGAGGAGGGTGGATCACCTGAGGTCAGGAGTTCGAGACCAGCCTGACCAACATGGTGAAACCCCATCTCTACTAAAAATAAAAATTAGTCGGGCGTGGTGGCACATGCCTATAATCCCAGCTACTCGGGAGGCTTGAGGCAGGAGAATCGCTTGAACCCGGGAGGCGGAGGTGGCAGTGAGCCAAGACTGCACCACTGCACTCCAGCCTGGGCAACAAGAGCGAAACCCTGTTTCAAAAAACAAAAACAGAAACAAAAAACAAACAAACCACAAAAAGCCTCTGACAAATAGAGCTGGGAAAAGCCAGGAAGAGAATGATTCTCATGCATAAATGCCTGATAACAAAAATTATCACAAAAGACTGCAAAACCCACAACTTTGTACAAAGGCCATCACGATCTTACATAAAAAATCCTTCTGCAAGGACTTGTGCCTAGAAACTGCTTGTCCAGCCTCAGACTGGTGTCACCCTTGTTATTGATCCTTGTAGCCAAGGATAATTATTTCAAAACAATTATGTAATATTCCTCATTTGTCCTTAAAAAACCTTTGTCTTCTTGTATCTTCCTGAATATACACACAGTTTACTATGGCATGTGTATTTCCATTGCAATGCCCTATTCCTGAATAAATATCACTTTCTTTTAGAGAACATTTCTCTGTTATTTATGTTGACACATGGACAACCCTAGAACCACCAACCTCCAGTCATTGAGTTAAGAGAGGGAATTCATGTCCTAAGCTTTCAGTCAGTTTTAGTTGGGTATTCTGCCCTTGGTAGACATAGTATAATACAGCGGTCCCCAGCCTTTTTGGCCCCAGGGACCAGTTTCATGGAAGACAATTTTTCCACGGACTGGGGGTGGGAATGGTTTCGGGATGAAACTGTTCCACCTCAGATCATCAGTCATTAGATTCTCATAAGAAGCACACAGCCTAGATCCCTCGCATGTGCAGTTCATAATAGGGTTTATGCTCCTATGAGAATCTAATACTGCTGCTGATCTGACAGGAGGCGGAGCTCAGGCAGTAATGTTTGCTCACCCGCCGCTCACCTCTTGCTGTGCCACCCAGTTCCTAACAGGCCACAGACCTGTACCAGTCCTCAGCCTGGGACTTGAGGACTCCTGGTATAATATAGTACAGTGGTCAAGAGTGCAGACTGTCTGTGGTCAAATTTCAGTTCTCATGACTTAAATAACCATAGGCAAAGAACTTAACCTTTCTGATCTTCATTTCTAAATGAGAATAATAATAGTAACCTACCTAATAGGTTGTTATGTTGATTAAAAGAGTTAATACACAGAAAACACAAAGAAGTAGTGCCTGGCATCCGTAAGCAATCAGTAAGTGTTAGCTATGATTATGCTGCTAAAAGCATGCTCACCATTACATGTGAAGAATTTACATAAATGTTGAACCACTCTAATTATTAAGTGCTTTCTTATATAAACTAATATTTTCATCTGACTTCTACCTGTCTGTCCTGTATTCTTAAATAATCATAAAGATTATTCTCGCCCTCTTTGTATTTTTGAGCATTTGGTATCATGTAACTCCCCTCCCCATCCCCCAAACACACACACAAACCCTTTCTCTTCTCCACATCATATACTGTCTTCTCAATTTCTTCAACCACCTTTGTTCATTATTTTGGCGCTCAGTCTCTGAAAACTCTCTAATATGTCAATGTCTCTTTTGAAGTGTGGTAGTTCGAATTTTCAGTTGAAAAGTATTTATTGAGTGTTCATTATATGCCAGGCTGGGCATCATAATCCAGTTATAGTCTGGTCAATTCTGTGAGTGGATTAGATCTTGAATATTATATTAATCTAGCCAAAGGTTAGCAAATACCTGGTTATCCTTACCACTTCCCTTTCCCATACTCGTGGTAGACATCACTAATCAATCACAGCATTTTTCCCCCTACTGGACTCAGGACTCTCCTTCAGGAACCTATGATTAAAATGAAATTGAATCTCTCACTCCTGGTATAAATAAAGATTGCACTAGCTTTATAGTCAAATTATGACACCTGAAATATTTGAATCTTTTTCTCAGGTACTGTTCACAAAGCCAGATCTAATTCATTAATGCATCTGTAAATGATTTTTTTTAAAAAATGTTTTTCCTTCTGATCTCTGTGTATTTATTTTTAAAAGGTTACAATCAAACTATTGTGTTGTTTTCACTTGATATTTTCCAAATTATTTCATACTTTTGCAATCATAGCATCAAGAAAAAAGTTAATATAAAGATTAACTGTATGGCAATAATTGACAACTGTTACTATAATATAGAGCTTTACACATATTCCTGTTACATTTTTAATAGCTTTATTGTGATACCTAAACCCACTTTTTAGTTTTTTAGTATATTCACAGGGTTATGTAATCGTCACCTAAATCCCTGTTAAATTTCATCATTTTATTTTAAACTTATTTTTTAATCCCAAAATTCTGCCATTTATTATGTATTTATTTATTTTAAGAGATGGGGTCTCACTCTGTTGCCCAGGTTGGAATGCAGTCATGCCATCACAGCTCATTGTAGCCTCGAACTCCTGGGCTCAAGCAATCCTCCCACTTTGGCCTCTCAAGTAGCTGGGACTGCAGGTACACACCACCACACCTGGCTAAGAATTCTGCCATTTAGACTGCTTGTTCTTGCTTGTATGCACGACCTCTCTTTTTCTCTGCTGTAATAAAGTGGCACCAGACAAGGTTAAAACCATTGTCAGGTGGCTACAGGTTGAGGTAGCTCCATCCAGTACCACTTTTTTTTTTAAGGTAGAATCAATTAAATAAGCTATAAAACCACCTCAACTGTGGTATCAACCAATGCCAACCCTGGCAGCATAAGAAATACAATGACAGTGTTCTACCTGTCCATCCAGTTAATAACCCCCAAAGAAAAGAAGATAAGTTCTGGCTGGCATAACTTGTTCTAAATGCATCCATCTTATTGTTTCTAAAAGTAAAAAATTATGAGTCCTAACATTTGGCTAATGACTGATATAAACTCTTCTGGCCTGCAGTTTCAGCAGTATATTCCCAATCACCCCCTACTTCTTCTTCTTCTTCTTTTTTTTTTTTTTAAAAAAGATTAGGCTTAGGTTTGTTCATATCCAGTCTCTGGCATCTCTTTGTAAGCAGGGAGTTGTTTCATTCACTGCTCTGATGCTTCCTGGCAAACAGTAGGCCATATATGTATATGAATGTGAATGAATTAATGCCTTCAACAAATATTTCTGACAGTGATTTCATGACTGCTTTTATTAGTTATTTTGGCAATCACTTATAACTGCTAACGTCTGCTTGCCGATCAGCCCTTAGCTTAAATGTCACTTCCTTCAGGACGCCTTCCTGATCCCCTCCACTAGGTTAGGTGCTCCTGATCTCTGCTCCCTTTCATACAACTCTTATGACTGATAAAAACAGCACGAGGGGGCCAGGCGCGGTGGCTCACGCCTGTAATCCCAGCACTTTGGGAGGCCGAGACGGGCGGATCACGAGGTCAGCAGATGAGACCATCCTGGCTAACACGGTGAAACCCCGTCTCTACTAAAAATACAAAAAAAATTAGCCGGGTGTGGTGGCGGGCGCCTGTAGTCCCAGCTACTCCGGAGGCTGAGGCAGGAGAATGGCGTGAACCGGGGAGGCGGAGCTTGCAGTGAGCCGAGATCGCGCCACTGCACTCCAGCTTGGGCGACAGAGCGAGACTCCGTCTCAAAACAAAACAAACAAAACAAACAAACAAAAAAACGGCATGAGGGAAATTTCCATGTTTATTGTGTTCATCTTTGTATGCCTAATTCCAAACTTTCCAAGCTCGGCACCCAGCACACAGTAGGTTCTTAATATTTGTTGAGTGAATGAATAAATGAAGTAAATTGGAAATGTAATTTGTCTTTGTCTAAAGGCAAGAACTCATTCAATATAACCTAGTCACTTGTCTTGACCTTCACCTCTTTTTTTCTTTAACAACCTTATTGAGGGAAAATTTACATACCATAAGATTCACCCATTAAGCTCCTCTTACTAATTTTTTTCTCTCTCATTTTTGTGTGTGAAGGTCATTTTCTAATGGCAAAAATGGAAAGAAAATAGAAGTAGAATGTTGTGGAATCTTAGATAAAGAATGGGCTCTTGGAGCCCAGTTTAGCAGGGTTTACTTCTCAGTTTTACTTTTCAATTGTGACCGTAAGCAAATTAACTTCTCTAGGCCTGGGATTCTGATCTGTAAAATTGCACTAATATGAGTCTCTTCACGGCTCCTCTAAGGATTAAATGAGAGACACATGCAAAGGATCCCCAAAAACAATAACTCAAAAAATGTTGATTCCCTCCCTTCCCTCTGTCATCTGTTAACCTCAACTTCCTAAATAGAAGGTCTATTCTTTTACCATCATCATTATTCTCTTCGGTGCCTATTTTTAAAAAATACTCAACCTTCTTGCTTCCTTCGCTACCTAAGTATTTCTGCAAGCCCACTTTGTTCTGCAGCTTAGCTTTCCTGGCACAATTCTTATAGATTTTGGTCCCTTTTAAAATTCATTCTTCAGCAAATGCTTTCTCTCTCCATCTTTTGACTAGAGATCATTAGAGATCACCTGAGATCATTAGAGAACAGTGGTTTCCTTGGTTGCCATTCCCTTTCTTCTTCATTGGGAGTATTCTGCGGTGAACTCAGACATTTTATTTTTCAAAGCTTCCCATTCTTTTAAAAATGCTTTTCCTTTTACAGCCTCTCGCTCAAAATCATACCCATCTTTTCCCTGGATCTGTTTTCTCAAGTCTCCAATCGCCTGCCTTCTTTGTGTCTTGTATTACCCTCACATCCCCCAGCTTTCTACTGCTCTCCCAGGACCAACCATTTCTTCCGCGGGAGTCACATTACATCAGCATTCCTAATGCAGTATCTGTTATCTACCAGATTCTGTTTTATTCTAGGTAGTCACTTAAAAACGAACCTCGGTACTGGTCTGACTTAACATGGAGGAGGAATTGTCTAAGGTTAAACGCAAACTGCTGAGAGATTTGGGGCGGGGGGCACACATTTACATTCATTCGTATTAAATATATACCTGTTGAATTTGTGCTTTTTCTCAAATGCTTCAGAGACTCGAGCTTTAGAGTAATTGGGATGGTGAAAGGATGGGTTTCCAGAAACTTCGCCCAAAATTAAAGACTCCATCAAAAGGACTGCTCCATACACTCAAGGAACACCCACCAACAAATCCCGTCTCCACAACCACCAGATTATCTCACCGGCGAGTGAGACTGCAAGGTTTGGGGGCCCGGCCGTACCACTCCGCGCTGCGCACGGGGGGTTCGTACCCATCTGGCCGCGACCGTCCGTTTCCCCCTCGCTTGGTTCTGCCCCTGCTCCCCCTGCACAGGCCTCACAGTGCGTCTGGCCGGCGCTTTATAGCTGCAGCCTGGGCGGCTCCGCTAGCTGTTTTTCGTCTTCCCTAGGCTATTTCTGCCGGGCGCTCCGCGAAGATGCAGCTCAAGCCGATGGAGATCAACCCCGAGGTGAGCGCC
This sequence comes from Homo sapiens, assembly GCF_000001405.40. Classification (NCBI taxonomy): domain Eukaryota; kingdom Metazoa; phylum Chordata; class Mammalia; order Primates; family Hominidae; genus Homo; species Homo sapiens. Next base: position 41,257,019 of record NC_000004.12, read on the forward strand.
AGGTGCACCGCTACCCGGAGAGCGCGAGGCCGAGGGAGGGGGAGCCGAGTCGCTGATCGGTTCGGTTTTGCCTTTTTCTTTGCATTTGCCTTTCAGATGCTGAACAAAGTGAGTGGCGTCTCGCGCCGTCTCTGGCCCCCTCCCCCGCGAGCGCCGAGGCGGGGGCGCCCACCGGTTCCGGCTGCTGGCAGGGACCAAGCCGCCCGCTGCGAGCACCGGAGACGGCCGGGCTGGGGCGTGGGCTGGGCGCCTTTCCTGGGCCCCTGCATTTAGCGGGTGACTCTACGAAACCGGTCACGGGGAGACGGAGGGGGCTGCGCCCCGTGGCGAGCGAGCGCCAGGCGGAGCTCCCGAGGGCGTGGCGCGGGCAGCACAGACTCGGCTGCACGGGCTTCGCGGGCGCCACGTGTGGGCCGCGCTTTGTGCTGTGTCATTGCGCCGGCCCGGGTGGGGGTGGCAGGGCGGGACTGGGGCTCCTCCCAGGCTCGGGTGCGGGCGCGGAGGGCGCGCGCCTCCTGGCCCCGCCCCCTGGCAGGTGCCCGCGACCCGCGTGTCCCCGTGCGCCTGGCCGCCTTGTCTCCTCTCCGCAGGTGCTGTCCCGGCTGGGGGTCGCCGGCCAGTGGCGCTTCGTGGACGTGCTGGGGCTGGAAGAGGAGTCTCTGGGCTCGGTGCCAGCGCCTGCCTGCGCGCTGCTGCTGCTGTTTCCCCTCACGGCCCAGGTAGGGCGTGGGGCCCAGGATGCGCCGGCCGCCGGCAGTGCACGCCGCTCCCCAGCTTGAGTCCTCGGGGGCTCCCCGCCCCGCCCCCTCCCCTGTAGGTGATGCGGGGCGCGCCTACAAGGAAGGGAGGAGCCTGCATTTTCGTGGTACCTACTCCCTGGGCTCCTGTTCCAGCGGTGCCTGTCGCCTTCTTGCCCATCCGTCCACAATTGCCTTAAATTTGGAAGAGAGGCAGTATCTCAGTTCCATCTATCCCGTTATCCAGGGAAATCATTCATCCTACTCATGAGTTCCCTCGAACTTGGGCTTTTTCGAGCCTCCGGTTCCGGGGAATGGCTGCTGGTTTCCCTTTAAGGGCTATAACCTGTCAACTCATTGTTTGCTTCTCAGACTCCCACCTAGCTGTAGAATGGAGGGGGAAGGGCTGACCTAAATCGCAGGGAAACAATTAGGTTCGCTAATTCTCCGCCTCCATTACTTGGGTTTCTGATGGTCTTAAGGGGTTCTTCTCTCTTCTCCACTCCCACCACTTGCACACTTGGTTTTTAGCCTCTTGAATGTATTTCTTAAAGCTTAATCATTTTGTGTATGGTTTCTGTGTGGGAACCTCCTTCCTCTTCACTTATCCTTGTTCATCTCTGACCTTGTAGCTAACTGAAATAGGGGGTTATTAGCTCAGTTTTGAAAGCACCTTTGCATTTCCCTTGAAATGATTTTCCTCCTACAAGTGTGCATGGATAGATGTATCTGAAAGACAGCGTCAGATTTTTTTTTTTAAAGGATAGCTAGGATATTTGCAGTCTTGTGATGTATGGAATCCCAGTCATTAGCGCATGGCATTGTCTTATCTCCTATTGCTGTCACTTGACCGCTGATGTGGGAGTGACTGAAATTAGCTTTAGCAAAACTTGGGGCATCACTCTAAAGAGTGAGGTTAACTGAAGCACCGTCCTAAGGCTAGGTGTTCTGGAAGCATCTGTAGCCAAAATCAAGAGTATGGGAAGTTCCAAGCCTTCCTCCTAGTAAGTAAGCTAAGTATTGTGGGTAAAAACACTTATTTACAGCTAATAAGATGATCTCACTGACATGTTTTTATTGCTAAAGTCTTTTACTTGGGCTAAAAGGAAGATGCCAAATTGTTGGAAGTCGAATTAGCTTCCTGGTTGACCAAATCAGTCTCCTGTCTCCAGTTGAGCATCACACAGAGGTTTTTTATTAGAGCAACCATGATGACTCGGAGGTTTTGAGCAGCATTCAGAGGCAAGGCCTCTGGGAGGCAGTGGTGCAGCATGTTTGCCTTTAAAAGCTGACTGTTCTCCTTTTGCTGAATCTTGTTTAGAGAACATTCTAGTTTGTGTTATGTTTGAAAGAGCTCGATACTTTGTCCTTTAGTTTCAATTCAACCTATCAGATTTATCGAGCGCCTATTCTGCTACACAGAATGCCTACTGGACAAAACACTGAAGCCGATTGAAAGAAAAGTTGAGGTTTTATAGGTTGACTCCAAAGATGCTAATGTTAATTTGGAAGGCATTTAATTTTTGACTAAGGGAATGTTATGACCCCCTACATGGACCACTTCTGAAACATTAAGTGCTAGTAGACTATTTACAGAATGATTTCCATGGAAGAGCTCAAGCAGCCCTAAAGGATGGTGCTATCCCATTTTAACATTTCATCTAATTAGCCTAGAAAATGAAAAACACTTACTGGTCAATGAATACTAAGTTGAGGATCCAGTTAGATAGAAGCGAAAAAGTTCTGCTAGTTGGAGTTTAAGTTGATCTTCTGGGGTAAGAGATCTTACTCTTCTATTAGTACCAGAGAGCAAGCTTAAACTTCAGTTCATGTACAGAAATGCAAAGCTACTAGAATTGGAAATAGGTTTCTGATGGTCTGTCTGGTTTTGCTCGTTATGGGAAATCAGTGTTTCTATAGTGTTAGTACCCTACTCTTTAACTGGGAAGTCCTAACTTATTTATTATATTTTTATTTTTTAGAGACAAGGTCTCAAACTTCTGAGCTCAAGTGATCCTCCTGCCTCAGCCTCCCTAGTAGCTGGGATTATAGGTGCAAGCCACTGACCCTGGCTCAAGAAATCATAACTTCTAAGGTCTTTAAAGCTAGTTAGTGAAAAGTCCAGATAGGCTTACTAAATTACTATACAGAAAGCTAGCAGATGCTTTGAGGAAATCCGTTTCCTAGTCCGATTCATTTACCAGTCTCTATCCTCCTCCTCAAATTGCCAGTCTGTCCTCAAAGTAAACTGTTTAGCTGGCAAGGACAAGCTAGTGTCACATCTTCCTCTTGTAAAATCACAGCCCAATACCCTGGATCAGTTGTCTTTTCCTTAAAAAGAGGGCGGAGGTAATGGTTAATTTCTTTCACTTGTTCTTTTCAGCAGTTAAGGCCGTTTTTGTTTTTGAAGCGAAGTGTACTTAAGCCGAGTAGAAGTAGAACTTTAAAGAATAATGAAATGTAAACCAGCTGGTGCTCTTGTTGGGCATTCAATTGACTGAAGCTTGATTTAGGATGCCTATGTGAAATAGTTGTTAAGTGTTAAAGGGAGAAAATAATGAATTGGTTTCTTTGTTTTCTGACTTCGTGACACCATTTTGGGCTGAAAGGTTGCAGTGGTGTCTAGACACAGCCTTGGGCAGTATCCAAGGCAGTCACTGCACTGCAGCACCAGGGTGGAGTCTCCGAACCTCTCAGAGCCCCACTGGCTGGCGTGGGTGGTGTGGGAGGCAGACAGACGGGCCCTTCTCTGGGAGTCAGCCAACATCTAGAACCAGGGGTTCTGGTCACACATCCCACTGGTGTTTCCATTTAGTTGGTAGAACTCATGTGCTGCCATCTGTTCTTTGCACTTTCATTCTGAGATGTAAAAACGCTTTTTACATTCGCAGCATGAGAACTTCAGGAAAAAGCAGATTGAAGAGCTGAAGGGACAAGAAGTTAGTCCTAAAGTGTACTTCATGAAGCAGACCATTGGGAATTCCTGTGGCACAATCGGACTTATTCACGCAGTGGCCAATAATCAAGACAAACTGGGATTTGGTAGGTGTGGGTTTTGAGGCCAGCCATCCTAAGCTTGAACTTGAAACATGGAGTTCAGAAACAGCTGTTTTCCCGAGGTCAGAGATGCTGTACCTTTTGAAACCATTTTGTAATGATGGTGTCAGACACTTAATCTGACTCACAGTCCTCCTCAGAAAGGATTCCTAGCACTTCCAAATTTTGAAATGGTCCCATTTCACAAATTTTAGAGCTGAAAGTTCATATTGAGGTCTTTTGAAATATACATTGTTATTGCTATAGGTTTGTAATTAGTGTCTCTTAAGCATTTTGTTAATGCTCAGTGTGGATAAGCCTATGTCAGTGGTTAGCCAGTCAGATGTCTCTATGCTGGACTATTTTGTTTCTTTACATTTCTATTCAAGATCTTTATTTTTCTATCTGAATAACCGAATTACTAAAGTTGAATTTTCTACCCCATAATCTTGGTTTGGGAAGCATTTTTATTAGAACATGATTATAGCGTCATGTATATAATAGATGTTAACTGTACATTCTTAGATGCTGTAGATACAGCAGGTAAACAAGGCAGCCCCGGCTTTTATGGTGCTAGAAATCTCAAATATGTTTTACAAATTAAGAATTGCTGTGAAAAAGTGACAGGAGATTTGAGAGATGAGTGAGGTGGGAGGGAAAAAGGGGTCCAGGGTAGAAGGGAACAGAGGCAAGAAAGAGCTTGGCATATTGGGAGAGCGGAGAGACCTCTCTGGCCTGAAAGCAGTGAATAGAGAGGGGTTAGAAAAAGAGGCTAGGGGAAAAGGTACAGCTCATCCACAACCCTGGAGGCAGTATTAAAGATTCAGGTTGCTCAGCATGTTCAGCAAAGGCTTAAGTCAACAATAAATATGTACCCACTTGTATTATTTTACCTATACTAACACATCCATTTTTTTTTTAAGAGGATGGATCAGTTCTGAAACAGTTTCTTTCTGAAACAGAGAAAATGTCCCCTGAAGACAGAGCAAAATGCTTTGAAAAGAATGAGGTAAGAGAACTTACAGAGCATGGCCTTTAAATAACTCTAGAGATTTTTGTGCTAATTATTTTCTTTTTTCCGCAGGCCATACAGGCAGCCCATGATGCCGTGGCACAGGAAGGCCAATGTCGGGTAAATGCAAATACAAATCGGAGCCAGGCTGCCTGGGTGCCATCTGTGTTTCTACTGAAATTGTGCAGGAATCTCTTACTGGAACACAGCAAATGTTATCCACCCAAGGCCAAATGACACCAGAAAGTTCTACCCAAATAATGCTTTGACTAGACCTGTTCATAAAAAAAGTTTTCTTCAGAAATTGTATTGGTCATTGAAGTCTTGAGTAAATTCAAATTGACAGTATTTTGTTTAGATCCAAATGAGTCTTATAGGTCAGGCATAGTGGCTCATGCCTGTAATCCCAACAATTTGGGAGGCCGAGGAGGGTGAATCACTTGAGCCCAGGAGTTTGAGACCAGCTTGGCCAACATAGTGAAACCCCGTCCCTACAAAAAATACAGAGTAGCGAGGTCTGTAGTCCCAGCCACTTGGGAGGCTGAGGTGGGAGAATTGCTTGAGCCCTAGAGGCAGAGGTTGCAGTGAGCTGAGACCATGTCGCTGCACTCCGGTCTGGGTGACCCTGTCTCAATAACAGAAACAAATGAGTCTTATAGAGTGTACACCTCTCCTAGTAAGTGAGCATTTCAAATAATCTTCACAGGCTGTTGGGGAGAATGAAATGCCCAACGAAGGACAAGTTCTAGAAGGCTTGAATATACCATAATCTGATGAGAACCTCTGAGTCAGCTGCTAAATTTAAGTCAGATCTCAGTGTCCTTTTTAAAAAAAAAAAAAAGTTGACAAGGTCAGCCTCCATTTCCCAGGCTGGAATGCAGTGGTGTGATCTTGGCTCACTGCAGCAATTCTCTCATCTCAGCCTCCCGAGTAGCTGGGATTACAAGTACACACCACCACACCTACTAATTTTTATATTTTTTGTAGAGATGGGGTTTCACCATGTTGTTCAGGCTGGTCTTGAACTCTTGTGAGCTCAAGTGATCTGCCTGCCTCAGCCTCCCAAAGTGCTAGTATTGCAGGTGTGAGCCACCGTGCCTAGCCAGATCTCAGTGTCTTTATAACTACAACTGGCTGCCACTTTCTAGCATTGACCTTGGTTGAGATAGTTAGCCTCTCTAAGCCTCAATTTTCTCCTCAGTAAAAATCCTGTAGTAATAGCATCCTCATAGAGTTGTTCTGACAGTTAACAGTATATTTACCTTAGTGGGCTTAGAATAGGGCTTAATGTAAGACATACATTAAATATTAGCTATAATTTCTAAAAATCAAGTCAGTTCAAGCACATTTCACTTGAATTGCAAGATAATTTTTAAAATACAGCTTACACTCATTTTCAAAAATTTCTTGACTTTCTTTAGGTAGATGACAAGGTGAATTTCCATTTTATTCTGTTTAACAACGTGGATGGCCACCTCTATGAACTTGGTATGTTTTACTCCATTTTTGGAACCCAGTGTAGTTTCATGTGTTCTTTCAGACTGAATTTCTCTTGATATATTGTGTGACTTTATGGCACTTGGCATATCATTGTTTATAAAGCCACAATAACAAAGTATTCTCATGAGGGCACTTAACCCCTTATCATCCCCAGAGCAACTTCCTCAGGCAACTGACTAGCATCCCCTAGTATCATCCTTTCTGGGCAAAGAGTACGTCTGAAAAAGGATCAGTGCCTGAATATGACCTTACTTGTCTAAAAAGAATCTGAACATGTTGGAATAACTTCTATTAACTAGTTTATGGCATCAAGAAAGACGACCCACCTTGTAAGATTCATTCCTTTTGTATTAATGGAGAAAGACTTGTAACTCTTGTCTCAAGCCAAGATACGACCTACAGGCTTACAAAGGCAAAGGAATAGTGAAGGCAATCTACAGTCATTGGAGGGCAGATAAAATCTCAGGCGTCTCCTCCTCTCGCCTCCATCTTCCCTATCCCCAGAGACTGCATCTGACTTTTGTTCTGTGGCCCTTTCCAAGGGTTGGGGCACAGGCCCCTCTATTAGGGTAGCTGACTTGAGCTTGTGCGATCTTGTCAATTGTAGACTAGAATTGCCTGGGATGGATGCCTAGGGACACTTGAACCTCATTTGCAGCCTCTTGCTTCATAACCAGGCTTCCTTCTGTGGGTTTGGCAGTGGTTTTTGGAAGAATCTAAAACTTCCATCTAGGCTAGGTAAGCACGGTAGCCAGAAAACATGCAGAGAAAATTGACATGCCTGGCTTCTTTGTTACAGATGGACGAATGCCTTTTCCGGTGAACCATGGCGCCAGTTCAGAGGACACCCTGCTGAAGGTCATCTTTGGAATGCATCTCTTCTTAATGTGCCTCACAATTCTTTGGCTAAATTTTCTATTCTAAAGTGCTAACACTCTTCCAGTATAGCCAGCATCAGTTGCCTGGGTTAATAGCAGTCTTTAGGGCTGCAAGATCCTCTTAGTAACTCTATCTACCTTATTTTATTGCAAGTGGTTTTAAACAGGGCTTCAGAGACACCCTGAGTAATCTGTTTCATGTGTTGTCTTTAGTCCACAGTTAGAATTAGCCTGAAAGCTGTTGCTTTGCTTCCTGGTGGGATTAAGGTGACCATTGTCCTCCCATCAGATTACATCATAGCTAAAGACTCACAAAACAGCAGCCTTTCATAATCCCTCTAAGACAACGGGATTTGGGTCAGTCTTGGAGGTAGTGTACTATAGATTCTAGTTAGGTGGTTAAATTTAGGAGTTTTTCCTTCCCACATGGTCTACTGTTACAAGAACAAAATAAGCAGATTTAAAATCCACCTGACAAAAACTGTTAATATCCAGGATCACTTTGTAACCATCCTGGACAGAAAAGTGATTCTGGGCAAAGGTTGGTAGACGACCCTAGGCCTCTTCACTAAAAAATGAGCCTCTAGAGTTGAATCAATTTGCTATTATAAAGGAAAATTGCTTAATTATGATACACAAAATACTGTTTTTAGCTTGCTGTGCTGAAGAAAAATATACAAACTGCTATTAAGATATAACTATACTTAATTTGAGTAGTAATAGTATAAAATCTTTGCAGAACTTACTGTGTGCAGACCAGGACTCAGCAAGCATTTTCTATAAAGAGCCAAACAAAATATTTTAGGCTTTGTATGGCATATGGCTCTGTTGCAAGTATTCAGTTCTGCTGTTACAACTCAGCAGCCCATAGACACTCTCTAAATGAATGTATGTAGCTGTTTTCCACCAGCACAGGCTGGGTTGGGCCCACATGCTGCAGTTTACTGACCCCTCTTCTTAGGTGCTGTTCTAGGTGATCTACGTCTTTTATAGAAATCCTTTAATGACACAGTGAGGTAGGTATTATCCCCATCTCAGAGCTGACAAAACTCAAGAGTTTAAGGCCTGAGGTCAAGGACTTACATGGCAAACTGTGATTCAAACCTAGATAGTCTGGCAAGGTGCAGTGGCTCATGCCTATAATCCCAGCACTTGGGAGGCTGACGCGGGAGGATTGCTTGAGCTCAGGAGTTCAAGACCAGCCTGGGCAAAATGGTGAAACCCCATCTCTACTAAAAATATAAAAATTAGCCAGACCTGGTGGTGCATTCCTGTAGTCCCAGCTGCTTGGGAGGCTGAGGCACAAGAATCACTTGTTACCTGGGAGGTGGAGGTTGCAGTGAGCCGAGATTGCACCACTGTACTCCAGTCTGGGCAACAGAGCAAGACTCTGTCTCAGAAGAAAAAAAAGAAAAGTTAGTCCGCATCTAGAGTCTGTGTTCTTAGCCATTGTACAATACCAATATGACCTTTCTTTAGAAAAGACCTCTCTTTGGAACTTCACAGACCTGATAGCCCTAAGATGCTAGTGGACCACATTATGCCACTCTTAATAGGGAAGGTTGATTTCTCTCATCTGTCAGACACACCTGAGATCAGTTAAAGCTAATTCTTGGTATTCAAGAGGTATGTGGGAATAGTAATATGGAATGAAGAATAGACCTGGAGAGCCAGGATGGGATGGAAGGGTTTCATGAGAGTCAGAATTTACTTGGTGAGAATAAGAAAACAGGCAGAATTTCTGGTCTTTGATCCATTTGGAGGAAAGAGACCCTGGTCCTTCCTAGTAAAGCTTTTAAGGTACATGCTAACTCATCTAACACTGCACTAATACCATAAAAATGTGTCCCACATAGGATACAAGTGTCACATGAGTAGAATTTATAAGGTGTGGGGAAGGTAAAATTTTTGTATAGAGATGGGGCGGGGAGGGACTCACTATGTTGCCCAGGCTGGTCTTTAACTCTTGGGCTCAAGTGATCTTCCTGCCTCAGCTTCCCAGAGTGCTGGGATTATAGGCGTGAGCCACAGTACCTGGCTAAAACTTTTTTTTTTTTTTTTTTTTTAACTTTTCTAATTAGAACCTTATTTAAAATTAAAAGAGTTTCTAAATTAAACCAGCATTTTAGTTAAAATTCTTACCCTAAGTAAGGCTGGTTCTATATGGTTAAGGATGTTTTAGGTTGTCTAAATGTCACACTAAATTATTAAACTGGTTAGAATATACATGCACTTAACCCAAATATCTTAAGCTTGAATGAATTAGGTCCCTGCACGTTAGCTCTATAGAAGATGGTTATTCTCTTTAAAGGTACATCTTTAATAGTGAAATCAATATTGTATGTCCTATAGTAAGGTCAATTCAGGGAAGACAGGTCTGGAATACTGATATATTAAAAAACTTGGTAGAGGATAAAATGTTGATGTCAATCCAGATACTCTTTGGTTGCTTTTTTTGAGAAAGGGTCTCGCTGTGTCATTCAGGCTGGAGTGCAGTGGTGCAATCATGGCTTACTGTAGCCTTGAAGTCCTTGCTCAAGCAATCCTCCCACCTAAGTCTTCTGAGTAGCCAGGACTAGAAGCGCACACCACCATGCCCAGCTAATTTTTAAATTTTTAGTAGAGATTTTGCCCAGGCTGGTCTTGAACTCCTGAGCTCAAGTCATCCGCTGCCTCAGCTTCCCAAAGTGCTGAGATTGCAGGCCTGAGCTGTGTCTGGCCCAAACTCATTGAGTTGGTGATTTCTAAATTTTAGGAGTGATGTTTCATTACCATTCTGTATCATAGAGCATTCCTTTTCTCCTTCAGGGTCTTATACTATGGTTTACAGAGCTATCTTTCCACTGGGCTTTTTTACAGATTGAACAGAGTAATATTTTTGATCCCAAAACAATTATATCCTAGAAGTTGGTAAATAACACTGGGATCAGTTTCCTGTTACCAGTCTTTGTCATCTAGATCTTAGAAGTAGTAACGCATGTCACTTCACCATCAATCTCTAAGGTTCCATGCTTGTCTGTACCTAGAATATCAGGTAAACGTTAAGGCTGTTTTTTTTTTTGTTTGTTTGTTTGTTTTCTGAGACGGAGTCTCGCTCTGTCGCCCAGGCTGGAGTGTAGTGGCGCGATCTCGCCTCACTGCAAGCTCCGCCTCCTGGGTTCACGCCATTCTCCTGCCTTAGCCTCTCAGAGTAGCTGTGACTGCAGATGCCCGCCATCATGCCCGGCTAATTTTTTTTGTATTTTTAGTAGAGACGTGGTTTCACCATGTTGGCCAGGATGGTCTCTATCTCCCAGCCTCGTGATCCGCCTGCCTCAGCCTCCCAAAGTGCTGGGATTACAGGCGTGAGCCACTGCGCCCGGCCACGTTAAGGCTGTTTTTTAAAATGTTTATTTGAAAGACAATTTTCTTTATTCCAGGAATTTCTGAGTTACAACTTTTCACTTATGCCACCTTATGGAAGAAAGATCAATTTCCAATCTTTAGATTTGAGGAAAATAACGTTCATAGTTGTGTTTTTGTTGTTGGGTTTTTTTGTTTTTGTTTTTTTTAACTTTTCCAAAACCAGGTACAAAGTGAGAGAAGCACAAAACCATTTGGTGGAAGTGATAAGTCAAATCCATGATGTAACCTTGTCTTTCCCATCACCTGATTTTTTGCTTTAAGCCCTGGTTTTCAAATTAATGATGGAATTAAAGTTGATGAGGGTGAACTTTGAGCATTAATAGACCTTGGAGCCTTTCCCTATGTGACTTTCATTTTGAGCTCTTGCTGTTTGGATTTTAATGACATTTCTCCTTTCCAGGACGCTGCCAAGGTCTGCAGAGAATTCACCGAGCGTGAGCAAGGAGAAGTCCGCTTCTCTGCCGTGGCTCTCTGCAAGGCAGCCTAATGCTCTGTGGGAGGGACTTTGCTGATTTCCCCTCTTCCCTTCAACATGAAAATATATACCCCCCCATGCAGTCTAAAATGCTTCAGTACTTGTGAAACACAGCTGTTCTTCTGTTCTGCAGACACGCCTTCCCCTCAGCCACACCCAGGCACTTAAGCACAAGCAGAGTGCACAGCTGTCCACTGGGCCATTGTGGTGTGAGCTTCAGATGGTGAAGCATTCTCCCCAGTGTATGTCTTGTATCCGATATCTAACGCTTTAAATGGCTACTTTGGTTTCTGTCTGTAAGTTAAGACCTTGGATGTGGTTTAATTGTTTGTCCTCAAAAGGAATAAAACTTTTCTGCTGATAAGATAGCCACAGCTGATTCTCATTTTCTTTTACCCTCTCCTCAATATGTCAGGTTATTTTGGTAGTAATATATGAATGTCTTCCACATAAGTAACTCATACAGTGCTGCCAAGAATTACCATAAAAGCATTGGTTTGATGTGTCTTTGGATTTTTTTTTGCATTTGTATTCCCTATGTATACCTGTAGAAACTAATTTTTAAAGATTTTTAAATAGGCAAATTTTGTAGCACAATTTTAGACTTATAAAAATATTGAAGACAAAAAGAAAATACTGGACATTGTAGAAGTCCCATAAACCCACCACCCAGTTTCCTCTATTGTATTAAGCGGGGTTTTCTAGAGGACAGAACTAATAGGATATATGTATGTATAAAGGGGAGTTTATTAAGGAGTGTTGACCCACACGATCACAAGGTAAAGTCCCATGGTAGGCCCTCTGCAAGCTGAGGAGCAAGGAAGCCAGTCCGAGTCTCAAAACCTCAAAAGTAGGAAAACCAATAGTGCAGCCTTCACTCTATAGTCAAAGGTCCAAGAGTCCCAAAGCTGAAAAACTTGGGAGTCTGATATTCCAGGGGAGGACACATCCAGCACAGGAGAAAGGTGGAGGTGGGAGACTGGGCCAGTCTAGTCTTCCCATGTTCTTTTGCCTGCTTTCATTTTGGCTGCACTGGCCGCTGATTAGATTGTGCCCACGCAGATTGAGGGTGGGTCTGCCTTTCCCAGTCCACTGACTCAAGTGTTAATCTCCTTTAGCAACACCCTCACAGACACCCAGGAAAAGTACAATACCTTCAATCCAAGTTGATGCTCAATATTAACCATCACAGTTATTGACATATCGATACACTGCTATTAAGTCCATAGCTTGTTTAGATTTCCTGGCTGTTTTCCCTAATGTCCTTTGTTTTAGGATCCCATCCGGGATCCCACATGACTGTTAGTTGCCATGTCTCACCAGGCTCCTTTGGGCTTTGTCAGTTTCTCAGACTTCTCTTCTCCTTGGATGACCTTGACAAATTGGAGGAGTACCATCAAGTATTTTGTAAGGTGCCCTCTATTGGGATTTGTCTAATGTTAGACTAGGGTTATGGGTTTTGGGGAGGAAGACCACAGAGGCAAAGCGTTGTTTTCATCATATGCTACAAAGGGTACATAAGCATAATTTATCACTGATTCTCACCTCTTACCTGGCTGAGGTCGTGTTTGAAAGACTTCACCATAAACTCACCCCCACTGCCTTTTCCATGCTGTACTCCTAGGAAGTCACCATGCAAAGCCCACACTTAAGGAGTGGAGGTGTATGTTCTATCTCCTTGAGGGCCAAGTATCTATATGAATTATTTGGAATTCTTTTGGGAGAGTTGTCTTTTTTCTCCTATGTAACCATTTTTATCAGTATGAACTCATATCATATACTGTGGATTTATGTTATAATCCAGTACTACCTGTTGCCCACATTGTTCTGCTTTAGTTGTTGGGAGCTCTTTCAGTTGGCTCCTATGTTGCTTTGACATACCCCAATCAGTGTAGCATGTTTTGTTTTTCTTAGCAATTCCTTACTGTCTAGAAATTAGTTTTTTTTTTTAAAAAAGCAAAAGTCTTTGGCATTTGTTGTTAAGCTTTACTTTATAGATCAATGTGCCCTTGTTTTATAGATAAGGATACACTATTATGTAATGTATAGGTTTTCATTAAATATTAAAGGAGGACGTCTGTTCTCAACAATGGACGTTGAATGTAACAGTTCACTTCCAGTTACACAAAATGAGGGAAGCAGGGAAGAAACCCAATGCTTCCTGCCTATACTGTGATCCTCACAAAAGGGCTCTGTCCTGTCTGGTGCCAGGAATCCAGATAACTTGGGTCTCAACTGCCTTATTCACAGTTCTCTAAGCCCTGATTATGGTGGTAATATTCCTGATTCCAACTTTTTTTTTTTGGGGGGGGGGCATAATTTACAGAAAATTTATTCATGTATTCAAATTATCTGCAATTTCTTTTTTTTAAAAATTATTATACTTTAAGTTTTAGGGTACATGTGCACAACATGCAGGTTTGTTACATATGTATACATGTGCCATGTTGGTGTGCTGCACCCATTAACTTGTCATTTAGCATTAGCTATATCTCCTAATGCTATCCCTCCCCCCTCCCCCAACCCCACAACAGTCCCCGGTGTGTGATGTTCCCCTTCCTGTGTCCATGTGTTCTCATTGTTCAGTTCCCACCTATGAGTGAGAACATGCGGTGTTTGGTTTTTTGTCCTTGTGATAGTTTGCTGAGAATGATGGTTTCCAGCTTCATCCATGTCCCTACAAAGGACATGAACTCATCATTTTTTATGGCTGCATAGTATTCCATGGTGTATATGTGCCACATTTTCTTAATCCAGTCTATCATTGTTGGACATTTAGGTTGGTTCCAAGTCTTTGCTATTGTGAATAGTGCCACAATAAACATACGTGTGCATGTGTCTTTATAGCAGCATGATTTATAATCCTTTGGGTATATACCCAGTAATGGGATGGCTGGGTCAAATGGTATTTCTAGTTCTAGATCCCTGAGGAATGGCCACACTGACTTCCACAATGGTTGAACTAGTTTACAGTCCCACCAACAGTGTAATAGTGTTCCTACTTCTCCACATCCTCTCCAGCACCTGTTGTTTCCTGACTTTTTAATGATTGCCATTCTAACTGGTGTGAGATGGTATCTCGTTGTGGTTTTGATTTGCATTTCTCTGATGGCCAGTGATGATGAGCATTTTTTCATGTGTTTTTTGGCTGCATAAATGTCTTCTTTTGAGAAGTGTCTGTTCATATCCTTCACCCACTTTTTGATGGTGTTGTTTGTTTTTTTCTTGTCAATTTGTTTGAGTTCATTGTAGATTCTGGATATTAGCCCTTTGTCAGATGAGTAGGTTGTGAAAATTTTCTCCCATTCTGTAGGTTGCCTGTTCACTCTGATGGTATTTTCTTTTGCTGTGCAGAAGCTCTTTAGTTTAATTAGATCCCATTTGTCAATTTTGTCTTTTGTTGCCATTGCTTTTGGTGTTTTAGACATGAAGTCCTTGCCCATGCCTATGTCCTGAATGGTATTGCCTAGGTTTTCTTCTAGGGTTTTTATGGTTTTAAGTCTAACATGTAAGTCTTTAATCCATCTTGAATTAATTTTTGTATAAAGTGTAAGGAAGGGATCCAGTTTCAGCTCTCTACATATGGCTAGCCCGTTTTCCCAGCACCATTTATTAAATAGGGAATCCTTTCCCCATTGCTTGTTTTTGTCAGGTTTGTCAAAGATCAAATAGTTGTAGATATGCGGCATTATTTCTGAGGGCTCTGTTCTGTTCCATTGGTCTATATCTCTGTTTTGGTACCAGTACCATGCTGTTTTGGTTACTGTAGCCTTGTAGTATAGTTTGAAGTCAGGTAGCATGATGCCTCCAGCTTTGTTCTTTTGGCTTAGGATTGACTTGGTGATGCGGGCTCTTTTTTCATTCCATATGAACTTTAAAGTAGTTTTTTCCAATTCTGTGAAGAAAGTCATTGGTAGCTTGATGGGGATGGCATTGAATCTATAAATTACCTTGGGTAGTATGGCCATTTTCACGATATTGATTCTTTCTACCCATGAGCATGGAATGTTCTTCCATTTGTTTGTATCCTCTTTTATTTCATTGAGCAGTGGTTTGTAGTTCTCCTTGAAGAGGTCCTTCACATCCCTTGTAAGTTGGATTCCTAGGTATTTTATTCTCTTTGAAACAATTGTGAATGGGAGTTCACTCATGATTTGGCTCTCTGTTTGTCTGTTATTGGTGTATAAGAATGCTTGTGATTTTTGCACATTGATTTTGTATCCTGAGACTTTGCTGAAGTTGCTTATCAGCTTAAGGAGATTTTGGGCTGAGACAATGGGGTTTTCTAGATATACAATCATGTCATCTGCAAACAGGGACAATTTGACTTCCTCTTTTCCTAATTGAATACCCTTTATTTCTTTCTCTTGCCTGATTGCCCTGGCCAGAGCTTCCAACACTAAGTTGAATAGGAGTGGTAAGAGAGGGCATCCCTGTCTTGTGCCAGTTTTCAAAGGGAATGCTTCCAGTTTTTGTCCATTCAGTATGATATTGGCTGTGGGTTTGTCATAGATAGCTCTTATTATTTTGAGATACATCCCATCAATACCTAATTTATTGAGAGTTTTTAGCATGAAGCGTTGTTGAATTTTGTCAAAGGCCTTTTCTGCATCTATTGAGATGATCATGTGTTTTTTGTCTTTGGTTCTGTTTATATGCTGGATTACATTTATTGATTTTCATATGTTGAACCAGCCTTGCGTCCCAGGGATGAAGCCCACTTGATCATGGTGGGTAAGCTTTTTGATGTGCTGCTGGATTCAGTTTACCAGTATTTTATTGAGGATTTTTGCATCAATGTTCATGAAGGATATTGGTCTAAAATTCTCTTTTTTGGTTGTGTCTCTGCCAGGCTTTGGTATCAGGATGATGCTGGCCTCATAAAATGAGTTAGGGAGGATTCCCTCTTTTTCTATTGATTGGAATAGTTTCAGAAGGAATGGTACCAGCTCCTCCTTGTACCTCTGGTAGAATTCGGCTGTGAATCCATCTGGTCCTGGAGTTTTTTTGGTTGGTAAGCGATTAATTATTGCCTCAATTTCCGAGCCTGTTATTGGTGTATTCAGAGATTCAACTTCTTCCTGGTTTAGTCTTGGGAGGGTGTATGTGTCGAGGAATTTATCCATTTCTTCTAGATTTTCCAGTTTATTTGTGTAGAGGTGTTTATAGTATTCTCTGATGGTAGTGGGATCGGTGGTGATGTCCCCTTTGTCATTTTTTATTGTGTCTATTTGATTCTTCTCTCTTTTCTTCTTTATTAGTCTTGCTAGCAGTCTATCAATTTTGTGGATCTTTTCAAAAAAACCAGCTCCTGGATTCATTGATTTTTTGAAGGGCTTTTTGTGTCTCTATCTCCTTCAGTTCTGCTCTGATCTTAGTTATTTCTTGCCTTCTGCTAGCTTTTGAATGTGTTTTTCTCTTGCTTCTCTAGTTCTTTTAATTGTGATGTTAGGGTGTCGATTTTAGATCTTTCCTGCTTTCTCTTGTGGGCATTTAGTGCTATAAACTTCCCTCTACACACTGCTTTGAATGTGTCCCAGAGATTCTGGTATGTTGTGTCTTTGTTCTCATTGGTTTCAAAGAACATCTTTATTTCTGCCTTCATTTCATTATGTACCCAGTAGTCATTCAGGAGCAGGTTGTTCAGTTTCTATGTAGTTGAGCGGTTTTGAGTGAGTTTTTTAATCCTGAGTTCTAGTTTGATTGCACTGTGGTCTGAGAGACAGTTTGTTATAATTTCTGTTCTTTTACATTTGCTGAGGAGTGCTTTACTTCCAACTATGTGGTCAATTTTGGAATAGGTGTGGTGTGGTGCTGAAAAGAATATATATTCTGTTGATTTGGGGTGGAGATTTCTGTAGATGTCTATTAGGTCCACTTGGTGCAGAGCTGAGTTCAATTCCTGGATATTCTTGTTAACTTTCTGTCTCGTTGATCTGTCTAATGTTGACAGTGGGGTGTTAAAATCTCCCATTATTATTGTTTGGGAGTCTAAGTCTCTTTGTAGGTCATGAAGGACTTGCTTTATGAATCTGGGTGCTCCTATATTGGTTGCATATATATTTAGGATAGTTAGCTCTTCTTGTTGAATTGATCCCTTTACCATTATGTAATGGCCTTCTTTGTCTCTTTTGATCTTTGTTGGTTTAAAGTCTGTTTTATCTGAGACTAGGATTGCAACCCCTGCCTTTTTTTGTTTTCTATTTGCTTAGTAGATCTTCCTCCATCCCTTTATTTTGAGCCTATGTGTGTCTCTGCACGTGAGATGGGTTTCCTGAATACAGCACACTGATGGGTCTTGACTCTTTATCCAATTTGCCAGTCTGTGTCTTTTCATTGGAGCATTTAGCCCATTTACATTTAAGATTAATATTGTTATGTGTGAGTTTGATCCTGTCATTATGATGTTAGCTGGTTATTTTGCTTGTTAGTTGATGCAGTTTCTTCCTAGCCTTGATGGTCTTTACAATTTGGCAGGTTTTTGCAGTGGCTGGTACTGGTTGTTCCTTTCCATGTTTAGTGCTTCCTTCAGGAGCTCTTTTAGGGCAGGCCTGGTGGTGACAAAATCTCTCAGCATTTGCTTGTCTGTAAAGTATTTTATTTCTCCTTCACTTATGAAGCTTAGTTTGGCTGGATATGAAATTCTGGGTTGAAAATTGTTTTCTTTAAGACTGTTGGATATTGGCCCCCACTCTCTTCTGGCTTGTAGAGTTTCTGCTGAGAGATCAGCTGTTAGTCCGATGGGCTTCCCTTTGTGGGTAACCCAACCTTTCTCTCTGGCTGCCCTTAACATTTTTTCCTTCATTTTAACTTTGGTGAATCTGACAATTATGTGTCTTGGAATTGCTCTTCTCGAGGAGTATCGTTGTGGCGTTCTCTGAATTTCCTGAATTTGAGTATTGGCCTGCCTTGCTAGATTGGGGAAGTTCTCCTGGATAATATCCTGCAGAGTGTATTCCAACTTGGTTCCATTCTCCCCGTCACTTTCAGATACACCAATCAGAACTAGATTTGGTCTTTTCACATAGTCCCATGTTTCTTGGAGGCTTTGTTCATTTCTTTTTATTCTTTTTTCTCTAAACTTCTCTTCTTGTTTCATTTCATTCATTTCATCTTCCATCGCTGGTACCCTTTCTTCCAGTTGATCGCATCGGCTACTGAGGCTTGTGCATTCGTCACGTAGTTCTCGTGCTGTGGTTTTCAGCTCCATCAGGTTCTTTAAGGACTTCTCCGTATTGGTTATTCTAGTTAGCCATTTGTCTAATTTTTTTCAAGGTTTTTAACTTCTTTGCCATTGGTTCGAACTTCCTCCTTTAGCTTGGAGTAGTTTGATCTTCTGAAGCCTTCTTCTCTCAACTCATCAAGGTCATTCTCCGTCCAGCTTTGTTCTGTTGCTGGTGAGGAGCTGCGTTCCTTTGGAGGAGGAGAGGCGCTCTGATTTTTAGAGTTTCCGGTTTTTCTGCTCTGTTTTTTCCCCATCTTTGTGGTATTATCTACCTTTGGTCTTTGATGATGGTGACGTACAGATGGGGTTTTGGTGTGGATGTCCTTTCTGTTTGTTAGTTTTCATTCTAATAGTCAGGACCCTCAGCTGCAGGTCTGTTGGAGTTTGCTGGAGGTCCACTCCAGACCCTGTTTGCCTGGGTATCAGCAGCAGTGGCTGCAGAACCGCGGATATTGGTGAACTGCAAATGCTGCTGCCTGATCATTCCTCTGGAAGTTTTGTCTCAGAGGAGTACCCAGCCGTGTGAGGTGTCAGTCTGCCCCTACTGGGGGGTGCCTCCCAGTTAGGCTACTCGGGGGTCAGGGACCCAC
This sequence comes from Homo sapiens, assembly GCF_000001405.40. NCBI lineage: Eukaryota > Metazoa > Chordata > Mammalia > Primates > Hominidae > Homo > Homo sapiens. The sequence continues at coordinate 41,275,877 of NC_000004.12, forward strand.
TTGAGGAGGCAGTCTGCCCGTTCTCAGATCTCAAGCTGCGTGCTGGGAGAACCACTACTCTCTTCAAAGCTATCAGACAGGGACATTTAAGTCTGCAGAGGTTACTGCTGCCTTTTGTTTGTCTGTGCCGTGCCCCCAGAGGTGGAGGCTACAGAGGCAGGCAGGCCTCCTTGAGCTGTGGTGGGCTCCACCCAGTTCGAGCTTCCCGGCCGCTTTTTTTACCTACTCAAGCCATGGCAATGGCGGGTGCCCCTCCCCCAGCCTCGCTGCCGCCTTGCAGTTTGATCTCAGACTGCTGTGCTAGCAATGAGCGAGGCTCCGTGGGTGTAGGACCCTCCGAGCCAGGTGCAGGATATAATCTCCTGGTGTGCCCTTTATTAAGCCCATTGGAAAAGCGCAGTGTTAGGGTGGGAGTGACCCGATTTTCCAGGTGCCGTCTGTCACCCCTTTCTTTGACTAGGAAAGGGAATTCCCTGACCCCTTGCACTTCCTGGGTGAGGCAATGCCTCGCCCTGCTTCGGCTCACACACAGTGCGCTGCACCCACTGACCTGCACCCACTGTCTGGCACTCCCCAGTGAGATGAACCTGGTACCTCAGTTGGAAATGCAGAAATCACCCGTCTTTGGCATCGCTCATGCTGGGAGCTGTAGACTGGAGCTGTTCCTATTTGGCCATCCCCAACTTTTTTTTTTGAGACAGGTTCTCACTCTGTCACTCCTGCTGGAGTGCAGTGGTGAGATCTCGGCTCACTGCGACCTCCAAATCCCGGGCTCAAGTGATTCTCCCACTTCAGCCCCTGCTAGTAGCTGGGACTACAGGCACGTGCCACCACACCCAGCTAATTTTGTATTTTTAGTAGAGACAGGTTTTGCCCTGTTGCCCAGGCCAGTCTTGAACTCGTGAGCTCAAGTGATCCACGTGCCTCAGCCTCCCAAAGTTCTAGGATTACTGGCATGAGCCACCACACCTGGCCCGATTCCAACTTTTTTTTTTTTTTTTTTTTTTTTGAGATAGTGTCTCACTCTGTCACCCAGGCTGGAGTGCAGTGTTGCTATCTTGGCTCACTGAAAACTCCATCTCCTGGGTTCAAGCAATTCTCCTGCCTCAGCCTCCTGAGTAGCTGGGATTACAGGCACCTGCCACCACGCCTGGCTAATTTTTTTTCTTTTTTTTTTGTATTTTTAGTAGACAGGGGTTTTGCTGTGTTGACTAGGCTGGTCTCAAACTACTGACCTCAAGTGATCCGCCCACCTCAGCCTCCCAAAGTGCTGGGATTACAGACGTGAGCCACCACACCTGGCCTCAACTTTTATATGAAGGACATTTTGGTTCCTTGAAAGAAAGTGATCCCTTCTGTTGACATCCTATTAATGTAAAAACTAAATACACAGTGATTCAGGTGGTTCTACTTGCCTTTAAATTTTAAATTCTAACTTGGTGCATGACTTCTATACAATCATCTCGAAGGTTGACTTAGGGGAAAGGAACAAAGGGCTCCTTCCTGCATATAAGCGCTGGTACAAAGATTGTTTTTGGCCTTCGAAATGTAAATTATACCACTAAACATAGCTGGAGGACTTTATACTTCATATATGAGAAGTGTATTTATTTAAATGCTCTCAAAATCCAACGTAACTTAGTGTGCCACCCCATGGAAGGTTATGCAATAGATCATGTATGTGGGTGATTGCCACCCCAGAGGTGCAGATAAATTTTGGTTTCACTAAAGAAATGCACAGAGATTAGGTTACGTGCCCATGTTCTTGTAGCTAGTCACTAGGGAAACCAGGACTTAGGCTATGGACCTGTATTAGTGCATTTTCACGCTGCTGATAAAGACATACCTGAGACTGGGAAGAAAAATAGGTTTAATGGACTCACAGTTCCATGTGGCTGGCGAGGTCTCACAATCATGGTTGAAGGTGAAAGGCACTTTTTACATGGTGGCAGGCAAGAGAGACTGAGGAAGAAGCAAAAGCAGAAACCCCTTATAAAACCAGATCTTGTGAGACTTATTCACTACCACAAGAACAGTATGGGGGAAACTGCCCCTGTGATTCAATTATCTTCCACTGGGTCCCTCCCACAACACATGGGAATCATGGGAGTACAATTCAAGATGAGGTTTGGGTGGGGACACAGAGCCAAACCATATCAGGACCTAAAGGCAGCTATCCTACTGGTAGTCAATATCATAGGCTTTAGGGTTCATCAAACCTGTCTTTGACCTCTGCTTCTACCTCAGTAACTTTGGGCAAAGGAATTATGCTCTACCACATCTTCCTTGTTTCATGTTGAAATAGACACAGTGAAGATGTCTGGGAAGGGCCTGGCCTCTAGAAGGTGGCATCTAATACCATAGTCTCTTCTCCTTTCCCTGGGCCCTCAGCAACACACAACCTCAGGGGGTACCGTCCACTTTGTATTCCATGTTAAGGCAGAGTGCTTCCTGGGGTTGTGAGACTCAGAGGACCTTGCTTCTCCAACAAGCCCTCTTATTTGACACCTCAGATTTGCCAATAGTCTGTGTATAATTGACTTATTCCCTAAAATGTTACTAGTCTTTGGTGATGAAGTTGACTTTGTAGTGCTTTCCACAGCCAAAGCCATCTGATGTTAAGTATCTCCCTATTTATTTATTTATTTAGAGATGGAGTTTCACTCTTGACGCCCAGGCTGGAGTGCAATGGTGCGATCTGGGCTCACCACAATCTCCGCCTCCCGGCTTCAAGCAATTCTCCTGCCTCAGGCTCCCGTGTAGCTGGGATTACAGGTGCCTGCCACAATGCCCAGCTAATTTTTGTATTTTTAGTAGAGACAGAGTTTCACCATGTTGGCCAGGCTGGTCTCGAACTCCTGACCTCAGGTGACCCACCTGCCTTGGCCTCCCAAAGTGCTGGGATTACAGGCATGAGCCACTGTGCCCGACCGTATCTCCCTTTTTAAACTGACACCTCAAATGTCTTAGTCTAAGTTATACATCTATACAGTACAATACTTGGACTGACTTAAACACCCATGAACATGGAAAAATGTTCATATATGAAACTAGTGAGATCTGTAAAATGTGTATACGTATGTGTTTAGAAGAGACAGGACTATAACAGATAAGTGCTTACTATATCTTAACTGCCTTACATGTTCTACTTAGTCATCACATGATGTTGGTATTATTCCCATTTTGCAGATAGAAAACTAAGGCATGGCGAAGCTTAAGCAACTTGCCTAAGGTCGTTAGGTTAATAACTGATGTTCCTGAGATTCTAACCCAAGCCAATTGGCTCTAAGAGTCCATAGTATTTAATAATTCTTCCGGGGGCAGGGACAGACCTAACTTAAAAGGAATGAAGTTTAACCTTTATAGCTCCACACTTTAATGGCCCCTTCTAATAGTCTGGCTTGTGTGTCCTTGTAAAATTTGCAACAATAGGATATTATTGTATTTTTATTCTCAAAAACATGGTTCTACACCTGTGTCTGGGTGTTAAGATTATGGGTGATTTAACTTTATATTCTAATTTTATAAGCTTTCTAAAATTACATTATTTTTTATAATAAAAAAGCTTAAGTTTTTCCCCTAAGACAGAATTCTGCCATAAACTCCTGCTGGTTAATTCTAGCTTACTTCCATGTTTCTTTAATTTATAACTGAAGTCAGTGCAACTTACAGATTTAGTTGCCTGTCTTCTAAGACGTTTTTCAACAGGCTCTGTATTAGTCCGTTCTCATCCTGCTAATAAAGATATACCTGAGACTGGGTAATTAATAAAGGAAAGAGGTTTAATTGAATCACAGTTCCACATGGCTGTGGAGGCCTCACAATCATGGCAGAAGGCAAAGGAGAAGCCAAGTCACATCTTACGTGGATGGCAGCAGGCAAGAGGACATGTGCAGCGGAACTCCCCTTTACAAAACCATCAGATCTCGTGAGACTTATTCACTGTCACAAGAACAGCACAGGAAAGATCCACCCCCATGATTCAATTACCTCCCACTGGGTCCCTCCCATGACATGTGAGAATTACGGGAGCTACAATTCAAGATGAGATTTGGGTGGGGACACAGCCAACACTTATCAGGCTCCATTATAGGGCTACTTTATTTGTTTTTAAAAATTTTTTAATTTTCAGAGACAGGTTCTCACTGTCACCCACACTGGAGTGCAGTGGCACGGTCACAGTTTACTGTAACCTCAAATTCCTGGGCTCAACAATCCTTCCACCTTCCGCCTTCCAGGCGGCACAGCTCTGGTTGACAGCTTGGGCTATACAACCAGCTCCACCCCTTACCAGCTGGGTGCCTTGGCCGATGAACTCCCTAAGCCTCGATGTCCTCATCTGTAGAGTGAGGTCAGTATCCGCCTCATAGGATTGTTGTGAGCAGCACATGAGAACATTGTGAAGTTCTTGGGGATGTGCCTGGAATGTATCAAGTGTTATTGTTTTTACTTTTTATCACCACTTAGCTCCTTTCTTTATCTATGCTAATAGAGGGGAGTTCGGCGGGGATACATTAAAACTCCTTTTTCTCCAGTCTTAATCCCAAGGTACAAAGTGCCCTTTTCTGCTCAATGCCATACTAGACCTCATTCCCTGAGGGTAATGCCCTATTTCTTTCTTTCTTTTCTTTTTCTTTTTCTTTCTTTTTTTTTTTTTGAGACGGAGTCTCGCTCTGTCGCCCAGGCTGGAGTGCAGTGGCACATCTCGGCTCACTGCAAGCTCCGCCTCCTGGGTTCACGCCATTCTCCCGTCTCGGCCTCCCGAGTAGCTGGGACTATAGGCGCCTGCCACCAAACCCGGCTAATTTTTTGTATTTTTTCACCGTGTAAGCCAGGATGGTCTCGATCTCCTGACCTCGTGATCCGCCCGTCTCGTCATCCCAAAGTGCTGGGATTACAGGTGTGAGCCACCGCGCCCCGCGGTAATGCCCTATTTCTAAAAGAAGTTTTCCTAAAAGTTATCTTAAACCATAGTGCCCAAACCATCAATGCCTTGTTCATTGCAGTGAGACGAATGCATTTTGCCTTACATTAAAGCATGAAGAATATAAGTGTATTTACCCTCTTGAGGTTACCAATTTTTAAAAGGGAATGATATAATTTAAAATTTAAAAGCTAATTTTCTAAGGACAAGAAGTATTTTAAAAACAGATCAATAGGTTTTTGCTTTGGTTGACATAAGGTATCTCTAGTCATCAAAATAAACAACCTTTAAATGTCCAGCATTTGGATGTTTAAATCCAAACTGAGCGGCTAATATCTTGAATTAACCCATTTCACACCCAAGCACACCGACTAATACGGGAAGGCAGATGATGTATTCAAGGCTATGTGCACTATATCCAGTAGGTGGCAGCATAGGAAAACTTATGGCACTATTGTAGCTGGTAGGATGAGCCAGAAATCTTAATACCAGGAGCAGTTGGTGACTGCCCTTCTTAGGCAAGATGGAGCAGTTTGATAGCATATCCCATATCATTCTTTATTTTAGCGCCGTGTTTCAGACTGGATGAATTTGTCCAGCTACAGATTGGCTAAAGCTGGCCCTGTGAATTGCTTGTTGGTCCATTCATATTTTTGGGTAGGTTCTATTTATTTTTTCATGAAAGTAAAATGAAAGAGAGAAGCAGTAATAATTTCACAAGTTCACTATAATGAATGTCTCTTCTGCTTACGTCGAGTTAGATATTATCCCAAATATAATTGATTTTATGTAATCAATTATATTATCAGTTCTACTTCTAGTAAAACCTTGCTTTCAAATCTATCTTAACATAAGGGTTTAATATAAACCAGTTTGACTTTTCCATCAAGAAAACTGAATCTGGTTCCAACATTGACATTAATTAGTTGGGTTACATTAATCAATTCTCTTTTCTTTTTTTGGTCTCAAATGTGTGTGTGTGTGTATATATATATTTTTTGTTTGTTTGTTTTTTGTTTTGAGATGGAGTCTCACTATGTTGCCCAGGCTGAAGTGCAGTGGCGTGATCTTGGCCTACTTCAGCCTCCACCTCCTGGGTTCAAGCAATTTTCCTGCCACAGCCACACAAGTAGCTGGGATTACAGGTGTGTGCCGCCACACCCAGCTAATTTTAAGTATTTTTAGTAGAGACAGGGTTTTACTATGTTGGCCAGGATGGTCTAAAACTCCTGACCTCAAGTGATCCGCCCACCTCAGCCTCCCAAAGTGCTGGGATTATAGGCGTGAGCCACTGTATCCAGCCTCAATTATATTTTAAAATAAAAGAATTAGGTAGGCTTGAATTCTACTAAAGTCTCATATCCTATTATGTACCACAAGCTTTGAAAATGTTCTTTTTTTTTTTTTTGAGAAGATAGTAGCAGCAATGAAATAATAGTTATTATTTTCCAGGGTAACAATTTTAAGAGATAAATACCCATTTGCATACGTAAATCCTAATTAATCCCATTCCCTTGTGGTCATAATTCCAACAATGGCAATTAGATGTGGCACGTTTGGGTTGGGAACAGATCCTCAATTTAGGAGTTTTTCTATGATCTATATTTTTTTACTTAATGTAATTTGTTTCATTGTAATACACATTTGTTTCCCTTTTAGTGCTTTTTTGGGGTTCTTACAATAGAGCTGATAATCTTTTTAATGGGTGCTTTCAAAAGAAAGAGGTGATGAGATAAGGATCAGAACTGCTGAAAGACATGTGGGAAGTAGCAGTGTTTTTCTTCTAGACTCAGAACCTGGAAAGATTTTTTAAGAGTTTAAATGTGACTCAATCCTTTGTCTTATACATGAATCCTCTCTGCTTTTCTATTCAGCCATTGGGTTATTTTTGAATCCCTAGTTCTAGTAAAGCTCAAATGCGAGTGCTTCAAAGAAGTGCATTATTTATGAACCACCAAGCTGAGGACCAAAACAGGTTTTATGAGAAACTTAATTTTAACAACATAGTGTTAATTTTCCATAAGCAACTTAATTATCTATGCTAATAGAGGGGATTATGGCTTGAATACATTAAATCCGCTTTAAACTAACTTAAATATTTTAATATTATTGTTTCTGTTAGTCTAAGAGTCCTATAAGGAAGGGGCCATATGGTTGGGTGTGGTGGCTCACACCTGTAATTCCAGCACTTTGGGAGGCCAAGGCCAGAGGAACCCTTGAGCCCAGGAGTTCAAGGCCAGCCCGGGCAACATAGTGAGACCCCTATCTCTACAAAAAATGAAACACTATCTGGGTATGGTGGTGTGCAGCTGTAGTCCCAGCTACTTAGGAGGCTGAGGCAGGAGGCTCACTTGAGTTCGGGAGTTTGAGGCTGCAGTGAGCCATGATCACACCACTGAACTCCAGCCTGGGCAACAGAGTGAGACTCTGTCTCACAAAAAAAGAGTGGGGGGCATATAAGTTCAAAAGGAGTTTATAAACGATTCAGCGTCCTGATAGTGTCACTTATCACAACCAGTCTTTCTTAAAGTATGGCCTGGGGACCCATGGGGCTCCCTGAGACCTTATACAGAGTCTGTGATGTCAAAACTATTTCCATAATGATCCTAAGACATTATGTATCTTTTTCACTCTTGAATGTAGAAGTAGATAGGTGAATCAGATGTCACTATTAAGCCAGTACTTCACTTTAGATGGAAAAATGTAAAACAATGCCATTCTTCTATTTTTTTAATTGTAAAAAAATGTAGTTCTTTTTTGTAAAAAATGTGTTGTTACCATATTTATAACTTTTTTTTTTTTCGAGACAGGGTTTCACTGTGTTGCCCGGACTGGAGGGAGTGGCATGATCACGGCTCATTGCAATCTCAACTTCCCAGGCTCAAGTGATCCTCCCACCTCAGCCTCCCAAATAGCTGGGACTACAGACTCAAGCCACCATGCCCAGCTAATTCGTGTATTTTTTTTATGGAGATGGGGTTTTGCTATATTGCCCTTGCTGGTCTCGAACTCCTGGGTTCAAGCGATCCAACCGCTTTGGTCTCTTAAAAGTGCTGGGATTACAGGCGTGAGCCACCAGACCTGGCCCCATGTTTACAATTTTTATGTTAAAGTTAATTAATAAAGATTTCAATTATTCTCAGCTTTGATTGCTAAGATGACATATATCAATAGACATAACATATTGAGGTCCTCAATAATCTTGAAGAGATAAAGGGTTTCCTGAGACCCAAAAAGTTTGAGAATTATTAGACTAAAGCCAAGTACTGAGCCAGAGATACTCCCTGCCTCTCCTGTATCTTTTTTTTTGTTTTTTTTTTTTTTTTGAGACAGAGTTTCATTCTTGTTGCCCAGGCTAGAGTGCAATGACAAGATCGTGGCTCATTGCAACCTCTGCCTCTTGGATTCAAGTGATTTTCCTGCCTCAGCCTCCCAGGTAGCTGGGATTACAGGCACCCGCCACCATGCCTGGCTAATTTTGTATTTTTAGTAGAGATGGAGTTTCACTATGTTGGTCAGGCTGGTCTCGAACTCCTGACCTCAAGTGATCCACCTGCCTCGGCCTCCCAAAGTGCTGGGATTACAGGCATGAGCCACCATGCCCGGCCTCCTCTCCTGTAGCTTTGAATGTTTGTTTTGCTGCCTACAGTTTTTACATAATTAATATAAGCTATATGAAGAATATTGTTCTCCTTTCATAAGTTTCCATGTGTCTCCATGGCCATTACTCTCATCGTTTGTAACTGCTGTTATACTCTATGATACTAATATACAATATTATAATTTAATGTAATTATTCTTTTTATAACAGTATTACATTTTTTGTTATGAAATACAGTCCAAGGTGACAGCAGGGTCAGTATCTGGTTAGGGCCCTCTCCTTACACTACAGACAGCAACCTTCTCAATATACCCTCACATGCTCTTTCTTTGGTGCCTGCAGTGGACAGAAAGAGAGAGAAAGTCCTTTGGTGTCTCTTCCCATAAAGGCGCTAATGCCACCACGATGGCCCCACCCTCATGATGTCATCTAAACTTAATCACCCCAAAGGCCCCATCTCCAAATACCATCACACTGGGGCTTAGGGCTTCAGTTGATGAATTTCAAGGGGATATAATTCAGCCCATAGCAGAAGTTCACCCTCAAAACAACCTAGTAGCACAAATTCACCTCATGCTAACTTACATATGATTGGATATATTTTATATTAAATAACACAAAACAATTTTAGGTACATGGGAGTCGTACAACAGTTGCTTCAAAAAATACATGCTTGGGGGTTGGTGATTAGGGGTGACTTTGGGATCTACGTCAGGGGCTCACCATCCTCATCAGAAATCCTTCACTCCTCCAGAGAAAGGGCAGCCACATAATCATTTGCCCAGGCCCCAAATGCTCTACCTGGGTTGTTTGATTGGCTTGAGCAAAAGGACTTTGATGTTCCTTCGGCTGAGCTCAAAGGACTGCTCAGCTGCCGTAGATTATCCCAAAGTTCTGTGTAGTCAGATTGCCTGGTGCTTTATTCCTAAGCTGCTTTTATGCCTTCCCGTCCTCACCTTGCCTGACTCCTGAGCAGCAGGGCCCACCGTTCACCTCTTGGCCAGTTCCAGCTTCAGCAAGTGCACGCTGTTAGTTGACCTTTGACTCTCAAGTCTGCCAGCCCCACAGCTGCTTCTTTTAAGAAATTTGTAATGCCCCCTTTACTCTCCTAAAATAAAATTCATAGCTAATATAACCTACCTACACATATAATGTTTACAAATCAATTTAAAGACACAAAATATGTATTTTTTTCAACCTGTAAACGCTCAGTTATTACTCCATAAGATGCATAAAGTAGGGAGAGGCTTGTATGTAAACATGAGATCCCTGAGAGAGGAACAGACACACAGCTGATGTAATCAGGGGTCACAGCAGCTCATTATTGGCCATGGGAAGTTTCCAAAATGGTGAACCATCTTGGCAAAATTCCAAACACAATTATATTACATTCTGCCCTTGATTTACCCCATAATTGCACTTATGAAAACTTCAGTGCAAAAACTCTGTGAAAAATATTTTATATATAGGATCAGAAAATTATACACAGATTTTTCATCTACAAGAGTCCCCATGGGGACATTCAAAAGCTGTGTAAGACGCAGCACAAATTCCTCATTGTATGAGACTGCCTTCTGGTGACTCGGGCCCTGAACACTAAATGCCAGTGGGACCTACCCTACTATGATTACAACAACAAAATATTTGCCCACACATTTCCAAAACAGCCCTTAGGGGTTGGCACTACCACCCCTAAGGACCACTTAGCTAGACTGGAGAATCTTTAATAACTAATCTGTGCTTGGCAGAATTCTAAAATGGTCCCCAAGATTCCCAGCCCCTGGTGCACAGACACCTTCTCCCAGGTATTTAATCCGACACTAATCTAGATGCTGCACTGAAGGGATTTTGCAGGTGTAATTAAGGCTCCAAATAAATGGACATTAAGATAGAGAGATTATACTCAGTTGGCCTGACCCAGTCCTTAAAAAGGACTGGGCTCTTTCTGGCAAGGGAACGACTGGCAGCCTTGAGGGGCTAAGACTGGTCTGCAACTGACCATCAGCAAGGAAATGAGGATGTAAGTTCTACAACCGCAAGGACTTGAACTTGACCAACTGTCCCATATAAGCCTGGAAACTGATTCTTCCCCCAGAGCTTTAGAAAGGGACATAGCCCAGCCAACTCCTTAATTTCAACTTTTAAGTTTCTAAGAAGAGAACCCAGTCACTCTGTGCTAGACTTCTAACCTGCAGAATTATGCTCTAATGAAGGAGTGTTGATTTAAGCCTCTAAGTTTGTGGTAATTTGTTATGCAGCAACAGAAAACTCACACATAATTTAATTTTATTTATTTTTTTTTAAGAGACAGGGTCTCCCTGTATTGTCCAGGCTGTTCTCGAACTTCTGGCCTCAAGCAATCTTCCCACCTTGGCTTCCCAAAGTGCTGGGACTGCAGGTTTGAGTCACTGTACCTGGTCTCACACATAATTTAATAAGGCAATGCAATGTGTTCACTAAAACACTGGGCATCCCCCTTGTTGCCCTCTGTCAACCACCCATTCTCTGTCCCTACCACTGACCCTCATGGTTGGACTGGGAAGAAGTCATATTGATTCTTCTCAGTTCCTTGCCCTCTCTATCTCTCTGAATATGAGGGTGAAAAGCATACACTGAAATTCCAAAAACTGACCACACTCCCTGATTCTAGATCCTCCCTGAGGATGTTGAAGGTCATCTGGGTTCTCTGGTTCAGCCCACAGCCTATGTTTACCTCATTTATAACCTCTGCTTATGCTTTTCATCATGAGGCACTGTGCTGGTGAAACCTAAACAGGAAAAGTAATGTGTAACCTTAACTATTTATTGAAATCTGATCCGCATGTTTTACTCATTGCTGCAGAAGGTCACATAAATCTAATCTGTATGAAAACAATGAAAAAATGTTCTTCAGCATGCATGGGACTGAAATACTTCACATTTTGTGTGCAGGAAAGAATCCCAGGCCCTCAGGTATGACCCATTGCCTACTTCCCTCTGGGACTATTTTTTTCTGTGTTCTCCCACCCCCCACCGCCCTTTGCAGGCATCAGCCACCAGAAATGCCACCAACAGAGTCAGTTCACTCTGGAAGGCTCTCTTTTTTGTTCCTTTTGGAAACACGAAAGCCACATTTGAGAGCTTTATGATAATTATTATTTTAAAATTTAAAGCCCATAAAATCATCTTTGAAATAAAGAACAACAGTTGGCTCAGAGACCAGGCTTAGTTTTTCTACTTCATGTGCCTATATTTGCTTCCGTGGGATGCTATGGACCCATGCCCCTTTTTGTAAAGACATGTGGTGCCAGTATAGAGGCCATAAGTTTACTATTATTTGTGCAATTGACTTATTTCATGAATTTGCCCCCAGACTGTCTTCTGATATTGTTTACCCAATCACAAAAGGGGCCTTCAAATATTTATAGCATTTCCTTCTTTTTTGCCTTACAATATACTCTGGATTTCTCAAACTTTTGAAATCAGCATGCATTGTACATTAATTTTCTTCCTAATCTTTCCCTCTGATTATATATCTCCCCCATTTTCTTAATCGCTTTGACACAGGATTCTTTTGGTGCCACTTTGCCAGACAAAAATCTCCACCGTCAGCAGTTCCTCTGCTGGGGCTTCACATGGGCCTGCTGGGCTCACCTCACCCACTCTGCTCAGCAGGCTGCGCTCTGCTCATGCTACTGGCCCAGATCGCACGCCTGCTGTGGCTCTGTGCCCAGCCTGTGGCTGGTTAAGGCGTGCGGTGACCAGCTTCTGCCTTGGGTGCCGGCGTCTGGACAAGGGAGATGTGGTGGTACCCAAAAACTCGGAGATGCCAGCAACTGCAGAGCCCCCAAGGGGTGTTACAGCTTTTGGTTGGGGAGTCCCAAGGTCTGAGCCCCCAGGAAGTGTCACAGCTTGTTCGGTCCTGCTGCCCGCAGCTCAGTGAATGGGGGTGTGTGGTGTCAAGTGGTTTTTTCACTCCGGTAGCTCTGCGAGCAGGAATGTATGTTACAGCTCTTTTCGCACCCTCCATTCAGCAGGTTCCAGGTTCTTGTCCCGTGACCAAGAGGAATGAGGTATGCAGACATCAGAGAGTGAGCAAGGCAGATAAAATTTTATTGAGCGAAAGAAAAGCTCTTGACAATGAGAGGGACCCTGAAACGAGCAGCCCTCTGTGTGAGACGGGGCTGAAAGTGGGTAGTGGTCTGTGGGGCTGAGTCCGGGGTTTTCTGTGGGCTCAGAATAGGAGAGTGTGTGCTAATTGGTCCATGATTTGGCCTGGAAAAAGCACCATTCGATTGGCTAAAAGGCATGAAGGAAGTTCTCACTGTGGTCGTGGACTCCACCCAGAACTGGCAGTTTGGTTTTCCAGCTTCATGCTGTCTTTGACTTGAAGGTCGGGTTTCACCGGGGTCCTGTCCCTGTCTGCCTAGGAATTTGTTTCCTGCTGCTATCAGCTTTATTACGGTATAATCTACATACCATAAAAATTTAACTGTTGTAAGTATATAATTTATTATTTTTATGAATAGAGTTGTTAAACCATTACTGCAAATCCGGTTTTAGAACATTTCCATCATCCCTAAAAGTTCTCTCATGTCTGTTTACAGTTAATCCCTGATCCCACTGCCAGCCCCAGACAACCACTGATCTGCTTTCTATCTCTGTAAATATGCCTTTTCTGGACATTTCATATAAATGGAATTATACAAATAGAATCTTTTGTATTTGGCTTCTTTCACTTAGCACAAGTTCATTTGTGCTGTAGCATGTGTCTTAGTTCTTTCTTTTTTGCTGCTGAATAGTATTCCGTTGCATAAAAATACCATATCCTATTTACCCATTCATCAGTTCATGGACATCTGGGTTGTTTCCAGTTTTGAGCTATCGTGAATAATACTGCTCTGAACATTCATATGCATGTATTTATGTGGATCAGTTTTAATTTCACTAGGGTAAATTCCTAAGGGCGAGTTACTGACATTCTAGTTTCTGTCTCACTGACTCCTTATATAAGAACTTAGGATGCATAGAGCAAAGTCTGGTGTTCTGATGGTGTCCACCTAGGCAGGTGGCCTATGTAGAGGATGGCCCTCCTCCTCCACCACTACCTGGTAGTGTCAGTGGAGAAGGGAGCGGAAAAGATGGCTATCAGTGGTTACTGGCTGAGCTGCCATACGTGGCAGTGGCCCTACTCAGGCATGAGAGTCCCTAAAGCTGAATTCCCTGATGGCCCCTATGGATTCTCAAGGAACATATTTCAAGACTTGGTTTTTAGGCCAGGTGCAATGGCTCACACCTGTAATCCCAGCACTTTGGGAGGCCAAGGTGGGTGGATCACCTGAGGTTGGGATATCGAGACCAGTCTGGCCAACATGGTGAAACCCCACCTCTAATAAAAATACAAAAATTAGCTGGGTGTGGTGGTGCACACCTGTAACCCCAGCAACTTGGGAAGCTAAGGCATGAGAATCACTTGAATCCAGAGGTGGAGGTTGGAGTGAGCCGAGATCACACCACTGCACTCCAGCCTGGGTGATAGAGTAAGACTCTGTCTCAAAAAAAAAAAAAAAAAAAAAGACGAGATTTATAAATATATATATTAAAAATTCTATATATTTTATTAAACAATTTTTAAATATATATTTTTTTGAGGCAGGGTCTTGCTCTGTTGCCCAGGCTGAAGTGCAGTGGCACAAATGCTGCTCACCATAGTTTCAATTTCCTAGGCTCAAGCAATCCTCCCACCTCAGCCTAAGTAGCTGGGACCACAGGTGTGCACCACCATGCCTGGCTGATGTTTGCATTTTTTGTAAAGACAGGGTCTTGCTATGTTGTCCTGGCTGGTCTTGAACTCCTGGCTCAAGCAATCCTCCCACCTTGGCCTCCCAAAGTGCTGGGATTACAGGCATGAACCCCGTCTGGTCTATTAATATGTTTAAATGTCTTCTATTACTATTTTAAATTTACTATGGCAGGCAGTATATGTTATTAAGAACTTCTGATTTGGAAGACTTGGACTTGAATCTTGATTCTATCACTAACTATATATATTTCCTTCAGCAAAGAGCTTAACTTCTCAGGATCGTCACCAAAACAGGGGGAAGGGCCATCCTGTGGCTTAAAAAGGAGATAATTTTTTTTTCATAGAAAGGTGAGAAAAATGAAATCTATTGGGCGAAAAGGAACAAAAGGGAAACAGGGACTCTCAGCAAGGCAAGAGTCTTGCTTTCAGTTTCCTGCCTCACAGCTTGAGTCCCAGGTACCACCCAGGAAGAGGAGAGGCCAGGCACCTCCCTGCTGCAGAATGGCAGGAACTTCCCGAGGCTCCACCCTGTTCTCCCAGTACGCAGCCTGGTCAGAGCCTCTCCAGGGACCCTTTTATATTTGGCTGTCTCAGTTTCATCACCTGTAAAGGGTGGATAAAACTATTTGTTCCTTCTAGCTCACGTTGAAATTAGATTACAGATGGAAAAGTATTCTGGAAAATTTCCAAGTGTTTTGGAAGTGGGAATTCTCCTCGTTCTGTGCTTCCGATCTTGGGAAATGCCACCACTCACCTCCCAAGACTTGAAACTTGGACTCTCTTCTCTCATCTCCATACCCCATCTTAATTATTTTCCTCCCAAATATACTTAAAGTGTGTCTCTTCCTCCCATCTCCACTGATACTTCCTCAGGTCAGACTCTTGGCATTTCTTACCTAGATTATTGCAACAACCTTTTTTTCTCATTTTTAAATATTATTAAAAATTTTTAAATTGTAATAAAATATATACAACATAAAATTTGCCATCTTCCCCATTTTAAGTGTACAGTTCGGTGGCATTAAATAAATTCACATCATTGTACAGCCATCACCACTGTTCATCTCCAAAACTCTTATCAGCTTGCAAAACTGAAATTCTGTACCCATTAGACACTAACGCCCAATTCCCTTCCCTCCCCCAGTCCTTGGCAACCACTATTCTACCTTCTGTCTCTATGAATTTGATCACTCTAGGTACATCATACAAGTAGGATCATACAGTATTTATCCTTTTGTGACTGGCTTGTTTAACTTAGCACAATGTTCTAAGGCTTCACCCATGTTGTAGCATGTGTCAGAATTTCCTTTCTTTTTATTTATTTATTTATATATTTATGTTTATTTATTTATTTTTTTGAAATGGAGTCTCGCTCTGTTGCCCAGGCTGGAGTGCAGTGGCGTGATCTCCACTTGCTGCAACCTCCACCTCCCAGGCTCAAGTGATTCTCCTGCCTCAGCCTCTCGAGTAGCTGGGACTATAGGCGCACGCCACCATGCCCGGCTAATTTTTGTGTTTTTAGTAGAGATGGGTTTCACCATATTGGCCAGGCTGGTCTCAAACTCCTGACCTCGTGATTTGCCTGCCTCGGCCTCCCAAAGTGCTGGGATTACAGGTGTGAGCTACCGTGCCCGGCCCAGAATTTCCTTTCTTTTTAAAGTTGAAACAATATTCCATTGCATGCACAGACTATACCACATTTTGTTTATCCATTCATCTGCTGATGGACATTTGGGTTATTACCAACTTTTGATGCTTGTGAATAATGCTGCTATGAATATGGGTATACAAATATTAATACCTCTTTGAGATCCTGTTTTTAAATTCCTTATGCCCATAAGTGGAATTCCTGGATATTTGGAAGTTCTATTTTTAATTAGAAAAATAGTTTTTGAGGAACTGTCATATAGTATGTTTCCCATAGCAACTGCACCATTTTACATTTCCACTGGCAATGCATAAGGATTCCAATTTCTCCACATTCTCACCAACACTTATCTTCTGTTTTTTTTTTTTTGAAAAATGTTAAAGTAATCATCCTAGTGGGTATGGAGGTGCTATCTCATTGTGGTTTTGATTTGCGTTTTCCTAATGATTAGTGATATTGAGCATCTTTATATGTCATACATAAAAAGAATGAAAAGGTAACCTATACAATGAGAGAAAATATTTGCAAATCATATGTCTGATAAAGGGTTAAAATATATAGGGTTAATTCACTCATCTATAAAGGGTTAATTCACTCATATAGATGTCTTTTCTTTTCTTTTCTTTTCTTTTTTTTTTTTTTTTTTTTTGAGACGGAGTCTTGCTCTGTCACCCAGGCTGAAGTGCAGTGGTGCGATCTCGGCTCACTGCAAGCTCCACTTCCTGGGTTCATGCCATTCTCCTTCCTTAGCCTCCTGAGTAGCTAGGACTACAGGTGCCCACCACAACTCCCGGCTAATTTTGTTTTTGTATTTTTAGTAGAGACAGGGTTTCACCATGTTAGCCAGGATGGTCTCGATCTCCTGACCTCATGATCCTCCCACCTCGGCCTCCCAAAGTGCTGGGATTACAGGCATGAGCCACTGTGCCTGGCCTATAGATGTCTTTTCTAAAAAAAGAAAGATAAAGGGTTAATTCACTCATATAGATGTCTTTTCTAAGAAAGAAAGAGAGAGAGAAAGAGAAAGAAAAGAAAGAAAGAAAGAAAGAAAGAAAGAAAGAAAGAAAGAAAGAAAGAAAGAAAGAAAAGAAAAGAAAAGAAAAGAAAAGAGAAAAGAAAAGAGGGAGAGAAGGAGGGAGGAAAGAAAAGAAAAGAAACCAGAATGCCAGAATGGCATAGAGCCATGTGAGGTTGCACTTAATGGACTGCAGAGTAGCAGCACGAGAGTCCCCCATGGGATGCATTAACAAGGCTTTCTGGAGGGCAGGAATCCTGAGTGGTCCCAAACTTGACTGTACATTGTAATCAACTGGAATGCCTTAAGGAGTCCCAATGTGTGGGTTCCACCACAGGGATTCTCATTTATTCAGTTGGGGTACAGCCTGGGCATCTGTATGTTTTAGAAGTTCCCAGATGAGAGATGAAAGTGTTCTGGAACTAGACAGTGGTGATGGCTGTATATTCTGAACGTATTAGAACAGATTATATGTCACTAATGGTAAATGCTATGTTTGTGTATTTTACCACACACACAAAAGTTCCCTGATGATGCTATGGGCAAGACAAAGTTGACAATCAACAAAGCTTTGTTGCCATTTCTCAGATAATAAGAATCAAGTGGAAGTCTTTGTTAAATAAATAGATTGCCAGACCTCAAAGCCAGGAAGTCTCATTCTGTTTATCTGGATGGGGGCAAAGGAATCTGTGCTTTCAAATAGAACACCAGGTAATTCTTCTTTCTTTTTTTGAGATGGAGTCTCTGTTGCCCAGGCTGGAGTACAGTGGCATGATCTCGGTTCACTGCAACCTCTGCCTCCCAGGTTCAAGCGATTCTCCTGCCTCAGCCTCCCGAGTAGCTGAGACTACAGGCCCGTGCCACCACACCCGGCTAATTTTTTTAGTAGAGACGGGGTTTCACGGTGTTAGCCAGGATGGTCTCAAAATTCTGACCTCGTGATCCACCTGCCTCAGCCTCCCAGAGTGCTGGGATTACAAGCATGAGCCACCGTGCCCGGCCAACACCAAGTAATTCTTATACAAGAGAAGTTTGGGAAACCCAGATATACCCAGTGCTTCCCAAGCCTGCTCAATTGTAAGAATCACCAGGGGATCCTGTTAAGCTTCCAAATCTATTGATAGGCCCATCTAGACTTTTTTTTTTTTTTTTTTGAGACAGAGTCTCACTCTATCACCCAGGCTGGAGTGCAGTGGTGCAACCTTGGCTCACTGCAACCTCCACCTTCTGGGTTCAAGCGATTCTCCTGCCTCAGCCTCCCAAAGTGCTAGGATTACAGGTGTGAGCCACTGAGCCTGGCCCATCCAGACCTATTAAACTTGGATCTCCAGAGGAAGGCTGGGACTTGGTGGACTTAATATGCTACCCAGCTAATTCTCCTGACCAGGCACACTTGAGAAACACCATCTAGTCTAGCCCTCAGTGTTGGCTATTCTACAAAACCTCCTTAAAGAAAAAATCAAATTCCTTACTCCCAGAGATGCTAATTCTGGGTGGGGCCCAAGTATCCAAAGTTTATTATTTTTTGTTTTATAAGCTACCATCCCTGAGTTTGAGGAATAACTGAAATGAATCACTGTTGCAGCCATTCTTTTGGAAAGCAAATTGTGCTCATGTTTCATGGTTACTTATTGAGTCCTTGAGCATGTGCAGTTCTACACAGCAGTATATCCAGAAGCTGAGAATTAGAAAGGTAAGGGTGTCTCAGCCTGCTGTAAGGGAGATGGCTGTGCTTTAGTCAGGAGTAGTCTGAGGAAGCCTTCTGGTGCAGCATAACTCAGCAGGTTTGGAGTGCAGGTGCACAACTCCACACAGTATTTAACCATGCCATGTCAGGCACATTATGTAACCACGCCACGTAAGGTGCATTAGGTGATCACCCATGTGAGCTCATGCTTGGCTTGGAGTCACTATTGCCTGTAAAAGGTATAATTACCCTGCTGACACTGTACATATGGCTCATGCCCAGGGAGAGAATGTACATACAGCTCGTGCCCACAGCTCATGCCTAGGCTCGCTTGTGCCAGAGAGAGGGTAAAAGCCATGTTGAAACTGTCTACAATTCCTCGAATGTTTTTCCAGCTACCTGCCACCCCACTGACTCCCCTCGGACCTCAGTTAGAACCTAACACCTGCCCGTGAAGTAGCTGGGAACAAGTCATGGAAGCAGGAAGAAAAGGATTGAGATGCACAAAGAGTAAAGAAAGAGAATCCTCGGTGACAGCTTGCTGTCATGTGGGGCGAAACAGAGATCCCTGGTGAGCTTTGACATCTCCTCCAAGGGGCCTGGTTGGCAGAGTGTCCAGGGTTGGGTCTTGGGGGAAGTCTCTGGTGGGCTGTGTCCATTCTCTATCTATCTGGATCCTAAGCTAATTAAAGGAAGCTGCTGTAGCCTTCCTCCAAGCCAAGGAGCTCTATGATTGCTTCTGACCAGAATATGGTTCTACTTGAGGCAGAAAACCCTTAAGAAGATGAATTCTTTTCCAGTATCTTGGGCTTGATAGGAAAATACACGAGTCTGACAGTCAATTAGAATGAATCAGAATTCATTTATTTCAGTAATCTTCATATCTGTACAAGGCAATCCTCTATTTTACTCTGCCTATCCAAGCGTTTTCAGTTGTCTCCTATGGTTGTTATAAGCTTTTTCTCTTTGTCTTGCCAACATCCATATCATCTCTTCTTATGTTGAGAGTATAGGGAGAAACAGACACAGGCATGGCTCCTTGAATAGCCCTCCCAGAGGATCAAGTGCATGACAGATCGAGGCAGAAAGAAGCGTAGTGAAAGTAGTGACCTAGAGGGTGCTGCTTATCTGGCTCTGCTGGCTCTGACCCCTGGAAACTTGGCGGCTGTGGTCAGGTAGGGTTCTTAAATAATCCACTGTTTATCCCAGACATGAAGGAAACAAATTACAGTAATGAGCCCTATAATGACGTTTCAGTCATCGATGAACTGCATATATGACAGTGGTCCCATAAGAGTATAATGGAGCTGAAAAATTCCTATTGCCTAGTGACATTGTAACCATCATAGCACAACTTCACTCTAGTGTGGTGATAATGCTGGTGTGAACAAACTTACTGCACTGCCAGTCATATAAAAGTCTAGTACACACAGTTATGTACAGCACATAGTGCTTGATAATGATAATGACTATGCTACTCAGTTATATATTTACTATACTATACTTGTTTTCGTTATTTTTGAGTGTACTCCTACTTATTAAAAAAAAGTTAACTGTAAAACAGCCTCAGGCAGATCCTTCAGGAGGTGTTCCAGAAGAAGGCATTGTTATCATAGAAGATGACAGCTCCAGCCGGGCGCAGTGGCTCACACCTGTAATCCCAGCACTTTGGGAGGCCAAGGTGGGCGGATCATGAGGTCAGGAGATCGAGACCATCCTGGCTAACACGGTGAAACCCCATCTCTACTAAAAATACAAAAAAATTAGCCGGGGGTGGTGGCAGGCACCTGTAGTCCCAGCTACTCGGGAGGCTGAGGCAGGAGAATGGTGTGAACCTGGGAGGCAGAGCTTGCAGTGCGCCGAGATTGCACCACTGCACTCCAGCCTGGGCGACAGAGCGAGACTCTGTCTCAAAAAAAAAAAAAAAAAAAAAAAAAGGATGACAACTCCATGCGTGTTATTGACCCTGAAGACCTTCCAGTGAGACAAGATATGAAAGTGGAAGACAGTGATATTGATGATCCTGACCCTCTGTAGGCCTAGGCTAATGTGTGTGCTTGTGTTTTCATTTTAACAAAAAAGTTTAAAAAATAAAAAAAATTTAAAAATAGAAAAAAGCTTATAGAATAAAGATATAAAGAAAGAAGATGTTTTTGTAAAGCTGTACAATGTGTTTGCATTTTAAGCTAACTGTTATTACAAAAGAGTCCAGAAGTTAAAAAAAAAACTAAAAGTTTATAAAGTAAAATGTTACAGTAAGTTAAAGTTAATTTATTAAAGAAAAATACTTTCAAAATAAATTTAGCATAGCCTAAGTGTGCAGTGTTTATAAGGTCTATAGTAGTGCACACTAACGTCCCAGGCCTTCACATTCACTCATCACTCATTGTCACCCAGAGCAGCTTCTAGTTCTGCAAGTTCCAATCATGGTAAGTATTCTATATTGGTGTATTATTTTTTAATCTTTTATATTGTATTTTTACTGTACCTTTTCTATGTTTAGATAAATTTAGATACACAATACTTACCATTGTGTTATAATTGCCTACATTGTTCAGTACAGTAGCATGCAGTACAGGTTTGTAGCCTAGGAGCACTAGGCTATACCACATAGGCTGAGTGTGCAGTAGGCTACACCATGTAGGTTTGTGTAAGTACACTCTATAATGTTCACACAATGATGAAATCTCCTAATGACACATTTCTCAGAACATATTTCTGTCGTTAAGCAACACATGACTGTATAAGTGTTTGTAATCTCCCTCTAAATTACTTTTTTACACATCTGTCTCCTGGCTAGATGGAGAACTTCTTGAGAACAAGAACCTGGCTTTATTTAGTTATATTTCCAGCAATTATCTCAGGGTCCGGCACAGAATGGAGAGTTGTAATTGTTGGTAAAATTAATACATGAGATACAGACTCTGTCTCTTTAGAAATAACAAAATGATGACAAGCCTAAATTTATAAGAGGAATGTAAACTGCTGCATAGATAATAATCCATGCACTTTGATGTGTCTATATCTGCGTTCAGCAACTAATGTTTCAGTGGTCTAGCATTCCCCAAATAAATACTTTCTACTTCTGTTATTAGTTATCAACATCTGCTTCGTATGGCTTAAATATATTTTATTTTTTGTTCTACTCTCAATTGTACAATTCAAAGAAAATATTCACGCTTTCTTAATGTGCTTAATTTTGTCAATCGTCAATTTTTTTCAAATTTGATTTATTCATAGTTTGACTTATCAAATGCAGCACATTTTGAGCTCCTTTATCTGCTGGATTTTCTACCTTTAACAATAATGGAGTATGAAGGTAGAGCACAAAAAAATCTAACATTAAATCTCAGCCTAAAAACACGATAGGAAATCCCAGAAATTTTCACTGGAATAATTGGCACACACCAAGGAAAACCAGCACAACAGTTGCCAGCTGAAAATGTTCGTGTTCATTTGAATCACCATTGGTGACCTAGTTTGGCCAGAAGTAAACCATTGTGTTATCTCATCCTCCTAACATACAGCACCTGAGTCAGCATTCTGAAAAACAAAACAAAACAAAACAAAAAAGCAACACCAATTTTCAAAATAAGTTTGAACTTGGCCAGCTTGTGTTTTATGAGCTTGTTTAACAGCAGCAAGCAATAATATTTGTTACAGTTTAATCTGTTTTCTAAAGAATTGATGTCCCTGGGCCTTCATCTAAACTAAAAGTGACCTTGTGGTACTTAAAATGCAAAACATTCAGGACCCACATAGAGTAAGAAGAGTGGACTGATTTTCATGTATGTTTAAAAGGTAATGGATTGCATTGATTGCCATTTTGTATGGAATTCTGCCTCCCATACTGGGATTTTTCAATATGAAAACTCAGGTTTAAGTTAGACACAGGCAGAGGAAATATTTTGACTTTGGGTCAATGTGGAGATGCAGCAGGAAAGCTTTCTCTTCCAAATATCTGGGAAAGCCATGATCACACCCTTGAAAACATCATTTGCTAACGAGTAGATCTGTTTTGTAACTGGAGAACATCTGCCTTGCATTTCTAGAGCCCCCTCATTTGAGGGTATGATTTAGAGAAGCACCAAGCTGTAACATCCCAATGGTAGTTTTGAACATTTTTCAAGGGCATCCCAAATTCCAGGCTGTTTTTTCCTATTGGTTTTAGGCTTCAGTTGCTCTCCAGGGCTGACCTGTTTGTACTTTTGTTTCACTTTTGTTACATTCACTTAGTATAGAAGATCTAGAGGAATGTTTACTAAATGAGCTTTAGGGTTCACCAACCCTTAGGTTTTCATTGCCCAAAAGCATCAGTAGCTGACATGTATGTCTAATACCCACTCCTCGGGGAGCTGTGCTCTTCCTCACCCATAAGGCCACTGTGGAGGTGCCATTTTCTTATGTGACCCCCACTCCTCATCCAAGCTGGGCTGTCTCTTCCTTGAACTTTTTGATTTTTATTTTGGATTCAGGGGGTACCTGTGCAGGTTTGTTACATGGATATATTGTGTAATGCTGAGGTTTGGGCTTCTATTGAACACACCGCCCAAACAGTGAACACAGTACCCAATAGGAAGTTTTTCAACCCTTGCTACTCTCCCTCCCTCCTTTCCTCCCTCCCTCCCTCCCTTCCCTCTTTTGGAGTTCCCAGGGTCTGTTGGTCCCCTGTTTGTGTTCATGTGTACCCATTGCTTAGCTCCCACTTATAAGTGAGAACATGTGGTATTTGATTTTCTGTTTCTGCATTAATTCACTTAGGATAATGGCCTCCAGTTGCATCCATGTTGCTGCAGAGGACAGGATTTCATTCTTTTTTTATGGCTGCAGAGTATTCCATGGGTGTACATGTGCTACATTTTCTTTATTTAAACCAATGTTGATGGACACCTAGGTTAATTCCATGTCTTTGCTATTGTGAATAGTGCTGCAATAAACATATGAGTGCAAGTGTCTTTATGGTACAACGATTTATTTTCTTTTGGGTATGGGATTGCTTGGTCCAATGGGAGTTCTATTTTTAGTTCCTTAAGAAATCTCTAAATTGCTTTCCACAAGAGTTGAACTAATTTACATTCCCACCAACAGTGTATAAGTGTTCCATTTTCTCTGCAACCTCGCCAACATCTGTTATTTTTTAACTTTTTAATAATAGTCATTCTGACTGATGTGAGATGGTATCTCATTGTGGGTTTGATTTGCATTTCTGTGATTATCAGTGGCATTGAACATTTTTTTCATATGCCTGCTAGCTGCTTGTATGTCTTCTTTTGTGAAATGTCTCTGTCCTTTGTCCATTTCTCAATGGGGTGATTTTTTTTTTCTTGCTGACTTGTTTATGTTACTTACAGATTCTGGATATTCTTTGTCAGATGCACAGTTTGAAAATATTTTTTCTCATTCTGTGGGTTGTCTGTTTACTCTGTTGATACTTTCTTTTGCTGTGCAGAAGCTCTTTAGTTTAATTAGGTCCCAATTGCCAATTTTTTTTTGACATCTCACTCTGTCACCCAGCCTGGAGTGCAGTGGTGTGATCTTGGCTCACTGCAGCCTCTGCCTCCTGGGCTCAAGTGATCCTCCACCTCATCCTCTTGAGTAGCTGGGATTACAGGTGTGCACCACCATGCCCAGCTAATGTTTGTATTTTTTGGTAGAGACAGGGTTTTGCCAGGTTGACCGGGCTGGTCTTGAACTCCTGAGTACAAGCTATCTGGCCACTTTGGCCTCCCAAAGTGTTGGGATTATAGGCGTGAGCCACTGTGCCCGGCCTGTTTTTGCTTTTGATGTCTTAGTCATAAATTCTTTGCATAGGCCAGTGTTCAGAAGAGTATTTCCTAGGTTTTCTTTTCAGATTTTTATAGTTTGAGGTCTTAACATGTAAGTCTTTAATCCAGCCTGAGTTTTTGTATATGGTGTATACATTTAATCCATCCTGAGTTTTTGTATATATGGTGAGAGGTAGGGTCTCCAGTTTCATTCTTCTGGGTATGTTTAGCCAGTCTTCCTAGCACCATTTATTGAATAGGATGTCCTTTCCCCCATTGTTTATGTCAGCTTTGTCAAGATCAGCTGGTTATATGTGTGCAGCTTTATTTCTGGGTTCTCTATTCTGTTCCATTGGTCTATGTGTCTATTTTTTACCAGTAACACACTATTTTGGTTACTGTAGCCTTATAGTATAACTCGAAGTCAGGTAATGCAATGCCTCCAGCTTTGTTCTTTTTACTTAGGATTGCTTTGGCTATTTGGGCTCTCTTTTGGTTCTGTATACATTTTATAATAGTTTTTTCTAATTCTGTGAAAAATGACATTGGTAACTTGATAGGAATTCCATTAAATCTGTAGATTGCTTTCCAATCCATGAGAACAGAATGTTTTTCCATTTGTTTGTGTCATCTATGATTTATTTCAACAGTGTTTTGCAGTTCTCCTTGTAGAGAGCTTTAAACTCCTTGGTTGGATGTATTCCTAGGTATTTTATTTATTTATTTATTGGCTATTGTAAATGGGATTGCATTCTTGATTTGGTTCTCAGCTTGAACATTATTGGTATACAGAATTGCTACTGAATTTTGTACATCGATTTTTGTATCCTGAAACTTTACTGAAGCCATTTGTCAGGTCTAGGAGTATTTTGGCAAAATCTTTAGGGTTTTCTATATATAGAAACATTACTCGGGAGGCTGAGGATTGCTTAGCCCTGGGAAGTTAAGGCTGCAGTGAGCCGAGATAGCGCCACTCCACTCTAGCCTGAGCAATGGAGTGAGACCCTGACTCAAAAGAAAAAATTATATTTTCAGTGAAGAGAGATAATTTGACTTCCTCTTTTCCTACTGTCTTTCTTTCTCTTGCCTGATTGCTCTGGCTAGGACTTCCAGTACGATGTTGAATAGAAATGGAGAGAGTGGACATCCTTGTCTTGTTCCAGTTCTTGGAGGGAATGCTTTCAGCTTTAGCTCATACAGTATGATGTTGGCTGTGGGTTTGTCATAGAAGGCTCTGATTATTTTGGGGTATGTTCCCTCAATGCCTAGTTTGTTGAGGGTTTTTATCATGAAAGAATATTGGAATTTATCAAAACCTTTTTTCTGCATCTGTTAAGATGATCATATGGTTTTTGTTTTTAATTCTGTTTATGGCATGAATCACATTTATTGATTTGCATATGTTGGACCACCCTTGCATCCCAGGAAGAAAGTCCACTTGATTGTGGTAAATTATCTTTTTGATGTGCTGCTGGGTTCTGTTTGCTAGTATTTTGCTGAGGAATTTTTAATCTGTATTTATCAAGAATATTGGCTTATAGTTTTCTTTTTTTCTTTTTTTTGAGATGGAGTCTTGCTCTGTCGCCCAGGCTGGAGTGCAGTGGTGTGATCTCGGCTCACTGCAAGCTCTGCCTCCCAGGTTCACACCATTCTCCTGCCTCAGCTTCCCAAGTAGCTGGGACTACAGGTGCACGCAACCACGCCCGGCTAATTTTTTGTGTTTTTAGTAGAGATCTCGGGGTTTCGTCGTGTTAGCCAGGATGGTCTCGATCTTCTGACCTTGTGATCCGTCTGCCTCGGCCTCCCAGAGTGCTGGGATTACAGGTGTGAGCCACCGCACCTGGCCTAGTTTTCTTTTTTGTTGTTGTTGTGTTCCTGCCAGATTTTGGTATCAGGATGATACTGGTTTCATAGAATGAATTAGGGAGCAATTCCTACTCCTTGATTTTTTGGAAGAATTTCAGCAGGATTAGTACCATCTCTTCTCTGTATGTTTCATAGAAGTCAGCTGTAAATCTGCCTGGTCCAGGGCTTTTTTTTTTTGGGGTTGGTAGGGTTTTTTTTTGTTTGTTTTGTTTTTAAATGATTCAATTTCTTAACTCATATTTGGTCTTTTAAGGGTTTCAATTTCTTCCTGGTTCAATCTTGGGAGGTTGTGTGTTTCCAGGAATTTATCAGTTTCCTCTAGATTATCTAGTTTGTGCACAAAGAGATGTTTATAGTAGTCTCTGAGGATCTTGTGTTTTTCTGTGGGATCAGTTGTAATGTCACCTTTGTCATTTCTGATTGTGCTTATTTGGATCTTCTCACTTTTTCTAATGTAGCTAGCAGTCTATCAATTTTGTTCATCCTTTCAAGAAACCAACTTTTTGTTTTGTTGATAAAAAAAATTTTTTATCTCAATTTCATTTAGTTCTGCTCTGGTTTTAGTAATTAGTAATTTTCTTTCTTCTGCTAACTTTGGGTTTAATTTGTTTTTGTTTTTCTAGTTGTTTTATCATTTTTGAATTTATTGTAATAATAGAGTCAAAACAGAGAGCCTGAGAAGAGAGACCAAAAGGGATTGCTGGCTGGTTTTATAGCCCTGGTTCCAGTAGTTCCTTGGGTTCAATGGCATCCCTGCTTGGTTTGGTTGTTCTAGAACTCCTTGGGTTTCTATCACTTGAAACCAAACAAATACAACATCAAGAGTAGTTTATAGTCACCTCTAGGGAAAAGTTCTTTTTCTGGAACTTACTTGAATGATTTATATGTCTATACTCTATTTGGTTGCCAGAAACAGTGTTAGCTGAGTAGCTTTCTTCATTAGAGTTTACTGGAGGAGATAAAAATGGGAGAAATAAGTTCAATCAAGATTTTTTTGTCCTTAATACAAAAAGATGTTATTATTGACACTCAATAGAATGCTTATTTATTATTATTATTATTATTATTATTATTAGGGCTAGTCAAGTGAAGCAGTGGGAGTGGAGAAGAAACAAAGAAGTCTGTAACTGGTTGTGATCAATTAGTTGTAAACACCACTGTATGGGACCAGCCTAGAATTCTTTTTGAATTACTTTTCTAACGATTAGCATTAATGCCATTCAAATTTGTAAATGGCACGTATTGAACACCTGTTGTATGCTGGGCACTAAGCACATAGAGATAAAAGGCCTAATTCTCCACAGAAGTTCATGGTCTAGGACAATTGTGCTCAAATTGTCCTCTTCAAGTTGGCAGCCACTGCATCACCTGGGAACCTGTGAGAAGTGCAAATGACTCAGAAACCCAGCAATCTGTGTTTTAACAAGCCCTCCAGGTGATGCTGACATAGCTAAAGTGTGAGAACTGATCTAGGGACTTATTTATGTATATCTGCTTACCCATCTCCCTTCTCACTAATGGCACAATTTGTAAACTATAATACAAACCCAAACCCCAGTTTAAATGATTGAAAATGGAAATCATCTTGAGACTTCTGAACATTAAAATCAAGCTGTAGACATCCTGGGAAAATCACTCATGTTCTTGTCCCAGGGCCAACAATAAAGGTAGGTGTGTGCTTCTGGCCTGTCTAAAGTGGCTCCAGCTTATCACAGCAGATAAGACAACACATGGAAATAAATTAGAACGGTTGGCCCTTGCAGACCTTGACTCCATCTTGGCACCACCTCACTCAAACCCAGTCTGTGAGCTGGGAGCCTGTGCTAGGGCCTCTGTGGGGAGGTATCTGGGAAAAGTCAGCCGTATCAGCCCTCAAACCACATCACAGAGCTCTTGCCCTTTCCTTCCTCTATTAAAAACTACTACTTGGTGCAAGGAGAGAGATAAACTGACAACAAACTAAAATCAGGGTGTTTAGAGAAGGTAAGAATTCTTCAACCCTGAGAAGTTCTAATTGTCATCGTCTTTGTGAAGACTCTGTCTTCTAGTCACCTTCTCTCACAGAACTTTCTCATTTGCTCTATTCTATCATTTTGCTTCATTTCTTGATTTTTATATTTCCCATCACTCAATCTAATTAAGCAAATATATCAGTGAGTACCTAATAGCCAAGCTAAGCATAACACGAGGAAGAACACTTAGTGCCTGCTCCCAGGAAGCCCGGAGTTGGCGATGTTTCACAATCAGTCAACCACCACTTGAGGGCTGAAGTGCATGCCAAGCATTCAACTAGGTTCTGGGGTTAAAAAATGAATACAACACCACCTGGGCACTGAAAGAGCTTGTTGCCTGCAGGAGAGACGGGTACAAACAAAACATGCTAAGGGCTGTCATGGCGGTAAGAAGGCATTAAGAAAGGGCAGAGGTGAGAATGAGTGAATCTATCTGAAGGAGCTGAGGAAGGCTAGAAGGAGAATCTGCCCTTGGAGTTGGGTTGGCCCTGTGAAGGGTGGTGGACAGAGGGATGTCTTGTGACAATGTAGTGTGTCCAGAGGAAAGGGAGAAGCTCATGCTGGCTAGAGTGCACCTCTCACGGTTGAAGATTAGGTTGGAAAAGTAGGCTAGGGCAAGGTTGTGAAGGATTTCATATGCCACACAGCAGGCTTCAGAGTTGAGACCTGATTCTCTAAAGAGTAGAAGCTGATCAGGTTTTTATCAAGCAGGGAAGACATATGGTCAGATCCAGGCCTTAGGAAGCAGTGTGGAGGATGGATTTAAGAGGATAAAAGCAAGAAGTGAGTGTTTTAGTTATCAGTCACTGTGTAACAAATGACCCCAAACTGAGTGACTAAAAATGATGATCTGTTATTGCTCACAATTTTGTGAGTTAGTTGAAT
Organism: Homo sapiens; assembly: GCF_000001405.40. NCBI lineage: Eukaryota > Metazoa > Chordata > Mammalia > Primates > Hominidae > Homo > Homo sapiens. The sequence goes on from NC_000004.12 coordinate 41,305,062, forward strand.
GGCTCTTCCGCTGTTCTCATCTGGACTCATATGATCCATTCAACTAGTGCATCTGAGGGCCAGACTCAGCTGGGACACTGCAAAGGCTGGGCCTCTTTATCCATGTGGGCTCGAGGCCATCCTTGCTCCATGGTCGCTCATCTTTCAGTATCTAGGCCATGTTTTCTCACATATTGGTGAGAGCATAAAGAAGGCTAATGCCGAACCTCCATGTCTTCTCAAGGCCTGTCCTTGGAGGTTGCATGATATCACTTCTGCTGCAGTGTATTGGTGATAACCACATGGGAGAAGGAGACAACATGAAGAGGTGAATACAAGTTGGTTTATTGGGGACCACACGATTAGGAAGTTATTTTCAGAATGTAGGCAATAGACAATGAGAGGCTGAGCTACGAAGTCATGTGAGTGGAGAGGAGCAGATATTTAGAAAATGGAAGAATTCACTATGCAATAGGACATCATATTAAAGCTCAGATGAGAGTTACAGGCGCACGGTGCTACTGAAGGTCAGGTTGCAGGTGTAGTGGATGCTGTTGGTGCCTCCTGCTCTATCCCCATTAGCTGCTAATCCACCATCTCCCAGCTGCTGTGAGTGCTGGCTGACAACAACTCACAGCTGTTCCTTTCTCTGGAAAATTGCCCTCAACTGAACAGGAGCTGTCTGCCAGGGAGGAGATATATTCCACCTTTTACTGATTGGCACAGGCCACAGAAGGCCGCCCCCTTTCCTGTGGGTGAGACTGACTCAGTGGTACAACTCATGCTCCAGAGCTTCCCTGGGGGATCAGGCTGAAGCTGGTCTCCAGGTGAGTCCACATCCTTGCTCAGCCGCTTCTCCTGCTCTATGCTGTTTCCTTTACTTTCCTTCTCCTGAGAGCGAGCCCCAGCTCTAAGAAACTCAACCTAAGAAGCGGAGAGAAAAAATGTTCAAGTAGGTGCTGGAATTTCTTTTTATAATTTTTTTCTTCCCCAAAGCTACCTCGGTGCTGGAATTTCTTTTTTCTTTTTCCTTTTTTTTTTCTTTCAGAGTCTGTCTCTGTCGCCCAAGCTGGAGCGCAGTGGGGTGATTTCAGCTCACTGCAACCTCCACCTCCCAGGTTCAAGCCATTCATTCTGCCTCAATCTCGTGAGTAGCTGGAACTACAGGTGTGCACCACCATGCCTGGCTCCTTTTTTTTTTTTCTTGTATGTTTAGTAGAGACAAGGTTTCACCATGTTGGCCAGGCTGGTCTGTAGCTCCTGACCTCAAGTGATTCCCCCACTTCAGCTTCCCAAAGTGTTGGGATTATAGGCATGAGCTACTGCACCCGGCCCCTAGGTGCTGGAGTTTCTAATGGGTTAGCTCCTCTATGCTTTCTTAGTTATGTGATTTTCTCCATTTTTCAGTTCATGTTTCTCTCCTTACTTTTTGCCTTCTCCCCTATAAATTAGTTTTTCTTCTTCTTAAAAATTTTTCTGCACAACTGGGCAGATTTATTTAAGAATGCTTAGATGATTCTTTCTGTTAGATCTATCTGCAAAAGATAAAGCTTTACAGAAGGGAAGCCAAACAAGATAGGATTAACTCCCAAACATAACGACCTCAAGCTTATAATAGTTGTCCTATGGATAAAGAACACAGACTATGAGTTTGAAGACCCCATACAGTAGACATCTGTTACATATTTCTTCAGCATCTGTGTTAGTCCAATCTGTGTCACAATAAAGAACAACCCAAGGCTGGGTAATTTTTAAACAGAAAAGGTTCATTTGTCTCATGGTTCTGCAAGTTGTACAGGAAACAGTTCTGGCATCTGCTTCTGGTGAGGGACTCAGGAAGCTTACAATCATGGTGGAAGGCCAAGAGGGAACAGACATATGAGATGGCAAAAAGGAGCAAGAAAGAGAGAAGGGGGAGGTCCCAGACCCCTTTAAACAACCAGATCTTGCACAAGCAAGAACTCACTCATCACAAAGGGGATCGTGCTAAACCATTCATATTAGTTAGTTCTCACACAGCTGTAAAGATACTACCTGAGGCTGGGTCATTTATAAACAAAGGAGGTTTAATTGACTCATAGTTCCACATGGCTGAGGAGGCCTCAGGAAACTTACAATTATGGTGGAAGGGGAGGTAGGCACATCTTACATGGCAGCAGGTGAGAGTGTGTAGGAGGAAATTCAAACACATTTAAAACCATCAGATCTTGTGAGAACTCACTATCACGAGAATGGCATGGGGGAACTGTCCCCATGATCTAATCACCTCCCATCAGGTCTCTTCCTAGACAGGTGGGGATTATGAGGATTACAATTCAAGATGAGATTTAGGTGGGGACACAGCCAAACCATATCACCATTCGTGAGGGATCTGCCTTCATGATCCAATCACCTCCTACCAGGCCCCACCTCCAACATTGAGAATCACGTTTCAACATGAGATTTAGAGGGGACAAACTTCCAAACCATATCAGGATCCTTTTACCCGCTGGCCCATAGCCTGATTCTTCCCATAAGGACCAATCCTCTTTCCCACCCCTAGCCCATGTTCTTCAGGTGGAGCCCCATTTCTGATTCAGAGGAAGGCATGCAACCTAGATATAACCTGATCAGCACATGATACTACCCAGAGACTAATTCACAGATATAGACCACATGTCAGGCCAATCACAGACAATCAGACTCAGTTCATAAGTTTGCTTAAGTTCCCAGAGAAGGAGGTTCCTGCTTTTCTTCCTTTTGGTGTGAATCAGGAAGTATGTAATCCCAGGAGCTGCCAGCAGCTATTGTTTGCTGGTGAGAGAAGGCTCCAAGCAGGAGGAAGTCAGCACAGAGGAAACAGAGCTAAGAAATAGACAAACTGCATCCTGATGTCATAACATTAGCTCTTGTATAAAGCTGTGCCTATTATTCCTGGACTCTGCAGTTACATGAGCCAATAGATGTCTTTTCTTTTTTCTTTTTTTCTTTTTAGCTTAAGCGGTTCCAGTTGGGTCCTGCCACTTGCAACCAAAAGAGAATGAACACATGGAGTTTTTATTTAAATAAAGCACTTGCTTTAGTATACTTAGACATTTGCTTTCTGTTTGTCAAACATATACAGTGGATATTAAGTGCTTACAGGGACATTTACTGAGGGCTGCAGCTTCTTAATTAGAAAACTAAATAAAAAGAAAACAGTGTTAGCCAAAATGAAGATTGGCAGGTAGGTAGGGGGGAGTAGGACACATGAACTCTTACTCAGCTCCTAGTCCAGTATCCTCTTCATTTTGTCACATCACTGCTAAATTCCAAAGCTCTTCTATACAGATGCTCTGCTTGCTATCTTGTTTCTATTGGGTCTTTGGATATTTTTCTTTCTCTCATTCCCTTTTTATCTCTATTCAAGGGAACTACCTACAAATTTGAGGCATCCCTGTAAAAAATAAAAAATAAAAAATAAAGACCTTCATGAGTACAAAACCCCTGGCTTCCAGATCCCTGGCCTTGTTTTAGCTACTTAACATCGAAATGCTTCCCCAGCCCATACCATGATACCACCGTGCACAGACTGCTTCACCACTAATTTTAGAATGTTTACACAAGGGATCATCAACTCACATCTATTAATATCCCCAACTCTCCCAGGAACCTTGCAAGGTAAGTATTTCTATAGCCATCTTATAGATGAGAATATTTAAGTTCAGAGTAAGTAATTTGGCTAGAGTCTAAAAGCTAGTAGGTGGGAGGCTGAGAAGGGTGGATCAGTTGAGGTCAGGAGTTCGAGACCAGCCTGGCCAACATGGTGAAACCCTGTCTCTACTAAAAATACAAAAATTATCTGGGCATGGTGGCACACACCTGTAATCCCAGCTACTTGGGAAGCTGAGGCAGGAGAATTGCTTGACTCCAGGAGGCAGAGGTTGCAGTGAGCCTAGGTCACACCACTGCACTCCAGCCGGGGCCACAGAGCGAGATTCTGTCTCAAAAATGAAATAACATAAAAGCTGGTAGGTGGGAGTCAGGATTCAAGGAGTGCTGCCTCCATATGCCATGTTCTTTCCATTGCCCATCAGGCAAATACTAGGCTTTCTACAACTGCACTGGGGAAGGCAGGTACTTTTGCACCTCTCCCCAACCCCTGCTCTTACGTTGAAACCTCCTTGAAAGTCCTCCATGAGATTAAAGCTGCACATTCATTAATTTAAAAGAAATTACTGAGCACCTACTGGGTGCCTAGCATAGTTCTAAATGCTGAGAAGGCAACAGCAAACAAGATAATGTTCCCAGTCCTCAAAGAGAGCTTACATCCCAGGGGAGATAGATAATAAACATGCAGACAGATACTATGTCCTATCAGGTGGTAACAAGTTCTAGAAAGAAAAACAAAGCAAGGTGAGGGGGTGATATGGTTTGCATGTTTGTCCCCTCCAAATCTCACGTTGAAATGTGATCCCCAATGTTGGAGATAGGGCCTGGTGGGAGGTATTTGGATCATGGGGGTGGGTCCTTGTTCTGCTGGATCTCTATTGACTGCAGTAGGGATGGCACCAGGTTCAAGAGGCAGAAGAAGAGACCTGGAGCCAGCAGACAAGACATAGGGTTTTATTAGCATTAAACTTGCACACAGGGGTGGTCCAGTGGTAGCAGGCTGGACAGGAGGACCACAACCACTTGCAAAAACCCTGAAGTTTATATAGCGTTTTCACTTAGCACCTTTCCTCTAACAGTCTCCACCTGGAAAACATCATTTAACTCAAAACAAAGGGACTTGATCCCCTGTATGACCCTTGTTCCATGGGATGGGCTGGGGGTTCAGATGTTCCTCACAAATATGAAATTAATCTCTGGGTTGGCCACTCCCAGATTTCTTAGCTTGAAACTTCAAACACATATTCAGGTGCATCTGCTATACAGTGTAATTCTCAGGGTATGCTTAAGTTATTGCTGCCAGGTGCATCTGCCATACAATCCCTCATGAATGGCTTGGTGCTGTCCCCATGGCAATTAGTGAATTATTGCTCTATTAGTTACTCAGGGATCTGGTTGTTAGAGTCTGGCACCTCCCTCCCCTTCTCTTGCACCCCCTCTAAACATGTGACACATCTGCTCCCCTTTTACCTTCTGCCATGATTATAAGCTTTCTGAGGCCCTCAACAGAAATAGACGTTGGTGCCATGCTTCTTGAAGGTTCTGCAGGTTGGCACCTGCAGAATCATGAGCCAAATAAACCTATTTTTAAAATATCCAGTCTCAGGTATTCCTTTACAGCAGTGCAAAACAGACTAATACAGGGGGTCAGAGAGTGATGGGTTGCTATTTTAGGTGGAGTGGTCAAGGAAGACCTCTTTCAGGAAGAACATTTGAACAGAGACCCAAATGGAGTGAAAAAGTGAGGTCTGCAGTTTTCTGGAGGAGGAGTGTTCTATGAAGGCACTGCTTCCTCACTGTGTTAGCCTGTTCTCATGCTGCTAATAAAGATTTACCTCAGGCTGGGTAATTTATAAAGGAAAGAGGTTTAATTGACTCACACTTCTGCAAGGCAGGGGAGACCTCAGGAAACTTACAATCATAGTGGAAGGGGAAGCAAACATGTCCTTCACATGGCGGCAGGAAGTGAAGTGAGTGCTGAGTGAAGTGGGAAGCCCCTTAAACCATCAGATCTCTTGAGAACTCACTATCATGAGAACAGCATGGTGGAAACCACCCTCATGATTCAGTTTCTTTACCTGCTCCCTCCCACGACACGTGGGGATTATGGAAACCACAATTCAAGATGAGATTTGGGTGGGGACACAGCCAAACCAAATCACTCACCATGGAGCATCATCAGCTGTGACTTACCACCCCACCATGCCTCCACTAGATAGATTCCCTGAGGATAGGGAAGCCATGCAGAAGAAGAGCAGAAACTTCTATAGTGATGGCAGGTGGGTGGTGGAGCATGGCTGGGAATGAAGGGAGAAAAGAAGATGCTGGCTACAGATAGGAATCTGCTTTCTTAAAAATGTTTACCACCTAAAAGCTATGTGGTAATATGAATTGGATCCTAGAATACAGAAAGGACATGAGTGGAATAATTGGTGAAATCTGAACAAAGTCTGTAGTGTGGAAGCTAAAACACCTCCATCTTGGAGGCTAATCCATCACTTTGACTTCTGATTAACCCAGATCCAGGAAAGCCTCTAAGATTTCCAGTTAATCTATTATTCCTGTGTAACAGTAACTACTTACCATAAGTCCTGCCCTTAGGTTAAAGTGACCTTCATTCTATCATATTTCAGTTGTCTTACACATCCCTTCTGAGTGACCCTTCCCTGTGGTATCCAAGCCCTTGGTCTGGTGGGTAATAGCACAGGGATCCACCATCTTGTCTTGCTGCTGCCTGAGAAACAAACATGGTTTCTGTTCATAAGTCCCTATTAAATATTTCTTTCTTAGGAGCCGAATATGTTAGCCTCCTTTTTGGCCTTTCAGCTTCCTTGGACTTTGGGGGCAGGTTTGCATAGGCCTGCTCACTGAAGAACAGTAGTTAAGGGTAATATTTACCAATGTTAATTTTCTTAGTTTTGATAAACATCATGGTTATAAATGATGTTCACATTAGGTAAAGCTGAGTGATGGCACAAAAGCTGAGTAATGGGAGCTCTGTGCTATTTTTGTAACTCTTCTGTAAATCTAAAATTATTTCAAAATAAAAAGTTAAAAGACAAAGCCAGGCATAGAGGCTCACGCCTGTAATTCCAGTACTTTGGGAGGCCAAGGCAGGAGGATTGCTTGAGTCCAGGAGTTCGAGATCAGCCTGCACAAACTGAGCAACATAGTGAGACCCTGTCTCTACAAAAAAATACAAAAATTAGCTGGGTGTGGTGGTGCATTCCTGTAGTCCTGGCTACTTGAGAGGCTGAGGTGGGAGGATCACTTGAGTCCAGGAGTTTGAGATTAGAGTGAGCTATGATTGCACTGACACAGAATGGCTGGGCTCCCAGCTAAACCTCACCCTTAAGCCTGGAACTGTGGCCCCAAGTGAAAACAGCTGACCCCATTTTCCCCCCACAAATGTTGCCTTTTTGACCTGCCACGCCCCTATCCTGTGCCCATAAAAAGACTGCAGCTGGCAGAGCAACACAAGCGGCTGAGCAGCAAGTAGAGAAGCAACTGAGCGTCAGAGACTACAGATAGACGCGGCTAACTTCAGACTCTGGCTTCAGGGAAAGACTACCTTCTTCCCGCACCATCCCCTTTCCAACTCCTATCCCGCTGGGAGCCACTTCCATTGCCCAATAAAATTCTCCATATACACTACCCTTCAATCCGTTTGTGTGATCTGATTCTTCCATGATGCGAGACAAGAACCCAAGTGCCGAGAGGGCAGGGGCTTGGACGCTGCTGCGGGGCTCGCATAGAACCTGCTCCTGCCCCAGAGGAGTGACTGGCCGGTTCTAGCATTCATTCCCTCGGGTTCCTGCACTCGCTTGAACGCTTCCTCTCGGGAGGAGTGGCCAGTGGTGGGCTGAGTGAAACGTGTCACTCCAGTTCCCACCCGCAAAGAGGGTCAAAGTCAACAGAACAAGCCTATTTTAGCACCACCGCACTGCAGCCTGTGTAACAGAGCAAGACTGTCTCAAAAAAAAAAAAAGATTTAAAAATGCCGTCCGCTTTATACTAGCAAAATATTGATGAAACTACAAAATATTACTGAAACAAATTAATCAAAACTCTCAATAAATGAGGTATTGATGGAATATGTCTCAAAATAATAAGAACTATTTATGACAAACCCACTGCCAATATCATACTGAATAGGCAAAAGCTGGAAGCATTACCTTTGAAAACCGGTACAAGACTAGGATGCCCTCTCTCACCACTCCTATTCAACATAGTATTGGAAGTTCTGGCCATGGCAATCAGGCAAGAGGAAGAAATAAAGGGTATTCAGTTAGGAAGAGAGGAAGTCAAATTGTCTCTCTTTGTAGACGACATGATTTTATATTTAGAAAACCCCATCATCTCAGCCCCCAAACTCCTTAAACTGATAAGCAACTTCAGCAACGTCTTAGGATACAGAATCAATGTGCAAAAATCACAAGCATTCCTTTACACCAACAATAGACAAGCAGAGAGCCAAATCATGAATGAACTCCCATTCATAATCGCTAAAAAGAAAATAAAATACCTAGGAATACAGCTAACAAGGGATGTGAAGGACCTCTTCAAGGAGAACTCTAAACCACTGCTCAAGGAAATAAGAGAGGACACAAACAAATGGAAAAATATTCCATCCTCATGAATAGGAAGAATCAATATGGTGAAAATGGCCATACTACCCAAAATAATTTATAAATTCAATGCTATTCCCATCAAACTACCATTGACATTCTTCACAAAATTAGAAAAAACTACTTTAAATTTCATATGGAATCAAAGAAGACCCCGTATAGCCAAGACAATCCAAAGCAAGAAGAACAAAGCTGGAGGCATCATACTACCTGACTTCAAACTATACTGCAAGTCTACAGTAACCAAAAGAGCATGGTACTGGTACCAAAACAGATATATAGACCAATGGAGCAGAACAGAGGCCTCAGACATAACACTGCACATCTACAACCATCTGATTTTCGGCAAACTTGACAAAAACAAGCAATGGGGAAAGGATCTCCTATTCAGTAAATGGTGCTGGGAAAACGGGCTAGCCATATGCAGAAAACTGAAACTGGATCCCTTCCTTACACTTTATACAAAAATTAACTCAAGATGGATTAAAAACTTAAATGTAAAACCCCAAACCATAAAAACCCTAGAAGAAAACCTAGGCAATACTATTCAGGACATAGGTGTGGACAAAGACTTCATGACAAAAATGCCAAAAGCAATTGCAACAAAAGCCAAAATTGACAAATGGGATCTGATGAAACTAAAGAGCTTCTGCACAGCAAAAGAAACTACCATCAGAGTGAACAGGCAACCTACAGCATGGCAGAAAATTTTTGCAGTCTACCCATCTGACAAAGGTCCAATACCCAGAATTTACAAGGAACTTAAACAAATTTATAAGAAAAAAACAACCCCATCAAAAAGTGGGCAAAGGATATGAACAGACACTTCTCAAAAGAAGGCATTTAGGTTGGGCGTGGTGGCTCACACCTGTAATCCCAGCACTTTGGGAGGCCGAGGTGGGCGGATCACCTGAGGTCAGGAGTTTGAGACCAGCCTGGCCAACATAGTGAAACCCTCTCTCTACTAAAAATACAAAAATTAGCTGGGCATGGTGGCAGGCACCTGTAATCCCAGCTACTCAGGAGGCTGAGGCAGGAGAATCATTTGAACCCAGGAGGTGGAGTTTGCAGTGAGCCAAGACTGTACCACTGTATTCCAGCCTGGGCAACAGAGTGAAACTCCTTCTCAAAAAAAAAAAAAAAAATTATATGGCCAACAAACATATGAAAGAAAGCTCAACATTACTGATCATCAGAGAAATGCAAATCAAAACCACAATGAGATACCATCTCACGCCAATCTGAATGGTTATTATTAAAAAGTCAGAAAACAGTAGTTGCTGGTGAGGCTGTGGAGAAATGGGAATGCTTTTTACACTGCTGGTGGGAATGTAAATTAGTTAAACCATTGTGGGAGACAGTATGGTGATTCCTCAAGGATCTAGAACCAGGAATACCATTTGACCCAGCAATCCCATTATTGGATATATACCCAAAGAAATATAAATCATTCTATAAGACACATGTACATATATGTTTATTGCAGCACTATTCACAATAGCAAAGACATGGAACCAACCCAACTGCCCATCAATGATAGACTGGATAAAGAAAATGCGGTACATATACACCATGGAATACTATGCAACCATAAAAAGGAATGAGATTATGTCCTTTGCAGGGACATGGATGAAGCTGGAAGCCATTATCCTCTGCAAACTAACACAGGAACAGAAAACCAAAAACTGCATGTTCTCACTCATAAGTGGGAGTTGAACAATGAGATCACATAGACACAGAGAGGGGAACAACACACACCAGAGCCTGTTGGGGGGGTGGGGGCTGAGGGGAGGGAACTTAGAGGATGGGTCAATAGGTGCAGCAAACCACCTTGGCACACATATACCTATGTAACAAACCTGCACATTCTGCACATGTGTCCCCCCTTTATTTTTTAGAAGAAAATTTTTTAAAAAAGACCTAAATAAATAGAGAAATATGTTATATTTATGGATTGATGAACTTGGTATTTTAAAAATGAACAGACAATGTAGGCTGGGCACGGTGGCTCACGCCCGTAATCTCAGCACTTTGGGAGGCTGAGGTGGGCGGGTCACGAGGTCAGGAGATGGAGACCATCCTGGCTAACACGGTGAAACCCCGTCTCTACTAAAAATATATAAAAAAAATTAGCCGGGCGCGGTGGCGGGCGCCTGTAGTCCCAGCTACTCAGGAGGCTGAGGCAGAAGAATGGCGTGAACCCGGAAGTCGGAGGTTGCAGTGAGCCGAGATTGCGCCACTGCACTCTATCCTGGGAGACAGAGCGAGACTCTGTCTCAAAATAATAATAAAAAAAATGAACAGACTAGATGTAATTGCACAACAGGTTTTCCTGCCTCCTGCAGAGACAAAACCAGTTCACTGAGACCATGGTATTCCGGCAAAAAAAAAAAAAAAAAAAAAAAAAAAAAGAGTTTAATTGACACAAGGCTGGACACACGGGAGACGGAGTTATTACTCAAATCAGTCTTGCCAAGAACTCAGAGGCTAGGGTTTTTGTGGACAACTTGGTGGGCAAGTGGGTAGGGAATGGAGGCTGCTGATTAGCTGGGGATGAAATCATAGGGTTGTGGAAATCGGTCATTTTGTGCTAAGTGCACCTCTGGGTGGGCCTGCAGGGTCAGTTAAGTCATGAGTCACAGGTCCAGGTGGGATCAGCTGGTGGCCAGAAAGTCTGAAAAAAAAATCTCAAAAGGTCAATCTTAGGTTCTACAATGGTGATGTTATCTATAAGAGAAATTGGGAAAGTCACATGTTGTGTGGCCTTTGGCCACATGACTCCTGAGCAGTAAGGGATTACAAAAACTACACCTATATTTTAGCAGAATTCAGGCCTCTCTCATAATCCTAATATTGTGGACTTTCATTAGTCTTACAAAGGTGGTTTTAGTCCCTCAACTAGGAGGGGTTTGGTTTAAGGGAGGGACTTTATCATCCTTGCTTCAAAGTTCAACTATCAACTATATTCCTCCCCAAGTTAGCTTGGCCTGTGCCTAGGAATGACCAAGGACAGCTTGGAGATCAGAAGCAAGATGGAGTCGATTATGTCAGATTTCTCTTACTGTCATAATTTTGCAAAGGCAGCTTTATAAACAGTCCAGAAACAGACAATATGCAGTCACTAGGGTTATGACAAAGGGACAATAAAGCACAAGAAAAAGAATGATCTTCATAAATAGCAATAAATCAATTGGATACCCACATAGGAAAAATGAATCACAACTTCTATACTACATGATACACAAAAATCAATTCCATATGTATTGTATGAAATGAAGCTTCTAAAAGAAAACAAGGATATCTTTATGATCTTGGTGAAGGCAATTATTTTTCAAACAGGACACAGAAAGTATAAACCACAAAGAAAATAAATCATAAAATGGACTAAATTAAAACTAACAACTTCCTTTTTAAAAAGATCCCATTAAGAGAATGAAAAAACTGGCCGGGTGTGGTGGCTCACACCTGTAATCCCAGCACTCTGGGAGGCTGGGGCAGGCAGATCACCTGGTAGGCAAATCTCCTGAACTCAACCAGGAGTTCGAGACCAGACTGGCCAATGTGGTGAAACCCCATCTCTACTAAAAATACAAAAATTAGCTGGGTGTATTGGCACACATCTGTAATCTCAGCTACTCGGGAGGCTGAAGTAGGAGAATTGCTTGAACCCGGGAGGCAAGCAAGCCAAGATTGTGCCACTGCACTCCAGCCTGGGTGACAGAGTGAGACTTTGTCTCAAAAAAAAAAAAAGCCATAACATGGGAGAAATTTGTATCTCACCTATCTGACAAAGAACTGGTCTCTAGAATATATAACTACTACAAATCAGTAAGACAATTCAACAGATACTTTCAAAGCACAAAGCAACATGGATGAATCTCACAGACATGATGAGGTCAAGGAGCCAGACACAAAAGAGTATATGTGGTATGATTGGTATGATTTAATTCATATAAAGTTTAAAAGCAGGCAAAACTTCTGTATGGCCATACTTGTTATATTTAAGGATGAGGTGGCTAGTAACTGAAAAGGGGCATGAGGGTGCTTCTGGGATGCTGGTGATATTTTATTTCCTGGTCTGGGTGTTGTATAAAGAAATGTATTCATTTATGATTTGTACACTTTCTATATATCTACATCTATATCTCTATGCTATATTTCAGTAAAAGTTTGTTAAAATGCCATATGGCTTAGTTGGAGAGAAAAGTATAGATTGGGATTGTAATGAATTATTCTCTGATGAACTATTGAACTCACCATTGTATTATCTACTGCTGCAAAACAATTATTCTGAAACTTAGCAGCTTAAAACAACAAACATTTATTATCATTCAGGGTCTCTCATGAGGTTGCAGTCTAACTTGGCTGGGGCTACAATCATCTGAAAGCTTGACTGGGACTGGGGGATCCATGTTCCAGCTCATTTGCACTGTTGGCAGGCTCTAGTTCCTTGCTAGCTGTCAGCGGGTCTTCAGTCTCTCATTACATGGCCATACAGCACCTGAGTGTCCTCACAACATGACAGCTGGCTTTCTCCAGAGTGAGTGAGCAAAGGGGGAAAGGCAGCCCAAGATGAAAGACACTGTGTTTTTAAATGACCTAATTGTGGAAGCTACATACCATCACTTCTGCTGTATTCCACTGACAACACAGATCAACCCTAGTGCAATGAAAGGGAACTACCCAAGAGCATGAAGACGAGCTGGTAGGGATCTTTGGGAGCCATCTTGTGATGGTTTCCACAGCTATCTTTCTCACAACCCTTACTAGAATATTAATGGAAATTCTAAGATTCTCACACTTCTCTCTGTTATAATTCATTAATATGTACAAAAATCTCTAGCTGCTTTCAAACTGGTGACCCCATTGGAAGAACTTGCCGGTGGGGGTGAGGAGAAACCTGAGAAGAGGGTCAGATTCTTCCATCACTGTCCCAAGGGGCATAGACTCTGTGAAGATGGTCGTTTCTAGCCTGTGATTTCAGAAATTCTGGCAGGTCCCCCTGCCCTTGGTACCTCAACATAATATGACCAGTGATCCCTGAAATAACTCCAAAGGAAACCTATGCCACTGGTGAAAGATGTTCCTTTCCTATCAAATGCAGGCACACTAGCAGCACAGTAAAGCAGTGGTTCCCAAACTTGGCTGCTCTTTAGAATTTCATGGGGAGCTGTGAAAAATGTGAATTCCTGAGTCTGTCCAGAAAACCGATTCAGACTCTCCAGAGGTGGACTTCCAGACTCTGCAGTTTGAGAAGGCTTCTCTCCATCTGTCAGAGTAAGAAAAAAATTTTGAAAATCAATAAAAAAGAAAAAAGAGAAGGCTTCTTAGGAAGTTCTGAGAGAAGAGTTGGCCAAGCATCTGACAGCTGGTCCTGCAGCGGTATTTGGAAACTACTGACATATACCATTAGTGTGTGTAGATTTCAGACCCCTTCTGGGGAGTGAGTTTCAATGTTGGGAGTGAGGGTGGGATAGCCATTTGTCCACAAAGAGCCCATTTTTCTTCCCAGCTCTCTCTGCTCAATGTGCTGAGTGAGATAGTGCTTCTCAGCCTCTTTGAACGCTTTCTTGTCCCTCTGCCTGCACTTTGGTTCCCATCACGTCAGCCTTGAAGGTGGAGTGGCCTGTCAGCACCACAGGCTTGTGACTGGAGCCACAGGATCTCCTTTATCTCCTCAGCTTCAGGCTCTGTTGTGTGAATCCAGGCTAAGAGCAGTTCAATGACTCAGGGTTAAGAGGACACACCGCCATCTCTTGACTCAGCCAGGAGATCCTTCCTCTTTGGCAATAAAAGGACACAATGCTTTGTAGAGTTGCCACTTAATATAGATGAGATTACAGTTTGTGGACTGGATGAATCTAGAGACTTGTTTTCTCACCTATGAGAAAATATGCAAGGCATGGGAACATTCTTCATAGTAGTAAAAATTGAAAATATTTGTTTTTTTCATCCATTCACTCAACAAATATTTGTTGAGCATCTCTGATCTTATCTTCTACTACTGTCTTGCTTATACCTCTCCAACCACACTAACCCCGCTGATCTTCTTAGAACAAACCAGGTACTCCTCTGCCTTAAGGAATCTGCTGCAGCCTGGAACTTTCTTACCCAGTTGTCTACTGAGCTAACTTCCTCACCTTCAAATCTTTGCTTACTTCTCACCTTCTCGATAGGGGTTAACGTGACCACCCTATTTACCCCTGCAACCAGCTTCCCTTCCTTACACTGTTCTACCTTTTATTTTTCCACAGCTCTGTTTACCTTTTAATACACTATTTCATTGATTAGGTCATCGTTTATCGTTTGAGTTCCTCTCTTGAATGTTAAGTTTCATCAGGGCAGGAATCTTTGTCTGTTTTTTTCACCATGTGTCCCTGGTACCTGGCATGGAGTCTGGCACGTAAGAGACACTTGATAAATATTTGTTGAATGAATCAACTGGGAGCCGGAAGAGCAGCATGCAATACAGATAAGATCACTGGTGTCATAGAGCTCATGATTTATTGGAGGTGAATGTAAATGAATTATTACAGAAATGCTTATTTAGTGATAATTGTGATAGCTAAGAAGGAAATATGGAGTTGTATCTGAGAGTATACGAGGGGCCCAACCTAATTAGGGGGCCAGGGATAGTTTGTTGAGGCAGCAACACTTAGCCTGAGACCAGAAGGTGGAGTGGAGTAATCCAGCTGAGGGAGCTGGGAAGACAGTGGAAAGACCCTCTTAGATTTCAAGTAGTTTTCAGTTGTCCGGCTTATAACAACCGGGCATGCTGACAACCACATGGAGGTGCCTCTCTTTTCTCTTGAAGTAGCTATTCAAACTGAGTTTCCAAAAATCTGTAGACTACCTCTACACCAACATCTGAACACCAACTTCAGAATATTTCTCTTGTTACAGATGGATGCTCTTTGATGAATAACATTTTTGATCTTCTGAATGTCTCCTTAATCAGTTGAAAACAAATTAAGTTTTCAATTGATTAAATAAATTTACTCAATCCACTGGATAAAGTTTAAATATTTATTGTATCAGTCCACTGAATAAATAAAGTTTAAATATTCTCAGCAATCAATCAAGAGTTTAAGAGATCTTATCTCAGAAACAAAACCACATAAAGGCTGAGGTAAAAGAGCTTCATACTGAGAGGAAAGCCTTAGTTGATGAGATGAGCAGTTCTCTAGGTATTCTTCCTAGCACTTGAAATAAAGTACTTTGCACAAGGCAACTAAAGAAAATGTCTGTAGGAATTAGGTCAAAGTTGTAATAGTTAGGCAAGGCACGGAGGTTTACACCTGTAATCCCAATGCTTTCAGAAGCCAAGGCAGGAGGATCCCTTGAGGGCAGGAGTTTGAGACCAGCCTGGGCAATATAGAGAGATCTGTCTCTACTAAAAATAAAAATAAAAATAGCTAGGTGTGGTGGTGCATGCCTATAGTCCTAGCTACTTGGGGGGCTGAGATGACAGAATCACTTAAACTCAGGAGTTTGAGGCTACAGTGAGCTATGTCATGCCACTGCACTCCAGCCTAGGTGATAGAGTGTGGGACCCTGTCTCTAAAACCAAAAACATTATAGCAGTTAATTCCCTTCTAGAGATCACCTGGCTGCATTAGGCAGTTTTTTCCTTTTTATTACTCAGAAGAACAAACACATTTATAAGAAAATATACAGGTATGAAATAATGAGTCAGTGGTAAATACTGTGAAAAAGATTTTGAAAGCTTCTGAGTACTAACAGATCTTAAACATTCACTTGTTAATTCACCTCTGGGAACTCAATCTTTGACCTGGAAACAAGAGGAAAAACAGCATCCTTTCTTGAGCAGTATGTTCTCAGCTTCCGAGCTGCCCAGGAGATTGGGCCCCAGATGATACCTTAGAACCAGAATCAATGCTTGTGGGAGGACCATGTAGGCTCCTTCATCAGAGGCATATAGTGATACCTCCATTAATAAAGCCTCTGGGGATTCTGTGTTCTTTTTGCTTTGTTTCTGTTTTATTTTGCTTTTTTGCTAAGTTAGCCAGGTTGTGGAGGGGAATGGTATAACTTCAACTGAGGATTGTGCTGGTTGTGACCATGTCAAAAGAAGCAGTAACTTTATCTCAGGATTTCCCTCTGTATCAGTCAGGAGAGGCTAGGTTATGCTGCTGTAACAAACAACCCCACAATCTCAGTGGCTTAAAATAGTAGAGGTTTATTTTTTCACTTAACAACACATGTCCATCTGGGGCCTGTGATGGGAAAGGCTGCCACAAAGGTCTCTGACATATCCTGGAGACATTTTCTCCATTGTCTTGGCTATTAACATTCAGTTCCTCTTTACTTATGGAAATTTCTGTAGCAGGCTTAAATTTCTCCCCAGAAAATTTTTTCTTTTCTACCACACAACCAGGTTGCAAATTTTCCAAACCTTTATGCTCTGCTTCTCTTTTAAACAGAAGTTTCAGTTTCAGATAATCTCTTTGTTCACACACATGAGTGTACACTTTTAGAAACAGCCAGGTCTCATCTTGAATGCTTTGCTACTTAGAAATTTCTTCTGCCAGATACCCTAAATCATCTCTCTCAAGTTCAAAGTTCCACAGATCTCTAGGGCAGGGACAAAATGCTGTGTCTCTTTCCTAAAGCATAGCAAGAGTGACCTTTACTCCAGTTTCCTATAAGTTCCTCATCTCCATCTGAGAGCACCTCAGCCTGGACTTCATTGTCCATATCACTATGAGTGTTTTGGTTACAACCATTCAACAAATCTCTAGGAAGTTCTAAATCTTCCATCATCTTCCTGTCTTCTTCTGAGCCCTCTAAACTGTTCCAGCCTCTGCCCATTACCCAGTTCCAAAGTTGCTTCCACATTTTCAGGTATCTTTTTAGCAATACTCCACTCTTGGTACCAATTTTCTGTAATAGTCCATTCTCACACTGCTATAAAGAACTACCTGAGCCTGGGTAATTTATGAAGAAAAGAGGTTTAATTGACTCACAGTTCCACATGCTTCATAGGAAGCATGACTGGGAGGCCTCAGGAAACTTATAATCATGGCAGAAGGTGAAGGGGAAGCAAACATCTTCTTCACATGGTGGCAAGAGAGAGAGAAGGGGGAAGTGCCACACAGTTTTAAACCATTGGATCTCATGAGAACTCACTCACTATCAAGAGAAGAGCAAGGAGGAAATCTGCCCCCATGATTCAATCACCTCCCACCAGGTCCCTCCCTCAACACTGGAGATTACAATTCAACATGAGATTTGGGAGAAGACATAGAGCCAAACCATATCACATAATTATTCATAACGGGTGGGAAAGGATGTTGCTAGTAAGTATATTATAGGTGGTCTTTTGGGTATTCTCAGTAGCTGTACGTGCTTGTTCATGTATCACATGTCTCATTAGCATCTTCAATCTCCATCCAGGGGTGTGTTTTTTACTATTATAATGAGCAAAGGGTCAATCTGAGGACAAGTAAAATTAAAATGCGCATGCTTTCTACAGGGGAAAGTCCCTGAAGATAGTTCTGCTTGGATGGGCTTGATCACAATGTGAGTACTGGGGTTTGTTACGTTGCTGGTGCAGTTGCTGTGTCCCACATAACAGACATGGTAACTGACATTGTTACCAGCTCATGTGTTGACGGTGCAGTTTTCATGTCCCAAGGACATGGTTATTTCCTTTACTATCTATCCTGACTCAATAATACTGTTACTAAACTTTGGCAGCTTGTATTTTTTTCTCTGAAATTATATTTTTAAGAGTTATCCAAGTTGACACAAGGAGCCATAGTTCATTCATTTAACTGTAAGAACAGCCCTTCTTGAACCTTAATTGGCACATGAATCACTACAGGATCTTGTTCAAGTACAGATTCTGATTTGGTATGTCTGAAGTTCTCAACTGAAGCCAACACTGCTGGTTGGGCATCACATTTTTGGAGGCAAGGCTGCATAGAATTCCCTTGAATGCATGTGGGACAATTTATTCATTTATTCCCCTGTTGATGAACTCTTAGCTTGTTTTAAGTTTATTTTTACCATTACGTAACATTACAAGTATTACAGTGAGCATTCTTTTGCATATCTCTTGGCATCCTTATGCAAGAGTTCTCCAGAGTATATACCTAGAAATGCAGTGGCTGGGTCATAGGATCTACCACTGTTCAATTTTACTAAGTACTGCTAACTTGCTCTCCAAAGTGGTGGTTTCCACTGATTGCTGTATAAGAAATTTGGAAAAATTCCTTTTGTTCCATATGCTTACTGCACATGGTACTTTCAGCAGTGAGTGTGTCTTTTCATATATTTGTTGAACATTTGATTTCTTTAGTCTTTTTTCTAAGTTTATGTGGTGGATACTAATCTTAGTGTGTACCTCAAAAATACGATTTTCTTCACTTTGCCAAAATTTAACTGAGGGTTAACTTGATTAAGCCCACCAAACTTAACCTGCCCTGCTTGCTTTTAATCACTTACTTCTAGTTGATCTAAAAACTCCCACTAGCAAGTCATAAAGCCAAATAATACAGAACTAAACTCCTACTAGCTTCCTTATAGATAACATCTCTGACTGTGGGTCACCATAGTAACAGTTGCTTAAGGTTGTTTTTCAGGAGCTAAGGGGCAGCTCTTGTCCAGTTCAAGCTGGTTAAGACCATCAACCATTCAACTGGGCCTGGGAGAATTCTTGAGAGGAGACATTTTGACATTAGAGGGCCAAAAATTCTACCCGCAGATCATGCTAACACTGCCATTTTCAGAACATGTGTTCTATGAAGAGCCATGAAGCTAGACTATGCGTGCACAGATTGTGGATTAACTCACTTTTCCTTATCCCTAATTACCTTTCCCCTCGCCTCAGACCACCTTGCTCCTCTGTCCCATAAACATCCCTCTGGATCTCCCACCTCCTTCCTTGGCTGCCTTGTGAGTAAACTGTTTCTTTTGCAAAACCCATCATCACAGTGATTGACTTGCTGAGTGTGGGCAGAATAAACCTAGTCTGATATCAAAAACACAACTGAGGCTGGGTGTGGTGGCTGATGCCTGTAATCCCAGCACACTGGGAGGCCGAGGTGGGTGGATCACGAGGTCAAGAGTTCGAGACCAGCCTGACCAACATGGTGAAACCCTGTCTCTACTAAAAACACAAAAATTAGCTGAGTGTGGTGGCGTGCGCCTGCAGTCCCAGCTACTCGGGAGGCTGAAGTAGGAGAATCGCTTGAACCTGGGAGGCGGAAGTTGCAGTGAGTCGAGATTGTGCCACTGCACTCCAGCCTGGGCAACAGAGCGAGACTCCGTCTCAAAAAAAAACAAACAAGAAACACAACTGAATTTTGAACCTGTATTTTTCTAGACTGGTAGAAAATTAATCTTAATCATTATGGGCTTCCCTTACCACCTCTTTCCCCGAGATTAAATCTAAATTCTGGGAGGTTTATGTAGATCCAAGGTGTTTGAGTGTAGGTCCCAGGGCCTCCATCTCTGCACATTGCCATTGATGTGTCCTTCAATCCTGCTATCAACCTAAAGCATAATCGCCTGATAAGTTCTTCCTGCCCACCGCAAAGACAAAGTTAATTCACTGAAACCAGGGCACTGCAGTAGAGAAAGAGCTTAATTGACATGAGGCCGGCCTGTGTGGGAGAACTGGAGTTATCACTCAAATCTGTCTCCCTGATGACTTGGAGGTTAGGGTTTTTATGGACAATCTTGTGGGCAGGAGGCTAGGGATGATTGGTTTAGGATGAAATCATAGGATGTGGAAAACTGGCCTCATGTGCTGTGTCTACCTCTGGGTGGGGCCACAGGATTAGTTGAGTCGTGAGTTCCGAGTCCGGGTGGGGGTCAGTCTGAAAAACGTCTCAAAGAAACCAATCCTTAGGTTCTATAATAGTGACGTTATTTATCTGTAAGGGCAATTGGGAAAGTCACAAGTCTTGTGACCTCTGGCCATATGACCCCTGAGCAGCAAGGAATTATAGAAACTATGCCTACATTTGAGCCAAGTTCAGGCCCCCCTATCCTAATCTTGTGGCCTTTCTTTAGTTTTAAAAAGGTGGTTTTTGGTCCCTGAGCAAGGAGGGGGTTAGTTTTAGGGAGGTACTATTATTCTTACTTTCAAGTTAAACTATAAACTATATTCCTCTTAAAGTTAGCCTGGCCTATAGCCAGCAATGATCAAAGACAGCTTGGAGGTCAGAAGCAAGATGGAGTCAAGGTCAGATTTCTCTTACTGTCATAATTTTGCAAAAGCAGTTTCAAAAGGAAGAAGCTGAGGCAAAATTAATATAAGTATAGTTAATTTGGGCCAAGCTTAAGAGTTGCAACCAAGGAGCACCGATTCAAGTTGCTCTGAATAGACACTCTGATTGGCAGCAGTTACAAGTGGATTTTTAAAGGGAAAGAAGAAGCAGTTGTTGAGTTGTTTACCAAGAAGTTACATTAGAATTATGCAAGCTATTGGTTATCCATTGTTCTTTGTCTCACAAATTCCAGGAACATGAGGATAATGGGCAAGGCAGGTAGTTGGGGACAAAATGACTTTAAATAGTTGCCCCCAGGTATGGGATATGTGGAGGGGGCATTTTGTGGGGAATGATTGAAGTTTCATACTCATGTCTCTCTGGGCCTGCATACCTCCATATAGCTCAGACAGCTCTGAGCTATTTTTCTTTTCTCATTGCCAATCTGGCCCTTTTGTGTTAGCTTAGAGTGCACTCAAACATCTGCTCTTCTTGCCATGCTGGGATGAGGAAATGTCTGCAAGACTCTAAAGACCCAGGAGCCTAGATGTCCTATGCAGCAATTTCCTCCCTGAGCTTTGTCAGTCTACTTAATAAGGAAAGCATGTTGCCCATCTAACAACCTCCTTGGGACCCCCAAACAGCTGCCTTCTTATCTCTTCTCTCTGATCTCTTGTTCTCTTCTCAGCCCTGGAAGGAATTTTTCTTTGTATTGAAGATTAGGGTGGAGTGGAATGAGGGAAGTCCTCTCTCTCTAATTCCTTTTTCCTTTTTTTTTTTTTTACATTTATTCTGCCAGTCTTCACTGGTTTCCTAAGGCTTTTAGAAATGAAAGTCAGAAACACTCTTTTTTTCTTCTTTCAGCCAGTCACATCCTTCTCCTGAGGCAATGGGAAAAGAAAGACCTAAGTGCTTGAATGGGGGAGAGGAGGGTAGGGCAGACTGTGACAATGTGAAATGGTGCAGCAAATGTGGAAAATGGTTTGGGAATTTCTCAAAACATTAAGCATAGAGTTGCCATATGACCCAGCAATTCTACTCCAATAGAAATAAAAATATATGTCCACACAAAAACAAGTGTTCATAGCAGCATTATTCATTGTAGCCCAAAGTGAAAATAACCCAAATGTCCATCAACTAATGAATGGATAAAATGCTTTATATTCATATAATGAAATATTATTTGGTGATAAAAATTAATGAAGTGCTGGTACATGAGACAATATTGGATGAACCTTGAAGGCATTATGGGAAGTGAAAGAAGCCTGACATGTAAGACCTTATATTGTATAACTTTGTATATATGAATGTCCAGAATAGACAAATTCATAGAGACATAAAATAGTGGTTGCTAGGGCTTGGGGGAGGAATGGGAGTGACTGCTACTGGGTAGGAGGTTTCCTTTTAGGTGATGAATATTCTAAAATTGATGGTGGGGATGGTTGCGCAACTTTGTGAATATACTAAAACCAATGAGTTGTATATTTTAAATTGGTGGATTGTATCACATATGACTTATATCCTAATAAAGCTGCTAAAAAAATGAATTGAAAAAATATTGGTTACTTCCTCCCCCCAAACTATTATTCAACTACATGCACATCTTATATATTGCAGATATTTTTATTTTATTTTTAATTATTTTAAATTTATTTATTTATTTTTTGAGATGGAGTCTTATTCTGTCACCAGGTTAAAGTACAGTGAGTGGTGCCATCTCAGCTCATTGCAACCCTCGCCTCCAGAGCTCAAGCAGTTCTCTCACTTCAGCCTCCTGAGTAGTTGTGACTACAGGCACGTGCGCTGTGCACTGTTAATTTTTTTTAATTTTTGGTAGAAATGGGGTTTTGCCGTGTTGTCCAGGCTGGTTTCAAACTCCTGAGCTCAAGTGATCCATTCACCCTGGCCTCCCAAAGTGCTGGGATTACAGGTGTGAGCCACTGTGCCTGGCCCAGATATTTCAAAAAATTTGAAGCAGATATTACATATAGGTTATCTAACTTTTCCTCCTAAATATGTATTAGGTGCCTACTTTGGTCAAACTACTGAAGCAGTATTGTTTGTCTGGGGTAATACCCAAGGTTCATTGTCCCACGCCAAGGAAATCAAGGACACGGACACACAAGGAGTGAGGTTAAGAGTGGAAGTTTAATAGAGAATTGCTTGAGCTCTGGAGGCAAGGGTTGCAAAAGAAAGAGAAAAGCTCTCTCCTGTAGAGAGAGGGGTCTTGAGCAGGTCTTCCAGTCCCCGGTGAAGTGTAAGAGGTTTTATAGATGAACTTGAGGAGGTGGTGTCTGATTTACATAGGGCATGAAAGATTGGTTGAACAGGGTGTGACATTTGCATAGCACACGAAAAACTGGTTAGGGCTAGGTGTGCCATTAGCATAGTGCATGAGAATCTGGCCACCCCCAGCCTAATCTTTTATTATGCAAACGGGTTCTCTACCTGGCAGGTGCCATGTTACCTGTTCCTTTACTATACACATGGTGACAAAGAAAAGAGAAGATGGAGCCCCCGTGTTGAACATGACTGACCCTCAGATAGCCCTTTTCTACTGGCACAGCTGCCGGCATTCACCAGTGCAAGCTTCCAGCTTACTTATCTATGTCTGCAGCTCGATTTTTCAGGCTGCTCTTTGTTAGAAGAGAAATGATTTGGAGGCTGCTTTTTGTTAAAAGGGAAATTCTGCTGAGGATTCTGTTGCCCTTACTATCTGCCTAAATAATTTCTACCTTCTGTATCAGTACCATGGTAGGATACTGTGGAAAGACAAAGATGAATAAGGTATATCCCTTCCTTTGAGAAGCTTCAATATGATCATTTCCATTCATTTGACTTCTAGCTGCTGTGGTCTGTAAATGGTAACAATTATTTATTTCACCTGTCCACATTAACATCACAAACTTTAGTGAGTTGAAAGTAGCAGTTAAAATAATCGAGAGGATGGACGGATTCTGTAAGAAGTCATACTAAAAGGATTTAAACTTTTTGGCCTGTGAAGATGAATGTGGAGAAGGGCTAAATTGGCTTGAACTGAAATGTATGTTCCAAATTAGGAATTCTCAACCTTGTAATTTTTGAAGAATCTCTGTTCCACCCTATATTCATTAAGCCAGACTCTGGGTGTAAAATGCAGGCATAAATAGGTCTTTAAAACTTCCCAGTTGATGGCAATGTGTAGCTGAGGTTGAAAGTTACTGGTGTAGGTGCCTTAACTGAGTAGTTTCCTGCAAATAAGAAAAGTGATATATTATAAAGGGCGAGCAGTTAACCCAGGTATATGCTTTACCCATCAAAGAGTATTTTTGGAAGGCTCAGCCATACTTGGTGTGACCTTCCTGGGTGAAGTGGCAATGCTAACATAGTAGGTGGCTCCCAATGACCTATTTGTGACAAAGAACTGTCAGAGGGACATAGGAGTTTATAGATCAAGAAATGGAACTTTGGGCTAGAATCCAGAAGAGGCATTTATCAGTGCATTAAAATGGAGGGGCTATATCAAAAAAATGTGGGAATTCACCTTTCAAGGGAATTGAAGAGGAGGAAGTAAGAGAAGCAGGAATTTTGGGAAGTAATTTCTTGAATGCTGAGTGATGACTAGGCAGGATCCAGTCTCTTTGGTTGGGTTCAAGGTAGAAGTGTTATATGACAGAGTTAGTCTTATGAGGACATATAGGCTGTAATTAAGGCCAATTAGAGATATATTGGGCCCATTGCTACCCTTTGGGCTTTACATTATGAAGCCCAATTACACCATGCCTTGAAACATTCATTAGTTTCCACTCACAAACACAAAAGATTGACCTTTGGTCTGGCTCAGTGGTTCCAGTGTTCAAATGTCTTGCATTTATTTTTCTGTTTTTATTTATTTTTTTTTAGGGTTGATTTTCATGTCCAAAATGAGAAGAGAATTATGACTGGAAGTCTTTGTCCACCATATGATACGAGCAGGGACAAAGGTTTCTGTGTTTGCTCAAGGCTCTATGCCGAACAGGATGCACTTTCGACATCATGATTTTTGCAAAGTATTATTCCTTCAGTAGCAGTGAGATGAAACACAGCATGTCAACCTCCATATGATTGGGGTCTTGGCACTGGAGTTATCTTGGCACTAGGAGCTATTTCCTGGTACAGGAACCTAGAGGAACTGCTTTCCTGTTATGTTTCAACTGTCCAACTCGATTATCCTCTCTCCAAGGGGATTCAGAATAGGGGGCTAATTCCATTGTGGGGAAACTTCACCCAGGCTTTTAGGACCATTAGGCAAGATTTCCCATGGCAGAAAGACTGTCGGCAAAGCAGGAGCAGAACATGCATTGGAAGAGTCCAAAATGGGGTCATATCACAGTGCTATGGGGGACCCTGGCATTTGGTTGGGTAACCTCAAGGGCATTTGGTTTAGGATCAAGCCAGAGTTTATTTGACAGCTCTGAAATAACCCTAAGTTCAATATCTGAAGTGGTCTTATGGAGGAGCCATTTGATAGTTCATTTCCACCCTTGATTACCCACCCCTTTTTTTTTTAGCTGAGGTCTTGCTCTGTCACCCAGGCTGGAGTGCAGTGGCATGATGTGTCGAAGTATATTCAAGGGAATTGAAGAGAAGGAAGTAAGAGAAGCAGGAAGTATCTGGGGAAGTAATTCCTTGAATGCTGAGTGATGACTGTGCAGGACCCAGTCTCTTTGGTTGGGTTCAAGGTAAAAGTGTTATATGACAGTGTTAGTCTGATGAGGACACATAGGTGTAATTAGGGCCAATTAGAGATATATTGGACCCATTGCTACTCTTTGGGCTTTACATTATGAAGTGTACCAGTGGTAGCTCACTGCAGCCTCGAACTCCTGGGCTCAAGCAATCCTCCCACCTCAGCCTCCCAAATAGCTGGGACTACAGGTGCAGGCCACCACAGCCCACTAATTTTTAATATTTTTTACGTGAAAATAAAGTGTCACTGTGTTTCCCAGGCTGGTCTTGAACCCTGGGCTCAAGCTATCCTCCTACTTTACCTCCCCAAGTGTTGGGATTACAGGTGTGAGCCACTGGCCCTGATTATTATTTTTTATTTATTTATTTATTTATTTATTTATTTTTGAGACAGGGTCTCACTCTGTAGCCCAAGCTGGAGTGCAGTGGCATGATCTCAGCTCACCACAACCTCCACCTCCCAGGTTCAAGCGATTATCCTGCCCCAGCCTCCTGAGTAGCTGGGAGTACAGGCACCCACCACCACGCCTGGCTAATTATTTTTTGTATTTTTGGTAGAGACGGGGTTCCGCCATGTTGCCCAGGCTGGTCTCGAGCTCCTGAGCTCAGGATGACCTGCCTGCCTCAGCCTCCCAAAGTGCTAGGATTACAGGTGTGAGCCACCGCACCTGGCCTAATTATATTTTAAAGTGCATTTCCCCCCAAGTTCCAGTTGCTTATAGGATTTAGCTCTGAAGTCAAGGTATTTGAGATTTTTTAATCCATGTGCTGGGAAAGAGAAATAATTCTAGAAATTTAGTTCTGCTAACATTGTCACAAGATAAGATTGTAGTTTTTGCAAAATAAAATGGTGTTTGGTGAGTTTTATTTTGCTTTTGATGGAATGGGTTGCTTCTTGATATTAAAGTTGGAGAAATGGGTGAGATTTTGATATAAGAGATACTGGATTTGTGTTATCAGTATCTGTTCTAATATCTCTTTATTTGACTACTGGGCACATTCTTGAGTTGGAAAAACAAAGTTGCTAAGGGTTGGAATTGTCTCAATTTTGTTTTTACTTTTATATGTTGACACTATTTGATTAAAGCCATTGCACATTCAGTTTATTTTCTTAAAGTTTGTTATAGAGGCAACTAAAGTTCTGCAGACTTGTAAATAAATTATATCTAACTGTACATAACCTGGGTTACATTCTTGAGCGAATCATATCAACATTGGCAGAACGTTTAAATAAACATGCTAGGAAAGGTTAAATAGAGGTTAAACAGTTTATTCTTCCCTTCATACCAAGTTCCTTAGGCATTTGGATTCACCCTTAAAATTTTCTATTTTACTCAGCAAAAATTTTAAGAACAAAGAATTTTATGATCATTCTTAATAAAAACTGTTAATAGAACTTGCTATAAAAGCATCTTAATCTTTTGTTAACTACTCATTTAATCTAAACATGTCATTGCCTCTTGAGTGTCATAATATGAAAACGAAAAGTTTTTATAATCTAAACAGTTCATTGCCTCTAAAGTGTCACAATATGAAAAAAGTTTTTTTCTAAAAAAAAAGTGTTGCCCATAAAGTGTCATAAAAACTATTTGTGGCTGGACACAGGGCTCACACCTGTAATCCCAGTGCTTTGGGAGTGGGAGGATCACTTGAGACCAGGAGTTCCAGACCAGTTTGGGCAACATTGCAAGACCCTGTCTGTACAAAAAATAAAAAATTTAGCTGGGTGTCATGGCTTGTGCCTGAATTCCTAACTACTTGGGAGGCTGAGGGAGGGGGATCACTTGAGCCCAGGAGTTCGAGGCTACAGTGAGCTATGATCATGCCACTAGACTCCAGCCTAGGCAACAGAGTGAGACTCTGCTGCAAAACAAAACCCTGTTTGCTAGAGGGTTGTTTCTCTATATAATATCCATAGCTGGGCATGGTGGCTCATGCCTGTAATCCCAACACTTTGGAAGGCTGAGGCAGGAGAGTAGCTTGAAGCCACACATTTGAGACCAGCCTGGTCAACATCTTGAAACCCCGTCTCTACAAAAACTTAAAAAGAAATTAGCCGGGTACTGTGGCGTGCACCTGTAGTCCCAGCTACTCAGAAGGTTGAGGCAGGATCGCCTGAGCCTAGGAGCTTGAGGCTGTAGTGAGTTATGATTGCTCTACTGTACTCCAGCACCCCAGCCTGGGTGATAGAACAAGAAAGACCCTACCTCAAAAAAAAAAAAAAAGTAAGAAAGAAAGAAAAGAAAATATCAGTAGACATTTCAACTTTTAACAGAACTTATGAGTGGAGTGGGACTTGGAAGAAAAGGGTTATAGAATAAATGAGAACATTAGATTTCCTCTGTGTTCCCAGTGAAGCCCAGCACCGCTAACTTCTTTCTATAATAGACCTTATCCCTTTTTGCACAGGGGTTGGCGGGCTGACTCATGACCCAAGTTGGGCTGATCACTGTTCCTTATCCTCTTAACTTCAGTGATTGGTCCTGAATAGACATGTGACCCAAGCTGGACTAATTTTAGAACTTTCATGGAATTTTGCAGACAGGGGATAGAAATAAATAATTCTTTTTCTTCTTTGATCAGGGAGTTATCAAAGGATCAGGGAGTGATTTGGGATGTGAGTCAATCACCACAGGCCACCACATTCCTCTTTGCATCGTGTATTAGTCTGTTCTTGCACTACTGTAAAATACTTGAGACTGGTTAATTTATAAAGAAAAGACATTTAATTGGCTCACAGTTCCATAGGCTCTACAGGAAGCATGGTTGGGGAGGCCTCAGGAAACTTACAATCATGGGGGAAGGTAAAGGGGAAGCAGACATGTCTTACACGGTTGGAGCAGAAGGAAGAGAGAGAAGGGGGGAGGTGCTACATACTTTTAAACAACAAGATCTTGTGAGAACTCACTCACTATCACAAGAACAGCAAGGGGGAAGTCTGCTCCCATGATCCAATCACTCCCACCAAACCCCTCCTCCAACATTGGAGATTCCAATTCAACATAAGATTTCGGCAGTGTCACAAATTCAAACCATATCACGTGAAGATTTTCATACTCTGCTCTGAAAATCTCTACCACATGGAGTCCCCAACTGGGCTTGCTTTGAACGAAAGTAGGAGAGCCAGTGGCATAGAGAATAGCTGCAGTATGTTGGATTGAGATCAGATAATAATCACCTAAAGAAATGCCACACTATTTTTGTTTCCTAGGCAACATAGGCAAAAGAAAATACATTATCTGTATTTGAGCCATTTGCATGATAATAAAAATGTTAAGATATTGGCTCTAGTATTAATTCTCAATGTGATATGGCTCTAGTATTAAATTCATGGAGATGTCCTTTTGGAGTATGAGAGAATGAGGGCAAAGGCAAATAAAAGCAAAGAGAAACAGAGATGGTTACAGTCATTGGAGAATTGCGGAAAATGGAACAGACTAGAATTACTGAAGTCCAAATCATTGCTTGGCAGTAGTGTTGAGTATGCCAATAATTTGTTGTATTGGTCATTGAAAATGTTTATCCATTACATTATTCAGTGTATCCTTTTATGGGAATATATTCCCCCCTTCTTCCTGTTTCCTTGTGGAGAGAGATCCTCACTGTCCCACTCCTGGCTTCTCTTGCTACTTCTTACTTCTCCTGTGGCAAAAGGAGTTCCTGGGTTAATCGGTTAAGTGTGGAAGAAGGAAGAGTGCGTCCTCAGCTGACCTCCTCCCTCTTTCCTCTCTTAGGGGATCTGCCTGCCTCCAAAGAGCCTGTGTTCTGGTCTGGTTTAATGATATGCATGCTGAAGTACTTAGAGGGGGAAAAATAAGATGGATTAATGGATAGATGCATGCATAATTATAGAATAAAGCAAGAATAGCAGAATAGTAATGTAGAATTTACGTAGTGGGAAAATGGGTATTAATTGTAGAACTTTAAAAATTCACTTTATGTTTGAAAATTTTTATACTAAAAAGGTGGGAAGAAGCAGAATGCTTTATGACAGTCTAGCTTGACACAGGCATTTGATATACGCTTGGAAGCTGACAGAGATTGTATTCCTTAAAAAGAGCCTGGTGTCAGGTATTGAGTTTTGCAGATCCTATTGGTATTACATCCAGTTGGGTAAGTCTAGCTGTACAGCCTCAAAAAGTGACCAAACAGGTCAAACCAGTGATTGTCTAGGAGCAGCAATTCTTCTTCACTTGTGAAAGCTGTTGCTTTATTCACTGGCAGGAATTTTGAAGTGCTATTCTGTTTACCAGAAGGCAAAGTAATGGAAACTGGATATTTGGGTGGTCGAGGGGAGATGGAGGTAGGTGGGGTGGGGAAAAACATGCTGTAACTTAATTGAAATAATGCTTATAAAATGCTTAGCATGTTGGCTAAGTTTTCAATAAATGTTAGCTATGATTATAATTGGCTTCTTACCTAAAAATTAAAGCACATGCGGGTGTAATATTGTAGTAGCTCGAATTGTATCCTCCAAGAAGATATGTTCAAGTCCTAACCCCTAGTACCTGTGAATGTGACCTTATTTAGAAATCAGTTCTTTGCAGATGTGAGTTAAAGATCTCAATATGAGAGTATCCTGAATTTTGGATGGGTCCTAAATCCAGTGACTGGTTGGTGTCCTTATAAGAGAAAGAAGAGAGAGATACACAGGGTTGGTGGCCACAGCATGAAGATGGAGGCACAGGTTGGAGAGATGCTGTCATGCAAGGAAGGCTGGGAGCTGCTAGAAGCTGAAAGAGGTTAGGGCTCTCCCCTAGACTGTCAGAGGAGTGTGGCCCTCCTGACACCTTGATTTTGGACTTCTGGTCTCGGAAGTGTGAGAGAATAAGTCTTTGTTGTTTTAAGCCCCCAAGTTTGTGGTAATTTGTTATAGCAGCCTAAGGAAACATACAAATGTCAAACAAAGAAAAAGGATGTTTAAAGGGAATATGTGGGTTTTTTTTTTTTTAAATAATGGAATAGTATGGATCAGATCCGGCGTGTCTAGTGGGGACATATTAGAATCACTTGGAGGAGGTTTCAAGGCTCCATCCCTCTTTTCCAGGGGTGGGGAGTAGGGGCACCAGAAATGGAGCATGTTCTGCTCTGAAAATCTCTACCACACAGAGTCCCCAACTGGGCTGGCTCTGAATGAAAGTAGGAGAACCAGTGGCATAGAGAATAACTGTAGTATATTGGACAGAGATCAGATAATAATCACCTAAAGAAATGCCACTCTATTTTTGTTTCCTAGGCAACATAGGCAAAGGAAAATACATTATCTGTATTTGAATCATTTGCATGAGAATAAAAATGTTAAGATATTGGCTCAAGTATTAGTTCTCAAGGTCTCCTGATACCTTCTGAGAGAAATGGCTGAGTCTTTTTTTTTTTTTGAAACAGAGTCTCACTCTGTTGCCCAGGCTGGAGTGCAGTGGCACAATCTCAGCTCACTGCAACCTCTGCCTCCCCAGTTCAAGCGATTCTCCTGCCTCAGCCTCCCGAGTAGCTGGGATCACAGGTGCCTGCCACCTCACCCGACTAATTTTTGTTCTTTTTTTTTTTTTTTTTTTTTTTTTTAGTAGAAATGGGGTTTCACTGGCTGGGTGCAGTGGCTCATGGTGGTAATCCCAGCACTTTGGAAGGCCGAGGTGGGCGGATCATGAGGTCAAGAGCTCAAGACCATCCTGGCCACCATGGTGAAACCCTGTCTCTACTAAAAAAATACAAAAATTAGCTGGGCATGGAGGTGCAGCATGTAAACCACATGGTGGTGGCATGTAATCCCAGCTACTGGGGAGGCTGAGGCAGGAGAATTGCTTGAACCCGGGAGGTAGAAGTTGCAGTGAGCCAAGATCATGCCACTGCACTCCAGCCTGACGACAGAGCAAGACTCTGTCTGAAAAAAAAAGAAAAAAAAAAAAAGAAAAATAGAAATGGGTTTCACCATGTTGGCCAGGCTGGTGTCGAACTCCTGACCTCAGGTGATCTTCCCACCTCAGCCTCCCAGAGTGCTGGGATTACAGGTGTGAGCCACCATGCCCAGTCAGTCATTTTTATAGTTATTTCCTGGAATGTTGGGGAAAATGCCTATGTGATATGGGCAGGACAAATGCCAATCTTGGAGCTTAGGATCTGAGTCTGAGGTGTCTCTCTGTTTCCCACCCTCATCATTCATCCATGGTCATAGTACGGCTCAGCCATCCTCAACTATTTTATTTTTTAAATAAAAGGAAGAAAATAGTAACACAAGCAATTCCTGTCCATTGTAAGATAATTAGAAAATACAAAGCAGCCAGGTGTGGTAGCTCCTGCCTGGAATCCCAGTGCTTTGAGAGGCTAAGGTGGGAGAATTGCTTGAGGCCAGGAGTTAGAGACCAGCCTGGGCAACAGAGTGAGACCTCATCTCTACAAAAAATTTTAAAAAATTAGCTGGGCTCCCACTTGAGCCCAGGAGTTGAGGCTGCAGTGAGCCATGATTGCATTCACTATACTCTAGCCTGGGCAACAGAGCAAGACCCTGTCTTAAAAAAAAAAAAAAGGAAAAGAAAGTATAAAGCAGTCAAATGGACATGGAACTTAAATTACTCATAATCATGTCAACCAAAGACTGTCACTGTAAACACATTGGTGAAAATCCTCACAGAATTCTTCTATGCAAGTATAAGCATGTAGTTACAAGAATTTGATCACACTATACACACCATTTGAAAAGTTGCTTTTCTCCCCTTTAACTGTGTATTATAAGCATTGGATATATTACTAAGCATAGAATTACCTCAATCCTTTCAATGGCTTATATTGTTCTGTTTTAATAATTTATTGTAACTTAATAAATCCCTTATTGTCAGACATGTATGTTACTGTAATTATTCACTATTGTAAGCAACACTGAAATGAGCAATCTTTACATATTAATCTTGAGTGTCTATTGATTTCTTTAGAGTTGATGCCAAACTACTCTCAAAAGCATTTATATTGGTGTACTCTCCCACCAACAGCATTTTCAAATGCCCATTCCCAATAATTTCACAGACTGGTAATTATCAACCTATTTAATGTTTGTCAATCTGCTACATAAAATAAATGGAATTTTGTTGTCATTTGTATTTCTGTGATTGTTGGTCATTTCTTTCCTTTTTATTTTTTGACACAGGGTCTCACTCTGTCATCCAGGCCAGAGTGCAGTGGTGCAATCTTGGCTCACTTGCAGCCTCGACTTTCTGGGCTCAAGTGATCCTCCCACCTCAGCCTCCCATGTAGCTGGGATCATAGGCATGTGACACCGCACCCAGCTAATTTTTGACTTTTTGTAGAGATGGGGCCTCGCTTTGTTGCTGTAGGCTCGTCTCGAACTCCTGGGTTCAAGCCGTCCTCCTGGGTCAGCCTCCCAAAGTGCTGGGACTGCAGGCATGAGTCACCAAGCCCAGCAATTATTGGTAATTTCTAAAAGATGATATGATGCTTGTTCCATAATTTAGGTGTGCAAAAGGCACTCTTTATTTTTCTGTACTCAACCTATTTTCTCAGCTTGTGAGTCCTTATTCCACTGGGAGATAGAAGCAATCTCCATTGCCATACACTTTTCCCTGGATCACAGCCAAATTCCAAGGGACTAAGCATTAAGGCATTAGGTATGAGTATTGCTGTCAGGGTCGGGGCGTTATCCAACTGACTGCCTCTGTCACCCCTTCCCCACAAGAATCTACTGAAGTGAGGTGACCATCTACCCATTGGTCCTTGGTCATCCATCCCTTCATGATAAGTGACAACAAGATGTTCCTTATTCCTGCCAATGAGGACTTTTTTTTTGGAGACAGGGTCTCACTCTGCCACCAAACTGGAGTGCAGTGGCGCTATCTGGGGTCACTGCAACCTCCACCTCCCGGGTTCAAGAGATTCTCCCACCTCAGCCTTCTGAGTAGCTAGGACTACAGGCGCACACAAAAATGCCTGGCTAATTTTTGTATTTTTAGTAGAGACGGGGTTTCACCATGTTGGCCAGGCTGGTCTGGAACTCCTGGCCTCAAGTGATCCACTTGCCTCGGCCTCCCAAAGTGCTGGGATTATAGGTGTGAGCTACCGCGCCCGGCCAGATCTTTCAGTTCTGAAAGCTCAATTCACCATTTCTGAGGCCCCCTTTGGGGCACAGACCCATTCTGCTGCCCTGTGACAGTCTGGCACCCAACTGGGAGAAATTATGAGGCTGTGAGAGATTCCATCAGCCTAGACACACCACCACTTCCCTAAGGCAGTCAGTATGTAGCACTGAGCTATTCAAACGCGGGAAGGGCAAAGGGAGAAAGAAAATACCTGTTTAAAACATTTGCTAAATAAATAAATAAATAAAATAAAATAAAACATTTGCTAATATTTCAAAGTATATATCCTACCACATTATTGGCTAGTTGTACTAATTCTTTTGTGAAATGCTCGTTCTTGTTTTTGGCTCATGCCAACTACTTTTAATTTTCCCAAAGCATCATATTCTCTTGTACTTCCAAAGGTCTTTTTACATACTTTTTCTCCTGATTAACTCCTGCTTTAACTCTCTGTATTATCATATTTCTGTTTCCCTCCATAATAACATGTATCACGCTATATTGTAATTGTATATTTATTTGTTTGTGGCAGTGTGGGCAATAAAACCTGCTAAAACAGTTGTCCTTCTCATTGAAATTCTATACTCCTTGAGGTTAAGGACTATGTCATAGACCTTTTTTTTTCTTAATTCTGAATATATTCTAAAACAGATTTAGAATAGAAATAGTTTACACTCTTGGTAAATACGCTTAAATAAAAATGAGGATGAATAAGCAGTGTGGTTTAATGCACAGGCTGTAGAATACTCCATCGGACAGAATTGAGTAAGCTGGAGATTGTTATTTACTAGCTATTCAGCTTTGCATAATTTATTGATCTTCCTAAGCTTCAGTTTTCTCAACTATAAGATGAAGAGCCTTATAATGACTTGATAGGTAGTTGCTGTAAAGCCTATTGTCTGCCACATAGGAAATGTAATAGTCTATTTTCATGCTGCTGATAAAGACATACCTGAGATTGGGTAACTTATAAAGAAAAAGAGGTTTAATGGACTCACAATTCTACATGGCTGGGAGGCATCACAATCATGGCAGAAAGCAAAAGGCACATCTTACATGGTGGCAGGCAAGAGAGAATGAGAGCCAAGCAAAAGGGGAAACCCCATATAAAACCATCAGATCTCTTGAGTCTTATTCACTACCATGAGAACAGCATGGGGGTAACCACCCCCATAATTCAATTATCTCCCACTGGGTCTCTCCCACAACATGTCAGAACTATGGGAGCTACAATTCAAGATGAGATTGAGTGGGGACACTGCCAAACCATACCAGGAAGCAAACAAGTCCAGGTGATCATTATTAATATTAGGTGGAGAATGGAAAGACCAACATGCTTACAGCTTTATACTTTACTCATCCTTAGTGGAAAGCACTGCAAATTACTTAAATCAAGCAATTTATGCTAGAGAATTGATGCTGGAGAAGCAAACAATAGTGATTAATATTTACTTTGCTAGTCTAGGTTTTAGGTTGGTAAAAGCACTGTATTCTGGGAGATAGCATGTGTTTGAGTTTTAGAGTTTCTGTATTACTCTTTTGGAAGTGGGCATTCCATGAATTTAAGGCAGAAATTGTGAATGCGAATGATCCAAGCAGCTACCACCAATGAATGAAGTAGTCAAATGTAAATGAGTAAAGAGTGACAGGGATTGTGGCAAATGGGACAGCCCCACCCCTTCCAGGGGCAGGAGGGGGCAGCCGCTACTGAGCTCTGGCTTTGACAATGCAGGAATGCAGAGCCAGCCACATCTTCCAAGTTTTCAAGACAAAAGATGGAATTCTAGGGTTTTGGTTTGTGTGTTTTTTTTTTCCCATGAAGTTTCCTAATTTCTAGACATTGGCAATTAATTCAAGCACTATTTTAAAACACCGTGCAGACCGAAACCCATGTCTGCAGCCTAGAGCTGAATCACGGGTCACCAGCTCGTGACCTTTGATTGAAGATATCGTTAACATTTTCAAGAAGCACATAGAAATTTTGCCAATTTTAGAGTTTAAAGGGATGACAAAACATTACACAAACTTTGTCCAATGTAATATGAACTGTTTGTAATATCCTGTGCAGTCAATTTGCATTAAACATCAGTTAATTTTTAAAAAGAGCTCATACAGTATATTGTAATTCCTTTCATCCTTCAACTAATTCAGTATTAAAGTTCGGCTCAATCTGTTTTCAATCTTGACCTCCCGAGGAAACAGCCCAGGGAGTTCCTAAGTAAACTCCATTCTCCTCACAGGCCTCTGCTTGGTATTTGCTGGAGAAAGCCCTGTAGCTCAACAGGCAGATGGCAGTAAGAAATTAACTTGAATTTCAGCAATGCTGGGGTTTCCATGGGAACAGAGGAAGCAGCCATACTGCCTGGCATTTGAACAGAATAGGAAACAGGCTCCCCTGCCACACAGTCTTAGAAAAATGGCTGCATTATTCCACCACTCTCGCCTTATATATTTAGTTTTTCCCTCCTAAAGTGCTTTAACTTTAGTTCATAATAGGATAATAAATAACATTTAGTTAATGCTTCAGGTGTCTGTGGGTTAGGTTAAGATGTCTGCGAGTATCAGATAAGTGTAAGCATTTCTAATTGCTGAAATCTGAAAATTGTTAATAAGCTGTAAGGTCTCCCTCAGGTAAGCTGTATCGTTTACTAGTTAAGCCATGACATGCAGAAAGTCATTGTTTTAATTTTTATAAATTTTAAATAACATTTTAAAATAAATTTTTTATAAATTTTTATAATTTTTATACGTTTTGTATAAAGAATAGACATTCAAAGAAATTTGATTTTTCTGTCAATGAGGTTTTCTTTTAGGAATAAAATATATCATTAATAAGTTCGTCTGAACTTCCAGGCACCCAATGGACATGTGAGAAATCAGACTCCCTGGAAAGCACTCTGCTCTTCTGAATTAACGATTGAAGAGAGTTGGTCTCATTTGTGCCTTTTCTCATCCAGAAGTGAATTAAAGAGGAAGCTAAGGAAGCCTGAGCTTCATGTCCCATCCCTTGAATTGTCCTCTTCCAAGGCCCTGGGGAGACCCTTTGGAATGTTCACATGGCCATATATGTTTGAAAAATTTTGTAAAATGTGTAAAATATATTTTAACTGCAATTGGTTAAGACTGCTGTCTCTTTCCACTCGGACTTCCTCTCCATCACAATTCCCCTAGTGATGGGTGGTGATGAAATGGTGGCAGGTATTTTTGTGGTCTGGGTAAGTGTATGTTGAGTTGGCAAGATATTAAGCATGGATTTAGTGGGATTTATTTACATGGGTCATGGTTTTGTGTATGGGTAGGTCATTGCTGGCTGTCCTGGTACAGGAATATCTTGTAGAAATACTTCTATTGCCTGCTATGCCTGTCACTCAGCACCGTGACACAGAAATCCTGCACCAGACACTGGATGCCCGTGTCCTAGGGTGGCTGGCACCGTGGGGTATGGACATGGAGGAGAAACAAGGTTGAAATGGAGCTCAGAGTTAAGCTGTAGAAAACTCTTCCCATCCTCAGATACATAAAATCTTCAATGGAGAATTTGGTTTTCAATGAGTCCTGGTCAAAATGGAAGTTCTTGTGATATAGTTTGGATCTGTGTCCCCACCCAAGTCTCATGTTGAAATGTAATCCTCAGTGTTGGAGGAGGGGCCTGGTGCGAGGTGATTGGATCATGGGGTCAGATTTCTCATGAATGGTTTAGCCTTATCTCCCTTGGTGCTGTGGGTGATTCTCGTGAGATCTGGTTATTTAAAAGTATGTGGCACCTTCCCTCTCTTGCTTGCTTCTGCTTTGGTCATGTAATGTTCCTGCTTCCCATTTGCCTTCCGCCATGACTGTCAGTTTCCTGAGGTTCTCCCAGAAGCTGAGCAGAAGCTAGCATCATGCTTCCTGTACAGCCTGCAGAACTGTGAGCCAATTAAAGCCTTTTTCTTTGTAAATTACCCAGTCTCAGGTATTTCTTTACAGCATTGTGACAGCAGACTAACACATCTTGTCTATCAAGAATAGTCTTGATAATGGAGCATATATAAACACACTGCACAGTTTTATGAACATTTTGTTATAGATAATTTATCAGAATTTCTATGATTAAATTTCTAGTTTAATTAACTTGAGGTACTGACAATGAAAAAGGTAACATAAAGCTCAATATACAACTACTACCAGAACATTGATGACAAACCAGTTAAGGACTGTTGCTTCAAAGAGCATTTAAGATTGGTCACTACTAAAGGACTGAACTATAGGAAACTCGAAAGGCCTGCAATATTGTTGCTCATATAAAAAAACCTGATAGAGGTTCCCCCAATTTGACAGCAATCTTAAAAATTACATCACATTATCAACAACTGCCATGGTCTGAATGCTTGTGTCCCTTCAAAATTCATACATTGAAACCTAATCCCCAATGCAGTGGCATGAGGAGGTGAGGCCTTTGGGATGTGATTAGGTCATGAAGGTGGTGCCCTTATGAATGGAATTAGTGCCCTTATGAAAGAGGCCCGAGGGAGCTTGTTGGTCCCTTCCACTGTGTCCTCAGGTAGAAGGTGCCATCTTTGAGGAACAAGTCCTCACTAGACATTGAATCTGCTGGCCTTGATCTTGGACTTCCCAGCCTCCAGAACTGTGTCCAATAAATTTCTGTTGTCCATATTACCCGGTCTATGGTATTTTGTTATAGCAGCCTGAATGGACTAAGACAAAAATGAATTGTGAAGCTAAAAGAAACTTTCTGAACCATCAGTAACAAAAATCAAGATTTTAATATGCCATGGGCCAGCAATTCTTATTATTGTTAGTGATGAAATATTCTTCTACAAAATCTTGTTGGTCCAAGTTTAAAACAATTACTACTGTTATTGTTGAGTTTTTGTAACACAATATATGTGTAAGGCTTAGATTGGCCAATTTAAAAATGATTTATCCTTTATAAGCATTGTGTTCCACAGTTACGTTTGATAAACTCCCAGTTATATGATCAACTCCAGGCATACACTGACTCAGTTACATATACATTATTTTGAGAGTAGGTTCATAATGGTTCAGAATCATTCCAGTTTACTTCAAACACAGGTTGTGTCTCTAATTCTGGTGATAATACATACCCCTGGATTTAAACAGTAGCTCCTTTAAACTTTTATTTATTTATTTAATTTTTTAAAGACAGGGTCTCTGTCACCCAGGCTGGAGTGCAGTGGTGCAATCACAGCTCACTACAGCCTTGAACTCCTGGGCTCAAGTGATTCTCCTACCTCAGCCTCCCAAGTATCTAGGACTACAGGTGTATGCCACCATGCCTGTCTATCTTTAATTTTTTAATTTCTTGGTAGAGACAGGGTCTTGCTATGCTGCCCAGGCTGATCTTGAACTCCTAGCTTCAAGTGAGTCTCCTGCCTTGGCCTCCCAAAGTGCTGGATTACTGGGAGGAGCCACTGTGCCTAGCCTTAAACAATAGTTTCTAAACAAACAGTGACAGCACAGTGATTGTAAAAATGAAGAAATAGAACTTAAATTACTTCAATGTGTTATTCTCAATGCAAATCAACCCTGAACTTTGGAGAGTTTACTTTTTGGAAGCAATTTTTCATGAGCTTTCTCCCCTTAAAAAAAAAGGTATTGTAGCTAAAAAAAAAAAAAAAAAAAAAAAAAAAGAAAAGAAAAAATCAATCCATTATTTTTCCTTTTTCTACTATAATGAATATTGTGGTTTTTATTATTTTATTTTAGTTAAAATGTTTCCTGGCATGAGTATGCAAATGAAGTATAATAAAAACACTTTCAGTGAAAAAGCCCCAAATTTCAATTTACATGGTAGAGACGAGTGAATAATCTCTCTCTCTTCACTCTATAGAAAATGATTATCCAGGCCGGGCATGGTGGCTCACGCTTGTAATCCCAGCACTTTGGGAGGCCAAGATGGGCAGATTACGAGGTCAGGAGATCAAGACCACCCTGGCCAACATGGTGAAACCCCATCTCTACTAAAAATACAAAAATTAGCTAGGCATGGTGGTGCACACCTGTAGTCCTAGCTACTTGGAGGCTAAGGCAGGAGAATTGCTTGAACCCAGGAGGCAGAGGCTGCAGATCACACCACTGCACTCCAGCCTGGGCTACAGAGTGAGACTCCGTCTCAAAAAAAAAAAAAAAAGAAAAAGAAAAAGAAAATGATTATCCAAAATATAGTTATAAGAGGTAATCAAAGAGGATGCAGCCCAAAAAATATAGGAAAAAAACATTATAGAGAGGTATTAGGCAGCTAGATAACAAAAACAATTATGTGATTCTTCTGGATTTTATAATATCTGTGGTGTCTGACAGTCTCTTAAAACTTGTAATCTGTTTGATTTCTTTTGTCCTCCTGAATAAATACTCACTTTCAAACCTAATTTTATATTTGTAATTTGTAACAGCTTCAGGTTCAGTAAAACTTAGATCTACCCTTCCTCTCATTCCTCCTATAAAAGCAAAGCCAGTTTTGTAAAGGTACAATTACAGAGTAAAATGGACAGGTATTGAATACAGCTCACTGAATTTTTATATAACCGTGTAACCACCACCCATGAAGAAGTAAAATATTTCCATCACCAAAGAAGAAACAAATGTAAAACCTCTAAATACACTCAGCCTGAAGAGGCAAATACATCCACAAACAAGAATAACTTGCTAAGAAAAAGCAACACTCAAGGAACATGGTGAATTCTTAGAGATAAAGTTATAGTTACCACAATTAAAAATTCAGTAGAAAGACTAGAAAATAGGTTACAGAAGCCACCCAGAACATCAAGCAGAAACTAAAAGAGGGAAAATATGAGAGAAAAGATGAGATAGAGGAAAACCAAGAGGAACAACTCCAGAGTAAGACTCTCTGTCTCACTCTGTCACCCAGGCTGGAGTGCAGTGGCGTGATCATGTCTCACTGCAACCTCGACCTCCTGGGCTGAAGCAATCCTCCTGCATCAGCCCCCTGAGTGTAGCTGGGACTACATGCCCAGCTAATTTTATTTATTTTATTTTATTTTTGTAGAGATGGGGTCTCGCTATGCTGCCCAAGCTGTTGTTGTTATTATTATTATTATTGCCTGTCTCACTCTGTTGCCCAGGCTGGAGTATAGCAGCGCCATCTCAGCTCACTGCAACCTCTACCTCCTGGGTTCAAGCGATTCTTCTGCCTCAGCCTCCTGAGTAGCTGGGATTACAGGTGTGCACCACTAGTCCTGGGTAATTTTTGCATTTTTAGTAGAGATGGTGTTTCACCATGTTTGCCAGGCTGGTCTCAAACTCTGGACCTCAAGTGATCCTCCTGCCTAGGCCTCCCAAAGTGCTGGGATTATAGGTGTGAGCCACTGTGCCCAACCCAGGCTGTTAATTTGATTCTTTGTTGTGCCTCTTGAATTTGTTTAGGTTGCATTGTTTTTGCATTTTGAACTTTTGGATTATAAACTCATCTTCAGCAGGGCTTGTCTGTGGGAATCTTGTGAGGTTTGGATTGAAGGCATGTCTTCCAAATTTACATTTGCTTCCTCCAGGTGACTTACAGGTCCTAGACCAAATTCTAAGTTAATTTATTAGCTTGTGGTGTTGTTGTTGGGGGGGTGGTTTCCTGGATCATGTATGCTTTGTTCATAAAGAGAATTAGGCTTATATTTACACATTCTCAAAGGAGGTTTATCTGTAGTCCCCTGCCCTTCCCCCCACATACCCAGAGCTGAGGTAAAGACAAAGAAGCTTTATTTGGGAGGTTGAGGCAGGTGGATTGCTTGAGCCCAGGAGTTCAAACCAGTCTGGCCAACATGGCAAAACCCTGACTGTACAAAAAATACAAAAAATTAGCCGGGCATGGTGGCACACGCCTGTAGTCCCAGCTACTTTGGAGGCTGAGGCAGGCAGATCACTTGATCCCAGAAGGTGGAGGTTACAGTGAGCTGAGATTGTGCCACTGCACTTCAGACTGGGTGACAAAGTGAGAATCCATACCCCCCAAAAAATAAAAAGAAGGAAGCTTCCTTTTGTTTCCCTCTGTGGTGGCAGTGGAATATCTTCTGGTCCATTGTTTCTCTGTGGGAGTAGCCTCTGTGTGTGTGTGTGTGTGTGTGTGTGTGTGTCTGTGTGTGTGTGTGTGTGTGTGTGTTTGTCTGTGAATGTGTGTGTCTGTGTCTGTGAAAGCGTGTGTTTGTATAGGTCTGTGCATGTGTGTGAGTGTGTGAATGTGTAGGTCTGTCTGTGTGTCTTTGTGTATGTCTGTGCATGTGTGTGTGTGAGAATGTGTGAGTGTGTCTGTGTGTGTGTGTTTATGCCTCTGCATGTGAGTGTGTGTATGTTTGTGAATGTGTGTCTGTTTGTGTATGTCTGTGTATGTGAGTGTGTGTGCATGTGAATGTGTGTCTGTGTGTTGCTGCTCAGCTCCAATTCTCCACACAGCACAGGCCCAGGGCCTGGACCCCTAGCAGGTAAGCCCTGGCCCTCGGCTTCTGAGCCACCTTTCACTCTGTTTCTCCAGAGAGGAGTCAAAGGTCAATTCATGGGC
This sequence comes from Homo sapiens, assembly GCF_000001405.40. NCBI lineage: Eukaryota > Metazoa > Chordata > Mammalia > Primates > Hominidae > Homo > Homo sapiens. Next base: position 41,346,856 of record NC_000004.12, read on the forward strand.
TTACTGCTCTGGCTTTATGTTTCCTCTTGTTTGCCTCCGGGGGATTTCTGTTCATTCCTTTTCAGCTCAGCTATGCATGCAAAGAATATAATTTATAGTTTGTGTGGCATTTATAGAGTTTTGTAAGAGGAAAATGATTCAGTATGTCATAGTCTAGGAATTAGAATTGTTATTCACATTATTTTTGAATGGCTTAAAACCTTAAAGCAATGATGAATTCAGAGTAGTTTTTAAGACTTCCCTAAAGATTTTCATACTTACTTTTTCATGTTGAGAGTCACTATGTTATGGGAACACACAAAAAGTGACTAATATTGCCTTGGTGGCTAAGGAAGTCTTCACCAAAAAGGTGACATTTAAGGCAGAACTTTGAAGATGAGAAATTTATTGAATACTTATTAACATCCAACCATAAGTCTTCAAAGTATAATATATGATGACATTTGGAGTTTGTCTTTGTCCAATGGATTTATCTCATTTTATATTCTAACATATTAATAAGAAGTAATCACTTTATATATTAATAAATATGCATATTTAATATATAATGCCACCAAAGTTATCATTACTAGCCATGATTTCTAAGTTCCAGGCAAGAAAATAAGTGCATTATAAATAAAACAGACTCAGAGAGATTCAATAATGTTTTTGTTCATATAACAAAATGAGCGACAGGGTCGGAATCAAACTGAAGTGTGTCAGTCATGAAATGTGTCCCTCTGGGAGCTGAACTGACCAAGGGCCCCAGTTGTTGCTCTTTGAAATCCATTGTCTTGTTTGTACTGAGGCCACACTTCCCACTGGGCTTTTCCCAGTCAGTTACTGAAAATGGCAGGGACTAAGGCAGACCTGTTCCTGGGAGACCCAGGACTCCTCTGAGGCTGACTTTGGCTCAAGGACCTTCTGATGGCCTTGCTGAGCTTTGAACTCAATGGCAGCCTGAAGTCGCTTCTACCCAACAACCTTCCTTCCTTCTCTTCTTCACTCTGGGTCAGACTTGCATTGCGCTCTGACTGCTTCCTCAGCATTTTTCCAGGTCCCTCTGTGTTTTCTCTCATTTGATAAAATCTTTGCATGTTTAATTCTGTCTCTTATTCTTCTTTCTTTTCTTTTTTTTTTTTCTTTTTTTTGAGATGGAGTCTCGCTCTGTCGCCCAGGCTGGAGTGCAGTGGCATGGTCTCAGCTCACTGCAACTTCTGCCTCCCAGTTTCCAGTGATTCTTCTGTCTCAGCCTCCTGAGTAACTGGGATTACATGCATGTCCACCATGCCTGGCTAGTTTTTATATTTTTAGTAGAGATGGGGTTTCACCATGTTGGCCAGGCAGGCCTCAAACTCCTGACCTCAGGTGATCCACCCATCTCGGCCTCCCAAAATGCTGGGATTACAGGCATGAGCCACCATGCCCTACCTAATTCTCCATTTTTTTTTTTTTTTTTTTTTTTTCTGGAGATGAGGTCTCACTCTGTCACCCAGCCTGGAGTGTAGTGGTGCAGTCACAGCTCACTGCAGCCTGGAACTCCTGCATACAAGCGATCTTCCCACTTCAGCCTCCTAAGTAGCTAGGACTACAGGCATGCACCAGGCACATGCAGCTAATTTATTTATTTGTTTGTTTTTGTAGAGATGGGTGGGGGGGTCTCCGTATGTTGCTCAGGCTGGTCTCGAACTCTTGGTCTCAAATTATTCTCCTGCCTCAGCCTCCCAAAGTGTTGGCATTACAGGCATAAGCCACCATGCCCAGCCTAATTTCTACTTTGGTGTCTGCTTCTCAGAAGACCAAGACTATCACACTGTTTGACCTCAAAACCTATGCTCTTAAAAAAAATTAACTAAAAATCGATCAAAGACCTAAATGTAAGAGCTACAGCAATAAAACTCTTACAAGTAAACAGCATAAATCTTCATGACCTTGGATTAGTCAATGCTTTCTTAGATATGACACCAAAAGCACCAGCAACAAAAGAAAAAAATAAATAATTAGACCTCATCAGAATGAAAAACTCTGGTACTTCAAAGGACACCACTAAGAAAGTGAAAAGTCCCACTACCAAATGGCAGAAGATATTTGCAAACCATATATCTGGATAAGAGATTTGTATCTAGAATATATAAAGAACTCTTATAACTCAATGATAAAAAGAGAAATAACAACTAAGAATGGACAAAAGTTCTGAATAGACATTTCTCTGAAGAATATGTACAAATGGCCAAAAAGCACAAGAAAAGATGTCTGGCATCATTAGCCATCAGGGAAATGCAAACTAAACCCACAACCAGATACCACAACCAGATACACACTAGGATAGCTATAATAAAAAAACTTGGCAAGTGTTGGCAAGGATGTGGAGAAATTGGAAACTTTATACACTGCTGCTGGGAATGTAAAAGGATGCAGCTGCTGAGGAAAAGTCTGGTCATTCATCAAAAGATTAAACATAGAGTTATCATATGACCCAGCAATTCTACTTTTTCTCCTATACTGAAGAGAAATGAAAACATTTGTCCATACAAAATCTTGTGCATGAATGTTGATAAGCAGCATTATTCATAATAACCAACAAGTGGAAAGAACTGAAGTATCCATCAACTGATGAATGGGAGGGTCCGTTCCAAGATGGCTGAATAGGAACAGCTCCGGTCTGTAGCTCCCAGCGTGACTGACGCAGAAGACGTGTGATTTCTGCATTTCCAACTGAGGTACCTGGTTCATCTCACTGGGACTGGTTGGACAGTGGGTGCTGCCCATGAAGGGTGAGCCGAAGCAGGGTGGGGCATTGCCTCACCTGGGAAGTGCAAGGGGTTGGGGGATTTCCCTTTCCTAGCCAAGGGAAGCCATGACAGACTGTACCAGGAAAAGCGCGACACTGCCACCCAAATACTGTGCTTTTCCAATGGTCTTAGCAAATGGCACACCAGGAGATTATATCCCGGGCGTGACTCAGCGGGTCCCATGCCCATGGAGCCCCGCTCACTGCTAGCACAGCAGTCCATGATTTAACTGTGAGGTGGCAGCCTGGCTGGGGGAGGAGCGTCCGCCATTGCTGAGGCTTGAGTAGGTAAACAAAGCCGCCGGGAAGCTTGAACTGGGTGGAGCCCACCACAGCTCAACAAGGCCTGCCTGCCTCTGTAGACTCCACTTCTGGAAGTAGGGCATAAGTGAACAAAAGGCAGCAGAAACTTCTGCAGACTTAAACGTCCCTGTCTGATGGCTCTGAAGAGAGCAGTGGTTCTCCCAGCGTGGTGTTTGAGCTCTGAGAATGGGCAGACTGCCTCCTCAAGTGGGTCCCTGACCCACATGTTGCCTAACTGGGAGACACCTCCCAGTAGGGGCCGACTGACACCTCATACAGCTGGGTGCCCCTCTGAGATGAAGCTTCCAGAGGAAGGATCAGGCAGCAATATTTGCTGTTCTGCAGCCTCCGCTGGTGATACCCAGGGAAACAGGGTCTGGATTGGACCTCCAGCAAACTCCAACAGACCTGCAGCTGAGGGACCTGACTGTTAGAAAGAAAACTAACAAACAGAAAGGAATAGCATCAACATCAACAAAAAGGACATCCACACCAAAACCCCATCTGTAGGTCACCATCATCAAACACCAAAGGTAGATAAAACCACAAAGATGGGGAGAAAGCAGAGCAGAAAAGCTGAAAATTCTAAAAACAAGAGCACCTTTTCTCCTCCAAAAGATCACAGCTCCTCACCAGCAATGGAACAAAGCTGGACGGAGAATGACTTTGACAAGTTGACAGAAGTAGGCTTCAGAAGGTCGGTAATAACAAACTTCTCTGAGCTAAAGGAGGATGTTTGAACCCATTGCAAGGAAGCTAAAAACCCTGAAAAAAGATTAGATGAATGGCTAATTAGAATAAACAGTGTAGAGAAGACCTTACATGACCTGATGGAGCTGAAAACCATGGCACGAGAACTACATGATGCATGCACAAGCTTCAGTAGCCAATTCCGATCAAGTAGAAGAAAGGGTATCAGTGATTGAAGATCAAATTAATGAAATGAAGTGAGAAGAGAAGTTTAGAGAAAAATGAGTAAAAAGAAATGAACAAAGCCTCCAAGAAATATGGGACTATGTGAAAAGACCAAATCTACGTTTGATGGGTGTACCTGAAAGTGACAGGGAGAATGGAACCAAGCTGGAAAACACTCTGCAGGATATTATCCAGGAGAACTTCCCCAACCTAGCAAGACAGGCCAACATTCAAATTCAGGAAATACAGAGAACACCACAAAGATACTCCTCGAGAAGAGCAACCCCAAGACAGATAATTGTCAGTTTCACCAAGGTTGAAATGAAGGAAAAAATGTTAAGGGCAGCCAGCAAGAAAGGTCGGGTTACCCACAAAGGGAAGCCCATCAGACTAACAGCTGATCTCTCAGCAGAAACTCTACAAGCCAGAAGAGAGTGGGGGCCAATATCCAACATTCTTAAAGAAAAGAATTTTCAACCCAGAATTTCATATCCAGCCAAACTAAGCTTCATAAGTGAAGGAGAAATAAACTCCTTTACAGACAAGCAAATGCTGAGAGATTTTGTCACCACCAGGCCTGCCTTACGAGAGCGCCTGAAGGAAGCACTAAACTTGGAAAGGGACAACCGGTACCAGCCACTGCAAAAACATACCAAATTGTAAAGACCATTGATGCTGGGAAGAAACTGCATCAACTAACGGGCAAAATAACCAGCTAACATCATAATGACAGGATCAAATTCACACATAACAATATTAACCTTAAATGTAAATAGGATAAATGCCCCAATTAAAAGACACAGACTAGCAAATTGGATAAAGAGTCAAGACACATCAGTGTCCTGTATTCAGGAGACCCATCTCACGTGCAAAGACACACATAGGCTCAAAATAAATGGATGGAGGAAGATCTATCAAGCAAATGGAGAGACAAAAAAAAAAAAAAGCAGGAGTTGCAATCCTAGTCTCTGATAAAACCAACTTTAAACAGACGAAGATCAAAAGAGACAAAGAAGGCCATTACATAATGGTAAAGGGATCAATTCAACAAGAAGAGCTAACTATCCTAAATATATATGCACCCAACACAGGAGCACTCAGATTCATAAAGTAAGTCCTTAGAGACCTACAAAGAGACTTAGACTCGCACACAATAATAATGGGAGACTTTAACACCCCACTGTCAATATTAGACAGATCAACGAGACAGAAGGTTAACAAGGATATCCAGGACTTGAACTCAGTGCTGCACCAAGCAGACCTAATAGACATCTACAGAACTCTCCACCCCAAATCCACAGAATATACATTCTTCTCAGCACCACATCACACTTATTCTAAAATTGACCACATAATTGGAAGTAAAGCACTCCTCAGCAAATGTAAAAGAACAGAAATCACAACAAACGTCTCTCGGATCACAGTGCGATCAAATTAGAACTCAGGATTAAGAAACTCACTCAAAACCGCACAACTACATGGAAACATGGAACAACCTGCTCCTGAATGACTACTGGGTAAATAATGAAATGAAGGCAGAAATAAAGATGTTCTTTGAAACCAATGAGAACAAAAACACAACGTACCAGAATCTCTGGGACACATTTAAAGCAGTACGTAAAGGGAAATTTATAGCACTAAATGCCCACAAGAGAAAGCAGGAAAGATCTAAAATCGACACCCTAACATCACAATTAAAAGAACTAGAGAAGGAAGAGCAAACAAATTCAAAAGCTAGCAGACGGCAAGAAATAACTAAGATCAGAGCAGAACTGAAGGAGATAGAGACACAAAAAACCCTTCAAAAAATCAATGAATCCAGGAGCTGGTTTTTTGAAAAGATCCACAAAATTGATAGACTGCTAGCAAGACTAATAAAGAAGAAAAGAGAGAAGAATCAAATAGATGCAATAAAAAATGATAAAGGAGATATCACCACCGATCCCACAGAAATACAAACTACCATCAGAGAATACTATAAACACCTCTATGCAAATAAACTAGAAAATCTAGAAGAAATGGATAAATTCCTGGACACATATCCCCTCCCAAGACTAAACCAGGAAGAAGTTGAATCCCTGAATAGACTAATAACAGGCTTTGAAATGGAGGCAATAATTAATAGCCTACCAACTAAAAAAAGTCCAGGACAAGACGGATTCACAGCCGAATTCTACCAGAGGTACAAAGAGGAGCTGGTACCATTCCTTCTGAAACTATTCCAATCAATAGAAAAGAGGGAATCCTCCCTAACTCATTTTATGAGGCCAGCATCATCCTGATACCAAAGCCTGGCAGAGACACAACAGAAAAAGATAATTTTAGACCAATATCTCTGATGAACATCAATGTGAAAAGCCTCAAAAAAATACTGGCAAACCGAATCCAGCAGCATATCAAAAAGCTTATCCACGAAGATCAAGTTGGCTTCATCCCTGGGATGCAAGGCTGGTTCAACATACGTAAATCAATAAACGTAATCCATCACATAAACAGAACCAAAGACAAAAAAACACATGATTATCTCAATAGATGCAGAAAAGGCCTTTGACAAAATTCAACAGCCCTTCATGCTAAAAACTCTCAATAAAATAGGTATTGATGGAATGTATCTCAAAATAATAAGAGCTATCTATGACAAACCCACAGCCAATATCAAACTGAATGGGCAAAAACTGGAAGCATTCCCTTTGAAAACTGGCACAAGACAGGGATGCCCTCTCTTACCACTCCTATTCAACATAGTGTTGGAAGTTCTGACCAGGACTATCATCCAAGAGAAAGAAGTAAAGGGTATTCAATTAGGAAAAGAGGAAGTCAAATTGTCCCTGTTTGCAGATGACTTGATTGTATATTTAGAAAACCCTATCGTCTTGCCCAAAATCTCCTTAAGCTGATAAGCAAATTCAGCAAAGTCTCAGGATACAAAATCAATGTGCAAAAATCACAAGCATTCCTATACACCAATAATAGACAAACAGAGAGCCAAATCATGAGTGAACTCCCATTCACAATTGCTACAAATAGAATAAAATACCTAGGAATCCAACTTACAAGGGATGTGAAGGACCTCTTCAAGGAGAACTAAAAAACACTGTTCAACAAAATAAAAGAGGACACAAACAAATGGAAGAACATTCCATGCTCATGGATAGGAAGAATCAATATTGTGAAAATGGCCATACTGTCCAAGGTAATTTATAGATTCAATGCCATCCCCATTAAGCTACCAATGACTTTCTTCACAGAATTGGAAAAAACTACTTTAAGGTTCATGTGGAACCAAAAAAGAGCCCGCATTGCCAAGACAATCCTAAGCAAAAAGAACAAAGCAGGAGGTGTCATGCTACCTGACTTCAAACTATACTACAAGGCTACCGTAATCAAAACAGCATGGTACTGGTACCAAAACAGAGATATAGACCAATGGAACAAAACAGAGGCCTCAGAAATAACACCACACATCTACAACCATCTGATCTTTGACAAACCTGACAAAAACAAGAAATGGGGAAAGGATTCTCTATTTAATAAATGGTGCTGGGAAAACTGGCTAGTCATATGTAGAAAGCTGAAACTGGATCCCTTCTTTACACCTATACAAAAATTAATTCAATGTGGATTAAACGCTTAAATGTTAGACCTAAAACCATAAAAACCCTAGAAGAAAACCTAGGCAATACCATTCAGGTCATAGGCATGGGCAAGGACTTCATGACTAAAACACCAAAAGCAATGGCAACAAAAGCCAAAATTGATAAATGGGATCTAATTAAACTAAAGAGCTTCTGCACAGCAAAAGAAACTACCATCAGAGTGAACAGGTAACCTACAGAATGGGAGACAATTTTTGCAATCTACCTATCTGACAAAGGGATAATATCTAGAATCTACAAAGAACTTACACAAATTTACAAGAAAAAATCAAACAACCCATCAAAAAGTGGGCAAAGGATATGAACAGACACTTCTCAAAAGAAAACATTTATGCAGCCAACAGACACATGAAAAAATGCTCATCATCACTGGTCGTCAGAGAAATGCAAATAAAAACCACAATGAGATACCATCTCACACCAGTTAGAATGGCGATCATTAAAAAGTCAGGAAACAACAGGTGCTGGAGAAAATATGGAGAAATAGGAATGCTTTTACACTGTTGGTGGGACTGTAAACTAGGCAACCATTGTGGAAGACAGTGTGGCGATTCCTCAAGGATCTAGAACTAGAAATACCATTTGACCCAGCCATCCCATTACTGGGTATATACCCAAAGGATTATAAATCATGCTACTATAAAGACACATGCACATGTATGTTTATTGCGGCAGTATTCACAATAGCAAAGACTTGGAACCAACCCAAATGTCCATCAATGATAGACTGGATTAAGAAAATGTGGCACATATACACCATGGAATACTATGTGGCCATAAAAAAGGATGAGTTCATGTCCTTTGTAGGGACATGGATGAAGACGGAAACCATCATTCTGAGCAAACCTTCGCAAGGACAGAAAACCAAACACTGCATGTTCTCACTCATAAGTGGGAATTGAACAAGGAGAACACTTGGACACAGGGTGGAGAACATCACACACCAGGGCCTGTTGTGGGGTAGGGGGAGGGGGGAGGGATAGCATTAGGAGAAATACCTAATGCAGATGACGAGTTAATGTGTGCAGCAAACCAACATGGCACATGTATACCTTTGTAACAAACCTGCACGTTGTGCACATGTACCCTAGAACTTAAAGTATAATTAAAAATAAATAAATAAATAAATACATAAATGGGTATACCAACCATATAAGATCATTGTAAGGATTAAGTGACAAAATGTGTGTTAGATTCTTGCTACAAATAATGTGCTAAATATATGTAAACTGTCTAAAAAAAAAAACCTGATGAATGGATATACAAAATACATAGCCATACAATGGCATATTATTTGGCAATAAAAAGGAACGAAGTACTGATACATGCTGCAACATGAATGAACCTTAATATCATGCTCATGAAGTCACACACAAAGGGCCACATATTGTATGATTCCATTTATATGAAATGTCCAGAACAGGCAAATGTATGGAGACAGAAAGTAGAGTCATGGTTGCCAGGGCTCAGTCAGATGAGGTAAAAATGTGCCAAAACTGAATGTGGTGATACTTGCACAACTCTGTGAATATACTAAAAACCATTGACTTGTACACTTTAAATAGCTGGATAGTAGGGTATGTGAATCACATCTCAATAAAGCTGTTACCAAAAAAACAAAACAAAACAAAACAAAAAAACCCACCAACAACCCACCTATATTCTTTGAATACACTACATCTCTAATTTGGCACTTATCATATAGTATTTTGTCTTATGGTTTTTTCCCAGTCATAATTGGCCGGGCACAGTGGCTCTCCCCTGTAATCCCAGCACTTTGGGAGGTGGGGGAGCTGGGTAGATCACTTGAGGTCAAGAGTTCGAAACCAGCCTGGCCAATATGGTAAAACCCCATCTCTACTAAAAAACAAACAAACAAACAAACAAACAAACAAACAAAATTAGCCAGGCATGGTGGTGGGTGCCTGTAATCCCAGCTACTTAGGAGGCTGAGGCAAGAGAATTGCTTGAACCCTGGTGGTGGAGTTGCAGTGAGCCGAGATCACGCCACTGCACTCTAGCCTGGGTGATAGAGTGAGACTCTGTTTCAAAAAAACAAAAACAAAAACAAAAAACCCCAAAATGTTACTTCATACCCCCCAAATCATGATAATCTCTGAATTGTGGGGTTTCTTCAAGATTTATTTTCTTCATTATATTTTCCAAATTTTCTCCAATGGCACATATTACTTTTATATTTGAAAGAACTACATTATAGAGAAATGAAAATATCATTTCACTAACAAAGTACTACGAAGTACTACTGAGCCATAGAAAAGAATGAGATTCTGTCATTTGCAACAACATGGATGGAACAGGAGGTCATTGTGATAAGTGAAATAAACCAGGCACAGAAAGACAAACTTAGCATGTTCTCACCTATTTGTGGGAGCTAAAAATTAAAACAATTGAACTCATGGAGATAGCAGACTGATGGCTACCAAAGGCTGGGAAGGGTAGTTGTGGTGGGGATTGGATTGGAAGTGGGGATGGTTAACGGGTACAAAAAATAGGAAGAATAAATAAGATCTAGTATTTGATAGCACAACAGGGTGACTATAGTGAATAATTTAATTGTAAATTTAAAAATAACTAGGCTGGGCATGGTGGCTCATGCCTGTAATCCCAGCACTCTGGGAGGCCAAGGTGGGCAGATCATGAGGTCAGGAGATCAAGACCATCCTGGCCAAAATGGTGAAACCCTGTCTCTACTAAAAATACAAAACATAGCCGGGCGTGGTGGCGGGCGCCTGTAATCCCAGCTACTTGGGAGGCTGAGGCAGGAGAATCACTTGAACCTAGGAGGTGGAGGTTGCAGTAAGCCCAGATTGAGCCACTGCACTTCAGCCTGGGTGACAGAGCAAGACTCTGTCTCAAAAACAAACAAACAAACAAAAACTAAAAGAGTATAATTGGATTATTTGTAACACAAAAGATAAATGCTTGAGGTGATGGATATGCCATTTACTTTGGTGTGATTATTACATATTTTATGCCTTTATCAAAATATCCCATATACTTCATAGATGTATATACCAGGTATATACCCACAAAAATTAAAAATTTAAATAAATAAAAAAAAACACAAAATTATTAGCTCCTAAAGGGCATAGTCTGTGTCCCCTTGTGGATTCTTCTGTATCTTCCACATAGTAGGTTCTTAACAACTATTTATGGATATTATTGATAGCAGCACTAGGTTTGAATTCTATTATGGTTCTAAGTCTGTGGGTCTTTGCTAGCGTGAATTTGTGATTGGTAAAAGCTCAGAAAAAGCAAATGTTACCTTATGATTATAAACCTTAAAAGATGTAAAATGTATTTTCACTGAAGGAAAAAAGTTTTATTTAAATGCCAATTTCAATGCCAGATATATTAGAGATATGATAAAATTTAATACTCATTTTCAAATGGATTTAGATATACCATCTGGGCTAGCTCGCTTCCCTTCCTCCTAGTTACTCCATGCAGTGGAACCTGCCTATATTAGCCCATTCTCACACTGCTATAAACACATACCTGAGACTGGGTAATTTATAAAGAAAAGAGGTTTAATTGACTCATAGTTCCACATGGCTGGGGAGGCCTCAGGAACTTACAATCATGGCAGAAGGAGATGGAGAAGCAAGTGCCTTCTTCACAAGGCGGCAGGAGAAAGAGAACAAAGAGGGAACTGCCAGACACTTTTAAGCCATCAGATTTTATGAGAACTCATTCACTACCATGAGAACAGCACGGTGGAAACTGCTCCCATGATCTAATCACCTCCCACCAGGTCCCTTCCTCAACATGTAGGGATTACAATTCAGATTATAATTCAAGATGAGATTTGGGTGGGGACATGGAGCCAGATCATATCACTGCCCAAAGCCATATATTGTATTAGTGTACCAGAGTCATTTTGTGGACTGTTTGCTTTGCCATGTTTCTTTATGGAAACAAGGTCATCTTCTGCCCACACGTCTTTAGCCCTTTCCCATGCTTGCCTTCTTTATCTCTTCTTTGTATACTTTTCCCTCCCTCTGTTTTGGACAGCAGGGTGGAGGTGAGGATCAGTGGTCTGTACTCAGCAACTGCTTGTTTGTCAGGTCCAGCTTTGGTCTGTTTACATTCAGTCCCCTTGTTCGTGCCTTTCACAATGATTCTGCTGGATGACTATATCCACCTCATTTTAGGTGAGGAAACTGAGGGACACACTGTAAGTGGGAGTCTGGACAGGACTGGTAAGACAGCTTGGTGTGCAGTTAGGAGCAAATCTGGCGCCAGGCTGTCTGGGCTTGAATCCAACCCTCCCTGTCCACCAGCTCTGTCCCCTGGTTTCCTCGTAGGGATGATAACAGTCCTATCTTACAGAGCTGGAATAAGGACTGAGTTAGTCAATTATTTGTAATGCACTTAGAACAGTGCCTGGCACAGTATAAGTGCCACGTAAGTGTTTTCAAAGCAAATAAACTAAAGCCTGTCTGACTCCAAAGCTGGTAATGGTGGAATTTGAGGCCTGCTTTTTGTTCCATTCCCCTATTATAGCAGCAGAATTGGACAAAGATTAAACTCGGATTCTGGATGGGGAACAGAGATTTAGAGGCTGAGGCACCCAGGGACCTCCAGCCACCGTCAGAAACCTCTTGTTAGCAGCCATTCTGAAGAGGGGAATCCATTAGCTTGAGGTTAGGCCAAGAATACTGAGCTCCTCCGGACCCAGCGCTGGGCTCACGTAGGTCAGAGCTCCCTGGTGGCCTACCAGGGTATACCCAGGCAACAATCTAAAAGGTAGTGTGTGCCCCCTCACCCGCAGGCGGGACCTGGCCTGCCTCTCCCATGCTATCATTCCCGCCTGGTGCTCTCCACACCAGCTCCAGTCTTGCTGGCCCGCTGTGGGCTCCTCCACGGGGAAGCTCATTCCTACCTTAAGGCCTTGGCATCCATCTGGAATTCTTCCCCCAAATTGTTACACAGTTAAATCTCCCTCACTCATGTCACCTCTTCAGGACATTTCCTTACAGACACCTTCCTTGATCGTCACTTGGGCTGTAGTGCAAAACAGAAGGCATGCTCAAGTGGGAGTGGCCAAGGAGAGTTTAAAGGAAGGGTTAGAAAGAAGTGAGCCGGATCGGGAGACCATTATGGGATGGGGAAGCCTTTACCATACCTAGGCCTGGGAGGTTGAGTGGGACAAGAGGAGATGAGGAACCTTCTGGAAACCCCCTAACCACCTGCAGGAAGGGACGAGATAAATAAATGCACGTCTCTCTTCAGCTCACTGACCATCTGCCTACCTCCCGTTAATGGAACCGCGACTCACAGGTCAGCCTCCCAGCCAAAAGGGGGGAAGGCTATCGGAAATTACCCCGCGCTTTTTCTTTCCATGTCATTATCTTCTCCTCTTTTATCTTAACAACACCCGCCACAATTATCTTCTTTTGATTTACATGTTTATTGTCTGTCCCGGCCCCCAATTCCCTCTACAATGTAGATACCTCGAGGGCAAGGACTTCCAGGTAGGGTGTGTGTGGGTAGGGTGTGTAGGGTGTGTGTGTGTGTGTGTGTGTGTGTGTGTGTTTCCATCTCTGCGTCCCCAGCGCCTGGCCCAGTGCCTGACGCATAGTAGGTGCACAGTGACTGTTGGTTGACTGCATCGACAGACTAGGACACAGGTAGCCTTCCTGGAGAAGAAAAGCTCATCAGGGTCGTTTTTCTTTTTCTTCTTACAAAAAGATCAGGTGGCTGTGTACTTCCCGGCGCCGGGCCAGGGGCTGCCCCGCCTTGCCCCTACCTCTGCGGCCAGGAAGGACTGCAGGTGCTGCGCGGCCAGTGCCCGCGCGTCCTACTGCTCCGGTGCCGCAGCGCCCGCTCCCCCGGGCCCGGGTGCGCCCCACTGGGCGCGCGTCTCCCATATGATGCCAGACCCATCCGCCCGCCCCTCAGCAGCCGGCGGGGCGCAGGGACGTGCGGGGCGGCCAGCGGATTCCCTCTATCGGGCCGGGTGTGAACGGGAGGGAGACACGCAGCGCTCGCTCCGGGTTATTTTTAGTCCGTAGCTGTGCTCCCCCTCCCCGGGGGCGGAGCGGCCCTCGAAGGTGGGGAGGAGAAGAAGCTCCCGGCGCCTCCGCGCTCGCTCCCGCGGGTCACTCACGGCGCGTTGGAGCCCGGGCGGCGCCGGGAACAGCTGCCGCGGCGTCCTCTAGCAGCGCGCGGCTCTCCCGGGACCTGCGCCGGCCGGGGGCGGGGAGAGGCGGGGAGGGGAGGCCGGCGGGCGGGAAGGGGCGGGGAGCGCGCTCCTGCGGCGGCGACGGCGGCGGCCGTCCTCATCCCGGCGCTTGAGAGGACGCGGGGCTGCGCAAATGGCTTGTCCCGCTCTCGGTCTGGAAGCTCTTCAGCCCCTGCAGCCCGAGCCGCCCCCCGAGCCCGCCTTCTCCGAGGCGCAGAAGTGGATTGAGGTAGGTGCGGGTGGCTGGCGGGCGGCCTTGCACTGGCGCCCTGAGCCACGGACCCGCGCACGCTCCGACCGCAGGTCCAGCCTTGCCTCCCCCCAACCGCCCCCACTTTCTTTTGCCAGCTGCTCCAGGTCACCCCCCCGGGCCTCGGCGAGCCGCGAAACCTTAGCGCTTTGGCATTGGAATCCCGGGCGAGGGTGGGCGTGAAAGGGGACACTGCAGTCTAGCTGCGCGCGTGAGGGCAGGAAGGGATCCCCTGCGCGTCCATCCTTCCTGCCCGCTGGCCTCGCAAATCTCAGCTAGCGCCGCTTCCAGGCGCTGCCAAGGGAAGCGCAGTGCTAGCAAAGCGTTGCAAAGGCGCAGGAAGCGCGAGCCCCCAGAGACTTCACCGGTGCTCGCATTTCGGGGTATCTTGCTTCTGGTCCCACATTTCGCCCCTTGTCCCCCTACCCCGCACCCTTCCGGAGCAGAGTTGGCAGTGTCTTCACGGAGGCGCATACCCACCGGAGCCTCTTGCTGTATTCCTGGCACCGGGTCAGGTGTGAGGCTGGCACAGTGCGCAGGGCGGGGGTAGCTTGCAAGACCCACCTGCGAGCACGCATCCGCATAGACGCTGCCCAGCCTTTGGCAACCCCCGCCCCTCTCCATCCCAAGGACTGCAGGGTCGGTTCCGAAGTACGGGCTACCCGGTCTGGTTGGCATATTTCACTTCTTAAATAACTCGTTGGCAGGCCAGGGAAATCACTGGAGCTCTCGGCTCTCAGTCCCGGAAGCGCTCACTGGGTGATCCTGATTCACGATGTCTATCAGTAGATGCAGCTTGGTAGCCCCGAGCTCCCGAAATGAACTGTCTGCGGGGTTCAGGACGCTTGAAGGGCATGAAGGGGAAAGGTGACCCCCTATGATTAGTGCAAGGAGCCTCAGCTTCAATGGGTGGCCTTTCTGGAGGCTTAGTGGAAGGTATGAATTTGGCCTTGTTTCCCTCAGTGACAAGCAGCCCTCTTTGCCTGGTAGTTCAGAGGAGGAAGTGTATCGCTAAATCATGACCCAGCAATGTTGAAGCTTCCAGAATTCCGCCTGTCACTTAGTGACTCCCCACTCCGTTCAGCATTGTGGTTCCCAAGAAGCTGCTAGAGTAACAAGAGCTCCACGTACAGATTTAAACCTGCTGAGCTTCCTGCAGAAACCACCCTCACTTAATGCTGCTCTCCTGCTCCAGCCAGAGACCTGTACCCTACAGGGTTAACCTGCTTCCCGCAAGCAAGAGTGCTACTTGAGTATAGAAACATCTGTTTGAAAATAGGGTTCAAGAAACAGAACAATGAACATCAGGGCTGTCTTGCTGAAAGCCCCAGGCATGTCTCATAATTTGATAACTCACCATCAGATGAGAAAAAGACCTTGGCTTTTTATTTTTGATATGTGGCTGGAACGGTTTGGCGTGTGACAGGTGCTCTGCCTGTGTTGCGTACTTATGCTCCCAGGATACACAGGAAGCATTTGTAGTTACTGGCTTATTGCAGAGTTGGATAACTATTTTTCAGGTTCTTGAACTCTAAAATTCTCAGGAGAGACTTCGAGTGTGGGTGGGGGTAAGGGGAGGATCTAGAAGCAGAACAGTCTTTACTATTCTTGAAGGCAAGTGATTTATTCTCAATTTCCTTAACTGTATCATTGACATATTCTGCTTTAAAAATGTATTGTGGTATGAGTTACACATGTAAAAGTGCACAAATCTGAAGTGTACACCTCCATGAATTTTGACATATGTATATTACTATAGCCCCCACCTAAATCAAGATACAAAATGTCTCCTTTGGCCCAGATTACAGTTTGCTTTTAAGTGGTAGTATATTTCAGGCTATTATGCAGTGCAGAATATTAGCTTTAATATCACGTTTAAGAAAAGGAAGAAGGGATTCCTTAAGACAGTAGAACCTCATTAAGCCCTATAGACAGTTTGGGATTGTTCTTGATGCTTTACCATTCATACCAATTTAAGAATGTGAAAACCGTAATGGGGCATGCGTGGCTTTAGGACCAGGCAGCCCAGGCGAGCTGCGTGTGCATTATTGAAGTGGCCTATCTCCTTTCAATTGTTGGGTTCAGTTTCAGGGAAAGGAGAGCTTCCCCCTCCCAGGCTATATAAAAAGGTAATTGCTCCAGGGGAAAGATAGAGACCTCCCCCTTCCTTCCCAGAGGTTCTTCTTGAAATGTAAATGCCGAGTCTGCAAACCACGGGAACCCAGAAGTTGTAACAGATGGTTTTGCATGCAGTTGCCTTGTGAACAAAGATTCCTCAGCTAATACAGCAATAATGTAGTACTTAGGGGCAGTGAATCCCCGGGTGGGGGGGCGGATTGGGGATTGGTATCTCGAGACAATTGCAACTCCTCTAGGGGCCCCATTGTCTCTGGCAGCATCCTCATTGGTAGGGCTTTGTTTTTACTTTTATTCAGTTGGTGATTAAATTTCCCATAGGTTTTTTTTCTTTCTTTCTTCTTTTTGAGTAGTCAGGAATTTCACCCTTTCATAAAAATGTTCCCTTGGGTGGAGCAAGTTAATAAACAAACTTTGCTGCTTGTCTCGCCTCGATTCTTGGTCTTCCTTGAGTCATGGATTGGCAAGAAAACATTCATTCTTAATAAAGGCTCAGGGAACCAGATCCAGGACGTAACTTGTTAGTGAGGAATTTCTCGGCGTGCAGCCTTGGCTATTTGAGGACCGTGTTACTGGGCAGGAAATGTGGCCTGGGAACGATTCCCCCACTTCAGCCCCCTTCCCCTCACTCCTTCCTTAGTTGGCAAAGGTGAAAGCTCTAACGGAGCACTAGATGGTCACAGACCACGTGGGGACAGCCCTTTAACACTCCTAGTGACTTTTTATAGCTGTAGGAACAGGTTGCACATCTAACTGTGTTTGGGAAGACTCCTAGAGGAGACAGCAAACTTGAAGTAGTAACTGTGGCTACCAGCAGGCAGGGGAGTGACTAACTTCTTTCCATACTACTTTTCTAGAAGGCCTTACTAAGCAGAACACAGTAGGTGAGAGGTCAGACCTTGGAGCTGGGCATCCTAGGTTTGAGTCCAGAGTCTGTTACTTTGTAGCTGGATGACCCTGAGCAAGCTACTTTTCCTTTACTGTGGTTCCAAATGATTTCTTTGGAAGATAGCTCTAGTTGTTAGCAACAACAAAAATGACTAAGAGTTATTATTGAGAGCATCTGTAAAACAGGATACTAATAACAGCTCACCTATTTCATAGGAGTGCTGTCAGGATTAAATCAATTAATATATTTAAAATGCTTAGAACAGTGCCCAGTACATAGGAAGTGCTGTGTAAGTATGGTTAGTAGTATTATTACCATTATTATTACCACTGCTGTTACTTTTACTACTACTATTATCATTATGATAATTATTACTACTACTGCTATTGCTATTGTTTTTTTCTGTTGTTAATAACAACTAAGGTTGATTTTGAAAGAAATGATTCAGAACACCAGATTTCCCGGGTAGAAAATATGATTCAATTGCCTACTGATTTCATCCTATTATCTCACTCTGTTAACTCTGGATACCTGGAGTCGAAGTTAACTAGATGCTACATGTCACTCTAATTTGCACTAAAAGTGACTTGGGGATCAGAGAAAAACCTTTAATATCTACTCATAAAGTGATCTTGGTAGTCCATCAAAGCTTAGAAAATTATTCTTCAATATTATGCTGAATATGTAAGTTTAATGTATAATCTTTGTTACCAAACTCCAAGCAGAATGCTCAATGCCTCTCCTCTTGTTCTTGTAGATGATCTAATATTAAATCATTATACAAATAATGGGTCCAAATATTCATCTAAATGCAGCAGAATTTTATTCACTGAGGTTGTGTCAACTCCTGCTAGGAATAAGAAGAATTCTTCCATTGATTTTCTTTCCCTCTTCCTCCCTTTTATTATTTCCTTCTTTTTTTTTGGTGGTATTTATTGAGTTACAAGAGTTTATTAGTAGGTTAGATGACTCTGATTTTCCTGATTCCCCGCTTCTCTTGGCCTCACCACCCACAACAATATTTATCTGTTCTAATCTGTGGTTCTTCTTTTCAGTGCCAAACACTTTCTGAAGAAACAGATGTCCTTCGACTTGGTTTCGGTTATGATTTGGAACAGGTTCCCAGGCCTTTAGGGAGGGACTGGAAATTTCAACCCAACTCAGCCTTATTTCTCAACTTGAGAAGTTCCTGGACTCCTTTACCTTCAATCAGAGTGTGCCCATGGGGCTTGGTGATGAATACAATCTTATTTGTGACCTAATCCATACTTCACAAGAGTGAGAACTAGTGCTGGAAGGGATCAGTTTCTCATTTTGGTTCATTCCCTGCTGCCCACATAGAATTGTTTTCTTATTCAGCTGGGACCTAATTCTGAAGATTAAAAACACTGAGGGTATCATAGCTCTCCAAGACCAAAAGATGCTTGTGTTGTTTGGCAGTAGGGAAAATTTATGAATAGCTTTTGAGATAATTTAGCATTTAATGGCCAGTAACATATGACTTTTGTGATGTAATACCATAAGTTATACATGTAGTCATTCTAATTCTCCACCTCTGTAGGGACTAGATTCTTAACATCTTTTTATCCCAACAGGTAGTTAACTTTGCAGATGGTCCTCCAGCTTTGCATAAGTTGCCAAGGAAGAGGAAGAAAAAACTTTTCTGGCTAGATCAAGGAAGGAGTAGTGGTCTGAATAGATATGTAAATGAGAGCAGGCGGCATCTTTCTCACAATGACATTTAAATAGTCTAGCTTGTTTGTATACAAGAGCAGCTATGACACAATGCTGTCACATGGTAGGAAAACAGTGAGGTCCCACAGATTTGGGGAAAGGGGATGCGGAATGGGAGGTGGAGCTGGCACTTCTTGCCCCGGCATCTCCCTGGAAACCAGTTGCATCAGGCGAGCTCCAAAGGGCAGACTGAGCACTGGCTACCAAGAAAGGGAAGGCTGAGCATGTGTTCTCAGCCACTGGGTCTCTTGGCCTCCAGCTCTCTGCTGATGGATGACAATAGAGCCATGATGTAGACAGTTGGCCTTGATTCTGTGAGTGGCAGTCAGTGCTAGGTGGGACTAGGCAGCTCTAGGAGTACTAGAAATTGGCCTGGCAGCTTCTCTTTTTGCTTTAGACCATTCTGAAGCTTAAAAGCATCATAGTTGGGGGATAACATGATGATAAAAATTATGTTAATGATGCTGATGTTGCTGATGATAAAAGGTACTATTTATTGGGTGCTTATTATGTGCCTGCTAAAGTCTATGTACAGTTGGCCCCTCGAAGTGGCGCAAAATACATTTTGTATTTTGTATTTTGGCCTTGATTTTCATGATTCAGGACAGAATCAGTTAACACTGGTTGATTTTTGACCAAACTGTTCTTACTGGAATTAGGTTTTCCTTTTAAGCCCAGTTCACTGTTCTGAGATTTTTTAAAAAGTACAATACAATTTTATAATAGAACACCTCATATGTTCCTTAGGATGTGTGTGTGTTTACATCTGAGGCAGAAGAAAGGTATCAGATATGATCTTTTTTGGAGGAAGGGTAGGGTAGATAAAAGGATGACTTCAGTGCTATTAAATCAGGAAAGGAAGGGATAATAGAACTTTGGTTTTAAGTGATTGAGAAATATAAAAATAGCCTAAACTAGAGGGCTAAAGATAATATAGGGGAAAAATAGTTCTTAAAAAAATGATAGAATATTGGAAAGACTTCTGTCTGGACATAAGATGTTATATTTCAAGGAGGAATGATGCCGTGGAATTCAGTTCTGCTGTGATAAAATTCCATGTTTGCAATATTGAAAACAACACTTCCAAAGAGATGCCCATGCATCTAACCCTGATGGGATGTGTATTAGTTCATTTACATACTGCCATAAAGATACGACCTGAGACTGGGTAATTTATAAAGAAAGGAGGTTTAACTGACTTACAGTTCCACGTGGCTGGGGAGGCCTCAAGAAACTTATAATTATGATGGAAGGCAAAGGGGAAGCAAGACAGGTCTCATATGGTGGCAGGAGAGAGAGAGCAAGCGAAGAGGGAACTGCCAAATGCTTTTAAAACCATTAGCTCTCATGAGAACTCACTCACCATCATGAGAACAGCATGGGGTAACCGCCCCCGTGATCCAGTCATCTCCCTGCAGGCTCCCTGTCCTGACATGTGGGGATTACAACTTGAGATGAGATTTGGGTGGGGACACAGAGCCAAACCATATCAGGATGGCTAGTGTATCTCAGGGAATTACCTTTGGCATCAGGAAAAGGACAGATGATATAGTCATATAAAATGCACCTAAGAAATAACTTGGCTGATACCTTTTCCCACTGTCAGCAAAACTGTGCTCTATGCTGAGACCTTAAGAATAAAATATTGGTTAGGTTGGGAAAGCTCCATGTTTCCACTGTCCTGCATTTTGCCTGTGAGAGTTACTCTAGTGTGGCTGTTGGAGGCTGCAGCTTGGCCTCCTGGTCAGTGTAAGTTAGGGACTGCCCCACCCATTCACCCCTAGATAGCCCATTAGGAGGCCATGGAGGAATACACCTGCACTTGCTTTTAAAATCAAGGTCGGCTAGGTGCGGTGGCTCACGCCTGTAATCCCAGCACTATGGGAGGCCAAGGCTGGTGGATCATGAGGTTTGGAGATCCAGACCATTCTGGCTAACACAGTGAAACCCTGTCTCTACTAAAAATCCAAAAAAAAAAAAAAAAAAAAAAGGAAAGAAAAATCATCCGGGCGTGGTGGCAGGCACCTGTAGTCCCAGCTACTCGGAACGCTGAAACAGGAGAATGGTGTGAACCTGGGAGGCGGAACTTGCAGTGAGCCAAAATCGCGCCACTGCACTCCAGCCTGGGCGGCAGTGCGAGACTCCATCATAAAAAAAAAAAAAAAAAAAAGAAATCAAGGTCAAGAACAGAAGGACTTGTAGCTTTTTCATTTCCATGACTGAAAACTGTTAAAAAAAATTCCTCAGCCTTATTTTTTTGCCAAGTATGTTCACCAAATGGGTCTGCACCAAGTGAGGAACTGAAGTTATATTTATTGCAATGAGTACATAGCTATCTTTTTCTCCCCTCAGAAGTGTTTAAAAAATATTTTGAACAATTATTTTATTTTAATTGAATATCTTATTCCAATTGAAATGGAATGAAAGCGACAATAAGCTCAGTCAAATTGTTAAAATATGAAAATAATTATTTGGGAGACTTGGCTATCACTCATTTGTAAGTTTGCTTCAGTATAAACAGTGGCAAAAATAAGCATTAATATTTTAATGTGTGAAAGTGTGCTTTCAAAAATTATTTCCTGAAAAGTGTTTACTGAGCTCCAACAATGTGCAGCATAGTGTTAGGCATGGTGTTAGGTAATGAACAAAATAAACATACTTCCTGCCCTCATGAAATATACAATGTGGCAGGGGGACAGAGAGATTAAACAATACATATATAATTACGATTTGGAATACATACTATGAAGACAAAGAATGGGGCAGGGGGGATTAAGAGAAAAGCACTCTTTAAAAAGACAAGGATTCTTAGTGAAAATAAGATTTAAGCTAAGACCACGGAAGAATTCTAAGCAGGAGAATTTGATTGATGATGATTTATTGAGAAAAGGGCTTGCGTTGGATGCTACACATACTTTTATTATGATTGTGTTTTGAAACAAGGTAGGGTAGAAACACTCTTAAATTTCTCTAGGTCTATTGAAGGTAGATATGTGTTGGTGGTAGGGCAGGGGGTGAAGGTACCTGCCTCGGAAGTTCTTGAATATTCCTTGCAGGCCACTCAGAGTTTGCATGATGATCCACTGTCCATTTTACATCTGAGGCACAGATAAGAACTCTTCTAAGAAAAATGCGGAGAGGACTTTGGGATTTGTGTTTGAGCCTAGACTCTGGATTAAAATTCTTGGACAAAATAGAGGCTGTAGAGGCTGTACTCCACTCTTAGCAGGAAGGGGCTGCGGGAAACCTGCTTGCTTTTCAGTGAGGGAAGAGAGCCATTTTGTGTGAGACTTAGGGTGGTGACCCACAGATGTCTTCTCATTTGGGAACTTTTCCCAAATTCTTCCAAAAGAGGGGGCTTTATAAACTACTAAAGCCAGGTGCCCTTTGGGATCCTCATAAATTGTAAACCCTGGAGGTCCTTGACTGAGATTCCTTTCAACACTTGAACTACCATTCTTAGACCCCCTCCCCCATCTTCCCAGTCTAACATGGCTGCTGGAGAGTCGTGATCACATCACCTTTCCAGGAAGCTGGATGGAGGCAAGGAAAGTGAAGAGTGCATCCTTCCCATATAAGGTGGCTTCTGGGAAACCCTTTCTGACATACTGGCTACTATTTTATTGCCCAGAACTTCAGGAACATGGCCCTTTCTGTATATAGGAGAGACTCTGGAGAAGGATCTTTTACCCCAGGCAGGAGTAATGCTCAGATAATATTCTTGAGTTGTATTCCTCAGGAAAAAGGGGAGAATGGCTATTGGGGTAGCCACAACCTGGAATGCCCCTTCTCCACTTCTCCAGGGACAAATCCTTTCAAGATAGAGCTTAAACCCGACTGCCTCTGCAGCATGGTCCCTGATTCCTCTAAGCTCATTAATCCTTCCCTTCTTTGTACACACCTGAGCCTCAGTTTTTGCCTTTTTTTTAGAAAAGTTGCTGTATTTTACTATCACGAATTTTTTTTGTGTGTGTGTGTGGTGGGGGGATTTGCCTCCTTTGGTGAACCCCAGAGCCCTGTGGCCAAGGACTGCGTCTTAGTCATCACCCTGTTCCCTCCTTGTTTCAGCCAGGCTGTTCCTCACTAGGGCCTCACAGCCACATTTCCCCACTGCCTGAGCGCTTTCTCAGTGAGTCTGTGCCCAGCTACGGTTGCCTGATTGGCACTTGGACTTGGCTGTGGCAGAGAAAATAGACTCTGTTGCTGCCCTGACAGGAAGCAAAGTGTGTGTGTGTGTGTGTGTTTTGTAGTGATTAAAAAAAGCAGTTTACCCAATAGTTGCCTGGAGACAGTCAGTGATTGGACACTCGGAGGGTGATTTCTCTGTTGGCCCTTGGGTGAAGATATTCTTTAGGGTGCTAACCCTCCCCTCAAGTTAGACTGGGTCAGGGCTCGTTGGAGTTCCTGGCTGCAAGGCGGGAGAGCAGACATCTCTTTTCTTTAAATAAACATGCCCCCAGCATTCGGCCTTAGGGCTCTCACCTTCTCTTTCTTTCCCTAAGTCAAAGCAAACCTCTCTTTCACCTGTTATAGAAGTCTAGCTAATTCCCACTTCTTAGGATGAGGGAAAGATAGAGCACTTCCAATGATAGTGAATCTAAAAAGAAATGGAAGAATTTTTATTATAGTGGTCACCTGTATGAGTTCTTATTAGACAGGTATTTTTAAAGGAAAAAAACCCAAAATAACTGACTAGTAGCTGGTATCCATGGTATCAATAAATGGCCACGGCTGTGACTGTTAATTGTCATGACCCAATGGGAGCACTGAGAAATAGCATCCCCTCTTCTTTTCCTATGGAAAATTAAAAAAAAAGTTGCCTGTGGAGCTGAATGTTGTCATCAGCCAACAGATGAGGTTGCCACCTTTTTCCCTAAGGGACCATGCAAGATGTCATAAATAGGAGGGGCCAGTGACAAGTAGAAGCCTGATTCATTATGCTGTTAGAGTTGACAGAGTGTGATAATAGTGATAAAAATGGCTAGTTCAGTGCCAAATAAAAATAACAGCAAACACACTTCTGGAACACTTACCATGTACAAGCGGTAGTCTAGGAGCTTGCTTGAGTGGTAGTGTAGGTGCTTGCATGAGGTGGTATATTGTGTATAGAACAAACACCCAGCACAGTGCCTGATATATAAGATACTTCTCAAGCAAGCACTGTTTATGGCCGTTTTACAGATGGGAAAATGGAAGCACGGAAATGGTAAGTGATATGCTTGAAGCCACACAGATAATCAGTGGCAGAGCTGGGATTTGAACCCAGGCAAACTGGTTCCAGAGCTTGGACTGGTGACTGCTGTGTCCCGCTGCCTTATCCTTAACAGCTGCTCCGTATATATTTACTTATTGGAAAAAGTACCTTTGCAGAGTTAGTATTTGGGACCCTTTAGAAGTAAAAGCGAAACTTCTAAAAAGATCATGGTCCCAAGTAACTACCTAACCAAGCAGGTGACCTGCCTCTCTCCTTCTCTCTCTTCATTCCCTTAATGGTTCAATATGCTGTTTATTGAGCATCTTCTATATACATAGCACCGTTAGTTGCGAGGAAACAATTTCATCCATATGGCTCCCAAGCACATTCTCTGAAACTGGAACCCTTTCAATATGTTTTAAAAGATAATTGTCAGTAGGGTGGTTAGGACCATGATGAAAAATCATTACAGGAGCCCAATGAACCATCATCAGTGGGTGGAACCATTTTTACTCCCTTTCACTTCACGTCTATTTCCCCAGTCTTTTTCTCCTTGATTGGAACCTGACTCCCCCACTGGATTCAAATAGTCCTTGATGCTGAGATCCAGACTGGAATGATTATAAACAAGGGGAAGGAAAATGTGGATTTAGGGTGCCTCCCTGCCAGGCACCGTTAGTTCTTTGCGTATGGTATTCTGTTTAGTCTTTGTGTAACACAGGTATCTGCTGCCCCCGTCCCAGTTTGAAGTTCTCTACTGTGCCTGTTTCAATAAATTTCACCCATGTTAAGACTGGCAGGCCTGATCCCACGTAGCTCCTGAGTCCCCACATAGTGCCCACATGATAGTTCTTCTTTTGGCCTCATCTGGCACCTCCCAACAGCAGCTCCACTCTTAGACCTCTCATGTGGCACAGGCTCTGGCATTCTGAACAAATATAGTTGGCTATTTTATAATGTCGGTTTCTGTAATGAGGATTATTACATATGCGATTGGGAAATAAGAGAAGCATGCTTGGTAAGGTGCAAGTTGCGATGGTTCATGTGAGATTTTTATTAACACTTGCGTATTTTGTACCACCAAATAGCAGTAGTTGAAAACAAAATAGGATAGTAGAGGTGAACACAACCAGCCAGGGAGGTGAACACCCCTCTTTTTGCTCTAGACTCCATTTGGCTTTGTGTTGATTGAAACGTCTGCTTTTCCCAGATCTTTCTGCATTTTCCTCTCATCTCCATAATGCAGCAGTCTCGGTCTTTCCTCACACCCTTCCACCATGCGCTCTTGCCCCCCACCTTTTTGTGTAATCTTCCGTTTGTTCTGTAATAGGAAATAGAAAACATCTTTTTATGTGTGCTGGTAATTTTTAGTGTTCTTGTTTTTGTTACTGCTCTGGTTACAAAGTTGAGTAGGGTTTGGGCCTTTTACATGAACTCTGTATTTTCCACAAGCCCTGTTATTTTTAGTGTGAGATTTTGTAGGATACAAGGTTTTTGGCTGGCTGTCTTAGTTTGGGACATTATTCATACATTTACAGGAATATGGATACTGTTTTATGGTAGAAATACATAGATATTAATAGTTTGGGCAGATAGTATCTCTCACACACTTACCCACACAGATGCATACATAAAACAATACCTTGAAGATTCCCAGTGCTGGAGCCTGGGATCTTGGGTCATATGGAAAATGTTTTCTTTAGGAATTTCACATTTCCTATCTGCTATCAGAAGACCTTGGACAACATTTCCAGGAGAAGCTTCTGTTGCCTTTGGAGGAGGTAGTTGAATATTGTCTGTGTGTGTGTTTTTCTGATCCATTTTTCTTTGAGATTTTGTGCCTGGGTACTACATAAAGCAGCACTGTTTTCATCCAGGAAACCTACAGGAGTTACTTATTGTGAGTGAGAAGCTTAAGTGAGTTGGAAATGAGGAAACTGAGACTTGAGGGTTGGCAATTTGTCTGAGGGTCAGTGACTTCTTGGCTGCGATTATTCCTGTTCTCTGGAGCCCTTTCTACACCAGTATATGAGTATTGGCAATTTGTCTCCGTTTGGGACATCATTCATTCATTCATCATATAGTTATTGAGCGTGTCCTAGGGACTCAGTAGTATGAGAGACAAATGTGAGATTTCCATTCCACCTGGAAGGATGGACGCTGAGCACAGAATCACGCGTGTGATGCATGCTTGGAAAGGGAAGAGCAAGTTGGTCTGGAACACAAAAAGGGCCGGGATCTCCTTTGGTCTAAGGGGCAATGGGACAGCCTCTCTGAGGAAGTGCTATGTAAGCTGAGACCCCAAGGATGAGCAGGGGTTGGCCATGCAAAAATGAGCAAGAAATCATGTTCTAGGCAAACACTTCAGGCTGTAGTGTTTGCCTTAATGGAAGAGCTGAAGAAGACCAGTAAGGCAGGAGCTTTGGGAGTAGGTATGAGGGAGGTGCAGGATGAAGCTAGAGTGGGCTGCAGGAAAGCTGCATGGTCCTGGCACCGAAGATAGGAATCCTCCGTGCTTCTTGGCCCGGCCTGGGCCATGGCTGGCCTTGTCTGGGAGGACAGCAGTTGGATTTTCTCCAAACTCTCTCAAATTACTATAGTTCCTGACAAAAGAATAGAAACATAGCTAACATTTATGAGAGCTTATGGCCTGGCAAATTCTGTCCTAAGCACCTGACTTTTCAACCATCCTATGAGCTAGCTACAAACTCTTATTACTCCCATTAAACCTAGAAATGAGTGAATGGCTAAGGGTTTTACGGTCATTAGGTGGTAGAGCTGATCTTCAAACTCATGCAGTCTGGCTGCTTTACCTGTGCTCCTAACCACCATGCTATGGGGTGTGATATGGTTTGGATTTATGTCCCTGCCCAAATCTCATGTTGAATTGTAATCCCCAATGTTGGAGGAGGGGCCTGGTGGGAGGTGACTGGATCATGGGGGCAAATTTCCCCCTTGCTGTTCTTGAGATAGTGAGGGAGCTCTCACGGGATCTGGTTGTTTAAAAGTGTGTAGTACCTCCCCCTGCTCTCTCTTCCTCCTGTTCCTACCATGCAGGACATGCCTACTTCCCCTTCTGCCATGATTGTAAGTTTCCTGAGTCTCCCCAGCCATGCTTCCTGTAGAGCCTGCAGGACTGTAAGCCAATTAAACCTTTTTTCTTTATAAATTACCCAGCCTCAGGTAGTTCTATATAGCAGTGTGAGAACAGACTAATACAGGGTGCAAATGCAGGCTGTTGACCAAGGGTGTCTGTGAGGGATATTGATGAGGGGGAACAGCAGTAAAGAGCTGGGGGCAGGAGGGTAGAGGTAGGGGATGCCTAAGGATGCTGGAGGCCAGTGTTGGCTTTAGACATGTTTTCTGTATTTTAAAAGAAACTCCAAAAATAAGTCCTCTCACCTTGACAGTTTTGCCACCTGGGAAGGAGAGTGATTGTATAGAAAGAGTGCTCCAGGCATCTCCCAAACCCCACATTCTAATGCATGGGGACTCTGGTTCCCAAGCAGCCTGATGAACCCTGGTATTGCTCTGACATGATAGGCCACTCATTTTTAACTTCCATCAAGAGTTGTAAGTAGTATGATATATTTAAAAATGTATTTCTTATTTTATTTTAAACTCTGTGTGTGTGTTTAATAATTTTTTTCATTCAATTTTTTTTTTTGTTTTAGTTAGCATTCTTATGGTTGCAAGCAACAGAAATCCAACCAAAACTGGCTCTAAAAAATAGACAGTTGATTGCTCATTGACGTTCTGGAGGTAGATCCCTACTTCATACAAAGGCTGACTCAGCAGCTCAATGATATCAGTAAGGATCTGGATTCTCTCTCTCTTTCCACCGTGCTGTGCATTGTGTGGCTTTATGCTCTGGCTTTACATAGGGCCTCCACACCTGCCCTACCCCACTTCAGAAGGTCCAGGCTTTTCCACTAAAGGCTGGCTGGGAAAGAGCGACTCCAGTCCTCAAGTTCTCTTTACACCCTCTGGGCAGAGAAAGAGGACACATTCTCATTCATGATCACCAGGGAAATAGATGAGTTGATTAGCCTAAGCCAATCAGACTTCACCCTGGTCCGTCCCTATCAAAGATGCTGGCTGCTACCCAACAGAGAAGCAGTGAATTCCCTAGAGGAAAATCTGGGTACTTTTAGTAGAAGAATGGGTAAAGTGGATGCCAAAGAGGCTACCACCAATTGTTACTAACATTTTATTAAAAATGTGGTAATATACAAGAACACACAGATGATAAGGGAAGGAAGGAAATAATTAAAATGAACTATTCAGAACACTGACTACTTCTTGGAGGTGAGTATAAGATTATAAGCTGGGAGTGGTTAAAAAGAGGCATTAATAGATTGTTTTACTCCTATTTTTATAAGACTAGAACAGTGCTATTTTTAGAGGTATCACTGAATGTCAAGTGCCCAACCCATACCTAATGGGTTCTATTAGGTGTAAAAATGTGATTGAATGAACTGGATTGATTTTTAAACTGTTGATTAAAAAAATAAAGATGTTCATCCTGGGTACTTCAACTCTCCTTTCTTCCCAATATATATAAACCTTTACACTGAATTACTGTAACTTTAAAAAAATGTTATAAATTAAAGTATCCAATACCAGTATCTGATTTTTTTCCCATTTAATTTCATATTTCTCAGGTAAAGATATCTATTTTTTGGAGCCTGAAGCCTAGAAATAGCAAAACCATGCAGTTGCTGTTCACCGGACACTCCGGGTCCAGGGGGTGTGCAGCTCTGTGCCTGAGCAGTCCCCAGGCATGTGGGGCTTTTCTAAAAGTGGATACAGCGGCTGTCGCCCACTGATCCTCTGTGCTGAGTGACCCAGATTGGCACAGCGCAGCTGGGTCCTACCCAGGGCGAGTACGGGAAAGAGGAGTAAAAATAAAAACTGGTTGGGCAGCTTAGGTGGAGTCAGGATACTTGAAAGCTCACAGGTTACTTTGCTAATTCTTGGGCAGATTTTTCCTTTTTTCTTTTTTGAGGGGATAGTGATGATTCCAATGACAGTTTTCTAGATTTCTTGGATTTGACAAAATAGTTTCATACAGAACAGCAAAATGAAGTATGTAGAAAATATGTTTTTTGAGATTAGAACATTTGCCCTTGACATGAGTTTCTTATTTATCCTATTCAACATTCAAGTCTCCAATAAAGTTTTCCCCAAAGGTATCTCTTTTATGGAGTTACTTTCTGAATGAAGACATTTCTGTCTTTTTTGTTAATAGAACGAAATGTACTTGCCATTATAGTTTCTATATAGTTTTCTATGTTATCTAAGAAAAATGAGTAAGAGTGTTTAGGTATGGTGTCAAGTTACCCACCCAGAATAGTTGTTCAATCTCTGCCACTGTTTGGCATTTTGACATTTGTGTTTTTAAAGTGTAGTAGATTTGCTAATTTTTGAAGCTTTGGTCCTTACTATTAGAAATTTTGAGGTTTTATTTTTGGTGTTTGACCAAGGGATTTTTTTAAAATGCAAAAGCAGATTTTATGTAATGTTTTCCTCAGTTATGGATAGCTTTGATAAACTATATGAAATTTTTTCCCTCCTGAATGCTTTGTGGCTTTTACTGTAATAATCTTTCTGTGATCTGTAGACCAATAATTAAATCTCCAAATGGCCTTTACCTTGCAATAGCAATTGAAAATAATATTAAATATTTATACTTAAAATATATGGGAAATGTGGATATAACTTCTTTTAAAGATAAAATGTCCTTAAAATACCCTAGTAGTAGGAATACCCTAGGGTAAGACATATTTCTGGGAAAAAGAATTTTCTGCAATGTTTACCTCATGACACTAATTTGGAACTAGAGTTCTTCTAAGAAATTTCTTACGTTTTCGTTCATTAAGTTATTTATTTATAAAATCTATTAAGAGACTGCTAATAGCTATGGGTTTCCTTTTGGGGTGATGGAAATGTTCTGGAATTGGATAGTGGTGATGGTTGCCCATATGCAGTACTTAGTGAAAAACTAAAATTTTTTTAATTATAAAAGGGTGAATTTGATGGTATCTGAGTTATATCTTAACAAAAAATCTGCTACGAGCTCTTAATGTTTTAAGCATGATTTTGAGCTCCCAAGGTATGTAAACAAGCACATGAAATTAAGACTTTCAGATGTATGTACAATATTGCAGCATAACAAACCACCCCCAAACCCAGTGGCAGATGGCAATGGTATATTTTATTTTTCTTGCTCACGGGTTGAAGGGTCAGCTTGAGCAGCTCTGCTTCAAGCTGTGGATTGGCTGCACTTGGCTCAAGGCTGTGGGTTACGTTCAAGTCTGTTTCATGTGTCTCCTTTCTTCTTGGACCACAGACTACCTGGGAGATGCTCTCTTTATGGCAAATGAATGACAGGTGCACCAGAACCCAGCCAAAACCATGCAACAAATGGTTTTAAAGTCTCCACTTGCATCACATCTACTCACATTCCACTGCAAAAACAAGTGATATGGCCAAGTCCAAAGTCAGTGGGGCAGGAAAGGGCATTCTGCTCACAGTGCGAGGGGAGAGGAGTGGATATTTTTCCAGTAATACTCTCATCTACCGCAAAGTCTGTTCAGGTTTCCTTGGTGCTGCAAAGGAAGATGTGAACATTCTCCCTGGGTATTGGAATGTTTGAGAGATGGGCATTGGGTTCCTTGGTGCCTTGGTTTGTTTTCTGTTGCTATAACTAAATACCACAGGCTGGGTAATGTACAAAGAAAATAAATTTATTTGTTACAATTCTGGAGACTGGGAAGTCCAAGGTTAAGGGGCTGCATATAGTGAGGGGCGTTCTTGCTAGTGGAGACGCTGCAGAATCCCAAGATGTTGCGGGGCATCACATGGCAAGAAGGGCTCACTAGAGACGGCCAAACTGGTTTTGGTAAGAGACCCACTCTTGTGATAACTGACCCACTCCCTTGGTAACCCATTAATCCATTAATTCATGAATGAATTAATCCAATCATGAGGGCAGAATGCTCATGACCAAATCACCTCCCAAAGGTTCTATTTTTCAACACTGCTGCACTGGGGACCAAGTTTTCAACACATGAATTCTGGGGTACACACTTAAGTCATAGCACTTGGGTTGAGTCTTGAAAAATTAGCAAGCATTGTCAGTTGGATGGGGCAGTAAGGGTGAGGAGAGGTGACAGCAATGGCTAGACCTCGAAGGGAACATGAGCAGAGGCATGGAGGTGTGTGGTAGCAGAGTGCACTTGGGAAGCAGCAGAGCTGGGACATAGCACATGGAGAGTGCTGCTGGAAGAAGACACACTGGGTCACATCAGCAGAGGCCTTGTGTGCCATGCCTGAGGGTTTGGTGTTGGAACTAAATGGGCTGGGCTCAGAGTCAGCCTGAATCGCAAACTTGGCTCTGCCATTTACTAATGCTATGACTGTGGGGGAAGTTATTTGGCCTCTCTGTGCTTTACCTCTTAATCTGTGAAATGGTGAGGGTATTTTTAGCACCTACCTTGTGAATTGTGATTAGGATTAAATAAATTAATATACTCAGTGCTTGATATAAAGTCAAGTGCTCAATAAGTTTTGGCTGCTGTTAGTATTTTTTAATGGAGTTTAGATTTTATCTGTAAGCAATGGGGTATGACTTAAAAGTAAGAAAGGGATGTGATTATATTTTGGCAAGAAGACATTGGTGGTAGTGTAGGGGATGATTACGATGGCCAGCATGGAAGCAGGGAGGCCATAGGGTTGTTGCAATAATAGAGGTAAGAGGTGATGATGGCAACATCAGTGGGAATGAATGTGAGAGATGTTAAAGGTGTAAAAATGATGAGACTTAGTGACTGAGTGGATGTGTGAGGTGAGAGAAACAGAGAAATCCAGGGAAAGGAGGAACAAAAGATTGTAGTAGGATTTGTTTTGTTCTGTATTTAAGGATGGGAGAGACTTGGACATATTAGAAGGCCTTGACGAAGGGGTAGAGAGGGAGCCATTTATTATATAACAATGAGAAGGAATGATGGATAAAACAAGTTCCTGAGACATTCAGAGAGGGAGTTGAGAGTAGGTGTAAATAGTAGAAGGGACACTTTAGATACTTGTCAAGAAAACTGTTAAAAGTTTTTTGATGGTGATTTAGTTATTGGTGCATAATAGATTAGCCCAAAACACAGTAGCTTAAACCAACAAGTATTTATTATTTTATAGTTTCTATGAGTCAGAAATTTGGGAATGATTAGTTAGATGGTTCTGGCTCGGGTTTTTCTTGAGGTTGCAAACAAG
Organism: Homo sapiens; assembly: GCF_000001405.40. Classification (NCBI taxonomy): domain Eukaryota; kingdom Metazoa; phylum Chordata; class Mammalia; order Primates; family Hominidae; genus Homo; species Homo sapiens. Next base: position 41,379,182 of record NC_000004.12, read on the forward strand.
ATGTTGGCTGGGCAGGTGTCATCTGAAGGCTTGACTGTGGCTGGAAGATCTGCTTCTAAGATGGCTCCCTCATGTGCCTGTATGCAGGAGGCCTCAGTACTTTGCTGGCTGTTGGCAGGAGGTATTAGTTCCTGTCATCTAGGCCTCCCTGTGGGGCTGCTTGTGTGTCCTTATAACATGGCAGCTGACTTCCCCTAAAGTGAATGATTCAGGAGAGCAAAAAGGAAGGCATGGTAGGACCTGGCTTCAGACTTCACATGTCACCATATCTGCCAACTTATCTGCCACTGTATCAGCCACCATAACTTCCTAAGAAGTTAGTCATTAAGTACAGCCCACACCCAAGAGGAGAGGAATTAGACTCCACCTTTTGAAAGGAGGAGTATCAAAGAATCTGTGGACATATTTTAAAGCCATCATAAGTGGCTACACGATCAATATGTAATTTTAACTGTAACTGGTCATTTATCATGTTTTATATATAAGGGATTCAATATTAGATATTCTGATACTAAGTCATTTGTCTAGTCCAGTCTATTTAGATAAATGATGACGGTAAGATATTCTCTCTAGATATATTTTCCAAAATAGGTCTAGTATTTTATTTATTTATTTATTTTTATTTTTATTTTTTTGAGACAGAGTCTCGCTGTGTTGCCCAGGCTGGGGTGCAGTGACGCGATCTCAGCTCACTGCAACCTCCATCTCCTGGGTTCAGGCAGTTCTCCTGCCTCAGCCCCCTGAGTAGCTGGGATTACAGGTGTGCACTACCACACCTGGCTAATTTTGTATTTTTAGTAGAGATGGGGTTTTGCCATGTTGGCCAGGCTGGTCTCAAACTCCCTGACGTTAACCTCAGGTGATCCACCCGTTTTGGCCTCCCAAAGTGCTAGGATTACAGGTGTGAGCCACCATGCCCAGCCAGGTCTAGTATTTTAAACACCACCACTACCACCACCACCAAACAATATAGGAATAAAAATGCTTCCACTCTGAAATCCCACCTGATATAGGTAATCACTGGTAATATGCACTATTTATATTGAAACTCATGTTACTGAAAGTTTTGATTAGTTCTGGAAACTTTTATTTAAACAAAATCTTACAGAGATTTGATATCTTCTTTTCTTTTCTTTCTTCTTTCTTGTAGAGATGGTATCTCACTTTGTTGCCTAGGCTGGCCTTGATCTCCTCCTGGCCTCAAGCAATCCTGCCCTGGCCTCCCAAAGTGCTGGGATTACAAGCATGAGCCACTGCACCCAGCCTGAGATTTGATTTGATATTTTCTTTTCTTTCTTTTTTTTTTTTTAGATAAGCATGTAATAATAATTACTGCCTCCCTGCTAGTGGAGAGCTCTGGCTCAGCAGTTCTCAACTCTGGCTACACATTAGAATTATTTGGGAGCTTTTGATTTAAAATGATCTGGATCAGGGCCTGAGCATTGTTATTTTATAGACATTTTCCCCCAAGTGATTGCAATGTGCAGCCAGGGTGGAGAACACAGCAGATGACAAAATAAGTGAGTAAGTTGCACTGGGCGATATTGGCAGATCTAAGATTTAAAACTTGTTTGAATGATTATTTATGTGGGGGTGTGTGAAGAGATGTGCATCCAGGGAATACAGTTATATTCTGTCTGCCAACAACATCATTCCTAGTTCACATGATGGAATAAAATAATCAGTATTTTATGGCATACTATAAAGAGTAGTAGAATGTTCTAGATACCTGAGCAGATTTGACCACAGCTTCTTTAGGAGAATCTTCTTATTTTCTGCACTGAATCATAGGCATTCCTGAGTGTAAAGTCATATCACAATCAGTTATTCTTTGTACAAATGTCCTAATTTATTCATTTATTCAATAAACAGATCTTGAACACTTACTGTGTGCCAGGTAGGTGCATTTAATATCCAAGCCACTGAATGCCAGGCACTGAATGCCCAAGGAAGAACTTAACCTTATTCTTAAACTAATATCTTAATATAGATTCTAGCACCAAGTGAGTGATTCTCAGTCCCATAGAGGAGACAAACAGGTGCACAAAAGTGGAGGCCAAGGTAACTAAATTTAAATAACTGTACAGCACAGCACCAACCAATCAGAGCAGACCCAGTGACAGTAGTGCCTGCCATGGTGAATACCGGCTGTCTGTCAGCTCCAAGTATCGGTAATACGAAGTGCAGTATTTTAAACACCCAAAGAGGAATGTAAACAAGAGGGAGCAGAGAGAAGGGAACCACTTTTATAATTCCAAATTCATGTTTCCCTCACAGAGGGAGCTGAATTGGTGTGGTTGGCTATACCAGTTTTCCATCCTGTCCTGTGTACATACCCCTTGCCAAGTGACTGCCGTTCTTCTCCCTGAAGAGGTGGAGTCTGTTTCCTGACTCCTTGGATTCGGGCAGGCCCTCTGACTTGCTTTGGCCAGTAGAATGCAGCAGAAGTGATGAGGTGCCTGTTCCAAGCTTAGGCTGTAAGACACCTTGGGTAATTCTGCTTGTTCTTTCTCCTCTGTCATCGCTGTGACAAGATGCCCCAGATGGCCTGCTGGAGGATGAGAGACCTGGACAAAGCCAAATTGCCCCACTTGCCCCAGACAAGGCTATCCTAGATCAGCTAATAGCCAGCCAGCACCTACAGTGAAGTTTCTCAGCAGAAGCACTTTGACATTAGGGGTTGGATCATTGTGTTTTGGGGAGCTGTTCATTTTAGGATGGTTAGCATCATCCCTGGCCTGTACTCACCGGATCCCAGTAGTACCCCCACTGCCAAAGGTGTGACAACCAAAAATGTCTCCAGACATTGCCAGATGCCCCCAAGGGGCAAAACATCCTCTGATTGAGAACTTGTGCTCCAGACTTATGAGTGCGTCCAGCTAAGATCAGCAGTGCTACCTAGTTTCTGACCGCAGATACATGAGCAGTAAATGCCTAGTGTTGTTTACCACTGAAGTGTGTGGATATTTGTCTCATAGCATTGTTGTGGAATAGGTAGCTAATACAGTGATCAAAAACATGGAAACATGGAAGTGGGAGATGGAACTGGACAATTGGAAGTAGTCCAGTTGGGTGGGAACTTGACAAGTAGATTTGTAGGTAGAGTTGGGTTAGTGTGAAGTACAGACGAGGCTAGAAAGCTAGGGTAGGCTGTATCCGTGGAGAATTTAGGTGCCTTGGTATGAACTGGGGACACGGTTATTCATGGGCGGGGGAGGGAGGGGTGCTGTCAGAGGTTTTAGTTATGTATTTATAGCCAAGGAAACAGGGCTATGAGTTTGTACTGTAGGCAGCAGTAGGGAGGGGGAATTGGAAGCAGGAGGGAGGGCTCTGCAGTAGTTCAGTTGATGCATACATAAGGCCTGAATTAGGGAATTAGGAGAGTGATCATAGGTGTGGAAAGGAGGGGAGGGCTTCCAGGCACATTTGGTGTAAAATGGATACAACTTGGTAACCTGTACATTGCTACCTTTGCACATTTGGTTTCCCCTGTCTCAAAGGCTCCCTCTTCTCGAGTGTTGCTCTACTCAACCATCAATACTCAGCTCAACACTCAGGGAAGTCTTTTTGGTAGTCTTCCACGTCTCGTGAAGGCAGAGCTTATATGGCTGTCACCATTGTTTTTTTGATACAGAGTCTTGCTACCATCACCCAGGCTGGAGTGCAGTGGCACAATCTTGGCTCACTGCAGCCTCGACCTCCTGGGCCAAGCAATCCTCCCACCTCAGCCACCCAAGTAGCTGGGACTACAGGTGCATGCCAGCACACCTGGCTATCTTTTGGTATTTTTTAAGAGGTGAGGTCTTGCCACATTGGCCAGGCTGGTCTTGAGCTCCTGGGCTCAATCGATTCACCTGCTTCAGCCTCCCAAAGTGTTGGGATTACAGACGTGAGCCACTGTGCCCAGCCATGCTAATCTTTTTATCATTGAATTGTCCATCTTATATTTGAACTAATAATCAGTTGTAAGTCTGTCTCTTCCATATTATTAGCTGCTAATTCACTTAGTAAGCACCCTTTCTATGTTTGGTCTGGAGGTAGGTGCTTGGGACACACTGGTGAGTTAGAGAGATATATAATTGCTGATTTCTTGAAGCATGTGGTCTAGTGGGGAGACACACAGATAAACAGGCAATTACTGTACATGCTGTAATGGGGGAAGTAAAGAACGGTTTAGGAACATATAGGACAGACAGCCTGGAATGTGTGGGTGCCAGTGAAGACCTCATGAGGAGCGAAGTGATGAAGGGGTTGGATGTGGTGTGGGAGGAGTTAAAGCCAGGGATCTGTGGGCTTTGTGGCTCTGGATTAAGAGAAAACTGCACATCTGAGGAAAAGAAGAAAATTCAACATCATTTTAAAGGGTCTTGTAAACTATGATCAGAGCTGTGTTGGGAAAAATCTTTGATTGATTTTCAATCCTGGCTGCACAACAGAACCATTGTATGGCGCTTTTAATAGTAGAGGGAACTGGGCCCCACTCCAAGCTTGTTTAATTACTATGACCAGAGTGTGTGGCTCAGATATATATCTATATCTATAGATCTATCTATATATATGTCTATATGTATGTGTATGTATATATTTAAGGCTCCATAGGTGATTCTGGTGTGTGACCAGGGTTGAGAGCTGTAGGGCTCTCTCTGTGAACACTGTGAAGAATGACATTTAAGGGATGAATAGAAAGAGGAACCTGCAGAGAAACTGAGATAGGGAAGTGAGAAACGTGGACAATTAAGTGGGAGAACTCCTAGTTGTTAAATGTTGAAGACAACTAATAGTATCAGCAGCTAAGGCAAGAGGAATTTTCAAGAAGGAAGGGAGGAACACAATTGTCAAATGCTGCCAGGAAGGCAAATAATGAACTGAAAAGTGACTGCTGAATATGGCTAAAAAGGTTGTTAGAGATCTAGGCTGGAGCATTTCAGTAGAATGGTGGGGCAGAAGCCAGACTGCAGGGGGCTGAGCAGTGAGTGGGAGGTGAGAGGGATTAGACAGTGAGGGGTCCTTCACATTACATCCTGCTTTCTTTTTTTTTTTTGAGACGGAGTCTTGCTCTGTCACCCAGGCTGGAGTGCAGTGGTGCGATCTCGGCTCACTACAAGCTCCGTCTCCTGGGTTGACGCCATTCTCCTGCCTCAGCCTCCCTAGTAACTGGGACTACAGGTGCCTGCCACCACGCCGGGCTATTTTTTTTTTTTTATTTTTAGTAGAGACGGGGTTTCACCGTATTAGCCAGGATGGTCTCGATCTCCTGACCTGGTGATCCACCCGCCTCGGCCTCCCAAAGTGCTGGGATTACAGGCGTGAGCCACCGCGCCCGGCCTACATCGTGCTTTCTTGGTCATCACAGAATCCTCAGCAGTCAATAAACTTTGAATAAGTGAAAGTGTGGGTATTGGGAGAGTAAGGATTAAGTTGATGCAACATTTTTAGCCTGACTGGTTGGGCACATGGCAGTGGCATTTGCTGAGATTTGAAGCAAAGCCAGAAGAAAGGGCTGAGCTTGATTTTGTGTTTTAAATATGCAAGGGAGAAGATGCTAAGTGCGGTTGTAGATATATTAAGTTTGATGCTCTTTTTCTGATTATTCTGTAAGTACAGCGTTGTCTTCAAAGTCCACTCCAAATACTACCAAGTATTACTTGGTGTTGATCAGAAGTAGGGTTTCCCCTCAACTTTGTATGCTTGACAATATGATAGAACTTGAAAAAAAGAGGAAATCTAGGAATTTAAGAAAAAAGTCTGAACAGCATCATTTTGGGATATAAGTGAAGTAGAACTGATAGGAAGGGGAACACATCCTCTTTGCCTGAGGAAGTTGGAGTAGTTCTACCTCTGTTATGGCATTTAAAAATTGTATATTTAATTTTTCAGTGTATTTAACTTCTCTTTGTCCTCTTGAAGTTGGGAACATTCAGTTGTACTCTGAACCAGTGGATATTGTGACCTGGCGCTGTGCCACTTGGGCCAGCTTTTGCTTCCTTAATGAATGCACTTCCTTCATCTGTTAGTGATAAGCAGGCAAGTGAGGAATTCTTATCTGCATCTATGGATTGAACATCTGTTTCTATTCCACTGTGTTTCAGTTTTAACTTCTTTGCTTAGAAATTAATGTGAGCAAGTGAGCCTCCTCTTTTTAAAGCCATTTTGGATTGAGAGTATTTGTTTTCTGAGCATTTTATATGCATTAAATTGATAATTTAGATTTTTTTTCTAATGTTTTGAGTGATACAGAAATCATCATCATGGGTTTCCTTAAATTTCTGTGGCAATGGGCTTATTAAAAATGTAATTTTGTGCATGGTGATTTTTGGAGGGATATCAAACTTATCCTATGGGTGTTCAGTTTTGTCAGAGAGTTATGATACATTTTATTCTGCATATTAAAAATGTTCCAGAAAGGAAAGCAAAAAAATCACCATGGCAACTCAGTAGAATGCCCTTATTTTGTTTTTCTGAAAGGAAAATTCTAAATCTGAGTAAGAGGTATAAAAAAGAGCAGTGCAGATTGTGTCTCTGGCTTCCAGGAAGTGAGCTCATAAAAGAATGGGTTTGATGCCCTGGGTGACTCTGTGTTATTTAGGACCCCATTTGTTTTTTCTCATAAGGAAGAGCTATAAAAAGGTGGCGTATATATTGACACTACTAAAACAGATCTGCCAAAGAGCCTGTTGAATTTTTCTTTGTAATGCAACTTTTTGGAGCCAACTGTAAGTGTCAAGGCTAAGGATGAATGGATAGCTGCAGGGGTTGGTGGGGGAAGGTTCTTAAGGTGTCATCACACCACTTTTGACACTTCAACACTGAAGGAGTGCTACTAGGGTGAGTTTGATTAGAATGATTCTAGCAGAGTGTCAAAAAAGAAATAATACATAGTCAATGAATTGATACATTGATTAATAGTAAAAAGTAGAATCAAGCCATGTACCATTTTTGTAGAGAGACTGGTGGGCAGATCAGTTGTCAACATGGCATCCAGTAGTAGCACCAAACTGGTCGTGTAGAACTCAGTGTCTGACCTGTAAATGGTTGCTATTCCAGGGCTTCTGTTACCCTTCTTGGGGAAGCACCAGAGGACCTACAGGAACATCAGTATTCCTTAGAGGAGGGATGAAGTGCTCAGGCATAGATCCTGACTGACAAGGCTGGAAGTAGCTTGGGAAAGTTACTTAACCTCTCCAAACATCAGTTTTCTTATCTATGAAATGGTTATGGTTATAACAGCTATCTTATAGGGTTGTTTTCAGGAATACATGAGTTAATATGTACAAAAAATTAAAAGAAATGCCTGAAACATAGTAAGCACCAATTATTAGCTCTAATTATTGAAGAATCTACAAGTGATGCTTTTTTTTGGCTGTGACTTTCCTATATTGGATATGTTTATGAAATGGACAGGCAAACAATTAGTTTTTGTTGTTGTTCTTTGGTAATTACTTTGTAATAAGTTAAAATGGGATGGGTATAAATGGGGAGGGGATATATTGAAACCCAATTTTCCATGACCTGGCGTCATGTGGGATACTGAGAGATCACTGACACATGGAACATTCTGGTCTGTAGCATTTAGGGAAAATATGGATATTTAGCAAAGATGTATCTAAGGGACAGCCTAGGTAACTTATCAGTTCAATAGTGAGGTTTCTGATGTGCATGACATCCAGGGGTGAGATTTCTGCTGTTATATGGTAGGAAAAGGAATTGTATGCTGTTTTCTTTACTTTAATTGTTTTTAGCCAAAGTAGCTGTTATAGCTATATGCTATGGTAAAACACTGCAGCTTTTGGTTGTTAGGAAACTGTTGGGTTATCTGGGCTCTTCTTTTTCCCAAGTTCTGAAGATGAAGAGCTGCCTATCAGAAGGCACAAAAAGAATAAAACAGTTTGTGGCTTCTGAGACAAAAATTGTTATCTATGACAATAAATAAATACTCATGCATACTGTATTTTTTAAAGTTAAACAATATTTATTTTCATTTGTCTTATTAGAAATGATGAAAATACAGAAAATGAGAATGTACAGATAACATACATGAGAACATACATTGTTCATTCTTTATAGAATGTATGTACATTCCACTCATAATCCTTTTGCACAGAAATCTACTTACATGAACATTTTCTGGGTACATGCACGTTGATGTAAATGGGGCTCATATGCTTTCTATTTTAAAGTACATTATAAATACATTTATTTTACAATGAATATACATTTCCTATATAATTGAGTAATTCATAAAGCAATCAAAGGATAGACCAAAAAAATTATTGAATCATTATTCTTTATCAATGTGTAGATTATTTCCAATTTTTATGAACATGTTCTTAAATAACAGGACTGAACACTTGCCAGCCAGGCAGAACAATGAGCCTCCTTCAACCTAAAGGGTTATTTATTTTAACAGAGCCAAGGCAGCAGCTTCTCTGTGCATACGCACCTCTGGGAAGACTGTTTTCTGATGAAGGCATGGTTTTATTCAGCATTTGATGACAAATCCACACCAGTTTAGTGAAAGAGATATACTCATGTTCAGTGATGCACCAAGGAAGGGCAGGTTATTACCTTGGAAGTCTACATTTGGCAACTATTTCACAAATTTTGCCAGTCAAAACTTGATGTGAAGATTCTTAAAAATTTAACTTAGCCGGGCATGGTGGCTCAATGCCTGTAATCCTAGCACTTTGGGAGGCTGAGGCGGGTGGATCACCTGAGCTCAGGAGTTTGAGACCAGCCTGGGCAACATGGCGAAACCCTGCCTCTACTAAAAATACAAAAATTAGCCGGGTGTGGTGGTGCATGCCTGTAATCCCAGCTACTTGGGAGGCTGAGGCAGGAGAATCACTTGAACCCAAGAAGCGGAGGTTGCAGTGAGCTGAGATCGTGCTACAGCACTCCAGCCTGGGCGAAAGAGCAAGACTCTCAAAAGAAAAGTTAACTTACCACAGACCCAGCAATTCTACTTTTAGGTAGCTACCTTAGAGAATTGAAAACATATGTGCCTACAATAACTTGCTCATGAATGTTCCTAGAAGCATTATTCATAATAGCCCAAAAGTGGAAACAGCCCAAATGTCTATGAACTGGTGAAAGAATAAAGGTGGTATATCCATACAATGGAATACTCTACTGTTTGACAGTTAAAAGGAATGAACTACCAAACCTCAAAAACATTATGCTAAGTGAAAGAAACCAGATGCGAAAGACTGTACATTGTGTTATTCCATTTATATGTGATGTCCAGAAAAGGCAGATCTATAGAGACAGAAAACAGAGTTGCCTGGGCTGCAGATGGGTGTAACCATTAACTGCTCATGGGCAGGAGGAATCTATTGGGGATGTTGGAAATAGTCTAAAACGCATTTGTAGTGATGGTTGCACAATTCTATAAATTCACTAAAACTTATGGAATTGGACTTTTACAATGGGTGAATTTTGCAGTATGCAGGCTATGCATCCATTAAGCTTTTTTGTTTTTGAGACAGAGTTTCACTCTTGTCACCCAGGCTGGAGTGCAATGGCACGATCTTGGCTCACTGCAACCTCCGCCTCCCGGGTTCAAGTGATTCTTCTGCCTCAGCTTCCCGAGTAGCTGGGATTACAGGCACCTGCCACCACGCCCAACTAATTTTTATATTTTTAATAGAGATGGGGTTTTGCCATGTTGACCAGGCTGGTCTCGAACTCCAGACCTCAGGTGATCCACCCGCCTCGGCCTCCCAAAGTGCTGGGATTACAGGCGTGAGCCACTGCACCCAGCCCATAAAGCTGTTTTTTTAAACATAATGAATGGTATTTGATTATTAAAACATTGAAAAGGAAATTGGTAAGATATCTATAGTACTTTTGTGTTTTTTGGCTGGGAGGTGGCCAGAGTGCAACTTTCTTTGGTCATCTCATATCCTGGTTCCTCTGACACCAGCTGCCTCTCCCATACCACCTAAGTTTGACCCCAGTGAGATCAAGGTCGTATATCTGAGGTGAACCAGTGGCAAAATCAGAGCCACATCTACCCCTGGCCTCTAAGATCAGCCCCCTGGGTCTTTCCCCATCAAGGTTGGTGAGGACATTGCTAAGGCAACCAGTGGTTGGAAATGTCTGAGGATTACAGTGAAACTGATAAGGCCCAATTTGAGGTGGTACCTTATACCTCTGCCCTCGTCATCAAAGCACTCAAGAAACCATCAACAGATGGAAATAGAAAAATAAACTCAGTAGAAATATCACTTTTGATGAGATTGTCAGCATTGCCTGACAAATGTGGCACTGATCTTTAGCCAGAGAACTCTCTGGAATCATTACAGAGATCCTGGGGACTGCCCCGTCTGTGGGCCGCAGTTGTTGATGGCTACCACCCTCATGACTTCATAGATGACATCAACAATGACATGGTGGAATGCACAGCTCGTTAAGTACAGAGGAAAATATTTCAGTGAAGATCATTTGACAACCAACCAACCAACCAAACAAACAAAAGGACATCAACAGAAGTTCCCAACCTGCCTGCTCATCAGAATCTTTTGGGAAATAAAATTAAATAAAAAAAGAGTCCTGGGCCTGACCTCAGCCTTAGGATTCCTGTTTTCAATGATCTTCCTAGATCATTGGCTAGTCAGGTTGGAAACCACTGCTTTTTGTGAGCCATTGCTCCAGATCCTGAACTATTCTGAAAAATACCAAGACAGACGTAGTCAATAGGTGCTTATTTCACCTTCCCTTCTGGTGTGAGCTAAATAGATGTCAAATCCCCTGGCTCCCCATGGTTTACCTTGAAAGCCTTTCTTCTCCTACTTAAAGCTAGACTTGGTGCTTCTCTGCATTCACCTTAAGGAATTGACTCACTGCAGAAGCATCAGCAGCACCATTTTTTTTTTAACTGGAGAGACAAGAAAGTATTAGCTACAGAGCACATGACATTCCTGCTCTCCCAAGTTCTAGGTGTCCCTTCCTGTGACCCTTCTGCCATCTTGCTGTCCTGTGCCTCTCACTCCACTACTTTCTGAAGCTTGGGTGACCCTGTGTGGTCCAATCTTCTGCTCTACCTGCATCTCTCTCAGGGAGAGAGAGAGAGAGAGAGAGAGAGAGAGAGAGAGCGAGAGCGCTCCTCATGCTGGGGAGCCTCTCTGCCTCCCTGGAATTCCGGGGAGTACAGTTTTCTTTATCTTGTTGATGAGTTACTGTTTGTTTCTTCTGTGTTTATGTGTTCTGCTTAGTTCAACTCAACTCATCAAATACTTCTCATGTAGTGCGTAAGGTCTGCCATGCGTGGTGTGCAATGTTACCAAGGGATGCATTATTAGATGGCATCAAGGCACCTAGGCTTTGGCAATTAGGGTTGCCAGATTTAGCAAAGAAAAATACATGATGCCCAGTTAGATTTGAATTTCAAAAGAATAACAAATTTTTTATTGTAAACATATCACTTTATCTGAAATTAGAATCTAACGTTGTATCCTCTATTTCATTGGACATTCCTAAAGTTTCCATCAGACCTGGTTTTCCTTTTGGCTTTTCCACTTGAATAGTTAGGTACTCAGTAGGTTACTTAACATCTCTAAACTTTGGTTTCCTTATCTGAAAATTAGGGCAAATATTACCTGTAAGTGTGGGCTTCCTTCCTTCTCAGTGGACTCCAAGCTCATGGGGAACAGTGGTTAGCCCTCTGTGCCAAGTTTAGAACTTATGCTTACATTTTATTGTCTGAAATATAATCAGATGGCCACACCTAGCTCTAAGAGTGGCTTGGATATGGTCCTTATTCTGGGCAGCCACGTGCCTAAAGTACCAATTAGGGATTCTCTTATGTGGGAAGAACTCGGGAGCAATTAACAGTGTTTGCCACACACTTTTTTTTCTGTCTACAATACTGTTAAATAAATGCTATTGATTAAACACATTTAATAGAATAAAGGCCACTACCCAGTTGCAACAAATCAAGAAATTGTTTGGATCACTGCCAAGGATATAGAGTAGGGGATTATTCTTGGATTCAACTCACTAGCTGACCTGTCCTGCCATATTGGAAAAATATTTTAATCCTTAAGTGCTCTAGTTTCTTCATTTGTGTGAAGCCTATGTTGACTGGGGTCACAGACATAATTACATCATATAGCTGGTTGCTGATCCAATTGTTGGCAATTTCAAAACGTGCCACCTGGATTTTATATACCTTCTATTTTCTTGGTGACTAAGTTAAAGTAGAGGTGGATTTTTGCAGAAATTAGGTTCTAACGTCAGCACATAGAACAAACATTGTGTGTAGTTAAAATTACTGAATGTGGGCTGATATAGTGACTCATTTTTAACAGACAGACTAGGGGAAGGGAAAAATAATAACTTTACAGTGGAGAAATCTGGCAGACACCACCTTATCAAGTATTCAAGATGAACCTTCCCAACAAGTCATGGTGCTTCTGAAGAGCACTTCATCTCTGTGGTATTCTTCTCCCAAATCTATGCCCCAGATTAATCATGACATAGCATCAGACAAGCCCAAATTGAGGGACATTCTACAAAGTATCCAACCAAGCACCCTTCAAAAGTGTCAAGGTCGTAAAAAGCAAGCAAAGACTGAGAAGCTATCACAGATTGATGGAGACTAAGGGGTCATGATAACTAAATACAATATGGACATTAGTGGAAAAACTGGTGAAATCCAAGTAAATTCTGTAGTTAATAGTGTTGTACCAATGTCAATTTCTTAGTTTTGATAAATGCACTATGGTTAGATAAGATGTTAATATTAGAGGAAGCTGGATAAAGAACATATGAGAACTCTCTTTGCAACTTTTCTTAAATCTAAAGTTATTCCAAAATAATTTTTTTAAACTACTCCTGAAATTCTCTTGAAAATGCCCTATGTTGTGAATGAGAACCATGTGATACCTTGAAAGAAGATTAACATGTCAGGTTTTCTTCCAGCATTAGGGCAGATTACTGTTTTCTTAATAGGTATTTAACATGAATTTTTCTGGTGCTGGTAATACAGCAGTGAGAAAACAGTTAAAAAAATCTCTGCCCTCCTAGAGCTTACATTCTAGTAGGGATGTAATAAAAGAAATAAGCAAAATGTATTATCTGTAAAATAGTATTAAGTGCTATGGAAAAAATAAAGCAGGAAAGAAAGTATTGGAGGGTTGATAAAAGTTTAGAGGTCTAAAGATGTCCTCCCTAAGAAGATGACTTTAATGTAAAGACATGAAGGAAGTGAGAAAAAGAGCCACATCAGACAAACTCAATGGATATTTTGGAGAAAAGCATTCCAGATAGAGGAAATAGTGTGTGCAAAGGCCCTGAGACAGCACTTGCCTGGTATAACTGAAGAACAGCAAGGGATGCTGTTTGCTTACTTGAACCACAGATAGAGTAGCTAGTTTTCATTTGGAGTCATGTTGTAGGAAAAATGTGTGTCTTTGAATTAAACTCAGCTTGGTGAGTTACTTACATTATGAGAGGCATGTGGGAACTCCACCTGATTGAAGGGGCAGTCTTCTTCCATCTCATCTAGGGTCATATGCTTATCCAGTGAAATGGAAGGCTAAACTCTCCACACTATTGAAAATGTTATAGGCCAGGCGCAGTGGCTTACCCCTGTCATCCCAGCCTGTGGGAGGCCGAGGCAGGTGGATCACTTGAGGTCAGGAATTCGAGACCAGCCTGGGCAACATGGTGAAACCCCGTCTCTACAAAAAAATACAAAAATTAGCCTGGCATGGTGGTGCATGCCTATAGTCTCAGCTACTTGGGAGGCTGAGGCAGGAATCACTTGAATCTGGGAGGCGGAGGTTGCAGTGAGCCAAGATCGCGCCGCTGCACTCCAGCCTGGGTGAGAGAGCAAGACTCTGTCTCAAAAAAGAAAAAAGAAAATGTTATATATCTTTTATTTTTTGGTCGAGCACATGTAATTTATGTTGAATTTGTTAAAGGCAAAGAAAAGATGTTTACTTTATGTGCCAACTTTGTGATATGACTACAGAGCCCATTCATGATGAAGACATTGAGTGTTGCTAGGAAAGGTTGACTTACTCCTTGTTGGCTGCCTGTTGTCTCTGGCTTTCCTCGTTGAATGTGTACTCTCCTACCTGCTTGGGAGGAAGTGGCCAGGAGGAGTGTGCTGTGTCTTTTTTCCCTTTGGTAGACAATGTGGCTGCTGCTGCTGGTGGTAAATTATGATGGTTCTACTCTGCCCTTCATGAATGTCACTGTCACGGCAATAAAGTGTGCATTAGTAGAGCATGGGATTGTTGCATTTGGCTTTAGAATGTCCTTTGATAAAGAATTCCTTTATTATGGGTCCTAAAAGGCAATCTCTTTAAATGTACCTTTCAAACACTGGGCTAGTTATATAGATGTGTGTTCCAGTTACTCATGTATAGCTAGTTAGTCCCATGATGGAGACTATATGGCTGAAAGCCTGCTAGGAATAAAAGAAAATGAGAGTTTCTTCTACAGAATAGAGCATTATAGTTTCATTTGGAGCTTGAATATCTTATAACAAATACCATGGCTTTAAAGACATATAACAGAAGGAAAAACACTTTTATCTTTAACCTATAAAAATGTATCCCTCTTTTAATCATCTAGAATTGTATATATAAATATAAACTGTAAAATTAGAAAGACCTGAAGATACTTGAATAAAAAGAAATAAAAATTTCTTTTATTCAAAATGTATCTTTATCCTCTGGCTTAGACTTTTCCATCTTTAGGAGATGTATAAAATGGAACCCTTTCAATTGAATTATCTCAGGAACTCGTTTTACTGTGTCATTAGGAAAAATAACAACGGTTTGGGAATAACATAAAATATCCTTGTGTCTGAAGTATCTGGGTTTAAGTAGAAATTTTATATCATCTGGGGGCAACTTTTTATTTTTGGGATTGAGTTCTTTGTCTATGTAAACTTACTTTATGTAGTTTTAAAGTAACTACATAAAGAATTTTCCTTCCATTTCCGTAGTGTGCTAGGCCAAAATTGGTTCTGTTTTATGTATTATTGACAGTTTTGATTGAGTCCTACCATACCTTTCAGGGAAGATTGTTGAGGTGGTTGCTGTGGAACGTTAAGGAACGAACACTTTCCATAGGACCCTGCTTGTGGTATTCTGATAGAATCAGAAGTTAGATTCTTGGGTTACACTTAAACCCTTCCAATGAAAAGGACTTTTTATTATACTCTGAAATGAGAATGAAATATTCATTTGCTTGGAACCTGTTAAATTCTTAAATTTCATATAGGAGTTACAGAATAAAGACCTATTGTTGACTAAGGCTAATCTGAAAATCTCTATCATACTTCTCTGCAAGCTGTAAAAGCTGTGCAGCTGTACTCTGGGGCTTGGTATTTAAAACCTTTGGATTTCCTGAGATTGGTAGTGGGAAGGAGTGTAGAAGTGAAAATGCCAAGGAAATTACTGCTCTTCTTGATCGGGGATTGTAGGTACTTCTCTGACCTTTAATTCAAGATTCCTTATTATGAGTCACCTTAATGTTCCCCTGGAAATCACATGTTTTGGGGAACACCTAAATAGCTCTCTTCATTCTGTAATTGGGGAATATGTAGGGAAGGGTAGATTATTCATAGAGCATCTTTCGTGGTGGAGGAATCTGAGTGCTTGGAGGCCTTGCAGCAGGAAGTGGCATTTACAAATGGTGCTCAGAACAAGAACACTGCCTGTGTCCCTAGCCAAAAAGAAACTAAGGACCTAGCATGAGTTCCCATTAAAATCTGTGTGGACTGAGTCATTAAAGCTAAGTTAACGGCTTCACTTTTTTCTTTGGCCAAAAGGACAAGACATACTTCTTGATATCTGAGAAACTGAACTGCAGATGAATTTAAAGATAGTATTGGGGTGCCCAGTTTCTCTTAAAAAGAAAAAGGAGGGGAAAGAGAACAGGCTTGTCTATGTTGTATGGTTCTTCAAATGTTAATTTAAGCAAAATAATTTGATTTGACTCCTTGAAGCTTACCTTGGAGAACTATAATTTGATAGACTATTTTATATTTTTACAATAGATTTTCTTCATCAGCTAGACTAGTAGAAGTTAATTTTTTTTTTTTTTTTTTTTGAGATGGAGTTTCGCTCTTGTCACCCAGTCTGGAGGGCAGTGGCGCAATCTCGGCTCACTGCAACCTCCACCTCCCGGGTTCAAGCAGTTCTCCTGTCTCACCCTCCCAAGTAGCTGGGACTACAGGTGCCCACCCCTCCCACCCACCACACCTGGCTAATTTTTGTATTTTTAGTAGAGGTGGGGTTTCACCATGTTGACCAAGCTGGTCTCGAACTCCCGACCTCAAGTGATCCGCCCGCCTTGGCCTCCCAAAGTGCTGTGATTACAGGCATGAGCCACCGTGTCCGGCCGAATATTTTTAGTGATAGTATAATTGTGTTTACTTTTGGCCTCATGAGAGAAAGGAAAATATACTATTCTATTAAATACTTCTTGGTAGCTGGGTCTCAATTTTCCTGCTCTTAGGTCTGGGCATACTTTTATAAAAGTCTTGAGTGTATTTTTTTTCTATTATGGCTCCATGTCACCCCCATTCATTCATTCAGCAAATACTTATTGAGCATCTACTATATGTCAGGAACTTTTCTAGCTCCTGGGGAGCTAGCTCCTGCCTTCTGGGAACTTAGGTTCTAGAGGGTAAAGACAAAAAAGAGGCAAGAATGTATGTCAGACAGTGATAAGTGTCATGGAGAAAAATAAAGTAGGGCAGTGGAGATATGGATTATTTGGGGAAGGGAATGTGCTGTGTTTTAAGGTGATCAGGGACAGTCTTACTGAGAAGGTGACAGTGGGGCAGAGACCTGAAAGGAATGAGGGCGAAAGCCATAAGAACACCTGGGAGAAGAGCTCCCCGGTAATGGGAACAACAAGGGGAGCCAGGGTGGGGCTGTGAGTGAGGAGGAGCAGTAACAGAAGTCAGAGTGTTTGTGGGGCCGGATCTGTAGGATCTCATAGCCAAGAGAAGGATTTAGGATTTTTTTCCTGTGTGAGTTGCATCCTAATACGATTGTTGATATTTCTTCTGCCCAACCTCCTTCATTTTCCTATACCATTTCCAGTTGTTTCAACATGTAAACTTTGTTAAGGTTTCAAAAATAAACAGATATAACCCAAATAACAATGTATTAAATGCAAAAGATTGAAATCTGCATGTCTATTTCTACTAAACCTCTCTTCTTTATATGTGTCATTTGCTGGGGAAAGCAGCATTTGCTACTGACCTATTTAAATATGCTGAGCTCAGAGCCCTTCCCAGCCCAACAAGATGCACTTAACCCTCTGTGGGGATAGAAAGTTGATAGATTGTTTCGTGATTGTATTGTGCGGGTTTTTTTTTGTTTTGTTTTCTTTTGTTTGTTTGTTTGTTTTTGCACCTGACTTTGATATTTATCTGTGTCTGGGCATTTTTTAGAAAGTAAGCTCTGAAGGCCAGGTGCAGTGGCTCATGCCTGTAATCCCAGCGCTTTGGGAGGCCGAGGTGGGCAGATCACTTGAGGTCAGGAGTTCGAGACCAGCCTGGCCAACATGGTGAAACCCTGTCCCTACTAAAAATACAAAAACTAGCTCTGGGTGTGGTGGCAGGCACCTGTAATCCCAACTACTTGGGAGGGTAAGGCAGGAATCGCTTGAACCTGGGAGGCAGAGGTTGCAATGAGCCAAGTGGTGCCACTGCGCTTCAGCCTGGGTGACAGAGCAAGACTGTCTCAAAAAAAAAAATAAATAAATAAAAAGTCAGCAAGCTCTGAGAAGACAGGTATGTTTGGAGTATAATGGTTATTGTGATTGATTCCCTGACACCCAGTCCACCCCACTATGGTCATTTCAGTTGACTCCCTTATGTCAAGTCCCTCCTCCTAAGCCACTCATGGCATTCCTGTGCTCCTTGCTGGTTATTTATTAGTTAAGGATTGGGCCATTGGTTTGGTCATGGCTAATGTTGAGGGAGCTTCTATGAAGGATTTCCTTGCTTCTAAGAAAGACACGGAGAGAAGGTTGCCTTTCTTCCTTTGGTCATTGCTGTGTCTGGTTGTGATGCCTGGAATTGCTGCAGTTATTTTGCTACCCGCCTGAGAATGAAATTAGTATGTTCTGAGCTACAGGATTATCTAATTCTGGGTCCTTCTCACTTTGGGCTTTTTATGGCATGAGATATATATCCTCGTTGTTTGAGACAGGTTTATTTGTTTTGTTTACAGCTGAAAGCATCCTAACTGGTAAAGATGTATTAATTCCCTTCCTGAAGTTTTTTTTTCAGAATACGTTATATGGATTTACATGCAGTGTTTTTCAGTAATATTTAGCCCTATGGATTCCAAACTTACTGAAATGATTTAGCAGATTAGAGTGGGAATGTAGTGACATTAAGTTGCCCTTGTTAACATCTGGAGTTTTGTTTCATAAAAGCAGTATGAAAATTTTGTGTGTTTAAAGAGCTGAAAAGGAAAAATAAAAGAAGTACAGATACAGAAAAAAAAAACAAGGTTATTAGACTGTGTTGTTCAAATATTCTGTAGCTGTACTAATTTTCGTTGGCATATTTGTAATTGAATGTGCTGTACTGAAACCTCCCATTATGATGGTGACTTTGTCAATTTCTCCTTACAATCTTATCAGTCTGACATATGTATTGACATTTATATATTTATATTTCTCTAGATTATTTTCTTAGATGCGTAGAGTTTATAATGGTTATGTCTTTCTGGTGAATTACAATTTTTATATTATGTAAAAAAATAAAGAGCTGAAAAGACCTTTTAGACCATATTAATTTATTTTAATGATTGTACCCTGCTCTTTAAGTTAGCAACATCTGAACTATCAATAGTAGAAAAGAAAGGTAAATTATATGATACAAACCCATGTCCATGTACCAGATTCATCACAGCTATTCTTGCATGAGCCCAGATACTTTAAATTAAAAAAAAAGAAATGTTGAAGAACTTGGAATTCATCCCTTTATCCCATTCATTTATTAAGAGTTTTCTTTTTTTTTTTTAGTTTCTATTATTTTTATTTTATTTTTTATTATTATTATACTTTAAGTTTTAGGGTACATGTGCACAATGTGCAGGTTAGTTACATATATATACATGTGCCATGAGAAGAGTTTTCTCAAGCACAGGTAATCCTAGCAAATTGAGACATCAATATTTGAGGGTTTTAAGGTGGCCAGACTGTGGGCTCATCAATTTCCGTACTTTTCCGTCATCCAACTGAGTTTTGTGGGTGAATAATGTTACCATTTTATTTATTTTAAAGCAACATATTTGGTATTTTTTTTCTCACATATCTCTTTTTGTTCTTATAGAGGCTAGGAGTAGAACTTTGCTGTTCAAATGGGGAGTGAGCAGTAAAATTAAAAAGGTTGGCCAAGACCCTGGGAAAATGCGAACAGTGCGTGTCTTTTTTGCATCTGAACTGAAATCTGAGAGGTTCCTAGGTTCTGCACAAGGTAGCTTTGTGCATATTTCTCTGATTGCTGAGCCTGGAGTGAGCTACCTGACAGGCCTCTGATAATCAATTCCAAAGCACACACTGTTCTCTTTCAGCATCTTGTAGGGAAAGGTGGACAAAGAGTGTGAAATAAATATTCTCTTCCCAAGTCTCCCATCCCAAGTGTCTCTTTGAGGTGGGATACTGACGAAGACTTAAAAATACCCATCTCGCTTGCTCCCTCCCACATCCCTAAATACAACAAGCAGCAAACAACCCCAAATGCCTAACAGGAAGACAGTTCCTTTTTAATTTTGGCAAAATCTAGGAACTCTTTGTGTTGTGGTGTCCAGAAACATAAAAGGAGAATTCTATGAAAAGATTTCAGCTAATTAACATTTACAGGGTGCCCATTGCTGTGCCACCATGTGAGGTGTTATTTAAGCTTTGCAGAGGTAAATTAAAATGTGCTTTTTGTTGCCTTGCCTGCTTAAAGGGGAAAGCAGAGGCATGGGATGTTATTATAAAGTAAGGAGGTTGATTTTCATGTGAGGCCTAGTGCAAATCAGCCTGTTGTTTATTCTGAAAAGCATGCTGTTTTCTACAATTCAGACTTCATTATTTATTTGCTTGTTTCTTATATTAAGATTGCTCAGTGGCACAAATAAGGAAAAAAAAACCCATAAGAATAGAGAGGATGAAGGGGGCAGAGAAAAGGGAGGGAACTCAGAAGGTGAAGAAATATTGTGGTTTGCCTGAGGGAATCTGGGAAGTAAGGAGATGGAAGAAGTTGGGCGATCCTTTCAGTTAAAATAAGTGAAGACAGTTGTGGGTTAGGAGAAATAAGACTTTCTAGTTATGAAGATCTTACACATGTAACTGGTCAAATATTTTAGATTCTAGATGGACATTTCAAGAGAAGAGGTAATATAATGTAATAAAAATTTTGGCTAATGATTAATGACTGCTTAACATGTATGTGTTGAAACTGATGGAGAACAGGACTTTATATATATTACTCAGCTAACTTTACTTGTAACAATCCTATGAGGTGGATACTCTTTTTTTTTTTTTTTGAGATGGAGTCTTGCTCTTTCGCCAGGCTGGAGCGCAGTAGCGGGATCTCGGTGTACCTCAACCTCTGCCTCCTGGGTTCAAGTGATTCTCCTGCTTCAGCCTCCCGAGTAGCTGGGAGTGTGCCACCATGCCCGGCTAATTTTTTTTTTTTTTTGTATTTTTAGTAGAGATGGGGTTTCACCATGTTGGCCAGGATGGTCTTGATCTCCTGACCTCGTGATTCGCCCACCTCAGCCTCCCAAAGTGCTGGGATTACAGGCGTGAGCCACCGTGCCCGGCCGAGGTGGATACTCTTTTCATTTCCATTTTTTTTTTTTTGGTCTTTTTTTGAGGAGGAAACTGAAGCTTAGAGAGATTACATTTCCTAAAGTCTCAGCTGGTAAGTAATAAAACCAAGGTTTGGACCAAGACTGTGCCCCTAACGGCTATCCTATACTGTATCTGAATACTTGAGGAAATAAAATATACAACTGAAATTATTTTGCATTTTTTAAAGAAACAGTAGCAATAGGGGCATAGAATCTTAAAATTTAAAAGGTCTTAGAGGTCAGATTATAGAGAAAAAAATGGAAGTCCAGGGAGAGTTCCTAAACTGTGTCATGGGGTACCTTGGAAAATTTTTTACCTTTGTATTCAACTTCCCAAAAACCATAAAATGCATAATTTTCTCTGTCAATTTTTTTCCAGTTTTTTGTTCATTATGAATGTCGGGGAAGGTATCTATTTTAAATTGGACTCTGTCATAAGTAATGCTTGAAGAATTACATGTTGTGCTTGGCAATTTGCACTGCATGCAAAGCTGGAATGTAGGGAATTTTTCTGTTTTGTACTCTCTCTCTTATTATGTGTAGGGTAAGGAGAATGGAGCCCTAATGCAGTTTCTTTAGGAAGTGTAGTACACCACCAGTAGTTAAAATGATTATTATGCGGTAATGCCAAGGGCTGTAGAATAGAATTTAAACATTACTTGATGTTTTCTAGATAGATCTTAAAATAGATATCGATATAAAACAAACTGGAAGGTACAGAAAATTAATTTTAGAATGTCAATTCTGGATATATTTTGATGAGAATATGAGAAAGTAGCCACAAATCACACCGTGCACCATGAAATTTGCAACAGAAATTTCATAGCCAAATATATTTAAGTGTTCTTGGAGCCCGCTTTTTGTTTTATTAAAAAAGACCTATCCAAATTTGTTTGAGTTCATTGTAGATTCTGGATATTAGCCCTTTGTCAGATGAGTAGGTTGCGAAAATTTTCTCCCATTTTGTAGGTTGCCTGTTCACTCTGACGGTAGTTTCTTTTGCTGTGCAGAAGCTCTTTAGTTTAATTAGATCCCATTTGTCAATTTTGGCTTTTGTTGCCATTGCTTTTGGTGTTTTACACATGAAGTCCTTGCCCATGCCTATGTCTTGAATGCTAATGCCTAGGTTTTCTTCTAGGGTTTTTATGGTTTTAGGTCTAACGTTTAAGTTTTTAATCCACCTTGAATTAATTTTTGTATAAAGTGTAAGGAAGGGATCCAGTTTCAGCCTTCTACATATGGCTAGCCTGTTTTCCCAGCACCATTTATTAAATAGGGAATCCTTTCCCCACTGCTTGTTTTTCTCAGGTTTGTCAAAGATCAGATAGTTGTAGATATGCGGCGTTATTTCTGAGGGCTCTGTTCTGTTCCATTGATCTATATCTCTGTTTTGATACCAGTACCATGCTGTTTTGGTTACTGTAGCCTTGTAGTATGGTTTGAAGTCAGGTAGCATGATGCCTCCAGCTTTGTTCTTTTGGCTTAGGATTGACTTGGTGATGCGGGCTCTTTTTTGGTTTCATATGAACTTTAAAGTAGTTTTTTCCAATTCTGTGAAGAAAGTCATTGGTAGCTTGATGGGGATGGCATTGAATCTATAAATTACCTTGGGCAGTATGGCCATTTTCACGATATTGATTCTTCCTACCCATGAGCATGGAATGTTCTTCCATTTGTTTGTATCCTCTTTTATTTCATTGAGCAGTGGTTTGTAGTTCTCCTTGAAGAGGTCCTTCACATCCCTTGTAAGCTGGATTCCTAAGTATTTTATTCTATTTGTAGCAAGTGTGAATGGGAGTTCACTCATGATTTGGCTCTCTGTTTGTCTGTTATTGGTGTATAAGAATGCTTGTGATTTTTGCACATTGATTTTGTATCCTGAGACTTTGCTGAAGTTGCTTATGAGCTTAAGGAGATTTTGGGCTGAGACAGTGGGGTTTTCTAGATATACAATCGTGTCGTCTGCAAACAGGGACAATTTGACTTCCTGTTTTCCTAATTGAATACCCTTTATTTCCTTCCCCTGCCTAATTGCCCTGGCCAGAACTTCCAACACTAAGTTGAATAGGAGTGGTGAGAGAGGGCATCCCTGTCTTGTGCCAGTTTTCACAAATTTACAAGAAAAAAACAAACAACCCCATCAAAAAGTGGGCAAAGGATATGAACAGACACTTCTCAAAAGAAGACATTTATGCAGCCAAAAGACACATGAAAAATGCTCATCATCACTGGCCATCAGAGAAATGCAAATCAAAACCACAATGAGATACCATCTCACACCAGTTAGAATGGCAATCATTAAAAAGTCAGGAAACAACAGGTGCTGGAGAGGATGTGGAGAAATAGGAACACTTTTACACGGTTGGTGGGACTGTAAACTAGTTCAACCATTGTGGAAGTCAGTGTGGCGATTCCTCAGGGATCTAGAACTAGAAATACCATTTGACCCAGCCATCCCATTACTGGGTATATACCCAAAGGACTATAAATCATGCTGCTATAAAGACACATGCACACGTATGTTTATTGCGACACTATTCCCAATAGCAAAGACTTGGAACCAACCCAAATGTACAACAATGATAGACTGGATTAAGAAAATGTGGCACATATACACCATGGAATACTATGCAGCCATAAAAAATGATGAGTTCATGTCCTTTGTAGGGACATGGATGAAATTGGAAATCATCATTCTCAGTAAACTATCGCAAGGACAAAAAACCAAACACCGCATGTTCTCACTCATAGATGAGAATTGAACAATGAGAACACATGGACACAGGAAGGGGAACATCACACTCTGGGGACTGTTGTGGGGTGGGGGGAGGGGGGAGGAATAGCATTAGGAGATATAGCTAATGCTAAATGACAAGTTAATGGGTGCAGCACACCAGCATGGCACATGTATACATATGTAACTAACCTGCACATTGTGCACATGTACCCTAAAAGGTAAAGTATAATAATAAAAAAAAAGAAAAAAAAAGACCTATCCAAATGCTGAAAATGAAACTAGTAGGAATTATATAAAGATGAAATAACTTATATTGAGGATTTTACATAGTTATCACAACTTAGATATTTTTCTATTCAAAAAATAAAAAAGCCTAGTACCATATCTAGGAAAACAGACTAATGCTGTAAAAGTGCCTCAGCTATCCAATAGACATTTTATTACTAAAATTTCTCCTGGGGGTGGTGGGGGAAGATGGAATTTCCTGGTTGATTTATAGCATGGTATTTAAGATGCAAAGAACTATGTTGCTTTGTTTCATGGGACCCATCACGCCGGGCACGGTGGTTCACAACTGTAATCCCAGCAGTTTGGGAGGCTGAGGCAAGCGGATCACTTGAGCTCAGGAGTTCAAGACCAGCCTGGTCAACATGATGAAACCCTGTCTCTACTGAAAATACAAAAATTAGCCAGGGGTGGTGGCGCGTGTCTGTAATCCCAGCTATTCGGGAGGCTGAGGCAGGAGAATCGCTTGAACCCAGGAGGTGGAGGTTGCAGTGAGCTGAGATTGTGCCACTGCACTCCAGCCTGGGTGACACAGTGAGACTCAGTCTCAAGTAAATAAATAAATAAAATAAAATTAAGAGACCCATCAGTGTTTTGTGTTTGGTTACTCTCCAGTAATAACTTTGTAATTTCCACCTAGCTCCTGCATTGATCTTGCATTTTTCAATCCAATGCATTTTGGTTGGTCTACTTATACACTTAATTCCCATAGCAAGCCTCATTAATCTCATTAATTCCATGCCCTAGTGAACTGCTGAGAAGAAAAGTTGTCATTACCATGGATTCTATCACATGAAGGGATGGAATGGTGGAAACCACCTTCCGTTTTCTCCCTCTGTCTCTGTTTTGCTGCTGTCCAAATATTTAACATTAAAAGAGTATTATAAAAAACAAATTGATTTCAGACATTTGAGGGATAACATATTTGAGATTTAATGTATTTGGGGAACTGAGAAGTGTTTGATGTGAGGTAGAGGTACAAGGAAATGGGAGTGGGTTTTATATGCATAATAGTGCATGCCAGAGCTAGGATAGGCTAGAGGCTAGATTATGTGTCAGTTACAAATGACCCCCAAATCTCGTTGGCTTGCACCATAGACATTTTTTCTTGCTCATGCTATATATCCAATGTGGATTGGTACCCAGACTGACAGAGACTTCCTTCACCATATCTCCAACTATGACCACCCTTACAGTGGGGAGGGAAAGGAGCTTTCTGTTGAGACATGATTCATGGGCCAAAGCAAGTCTTACAGCAATGCCCACCTGCAGGTGGGGAGGGGAAGAGCCATCAGACTTTGTGTCTCAACAGGAAGACCCGATACCAATGACAGCCAGTACTGTTCCCTAACTTTTCTTGAGAAAGAGTGATATCAGTAAAGGATTAAGGTGGGGGCAGTGCCAACCACTTCAGTCTTGCCTTGCTCCTTGGGGAGTATTTTCTTTTAAAAAAATTGATTAATAGGCTGGGTGCGGTGGCTCACGCTTGTAATCCTAGCACTTTGGGAGGCTGAGGTGGGTGGATCACTTGAGGTCAGAAATTTGAGACCAGCCTGACCAACATGATGAAACCCCGTCTCTACTAAAAATACAAAAAATTAGCTGGGCGTGGTGGTGGGCGCCTGTAATCCCAGCTACTGGGGAGGCTGAGGCAGGAAAATCACTTGAACCTGGGAGGCAAAGGTTGCGGTGAGCCAGGATTGTGCCACTACGCTCCAGCCTGGGTGACAGAGTGAGATTCTGTCTCAAAAAACAAATAATAATAATTGATTAACAATATTGCATATGGAGGCAAGGACCCAATATGTGATTCCAGGGCATGTTAGTTCATTCTCTTCTTCATTCTTTTGTTCCTTCACTCCTTCACTAAATATTTATTTAAAGATCACATATCAAGTACATGATGTGAGTGCTGATATATTTTATTGATTTTGCTTTTGCTTGTGTAATCTGTAGTGATTATTTCTTTAACCCATTTTTTCTGTCTTGTCAATTTTTAGTTGCACTCAGGAGCAGCCTTTTGTTTGCATGTTTATTTTGAATCTGTTATTTCTTAAATTCCTTCAGGGTGTGCACCTGATCTGTTTTCTTTACCGTACTATCCACATGTATTATTAGTAAATATTTGATAATGAGAGAGAAACCATAGTTTATTGGTTATATCTTTTTCAATATTTCTCTGAAGCAGTTTTGATTTTAAAAAACTATCCCAGTCTATTAGCATTTTAATCAGCATCTTGAAATTTTATCTGTAATACACAGGTAGAATTTTTCCCTTGCTGTTTTACTTGTAGAGTCAAATGACTCTAGTATGTGTTGTTCAGGTGACACAAAAAAACCTCTGCGTAATGAGTAAAATTATCCCAGAGGAGGGAGCTCTTTTAGACAATGAAACATAGTGGGGTCCTTGAGTGCAACTAAAATTTCTTTTCTGATTAATCACCGTCCCCTTGATTCATCTTTGCTTGGTCTTGTGTATTTCCATTGCATAGTCTGACTTATAATGTGGTTCTGCAGTTGAGTCTTTCTTAGAACTGGGTGATCACAGGAAGTTATCTTATTTATCTTTGTAGTCCATTACCCCTCCTCTCACCCTACAGGCCTTACTCAGTAACTTGTGCATAGTAGCTGTTCAATAAAAGCTTGTTAAATATTAAGGTGATAGATATCACAGTTACCCTGATTTGATTATATGAATGTATCAAATTATCACCTATACCCCTAAAATATGTGCATGTATTATGTATCAATGAAACATAAAATCTTGTTAAGGGATTTGATTTTCAATGATGATAGGGGTTGTGCTTTTGAAGTGATGCAAGGCTAAGAACAAAACTGTAATTGTTTAATTCAGAAAGTAGTTGTGGAATGGAGTCTGAAGGGAGACACGACAATATGGCCTGCACGAAGGAAGATTTTGTGTATAGAATGTTCTAGCCTGTTTAGATTGCCTTGACTTGTGTCAGGGGAGCAGTTTGTTTCACTTTGCCTATATAAGATTAATGTTTCTGAGATGAAAAAAACACACAAAAAAGGAGCTTTTTGACGTAATCAAGCCTCTATCAATCACTTCTTGCTTCCTAATAACTTTTGTATCTTCCTTTCAGGAGAGCAGTTGAAGTGAATTCTTCTGGGACCAAATCCAGTGTTTCTGCCTTGAAGAAACATAATTAACTGACATTTTAAAAGCCACTTTATAGACCTGTTCTGACTCTGGTCTAAGGACATTACTTGATTTATAGTTTATGAAAAGTCTACTTTTAGAATTTGGGTATGTTTTATGGTAGCTCTTTTAGTTGATTGCTTTCATTTTTCTTTGGGAAATTATCTAGAATAGCTGTAGTGATGTCATCAGAAGCTTGACTTTTACCTCTGTGTACTTAGAGGGCTGACTGACGCACAGGGAAATATTTCACCATGAATGGTGAGGATAAGCTTATGTGTGTAAGGAAAAGGTAACTGCACTGCAAGCAGCTTCCCCCTCCCTCCCTCTCCAGGGAGGGGATGATAGCTATTATTAATTGATTTTTCTCTTACTATGGAAACCAAGGGTTTAGATATTAATGGAAAAAAATTATTGAAATGTCAAGGATTTTGTTTTGTGGCTTGGGTTCCCTGAAGCCTAGCTTGAAGAGACCAGCAGTGAATTACAGTGTCGCACTGTAAAGACACTGACAAGATTTTTGTCATTAAAGTTAAAAATATTGCAGCAGATTGCCTGGGTAATCAGACCTTCCTTTGATGTGTGTGGTAAGAATTCTTATTCAAGGGAACTGAGGCGGGATATATATTCATTATTAGAGACTCCAGCGTGGATATGATTTTAGGTTTCAATGAAAAGCTTTCTTCCAGAATTACCATGCTTGAGGAAATATGATTAAGAGTTGATCACATTTGTTCACCAGCCACAGACATTCTTGCCAGTTTGAGAGCACGGGTACGAGTGATCTCTGTGCTTCTAGGCATATGCACCTATCATTGTTGGGTCTTCCAAGGATCTAATATGTCAATCCAGATCCATGCATCTGGTGGCTTTCATCCCTCTGCCTGGAGCACAGCCTCACTTTCATGATAATGGATGCCCTTCCAACTTTCTAATAAGGAGGCTTTGTGTTGGTCCTCGTGTTTGTTCTTGGGATATAGGTAAAAGAAAAAAAAAATCCTTTGAAAGTCTGTAAGTCCACACTGGGTGCTTCCCTGTCATCTTTTTTTCTTGAGACAGTGTCTTACTTTGTCACCCAGGCTGGAGTGCAGTGGTGCAATCATGGCTCACTGCATCTTCGACCTGCTGGGCTCAAGCGATCCTCCCACCTCAGCCACCTGAGTCGCTAGGACTATGGGCATTTGCCACCATGCCTGGTTAATTTTTAAATTTTTTTGTAGAGAGGAGGTCTCACTATGTTGGCCAGGCTGGTCTCAAACTCCTGGGCTCAAGTGATCCTCCCGCCTTGGCCTCCCAAAGTGCCGGGTTTACAGGCATGAGCCACTGCACCTGGCCCCCCATCATCTTTATCCTTCAAGTAAAGAGTCCTGGAGGGACTGGTCCGTGTCCATAGGTGAGGAGTGTCAGTGTTGTCACGTGGCCAATCCGTGCCCTCTGCGGAAGGTGCCAGGCTAAGAAAAATATATCGAAACAAGATAAAACCAAACCAAATAGCCACAAACTTCTCCTATCCCATAGCGACCACCTGCCCCTTCCTGCCTGCTTCTCATCATAGTATCCCACGTTGAGGCTTGGAGGGTTGAGCCCCACGTCTAGACTTGAATACTTGGAACATGTGAGGCCAACTGCTGCTACTTTCCCAGGTTCTTGTGATTTAAACTCTGGGCTACTAGTGCTCTGGACACTTAAAATTAGTCACTTAGTGGATCAACTAAGTGCGTATTGCTGGACTTAGTTTTGTAGGCATCATTTAAGAAATTCCTGGAAACAAAATAGGAACTATTTATAAAGTTATTGACCTTTTGCCAGCATAGTTCCATATAGAATATGAAACTGGTCTCATTTCATACCTCGCCTCATTCCATACCTTGTCCATAGTTAGTGTTCAAAATGTCAGGTCGAATGAATGAGGAATGAGTATCAGACAGATTTATTTATGGAAGGCAGCAAAGTGAACAAGGGCAAAGGCATGGGTAGGGAGACAAGCCTGGGAGAACTTTAAGGAGTCAAGGAAAATAACAGATTTTGGGGAATGGTGAGATGAGAGATGGTTGAGTAGAGATGGCTGGGTTAGAGCAGGATTCACCTAAGGAGCATCCCACTCAGTGCAGTAAAAGACTCGCCCTGAGAAATACTCATGTGAACTCCCTTTGTGCAGTCTGTGTGGTTGGATTTCTCTGACTTTATGCAAATATAACATGACTCCACTGTGAATGTGTTGGTGCTTTCAAGAAGCTGCAAAACTCTTACTACTATCCCATTTTAGATGAGGAAATGGAGACTCAGAAGAGTCAAGAAATCTGCCCAAAGTCTCACAGTTGGAGCCTCTCTGCAGACCCTCAAAATATGCATATGTATTCCCATGTAAAAATGTCAGGTTTTCCAATGTTCCTCCTGGACCCAACTGTATAGTGTTGATTTGCCCTGAGTGAAAGTAGGGAGGTGACAAGAAATAGGAACTAAGTAAGGTTGTTTCTTGTGTGATTTTATGGAATCAAAAAGGGTAGTTGAATCAACAGGTTTTGCTTCCACCTGAAATAACATCTTCATTTTGTTCTGCTCTTTCTTAAACATCTGTGATGGTTTAAACTTTTGGGAGTTCAGTTGGATTGTATTGAGGGTAAGCTTCCAAGAGGGGACAACTATTGGCCCCAACAAACTATTGCCATAGAATCTTCTAGCACTTAAGTTAGTCCTGATGTTTCTCATAAATTCTAGCGATGATCAGCAATTTAGTCTTGAAAGTAGGCCTTTTAACTTTAGTTGTAGGAATCAATGACACAGAATTATTTGCAGCTATATCCTGATTTGAAGTAGTTTATAAAATTTGCTCATCCTGACTCGCTGTGTACATGGGCTGTGTATAGATCAGTGTGGGAGTGTGTGCTTGCTTCATTTTGAGGACTTTTTATTACATAAGCTGAGGAACTTAACTTGAAATTCTACGATATGACTTTTTATTCCTGAAGTGTTGCCAGGGCTTGGCTGATATTTCATGCCAAATTTAAAAAATAATATTATTATTTATAAGCAGTTACATTTTACCATGCACAGTCTGATTGTTTGGCTCATTATGACTCATGAGCAGCTGAAATGTGTGGCTTGAATTTTGAGTCAGTTCATTAGGAAATATTCAGCCAAAAAGCATTTATTGGGGCTCTTCTAGGCCCAGAATATCAAGGAGATTAATGCCGCCAGTAGTAGAGATGACTATTAACACTATGACATTTCAAATTTGAATGATACACTATTGAGGTGAGTCAGAAAATGTATCTAGTGATAACTAGTAATAGCTTGACATTGGGAAAATATTGACTGTTTTATTAATCTTTTAAGAAATATGGACATCTTTGCTATAATTAAAAAGCTGCCATTTATACCTAAATGCATCTATGTTAGGGAAGAGGGATGGTTTGATAGCTATAAGCTGGTTGGGTCTTTATTCAGAAATTGTGCTGACATTGACTTAGAGCGGTTCCTATAAATGAGGTCCCGATACAGTAACACTGCACTCATCATTTGGAAGTCAACTCTTGGCTCTTTTTGTTTAATAATATTGCCAGACTTTACAGCTGTACCATAATTTGAAACAGTATGAAAACTGCCCTATTTACTCATTCCAAGCAAAAGGGCTAATAGTGTTAGTTTTCTTGTCACAAGTTGATTGAATTGAGTAATAGCCAACTTAATTCACTCTTCCCTGGTTCTTTTTATCAAAACGTTTTCTTCCTTATGCAATCATTTTGATTTAAATTCTTTAAAAACAAAAGAGAAAAACATGCTAACAGTTACTCCTTTATTTTTTATCTGCCTCAGAATAGTTAAGAAAGGTTATGTTAGGAATTCCTGAAAATGGGGTCATATAAGGGCTTTATATCTTATGCTACCCAAATCCTTTTATGTAAACTGGAAAAAAAAATCAGATTCTGAATGAAAGCACAGGGAAAAAAGAGTCAGGGCTGATTTTAGCAGTAGCCCAAGAGGATGAATGTATTTTCATCGTACTGCCTTCCAGAAACAAGGGAGGTATGACTCAAGACCCAGTTGATACCTGTGTACTTTCCCAGGAGGCTGTGTTTATGATTCCTAGGGCCTGTAGATTGCATCTTACACAATATTGGATTCTGCTCATTTCTGTTGGTTAATTCAGTCTTCACATTCTCCAGTATAGCTTCTTTTGGCTCAGTTAAGATTTGCACTCCTCTCAGTTTACTTCTCCTGTTCCATTAAGGCTTATGTCATTGGCGTCGTAGGAAAGAATTATTTTTTCCTGTTCCCATTACTGTTGTTTTCTTCAATGGTCCTTCTTTGCTCTCCCCTAAAGGATCTGCCCTCAAACCACTTTACATCTCGACCAGGGTGTGATAGCTCTGCTTGGATGCACTTAAACAAAACATGGGGGAAAATGGAACTAACTCTCTGTGCTCCCTGCAAGACAGCACCCCTCCCCTGCATTGTCAACACTGCCAGCATTCTCCTCTCCCGTCCATGGGATCCAGTGAGAGGTATTTCGGTCCCAGATGTTTTAGGGTTAATTTGTGTGCTGCTGTTTCTGCTACATGCTGGTTCATTAGCCCATCTTCTGGCTTTCCTCAAGCCCATGCCTAGATTGGTGAAACCGTTTCTCTGATTTTTCTCTACACTTGACTTCCATCTCATTTTGCCAGGCCCTGCTCCCTGCTGGGCTGACCTGGCCCTTACCTAAGCCCCACACTCATACCTGCTAGCCCATCCGGATAAATGAACTCCATTCTATTGTCTTGCTGTTTGTAGAGGTTCACACAGCTCAAGACATTCTTCACCACCATCAGGTTATTTCTTCTCCCTTATTACGTTAGACTCCATTGAAGACTCTTAGTCTTCTCAAACTCAGCACTTGAATGATTGCCTGTGTTTGTAAAGCATTTTTACAGTGTGTATTTTCACCTAGAATGTCTCATTTACAAATGTTTCTAAAATGTATTCAGGCTAGGATTTGAATCCAGGCAGTCTGGCTCCAGAGCCTGTGTTCTTAAGTTACTAAGTTTTATATTTGGGATAATAGAGAGATGAGAATTTGGACAAAAACTTTTATATATAACCTGTTCCTTTGCTTGCATGGCATTCTATCTCATCATGGCCAACATGATCAAAATTTCTCAGCCGAAAATTACTATGTTGCTGGGTTTTGTTTTTGTTTTTTTTGTTTGTGTTTTTTGAGACAAGGTCTCACTATGTTGCTTAGGCTTGGACTTGATCTTTTGGGCTCAAGCAATCCTCCTGCCTCAGCCTCCTGAGTAGCTGGGACTATAGGTGCAGGCTACTGCCCAGCTTGCTGTTTTTCTTTTTATCAGGAAGTTCCCTTGAAGCTTTAAGCAACCAAACCTGACTTTTTCCTCTCTCACAAATGGCTGGGATTCATTGCCGGATTGATCGCTCCACCACTCACTCTTGTGGTCCACCATCTGCCAATGGACTCAGCTTTTAGGGAAAAAAAAAAGGATAGGCTGGGTGTGGTGGCTCACGCCTGTAATACCAGCACTTTAGGAGGCCGGGGCGGGCAGATCATGAGGTCAGGAGTTCAAGACCAGCCTGGCCAAATGGTGAAACCTTGTTTCTACTAAAAATACAAAAATTAGCCCGGCGTGGTGGCAGGTGCCTGTAATCCCAGCTACTCGGGAGGTTGAGGCAGAAGAATTGCTTGAACCCAGGAGGTGGAAGTTGCAGTGAGCGAGATCTCTGCACTGCACTACAGCCTAGGCGACAGAGCGAGACTCCATCTCAAAAAAAAAAAAAAAAAAAAAAAAAAAAAAGGATAGCCCTGACACAGGTTGAAAACCTGTTACATGGATCACAGAGAATGTGCATTTTTAAAAACCAGCCTCATTAGCAGAGATTATTAGCTATGTCCAACTAAGTTCCCTTTTAAAAAAATGTTTTCTTCTGTATTAAGGCTGTGACCCATAGATCTCATCCTCACAGCGGGGCATTGGAGTTGGTGCAGCTGAGCAGCAATTTATTAAAGGTACAAATTGAAGATTTCATATGGCACTTGGTCTTCCTCATGCCTCTTGTAGCCAAATATTTTTAATAGTGTCTGAAAAAAGTGTCAAGTTGAAAATTAGAGGATACTAAGACATGGAATATAATTAGGTACTGAAGAGATATGATGGCTGTTGTTCTAGGTGCTGAATTGCATATCTCAATCTGCATTTTTCTTTCACTTTTCGGGTTTGAAGACTTAGATAATCCCAGTATCTACAGAGGTTACTTAAGGATACTAAGTGACATGAGGTTTTATAGTCATAGGGGGAAATAGAGGTAAAATGGGAAACTAAAACGTTAATATTTAGGGCAGTATTTAAAAAAAGAATATAGTAATTGGGTCAGTTTATATATGTATGCATGTGTATGGGAAAGTCAGTGCATTGGAAAAGAGAGAAGGTTTTTTGCATTATATTCTAATACCATCATGTGTTAGAATCATGCTTTATAGGTGGGGAAATGAGCAGTAGAGAGGCTAAATGAGAGACCAAGAGACTCTGGGGAAGTGAGGACAGAGCTGGGATTGAAACACATCCTTCTGGATTCAAGTACACTTGACCTTTGCCTTCTGGCTGAGTGGATGGCAAGAAGGATCCACCATGTCAAGAGAAAAAATTAAAAGGGAAGATGTTCATCTAGGGGACTAGTGTGATATCACTGACTTTGCACTAAAAAAAATGGTTTAGCTCAACTCTGGGGGTTACCAGCTTTGTAACCTAGGTAAGTTGCTGAAGTTGGGGCCTCAAATCTGGAGATCCTCATAGCTAAAGGGAAAGGACTTTTTGAGGATAAGCTTATCTACCACCTTTGAAGATTGAGATAATGTGCATGACAATATCTGGAACTTGATAAATGTCAAATTCCCTTCTCCTTCCTTTACATATTGATCTGTAAGTTGTTTAAATTTTTGCTCATGACATTGTTTTCTCCTGAGTCCTCTTTGTCTTAAAAAAACTAACAGAGAGCCATGTTATTATATGCAACATGTAGACATAATAAGTTTTTTTTTTTTTTTTTTAAATATCAGTTTTGTGTGTTGTAAGGTAACTTCCAGGTAAGTTACCTTATGGCCAAATGGTTTGAAGTCTCATGGAGCCATGAAAATGTATCTACAATTTGACTTTTTTTTGAGACAAGGTCTCATTCCATTGCCTAGACTGGACTACAGTGGTGCAATCATAGCTCACTGCAGCCTTGAACCCCTGGGCTCAAGCGATCCTCCCACTTCAGCCTCCTGAGTAGCTAGGATTACAGGAACATGCCACCATGCCTGGCTATTTTTTTTTTTTTTGTATTTTTTGTAGAGATGGGGTCTTGCTTTGTTGCCCAGGATGGTCTCAAAATCCTGGCTTCAAGTGATCCTCCTGTCTCAGCTTCTCAGTGTCCTGGGATAATAGATGTGACCCTGGCCTATAATTAACTTTTAAGAAAATAGCAATAGTAGTATAAAGACCAAGAGAAATGGCAAGATGTTAACATCTTATGCCATTTGTTCTGGTGGCAGTGAATATTTATTTAACATGGCTATTATGCTGTGGAGTGGTTAATGTCCAGATCAGTTCCACATAATGTAAAGCCGACCTCAAGTAGGAGGAGGATAAATGGGTTAAAGGAAAAAAGACTAGCAGAGGTTCCTGTGGTTTATAAAAAGGAAGTGGTTGAGGGAGAAGATTAATGACTGAGGATTAGTAAACCGGGGTTAGCTGGTGCAGTTTTAACGCAGACCTTAAAGGGGGGCAGGGGCCTGCCTTTCTCCAGCCTGGTAGAATGGGAAATATCATTAGAGGGTAATAAATATATTTAGTTTAAACTTCAATTCCTTATGTTTACATGAGAAAAGATTAGATTACAGATTTATTATAACTCATTCTCCCAAATATCTGGGAGTAAATAAAACATGATATAATCCTGTATTATTCATATTAACAGGATGGGGGGGCAGGAAGAGTGTGTGTGTGGACAACATAGGACAATGAATAGTATGAAAACCACTGATCACTGACAGATCCCTCTTCTGTTTTCTTCCTGACCTTCTTGGTTTGACAGCACTAGACGTAGCCGAGTTCTTAGCATGAGAGAAGGGGGTTGAGAGGGAGAGACAACTCACGTACTACTGAAGTTGATTATCTTAAATTAAAAAACCGTTATCCCGATCTACCCCCTTAAAAACTGTTTTCCTCTCAACTTCTCACATTCCATGAAATATACTTATAAGCCTCTAATGCCTGACTTGATCCTTACCGTAGTGATTAGAGTCAGATGTTTAGACACGCTAGACTAATCTAATGCACTTTGACTTGGCCGCAGCTAAGACTGTAAATCCGTATGTCAGATACCGGGCGATTGACATTTTTGTTATGACCGTAAATTATGCTGGACCTGGAGCCTGATGTAAAATTATGCATTATGTCACTGTGTCAACTACTCATCATGGAAGACTTTGTCTAATGTTGGTCCTGAGTGTGAAATTTCATACTCCTAGAATGCCAATTTCAAATTTAGATGTCACCCATGATGATAAGGTTTTATAATTTGTGCTTTAAAGCAACTTAAATCTTACAAGTGGGTCTCAATATATAAAGAATAAAATTAATGCTTTTAAGGAATGTTGTACACGTATTGTGGTCACAATATCTTGAAAAGAAAATGTTGATAAAATGGAAAGTAAACACAATAGAGTGGTTAGGAACACGGACTCTGGAATCAAACCTTAGTTTGAGTCCAGGTCTTTCTTGCCGCTTATTAGATGTTTAATCTCTCTTAACCTCATCCCCCCTCCTCCATATATACTACAGGAATAACAATATAATACCTGTTTCATAGAGACATTGTGATGGTTAATTGAGGTGACGCATGTAAAGGCTTTAGGCTGGTACCTTGTGAGTGCTCAATAATTACTAGCTACAGTTAACAATAATAATAGAAATAAATATTAAGGGTACCACCCTTAACATCTCGAATTTGTAACCTTCCTGAAAATGCAGAGGGATTAATTTCTGTTGTTGTTTTGATGTTGATATTGTAGAACATATTAACTTTTGTCCTTTCGCTCCTGAAAGCCATGTGGAGAATGTCAGTAGTGTGTCCTGAAGATGTATTATTGGGAGGTGACCTGATAATGGATTTTTAAAACCATCTAGATAAATAGATAAAATAAAATTCTTTAAACTTTCCATCCCCTCTCTTGCCCCCTCCCCTCCTTGAAGAGAAATTTTATGGCAATAATATGTATATGATTTCCATGCTGGAACAAATAATCTAAATTATTTGAGGTTTTGAAGCAGCATGCTGCAGGAGAAAAAGGAGAGGCCCAGGAGTCTGAAACCCAGCCTTGCCCATACAGCTGTCGTCTGCTTTAGGAGACAGGTTTTGGAAGCATCACCAGCTCTGTGATGCTTCTGTGACCTTGGTTAGCTATTGTCCTTTATCTATGTGTCTGGTACTGCTATTTGTGTACATGTCCATTATTATGCTGGGAACACAGCGCGGTGGCTCACGCCTGTAATCCCAGCACTTTGGGAGGTCAGGGCAGGCAGATCGCGAGGTCAGGAGTTAGAGGCCAGCCTGACCAACACGGTGAAACCCCGTGTCTACTAAAAATAAAAAAAAATAGCTGGGCATGGTGGCACGCGCCTGTAATCCCAGCTATTCAGGAGGCTGAGGCAGGAGAATCGCTTGAACCCGGGAGGTGGAGGTTGCAGTGAGCCAAGATCACGCCATTGCACTCCAGCCTGGGTGAGAGAGTGAGACTCCGTCTCGAAAAAAAAAAAAGGAATAACTTGCCCACCGATTAAACTGTGAGTTCTTTGAGGGTATTTTATGTATAGTACTCAGGCTGGCGCTGAGTACTGACTTAGTAAAGATTTGTTGAGTGATTGTGTGACCAGCGTCAAGGTGTGGCTGTAGGCTTACTTTGCTGGGTGGTTTTGGGCAATTTATTTACTCTGAAACCCAATGAACCTCACACCTGATTTGTCTCCTGCAAATAGCTAATGTGAGCTCAAATGAATAAATGTAAATAGTTTCTGTAATTTCAAAATGCCAGGCAATAGAAGATTTTAAAACCTGGTCACGATAATAACAATAATATTGAAACCCAAGCTATAATATTTACCCTGGTATGCTTCATAATAGTGAGAACTGGAAACAACTGATATTTTCTGTGGCTCACGCTTGTAATCCCAGCACTTTGGGAGGCTGAGGTGGGTGGATCACTTGAGGTCAGGAATTTGAGACCAGCCTGGCCAACATGGTGAAACCTCATCTCTACTAAAAATACAAAAAAAAAAATTAGCTGGGTGTGGTAGCGGGCGCCTGTAATCCCAGCTGCTCAGGAGGCTGAGGCATGAGAATCTCTTGAATCTAGGAATTGGAGGTTGCAGTGAGTCGAGATCATGCCACTGCACTCCAGCCTGGGCAACAAACTAAGATTCCATCTCAAAAACAAAAAAAAAAAAAAGAAAATTTTATCACTAGGTTATTTGTTAAATCACTGATGCTACACACACACAATATAGTATTAGGCAGCTGATAATATTTACTGAATGTTTAAATTATGTGCTGTTCTACTGTGAATGAACTGGTCTAGGCAAACCTATCCCCAAAGGCCAAGGGAGCTGACAGGCCAAAGAAAGAAGCTGACAAACCTAGTTTCTCAGAAAGAAATAGGGACTTACAAATAGAACCAGTGTCTCCGGCAGCTGAGAGATGGTGGATCCCTGCACTTGGCCTGCAAAAAATATCTTTACATAGCAAGCTTTTAGGGCAAAGACATGTGCAACTGGTCATTTCTAAGACTTTTTTGTGAAATTTGTGACTTTTGGGGAGGTTAGATACCCATCTTTATGAGGGGTTATCTGTGCTATAGGCATTGCTTCTTTGTGAGGGGTTATCTATGCTATAGGCATTGTTTCTTTGTGAGGGGTTATCTATGCTATAGGCATTGTTTCTTTGTGAGGGGTTATCTATGATATGGGAACACATTGGTCATCACAGAGGTTTTGTTTCAAGATCGAGTCACTCCGGGTGAAAACAGCCTGTTTTCCTGCATGCACCAGGCCCTGTTCTAAGCATTGAACAAATATCTCATTTAATCTTTACAACACCCCTTTGAAATCCAGATCCAGAGTCCTCAGTTTACAGATGAAGTAGAAACTGTGTGACTGGCACAGGAAGAGGTGCGCTGTTTTGGGCATCAATCAGAAGCAAGCTGAAGAGCCATTTATTAAGCATAGGAAAAACAACCCTGATAGGCGATCCATCCAAGAATTAGTAGTCGTTATCTCTGGAGACTAGATTTCTGAGGGAGTTTCTTTCTACAGGGAGTCAGTGTTGCTCTGTTGCCCAGGCTGGAGTGCAGTGGTGTGATTTTGGCTCACTGCAATCTCCACCTCCTGGGCTCAAGTGATCCTCCCACCTCAGCCTCCCAAATAGCTGGGACTACAGGCACGTGCCACCATGCCTGGCTAATACTTTTGTATTTTTCTGTAGAGATGTGGTTTCACCATGTTGCCCAGGCTGGTCTTGAACTCCTGGGTTCAATAGAGCCGCCCACCTCAGCCTCCCAAAATGCTGGGATTACAGTTGTAAGCCACTGTGCCCAGCCTCTAGAGGGTATTTTAAAATTTGGTTTGAAAAATTTTTTTTACAATGAGCATGTATTATTTTATATTTAATGAAATAAAGCAATAAATGATCATTCACTTTGGAACTATCCATTTTCTTAAAAAGAAGTAGCCAAGAAATGAAATGTTAACATAACTGAAATGTTAATGTAATTATTTGTCATTTTGGCAATGAAAGTTGTTTAATTCGAGCTAAAATAGTGCATTTGAAACAAAAGAGAGCTGCCCCTACCCACTACTTTTCTTGTTTTCTGGGTCTCAGCAATTCACTTGCATTTGACTTTCATTTATCATATTTGTGAGGATAGGTGAAGTTTTAGCGAATAAGTCATGTAGTATTAAATCTCAGTGACTGTAAAAAAGACTACAGCTTTCCAGCCAGAAATGCCTCTTTCCATAAGGGAACAAATTCTCTGACTTTCAAAAATTTAATATAACAAAAGACTCTATTCTAGATTGTATGGAAGTTGTAAATTTTAATTACATCTGCGTTTTTCTCCATTCACCTGGTGTGAAGAGGGAGGGACTCAACCTGGGTGAGCAGCTATTTAAGCATCTGGCACAGGAATCTTGGTCAGCCACATGCATGTACAGGACTATAAAAAAGTCCAGGTTTGCGTTGGGAGTCCATCACTAAGTGTTTATGTGCCAGTGAAGTCACCAGGCCTTCAACACCCACAGCCAAGAGCTGTGCCGAGAGAAGCAGGCTGCCGCTCCTGCAGTCTGGTTGACAAGCCTCCGTGCCCGGCACCTGCGCCTTGTTGCCTGTGGGATTCCAACTCTGATTGTTGCCTCAGAAACTGTTGTTACCACAGAACTTTCTCACACTCACTGGCCCAGACGTTTGCAGAATTCCAGGGCTAGTGTGTGGTTAGGCAGCCAAATTCCAATTTTAGAATGCTGCTTGTGACCATGAAACTCTGTTAACTCAGGCTTTTAAAGGGCTGACACGGTGAGAGATAGAGAGAGAGAGAGAGAGAAACTGTGTTGGGGAGGAAACAGTATGAAGATGAACAAACAAGCAATTGTTTATTGTTCTCAACTAGAGAACAAACATATATTTTGATCTCCATAGGATATGAGTGTTAGCAGTGATAAAACATAGGTATTTGAAATGTGGAATGATGCTGGAATCTTAAGTCATCCACATTTCACAAAGGATTGTGTTAAAATTCTTTCAGAAAGGTAGAGGGCTTATTTCACTTCTGAATTTCCAGTCACTTCACAATCTGCCTCAGTAAAGTGTCTCAGAATTTTACATTTCTAAGTCACTACGTTTTGTTTTATTTTATTTTATTTTATTTTATTTTATTTTATTTTATTTCATTTTATTTTATTTAATTTTATTATTTTGAGACGGAGTCTAGCTCTGTTGCCCAGGCTGGAGTGCAGTGGCACAATCTCAGCTCACTGCAACCTTCGCCTCCCGGGTTCCACAGATTCTCCTGCCTCAGCCTCCCGAGTAGCTGGGAACACAGATGCCCACCACCACATCCTGCTAATTTTTGTATTTTTAGTAGAGACGGGGTTTCACTGTGTTGGCCAGGCTGGTCTCAAACAGGAGTTTGTGATCCGCCCACCTCGGCCTCCCAAAGTGCTGGGATTACAAGCGTGAGCCACCATACCCGGCCAAGTCATTAAGTTTTTTTTAATGCCTACAATAACCCTTTCTCCTTGTGAAGCTTATGGAAGAGCCTACATTTTCTTCCTTTCCTTTCCCCTTCCTTCCTTCCTTCCTTCCTTCCTTCCTTCCTTCCTTCCGTCCTTCCTTCCTTCCTTCCTTCCTTCCTTCCTCCTTCCTTTCTTCCTCCTTCCTTCCTTCCTTCCTTCCTTCCTTCCTCCTTCCTTCCTTCCTTCCTTCCTTCCTTCCTTCCTTCCTCCTTCCTTTCTTCCTCCCCTCCTTCTTTTCTTCCTTCCTGCCCTTTTCCCTCCTCTCCTTCCTTTCTTCCTCTCTGCCTTCCTCCTTTCTTCCCTTCCCTCTTCCCTCCCTCTCTTCCTCCCTCCCTCCCATGCCATTCTGACAGGTATTATTATCAGCATTGAGGATATAACTTCGAACCAGATGGAAAAGTTTCCTTGCCCTCAAGAAACTGACATTTTGGTGCAGATAAACAGATAATACATACTAAATAAGAACTTCAGAAATATTAAGTGCTATGAATAAAACTAAACAAGGTAATGTGATAGAGGGGCTGATAAATGTGGATGAGGGGGGCCTTCTACTCTTAATTGGGTGCTCTAGGCAAGCTTCTCTGTGGAGCTGGCCCTTCAGCTGAGACCTGAATGTTGAGAAACTATGGGAAATACTGTCAGCCAGACCTGAGGGCTTCCATTTTCCGTGTGTCAGTGGTGGCAGGTGGGGCAGGATGGTAATACCTACCTCACAGGATGATTGGGATTAACTGAGGTAACATGCCAAAATGCCCAGAATAGTGCTTTGGTACTTAATAGCCTTGAATTATAATAGTAGAACTTAAAAAGGTTCCCACCCCCATTTTTCATGCCTGTTGAAGTATTCATCATATCATCTGTATAAAAATCTGCCAGATATAGAGGTCAGAATAAAAGATCTATCAGAGCCATGCCTTGGATTCAGGGTGTAGGACCAGACAAGATGATGCCAGAATATAGCCCTGCCTCTTGAGATTACCAGTGGGGTTAATTATGTTCCTTTATTTGCCAACTTTATTTCAGGAGTTGGCTGGAGCTTGGTTATTTGATGGATGAGTTGGACATAGGACTTCCCAATATGAACCACGCCTTAGGTTGACTTAACCCGATTCCTCCTCCCCAAGGAGGTGAGATGCAGGGACCTCTGAAGGCAGGGCCAACGTGCTGGCCTCCGGAGGCCCTTGAGATATGCTCACATGCTTGGCAGGTCCTCCACTGAAATTCTCGAGTTCTGCTCTGCAGAGCATGGAAGAGATGGCTTTGGCCTGGAAATTTGATGGCAGGTGTTACCTTGTGGCTGCCAAGAGCTTGATGATAGAGATTCCTCATTGCAAGAACGCTGGAGAAAGCACATTTTACTGTATGTGGGCCAATTTGAATTTCTTCTTACTAGTTGGTAATTGTTGTAGGCTCTGCTTCAAAAAGGTGCATACAAGGCTTACTCAAGTAACACATTTGTAACTAACGCTTGAGTTTGTATAGCGTGTACACCTTGACCTGGATCTTTGGGCCTTACTGCAACCTTGGGGGTTGTTAGGGCCGGCCCCAAGAATCGTATCCCCAAGTAGTGTGGCATACTGGTTAAGGGGTATTGATATTCTGAAGCTAGACTTCCACGGGGTTGGATCCAGGTTCTACCACTAGCAGTGAGATCCTGGTTAACATATTTACCTACTCTGTGACTTGGTTCCTTATGGTAAAGTGGAGATCATTGTGCCCACCTCATAGGAGTGCTGTGAGAAGTGAGTTACTCTATGTAAGCTCCTTAGAGTCATACCTGGGTGTGAACCAAGACTTAAATGGCGGGGAGAGAGAGACTTAAGAGGTCAGATCGCTGATTCAGGTGAGCAGATTTGCAGAGTTGAGACTCAAACACAAGTCTGATTCTAAGTCTAGTAATCTTCCTACTTTTTCTTATGTTTAACAGTTATTGGTTATGATTTTAAAACATAAACTCAGAAAGAAGCATAGGAAGATATTTAGGATCCTAGTAATAGAATCACACACTATTTGAAGTAGTGGTACTGTTATCTCTCCTTTACATATGGGGAAACTGAGGTATATTGCAGTTGTTTTGCAATGACCTGATGTTACTTTGGTTGATATTTTTAGTATGCCATTGGTCTTTTCATTTCTGGATCCTAATTTTATAAGCAATGTAAAAAGCATAAGACTGAAAGTGTTATTTCCAATATTAAAATTAAATGAACTGTCCTGTGAGGCAAAACTATAAAAGAATACGATTAAAAAGATGAATTAGCAATTCAGATATCA
This sequence comes from Homo sapiens, assembly GCF_000001405.40. Lineage (NCBI taxonomy): Eukaryota > Metazoa > Chordata > Mammalia > Primates > Hominidae > Homo > Homo sapiens. The sequence continues at coordinate 41,421,788 of NC_000004.12, forward strand.
CAATGAGATTAGAGGCCAGGCATGATAGCTCACACCTGTAATCCCAGCACTTTGGGAGGGTGAGATGGGTGGATCACTTGAGCCTAGGAGTTTGAGATCAGCCTGGCCAACATGGTGAAACCTCGTCTCTACTAAAAATACAGAAATTAGCCAGGTGTGGTGGCATGCACCTGTAATCCCAGCTACTTGGGAGGCTGAGGCATGAGAATTGCTTGAACCTGGAAGGCAAAGGTTGCAGTGAGCTGGGATCACACCACTGCACTCCAGCCTGGGTGACAGAGCGAGGCTCTGTCTCAAAACAAGCAAAGAAACAAATAAACAAACAACAGAGAGTGAGAGAGATTAGAGACTTTTCTCAATGGTGCTGTCATTCGTCAAATATACCTGAAACTTCTCTTTGGAAATTACCTTAACAATGGGTATCACCTTATTTTATTTATTTATTTTTTTGAGATAAATGAGTGATCTCGGCTCACTGCAACCTCCACCTCCCAGGTTCAAGCGATTCTTGTGCCTCAGCCTCCCAAGTAGCTTGGATTATAGGCGCGCATCACCATGCCCAGCTAATTTTTGAATTTTTAGTAGTGACGAGGTTTCACGGCATTGCCCAGGCTGGTCTTGAGCTTCTGATCTGAAGTGATCTGCCTGCCTCGGCCTCCCAAAGTGCTGGGATTACAGGTGTGAGCCACCGTGCCAGGCCAGGTATGGTATCACCTTATTTTAAATATGCTTTAAAGGTTAATATTAATTTTTTTAAAAGAAAAAATTTACTTCAGCCTCAATTTAGTAAAAATGTAGACATTACTTGATACCTTTTTCCTTCTTCAGATATAGAAAGCAGCTTCAAAGGTAGTGCAAGAAAATGGTATATAATCAATTTGGGACTAAAAAGCTGTTTAGCTTGTGTGGCCAGATTGTGGTTTTCCTGTGTGGCTCTAGCAGATACGGACATTTCTTTTTTCTTTCTTTCCTTTTTTATTTTTTCTTTGATAAAGGGTCTTGCTCTGTCACCCAGGCTGCAGGGCAGTGACACAATCATGGCTCACTGCCGCCTTGACCTCCTGGACTCAAGTAATCCTCCTGCTTCAGCCTCCTGAGGAGCTGGGATTGCAGGTGTGTGCCACCACACCCAGCTAATGTTTTCAATTTTCTGTAGAGATGGGGTTTCGCTATGTTGCTTAGGCTGGTCTTGATCTCCTGGGTTCAAGTGATCCTCCGCCTTGGCCTCCCAAAGTGCTGGAATTACAAGTGTGAGCCACCGTACCCAGCCTGGGGATTTAAAATGGAGTTCTGTTACCCAGCAGCAGCCACAATGAAATCAATGAATGCCCTTCTGAGGGGACTACTGTGAAGGCTAACATTCATGGGGTGCTTGATAAACATCAGCGTCAGACACCCTCCGTATGATATGGAGAAGTAAAGAAAGCCGCAAACTTATGTTCTGGCTTGAAGCTATAACTTTTCTTTCCAAGTAATCTTTTCAGGGAAAGCCTTTTGGCTTTGACTACAGCTATCCACAAATGGAAAGATTTGAATTTCATGAAGTCTGGGAAAGAGTTTTGGGTGGTATGCACACCAACATGATCAAGAGGCTGTTAAAATGAATTTTGCAAATGAGCAAAAAGTAATTTGCATTAAATACAAATATGTTGTCTTGGGGTTAAAAAAAAAAAAGGAATCCTGCAGAGCTCTGAGACTGCTAGCAGATGGATTTGAGAGTGGAAATGGGAGGGGAGGTGAGAAGCTATGGTGGTGGTCTATTGGGAGAGGCAAAGAAATGGGTCAGTTGTGGGCTTGTTTTGATACAAGCAAACAGGTCTCAAGCTCCTGCCTTCTCCAAGCCTATAGCCTGGGGGAGAGTGAGGGTGGGACCAAAAGTCCTCTAAGCAGATACATTCTATATGTTCAAAATACATCAAAATATTCTGGTGTCTGTGATTATCCCAATCTGGGAGAATTCTTGGGTGAGGGCTGAGAATTGAGAAGTTAAATTTTCGGTGAAAGTGCTATAAAGGTGTGGAGTTTGGGGGAAAGTAAGTGTTTAATATGGGAAAGATTGGAGTGGCTTGGTGGAGAGAAGGGAAAGGTGGGTTGGGGATAACTGTGAAGTAGCATAGGGCATCTCAGTGGTGTTTCAGGCTGCCAGGGCCAGTCAATGAGTTACTCTTTGCCCATGAGTGATGTTCTGAGCATCAGAATAACAAGGATAGGATACTGGCATACCATCATTAGTGTGATTCCCTCCTTCCTGCCTTTTCTTTCTCTCATTTTGATATGATTGACTCAGACTTTTTAATTAAACTTTTTATTTTCTTTTTACCATGCGTACTAGCCTTATACATGTGACGTAGGGCTCCCTCTTTCCCTCTCTCCCTCCCTCCTTCTCTCCCTCTCTCTTTCTCTCCCTGTGAACATGGAACTCTGCTAATGATTCAAGCAGTGATCATGATTCTGTCTTCTGATCTTGTTTTATATATACAGCAAAAGTAAATTGAGACCGTTTGGAAATAAACACATTAGTACATAGCCCAGCACCAAGCATATAGTGAGTGTTAGAAGTCAGTGGAATGAAACCACCTGAATTACAGTTAAAAGCTGTTTTCACAGATTCTTATTGGCTGCTTAAAGTAATCTTACCATGGATTCTTACAAACCCGTGGACCCTTATCTGAAACTCTTGGGGCCAAACGCCTTTCATATATCAGAATTTTCCAGATTTAAAAAAGTTTATACAGTGCAGATAGCATGTATTATGTAACTTCTTCAGTAGCAGCACCCATATCCAAACATATCATTTTTTTTTGTTTTGTAATGAAACTTATGAATGTTCACATTGAATAAATAAAGACAATGCAGCTGCAAGTCAGTTCAGGTCAGGTTTTGTCACTAATTGAGTTTTCACCAAGCTTGCATACTTTTGGGTTTCAGAACTTGGGGTTTTGGAATTGTAGACCATAGTGGCTTTTTGGAACTATTTCCTGCTTATGTTGCTGTTAGCTGTTGCCCAGTCTGCCTTAAAAATATTGGATTCCCCTGGGCCAGACAGCAGCTATTGGTATCATTCATCTTCTGTTTCCTGCAGGAAACCTGTACTTCTTTTAGGCTCTGCAGCAAAGAGAAAATCAGAAGGAAAATCGTCTTTGGTCTTCCTTCTGGGTGTCTGTTTTAGATCCTGATTAGCCTTGTCTCTCAATTGTAAAAATATTCCTCTCGGCCACCAGATTCCTCAGTCACTTCCCTGGTCCATCTCCTCCTTTATCAGTGCTTGAAGAGTGTGACATCGTTCATTGCTTTTAACAACCTGGGGTTTGGCCTGATACAAATTGGTTCTTAAACTAAGAAGGGCATATCTGTTTTCCTTCTGAACGTTTAAAAAGATTTTAAACATGGAACAGATGTAAAAAGTAATTTGCTTGTTTTAATACAGAGAGAGAATGACTTCTAATGGCTTCATGTCTGGGAAGGGTCTTGATCCCATGAACTGATCCTGTCTCATCTATTTCTTCCTTAATCCTCTTCTCTTGGTCTTGGTTTCCACCCTTGCTTTTCAGTATTCTCAGGCAGTTTTTCTTTTTTAAAGACGGAGTCTCACTCTGTTGCCCAGGCTGGAATGCAGTGGCATGATCTCTGCCCACTGCAACCCCCGCCTCCCGGGTTCAAGCGATTCTCCCACCTCAGCCTCCCAGGTAGCTGAGACTACAGGTGTGCACCACCACACCTGGCTAATTTTTGTATTTTCAGTAGAGACAGGGTTTCGCCATGTTGGCCAGGCTGGTCTCGAACTCCTGACCTCGGGTTATCTGCTGGCCTCAGCCTCCCTAAGTTCTGGGATTACAGGTGTGAGCCACCACACCCACCTGGCCTGGGTGGTCTCTTTCTTACCACCCCATCTCTTTTCTTTTGCCTGCTGCCTCTGCTACCTGCTTCTTTTTAATCAATTGTGTTCACTTTTAGTTGTTTACAATCAGTTGCCAATCTCTGAAAACAGTTTCCTGACAAACACATTTCTTCCCTCTTCCTGTTGGAGGCTTTTCTGTTTGGGATTCTGCCCACATATGCAGACACTTAAACTTCTAGTTTCATGGCTGTCTTAGAGGACTTGGGTTGCTGGGCAGCTGAGAGTTGGATGTCTGAGGTGCTGCTGTTTTAAGGAACATTTATATGCATGTGAGTGGTTTTGATTTGAAACTAAGGATGCTAACTATGAAATCTGAGAGAGTGAAAAGATTCTTTTTTTTTTTTTTTTTTTTTTGAGACGGAGTCTCGCTCTGTCGCCCAGGCTGGAGTGCAGTGGCGGGATCTCGGCTCACTGCAAGTTCCGCCTCCCGGGTTCACGCCATTCTCCTGCCTCAGCCTCCCAAGTAGCTGGGACTACAGGCGCCCGCCACTACGCCCGGCTAATTTTTTGTATTTTTAGTAGAGACGGGGTTTCACCGTTTTAGCCGGGATGGTCTCGATCTCCTGACCTCGTGATCCGCCCGCCTCGGCCTCCCAAAGTGCTGGGATTACAGGCGTGAGCCACTGCGCCCGGCCCGTGAAAAGATTCTTGTAAGATTCCAGGTGATTCTTAGTTCTTTTCATGGTCTGTATATGAGAAGTGTTTTTCTACATCTTTCTTTATGATAGTAATAGATGTTTGTAACAGTATAGACATTTCACAGGAGACTTTAGTTAAATTTAGGAATCATGACTTTATCCTGGCAATTTTACTTTAGAAATATTATATGCTTAGAGTAATTCAGATAACTCAGTCCTTTGAAGGTTCTCTACATATTACTGCCTTTCATATTTGAAGATAGATTTGGAAATGATTGTCCTCTGGGTGTAAAGAGTCCAATATATACTGCTGTTGTTTCCACACAGCATTGTCATTTCCTACCAGGGACTCTCCCTTTTAAACTTAAGAGTTGGCACGGAAACATTATTGCTCAAAAGAGCCACCCATTCCCGAGTGTGTTTGACAGGTCTTTGTAAACAAACTTCTTCAGCCTTGCTGAAATTAGTGGAAAAATCTAGGCTCTCATGTTTACAGTTGACGTGGGTTTTCCTTTCACCTAAAATAACCATTACAAGTAAGATACTAAGTAAAAAACATACTCATTTCTACTTGGTATATGAAAATAATATATGTTTGATGTATTCAGTGAAATTCCAGTTAACTCATAACTCTTTGAGGCCATGGATGGAGAGGTGGCATTATTAGTCTCTACCTCCAGTGCCTCACACAATTCCTGGGCACAGAAAGAGACATACAATTCATGTTGGGTCAATCAAAGAATGATTGATCATTGGCACCTCCTGATTCTATTTGGTGGTCAGAGAAAGTGGCAGGACTTAAGTTATTTTACATATAAACATTTCTTGCAAAATTTGGAGAGGATGTTTTGATGGCTTGAGATCTTTTAATTTCTTTGAGTTACTTTCATTGTCCTTCCCACCCCTTCCCTCTCTCCACTCTGAACTGCATAGGGCCTGCCTGCAGTGAACTACTCACTTCTTCTGACTCCAAGGAAGGCCATATCATGTGTTTTAAGTACCCCATAAAATTTATCTTCAAAGTAAAGCTTCCTTTGCCAAGCTCACAAATGATGGATTTTTGTTTTCCTTCGGCCTGAGGGTCAAAAGAATGGGCACTTTTGTATGTACAGTCTTCGGGGCCATTTCCTCCCTCCTATCCTACTGCCCTCTCCCTGTCTTAGGCAAGAAATCACTTGGTTCCGAGCAGTGACCTCCGCTGGGCCAGACAGTTCTGAAAGCCTTTGTGTGTTCATTTCCTTAAAGAAGTGGAAGGTAACATGTTTGAAAGCCGGACAGCTGTGGCCTGTTCCAAAACATCAATGTTGATTGTTTGTTTTTCTGGATTTTAACAAAGGAGCTTTTGCCAGGAGACCTTTGCACTCTTGCTTATTCAAACCCCAAATTACAAAAATACATAACAAAAATAAAACAGAAGCCAGACTTAAGGTTATCTTACCAAAACAGGACGTCTTCCTTCTTTAGATTGTACAAACACATGAGTTCCCTAGTTAAATTCAATCAATCATTCCTGACGGATTCAGCTAAAGTTTTGCTTTAACTCATACCACATTGTCTAGTCCTTAGAGCTTAGTTCTATTTCCTCACCTTGTTTACCTACAAAATGGTGCATCTATTTGGAAAAAAAAAAAAAAAGAAGAAGAATTTACTGGTTCCTTTTTACCTCTGTGTATTCAGCAATAAAAAAAAAATTCTCTGAAATGTGTGCTGGAGAATAATAAGCAGTTTTCCTTGGGTGGTCTTAACAGCTTAACAGATTGCTCTGAAATTGAAATCCTCAAAGATGATCTGTTCAAAGGAGGGGTGTCGACTTTCTCATCTTTTGGAGAGAGAGAGGGATGCAGCATTAGCTAGAGACAGTATGAGGTCGTGGTAAAGAACATGAACTCTGAGGCCAGTTGGTTTGGTTTCAAATCATCTGCCTCTTACTAGCTGTGGACCTTGGTTATATCACTTAACCTCACTGTCCCTCATCTGTATAATGGTAATAATAGTAGTACCTCCTCCGTGCTATCATGATTAAATAAGTTAATATCTCTAAAGCACTACATAATAAGTGCTGTGCAAGTGTTTTTAAAACACATGAAAAGGAAATAGAGATGAGATAATGTCAGAAGAGATTAGTGTTAAGCCCTTGAAGGGAGGGGGCAATTTCAAATGAGAAGAGCTGATAGGGAGTGGCAGAGAAAGCAAGTAAATTGGGGATTAAATGATAGACTATGCATTTGGCCATTTGGAGTTCTTAAGTAACTTCTAACTATTCAGAATGTGGCTTTAAGCAAGCCAATTTATCTCCCTATCGGTAAAAGGTGACACTTGGCTGGCTCGATATTCTGTTATGTGTCCCAGCCCCAGAAATGCACAGACTGGTTTCCATTTTTAGTGGAGTGCTGTGAGCAGAAGCCAGACTGAGATTTCAGGTTGGATTGAGGAAAGATGAAAGAGCTGACACTTGGTATCTAAGTCATTTCCTGGCAGTGAGTGAGAAGAGAGAGCATCGCTAATGGCAAAGCCAGGGCTGAGAGGCATGGGGTTGAGTTGCTGTGTGAAGACAGTCGCTCACTGCTGCCTGAAGTCTTCCATGGTTTCTTCTGTGATTTCTTCCTTTCCCATCTCAAGCATTTGATTCCCCTTCTTACTTTTTTTCTGACTGTTACTCTTTCGAAGTTGCCTGTGAAAGGGCCTCCTTGTTTGAAATCTCTTCTTGGGAAGGAAGAAAGTGGCATGCAGCAACGTAAATAGCAGGTGCAAATCCTCCAGATGAGTTCCAGCCGAGGGAGAGTGGTGCTTGAGTGGCTGTGCTGAATTCCTCCTCCCAACTTGATAGCAGATTTTTGATATTACAGTCCATCTGTGCACCATTTTTTAATGCGTATGTTTTTGTTTTTTGGTTTGCTTTATTCTCATTTTTTCCCTTGGGCTCTTTAAGTAGTCTTATTCTACAAAGCAGCATTTTTTTTCTTTTTCTTATTTGTGCTTCTAGTGCTCTGACCCATGGGTTTTTTTAAATATAAATTCACTTGCGTTTAGCCATAGCCACCGAGTGAAGGGTACTCATTTCTGAGGAACATACTTATTATTCTGGCATAAGCTATGTGAACAGACTGTTCTCTACAGATTTGAGTATCTTTGAGAGGTGCTGGCGACAACAATGGCATTTGGCAGCATGATGCTCTGTTCAAACAAATATTCAACTTGGTTTATATTAGCGTTTGTATCAGGCTGTGGTAAGCACAGTATTCTCAGATTTGAACCTATAAAGAATTATGGAAAAAGGATGGTGAGGTCCGCAGAAGTGGTCATGGCACTTATATTTTTCCAGTTTGCCTTTCTTGATTTTTCTTCATTAAATTTTCATTCAGTGTTTTTATCAGACAGGATGTGTTAGATGATGCTGCAGTAACAAATGATACCCAAGTCTCAGTTGCTTAAAGAAACACCATTTTCTTTATTGGCTATGCTACATATCCATGGAGGGCTGGCCTTCATGTAGGCCTTCATGTAGATGCACGTTGATAGATATCCCCCTGTCACCAGTTACAAGGGAAGGAAAGGAAACATGGTGAATCATGCACACTGTCTTGTGGGATTTGGCTTAGAAGTAATATTACTTCTGCTCATATTCATTGGCCAGTCAATGAAAGGCAAGTCAAATGGCCATGCCTAACTTCACATGGATGGGCAGGGAAACACAATCCTATAATGTTCTTGGAGGAAGGAGAATTGGAAATATTTGGTGAACAGCACTAAATTCCTAATACAGTATAGACGTTACGTAAGTCAAATACCATAATAGAGTCTAGGGGCACAAAGATGAATGGAGTGTATTCTAATTCTAGAGAAATTATATTTTTTGGGGGAAATAGCTTTATATAGGAATTTCAAAATGATGGTGATGAAGCTAAGATGTTTTTAAAACCATTTCTGTATTTTATTATATTTATCTATTTATTTTTTGAGACAGAGTCTTGCTCTGTTGCCCAAGCTGGAGTGCAGTGGTGCGATCTTGGCTCACCACAATCTCTGCCTCCAGAGGTTCAAGCGATTCTCTTGCCTCAGCCTTCCGAGTAGCTGGGACTACAGGCACGTGCCACTACGCCCGGCTAATTTTCGTATTTTTAGTTGAGATGGAGTTTCACCACGTTGGCTAGGATGGTCTCGATCTCCTGACCTCAAGATCTGTCTGCCTCGGCCTCCCAAAGTGCTGGGATTACAGGCTTGAGCCATCGGGCACCCTGCCCCCATCTCTGTATTTTAAAAGATTAGGAATGTTTCCTTTGTTGTTTCATTTCTCCAGTTTTTGTAAGTATGTTCCAAAAGTTACAAATAGCTACTAAATAATCTTCAGAACTTAAATATGATGAAGAAAAATTGGCTTTACTTAATTTTACATAATGTTTGGGTCCTTTCTTGAATCTTTATATGTGAAAGACATCATTTTTGTGGTTTTGCCATGCTTTAGCAGTCTAAAAATTGAATGTGCCTAAGGAGAATAACTTTTTTATTACATGCTGGCTTAAATCTCAGACAGAATTCCATTGAAAGCCAGTTGGTTTTCTGTTTTGTTTTTTTTTTCTATGTGTCTTTCAGTGCTGAAATTGGAAATAAACCAGCATTATGGCTTCATGACGGAAAGTGTAGCAATTCTGCACAATGCACAAGCAAGTTTGTCATTTAAAATAGCAGACATCTGTCAGAAGTTGGTGCTGACCTTCTAAACTGCAACTGAATGTTCAGACTGTTATTTCTCCATCCTCCTCAGATGCATTTCCAGTGTTGGGCTCACAGCCCCATGCTTCTTGTCTGCTTCCTAGTGGGTTATGGGTTGTGTCCTAGAGTCTAGACATGAAATGAAAAATGATTATGTAATCTGTTTCCCTTCTTCTCTGCAAAATTCAGAGGAAGGGTCAAAGCTTTGAGACATACCACCTCCCCCTGCTTGGTGGAAAGAGCAGATTTTGAGGATCTATAGACATAGAGTTGGAATCTTGGCCAGCCCCTTCTTACCTGTAGAACTTTGGGCAGATTGCTTTATCTCTTTAATTCTCAGCTTCCTTCCCAGTCATATGAAGAGCATAAGAACTGTTTCAGTGGCTTGTTGTGAGGGTTAAGTATATGGTTTATATAAAATGCCAACAGTGTCTGACATGTAACAAGCACCCAATAAATATTCCCTATTGGCACAGTGCTTACTGGTTTTTAAAGAACTTCATTACATTTTATCTCATGGGACTACATCAAGGAGGTAAAAGGCATCTAGCTGAATTAGTTTTCCATTAACTTTCCAAGAAAATAAATACAGACTGCATTCTCTTGGAGTCACAGTTGACTTCGCAAAGATCTTATTTTATTATGATATGTGTATGTTTTCTTCTCTACTCACATTTTCCCTCACCCATCATCTGTTACATTACATATAGACTGAATCCTCTACACTTTTTAAGTTATAAATCTTTTCTTGTGCTATTATGAGTTTTGGGTGATTACTTCAGCCAGCAATGGATGATTAAGGGCTGAGGGGATTGGTGTTCATACTATAGGAGAAGAAAACAAAAACTTTGATAATTTTAATAATAATGACTAACACCAATTGAATAATGATTCTGTGCCTAGTTCCTAATTGAAGTTTTCTTTTTTCTATGAAATCATAATTAATCTTCTCTCCACTCTGTAAGGCAGCTATGACTATTACTTGCACATTGCAGGTGAAGAAATTTAGGCTAGGATGTTAAATAATTTGTCCAAGGCAGTATACTTAGTAAGATTAGCACTGGAATTTAAATCCGTGATTGTTTGATTTCAAAATTGCTGTTTTTCCCCACTCAGCTCTATAGTACAGATAAATTTGGGTTTAAAATAGGGAGGTTATATTGCTGGCTGATGCGTGTTGTGTGAACACTGTCTGAGTGGATTAATTGTGGCAGCTAAAAATAACAGGGTGTATTGTTGACTTTTTGTACAGTCTAAACTTCTTTTCTGGATGACTTTAAAATATGAGTGTGTTGCTGCTCTTGATTCCTAACAGAGAACTTTAGAGACCTGGAAGCCTGTCCTTTGTGTAACTCTTTACGTATAACGTCAGATTCTGTGGACAGGTGGCCCCTGATCTGCATCCCTAACAGGAGGGTTAGTACTGAGAAGTAAGGGTAAAGATAGAAGCTAGAAAAACAAATAGGCTGTACCTTCCTGTCTGAATTATTCTCTCATTTTTCTCATCCCTGACAACTTTCTCAATAAATTGTCCTAGCAAGTAAATCCATGGGTCTCTATCCTTGTTGGGAATAGCATCATTTGGGCAAAGCTTTGCCATCAATTTTTCATTTAAAAACATTTCCTAAGGTAAACATTAAGGCCTGAATGACAGCTATAGTTTGAGATTTTTACTTTGAATTATGAGGCTTACTTGGCTGGACACCATTTTTCAATGGCAACGATCCTTCCTGTTTTAAAACCTGATTGTTAAAATACAGGACATATGGGAGATCTTAAAAAGATCAAGTTCCAAGTATAATTCTTTTTCAAGTAGGCAGTGGAGTCTGGTGCATAATGTTCCAATCTAGTTTCACGGTCCTTTTGATCAACCCAAAATAAAACTGAACAAGACAGCATCTCTCAAAGGGTTAATACCCTGGAATTTCACACTTAACAATCGGCATTATGTTCTTTGCATTCTTGAGGAATTTTCTCACTGATGTCAAAAGACTTTGGTTTGTTATGCAAGACAGTGGTCCAGTGACTTTGCATATCACATTCTCTTAACATGAGGGAAATCCTTGCATGCTAATTGGAGAAGGAAAAAAGTAGTGCAAGTGGTTCTTTGGCTACAGATGAATTAAATGAGGGAGGGCATTTAGTGAAAAAACAAAGCACAACAAAACCCTTGCAAATGAGCGGGCATTCTTTTGAAATGGCTGCTTACTCTAGTCGTTTTGCGTCTGTCTTACTGCTGTGCTGTGTCACTGTGATTCCAGTTTTGGGGGGGAAACACTTGAATGTATATATGGTTTGTTTTTTATTTTTCTGATTGCTTTAATTACCTATTGCTGTATAAGAAATGACTCCAAACTTAGTGGCTTAAAATAACAACAATTTATTGTTTCTTAAGATTCCATGAGTTGACTAGTTCAATTCTGTTCCATGGGGTGTTGGCTGGTCCCTGTGTTCAGTTGGTGCCGGGGCTGGGCTGGAAGGTCCAAGACATCTTTTCTCACATGTCTGGTACCTCAGTGCTTCTCCACGTGGCCTTTCTACCTGGCAGGTTTGGGCGCCCTCATAGCATGGTGGTTTCAGGGTAGTTGGACTTCCTCAGGTAGCTGGCCTTCAAGGAAAAGAAAGCAGAAGCTGTTAGTCTTCTTTTTTTTTTTTTTTTAAACTTTTAAATTATAAAGCTGTCAGTCTTCTTAAGGCCAAGCTTGAAAGTGGCAGCATGTTACTTCCACCATATCCTGTTGGTCAAAGGAAGCCCTAGAGTCAGTCCAGATTTGAGGGAAGTCGGGGAAATAGACCCCATTTCTGGAAGGGTGGAGTGGCATGTCCCTATAGGAGGAAACGAATTGATGGCCCAAATTGTACAAGTAGAGGGAGGACTGAGGGCAGAGGGGCTCGTCTTAGCTGGTGGGAACACCAAGGGCGGAGGAGAGTTTTGTCCCACTTTCTTTTTAGGGTTCTGGACAGACACTGCTATGTGAGTAACTTCATGCCAGCTTAAAAGGGGTACACTTCCAAGTGACATAAGAGGACAAAATGGTGAGGTCAGGTGGAAGGGGCCCCAGGGCACTCACCAAGGCTCTCTCAGCTCCTGTGTGATGGCAGAAGGAGCCAGATGTTCTGGAATTCTTCCAAGGGAGGTCTCAGAAGGCAGCTGAGTTAAGAGGCAGTGGGCTTAGGCTAGGAACTGGGTGGAGAATGGACCCAGAGCTGGCTGTGGCACCACTGGAGGCCAGCCAGTGGCACTCTAAGGCCCTGGCCACCAGCTGTAGACATCAGCTACAGATGTCCATGGAATATCTAGGGTTGTAGAGCTAGCCGGTTTCACTCCCATGGTCACCAGGCCAGGCAGCAACCCAGACTAGCTGCTTTGCAGCAGAGGGCAGCTAGGATGTAGAGGACAACATGTGATTTGCATTCTCCATCTCTCACATCACCATAATGGAGACACTCTTCCCTCTCCCCATACACCTGGTTACAGTTGGTTTTTGGGGTATTTTTTTCCTGAGACAGTCTTGCTTTGTCACCCAGGCTGGAGTGCAGGGGTGTGATCTTGGCTCACTGCCACCTCCACCTCCCAAGTTCAGGAGATTCTCCTGCCTCAGCCTCCTGAGTAGCTGGGATTACAGGTGCCCACCCCCATGCCCGGCTAACTTTTGTATTTTTAGTAGAGCCAGGGTTTTGCTATGTTGGCCAGGCTGGTCTTGGACTCCTGACCTCAGATGATCCGCCAGTCTTGGCCTCCCAAAGTGCTGGGATTACAGGCGTGAGCCACCATACCCAGCCCTGGATACTGTCTTGATGAACAGAAATCTGAGTGACTGAGCATGGTGTCTAAAAAGACTGAACCTAAAGGAACTGTTTAATTTATTGCATAGGAGTAAATATTTGCCAGACTTTTCTACAGTTGGGTCTCCCTTTTTCCAATAGTCTGAATAAAGTCTTCCTATGGATGTTAATATCTTAATCCTTAGAGCCTCTGGCTATATTATCTTATATGGAAAATGAGACTTTGCAGATATGGTTAAATCAAGGATCCTGAGATGGGGAGATTATCCTAGGTTATCTCAGTGGACCCTATGTTATCACAAAAGTCCTCATAAGAGGGGGACTGGACATCAGAAGCAGAAAAAGAGGAGATTATCCAATGTTATCCCAGTGGACCCTATGTTACCACAGAAGTCCTTATAAGAGGGAGACTGGATATCAGAAACAGAAAACGGAGAGATGATGATGGAACCAGGTATTGGAGTGATGCATTTCGACGATGAAGAAGGGACCATGAGCAAAGGAAAACAGGTGGCCTCTAGAAGCTGGAAAGGGCATGGAAAGCCTCCTGTTCCCCGTGCCGAAGCCTCCAGAAGGAAGGCAGCCCTGCCAACATCTGGACATTAAATTTCCTACCCCTAGAACTGTAAGAGTCAATTTGTATGGTTTTAAGCCACTAAACTTAATGTGGTAACTTGTTAGAGCAGCCACAGGAAACTAATACACCCTTCTTGTCCTAAACCAGTCACTTAGAAACATTGAAGCTACAATTTCTTTGCTCATTTGAGTGCAGAATAAAGCTAATAGAGTTCTATTTTATTTTTTCTCCCATTCATTTTCCTAGTAAGATATTATTTCTGACTATTTGATGAGCAAGAACATTGAGGGGTAAGGAGTGAAGTTCAGTAACTTTGCCCAGGTTGAATGGTTAATGATTGAGCAGGATTAATCTAAGCTGCAGAGACACTGTCTGGGAACATCATGCAAGATCAGGGTCTCATATAAAAATGTATTAAGTAGAAGTTTATATACAGAGTAAGCTTTCGGTATCTCAAAAATCTTATTTCTGAAGTCCTATATTGTAGCAACTTATTGACATGATGATTCCTATAATAGAAATAATAAAACAGTTGCCACTACGTGACTCAAATTGTCCCCTCCTTATTTTGAAGACTTCACTCAGCTTCTCAAGAAATAACCAGTGTACCATATTTGTTCCACTTTCAATGATACAGGCACTTTTCAATTCATTTATTACTTTTGTAAAGTTTAGTTCTAATAAAGCTCATAGAGCCATAAGAAAATCTCTTTAAACCTTGTTTTTCTATTAAAAAAATACATTCTGGGTTGTAAATTAGGAGGCCAGGAATTCTTGTTCCCTCTTTGGAGGTGATTGTGGTGGTGGTTTGAGCTGTCTCCTTGCCTAGATCTAGGTACCTGGACTCCACAACTATTCACTGTTCGCACTTCTCCGCCTGTGTAGAGATGGCATGACATTTGTCTGAACATGAGTATACCTCCAGTTTACCTCTCCTTGAGCTTTTCTGACTTAGAAAAGTGAGCAGTTGCCCCCACCGAAGGGTCTGGGGTTGCAGACTTACTTAGGGTCTGCTCATGGGTCTGGGGCATTAAAAAATAATGTCCATATGTTGGGGACAGCTTGTATTAAGAATAATCTTTGTGAGCCAGTTAATGCTGTGAGAGATTTTTTCCTGACATTGTCATTGTGCTATTTGCAGCACAAGTTCCAACAAAACAACTTTTCCATTTTATCATCGGGATTGTAGAAGCAGCATGTAAAGTGATTAAAATAATGGCACCAGGGCAATCTGTGTGACAGATGCTGTCAGGACTGGAGACAGAATGCAGAAATTTCCAAATTTCTGTGTGTACTCTTTGGTCCTTCCCAAGGAGCCTTCGTGTGTGTTTCAGTCCTTGTGGAGGATGGGAAACTAGGATTTTGTCAGCGTCTGGGTATATATTGGAAGTATGGAGCTGGTTGAAAAAAAAAATTTGCGAAGGAGATATAAAGCAGAAAATTAGGGTAAAAACACATGGTTTTTGTCTGGTCTTTTGCATTTCCTGTGTGAAAGGTGAATCCTTGAATCTGAAAATGAAAGCCATCTCCAATGTCTCCTAGGTAATATGTCAAATACTGTCACGGACCTCAGATCCCTTTCATTGCACTCTTTGTTATTTCTGAATGTGAGCTTGACACACAAATCTTCTTTTAAGAAGGCTTTCCAGAAGGCCTACTGTAGCTGTGTGCATGCTTTAAAATAAAAGTAAATCCCTTTCTCACTTAAACAAAACAAAACAAAACACCAACCTATTTGTGTCCATGAAAAATATCTTTGCATGTCTAGACAGTAGTGCTGATCGGCTGCCTTTTGTAAGGAAGGGATACAGAAAAACTATTATTCTCCCCAGAAACCTTGTAAGGTCCTACGTGACCCAAGTGACCTCTCACTCAACTAGTGAAACAGGAGCCAGAAGTGTGCAAGGAGCCTGAGCTGGAGCTTGATGCTGATGTTATAAATCAGCCTTGGCATTACTGGGCTTTCCTGTTTTTAGCCAGCAGTCCTTGGGGACTGTTGCTGATTGAGAGTGAGAAAGATTTCTGAACCATTGTAAGTGGTGACACTGACATATCATTAGGCTTCCACCCAGATGGCATTTGTAACAGATAGAAAGGAAACTGTAGTGGAATTAACTTAAAGAGGAAAGAATTAAAGCACAATTTTACAGGCATACGTAGCATGGGAAGGATCCAAAGGGAACTTTTATTTGCTGTCTGCTTTTGCTAGATACTGTGCTTGGTGTGTTGTAGGTGGACTTCAAAATAATGAGAAAAGGTTTTTGTTTTTCATTTACAGAGTGGCCAGGAGGGCCCTATGCCTGCTAGTTGAAGTTATCTGTGTTTACCTCTCTGTTTCATGTAAATTCAATTTTTTCCCTCTTCTTCTCCTGGGCATCTTCTTTTTTGTTTTTTTTCTTTTGGTTTGTTTATGACTGTAAGTCATTAAAGCAGTTCCCAAAAACTGTTCTTAGGTCTTTAGCTGTTGTTGGATGCAGTTGAGAATTTTTTGCTTTCACAATGGCCCAAAGTAAATTGTCACATGTGGTTTAAGTCTGGACCCTGCAGTGACCACTGGATTATCATATCCATATCCATTCCATGATGCACTGAATTTGTTACTAAAATATCTTCTACCTGGAATATGAGAAAGTGCTGGGGGCATTCATTGTTTTATTGCAGGATAGCTGTTTTCCCCAATCAGCTACCTTTTTTTTTCTACATAGCTGTGGAACAAACCACATCCAAAGCATATTCAAGTGTGTGATTGACCCTCATATTGAACAGATATTAAAATTGCCCATTTCATGGCATGAGGAAGCTGCTCATTGAACAGAGATGTACCCTCCATCATCCATATCTGCAAAGATGAGAGAATGGAGGTTCAGAGAAGTAAAGGAACTTGTTCAGGCCACATCGTCAGGTGAGTAGTGGAGCAAAGACTCATACCTGGTCCTGTCTGATTACAGTGCTTGTGCCTTTTAATTTTTCTTTTCTTTTCTTTTTTTTTTTTTGAGACAGAGTCTTGCTCTGTTGCCCAGGCTGGACATAATCTCGGCTCACTGCAGCCTCCATTTCCCAGGTTCAAGCAATTCTCCTGCCTCAGCCTCCCGCCACGACACCTGGCTAATTTTTGTATTTTTAGTAGAGACAGGGTTTCACTGTGTTGGCCAGGCTGATCTTGAACTCCTGGCCTCAAGCGATCTACCCGCCTCGGCCTCCCAAAGTGCTGGGATTACCAGCGTGAGCCACTGCGCCTGGCTGGCTTGTGCCTTTTTATTACAGAGCTTTTCAAACTTCTGCAGTGAAGGACTATTTTTTTTTTTTGTTTTGCTTTTGTTTTTTAAATTTCCAATCCGCTGTAATACAGGGCTGACTGCACAGGATCAGCATGCTGCTTGCATCACATGCACCTCGCCCAGGCCAGTTGGCCAACACCTAAACAGATTTACATCTTGCTCAGCAAGATGAGTCCTGCCATCACATGGCTTGGATGTGGTGGCGATGGCCAGACTGCTGTAAATGTGGATTATCAATCCTGTAATGTACAATGCCATGGACCAGCAGTGATCAATTCACAGATCATGCTTGAAATAATGCTGCTTTGGTTTAAGGGTGAGGGGAGCATCTGTCAGGGAAAAGCCAGACTCCTTTGACTAAAGAGAAGCATTGGGAGTGCAGTTGGGAGGCTAGGAATAGAATATGTGGAAGATGTACCCTTCAGCGTGCAGATGGTGTGGTTTTCTTATTCTCTCCAGGACAAACTTGAATTCCAGCAAGTCATGTTCTGATTCAGTACATGCAGATTTTTGTTCTGAAGTCAGATGGGGACATAATTGCAGTGTCCACTATAGGAAAAACACCAAGTGATTTCTAATACCTACAACAAGCACAATTTGCCTGGTAGAAAGGGGCTCAAAAAGGGGAGGGCAGGCCAGCGCCGTGGCTCATGCCTGTAATCCCACTTTGGAAGGCCAAGGTGCATGGATCGCTTGAGCCCAGGAGTTTGAGACCAGCCTGGGCAACATGGTGAAACCCCCATCTCTATAAAAAATACAGGAATTAGCTGGGTGTGGTGGTGTGTGCCTGTTGTCCCAGCTCAGGAAGCTGAAGTTGGAGGATTGTGTGAGCCCTGGAGGTCAAGGCTGCAGTGAGTTGTGATTGTGCCATTGCACTGCAGCCTGGATGACAGAGCAAGACCCTGTCTCATTAAAAAAAAAAGAATTAAAAAATTTCTTAAAAAAGTGGGCTGGGTGCAGTGTGTCACGCTTGGAATCCCAGCACTTTGGGAGGCTGAGGTGGGCAGATCACGAGGTCAGGAGTTAGAGAACAGCCTGGCCAACATGGTGAAACCCAGTCTCTACTAAAGATACAAAAAATGAGGCGGGCATGGTAATGTGCCCCTATCATCCCTGCTGCTCTGGAGGCTGAGGCAGGAGAATCACTTGAACCCGGGAGGCAGAGGTTGCAGTGAGCCGAGATCATGCCATTGTAGTCCAGCCTGGGCGACAGGGCAAAACTCCATCTCAAAAAAAAGAAAAAACAAAAAGGAGGAGGGCAACATCCTTGCATGAGTTTCTCCAGAAAACTTTATTAATTCACTTGGTGATTTGTTCTGCTTCCTTACTGAACATCTCCTGTACACTAGGCATTTTGCTTGATGCTTCATGATTAAGGTAGTATTCCTATACTGTGTAATTTACAGCTGCTGGAGGAAAGGAAGAAGTAACAAGAAGACATTTTAAAAATTATTAAATAAACTTGAGCATTAATTTTATTAGTTTCCCCTCTATAATTAACAAGTTTAACAAAAATACTGTTTAATGCTTAGTTATATCTTTTCTAGGTGATTAAATAGGGTCTTTGTAGTAATTTTATTTTTAAGGGCTTTAATCAGGAAACTAGTATCTAACTAAAACAATGTTTCTATGAGAAAATCACATTCTACAGAAATATTTTTGACTTCAATGCTTTCCTCAAGAATAAAACCTGTCAGAAGTGTGAATACTGCCTGTACTTAGCAGAGCAATTTGTTATGTGAACCAGTATTGGTAAATGTCCCCAAATGGTACCATTGGGTTTCTTTGGCCTGAGATATTATAATAAGCTGGAATTTTATGTTCTATAAAATACAGAAAAAATACCATGGTCTATTATTTATTTATTTCTTTGTTTGAGACAGAGTCTCACTCTGGCTCCCAGGCTGGAGTGCAGTGGCGCAATCTTGGCTTACTGCAACCTCCACCTCCCAGGTTTAAGTGATTCTCCTGCCTCAGCCTCCCAAGTAACCAGGACTACAGGTGCACACCACCGCGCCCGGCTAATTTTTGTATTTTTAGTAGAGGTGGGGTTTTGCCATGTTGGCCAACCTGGTCTCGAACTCCTGACCTCAGGTGATCCACCTGCCTCTGCCTCTCCAAAGTGCTGGGATTATAGGTATAAGCCACCGCACCTGGCCCATAGTCTACTATTGATAATATAGCAGACCTATTTCTATGGTGACTAAATATAACAGAAATTAATGATGTTCTCAAAAGCTTTTAAAATGATACTGAATATGAATATGTGGCAGAATAAGAAGTTTGGTCTTAAGTCTTTGATTCTGATTGTTCACAGATTCTTTTCCTTCATGTTTGATTTTACTTCTGTTTCATGGTATGGAGATCTCTTTCCCTTGGTATTGCATGTGTAGGTATGAATGACATGAACCCCTCTTCCCAACACTTTGCTGTGACAAGTCAAAAATGCCATGTATTGCTAGGGATTTTTAATTCAGCTTCTGTCTTGAGTAGAAATGAATTTACTAGAAGAAGATGTAGAAATCTTAGTTTTATAGTAATCAATGAAAAATGAAATTTGCTTATATTTCAATGAAAAATGAAAACCAAACAGCTTCTTTATAATTTAAATCTATTAGCAATGTTTTAAGCAAAGATCTAATTAATGTATTTTTAAAATTATTGCTATTTGTCTTAGTTCCCTTGGCCAATCCTCTTTCTTATTGTCCCATTTCTGAGTTTCTGTAAAGAAAGGCTTAAAAACTTAGGGCATTCTCTCTCTTGAGTCGGTCATTTTTTTTTCACTTTGGTAAAGACACCATTGTGCCTTGGTTTTAATATGAGGAAAAATGAAGGTGGGAGTGGAATTTGCATTAAATATTTGGAATTTTTCTTCCTCCCCACCCTCAACGTCTAAAATATGCATGGGATTTGGAAAACAAATTAGAAACAGGATCTTTCACAGATATTTTAAAAATGCATTTCTAAATGGTGGGGAGTTGTGATTTCTGAATAGTGCCATTTCATTTAGGAGCTTAGGTTACAAAGTTGTGTCTAATACTCTTTTTCTTTTTCTTGGTTTTTATTTTAACTTCTTAAAGATTGAAAGTCTTTTTAAGAAGTTAATATGAAATATCTACTTTGCTAATATAAAGTAGTTTGCTAGTATAAACTAATAATGGTATAAGCAATATTAATTTTATAGGTTTTTGCTGTCGTCGTTTGTTTTTGATGTGGGATATCTGCTAAGGAAATAGAGAGTAATTAGACTCAGAAATGATTTTGCTTCTTTGTCTCTCTCTGTCCCTAAACTCTTGGGTTAGTGGGAACATGGAGACCACAAAAGCTGTGATTCTTTCTCTTAGACATTAATTTTAAAATAGCCTGGGTGTGGTAGCTCATGCCTGTAATCCCAGCAATTTGGGAGGCCGAGGTGGGCAGATCAAGACCAGTCTGGGCAACATGGCGAAACTGCATCTCTACAGAAAATACAAAAATTAGCCAGGTGTGGTGGTATGCACCTGTAGTTTCAGCTACTTGGGAGGCTGATGCGAGAGGATCACTTGAGCCTGGGAGGTTGAGGCTGCAGTGAGCCATGATTATGTTACTGCCTTCCAGCCTGGGCAACAGAGCCAGACCCTGTCTCAAAAATACATAAATAAAAATAAAAATAAAAATAAATAAAAAAGGACAGATAGACTGGAACAAACCATCAAAGATGCATTTTACGAAAAACACAAGTTTGGCCACTTAGCATCAGTGTCTATTCTTGCCCACTTTTGTATACATGCTTTGCATATTCCCAAGCACACACATGGCTCAAATATGTATTCATGGAGCAAATGGATGAAGGAATTAATTGGGTGTATAACCAACTAGTTAACCAACTAGCTGATTTCATGATAGTTGAGAACTCATCTGTGTGGGTTACCATTGTGGGTTGAAATCACCTGCATTTTTCAAACAGGTACTCTCTCTCCATTTTGGTTGACTGTGTTGACAAAGAAAAAGACTCTGTAACACTCAGAAATCTAAATATAGCTTCACACAGATGCACACTTGTTATAATGATGCAGTATGGAAATTAACTATGGATTGAATTTTAATTATTTAAACTGCACACATCTCCTACCCCTTCCTCCCTCTATTGTATCACATGTAATTACATTATTATACATCAGTCATTTAACCAGGGTAAACAATAATTGCTGGAAAACTAAGATTTTTAATATGAAGAAAGGAATTGCTAAGTAAATGAAAGGGAAACATACAAATGTACTGTGTGATTCTTTTGTGTAGCTGTTTGTTTAGCAATTCAGGAAGTGACTTAAACTTTGCCTGCCAATATTAGATGCTAGATTTTTATCAAAGGAAAGGTCCTATCATTTTTCATGTGTGTTTAGTTAGAGATTTGTTTAAATGGAAACATAAGCTAGCAAGCAACAGTTTCACTTTTGGGGAATGATTTCCCTCATAAAAGCTTCATGTCTTATGCTCCAAGGTAAAGAGAAAAAAAAATCATATTGGATGTTTTTTTTCTTTTTTTTTTTTTTTTTTTTTTTTTTTTTGAGACGGAGTCTCGCTCTGTCGCCCAGGCCGGACTGCGGACTGCAGTGGCGCAATCTGGATGTTTTTTTTCTTTCTGCTCTGGGAAGTGCATCAAATGTAACCAACACAGTGAATTCAGACCACCTGTGAGATTCCAAATTGCTTTTCCTGAATCGTTGTTGAATTAAATAACAACATTTGATTATGGTACTTAAAGCAAATCAAGGAATATTCAGATGAATCAGTGGATAAACACATTTAATAGTAGTATGGACTTTGCTCTTATTGCAGATGGATTATTATCCAATGAAACCATTCTTCTTTCATGCTGTAAAGCTTTCCAGATTTCAGGAAGCCAGGGCAGCTGTATTTTTTTAAACCTTCACATGTGATCCAAAAGTACCATTTCCTAGGAGAAACGAAGATCTGTTAATTTACAGTATTTGTAAGCAATGGCTAAACTCTTTTCTGTAAACATCAGAAATACACCTGGTGAAGGAAAGCTCTTCTGCCAGATAAAATGGAATGTTCTCAGTTAACCAAGGGAGCAGCTCGGATGAGAGAGGCCCATGGAACAAGTGCTGCTGAGCATCTGATTCCAGCCTGTGAAGGATGTGAGGGAGTTTGCCTTCCCTCAGGGCTAGAGAACTATTCATATAAGCAACTCAGCAATTTCTGTCTATATTGCTGACTTTGTCTTGATGTCTTGAAGAATATGCTCACTTAAAACTCGTAGACTCAAGGAAAGGCAAGCTGGCTAGATTTAAATAAAACTGAATCATAGAAGAGGCTACATCTGTCAGAGAAAACTCTGTAATCATGGACAGTGCAGATATTCCTATCTGGATAGGTATTGTCCGTGGGACTGAAGATAGCTGAAATGTGTGCAAGAGATGGCTCAGAGATTGAAGAGTGCTTCCAATTTCTGTGAGTCTGAATAGTTCTAAAGATGTAGAGACTCATTTGGTTTGAGTTTATGTTCTGGCAGGTATTCTTTGTATAAAAATTCTGTTTTTACTACTCCTAAACGACTTTTTGGTGACTTTTCAGTCATATTACATATGACTGAAATATATGTATGTGTATGTGTGTGAGTGTGTGTGTATATATATACACACACACACACACACACACACACACACACACACACACATATATAGAGTGCAGGGCATAGCATAAGTTTATTAATGTTTCATTGAGAAGGTAAGACTGAAATACAATTACAGAATATTGAGGAAAATCTATATTAATATATGAGTTTGACCTTAAGGGTAGGTCAGTGGACCTTGAACTATTTGGTTGGCGTCAGGCCGTGCCTGTGGTGTCTCTTCATTGGCCAACACAATGGCGTCTTTGTCTGGGAATCTCTACCTCTCATTAGGGTGGTCAACATATCACAGTGGTCTTTCCCTTCCCAAATAACTGTGAGAACAAAAGTGCCAATACAAGCATAAGCCCTTGCCAAGTACAACAACATGAGGTTCCATCAGCCCTAAAGAGGGGCAACCTAAGTTGGTCATCACAGCAATGGGATTTTCAGTCTTGCTCAACATTGGGGATTTGAATAGCTCTTAGGATAATCTCTTCTCTAGTGGTTAAGGATATAGTCCCCATAAAAGAAATCTGCTTATGGGCAATATTTTGCCGAAATCTGACCATCCACTGTCTGATGTGATGGCCAGGCTACCAGACTGAGGTTAAAGAGCTGAGTTATTTACTGACAAAGTCACCAACTTCTTCTAGCTCAGCATCTTGCTCAATAACCACTGTGTGCTTTTGTAGGCACATGAAGAGAATATTCAACAACATTTTCCCATTCTTTTTTTTTTTTTTTTTTTGAGACACCCAGGCTGGAGTGCAGTGGCGCAATCTTGGCTCACTGCAACCTCCACCTCCCAGGTTCAAGCAATTCTCCTGCCTCAGCCTCCCGAGTAGCTGGAACTACAGGTGCACACCGCCACGCCTGGCTAATTTTTATATTTTTAGTAGAAACAGAGTTTCACCATGTTGGCCAGGATGGTCTTGATCTCCTGACCTCGTGATCCACCTGCCTCAGCCTCCCAAAGTGCTGGGATTACAGGCGTGAGCCACAGTGCACGGCCCCCATTCTTTATTAAACGTGTAGGAAGCCTATTTATATCTCAAACCTCTGATTGACAGCAGTTGATTGATTGTCCATGAAAGGTGGACTTTTACCATTCTATGTTCCCAAGCTTTACTTAGGCAGAAAGCCATTGCCATCTTCTGAGACGAACCCCTGTAATGTAACCATAAAGCAAGAAGGATCATAGGCACCTGTGGAATTGTCCTCAAATTTTTTGGCAATGAAAATTGCAACTGAAGCACTGCTAATATTTTCAAGAAAAACAGTAAAATGGATTGTTACAATTAGTTCCTCCAATTAGGTATTCAAGAAAAGCATAGAAGTATGTGAAGGTTTCCTTATCTGTTTATCCAGTGACCTGTATCTTTCCACGATACTTTCAAATGGAATTTATTTAGCCTAAAAATAGAAATTAATTTTGCACTGATGGCCTGAGATTAGAGTTTCTTTGCATTCTGGAGATGAGGGTAGCTACTGACCTTTCTATCTTGCTTTATTATCTGTTGGTCTTGGCAGTACCTTTCTCTTCCAGGATGCATTCCCAGAATGGTTCAGTGAAACAAATGCTCTTTGGAGGACTTTGGCTCTTTGTGGCTGAGATAAATATATATCAACTTAAAGTGGGTTTTATTTTCCTCTGTGAATGAGTTCCTAGAGAATTGAAATTGTGGAAAGAACTAAAAGCTCAAATATAACAGAACGAAGTTTCCCTAAAGGATTACGGTCTGAAGCCTCAGTACATTGGGTAATTTTGTTAAAATAGGTTCTTCTTGTCAAAGGGTTTGAGGGTTGCTGTCAGTCTATTTTCAAAACTGAAGATGAGGAGGATGATTGTCAACTGCAGGTTCAATTGGAACATCGTGGGGAGAAAAATCTCTATTCTGCTAGTCGTTGGTTTTTGAAGCACAGATGGGGCCTGTGAGATTTGGGTGGCATGATGAGGGGAGGGGAGTAAGGGGCAATGCAGCAGGGTATAGGGGATTTAGACTCACCTTCCTAGTCCTGTTGCAGTTTTGAAACCTCTGAGTCTATTAGTGTCCGACAAAAGTGTTTGTTAAAATAGATCAAAGACTAGATTTCTAACCATTAGGGAAGGGAAAGACATTCTCAGAGATTCACAAATATACGTAGTTAATGGAACCATAACTTTTAGAAGTCAGTGTTCACAGGACAGATGGGAATAGCTGGAATGAAGTGAGCTTTGAATGCTGATTGCTTTATTTTATACTAGCTAATGAGTGAATGTGCCACACATCCTCTAACCTTTCTGGAATGGTGAACAAATGGATAGATGTGCTGAGTAAGTGTTGGAAGACAACTACATGAACCCTTAGGCAACTAGGAGGAATTTAAAGAAATAAACCATGTGTTTACAATTAAACTAGGAAAAGCCTGTATATAAATCCAATTGGTAACACATTATATAAAGATAAATGATAAAAGTCCTTAATATTTTTCATGATCTTTCAAAGTTTCTTTAAAAGTGGCAAGTGGCCTCAGAAATTTGAATTATCATGAAAGGAAAAGGAAGAATGACTTAAGGATGTGTATGTGTGTGATTCTGAGTTAAAGATTCTGGTATAGATCAGTGTCGTGGAGACATTAGAGACAAATTTGAAGGTTAAATTTATTCAATGGGCCAGGTGTGGTGGCTCATGCCTGTCTGTAACTCCTGCACTTTGGGAGGCTGAGGCAGGCAGATCACTTGAGCCCAGGAGTTTGAGACCAACCCGGGCAACATGGTGAAACCCTGTCTCTACTAAAAATATAAAAAATTAGCTGGGCATGGTGGCATGTGCCTGTAGTCCTAGTTACTCAGGAGGCTGACGTGGGAAAATCGCCTGAGCCCAGGAGCTTGAGGCTGCAGTGAGCTGAGATGGCCACTAACTGTACCACTCCAGCCTGAGTGATAGAGCGAGACCCTGTCTCAACAACAAACAAACAGCGCTCCCAAAACCCAACAACAAATAAATTTATTCATTGCATTTCAAGAGGAGCGAGTGTTTTGAGAAAAGACAAGGACTTTTGGTAAGTTGGGTTAAATACTGATATCTGCTTCTTTAACAGGATCACTGTTCTTGTCTATATCTGGAAAGAAGACAAACCTTGGGCAGCAAAATGCTGTTTTTATTATTAATGCAGTGATGTCAATCCAAACTAGATGACTGTGATTCATGGAATCTTCAAGGAAAACCAAATATTCTTTTTTAATAAAGTAATGGAGCTGGGAATTGCACATCTGCTCTTAAAAATCTGTTTTTCGTAATACAGAACATATGTTAATCGTCACATCTTTTATTAAACTGAAGGAAAATTCTTGTTGAGTAGATTAATTCTGGATCCTGAAAATGCGGGACCATGGAGACGAGAATATCGAGACAAATGTCTGTCTGTCTTACCAACTTACCTCTAGAACAGTGATTTTCACACTGCTGGATGTGACCTTCACGAGGGTAATGAAATCAAGCTAGTGGGTTGGGAGTAGCATTTTTTTTTCGTTTTTGAGACAGGGTCTCCCTCTGTCTCCCAGTCTGGAGTGCAGTGGCGCGATTTCCGCTGACTGCAACCTCTGCCTCCTGGGTTCAAGTGATTCTCCTGCATCAGCCTGCCTAGTAGCTGGGATTACAGGCATGCACCACCACGCCTGGCTAATTTTTGTGTTTTTAGTAGAAACATGGTTTTGCCATGTTGGCCAGGCTGGTCTCAAACTCCTGACCTCAGGTGATCTGCCTGCCTTGGCCTCCCAAAGTGCTGGGATTATAGGAGTGAGCCACCATGCCCAGCCTGGGAGTAACACTTTAAAAAAATGAAATGGAGTAGAAAATGCAGAGTAGAATGTAGGAGCTTTTGGGAGCTTTTGCATTATTGCTCTCTCTTGTGTGTCTACACAGAGGTGTCTGCAGTCATGATGTAGGAGGTAACTTTCCTGTATTTCTCCTAGAGCTTCAGCTTTAGGTTCGCTTTAGGTTGGTGGGACCAGCAAAATCCCACCCCAAATTGGAGAGGTCTGGCTGACTGGTTGAGGCTAGGGTGATGTCTGATTGAGAAGGCTCGAAGACTCAACCACAGCTTTTGAGTCTCTGATTCTGCAGTTACATTATACCTGCAGGTTCAGGGCCTGAGCTTGTCTGTTTCCTCACAGATATTTATCACAGTGCTCTCTCCTTGGCCTGCACTGACCCAAGAATCAGAAGCAGTATGTCAGTGCGTAAGGAAGCACAATTCATTAATTTTTTTTTTTTAAAGATTTTTTTGGTAACAGTTTTATTGAGAAATAATTCATATAACACACATTTTATCAATTTAAAATATGCAAATCATGCTTTTCAGTATATTCACAGAGCTGTGCAAGCATCACCCATATCAATTTTGGATTATTTTTATGACTTTGAAAGGAGACCTTGTACCCTTTAGTTATCATTTCCCAACCTTTCCTTTCTTGGGCTGAGGCTGTAGCGTCAGCGGACACCTCGAGAGAAAAGATGAACTTTGGCATCTGTAGGCTGATACGGTGGTCTCCAAACTTTCTTTATTTATTAAATATTCAGTAAAAAAGCTTTTGAGCATGTACCCCCAATTTACGTAGATGGAAATACATTTGTTGACTTCTATTTCAGGCTTTAAAAAAAGAAAATAAAACATTTGTAAATGATGTATGCCACTGTACTGATACAGTATTACATTATCAAACACACACAGAGTTCAGCACTTAGTAAAAAAAAAAAGCTGGTATTTTCTCCACACGCCCCTGTGACTCAGCCTCTGTGGGCCTCCCTCCCGTTTTGATGGCCTTCAGTTAGCGTATACAGGCCCAGTTTGGTCTGGGCTCAGCTGACCCCTGGACCTCTCTCTCTCATCCCCTGGCACCCTTCCAACCCACTCCTTGCTCTCTGGCCTTGCAGAACTCCAGGCAGTGCTCCCAGATGCTGGCTTTTCTCTCCCGATGACACCCCACTATCTTGACTTTCCCTCCACGTGGAATGTTCTCCCTGTCCCCGTCTTTCTGGCGAACTTGGTCTAATTCACACAGCATATGCCCAGGTTTACCTCTTCTGCTAGTTTTCCTTACTCTCTGAAGCCCAGCTAGATGGGCCTACCTCCTTTTCCCCTTAACAGCTATACCTGTTTATTGTAACAATATATTTATTTGTTTGTTTCCCATTTTAGGCCCCAGGGATTGGACTTGTACCTTGCTTACATTTTCTCCCCACCTTCTCTCTCTCTTACTTTCTTATTACAGCAGTGTTGATAAGTATATTCTCCCTTATACATGAATCTTTGCACTTTCCCGCATGTCTTCCTAGGGATAGATTCCTAGAATGTCGATGCCACTTTTTGGTCATAGTTAAAAAAATCCAGAAAAATGGATTGAGACCAGATTGTGAAGTAACTTGAACCTCAGATCTCCAAACATTAAAGCTTATTGATTGGGCACTAATCATATGAGTTTGCTAGAGCTGCTGTAACAAACTACCACCAAGTGGGTGGCTGGAACAACAGGATTTATCATCTCAGCAGTTCTGGAGGCTGGAAGTCCAAAAGCAGAGTGTTGGCAGGGTTGATGTCTTCTGAGGGCTGTGGGGAAGGATCTGTGCCAGGCTTCTTGGCCTTCTTCAGGTTCACCTGACATTCTCCCCATATGCCTGCCTGTGTACCCAGATTCCCCCTTTATGATGGCACCAGTCACATTGGATTAGAGGCCCACCTTATTCCAGTGTGACCTCATTGTAGCTTAACAAATTACATCTGTAATGACCCCATTTCCAGATAAGGTCACATTCTGAAGGTACTGGGGGTTACGACTTCATATGAGTTTGCAGAGTGGCGCACAATTCAGTCCATAACATTTGATTGACACACAATTAAAGTTATATATTATTAGGGAGATTTGATACACTTATAATGTCAAATCTTCCTAGTTAGGAACAAGATATATTTCTCTTTTTATTTAAGATTTATTTATATTTATTTCATCAAGTCAATTTTATAGATTTATTGGGTTTGGGGCCTTAGAAAGTTAGAATATTTGTAAAATGGGATCAGACCTGGAAGAATATGGGTAAATCACATTAGGGAAGGTAAGAGAATGGAGTGGGGTCACTGGCATATAGTTGGCACTTCATGAGCGTCTGTGGAGTAAATTTGCTGCATGAGTAGAGGGAATCAAAGTTAAAGAACATTTAATTTAGCAACGTAAAAGTTGTAGGGGATGATGGCCAGGTGTGGTGGCTCACACCTGTAATCCCAGCACTTTGGGAGGCTGAGGCGGGCGGATCACTTGAGGTCAGGAGTTCGCCTGGTCAATGTGGTGAAATCCCGTCTCTACTGAAAATACAAAAATTAGCTGGGCATGGTGGCGAGCAACTGTAGTCCCAGCTACTCAGGAGGCTGAGGCAGGAGAATTGTTTGAACCCGGTAGGCAGAGGTTGCAGTGAGCTGAGATCACACCACTTCACTCTAACCTGGGCCATAGAGCAAGACTCTCTCTCTCTCAAAAAAAAAAAAAAAAAAAAAAAAAGTTGTAGGGGATGTTGCTGTACAGTTTGGGTACTTACATACTTGAATTTGTCTAAGATTGTCCTTTATCAGGACAGATTGAGTTCTCAATTTGATAATTCCCTTTGTGTATATGGGTCATCATAGAGGAAGTGTAGAAGCTGAAATACTATTATGAGAAAAGACTGCATAAAATAAACTCATTACCACCAAGGTCTCCTTTTCCTTCTTTAGTCTTTAGAAATACAGATGATTGAAAATTTACATTACATGGAAAAAATAAGAAACACCCTAAAAGGGTAATTATTTTATTTTTATTTATTTATTTTTTGAGATGGAGTTTCACTCTTGGTGCCCAGGCTGGAGTGCAATGGCACGATCTTGGCTCACCGCAACCTCCGCCTCCCGGGTTCAAGCTATTCTCCTGCCTCAGCCTCCCGAGTAGCTGAGATTACAGGGATGTGCCACCACGCCTGGCTAATTTTTTTTTTTTTTTGTATTTTTGGTAGAGACAGGTTTTCTCCATGTTGGTCAGGCTGATCTCAAACTCCTGACCTCAGGTAATCTGCCTGCCTCGGCCTCCCAAAGTGCTGGGATTACAGGCATGAGCCACCGTGCCCGGCCCGAAAGGGTAATTATTTTAAAACACTTTTATTTTTATGGTCGAAAGAAGGCTCACAGATCCCCCGTCCTGCTATATTCTGTTGCATTTCCAACTCTTGAGAGTCTTTCCCACCCCCGGGACCTCTCCTCTCTCCCTTCTCCCCCATGGAGTGCTGGTTCAGGAATATTTGAGGATTGGCCTATTGTGCAAACACTCAACATTGCGTCTTTCATCTCAAATCCTACAGCTGAAAGCAGAAACATTTTAAATTTGAAAGAATGGGAAACCTTTGCAATTCACAGATTTGCAGTTCCTGGTTTCAAACACTTGCCTTGATGTTTGTTACTTTAGTTCTCAGTTAAAACCTCTACCTTCGGGGTAGCACTGTATGTTCAATTATTGCATTCTTTCCTTTCCTTTCGTCTTTTTTATTCTGCACAAAATTTCATCCCTTTAGCTAAGCTCCCACCTGCCCCATCTTCTTACCTTTTTTCCAGATGTCTCCATGCTGGGAAGCCTCTGCCAGTTGGACTTGTTTCTCAGGGGAGGCTTCATTCACCACTTTGCCTCCTCATAAGCCCTAGGCACGCTTTCTGGATAAACTCTTTCTTCTTTTCTTCTCAGGATCAAACAACTTAGTCCCCGCTTGGCTCTTCCCCTAGGCTCCAGCTCTAGTCTGTAGAGCCTCTCCCCACTGCCCTCCAGTATCATATTGAAAGAACTGACAAAAAGGCAAAAGCATGTTTTTGCTACTATGGCAACCATGCCCAGCCACATCTTCTCTCCTTTTTGAAGTTCCTTCCTTATTTTATTTATGTAAATTTATCAAATAAAGCTGAGCTTCATGTTTTTAACTGTTTCCAGCCCTCATTTGAAGACTTGGCCTTATTTCCTTTCATAAGCCTTCATTATAGCTGTTTGGTACATGGATTTCTTCATCACGGATACCTAGAATATTTTCCCTGCCAATGGCCCCTAGAGCACTTCATTGTCTCTGGATGTACAAGTCCCTGTGTGAGAGGTGGTCAGTCGCTTTTCAAAGTGATTATGCCAACTTATCCTTCTACCAGTGCTATATTTCAGTTTCAGTTCCCTGCATCCTCATCAACACTGGGCTTTGTTGTATTTTTTGATAATTGCCTTTATGATATTCTCCTAGCTCCCTGAACTTTGTCTTCTCATCATACTTGTTTAATGCCCTTGCCAGTCTGTAGACTCTAAGAGGCAGGGATAGTGCCTGTTTGTTCACCATTCCACTCTCAGGAGTTCCTGAAATCCAACACCTCCTTCCTTCTTCTGCACCGCAAGGCCAGTTTCACATGCCAAATCTTCTGCAAAGCCTTCCTCAATCCCTCAAAATCAGATGGCTCTTCCTTTTTTGGGGTCCTCTGTTGTTAATAGCAGTTTTTGTGCCTTTTTAATATTCACCATGTCTTATATCTAAATGTGTACTTTTCTGTTGCCCTCAATAGATTAGCTGGTTCTTGAGGGTGGAGAAGATCTTCCTCATCTTTGCAGCACCCACGGTACCGGTGCCATGTATGTTTTAGGTGCTTGATAAATATTTGAGTGAATACTTCAGTGCCTGCTGTGTTCTGGGAAATCATTCACACCCTTCTTACTTGATGATACTCAGTGCTGTTGCTGACACAAAGGATATGTACCTAACGTAGGTTGTTTATCGGTGGCCAGGTGGTGCTCTAGAAGGACTGCAGCAAACAAGAGGACTTTTCACCCCACACCTGCCCCAGTGCTGGGATTGTCCAACCTCTTCATCTTTGTCAGTGGGTTAGGGAAAAAATGGTAATTATGAGATACCGTATATATAGATACACACACACATATACAGTTGGCCCTTGAACAATGCAGGGATTATGGGCACTGAACCCCACCTAGTCAAAAATCTGTGTATAACTGTTGACTCTGCTCAAACTTAACTGCTAATAGCCCACTATTGACCAGAAGCCTTACTGATAACATAGTCAGTTAACATATATTTTGTATGTTATGTGTATTATATACTGTATTCTTACAATAAAGTAAGCTAAAGAAAAGAAAATGTTCTTTAGAAAATCATAAGGAAGAGGAAATATATTTACTATCCATTAAGTGGAAGTGGATCATCATAAAGTCTTTATCCTCATTGCCTTCACTTTCAGCAGGCTGAGGAGGAAGAGGAGGAGTTGGTCTTGTTGTTTCAGGGATGGCAGAGGCGGAAGAAAATTGACATGTAGCTGGACTCGTGAAGTTCAAACCTGTGTTATTCAAGGGTCAACTGCATGTATGTATTGATTTTGTGAGATTTCTGTTTATATCCTTTGCTCTTTTCTCTTTTGGGATATTTGTCTTGCTTGTATAACCTCTTCCTACATTAAAGGTATTAATACTCTCTCATGTCACTCACTTATTTGTTATCTAAAGCTTGTTTCTTAGGATGAATCTCCAGCCTGAGTGCCTCCATTTATCTCATTTCTCTGAAGGGAACAGTCTTTCTTTTTCCACGCTTCTGTTCGTTTTCCATCTGCCTCCCCTCTTCTACCCTTCTCTCCTTGCCCCGCCTCCTCCAACACTCTTACTCTGGTCAACACCAAGTCATCCTTCCTATCTAAGTTTAAATATCACTGCTTTGGAGAAGCCTATCTGGTCCTCCCCTCCTACTTCATGTCAATCAATCTCCCTGTGCCCTGTTATTCTCTTTCAATGCCCCCCACCCTCACCACATTCTCTCCCGTAAGTGCCTTCATGCTCCCTTCATGACCCTCACCATCATTAGCAGTTACATGCACATGTAATGTTTTTATCCACTGCTACAATGTAAATCTCTTCCAGGACTGGGATAAAATCTGGTAAATAAGGGAATGCGTAAATTAAACAGCCAAGTGATTCTCTTTGATCACTGTTTTATTAAACTAAAATGATTTCTGTTTCATTAGTTGGTAAAGAAATTGTTTAAAGACTTCCACTTGCACTCTGAAAAAAATTTTATGTTTGCTAATGGAAATTAATAAAAATGGAGTGTTTTTCAAATGGGTGGATGATGAGGGGGAGAGAGAGAGAGAGAGAGAGAGGGAGAGAGAGAGAATGTGCATCTGGGAGCTAAACTACTGCATATTTGAGAGTAGGTGTGGCCAGCTGTTCGTTCTGTGCTGGAGGATGCCGCACCCCTCCTGGTGTGTTTCCCCAAGCTCTGGGAGAAATCTGTAGCATTCAAACAGTCCCCTGAGTATGTGTCAAAGTAGTGTATCTAGTGGCAGTGCACATTTCACAGCTATTGCTAAAAGATAAAGCAGAGACGCAAGCTATGCAGGGCACGTCAACATTCACAGCAAGCTATTTTCTAGAAAGCACTTGTGAATCTGATCTGATTATTAGGCTGTTTTCAATGCATGGTAGGTATGGTTTAAGGGCAATCCAATGCTCAGTGGTGAGAAGATGAGAGATCGAAATCCTGACCTTCTCTGATTCTGCATTAAATGCTTTGATGGCACAGAAAATGTATACCTGAGAGTTTTATAGCTGTGCTTGTATGCGTACATGTGTGTGTGTGTGTGTGTGTGTGTGTGTGTGTGTGTGTTTGTGTGGTCAAATTTCATGAAGACATGCTTCTTTGACTGATTAGTTGGGGTTATTGACATGAATACCATAGATACAGTCATAAAATGTACTGTATTTCTCTATGGGTTTGAGTATTATAAATATTTATGTGTAGTTGATTCTCTAGAATGCAACTTTTCCAGATTAAAAGGAAAACAATAGCAGATCATTCTGAAATGAAGAAAGGGAGGCTGCTATCAATTATAGTGTTTAAAAGTATGGCTTTAGATAAAAGGATGATTTGTTATTTAATGTATCAAACAATATTGTGAGCAAATTCTGGTTGACCACATCTGGGTGTGTTCCCCTTAACTCTAAAAGGAGAGGGGTGAGCCAGGAGTGATTAGTTTGGAAACAGTCCAGGGGCAGAGAGGGTGGGGCTGGATTGTATGGAGTGGGGAGAAACACTGCTCAGCTGGGTTTTTACAAGTCAGAATGGGTATTTGAAGAGGACGCTGCTTTCATCCTGCTGGGTGCAAGGTCAGCTGCAGATGCTCTTTCATTGTTTCTTTCTAATCAGCTTCTAAGAATGTGGCTTAAACGCTCAGCTATTTCCAGGTGGTTGGCATCATTTATTGAGTTGTCTGCTAGAGTTATTTCATACGCTGCCTAAAATGACTCAAAAAACAAAAAAACAAAAAACAAAAAAACCCAAATAAAACAGCTGTATGGCAAACATGCTGATGAGGACCTCTGCATTTAGTTGCTTCGACTCAGCGCACAAGTTAATTTAATGTTTTGAGTTTGGTGACTTATTCAAATCCTAAATTGTTACTGCTGTAGTTAGTCTGTAATGTCAAGAGTCTTGTTAATCATGGTAGTTACATTAACCTGTTGTTAAAGAAAGACTCTTCGACCTCAGACAAGATATCCAATGGTGGTACCTTCTGACTTGATACTAACACATAAGAAATCTCTTGTTCCTTTAAAATGACTAGTAAAATTACTTACCTGGTTAGTGAATTTGCATTTCAACATTCTTTTATTTCCAATTTTATTTAACTCCTGGATGTGAGACACACTTTTTTTTGTTTGTTTGTTTTGTTTGTTTGTTTTTGCCTGCATGAGTTCTTGTAATACCAGTGAAACAGCTGGATCAGTATCTTTGATGGCAATAGTGAGTTTGTCAGTGAGACGATTTGGCCTACTGAGGTTGTAAAACTTACGACTCCATAGCTGCATGAGCTTTAATGGCCATTTTCCAGAAACATGGCTAGGTTTATATTTCTCACACAGCTTAAATTTTAGGTTTATGTCAATTTTTGTTTTTGGCCTCACCCTGGATAGTTTTATTTGCATCTTTGATGCAAATTTTCTCATTTTTCTTATTATGTTTGATTGTTTTGGGTGTGTGCGTGTGCATGTGTGTGATGTTTTCATGCCCAAAAGAGCAATTGCAAATTCCCTGGGTACACCAAGTAATATGCCTTGTCTTAAGCAACTAATCAGACAAAATTGCTTTTTTATCAGACTCATCTAGATTGAAAACAATACTGTATGCCCTTGACCATCTTCTTTGACCAGTGTTGCAGTTTTGACAGAGACGCTAAGGCAGAGGGAGGGAGGAGATGCTGCCTTTATCAATGGGCTGCTGCTTTATAACAAACCATCTGCTCTAGTTATTAGGTTGGTGCAAAATAATTGTGCTTTTTAGCATTACTTTCAATGGCAAAACAGTGGCTGAAAACAATGACAGCATTTGTTTCACTCACAGACCAGCAATTTGGTCAGAGTTCTGCAGGGCTAGCTTGTCTGTTCCACTCACTGTCAGCTGGGTCAGCTCAGAGGTTTGGGGCTGGAATCATCTGAAGCTTGTTTGCTCACATGTCTGGTGGTCGATGCTACAGGTCAGCTGAGACTTTAGCGAGACTGTCAACCACCATACCGACATGTGGCCTCTCCATGTGGCCCGGGCTCCCTCACAGTATGGGGGCTGAGTTTCAAGGTGTGAAGACAATATTCTCTTCCTATGTAAGAGCAGCAGTCTCTGTCACAGAGGCTAAGACCATCAGAGCTTGAGGGCACAAAGGGAAATTCTACTTGGAACCTGGCATATCAAACCTGAAAATTCAGAACTTATACTTTGGTTAGATACAGAGAAAATGCACGTGTGCTCTCTACAGTAGATGTAACAAATCTCTTGAGTTTATTAGATACATAGCTCTCAATTTAGACAAGTTTTCTGAAATATATACCTTAATTTCTCAATTGGCAATTAATTTCATCTTGCTTTCACAGTCTTACTGACATTATTCTGCTTGTAATAAATTTGATTATCTTGTTGAATAGGTATAGACAGTTTATTTTCTGGAGGCCTCTAGAAAGAGACCTTGAGGAGAATTATGGATTGATATTTTTATATAACGTAGGGAAATTATGTGGATTTTAACTGGGTCCATTATACCATTGGCTTGAGAGGTGATGTGATATTAATAAGAACTAACATTTTTTGAGCATTTTTTCTGTCCTAGGCACTGTTGTAAGTACTTTACATAAATTGCTCATTTAATCCTCCCAATAGTACTGAAGCAAGTAGTTTTATTATTTTTATTTTATAAGTGAAAAAACAGTGGCCCAGGGAGGCTAAGTAGCTTAGCCCAAATCATAGAGTCACTCAGTGCTGGGGCTGAGTTAGAACGTAGGCAGTGTGCAGTTTGGCTCTGGAGGCCACATCCCTAACGAAGGTGAAGGTAGACTTTGGACAAAGCCATGGCCTTTGACTTTCATTTCTTTTAAGAAATCACATGATGCTGCATTTGTGAACAGTTATGCAAATCCATTCAGAAAACATTTGCAAATCATCTGACTGGAGATTTAAAAAAAATCCTTGAAATAGCATCTTTGCCTTCAAAGACTTTGTTATTTAGTAAAGGTATTAAAATAAGAACATAACTAGACTATAAGGCAAATAATGGATAAATAGATGAGGAACTACGAAATGGGAAACCTCAGGGAAGGGCAAGAAAGAGAAAGATATTTTGAAAATAGGAGGCAATTAATAAGTATGTTGATAAGATGACTAAAACAGTATAATTGGATTGTTTGTAACACAAAGAAAGGATAAATGCTTGAGATGATGGACCCCATTTACCCTGATGTAATTATTATGCATCGTATGCTTGTATCAAAACTTCTTATGTACCTCATACACCTGCTATGTACCCACAAAATTTTTAAAAAAATGGATGCATAGTATCTCACTCGATGAAAGGAAGAACTTGTAACAAGCCAATCTCCTTCTTTTTGCACATTAATCTTGCTTCCAATTTATTTGCTACTACAAAATGATTAAAATGAGTGACTTGTAAAAAAACCAAATAAATATGTTGAAATTAAATCAAAGTTTGAACAGATCTTGAGAGGTACCTAGTAATTGAATAGGGGTGGAATAATACTAATCACATATGTGCAGGAAACAGCACATAGTTCAGTTTGGGTTTGGGCAAGGAGAGAGTAGGAGCCAAGGCTGGAAAGGTGAGTTAAAGATGGATTGTGGGCCAGGCGTGGTGGCTCATGCCTGTAATGCCAGCACTTTGGGAGGCAGAGGCGGCCAATCACGAGGTCAAGAGATCAAGACCATCCTGGCCAACATGGTGAAACCCCGTCTCTACTAAAAATACAAAAATTAGCTGGGCGTGGTGGCATGCACCTGTAATCCCAGCTACTCAGGAGGCTGAGGCAGGAGAATGGCGTGAACCTGGGGGGCGGAGGTTGCAGTAAGCTGAGATTGTGCCACTGCACTCCAGCCTGGTGACAGAATGAGACTCTGTCACCAAAAAAAAAAAAAAAAAAAAAATAGATTGTGAGTCCTTTCTTGAATATCAGGCTAAGGAAGCTGAACTCTTTCCTGAGACAATGGGAAGGAACTGACAGTGTTTAAATAGTGTACTTGAGTGGAATGACTTTGCATGAACTTATATGAACTTTTGAGGCATCCTGAGTCATTTAGTTGCTGTTCAACCTGCTGAAGTTGCTCTCTAAGCCTCATTATATTCAGTTATAAAATGGGAAAAATAATATTGATTTCATAGAGTTCTTATAAGGAACTAGGATATGCAAAACTGCCAATAACATGCTTGGCACTGTACAAGTTATGATTTCTGAGATACTTTTGTATCATTTACTATTTGGAAGATGAACATGCTGATTATGGCTGAGTTTCATGGCAGTAATTACAAGGATAAAGAGCTTAAAGAGGAAAATTTAGTTAGGATGGTGTATTAGTGTTCAGTAAGGAAAAGAAAAATCATTTTAGGTATTTCTTTGCCTCCCTCCTTCCTTCCTTCCCTCCCTCCCTCTGTCCCTTCCTTCCTTCTTTTTTGACAGGGTCTTGCTCTGTCACCCAGGCTGGAGTACAGCAGCTTCAACATGGCTCATTGCAGCCTCGACCTCCTGGGCTTAAGTAATTCTCCCACCTCAGCCTCCCAAGTAGCTGAGACCACAGGTGTGTGCCAATGCATCCAAATAATATTTTTAATTTTCTGTAAAGACGAGGTCTCACCCTGTTGCCCCAGCTGGTCTTGAACTTCTGGGCTCAAGCAGTCCTCCTGCCTCAGCCTCCCAAAGGGTTGGGATTATAGGTGTGAGCCACTGTGCACAGCCCATTTTAGGTATTTTAATGGAGGGAATTTAACAGAGGGAATTAGGTATGTGGATGGTATAAGGGCTAAGAACTAAACAGGAGGCAGGGAAGCAACCCAGAGATTAACAATAGCAAGAAGCTACCACTAACTACTCCTAGGGCTGAAGGGACTTAGGGAGGATATTTTTACCTCAGCCCAGAGACAGGGGCTGCTAAGTGGGAGCTAGAACCATGACGAAGCTTGCAGTAAGAGCTGCAATGTGGAGGAAGGTGCTGACCAGGGAAAGCTAGAGCATGGAGGAGAAATGACCATTGCTAGAGATGCCACCTGAGGCGAAGATAGGGAAGGGAAGATTTCCTGCCTTTTCCACACCTCCTGCCCCAGTCTTCGCCCAAGTCTCTCACTGATGGATGAATATCAGTGAGACTTTCTTACCTGGAAGCCGACTGTCAAGGGAGCCTGGGAAATTTAAGTTCCCTTTGATATAAAGCAGAGAGGGGGTGTGGGCAGTAGGATATGGATCTTAGAGTCAACAGACAGAGGATCGGCACAGATAGAATTCTAATTGACTATAAAAATCTGCACAGTCAATATGGTAGCCACTAGTCAGGTGTGACTATTTAACTTTAAATTGAAATAGTTGAATTAAAAATTCAGTTTCTCAGTGCACTAGCTGTATTACAAATACTCAATATTCACATGTGACTAGTGGCTACCATATTGCATAGCGCAGATGTAGAATATTTTGATCGTTGATCATGACATGCTACGTGAGCCCCAGGTTTGCTGGAACATCCTTCACCTATATTACACGTTGGCCTTGGTCTGTAGAATGAGGTGATGCATAGGTAAATTTGTTCCACTATAGTAATCATCTATATATATATATATATATATCTTATAATATCATGTTATAGATCTTAAATATACACAAAAAGATTTTTTTTAAGTTGTTTGTCAGTTTTAAGTAGAGATTTAGGTGTGTTGGTTATACGATTGATTCTCAGTGCTTTTCAGTATTTTTCTAATTACTCAAAGTAAAAATATAAATAATTTTTAAAGGCATAAAAGCCCGAAAGAGCCACCTGCTTTAATCATGAGTTCCTCTGCTAACCGTCAGCCCTCTCTTGGTTCATTTGGTGCCATTATGAGTGGTTGAGTAGCTGTGTCCCTTTGGCTTTTCCTCTTATAGAAAAGCCTTTTATTTCAGTGGGTGTAGTTGACGGATGTTCAGAGCCAGAGCGCCATGCATGCTGGCAAGGAAATGCCTGCTCTGATGAGCTTCCTGCTGTCCTCAGTTCCCCTGACTGTGGCAGGTGCTGCACATTGGCCCATTGGAAATTGCAGTTGTTTTTAATATTTTTTTAAAACAAATGATCTCCGACTGGCTCTGTTGCTCCTAATTTCCTTTATTTGTTGAACACTCAAGATGCAATAATCTGGTTTGTTTATAGTTTTGTGGAAATAGGAATAATGAACATTTATGTAGTGGTTATCCTATGCTAGTCCTTCTTCTAAACACCAGCACTTCCTAAGCACCTATTAATTTGTTGAATCTTCAGAGAAACATTCTGAGGTAGATACTGTTGTTACCTTCAATTTCAAATGAGCAAACGGAGGCAGAGAGTGTTTTAGTATGACTTGCTCATGGCTAGGAGGCAGCTGAACAGGGTTTCATAGGCTGCAGTCTGGCTGCAGAATCCATGCCGTTGGCCATGCTTCTCTCACTCGAGTCCTAGAATGCTGGATGCAGTTTGTTTGGGCTTATTTCTTCGATTGCTTAAAAACGACTAAAGAGGTTTTGCCTCATTTGATGGATGTTCTATTGTGAGTTGCACACTTTCTATTGTCTTTTACTTTAAAAAAGAAGAAGATAAAAAACATAAAATTATAGATGGTTTTTGAGAAGCTGAGGGTCCGTGGTCCCACTGGGCTGTTTGATACCTAATTTTGGCCTCAAATCTCTAGAGCACGAGTACAGTGTTAGCTTACTGATAACTCCCTTAGGACATCTGTGACAAACTGCCACAAAAATAATAAAAAAGAAGCAGGGTTTACTGGGGTTGTGTTGAGGGCCAGTGCCTGATTTCTGTTAGGTTCTTGAAAGCTTGGCAGTTTCCTGATGGCTAGAAGGCCTTAAAATTTTTTTGAGGATTTAGAATTGTGAAGGCCATCAGCAAAACATGAATCCAAGTGGCATTTCTCCCTCACATGTTGTCCCTTTGCTTTGCATGGAAATCATTACCTTAGTTTAAAAACATAAAAGAGAAAAATGCTCAGACCTAAGTAAGAGCGTAATGAAATGAGCATGTGCATCCCACAGCCCTTCATCAGGGCCTCACCCATGATTGATTGTTCTGCAGGACTATCTAAATCAGTAGCATGTTTTTGGACAGCTTGCAGAAGACCAACCTATTTAGCATTTTGGCCAGTGTTGCCAAAGGGGCTGCTGCTTGAAGTCTGCAAAGTTCTCTTTGTATGATAAATAATTATAAAGGGAACGGTCTACTTGAACATCTGGCTGATGGAAAGACTGACTTGAAATCAAGTGCTGAACTTTGAGTGCATCCAGCCCCAGCATCTGGTGTGGGGATACGATGGATTTGGGAGGGGGCAGTATGTTTGACATCTGTGTATTGGTCCTAGAATGTTCTTTTCAAGTTGTTTGTGCTGGTCCCAGTTGACTTGTATCCTGTAGGAAGTAAAAAGGCAACTGCAAAAAGGATTAATTAGATTCCATCTCTCTGGGAGAAAAATCTTTATTGGTAACTTACAGTTTGAGATGAGAGTTTTCATTGGTAATGTAACTTCTTATGGGTTTGATTTCCTCCTTGAATAGATTACAATCCAGGAGATATCTCAAGAAGAAAAAAGTTCTAACATCATGAAGGTTAAATGATAGAAGAAGAGAGGAAAAGAATCCCACAGGAATCATGAGAGCACTTGGCATAGAAAAGCAGAAGTAATTCAAACATAAACTTAAAAAAATGCTTTGAATCACATAGAAAAGCATACGTAAGTCATCAGTTGGTGCTAGATGTATCTTGAAATTTTGAACTTTTATACATAACATAAACTGAAAAGAGCACAAGTTTTATACCAATGACCCAAAACCACAAAGCAATTTACTTTTATTAACATTGGAGTAAATACCAGTGTTTGCTGGCTTGTGGCTTGGATATGAAACATAAAAGAGGAAAAGTCTGTTTGGCTTTTTTTCCCCCAAAAGTAACACAGCTGGCAAAAGGCAGGCATTTTACCTCACTTATAATTGTCTGGAAATTTAAAATAGACCTTTTATTTTTTTTTAAGTTTATATTGAAATTCCATCTTTACATGAAATCAGCGAGCATAGGTTTAATAGCACACATTGGTCTCTCATGTGTAGTTTGTATTATGTGAAAGACCAGAGCAATTTTGATCACCAGCATGGCACAGCTCTTAATTATCTTGGGGTGAGGTTGCTTGGGTAGCTCCAGGATCACCCGAATATTTAACCAATTGTCTTCTGTGCTACTATGACCATTCACCTCCTGGAAGGTCCCAGAGGGAGTTACACACGTAGAGAATAAGTTGAGAAAAATTCATTAAAAAAAAAAACTCTGAAGTTCTTTTTAAGGTCCTGAAGAACTTGGGCAGGGTGACTTGGGTATCAGCTGCTGAAGATCTAGACATGATTGGCTTCCTAGGAGTCACTTTTTCTTTTTATAGTACACCCACTTTATGTAGCAGCCATTGCTAGCAGAGACTATATTATCTGTGTTTAGGGCTCAGAACAGAAAAAAATGAGAAAGGTTTAATGCTTTTCCCATTGGTAGTAAATCTGTGATAAATGTCTAGAATCCAGGACCTGGATTGAAATTAAATTGGTGGAAAGCTATGACTCCTAGTCAATTGTGACATGGCTTCCAGTTAGAAATCTATCATGAAAGCATCCAAGTAGTTTCTGTATCTGCTCCCTACCCCTCACTTCTCCCAATCCTTTTTTTTTTTTTTAACTTTTATTTTTTGAGACAGGGGTCTCACTCTGTCGCCCAGGCTGTTGTGCAGAGTCATGATCTCGGCTCACTGCAGCCCCCATTTCCTCAGCTCAGGCGATGCTTCCACCTCAGCACCCCCCGAGCAGCTGGCACTACAGGTGCGCGCTACCATGTGTGGCTAATTTTTTGTGTTTTTAGTAGACATGGGGTTTCACCATGTTGGCCAGGCTGGTCCTGAACTCCTGACCTAAAGTAATTCACCTGACTCAGCCTCCCAAAGTGCTAGGATTACAAGCATGAGCCACTGTGCCCGGTCACATTTTAAACATTTTTTTGTAGGGATGAGGTCTCACTCTATTTGCCCAGTCTGATCTCAAACTCCAGGGCTCCAGCTATCTTTCCAGCTTAGCCTCACAAAGTGCTGGGATTACGGCCATCCCCATCCTTTTTTCTTTACAGTGGCATCTTTTTGAAACCCAAATCTTATTTTGTCACCCCCTTCCCAAGTCTGCTTAAAATCATTCCATGGCATCCCATTGTTCCTGGGTTCAGCTGATGTTTCTTCAATGCCTTGGTCCTTGTCCCACCCACATCTCTAGCCAGTTATCTCTGCTTGCCGTTGTTCTCTGAGCTCCTGCTCCAGTATCCTTCTTCCTGTCCCTCACACTTGCCCTGTACTCTTCCTCCACTGGGCTGTGTGCATGCCATCTCCTCCCCTGGAAGGCTCTTCCCTCTTTACTTCCTTACCTCCTACTCATTCTTCGGATTTCCACTCTGGAGCCATTTTCTTTTTCCTTTTCTTTTTTTCTTTTTTTTTTTTTTCTGAGATGGAGTCTTGCTTTGTTGCCCAGGCTGGAGTGCATTGATGTGATCTCTGATCACTTGCTCACTGCAATCTCCGCCTCCCAGGTTCAAGCGATTCTCCTGCCTCAGCCTCCTGAGTAGCTGGCATTACAGGTGCGTGCCCCCACCCTGGCTAATTTTTGTGTTTTTAGTAGAGACAGGGTTTCACCATGTTGGTTGGGCTGGTCTCAAACTCCTGACCTCGTGATCTGCCCCCCTCAGCCTCCCAAAGTGCTGGGGTTACAGGCGTGAACTACCAGGCCTGCCCGAGCCATTTTCTTAAGTAGGTCAAGTCTGTTCATTCTAACCTCCCCAGCATTGTCTGTTTTTTTCTGTCTGAAATTTAAAACAATTGCAGTTTTACATTTGTGTGTGATTATTTAACGACTGTCTTCTCCCCTCCACAAGCTTCCTCAAACCTTGCGCTTCTTGTGTGGAGCACAGAGTCTTTCCTGTTACAGTAGGTGCATGCAAATATTTGTTGAATCAGTGAATTATCTCTGAGG
Source organism: Homo sapiens (assembly GCF_000001405.40). NCBI lineage: Eukaryota > Metazoa > Chordata > Mammalia > Primates > Hominidae > Homo > Homo sapiens. The sequence goes on from NC_000004.12 coordinate 41,464,912, forward strand.
GTGAATCTACTCCCTCATCACAGTGGAAGACTGGAACTTAACCCTCTACTACTGAATTTAGAAACTTGCAATGGTCGTGCCTCTCATCTCTTTGTCTTTCCTGCCTACCTTTTTTGGGTGCACATTCTGTATGTTTTAAACATCAAACTTGCAAACTTTTCTTTTGGACTGCTGCATTCCTAGGAGCCCAGAACTAAACTGAGCGGGGAGGGAATTCTCCAAGTTGCATTTCCAGCAGTCTTTCTCCTGCTGGCGTCTATTTTTTCATTCTCAGCAGAGCCCCCAACTTTCTTCCCCCTGTGCTGCCATTTGTTGCCTCCTTTTTGGAACTCCAAAGTCCATAAGCCAGTCTTGTGGGGGCTGGTTCCCACCTGCCCCCGCATTTGTTCCTGTCTGAGAAATCTGCTTGATGAGTCTCTGAACTCATCAAGTGGTGATGAGTCTCAAGTCCCGCTGCCAGCACACCAGTGAGGTCCAAAATGTCTTGGCCAAATGATCTTCAAAGGCTTGCCAGGCCTTGAGTTAAAATCTCCACTCTGGCATGACCTCCTGCTACCTCTTCTCCTCCAGTGTGGATCACAATTCCTGTTCTCCTGGTGCTCCCTGCCCATTTTCCTCCATTGGTTTCTTCTCCCTTGTAAAGAAGTTCGTATGCAGCACGGGTTACAGCCCACTTCTTTGGTTGCTGTTCCCATCTGTCACATGGAGGGCTGGATCAGCAGGTTTTCCTCCTCCAGTTTTTGTTTTTAACTCCAAAGCTAGTGTTTTATATTGATACTTCTCCTCTCTGAGTTTGAGATTATCCTTCTAAAGCCCAAGTAATAATTTTCTATACATGTAGAAAATGTGAAGGCTTCCTTCCCTATAGAATAGATGTAAGCCAACTGTGGCCCCACTGCCTGATTTTACAAATAAAGTTCTATTGGAGCAAAGCCATACCCATTCGTTGTATCTATTGCCTATGCCTGTTTTCACACTACAGTGGCAGTTGAATAGTTGTGACAGTGTCTCTTGTAAAGCCTAAGAGATTTACTGTTTGGCTCTTTTTTTTTTTTTTTTTTTTTTGAGTCAGAGTCTCGCTCTGTCTCCCACACTGGAGTGCAGTGGCACGATCTGGGCTCACTGCAACCTCCGCCTGCTGGATTCAAGTGATTCTCCCGTTTCAGCCTCCTGAGTAGCTGGGACTACAGGCGCACACCACCATGCCTGGCTAATTTTTGTATTTTTAGTAGAGACGGGGTTTCACCATGTTGGCCAGGATGGTCTGGATCTCCTGACCTTGTGATCCGCCTGCCTTGGCCTCCCAAAGTGCTGGGATTACAGGCGTGAGCCACTGCGCCCATCCAGTCTGGCTCTTCTTAGAATACCTTTGCTGACCTCTACTCTAGATCAGTAGTTCTCCACCCCGAGGACACATTAAATTAACTGGGAAGCTTCCTTAAAAAATGGCAATGCCCAGGCCCCACTTCACAACAATTAAATTAGACTCTCTGGCTGGGGCCATATTTCCAGGTAATTATGTGCAATCAGATTGAGAAGCACTGTTAATAGGTTTCCCTTCATTTCTTGATTAATTGATGAATTCTACTTCCTGGGCCTTCCAAATTTATGACTACCAAGGCTTAGAAACAGTTCGGTTCCTCAGCCTCAGCTGAGAGATGGAGAGATTACAATAAACCTCATGCTTCACTTTATCTCAAAAGTCCCTAGTCTGCCCTAAAGCTATCTCTAAATAGCCAGAATGATAGATTTCCTGTGTCATTTTTCAGGTTGTTCAGTACATATTTTCGGAATATACCTTCTTTTACTATTAAATTCCTTCATTATTATTATTATGTTTTAATCATGGTAAAATGTACATAACATAACATTTACCATTTAAACTATTTTTAAGTGTGTAGTTCAGTGACGTGAAGTGCATTCACATTTTTCTGCAGCCATCACCACCATCCATCCACAGAACTCTTTTTGTCTTGTAAAACCGAAACTCTGTACCCATTAAGCAGTAACTCCTCATTCTCTTGCCCTCCAGCTTTTGGAAACCACCATGCTACCTTTTTTCTCTATGAATCGGAATACTCTAGGTACCTCGCATAGGTGGAATCACACAGTATCTGTCCTTTGTGACTGGCTGACTTCACCTAACATGATGTCCTCATGCCTTCATCCATGTTATAGTGTGGATCAGAATTGCCTTCTTTTTAAAAGCTGAGTAATATTCCCATATATATATGTGTATGTATATATACACACACACACACACACACACACACACACACACACACACACACACATTTTATTTATCCATGCATCCATCAAGGGACATTTGGGTTGTTTCCATCTTTTGGCTATTGTGAATAATGCTGCTTTGAACATTAGTGTGCAAGTATCTCTTTGAGTCTATTAAATGTTTTTTAACCAGTGTATTAGTTCGTTCTCATGCTGTTAATAAAGTCATACCTGAGACTGGGTGATTTATGAAGGAAAGAGGTTTAACGAATTCACAGTTCCACATGGCTGGGAGGCCTCACAATCATGGCAGAAGGTGAATGAGGATCAAAGTCACATCTTAAAGGCAAGAGGGCATGTGCAGGGGAACTCCCCTTTATAAAACCATCAGATCTCGTGAGACTCATTCACTGTCAGGAGAACAGCATAGGAAAAACCCACCCCCATGATCCAATTACTTCCCACCGGGTCCCTCCCATGGGGATTATTACAATTCAAGGTGAGATTTGGGTGGGGACACAGAGCCAAATCATATCCACTGAGTATCTTTGATTTTGTCCTAAGGAGAATTCAGATCTGGCACATGGTCCTTATTATTTTCACACAAAAGATGATGTTCTGGGAAGGTCAGAGGCCAGTAAGCATTGCACATCTTGCAGTTCTACCAGAAAACAGAATAGTCAACATTGTGCTTGTAGGTACCCCTGAACTCAGAGGCTAGATAATGCTCAACAGTGTTCCTCACTGTACATTGGAAGCATTGACACGTGCGGGACGCCATTCATACAGCGTCACATATCAGAATTCAAAAGACGGTGCTTGCCTGATGCTTGTCAACATTTTGATAATCTCCACTTTTTTCATTTGCTTTTCATATGGTAAAAATGACAGCTCTTTGGAAGCCTGAGAGTTCAGTATAGCAAGCCCACAGAGCAAAGCTTACATGTTTGCTTTTATTTTTACAGGTCTTCAATTATTTGAGCACAAATACAAAATCCAAAAAGCTTTGAGAAGTGGAAGTTTTATTTTTCTTTTAAGTTTAGTCTTTTTGTTCTCAACTGGCCGGCCTGCCTTTATTCCCTCCCTCCCCTCCCCTCTCTCCCTCCCTCCCCTCCCTCCTTTCTTCCTTCTGCCCTGCCTGACTTGCCTTCCCTGCCCTGCCTGCCCTGCCCTGCCCTGCCTTCCCTGCTCCCCTCCCCTCCCCTCCTCCTCCTCCCTCCCTCCCTCCCCCTCCTCTCTCCCTCCCTCCCTCCCTTCCTCCCTTCCTTCCTTCCTTCTTTCCTTCTTTCCTTCCTTCTATCTTCCTTTGGTAAATTCATTTAGCAAAATCTTGACCTGATCTGAAATGACATTAGGTTATTCTTTATCTTAATGTATTAAACTTAATGTGAACATTCATACATTTTACCACAGAAATATTGTGTTTGATTACAGAGTGCTTCCCCAGATCTTTTAGAGGTGTTACATAGTAGACAGTACATATCTTACCATTCTAAAATGTAACACATTACCAATTAGCTTCAAGAGTTTTGGGTAAGGCATGTAGTCCTGCATTATAAGGTATCTCGTTTTCTGTCATTCAGGTAAGATCAAAGGTGGTGATCACACTTTGGCCACCTTTGAGAGTCTTACTTTCGTACACACCTAGTGTCTCTTTCCCAGTGTAGCTGGTGGGTGGCAGCTCGGATTTCTAACTCTGGGCTTTTGTGTGTTGGGAATGTTTGTAAAGCTTTCTTATGGAGAGACCGTTATTTTTTAAGAGGTTGAAAAACTGTCACCTTACCCTGGGAAACACAGGCAAAGTGTTTATCCTGATAATTTTCAAACCCTTCTTCCCAAAAGACTCATCAGAGGACTTGTTGTCATGAGTTCACTCCAACGTAGTCAAACAGGCAGCTTTCACCGTGATATTTGTAATGATGTTGCAGGTGTTTAGGGCCAAGAGTCATCTGTGCATCCACTGGGACTGAGGATGATAATTCCTTTTATGAGGTGGGAATTAGTAATCTGGGCCTCCTGGTAGCCGGACACTGATGTTTTTAAAGCCTACCTCCCACAACAGTTGAAATAAAGCCAAGCACATTTGAGTGACTGACACTCCTCCTCTTCTGTTGATCTTGCTCCTTCTTCAGGGGAAACAGATCTGTTACGTTCTTCTAGCATATACAAGTATGGTTACAACTCAGAAATCATACTATGCTGGTCTATTTGCTGCCTCCCTCTTTCAATCAGTAATAGGTTTCCAAAGTCTTTGAAGTCTTGCTTCTCTAGAATGTCCTCCTGTGGCATCAATGACTCCCCTGTACTTGTCAAAGTGAGAGAGGAAGGTGACTCTCAGTGCGGGCCATGCTTGCAGCCATAGGCATTCTTCATAGTGTCCAAGGCATGGCCAGCAGCACACATTCCAAAAAAGCTTTCCTTTTAGTTAGTTAGGTAGTTTATTTATTTATTTGAATCCCAACAGGAAATAATTTCTTTTTAGTTTTAACAACCTTTTTTAGGATTATGTCATAGCTTGTTTTGAGATTTATTTATTTATTTATTTATTTATTTATTTTTGAGATGGAATCTCTCTCTGTCGCCCAGGCTGGACTGCAGTGGCACAATCTCGGCTCACTGCAACCTCTGCCTCCCGGGTTCAAGCAATTCTCCTGCCTCAGCCTCCCGAGTAGCTGGGACTACAGGTGCCTGCCACCAGGCTCAGCTAATTTTTGTGTTTTTAGTAGAGACAGAGTTTCACCATATTGGCCAGGCTGGTTTCAAACTCCTGATCTCGTGATCTGCCTGCCTCTGCCTCCCAAGGTGCTGGGATTACAGGTGTGAGCCACCATGCCTGGCCAAGATTTTGTTTTTGTTTTAAAGCAGTCAGGCTCATCTTTGAGCATAATTATGGGATTTTGTGTTCATGGATAATAACTGCAGTGGCCAAGGTTCTTGAAGGAGGCAGAAGGAGGAAAGGAACATCCAATGGGCACCCCTTACTTACCCACTACCCATGTATCAGTTCACCATCCTCACTCTTCACCTTTTTCTTTCCTCAAACCTCCAACACCATTCTTCTTTTAGCTTTGTCAACGGATCACTTCTAAAAGCAACCTGAAGAGAACTGCTCATTTCTCACCAAATTTACTATCTGCCCTGCATCTGTACCCATTTACTCTGTCTTCATTCCTTTGCAATGGATGATCTCTCCCTGCTCGTGTGTAAGGCTAGACCTTACCCTTGTGATCTACATCCTTTCACCCATTCAGAGATTTGCTCTTTGTTCCTGCAATTGTCATTTCTCTCTTTCCTATGTGAGGGACTTCTCTTTCTCTACTGGGTCATTCCTTTAGTATGTGCCCTCTCTACACACCCATCTCCAGCTACTTCTTTTCTACTCATTCAGAGAGTTGACTATGCTATTCCTCCTTTATCCACTCCAGTGTACACTTCTCCTCACCATTCTGTAGAAATTGCTCATGTCAAGGTTACCTGTGTCTTCTATTGCCCCAGATCCAACAGACAATTCCCAGTTCTCATCTTACACAACCCCTTAACAATTTGGACTATTAACCACGCCTCTTCTCTTCAAACATCTTTTCTCCATCTTTTCTGACTTAATGGTTGGCTGGCCCTAGGATTCAGTCCTTGGACCTCTTCTCTTGCACACTCCATGCGTGATTTCATCTAGTGGCCTCTGACCGCATATTTCGTTCTCTCTCTTATTTCTGTCTCTATTGTCTAGGGCCTGGGTTGAAAGGACTTACTTGAAAAGAAAGAGAGGCGATTCTTATGGAGAGGTTAAAAAAGGAACTACAAAGGTTAGGGAAGTTACTGGTAGCTCCCAGGATTTTGAAGCATAATTGTTTTTGTGTCTGAGGATGCCAGTCTTTCCAAACTAAGACTTTTTTTTTTTTTTTTTTAACATAGATGGAAGACTAATCATGTCTAGAGGTTGGAGTTTTGAATTGTTAGTAGAAATCTTAAAATAGTCATGTGAAAAATAACAGAAATTGTAGAATAGCAACAGTTAGATCTCAACTCAGATTAACAAATACATTTTGAGCTATCGTGTTAGCTTTAACTTACTAACAAGAAAATATTTTTGTATTAAAAATTATCGTGCTAGTCACATTGTGGTGAAGTTCAACTACTATGCATTATGAGTGTGGGGGCACAGCAGAGCTTTGCTTTAGAAGCTGACTCACCTTGAACTGATTTTAATAAAAGCTTGAGGATGGTGGAAAGAGCTGGGTGGAACAATGCTTAATATTTCAAAGCAAGGACTTGAAAATCTATTTCTGCTTCTTAGTAATAGGATCTCTGAGGTTCCAGAATTATTTTTGAACTGGTTCACTGGCTCTTGGAGGCCCTGCTGCCCCACGTCCATGGCACCGATGAGGCTCTTGCCGTAATTGCTTTTCCACCTGGCATTTGATGAAAATTGGGGAATTACTTGGTCATATAGCTAAGAAGTATCCAGCGTTTATCCTCCTAGAGATTGGATTTAATGGCCAAATGGCTGGATTTGGCCGTGTCCATGTCTCAGAGCTGCTTAATTGTTAAAATTCCTGACTGCTGTGTTCCTCAATTCAGTTTCAAATTAAAAAGTCAAGTGTGTGTGTTTTGTATCTGTATTGTGAGGCAGGCTGTGATCTACCTTTTTGACTTACTCATTCCAGCCATGTATGTTTGTTCCTGGAACTTCCTTTAGCTCTGCACACACTCTTTTCTTCCTGCCCATCTGAGCTCAGCACGCCTTTTTGGAAGCCTTCCCTCTTTAATACCCTACTCTCACCGGACTTGTTTCACTTCTCTTGAACATCTACACACAAGTGCACTTGTTACTTTTCTTTCCTTAACTTTTCTGTAAACTGGGTGCCTTATATGGTGTGCAATTTTAATTCCTTTATGGTTTAAAAGATTCTGCACAGGGCAAGCACATCTGTAGGTAGTGTTGTGTGGGTAGTATTGCCCTGTAAGTCCACGTTTTCTTTCTTTCAAGAGAAGCCATAAAGAAACCATTTGTTGTTTTTGCTTAAATATTAGCTCTTCAAATTTTTAAATTTTGGTGGCTTATGCACATTTTTTTAAAGTACCATGTGTGCCAGTACAGCAAAGGCCAAACGACACATGTAGGCGCCTGTTTGGCGCCTGAAGCCATGATTTTGCCAACTCTGCAGAAAGCCAGTTCCTTCCCTCCCTCCCTCCCTCCCTGCCTCCCTCCCTGCCCCTCCCTTCCTCCCTCTCTTTCCTTCCTTCCTTCATTCCTCTCTCTCTCTCTTTCCTTCCTACTTTCTTCTTTTTCTTTCTTTCTGACAGGGTCTCACTCTGTCACCCTGGCTCGAGTGCAGTGGTGCCATCACGGCTCACTGCAACCTTTGCCTCTTGGGCCCAAGTGATCCTCCCATCTCAGTCTCCCAAGTAGCTGGGACTATAGGTGCATGCCACCACACCTGGCTAATTTTTGTATTTTTTGTAGAGATGGGTGTTGCCATGTTGCCCAGGCTGGTCTCAAACTCCTGGGCTAAAGCGATCGCCCACCTTGGCCTCCCAGAAACCCAGTTTCCTAAGGCAAGTTCCACAGAACACTGACCCCACCCATTGGATAATTTTCCTGCAAGGTAGTCTTGGTTAGACAGATTGGGAAACAGTATTTTATCCCCCTCTGGAGAATCTCATTAGCATATTGTTGGCACTGAGAAGTTCAAAGTTAAAAAACAAAACAAAACTTTTTTTAAAACGCAGGATTCCCCAAGCTTACTTGACCATGGACCCTTCTTTCCACATCACATCTCTTAACATCCCATGGAGCTAGGATTCTGCAGAAAACACTTTGGGAAATGCTGCTGTAAGCCTTTTTTTTTTTTTCTCCTCGGTAGGCCAGAGAATAAATGCGAAGGCCAATCTCCACGAAATAATAATGTAATTCCATTCAAGACAAGAGGTGAAGAACAGATATTGCCTCTGCATTTTAACTCCTCCCAGTGCCATAAAATGACAACTTGGTAAATGTTGATGTGAGTGTGAATCTTTTAAGGACCTGCCAATACCGAGAGTGAGAAGAGGAAAGGTGTGTGCTGTTTACTGCATGTTCTTTGAGATGTTAGTTCTGTTTCTTTGACTTTGCTCAGGTTTGTCATTTTGTGCAATGGTACATCCTGGTCCCATCACTACCAACGTGTTGCATAATGGATGAGGCTGAAGAGACCCAGGCAGCAGGCAGCAATTTAACAAAACAGAGAAAGAACAGAGCTGTTGATGGTTGGAAAATGCATTAGTCTTTTCTCTCTTTTACAAACAACAGATCCCTGTGTCAATCAGTAGTAAAATAGCAACTGGTCTGTTTTGCTGGTTCTACTGATCACCTCCCTTGCAGTGTAATCAAGAGTCTAGTTCAGGGCCTTTATCTCACCCTGATACAAGAATCAACTGAAAATGGATTAAAGACTTAAATGCAAAACCTGAAAGTACAAAACTACTAAAAGAAAACATAGGGGAAAACTCCATGACATTGGTCTGGGCAGTGATTTCTTGGATATGACCCCAAAGCACAGGCAGCAAAAGCAAAAATAGACAAATGAGATTGCATCAAACTTAAAAGCTTCTGCACAGCGAAGGAAACAGTTAACAGTATAAAAAGACAGCCTACAGATTGGGAGAAAATATTTGCAAATCATACATCAGATAAGGGGCCAATGTCCAAAATATAGAAGGAACTGTAATGACTAATTAACAAGAAAACACATAACCTTATTTTAAAAATGGGCAAATGGCAGGCACAGTGGTTTACGCCTGTAATCTCAGCACTTTGGGAGGCTGAGGCAGGGGCATCACCTGAGGTCAGGATTTTGAGACCAGCCTGGCCAACATGGAACAACCCTGTCTCTACTAAAAATAAAAAAATTAACAAGGCACGGTGGTGCGCCCCTGTAATCCCAGCTACTCGGGAGGTTGAGACATGATAATTGCTTGAACGCATGAAGGGGAGATTGCAGTAAGTCAAGGTTGCACCACTGCACTCCAGCCTGGGCAACAGAGTGAGACTCTGCATCTCAAAATAAAAATAAAAACAAAAATGGGTGGTCAGGCGCGGTGGCTCACGCCTGTAATCCCAGCACTTTGGGAGGCTGAGGCAGGTGGATCACAAGGGCAGGAGTTCAAGACCAGCCTGGCCAATGTGGTGAAACCCTGTCTCTACTAAAAATACAAAAATTAGCTGGGTGTGGTGGCAGGCACCTGTAGTCCCAGCTACTCAGTAGGCTGAGGCAGCAGAATCGCTTGAACCCAGGAGGTGGAGGTTGCAGTGAGCCAAGATCGCACCACTGCTGTCCAGCCTGGGCGACAGAGTGAGACTCTGTGTCTCAAAATAAAAATAAAAATGGGCAAAGGACCTGGATAGACTATTCTCAAAAGAAGACACACAAATGGCCAACAGATATATGAAAATATGCTCAACACCTCTAATCACTAGAAAAATGCAAAATAAAACCACAATGAGATATCACCTCACACCTGTTAGATTGGCTATTATCAAAAAGACAATAGATAACAAACATTGGTGAGGATCTGGAGAACGGGAACCCTCATACACTGTTGGTGGTATTGTAAATTAGTATAGCCATTTTGGAAAACAATAGGGAGGTTCCTCAAACAACTAAAAAATAAAATTATCATATGCTCCAGCATCCCACCAATGGGCATATACCCAAAGGAATTGAAATCAGTGTGTCGAAGAGATGTCTGTGTTCCCGTGTTGACTGCAGCACTATTCACCATAGCCAAGATATGGAAACAACAGAGTGTTCACAACAGATTAAAATGTGGTATATATACACAAAGGAGTATTATTCAGCCTTAAAAAAAAAAGCCAGGAAATTCTGTCATTTGGACAATATGAGCGAACCTAGAGGACATTGTGCTAAATGAAATAAACCAGGCACCAAGAGACAATTTTCAGGAGTTTAGTGGAGACCTTTGCTTTTGTTTTCTATTGCCTACCTGTATCCAGGAAATCAGAAACAGCCATCTGAAAGGACGCTAGTTTACATTATTCAAGTACTTGTGTCTTTCTATAAGATGTTGACTGTTTATAAATAAGAGTATATGCAAGTTTAGAAGTATCTGAATGTTTATATAGTTACATGCTTTGTTTTCAATCATTATTTGATAAAATTCTCCAATTTCATGAATATTCAGAAATTATAATACAGTTGGAGCACTGCAATTGGATTAACTCTTAGTCCTATAATGTATGTCATACAGACTGTGAGTTTGCAGTAGGGGTCTGGAGCCAGTTCATATGACTGGGGAGAAGGGATTGTGTCTGTTTCTTCCCCACTTTGCATTCAGTGATATCAGGTTGAGCATGAATTCAGCTAAGGTGGGAATGTTGAAACCACAGAAGCTGGCAAATGCTGTACATTAGGAATCTCCCTATTCCCATGAGAACTGGTTGTTAAACAAACATTTTAGAACACCCTTAGTCCTAGGTCATTTCTCAGGATGACTTGATTATAAAGAATGTGGGAGTTGAACAGTGAGGACACATGGACACAGGGAGGGGAACATCACACCCTGGGGCCTGTTGGAGGGTGGGGGGCAAGGGGAGGGAGAGCATTAGGACAAATACCTAGTGCATGCGGAGCTTAAAAACTAGATGACTGGTTGATAGGTGCAGCAAACCACCATGGCACGTGTATACCTATGTAACAAACCTGCACATTCAGCACATGTATCCCAGAACTTAAAGTAAAATAATACAAAAAAAGACATTAAAAAGATTTTTAAAAATACAATCAAGGACCTTTTAGAACACAGTGAGTGTTTTAACAATAACACAATTGCCTCTTATTTATTTATTTTTAGAGACAAGGTCTTGCTCTGTCGCCCAGGCTGGAGGGCAGTGGCATGATTATAGCTCACTGTAACCTTGAACTCCTGGGCTCAAGTGATCCTCCTGCCTCAGCCTTTCAAAGTGCTGGGATTCCAGACATGAGCTCTCACACCTGGCCCTCACAATTGCCTTTTATATCTTTATTCCTTTCTTCATTTCCCCAGTCTTTTGGTTAATGGTGTTTAAGCTGATGTGTGGCCACAAGGTCCCATTGTTTGTTGGTTGGTTGGTTAAACATGATTCTCACCTATTAGTTTCATAAAGAATAACCTTGCTTTTTTTCCTGTAATTTCAAGAGGATAGTCCAGTTTTGCATTGTTTCCTTAGAGTTCTTGGTAATACCCTGGAGACAGCACTTGTTCTTCATTGCTGTGGGCGTTGTTCGTGGAGGTGGAGGTAAGGAGAGCCAAATACAGAGCCTGAGCAAGGTTCACTCCTGTGCAGGCCAAGATGGCTGCTGCTGCCTCTGGCGGGGCAACACCACACTCTGCATCAGCAATGCTCAGTGATGAATGGCATTTTAGTGGGCTGGGTTACCACCTGCTGTCTGTATCACAAACCAGCCAAAAGAACAGATTTCCTGCCATAATACATTATTTATAAGTCTAAGGAACCAAAGGAAGATAAGTAGGGAAATATTTTGTTCCAAAAATGCCTGATGGTATTAAATGAGGCATCTTGTCTTCCTTCCTTCTGTTCCCCTCCACCCTCCCTTAATGGATATGTATTTTCATTCCATAGGGGACTGAGTTGTATATAGGATTATTTCAAGCTGGATTCTTTGGGTACTTGTGATGATTTTTTAAAAACAAAGATAAAAATCCAGGGACCTGACAAAGATTGTTATTATTTCACCCCTTTGGTGTTGAGTGAATTGACAATAAATGCACAGATGTGTTGATGTTTTTCTGGATTTGGGGGTTTATTTTCTTATTACACATTTTGAGGAAAAGGCGCATTGAAGAGAGCAGAAGGTGTCATAGGCAGTGGAAGTCTGATCTTTCTTTGCAACTCAACTGATAATAGGGGGAAATCAGCAACATATTTAGACAACATGGCACACTGGCTAGGAGGGCAGGTCAGGAGCCAGACTGCCCAGCTTAGAATCCTGGGTCTGCCACCTGCTAGCTATAGGAAATTGGGCAAATTACTTAATGGTCTGTACTTTTGTTTCTTCATCTGGAGACCAGGGATAATAATAATGCTTATATCCAGGCTCCTGATAGCCCACTGAGCACTTTTGTGTAAATTAGAAAAGGCAGCTCCCCAGGGTGGACTCTATGGGCTTGGGTACAGACAGTAGCTTTATGTGAATTAGGAAAACAGGACTCTTCCTTCAGAGGAGTTTGCGTGGTTTAGCAAAGAGAGCTCAGGCTGGGTGTTCCCCCCACCATGACAACCTGTGTAAGCAGCTGTGGTAGCTCTGACTACCACACCGGGTGCTGAGGAGTAAACGAGTTGATGAAGATTCAATAAAAGATGCTGTTATTATCATCATCATTATTTTGAGGTGACAAGCTAGAGTAGAAGAGGGTTCAGAAGAGCCTGTAGTTTCGTGCAGAGTAATCTTAGAAAATGAAGCAATTTGCTGAAAGCCCTTGGTTATTAGCAAAACTGTGGCTAGAACACAGTTGTCTTGACTTTTGGTTTTTGCCAATCCTGACTAGGCGTTGCTACACAACTATGTGATTCAAACAAAAGGACCATTGATAGAGGATAGGGGTGAGGGGCACTGCGGTCAGTCCCAGCCCCAGGTGCCACTGAGAGCCATTCAAATAACAAACTCTTAGAAGATGATGGGTTTTCCTCCTAAAACCAAACAGTATATATGTTCCTTTGTCCAGGATTTAAGTGTTCATTTAAAAATATACCATGAAGTAGGCATGTGGGGATCACAGCTACCACCTTAATGGTGGACTTGAGGAATATTAGTAGATGAAGATGTATTTCTGTAATATTTGAACTAAACAGCTCTTAAAAGTAGCATTTCTCGCCACAGTGTTTTCTGAGTACAACTAAGTGGAAAAAAATACCTTTGTTTCTTATAAGAGGGAAAAACAAGGGAGTTGAGCTACTGTGCAAGTTAAGCTACATTTTTCCAGTTCCCTGTAAAACCTATTTCATTATAAAATGTAACACAAGTACAGAGAATTACATGAAACAAATACATAGCTTAGCTAATTATTGAAGGTGAACAGTCTTGTAATGACTACTCAAATCAAAAATTAGTATTTTACCACCCTGGAAGCACATTTGTTGCTATCCCTCAATGATCACTCCTTCCCTCCTTCCTAAAATCCTCTTCTCATTTTCCGTTGATCACTTCCTTGCTTTTCTTTATAGTTGTGTTGCCCAAGTCAAGCCCTTTTAAAGGATAGGCTGATTGAACTGTGATCATTCTGTCTTTATGCTGAGCATTTCACCATGTTTTATTTTCATTTGGTAATCTAATAACTTGTTTGGGTGAATTCTATTAGTTTCCTAACTTGAGTTTGATGCCTTTTTAAATGCCAAGAATTGGTGACATACAACAGTTTTGTGGTTACTTTGGATTCTTACCTAAAAATTATCCAGTTATTAGAATATCAAATAGTGAAATCGATCACTTCATCAGACAGCTCTACAACTGTTACAGGACTGTGTGTTCTTGGCAGAGCCTCTAGTTCTAGTTCTTTGCCTGAACTCAGGAAGCCAAGGGGCTCAACCCCTTCTTCCTTCCCATCCTCATTGGTAACGTCATGTCGATTTGATGGCTAGTATGTGCCATTTCTATGTAGTAAGCAGATGAAGAGTGAGTTGAACATAAATGTAGTGACCAATAGTGAACTGGCAAATGAGTGTCATTAGTGAAAATAAATATGAAAAACTCCTAGAAATTAATGAGGTGGCACTGGACAGGTTGTTGACCTGAGTATTTTCCCTGGGCTGTTGAACTACTTTCAGCCCTAGCCCCCAAACATTTTATTGTGAATGTGTTGAAACATTCAAAAGAAAGAAAAAGAAAGGGAAGGGAAGGGGAGGGGAGGGAGATTGGTTCAAAGAGACCCATATACCCACCACCTAGTTTCAACAATTGTTAGAATTTTCTTTATTTGCTTCCTACACACACATTCCACTCTACTATTTTTTCGGTCATTTCAAAATAAATTATAGATGTCAAAACCCTTTCCATTTATTTTAGTATGCATCTCCAAAGTGCAAGACCATTCCTTTATATAACCACCATGCCATTATCACTCTTTTTGTTTGTTCAAAATAGTATTTCACTTGGTCCTCCAGGCTAGAGCACAGTGCTGTGATCACAGCTCACTGCAGCCTCCAACTCTTGGCTCAAGCTGTCCTCTTGCCTCAGCCTCCCAAGTAGCTGGGTCTACATGCATGTACCACCACACCCGGCCAAATTTTTTTGTTTTTTTATAGAGGTGGGGTCTCACTGTGTTGCCCAGGCTCGTCGAATTCTTGGCCTCAAGCAATTCTTTCACTTCAGCCTTTCAAAATGCTGGGATTACAGGCGTGAGCCACCGCGCCCAGCATCACTCTTAATAAGGTGAACAGTGATGCCCTAATATCATCAAATGACCAGTATATATTTAGCTTTCCCCAAATGTGCCCAAAACATTAATTATAAATATTCTTTTAAACTAGGATCTCATTAAGGAGTATACATTGCAATTGGTCATTATGTCTCATAAATCTCTTATCTAGAATAGCAACCCCTCCACTTTTCTTCATGACATCAACTTTTTGAAGTCCAGTTCTCTTATACAATGTGTCATTTTTTGGATTTGCATAACTGTTTCTTCATAGTCTCATTTAACCCAGATAATGTGTATAGGAGGTTATCACATGGGCTTCCCCGTGTGATTTTGTGCTCAGCACTTACCAACCCAAATCCATCGTTGAAGTGGCAAATTTGCCTCAACTAGATTTTCTCTCCGCTGGGCAGCTTTTCTGAACAAAAATTGCAACCACCTGATTTAGACACTCCAGTTATGGATTTTCTTCTCCTTAAATATGAAGCTTGAAAAAAAAATAGAACTACCATTTTTGCACACTCAGTAAGTACTAAGTGTCCTATTAGATGGTTCCTACCCATGATTTCCAACCTACAGGTTGGACTGTTGTCAATCAGACTTCCATAACCATCTTTTAAAGGAAGCAGGCTCAGAGATGTGAAGCCATTTGTCCAGTTCCCAAGTGCCAGACCTGGAATTGGAATGTAGATCTGCCTAATTCACAGGTTTTATACTTCATTATGCTGAAGGCTAGCTGACAGATGGACTGATTTGCCAAAATTAGGCAAGAACTGGCCGGGTGCAGTGGCTCACTCCTGTAATCCCAGCACTTTGGGAGGCCGAGGTGGATGGATCAGGAGGTCGAGAGATCGAGACCACCCTGGCCAACATGGTGAAACCCCGGCTCCACTAAAAATACAAAAATTAGCTGGGTGTGGTGGCATGCATCTGTAGTCCCAGCTACTCGGGAGGCTGAGGCAGGAGAATCTCTTGAACCTGGGAGGCGGAGGTTGCAGTGAGCTGAGATTGCGCCTCTGCACTCCAGCCTGGAGACAGAGTGAGATTCCGTCAAAAAAAAGCCAACAACTAAAATGTTTATTCAAGCAGCAACATGATACCCAGGTAACAATAACACTGTGGTCAAAGCACATCTCTGCTCCTGGAAATGGAGGCAACCCATGTAGCCTACGAGCTCTCCACTAGTCCATTTTCTTTCTAGACTCTTCCTTCTCTCTGCTCTCAAGTCAGTTACTAAGGCTTTATGCTGTGGTAAAGCTCATTTTGAGTGTTGTCTGTCTTTCTGTGCAGCTTCTGTTCTTCCTTTTTGCAAGGCAAGGGCAGCTTAAGGATGTGCAAACACAGTTTTGCTAAAGCCACTCGCATGTCTCCGGACTGACCCATTTTCTGCATCTAGATCATACAAGGGCTCGATCAGAGGATTTAATGCTCCCAGGATGCTTTTGAGCATCGGCTGTATTCTTAATTAGATTTTTTTTTTTTTGTAGACTCTGTCAGTCTGTGTCTATAAACAGTACCTTCTGGTTTTCTGATGACATGATGAAAATATAAATGGATTCTGCAGATTGCATTTTATTTTCCTCAATATTAAGCACTCAGAGCTGGTGCTGGAGGGAATTATGGTCGGATAATGTTGATTAAATAACCTCAGGGCTGGACTTCTGTGCTGTTTCTTTGCCAACACAAACTGAATAGATATAGGGAACTATTGTTATTAAAGAAAGTGTAGCAGTGTAACTGCCACAGGAAGAAGAGTTGGGCTTCAGAATGCAGCATGGTGGGGCGGTGAAGCCCTGGGCTGGGTGAAAGGAGAACTGAGTCTGGACTCATCCTTGCTGCTAGCTAGTTATATGACCTTGAGCAAGTCACCTGATTTCCAGGACATTATTTTCCTCATCTGTAAAATATAGGGGTTGTGCGTATAACCTGAACTTTAGCATAAAGAAAGGACATAGATGGATCTCTAGAAAGATCCCTGGATGCTGTGTGGGAGGTGGCCTGTGGAATGGCTGGAGTGGAAGCAGAGAGATCCCTCAGGTGGCAACTGCAGTTGTCTGGCTGAGAGATGATGGAGCCTACACTAGTGTCATAGCGTAGAGACAGAGAGAAAAGGACAGACCTGAAATATATTTTGGGGGGAGAATGTTATTCTTCTTGGTGGTTTGAATGTATCTCTGTGTTACTCGGGGAGGGAGATGGTAGTGCTGTTCATTGATATGGAGGAGACCAGAGGTGGAACAGGTCGGAGTAGGGAACAGATGTTAAGACTTTGGTATTGATCTTAGTGTGAAATAGTTGTTTTTTTTTTTTTTCTTTTGAGACTGAGTCTCTCTCTGTCACCCAGGCTGGAGTGCAGTGGTGCAATCTCAGCTCACTGCAACCTCGGTCTCTTGGGTTCAAGCGATTCTTCTGCCTCAGCCTCCTGAATAGCTGGGATTACAGGTGTGTACCACCATGGCTGGCTAATTTTTGTATTTTTAGTAGAGATGGGGTTTCGCCATGTTGGCCAGGCTGGTCTCCAGCTTCTGGCCTAAAGCAATCTGCCTGCCTATGCGATCTGCCTGCCTTGGCCTCCCAAAGTGCTGGGATTACAGGTGTGAGCCACTGTGCCTGGCCTGAAATAGTTCTTAGGTACCCAAGTAGAGATGTTGACTAAGAAATTGGATACTTGATTCTGGACCAGAGGTCAGTACTACATGTAAAAATGTGAGTTATCATCATCTGTGAGCTGTAGAGAGCCATAGGATTGGATGCGACTACCCGGGGAAGGAGGTAGGGGTGGTACAGAGAGAAGAAAAGAGATGCGAAGAGAGGAGAAAAACGCCTGCAATTACAGCTAGGAAGAGAATGACATAGAAGTCCCTAAGGCTGTGGAGGAAGGAGTATTTATGGAGAAAGGAGAAGGAAATCAGGAATGTCTGCTGGTGGGGAAGACTGGGAGAGGCAAGGGATCCAAAATGGAGGGAGAGGGTGACTGTCATGCTTCTGCGATGTTACAATCAAATGAGAAAAATGTCTTTTGGGTTAGACAGTATGACAATATTAGAATATAAGAGGAGAGCCAGGAAAGCGTGGCCTTATTTAAGATCAGGGAGGAAGCTGAAAAAAGGACTGGAAAGGGAGAAACCAAGAATGAGATCCATGGCAATTTTATTATTGCTGCCAATAATGATAATGGAATGTCCTGAGCTCTTACAATGGAGCAGGTAATATAATCTGGGTTTTAGAGACATTAATTTATTTATTCTTCATGCAAACCTTTGGAGTAGGTTCCATTAGCATGTCTTAATTAGGAAAGCTGAGGGTTGGTACAAGTTCATTAATTGCCTAAGATGATTTAGCTTATGCTGGGGGGCTGAGAATATAAGGATTTTCAGTGAGTTAAATGAGGACAGCTTGCAGATGGCTGAGCTATGATGATAGGGTAATGGGTATAGGATACTCATATAGGAAGTTTGGGCTGTGATGGGAAGGAGAAGAACAGGATAGTGATTAGAGGGCTGGATCGAATGAGGGTTTTTAGGGAAAGAGGAAACTGCCATGCTATCACTAGAGAAATGATGGATGCTGTGGGTAGAGGGGTAAGGTTGACATACAAAGGCAGGACCTAGGGATGAGAAGGGATAGGGCCCAGAGCCTTAATGGAGGAACCCAGTTCAGGAAGGAGAGAATGTATTTCTGCCTTTTGAGCTGGCAGGATAAAATGAAAAGATAGGTGTGGATATGGCATGTTTTTGGTGGGGGGTGTGGGGCCAGGGATGGTGGTTCTAAAGGAAAGTCTTCCCCAATGGTCTCTGTCTCATTGCAATTCCAACCATGAGATCATTGGCTATACATAGGAGTGGGAGAGTCCACGGAGAGATAATTAGGAGCAACAAGCAAAATGTCATTCTGGAAGAATCTCTTTAGAGGTAGGAAATTGGTGGGAAATAGGGAAATTGATTACCAAAGAACTCCTCCCCTTGCTCCCATCTTCTGGGTTGTCTCTTTTGTTCTGGGTTCAGGTGTAACCCATAGTGCTGGCACACAAGGCCCTTCCCCATCTCGACCATGCCTACTCTGGCACCTCATCACCTACCACCCTTCTCATCCCCACCTGCCGGGAACCCTGTGCTCAGGTCTTTGAAAGCTTTTGGTCTTTGTTCAAATAAACCTTTGTACAGGTCTTTGTATCTGCCTGGAGCGCCCTACTTCATCTCCTTCCTTGGGAAATTCCTTCTTATCTCAGGACCAACTCAAATGTCAGCCGCTCAAGGGCCTTCCCTGACTGTCTTAGGAGAGAGAGTTTATTCTTCAGCCCTCCCATAATATTTTGCTCAAATGCTGCACCAAAGGGTGCTTAACTGTGACATCAACTCTGTAGGCACATTCCCTGGGTTAAATCCAGGCTCTGTTTTTTACTAGTTTTGAGCCCTTGGGCAAGTTACTTAACCTTTCTGTGCCTGGATTTCTTTGGCTTTAAAATAGAAGCAATAATCAAACACCATAAAGTTGTTATGAGGTTTAAATAAATTAATGTGACAAGCATTTAGAACAGAGAGGGCATATTGTAGTTGTGATATGAATGTGAGCTCTTATCATTCAGCTATTTCTTCAGTTATGCAATTTGTGTTCATTGCTTCTTCCATGCTCTTGTAACTCTCTTCCATTAATTTATTGAAAACCACACATCTTTTCCATCAATCTATTGTTTTCTAATGTTTTATTTTTTCCCTGGACTGTGATTTCTACAGGGTTGGGACCAGATCTTGTCATTTTGGTCTTACACCTTTTACACTGACTGACATAAAACAGGAATTTGGTAAATGATCGATTGGTTGATTTCTAATTATGGCTTACATGAGTGTGATCCATCAATGTTTACAAAGCACTTCTGTAGAATTTTGATTTGATTGTTTCTAGCAATCCCACAAAGGGTTTATTCCTCAGAAAATGTCAAAAGTAGATAAATTTTGTTCTGCTTTATTTCACAATTTAGGTATAAAAATATGCAGAGATGTTCTTCTTGTGAATTAAGTCAAATATAAATCAGAAGAGAGTAAGCATAATGAGCTACAGATTATCTTCAGTGAACTAATGAGGTGTTTGTAGGAGGAAATCACGGTCTTCTGAAAAGTGTGCCTGCTTTTGTACAATTTAGGGAATATATTCATGTCTTTCAAAAGTTGCCAAAATCTGTTAAATCTAGTATTTTGTTCCAGTTGCTTGAATCTAGGCACCATTATTTCATCAGCCAACAGAATCTCCTCTTAAGATCATTATAATAGGGTTTGTCAACATTTGTTTAAACTCTTCTTCAGACAGTTTGTGAGTGGACTGTAGTTTGTCTACCAGATTGCTTTCAAAAAACAACCAAAGATTAATGAAAATATTTCTAAAATACCTTTTATAAAAATGGGAACGATCAGGCTGCGAGACTGATTCTTGGCAGCCTTTGACTTTTTATGGCAATTACATAATAACAATGGTTACAAAGAAATTAGCAGAGTGGAGCATACTCATATACAGTGTTTTATATCACATTGTAAACACACTGTGAAAATGTTGCCATAAAGTTGTGTGGTTTTCTTTATTAGACTGTTTTTTTTAAAGTCCCCCATGTTTCTTATTTGGATGGTTCAGAGCAGTGCCATTGACATAGACAAACTTAGAAACATAATTACCTTTTAGTCCTGTGGAAAGGAAATAGGATACAGATGAGCTTCCTCAATAATTACTTCCATAAAATAGTGTGATGACACATTAAAATCTCCTCTTGCTTCTGCTTTTGGTGTAACTGCTAAAGCAGATGAACACTTTTCTTTTCCTTTAAAATCATCAAGATTTTGGTGAATTATCCATTCATGGATAGTGTTAATCTTCGTGTCCCTCCAAGAAATATTTTGGTTAGTGAATTAATCCTAAAGCACAAAGCAAGAAAACTATGCTATTGGGCTTTCTTGAAAGGCACACAGGGCATAGTTGGTGACATAATTGCCACCGTAAGTACTTCTGAGGGTCCCCTTTAATGGAGATATATATGGAAGTTTATTATGCCCACCTTTAAGACAGTAGTGTCCAATAGTTTTTGTCCGTGCATGCCCATTAGTTTGTGTGTTTCTATGTTTACTCCTTTGGTTTTATGTTGCTCACCATTAGGGAACTATGAGAACTTTCACTTAACCTTGAGTGAGATGGGGAGCTATGGGAGTGGGAGCGAGGGTCTGAGTGGAATGGTAGCATGATTTAATTTTACAGGATTACCCTGGCTGCTGGCTTGAGAATAGATGGAAGGGAGGCAAGGGTAGAAGCAGCAAGACCAGTTAGGAGACCCTTGACCTATGTAGGTGTAAGATGACAGTGGCTTGGAAAAAGACAATAGAATGCAGGCAGTGAGAAGCAATGATTCTGGCTAAGTTCTGAAGGGAGAATCAACAGGATTTGTTGATAGGTGTGGTTAGGTGTGGAAAGATAGAGGTCAAGCATAACTCTTAAGATTTTGGCTAAACAGCTGCAAAGATAGAGCTGTAAGGATTAAGTGATCAATGGGCAAGGATCAAGAGGATGAGAGAGCAGGATTTGGGGGACTGATGAAGTGCTCCTGACATTGCATGCAGCTTTTCCCCTACTGGCCCCTGAATGCTTCTGAACCTGGGCTCTCTCTTCATCACTTCCATCTCGGGCTCTTTTTAAGAGCTCTGCTAAGCTTCCCGTTCTCCTAAGCTTCCCATCCTGCCCTTGTGTCTTTGGAGAGTGATCATGAGCTGATGGTTTGCCCAGTGCCTTGTCTGGAAAGTTACTGAGAGTCCTTCGTCAGTCAGGATCCAGGTGGCACAGTAATAAGGGAAGGCAGTCACTTTTTATGTACCCTGCAAATGGACTGTTGGTACTGGTGGTTGATTCTTGGCAGCTGTTTTGCTGTTTATAGCAATGGCTTATGCTGTCATGAGGGGAACAGGAATTAGCAGTCTTTATAGTTAGTATATAGAATGTGTGATATTGTAAACATATTATAAAGATGTTGCTGAGAGGGGTAGTTGAGACAGGCCATCCCAAATCCTGACTCCAGTGGAAGGTCTTCCCTCTGTGGTTCTGAACTGCTGGCTTAGTTTAGTATACGAGGTGAGGGCTTTGTGAAATGTACTGTGCATAGGAATCACATGGGGATCTTTTTAAGATGCCAGTTATGATTTAGTAGTTCTTAGAGGGGATGGGAGCACTAAGAATCTATGTCTCTTTCTTTCTTTTTTTCTTTTTTATTTTGAGACAGAGACAGAGTTTTGCTCTGTTGCCCAGGCTGGAGTGCAGTGGTGTGATCTCGGCTCACTGCAACCCCTGCCTCCTGGGTTCAAGTGATTCTCCTCCCTCAGCTTCCCAAGTAGCTGGGATTACAGATGCATGCTACCACGCCCAGCTGATATATATATATACACACACACACATACATACACACACACACACACACACACACATATATATATACACACGTACATATATATATTGTATTTTTAGTAGAGATGGGGTTTCACCATGTTGGCCAGGCTGGTCTTGAACTCTTGACCTCGTGATCCACCCGCCTCGGACTCCCAAAGTGCTGGGATTACAGGTGTGAGCCACCACGCCCGGCCGAGAATCTGTGTTTCTAACATGAATTGCAGGTGAAGATGCTGCTGCTACTGGTCTAAGGGCCAAATTTTCAGTGGCTTGGTCCTTATTGAATTTCTGCAGTCTGTACAGCTGTTGATCCTCCTAACAAAGATCCAAGTGCATCTATCCTAAATAGATGGAATGGATGGCATTTGAATCGGTGGAGAGCAGTGTGAAGACCGTGCTCGGTCCTAATGGGCATGGGAGAGGGACAACAGAGAGCAGAGGAGGAGGAACAGAGGTGGAAACTAGCATCTTCCTGCAAACACATGGTGCCTATTCCCAGAATTGGGTCTAAGAAATTGAATTTGATCAGACTACATCTTGGGGGACTTTTGATTAGCAGACTGACTTTTAGATTATTGTATCAACCTCTACTTGAAAATTTTCAGTGGCTATGCATTACATACTAAGATAATTTTAAGTGGTACATGAACAATTTAGGTTGTATGTGGGGCACCAATTTTTTTATATTCTTTTTTTTTTTTTTTTTTTTTTTGAGACGGAGTCTCGCTCTGTCGCCCAGGCTGGAGTGCAGTGGTGTGATCTCGGCTCACTGCAAGCTCCACCTCCTGGGTTCACGCCATTCTCCTGCCTCCCTAGTAGCTGGGACTACAGGCACCTGCCACCACGCCCGGCTAATTTTTTGTATTTTTAGTAGAGACGGGGTTTCACCGTGTTAGCCAGGATGGTCTCAATCTCCTGACCTCCTGATCTGCCCGCCTTGGCCTCCCAAAGTGCTTTTTTTTTTTTTCTATAGATTCTTAATAGTTATGTTATCTTGTATTTATCATAAGAGTTTAGATTGCTTTTCTCAGCAATCGGTGAGCTTCCTGCACACAGTGGCCACAGTTCATCTGTGGTTCTGTCTCTAGATACTGCTCATCATCATTGCTCAATACATGGAGAAAGGCCTAGGTAAACTGAACCAGAGATTCTGAAATAAATGTAGCTAAACTTTGTTGGGCTGTCAATGTTGGCACTGTTTTCACTAGAACATAATGCTTTTGACAAAAATGTAAAGACGTATGAAAAAATGTTTTAGAACCTTTCCAATCACTTCTTGGTGAACAAAGTTAGTATTATAGAGAGGCTTAGTGATGTTTCCAAAATGTAAATCATTCTGACAGATGACACATCAGTGGCAGAAAAATCATGGACAGATTCTGGGAAAAAAATGCCAATATGTTTAAAGTCTATGTTTAAAATATTAGCTTTTTAAATGGGATCTTTCTTAATTTCTTTATTTTGGGAAAACTCGATATTCATAAACTGTTAAGAATGACTTTTTAAAATTCATTTTCTTACCCTCCCTCAAATAAGAATGAGAGGATACTAACAAAATAATTGT
Source organism: Homo sapiens (assembly GCF_000001405.40). Taxonomy (NCBI): domain Eukaryota; kingdom Metazoa; phylum Chordata; class Mammalia; order Primates; family Hominidae; genus Homo; species Homo sapiens. Next base: position 41,488,529 of record NC_000004.12, read on the forward strand.
TTGTAACATTACATAGTGGGAGTGGTTAATGAGCATGTTTTATGATAGAATTTAAACTTTGGTTTATAAGGAAAAATTGAGACCATTTAGTTTCTTTAGATTTTTTTTGTAACAAAAAGTCTTGTTTGATTTTTCTGATGGTTAAAGTAATATATATTGTAGAAAGTTTTAGGAAAATATTGAAAAATTTAAAAAGTAAAGTAAAAGTCATATATGATTCCATTGTGAAGAAATACCATTTTGGCATATTTTCTGTGTATGTGTCTTATAATATCTGTCTGGTTTCGATATCAGGGTAATACTAACCTATTAAAATGAATTGGGAACTATTCTTTCCTTTTCAATTATCTGGAAGAGTTTGTGTAGAATTGCCTTATTTCTTCCTTAAATATTTGATATGTTTATTAGGTAAGCCTTCTGGGCCTGACATTTTCTTTGTGAGAAGGGTATCTTTCTATGTCTTTGTTGAGTGAACTATGGCTGTTCGTGTCAAGGGATTTATCAAGTTCATCTAAGTTGACAAAGTTATTGGTACAAATTTATTTATAATTTTTCTTGTTATCCTTTTAGTATCTATAGTATCTGTAATAATGTCATTGCTGTCATTCTTGATATCAGTAATTTCTGCCTTCTTTCTTTTTTGACTAAAAACAAAAGGGTTACTAATTTTATTGGCCAAGAGTTTACTAATGTAGCCAAAGGTTTCTAAATTTTATTGATCTCACAAAACCCCCCACCAGCTTTTGGTTTCTTTGATTTTTCCCTATTGTTTTTCAGTTTTGTATCTGATTGATTTCACTCCTGAGTTTTCTCCCTTTCTTCACTTAATTTGGCCTTATTTTGATGAGATAAAGCACAATTCATTGATTTGAGATGATCTTTTCTGATATGGGCATTTTGGGCATTTCTTTACCCTAAATATTGCCTTAGTGTCTTTCCATACATTTTGATATTGTCATATTCTTTCACTACAAAATACATTGTAATTTCTTTTTGATTTCTTCTTTGATCAGTGGGTTATTAAGAATTATGTTATTTAGTTTAAAAATATTTGGGGATTTTCCAGTGATATTTCTGTTATTAGCTTAGAATTTAATTCCATTGCAATCAGATAACATATTTTGTATGAATTCTTTTTTTTATTTTTTTATTTTTTAAATTTATGTAGTTCATTTTATTTCCAAGACTATGAGTTATCTAGTGAGAGTTACATGGGCACTTGAAAAAATATATATATAGTTGACCCTTGAACAATGCAAGGTTCAGAGCATCAACTCCCCATTCAGTAGAAAATTCACGTGAAATTTTGAGTCCACAAAAACTTTACTAGCAGTCTACTGTTGATCAGAAGCCTTATCAATAACATAGTCAATTAACAAATATTGTATATGTCATATATATTATATACTGTACTCTTTTAATAAAGTAAGCTAGAGAAAAAATGTTATTAAAAATCATAAGGGACAGAAAATCTACTTACTATTCATTAAGGGGAAGTGGATTATCATAAAGGTATTCATCCTCATCTTCATATGGGGTAGACTGAGGAGGAGGAGGGGTTGGTCTCGCTGTCTCAGGGGTGGCAGAGACAGAAGAGATGGAGCAAATAGAAAGAGAGGCAGGAAAGGCAAGCACACTCAGTGTCACTTTTAATCCATGCGTAAGTGGACCCACACAGTTCAAACCTGTGTTGTTGGAGAGTCAGCTGTAGGCTCTGCTGCTATTTTTTTTTCTTTCTTTCTCCCTTTCTTTTTTTTTTTTTTTTAATTTATTGATCATTCTTGGGTGTTTCTCAGAGAGGGGGATGTGGCAGGGTCATAGGATAATAGTGGAGAGAAGGTCAGCAGATAAACATGAGAACAAAGGTCTCTGGTTTTCCTAGGCAGAGGACCCTGCAGCCTTCGGCCCTGTTTGTGTCCCTGGGTGCTTGAGGTTAGGGAGTGGTGATGACTCTTAAGGAGCATGCTGTCTTCAAGCATCTGTTTAACAAAGCACATCTTGCACTGCCCTTAAACCATTTAACCCTGAGTTGACACAGCACATGTTTCAGAGAGCACGGGGTTGGGGGTAAGGTTATAGATTAACAGCATCCCAAGGCAGAATAATTTTTCTTGGTACAGAACAAAATGGAGTCTCCTATGTCTACTTCTTCCTACACAGACACAGTAACAATCTGATCTCTCTTTCTTTTCCCCACATTTCCCCCTTTTCTTTTTGACAAAACCGCCATCGTTATCACGGCCCGTTCTCGATGATCGCTGTCTCTTCGGAGCTGTTGGGTACACTTCCCAGATGGGGTGGCCTGGCAGAGGCGCTCCTCACTTCCCAGACAGGGCGGCCGGGCAGAGGCACTTCTCACTTCCCAGACGGGGCGGCCAGGCAGAGGCGCTCCTCACTTCCCAGACGGGGCGGCCGGGCAGAGGCACTCCTCACTTCCCAGACGGGGCGGCCGGGCAGAGGTGCTCCTCACTTCCCAGACGGGGCGGCTGGGCAGAGGTGCACCTCACTTCCCAGACGGGGCGGCTGGGCAGAGGTGCACCTCACTTCCCAGACAGGGTGGTGGCCGGACAGAGGCGCTCCTCACCTCCCAGATGGGGCGGCTGGGCAGAGGCGCTCCCCACCTCCCAGACGGGGCGGCCGGGCAGAGGTGCTCCCCACATCCCAGACGAAGAGTGGCCAGGCAGAGGCGCCCCCAACTTCCCAGATGGGGCGGCCGGGCAGAGGCGCTCCTCACCTCCTAGATGATGGGTGGCTGGGCAGAGGCGCTCCCCACCTCCCAGACGGGGCAGCCAGGCAGAGGTGCTCCTCACCTCCCAGACGGGGCAGCCGGGCAGAGGTGCCCACTTCCCCGACAGGGCAGCCGGGCAGAGGCGCTCCCCACCTCCCAGATGAAGGGCGGCCGGGCAGAGGTGCCCCTCACTTCCTAGATGGGGTGGCGACCGGGCAGAGGCGCTCCTCACTTCCCAGACAGAGTGGCCAGGCAGAGGGGCTCCTCACATCCCATACTGGGCGGCCGGGTAGAGGCGCTCCTCACATCCCAGACGATGAGCGGTCAGGCAGAGACGCTCCTCACTTCCTAGATGGGGTGGCGATTGGGCAGAGGTGCTCCTCACTTCCCAGACGGGGCGGCCAGGCAGAGACGCTCCTCACTTCCTAGATGGGGTGGCGATTGGGCAGAGGTGCTCCTCACTTCCCAGATGGGGGCGGCCAGGCAGAGGCGCTCCTCACTTCCCATTCGGGGCAGCCGGGCAGAGGCGCTCCTCACTTCCTCCCAGACGGGGCGGCCAGGCAGAAGCGCTCCTCACTTCCCATTCGGGGCAGCCGGGCAGAGGCGCTCCTCACTTCCTCCCAGATGGGGCAGCCGGGCAGAGGCACTCCTCACGTCCCAGACGGGGCGGCCGGGCAGAGGGGCTCCTCACATCCCAGACGATGGGCGGCCAGGCAGAGATGCTGCTCACTTCCTAGACGGGGTGGCGGGCAGGCAGAGGCTGTAATCTTAGCACTTTGGGAGGCCAAGGCAGGCGGCTGGGAGGTGGAGGTTGTAGCCAGCCGAGATCACGCCACTGCACTCCAGCCTGGGCAACATTGAGCATTGAGTGAGCGAGACTCCGTCTGCAATCCTAGCACCTCAGGAGGCCGAGGCGGGCAGATCACCCGAGGCCAGGAGCTGGAGACCAGTCCGGTCAACATGGCGAAACCCCGTCTCCACCAAAAATACAAAAACCAGTCAGGAGTGGCGGTGTGTGCCTGGAATCCCAGGCACTGGGCAGGCCGAGGCAGGAGAATCACCGGAGCCCGAGGCAGGGAGGTTGCAGCGAGCCGAGATCATGGCAGTACAGTCCAGGCTCCGCAAGAGAGGGAGACCGTAGAAAGAGGGAGAGGCTCCACAAGAGAGGGAGCCCAGAGGGAGAAGGGGAGGGGGAGGGGGAGGGGGACTTTCTCCCTTTCTTTTTGGCTCCCATGAATTCTTTTAAGTGTATTGAGATTTGCATTCTGACTCAGAATTTGGACTGTCTTCATAAATGCTCACTGTGAACTTAAAAAAATGTACATTCTGCAGTTTTAGGGTGGAATATTCTAGAAATGTCATTTAGGTCTATTTGGTAGATAGTGTTGGTCAAGTCTTCTATAGCGTTATTGATTTTTCTCTCTACTTGTCCTGTCAATTATTGAAGAGAGATATATAAATCTCTGAATCTATTTGTGGATATGTCCATTTCTCTGTATAGTTCTATCTGTTTTGGCTTGCATATTTTGAAGCTTTTTAATTAGGTGTATGAATGTTTAGGATTCTTGCATCTTCCTGATTAGTGAACCTCTTTATCATTATCAAATGATTTTATTTCTGTTGTTATTTTTCTTCTGAAAGTTTCTTTGTCTGATATATAGTTATATCAGACTTTCCTGGAAAAAAATTATTTCCTAAACAATACAGTGTAACAATGATTTACATATAACCATATATATATGGTTAATCCAGCTTTCTTTTGATTAGTGTTATCATGGTATATCTTATTTTATTCTTTTATTTAACTTTTTTGTGTCTTTATATTTAAAGTGCATTTCTGTAGACAGTACATAGTTGTTGGATCCTGCTTTTTTAGCCATTCTGACAATCTCTGTCTTTTAATTGGGGATGTTTAAACCATTTATATTTAAGGTAAGTATTGACATGGTCAGGTTTAAGTCTATAATATATTGTTTTTCTATTTGCTCCTTCTGTTCTTTGTTCCCCTCTCCCTTTTTTGTTGCTTTTTAAATTGTTAGTATTTTTTATGATCAATTTTATCTCCTTTCTTGGTTTGTTAGCTATAACTTTATTTTGCTATTTTAGAGGTTGCTTTAGGGTTTATAGTCAAGTCAGGCTTCCGTATCCATGAGTTCTACATTTGTGGGTTCAACTAACTGTGGACCAAAAATATTAAAAAAAAAAAAAGCATCTGTTTTTGTTGTCATTATTTCCTAAACAATACAGTGTAACAACTGTTTATATAGCATTTATATTATATTATGCAGTGTAATCTGGAGATGATTCTATGTGTACTGGAAGATGTGCATAGGTTATATGCAAATACTACACATTTTTTATCAGAGACTTGAGCATTCACAGATTTTGGTAGCCGAGATGGGTTTTGAAACCATTCCCCCATGGATATTGAGGGATGCCTGTATACTTACCTGGTATATTTTAGGTGCTCAATACATATTTCCTGAATGAACACATGAACAAATGTCTCCCTGGTGCCTAGGCCACAGGGCTGCTGAGAGCCAGAGGCACCAAGAGTGGCTATCAATCCTGTGCTGTCAGACAATTATTCTTTCCCAGCTTTTAATTTTTTCTCTTTTATGCCATATTATTAATGGATATTGGCTTTAATCTTCCCATCTTGATGTTAGTCCCTTGAGATTAGACATCCATATCCTCTTCTCCCTCAGTCCCTGGAGGTTTCAGTAAATAAGGACTTTATCCTCAGGTGTGCTTTCCCCAGGCTTTTTTGAAAGTGTGCATGGGGTGGATCCTCTGGATGAAAGAGACTGTGGCCTTGACTTATTGTGCCCAAACCCCCAAAAGTAAGAAATTCTTGTCAGGAAGGGTAGATATTGTTTAAGGTAGTAAATAGAAAAAAAGGCTTCAAAGAAATGGTCTAAATTTAACTTTAGCTGATCTAGGCAAAGCTACACATGGGAAGGAAATTCAGGCCTAACAGATTTTCCCCATTCTTGGAATGCCACCCGTTTTTTTCAAGATTATTGAAAAAAAATTATATATATATAATTATATATATACACACATACATATATATACACATACATATATATACATACGTACACATACACATACATATATACACATACATACATATACGTACATACACATAAACATACATATATACACATACATAGTTATATATATGTACACACACATACACACACACATATATATATGATTGGACTTCTTGATTAAAAAAGAAAAACTTATGTGCTCTTTTTCTTTTCTTTTTTGCAGCAAGTAACTGGCAGAAGTTTTGGTGATAAAGATTTTCGGACAGGTTTAGAAAATGGAATCCTCCTCTGCGAGTAAGTATAGCCTATATTCAGTTGGTTTTATTCAAAAAACATCATTAATACTATCCAGTTTGGCTGTAAGACTTCTAGTGTTTTGTTTTGAATTTATTCACAGTTTGAATCTGAAACTCAAAAAATCCCTGGGCTAGACAAGAAACACAAGTCGGTGTGGGAGCCTTGGTGTGCCAGTAGGGAGTGGTGGGGACTGTGGCAATTGCAAACAAGACAGAGAAAGAGCATCTGGTAGCTGCTGTTCAGCTCCAATAATCTTTCACTGTGCATCAATTTGAGCCCATGTAATTGTAAGGGTGGACCTAATTGTGGTAAAAGTAAAACTTTTCTCCCCTTTTAAATCCCAAACAAAAGCAGCTTGTGCCAAAATAAAACAGTGCTTCTATATACTTACAACATCTTAAAACATGCCGGGTAATGCTCCTCACTTTGCCTGTTTCACTGGTGTATTTCAAATATGTTTAATCTGTGCTGTTGGCAAAATTTAAATGTGAACAATAACTACAGTGTTTAATTTTTGTGTTTTAAAGAATTCAGGGCTCCTGTGAAGTAGCTCTAGCTACAAAATAAGCAGAGCCTTCGTACTTATAAAGACATATATTTCAAGATTTATGGATAGACGTAAATTTCAAGATTTCAAAATTTGCATTTATTTAACAGGTTTTGTGATTTCAATACTGATTTTTGTTTTATTGAGGTGAAATGTACATACAATGAAACACACAGCTCCTAACTGTACAATCTAATGGGTATTGAAAGATGTGTACATGTATGTAACCTAATCAAGATATGAAACAAAAAGTTTCCTCATGCCCCTTCTCACTCAATCTCAAGCCCCTGGAGACAAGCACTGTTCTGATCTCTGTCACAGTAGCATCTATTTTGCCTTCTCTTATACTTGATTTCAGTGGAATCACATAGAATAAACTCCTGTTTTTGGCAACTTTCAGAATATTGCTTGGGATCCAATGATGACACGGAAGGAATGTGGGTTTGGAGCCTGTGGACTAGAGATTGATGTTCTTACTTTACCCCTAAATCATTTAATCACCCCAAGTCTCATTTTTTTCTAAAATCATAATAAAAAATGTATAACTCTATTTTGTAGGCTTTTTATGAGCTTCAAAAGGATAGAGTGAGTGAGGCACTTTCAAAGATTATGCAGCACTGTACAAATGTTGACTATTTTGTTGAACCTCTCAACACAGCTCCTGTCAGCATTTTTTTCTGCCTCCCCACTGCTCTTCTTTCTTCAAAGAAAAATGTGTATCTTCTATTTGATGTTTCCATATTCTCTTTCCTACGAAGTCTCTCCACCCTACTCGTGTATCCCTCACCACCTCTTTTCTCATTATTACATTTAAATCAGAGCTTAACTCTTAGGTAAGCTGCAGTTACTTCAGTGGATGCAAGCTCAGTGGATGCAAGCCAGTCAGGCTCTGAACTCTTTCTCTCTGTTCTACCACTTGCTTTTCCCATGATTCTGGGCTTAGCCCTCTCCTGATATTAACAGACTAGCCAAAATCTGATCTAATTCATGCAGACCATGTTGGTTCAATTGAAGTGGGTCTTTGGTCCAATTTTTGTTTACCTAACATTTGCTCCAGAGATTCTTGTAGGCATCCACTTCTCCACTATATTCTCATGCCCAGGTAGGTAGGATGAAATTGTCTAAGTCCTCTAATCACAGGGGATTAGACCCACTGGTGTATTTGAAGGAGCACGAGCTTTGGAGTCTGAGGACTAGGGATCAAGCTCTCGTTTCCCCAGTGGGACTCTAGCTAGCAGGCCCAGCAAAGAGTTTGCTAAAGTGGAATGAACCACATAGGAGGCCAGAGGCAAGGAAAGCCAGTAGCGTGAACCTCTGCTAGGTCCTTCAAGAGAAAGCTGGGTCAGGAGCCAGAGAAACCAAATGCACACAAATTTCTAGGCATGGAACTTGCAGAGCAATGAGAACCAAAACCATGACCCAGGAGCTGCATGCAATGGTGACTGGGGACAGGGGAGGAAGAGTTTTCTTCCTCACCCTTATGGCTAGGTTTTGTGTAAGTTGAGACTATTAGGCTGCTACAGACTGAGATTAGCAGGTGTATTTTCTGGGACTTGTATCCCAAGGCCAATCTAGCAAAAAGGGGGACTTGCTCTGTTGAAAATGTGGGATCGTTTGATGGTGGGGGCCAAAAGCTGGAACACTCAGCATGGAGGATTTTAGAAGTTGAAGGCTCCCAGACAGTGGAGCCACACAGGTGTCAAACACCTGTCTTTGGAGATTAGATTAGAATGCCTAAGACTGTACCACTCTCTAGAACTGGAGAGAGTTTAGTGGATGCCAGTGATTAGGAGTCTAATTCATAGCTACCCCACACCACAGAAACATTAAGAAATATGAGGACTCTCTACAATTTCAAATTTTGAAAACTAAGCAGTTTGGCTCTTCTTAGAATTGGGCTTTTTATAGTATATAGGCTTTAAAAAATTATTTGATGCTTTCCAGTTTTGTGTTATTCAAAATAGAAGCCCAGTTGGTATCTTGGAACAGTGTTATCCCAGTTGGCAAATACATGAGCAGCATTGTTGAATTCTTTCTTTTGTTCAACAAATGCTCATCTTTTTGTCTGAGTTGAATCCACTCTAAATGTTAGTAGCAACTGTGTAGAGACACCAGCATCTTTGTTCACTAAAAATTTCCTGAGTTGTTGTAGGAGTCTAAAGAAAAAAAAAAAAGCTTCATCATTTTCATCAAACAGAAGGATACCTTCTGGTCCTGGGGTCTGGTTTCCCCTGACCAGCCTGGTTTCAAACTTAGCTGTGGTCTCTAAGGAATATTATTATACCTATTTTACAGAGAAAGTAACTGAGGTACAAAGGATTAAATAACTTGGCTAAGATCATACAGATAAAAAGTATTTAAGTTTGGCCGGGCACGGTGGCTCACGCCTGTAATCCCAGCACTTTGGGAGGCAGGGGCAGATGGGTCACCTGAGGTCAGGAGTTCAAGACCAGCCTGGTCAACATGGTGAAATCCCATCTGTACTAAAAATACAAAAAATTAGCTGGGCTTGGTGGCGGATGCCTGTAATCCCAGCTACTCGGGAGGCTGAAGCAGGAGAATTGCTTGAACCTGGGAGGCGGAGGTTGCAGTGAGCTGGGATCGTGCTACTGTACTCCAGCCTGGGCAACAAGAGCGAAACTTCGTCTCAAAAAAAAAAAAAATTAAGTTTAGGAGGTCTGATCCCTTAGCTCTTGCTCTTAATCACTGCCCTGTTCTAGAATTGGGATTTTAATGGGAGAGAAAAGAAAGAGATTGGCAGGTGGAGAGAGGAGAGGGCATTAGTGCCTGCAGACCTAAGTTTGGGGAAGGTGGCAGTGCAGAGGGTGAACCACTGAGTCTCAGCTGGGCAGAGGACAAAGAAGGACTGCATGTGGTTGGTGGTCTTAGAAAAATGTAAGCATCAAGGGCCTGGTGGTTCCACTTGGGCTAAGAAGGCAGCGTCAATAAAAGTGAGGGCAAGAGAGCTGAAAGGGTCGGAGGCTGTGGTCAGTGGAGGATGTAGGAGTTTCAGTTTTTGATAGAGCAGTCAAGACCAGATGGAGACAAACGAGAATAGTGGACCTGGATTAAAGACTACAGAGACAGGAGAGAGAAAAGACGAGCACCTACATACAGCATGTACGATGGAAATGGAATACCCTCAAAATCACCCTGGGACATCTCTTACTCCATATGGCTTTGAATATGCAACTCCTATGCCGGAATACTAATACATAAATGTATAACTTAGAGTAATAGCAAGTATAAAATAGAGTGCCTGTGCCCAGTGGAATGGCAGTAGATGTGTTTTTGCCATACTCATGTCTCTCTTCCTCTGTTGTTTTTGCCAAGTGTGTGTGTAGTTGAAGTTTCAGAGGTTAAATGCTTAAATGGTGTGAACCCTCTTCTGAGTATTTAATAAGAGGCTGGGGTCAAAGTGTGACAGAGCCACAAATATGTGACAAATGTTATGCTGTTAGAAATATCAATCATATACGGCACAGTGTCCTTGATGACTTACGAGTCAAAAAGGAGGGCTGCAGAGAGTTAGTCTTTAAAGAAGCTACTCCCAGGTTGGAGTCATTAGCAGATGATATTCTCTACTTCCCTGCACATACACCGGCCTGTTTTGAAATAACTCCAGAAAAGAAACTTTCTGACTTGTGTTCCTGACTCTGATTTTATTATTTAGATAAGAGTCTATAGGATCAGGGGCTGGCAAATTATGGCCCTTGGCCTTTTTTTTTTTTTAACTGGCCTTCTTGCTAAGAATGTGTTTTATGTTTTTAAAGGATTGTAAACCAAACTAAATTAAACAAGAGTCTATATGTGGCTCACAAAGCCTAAAGTGTTTACTATCTGGTCCTTTACAGAGAAACTTTGCCAGTTCTAAAGGACTGTGGAATTAATTTTAGATGTAAATTGTTTATCCTTGTAAAGTTAAGAAATTGAGTTTGGGCAGTGCAAAATGCTATTTGGGTAAATTAAATAACATTTTACAAAAGGTTTTCCCAGGAGTCTCTTTACAAGTTTTCTCCCCCACCTTTTTATTTTGGACAATTTCAAATTTATAGAAAAGTTACAAGAATAATATAATAAATATCCATATACCCTGCACCTCACTATACTAATTATTATCATTTTGCCATATTTGCTTTATCTCTTCATGTGTATATATGCCTCTTTTTCCCTGAACCATTTGAATGTAAGATGCAAACATCATGAAACTTGACTCCTAAATGTTGCAGGGTGGATCTTGTAAATATAGGAACATTATCCTCCGTAACCATTCAAGGCATTTAGCAATAATATAGTAACGTTTAAAGCATAGTCCAGAATTAAATGTTGCTAGTATCCCCAGTAATATCCTTTATACTGATTTTTTAAAAATCTAGGATCTGGCCGGGAGCGATGGCTCACGCCTATAATTCTAGCACTTTGGAAGGGCAAGGTGGGGGGATCATGAGGTCAAGAGATCGAGTCCATCCTGGCCAACATGGCAAAACCCTGTCTCTACTAAAAATACAAAAATTAGCTGGGCGTGGTGGCGCATGCCTCTAGTCCCAGCTACTCGGGAGGCTGAGGCAGGAGAATCTCTTGAACCCGGGAGGCGGAGATTGCAGTGAGCTGAGATTGTGCCACTGCACTCTAGCCTGGCAACAGAACAAGACTCCATCTCAAAAAAGAAAAAAAAAATCTAAGATCTAATCAAAGGTCACACATTGCATTTGGTTACCATGCCTCTTTAGCTTCCCTAAACCTAGAACAATCCATCTAGTCTTTTGTGTCTTTCATGACATTAACATGTTTGAAGATTCCAGACCAGCTATTTTGTAGAATATATCTCACATTTGGATTTTTCTAATTTCTTCCTCATGGTTAAATCCAGGTTAGACAGTTATAGCAAGACCACGTGGGTGATGTTCTTGGCATGGGACATAGTAGGGTTTGTCCCATTGCTGGTAATGTTATGAGTGATAATTGGTCAAGGTGATGTCCCCAAGATTTATGCATTGTTAATATGCCTTTTCTATTTTGTCATCTGTGAAAGATACTCAAGTTGTGGAAATAACTTGATATCCCCAGATCTTTCATCCAATGGCTTTAGTATCTATTGATGATACTTTCCTGAATCAGTCATTACACTGAGAGTTGCACAATGGTGACTTTCTAATTCTGTTCTTTCTACATTTGTTAGCTGTCATTCTTGTGTCTTTTTGAAGAAAAGAGCTTTTCTCCCTCCTCTTTTTGAGTATCACCAATCCATTGGCATCCATACTTTTACATTACCCTTAATCGCTAAAAAATTCTCTATAGATAACGAATGAGGTAAGTGATAATAGCAGGCCTGTTTTACAAATACAACCAGAATATAGAACATCTAAGATTTTAAAGTCAGTCCACTGAAAAAAGATTTTAGAGCTTTTGTGTTCATATAGGTAGATGGTTCATATTTCTGTTTGCTTTTATATTATTTTCCAATTCTTGCTTTATCTTAGTGTTCACCTTTGGCAAGGTCAGATGTCCTGCCCTGGCCAATGTTCGGACAGAATCACCAATATGACTATGTTGGGCACACCTGCCCAAGGAAGGAGCTTCCAGTGAAGACTTAAGAGACAGACAGGCACTAGAAGAGTATAACCATCAAGGGCCTGGTAGTCCCACTTGGGTTAAGAAGGCAGGTTCAATACAAGTGAGGGCATGAGAGAGCTGAAAGGTTAGGAGGCTGGGGTCAGTGGAGGATGGAGGGGTTTCAGTTTTCGATAGAGTGGTTGAGACCAGATGGAGACAAATGAGAGAGGTGGACCTGGACTAAAGACTACAGAGGCAGAAGAGAGAAAAAACTAGCATCTACAGGCAGCATGAATGATGGAAACTGAGGATCATCAAAATCACCCCGGGAGATGACATATTTCAGCATGGGGGCTCCGGGTGAGGTCACTGGGGAGTTCAGGTAAGAACTCTGCACAAGAAAGACCATTAATGGCCACTGTGATTTTCTTTAACCCCTGAGAAAAGTACAGACCACACATGAGTTAGTTCTACAGGGAACCTTCAATATTTTTAAGTTAGTTATAGTAAAGATTATTTCTTTGAAAGCATAGATATATGTGGATGAGAAAGAGCCTGCTAGTGGCTTACCATTTTCTATCTGATCTGAAGCATTCACTGCAAGAACCTTAAGGAAATGAATTCTTAAGTGTTTTAGAATCTCATGTCTTTTGACCAGAGCTGTATGAAAGACATATTTCTATTTGTGAACATGAAGTGGTGTAATTGGCTTAGAAGGCCGAAAAGATTCCCTCACTTTTTGGTATTGCTTGATGCTGAAATCAAGAATTGATAAGCCTTGTAGAGATAAGTCATCTAGTCGCCACATCAAAAGGAGACAGAGGTATTCCAGCCCTTCTTTTGTTTCTTCTGCTCTCATGTTGCCTGTTTAGGGATAATTCTATGAAATATTTCAGTTTTTTTGGTGGGGTCATTCTAGAGAAGGGACAGGCTTCCTTATATTTTGTCTCTAAAGTATAAATGAAAGTAACTGGAAAATACCCTTTTCCTGGTGATGAGGCACAATTACTGAATTATAGAAAACAATAGAAGACAAATTAATTCCCTTGTCCACTGTATTAAATCTTTAGTGGGAATCTTAATTTAGAATCAGGAAGGCGGGTTTAAAATCAATGGCATTTTCACTCTCATCTCCCGGTGTAGAATCCTTTTTTTTTTTTTTTTTTTTTTTTTTTTTAAAAAAAACCTTCAATTTTTATTTTAAGTTCCAGGGTACGTGTGCAGGATATGCAGGTTTGTTACATAGGTAAATGTGTGCCATGGTGGTTTGCTGCATAGATCAACCCATCACCCAGGTATTAAGCCCAGCATCCATGAGCTATTCTTCCTGATGCTCTCCCTCCCCCAATGACTTCCCCCTGCCACACTGACAGGCCCCAGTGTGTGTTGTTCCCCCTATTGTCCATGTGGTCTCATCATTCAGCTCCCCCTTATAAGTGAGAAGATGTGGTGTTTGGTTTTCTGTTCTTGAGTTAGTTTGTTGAGGATTATGGCTTCCAGCTCCATCCATGTCTCTGCAAAGGATATAATTTCATTCCTTTTTATGGCTGCATAGTATTCCATGGTGTATCTGTACCACATTTTCTTTATCCAGTCTATCACTGATGGGCATTTGGATTGATTCCATTCTTCGCTATTGTGAATAGTGCTGCAATGAACATATGCGTGCCTGTATCTTTATAATAGAATGATTTATATTCCTTTGGGTATATACCCAGTAATGGGATCGCTGGGTCAAATGATATTTCTGCTTCTAGATCTCTGAGGAATCGCCACACTATCTACCACAGTAGTTGAACTAATCTACGTTCCCACCAACAGTGTAAAGCATTCCTTTTTCTCTGCAACCTCACCAGCATCTATTGTTTGACTTTTTAATAATCACTATTCTGACTGGCGTGAGACGATATCTCATTGTGGTTTTGATTTGCATTTCTCTAATCATCCGTGATGTTGAGCTTTTTTTCATACTGGTATAGAATTCTTTTTTCACTTTCCTCATTTCCTACTTGTAGAGATGTGTCAAAATGAGTTAGGTCTACATTTAAAGATGAGGTTTTTTTGGTGGTCGGGTTGGGGGTTGAGTTGAAGTTTGCTAGTGAGAATTTTTGTTGTTGTCAGTGATAGAAATGCAACTGAAACCAGTTTAAACAAAAATGGGATGTGATTGGTTTATGTGAATAAGCACGGAGGTAAATCACACACACACACACACACACACACACACACCCCAGGTACAGACATAACTATATAACCATGCTTGAATTGTGTTATCTGACTGGTCTGTCTGTCCATCCATCCATCCATCCATCCATCCATCCATCCATCCATCCATCCATCTCTTGCCTCTGCTTTCTTCTTTATTGACTTTGTCTTTGGGTAAGTTTTCCCATATGGTGACAAAGTTGGCTACTATTAGCTTTTAGCTTATATTTTACTAGCTTTGCAATCCCAGCAGGAAAAAAGAGATACTTTTTTGGAGTAATTCCAGTAGAAGTCCTGGTGCCTGCCCTTTATTGACGTGAATTGGGCCTGGTGCTCATCTCGGAATTAACCGAATGGCCAGGTCTGGATTTGCCCTTGCTTGGAGCCAGGACGTAGCATGGGCGCTCTCCACAGTCTGCCCTACCCTACAACTGCCCTACTATTCCTGGAGAGTTGGGGAGGAAAGTTGCTCAAGTGGAAATTAAGAAGCTGTTATCAAAGAAGAAGGAATGACTATTAGACCAACAAAACCAATACAGGCCCGCTGAGGGACTCTTCCATCCAACCAGGACAGACAGCCTTTGGAACTTCTAGTGGAGAAAAGGTGAGCTTAAGAGTGGTGTGAAAGGTTTATTAGGTCTCTTTGAGGCCTTGGTTAGACTTACATAGGGGTGTGTTCAGAGAAGGATGCTTTGGAGGGACTTACGTTTTCAGACCTGTCCTGTCAGGAGTCCATTCCTTTATCCCTATCCTCTCTAAACTATGGAGTGAGTTACCTTGGTGAGGTAAAACTGAGGCCACCAAAATCTATAGATCACTCCTTCCTTGGGAGTGTTGCCGGAGAAAAGCCTCTCTCCTGAGAAGCAGGCTTTGTCCTCTACCAGTCGGTTCCCTCAGCCCTCAAGTGATAACTGCCCTTGCTCTGAGCTTCCTCCCAGCCTTTTTACCTCCCTCTCTAGGGGTTTGGGCTGATGCTTCCAGGAGCTGCCATTTTTCTGATGTGGCTGCCACGTTTCCCAACTCTTCTGCCTCCGAGCACTTGGAGTTGCGAGAGAGACCTCTCTCCCAATGACAGCTCTTTGAGCAAATCTTAGACAGGTGATCCTCTGAGTAGTCTGTACTTTCTCCTTTTAATTTATAGTACCCCCTACTGAATAACTTGGCACCAATTCTCTGAGAGTGGACAGGAGACCTTGGAGCTATCCAGTTCAGTTTCTCCTCACAACCATTTGCTGTCTCCTAGAATAAGGCCCCTCCATTTTCAGCTCTGTCCAACCTCAGGGTCTGTCTCTGCATACTTCAGACCTTTCTTTCCAGGGGTTGGGGTTAATGTTTGCTTCCCTGGCATTAGTCCTGATATCTCTTCATTCTGAGTTTCCTAGTGTTTCTTTAACCATTTCTTCCAGGAGGTCTAGGGGAGCCCCAGTCAATGGGATCCCTGTGGAGCTGTTCAAACATCCTAGGTAGGTTTTGAAATTGATGAGCTCCTGTGTCTCCACAGGGATGCTATTGATGTCATCAGAACAATTCCTTTTTGCATCTGAGCAGTTCCACTCATTGCAGATAATTCACCTCCTCTGCCCTGCTCACTTCAAGCCAGTGGTGCTTCCCACTCGTGGGAGCAACCCCATACTCACCTTCAGATTCCCAAATGCTCCCTGGCAATGGCAGTATGCAGATACTCTTCATGGCTATTTGTAGCTTGCGCATAGAGAAATGCAAAGCCAAGTTTCAGTGAGTGTATGACTGTGTTTATTTTCTTACCTTGATTCTTACTGATATGCTCTCCCTTATTCTCTGGTTTGCTTATCATTTTCCCCACTCCTTTCTTCCATTTTTGTTACTATCTAAGGACATATATTTAACAAAAGCCAGTTCAAACCCTTTTATGAGAGAGTATAGTGGAAAGTGAATGGATTTTGGAATTCCTTCATTAAATCCTATGAAATTGTGTCAATAGACCAAAAAATAGTCAGATAATGTGATTTCCTAGGGTTCAACCTAGTAGATGGAGCAGATCCTAGATTTGCCTCCTGTGTATCCTTAGGCTAGTAACCTAACCTCTTTGAGTCCCCCAGTTTACTTTTATCTATAAAAACAGATCATAATTGTAAAAATCCATATAGGATTGTTCTGAGGATAAAATGAATTGAAAATATGTATAAAATTCTTTGTTCAGTGTTTGGAACATAGCAGGCACTTAAATGTTAACTTTCCCCCGTTCGTCTATGTAACAGAGAAATTACTACTTCTTGAGGTTTCTAGGAGATTCCAGTGAGAGAATACAGTCAAGCACTCAGCATAGCATCTGGCACTTGCTTGGCACCCTGTACCACTGGCTGTTCTTATTATTGTTTTTGGAAATAGTCCAAAAGTCAATTATGAATATGACATAGTCATTGCAACTCTGTGTCACTGTGCACCCAGTGGCTCGCTCCCTTGGGCTGCCAGCAAGCCACGGGATGAAGGCATTTGGATTATACTTTCTAGCTTCTCTCATCTAGCTTGTGATCAAAAACTGGGCAAGAAAATTTGGGTCCCTTACAAACTTGATCATGTGTGAATAATGAACTTTGGCTGGCAGAGCTTGGGGACTAGAGTGATTGTTTTGAAAACAATAACCCTGACCTCTGTGGTGATGTCATTTTCTCCCATCCATCCAGTCTGTTGTGGTTTTCTTCTCTGGGAAGCTGTTCCAGAACCTTCTAGGCAGTGTTAATAGGTTCTTGTCTGGCTGCTAAGTACCCATACACAACTCCACTTTAGTGCTATTATAGAGCTCTACCTCTTTGTCCCATCTTTGTACCGGATTGAGAGCTTTCTTGAAGACCCTTTGTCTTTGTATTTCACTCATTGGACACTGGTGTAGCAAATAATCCATCTATAGAAACACTTGGTGAATAGATTGAGACCAAGTTATAAGATTTCTACCTAGGCCACCTGATCATCAATGACTGCCTTTAACTTTCTCCCAGTCTTAGTCAGTATTATTCTCTCTCTCTGTGTTTCTGACACACACACACACACACACACACACACACACACACACACACACTTTGTATAAACAACAGACCCATCCCTAAAGACTGGGAGACCAAAGGATGGATGTATTTGCTTTCTTCAAGTGTAAGATTCTCTATTACAAATTCCATCTTCCTAGGAGTCATAGAACTGAACTTAAAAGTTTTGTTTTGCAAACGTATTGTCATGAAATGAAAGTGTGAGTATGTTAATCTACAAATAAGTGACCAATAAAGAATGTCTTAGTGGATTTTTGTCTCAGTTCCTGTGTTGCTGAAATGATTTTCCAAAGATAAGAAATCTGTTGGCAAACACTTATTCTATCATCACTGATAAATGAGCTGCTTGTCAGAAGGAGGTCTGGCCTTAGATTCTTGTCATGATTTCAGCATGAGATGTGGTGTGTCACGGATGTGTCCTAGTCTTGTAGGACAGGTTGAGGGTTGATGGTGTAACTTTGTGTGGAGACATTTTATCACATGGAGGAATTGTTGGCTATCGACCATGTGCTGCATAGCACCAAATTAGGCACCAAGAGGCATAAAAACAGAATGTAAGACATGATCTTCAAAAGTTTTATGATGTGCTTGGGGACTGGACCCACACACACAGAGCAGTTAAGTTACAGTGTAAACCAGTGTACGAGTAAATGTAAAACCAACAAAGATTTAATCTCCAAGATTTAATAAGAGGTTAAATGAGGATACTGTTATGACTTGGGAGACAGTTAATTGGGGAGATATAATATTAATTGACTATTAAGAATAGGTTGAGGGAAAGGGAAAATCATCTTTATAGAGAAAAACAAGTAGTTTTTTCTTTCTTTATACTTTCATAACACTCTGGTCACAAAAATGTGTGGTTTTTATCCCTCATAATGACCAATTCTCCAATACCAGCTGGTTATCTTAAAGTTTAACTTAATCTCGACACTAACTGGAGATAATACAGACTACACAGGTTAAGGGCTCAGTCCCACAAGACTGCCCCCACCCCTCATTTAGATGCCAGTTGCAAATAACAGGTCCTCAGGTGATCCACAACTTCTGTCCACTTGGCTACAAATTGGAGGCTCTCATGGCCTCCTTCTTGGGTTTGAATATTTATCAGAATGGCTCACAGAACTCCGGGGTACATCCGTGTATTTATGGATTTATTCTAAAGGATCTGATAAAGGGTACACATGAACAGCCAAATGGAAGATGCAGAGGGGAAGGCGTGGGGCCAAGGGAATAGGGTTTTCATCCCTTTCTTGTTGGTCCATCCTCCCAGCACCTCCACACGCCCAGCAACCCAGTATATCTTCAGACTCTTGAAACAGAGGGATTGAAACCGGGATTTTTATGGAGGCTTTGTCACTTAGGCATGATTGGTTGTTAATTCCATTTCCAGCCTCTCTCCCCTTCCTGGAGGATGGGAGTGGGGCTAGAAGTTCCAAGCTTCTAATCGTAGCTTGGTCTTTCTGGTAACCAGCCTCCATCTAGGAGCCTACCAAGAGTCACCTCATTAGAGCAAAAGACACTCCTATCACCCAGGAAATTCCAAGGGATTAGGAGTTCTGCGTCAGCAACTGGGGTCAGAGACTAAATATCAGAGTAAAAAAATGCACCTAGCATTCCTATTGCTCAGGAAATTACAAGGATTTTAGGGACTCTGTGCCAGGAGCTGGGGATGAAGACCAAAATATGGATTTCTTAATATAATTCACAGTATCACAGCATCCTACACAGGGACAAAGGCAGGAGGGAAGGTTTGGAGTCAGGAATGAGTAGGCTGTGTTTGGCACATATAGAGGATAGGTGCCTGAAAGGGCAAGGACATCTCTTCCTTTATCCAACTGACCTTTATAGGAACCCACTTATGAGTGTGGTAAGTTACTGTAAAGATGAATGCATTATGCAATCAAATCATGTAATGGTGGTGGTGGGAGGGGGGCGGGCAGCTGATTTGAGATCTAAATCCTGACTGTGTGGGATATAAATCTCAGATTCCCTTCAAGAAGCACATTTAGGTGGAGACCTGAACGAAGAGGAGAAATTATTCTCTTCTACCAGGAAAGAGGAAAGGGAAATGAAAGTTGAGAAGAAACATACTCTAGGGCTGAAAGAATAACATGATTGAAAACTCTACGACTGGAACAAGCTCTGTGTCTTGGAGGAATTGCAGGTAGACTTGTTTGGCCAAAAGGTAGAAAACCAGTGGGGCAATGGTATGAGATCAGTGTGGATGGAGAGAAGTAGTGGGGGCAAGATTGTGCAGGGCCTTGCAAGCCATATAAGGATTTGGTGGTTTGATTCCCAAGAGCAATGGAAATGAAGAGGATTTTGAAGAAATCAGCAGCACCTGGTAGAGTATAGTGATGAATGAAAGAAAAGACAAAAAATAATTTTGGTGTTTCAGTTGAGTGGGGTCCTGATACAAGCCAGAAAGGCTCCTCTGTTTGTTGGAGAGGTCATGGTTTTAGTTTGGGCAGGATGAGTTCGGGATATGGACAAGCCACCCAGGACCAGAGTCCTGTAGGCTGTTGGGGATGAGGGCCTGGCTCTTAGAGGTGAGACGATGCATTCAACTTGCTCAAGTTGGATTTGTGAGCCATTGTCGGACATCAGGGTTAAGCTATGAGATATGGAAGCCTCTCTGAGGGAAAGGCCACATTAGGAAAGAGCCGCAGAAGGAGGTCTCAGTTTGAGGAAGTGTCTCCCCTGGGTCATGGGTGGGAGAAAGAGAAGCTCACAAAAGAGCTATCAGAGAGATGAGAGGAAACCCAGGAGACTGTGAGGTCATGGAAACCAAGAGGGCTAAGAAGACTTTTAAGAAGGTGGAGGTGACTTGTATTGTATGTCCCCAGTAGATATCAGTTTGAGCAAAACCTCAGAAAAGGCCTGCCTTGCTTGCAGAAGGAAGGACTGGAGACTTTTAACAATTAATATGTATCTCTGGGAACTGCCAGTCAACTGATCATGATTCCACCTAACTGTTTTAGGTCTAGCTCATGTTTGTGTATCATTCCAACAGCTATTGTTAGAGACCTTGTGTAATATAAAGTACACATGCAATCATTTTCTGAAACATTGGTAAAGAGATGAGATTAGTATGACCCAATGGCTGATTAGTAGAGCAACAATACAACCTGTCATTCAAACTGAGACACTGTTCAGAGCGAAAGGGGGTATTAACCAGATGAGATGCTGGAACAAGTGGAAGCTGGGACTGACCTCAGCTAACTGGGATATATGGTCACCCCAGTTATTGATGACTTTAGACTGGTCCCTACTGGTCACCATTGCTTTGTTCAGTATTCACAAACCAATCCCTTATTTAGTCCTCAGAGCAACCCCAGTGAACCTAGATCTTCCAACCCCTCTTCTGTAGATGATTAGATGGAGACCCGAGGTGGTAGGGCACAATGTGTCTTTGCACTCTTTGTCTAGAGCTCTCTCTCTAACCCAGATGCTCGCTCCAATCTCAGCAAACTTGGGTCCTTTTTCCATTACTGATTTTGGCCTTAGCAGACTGGGAAGAATTTGATAGACTTTCTATGTAGGGTTCTCCCTTGTCCTTCTGCCAAATCACAATTGGCCACGCTGACTTGGCCTGTCTCCAGCTGTTTGGCACCAAGACTCATTAAGCCTTTAAGTTCAAGTGAGGACATTTCAACCCGCTCCTTTTCTGAAAAAGATCTCCAGTGAAAAAGCTGCTTTTTGTTTGAAGATTGGCCTGGCTTAGGTGGGGGCTTAGGCAAGAATTGAGTATCCCCAACAGGCTTCTGTTAGAAAGATGAAAACAGATGGAGAACATGGAAGGTGAATATGCAGGACTCATGGTGAGCAGAATGAGCCCCCAGTGTTGCCTCTTTTTTTGAATCCTCACCAAATAAATAGCCCTTGGCTCCTACTCAAAAGAGGGACTCAGCACAGTAGGGGTACTGTCTCCATTCAAACTGTTCTTTGGACATCAATTACAAAGTCTACTCTGGGAGCTCTTGTGTGCACTTGAGCATCTTGCCTTTGGAATATTCTCAAGCTCATCCATCTTTGTAAATATTCTGTTCATTAAAAATTATACGATCCTTGTCACTTCCTTTCTCCTAATACATAGTCTTATATGACCCAGACCCAGTAGGGCATTTACAGAGTTTGTTTTGAAGCTTCCTAGAAATGTGTTTGAAACTTATTTTAGCAGAATTGTCACTTGGAACCACTTCCCTCAACATGTGGCAATTCCCTCATCCTATTAATCTGCTCCTTAATAAATATTAAAATTCTCCTGACTTGAATCTCAGGCTAATCTTTCTCCTCCTGAACAAATTTTTGACAGATTTTTAAGAATGATCAATTAATTTAAGAAAATATAACAACTGGTTTAAATGTGGACTGCTCATGTGGTAGATGAGAAACTGGCCTAGCCCATTGCCTGCCTGTGGGGTTACATGCTGGATTAGGCTTTGCTTAGATTTAAGAGGATTTAGTAGCTCTAATTGTATTTCCTTAATAATCCATTTTTTGATTGTCTCTAATGGGCTGTCAGGCTTGGTGGGCTGGCTTCCCATGATGAAGTGTGCAAAATCTCTGCCTCACCTGTTCTGAATGTTCCCTTTGGTTACTCGAAGGAGTGGACTTTTTCTTAAATAGCCTACTAAGGACCCAGTTTATAAATGATTTTTTTTTTTTGAGATGGAGTTTCATTCTTGTCGCCTAGGCTGGAGTGCACTGGCACGATCTCGGCTTGCTGCAACCTCTGCCTCCCGGGTTCAAGTGATTCTGCTGCCTCAGCCTCCCGAGTAGCTGGGATTACAGGCGTCTGCCACCATGCCTGGCTAATTTTTGTATTTTTAGTAGAGACGGAGTTTCGCCATGTTGGGCAGGCTGGTCTCGAACTCCTGCCCTCAGGTGATCCGCCCACCTCGGCCTCCCAAAGTGCTGGGATTAAAGGTGTGAGCCACCGCACCCGACCAAATGATTTCTTTAAAAAGTTAACTATGAAGAAATAGACTTCCTTCTTGGTATCAAGAGGAAGAAAGAGTGAATAAAAAGAAAAAGTGAAGACTGTATATCTGAGTGATTAGCTCTAGTGCTTGCCCTTCCTTAAGCCACTGTAGACTCTGCTGGGAGGCTAACATTCCCAAACATGGCTTCATCGTGACTGGTGGCCTCTTCCCAGAAGACGGGGTGTGATTCAAGTTCCTTTGCCTAGAACGTGGTGTCCCTCTGTCTGGGTGCAATGATTCTATTCAACTCATCAGCCCTGTCCATTTGCACTGGTCACAGAGGTTGATCTATTATTGTTCCTACAATTCTCTTTGTGCTTCCCTGCTTTGTATCTTTCTTGCATTTGCTTCTAGCTACCTGCAGTGCTGTATTCCCTGTCCATTTCCATCTTCTTAAATCCCAAACAAACGCAATGGGCACCTTTCCCTCCACCACAACATCCCCAGTGCTGCAACCTGAATTCAGTCCTCTGAGCACCCATCGCTGTGACAGCCATACATCCCGAAGTGGAGATGACAACCCTGATTTCAACTGCTGTCTCCCTCATTTCTTGTTTGAAGGAGAAATTTTGGCTGTGCCTAGAGCAAGTCATTTGTCTCACACATGGCACTACTCATGAAGTTGGATATTTTAACTTTCTATTAGATGATAAATTCCTTGAAGTACTGACAGCGACTCACCCATCTTTGTATGCCTAATGGTGCTTGCACATGGCAGGCATGTAGTAAGCTTTTGAAGGGAGGACGGGAAGAAGAAAGATTATTTTAAAATTAATACTTTTGAAATTATTGATATGTTTATAACTAACCAGTAAATTTGTGTAGTAAAATGCTACAATTTTAACTCAGAATGGATCATAGACATAAATGTAAGTGCTAAACCTACAAAACTCTTAGAATAAAACATGGCAGTAAATCTTTGTGACCTTGGATTAGGCAATCATTTTTTATATATAACATCAAAAATACAAGTGACAAGAAAAAATAAATAAACTGGACTATATCAAAATTAAAAACTTTTGTCCTGCAAATGATATCATCTCTCAACCCACAGAATGGGAAAAAATATTTGCAAATCATATATCTGATAAGAGGCTTGTATCCAAAATATATAAAGAGCTCTTATAACTCAATAATAAAAAGATAACCCAATTTAAAAATGGACAAAATATCGGAATAGACACTTCTCCAAAGAAGCTACAAAAATGACTAGTAAGTACATAAAAAAGATGTTCAACGTTGTTAGTCTTGAGAGAAATGCAAATCAAATCCACAATGAAATACCACTTCACACCTACTAGGATGGCTATAATAAAAAAGGAAGACAGTAAGAAGTGTGGCATGATGTGGAGAAATGAGAACTTTCATGCATTACTTGCAGGGTTGCAAAATGACACAGCCATTTTGGAAAACAGTTTGGCAGTTCCTCAAAAGGTTAAACATTAAGTTACCATATGACCCAGCTGTTATACTCCTAAGTACATACCCAAGAGAAATGAAAACACACATCCACACAAAATCTTGTACTCAAATGTTCATAGCAGCATTATTCATAATAGCCAAAAGGTGGAAACACCCAAATGTCCACAGAGTGATGAATGGATAGATCAAATGTGGTATATCCTTGCAATGCAATATTATTTGGCTATAAAAAGGAATAAAGCATTGATGCATGCTACAACATGGATGAACCTTAAAAGCATGTTAAATGAAAGAAACCAGTCATAAAAGACTACACATTATATAATTTCATTTATATAAATGTTCTGAATAGGCAAATCTATAGAGACAGAAGGCAAATTAGTGGTTGTTTGGGGCTGGGGGTTGTGGGTGAGTAAGAGGGGAAGTGAAAACTAATGGATTTGGGGCTTCTGCTAGTGGAAGGGAAACTAAAATTAGTTTGTAGTGATGGTTGCATAATCCTGTGAATGTACAAAAATATTGAATTCTACATTTTCAGTGGGTAAACTATGTGAATTGTATCTCAAGTCATTAAAACACAAACACATACACACACAATGGGATTTAAATTTTTGGCTTCAAGATGTTTAAAAAGTCATCTAGAAATCTCATTCCAAATATCATTTAGTTCATTTCTGATGTGCTAGTATCATATTGTAAAGTGCTGCTCATATTTTAGAACATCATTGAAGAGAATGTTTCATAGATTGATATTTATATTGTCTACTTCAAAAGAGATATAAAGAAAATTACAAAAATAAAACTAAAAAAGGCACATTCATTAAGATCAGAAATAGTAACATCAGACAAAGAAAGGCCATGGAATGGAAGAATGAGAAGATGTTATTACTTAAATACTACATGGCTTTTGCATCACTTAAAACTCTTCTTCTGCCACAGATGAAAAGGCGTTGCTTGCTGTTTGATGATTTTCCTGCCAGAGCCTCTGGCCTCAAGAATGTATTCCCCAGTCCTCTGAATAAAGCTGCATTTTGTATTTCTGCTGCACGCCCAGTAAAGGAGAATAATGTGTGTTGCCCAAGGGGAGATGGCCATATTGTTTTCTCCTTGCCCCATTTGTGTATCCGGTGGTACATAAAAAAAGAAGGACCCAGAGATTTTACTGCTTCCTTTGGAGCCAACTCCTAACTCTTCTTTAGAGAGGAACAGGGGGACTCCACTCATTCCCATCCCCTCTTTCACAAACCAACAGGAACTTCATGCAGTAATGACTGGCAGGAAGGAACTAAAAGCCTGTCCGATGATCCTTTCCCTGGTGTGGTTGCTTGAATCCAACTTTAGTCTTGGTCCTGAGAGAATGATTCATATATGATTAATGGGCCAGGCATGGTGCCTCATGCCTGTAATCCCAGCACTTTGGGAGGCCAAGGCGGGCGGATCACCTGAAGTCAGGAGTTCAAGACCAGCCTGGTCAACATGGCAAAACCCCATTTCTACTAAAAAATATGAAAAGTAGCCAGGTGTGGTGGTGCATGCCTGTAATCCCAGCTACTTGGGAGACTGAGGCAGAAGAATCGCTTGTACTTGGGAGGTGGAGGTTCCGGTGAGCGGAGATCGTGCCACTGTACTCCAGCCTGGGTGATAGAGAGAGACTCCGTCTTAAAAAAAAAAAAAAAAAAAAAAAAAAAAAAAAAAAAAAAAAATTATTAACGACAACAAAAGTTGTAAATCGTTAGCAGGTCTAAAGTCCGTGATAGTTCCAAAACTGATGTTTTGAGTCCTTCCCAATACTTTATAATGTTGCTCATTTCATTAACAATTCACTCAACAAACAAAAATTGAGGCCCTAACAAGGACTGGCCCTTACACTAGAGCTAGAGTTACAGAGAGGACTAACCCTTTGCCTGATGAAGAAGCCAGATAGTTTCTGTGATGTGTGATAAATAGGGAAGCCAAAGAGTGTTGGGACCCAGAGGTGGAAGGTACAGTCTCTACTTAAATGGTTCGGTGAGGAGGTAACATTTAAACTGGGTTTTGAAGGATGAGTAGGAGTTTGTTAGGCCACAAAGGAGTGAGAGGAGGCCTGTGGGAAAGGCAGTTCAGGGGAGGAAGCAGTAAGCATGTGAAAGTGCCTAGCTATATGAAGAGACTTTGTATGCTCAGGGACAAAGGCTAGGACAAGTGCAAGGTGGGGCAGACTAGAGGTGAGAGGTAGGTATCAAGTCAGTTTGTGAACAATCTTGAATAGCATGGTAAGGACTTTAAACAGCATCCAGTGAGCAATAGGCAGCCAGCACAGTCTCTATACAGAAGAGCAATGGGTTTGCTTTTTAGGCAATTACCTCTGGTGGCAATGGAGACTTTTGATTGCTTTCTGCTGTGCCCCAAATACAAATAGGTGAATAAAACACCACGCCTCCCAAGGAGCAGCAGAAATCCTTACTGCACCTATCTTGCTATGCCTGTCCTTAGTTTACATCCTTACTATGCACATGTACGTCTCAGAGGTTCTCTTCCAAGTTACTTGTTTAGAACTTGGAAGTTATTTCCCTATAGAAGCAGTTCGCTTCACAAAGTCTTATGTAACCCAAACCACATCTGAGATTGTGTCAGCCCCACTGTTGAACCCGGCTTCTTGAGTGTGTCTGGGCTTAGCTGGTGTGGGGTAAACTTTTGATGACAAGATGTGGAATGAATAGGAAGTAGATTCAGAATTCTCATGGCCACATTAGGAGCAGACTCCCCTTTCTCTGTAGCTGTTGGCTTGTCCTCGTCATCCTCAGGACGGCAAGTGAGGCTGGGGAGATGGGAGCCTTGAAAAGAGTTAAAGCCCAATTTTGGCAGAAAGCAGGGCTGGAGCCAGCTGTGGCTGCGGTGATCACGCAGCCGGGTCTGTCTTTAGAGCTTCTTTCTGCCTTTCCTTTGTCGGCATCCTCCCTTCCTTCCTCCGCGTCCCCAGCTTTTCTATTGCCTTCCGCCTGTCCAGAGACTACGCCTATGGAGGCCTGTCCTTCAGAAGGATTGGCATTGTCTCGTTCCCTCACTGCTGTTCTTTCATTGCTTCTAACCTAGCCTTAGCCACAGGCAGGATTCTCAGGAGGAGAAGTGAGCCAGTGATCAACACAGCCAATTTTCACCAGTGGGAGGGCTGCATTGAAATCTGCTTGGAGAAGATGGTAATAATGCCGGCCATTGATGAAGTGTATATTGTACACCGGGCCTGTGCCAAGTGCATTACATGCATTGTTTTACTTATTCCACATCCTCAAGCTATGACTAGCAGGTATTTTTGTCACCATTTGAAAGAGGAGGAAACTGAGGCTCGTGGATGTCAAATGCGTAAATAACTTGTCTAGTGAGTTACAGGGCTATGATTTGAACCCAGGTCTTTCTGTCTCTGGAGCTTCCTGCTGCTCTTGGAATTTTATGGATCCCAATCCTGGAACTCTTTGTTCTGAGAACTTCTTGCTAAAGAAGAGTTGGGAGCTGGCTGTGTATTCCACCCCAAGACTGGATACAGAAATCTTCAGAGCTGCATCACAGCAATTTCACCCTCTGAGTTTTCTCTCCACGCTCTTGATAGCAAACCCAGCAATAACTGGGTTTTAGCTGCGCAAAGGAAATACTAATTACAATCATTTAAACATAATTACTACATAGCACAATGATGATTGCATGTATCACTCCCTGTGTCAGAGTAACTTTAGTCTCCATTTTATGTAGTTATACTAAGTTCTTTTCGTGTGTTGGCAGCTTTCACGGTTCATTGATCATATGTTTCATCCTAAGCTTGTAGCTTATAAAAGCAGGGAGAGTCTTGAGTGGGAAAGGCAATTTGGGGGTGATTGGGCTTGATTACCAGGTGAAGGCATTTGGAGGGCATCCTGTGGCACTTGGGAGCCTGGAAGTCCTTGGAAGAGGGAAGGATCCCGGCCAGAGCCAGGTTTTAGCAGTGGTCAGTTGGAGTGCAGTTTGGGTGCAGTGGGCCTGTGGATTAGGATGGCAGAGACTGGTGGCTGGAGATTATCTGTAGAAATGCAAAAAGTGAAGCATCATAGAAAAGCACTCTCTTCAGATTTAGAAACCCAAGTTTATAATCCCAAATCTACCGCTTAGGAGCTCTGACCTCAGACATGTGCCTTCACCTCCCGGGGACAGTTCCTTTACTCCTTATCTAGATTATTTGATTTGATTTTTATGCCTTTTCTAGTTTCCAAAGTCCATAATTTCCAGACAGCAGGAATAGTTATGCAAAGAACAGACTGTAAAAGATATTGGAAATGGATCAAAGCACTCTGAACATATTCAAATAATTGCTGTCTGTTCCTTCCCATGCTTACAGTATAGATGATTTTATTAGTGTTAGTGTTTTAGTATTAAGAGGGATGTGATAGGCAAGAAGAGGTTTTATTTTTCCCCCTAGAAAATGTGGGAAAATAAAAATTGGTCCATTTGTTTACAGTATCCCAAATGTTAGCTCTTCTTCCTTCTGCTGCCATCCCAGCAAGATCCGGAGGGAAGTATGTGCCCAGGTGTTAAACTTCACATTCTGGAACAGGATTTTCTTGGGTACAGTTTGCCTGGGTATTGGAGAAAGGCCTCCTGCAGAGATATAACAGTCAAGATAGTGCTAGGTGCTGTAAGTAATAAACCCCTAAATCTCAGTGGTGTAACACTGTGGAAATGTATTTCCACTCTTGTATGGCCTAATGTTGGCAACAGGGAAGGATGGAGACAACTCTGCTTTAGGCAGTTATTTAGGGACACCAGCTAATAGAGACTCCATCTTCAACATACAACTTCCGAGGACTTCCGGGTGTCAACATCTAACTAGTAAATGTGGAGGAGAGAGAATGGAGAATTGTTTGAGAGGGTTTTTAGGGCCAGGCCTGCATGTGATAGAATAACTTCTGCCTGTGCTTCATTGGCCAGCACTCTATTATATAGCCACAGCAAATTGCAAAGGAGGCTGGGCAATAAAGTCCAGTGTGTGCCCGAGACAGCAGGAAGATAAGAATGGTAAGCAGTCTCTGCCACAGGTGCTGTATTACAGTACTGATAGCACTGCTGAGCCCTAGAAATACACGGGGTCAGGCTCAACTTCTTGGAATTCCAAATCTACAAAAACCTTCTAAAGCTCCTATGATCTCTTCTTAGGTGTGCTCCAGGCAAGTGGCTTAAGTGTGACCTATATTTCACACATTCTGAACCGTGCATAGCATCCCACAAGCATTTGGTAGATATTGATGGCAGCTTGCGTTCCAACACTCTTGTTCATTTGAAACTCCTCTGTTTCACATTTCACTTTTCCCTATATTTTAGTCGATTTTTCTTGATCTCAGAGGATTTGTTAATTTTCCTGGTTTTGCCTGGGCAAGAAAGAAATCTTTTAAAATGACATCTGTAACAGATTTTTGGTCAAGGTTAAATTGATCTCATGCTTAGGTTCAAAAACAGATGCCATGTTATGTTAAATGAAAGTGCATATACTTTCATCCAGGGTACATAGTCAAACCCAGAAAGTGATCAAGGAAACCACATAGAAAAACACTATTGAGCCAAATTAAAAGGGACACAAAGTGGGTAATTTTGTGATCATAGTTGCCTATTGCAGCTGTACAAACCAAGCTAATGAGATGATGATGTAATCTCTTGTTGCAAAGAATAAAGTGATTTCCTATGAGATTAAGCATGAACTTTCCAACCTTGTGTTTAAGATTTAGATAGCTCTTCTGTTCTTCCCGAAACTCTAGGATAATTACTAGAATTGAATTTCTGAGCTAAATGACTTATAGAGTAAGCTCAATCCTTTTTAAATTTGCAATCCTTTAAGAATTTTACCTTTAATGTTCACATTACAGTCCGATAACATATAAGCTGCCCATTGCTATAATTCCTAACGTCTAGATGGTCTCATAAGGTACCATTTTGTAGCACTATTCTTAGTGCTGTGCTCCTTGAAGAACTACTATATGGGCTGTTGGAAGAGTCTGTCTGAAACAGAACCTCTCTCTTCCAGAGTAGGGCTTTGAGGTTTTTGTTTGTTTGTTTGTTTTTTAAGTTGCAGATAGAAAAAAAGTCTTCACTTTGTATTTCATAATCATTAAATGATGATTGAGAGACTACCACATGCTGGATATTAGGGGTGCAAAGAGTTATTAAATGCAGTCTGTGGTTGAATTGGAACATTAGCATCATTCCTGGGTGTCTCAACAATTGTTTCTTTTTTGTTGTTAATTTGCTTTAAGTTCTGAGATACATGTGCAGAACGTGCAGGTTTGTTACATAGGTATACGTGTGCCATGGTGGTTTGCTGCACCTATTAACCTGTCATCTAGGTTTTAAGCCCCACATGCATTAGGTATTTGTCCTAATGTTCTGCCTCTTCTTGCCCCCCACCCCCGATAGGCCCTGGTGTGTGGTGTTCCCCTCCCTGTGTCCATGTGTTCTCATTGTTCAACTCCCACTTATAAGTGAGAATATGCGGTGTTTGGTTTTCTCTTCCTAGGTTAGTTTGGTGAGGATGATGGTTTCCAGCTTCATCCATGTCCCTGCAAAGGACATGAACACATTTTTTTTTACGGCTGCATAGTATTCCATGGTGTATATGTGCCACATTTTCTTTATCCAGTCTGTCATTGATGGGCATTTGGGTTGGTTCCAAGTCTTTGCTATTGTAAATAGTACTACAATAAACATACATGTGGAGCATTCCATTTGAAAAATTGTTTCTTAATCTTTTAAGAACTGTGTTCTATAGAATGTGTGCAAAGCATATCTTTAATTCACCTTCTCAAAAATTAAGATGGCCGTGAATTAGGATGTATGACAGCGAGACACGTATGTGCACCATTCTGGTCTTCCTGTGGGTTTTTAATCCACTAGTGAGCATACCCCACGAGGAGGAGACCTGGGGTCTTCCGTGCCTTTCTTCATATCCCCAGAACCCAGCTTCAGTCCAGACATCATGCATACGCAATAAATGCTTGTTGAGTACATGAAAGAACATATGGCATAGGCTTACTTGAAATGGGTTGCAGTGTGTTTCAGATTTAGAATGTAAAAGTTTAGTAGACACCATTTCATTTGTATCATAAAATTAACATTTATTTTTGATTACTCTCAGTGCCATTAACTTGTTTCATAATTAAGGATTATCCAAGATCATAGCTTTTCTTCCTGTTTCTAGTTGTTTCTCACCTGGTGTTTGCTAGGCAAGCTATAGACATTTGTTGACCTGATTCATTTATGTGAGATTTTTATCTAAAGGTGGCCAGAGAAAGAGAACAAGCAAAACTTATTTTGGTTTTTGCAACTGGCTAATAGGAATATTGAAACTAAAATAGCTTGCAGTTACCTAGCTAAAAGGGAAATGCTCAGTATAGTAAATGAATGAATTTGCAAGTTTCCATTTATCAAATGCTAGCAACACCCATCACCCCACTGGATTCTCACTCTAATCCTGAATAGGAGGCAAAGCTAATTTTAAATCCCCATTTTATGGAAGGGAAAACTGAGACCCTGATTAAGAAACCTTTCAGTAACTCATAGCTAATATGTATAGGATTCAACTTTAAAACCTAGGCTACTGACTCCAAATTCACTGCCTCTTCCTCTTCATCAAGCTGAATGTTGTAAGTTATTGGTGATGTTTTATCTATGCTCTCTGATACCTATGATTTTTAATAAGCAGAAATTTTCTATATGCATGTAGTTGTAACTTTATTTTTTACCGATTTGCAAACAGTGATGTTTTAAAAATATAAATCAGATTATCTCAGTCTCTGTTTTACGAATCTTCTTATGCTTCACATTGAACTTAAGATAAAAAATCTAGAAGTCTTACCTGGGCCTGGATTTTGCTTACACCTTGGCCATCTTGTCCCAGACCTCTTCCTTCTACTCACTCTCCTCAGCTACATTGGCCTTCTGGTTGTTCCTTGAATATACCAAGTCCACTCCTACCTCAAAGCCTTTCTGCTGACTGTTCAATCTGCCTGGAACGCTTGTCCTCCAGTCTCTCGTTGGCTAAAGTCTCTTGTTCCTTTGTATCATTCAACTTTTTTCTCAAATATGACCTCCCTAGCAGCCTTCAGACCATACAATTAGAGTACTACTGCGTGGCCTACTTGTGTGCTATCTGAAATTTTCTTCTTATTTATTTACCTGTTTTCTGTTCCCTCCACTGCCCCATCCACTCACTGTACCAAGATTACAAATTCCAAAGAACAAGAACTTTGCTTGTCTTGTTCACTGTTGCCCTTCCTGTGCCTAGAATAGTGGACAACACATAGCAGGCACTTGATCAAGAATATTGGATAAACAGTAAATATCTGAAAATAGTTCCTTCTCATTGGCTCTTACATTTTTGACATTTTAAAATTTTCTTTATTTTTATTTGTAGTTGTGGGTATATTTAGCACAGAAGACATGGGATGGTACAAATGCCTAGTAGTTTTGTTGTGTAGGATTATGCTAATTTTCCAGAAAATTCATCTTTTGATGAATACGAAGATGATCTCCTACCAGAGAGCAGACTACCTGTTAAGGCCTTTAGCTGTATGTTTTGGGAACCACAGGCAGGAAGTTGGCATAGGGTTCTGCTGAGTGGAGATATTCCTCCAAGTGGATGACAGCCTCCTTTCCTCTGGATGAGGTTGCAGATCATCTGTAGGTGGAACTTGGATCCTATGTGTCTTATACTTCACCAACAGACACTCTCTTCCATTTTCCTTTTATTCCCACCTGGTGTTGATATTATCTCATTGTATTTAGGTCGTATTTGTTTGGGTTTTTGATTTTTGTGTTTTGTCTCGAATTATGCTTTGATGACACATACTGAGGTTGGACTTTCTAAAGCACCAAACTGTGAAATAAAATGGCCTAAGAGGTGAAAACTGTCCCAGCTGTGCTTCAGATTAGCTGTGCATGTCTCTGGGAAATCTTCATATCTGTTTGGGGTTCATTTTTTCTTCTACAAAAATGGTGGGACACATACATGACCTATCTCTACAGGGCAGGACTTTTGGGAAATAATGCACCTCAGAAGTTATATAAATATAACATATCATCAGCATAATCACTTCAAAGCATGTCATCAATAAGTATTTACTGAAAATATTTATATCTTAACTTATATAGGATGGCATAGTGGTTTTTAATAAAATTGCAAGTGAATATCCTTGACTCTTACTCAAAAAATCTCTCACACAAAAAATGTCCTTGATTTAACACAAAATACAAGATAAGCAGGTGTTGGGCATTTCAACAATGTGAATTCAATGTTATCTTTTATTGTTGAGTATTATAAACAGAACACTGGATTGGAGCAGTGTTTACCTGAAAAAAAATACAGCTGTCTTAGTCTTGAAAGTGAACATTATGGCTTTTTATTTTTTAATTTATGGTAAAACATTGTGAGAGAAATCATAGTTTCTGCTACTTTTAAGTAAGGCCTAGTGTTATATGTCAGTTGATTGATAGATTGATTTTTTCCAATCTTCCCTTTATGTGATAGGGAAGATTCTGCCATATAAGTGTAATTTTTACAAAGGATGAATACCATGAAATATTAAAAACAGCTTAAAAATCTCAATATATATAAAAGAGGAGTTTTGAGGCCGTGATTGCTAAAAATATTAATATAGTTCTTAGATATAGAGGACAAAAAGCATACCTCTTTAAAAGATAATTTTAAAATAATGAATTTTGGGGTAGGACATTTTGTTATTTTTTCTACTTTGCCTAATTAACAACAAAGCTCAGATCTCAGTCTGTCTGGTAGCAATGGTATTTCATCTTATTAGAAAAATCTAAAACTATTAGACAGAGTGGTTGATCTGTCAGCTCTGCAGTCATCAGTGGTCCACAGCTATTGAAAAGGGCATAGCTCCATATGTATGGATGAGGGGTCTCCAAGGTAAATTGTTCAACCTCCAAAATATATTGTTAAGTGAAAAAACAAGGTGTAGGACAGTGTGTACTATATGCTACACATATATATTTTTAAATTCTATATATTTTTTATAAATTCTCCTCTGGAAAGTCTTTCAGGTTGCCTTCAGAGAGTAGGCTGGAGTCCTGTGGTACAAAGGTGACAGTGAGATATTTTACTGTATATCCTTTTGATGCTTTTGAGTTGTCAACAACTGTACAAAAATATTATCTTAAAATTCAGTTTAAAATGACACTGTTAAAAACTACTAAGAAAAGTAATGTATCTGAGAAAAGCAAAAGTAGCGAGAAAAAGAATTTTGTACATTTAAAAATGTGGCTTTGGAGATATCATATCTATCTGTGTATTTTAAACCAGAAGATTTGGGATATTTACACCACCTGAGAGAATGCATTGATCTAAGAAATTTGGGTTCTGGGCCTGAGTGTGCTACTAACCAGCTCTGGGGAAGTCACTCAGACTTCAATTCAGACTTCACCAGGCCTCAATTTTCTGAACTATAAAATGAGAAGAGTGAATAAATTGCCTTCCAACTGGTAAAACCAATAAGTCCAAAATAAGTTATAAAGAAGCATTTTTAAAAGGTTAAATTTATGGTTAAAAAATAAGTGCATTCATGAAAAGAGCAGCCAGCTTGGCTCTCCGTGGGCAAAACAGCACTTGTGCACTCTGAGTACCGCCTCTTGGTAGCAGCATGTTGGAATTGCAGTGAAAATTACCGAGAACAGCCAATTAATCTTGCATGCAAAAATGGAATATCCTGTCTGTCACAATCACTGTAGGGACATTTCTCAACATATGAATATATGGTGGTATCAAAGTCAAAGATAGTCTAAATTCAAGACTATTAAACCATTTGAAAAATTTTTGTTACTGATCTGTAGAAATCTGGCAAGCACAGGTTCTTTATAATTTGTTATAACCTTGGATTGCATGAATTTTAACAGAGGTCAGCAAACTTTTTCCATAAAGCATCAAATAGTAAA
Source organism: Homo sapiens (assembly GCF_000001405.40). Lineage (NCBI taxonomy): Eukaryota > Metazoa > Chordata > Mammalia > Primates > Hominidae > Homo > Homo sapiens. Next base: position 41,523,286 of record NC_000004.12, read on the forward strand.
GATTTTATGCTTTGTGGCCCCTCAGGTCTCCATTGTAACTACTCAACTCTGCAGTTGTAGCACAAAAGTAGCCATAGACAATATGTAAATGAATGAGGATGGTTATATTCCTGTTCCAGTAAGACTTTATTTATAAGTACAGGTGTTGGACCAGATTTGGCTCATGGATTGTAGTTTGTTGACCTCTCAATTATGATACACTCCTACCCTAAGTTTCTCTTTGCACAGTATTCTAAGTTACCTAATTGCCTGATTCCCGAACGTGGAAATAACATTCTACATTCTACAGCCCCTTACCTTCAATCACTTATTTATGAATAACCTACTTTGCAAATACTACACTTTACCCAATTACCCCGATGCTAACCATATTTTAATTTTATAAGTTGCTTTCCTTGTTTCTCTTCACTCTGGGTTTTTATGTCCTGAAAACAGGCAATGATAGTTGTTTCTCTTGCATTCCCTTGCTTGTGTAACCATTGTTATATAATTTCAATCTTTAGCTGAAAATCTTTTGCTCAAATATCTTTTGTACCTAGGGACTCTTGGTTAGCCTTGTTTAAAATCTTCAGAATATGATTGGCTAACCTCTTATTAAACACATTCTTCCCTTTTTAAAGTGAAACTCAACCACATTGAAAAAGCCACTCTTCTCAAAGAGCAAGTAGGGTCTGACTTAGAATGTGTCTTGGCGAATCATTTGTAAAGATAGAAACTGGTCTTTGAATTTAGTGCATCCCTGGAGAGATCCATGTCTTAGCCAGGAAAATTGGCAACAAGCCTTACCTGAGTTGTAATACCTGGTTCCAGTTCCAGATAATTCCCTCACAACCTCAATCCAGCTCTCCCCCTTGTCCTTTTCCTTGAAGCCCTCCTCAGTCTCTACCTTTTCTCATCTCTCAACATTTCTAAATTCTAAAACTTCACCTGCCGTGGACCAACTTGATGTTGGCAAAGCTCTTCACTTATATGCATGAAGGCTGATAGATTATTGAGATTTACTATATGCTTTAAATTCACTGCTTTTCCTATCCAGCAATTTAGCTGTAGCCCCGGATAAAGGTGATTTGTGTGATCCATCTTGCTTTATGTCTCACTTGACATTCTGCCTTTTTCATGACAGGTTGCTGAATGCTATAAAGCCAGGACTTGTTAAAAAGATCAATAGATTGCCTACCCCCATTGCAGGACTGGTGAGTACGTGGAATTGAGATTTATTTTCCAATATTCCTTTGCTCTAACCTAGGGGTCATGACAGCACCATTTATTACAGTTCTCTCCTGCAATATATATTCCACTTGAATGAGAACGCATTGAATCCATTAAACGAAGAGGTCACTTAAAATGAAAGATTGCAGTCATGCCTAAATGGCATGTTAATCTTTGTTTGTGTTTTTTCCATGAGTGATAAGGACCTTCATTCTCAAAGAGCTAAATTTGTTTTGGTGTGAGAGGCTGATAATTAGGTTGACCCTTGGGGGAGGAATGTGATTTTAATTACGTTTTCTCATTTCAGTTCATCACTGCATTCCCCTAGAATGGAGGGTAGGGGAGGTAGAGAGAAAGAGAATTTTAAGAGAAAACAGTCGTTTTATAATAAATTGCTGCTTTCAATATTATAATCTACTTGGGTTGAAATACCACAATTGTAGGCCAACTATCCTGAAGACATACTGGGGCACTAAGGTGGTCTAACGTCATCTGGAGAACTGTTTAAGCAGAATCCTTGCCCTTCTGAACCTATCCACATAAAATCTAAAACTTACATGTTCATATGTGGTTAGAAGCAGAATATTTTTTTCATGCGTTGATATGTCTTATAATTCTTGGCAACTAATTTTTTAATTGCTTCATCGATGTTGCCTTTGTGTAGAAAAAGGAAAGAAGTAGAAGATGAGGAAGACAATCAAATCTTAGTTTTGGAAGGAATTGGCATATGTGTGTGTGCGTGCACACGCGCGCGCACACACACACACAGAGCAGAGGAAGTATGTAGCTCGGTAATGACTCACTGATTGTTTCCATTGTGATCGCCTTCTGCGCATGTAGTTTTGCAGAAAGCAATGAGAAGAATGTCAAGAATTTAAGCAGGATCCTACGTAGACCTTACTGATTGTTGTTAAAAAGCTTCTTAGCCATATCACGATGACTAATTGAAATTAGATGTGACAAAAAACCAATTGTGTTTGAGAATTGTGGGGGGTCCTTGTGGGAAGGTACATGGTTTCAGCAAGTTGAATGAAATAGATGTTTTCTTTAAGAACTGCTATTTCTGTGGATGCATTTTATTCCCCATATTGGTTGGTAGTGAGCTGGTGATTAGTCGTTAAAAATCTTTCTAATTTTGTTCTTCAGAATCATGTAACCAAATAAGTTAGTTAATATCGAGATAGATACATATATTTGGAAGGAATATATTTGAATAGTTCTATAAAATAAATAATATATAAGTATTATATATCAGTGTATACATATATCAATTATTTTAAAACATTTAGTAAATTCACCTCTTCCAAATGTTAAAGCCAAGGTCTTAATGATCCTGATGAACATCTGTTTGTCCCTAAGCCTATGGCAACTCTGGACCCTGGAGCTCTGGGGTTTAATGTTATAGAAGCAAAATTTGCAGCATAAAACTAAGGAAGGCCCCAGGAAAATCCAGATGAGGAGAAACAAGTCACTCCCAGTCCAGTAGCTAAAGAGAAAAGGCTTTCAAAACCTCAATTTAAAATGGAAATCATAAATAATTTTAGTAAAATTAACTGTTAGGGGCACATGCATTTGTCTTTATATTATTTCCTATCATGGATCAAATGTTGTTTCTCACATATTGCCTCTGTCTTGGAGCATTTGGGCAACTTGATACAAGAAGACAAGGTGACCTCATCTTCTTTCCTTCTATTTATGTTCTTGACTAGTATTCCTCTACTTTCTTTTTTCATTTGGATTTCCTTTTCACTTTGTCCTTGCTATCGCTTTTTTTTTTTTTTTGCCCCTTTCAATGAACACCTCCCCTGCTTACCGTCACCCTGTATCATTTATATTTTCTTAACTAATTTATCATCTTTAGTCCAAAAAAATACTTTCTTAAGTAAAGTCACCTACTAACCCATTCACTAGTGACTCCTGAATCTACAAACCTGGTCAAACTCTTTTCCTTTGCTCCAGTTGCCTTGAGATCAACATTTCCACAAAAACCAGAGCACTTGTGGCCCTGGTGGGAAACAGATCGCCATCCCGCAACCCCCTGTTATGTTCATGTACTTCCACGGTTCTCGCGTCATGCCTGTGCCTCCCTCTCTATGCTCATATTCTTGACTGTGTCCATGACTTCAGCTCTCCATGATATTGACCCAAAGCAGCATTTCTCATCAAGTACTCTCTCCTGAACTCCAGACCTCGTGTTCTGTCTATTGGACAGTTTCATCTCGGTATCCTACTGGCACCTCAAACTTAACATATTCAAATGGGACTTGCATCACCAGTCCTGTGCACCTATTTCCCAATGTAAGTGAAGGCATCATAGACATGCAGTTGCACCAGTTCAGCTATCAAAGAATTTTCCCATTTGTCTACTTGTCTGCATTTCCTTGGCCACTGCCCCAGAGCAGGCCATCCTCATCTCTTGCCTGGACTATAATAGTTGACTCACAGTTCTGCAAACACTCTTCACTCCCATGAATGGTGCCTTTTCTTGTGATATGTGTTATTCATTGAATACTTTCCTCCTGCTCTTCTTGACAAAATTATATTTGTCCATCAAGATCTAACACAGACTAACACATCTTTTAAGTTAAAAAATAAAATAAATTAAATAAAACTAAAGATCTAATGCAAAACAGCCTCCTTTGTGAAACCTTTAGTATTTATAGTCCATTATGATCTTTTATTATAGAATACAGAGAATATCCCCTGGTATAGGAGAAAATGAGTTAATACTCGAGAGAGATAAAAGTAGCTCTGTTCTGAAATATATTTTGGAAAGTAAGATTTTGAATAACTATGGTTAACAGTTTGAAATTAAAGGCCTGCAAGTGGTTTCGTATTCATGTCAAGACACTATGTCTTTAAGTAGTTGGCCATGATCAAACTTACCGATATCTATAATGGGTCCAAATGATGTTAGATGTCCTGGTGATGCACTAAGAAATCACAGCAGTTCTCAGGAAACAATACGACAAATCCACATTAAGGGACATACTGCAAAACAGCTGGCCTGTCCTCTTCACCACTGTCAGCGTCATTAAAAATACTGCCCCGTCCTCGGCCGGGCGTGGTGGTGGCTCACGCCTGTAATCCCAGCACTTTGGGAGGCCGAGGCGGGCGGATCACGATGTCAGGAGATTGCGACCACGGTAAAACTCCGTCTCTACTAAAAATACAAAAAATTAGCCAGGCGCGGTGGTGGGCGCCTGTAGTCCCAGCTACTCAGGAGGCTGAGGCAGGAGAATGGCGTGAACCCGGGAGGCGGAGCTTGCAGTGAGCCAAGATTGCGCCACTGCACTCCAGCCTGGGCGACAGAGCGAGACTCCGTCTCAAAAAAAAAAAAAAAAAAAAAAAAAAACTGCCCCATCCCCAAAAGGCTGGAAAACTGTCGTAGATTAAAGATGACTAAGGAAATATGACAGCCTCATACAGTGCATGATCCTTAGTTGGGAAAACGCAACTATAATAGACATTATTGAGACAATTAGGGAAATTTGAATATAAATTGAGTATTAGATAATAGTATTCTCTCAGTGTTGGATTTCCTGTATGCGATAGCTATCTTTGTGTATATAGGAGAATACTATTGATCTTAGATGGCAAATATATATGCTGGAGTATTTTGAAATGAAATGTCATGTATACAACCAATCCTCAATATGTTTAGCAAAAAAGTCTGGGTACATAATATATAATTTCATATACACATAGAGATAAGAAGGAAGGAAAGGAAGGAAGGAAGGGAGAGAGGAAGAAAGGGAGGAAGGGTGGAAATGTGGCAAAATACTGTCTCTAGATAAAGGGCGTACGGGGGTCATGGTACTATTCTTGCAACCTTTTGGTAGGTTTGAAATTTTTCAATATAAAAAGTTGAGGATTAAAATACATTAATTCTCTTATTTTCAGGGGAGACATAGGAAACCTCAAATAATTAATGGGTTTGAAGATGGCAGAGATCATCTTGTTAGTAGAGATGCAGCCTTTGTGTGAGGGTATTTTTCAAACAATATTTTCTTCTTCCAAATATTCATGACAGTCAGGAAAGGGCAGATAGAAAAATCCCTGAAATACTTCTGAATACATCAGGTTGGTTTTTTCACTTTGTCAGGGGTTGACAGGCCACTGACCGTCTGTTGATCAAGAAGTCCATAGTAGCAGGGGCCATAGAGATCTGAGAAGTGTGGCCAGAGGGTTTTCTATGCCTGGAAGCCATGCCCGTGTGTCTTAATGGGCTAGTGTTGAGAAGCCAATCCATTAAGATGGCCCAGCTGCTTGACTTGAAGATAAATAAAAAAGTGTGTTTTCACATAGCAATATCAAATTATAAACATATGTAGATTTACAAAGGCATGAATAGGTGTATTTTAGCCCCTGAGTTAAGCTGTGGTTACAAAGAATTCAGGGGTGAAGGTGTTAAAACAAAGTAGTTGAAAATCATTTCCTGGCAAGAATGCAAAGACCCTGAATCCGGGTCTGCATTTCTTCTGCAACGATTGCTGACATATGAAGCCGTGTGGTGACTGCCTGCAGATGCTTGCATTCTCTTTTAGGTGTTAGTGATACTGTTTGCTGCTGCCAGAGAGAAAGTCCTCAAATTTAGGTCTTGGCATACCAAAGGTTTTTTTTTAAAATGCTGCACTTCAGTCTGCTAGCTCATCAGTATTGTACTATCGAGCCACATCTTGAAACTCAATTTAGTGGTCATCAGAGATCATGCTAAATGTTGTTTCATCCCAGGAGCTTTAGGTTTTGTGCAAAAGCCATGAATGTATGAAATCTTTGCTTATGATAGGAGTTTGGGGATTAAGCCTTTTCTTGCACAGATTTGAATTGTGACAGCCGTCGTGTGTGCACATATGCACATGTGAAGTATAATTGGAAATAGGTGATATTTGCGGATTCTGCCCCTGAGTGCTGAACCTTCTTAGAGTTGTCATGAAATACTGTTTGATTTTTCCATGGGTCTGTAAGGATAAAAGTGATCTGAGGAAAAGACAATTTTACGTCTTAGATGTATCTTAGAAGGACATCTTAGATGTGTTTGTTTTGCAGATGAGGACATGTGGGTCCATAAAGGGAAATTATTTGCCCCACATTAGACAAACAGTAAAAGATGAGATGGATCCCGAGCCCTGGCCACCCCTCTCCTTGGTTATTACATATACACTGTTCCCAGTTGAAGATGGGACACATTTTAATGACATTTTATTTTACCTTTTTTGAAAAAGAGAGGAAGGCAAAAACTCATTTTTTAAGTTCATCTCTTTTTTTTCTTTCTGTCGGCCAATACCTACAAAATATCTTTCTGAGCTCTGTGAAAGGCCTTACTTCATGTATCACTTCTTAGCCTGATGAACGATGGAAATTTGACGCTAGCTGAAGGTCAGAAGCAGAAGCAGGAATGTGACTGGTCAGATGATCCTACCATTCAGTAACCCTAACCCACTCAGAAACGCATTTTGGGGAAAAGGATGTACTTTTCTCTAATCAAAGATAAGATTTCAAATATGGTTAGAGCTTCCTGCCATGGAAAAAAATGTAAGTTTCCATAAGTTCTTTAGACTTTAGGAAGCTTTCAAAAGTTATCTGCTTTAGTTTATGAAAACTGACATCAGAACAGTTGCCATTTCATCGAGTGAGATCAGAGTAGGGGAAGTGATGAAAGAGCTGTAGTGATTTCCACATTATGAGAAGATTAAAAATATTGTTTTGGACAAAACTAGACATACAAGGCTGTTAACCTGAGTAGTATGAGTGAAAAGCCTTTATGCAGACTTCATCTTTTTAGGAGGATAACAATGCAATAAATTGGGGTCCTCACTGCTTTGGGTGTCTAGCTGTCAAGAAAAGGTTTCCTGCACATCCTTCCTAAGAATTAGCTCTGGTGTGCCTCAACTCATCCTGATCAATGTCTTCTCTTCTAGAACTTTACCTTCCCTCCAGTGGTTTATCTTATAGATTACCTTAGAAAAAACTGGTTAAAGTTCTGTTCTCCGGGCTCGGTCTCTCCTCCAGTTAAAATTGTTGTTTTTTGGCCAGGCATGGTGGCTCATGCCTGTAATCCCAGCACTTTGGGAGGCCAAGGCATGCAGATCACCTGAGGTCAGGAGTTCGAGATTAGCCTGGCCAACATGGTGAAACCCTGTCTCTACTAAAAGTACAAAAATTAGCCTGGCATGGTGGTGTGTGCCCGTAATCCCAGCTACTTGGGAGGCTAAGGCAGGAGAATTGCTTGAACCCAGGCAGTGAGCCGAGATTGTGCCATTGCACTCCAGCCGGGGCTACAAGAGCGAAACCCCGCCTAAAAAAAAAAAAAAAAAAAAAAAAATTTTTTTTTTTTTTTTTTTTTGGCCAGGAAGCAGGCAAGGCAGGGAAGAGGGAGGTTAGAGGTGAAAGTTACCACAGTGATAACCATCACGTATCACATTCCTACCCTGCCCCAGGTGCAGTGCTAGATCATCCTTCCTAATCTTTACAACACACCTGTGATGTTGTTATTGCTGTATCTTTACTCTAAAGTTCAAAGAAATGTCACCAGCTTTCCAACTAATAAGAGGCAGAGTTGGTACTTGAACCTGGGTTTGCCCAACTCTACATCTGTGCCTTTTCTACTGTGTTATACTCTCTCCATTAGACCCTAGGATATAGAATTGAATCTCAACACTTTCCGAACATTTGTTTGGAGACATCAACCTCTAAGGAGACCTAAGTTGTTAGAAATCAGACTCTCTCATTTAAAATTTATTAATTCAACCAAATTGAGGAAGTGGCCTTTTTGAAAAAGGCACTGCTACATGTAATGTTTCTACCATGGCCACTATCAAATCAGGCTTCATGTGGCCATACCTAACAAGTGATCATAGGAAAGCATTAGAATTCTTTACTGGAGTCTTAAAAAAAAAGTCAGAGTGATTTTATTCATAATATGCAGCAGAATTACCTAAAATGCCCTCCTCTCTTTCTCTTCTACAGTCTTTCTCTGTCACACACACACACACACACACACACACACACACACACACACATACACACCTTATACTTGCCAACTCTCCCAAACCTCTCTATGCCCAGTGACCTCAAATCTTTGAGCCTCACACTGTGCTAGTTCTTGCCTTCCTTGCTTCTTACCCTTTTGTCTGCTATGACTAATGGTTAGCTCTTTCCAGTGCAAATCAATCCAGCTAGACTCGGCTCCTTTTGCCCCTGATTCTGATTCTGGACAACAAAGACTCAGAGACAGGAAGACAGAATTCTCCTTCATGGGTAGGGGAGAAGGAAGGGCTTGGAATAAAAACCCTCATGTGTTTTTCCTGCTACTCTGTGTTCTCTGTAGTAGTTGCATGGTACGATCCGGAGTCTCCAGGGGTCGTCCTCCCCTTCTTTAGGGGAACAAGTAAAAACTGGTAGCCAAGCGATGTTCTGTGTGAAGAAGGCATATTCACTGAGGGAAATGAATAGACATTGTGAGGTTTCTCAGCCAAAATGGAATTTAATGACACACTTTCCTTTATCCTCATCCCTGGCACAGTATGAGAAACCTCGGTTGCGTTCCCACACCACACACAGAGGGAATGCTCAATTTGCTGCTCTCAAGTTTGATGCCAAAGCCAAGCCAACATAGGAGTGATGGTTAGCATTTTAGTAGGTCTAGCCATGAAAGACTACACACCGCAGGGAAAAACAACAAAACACACGAGGTCTTTGGTGCATTCCACCTGCATTCAATTGAAAGGTGGAATATGAACTTGGGGATTCTAAGTTTATTTACTGCCTCCCAGGTTGATATGGCTTGTGTGCTGCTGTTTGAAACAGCCTTTACAGTTAGCTTGTAAAAAATGTACAGGTCATCTCGTGTCCCTCATCTTCTCATAATTTTATATGGCTCCCTACTGAATGTGGAATAAAATCCAAACACTTCAGAAACGTATTTAAGGCTCTTCCTGAGTGAAAGTAACATTCGAGTAACATTCAAAAGTAACATTTATCTCTCACTTTGTACATCACACTCGGAAACCAGGGCAACAGATGGTTCATGACCTACACCAAAAGGCTTGACCACATCGTGAATACAGTGATAAAAGTGTGTCAGATGGCAAGAGCCATTCTCCACTGTAGGTTGGACCGGGTGAAGGGGAGTTCTGATGCCCACTGGAGCAGGCTGGCTTTTGGTTGTTCACTGATGTGCTTGGATCAGACCAATAAGTTAGTCCCCTTGCGCATCTTTTGTGGGTATTTGGGAAGACTTAATAAGAATTTTTTGTCCCTTCACTCATCTTGTGATTATTATGTCCTTTCTGGTTTTCTTTTATTTGGTGAGAGTTTTAGTTATTAATTGCTCTATAACAAATTACCCCAGAACTTAGTGGCTTAAAACAACAACATTTATCATCTCATTGTTCTCATGGGTCAGGAATATGAGCAAGGCTTAGCTGGGTCTCTGGTTCAGGGTCCCTCACAAGGCTGCATTCAAGGTGTTGGTCAGTATCATTTCCAGGCCAGAGTAGGGAGCTTAGAACTTCCGTTTCTAAGCTTACTCGTGGATATTGGCAGGATTCAGTTCCTCACAGGCTGTTGGCCAAAGCCATCCTTGTGTACTTGCCATGTGGGTCTTTCTATAGAACAGCTTACAGGGTTGCAGCTTGCATCATCAGAGTGAGCAAGCAGGAAGGGCCTGAGAAAGAAAGAAAGAGAAAGGGAGGGAGACAACAAGTGAGATGGAAGTCACAGTCCTTTATAACCTAATCTCTGAAGTGATGTTTTGTCAGTTCTGCCTTATTCTATTAATTAAAAGCAAGTTGCTAGGCCCAGCCCACATTCAAGGGGAGGAGGTCCCACAAGGGTCTGAATGCCAGGAGGAAGGGATCTCTGGGAGCTCTTCAGAAGCTGCTTGTCCCGATGAATGAAATGGTTGTATCCGTCTATTGAGCAGCCAGGGCATAGATCTCTCATTCTCCTGAACACCGGCTCCTTGTGCTTATAGGACTTTAAAGATAACACAGTTTTCCTTGGTTAACCTTTCTTGCATGACATCCAAGGACTTTTTTCTAATTTTCTTCTGCACATATATACCAAATAGAGATGATGTGTTCTCTCTCTTGCCTTCCAAGTAAAAATCCACTTCAAGACATAATTCCTGCCTTTTAGGAGACTACTTTCTAGAAGACAAATATAGAAGAAAGGTCAAATGTAAGGTAGACTGTGAAATGTTAATGAAGTATAATATGCAAGAAAGACCAAGGAAGAAATTTTGATTTGTGATTAAGAACTTTGGAAGGGGTGGGATTTGAACAGGGCGTCTACAAATAGTGAAGATCATGGAGTTAGAGGAAGAACAACTAGCTTCAGGGCATGGAATGAGAAAGGCTCTGAGTCAGAAGGACCTGGGTCTTATCTGGAAGTGGCTATCATTTGCATTATTTGCACTGGGTCCAGTGGCTGCAGCTGGACGCAGAGTCCCTGAGAAAATCCATGCTTGGAAACTAGACCAGGAATAGTAAGCTGAGACCAGAAATGCCATCTGGGGGTGTTTGGACTCATTTTGTGTGCAGTAAAAGCCACTGAAAACAAGGGAATCTCGTGTTCCAGATAACTGAGGTGGCCGTATAGAAAGCTGATTATGGCAAGATACCAGCAATAAAAGTCAAGTAGGAGATAAGTAGTCCAAATGAGAGAGGATGGACACTTAAACCTTAGTAGAAGCAGTGGGATTAGAGATGAGGAGACAGGATTTACTTTTCACTAAATGTAATATGCCATCAATGATGACACACACCATTTTTAAAAATTATAGCTCATTTAAAAAAGCTGCCAATTCAATGATGACACAATGCTAAGACACTGGCAATGAAAAAAATGCATCTTTATTTCAGAGGTTAAAAAAGGTGTACATCTTAGAACTGATGAAATACAACAGATAATTTTAGGAAGATGACATTTGCATTTTGGACTTGAGCAGTGTGGAGGGTACTGATGCCATTAATAGGAATCATGGGAACATGGGAATGAGAAATGAGCTCCAAAAGAAAAGATGCATTCTCTTTTGGACATATTGAGTTGGCTATCTCTAAAAGATATTCATGTGCAGATGTCTGGCAGACTATTAGAAATGCTGGTTTGGAACTCAAGGAAAAAGTTACAAAAAATTGGACTAGGTTAATGGATGGACTATTTTGAAGTTAAATCCTATGCTTCAGTATAAATGAAGACATATTTTTTTTTTCTATAACCACTATGAAGTTCCCCTCCCCCTCCAAATTATAGTATTGTCTTTGGAGTGTTTGATCCACATTGGCAGGGACTGGGATATGGAGAAAGGAGTGAAAAAAGGAGTTTGAGACTACAGGAAAAGTCATTAGCAATTGCACTTAGAATTGAAAATCATGACAGAAAGACCGGTGCAGTGGCTCATGCCTATAATCCCAGAACTTTGGGAGCCTAAGGCAGGTGATCGCTTGAGCCCAGGAGTTCAAGACCAGCCTAGGCAACATGGCAAAATCTTGTCTTTACTAAAAATACAAAAAATTAGCCAGGCATGGTTGTGCATGCCTGTAGTCCCAGCTACTTAGGAGGCTGAGGTAGGAGAATCACCTGGGCCTGGGAAGTCAAGCCTGCAGTGAGCTTTGAATGTGCCACTGGACTCCAGCCTGGGTGATGGGAGTCGGACCCTGTCACAAAAAAAAAAAAAAAAAAAAAAGAAAAGAAAAGAAAGATCTTCATATAATTGACAATTCATTGAGATATCATATCCATCCAATCTTGTGCCCTGCAGCCTCTCTTATACCCCTGATATTTCATTCTTAGTACTAGATGAGTATATTAATTTGCTCTGATGGCCATAACAAAGTACCACAGATTGGATGGCTTAAATAATAGAAATTTATTTTGTCAATTCTGTAGGTTAGAAGTCTGAGATCAAGGTGTGATCAGAGTGGGTTTGTTCTAAGGCCTGTCTCCTTGGCTCCCAGATGGCTGCCTTTCCCTGCATCTTCACGTGGTCTTTCCCCTGTATGTATCTGTGTCCATATTTTGCCTTTTTATAAGGACACTGTCGTATTGGATTAGGGCCCCCTCAGATGACCTCATATAACTTAATTACCTTCTTACAGTCACTACAGTCACATTCTGAGTTAGAACGGGTTAGGAGTTCAAGATACGAATTGGGGGAGGGAGGAGGAGACAATTTAGCTCGTAACAGTGGGTTAGCCAGCTAAGCCCTTAAATTCTTATTCACGTGTGTTTTGAATGCCTAGACTTGCTAGCTGAAGTCTAATATCCTCTTTCTGCACCACCACAAACTATTTTTCCAAATTTGTTTCCATAATTATTCTGTGTCTCTGCAGAGGTGGAAGGTTATATATAGCAGTGCTGTAAAGCTTTTTTTTCCCCAACTTCATTTTTTTTTCCCTTTCCTGTTCCCGAAAAAACAAAAAATGCCATTCTTTGAAGAAAGAAACCACTTGTTCTCCCTTATCTTTCGTTGAACAGCGTTTAGCAGAATTTGTGACATTACATCAGTTCCTCACTTTTTTCCCTTAGGAATAGACCTTCAATTACAAACTGTGAGCAAAAAATATATAATAGCAGGAAATACATATTTCAGCTGACGTCTGACTCCTTTTTTTCCATAGTTATAGCTTACCTAGAGGATAACTTTCTGTGGAACTAATTCTTAGCATGTATTCCAAACCCAGGTTTATAGGGATTTGGTTGTTTGACAACAGGAAAAAAATACCACCAAATGTATGAAGTATGAGACCATGCTAGGCTGAAACAGCACTTCTCTTAAAACGTGCCTTCCTCTGGATTGTTTTTGTAGGAAGTTTGTCTTGGCAAGCATTTCAAAAGAACTCGCTAGACGCCTCTCTTGTAATTAGCTGGCTTTCTGCTAGAATGTTAGGTCTACCTTCATCTCAAATGGTACAAAAATTAATTCCTCTCTGTCGCTCTGTCCACAGTATAAAATACTAGATTTCTGAGTAGTTTGATATCTAATTTTTCCTTTCTAAAATTTAACTATATTCAGTTTAAGTTTTTGATTTAACTTAAACATAACATTAAAAATAGGATGATTGATATAATGTTATATAGGAATGGTACTTTTCCTCTTTTCCCTCAGTGTTAAAAGAATGGTACTTTTTCCTCACAAAAACCTATATCCCCAGCCATGGAAAGAATATCAGACAAACCTAAATGGAAGGATATTCTACAAAATACCCGACCAGTATTCTTCAAAACTGTCAAGGCCATCAAAAGCAAGGCATATCTGAGAAACAAGGAAAGTCCAGAAAAAGTTAAGGAGACATAATGATTAAATATTATATGGCATTATAGATGGGATCTTAAAACAGAAAGAGCATATTAGGGAAAAACTAATGAAATCCAAATAAAACATGGATTTAGTTAATAGTAGTGTACCAGTGTTTATTTCTTAACTGTGATAAATGTAGATGTACCATAGGAATGTAAGATGTAAGACATGAGTTATACTGAAACTCTGCATATTATCTTTGTAGCTTTCTATAAATCTAAAAACTATTCTAAAATAAAAAGTTCACTTAAAGTAGGATGAATGACAATAAAGATAAAAGAGCATAATGCAAGGAAACTATGAAATAGGTAAGGAAATACAGAAGTTATTAATAAATATTAAATGTCAGCCTACCACTTGATGTATTTGTGTCAATAAATGGCAGGATACCAGTGAGTCCATTGGCATATTAATCCAATAAACTTTTATAAATGATGAATTGGTTGTAAACATTGTGTTTTATAGCATTTGAAAATTCCAAATGGTAACTCCGCACACGATGCTTCTGCTCACATATTTCAGCATCCTGCTTTTAGAATCTGCAGAAAGAAATAGTTCATGTCCTTTAGGGAGGTTTAATAAAAAGCAACAGGTGGAAAATGGATTTTGCAGTAGCATGAACAGCCATAACCATAAATACTAGTACCTCAGAATTATACCAGCAGAGGACTGTAAACACATTAATCTCCCAGCAGTGCAGAAATTCCATTCTCAGATGTCATCTCAATTTCAGGCACAAAGATTGAATGCCTCCATTTAAATTCAAAACACTGAAGGAATATGATGATCCTTTTTTTTCATGGGGATTCATGGAGTGAGTTTGCCAGTTTCCTCATCTATAAGATGGGGTTGATAAATCCCATCTCAGCATTGTGGGATTAAATGAGATGATATACATAAAATACCTAATATGATGGATGGTACACAGGATGTTTTCAATAAATGGTAGTTTACTTTTTATTATGCTCATGAACATTAGGATGGTCTTAGAATCCCAGAACTAGAAGCCACTTAGAGATTTACTTTTTGAAACATTGTTATTTTACAAATAAGGAAACTGAGACCAGAAGGCAGTGACTTGCCTGGAGTCAGGCAGCAACTTTGTTCCAGAGTTGGGACTGGAGTGAGTCTTTGTTCCTCGGGTCCCACTTGGGTGCTTTTTCTAGATCCAGATTTCCTGACAGTACTGCAAACCTACTGTGTGCTAGTGGCTGACACAAAGCTCTCTGCACAATTCCAATCCTGGCATCTCTACTTCTGAAGATGCCATTCCTTTTCCTCAGAGGGAATGGGCTTCTCCGCCTCCCTCTCCAATAGGTGTGGCAATCAGCTGTCTTCCAGTTCCCTTTCACTGCATCAGCATTTCAGCCGCAGCAGCCTGCTTGTGGACAGAGCAGGGGTTGGCAGTGGTGACGACTGTTTTGGGAAAGGAAATGTAAGGGCATTTCGGCTGCTGTGCTGGGGCTGACGAGGAGCACACAGGAGAGATGCCCCTCCCATCTCCCAGAGTGGGTTGGCTGGAGTTCATTGCGGAGCATGAGGACGTGTGGGGGTAAGTAAAATTCATTATAAAAGAAATACATGCTTAGGGGTATCCATGATGGAAAGAAGGAAGCTATTTAGACTTTAATACTTGGTTTAAAAAAAAGTGACTTTTTATTCACTTATTAGTATGGCGAAAATAATATGAAAATTACTTTCCTGTGGATTCATCTTGTCCTTTGATAACTGTTAGCACCTGTTGCTTTTAATTAAGCTTTTTTTTTTTTTTAATTCCCTAAGGAAAGCATTGTTTTTTATTTTCCGGTATGTGGTACAAGACACATAACTCCATTAGTTTAGTCAAAATAAAAAGGATTTTTGAGAATTTTGAGAATGAGAAGCAACTTGGCTGCATTTTTAAGATGTGGTCCAGCAGCACATGGTGTTGTGGGGGAGATGTGGCTGCATTCATGGTGGGGCTGCTTCACCTGAGCCCCTGTCACATTCTGCTCCTGACTCCACAGCCCCCTTTGCTTTTTAAAAACTTCCATTTCTTAAAATGAGGAGGAAAAGAAGCAAGGAAGACATTGGGGAGGCAGGGAGGAGTCTGGAGGGAAGGGCTGCATCTCCAGCCTTGCCCACTTAGTCCTTGTCCTTCATAGTCACTATTTACTGCAGGCCGGGAAAGGAATGGGGGTTATTTCTGGACAATTGTCTCATAAAATCCCGTCAGACCCGTCTGAATGCTAAACGTTCCATGGCACTGGTTATCTAGGGGAAGAAAATTTTCCTTAGCCAAATTTATGAGGCTGGGTTGAAAATCAGGTTGAAACAGAGCCTGGCGAATCCCTATGGCAAAATGATTCATCTTTGTGGAGTCGGGAAATCTATTTTTATCACCTTTATTCAGCCAGCTCCTGATTGTGATTCTCTCACTGAGCTACAGCCGTTTTCTTCATGGTGCTGAATAGACCAAATGTCTCAGGAGTCTGAAACTTCTCTCCTGCCACTCCCAGAGTGGCTGATTCAGCAGTCCCGGGAGAAGGGGTTTGTCCTGTGCTGCGCGGGTGGGTTCCGCACAAGGTGAAGGTCAAATAAAACCGAGAGGCTGCAAGTGTCAGCAGCCAGCCTTTGACTCAGGAATCCTGCCTGAGGGTATGTGCCACTCTGCTCTCCTGCTCTCTCTGTAAGGTGACTAGAAGGTGACTGGGCAGCCATAACTCCTCCAATTTTGAAGACCTTCCCAAGGGAAGAAGGGGCAAGAATAAGCCACCCTCCTTACAGCTGCCAATACATCTCCTCAATCTAATCATCGGGCAGAGAGGGACTTCCTAACACCGTTGTATTCATTTTCCCATTTCCATTTAGTTCTGTAACTATGCATTCCAGGCTGATACATAGTCCTAGCTGGTTCTTGCTGGAGTCCCAACTAATGCTGAGAGGAGTGGCAATTGTTCTCTATAATAAAGTTTAAAGGATAAAGATATGGAAGAAGAACTCACTCTTGAGTTTCCTTTTCTAATGGATTCAGCATGCTTACTCTCTGGGAGCTATAACAAATGGCAATTAGGAAAGCAACAGGAATGTTGACTAGACAGGAACAGTGACCATGGCTGTTGGGGGTATTCCCTGCACCTGGTATATAGTAGACACTCAATAACAATTTGGGAAATGAATGACCAGGATACTGTTCCCCATAGGCTTCAGTTGGCCTTCTTAAGAGCTCTCCTTCAGGACATAGTATGCAGGGCAGCTAGGAGCTGACATTCTAGAGTGAGATGGCCTGAGTTCAAATCCTGGATTTGCAGCTTCTCAGTTGTGTGCTGATCTTTGGCAGGCAACACAATCGTTTGTTTCCTCGTCTGTAAAAATGGACATAATATAGTAACTACCTTATGTGGTTTTCATGAAGAGTAAATTAATTAATATAGGTAAAGAGTCTAGATTTTTTTTTCTTGTCATGTGGTTCAAGATATGAAGAAGAAGAAAAACAGGAGTAGGAAAAGAAGGAGAAAGAGGAGGAGGAGGAACTTTGGCTGTTGGGATAAATTTGGGACCCTTTGAGATTTTGGCCCTGCCTTTTAGGTTGAATATTTCCCTAAAATCATGATTCAGTGATTTTTAAACCTTCTCTTGTCCTGTAGAGAGAATAATTTGAGAATAAAAGAATAAAACGGGCCAGATGCAGTGGCTTACGCCTGTAATCCTAGCACTTTGGGAGGCTGAGGCAGGTGGATCACCTGAGATCAGGCGTTCGAGACCAGCCTGGCCAACGTGGCGAAACTCTATCTCTACTAAAAATACAAAAGTTAGCCGGGTGTGGTGATGGGCACCTGTAATCCCAGCTATTCAGGAGGCTGAGGCAGGAGAATCGCTTGAACCCGGGAGGTGGAGGTTACAGTGAGCTGAGATCGCACCACTGCACTCTAGCCTGAAAAGAAAAAAAAAGAATAATAAAATGGATTTCAGGGGGAAAATGATGACGAATTATTGCCAAGAGTTATTGAACTCCTGCTCCTTGCCAGGTACTAACCATATTCAGTGTTGAAACAAACTGTCAGTCCTTGCCCTGATGGACGCTGCAGTTGACTTTCAAGGGCTGCTGGGCAGTGTGAATTCAATGGCTCAGCGAACACAGCTGCTACGTTCCTTGTTCTCTACCTTTTAAAAAGGAATGTTGAGTAGATCTAGAAGGATGAAGCTTTAAACTTAGCTCCCAACAGGAAATGAGGAGTGAGGAAGTAGGGAGAGATTTGTGTGTGTGTGGAGTAGCAGATGAAGTCTAACTGTACAGCAGTATAAAGGCAGTGAAAGAAATGTAGACGTGGGCATTGGATTGAACCATGAAACTGAAGGGAAATCCAAAGCAGTAATGTATCATCAACCTGTGAAATGTAAAGAAGCACAGGTAAGTAGTGAAAGAATGAAGGAACCAAAGCAGTTGTTGTAATGATATAAAATAAGAGCCATAGCTTATTAGACCCTTAGAGTCCCAAAGCCCAGCCTTGAGAGTGTAGATTCGGGAAGGCTGGATTCCTTTGGCATCCTCTCTTTTCAGCTCTGGGTACTGCCGCAGCAGGTGAGCTTGTGTTTGGTCCCTTTCAGAGTCTGGAGTCTCCCATCTCTTGGAAATACAAGGATATGTATGAGCTACCAACTCCCATCTGGCTTTACTGGTCTGTGAAACATTCTATTTTAATTTGGTGAATCCTTTTTTGACTCTAGAGATCTTCAGCAGTACCTGCCCTTCACACCGTTTCCTCACCTTTGCCAGATCTGCTTTTGAGTAGCAGTTTTATCCCTAGATGTCTTATAGCCCAGACCTGGTAAATCACCAATGTGAATTATAGAACAGGATCATTTTTCATCCTGCTTTCATCCCAGTGGCTGGATTAATTTTTGGATCTCTGCTTTCTGTAAGCAGTCATTTCTTCCACAGCAGCCATCTGTGAAGAAACAGAGCTTACGAAATGACTGGGGCATGTTTTACATGGCTGTGCTCAGTTCCTTCTGTTTGATTCCCATGTAAGCTTTGGCAGTGATTTCCACAAGCGTTTCTGTGGGAGGTGCTGGAGAATGACTTTGGTAAACAGCCCCTTGGCTATTGTTGGCCCTTTCCCTGCAAATACCATAAAGGACACAACTTGAAAAGTCGCTCTGGTTTCTGAGCCCCTCCTAGGGCCCACCCCAGGTCCGACATCTGAAAAGCCGAACTCAGCCATGCTTGTGGTAGAGCAGCGATGTGGACTGCGTCTGTGTTTGCCTGACTTCTGCTGGGCCACTCTGGGCTGGATGGGAGCTCTGACCATAGAGCTTACTCCCCTCCCCTCATTACACATCCTGGGATTTTCACACTAGCCCTCAATCTGTTGGAGTCTTTTTAGGTAGAATCTCATTTCATCTTCCTCGTTTCCGTTTCAGGTTTTCATTCCAAGAATGGAATGGCTGGTTCCATTGAGAACCAGCCTTAGGAGTTCTCAGTGTATTGATTTTATTTACACTGCTAGTGTTACATTTTGCTTTTAGGAATATGGAAAAGCTTAGGGAATTTTTGGACATGTGTTTTTCTCTCTTTCTTTCTTTTCTTTTTTTTTTTCCTGATGGCCAGAGGTTTCTGCTCTCAAATTACTCAGTCAGGGTAATTAAGGACTAAAAAAATGTGAATGTGTGAATTTAACAGTAAAAACTTAAAGGAAGGAAAAAATACCTTCCTTATAGGAAGAAGAGAAAAATGCATATAAATAAACTTGTTAGAAAGAGAAAACTGATTTACCAGCAACTGAACTCCCTTTTGTTTCTTGATTTTTTTGCCTTTAAATAGGCTGTGCTATTTCCTGAAGTTGACCCATTTTCCTTGCTTCTGCCAACACTCCCTTAAGATAAGTATTTATAAAGTTTATTCCACGTTGATATTTCAATTGTTTCCAGAAATCCATCCCATCATAGCAGCTTCCCTACTGCCAGGGAACCTGACCTCAGTATTTCCTGAAGTCAGAGGATGGTCTTATATGTATGTAAGTGCAGGTATCTACAGTAAGAGAGAACAACTTGCTATATAGGGCTCATATGAGTCAACGCCAATAAATTGAAAATAAGAACTGAAAAAATTGTAACATTGTCCTCACATTATTTTTAAAGCATTATCTGTTTCGATGCTGGCAAAACTGATTATCTTATATAATGGCCAAAGGAACTGTTCACTTTCAAGAAATAAGCAACTAGCCTGTCTTTGTTTTCATCAGCATGTTTTTTGGTGACTAATATGTTGATTTGATGAAAGCTAATTGCACAAACATGCGGTTTGTGGGGAAGAAGGTAACGCATGGAACTATGTCTAAGAGATGTGGGTGTTCATTCCATTGGTGGATCCAGCACTTTCTTCCTCAATAAAGAGTATTTGTTCCTAAAATAACTGGTGTCCTTCAAGGCACAGAATGTCTAACTCAGCTGAAGGTATTTAATTTATATTATAAATGTACATATATATTTTATGAATTTTAATAGAAATATATTAATTTACATTTATAAGTTTAAACATAAAAACATAAAATACATGAAATATGTTTGAGTGTATTGTTAGGGACATCTCTGAGCTCCTGTGGAGATAGTGTTTTTTCCCTAACATAACTTACATTTAAGAAAATTGGATTTTTCATGAAATTTACTCAAGTAAGACTGTAGGCTGAGTTTAATATATATGACAACTAAACTTTCGGCCCATATTGCACCAAATTAAAGCTTTCTTCTTTGTCTTTGAGCACAAGAATGAAAGCTGGCATACTGTCCGGTAGACTGAAATGTGTCCTCATGGTCATTTTGACCACCTTATGAGCATGATTAATTGACAACATGTTGTTACTATCTTAATTCTTTGGTCTGAGTCTCAGCTCCCGTGTCAGACCTCTGAGTCCCAAACATAGCGCCACAGTCTGGGTCTTCACATCTTGGCCAGGTTTCTGTTAAAAAAACAAAGGCGCCTCTGTGTTATACTTTTATGGAGCACATGTGGTGTGTATTTATTTTGTGATAGGTTTTTATCACTTGGTAGAAAGATGTTACTGTATCTTAAGTGAACGATTGTTTCACCCTGTTGCTCCACAGACCCTAGTTGTTTCTTTAAAATGGGCGATGGATTTTTAGGGGCGTATTCACAAACCTGCCATGAAAGTCTTTCTTCTCCAGATGTTTACTTCTATATTTTTATGTGAAATTCAACTTTTTCACCTATGGACATGCTTCCCTGCAGCAAATAACATGACAAACTCTTTGCCTTTATATTGTCTTTATATTTCAGATACCCCCCCACCCCCACCAAGCCTTCTCAATTCCAAACCTGTGATTATGCTGGATGCTTTACGTGTTATGCTCCGGCTTGTAATGGGCCAACTGAAAGATAAACTGCTATTAAATAAATCTATGACTCTTTTGAGAACAAATAGAGCTGTTGAAAGAGTTTAAAAACATAGTGACTCCTCGAAAGACTGTGAACATTCTTGAACCCTTTGAATCAAAGTGAATTTTCTTCACTCTCTGTGTGTGGGTATACACTGAAACTTATAAGA
The DNA here is from genome assembly GCF_000001405.40 of Homo sapiens. Taxonomy (NCBI): domain Eukaryota; kingdom Metazoa; phylum Chordata; class Mammalia; order Primates; family Hominidae; genus Homo; species Homo sapiens. The sequence continues at coordinate 41,544,343 of NC_000004.12, forward strand.
AAGAACCTCAGTAGCAAGATATTTGAAGGCTTTTGTGTTCTTAACCCTGCAAGGTTTTTCTTGGCAAGACTTGAAGAAAATGTAGCTGTCGTCTATTTTCTGCTCCTGTCGAGGGGAGCAGTTGAGTCTGGGAGGCCTCTAATGTGTCAGAGAGAAGCCTGCAGAGTAGAGAAGAGCCCAGAAGCCTCCAGGTGCCCAGTGGTTCCCTAATTATTCCATTACCTAGTTACCTGGTTTTCTATTACCTAGTTACCTAGTTATTCCATTCCATTCCACCTCCTCTCCAAGCAAGGCTGGGTGGTTCTTCTATTTTGATCTCTTCTCATGTGTCTCTGTTGCTGTGGAGCTGCAACATCAAAGCCTACCCCAGACCACACGTGTCTTCTGTTGCCACCACGTTTCCCTCTGGACACTGGATCAGCCTTACTGCCATTAGGATGCTTATGCTTCCTAGAAAGCCTCATTTATCTGTGCTGGGGCAGCTGCTGAGGACTACACAAGATTCACTGTCATGGGTTTAGCTTTCAGGGACTCCCCAACTTGCCTAAGTTACCTCTTGGGTCCTTGATTGAAACTCCAGTTGCCAAGTAATGAAGATACAGAATTTTGCATTGATCTCTCTTCCCTTTTCCATCTTTCCTGTTTCCATTCTGAAAGGAACTGCTCTGAACTGGCAAATGCCTACAGGGACTTCAGTGTCATAGGACAGGCTACTTTGACTCCTTTGTATAACCTCAAAGTCACTGCCAATACAAGGGTAAAACAGATTCTGTTCTTTGTACTCAAATTCAGTGTGATGTGAGTTGGAATGCTAAGAAAAACTTAAGAGATATTTTTAGCAAAAATGAAATATTTTGATGCCTATCGCTCACCTGAAAATTTTCCCAGATTTGCCATTTCTAGATTTTTAGCAGCTTCACAAAGGGGTATTGTGTTTGAGTCGGAAGAGAAAAATGTTTTTATTTCCTGTCCTTGACGTTTAGTGGAATTGATAAAAAGCATCAAGGATCTTTGAGTTCTGGATCTCCTGCAAAAAAACACATTATGTAAGAAAGGACTTGAGTGTTTTTTTCCTGTTCGTCAGTACGAGGGGAGAGTTACTGTGGAAAGTGAAGGGCAGTGATCATCAGGAATGGAAAACAAAGAGCTTTGCTAGAAAATCACAGCAAGGGTGATCAAGCAGTTACCCTATTATCTGGCTCTAAACTTAATGTTGACCTCGACAACGACTTTTACATCCTCCCCCCAAACAGGCTCCTTTACTCATTCCTGAAAGGACACTGTTGCAACTTGAGTTATAGGGTTGTTGGAGCTACCTGATGTTTTATTAAATGGTTATTTAATCAATAAATGAGTGAGTGATCATCTCTTATGGTTGATCAGAAAGTATTCATTTAAAAAGTCATAGGTTTAACTTTTTTAAAAGTCAAGTCAGCACAGAGCTTATGTATTTAAGCAGTTGGAAGTCAAAATATTAATATGTTCAGTCAAGAATATCCATTTCGTTTCATACTTACTTGGCAGTTTAATTTTTTTTTGGCCATAGTTTACATGGTCCAACTGTTAGGTTGCTTAAATTTGCCAATATGAAATATTAACATTGGGGTGAATGCTTTATGAAAACAAGAAATTGTTTCTGCTTGGTCTACCTGTTTATTCATTCATCAAGATTTCCCAGGCTCTGTCAACAGATTTCTAAGCAGATATTTGATGATATATTGTTATAGGAATAAAAAATATGTTATAGAAATAGAAAACTACCTTCCATGTAGAGTAGAAAGAAGCCTTCATTGGTCTGTTTTTTTTGTTTTTTTGAGATGGAGTCTCACTCTGTCACCCAGGCTGGAGTGCAGTGGTGTGATCTCAGCTCACTGCAACCTCCACCTCCCTGGTTCAAGCAATTCTCCTGCCTCACCCTCCCAAGTAGCTGGGAGTACAGGTGTGCGCCACCATGCCCAACTAATTTTTGTAATTTTCATAGAGATGGGGTTTCACCATGTTGGCCAGGCTGGTCTCGAATTCCTGAGCTCAAGTGATCTGCCTCTCTCAGCCTCCCAAAGTGCTGGGATTATAGGCATGAGCCACCATGCCCAGCCTGTATTTTTTTTTTTTAATAAAAATAATCCTTGGGCAGCTGTTTATGTTGTTCTGTTATGCTTGCCTATCTATAGAATGAAATCAATGTGGTTTTTTTTCTCAACTTTCTTCTTTTTTATTCTTTTTTAGCCCCATCATTCAGTCTCTTTGTTCCTAAGTCTTTCAGATGCTTTAACCACACTATTTTCTTACCTGATTTTCTGTTCCACTTAGCATGTTATTCCAGGCAATGAATGTGTTGCTTCCCCTGTGATAGATTATGGCACTAAAATAGTAATGAGCTTTAGTACAATCAGAGCAAAAATTACTCTCCTAGGTAAGCCCCATTCTTCCCCTAGCTCAATTCAGTGTTCCATTAGCCACAGAAATGCCAAGGATTCCACATACCTACATATATATATGGAGAGAGAGAGAGACAAGCGAGAGAGAGAAAGAGAGAGAGAGGTTGAGACCGAGATTGAGACAGAGAGAGCTAGTTCCCTGTCAGGTCTTTACTACTGGAAGAGTCAAAGATTTGCAAATGGAGATTTTTCTTTGCATCTTCTTCTTCCTATTATCCTTTTTTGTAAACAATGTTTATTTTATTTTTAATTGACAAGTAATAATTATATATATTTCTGGGATACAAGGTGATGAGGTGATGTTATGATGTCTATACAATGTGGAATGATCAAATCAGGCTAATTAACTGTCAGCTTGCTGACTTATTTCTTTGTGGTGAGAACATTTAAAATCTACTCTTCACACAATTTTGACATATACATTATTATCAGCTATAGTCGCTGTGCTGTCTAATAGATCACTGGAACATACTCCTCCTGTCTAACTGGAATTTCGTGTGCTTTGACTAACATGTCACCTTTCTTCACCCACCTGTTACCTCCTCCTTAGCCTCCGGTAACCCCCATTCTACTCTCTACCTCTATGAGTTTGGCTTTTTTAGATTCCAAGTATAAGTGAGATCATGTGGTATCTGTCTTCCTGTGCTTTTTATTCTTAAAGATATTAACTGCAGAGGCCCAGCTTCATCCCCTGTCTTAGCCACTTCCCAGCCCAAGGTGACCTTGGGCTAATAATTTAAGTTTCGCATTTTTTCATCTGTAAAATGATGATTAACTATAGTATTGACCTTATAAGACCATAGTAAGGATTAAATGAGCTAATATATAATAAAATATACAGATATTATAAATATATACATATATAATATATACAGATATAAATATATACATATATAATATATGTATGTTATATATACATATATAATAGTATACACATATATACATATATAATATATACATAAATAATATATAAAAATATAAAAATATAAACATACATATAATATACATATATTATAAATAAATACAATATAATATACATTATAAATACATATAATGTTTTATGATATATAATTTGTGTGTGTGTATATATATATATATATATATATATATATATATAAACAGTGAGTACATTACCTAGTGCATGGTATGTGCTCAGAAAAAGATGACTATAGTAATGGTGCTGGCAGGTGTTAATGTCATTCATATTTTTCCCTAAACCTCTATTTTCCCATCTATTAAATAGCATAGTAATAGTACCTAACTCATTAATTTGTGAGGAATAAAGGCATATGGATCAACGTAGCATGTTGCCTGGCACCTTATAAGATCTCAGTGAATGATGATGTATACTTCTGCAATGATACAGATCATTGCACTTCTCCTGTTTATCTCTACCCTTTGTTTAAGGCTTACACTTTAATCTATAATCTTACCATGAGGCCCTGAAATTACACTAGCCAAGTCAGTTTGAGCCAGTGATTTGCTTTCTTCATTTCTGTTTCTCATTTGTAAAATGCGAGTGTTGAACTGAGTACTCTGAATAGTTTCTTCCTCTAAAGTATTTTCACAACCATTTTATCTCACTCAACTCATTTTAAGAAATACCTGATAATGAGAAACTCATCCAAGAGAGCCTCTTTGCCCCCGCTCCACCAAAAACCTTACTAAACTAATCTCTTTAGTTGTTCAGTCAATTTTCTCTTATTCAAAAAGCTGGGCTGTTTTGTTTGATTAATGACACCATCAACTGGCCCTATCCCAGAGTGTAATTGATCAGTCCATAATTCCCCAAGTCATTCTTATTTCCTATGATTATATTTTTAATTTATAAACCCTTGGCCAGTTTCACCAAAAATTAAATCCTGATGCCTTCCAGATATATGTTCCAAATATTGAGGAACAGTATTCAATTTTGTCTCTTTGCCAGTGGCTGCTCTCACCTTGTTCCAACTCCCAAATCCCCATCTCGTTTTTTCCTTTTTGGAGAAGAGTCGTGAAAAACTGGTTTCCATTATAATTCCATCACCCCTAGAGGCAGGAGGACTAAGTATGCAGTGTGGTTTCAGGCCAAGAACATTGGACTGGAGGTGTAAAGAGCTGGGTTGCAGTGCTGGCTCTGCCTCCAGAGCTGAGGGGCTTTGGGCAGGGTAGTTTCTGTTGCTTTAGTCCTTAGTTGTCTCATTTGTGGAGTGAAAGATAAAACTGAATGATTGCTGAGACCTTTCTACCTGTGAAAACTCATGGTTTCTATTCTTTCCCATTTTGTCCCCTACTGTTAATTTTTTTTTTTAAAGACACTTGGTCTCACTATGTTGCCTGGGCTGGTCTCAAACTCCCAGACTCCAGCAACCATCCTGCCTTGGCCTCCCAAAGTGCTGGGATTACAGGCATACGGGCCACTGTGCTGGGCCTGTTAATATTAACTACCATTTATTTAGTACCTACAATATGCCAGATATTAATCTAATAATAGTTAACATTTAGTATGTGCTCACCATGTGCTAAGCGCTTTATTTCTATTCTTTACTCTTCACAGTAACCCAAAAAAGTAGATGCAACTAGTGTTCTTCTTTTACAGATGAGGAGACTGAGACACAGGGATGTGAAGTCCGTGCTCATGGGTATGCACTCGGTGAGGGATAGAGCCAGAAGCTGAACCCAGGAGGCTGATGCCTTGCCCTTGCCCTTAGTCATTTTATTATATAACATTCTTAAGGACTTCATTTTTTTCTTTTTCTCTCTACTATAGCACTAGGAACAATATAATAGTACCCTCACTTAAAAAATGAAGAAACCAAGTGCAATGAAGCTAAACAATTTGGCCAAAATAACCCAGCTAGCGTATGACAGAGCTGGGGATCAAACCTAAGTCTGGCTCCTAACCACCGTGTTCCAAGAGCAGAGTGGATTTCTTACTTCTGTCACATGTATCTTGTGGGTTAGTGATAAGCAAAGTATAGTACATTTTAAAAAGAAGGATACTTTTGCTTTCTGTTCATTAAATTTTTTAAGCATATAAGATAGAAATTTTGCTAGATTTACTTGAAGAAACAGATAGAAATCATTCTGTAATCAACACGATTTATATGTGGATAGATTCTTTTTATTGAGTAAGATTATTACAGTTTAATCTAGTTTCTGTCGGATTTGTCTTCTATTTCAAAGAATGCTGTCTGAATTATTAGGTTGGTACAAAAGTAGTTGTGGTTTTTGCCATTAAAAATAATGGCAAAATAAAAAGTAATGGCGAAAACCACAATTACTTTTGTACCAACCTAATAATAAAACTTGGCCATGTACCCAAATTGTAAGAGACGGCAGGCTTCACCCCCAGTATCCTCAGTGTGGCTGCCATTTCTTATGCCCACTGTCCCTCATGCTGCTATTTAAAAACTGATTATCCTGTTTACAAGGTGAGACTCAAAATTTGATATAGAATCTAATTGGTTAATTTTATATTGTGTGTATGTATTTTTCCTATTGATTCAGTCAACAGGTATTAATTTAGCACATGTGGCAGGTGATCAATTAATACCTGTTGACTGAATCAATAGGAAAAATAATTTGATACCTTTAGCTCATTTTATTCTCCTAGGTATTTAAAAAATGAGCCTTCTACTTTCAAAATGCTCTGGAGTAAATGGCTCAAGGCCATCTCATTTCACCATCTCTAGGTGCCTCAAGTTGGAATCAATCATACACCACTTGGCCTGAAATTCAGATAAGAGTTGACAGGAAGTGGGCAGGAACTGTTTCCTTGTTTTTTATTGTTTGTATAAATGTTAAGTGCCATGGCAACAAAAAACTAACAGCCAGATGAAGAACAGAAACATATGGAGAAGTGAAAGACAACCTTGAAAAGAGATATTTGAAAGAAATTATTCATTTGGCTCATCTTGATATGAGTGAGTGTATTGCTAACATGATTGATTGTGTTCCTGAGTAGAAATGCAAGCTTACTAAGATTAGAGAATTAATGAATTAATTGGTACTCCTTCTTATTCTACAAAGGACTGGAAACATAAAAATATTAAGTTATAGTTGGGGGAAAAAGTAAAAGCTTTGACTGTGGAAAATATCAGTGTAACCAAAAGATAATATAACTTTTATAATCGGGGCACACACTTTACTCTGAGTTTCCGGGCAGCCACAGCAAAAAGGAAAATATGATTAATTACAAAGCTTTTAGCTTCCATCAGACTTAGTTAATTTCTCATGAGGAAGAAAGTTATTCTTAACATCTAGGTTTAAAAGAAATTCCTTTCATAGGTATTCATATTGGAGACTAACTCTTTGATTCCAAAAATTCAGAATGTTTCTTCTATCTTTCTTCCTCCATGATAGGAAATTGATCCCATTCAAGATGAGAAGTAAGTTTCTAAAGTCATTGTCAAGGCAGCTGTCTAATTAGGTAAGAATACAGATGGACTGTGAGGGGAAATATGTCTTTGATCCTTCCAGCAATATCTACAGAGTTCATGAGTTTAGTTGAACTTTCATAATTATGGATATTTATAACAGCCTTGCCTTCTATTGCTAGGCTCAGAGATCCTTCCAAACAAGTGCATGATTCTTAAAATTTTCCAAAGGAGTTGCTCAGGACAAAATAACACTGGTAAGACTTGCTTTTCTTTATATAGTTGTATCATGAAGTTAGCACTTACTTTTATCAAATTCAAATGGTCAATACTGGGCATCTTCCAGGGGTAGGCTGTATTGCTGGCATTGGGCACTCCAAGGATACAAATACGAGATGAAATTAGAGTGTTTGGATGAAGCCGAGGTCAAGGAACTATACCCTGCAGGCCAAAACCAGCCTGCTTCCTTTTGTTCATGGCCTGTGGGATAAGAATAGTTTTTATATCTTTAAATGGTTGGAAAAAAATAAAAGAAGAATATTTCATAATACATGGAAATTAAGTGAATTTCTAATTTCAGTGTCTATAAACATAGTTTTATTGGAATACAGCCATGTTCACTCATTTATGTAGTATCCATGGCTACTTTCATACCACAGTGGCAGAGTAGATACAACAGAAAACATATGGACCACAGAGCCTGAAATGTGTACTATTTGGCCCTTTCAGAAAAAGTTTACCAATTCCTGTTATAGTGGAGAAAGTGCTTTCTATGTGTATTAGTCTGTTCTCGTGCTGCTAATAAAGACATACCCAAGACTGGATAATTTATAAAGGAAAGAGGTTTAATGGACGAACAGTTCCGCATGGCTGGGGAGGCCTCACAATCATGGCAGAAGAGCAAGGGACGTCTTACATGGCAGCAGGCAAGAGAGAGCGTGTGCAGGGGAACTCCACTTTGTAAAACCATCAGATCTTGTTATGAGACTTATTCACTATCAGGAGAACAGCATGGGAAAGACCTGCCCCCATTATTCAGTTACCTCCCACTGACTCCCTCCCACAACTTGTGGGGATTGTGGGAGCTACAATTGAAGATGAGATTTGGGTGGAGACACAGCCAAACCATATCACTATGTGTTCATGAGCTGTGTGAAGAGTCTGTAAAAAGAAGAACCGTCTTCTCTTGTAGACAGGGCCCTCTATCTGTGTGGTGCATCCTTTATATCTCCATATACTGATCTTTAAAACATGGCATGTGCCACGCCTGCATCAGGATCCATCTGAGAGGAAGAACACTCCAGAAGGCTCGAATCATGAGCTCAGGGCCAATATAAATGCCATCGCGTTACTTTGGAGGCTTTCCCTACAGGCTCTTGTTCTCTTGGAATCAGTGCCTTTTCCTGTCTCTTGCTTCTTGTTCTCCTAGGCTGCTGCTCACCAATCCATAAAAATTATAAACATGGATATTTAAAAATTTTGTGACACAAAGTATTCAAATTACCCTGCCACTACCTCTTCTAGACACTTGGTCTGTTCTTTATTAATGCTGTCCTTTTTTCAGGAGCTTGGATAAAATAGCTTTTAAAAATATTTGCTGAAATCTGTTTGCCTTTCTGCTAGGCTCTGCATTTTATGTCCTTATTACTATTTGATTATGATAATTTTAAAGCATTATATAATCAGAAGTAAGACAGACTTTAAGAATTATGAGCTGAAAGTTCAGTTTCATGGCTCATGGAAGTAATATATATAGTTATCTCCTTAGGAATTTTAATTATTTGAGGTGAGCTGTTTAAAAAAATAAAAGTGCAAAGTGCTTATGTGTTTAATTCCTATTCCAATCCCCAAAAATCTGAATGGAGATTTATAAAATCATGTAATTATGGGGTTAACGTGACCCTAGGTGCCACTGGTATAATCAGCCTTCCAGGCGCTACAAGAATCTCTTCTCTCCCTTCTGGAGTGATGGCCAGTTGGTCTCTGCGAGATCTCTCGCAGTGATGGGCAGCTGTCTGACTCCTGATTTAGTTCTGTTATCATGTGACTGTCTACTGTGCCAGCCACTGTGCATTCGGGGTTACAACCATGAATGGCATGGTCTCCACCTTTGAGGAACTATTTAGTAGGGGAGGCAGACAATTTCAGTTTAGCATGGTAGGTGATAAGATGGATATATTCACAAAGTGCTGTGGGAACATAGAGGAGGGCCTTAATTGAGTCTACTTGGGAATTTGGAGAAATCTTCCTAAAAGACTTACAGGAGGTGAGTCTTGAAGGATAACTGAGTTCACCAGGCAGAAAGAAAAAGGTGGTATGTATGTTCCCAGCAGATAGAACAGCATGAGCAAAGTGTGCAAGATACCACTAGACCAGTGGATGAGGTAGGGTGTGGTGGGGGATGAGGAGGGCAGGGAGATATGGACTAAGTCTTGAGAATCCCTGTGTACCTGGTAAAGGACGTGGGATCCCTCTTCATGGTGATTAAAAGAAAGTGGTAACTCTGAATGATAGCAATGAAAGAACGGAGGAAGGGAGCCTGATTTCAAGGGGATGTTGGTGTCAGTGGATCAGACTTCATGGTGCGCTGGTGGTGACCTCTGATGAAAGATTCTTGAGCCAGTTTCAGCCATCTTCCCTCTTGGATCCAGGGACTGGAGGCCAGTTTTGGCATCCTCCATTCATTTTTGGTTTACCTACTATGTATTGCATACCTACTATGCACCAGATCCTGCACTGTTATCTCAATGTATAGTGACGTAAAAACAAAACAGATAATATCCTTGACCTAAGTGAATTCTCAAGCTCAGTAGTATTAGGCCAGAGCAAGTCAGGTTCAGGAGAAGCTGTGGTGTGGTGGCCAGCTTTGTTGGTTTCCAAGCTCAAATTCACTGAAGCCTGTTCTTTTCATGGTTGGCTTCAATCCTTATAAAACTACAATTTTCTGAATCCAAAGTTTTCTTCCTGAGAGCCATTTGAATCGGTTTTTCCATTCCCTTCTTCTAAGGAAAAGGAACTATTTTGCTTCCACTTGTATTTAATAGATCTTCCACTGTTTCTCTTTTTGTCATTTATCTATTATTGCAATTGAACTAGGCAACAATCACAAAACCTCAGGAGTGTAAAACAAGTGTTCATTGCTCATGCATCTGAGATGGCTGAATTGGTGGCTCTGCTGAGGTTGGCCAAGGTGATGGGATGTGGGACTGCTCCACATACCTCTCTTACTCTGGTTGGCAATGCCAGGCATGTGCTCATGCTTCCCAATTCCTTCTGCTGTCACCTATGAGATGTTGTTTCTGGACTATTCATTTTGTCAGTATTTCTTCCTAAAATGTGCACTCAGACCTGTACAACCTTCCTCTAGGTGTGGTCTAACCAGTAAAAACTGCAGGGGAACCATTATTTCCTATCCTCTGGACACACTGCTTCTATTAGTTATTAATTTAGGCTGAGATGGCATTAGCTTACTTAGCAGATGAATTGCACAGTTGGCCCTCTTCTCACATTAAGCTTGAGAAAAATAAAACTTCTCAGATTTTTGTCCATATATACTGCTGCCAAGTCTCATCCATCCTGTGAAAAAAAATTTTTGTCTTTCATGCCTAGTCCTTGAACCGTGTCAATTGGGTTTTGTAAAGGGTCTTTGAAGTATGTCTTGAATTAACTAAGTTCATTCATTCATTCCATAAATATTTATCATGTCCCTATTAGGTGTCGAGCACTGTGCAGGGAACAAGACATGAACATAGTCCTTGGTCTTGTAGAATTTGTGCTCTACTTGCAGAAGGGTAGGGTGGATGTTGAAGATTCAGTAGTCAGGATTAAAAGGCATTATCCACTTTGTGACATGTTTGTTGCCATGGAGTCTTCTCCATTCTTTTTGAGAACTCCTGTAGTTGATTAAAATTCCAGTCATTGCCATTTGATTGATATTTGGGGTTTTGCTGAGATGTTGACACATCTGCTCGAACAAGGCATGAATAGTTAGCGGATGTGAAAACTGTTCACAAATTGCAAAAAGCAGGTTTCTGTTGAACGTTATGAACTTGATTGACATCACACTCAGGGTGGTGTTGATTTAGCAAGCGTGTCCTACTGTTTTCATGGAAAGTTCAAACATCTTTCCCCTGTGCCACTTGATGGGCATAAATGTGAAGGATTTTAGGCAAAAGAGCATGCGGTGAATACTGAAGCCTATCAAAGCTTTCTGTCACTCACAACTACATGGTATGCCTATGTTAGAGCTAGTTGACCGCCTTCCATTGGTTCTAAGGACACTTGGTTAGCAGTGTACTGGGTGTTGCCCTGACTCTAAAGCTGGGGTGTGAGTACTGGGAGGAAGCATCACCCCTTTTTGACTAATCCAGCATTCAAAATGCAAAACAAATCTAAGTGAAGTTCTTTCATTCATTCAACAAATATCAGAAAATCACCAGGTACTGGAAATTGATCAGCAGGCAAAATGCCCTTGAGGAGCTTATCTTCTAATGAGAAAACAGATAATAATGGTAAAACAAACAAGAATTTTTTTTTCTTATATGGTTAGAAAGCAAGTTCTATAAACAAGGGTGTAAAGTGCTGAGGTGAAAGACTGTAGAGTGTTATTTTATTTTATTTTATTTTTGAGACGGTCTCATTCTGTTGCCCAGGCTGCAGTGCAGCGGCGTGATCACAGCTCACAACCTCGACCTCCCAGGTTCAGTGAATCCTCCTAATCTGTTTTCTGAGTAGCTGGCACCACAGGCATTTGCTACTGTGTCTGGTTAATTTTTCTTGTACTTTTTGTAGAGACAGGGTTTCACTGTATTGCCCAGGTTGGTCTTGAACTCCTGGGCTCAGGGGGTCTGCCTGCCTCAGTCTCTGAAGGTGTTGGGATTACAGGTGTGAGCCACCACACCTGGCCAGTAATTTTAAATAGAGTGGTTGGCAGAGTCCTCATTGAAAGGTAGTATGTAGAGCAGAAATCTGGAAAATGATCTGAAAAAAGAAGTTAGCCAAATCCCAGCACTTTGGGAGGCCGAGGCGGGTGGATCACCTGAGGTCAGGAGTTCAAGACCAGCCTGACCAACATGGCAAAACCCTGTCTCTACTAAAAATACAAAAATTAGCTGGGCATGGTGGTGCACATCTGTAATCCCAGCCATTTGAGAGGCTGAGGTAGGAGAATTGCTTGAACCTGGGAGGCAGAGGTTGCAGCAAGCTGATATCATCCCATTGCATTCCAGCCTGGGCAACAAGGGCAAAACTCTATCTCAAAAAAAAAAAAAAAAAAGGAAAGAAAAAGAAAATATCATAACATGCAGAGATGACTGCCAGTGTCAAGGTCCCTGGTTCTACCTTTTTGATCATTAACTCTGCTATTAAATTAGCTACAAGTTTTTGAGTGCCCTGATGTGCCCAGACACTGGGCAGTTTACATCTATTGCTTGGACCCTGCCTAGGAAGTACATTATATTACGCCTCCCCATCTACAGTGGAGGAAACTGAGACTTAGATGAATTAAGTCAAGCCCCATATCTTAAGCAGCAGCTGAGATGGGATTTGAATCCATCTGACTTTGAATTCCTGGAAGCCTGAGCATTTCCTCCTGTCTTGTGGCTTCTTTCAGTATAGACATAATCTTGATAAAAACAAACTGGGAAATTACCCTTTGAACCAAGCAATTTGAGGAGTGTTTTTGAAACTAAGAGACTGGGTTTCTAAGAGATAAAATCATATAACTGCTGTTCTTTAAAATTCACCACAGGATCTACTTTTTCCAAGAAATCTCCCCTGAATAAGGGAAGGTATTTGGCATACAGCATCCAGCTAGGTTAATAGAGCTCTTTATATAGCCTATCTGCTATTAAAGCAGCCATTCGACACAGAATTCTGTTTATTTTAACTATCATTAATGGCCATTCCAGGAATCTATCTCTATTTCTTTGGGATACAAAACCAGTTCTGTATCGATTGCTTGACAATCTTGACACATAATAAATGCAGACCTTCCTTGTGTTCTAATGTTGCAAATTGTATCATCCTGTGGGCCGTTGTAAAATGGTTCTCATCTTTCCATAGCATCAATACCAGGATGGAGGAGTTGCCTCCATTTATAAGGACTAGGCATCAAGTGGTCATCATGACCAACAATGTCATAAATGCAAAGATAAATGTAAAATTACCTTTGAAGCTTCGTAAAAAGGGTTATACAAGGGAGCCTCATGTACTAGTGTGCATAAAACACACTAAAAATATACCTAACTCCACTCTCTCATACATTTAGAGTTTACAAGAATCGATGGAAGAGATGATTTTTAAAAAGGTATCCAGGGAAGTTTAAACTGATGCTTTTTCTTGCAATAAATAGATCTAAATCAAGCAAAGATGTTAAAATGTGTGTGTTTTAAAAATCTTTATTGCCTCTGTGTGTGTGTGTGTGTGTGTGTGTGTGTAATTAGAATGATGAGGAGAATTCTTAATAAAGGTGGCCTGGTGAGCAGACCCAGCACAATTTTTATCAGTGAGGTGTTAAAACACCACTAGAAATTTAAGGTGATGAGGGAAACTTGATTTACCAGAAACCTCTCCCGACACTGCATGGAAGGAATCCTTACCTAAGCCACATAGGGTGAAGGTGTTCTGGAGGGTTGGAAGTGCCAAGGGCGGTTCTAAACTACACTCTAGTGAAGGTGGCTACAATCAGTGTGGGCTTTTGTGGGGGCTTTAATTGTGAGGTTAGGATCTGAATAAGAATCCTGGAGAGCTGACTTTGACACCAATACACACTTTTTTTTTTCTCTTATCCTCATGCTCAACTCAATCTCCTCTGAAACTTGATGTCCAACAGCTAGGTTTTAAGGGTTGCAGATTATCTACCTTATCACAGTGGCCACACGTGTCAGCCTGGTGATGATGGTGTTTCACGTTCCTCAAGGACCCCTCACGGTGCCTGGATGTCAGTTTGCATAAAGCTTTAAATAAAGCTGCTCCGTATACATCAGCCCAAGTAGCAGCCACCCATAAACGGTGTGTGCTGTGCTTTTATGTCACTTTGACACTTTGGTGACAACTCTTGGACCATTTCACTCTTCTCTAAAGAGTCATAAAAACTGATACCAACATTGAAAAAAAAAACTTCAAAGTTTGTCTCTTAGAGTTGTAAAGGCAGGAATGAGATGCCTGCCTTAGATCTTATGGGAATTTCACCAAAAAGGGGCGGTGTATAGGAGGGTATCGTTTAAGCCACTGGCTAAATGAATGGTTTAAAACAAATTAGGCAGTAATGTCTGATTATGCTTCTTTCCAGTTCAAAATCTTTGTTGGTTCTATTCCCCAGCATGTTACAATCCATATTCCTTTCCACAGTCTGCCCAGCCTCATATCCTGTCCCTCATTTCTATTTCCTCCACCTCCCAATGCCATTACCGTCCCAGCCCTTCCCTCATCAGAGAAGAGGCAAACCTGAAGTCAGCCTTGGAGACCCAGCTCACATCACCTCACTGAAGCCCTGTTAGGTGCTTCTGAGTGGGTTCCTGTGCCCATGGTACAGTTTCCTACGATGATGTCAACCATATTGTATTTATGAAAGATGCATTTGTGTATTTCCACCTTGGTACAGTAAATTTTTTGAAATTTAGAGACCATTTTCTATGAACCCCTTCAGCATGTGGCATAATTCTAGCTCATGAATGATTGGATTGATGCTATAAAGAGGAGGGTTCCTGTATATAATCTCAGTGCAAGCAGAGCTTCTTTCTTTGTTAAAACTGTTGGATTTTGAATCTCAGCAGACATGTCTTCACCATCTGAGATTATGATAAATGTTTGACTTACTAATGCAGAAATTTAGCTTTGAGAAACACCTACAGATTTTTGTTTGGTTTTGTATTATCCAAAAGAGCATTGTCTTCGTGGCTGAAAAAAAATATTTTATCTGGTTTGGCAGATTAATTTGGCAGGATAGAGCTGGGCTGGGGATTATGACAATATATGTGGAAGGCAATTTATGTTGTCTTTTAAATACAGTACTCTAAGAATTGTAGATTTTTAAATAAAATATCCTTGCTGTTTTTGCCCCCTAAAACATAATAAAGATAAATCAAAAGTCCAGCTTCAAGTTATCTTACAGGAGCACCTTCAATTTCCTCTTCTGTCTTAGATGTTCCATGTAACCTGTGTCCTGTTCTCTTTCCCAAAGTTGTAAAGGAAGAAGGGTGCCTCCTCCCTGTCTTGATCCTACTTCCTTCAAGAATCTTCTGAACCAAGCCCCACTATTATAGTCCATCTCTCTCACATTTTCAACCCCTCATCTTACCATCAGCTGCTACCCTTCAGTCTACAAACCTACTAAGCCCTCTTTTACTCTTAAATCCCCCTTTCCTGAACCTGGCTGCATCCTCCGACTCCCGTTTTCTTCATCCTCTTCTTCAGGTGCAACTCGTTGCAAAAATAGTCTCCATTTACATCATCATCCCTCATCATCTCACATCTTAAGCTCGTACCAGCCTGACTTCCACTGCTTCATGGGATTAAACCTACTCTCAGGGTCACTAACCCCCATCAGCTACCTCCTATGTGTTTGATACCATTGGTCAGTCACTACCTGAAATTAGCTTTCTTGTTGGCTGTTGCCACACCACAGCTTCTAGCTCTCCTACATTTCCTTTATATGCACCCTACCCCTACCCAACGCAGATATTTCTTCTGGTTCTGTCTTTGATTCTTGTGCACCTCTGTCTATCATTTTTCTCTTGACAACTCTGCTTGCTCTTTTCTTTTAAACCACTGTCTACATGCTAAGGAACCCCAAGTCCATATGCCAAAAATTCCCAAGTCTCTATTGATAGTCCCGATCTCTTTCCAGGGCTTATTTCCAAGTACTACCTAGACTTCTTTTCCTGTGTTCCTGACAATTTCTCCACTTTATTCTGTCCAAACTGTCCAAAGTGTAATGAATCAAACAACCCGTTCCTCCATCTGCATTCCTTATTTCCCTTAACACCTTATGTCCTTTATTGGCAGCACAATTCTTATAGCCAGCATCCTGGAAGTGTTCCCAGCACTCACCCCTCCATCTAGTTGTTCCAAAGTTCTGTAGATTCTAAGTCCACACTCTCTCACACACACATCTACCTTTTCCTTTCTATTCCTCCTGGCCTTTGTCAAAGCTCATGTGTCAAAGCACAGTGGGGATTCTGTGACTCTCCTGCCCTTTCACTGCAGCAATGAAAGACTTCAAATTCCTGCAGAAGGCTTTCAGGGCCACACAAGTCTGACTGTCATTTACCTTATATAAGCATAAGGGCACAGTGGAAAGCAGCACTCTGTTAATGGTGAAAATCTAGGCTTCTGAAGTACATAGACATGAATGAAAACCTCAGTCTTCCCCTCCCTCAAATGTGCTTGCTTCTCTCTAAGCTTCATCCTTGTGTACTCCCCTCTCTATTGTCTTTTTTGGGCTTTGGTTAAAAACTCTTCTGAGGCTGGGCATGATGGCTCACGCCTATAATCCCAGCACTTTGGGAGGCTGAGGCAGGAGGATTACTTGAGCCCAGGAATTTGAGACCAGCCTGGGCAACATAGTGAGACCCTGTCTCTACAAAAAAAATAAATCGGTCAGGCATGGTGGCATGTTCCTGTAGTCCCAGCACTTTGGGAGACCAAGGTAGATGGGTCACTTGAGCTTAGGAGTTCAAGAATAGCCTGGGCAACATGGTGAAACCCTGGATCTACAGAAATACAAACATCAGCCAGGTGTGGTGCGCTTCCCCATAGTCCCAACTACTCTGGAGTCTGAGGCAGGAGGATCACTTTAGTCCAGGAGGTCAAGGCTGCCGTGAGCCATGATTACAGCACTGCACTCCAGCCTGGGCAACAGAGTGAGACCGTGTCTCAAAAAAACAAACAAACCAAACAAACCAAAAAAACAACTATTCTGATTCTTTCCCACCTCAGGATGTTTCTGACCCATGAGAAGCCCCAAATGCTGACTTGGATCTGTAGAAGCTGCCAGGCTCTTTCTGACCTTGTGTTGTTTAATCCAACCTAAATATGAAAGGAAAAGAAACAATACTGTGCTCACACACATTTAAATGTTTTAAACATTATTCTCCCTTCCTTTCTCTCCAGTTTAGAAATGCTGCACATAAATTTAGTCTTGCTTCCTTGGCTGTATTTTTTTCCCCCTCCAGAACTGCATGGATTTTTCTGTAGGTGTTAGAAAATCTAGATTCCAATTAACTTTGCTGCTGATTACTTTGTAAATCTTGGTGAGTCAGGGCTTGTTCGTAAATGATGATGAACATTTTAAAGTTCTTTGAGCATGGCGATGTGTGAGCAGAATACAGATGAACTAATTAGAATGTATAGTCGCTGCTCTTGTGTGATAGGTTTTGAGAAGGCTGTAAATAAACATGGGGCTTTCAAGTCTTGTTTATGGTTTTCAAGGGGGAAGTTTGTGTGCCTTATCTCATATGAAAAAACAGTTTACAAAATTTCTTTAAGTCTCTCTTGCTCTTCAGTTCATATTCTTGGGCACTAAAATGTGGACAAGTACCATGGGAAAGAAAAAGAAGTGGATATTCTGCAAAAATTCCACTGATGTTGAAGAACTAAATTCCTACTGGGAATTTGATCAAAAAGAGACTAGGGGAACAGCAGAATGGGAAAAGTAACCAACAATTCTATTCTTTATGCCTCCTAATTACACCGTGAAGAAATAGACGGATGTCACAAGAGCATGCACTTCAGTAAACATTTGCTTGAAAATGGTATTTAAGAATCCTCTGAAATCTCCCCAAAGGCCTCTAAAAAGCCTTCTCTCTAGAGAGAATTCTGATTATAAAACATTTTCTGCACGTCTCACCCTCTTTCATAGGCAGTATCATTATTGCTTGTGGGTTTGGGGCTTTATTTTGCTTCTGCCTCTGTTACGAGCCTCTGAGCAGTGTTCAGAAGTAGCCAAGGTACCCTTTTTCAGGTGTTCCTGGTGCCAGGGCCAGATATGGGCATGAAAGAGTCACAGTCCTGTCCTACTTCTTTTGAAAAAGAGGCCCATCAACCTCTCTCCACTTTGCATGTTCAGTTTCCAGTTACAACTTTCTGTCATCCTTTTTGCTTCCTTTTAAAAATTTTATTTCACCATTAGTAGAGTGATTGGGGTGTACGAGTTTTCCTTACTTTCCCCTTTCTAGTGTGGTGAGGATGAGTCAGGCTTTCTGAGTGGTATTTTAACTTTCCCTTGTCTCCTGTAACATTTGAAGAAGTCTGAGAGAATGTCAATTAGCTAAGTTCCTATCCAGAAATAAAAGGAAAAGTGTCAATAAGTATTGGTAGTAGGATAACAATTTTGGTGCAATGCTGAGACAAAAAGGAAATTGTTTTTGACCTGTCATGAGAATTAGCATGGGTCCAGTCATTCTGTCCCAAAATAAATTAATTTAGACTTTAAAAATTGTGCTGATTAGATAGCAAAATCTGTAGCAAAATTCAAAATTGTTACCCCTAGTATCTGGATGGCTACATAGTCCACTGTGGCAATGATTATTGGTACGGAAATGTTTAAAATAGGAAAGTTCAGGCTGGAGTCTGGAAATAAGTATTGATCCCTGTATCTCCCTTCTGTAGGGCTAAGGATTTGACAGAATTATTAAATAGGTATTTGGGTATCTGCACCAAGGAGAAAAATATTGCTCTTTCTGGGTCATGGGGGAGGGGTGATTTTTGCTTTCCCTTTTGTCAGAACTGATAAATGTTTGATAGAAAAGATCTTTGGAATGACACAATCAGTGAGAGTACACTGGGCAGAATGTTATGAAAGGATTTGATTCCCCAATTATAGCTTTTTAACTAGATTAAATCAAGCAGCATCAATTCTGAAGATGGGTCTATTTTCCTCTCCCAGTGGAACACTGCAAAGGATTGTCCTGTAAACTTCAAACACTGTGCTTAAGTTGGGAAGATTCATCTTCTGTTATTAATAGTTGAAGGTTCATAGCATAAACCGTGGCCTATATAGACCTTGGCCCACATCTCTGTGCCATCACCGACCAGCTCTGTGATAGTGTACATGTCACAGAGCCTCTCCCATACTCAGTTTCTTTGATCTGTCAAACTTGATGGTAATATATTCAAGAGATTATGGATAAAAGGGGATATATATGGGGGCCTGCAGTGTATGCACACACAGTAAATGCTCAGTAAGTGCTACCTGTTAATGTCTTTATCCTGACATCCATACTCTAGGTATGTTATTCTCTTCCAGGGATGTATCTGGAGCATAGATAATCAGAACCCCGCAAACAGCTTGTAAAATGAAGCAAGTATCTCTCAAAATTAAGTAAGCAGCCCAGATACTTGCAAATGGATTTTAGTATTTTTCCTACACAAAAGAGTAGAATTGAGTCATTTATAGTGATAGATGCTAAAAAGTAGAGCAAATTTCTTTCCTCCATTGTCCTGAATTTGTAGTTTACTGAGAAATTCTGGGAAACCCAATATACCAATGGCATGAAAAGCAACTGTGCTTTGGAGAACAGCACCTCCCTCTACCCATCCTGCAAAAAATGAACAAGTATTGCTTGTGAATGCTTTGCATGACAATGCCCTCTCATTTTTCCCTACAAATCACCCGCCTTTTCCTCTTAGCCAGGTATTATCAGATTTTATCACTAAAGTCCTAATATATCTCTATTAGAGATGAAAACAGGAGACTATAACATTTTGCCTACTTCTTCATTCTTGGACCAGCTATCAGAAAATTTACCATCAGGGATCTCCTGTCAAATTTAAGTCAGGAGTGTTGGACTTCTTAGCAGTCCTCTTCTCTCCATCCTAGAGCAGGAGGATCCGTGGAACTGTGTTCCCCCTCTCTGTTTTACACTTCAGGAAATTATAGAACAGCATGGTTAAGTGACTTACCCTAGGCTCATCAGCCAGCAGATAATACAATACCTAATATTTACTTAGTGCTCATTATAGGCTCAAAGCTCTCCTTATGTACTTTGTATGTTATTTCAATTACTTCTCATAACAAGTGTAAGAAGTATAGATAATATGATTGTTCCCATTTTACAGATGAGGAAAGGAGCATGGGAGGTGAGTAACTTGCCCAAGGTGGTAGACCTGGAATTAGAATTCAGATAGCTAAATCCAGAGGCTTCTCTCACCCATTTGCTCTGGCGGCAGAAGAGAATTCACATTGAGGCTATTTCAGGTTTTCCTGGTTCCCGTGAAAGCATTATTGCTTGAGGTTATTATAATGAAAAATAAAAGACACACTTGCCTGCTATTTGGGAACATTTATTTAGTAAATACTTATTGAGTACATAGTATGGTTAAGGGTCTGTGCTTGGTTCTGTGGGGGAATACAAAAGTAGGCATGATTAATGCAGCATACATTAAACCCGATATTTCTATACAGAAAAAAGTGGATATGATCCCTGTTTTGTCCTCAGTGAAATTAATGTATCCTATTCCAGAAACTTCCCAGGGACTTCCATAGAGTTAGCATGACTGATGTCAGTTCTCACTATAAGCCGTTGAGTCTAGGAAATCCAAATTACCTGAAGGATAATTTGTCCCTACAATATGGTTTGGCTCTGTATCCCCACCCAAATCTCACCCTGAATTGTAATATCCCCACATGTCAAGGGCAGGATCAGGTGGAGATAATTGAATCGTGGAGGAGGTTTTCCCTGTGTTGTTCTCGTGATGGTGAGTGAGTTGTCACGAGATCTTATGGTTTTATAAGGGGCTTCCGCCTTTACTCAGCACTCATTTCTCTCTCCTACTGCCCTGTGAGGAGTTTGCCTTCTGCCATGATTGTAAGTTTCCTGAGGCCTCCCCAGACAGCCCTACAGAACTGTAAGTCAATTAAACCTCTTTCCTTTATAAATTACCCAGTCTCAGGCAGTTCTTTATAGCAGTGTGAGAACAGACTGATACACCCAATTAAAAACAAATAAGAGAACAAACTATGAATAAGCAGTGTCCTCAAATTAGACCTTGGTAGGTTGTGAAAGTGATGGGACACTGCTGTTTTGCCAGTGCCTAGAAGCTCGTGGGATATTGGAGTGGTTTTCTTTTCTAGTTGTCACTGTTCTGTTTTAAGCAAGGATCAGTCATCCAAGCCAAGATCTCCTTGCTTTATGCATAGTGATTCGAGGGCTCTCTGTCATGGGTTGGCATCTTAGGAAAGATAGTTAGAAGTTAGCTATTTCGGATACACACACACACACACACACACACACACACACACACATACACACACACACAGACACACACACACACACATATATATGATAAATTAAATAAATATATGATAAATATATATATGAGATAAATATATATATATATTTCAAACTAGTGTTTGTTGTCTGTTTTCATTGTTCTGGATAGAGTCTTATGATTTTTTAGAATTTCCTTTGTCTCCTGGTAAAAATAACACTTAGCTTTTGTATCTTTCTCTAAGAAGAATTCCAAGATGTTTAACAATGGTCCAGGTACTTCTTACCACAAGTATGCTTGGACTGGTGAACTATTAGGTCCCCAAATTTTAGGGGATCTGATGGTTGAGAGAGGGAAAGGTGGGCATTTTGACTGTCTCAGCCTTGGCACTGGAGTTGTGATGTATGTGGTTGGAGCTTAGGAATCTGTTGCTGCTCCACCTGTGCCACCCTGAGTCTGGACCAGGGTAGGTATCCCATCCCAATTTGTGCCCCACACTCTGACAGTGTCTAAGATGATGCTGATAATAACCACTACAAGCAACTAACATTTGGGGATACAGACTGTGTACTAGGCATGGCACTAAGCTCTTGGGAATTTCTTATTTAACCCTGACAACTTATACTGTAGATATTCTTATTCCTGTTTCACAGATAAGGAAACTTGTCCACGATCACAAAATTAGTAAGACAGAGCCAGAGTTCAAACCAAAGTCTGTCTCATTCATCCCTGAACTCTTAACCACTAAAGTAGGCATCCCTAGTGGTGAAGACACTAAGGTAGGAGTCAGGCCATATGGGTGGTCATGTCACATTGAGCCCCTCCACATCATCTATGAGGACTGGAATCAACTTATTCCAGACTCTTGTTAATGTTGATATTTTGAGCCTCCCCCAAGAATCACAAATGGTCTTAATGGCATCTAGCATGATGAATCCTTTCCAGAAGGTCTTCAATTTGCTTTGCCCAGATCCATCAGAGGAATCACTATCTATGGCAGCTATAGCCTTACAAATATATTTCTTAGATAATAGGACTTGAAAATTGAAATTACTCCTTGATCCATGGGCTGCAGAGCTTTGAGTGAGGTTTTGAATGTGGGAAAGGCTTTGAATGTGGGGAAGAGATAGGCCTGGGGGAGACATGATGAAATATCAGAATACTGAAGGACAGTTGGGTGAAAGAGAGCCTCAGCATGATGTAGGCAGTTTCCTGGAAGTATACTTAGAACCAATGAGGAGAAGTCACTAGGAGCATCAACATGTTGATACAATGTAAGAATGAGTTTTCTATGATAACTATGTGAAGTGATATGCTAATCATTCTACACAAAATCATTATACAAAAATTGTATAAATTTAAAATGTAGAATGTGATGTTTTGATAAACATCTCATCATACACTTTATACAATTTTTATTTGTTAATTATACCCCATTAAAGCTGGGAATAAACTTAAAAAAAGAAGAGTTTTCTATCACATACAGAGTTATCCGAAGATGGGCTGAAATGCATCAGAAATTGACCACTTCCTTGTTACTGAAGTCTTTCAAGCCTAGACTGGGCAGCTTCATCATGAGGACTGAATCATTGTCAATCCTATAATTCTTTGATCCCAATCAGCAGTGCTCTTATAAGTGCCCATCAGAATACTTGCAAAACCTACCTGCTCAAACTCCTCTATTCTTAAAGCTGTTCTTCCTTTCACCAAGTTCTGAGAACTAGCAAGGGCTCTGCCCAGTGGTGTGTCATAGCACAGTACAAAACTGATGGGTCTGCATAAGAAGGCAGAATAAAGGATGCTGAGGTTAAGGGGGGGACCTGCTTGGATTTGAACCCTGTCTCGTCACTTGCTGTGCATACATGCTGAAGTTACTCTACCTCTCTGTGCCTTGGTTTCCTCATATATTATGCTGTACATGGGATAATATTAAAATGAAAGTGTTTTTAAGATTAATGAGATAATACATTTAAAGCCCTCAGAACAATGCCTGGCATGTTTGAGATATTCAGTAAGTGTTTTTGTTGGCTTTATAAGCACGTCAGCAAAACTTTTTTTAACTTTTGACTTGCTCTCAGCCAAATAAGTAAAGTATTTATGCAAAAATAATCATGACAAGGTCAATAGTAGCAGCAATAGTAGTAATATATGACTGAGGCAGAATTAAATTCCAGAGCCCATACTTTTAACTACCTACTTAGGGTTAGGTACTGAGTTAGGTGCTATACTTGAATTATCTCCTTTATTCCCTAGGAAAACCTGGTAGGTAAGTGTTACTGCATTTTATAGATGAGGAACCTGGGGCTTAGACAGATTATGTAGTTTGCCCAGTATTACCAATAAGTGCACAGAAAGGCATGATTAGAATCCAGGTCTTTTTGTGTTTATCTTTGGAAGTATTGCTACACTTGTTTGGTAGTAATAAATAGCTCTTTTTTTAGAAATCTTGTGCTTAAGTGGCATCAGAAAAGATGATAAGTTCATTTCACCTCCCAGGTAATGTCCTTAAAATTGGCAGCTATAGGCCGGGCGTGGTGGCTCATGCCTGTAATCCCAGCACTCTGGGATGCCAAGACAGGCGGACCACGAGGTCAGGAGTTCGAGACCAGCTTGGCCCACATAGTGAAACCCCGGCTCTACTAAAAATACAAAAATTAGCCAGGCATGGTGAAACCCACCTGTAATCCCAGCTATTTAGGAGCCTGAGGCAGGAGAATCTCTTGAACCCAGGAGACAGATGTTGTAGTGAGCCGAGATTGCACCACTGCACTTCAGCCTAGGCGACAGAGCGAGACTCCTTCTCAAAAAAGAAAAAAGCAGCTATGACGGTTACTTAAATGGGCAGTAAAATGGCATTTGAGGAATAAATGGTCAATAGGATCCAGTATTTACAACCATAATTGATAGTGAAATTACAGACTCATCACTAAGAAAGCTTTCCTATCACTTTACAATAAATTGTGTAATCTGAAAATAATTTTAAAACAAAAAGTTATCAAGGTCCAGCTTCAGGAGAGCCAACGTGACAGCTGACCTGATGCACCGGAGTTACAACACAAGAACTGTTGCATTCCCTTGCAATGGTGTGTCATGGGTTTGATCCACATGCACACAGAGTATATGTATTGAAAACAGTGGTGACATAATGTTCTACTTATTTTTGGATCTAGATTTCTTCAAAAACTAATGCGAGAAAAATACTCTAAAATGGATGATTTCTTCTGGCTATCCTTCAGAAAGACTGAATGAGAAAAATATGATGCTGCTAAAATAGGCCAAAATGTTGATGAAATGTCTGTGGATATTGGAGGATATACTCAAATGTAAATTGTCTCCTTTGTCATAAAATAAGGCGAGGCTATAGGTCGAGGTATTGGCAGTTACTATGAATAGTAAATAACCATTGAAAGATTGCTTGACTTTGAAATTGATTGCAGAGATAAACATTTAAAAGTTTTCTCTCAAATTTCTAGACATGTTATTTACCTCTCTATTCAGGTTATGTGGCCCATCTTTGTGCATTGGCAGTCTTATTACATTTTTTCTTCTCTTTTTTTCTCTTTGTGTTTTTAGTCTGTCATTCTCTTGATCTTCTACATATGGTGTAATGAAAATATGCACAGAATGTAATCAAGAAATGTCTCATATAATTAAAAAAAACAATTTAGTGCTTCTTAACATTGTACTAAATAGAAATTACCAACTGAGGGAAACTGATAAGAATTGACTGTGTAAATGCCTACACCCGAACCAGCATAGATATTGTTTAATAATTGGTTTTGTTTCTCATGATAAATAATGCTGCGTGACCTGTTACCCCACTTGAGAGATGCAGGAGTTAGAGATCAAAATGCTCGCTTTCTTAATGAGAAGAGCTCAATTGAAGACTTCGGTCTGTGGCAAGGGTGCCTGCTGCCCTTTTAGCCTGAACGAAGCCAGACTTACCCACTCAGCCACCAGGAAGAGCCCACCATGCAGTTCTCTCCTGTAGGGGCAGCTCCCGTAAAACCTGTAGTATGGAGTGGAAGAGAAAGTGCACATTTTGCCCGAAGTTGGAGGAAGAGGCTTGGCTAAACATGCTCAGTTCCTTCATCACTCAGATACCCCATGAGCAAGAGGGCAGAAAAATGCCCAGGGGTTATGCTAAGGGAGCTTCCTCTACTTGGAAACGCGAAGTAAAAGAATAGGAGGGTCGGCCCTCAACAGTCAATTAGGAGATGAGGCACAGCTGAAATCTAGGACCTGTTTTAAATCTGGCTGAACACATTAGCTATATAGTACCTGTGGTTTCCAAATACTATAGTAAATATATTGTATGTACTCGGATTACTGGAGATGCATTGTCAAAGTAGTCAAGTCAAGGACCATATTCAATATTGAAGTGGGTTTCAAAGATAATGAAACATAATAAGGACTCCAAAAATGCCACTAAAAGCAGATTCTCAATATTAGCTGTGCATCAAATTCACTTTAGTTCACTGAAAAATAACCTGTTGATTAAAATTCTGTTCCTCGTCATCATCAGGAAAGGATTTATGCTTTAAAGTTCCTATGCTATTTAATCTATTTTGCATTTCTCTGGCCATTGTGACTGAATTTCTCTTTCATGAGTAAATAGATAAGACTAAATGACAGCCATTTATAGCATCATTGCTGAGGACACAGCTGAGGGTCTGCCCAGCATGAACCACATGTTTGCAGAATGGTTGGTGGACAGCAGGTCCCAGCGTGGGATATTAGGTATGAGTGTCACCATGTGTCTCAGTAACACAGAACGGTATCCTTGGCAATGTACTCTGTGACCTCCACAAAACATTAGATATGCTGCATCAGCTTGACTGCTGAAAATAGTAAGCCTGCCTGGCACGCATAATTCTGTGGCCATTCTGTGCTTTAACCAGTAGTCTTACAGCGAAGCTCTGACCTGAGGCATTCTGCTTATAGCACTAACAAAACTTTGCTTTCCAAGGGGTTAAAGAAATACTTTCAAAACATGTGGCCTCACTTCCACTTAATTGCTGTAGGGACTCTCTGGTTTCAACAGGAGCCTTTGAATCTGAAGTTTAAGCCTTGCTTTTGTTCTATCAGCCCTCTTTTCCTTCAGTGATATGTTTTGCATTAGCGTTGCAGTGGAGTAGACACTAGCCTGTATTGATTTTGGTTTGCATGCTTATGCTAAGGCAGAGGTGTTAATTTTGAGGAAGAATGAATCCTGGTTTGGACCTGTGCACTTGAGGAAAGGAGGAAATTATAATTTCCACCATCTGTAACAGTGGCCCTGCTCCGAACATTTTGTGGCAAAGAAATGTTTAGTAGGTAGCTCTGGGCGGACAAGAGGGATTCAAGAATCAATAACATTTAGGCAAAGGTTAAAGACAGAAGGATGAATGGCACCGCCCAACAAAAATAGACTGATGAGAGTTATTGGCCATGGGGTGTGACTTGGAGAAACTGTCGTTTAAGGATTGGGGGAGAAAAAGGGACTCAGGAAGAGGACTGAGAAAAAGAAACAGAGAAACAGTGGAAAGTGGAGCATTCTAGCATCCATTTGAAGGAGAGTGCAGAAATAGGAGGTAATGAACTGTGTCAAATGCAGGTAGAGATTTAGCACATTGCAAGAACTGAAAAGTGTCCCTTGGATTAGCAAGTAAGGAATGATTGTTGACCGTAAGAGGATTTGTACCAGATGGTGAGAATTGAAGTCAGATTGTGAGGGGGATCAAACAGGAGGAGAGAAATAAAGACTGTGATTATGATCAACTCTTGTGGGCAGGAGAGCTGAGAAAGAAGAGGAGAGAATGTGTGGCTCAGGGAGCCACACAGTCCTTGGAGGACTGTTCGTTAGGGTAGAAATGTTTTTTGTCTTGTTTATAGGACAAGGAGAAGACTGGTGAGAAAAAGATGAAGACAGAGACAGAGAAGAGAGGGGAAAATAAGTGTGAAGTCTTGGAAGTTAGGAAGGGATGACTTTGACAAGGAAGGAGAGACTTCTTTTGTCCTCGGAGCAGGGGAAAGGAGACGGAACACAGGAGTGTATAAAAAAGGAATGGAGTATTGACAGTGCCGTTTCTGGAGGCCTTGACTTTCTCAGGGCAGCAGCAGGCAAGGATGTCTGAGAGTAAGTGGGAGGGGTGTCACAGAGAGAATATGAAGAGAGAAGCAGGAGGTTGGATTTGTTGTTGAGGGGAATGGGATAAAATTATGGCCTCAGTGAGGACTCAGCTGAATTTGGAAACAATGAATTTATAAGGGAGCCAACATGTTCCACTGGGTGATCAACAGGTTAAAAGTTTGGTGTGAGGTCCAAGAACTAGTGCATTTTGAGGGTGAGCAAGAGCCTGATGGATAATGTGTTCGGCCATGGAATATGATACTGGATTATCTACAGTATCACTGCAGGTAATGACAAGATTCAAAGTGGGTCTCCAGAGTGGTGTGGTGCCTGGCCTCAAAGGAAGGGGAAGTAGATGGCTTTTATAGGGTTTGATGTCAAGGATGTCGAAAACCATTGCCACCTCAGAAACCTTTATTCTTATTAGGTATTTACCAGAGCCTGAAATTCCTTGAGGGGTGCCTTATAGCAAGCAGCCTTTCATTTATAGTAAACTGGAAATATATTTGAGACTGGGGATATTTTAATCTCCAATGATTTCTACCTAAGCGTGAATGAAACATGAAAGGAGCAGTTCTAAGAAATAATTATTGGTTGGTTTGTTGATAGGGGTGGGAGCAAATGGAGAGGCTGAGATGGGCACTGAGTATGAGAAAAAGAAACGTTAGCTGCTGAGCTGAATTCTGCTTTGTCAAACTTTTCTAAACACTGCTCCATCTGGAAATGTAACACAATTAACAACATCTTCACAGATGCAAGACAATGATCTTGCAAGTGCCCCACTCAAATTATTATTATAAGTTGTATAGAGATACACACAGTTCGGGGGTTTAGAAACCACAGAGAAACAAAATTTGACGATTGGCAATACATTGGATTTAGGGGAATTACCATTGGATTTGGTTTTATATTACATTTTAGTGTCCAAGATTGCATATTTTACAATACTAGTTTTTTTTACTTAAGGAAAGAAAATATGAGACATCTTAATACCAAAAGGAAAATTAAGAGTGGAATTTGAGTGATGTGGAATTTGACAGTGAAGTAAATAAAAAGAAGGACCTCTGAGATAAGATTTTCTGGCAGAAAAAAGCAAGGCTCTTAGTAGCAAATTTTAAATGAGTAATGGTCAAGGAAAATAACGTGAAACAGATTCTCTCATAAGCTTGGATGAGAAAACACAGAAAGGAATAATGCAAGGTCAGGCTGAAATGAACTGTAATTAGAGTCTGTGAAATCGCACAACCAGAGTATTGTCACATGGTGTTTGTGTTTTGATTTCAGTATCTTGGCAGTTAGATAGGACCTAGTCAGTAATTCTTAGGTGGGTTAAGAACTTTCTAGACATAAGGCAACGGGAATGAGGAAACTGAAAGAGGAGTCAGACGAGTGTTCAGAGGAGGCAGGCACTTCCCAAAGGCTACTGCTATTCAGTGACATCACGGAAGTACCTAATTTAGAGGTTCTTAGATCCTCAAACCAAGATATGGTTATCTACAGGAATGGGACAGTTTCTGCATTAGGGGTTATGTAGATAAGGAAAATCTCCAAGTAATGTTAGCCAGTGTAGGACTTTCAGATCTTCTCCAAACCAATGTATGGCAATCAGCCTCTCCTACCAAAACGATGGCTTTGAAGTTTACTGTCGTGTCTCCTCTTTCTATGCACCAGTGGTGATGCCAATAAGCAGTGAATTTTCAGACAACAGAAGGCAAGAGAAAAATAGTCCATGTCTAATTGGCTTGGCTGTCACTGGAAAAAACCAATAGCTGAGAAAGTCAACAGCATCAACAATCAATTTAGAAAATCTTTTTTAAAAAATCATTGCCATCTTTTTCTAGATTTAACTATGATATGTAATCACTATGTAAAAATAAAAATTAAAAAATATATAAAGGGGCAAATAAAATCATGCATAGCAGTCCACTCAGAGACTGTTAGCATTTGGTTGACATTCCTCTAGTAATTTCTCTGTATGTTGATATGTATGTAAATGACATGGTTGAGGTTACACTGTGCATCACTTTTCCAGCCTTCATTTTCCCTGGACCTTGATCATGAGGACTTCCGTATATTGTTAAGTATTCTTCGCAAATGCTATTTTGATGGCTGTATACCCTTTTCCCACATCAATGTGCAATAAATTGCTTAACTGCATTCCTGTTGCTGGGCATTTGGGTGGTTGCTATTTTTAAGCTACTATAAATCAACTTGTGATGAGCAATACTGCACATAAACCTTCTTTTTTTCCTGATCATTTTTTAGGACAAATTCCCAGCAGTAAAGTTGCTAGATCAAAGAAAACCCACATTTTTAAGGTTTTTGAGACGTGTTGTCAGGTCCTCCTCATAAAGGTTGTAATACACACTTTGCATGTGTAAAGTATTATAAGGGACCCAAGGGGAGATACTGGATTATAAAAGCCAATGGCTATTAGGTCATTAGCTTAAAGAGCTATTTTTAAAGTTCTGTGTCCTGGACCTTTGCCATAAGCTCCCGTCTATAATACAATTAGGAAGACAAATCTCTCTTATATGCCATCTGTGAGGGAATTTGTGCTAAATTATTCAAACAAAACTCTTTCCTATAATGCAAACTCAGGCGGCAGGAAATATCATGGGTTTTGTTGAACTAGGTTTATTCCAGGCAGAGCTTAAGTACAGAATCAGGTGGGATCTGGCAGGGGTCATCAAGTAAAAGTCTCAGAAAGATAAAATGTGTTGAAGGTGTGAAGAGGACCATCTTGATTTTGACTTATATCCTTGAAGATCCCCTCCCCTCCCCTCCCCTCCCCTCCCCTCCCCTCCCCTCCCCTCCCCTCCCCTCCCCTCCCCTCCCCTCTCCTTTTTTGAGACAGAACCTTGCTGTGTCGACCAGGCTGGAGTGCAGTGGCACAATCTCAGCTCACTGCAAGCTCCACCTCCCGGGTTCAAGTGATTCTCCAGCCTCAGCCTCCTAAGTAGCTGGGATTACTGCCACCACACCTGGCTAATTTTTTTGTATTTTTCATGGAGATGAGGTTTTACCATGTTGGCCAGGCTGGTTTCAAACTCTTGACCTCAGGTGATCCACCTGCCTCAGTCTCCCAAAGTGCTGGGACTACAGGCATGAGCCACTGTGCCCATCTCTTTTCATATTTTAGGATCCAGACTCATCCCTGGGAGACAAGCACAGGCTACAAACCTATCAGCTTAACCATCATCCCTGTCATTGTTTTAATGTGTTGAATGTAAGCTATTAAGACTTCAAATGTGGCTCGAGTATTCTATTACGCTGTTTGCTTTTTGCTTTCTGGAAAACATTTATGAGACTGTGTAAGGGAGCGAAATAGGTTGGGCACTTGGGGGTAGGTTTAAATCCCATCTCTACCACTTGCTGGCCGTATGACCTTGGAGAAATCATTTTACCACTCTGAGCTTTAGGTTTTAATTTCCTCATCTGTCAGTTAGGAACCACTGAATTCATCTTGGAGGGCTGTTGTGAGAATGAAAAGAATAATGTCTGTGAAATACTCAGCACAATTTCATTTCTATGGCTTTTTAAATCCTACTGATGCACTCCCAATTATGTGAAATCACACACCCACACACACACACACAATTTATTGAGGCATATTTTGAAGTAGCAAATGATTGGAAACAACCTGTAACCTCTAAATATCTATTGGTAGAAGACTAATGTAATTATTCTGACTAGTAGCTGTTGTTACCATGTTAAGTATGAAGACACTGACCAGATAGCATTTTTTTAAAAGCATCGCTGATTTTTAAAGGCATTGTGATTGAGAAAGTGCTGTTTTACCTGTTAGCTCTGTATTATTTCATCAGGTATGGTTTGAATGGGTAAATATCTGCCTCACCGCAAATGCAATCATTCAGTAAATATTTATTATGTGCCAGCATGGTGCTATAGTTTCACAAACCCATTACAAGTTTGAATTTTTTTAAACTGGATTCATTCAGGGGTGTATTCTTTTGGAAATAATTTTCAAACACTGTTTCATCATGCGGATATGACATTCTTTAGAAAGTGCTCATAGAAATCTTCTGTCATGTTTGAGAACACTCTGTACTTAGTTTGTAACTACTTGGCATACAAATTTATATGATTGTATATAAAGCTCATATCAGGCGCATCTTGTGAGTAGTAGGAAGATGTTTAAGGTTAGGGCCTAAATATATGAGATTTTTAAAACACATTTTGGCAAGTGTGGGTTTTATTTTTTATATGTGAAAGGAGCTGTGTCTTTTTTTCCTGGAGCTTAAATACATGAAGCAGGAATGTATCTGGTGGTAGTAGATATTTGCCTCTTGCAATGTTGAGATCGCACAATTCTAGCAGATACTCCCAGCCTGTTGATCTTATAGGAGATTCCCCTATACTTTGGGCTTCAGGTCCATCAGCTGTAATGGCCACAGTTGGTACTACAATAGCTGCCTCTAAGTAGAAGAATAACCTTTTTGGAACTATTTGTTCTCCAAGAAGAAAAAAGGCAGGTTTCTATCAGCCATTTGTTGTCATTTATTGACTTCAAATGAAAACTAACTTGCCTAGTTGGACAAAAAGAAGAATGTGTAAGATATAAAAAGGGGATGGGATGCTCACAGTGACATTAATAAGCAATACATTTACAAAGTGTTTGTTAGTTCACCGTCTGCATAACCTGTTGATTTGTGCATATTTCTTGTGAGGTTTATGTTTGTTTTTGAACTTCTATTTGTCCAAATACATTTGACTTTAATTATTTCCAGTCTTGTGTTTCTGTATGTGTTTATGATCAAGAATGCTTTAAACTTGCTCAATATACATTTTTTCAGACTTTTTTTAAATTTCAAAAGTAACTTATTGTTTTATCTTATTATAAAGGCAATACTTGCTTATGTCAGAAAAAATGAAAATGGTGACAACCTTTAGGGAGGACAATTTGGAAATACCTATCAAATTTTAAAAATACAGATATCCTTTGACTAAGCAACTTCTCTTCTAAGTGTTATAATTTACAGATACACTCCCATTTATGTGAAATGACATGCATAAAGAGGTTTTCATTGCAGCATTTTTGTGGTAGCATGTGATTAAAAATAACCTAAGTGTCCATCAACAGAGAAATGGTAAAATTAGTTGTGGTCATTTATGGTTAGGATGATCATTCATCCAGGTTTGGCGGGGACAGTCTTTGTTTATGTCTGTTCTGCAGTAGTTAGGAATAGCATGCTCTTCCCTTTCAAAAGTATCTTGATTTGGCCAGTAAATTTTGTGTTTAGCCTAATTTGAGTGTAGTCTTACTATGGAATGCCATATAATAATTTTTTTAAATGATGGCATTCTTTATCTTATCTTTGACTAATTAAAAAAAAAGCAAGATGTACCTACATTGGGTTTTAAAATATTAAAATATGGAGGAGGATGTGGAATACATATAAGGAGATTCATAAGCAGAATTGACTGTTGATAATACACTGATATGCAGATTTTCTTCAGTAGGCCCACTGCATCTGAGCGTTCTGCATGTGCAACCAAATGCAGATAAAAAAATACAGCATTCCCAGGATGTTAAGCCCTCACGTATGGAGGGCCGACTTTTCCTATAGGTGAGCTCCACAGGGCTCACTGTGGGACTTGAGTACACATGGATTTTAATATACTTAGGGGTCCTGGAACCAATTCCCTGCATGTACCGAGGGATGACTGTACACCAAATACTTCTGGAAATACGTATAAAAAACTGAAAATATTAGTTGTTTTAGGGCTTGGAATCTTGGTGGCTGGAGACCAGAACTAAAAGGGAAACTTTACAGTATACCCGTTTCTGTACTTTTTTAACCATGTGAATAAACTACCTATTAGGAAAGCCCAGAATTTTAGAAAGGGAGGAAAAATTATATATCTATATAGAAAAACAACTTTAAAATTATACATCCTAGTGTTAACAGTGCTTATTCCGAATAGTTCAGTTGCAAGTGATTTATTTATTTATTTACTTTTTGAGACAAGGTCTTGCTCTCTCACCCAGGCTGAAGTGTAGTGGCATGATCACAACTCACTGCAGCCTCAACCCTTTAGGCCCAAGTGATCCTCCTATCTCAGCTTCCTGAATAACCGAGACTACAGGTATGTGCCACCACACCCGGCTAGTTTTAAAATTTTTTGTAGAGATGGGGTCACCCTATGTTGCTCAGGCTGTCTTGAACTCCTGGGCTCAAGCAATCCTCTAGACTCGGCCTCCCAAAGCACTGAGATTACAAGTGTGAGCTACCACGCCTTGCCACAAGTGATTTTTTTTATACACATCTTTTTGAATATTGGCATCATTTGGACTTCAGGATTAAACTTCTTCAAATTATTTTAATGCCTAACATAAGCATATACCAACGTAAGTATATACCATAATAATTTCCAACATAAGTGTATACCATAATTCTATTTAAGCGATCTCTTGTTGTTGAACATTCATGTTGTTCCAGTTTTTCATTTTAAACAATGTTGCAATGGGCATTCTTTCATAAAAAGCTTTGTGAATGTCCATTTGTATTTCTTTAGGATAGATTCCTCAAAAAAGTGTATCTGAATCCAACAAATGCCAAATCCTAAGGCTTTTGGCACCCATTTCTATACCAGCCCTACAATGCTTACTGAATTATTTTCATGTATATCATTTTAAGATGACTGGGTAATTTATAAGGAGGTTTAATTGACTCACAGTTCTGCATGCTGAGGAAGCCTCAGGAAACTTACAATCATGGCGTAGAATGAAGAGGAAGCAAAGCACATCTTACATGGCAGCAGGAGAGAGAGAAGGGGGAAGCACCAGACACTTATCAAACAACCAGATCTCGTGAGAACTCTCTCATTATCATGAGAACAGCGTAGAGGAAA
Source organism: Homo sapiens (assembly GCF_000001405.40). NCBI lineage: Eukaryota > Metazoa > Chordata > Mammalia > Primates > Hominidae > Homo > Homo sapiens. The sequence goes on from NC_000004.12 coordinate 41,578,338, forward strand.
CTGCCCCCATGAGCCGATCACCTCTCACCTGGACCCTCCCTTGACATGTGACGATTACAATTCAAATTACAATTCCAGATGAGATATGGGTGGGGACATAGTCAAACCATATCAATTTCTAAATCACTCTTCTAAAATATAGTATAGAACCAATTTACACCCTTGATAGCTGAATCTGAGACTGTCAACTTCTTTATATCTTCCCAACACTGGATCTTATAATTCTTATTCATCTTGGCCAATTTGATGGGTAAAACTCTTTCTCTGCTGTTGTTTTAATTAGCATTAAAATGTTTTTGGGGAGTAGGCCAAATTTCCCCCCACACATTTATTGACCATTAGTATTTCTTCTTTTCTTTTCTTCTTTTCCCCCTTCCCTTCCACTCCCCTCCCCTCCCCTCCTTTGATAGGGTCTCACTTGGTTGCCCAGGCTAGAGTGAAATGAAGTCATAGCTCCCTGTAGCCTTGAACTATTGGGCTCAAGTGACCCAGTAGCTAGGATTACAGGCATGCAAACCCACACCTGGCTAATTTTTAAATTTTTTTATAGAGACAGGGTCTCACTATGTTTTCCAGGCTGGTCTCAAACTCCTGGCCTCAAGGGATTCTCCTGCCTCAGCCTCCCAAAGCGCTGAGCTTACAAATGTGAACCACTGCACCCAGCTCTATTTATATTTCTTATGAATAAAACTAACAGAAGAAAAATGTGTGATTTTTTTTTTTTTTTAATGGGACCAAAACCTTAAAAGAAGGTTCTGGGAGAATGGAGTAGCACATATCTTGGCTTTCTTCTTTTTGCCAGTCAAGGTGCTCAGAATAAGAGCTGTTATAGAAATGTCAAGTGTAAAATGATTATGTAAGTCTACAGGCCAGCTGCTAGGTTATATCTGACTTTGTACCTCTCAATATCAGGGCTGTTTACCACCTCCTGTTCCGTAAGAGTCTGGCCTAGTCATTGAAATTGATCGGGCATAATGTCACCACTTCTGATCCTTACGCAGTGGCATTTACTGAGGCAGGAAAGGTCTTAAAAGTTAATTGCAATTTTCTGAATTATTTTAACTCACAATAGCTTGTTGCACCCTTAAACATGAGATGGGGGAATCATTTGTGTTAGGATGGTTTTACCTTAATCTGCTTTTCAAATGGCACACTGTGTCAGATGTCTCTTGACATAGTTGTGCAGTCCATCTGGCGTACAGACGGTCATCGTTAATGTAACAGTGATCCGCATCATGTATATGTGTCTAAACATCAAACAAATCAAACTCTTTTGATGTCCTTTTCAATCAGTCTTTAGTTTCAAAAATATTCTTTACACTGCTGAGTGTAACAGCAAAATTGCTTTAAGTCTTTTCTCTCCTCCCCCACTGTACACTCAGTGTTTTAAGGAATTTAAAACACTTAACTGCTTCAGAGGATGCATGATAGGGGATGATTGCCTTTCTCTGGTATCCTCTTGGCATGTGTAACATACATGTAGCGGTCTGTTTGTTTCTCAATGCTTCATGGTCTGTGGTGCCTGACAAGACCCAGTCTCCATTTGAAGGCTTTTCTGTTGCTTACCAGGGCTGCAGAGGAGCTGCTTTTTAAGGGCAGTATTTCAATAGTTAACTGGGACTTTGGGGAGGCACAGCCTTCGGGGAGGGCACCACCAGGCTCATTTAATTTTCACTAGTAATGTGGTAAGGCAGGCAGGTACAATTTACATTTGACACACAGGGTAACTGAGTTCCAGGCCTATGCATGGAGGAGACAGGATTTTAAAATTCCAAATCTCATGGGTTTTCTCACCACATCATGTGAGGTGTCCTATAGAACAATCCTTAAGTGAATGCGTTTCGTGTCCGTTTTCAAAGATCATGGTCAGTGTATAAAAATAGACAGTTAAATGTCCATGGAACGTGTACTGTCCCTCTCCTTCCCCTGAATCATGGCCACAAAGAAATCCTTCAAAAGATCAAAGAAAATGGAGATATTGAACAGGTCACACTCTGTGATCATGATGCAATGGGTATAGAAATAATAACAAGAAGGCAATTTAAAAAATTTTACCCACTTGCAAATTATGAAACACACTCACTGATAACCCTGGAATCAAAAAGAAAACCAAAGAAAATATTGACATCATCACTTCCATTTTCATTGGAAGTGAAAGTTATCAGAGAAGAAAGAAAAAAGAATATTTTATTATCAAAACTTCTAAGCACAGTGAAAGAGGAAATTTTCTATTCCTTACTAAAGAATAAAGAAAAAATAGGACAAGTCATTACTCAGCTTAAGAAATAAAGAGAAACAAAATAAACCTAAAAAAACAGGAAGAAGGAATTAATAAAGATAAAAGCTGAAATTAAAGGGATAGAATAATGGATAAATAAATCCGAAAGCTGTTTCTTTGGAAAGACCAGTAAAATATATAAATCTGTTGAAAGCCCACTTAAGGGAAAATAAGATAGCAAAAGAGTACAAACTAAAGACAAAGAAAATAAATGGCAAACCAATAAATAGAAGATAAGTTAAAATCATTTTGAGACTTGTATAAACAAACTCATGGTAAGAGGTTTGAAAACCAGCAGAAAAGGATGATTTTTCAGCAAAATATAAATGATCAAAATTGATCCCAGAAGTAGAAACCTTGACTATACCAATTACTGTAGAAGATACTGGAAAGGTAAAGAGTTATCATTCAAAAGGATTCCAGAGCCAGACGGTTACAGAGATAACCTTTAAAGAAGGAAAACTGTCTGTCTGTCTGTCCATTCATCTGTCTGTCTGTCTATCTATCTATCTATCTATCTATCTATCTATCATCTAATCAATCATCTGTTTTCTAGCTTTATTGAGGGATAGTTGTCAAATAAAATTTGTATGTATTTAAGGTGTGCAACATCATGATTTGGTATATGTATACACCGTGAAATGACCACCACAACTGAGCTAATTAACACATCCATCACTGCAAATGCAGTGAGAACACTTAAGATCTACTCTCCTAGCAAATTTCAAGTATACAATACAGTGTTATTAACTATAGTCACCATCCTGCACGTTATGTCCTCAGAATTTATACATCTTATTACTGATTATGCCCTTTTGACCAACATTTCCCTATTTCCCACAGCCCCTGGCAACCCCAATTCTACTCTCTGCTTCTGTGAGTTCAGTGACTTTAAATTCCACAAGTGACAGCCGGGCGCAGTGGCTCACACCTGTAATCCCAGCACTTTGGGAGGCCAAGGCGGGTGGATCCCGAGGTCAAGAGATCAAGACCATCCTGGCCAACATGGTGAAACCCTGTCTCTACTAAAAAGTACAAAAATTAGCTGGGCATGGTGGCATGCACCTGTAGTCCCAGCTACTTGGGAGGTTGAGGCAGGAGAATCGTTTGAACCTGGGAGGCAGAGGTTGCAGTGAGCCGAGATCGCGCCACTGCACTCCAGCCTGGGCAACAGAGCAAGACTCTGTCTCAAAAAAAAAAAAAAAAAAAAAAAAACAACAGCAAAACTCCACAAGTGAGATCATACAGAATTTATCTTTGAGTCTGGCCTATTTCACTTGGCATAATGTCCTCCAGAGTTCATCCACGTTCTCACAAATAACAGGATTTCCTTCCTTTTATGGCTAATATTCCATTGTGAATATATATGTCAGATTTTCTTTATCCGTTCATCCATTGAAGGACACATAGGTTGTTCCCATATTTTGGCTATTGCTAATAATACTGCAATGAACATGTTATTTAAACTCTTCCAACTGAATTTAAAAAAATACTTGCTTAAAATGTGTAGTGTGCTAGCCATAGTGCTAGTCCTAAAATAGTTGGTACATACATGAGTGTGAATTCCTGCATGGTAACTCATGGAATAATGGAAAACGAAGCCACAGGCTTTAACCGTAACCCAGAGCTGCATGTGTATGTTGTTCCTACCACCGTGGATCAGGTGGTGCCAAGGAATCATGATCCACAGGCACACATGGAAAACTAGATGGAAGATGGTACTGAAGCTGGTCTTTGGAATATACTCCTGAGAGACTAGGTGGCAACTCACTTTTATTAGCCCATGTAAACATTATTTATAACCTATTGACATGCTTGGTTTGGGCATCATTTTCAGGCTAGTGAGGTTTATGTCTTTATATGCTATGTGCCTAAATTTATAGACCTGGAGGCAACGCAGTGTAGTGGTAAGGGGTAGGGGTTCTGGAGTCAGATGGCCAGGATTTGATTCAACCATTTATGTTGGTTCAACCATTTACGTGTGTGCCATTAAGCACGTTACATTATGTCTCTGTAGTTCACTTTCTCATCTGGAAAATGGGGATAATAATAGTATCTACCTCATAGGGTTGACATGAAGCTTTAGTATGTAAATATACATAAATTGCTTAGAACAGTGTCTTACACATAGAATGCCCTCAATAAGTCAGTAATGATGATGATCATGATGTTGATATTTATAATTATCATTATCATCATCTTCAGCAGTATTTTTATAAGTTGGAGGGAAAGACTATGTATGGCTTTTAAATCAGACTGGCATACCTGTTAGCTTTGTCGTGGGTGTATTGTGTGCCCTTGGAACTTTACTGAACTTTATTTTATTGTGGTAAAATATACATAACAAACTTTACCATTTAATCATTTTAAGTGGACAGTTCAATGGTGTTAATACGTTTGCATTGCTGTGCAAGCATCACCACCATCCTTCCCTGTAACTTTTCATCATCTCAAACTGAAACTCTGTTCCTATCAAACAATAACTCTATGGAACTTATTTTAAACATCTTTCTCTACATCTGTGAGGGTAGGCACACTTAGGGCTAGGTTGTGAGAACTAAATGTGGGAGAAATTGCAAAGCCCCACACACCTTATAGGGCCTTAGTACTTCTTGTCCTTAGGAAACCCTGTCTATATCTTCCCAAACCTGAGTGCTTAGGAAAGGGTCCTCTGCAGTCACACTGGTGGCTCTCAACATTCCTTATGTTCACCCTTCTCCTCTCTTCCCCCCTCCATGGTGACCTTTTTCTCAGATATCTTGTTTTGTGAACAGGAACAGCATATGCAATGTGTTAACTCGTTTTAGTTGCCAAGAATGTGCTAGGTGCTATTTGGGAGAGATAACTTCCCCCATTAGATTTACTGTATAAATTAGGTCAAACACTAAGTTGGAAAGAAGAAGCCAGTATCCATGGAAAATTTATTATTTTGAATATACTTTTTTTTCAACATTCCTTGACGATGAAATGTGGTTTCCACTTGTGCATGATTACAACGTTGAGAATCTAGAGTTATATGAAGACAAGCTTTTCTCCACACCTTTTTTGAATTACATAGAAAAAAATTGGAATAGTAAAGGCAGCCCCATCTTGGGTTAGGCACCTGATAAACTTGAAAACATAAAAGGAGTGGTGGTGATATTTCCACCCAATTTCTCTCTCTCTCTCTTTTTTTTTTTTGCTTTGAATTCGTACCCTACATATCTCTTCTTCCTTTTCATACACATTTTAATATCAGCAGAATATTTCAAGAGGACTTTTCCCCAGCTGAAATTTCCGAATACCGAAATTACTTCAGGTTTGTTTTGGGTTTTTTTTTATTTTGTGGTGTTTCCTTTCTGGCTGACTTTTTAGCCTTCTCAGTAGAGAGGTTGTGATCTGTAAATATGATAGGGATAATGGTTTTTAGATCTATTGACATGGCTCTTTGCACTCACACTCATATGACCTCTATACGCCTGTTTCTTTTCCTAATGTCATCCACATGCCTGACCTGGACTATGAAATACTTTGTTCCTGGGGTCACCCCTAACTAGTAAATCATTGTCTTAACCTGCAGCCCTATAGAGACAAGTGTGGAATATATCCTTTGTTGCAAAGATTGAAGTATGCAGAGATGAATCAGACCTTGATGTTTGACTCCTATTTGTCTCACATGTCTTGGGGGTTGGTTGGCATTGCCAGTGTAGAAATGGATTGAAAGTTGGGTTTTAGATGATGAGCCACAACCAGAGTGTGATGACTATTTGACTCCTATTTGAATATGATGTGAAAATACAAACTGTGTTTCAGTAGTTCATCTGGCTCAGCATTTCTTAAACTGTGCTTTATGAGCTGTGAAAAGGTGTATGATGGAAAAAGGGATTCTGAAGTCCAATAAGTTTAGGAAAAGCTGAGTTAAAATTAAGAGTCTCTTAGTAAGAATTTCTCAGAACTGTTAGTCTAAACATTATGAACTCTCAAGTGGGGAGTATTTTATGTAGCATTTTCCAAACTTTATTTGATCCAGAATCTCCTGGGACATATCTCTAGGACTCTGTGATGTGTTTATTGCTGTTTTTTTTGTTTGTTTGTTTGTTTTGCATTTTTATACCTAACAAAATTGACCATTTTAACCATTTTTAGGTGTACAGTTTAGTAAGTTATATTCACAATGTTATGCAATTGTCATCTCTATCCATTTGTCTTAGTTTGTTCAGGCTGCTATAAGAAAATACTATAGACTAGGTGGCTTATAAACAACAGGACTTTATTTCTCACAGTTCTGGAGGCTGGGAAGTCCAAGATCAAGGCACTGGCAGATTTGGCATCTGGTGAGGACCTGTTTCCTGGTTCATAGATGACCATCTTCTTTCTTTGTCCTTCCATGGTAGAAAGGGCAAGGATGCTCTCTGGGGTCTCTTTTAAAAGGGCACTAATCCCATTTATGAGGGCTCACCCTCATGACTTAATCACTTCTTAACACTCCACTTCCAAATACCATCACATTGATCGGCACAAACATTCAGTCTATAGCACTATTTTGAGAACTTTTTCATCATCACAAACTAAAACTTTTTACTTATTAAACAACAACTACCCATTATCCCCTACCCTTACCTCAGACCCTGGTAACCTTTGTTTTACCTTCTGTCTCTATGAATTTGACTACTCTAAGTACCTCATGTATAAGTGGAATCCTGCAATATCTGTTCTTTTGTGTCTGACTTATTTCACTTAGCATACTATCTTCCGGATTTATTTACATTGTAGCATATGTCAGAAAGTCATCTCTTTATAACGCTAAATACTATTCCATTGTATGTATAGACCACATTTTGTTTATCTGTTCATCTGCTGATGAACATTTGGGTTGTTTCCACATTTTGGCCATTATAAACTTTAGTGTGCAAGTGTCTATTTGAGTTTCTGCTTTCAGTTATTTTGGGCATATACCTAAAAGTGGGATTGCTGGATCATATTGTAATCCTGTGTTTAACTTTTTGAGGAAACATCAAACTGTTTTCCATAGCAGTTACACCATTTTACATTCTCACCAGCAATGCACAGTGGTTCTAGTTTCTCTGTATTCTCATCAACACTTGTTATTTTCTGTCTTTTTAAAAACAGGCATTCTAATGAGTGTGAAGCGATATCTCATTGTGTTTGATTTGCCTGTTATTATTGTTGTTGTTTAACTTCCAACTCATCTCAGACTGATACGTGATTCTACTACCATTGGTTACACAGTTCAGCACAATATATGACTCATGTAGGTTGGAAAACATCCGAAATGTTATACTCCCTATTCAGTGAAATGAGTTCATTGATCACACAGTTGGATGTGATTAGAATACCAAATTGTTATAAAAGTTTTTAAATGCTTCACTTCGCTTCTCTTCTGTCTTCTTTTCTCTTCTCTTCTCTTCTCATCTCCTCTCTTTTCCTTTCCCTTCCTTTCCCTCCCCTCCCCTCCGCTCCCTCTCCTCCCCTCCCCTCCACTCCCCTCCCCTCCTCTCCCCTTCCCTTTTTGAAACAGGGTCTCACTCTGTCACCTAGGCTGGAGTGCAGTAGCGTGATCTCAGCTCACTGCATCCTCAACCTCCTGGGCTCCATCAATCCTCCCACCTTAGTCTCCCAAGTAGCTGGGACTATAGGCACATGTCACCATGCCTGGCTAATTTTCATATTTTTTTGTAGAGATGAGATCACATTGTGTTGCCTGCACTGGTCTGAAACCCCTGGGCTCAAGTGATCCACCTGCTTTGGCCTCCCAAAGTGCTAGGATTATAGGCATGAGCCACTGCGCCTGGCCTAAATGCTTATTTTCAATTTTGCAGTTATTTCATCATGGACCAGTACCAAACCCATAGCAATCCACAGACCACAGTTTATCACTGCTCTCAGTCATATTTTACATGTCAAATATATGGAAACTGTTTAATGGAATATGATAGATAGTTTAAGCAGTTTTATTCTAAAATAAGTGAAGGTATTTTTCATTCAATTCCCAAAATGCAACTAGTGAATTATGTTGGAAAACAATCTGGCCATATAATATAGTAATGCATATGTTGGGTTTTAGGGTTAGTTTAAGTAGCCTGGGGAATAGTTCAGTAATTTTTTGGAGGGATAGATTCCTTGGAATCCAGACAGTTTTCCTGATAGGCTGCACTGTGGTATTGCCCCTCAAATGAGCTTGAATGTCAAGTCCTTGAGAGGCGATACAGCTGCTGTATGGATGGTCATGAGTCTGGAATCCAGAAAGAGATAAAATCAAGGTGCAAGAGCCAACGGAGTCTTTGGGGTTGAGCACTCTATTTCCCTAACTGTGCTATGAGGAAAAAATAATTAATATATGCTATGCTGGCAAGGAATTGTGCTTCCAAAGCTCTTCCAAGCAGAGTTAATTAAGTAATGTATGCTCACTTCATTTTGTAGTTGGTTCTCTTTGGCATCAAGACTGTTAACTTAAGCAAATGGAAGCAGCATTGCAGCTTAGTGCATAGTTCCAAAAGAATAAAGCAAAACCAAATTTGAAGAGTTTGTATGCTAAAAATGATAGTAGTAATTCACATTCTACTCTAAAACTTTGAAAGAAAAATCCACATCTGATCCACTTTTGTGAGTGCAGCCAGTATTGATAGTTTTGTCTGCCCTAGGGAGTCTCATTTTCCTTCTTTTGGAAACTATTCCTCCTCTACTCCTCCCTGGCCAAGGATTCACGGTCTTTCTATCCTCTTTCATTAGCTACTGTGGGAGGGAACTTGACCCTAGACAGGTCAATATGGGCCTTTTCCTGGGATGTTTTTCAAACTGCAAGTAAGAAGAGAGTCAGTCCTCTGACGGGGTGCCAGCCTTCAATAATGAAACTTGGGAACTAGAGGTTCGTGTGGAAGAAACTCATGAACAGCAAGAGCCAATAAGCCAACATGCAGGGTGGGCACACAAGAGATTAAGGAAGTCCAGGGCCCCAGTACCTGAGGCCTTGGTTTACAGCTGTTTCAGTGGGTCAGCTGCATCCCCACCCTGTGCCCTGCTGGGTTATACTGGACTCTGTAATCCAATATATGCCTATTTACATCTGGATTTCTCTCACTTGCAAATAAGAGTCCCTCATGACCCCTTCCTGCTCAAAACACTTAACATACTACCTTTCAAACAGCAAGTATGCCATTGATAGCTTTGAATAAGCTTTAAAAGTTAAAGTTAACATAGCCTAAGCACTGACTCGTCATCATTCTAACCCAGACTCACACTTTGCTCCCATTATTGAAAAAACAGTAACAGATTACTTCAAAATACCGTAACATATCAAACTTTATATTCTTTTTTTTATTTTGTTTTATTATTATTATACTTTAAGTTTTAGGGTACATGTGCACAATGTGCAGGTTAGTTACATATGTATACATGTGCCATGCTGGTGTGCTGCGCCCATTAACTCGTCAATTAGCATTAGGTATATCTCCTAATGCTATCCCTCCCCCTTCCCCCCACCCCACAACAGTCCCTAGAGTGTGATGTTCCCCTTCCTGTGTCCATGTGTTCTCATTGTTCAATTCCCACCTATGAGTGAGAATATGCGGTGTTTGGTTTTTTGTTCTTGCGATAGTTTACTGAGAATGACTTTATATTCTTTTTAAAAAATAATTTTTAGATACAGAATATGGGATGGGTGAAGTGAGGGGATTTAAATCTTGGGGGCTAATGACATCTGTGAGTGAGCAGAAGGTGAAGGCATGGCAGAGAGGTGGAAGGAAGTAGAGGAGGCTTGTTCACACTTCTTCCAAGATTGGAAGAGGGGGCTGACCAAGGATGCCTGGAAGGATTAACAAGTGGATCCAGGAGCCTACTGATGTGGGAGCTCATAAATTTGTGGCAGCTCCAGGCCCAATCATGGCAGCATTTTGTCCAGTAGCACAGGGAGCCAAGCATTAGGGACTTAGGGTGATAAATAATATTCCCCTCTTCCTCTTCTAGCTGAGACATAAACATGGGAATCAGACAGAGATCACAATATCATCTTGACTTCTCATGGAACAAATTGGAGAACATGAGTTTAGCTCTTCAACCAAGTGGGTTTGCCAATCCTCAATCCTGAATTAAATGAATTTATCCACCCATTTCTGGCACAGCTGGGCAACCACAGGCCTCCGCCACAGAGAGAGGCCCCTTACCACATGGCAGAGACCGAGAGCCTGTCTTCGTGGAACGGAAATAGCTGAGGAGAGATGTCCCATTTCTTCTCCCAAACCAACTTAGCAAAGAAGGAGGGAGGGCCAGGAGTGTTATCCCAGCTGATGTCCCTCCATATAGACAGACGGCTGATCCTTCTTCCAGTGGAGGCAAGAGATGGCTGGGTTCGATGCCAAGGATCATTGTCCCAGGCTAACTGTTCCATCTGCATTATTTCCTCCTCCTAGTCCTTGTTCTCTTATAGAATGACAAAGAGGTGGGGATGCTGAAGCTACATGCAGTGGCCTAGACTGGATCATGAAGGAAATAAGGCAACAAGGGGAGAGAGAAATGGACTGAGAGAAAAGAGCAAAGTTTGTAAATGAAAGAGCAGGTGTTATAGGTGAGAAAGAATGAGAATCCTGGAAGAAGAGGGACTAAGGTAAAAGAGGAAGAGCATTTACTTCTTATGTCCCAGTTATTGTTGTTCTAGGTGATATCTAGGTTAAAAGAGAGCGAGAGAGCTGTGCAAAGGCCCTGGCAGGAGCTCACCTGGCATGTCTGAGGACCAGTGAGCAGGTGCCTGGCTGAAGCCGCATCGGGGGTGGTGGGTGGGGGAGAGCCTTGGAGATGTGATCAGAAATGTAGTGGGTAACAGGTTCTGCAGGACTTGTAAGGACATAGGCTTTTAGAAGAGAAACCTGGGACAGAGAAGGGTTAGGTTATTCAGCCAGGAAGGGGCAGAGCTGGGATCCTCAGTGTGGTGGTGTGGCATTTGACCCCAGACACACAGTGCTTCCTGAAACAGTGCTCTGGTCTGGCTTCCCTGTTGCTGGCTTCCCAGGTTCTCCTCCTGCTTATGTTTGCTTTTCTTCAGGCACGATGAACTTGTCCTCCTCTAACTGTCCTTTACATGTGGATGATGTCTCTGGGTTAGCCTCGCTCGTTCTGTGTCTGACCTCTCCCAGGAAATATCCTGCTTTCCCTTGGCTTCTCCTGTGTTCCTGGGCTGGTGATTCCCAAACCTACATATTCTGCAGGGGCCTTGCTTCTCAACTCCAAACCCAAATATAAGTCCCTGATGAGCTAGGGCTCTCTAAATATAGAGTGCTCCCAGTTTATTTCCCTTCCTCACAGATCTCCTCTTGCCCCTGTTCCTTAGGACAATCTCAATGTCTAAAAACCATGGCATTACCTGAAATCCCATCTTTCCCCTCGTCCTCTATCCCCACATCCACTCAATGGCCAATCCAAAGAGAGGTGCTCATATCTTCCCCCTCTGGTTTAGCTCTCCCTGGGATCTTTTAAAAATAGTTAGTTAATTAATTGTTCTTTTTTTTGAGACAGGGTCTCGCTCTTGCCCAGGCTGGAGTGTAGTGGCACAATCACGGCTCACTTCAATTTCTGCCTCCCAGGTTCAAGCCATCCTCCCATCTCAGCCTCCCGAGTAGTTGGGTCTAAGGTGCGCACCACCAGGCCCATCTAATTTTTTTATTTTTGTAGAGATAAGGTTTCGCCACATTGCCCAGGCTGGTCTCGAACTTCTGGGCTCAGGTGATCTGCCTGCCTCCTAAAGTGCTGAAATTATAGGCATGAACTACCACGCCAGGCCTGGGATCTTATAGTAGCCTCTTAAATGGACCCTCTCCTCCACCCATTGGCTCTCTCCCTCTGCACCTGACATCTTTTCCCAAAACAAAGCTAGGATCCCAGGACTCCTGTTCTCATGAGCTGGTCTGGCTTCCCCACTGCCTAAAGAACAGTCTAGATCTTTAGCAAGACACTCAGAGGCCTCCTCTGTCTCACCTTTCATAGTTCTCTTCTCCTCCCACCTCCCATTTTCTCTTCTGTGATCCGCTGTGCTTCTGCTCATTTCCCATCCATAAAATGTTTTCTTCTGCTTCAAGCAGCCACCCAGCTGCCACCTTCTGGGTCAAACGTCCCCAGAATTCCCCCAGGCAGAATGAGTTGCTCTTTTCTCTCAGTGGAAGAGCTGGTATCCTCATTAAGTGCTCCTGGCAAATAAAAATGCATTGAAAGTCTGGCAAGTGCTGATTGTTGTTGGACATCAGCCAGTCACTGGAGTGTGACTGTTACCCATACAGGCTGAGGCAGCAACTGTGAACACACGGCAGGTACAGGAAATCCCCAAATTCTATTAATTATGTGGTAAGTTCCTGGAGATATTTTGGTAATGTATTCCTAAAGTTCTGAGTTTCTTAATTGCATTTCTGTTAAAGGGAGTTTACTTCAAATGTAGAAAACCTAACCAAAACCATGTTTAAAAGAAAAACAAGTCTTATAGGTAGAATAGAAAAGTAACATTATTGTTGGTTATGGGTTTCCTAACAAGATCTGGGTCTTCTATGATAGACTTGCAAATCTGAAAGCCTTTCTGAGGTATGCTAGTCCGTATTAAAATTTCTTTCTTTCTTTTCTCATTCTCTTTTTTCTTTTTCTTTCTTTCTTTCTTGCTTGCTTGCTTGCTTGCCAAGGTCTTGCTTTGTTACCCAGGCTGAAGTACAGTGGTGCGATCATAGCTCACTGCAGCCTCTACCTCCTGGGCTCAGGTGATTCTCCCACCCCAGCCTCCTGAGTAGCTGGGACTACAGGCATGCTCCACCATGGCCAGCTAATTTTTTAAAAAACGTTTTATAGAGAGAGTCTTGCTCTCTTGCCCAGGCTGGTCTTGAACTTCTGGCCTCAAGGGGTCCTCCTGCCTCAGCCTCTCAAAGCACTGGCAGTACAAGTGTGACCCACTGCACCTGGGCCTTACTAAGATTTTTAGGGCAAATATTTGTTATAGAAAATGTATAAAAATGAGAACTTCAAAAGTGGTAATTCTAGTTTACATTTTAATATTTTCCACCTAGTCTTTTCATTTGTGGAAACTGAGAATTATATGGATGCTTTATATGTATATATTGCATTTTAAATATGTGGCAGTAAAGGTGTCTGGATTCATTTGAAACCCAAATGAGCATTCCCTTCATTTTCTGTGAACGCAAATCCATGATCATGTTGATCTCTCCCTATTGGGGTAAAAGAAATAACGCCAAGAAGGTTGGGCACAGAAGGGAGCTTCTCATTCCCTGTCTGGTTTCCACAGAGAACTACCAAATGCAGGGTGTCTGCCCCAGAGCCAGAAAGCTGCTTGCTCTGTGCAGGAGATAAAGGAAAGAGAGAAACCTTTTTGCAGATGGAAATGACAACTGAAGAAAGAGAAAGGTAGCAAGGAGCTTCTTGCTTGCCTTCTGAAGAAAAGAGGAAGAAGGGCCTGGATGAAGCCCCCTCCTCCTGCCCCTTCTCCCTCTGATAGCACTGCCATGGGCTGAGGAAACCTCTTCTGTAACTGCTGGGATCCTTGATCCAACTGTAGTCAGAGGACAAGTGCACCTGGCATCTCTGAATATGTTTTCCCACTGAAGTGTTCTGTCCAGCTTTTAGATTCCATCATGTAATTCCTACTCTCCTTCATGTGTACTTTGGATGAAATAAGCTTTTCTGGCCTGAACTTAGAACCACCATGCAAGGATTTATTTCTGTGGGTTAATTACAAATGATGGCTTATAAGCAGCTACCCTCCAAATGAACTTTTGGTATGTAGCCTGCCCCTAAATTTGAGGCTGTTTGTATAAAACTGTCAAGCTGGTGGTTAATAACAACTAAGTAACAATAGCAGCAACTATCTTTTTTTTTTCTTTGCCATCTCCTATGTAACTGGCAAGGGCTATACCTACACAGTGTGCCTGTTTTTCATAAATGGATAAACTGTTCTTCATCATCGCATCTTCCATGGTCCTTTCTTGACCTGAGTGAACAAGAATGTCTTAATAATAACTCCCAGACAATGAGTGCCCAGAAGGTGCCAGACGCTGAGCTGTGTTCTTAATGTATATTTTCTGTAATTTTGACATCCCCACAGGTCGATAGCATCCCCCACCTTATGAGTTAGAAATCTGAGGATCAGAAAGGTTAGGAACTATGCCCAAGGACACGTAGCTAAGAAGCAGACAAGGCTGGGATTCTAACTAGAAAAGCTATTTGTGCCCTGTTCCTTGATATGTTTGTTATTCTCTTACTTCTATTTTCTAATTTGATGTCAGAACTCTGTTTATGTGTATGTTGAACAATTCCAGTTATTTGATGGATTGTGAAGACTAAGGAATTCTGTTTTATTCATTACAGATACCTAGAAGAGTACGTAGCACATTGAATTGAGTTTATTTAAATATTTAGTGAGCACTTGTACATGTCAGGAACTTTGCTACACTCTGGGGTAGAGACCATCCTGGGCTATTCCCTCACCTTGCCTTTGGAGTGTGAAAGGAAAGGGAGTGAGTTGCAAGGATGTCTTTAGAGTAAGAGGCCCTGGGAAGGTAGCAAGCTCAGGTCTTACCCATAGCCCTTGGGAAATGTTTTTATACACAGGGCAAGCCCACAAATCAATGAAATGAGAAACCACTGGCCCATGAACAAGGAGGGTTTAATGTATGGAAGTTACATAAACAGTGGTATAAATTCATGTATTAATATTTGTCTAGTACAAAATAGACTCTTTGAGGAACTTTATGTTATGCCTTTCTGTTGAACTGAGACTCATGTTATGCAGTACTTGCCAATTAGCCAGAAATGGTAACTTTCCATCAGTAGCACCTGAGGATTTACCGCCATGAGTTTGCAGTGGTCATCTCAGAGGTGACAACCATTTTTCCTTGAATTTTGTGGAATAGATTTTTACCAATGAAGTCACAATCCTACCTAGTTGAATATATCTTTTAGAAAGTCAAGAACCTTTTCTCACAACCTTTTTTGGGAAAAATCTCAAACATACAGAAAAATTCAAAGAATGGTATGGTGAATAAGCGAATACAGGGTCATCCAGCTATGGTCTATGGGCCAAATCCACCCAATGCCTGCTTTCATAAATAAAGTTTGTTAGAATACAGACACACGTTTGTTTACATATGATCTGGTTACAACAACAGTGTTGAATTATTTTAACAGAGACCACCATATGGCCCACAAGGCCTAAAAGATTTACTATCTGACCCTTTATAGAAAAAGTTGACTGTCCCTTGATCTAGATTCACTGCTTGTTACTATTTTACTATTTGCTTTATCTCTGTCTTCACAGACAGGCAGACATACTCGCAACCTCTCTCTCTCTCCCTTCCCCCACACGTGTGAACATATATATACATGCATACTTTTTTTGAACCATTTGAAAGTTATGTTACTGACATTATGATAATTCACCCCTAAATAATTCATGTGGATGCTTAAAAATAAAGGCAGTCTCTCATATAAATGCAAAATCATGATCACACCTAAAAAATTAACATTCATTGAGTAATATCATCCAATGTGCAGTTTATATTTAAATTAGACTATTACACCCTTATTTAGTTTTTCCTTTGGGATCTGGGGTCTAATCAAAGATCATACATTGCATTTGTTCATGATGGCTTTGATTGCCAATTTTTGTTTTACATGACATTGACTTTTTTGAAGAGTCCTTTAAAAACTTCTTGCAAAGATGTATGGGTTTGTTAGCTCCACGATAGTAAGAGCTAAATATATAGCCATTATAGTAAAGCAGTGTCTTGTACTTCTTTTCCCTTGGGATTGAGACACTTTTAGTGTTTGGCTTCCAAAGTTAACACACTAAGTTTTGGGTTTTGCTGGAAATTGTAAATGTGGAAAAATCTCAGTGTGAACAGCAAGGCAGATGAGAATTCACAGAATGCATTTTATGTAATTAAAGGCACAGCCCTTCTCGCTTGCTCCAGTGGCTGCCCTTGCTAGCTCTTGGCTGGGTGGCTCTTCCTTCTGGCTTTTCTTCTGCCTAGGGCCTGGCTCCCCTCCAGCATCATTAGGTTGTAGCAAGAAGCTGGAAACAGACCTGCAGTTATTTAAATCTTCTAGCCCAAATTGTTTGGGCTGGCTGGCAGCACAAAGCTTTTGTGTTTGCAGGCTGCACGCTGAACACAGCATGGTGTTCAAAGGCGTGCATCCCAGATCTGTGTGTCTGGGATGCACATAGGAGGAGCACCTTGTTGAGAATCTGTGGGGGTCACAGTCATGCACCTCTTAGGGGACTACATGCTGGTCACAGGTCTTGTCTTTTATTGTGGTGCCAAATGATGTCCAGAGAGCATCAACACTCAGCCTTTGCTTTCCTCTGGGCAGAAAGCACTCAGAGCTTAAAGGCCAGTCAGAGGATACTTGCACTCCCAAGTGAAGACTCACCTGGATCTGTACTAGTCACTCGTTGGTTTGGAGTTGCCTCATGGGGTAAAGGGTTTATTTACTGTTCCTGAATGGTAGAATTGTAAGTGAGTGGTGCACGTGTTTTTGAATGTGGTATCCTCAAGATTGTTCAAGGCTAGAGCAGTGGAGCATTTGAGAATCACAGAGCCAAGTAAGTTAAGAGGGTGCATATGTATGTGTGTTTGTTTGCCGTTGGGAGGGAAGGAGGAAGAAGAACATCATAGAGAAAGAGAAGACAAGAAGAAAGAGAACTAAAATGGAAATTTCAGGAAGGCTGAATTCAGAATAAGGCACCTGGAAATTTGGAGAGGCGGGAAAAGGAATTGCCACTTTTCAGACTTAGCATTTTTAACATCTGGGGAAACTTTATTTTATTTTTTCCACTGTGTGAAGTTAATTGGGAGTCAGATTTAGTAGCGGGGTGACTGGTATGGTATATAACCTCTCTGTGCCTCAACTACTCCTCTAGAAAATGGAGACAATAACAGTACCTGCTGTGTATGGCTGTTTTGAAAATAAATGAAATAATCCATGTACATCCTCAGAACAGACCTGGTAGCTAGATGGCAAATGCTTGAAGAGTGTAAGGTATAAATGTTTAGTTCATATTATTAAGTGCCCCACATAATTCACCATAATGGTCTGATATCTACAGCCTTCACCAATCTTTAACCTATTTTCTTAAGAATAATGAGTAAATTTTTTAAAGCCTTTTAAAAAAGAATTCATCAACTGGACATGGTGGCTCATGCCTGTAATCCCAGCACGTTGCAGGGCCAAGGTGGGCAGATCACTTGAGCTCGAGACCAGCCTGGCCAACATAGTGAAACTTCATCTCTACTAAAAATACAGAAATTAGCCAGGCATGGTGGCTCATGCCTGTGGTCCCAGCTACTCAGGAGGCTGAGGCAGTAGAATCTCTTGAACCTAGGAGGTGGAGGCTGAAGTGAGCCGAGATTGCATACTGCACTCCAGCCTGGGTGACAGAGTGAGACTCCATCTCAAAAAAAAAAAAATAAAAAAGTTCACCAGCAAGCTTTGATTCTCATATTGACAAAGTATTTTTCCACTTTTCAGCAATACTTTATTGTACTAATTTTTATCTCCATACGTGCTCATAAATATTCCAGTAATAGTAAAGTATGTGACTTTTATTCCTTCTTTTTCTACCATTTTTGTAACCGATCATTTACATGTAAACGTACCAAATGAACATCCACATGTACTTCTTCCACTGGCAATAAGAAAAGCAAAATTCCAGGGAGAAAATTTTGCTGTCTCTGGAAAATGATGTGACCCAAATTGGAAGTCTGAGTACTGAGTAAAGACAAGTCTGGAAGCAAGTAAGACTGGCATGGTTTGCATAGCTAAAATCAGTGATAAACTGATATGTCCGTGTGATAACAAAGTTAACTAGAAAAAAGGATTGAAAACGATTTATTTCAAGTAACTGAAATATTGGGACAAAATAAGTGTTTTGGAAAGAAAGATGTTATATTTAAATTCAGCGACAGGATGATCAATGCACAACTAGAAAATCTGGGTCCTTTAAAATGGACTCTGTATCACCACTTTTTTCAATCCTTGCTTTCTTTCCCTTTCTTTTCTACCTAGGACAGTGTCAATCAATGAAACATATATGGCCAAGAAAGTGGAAAACTGCAAAACTCAGGGGATGGGAGGGAACTCTTACATTTGATAATTTAAAAATGTGGAAAGTAACCGAAGGAGAAACTGGTGAGGGTGTAGGTGACTTCAGACTTTGAGCAGCTAGCTCACTGTCAGCCTCCAAGAGGTCTTGTGAACAATGGCATCTCTTGCCTGCTGAAAAAAGACCTAGGCTTTACCCAGAAAGAAAACATCCTGGGATGAAGCCACCCTCACTGGGGGAAAATAAAGTTGTAGTAACTCGTCATTGTTCTCCCTGTCTCCCATCTTCTTCCTTTTTAGTACTTCCTTCACACCGTCTACCTCCCCCCAACCCCACCTGCAACAATCTCCTTCCACCATAGATCTGGGTTTTCACTTCTCAGATATAGCCCCCCTGTGACATTCTGCAACTTGTCTTCCATGGCCTTCGAGGCGTCTATGATCAGCCTCTACCTGCATAGCCTCATCTTCCTTTGGTGCTGGCCTCAGATTTTATGCTTCAGTTCCTCATATAAGACATGTTGTTTTGCACCTCCATCGTTTGGGGGCTGTGTGATCTTGGACAATTTGCTTAATTGTTCTGTGCCTTAGATCACTCATCTGCCAAAATTTTTCATAAAGTTGTACAGGAATTAAATGAGTGAATATATGTAAAGTTCTTGGAATAATGCATGGTGAATAATAAGGGCTATAGAAAGGTTAGCAACTTATTGCTATTGTTCTTGTTGTTATTTTGAGCCTGGATGTATTAATTTTTTTATTACTGCATACAACCTAATGTCTTTAACACCAATGGTTATCTCTCATTTTCTGAATGTCAGCAGTCTGGACATGGTGTAACTGGATTTTTAGCTCAGGGTCCTGCAGGACTGAAACTAAAGTGTTAGTGTGGGCTGAGGTCCTATCTGAACATCTTCCAAGCTCCTTCCAAGCTCATGTGGTTGTTAACAGAATTCATCTCCTTGCAGCTATAGAATTCATGGCCAGCATGAATTCTGACCTCACCTTCTAAGAGTTTCCCTGATTAGGTCAGGCCCAATCAGATAATCTTTCTTTTGATTAACTCCAAGTCAACTTGCTAGTGACATATCACAGAGTTATAGCCCATCATATTCACAGATTTCACTTGCACTCAAGAAGAGGTGTGTACATTGGGGGCAGGATTCTTGGGGTTTATCTTAGAATCCTGACTGCAAACTGGGTAACTGGAAATATTCTCTGTTCACTAAGTTGAATTGCACGTGGGTGAATACGTGATTCTGTAATCACCACCATCGTTTCAGATTTTTGTAGCATGTTTCTCACAGCATTCAGATGGATTCACATCAGTCTGGCTTCTGGAGCCGACATTCCCTATCCTGTAGTTTTCACTAACTGATGGGGTCAGTTAGCACCTTCAAAAGTCTTTTAGGAAGAGAACAGTTAGAGACTTGTAGCTGGTAAACTTCTTGACTAATACCCTGGAGTTCCAAAAGGATGACCCACAATTTGCAATCCCTTTCAGAAGCATTTGTTTGTACTTAATGACTTAAAATAGATGAAGACAGACCCCTCCTTAATTGTCATTGGTGCCTGCCAATTCAAAGTAAATTTGTATCTGCTAGAGAAAATTTCACTTTCTTGACAGTCTTTTGCATTAGTATTTTAAAAGCTTTCCCTGT
Source organism: Homo sapiens (assembly GCF_000001405.40). NCBI lineage: Eukaryota > Metazoa > Chordata > Mammalia > Primates > Hominidae > Homo > Homo sapiens. The sequence continues at coordinate 41,598,357 of NC_000004.12, forward strand.
CCTTTTTTCTCATTTCGATTGTCTAGATTTTTTTTCTTGCATTTAACTCAGTGTATAATCCACAAAGAGGTATTACTAGTCAAAATCCCTAAAGGATGTAAAATACATCTAAAGAATATATTTTAGAAGATCAATTAAGAAGAAAAACTTGCTAAAGATGAAAAACCTTTTTAAAAAAAAAAGAAAGAAAAGAAAAGAAATCAATTTCAACCAGATTCTAGGCAACAAGACATGGACAAAGAAGCAATAAGGAATACCTGTTTTTGAGTACAGTTCCCCCTAACAATGCTAAGTTTTCCTTTTTAATGGCATTTTACTTGCAGTTTTATACAAATGTGTCAAGCTAACGGGAAAAAATGAATCTGGCATGGTTGTGGGTTTGGAGGTTTGAAGTGTCTGTTTATCTGGCATTTCCTAACAAAGTATGATTTGTTATGCAAGCTATGATTTAGACCTGACCATAGCTGCCTTAGTGACCAGTATCCCTACAGCAACTTGGGAGGGGCTGGTTCATAAAGATAATCTAAGATAATATAGACTTATATTTCTTTTTTTCCTTCTAGGACAATATTATCTTATTCTTGAGAGGTTGTAAAGAGCTCGGCCTTAAAGAATCTCAACTTTTTGACCCGAGTGACCTCCAGGATACATCCAACAGAGTAACAGTCAAGTAAGTAAAGCGTGATTTATGTTTAAGGGAAACTCCTTTATAGTTTGATTTGCAATTTTGTGATGATGTTGTAAGTTCTAAGAGACAGAGAATTGGTTATGCTTAATAAAATAAAAATGTGAAGGTAAAAATCAACTTTCAAAACAACTCACATTGACTTTCCCTCTGTGCATAGCTTTCATTCTGATCAAACATCATTTTTTGAATGCAAAATTCTTGCATATAGAGTTTGAATTTTGAAGAGGAGAAAAATGTTAAGTAAAGATTAACAGAGAGGCAAGAAAGAAATAGGCACAGAATCAGTGTGTTAGACAAAAAACTTTTATTGGCACCAATTGAACATTTGAGTAGGCTCTTGGAAGGTAAACAGATCTGAACTCTGTTATGCAAAGAAAGCATTAGATTATGGAGAACTTGCTTCTTCATTTACATGTGTAACTGTCTTCTCATATGTGTCAGTGATCAAGTTCTTTGAAGATGGATCAAGAACTTTGACTATATCTACTTAATGAGCCCTGTTTGGGCCAAATAATTCTTGGAGCAGAATGTCACAATAAAAGAGACAGCAGTGTACTTTGTGTAAAGAAATAGCTTGTGACCAGGGTATGAGATGGCAGAGATAACTTTCCTGTAGTTTAGAAGTTCTTTAGATCCTACTGATTTCATATAAAACATTTTCCACTTTAGCCAAACAATGTTTGACATGGATATGCCTTAATAATAAACATAGTTACATAGATAGGGTCTGTGAATAGGTAACTTTTCTTCTTTTGATTGTTTTTGGAGTCATTTTATCATGAAGGAACAGAAAAGGGAGAGAAGCCAAAATTCAGAGCTGTTAATTTTATACAATTTGCTTGATTTTATACTATTTGCTTGATTTTTATATTATATTTGCTTGATTTTTATACATTTGATTTTATACTATTTGCTTGATTTTTTGTACTATTTGATTTTATACTATTTGCTTGATTTTTTATTTTTTAAAAAGGATGAGGAAAAATAGGAAAAAAATGAGAACTACTGGATAAAATAAAATTTGGGGTTTATGTTGGATTTTGTGATTCATGACTGGGAATATGGGAGAGTTAGTAGTGATCTGTTATCTAAAAGTACTTTTCTGTTGTCAATATGCCATTCTTTAAAACTTCTCTTGGAAAAATTTTAACTAAGCGAAAAAATAACAGAATAAAAATCAGGATATTTGAATATGGAAACCGCACTAAACCTCATCTTGGTCATCACATGCCCCATTTATTATTGTACTTAAATCTATCCTCTATAAACCATTGTTCACTTTAGGAAATTGTTTTAGGTTCTGCCTCATCTCCCATTCATAGTTTCACCCGGGTGGCAAGTGACCAGAAACAATAGCAACTGTGCAGCTTCGTAGGTAATAATTAGTCACACACACATTGCTTGGAGGGTGAAGGAAAGGTCACTTTGAAAGTGTCTGCAGCTGCATTCATTTTTTTTTAGAGCCACTTTAAATCAGTATGTTACTAAACCAGAATTCTGAGCCTGATTGGTTTTAAAAATTCAAATCTCGTATCACCTTTATTGCTTATCTACAAAAAACTGGGCATCAGGAAAATGAGGATCTAGCCCTAGGTCTGCTGCTCACTAGATCTGAAGCCCTGGTTAAGCTCCCTTCTTCAGCAGGCCCCATGTATTCATCTAAAAATTGAAACTGGATGGAATATTCCATCTGGTATGATTCTGGGTCAAGCTTGCTCAGTGCAGATATGGGAAGATGGAACAACTGACTTGTAAAAAAAAAGAGATTTAAATCAAGGTGTGGAAAGAAATCTAAAGGGGAAAATGTCACGTAGGCAAGTGACACGTGGATACAGTCCCTTCTTAGTTACTGTACCATCTTTTTGTTTTCCTGTTGATTTTTCCGTCTTTTTTTCTGTCTCCTTTTCTTCCTTCTGCCTTCCCTCCCTTTTTAATCCCGTCTTTCCATCTATCTCTCCTTTTGTATTTCTTCTCCTCATTTTCTTTTTAATGTTTCCTTCACTTGGGTACTCTTATTTTCTTTAGGCAATACTTTGCCATCACATTCCCCCATGACCCTGGCATTTTTCATTCATTCATTCAACAAATGTTTGCTGAGCAGCTTCTGTGTGTTAGATACTTTTCATCACTAGAGAAATAGAATGAACTCAGATAGCCAAGGTCTTCTGCTCATGTGGAGTTTACAATCCAGTGTCAAGAAATGAGAAGCAAAGAAGTAAACAAAGAAGATCATTGCAGGAAGTGATAAGTGCTGAGAAGAAAATAAAATGGAGTGATAAGCAAAAGACAGTGGCCAGTCCGGAGGTGGTTGAGGGTGGCTTCTCTGAAGTGCTGGCATTTCAGCTGAGCACTAACTGGGGGCTGAGACACAAATAGGAAGGAAGAACAGGCTGTGGGAAGATCTGTGGGGCATTCAGGACAGAGAAAGAGCAGGTACAAAGTCAGGGGAAGAGGAACCACAAGCTTCATGTTTAAAAGAAAGAAAAGTAACTGGTGTGGTTGAAGGATAATGTGTAAGGACATGTGTGGTGGGCGTGGCAGTCCACAAGCAGGGTAGGATGTTGAACTCAGAATCATTATAGAGAAAAAACATTTTACTGTATGAGTATTTCAAAGAACATAAAGAATTTTATCTTAAAATGATGCTATAAATTCACTTACAGTACGTAGAAAGTTGTTTCTGGTTTTAGTAAGGAGTAGAGTATGGAATAAACTATCGGATTTCGTGTATTTTTGATAAGTGATGCTGGTTTAATTTGGCACTGTGCAGGGAATGCTTGTAACATATGCAGATTTTGTAAACTAAGGTAGTTAAAGTGGAACTGCTATATTTCTCTGTTGTCCCTCTAAGAGCTGAGCAGGACATCTGTAGACACAGAGAGGAGCACCCCATTGCCACCAATTACTAGCGGAAGCAGTAAGGTATAGGGATAGATCCCACAGAAGAGCTTTGGATGGTTTTCTGGAAGTTTTGTTTCAGAAAATACTCTTTCATTTAGCTTTCATGATAGGCAGTTTTTCTTGTGTGGTGTGTGTGTGTGTGTGTGTGTGTTTTCTTTTAGAAGAAACTTGAGTAGACCAAAAAAAAAAAAAAAAAAAAAAAAAAAGAGGAAAAGCCTGCAAGTGATTACTGCATGTGTAATTTAGTGAACTCTACCTGTAATGGATGCCAGACAACCTTGATGGGAAATGAAAGTGTAATCTAGACAGGCACACAGCAAGTATTATTCCAAGGAATCAAAGCAACTGGACGAAATGTACGCAGGCTCTGGATTGCTCCCGAGTGTCTCTGTCAAAATTTGGAAGTATTTCCACATAATAGGTGGGAGTCATTCAACAAATATTTTGTGAGCTTCTACTATGTACCAAGCATAATTTTTAGCACTGGGTTACAGTCTTAGTGAACTTTTATCATCACTGCAGAAAAAGCTTTATGTTCCCTATTCTTAATTTGTTTTCCATAAAAGTTTCAAATCTTTTATAGATTTTTAAAAATCTGGTTTCTTTCTTAAATTAAAAACCCTAGCAGATTGGGAGGCCAAGGCGGGCAGATCACGAGGTCAGGAGATGGAGACCAACATGGTGAAACCCCATTTCTACTAAAAATACAAAAATTAGCTGGTCATGGTGGCACGTGCCTGTAGTCCCAGCTATTCGGGAGGCTGAGGCAGGAGAATCGCTTGAACCTAGGAGGTGTAGGTTGCAGTGAAACAAGATCACACCACTACACTCCAGCCGGGCGACAGAGTGAGGCTCAGTCTCAAAACAACAACAACAACAACAAACCCTAGCAGATATCCAAGCAGATAAGGACATCCCATTTTTTTTCCTATTAAAAACAGAAACATGAAACATTTTTTAAATCAAATCCAAACTGGACTAATGCTTCTTTCAATCTATGTCCTTGTTGATGGGTTTATTTCCATGGTATGCTACTTGTTTTCTATTTCTTCAAATTTCAATGGACTTAAAATGGTTCACTTATTCATTAATATGTACTTTAGGTCAGTGTATGCTGCAATGAAGTAATCAGGGTCTAAATACTTGCAGGAATTCTTGACTGGTTTATATGATAGTCTTACACTCCCTTCCCCCTCACCGAAGTTACTGTGGAAAAAAGAAGTGCAGTTTGTTTTTTCTAGTGTGTATTTGTTGACGTGTTAAAAAAACTTTGAAATAATTTTGCAGGAAGTCTTATTTCATTGTATGAATATTTCGAAGTAGCTTTTTTGTTTATAGTTAGAGAGTAAACATGGGTGCATATTTGAGCATGCATGTGTGTATATTTGAACATAACAGGCATATTTTCCTGCTTATGGCTTATTCCCAGTGCTAATTTATGTCCAGAGCAGAAAAGAACAAATATTTGGATAGGATTCCTTCTTGTACACATATTTTCAGGTCTGTCTAATTAAATAAGGTTTTAGACCTGTGTTAAAAATACTTGCATGAAGATTTTGGAAGTGCAGTCGGATTTCAGTTTGACGGTGGTCTATAATCAAGGCAGAATCTTCAGTGGTTAATCTTTGAGAACACAACTATGAATAGTCCCAGTTCTGATCGGACTTTTTCTATTTCCAGAAATTATAAAGCATCGTCTTTTTATAGCGTACTGTGGAACTTTAATCCCACCTTGTCCTTCTACATTTTGTTTCCTAATTAACTTTATTCAGTGCCCGAAATCACAAAACTTAAGCCTTAAAAAATAATACATTCTTCTGATTTCATTATATATGTTAGCTTCAAGTACATCTTAGTGGCATTTAAGGAAAGGTCACAATTTAGAATCTGCTATTCTGACAATATTTTCTTTTCCCTTTCCTTGACTAGGAGCCTTGATTATAGTAGGAAGCTGAAAAATGTAAGTGTTTTAACTTCCAAACTTGTATCTTTGATGGTTCAAGTGTAAAATTTAGCTAATTCAGTGTTTCTCATATGCCTTGCTGGAAAAAGTCCTTAGAAAAAAGTATATGTGTATTTCATAGAATAGTTAATGACCATGATAGAAATAAAAATAGTAAATTGTGTATGTGTTGGGCTGGGGTGGTGGTGGTTCTCTTTATTTAGATAAGTGCTCAATCCAGAAATAAACAAGTGAAAGCTTGTACTCTGTTTATGATTCAGTTTCTTAAACACAAAATGATCAGGCTCAATACTAACATTAGCCCCTTTCCATTTGTAGGCACAGATGGGATTATTAAATTAAGGAGTTTGGCAAATTGTTGTAGGGTAAGATCTGCACAATATGAATAGTGTTGACTGCCATGGGCCTATACTCTATGTATTTTGTTCTCCTTTAAATCTTTTGCACTTTTATTAGTACTTGCCCAAATGAACTTTTTGTAGATCTTATTTTCAAAAGGCAAGTATGTTAGTGCTGTTTTATTTTCAGTTTAGATTGAGGAATGAAAGAAGTCACATTCTGCATCTAAAATTTTAAAATTGGCTGAAGCCTCTTTTTAAAAAAGTTTCCCTAGGTGCTATTATATTTGATTGGCATTTTCATTCTTATCTTCTTTTTCCTCCTTTATAAAACTAGAGGTATACGCCATTTTTCATCATAAAATTTTAAACAAATCAGAAAACCTTTAACCTAAAACACAACAGTCTATTTTCCATTCCCCCGTTATACCTTTTAAGATAGCCTCATACTCTCAGCACACATTAGTTATTTTATGGTCCTAGTTAATGTCCTGACGTTTGAATCTCTGGAAATTTATTTGTAAGCAATCAGTTCAAAAGGATGTTCTGGAAGTTTCGAGGGATTCATGAAGTAAAATTTTCCCACAGAGGTAGAAAACAGAATCACCTCTTAGCATCAGTGCACATAACCATATTTTGGGTCTGTCGCCAGCTGGACTCATGTAACTATACCATGTTGTCCGAAACATTTTCTGGCCTACCAAGTAGAAGGAGGCACAATAAGTACTTCCCAGACTGGCTGAAGCGATAAGACAGAGTGTGAAAAGAAAATACTCATCTTAGCTTCTACATGGGCCTCAGATACTTGTAATTCAGTGTGAAGGAGCTCATCTTCAGCTGACTCTGCTGGGTTTCATGGGAAGTGAATGTAAAGAGGATTTGCTTTTGTGGACAATTTCTTTGGAAATACAGAACAAAATTAACTTGGGACCGTAGCTTCAGACCATTGAATACTCATAGACATTCTTAAATATCCAAGGTTGTTTAATTGGTAGCAAGCCTTGTCAAGGCTCAAAATTTCCCATCTCAGATTAATGGGAATCTAACTATACCCCAAAGCTAGGTATCTGCAGATCATATTCTTCACGACACTGCTTTCTTTTGACTTTAATTAGATATATTATGTTGATCCTGTGCTGGGAACCACTAATTAACCTTTATCACTTGTTTGGGATTTTATTTTTTTTCTGCCATTGGCCTTAGCGGAACCTCTGTGCCCACAAGTAGAAATTATGGGCCTTCAAAAGCACCTTTCTCAAAAGGAATTGACAGTCTCTTTCATTGCTTCTCTGGATAAAGATTCCAAAGCATTTTTGAAAAATTGTGAAACCTTCACTACATAAAAGATAATGTGGGTAGATTCATTTTTCCTTCTTGCTGTCTTAGAGATCATTTCCTCACTACCTAACTTTCCCTAACGCTGGAGTCGTTTTAACTACTCAACCGTGTTTGTGTTGCCTGACATGGCATTGGGTTCTTATTAAAGTGATTTTACATTTAATGGATACCTCATGGGTGGTGGTTTTTTAAAATCGATGTAAATCAGCTCTTTCCTTCCTGCCTTCCTGTTAGTGGTACATTATTGACTCCTTAGTTTAAACGTCATTCTTGAGGGAAAAATCTGCTCTTGTGCGTTTTGTTCCACAGGTATTAGTTACCATTTACTGGCTGGGAAAAGCAGCAAACAGCTGCACATCCTACAGCGGAACGACACTAAACCTGAAGGAGTTTGAAGGATTGTTGGCTCAGATGCGAAAGGTAACTTGGCTTTTCTTCTTTATCCCATAAGCGTTAGACAAGGTGGGAAAGCTACACATTTGCTTGTTTTTAAGATTACTAGAGTACTGGGTTGTGGAATGGTATGAGCCAAAGATATGCACTCAAGGAAACGATCACTTGTCTTACCAATGACATCTTTGCCTCATGCATGTCACACCTACCTGCACTTTCATACCCTTCAGAGAACAGGAGTTCTGAGCTCCATCCAACTTTTTAATTCCAAAAAAGCAAATTCAATCTATCAGTATATGCCTTTGTATGCCAAGATGCTCAGTGCTTGTTTTCTTGGGGGAATAATGCTTGAATTAAACAATGCAGTATTATGCAAAAATGAAGACTCGCTCTGCACTTTTGTGCTAAAGGGCATTTTGCTTACCCACTGGGGCCTTGATGTGGGTGAGGTAACGTGAACCAAGCTCTTACCTTGGCATACGCTCTGGACAAGGCGGGATACATTAAATGCATTCTCCTCTAACATGTGCATGTTATAGCCACTGTTTTTGAATGACATAGGAATTTGGAAAACATTTCATACATTGTTAAAAGCTTCATTTGTTTCTTTGAGTATAGAAAAGACTGACCTAAGGTAGGGATTTGTCAAGGAAACAGTTGAATGTTTCATGTGTACTACTTGCCTGAATGTTTCATCTGAAGGTCCAGCAATATACAACTCATACAAATGGCTAGTACATAGTGTTACCCAGGAGAGGCCCTCCCAACCCGCCTTAGTGTACAGGTAAGGCTTATTTATAATGGACCTCCATGTACTTTTTTAATTATTTTATTTTTTTGAGATGGATTCTTGCTGTGTCGCCCAGGCTGGAGTGCAGTGGCGCAATCTCAGCTGACTGCAACGTCCGCCTCCCAGATTCAAGTGATTCTCCTGCCTCAGTCTCCCGAGTAGCTGGGATTATAGGCAGCCACCACTAAGCCTGGCTAATTTTTGTATTTTTAGTGGAGACAGGGTTTCACCGTGTTGGCCAGGCTGGTCTTGAACTCCTGACCTCAGGTGATCCACCCACCTTGGCCTCCCAAAGTGCTGAGATTGCAAGTGTGAGCCACCGCACCCGGCCCCTCCAGGCATTTTGGATAAAGTCCACATTAGAGGACAAATAATTGAGGCCTTACTCTTCCTCATTTCTCTAGTATGCAAAATAAATGAACTAGAAACATTCAGTTCCTTGCAATTTTTCTTTTAATACTGAAAGCAAGAATTGGTTCCAATTTTCTAAACATTTATTTTCCTTTCCTTAAATTAAAGCTAATGGTCCTGATAGTTCTTCACATTTGGCTAAGGCCAGTCTGGCTCATGTATTTATAAATGGCCAAAGCTTTCATATTGGTCATAACGCACATACACAAGGTACTTTAAGCTGAATTCCTTTAAAAATTAAATAAACACAGACACACAATGAAGCACAACTCATTGCTTCTCAGTCTCACCTCTTATTTGCCCTTTAATTTCTCATCTAACATCCAGTCTGGATTTGAGATGTCTAAATGTTTATTGTTTTTATATTAAATTTGGACTTGAATAATAATAGATGGGTCATGAAGCTTTGTCTCACAGTTCCCCTGCTAGATTCTGTTGGAATCTGATTTATTCTCATGATTGACATTTCTTACTACTAGTCCAGCTCCTGTAGAATCTGAGCAGCTATTGGTTTCTTCAACTCTCCTAGCTTCTCTTTCTACAGTTAGTTTCTTCAACTGCTGTAAAATGACCTGTTGTTAACAGCTGTTACCCTTTTTGTTGAATGTAGGTAACATCACAGGACATGGTGGAGTAAGTAGTATCCCTGGATACATGACTCTTAGCAAAAATGGCCAGCCATGATACTGCCATATCTCCATCTAGAGAGAAAATGACTTGAACTTCACTGGACTATCTGAGCACCTGGAAATACTAGTTTTATATGTGATATATATAATCTCATTTTGTCAGTTAGGATCGGGTTCAGCTGGGAAACACAAAAGCCTCAAAATAACAGATAAAATAAGACAACAATTTTATTTCTAATTCACATAAATGAGACGTGGACATGAGCAGTCCAGGGCTGATGTGGGGTTCCATGTCTTTTCACCAACAGAAGGCCCAAGCTTCTTTGTCTTTTTGTACCAACAACCTCAACCCATGGCTGTTCACCTGCTGATCCAAGATGGCTGTTCAGGCTTTAGCCATCATGTCCACATTCAGCCAAGAAAAGGGAGGAATGGCGGGGAGAAGATTCCATGCTCTCCCTTTAAACACACCTCTGGGAAATTACACACTACACACATAGCTACATCTTACAGACTTGAACTTGGTCATGCATCCATATCTAGCTGCAAGCAAAGACTTGGGGAAAGTAGACTTTATTTCAGCTAAAAACTGTAGGCATTTTTGTTAGGAGAGCAGATATTGAGGGACAACTGTAATCTCTTCTGCACATATGCAGGCTGAAATAAATTTGAAATTAGTTTTTTTTCTTTCACAAAGGAGATTATCCACAAATTTTTATATTCATTTTTCTAGTGGGTGAAATGTGCATAAAAATGATTCACTAGGGTGCAACTTGTTAAGTTCTATAGTAAAGGTGACCCAGGTAGAGCCCTTGGCATAAAGTCTGGCATGTAGTAGGTATTCATAGATTGCTGCTACTGCTGTATTTTTTTTTAAAGGATCTCTAACATCACAGTGACAGTGGCCTTTCACTGAGACTGGATATGTCAGAAAAGTCCTTCCAAAGGAAGTGGCACTTCAGCTGAACAAAGAGGATTTACTACAAGAATATTAAGATTGAAGGGACACCCATGGGGACGAGGGTGGCCCTGGAGATTTCAGGATCTTTCTCTCATCTCTTATCTCTCCTTAAACTCATTATTTCTTCCTATAGGCAAACATTCCCTTATAACAGGGAGCGTGGCCAGTATCATCCCCAGGATTACTTGCTTCTAGCTCCTTGCCCAGAAAAGCAAGGGAATGCTGTCCCCTGGCCCCAGGTGTAAAAAATTCCTAGTAATGTACCCTGGCCCCATGTGGACCTTATTCCTGAAGCAGTCACTGTGATCAGGGGCAAGTGATACCGTGACTGGCCCAGGCTACTCCTGTTTCAGGGGGTGAGGGGTATTACAGGAAGAAAGGGAAAAGGGGAGGGAGCATGGTGGGCAAGCAGATGCAAGATCTCTGCCTAAAAGAGCAACCATCTCAATTTCTAGTCCCTCAACCCACCTTATGTTTTTTTTTTTTTTCATGATACTTATCATCCAATTTTGTATTCATTTGTGTTTTTCTGTGTATTTTTTGTCTTCTTTACTGGAATTTAAGACCCATGAAGACAGGGTATTTGTTGATTTTTCTGGAATGTTGTGAACTAGAACAGTGCCTGTCACACAGAAGATGCTCAGTAGATATTTGTGGAATGAACAGCTTCCACAACCAGAGGGTGGTGGGTGGAGAGTGGCTGAGCAGGCTGGAAAAGTAGAACCCTAAAGCCCTCTAGATCAGGGTGAGCCACCTTACAAATCACAAAGGGAGCAGAAAATGTTGAGCAGTAAAAGAGAAGCATCTGGAGTTTCTCAGAAACTGTTAAGTCATCCACCAGTCCTAGCTGGTTCTTGTTATGTCTGAGAAAGGGGGATAGGAGGAAGATGAGTAAAATAATCCCAAAATTTCATGAAGCTAGTAGTTCTCACCCCTTCATTAACATACTTTAACTAGAGTAACTCAGTAGCAGTTAGCACAAGGGACTGAGATTCTAGATGAAAAGCAGAGACAATGTTAATTAGAGCCCAAGAAAGGAGAATGTAGATGTGCTAGTCTCTGTTGGTTTATATCTTCTGCTCGCCATCAGAAGCTTCACTTTAAGTGACCAGAAAATGAGATATGGTGACTTGATGGGAACCAATAGAATTGTCCATCCAGCTGATATCCTCATTTTTATTTCTGGCTGAAGAGCCAGCCTGTCACTTCACCCTGAGCTTCCTCGGGACGAGCTTGGCCAAGCACAGCCCTGGGTGGCCTGGTTTTCACTGTTCAAACTGGCCATGCCATTCAGCTCCCAGCTCTTGCACTTGGTCCAAGGTTTGATTCTTGGCTTTCTACACAGCCGTGAATATAACGGCCTCTCTGTTTTTCCTTCCCATAACTATCTGTGAGAAAGCAACTAACGCTCCAAGAGGCATGTTGACTTTCTCCTTTCTTCTCCTGTGGTTTGTAGGGTGAGGGTGGGGAAGACATTTGGGCCTGTGGGGAGCCTTTCTGATATTATTTTCTTGAAAGTCCAGTTGTGTAATGGCTGCACCAAGGAACTTGTAGCTGTGTCATTTCCAGATGTGACCAGCGGTCCGCCTCCCTGAGTGTCTGCCTTCCCTGATGGTAAATTAGGCTCAAGACATCTAGACATGGGATATAAATGAAGAGAGAGATAGAGGAGTGTCAGGATGTGTAGAAAGTTGTGTCCTTAGCTACATTTATAAATGTTTTATGATTTGTATATATTGAAATTTACCCATTTGAGAGAATAAATTGTAGTAATTATAACTATAGCTGACACTTTTAGAGTACTTGTTCTGTAACAGGCATTTTTCTGAATACTTTCCATATATGAACACATTTAACCCTCCCAGCAACTCTGTGAGACAGGCGTTATTATTAGTCCCATTTTACAGATGAGAAAACTGAGGTCTGGAGAAATGAAATAACTTGCCTGAGGTCACAGCTGGCAAGGGGTGGAGCCAATAGTTAAACCCAGCCAGTCGGTATTCGGAGACCATTCTCTTAACCATTACCCTAAACTCCTTCTCTCTTGCACTAATCATGCTTCATATAACATTTCAGTCAACAGTAGACAGCATATACACAATGGTCCTAGAAAATTAAAATTCAAGTTGAATATCCCTAATCTGAAAATCTGAAATCCGAAATGCTCCAAAATCCAAAACTTTTGAGCAAAGACGTAACTCTGAAAGGAAGTGCTCACTGGAACATTTTGGATTTTGGATTTTCAGTTTTGGGATGATGCTGAACTGGTAAGTGTAATGCAGATATTTCCAAATCCAAAAAAGTCAAATCCTGAAAGCTTTTGGTCCCAAGCATTTGGATAATGGAGACTCAATCTGTAGCACATTTTACTGTATGTTTTCTATGTTTAGGTATGTGTAGATGCACAAATACCATTGTGTTGCAGTTACCTACAGTATTCAGTACAGTCACATGCTGTACAGCTTTGCAGCATAGGAACAATGAGCTGTACATATAGTCTAGGTGTGTAGTAGGATTGGCCATCTAGGTTTGTGTGAGTACACACTGTGATGTTTACACAACAATGAAATCACCTAATGACATATCCCTGTCATTCAGCAACACATAACTATATTTATAGTTTTGTGATCTAGTCATAATAGCATTTAGCTGAGGATCATAATCCAGGTTAGCATCATCTACAGAATAAGGAGGCAGTAAGTGTCTAGTAGTAGAGAAGATGCTGATGGTGGAACTGTAACTGTACCAAAGATGATCAAATATTTTCAGCTATACCGTTTGGGATTTGGAGACAGAGTCCTGTGTTAGAATCACAGCTTTGCCACTAACTGTGTGACCTCAGTCAAGTTACTTAACCTCTCTGATTCTTATTTTTCTCTTCTGTAAAATAGGGATAATGCTAACCATGTTTTAGGATGAGTGGTTGTGAGGATTAAATAACATAACATGCAAAAAACATCAAGTGTAGCTGCAGACACATAATAAGTGTTCAATAAAAGTGACCTTTGTTTTTTAGCCATTTGGCCTATTCTCAGTAGGTAAATAATCCAAGATAATTACTTGCATTTCCAAAGAAATTAAATATGAAACCATATCCAATTTGGGTCTATAATTTTCAGTGAGTCATGAGTTCTTCCTTTTTCAGTTAGTCAGGCCTGGCTTTTGTTCAAGTCCTGGTTAACTTTTGACCTAAGAGTAAGCTACCTTAATTTCCATAACTGGAATTTCTGCCTTCCTCTGGAGGGTTATGCCGGCTCTACTCACCCAGGCCATTTGACAACCTGTTCTTCAGGGCATTAATCAGTCCTCTGTCTGGAGGCTGCAGGGTGCTCCTCTCCGTCCTGCCCTTGTCCTCTTGCCCACTCCCTTCTCTTGATGCAAAGCTGTGTGTGTCTTGTAAATTACAGCCACTCTGTCCCCCGCAAAGGGCCTCCTGCTGCGGAGTATGTCAGAGGCTCAGGATATAATTGATAGAAGCAGCCAGCAAAGGCACTTCCTGCAAAGGCATTGGCTCCCGTGGGCATCCTAGACAGTTTAGACCAGTTTCCAAAACTGCTAACATGAAGAATATTTATTTTTCCTTTCTATTGGGAATGCAGAGGGGACTTTCGCGAGCATCCCAGGGAATCTGCAGTGTGGCATTCCAGTCTTTGCGGATGAGAACATGCCTCTCTGCCAGTGTTATCCACAGTCCTAATTTTAAGCGACAGTCTGGATGATATTAAATTGAGGTTTATCTTTGAGTGACCAGAGTTATTTTTGTTTTAGTCAGCCTGGACTATTGTAATTAATGCTAAGACACTGGCGGGAACAAGGCTTTTATTATAATACGAGGGTGAGGATGGCTTTGACTGACCTTTCTTCTGCTGGAGTTTCAGTGTTTTAGTATGTGCTGCTTGTGCTGGAAAGAATTTATAATCACAGGCTGTCAAAGACAGCCATTGTTCTCCCTGCTCTGAACATGTGGGTCAGCCACAAGTGCTTTCAGCTCCCCCAGCGCCAAGAGCTGGCTGAGAGCGAGAGCATGCCTGGATTCTTCTGAGGCATCAGGAAAAGCGTTTTGCATATTTTTCATTGCCTTTCTTTTTTTTTTTTTTTTTTTAACTTTTGCCTCAGAAAGACAGCTCCCTTTCAGAGCAGGAATTTCCCTTCAAGGTAGCAGGAGATGAACGCGTGCTGCTCCAGGATTTTACAGAACTGATTCTGCAGCAAAGACAAATGTTGCCTGTATTTGCCAGATAGTATAAACAGGAGCAAAAGTTGCACAGCTAAACCAGGGGCTCATTCCCAGGACAGACATGCAGTTATGGATTCCGAAAGACAAGTCAAGGTTAAGGTTTTGGTTTTTCGTTTTTGTTTTGAACTATCATTGTACTGTTGTGAATCCAAACTTTGTGATCCTTTCTTCTAATTCTTTCTCTACTCTTTTTTTTTTAAACCTAGGGAATATGAGTTATTTGGGGATTTTTTTAAAAAAAACGTTGTGCATGATTTTCTGATTGGGAAAGTTGCAGCAAAGGAGGCTCCAGGAACAGAGCAGTGACTTTTCAAAGATGATTGATCCTGTAACTGGTTTCCACAACCTTTCCATTCTGATGTGATATGCAGGGGTTTTTTTGGAGACCACTGGAGACCCATCTTCCTGATAGTGTAGGCTAGAATTATGTCTGTAACCCTTTCATTTTCTTTTTTGACAGGACACTGATGACATTGAAAGTCCTAAACGCAGTATCCGAGACAGTGGCTACATCGACTGCTGGGATTCCGAGCGCAGCGACTCCCTCTCTCCTCCTCGCCACGGCAGAGATGATTCCTTCGACAGCCTGGATTCCTTTGGCTCTCGCTCTCGGCAGACGCCTTCACCAGATGTAGTCCTCAGGGGAAGCAGCGATGGTAGGTTGGAGTCTTAATAAACTATCCATCTTGAAATTAAACATTTGCAGGGGCTGCATTGCGCCTGGCAGAGGGATGGGCACTGGGAAAGCAGGCTCCATATCCACCTTGCCGGAACTTAGTAATTCTATAAACTGGCAGAAAAAAGAAGTCTTTGAATGTTGTTTTTCATGGTCCTTAGAATTTTGGTTGGCTTTGCCAGGAGTTTATTTGAGCACTGCCTCAGTGAGCATATCTTCTGTTGGAAAATGTGTTACATCATTCCTCCCTTGGACTCAGTGAATCAAGACACTGTGCAGACCATTAGCTCATAAAGTGTGCTGGAGGTTTATATACTCTGGGCATGAGGAAGCTAAATGTTTGAGTGAGTACCACACTATATAAGAGAAAATGGATCAACTTCCAGTAAACTGGAAATGAACTGCACACACTTAGAAAGTTCTGAAGCCTGGGATTGTGCAACTTTAATTGGCATGTTTTTTGGCAATCTGTTTGATGCTTGTGATACCTGACTGGTATAGCTAGCACGATGCAGGTGGCTGTTAATGTATAGTGCACAACCCAGGCTGCCTGCTTGTTCTGAAGCTGGGATTGATTTAAACCCTATGGGTTTTATATCACTTGGAAGAAATGATCATTTTTCGTTACAAAAATGTGTAATCATGTAACTTGATATACACGTAATGCCTATTTTTCAGAAGCCATTTGTCTTACTTATCTTGTACCTTTGTACTTTTAGAAGGAAAGATGGTTTGGTTCTACATATTCTACATATATAAACTTGCGGAAAAACATGAGGGCTAGTGGGGAATTTTTAAATTGTTTCTTTTTTCAATGTATTGCTTGGTTGATGCTGCTATATCTAGCTAATATATCTTAAGCCTACTCTGAGATCCGAATTATCTTTTGTAGCTAAAAGATCCCTTCCAGCTATAAAATTCTGTTACGAAAATACTTGACTATTTAATGTGTCCAGGATCTAAGTTAATTCCTTGGTACACAGTATCTCATTTAGTCCTCAGCTGAGATTTTAGAGATACTCACTCAGTATCTCATTCAACACTCCCACAGAGCTGTGAGACACTGCTTATCCTTACTTCACCAATGAGCCTTTGAGAAGTTAAGTAATCATCTCAACATTTACAAGTTACAAAAAAATCACTGTCAGAAAGTAGCATAACAATGTTAGCTTTAAGAAGTGTGAATGCAGAATCTATGCTCTTAAGCTTAATTTACCCACATTTCTTTCTCTTTGCCTAATAGATGTTTTATTCTGGAATGGCTGCAACTAATGCTTTTGTTTAGGACTTAAACTTTCCAGCAAATAGTTTAACCTTGGGGCCACATAGTATGTGACTCCTAAAGAATTCCAGGGTGCATTGTGAGCCTCTTGCAAAGCATTTCTAAAATGTTATATGTCATTTTAAGTGCCCCCCACACTATTAGAAGTTAAATACCAAGTTCACTATCTAACTGAGCTTTAACATAACCAAAGAGTAGATTTACTTTTCCAAAACATGTCTTAACCAAACGATTTCATACATATTATTTTGATTAGTTGTTTTAAGTTATTGCATTTTCTTCATCCTGTGTTTTTCTTAACTGGTAATGTAGATTATCATTATTTATCATTACCAGCTTTGGGGGGTTCAGAGTTTAAACGAATCACATCTTGAAGGGATTGGAGGTGGTGATTACTAATATTATACTAATATGTATGAAGTACAATTTAGTTTGCAGCAATTAAAATTGATAAGCTAGAGTGTTTTTATGAATGTTTTCTCCATCCAAAAAAACATGAAATTAGAGCTTCACAAACACCATCCATGAAAGAGCTTCTTATACACAGATTTTACCAATCAACCCGATACCTTAAGGCTTATGCTCTTGTAAACTAATCAAGACCTAATGAGATTCTTAAAGAAAAACAACACATTTATTAATCTGCCATTTAAAATGTAGTATAATTTTAGCCAAATAGATGTTGGGTTTCATAAGCGTTTATAGTATGTTTTTAAATGGTGCTGATTAGGAAGATTGCTAGTCCTAATAAACACTTCCAAATTTGAAAAAACTTGTTGTAAGTCTTGAGAATTTATTTCCTAGGACTCACAATCAATTGGGGAATATCTTACCATGAAATTATTCAACTCTATGTTGGGCCAATATAGACATCTTTCATTTTATTATTATCCACTCCCACTAATCCATTCAATAAAGATAATCAAGGGCCATACTCATGAGAAGCATCATGATTCTGTGGGTTGGACACAGAGCTACCTGGTAGGATGCTGTAGATCCCAGGGTTGATTCAACCAATCTGTCTTGCTAGACAGGTGTCCAATTTCTCCCCCAGCATTAATAGCATCTCTTATGAGTCCACTTAATGGGCTTCATTGAAGAGGAAATAACAAAACCCTCTACCCAGATGTTTTCAAAATTAAGAACATATTTTGTAAATATGCATTAGGTTAAATGAACAGTCTAATGTTTTATATCAAAGATGTGCTGAGGGAGGGAAACAAGTAATGAGAGAAATCAAAGTGCTAGAGGAAGATTAAAAAGCGAAGGGTTGGGGGTGTGTACGGCAAAGATACATTAAAAAAAAGTAATCCCAGCACTTCAGGAGGCCAAGGTGAGTAGATCACCTGAGGTCAGGAGTTCAAGACCAGCCTGGCCAACCTGGTGAAACCCCATCTCTACTAAAAATACAAAAAATTAGCTGGGCATGGTGGCGGGCGCCTGTAATTCCAGCTACTCAGGAGGCTGAGGCAGGAGAATCACTTGAACCTGGGAGGTGGAAGTTGCAGTGAGCTGAGATCACACCATTGCACTCCAGACTGGACAACAAGAGCGAAACTCCATCTCAAAAAATAATAATAATAATAATAAAATAAAGAAAATCATCATCACATGCTAGATTACATTCTCCTAACTCTGGACATAAATGGAGAAGCCACCTTAGTAGATTTCCATGTTCACAGGGAGAAGTGAAGTCAAAACTTTTGAGGTGTCAGCCTCAAAAGAAGACTCTGACATTTCCCAAGGGTATACTGGGCCGGCCACCTCCTAGGTGCTTTATGTCATCTCATTTAATTCTTGCGACAACATGTGATACCTGTATTATCACCTCCATGTATCCCATGAGGACCCTGAAGTATAGAAGATTTAAGTATCCCAGGGTCACACAGCTAGTAGATGGTAGAGCTGAAATTTTAGACCCTGGTCTCTAAATCCATAAACCTATACTTCTTTCAACTGAGCTACTCTGTCCTGGAGCATTTGCATGGCTAATATTTCTTGAAGTGTCTAAGACATTCACCAAAGAATAATTGGGGGAAAAAGTGATTTGCTTATGTTGTTAGACAACATATTTGGAGACTTTCACTCAGTATATTATAGATAATATAAATATATATCTATATCTATATATGTGTGTGTATAGATACTATACACAAATAGGATTCATAGATTATAGGATTTTAGAATTGAGGGACCTGAGACAACTCTAATCCATCACTAAGCTTTCATAGTTGATTGAAGAATCATTTGCTTTATTTGTTCAACAAAGTGCAGCACTTCTCGTAGTCAGAACACTTTTATCAGGAGACATTTTCCCAAGACAGGTGTGTCACAGAGGAAAGAACTTTGGGAGTCAAGAGAACAGAAAGTAGAGTTTCAGAACTGTCACTAACCAGCCCTGCAGCAGGGGTTCCTACAGTGTCTCTGAGCCTCTGTACCCACCTTTATAAAATGGGATAGTATCAAATGGGGAAACAAATTTAAGAGTTTAGCAAGGTAGGGTAATGTTTGTTTATAAAGCAATTCACAGGGGGCTCTAAACATTTCATTATGATACTGAGACAGATATACTTGTTTAAGGACCGGGTGGAAAGGAGCTAAATTGTGAGTCAAATACTGTACTAATAAGTAATGAAATGGTCAAAACTTCAGAAGGAGGACTGAAAGCATGTGGCATGAATAATTCATAAACTGAATATTTCATCTGCAACAATGAACAACTTGTTTATGGTCAATGCCTTTAACGTTTACAGTCTTTTAAAAGCCATTATATCATTTAACCTCCAGGGCAAATCATTTTATTCCTATTTTACAGAAAAGGACAGTCAAGTGTGTTAGAGACAACCCTAGGAGCCCCAGCTCATTTCTGACAGATCCAGAACTATTATGACATAAAGAGTAGCCAGCATTTATTAAGCACTTAGGCTGCCCCAAGCACTGTACCAATAGTTTCATATGTATCTGGTTCTTCCAACAGCTATGAAGTAGGGATATTATTATCCTCATTTTGTAAATTGGGAAACTGAGGCTTAAAGTACTGATGTAACATATGTAAAGTCTCATGGCTAATGAGCAGCAGAACTCAAAAGGAAGTGGCTCTGACTTAACACCAACCTTCTCTGCCAGGATGCCACATCTCCTGGCTCTTAGTTTAAGGCTCTTTTCTTAAGGGTAAATAGGTATATATTTTATTTGTTACCACCATAGTTGAATAATCTTGTAATGCTCTCATTGATTGTTTTCAACCAGCATTGAAGTGGCCGCTACTTATATGGCAGTGTTTGTTGGAATGATGGCTTCATACTAATAGATCCTAGAAATCTAATAAGATGAGACTCAGGAAACAAGAATACTATATAATTATTGGGGCTTTTGTCCAACAAATGGCTGATGTTGGGAATGCTGAATTCCTTTGTGTTGTTTAAAACACTCTAAGCCAAACCAACTCTTTTATTCATCAGATAATCTAAGGATGCCCACTGTGTACAAAGGCAATGACATAATAACTATAAAAACTATAAAGCCCTTATTCTCAAAGTACAAGGTAGAAAGTATAATGTGCCAGAAGAAAAGACAAGATCATGGGGGCATAGGGTTCACAGGAAGAACAGATTGCCTCCAGCCGTGGGAACCAGGAAGAGCTCCCATGCAGAGGAACTACTTGAACCACTTCCTGGAAGACAAACCCTTGGTATAATCCGAATTGATCACTTTTCTGAGTTTCTGTTGTTCTACATCTGTGCTTCTTGATTATAACTTAAATTCTCTAGGTATGTTATGGGTTGGTTAAAGATGCCTCAAAGACAAAATGCTTCATAATTTTTATTTGCTGGAGTATCTAGCATAGTGTAAGACATGCAGCAGGGGCTCAGTGAAAACTTCATTGGATAATTTCTGTTTTCTTCTGAGAGTAGCAGAATCTCAGGAGGCATAAAATCCTATTGCAGATGTGTTGCTAATTGTAATTCTCGGATACAGTTAGGCTTATGTCTGTAGTTTTTAGTTTTGCCCTTGTCAGGTTTTTTTCCTGATTTTTTTCCTTCTTTTCCCAGAGTGGAGTAATCTACATGTGTAACAAATCTACACTTTAGATTTGTTAAGTGAATGATTTAAGAAGGAATCCTCAGAACCCACAGATTGAACCACATCCCTAATGCATGCTTAACATTGGGAACTTTCTGCTAGCCTAACACACTTTCTCAGTACCCATCCTCTCTTCCCTAGGGAGAGGAAGCGACTCTGAATCCGACTTGCCTCATCGGAAGCTGCCAGATGTGAAGAAGGATGACATGTCTGCACGGCGGACTTCCCATGGTGAGCCGAAATCAGCAGTGCCTTTTAACCAGTACCTCCCGAACAAAAGCAATCAGACGGCCTACGTCCCCGCGCCTCTGAGAAAGAAGAAAGCAGAGAGAGAGGAATACCGCAAGAGCTGGAGTACCGCCACCTCCCCGCTGGGTGGGGAGAGGCCCTTCAGGTAAGGCCTGAGCACCGCTGCCCTCTTCCTGGCTTGGGCATGAGTGGTTTGGGAACTGCAGCTCCTGGACAGGAACGAGGTTAAATGACCAATTCAGAACTTTGATGGAAGATTACAGATGGAGGTGGGTGGGACAGATCTTTGGAGAGAGCTTGTCAGGAGAAAATAGAAGCTTCGTGAGTGCGCCTAGAACAGTGCCTGGCACACAGTAGGTATTCAGCAACTACTTGTCTAAATAAGCAGATTTCTGAAACCAATTCTGTTGATAGGACATTGAGAGCAAATCTGTCATCCTTGTCCTTCTGCGGAGACTGCTTGACTCCCAATCCTGTCAGATTAGGCGTAGAAAGATTCCTATCTTTATGCAAAAAGATGTTTTAAAACTCTAGGCTTAAATTAACTTGATATAAGCTCAAATATGTGATGCATGGAATGTGGTTCACAATAACATATAGAAATAGTCATAATAAATGGATTTCTCATCTCTTTAGAGAAACAGTGTTTTAATCTCTGATTATGCTTTTGTATTTATTTATTCATTTATTCAGCAAGTACTTATTGAGCATCTACTATATGCTAGGCATTGGGGACCCAATAACAAATAAGGCAGAGTCCCTGCCTTCAAGAATCTTACAATAAAATAAACTTGTCTAATAGTCCATCTGTACTATTATTTTCCATTGAATAAAGATGTTATTACAATTTTTAATTTGCTGAACAAACTAATGAAATTTACCTTTCCAGCAGAAAAGGTTTTTGCCTTTCATTATCAAGTCTGGGATAACTCTCAATGTTGCGGGTATGATGCATTGTATGAATTAAATGGCTGCGTTGAATTTTCTTCACATTATCAGGATTATATTGTGTGCTATGACTTTCTTTTCTAAAGTGAAAAGTAATATCAGAATAGCGGGGAGATGACATGGGGTCTGCTCCCCAGCCCAGTCTGTTAGTTTGGTAAACCATATTGTCCAACTCACTAGCTTTCCTGAAACGATAGAGGAAGAGGGGAGTGAAGTGGGGTCTGCTGGTGAAGACAACCCAGCTGGCCAAATGAATCCTGGTTGGAAGCCTTCCGATGGTGGGTGTGAATTACCTGACGGCAGTGGTAAGGAGCACCCTTCTTCAGACGGGGCTGTGGTGGCACCAGCTCCCAAGTCTGAAGAAAAAGATGCTGCTGAGATCCAAAAGCGCAAAAGGCTAGAGCAAGCTGGAATCAAGGTCATGCCAGCAGCACAGCGCTTTGCCAGGTCAGCTCTGGGCTGAGGGCTGGCCCGGCTGGCTTTCTGCATGCCTGGGGATTTGGAATCTGTCTAGAGAGTTGGAGTTTTCATCTGATTTTTCCACTTCCCGCTTTTCCTATTGCATCACTGTTCCCTGCTCTGAGCACGTAGATGATAGTCTTTGCCTTAAGGCATGTCTCTGCTAAGTACCTCCTGGGTATTTTAAATGAAGGTGAAGAGTGAGCTCCTCACTGCTGGGTGCAGCCCTTGTCTTTGTCATGTATTTGTGATCAGTCATGTGTGGGCTGCAGGATTTACCTAGCAATAACATTGTATTTTTCTATTGTTTGTGGCTTGTTAATTTTCATGCTACTCCTAAATGGCTCATATCTTACTTTACACATCACTAGAAAAATAGTCTGTTGCTTTGAAATGGGGAACACTCTCTTTAGAGAGTGGCTGGCTTACAAAATCCACTTACTTTCTTTGTCCCAAGAGAGTACTAAGTAGAATTGGGTTTATTTGACTCCTTAGTTTCTAAAGCATGTTGATTCAAAAACAAAGAATGGAGTAATTACTTCTCTTTAATTGTAACAAAGGTACTAGTATCCAGTCCTGATAGCTTCATATTACATGTGAGATGGAGACCTTCAGCAATCAGAGCCAAGGAAAACTATAGTTCTGCACTCTTCTGTAGTGTTTTGAGAAGCTGGTTAATTTTTCTTATAAAATAACCACAATGATCCTAACAAATAATAGTGCAGCCAAAATGTATTTTACAAATTGACATTCATAATAATTTGACAGTTGGAATTCCTTTGCCACTTGCTGTTCCATTTAATTTTTTTTTTTTTTTGAGATAGAGTCTCACTCCGTCACCCAAGCTGGGGTGCAGTGGTGCAATCTTGGCTCACTGCAACCTCTGCTTCCCAGGTTCAAGCAATTCTCCTGCCTCAGCCTCCCAAGTAGCTCGGATTACAAGCGTGTACCACCACGCCTGGCTAATTTTTGGATTTTTAGTAGAGATGGGGTTTTACCAGGTTGGCCAGGCTAGTCTAAGAGGTGGCTGATATACCCATCTTCCAGAAGTCCAGAAGTGGGAGCTGAGGATCGTTGATAGTCAGTGACTTGCAGAGCTGGTCACCACCGACCTGGTGATCAGATTCGGATGCTCTGACCACAGCACCACATCTGCCTCCCACACATTTTCCATTTCTCTATACAGCTCCACATGTGGTTATTTATGTGGTCCAGGTCTTAATTAAATATCCAGTGTTGAGTTACATAAATTTAATTCTAGAGTACCTTTGTATTAAAAAAAAAAACAACTAAGGATATACTTCCTCCTTGTCTGTGGTATATTACAGATAATCATGCCTATTCTGAACACGTATGTGCTTCTGGAATATTCTAACATAAAATTGTGTTTATGTTACAAACAGCTCTCTGAGTTTATTAAATAAAGAGTAATGTAATAAAATCTTTTTTTAAAACTCCAGATTTTTTAAAGTTTTGATACAGAGACCTTATCAAACACATTTTTTTCTGCATCCCTTGAGCATCCCATACACCATGTACCAGAGACTGGACTAGATGCTGAGAAGACAAAAATAATAATAGTGAGGGGAATACTATCTCCTCACTAGGTACCATTTTTCAGACTTCTCCAGCTTCTGCCTTTAAGGACATAGTAGTAGGTAATAAGTGATACAGATAAGAATATGAACTTACCTGAAATTTTAATCTTCCTGTCTTTGACACACATCTTTCATTTATATCACGTGTAAAGTCTTTAAGCTAGTGTTTACCAAGGATACCATCATCCTTAGAGTATCTAAAACAGCAAAGGGGGATGAAGGGGAGCGGCATTAAGCTAATTCAGCACACTCAGGAATAATGGTCACATAGAGAAGAGAAGTGGGGTAAAGGCTGGGAAGTCCATACACGTACTGTGCCACTTCAGTACCTGGGACGTTTATTTTATTAAAAACTTTGAACTCTTTTATGACAACTCCCATTCACTGTACAAACATCAAATCATAGTTTAAAAATGTAATTCTAATGAATATATATTATCTTTGTTTATTTCACTTCCATTCATGTTTCCTGTTATTTGGCTTAATTTTAACCTATTTCATCCAAGTTAGCTCTCATATGCAGAAGTTTGCAGGTCAGTTAATGTCATGATGCCTCAGGTCTTCTGACTTAGCATTTAAAATTGGGCTCTGGATAATTATGCATATTCTCAGAGAATGTTCCCAATAGCAACACAACACAGCTGCTCCAAACACCCAGAATTCATTTGTTAGGCAGATTTTTCAGCTGCCAGCCAGCGCTCTCACAAAGGTTTTACACATAGCATGCCACCAGCCTGGCATGTCTACGTCTTTGTCACTTACTTTTTTGCATGCCACAAGAGTTGAGAGTCATTCTAAGTTTATCCACATTTGGGATCCTGCTTTTAATGTGGCAGAAAGTAGCTTAACTGGAATGAAGTATCATGAAAAAGAAAAGGACTCTTGGTGTCTGGAAAATAGGAATTTAAATCATTGAAATACGCTGATATCTCTCGAGGCATTTTAACCTCAGTGTTCTGTCTTTGACATCCAGATGAATTCTGACCAGCACGTCTTTGCACCCAACAAGAGGACCACTTGTTGTGGCCCATTTCTCAGCTGGGAAATGTTTGCAGAGATGATTGAGATAATAGAGCCATGTCCGAGGGGAAGAGCATATAGATGAACAACAAAGCTTTATTTTGTAGACTGTTTTTTGTTTGCTTGTTTCCCAAGTATTCTTAAACACCTTGCTAGGCTGGGTGCGGTGGCCCAAACCTGTAATTCGAGCACTTTGGCAGGCCGAGGCGGGCGGATCACTTGAGGTCAGGAGTTCAAGACCAGCCTGGCCAACATAGTGAAACCCTGTCTCCACTAAAAGTACCAAAAAAATTAGCCAGGCGTGGTGGCATAGGCCTGTAATCCCAGCTACTTGGGAGGCTGAGGCAAGAGAATTGCTTGAACCCGGGAGGCAGAGGTTGCAGTGAGCCGAGATCGTGTCACTGCACTCCAGCCTGGGCAACAGAGCGAGACTCGCATTATCTTTAAGGCAGTATACAAAAGGGAGCAAAGGTGCATGTTATTTCATTTTCACAAGAGGTCAAAAACCTAGAAGTTTCAAGCTTCCTGTCAAACAATATATTAGCGGTATCTTAGCATCAAGAGACAGAAAGTAGGATTTCTTAATAAATGTGTGGAGTTTAATATTTATTAGAGTTTCCACTGAAGGGAAAAAGTACATAAATTACTTTTTCTTCTATTTTATTTTATGGTTGTGCTAACTTAATTATCCCCCAAATATGAGAGTCTGCCAAAGAAGCCAAGATTTCTGTTTTTAAGAGGATAAAATAAGAACCAAGATGCACTTCCCCTGAATTAAAATGCCATGGAGATTTGAGTTCTTTTACTTGGTGTTTCCCATTGGAGAAGTAAACTTTTTTTTGAACTGAATTATAGGTTTCACATGATTGTACCTCTTTTCTAATTGTTTTCATATGTTTCAGCACTCAGTGCTTGCTTTCTGCTAGTCTGTGGATCTTCTCAACCACGTAGTAATTAATTACAGAGGGGAAAACAAGGCAGGGGGTGTGGGGGCGTAAAAAAACCTCCGAGGAACAATAGACATTTTAGAAATCTTTAGAGGAAGAGCAGATGCAGCTAAGTGCCAGACATGGATTCCTCTACAGCCCTCCTTACCAAACGCCGGTTCACCGTGGCTGCTGAACAGATCCTTGGGTATCGGGGACCAGTCAGGCACATAACTTGCACGAACCTTTGTGACTCTGGATGTATTAGGGCGGTGCACAAGTAATTGCGGTTTTGCCATTTTTAAAGGCAAAAACCGCAATTACTTGTGCACCGACCAAATAGCTGCCCTGATTGGAGATGGGGTGAACAGGGAAGTTTCCAGTGTCACCCAGGACATTCCCAGGGGGACTAACAGGCTTTTCTGGAGAGCAGAGTTTCCTTCATTGGAACACACTAGCTACCAATCTGACCTGGTTGCTTATGCATTGCCACATAAAACCGGGTGAAAGAAAACACCAGCTCTTCCTTAGCTTAAATCATTACCTCATTCACTTTGAAATATATAAGCCTCAGAAATGTTGAGACAAGAGCTTTTCTTCCCCCTCACCTGCTTTGAGTCCGTAATCCCTCCTACCAAGAAAGCTAGCCTGCCTTTCTTTAGGTGAGGCTGTGCAGGATCGCCAGTTGGAGGCAGGGCTTGGCATTTCTCGTTTCACATTGCCACACTGTATTCCTTCCACATGAAACAGTGAGCTGTGCCCCCAAAGCAACTCCTTCTTCCCAAAGCTACTCATCTATGAGTGACTTGGACAAAATAAAAGTGCCAAACCTCCTCATGAATATAAAGCCAGACAGCCTGGCCTGCCCCTTGAGTATACTTTAATTAATTTACCTGAGTTCAGATGGCTTGAGCTAGAGACCTTAATATTCTCTTCTGCAAAGTGGGCGTCATAATTCCTATTTTGCAGGGTTGTCATGAAAGTTAGTGTATCTGGAATGTACTAAATGTACTAGCTACTAAGAGTTGTAGTTATTGAAAAATAAAGTAAAACAGACCCAAGTTTCACAAAAGACTGTCCTTAAGGTCCTTCAAAGAAAAAAAAAGCACATTATAAAAGTCATTTAAGTATTTTGATACCTAGACACCTGTGAATACAATCCTACATATCTACCTTATACATATTATTTATTATTTCAAGGCCAACAGGGCCAGCTCAAAACTTGTATCATTATTTTTTGCTCGCCGTGAATCTGCCTTGAAGCTCTGAATTTAAAAGACTCAAGCAATTAGTGGAAAATCAGTCATTGTGACAACTTTTCAAGTGGGTGGGGAGTGTCTTCAAATAGCCAATGATACGGAAACTTTCTTCACGCTCTTTTTTATATATTTTTTTAAGTCTGCATATCTAAATTGAGATCACTTGAAATGAGTCTTGCCACACTGGGCATTTAGCCTAAAAATAAACACCCAACGGAATTTGCAGCCTGGCTGGGTTCACAAGATGCACAAGGGACCAGATTCTCCCTGCTCAAATTGGCATCGCAAATTGGCAGGGTCATTTGCATAAATACGAATATTTTATTCCAAAAAATTCTGCCCAAGTTGGGGGAGGTTGGAGCCCAGGACTGTTTGGTTTGTCCCAAAGTGGAAAGAATGTTGCTCTTGGACTTCAGGGGTTCAAGCAGAAGATCTGCTCCCAAATTAGGGTATGAGAGCTATGATTGCACCACTGCGTTCCAGCCTGGGTGACAGAACAAGACCCTGTCTCTTAAAAAAAAGAAAAAGAAGAGAGGTGGAGAGACAGGAGGATAGAAGAGGGAAGAAAGAGTTGCTGATGGAAAGGTGCAGGGCAAGATAAGCTTCCTGGGAGTGGAGGACCAGGGAATGGAATAGTTTAAGACCATCCTATGAGTGGTCGTAAACTATCCCAGATGTTTCAGGTTAGCTCAGCTCTGAAGAAAGACTTCCTTACATTTTGTAATCTGTTACACATTCTAGGTGTGGTGTCACACAGCTGCATTCATTTGTTTTCCCCCAGATCAGTTTCTTGGTGGCTCAATTTTTTGCCCTGTCAGTCAAAAACAAATTAAGTGTCTACTGGGTACTCATGTGCTAAAGAAAAAGGAACAGTAACAAAAAGCTTCCCATTTTTCCCCAATTTCATGCAAAGAATCTGCACTGTCACTTTCAGAGCCATTTAGGATCCTGCTTTTCTGTTGCTGGTGGAAGCCCTGAAAATTAAATGAATTTTTAGTATTGCTAGTGTCTGGCTAAATTCAAGGTTTTAAAACCCACCCTAACTATGCTGCAATTCTAGACTGAAATAATGAACAGATGTCATTTGAACTAACAATATCGAGAAGACTTTTCACTAACAACACAGTTGTCTGTCTAGAGATGGAGATTTAATTTTTTTTGTCTGATCACATGTGGAGTCCCATTTAATTTTCCCCTATCAGTCAAAAACAATTAAGTGAAGAGAAAGAAGCTATTCGTGATATTGTCCTTCGCAAAGAAAACTCTTTCCTGACCCACCAACATGGCAACGATTCAGAGGCAGAAGGTGAAGTTGTGTGTCGACTGCCTGATCTTGAGAAGGATGACTTTGCTGCAAGGAGAGCAAGGATGAACCAAACCAAGCCAATGGTGCCATTAAATCAACTCCTCTATGGCCCTTATCCAAAGAAAGGGGCAGAGAAATCAGATGGCAGCAAACAGCTCTCAAAGGGAATCTCAAAAAAAAGAAGTCTAGAATATAAAAGGTGTGCATGGTGTGTGTGTGTGTGTGTGTGTGTGTGTGTGTGTCTATGAAAGAGACACAGGGAGAGAGGACATAATTAAGTGAAGTCAGTTTGTATTGTACCCCCTCCAGTTCCTCTTTCCAGCCTCTCAATTATATGTACTTTGTAATGGGGGTTTATTTTGAAGCGGAACTTTAGATATTCAATCTCCCTTAAATGCAGATGGCAGACAGTAGAGTGTCCATGTCCAAAATAGGGCTGAATTTGCCAAAGAAACATTGAATTCCAGTGTGTAGATGTGCTGAATCAGGGCTCATCACCACATATGGGTGCTGGTGTCATCAGTTGGCATTATTAGCAAAAATAGACATGTACTATTGCCTATCAGAGAACAGCCACCTCTCACAGCTGCTCTAGTCCATTCAAAGGAAGCAGAAAAACGCTAAAAGCACTTCTCTCTTATTAGCTACATTTAGATGTTGGAAGAAAAAAAAATGAGACTTGTTCTTTCTTCTGTCACACCAGCAACATCACCTAGACAAATGATAATGGATATTTCCCATCAAAAACACTTCTCAAACTTATACTTCTATATGTTCTGTCATAGAAATTGTTTTCAAGCCAGTTTCCTTTTGCCAACATTTTCCCCGTCCTCTTAATACATGTTGGAGTGAATTGGGGACAGGAAAATTATAGTAAGATGGAATTTGACCAGTGATTTTTGTCCTGAGAGGGAGATATGATTTCATTTAGGGAACCTACTTGCTGAATTTCATCCTGCAGAGTTAATCATTCTTGTATTTTTCCTTATATCAAAATCAGCTAGAGTTAGCATCTACATTATTGAATTGTCATCTTTTTGCCCATCACTTTAGAGGTTTTTAAGCCTGTTGAACTTAGTATATAATTATCTCAGCTGTGCTTTAGACAATTAAAATGGTTCTTTAGGCAGAGTTGTTGAGCTCAGGGGAGTAGTTGGTCTTTTTGATTTTTCTTAGGAAGTACCAGATACAAAAACCCATGAGGGATTCCTGGATATAGAACAGGGATTCGATAAGAGAAAATCTGGCATCATTTCTTTACAGGACACATTATAGCTTCAGGAGGCCCTTGGTCTTTGCCATTGCTGTTGGCAGGCCTTGTAACAAACCATTCTTGGAGGGCCTTGTGGGAGGGATCAGTTGTGCAAGTGAAACAAAGACTTTTGGATAACTGACTAACATCAAGGCATATTGATGGCAATCAGCAATTTGAGTCAGGAAAAGGACTAGCCTTTGTATCTCCCTTGTTTCCTTTCTCCTCCATGTAATTTTAATTCCTGATATTTCCAGCTATATTTGTCTGTTGTCACCTGACTCTGTGTTTGCGGACGCAGTTCTGGGTCTGAAGCAGCCCTTGACCTCTCTAGACAGCATCAAAGAACTTATTAAAAAAAAAAAAAAAAAGAAGGGTCCCTAGTGCCTCTTTGCCATGCCCTTCCTTGATCTCCTTCCTCAAACTAAGAAAATTCTATAGCCTTTCTATTTTTATGGGCTGTGCAAGCATGCCAAATCATCAAGGTAACAAAAGACTACCTCTTGATTTTCCAGCTTGAATGATATATTTTGTGGGAAGATTAATAGGCTCTATTTATATATTTTTTGAGATTTTTCTATTTCAAGAAGCATATTTAGTTAGAAATAG
This sequence comes from Homo sapiens, assembly GCF_000001405.40. Taxonomy (NCBI): domain Eukaryota; kingdom Metazoa; phylum Chordata; class Mammalia; order Primates; family Hominidae; genus Homo; species Homo sapiens. The sequence goes on from NC_000004.12 coordinate 41,628,673, forward strand.
ACTTTTAATGGAATATTTATATATATAAATGCCACAGCTTTGGTTTAAATCGCAGTTTTGTCAACATTAGCCAGCTAAGGTTCACTTCATAGGAGAACAATGGAAAATATCAGTTTTAGCATCAATAAAGGTGAACGGTTATTAACACAAGAAACAAGTGGGTATTGACCCTGTCAATCCAGGTAAAGAGGAATACCCTCTGCTTTTCAAGTTTGCATTAGCCAAACCTGACTAATGCCATGAAGCAGACGTTGAGTTTAAACATTGAAACTTTCTGTTCAGAATTGACTTAGATGTACTTTCTGGCAGCTGTGGGTTTAGGTTTGAGATGTTTAATATGTGAACAATGTTCCAGCTATCTCCAAACTAATCCTAGAATTTGGATCATGCAGAGCTCATTATGAACATTTTACTAATGCAGTAAAAAACATTCCAAGAGGGCTAAGGGATTCATCAGAAAACCCGAATTCATTACAGTAACTTGAATAGTGTGGGAATTGGGCATCATTACCATCCAACCAAAATCTCATTACCATTAGTAATCTTTCAGCAGGCACGGCTTCTTTTCCTAAACTGTAGTTGAGACTGTCATCTGGAAGGGGAAAAAAACCTCTGTCTCATTCAGAGTTGTAATAAGGGTGGTATAGATGAAAGTCATCACAGCTCCCGTTGATTCCATTTTTGAGAAAGAGAAAAGTGTTTCCATCATTTTGTTCTGTCCTCAGCCTGTGAGTTTCCATGCTTGACATTCTCTTTGTCTGCTCCCCTTCCTTGAACTTGATTTTTCCATTGGTGTGGGGGCCCGGATCAAATGGACAGAAACCAGGGCCACACAGAAGAGGTGAAGTTGATAGTGACCTGTAACATGAGGGCTCAGGAAAGTGAACCTGTGGAAGGAGGACTCAGGAAGGTGCCAGATCTTCACAAGGATGACCTGGCCCAGCAGAGAATTCAGGGCAGCCTTGCCCCTCACCGCGAGCCCCCGAGCTTCATTACGCTCTCCAACATAACAGAAGCTGACTTGGAGACGTGGGAGAGACTCAAAGTGTCAGAAAAGGCGAGGTGTGTCATGTTTCCCCCCCAGTTTCCCCCTGGCAGTCATGGTATTTCATTTTGAAGGCATCAAATGCTTATCTTTGTGTCTTTTTTTTTTTTGTCAGGGTCTTGCTCTGTTGCCCAGGCTGGAATATAGTGGCTTGATCACAGTTCACTGTACCCTCGACTCCTGGGCTCAAGCAGTCCTCTCCCTCAGCCTCTTGAATAGCTGGGACTACAGGCCCATGCCACTATGCCTGGTTAATCTTTTGATTTTTTCTAGAGACAAGGTCTCACTATGCTGCCCATGCTGGTCTTGAACTCCTGGGCTCAAGGGATCCTCCCACCTCAGCTTCCCAAAGTCTTGGGATTACAGATGTGAGCCACTGCACCTGGCCAAAATTTTAATTAATTAATTAATTTTTTTAAATAGAGATGGGGTCTTGCTATGTTGCTCAGGCTGATCTCGAACACCTAGGGCTCCTGGGGCTCAAGTGATCCTTCCATATCAGCCTCCCAAAGTGCTGGGATTACAGGCATGAGCCACCGTGCAAGCCCCTTGTATCATTTTTTATTTTGATGGCTTGAAAAAGTGCGTCTCACATCACAGAGCTGCTGGAGCTCAGCATATGCAGCATGAGATGAATTTATTAATACTAAAAGTTACAAACCACATGGAGAGAAAACATTCTCTTTTTAACCCAGCCAACTTTCTAAGAATGTTTATTTATTTTGATAGACTTGTTTACTGTAAATAATTTAAACTTGACTTTCAAATAATTTTAATTATTCCACAGTACCTAAGATTTTCTTATGCCCTTGTTTATGATGTTAGAGATGTTAGAATTGATGTTTTGAAAGCTATAGAAGCTTAAAGACAAGGTAATGATCATTTCTAGGCAAGACAATGATCATTTCTCCATTTGAGTGTTAATGAAAAAGCAATTTTGCTCTAGCCTTAAAAATATTTTTCATATACAGTCTTCCCTCAGTATCCGTGCTTGATTCCAGAATTCCCCTTGGATACCAAAATTCTTAGAGGCTCAAGTTCCTTATATGAAATGGTATAGTATTTGCATATAACCTATGCACATCCTCCCATATACTTTAAATTATCTGTAGATTACCGATAATAGCTACATTAACGTAAGCATACCTTATACGTGTATACCTAATACAGTGCTTTCACATCACTTTATTCATGTGGATTCAGTGTAGTACTTAGTGCACGGCAAATTCAAGTTTTGCTTTTTGAAACTTTGTGGAATTTTTTTCTCCCAAATAATTTCCATTGAGGTTGGTTGAATCCCGTCAGTGGGATGCCGAACTCACTGATAGGGAGGGCCAACTACTTCTAGTTTTTTTTTTTGTTTTTTTTTTAAAAACCTCTTATTGATTTGTACTCAGACACTTTTAGAACTTATTTCTGGTTTTGACTAGGGATGGAGATGTTCAGCACATCTGTGCTTCTGAGCCTTCCCCAGAAATTAAAGCAGAAACTGCCATTCGTGATGACTTTGCCAACCGCAAAGCAAGGGCCTCTAAGAAAGCTTCCAGCCCCAGGCAAAAGTTTGTGCACTTTGGGCCAGTGACGGAGCTAGATCAGCAGAAATGGAAGCGGCTTAGCATTGGCAAGGCTGGGCCTAGAGAGGATGAAGAAGAAGTCATCTGTCATGGCAGCAAGATTCAAATGGACTCTGTGTCTCCTGTCTCAGCGGCCACTTCCAGCTTAAAGGGCCACCAAATATTTAATCGACAAAATGACTGCAGGTATTTTTTGCCATACGTGTGCAAGGATATCTGCATGGGAGTCACTGCTGCTTTTGTAGAGTTTGCTGAAGCACATTATACAAGCCCCTAGAGATGACATAGTTTTAACAGACTATGTATAGCAGAGAAGTAATGTTAGCGGGTCCCCCTGCGGGGAACATGTATGTGAAGTTAAATGGCAGGCATCCATTTTGATTCTGTTGTCACCAGAATCACTGCCTGGGAATGCCAATAATCTTGGCAAATGACCCTTTTTCCCTTGGCTGCATCCAGTACTATTTTATTAGTTGAAAATACCAAATGAGCTAAATGGAATGTTTTAATGATATCAGTAGGGTTTCCTGGGCTTATGTATAACCTCTCTCTTTCCTGTCCCTTAGAGAGAGAAAGAAAAAGTTATTAGTATCATGAGTTCACGTTTCAGACATACATCTAAGTAGACATATTAAAAAAGTAAAGGTCTCCTTCCTCCCCCACTTTTTAAAATTATATAATAAATCAGGAGTCTTAAAAACCTCCTCTTTGGGGGTTTCTGTAAGTCGAGAGTTTCCTTGGATGAATCGCTATCCAAATGTGTGAGGGAAGAACACCTTTATAGGCCTGTCTCAGTTCTCATCCTCCCTGGAGGCCACCCAGTTTTGAGTTCCCAAGCCCTCTTTTGGGGATTTGGTTCTGTGGGCTGGTCTGTCTTCCAGGAAACACATATAGGACATGTGTAAAACCGGATTGCCCTGGGAACCTCCATTCCCTCTGTACAGCAGGAGCAAAGTGAGGCTCTCCGTAGCAGGAAGAAGTGTTCATAGCATTCTTCTTTATACCTTGCCCTTGAAATCCAAAGGAAATGATGGATGGCCTATGACCTATAGAAGGGTTTCTTTGGTTCCAGACTCGGGGTGACACCATAGAAGAGAGAAGGCTATAAACACCAGAAATAAAGAGTTGAGGTTTCAGAGGATGGTGGGGATCTGGGGTGGGGAGGAGGGGGTAGGAAATTAATAAGAAATACGTCCTCGAGGCCTTGAATCCTGAGAGGCCCATCATTCAGTCTTGTGGTGACAGAGTCACACAGCCTTGTTTGACCTTCATAGGCCCTAGCCAGAGTTCACATTCCATTATCTCAATCTGATTATATCATCCTTACTAACCAGCCTTTGGAATGAGAGCAGCCACATTCTTCTCTTAATCTTTCAGTCCCAAGGACTTTCACTGTCTTCTTTCGTAACCCATGTTCCTCTCCTCTCTTGCCACCAATGCTACTTGATCGTCTGCAGAACAATGAATTGTGGCCGAGGTGACTATTGCAGAAGGGCCTCGTGGCTGGCTCCTGTGCCGGAGTCTCAGGAAGAGTGGGTCTGCAGTTTGGGCGAGTGCCCGAGGGGGACAGAGGAAGGTGAGGAGCAGTGTTTCCTGCCTTCCCGGGAGGTGAAGGAGGACAGGTGGGGTCAGAGCCTCTGGTGTGAATTCTTTCCTAGGAGTGAAACTGTCCTCTCTGGCTTTAGTTACATCCAAACAGCTGCCACAGGATGGCAAAGAAGAAACAGAAAGCGCTCCAAGAGATTCTGAGAGGCTGTCAAAGGCAGAAAGATCAGAGGACAGCAGCCAGCCACTGTGAGCATCTTGCCTGCGCTCTGCTCCGTGGTGTGTTGCCCCTGCTGTGTGTGGCTGTCGTGTTCCCAAAAAAACAGCTTAAAGTCACAGTCTGCACCTGGCGACTGATAGAGCGTGGAGTAAAGTCACTAAAAGAGTGTGCTCATCCCAAGATCAGAGTTCTGCTTCTGGTGCCCGCTCTGGGTAGATATTTTAGCCTTTGCATGTGGCTGAGTACTGGCCAAATTTCATTCTCAGGACTCATGAAAACCAGAAAGGGACCCCCATTCCTGTGTGAGTATCAGCTGCATGACAGAGGGTCCCAGTACTCAAAAGGGAGATTTCCTGCTCAGCTGCTCTGTGTGCCGCTGCCTCCAGGGATGCTGGCTTCTTCTGTCTTGAATTAACGCCAGTGAGTGACACTACTGAAAATATCTTTAGCAGTAAGTGGCCTTTGACTGGCTGGACTGAATGTTGCCCTAGGGTGTGTCCTCTGGCCTCTGAGTGTGAGGCTTCAGGGACAGAAGAGAAGTTGGAGAAGATGACAGCTCCTGCCTGGAGTGGCAGTGGACTGAAAGGCCAGCGAAAGTTGGATGATTCACGAAAAGATGACATGATGGCCAGGAGAACTGGGATGTCCCTTAGACACACTGGATCCAACCCAAACCAGTTCCTTCCAGTTCCATTTGCAAAGCAACAGGATGTGGAAGAATCTTCTAAAGGTCTACCCATGAAAGATCAGAGGTCAGAAAGTTATTCTGTGCCCTTGTGACTTTGTTTCTCCAGTCTGAGCTTTCAGTGTGTTCTTAATGCATTATGGCACCTCAGTGCCGCTTACCTGCTGTTGCTAGCAGAAACAGAATGATCAAAATTGGCCTCATCTGCGAAGAAATTTTTCCTCTTTTTACATGTAAGCAGGTGTGATTCAGTGGTGAATTTACCTGTTAAACATTTTTTTCTGACTCTTGTGGACTGAATAAATGGGAAATTCTTTTATTTCTTTCTAGCTCACATAGGAGCCTTTGGGCAAAGGGGTTGAACTTCTATCTGACTTACTTGATTTCACTTTGATTCCAGGTCCAAAGAAGATGAATACATTTATAAAAGTTGTAATTATATTAATTTTTCAACATTAGCAAACACTCGTTGCCTTCTGCAGTAGGATTTCTATTCCATGCTCTGACTTGACTTAGAGTCAACCATGACTTGATGACGACTAAGGAAATAATTATCCTGGGGTTCCTGTTCCAGTTTAGGGTCCTATATGTTGAAGCCTGTCTTGCCATTTAATAAAAGTGATACATTTTTGTTAAATGTATGGTAAGCCTACCAATGTAGGGCAAAGAAGTGAGGAGGGCTTTGCATAATTTATAAGCTCACCATAAAATAGGAAGCAATGGAGTTCTGCTTCTCCAAGGACCCTGATGGCAGTGGGAGAGAAGGCAGAGTGGGAGGCAAGGAGAACAGTAGGTAATCTCTCCAGATTTTTAAAAAATCAATACCCTAGCCATCTTGATCACCTGAATTTAATCTATATTTTACATTCTTCTGAATAAAACAGTAATGGAGCCTAGCACTGTTTTCAGGGAGCAGAAGTAATATTTGTGCTTTACAACCACAGAGTGCTTTGTAGCGTTTCCTGTGTGTCTGCTCCCTCAAGCTCACCTTGTCCTGGGAATTCACAGGTAGGTTGAAGGAATCTATGTTAGCTCCATTTCACAAATAAGAAGGCTGATGTAGAGAAAAGCTGCGTGAGTGGATCACACATGATTCCCGAGCTGGTTAGGACTGGGAAGACAGAGGAACAGAGTGGTGAAGTGGGTCCTCCACAGTTACTCACTTTCCAGATGCCCTGGACTTGACCCTGGATCCGCGGGCTTCTGTAAAGCAAGTTAGAATGAAAGGAAAGAAGGAGGTGAGGCCTAGAGACTGCCTACTGGATACATTTAGGCGCTCTCCCATTCATTTATTCCTTACACTACCTTTGAGAGGAAGAATTTTCATCTGCATTTTGCAGTTAGGAAACTGAGGTCCACATGTACACAGCTGGTACCTACAGAGCCAAGATCCAAACTCAGCTCTGTCAGAGTGGAAAACCAGCATCCCTCTCCAGCATGATGCCTACACGAGTAACTAGAGGAGACTGTGGAAGCCTGAGGAATTCTCTGTCACTTTTTTTTTTTTTTTGAGATGGAGTCTTGCTTTGTTGCCCAGACTGGAGTGCAGGGCCCGATCTCAGCTCACTGAAACCTCTGCCCATTCAAGCGATTCTTATGCCTCAGCCTCCTGAATAGCTGGGATTATATGCGCCCTCCACCACGCCCAGCTAATTTTTGTATTTTTAGTAGAGACGGGGTTTCGCTGTGTTGGCCAGGCTGGTCTGGAACTCCTGACCTCAAGTGATCCACCTGCCTTGATCTCCCAAAGTCCCGGGATTACAGGTTTGAGCCACTGCACCTGGCCTGTCACTCTTTGTGATTCTGGAAAGATTCCTCTTTATTTTCACATGGGAATGGACAGTTACTCTGAGCACAGGGAGGAATGGTCAGGTGAACTATGTGACATATTGTGTGAATGAGCCAGCAAACACTGTCGGTATGCACATTTCCTATCAACAAGTGTTTATCAAGTAATAATCACTATGTGTAAAGCACTGTGCTGGATGCTGGGGGTGATCTTAGATGAGCAGTAAAAACACTTTAAGCTAACGCTAGTTCATGATATAGAAATAGATAACTATCAAATTATTGATTCTGAAATGCTTTATTAGTAGTGAAAGTTACATAAATACAGGCAATGGGTGCATAGGCTATTCCCTTTATCTTTCTACCTACCCCTACCCTCAAAAGTAAACTTTATTTTATTTTTTTGAGACAGGATCTCACTCCATCACCCAAGCTAGTGTGATCATAGTTCACTGCAGCATATCCCTTCCAGACTTGAGCAATCCTCCCACCTCAGCCTCCCAAGTAGCTGGGACCACAGGCGTACACCACTACACCTGGCTGATTTTTTTGTTTTTATTTTGTAGAGGCAGAGTCTCACTATGTTGCCCAGGCTGGTCTCAAACTCCTGGCCTCAAGTGATCCTCTAACTTCAGCCTCCCAAGTGTTGGGATTATAGGCATGAGCCACCATGCCTGGCCTCAAAATTAAACTTTATTGACTTTTTTTTTTTTTTTGTAGGATGCTTTTGTCAACTGTGACCTGCGTGGCCAATTTTTACCTCATAACCTATTGAGTCACGTACTTTGCATTGGAAAGATTGCTTTATTACTTTTTTTTTTTTTTTTTTTTGCTAACTTGCCTTTACTTTTTGATCTCCTGTAGGATGATTGGGAAAGTCACTTGACACCTCAGCTCTAATTATCTTCCCCTTGCCAGCAAAGGCAATTCTGCTTAAGTTGGTGCCCTTTTAAAGCTAATACAAGTCTCAGAGGAAATTCCTTAAACCCCCAGTACATAGTAAAGGGATAAATGAAGGTTATCTTCGGAAACTGGGCTATTCTTTTCTCTTCAATTTCTAGAGCACCTGATAAGTATTTAATAAATACTTATTGACTAGTCTGGCCACTGTTCAGGGAACCCAAACAGAAAAATCTCTGCTTCTGTGGGGCTTACATTTTGGTATAGATCTACATTTATTGGTAGAGATGTCCATGAAATACTGTTAATTACTTTGTGTAGAAACAACTTAAATTCAGATATATCCTACATGCAACAACATAGTTGAAACTCACAAAATGTGCTAAAGAAGACAAACTCAAGAGTACATACTATTTGAGTCTGTTTACGTAGTACAAATCACTCAACGCTAATCTATGCATATGTTCATTTTGTGAAAATGCATTGAAGTATATGTGTGGTATGTGCACTTTCTGTATATAGCTTAAACTTCAATAAAATGTTAATTAAAATATTCAAATTGAAACACAAAAACACATAGCAACTATTAATAGATTCTTGATTAACCATCCATTGGGAAGAAATTCTCTGCTCTCTTCCATAGATAACTTAGAAAACACTGTGTTTGAATAAATGTATTCCAATAGGCCTATTTATTAACTGGGAAACACTTACCTAGTCTTCAGAATTAATATTGCCCTTGCACTCCTTTTCCTTTTCCTTTCCTTTCCTTTTCAGACAGAGTCTCACTCTGTTGTCACCCAGGCTGGAGTACAGTGGCGTGATCTCTGCTCACTGCAACCTCTGCCTCCCCAGTTCAAGTGATTCTCCTGCCTCACCCTCCAGAGTAGCTGGGACCACAGGTGTGCACCACCATGCCCAGCTAATTTTTTATGTGATTGGTAGAGACAAGGCTTTGCCATGTTGCCCAGGCTGGTCTCGAACTCCTGAGCTCAAGCAATCTGCCTGCCTTGGCCTCCCAAAGTGCTGGGATTACAAGCATGAGCCACCACGCCCAGCCCACTCTCTCAATGTGAAAGAACCCACTTGTCATCTGCTTCAATGCAGTAGTGTTTTTGAAAATTGAGAATATTAGGTTCAACTTAAGCACCTTCCGAAACGATACTCTGGAGAAGGAGAAAATGAGTCTTACTGCCAGAAGAAAAACATTCATAAACCCTTTCCTTGTCTTGTTTTTGGCCATTTCAACAGAGATTTGGGGTTTTGCATTGGTATGGTTGCCTTCACTGTGAATTAAATCATTATCAATGAATGTAGATTATTCTAGAATGATAAAAGCATAAGAGAGAAGGGGGTATGTGTGTGTACACTCATGCATTCTGGGGTGTTTTCTCTAAGATTCTCTAAGATTTCTCTAAGATTGCAGGAAGAGATGTTTAGAAATTACCCTTTTCCTATAAACTATTGTGAAACTGATCATGGGACCAGGTAATTTTTGCTGCCGACTCCAAAATGTAATTTATTGGAAACTGGAAGCAGGACGTATTTTCTTCACTATTCTTTGTCCACCATCAGAATTGCAGAAAGGAGGAGCTTTTCAGGGTATAGGTAAGAACTGACCCTTAAAACTCGCCTTTGCTGAAGAGACAGGCATTTGTGGGAGCTGTGTTGTTTTGTTGTTGTTGTTGTTGTTGTTGTTGTTGTTTTTTCATGTGCTGGAAATATGGCTTGTAATGTTCTAATATTTTTCTAATTTAGTCTTTTTGCTTTAGACTCATTTAGACTTCCGGTGACTATCGCAGAGGGTACAACTTTATGGATCTAAATTATCAGGAGAATATAAAAGATTAGAAAAAAACTTTAGTTTTTCAAGTTATGGAGTATCATTCAAGTCTGGTTTTGATTAAGGCTACCAGTTTTCTAGGAATTGTGGTTTCTGTCAAATGCATGCGGAAGGCACTGATTGGGGTTCTGGTTGGAGTTCTGGTTTCCCTTCAGAAAACTGCAGAAACACTCTTTGATGTTATTTGTGCAAATGCATTAACATCTCAGGGACAGGGTCAGTAAGGGTGCACTTGTACAGTGGGTGTCCATTACAGCCCATTACTGCTGAACATAAAGGCACAAAAAGTTGAACTGTTTGTGAATGACTGTAATACATGTTTGTTTTCTAAGCTGCCTTCTCTAAACGCTGTGGATTGCACCTAAGCCTTTCTGTGTTTATATTGAACAGATTCTTTCTTTTTGGGTAGTGTGGGGATTATTTTCATTTCTCTTCTGGGTTTTGAGATAAATTTTGCATTTTTTAGAAATATCAAGACTTGTCTTTGATTTTTCAGCAGCCAATGAATATTGCTAATTGTATAATGCCATTTCTCTTTCAGTATCTCAGCAAAAAAGGTTTGGCGCACATGTATTTCACCGGCAGTTTCTATTTCCAGCTTGCTTACAGTGTTCACTTTCAACTCTGCCAGTCCTCTAATTTTTTATTTGATCTTATAGATACGGTCCGAGAACTCCTGTGTCTGATGACGCAGAGTAAGTTGCCTTGTATTTGTAGGATTACATTAATTACTAGCCTAAACTGCATGCTTCCAGTACTTACCACTAATTGAAATGCAACTGATGCAAGTGAACTGAATAGTTAGCTGACTTGTGCAGCAAAGCACTTGAAGTTGGAATGCAGAGCATACATTCTGTGCAGGAAAGATGAATGAAAAAGCAACTTAAGCATGATTCTAATATGAAGCTGCTGCTTGAAACTTAACATTTGCTTTCCATAGACTGGGCATGTTAAAGTCGTTGTTCTTGTTATGGTCTGAACATTGGTACCCCTTCTGAACTATAGATTTATTTAAAGGGCATTCTGAGTTTTGCACTTAATTCTTGATATGTTGGGGCTTAGAGTTAACAATGAGGTAGTCATTCCCATAGTCTCATTTTTTAACTAAGAAAATAAATCCCAAACCACTAATTATAGATTCAGAAGCCCAAGTTCCTCCCAGGTTGGAGTCACATAAACTGTGGGATGCTTGAGACCAAAACATTGGAGTTTTGCTCAAGTCCCATGGCTTAGCAGGGGGCCAAGGATGTAAGACATGACTGGCCCTTCCCCTCCCTGCTGCTTGGTTTTCACTCAACCAAGCAGAGGTTCATTCCTTATCCCGTACTCCACATCCAAATTTGAGAAGACTCCAAACCCTCCCATTTGTGACCACATTAACTCTGCTTCAGAAATGGATTTCCCATATGCAGATCATTCTGCAACTGATATTCAAGGCAAACTTTTTTTTATTTGCAAAATGCTAGACTTCTCAGATTCAAGTAATTTGTATTTGAAGAAACATGATTAATATCTAAATCCAGCATCAGTAGTCTGCTGATCCTGATATTGAGGAGCATTTTGTGGCCTCGTGGGAGCCTGGGCCATCCAGAATGTAATCACCAGTCCTCCTCTGCCTATCCTTTCCTGAGCCTCAGTTTCAAGTCACACAATGAGGAATTTGAATAGAATTTGCATGTAGAACATGCAAACATCATTTCCACCAATGACAATGAGATTAGGCAAAAAATTAAGTGTCTTCAGATTGTGCTATTTTCATGTTTGTGTTCAAGATGTCTGCTTAGTTTGGACTCTGAGCCCTAAGTGGTCAAACTCCAGGGCCAAGTTTCCCATGTGTGATCTGACATAAAGAACACTCATGCCTCAAAACCAAATTCAGCCTGAGCTTGACTGACTGCACAGAGTTAAGTAGTCTGTAAAATTGAGCCCTGGTTATTACTTTTCAAACCTGCAATGGCAATATTTAACATTCACTGAAAGGAGGATTTTATAAGATTGACAGGCAAAACACTACTTTGGTTTGGTGAGCGAAAACATTTTGATAGAATGGATTTCTTCTTCATCAATGCAAGGCTGCTATACAATTTGCTTAAAATAGACCCCTGGGAAAGGTGAAAGAAAGGAAGGGAAATTAAAGAGTTTCTGAATTTTGCCTTCACCTGAACACAAAACTTCACCCACAGGAAAAGTTAATGATTTCTTAAAAGGGGTGGGGACAGGGACTCCCTTCTTGCCTTCTCTAAGTTTACAAAATGCAGCCCCAGGGACCAAGAAGAGTAAAAGGAGCTTTTTTTCCAGAGCTCTTATCTAGGGATATCCAAAGTGCTGAGTTTCCTGCTTAGAGCAGATACAATTTACATGAAACCATGTGGGGAACAAAATGAAAAGTTGATATCAGGAATTTATTCTTAAAATAGAAACTTATACTATTTTTAGTTTATTCCCTTAATATCTCCTTTTTCCAAAATCTTTAAAGGCAGTTTTTTGGCACAGGCTATATTTATTAATAATTGACACATTCTTAAAATAGAGCCCAATCAAAAAAAAGATGAGCCCTTTAAGGAGAATATAGGTCAGGGGCAGACCTACCGCACAGGCAAACAGAGAAATTTCCACCTCCTAACCAGCCAAGAATGTTTCCATAGATTTAATTTCACCTTCTTGCCCTTTTCTTCACTTTCACACTCTTTCCCTCCCAATACCTGGCCCACCAAAGGAGTCGGTACGTTGTGAGAGCCATAGGCCATTTTATTCTGAATTCCTTTACGGTAGACTTGGCCCAGAAACAATTTCCAGGCCCTTGGGGTAATTCCATCCCGGCCCTCAAAAATGCCAACCCACCACCAAGGGAGACTCCTGGACTCTGCAGCCAGGAGCCCTCATCCCAACAGCCCAAGGGCATAGACGTAGGTACTGAGGAGCACAGGATTAGTCCAAGTCACATTAATATTCTGGAAGCTGGCCATCTCCAGGATCCCATATCCGCCAACCCCCATCCCCAGACACACACCTCTTCATTTGGGAGGCCAAGTCTAACCTGAACTAGGGAACATGTTCTGAATGACAACTCAGCCCATTTTCTTTCTAGTATTATCAATTCTCAACTTCTTAATTTTTTTTTGAAAATGGCATAAATATATCACTCATAGGTTTGTTATTTCTTTTTTGGCCAGTTTGCTGATATTTCTTAAAAAAAAAAAATCTTGAGAAAAAAAATCATACAGGTTGAGCCTGCCTTATAGAAAATGTTTGGAATGAGAAGTGTTTCAGATTTTGAACTTTTTTAGATTTTGGAATATTTGCATATACATAGTGAAGTATCTTGAGGATGGAACCCAAGTCTAAACATGAAATTCATTTATGTTCCATATATACCTTATACATATAGACTGGAGGTGATTTTATACAATAGTTTAAATAATTTTGTGCATGAAACAAAGTTTTGGCTGCACCCCATCACACAAGGTCAGGTGTGGAATTCTCCACTTGTGGGGTCATGTCAGCATTCAAAGAGTTTTGGAGTTTGGAGCATTTCAGATTTCAGATTTTTGGATTAGGGATGTTCAACCATGTACTTCCTGGTACATGAAAGGGCAAACGAGTTTCTCCTTTTATTTAACTAACTGGCTTCTGGCCACATTTGGGCTGAGCTAGTTAGAGCTTCACAGTGGGAGTAGAGATGGGAACGCAGGACAGACAAAGGTAATTCTTAAGGTCTGCTCTCATTTTCTCCATGCCCATTGGGTGAGATAATCAAATCCCAGATCCTGGAGAAGGCTGCCATTTTCTTCTTGGGGTCCCAGAAGAAAACCTGGATCTATGGCCACCCATAGTGGCCTAAACCAAAATTCTGACCTGTAGATATTATAGATGGCAGAGTTGAATGAAGGGACCTCTTTTCTCTCCCATAATCTACAAACTACTTAGTGGGATGGTAAGAGGGTCCCAGCTCAGAGAGGTTTAAGTCTTCTAAGATCTTAGCAAAGATTATAAATCACCTTAAAAGATGAACTGACTAGATTGAATATTTTAAAAGTAAGATTTTTTTTTTTTAAACTGTGAGAGGAAGAATGGGACGAATTTTTGTGTCTTTCTGGAAGGCCTGCTTAAGTGAATTTTGATCCATGAAGTTTAAAAGCATGGGTTAGACTTTTCTACCTAATCCTGCAAATTTCTTAATCTTTCTTAGATACCATTAATCAATAGTCTAAAATAGATGAAAAATCACAGCCCTTCTCCTCTATCGAGGACTACAGTTTCTTTCTTTTTCTTTTCTTTCATTCTTTATTTTATTTTATTTTTTTGAGATAGAGTCTCGCTCTGTCACCCAGGCTGGAGTGCAGTGATGTAATCTCAGCTCACTGCAACTTCTGCCTCCCAGGTTCAAGCCATCCTCCTGCCTCAACCTCCCTAGTAGCTGGGACTATAGGCGTGTGCTAGCATGCCTAATTTTTTTTCTTTTTTCTTTTTTTTTTTTTGTATTTTTAGTAGAGAAGGGGTTTCACCATGTTGGCCAGGCTGGTCTTGAATTCCTGACCTCAAGTGATCTGCCCACCTTGGCCTCCCAGAGTGCTGGGATTACAGGCGTGAGCCACCACACCTGGCCCAGCTTATTTTTTCTAGAAGCCACAGCTGCTGAAATCAACATTCTCCACTGAATACATGGAGGCAGCATTATGCAATGGCTTGTCATATCCATGCTAATAGAAACCTCAGCTAAGAGTCCTTCTGTGCAGCCAGATTATTAGAATACTCTTGGGGAAGACAGGTTACAAGTACAGTTTTTCAGTTTAGTTCTCTTAGACTTAAATTGTCCAACATCTGGAGAGCAGAGAGAGGCACTCACACATTTATACACATTCCTTTTGAGTGGATTGAAGGGAAGGTGGGCAGCCATTGCTTTGGGGGTCATCTTCCAGACAGCTGCCTGCTAGGGAGCCCTTTGCATTCGGCGATGCTGCTGCTGTTCATTGTCTGGCCATGGGAGTAACAATTTTGGACATCATTGATGATGTCTGGAATTCTTTGGTGTCTAAGTGCATGGTAGTTTTTTTTTTCTTTGTGTTAGGCTGGTTTCAAAAATGGACTGTCACCATATTTTGTTGCTAGCACTTAACAGTGAGCTTTTAAGAGCCCTCTATGTCTTGAATTTTGGGCTCCATAGCCCACTTGTCCCAAAGTGAGTCATTTCTTTGAAAGAAAAATAAAAGGAGGAGGATTTTGCTTTGGTTTCTATTTCTGTTTTCATCTTGCTGCTTCAGCTTTTGCTGTAACAAAGGTTTATGTAAGCATCACAAAAAAGGCCCTATGGTCTTGCACAACATTTAATAAGCTCCTATAAAACATATAAATTATATGTATGCACAGTCTAAGAGTTTTTTAAAGACTGATTTCCCTTGCATTTTTCTTTTAAAAGAGATATTCAGAGTTATCCTGACAAAAATTAAATGACTGTGTGCATATTAGAATACAAAATATATACCTAATTTATGTGTTTTACTCCTTACTCTTGTTATAAAATGCCTTGTTTTCTTGATTCCAAGATGCCATCAACTGCACTATCAATTACAGCAGTTTTACAAGAAATAAAAAGAAATGATTACAATGAACATATACATCAGCCATCCATAGTTGTCAGATGCATCTAAAATTCAATAAAATAAAATAAGAAAAAGTGAGTGTCTTAAACTTAAGGCCAAATGATATTTTTTTGGAAATGGAGAAATTGCCTCCATTCACATAGGAAGCCTTTAAGCCAGCTTTCTACACAAAGAAGCATTTAACGTAATACAGTTTTACTTCATGGAACACCGCCCTCTTTCCCCACAAATTCTACCCAGGTTATACCTTTTAATTATCTTAATTTTATTTTTTAAATGCATTTCCAAGTGAGAGGAGCCTGGGGCTTCAAATACCATTTTTCTAGCTCTTCTTTAAACCTATTTTGGCACCTACATATAAAATGATATTGACCCGATTCAGTGACATCACTGAAGACAAAGACGGTCACATTTTGGCGTTTGCGGCAAAAGGAGGCGGTGGGGTGCCAGCACGCCCACCGCCCGCCCAGGGCCAGAACACACCGCCAGTCACGCGCTGTGCGCAGCCCGGGAAGGGGGCAGTTTTCCAAGCCCGGTAGCGCCCCCACGCGGCAGGACGCCCAGGCGCGCGGAGACGCGACGGGCGCTGATCGCGGTCCCTCTTGTGTTCGCTCTCTCCACACTCAGGAGCACCAGCATGTTTGACATGCGGTGTGAGGAGGAGGCCGCGGTGCAGCCGCACAGCAGGGCCCGCCAGGAGCAGCTGCAGCTGATAAATAACCAGCTGAGGGAAGAGGACGACAAATGGCAAGATGTGAGTTGTGGCCAAGGCGCGCGGGCAGCGGGGAGGCTTCTGGCAGCAGAAAATCCAGCCGGGTGGGTAGACGTGGACTTGAAAGCCATGCGGGGAAAGGGAGCCCCTAGAGGGTTTCAAAAGGTGACACGGTAAATGTGGGACTCAAAGGAAGGTGAGTAGCAGCGTGAAGGTATGGAGTGATGGCCCAGACATGTAATCAGCAAACACCCTGGCCAGAAGCTTGGTCACAAAAGAGGGGAGGGGAGGCAGGAAACTGGGATGGGTTGTAGAATTGAGGCTGCACTATCTTCTGAGGTTATATATTTCAAATTGATCATGATGATGATGGTAGTAACGATAACAATGACCAACATCAAATGTGTACCAGTACCAGGCATTGTTCTAAGTACTTTGCATGCATTCATTTAATCCTCTTAGTAACTCAATGAACTAGCAACTCTTATTGTCCTCGATTCCACAGACGAATCCCAGCACAGCTGTCACTTGCTGAACGTCACATAGCTAGCGAGTGGGGGAGCCAGGATTAGAACCAGGGAAGGAAGGCTAAAGAGGCTGATGAGGGCTTTGAGATTGTGTGCTGAGAGCCAAAGCGGGGAGAGAGGAGGGAGAGTGGATTATTTCATTTAATTCTCACAAAGCACTCTGGAGGTAGCTATTGCAAACTTGACTCCACCTTTAGTTTAAAAAGTTAACTTCTCCAAAGTTCATAAAATATAGTAACAATTATGTCTAAAGTATCTTGAGCACTTACTATGTGCCTGGCACCTTACGTCTATTTTCACATTTAACCCTGCAAGCTTGTAAGAATAGGTGCTATTATCATCATTTTAGAGAGGAGGAAATGGAGGCACAGGGAGACTAAGAAACATGCCTGAGATTCCAAAGCATGGAAAAGACAGAGCTGGGATTATTTCCCACAGCTGCAACCCCAACCATCTGCCTCCAGAATCCTCACTCTTCATCATTATGCTATAACTACCTGTAGGATTGTGGTGAGGTTGTTGTAAGGATCAGATGAATTAATACATATAGAATCACCAGATCTAAAGACTCCAAAACAGTTTTTTTTCTGCCTTGACTGCCTTCCATGTGGAAACTGTAAATGAATCCCTACTATTCTATTGTCAGCAAATCTGTTCACAATGCAGAGGTTATAAATAGGAAGGAATGAAGTTTCTTACAGTTACCTTGTGAGGCAATTCTCTGAAATTTGGCAACTGACATGAAATGTGATTGCATATTTCACACTGCCATATTTAAATAAATGTGCAGCCCTGCTATGGATACTGTAGATAATATCTGGATGTTTCTGCC
The DNA here is from genome assembly GCF_000001405.40 of Homo sapiens. Taxonomy (NCBI): domain Eukaryota; kingdom Metazoa; phylum Chordata; class Mammalia; order Primates; family Hominidae; genus Homo; species Homo sapiens. The sequence continues at coordinate 41,645,944 of NC_000004.12, forward strand.
TTTGAGGCATTCCAGTTCCAACCAGACTTACATTGGATTGTGTGGGAATGCACACGATGTTATAGTGCCTGGGCCCATAGTCAGTTCTCTAAAGAGTAGAAATGACTAAACTCTGAAGAATAGAAATGGAATTATGCACAAGTCTGAAGAAGAATATTATATCTTTCTTTCCCTGCCAGGACCTGGCTCGTTGGAAGAGTCGTAGAAGAAGTGTTTCTCAGGACTTAATCAAGAAAGAGGAAGAAAGGAAAAAAATGGAGAAGTTACTGGCTGGAGAAGATGGGACAAGTGAACGAAGGAAAAGCATCAAAACCTACAGAGAAATTGTTCAAGAAAAGTGAGTTCTTTCTGTTGTCGTTTTTAATGTACAATATTATCTAGGTGTTTTTTTTTTCTAAAAATTATTGGCTGTCACAAAGGTTCTGATAGTAACATTTTATATTCCCTGTACTATCTCTTCAGTGCTACCTTCGTTTCTACCAAGGTCTTCTTTGCAATTTTCATTAGTTGACTTTGTTATTGCTTCTCCCATGTCCTTTAGAGAGCGGAGAGAGAGAGAGCTGCATGAAGCATATAAGAACGCTCGGTCCCAGGAGGAGGCAGAGGGGATCCTTCAACAGTACATTGAGAGGTTCACCATCAGTGAGGCTGTTCTCGAACGCTTGGAGATGCCAAAAATTCTGGAAAGAAGCCATTCAACAGAGCCAAATTTATCCTCCTTCCTGAATGACCCCAATCCCATGAAATACCTGCGGCAACAGTCACTGCCTCCACCCAAATTCACTGCCACTGTTGAAACCACCATTGCTCGTGCCAGTGTTCTGGATACCAGCATGTCAGCAGGCAGTGGGTCTCCAAGCAAAACTGTCACTCCCAAAGCAGTGCCTATGCTGACACCCAAGCCTTACTCCCAGCCCAAAAATTCTCAAGATGTTCTGAAGACCTTTAAGGTAGGACAAGTTCCTTAAGAGTAGAACCAAAGCTGAACTCCAGGGAGTGGATGGAAAGAAGCATCATGACTCAAGAAAATGTCATTCTTTTTACCATACAAAAGAAAAATGTGTTGACATTTACAGCTGTGAAAGTCATAGGTCTCTGGAGATTTGGTTTGTAAATGCTTCAGGGACAGCTGTTTCCCTCAATTGCTGTTGTTAATACAGATGGACTCCTATAAGACTGATAGTGGAGTCGTCTCCATGAGCAAGGTCTATTTTCTAGTTTGATATAATGGCATGATTTCTCTGTACTAGTGGTAAAAACCCTAATTTAGTAATACCCTAGTATTTCTAGGTATCAGGAGGTATGGCAGACTCCTCAAAACAAAATTTTATTTGCTTTTGGTTCAAATAGAAGTATATGCAGCTACCTCTCTTTTAGGAAGAAATTGGCATTCAGCATCCATTTGACATTGTAGCATCCAAAAAGATTTTACAATTGATAAAAATACAAGGAACACATGGGAACATGGGACATACTTGGTCCTCAAATGAGACAGGTTTTTTAAACAAGTGGAAAGAAACTGGGTTGTTTTGCTAATGAGTGTGTAAAATAGTGTTCCAGACTGAAGAACTTGTGGAAACCAAACATCTTTTCGCTTCCTCAAATTCAAGTACTTTCTCTTATATCAGGAGGAAGCACTCATCCTTTGTCTTAAGTTCTTTTGACTTGTAAAGAAAAATCAGTTCCCCTTGTCCTTGCACTCAATGAGTTTGTAATAAACAGAGGTGGAATGCATCACTTGGAGATGTGACCATTAGATAGAAAAGTTTTCGTAACTGATTGAGCAGTGTGATGCCACGTAGCTTCCTTGCTGTATTTCAAAGAGAACAAAACCACACTTTCTGACTTTTGCTGAAATAACTCTGAATGTATCTCAAAAATCTCTATCTTAGGCTTTGATAGAACAAAAATGTCCAGACTGTCTCATCTGGATCACATTGAGCTGTTTGTCCCCTTATAAGGGCAGGGGCCATGTCTCTGTCATTCATGGCTTCATCCTGAGAGCCTGGCACAGGTGCCCAGGACAGAGTAGGCACTCAGCAAGTGCTCCTTAAATAAATAAGTGAATTTTTCCTGAGAAGATGAGCTACTAATCATATGGACTCACACACACACAGATAGACACACACATGCTCATGTGTGCTCAGTGGTCCACCTAAGTGTTTCAGAAGCTTTCCTTCACCTAGGGCCTATGATAATGAATGGCTATGGTATTTCCTGAAGGAAGATTCTATGTTGAGGTGGCCCAGAATAGGATAGAGAATACATTTATTTAACTGGATTTCCAAGGCATCTGACCAAACATTCTAGATGTCCACTTTCCCTCCTTTATCTAAATAGTGCAAAGTGATCGTTTAAACAGAAGGATTAGCATAAATGATTTTATGGCAGAACTTCAGCTCTGAGAAAACTCTGTTCTTCACCATGGCGGCAAAGTGGAGCAAGGTGGTATGGCGGCCTCAGGAAGCACTTCCATGGAGGGGGTTATTAGAGAATTTGAGCAGAGGCCCTCTTAGAGCTGGAGATTACTCCTCATCACTCACTAGTGGGGGTCCCCTGCCTCATTGTAGGCCTCACTGGCTAGTATTTCTACTGATGGCCTACAGTTCCATTACTGAGTGCATGGACAGCAACTTTGGTCAAAGGTCAAAGTAACATGCAAATCAGACCGTTGTTACCAGCTAATAATGCCAGGACAGAAGCTAAGGGGTAGGGGTGTGTGTGTGTGTGTGTGTGTGTGTGTGTGTGTGTGTGTGTCTTCTTGGAGGGCAGGGCAGGGAATACAGGCCCCGTTGTTTTTCCAGTACAACAGAATTAAGAATAAAGGAAGATCAAGAGAAATAGTTTAAGGCAGTGTTTTTCAAACTGAAAGTTACCACCCGTTGCTAGGTTATAAAATCAGTTTAGTGGTTTGAAGCCAATATAAAAAAAAAAGAACTAGAATAGAATATAATAAAAAAACATAGTGTGTCACACAATGAAGGCAAAATTGCTTGGGGCAACTTCTGTTTCAGTTATATTTATGTGTGTGTGTGTGTGCTGAGTTGTGATTTAAATTTCTTTTTATGGGTAACAAATAATAGAGTAAAAAGACCAGTGGCTTAAGGTAAATAAACTATAACTAATATCCAGCCTTCCATTATTTCTTTTAAAAGATTTTAAAAGGCCTAATGAGGCTGGGCGAGGTGGCTCACACCTGTAATGCCAGCACTTTGGGAGGCCGAGGCAGGCAGATCACTTGAGACCAGGAGTTCGAGACCAGTCTGGACAACATGATGAAACCCTGTCTCTACTAAAAATACAAAAATTAACCAGCCATGTTGGCATACGCCTGTAATCCCATCTACTTGGGAGGCTGAGGCATGAGAATTGCTTGAACCAGGAAGGTGGAGGCTGCAGTGAGCTGAGATTACACCACTCCACTCCAGCCTGGGTGACAGAGTGAGACCCCGTCTCAAAAAATAAATAAATACATAAATAAGAGGCCTAATGATAATAATGGCTAATAGTTAAGCACTTAAAATGTGTCAGGTACTGTTCTAAATTCTGTACATTTGATAATCCATAAAATCTCCATAACAGCACTATGAGGAAGATACTGTTACTTTAAATTTTGCATCAGAGCACAGAGAATAGGAAACCTGTTGAAGATTCCATGCCTGTTAAATGGTAGAGCCAGGTTTCAATCAGGTCACCTAACTGCACAGCTCCCTCTCAAAACCACTCTACTTTCTGCCTCAAATTTCAAGACCGAGATTTCCAGATGCCTTTCAGTAAGCCAGGCTAACCGCCCTCTCTGGTTTCCCTTTCTTGCTCCAACTGCCTCCCCTCGATGTGAGTGCAAAACAAAAATATTTTAATGTGCATGGTCTTTTTTTCTTTAAAAAATGGAGGTTATAAAAGTAACTAGAAATAGAGATTCACTGTAACAGAGCATAGTCTCAGATCCCTTGCCCTCTGCCTTAGCTTCAAAAAAAGTATCTGTTTCCCCTGCTACCACCATGGGATAAGCTGTAAAATATTCCTGATCTGTGGTAAGTTCCGCCTCATTTATATGCTATCCAGAAAAACAGTCAAGGTTGTGGAATAGCAATCAGAACTGAAGTGAAACAGTATTGGAACCCCAATATGTGGCATGTATTTGTACTTAAGATTCTTCGGTTTTCTGTACTTTAAAATAAAAGCAGACCATAAATGAGGTGAACATGAAATGGAATCTATAGTGAAGTGGCCCAAGCAGGCCAACTACCTTTTAAGGAGGCCCTCAAAGATAGCATTTATAGAAGCCCTAACTCATAGATCCCATCAGAACATTTAAGAGACCTCTTCCTTCATTGGACTCTGGTTATTAAATGATGATCTTTTGAGGTAATTCTGAACGTGTCGTTTTGTTACAGTCTTTGATTGGGGTATATATAGCATGTTTTTTGTTCATTCTGGCTTTTATAGGTAGACGGGAAAGTCAGTGTGAATGGAGAGACGGTTCATAGAGAGGAGGAGAAGGAAAGAGAGTGTCCCACGGTGGCACCTGCCCACTCCTTAACCAAATCCCAGATGTTTGAAGGTGTGGCCAGAGTGCACGGGTCTCCACTGGAGCTGAAACAAGACAACGGTAGCATCGAGATCAACATAAAGAAGCCAAACTCTGTTCCCCAAGAGCTCGCAGTAAGAACCAAACATTTCCCCGCCTCCCTTTGGGATAATTCCATGGTGAAAGAATCTGTTTTTAAAAATAAGTAGGTCATGATAATGACCATTTCTTTCTATGTTGGCGTATTAGTTTGCTAGGGCTGCTGTAAGTACCACAAACTCAGTGGCTTAAACAACAGAAACTGTCTCACAGTCCTGGTAGCTAGAAGTCCAAAACCAAGGTGTTGGCAGGGTTGGCTCCCTCCATTGGTCATGAGAGAGCATCTGTTCCAGGTCTCTCTCCTAGCCTCTGGTGGCTGCTGGCAATCTTGATGTTCCTGGGCTTATGGATGTGTCATCCCCCTCTCTGCCTTTGTCTTCACTGGTGTTCTCCCTGTGGATGTGTCTGTATTCAGATTTCCCTATTTTATTTTATTTTATTTTATTTTTCGAGATGGAAATTCGCTCTTTTTGCCTAGGCTGGAGTGTAATGGTGCGATCTTGGCTCACTGCAACCTCTGCCTCCAGGCTTCAAGCAATTCTCCTGCCTCATCCTCCCAAGTAACTGGGACTACAGGCATGCACAAGTGCACCCAGCTAATTTTGTATTTTTAGTAGAGACAGGTTTCACCATGTTGGCCAGGCTGGTCTTGAGCTCCTGACCTCAAGTGATCCACCCACCTCAGCCTCCCAAAAGTGCTGGGATTACAGGCATGAGCTACCACACCCAGCCTAATTTCCCCTTTTTAGAAGAACACCAGTCATACTGAGTAGGTCCACCCTTCTCCCTTGTGACCTCATCTTAACTAATCACATCTGCAGCAGCCCTATTTCCAAAGGTCACTTTCTGAGTAGTAAGGGTTAGGACTTCAATAATATGAATTTTGGGAGACACAATTCAACCTGTATCATTGGTATAATGGAAGGTATTACAATTTATGAGCCAGAAATTACTTTTTCTTGTCTCACTATTGGTGTCCAGTGTTATAGAAGAATAAGTAAATCTTTAAAATACCTTTTCCCCCCCTGTTTATTTAGGACCTCATTAGACTTGTTAATGCCATTTGAAAATAACTGGTGCTATCAGAATCTAGCTTTCCATCCCCGGCGATGTATATATAAAAGGGCCTTTTTCTTATTAGTTAAAGAAACAAAAATTCATTTAAAAGCTGAAAGTAATGTAAAGCATCAGAGTACTATTGAATGGCAAAGCTAAAAAATGTATGCTAATTCAGGTACTGCAGAAAAGTGAACTCAAAATAACATGATATTTGTTTCTTTGGAGTAGAAGACATCATTGGGAAAATTGCACTTTCTTCCATCTCTCACCAGAAAGACTCATGCTGGTTTCACTAATCTAACCGAAACTGTCACTACACAGATGCAGCCCTGCTTTCGGGGTACGGGCTGGACTCTGTTCAACCTCATTTGTACTCACCAGAGGCTGAGTTTCTGCTGTTCTAATTTATAGCATTTGGGTTTATATTATAGTTACAAGAAGGGAAAAACTATCAAGATATTTTCCCCCAGGACCTAGAAAGGTTTGGTGTGAAAGGAAACTTCTTCCGGCACCAAGGGAGCTGAGCGTTGTGTGACCCAGCTAGCTAAAACCCACCTAGAAGGCTGGATATCATTATTTTTTTCCTTTATGATTAGTCTTTTGAAGACTAAAATTATTTTTTTTTTCAGAGGAGTTGAGAAGATATAATTCTTCCACGCAGTACCCAAGTGCTCTGTGAAAGAGATTCAAATGGGAGTAGACCAAAATCATTTTCTCACCATGGTAACACGTTTCCTAGTCTCTAGGAGCAGAGTTTTGTGATCCAGGCCACTGCGGAGTCTCTCCTGAACTTGGACTTCCTGGACTTCCATTTTACTTGTCATTTGCATACGTCTTACCTCTGCTAGAGATTTCTTGCAGATGATCACGAGACAGAATATTGAGTTCTGCTAGCAGTGTGAGAACTTAACTGATAGAGTAAACATTAACTTATGCTGTTAAAATTAAACTAGAAGACCCCAAATTAATTAGACATAGGGGTGGCATTGCTTTTCAGGGACAATTAATAATTCTGTTCTTATTTCTCTTTTGCCATTTTTCATGATGATCGTTTTCTAAATTCCCTTCATTAAAAAGATTTCACATTGATTACATATCCCCCAAAGTAACTTGTTTTAAGAGAAGCAAAATTACACGATCTGAAAGAAACTATGCTATTTCAAAAGTTTATACATGATCACATGGAGAAGGATGGCCTTCAGGACTTTCTTCCTAGAAACCAGCCTGATCCTGGTTGCCTAAGGATGCAGGTCTAAACTCAGAAAAGCCTGGGAGTCTTTTCCTTTTGTGTATTTCTTCCTTGGAGAAATTGCCTAGTTCAGAGTAATTTCTAGGTCAGTGAACCCTAATGTTTCTGAACAGGTAGTAGTATTTATGGACCCTGTCTATAGTACTTTAGGCTTTTGAATCAACTATGGCAGGGGGTATTGCATTACTTTCTGTGTGGGAAAATCTCTGTATATATCTGTCAGACTATAAGCTAAGTTGTTAGCTGTACTACATAGGACTGTGGCTCATTACTCAAATACTCATCATACTCACATGCAACTTAGGATACCACAAGTTTTCCATTCAGAGTGTGTTATCCCAAGAGTCATTTTAAAAGAATCACTTCTCCAGTAAACCTACTCCCCATTTTACTTCTTTGTGCATGATTCCAAGCAAAGCATTTCTTGACTGTGTTACAGCCGGTATACTCCTGTTAAAAAAAAAAAAAAAGGAATTAATTGGTCATGGCAAAATATGGTGACCAGCTTAGAACAGGAGGCTGCACTTCAGGGCCTCCCAGAGACTGACACCAGCTTGGACTTCATTTTCTGTTTCTAATTCACTTGCCTGATTCTGTGGGGCTGTCAAAAGATTAGTGTTCTTCTTTTTAAATAGTGTCTTTCTTCCAAAAACTGCATTCCCAACAGATACACTCTCTACAGAGGAGTAGCTTCACCCACCACTAAAATGTCACAATTCCTTTAGGGTGAGCTAGAACTGTTCAAAGGGCACAGCAGCAGCAGTAGGCAGGAGCATGAATTCAGGAATGGAGGGAGAACAACAGAGAAGGGCGGCCCGAGACCTGCTGGGGGAAGGGATTGCGTGTGGAGCGTCAGCATCTGGGCCCGGGACGGGCACTATGGATGACATCATATCATCTCTTTGGTTTCCTTCTACCTCATCTTTCTCATTTGAAACTCTTGGGACTGTCACTCTCTTACTTTAGAACTAGGTCCTAAATTAAGTTAGGAATTTTAAAAAATGCTTTGTCTGTACCTCCTCATGCCAGATAATTCCCAGTCATCTTCAGTTGAATCACCTTTATGGTAATAAGATTGTGATAGCAGTTACCTTGCAGATGGGCACGTGTTAATTGGTAAATATGAATTAAGGACCTACCCTATTACCTGTTTTTTGAAATAGAAGAATAAACTTCTAAACTTGGTAGGAAAAAAATGTTCATAAAGCCACTAGAAAAGTATATAGAACAACGTAGAATTAAATACAGAGGGACTCATGACTTAGGATGGTTCACCTTACCATTTTTCAATCCTATGATTGTGCAAAGGCAATATATGTTAAATAGCAACTGTGCTTCGAATTTTGAATTTTGATCTTTTCCTGGGCTAGTAATATGCAGTAGGACACTCTCATGATGCTGGGCATGGTTGTGAGTGAGCCGCAGCTCCCAGTCAGCCACGAGATCACGAGGGTAAACAACCGATACTCTATAGTGCACTGAATCTCCAGATGATTTTGCCCAACCGCGAATGTAAGCGTTCTGAGCATGTTTAAGGTAGGTTAGGCTAAACTATGATGTTTGGTAAGTTGGGTGTATTCAGTACATCTTTGACTTAACGATGTTTTCAATTTACAATGGGTTTATCAGAATGTAACCTTGTAAGTCATGGAACGTCTGTACTAGATGGTGGAGTAAGAAAACCAGAGGAATATACGATTGCAAAGAACAGGCAAGATCTTCATAGGCTGAGTTTAGTCTGGGAAGGTTTTGTGTGGGATGTGGATTTTGAAACTTGACAGTAAGTGTGGGATTTGTGTTGAAGTGGAGGAGGGGCTATTCTACACACCAGAAAGGGCAGAATCAAAGGCATGGACAATGGTGAGGAGCCCACCAGAGGACCCCAAGAAGGATAAGAGGTGATGAGGGTGCTGTATATTCTAGGCAGAGGGATCAGGTCCTCCTGTGGCCACCCAATCCCTTTGCCCCCAATTATCCCTGAGATATTTCAGGGGTTTTGTTCATTTCAGCATCTCTGTTAAAGGCCCAGTGGAAACCTCACACTTTTTTTTCATTTAAAAATACTGGCTTCTGTAAGAAAATCATGTTATAGCACACAAGCAGACTCCTAGAATATAGGACTGTAAAAGAATTTAGAAGGTCTTCTAATCTGAGGGCTAATATATCCTATGTTTAGTGGCCTACAGAAAGATATTTTTATGTATGTCTCCCCCAAAGCTATTCCAGTGTTGTCTTGATTCACTGTCAGTTATATTTGTATCTGAAGCTCTTCTTTCCTCAATGGCACCAAAATGACCCTTTTCGAAAATAACCAAAAAATACTTCATACACTATATCAAAGGTCAGACTCCACCTGAACGTCAAACTGTCTAAGCCTCAATTTATATTTAAAAAGAAGTATAATAATAGCATAGACATCAGATGGTTATTGTGAGAATTCATGTCTGTAGAGCACTTAGCATACTGTCAGGGTGACTCAGAGACCACAGGTGCCACTCAGCTATCTTTAATATTGTCATGCAACAAGTGGGAGTAAGGAAGTTATAATATTTAATACATTTTTCAGAGGCCCAAAAAGGCAATCAGTATGAAGTTTTTTGGATTAAAGTAAGTTGGTCAAAATTAGCATCTTGAACAGACGTGAATTTCATACAAATGAGATGAATTGCTTTTAATCTTCTAACTCAACTTGTTGTTCCAATTGTAATTCTCTAAAAAACATACAGATGTGGACAGCTTTTTCTAGAAGACAGTTGTCCTTGCAGACACTTACATGATTCTTCCTGCAGCTCTTTTTTTTTTCGTCTTTCCCCCCACCTTTTGTAGAGAATGGGGTCTCACTATATCACCCAAGCAGGTCTCTAGCAATTCTCCGGGGCTCAAGGGATACTCTCACCTCTTCCTCCCTAAGTGCTGGGATTATAGGCATGAGCCACCATGCCTGGCCCTTCCTGCAGCTCTTTTTGCCTCTCCTTTTGTTCCCTCCTTTCCAGTTCTGGCCCCCTCCTGCCACCTAAACTCCTAAGACTCCCACCCATCGACCCCTGTGTCACTCCTTTCCATGCCTGTTCATCAGATCTCTCTCACCAGCTCATCTCAAGTGACGTAGCCCATGCTCTGCCTCCCAGTCAGCACCATCCCATCAGGTTCGTGGCAATTTTCCCTCATTGAGCAAGGGCCAAACTCACCTATTGGGTATCTAAACTACTTCATCTGCTTTTCTCAAACTGAGTCACAAGGTAGGTCTGTTTTTCCCATTTTGAAAAAGCTCTAGGTCTTCCTCTTGAAAATTCAGTACTTATGTTTTCTGATCCAGGAAAACAGACAATCGGATCTTTCTTGAAACATTGCATTTTGCAGTGAGAGCAGGGTGAAGGCATTTGAGTAGGTGCCGTTTTTCTTATAACTGAGACCAACTGCAAATTCCTTTTAGATGGCAAATGTCAATAAACATTTCTTGAGAAACTGGTTTTCTCCATCTAGAAGTAGTTGTAAGATTGCTAGATTTAATGATTTTTAAAAGTCATTAAAGATATTTAGATAAAGATAAAGATGCATTTACAGATTTCGAGAAAGCATACATCAGGGAAAATAAAAAATTAACCTGGCCTATCTATCCAGTTACCTGGGTCAAAACCTCATTTTTTTTTAATTTGAAAAGTTTAGTACAAAAAAAAGTTTAAGACATGGAGAGCCTGATTCTCCATATAGATTCCCTGTCTTCCAGTGGCAGTAGATATTTGGAGGTATAAAAGTGAAAAGAGAAACCCATGCACAGCATATGTGGCACCTGGGTCTGGCACCGCAGTGCCAGAGCATAAATAGACTGATTTTCCAGGCTTGTGTCCAGATAAGTTGTCCAAGACGAGAGCCAGGAAATCGCTCAGAGTCACAGAACCGTTGCTCGGGAAAGGACGTTGGACATCACTTGTTCCAACCCATAGAGGTTAAATGATCAGTCCGAGCTCACCAGCAACTCCATGTGAGAAACAGGCCCAGCACCCAGACCCTCAGTCTCAGGAGGGTGCTTGCCCTCCTGCTTCACATGTCTAGTACATCTTCCAATGTCGTTCTCTGGGCCAGTCCACCACCAAGATTCTAGTTAAAATGAGCAGCCAGATGCCAGGTAGGCTTTGGGCTAGACCATGTCTCTCTCAAGCCAGGAAACTGCCACCTCCCACCTGAGGCCCCAGGGCTGAGTCTGGCACCCGGGCAGTTTGGATCGCATTCTCAGTTAAGGGGAAGCCAGCTCCTGGCTGAGTCCCATGCAACCTTTCTGTGCTCTCATTCATTCACGTCCAGGGATCTGTTTTTATTTACTTGTTTTCATTCTTGAGAAAGTGTTACCAGTTGGAGAAGGGAAGGGCTCTCCTCTGTTGAGCTGTAACCAAAGAAAAATACAGGTCAGAAAACACATTTTTCCATCAAGGCGGGTTTGTTTGAAGCAAACCGCTGAGTGTATCCCTGCCAACTTTGAACTCATTTCCTTCGAAGTAATGATGTGAGTACAAAAGTAATAAGCCTCCAGGATGGAGTATCCAGACATAAGTTAATTAACCTGGCTTTGGGGATTTCCCTTGATTACAGATAGCCTATATACATTGCAGAATACAGAAAACTGGAGAAAACATCGACTACCTATTACTCAGCCACTCTGAAATTAATGCTAACATTTTTAGAAAATGTATATCCTTCTTTTTCTCAGTGTGTATAAAGTATTTTTAAGTGGGTTCCTGTTATTCAAATTGCTTGCTTTTTCTCTTACTTTATCTGAATATTTTGCTAGCAGTAGCCAGATTTTGATGACTAGCATACATTTAAACTAAGCCTGAGAGTATACATTCCATAAATAAGTGCATAATATTTATTTACTTAACAAGGATTACGCATGTATCTGGCCGCTAATTCCTCAGAACGTGGACTGAACAGAAATCCCCGAGATGAGCTGATGGCTGGGGGCAGTTGGGTCCCCAGGAGCCCTAGGAAGGGGAGAGATTCCAGGAGAGTTCTAATCTTTTGCAGAATAAATGAGTGGGAGGTAGAGGAAAGAAAGGGAATGGAAAAAGCAGTTTGAATCACTTCAGCAATAAACAAGACTCTTAGGTGATAGATTGCCTCTCATGTATCAAAACCTCTCAATACTGGAGGACAGCTTGGAATTGGTGTGACTCCAAGCCCAGGTGGTGGGACATTGAGGTCACCAGCACAGGCAGGGTTCCCACCTCCCCTGCCTTCTAGCAGTATGACCCTCGGTAAGTCGCTTAACCTCCCGGGCCTCAGTTTCTTCACTTGTATGAAGGGAATCATGTTGGTACCTACCTCCTAAGCTTGCTCTGAGAATTATGTGAGACGATTCTTATGAAAGGCCCAACAGCACTGACACGTGGCAAGTGCAGTAAATATTGATTGCAGTTTCTGCTGTTGCTACTATCAAGTTACCGTATCAAATGTCAGGATGTAACCTTTAAAGCACCTTTTAAGGTAAGTTATCTGGAGTTTAGTATTTGAGTGCTGAGCCATAGAGAAATGTCTTGAGAAATGTGAGAATTCTTGAAAGCAGAAGTTCTCCAGCATACATAAGTGGTAAAACGTTGCTGGAATGTGGTATGCTGGTACAATAAGCCTTAGTGAAGTAGTTAGTGCTTGAGCACCCCATCCCCTTTGCATCACACATTAGGTCTTTAGGTCTAAAGGGCTTCATGAACTATCTTATTTCATTGATTCTAAGTGGCACACTTTTCACATTTTAACATCTCTAAATCAGGATCTGTCTTATAATCAAAAGTGCATCATATTTAACAGATGGCGTGTTTTCTTTCTTAGTAGTACCTAAAGTAATACAACTTAAAATTGATGGCATTTTAGATTTAATAAAATATGTTCATTTCTTTGTTCATTTTTGGTCTGGTGAGGCTTTGGCCCTGTTGTGTAGTTATTTATTTTGTTTATAGTATTTGTAAACACCAGTGTTCTCAAGAGGCTCATTCATCAATATTTAACTGCAAATTTGTTTCCCAGTCTCAGTTTTCTATAATGTAATCCATTTGTGGGGAAGGGGAAGCTAAAAATCAGTATTTCTGCCAGTATTTTCTATATAGATGTCATAAAACAAAAATACCATCATGTATTAATATTTCTACATGTGCAAGACAGCACTTTGAATTATAAAACCCAACTTATTCTTTTGCAATGCTAAACTGGTTGATCTTCAAATCCTACTACCATGTTGGAGGTTCATATAGCAAACAATGTAAACACACACATGTACCATAACCTAAATATAACAAAACAGACCAGTTAACTATTCTCACTCATTTAAGTCTCTTGCAGGGATTCAAGTCAGACTTATTGATATATTAAAATATTACAAAATCCAAGGTGATGCATATTTCCTGCCTAGGGTTTTAAAAGTGTGTTTTAACTTAATATTATGTTCTTCCAGAATTGATACATGACTATCTGTCATTAGAAAATGCCCATCTAATTATGAGGATTTCAAAACTACTCCATCCTCCAAAGAAAAATCACATTTTTGCCACTAGATGCTATTGTAAAACCTTTTAGAAACTTGAAAGTTTTGTTGTTTAAAATTTCTTTGTTTTTAAAGAATTCAGTGATGGTTTCCACCAATGCATTAACTTTAAATACCTTTCATTTTGAGAGGCAAAATTTGATTTATGGATAAAATATATATACTTATGAGAGACGAATAAATTCATAGTTCTCGAGAACCCATGGGGATATTTTATGAGTTAATAATGCCTTTTCTGAAACCAACTTTAGCCTTTATCTTAAAACCTTTTAAAATTTATGCAATATTTCATACACACTTTAAAATTTAACTTTAGCTTTTTACAAGAAACTTCTACCAAAAAATGCAATAGTCATTAACTTGCTCTCTTTAATTATCAAAATATAATCTAGCTAGTATTTAATTTAACATTTTATTTATTTTTACTAAGTAAATATTGTAATAGCAGGATAATTTTGGACTTCATTCTAGAGTCAATTGGCTCCCAGTGAAAGACAATGTAAAATTACATTGATTTTGTTTTCCAATTACAGAAGTAATACATAGTCATTATAGAACATTTTGGAATATATAAAATGTATGTAAAGAGAAGGAAAAGTCACCCAAAACTTAAGCACATTAAAAATAATCACAATTAACATTTTTGTATTTTCTTACTATCTTTTTTTCTATATGTTTATGTATAGGCATGTATATAATCATATACATGTAAACATCAAACTATGTATACAGTTTACATTTCCTATCATTAGTAAGTATTTTCACGTATCATTAACTATTATTCAACATCTTATTTTTTCATGATTATATTGCCTTTATGGACATGCAGTAATTCATTCAATCATTCCCCAATTATTGGATATTTAAGTTGTTTCAATTTTTTTTACTATTGTAAATTCCATCAAGCATAAAACTGACACAATTGAAGTACTACTGAGAGAGAGGAACACAAGCATTAGAGTAATTACTGGAGGTGCCATGGAGATGAACATGACAGTGATGTACCAAGTGGATTGGACAGTGAGGTTCAAATCACAGAGACTTCTTAGTGGAGAACAAGGAAGAAAGGCAAACCTGGAGTCCCAGCCATAGAAACAGAAAGGAAATGATTGATATGAAAACTAGTATGTTAGAAACTTAGAAGGACTTGGCAAATGATGAATATTCATGAGGTATGAGTCAAAGATCACTTGAAAGTTTATGTGATGGGAAGAACTGCTGCCATAAACAGAAATTGTCAAATTTGGAGGAGAAGGCCATTGACCCTAGAGGTGAAACCGAAGCTCTGATGGACTCTCACAGCTGGAGATGAAAATACGAGTTATACACGGAGAATGTAATGGTGAATCCATGGGAATAATTGATATATTTGAGGGTAATTCAGCACAAGTGGAGGAAAACAGGGTCCAGTTGAAATCTTTCAGAATGACCCATATTTTGATGAAAAGGAGTAAGAACCAGTGAGAAAAGAGTAGTCTGAAAGTGGGGAGGAGAGGGAAAAGGAGAGAATGAATTAGAACTCCAGTAATAGAGATTCACTGGGAGCCCAGGAAGGATGAGAACTGCAGGCTAAAATCCACAATGGTAAGGGCCACAGGCAACTATGCCAAGACAGGCCACTGAGAAGTTAATTGTAACCTTTAAAGAACCACAAAAAGACTTCACTGGTGTTATGACCCTAAGCCAGCTTGAAAGGCTTTCAAGAACAAGTAGGTGATAGCCATGATTTTGAGCTTTTGGTGGTGAAAGAAAAGAAAATGTGGGATGTGCGTCCAAGGCAGTCATAGGAGGTTTGGTGAGATGGTGAACCGCATGGGTGTCCTGTTCTCCATAGAATGTCTCCTTCCAACCAATCCAGGCTCTCGCCATGAAGCTGCCTGGGAAGTAGAAGAGGGAATTCATATGGCCAAACCACTTTGTTGACCTAAAAATTACTGCTTAAAAAATAATTTTTAGAACTTTTAAAGGAATCATTTATTCAAGGGGGAAAAAAATCTCTTTTTCAGGCAACCACTGAGAAAACGGAACCGAATAGTCAAGAGGACAAGAATGATGGTGGAAAATCAAGAAAAGGGAATATAGAACTTGCCTCATCAGGTTTGTTTCATAAGAGACTAGTTTTAAGGCAAATCATGGTAACTGTTTAAGATGTAATGGAAATAGTCAAGAATTTTTCCTACTGAGCCACAGGAAAGTAGTAATTAGACTCCAGGAGTGGTGCGGTTGTGCTGCCACCTAGAGGCTTCCTGGGGAAGTTCTGCCCGTATGGTTAATGTTGCTGTGAAAATAGGAGCCCATGCTCTTTCTTAAAGCTACCCAGTTTTATTTTGTTTTTTAAAATATTTATCCCTATAATCATAAAGAATATTGTGTTCTTCCATATAAATCATGCTAAAAATTGAGGGTAGGATTTTGACACACAGTAACAGCAATAGATAAGCGAGAGGTCAAAAACATAAAAATAGACGCTGAAATGGTAAAGCTCACATATAGTTAAAAATGAATAAAATAGTGCCATGAATCTGGACAGTGAGTATAATATACTGTATTCGTTGTTTTAGGAAGAAGACCCTGTTCCCGAAAGTCTTGTTCCTCAATATTTTTTTGCAGCCTTATCAATATGTTTAACACTTTTCTTCTTTTGATAAACAGTAAAACCTCTCACCCTCTTTCAATACCAAATTATTATTTTTTATAAGGCCTTTCTCCAGTGTTTACCACTTGAGAAACATAATTTGTCAATTACCAAATTATTTTTAGGTAACATTTTTAAATAAATTAAATATCACTTAAAATAATAGCATTTACTTTTTCAAACTAGATTGTGCCTTCACATTTTGATATGCCCCCTTAGGTAGTGACTTTTCCACCCCTTCTAAAGTGAACCTAATTCTTCTTTATGTATCAGAGAACACTTTATTTTCATTGCATTATATACATATACCCCACAATCCGTAACACATTCCAATTAAGAAATTCTGATGTTAAAATGGAGCATTGAAATACAAAAAAAGGAAGCATCAGGTTGCTGCTCATTCACTGGGATAGAAACTACCTGTAGATGTTCTCTTATCTAGCCCAGCTGTCATAATTATATATTTCGTGTCAGCATTCTGTTCCATGTGGTGTTATTCAGATGTAAACCGTGACCCTTACTAAAAACTTAAGTTCTTCATAGTGTGGTTATAGGACGTGATTTGTGTTGCTTGTTGTTCAATACCATGAAAGAGCTTTGGGAATTCCAGCATCTTAGGCTCTTTTATATCTCTGAGCACACTGTCATTCAGCTTATATTGCCAGGACGGGATATGGACTGAATGTACTTCATGGCATTGCAGAATAAATGGTCCTATAGATATTTGATTTTCTTTTCCTTCTGTACGTTTCTGGATGTAACTCCATTGCAGAACCACAGCATTTTACAACAACTGTGACTCGATGCAGCCCGACCGTGGCCTTTGTGGAATTTCCCTCCAGCCCCCAGCTGAAGAATGATGTGTCGGAAGAAAAAGACCAGAAGAAACCAGAAAATGAAATGAGTGGAAAGGTGGAGTTGGTGCTGTCACAAAAGGTGAAGTGCAGAGTGGAGGAAAGCGGTTAAACCCACAAGTTAACATGGCCCCATATTACAGCTAGCTGCTGCTGTGGCAGTTGTGAATAATGAAGATTTATTTCTCTCCTCATCTTTTTTCCTATCTTTAATCTGTAGTTTTTCTTTTTCGTGTGTGTGTGTGTGTGTGTGTGTGTGTGTGTGTGTGTGATGGAGTTTTGCTCTTGTTGCCCAGGCTGGAGTGCAGCGGTGTGATCTCTGCTCACCACAACTTCTACCTCCTGGGTTCAAGTGATTCTCCTGCCTTAGGCTCCCGAGTAGCTGGGATTATAGGCGTCTGCCACCACGCCCAGCTAATTTTTATATTTTTAGTAGAGACGGGGTTTCACCATGTTGGCCAGGCTATTCTTTGTGGAAAAGTGTAATATAAGTTCTAAAGCCTTGCAGTTAGGTTTTAGTTTGCTGTGTGTGTTTGCTTATTTGCTTTTTAACCTGTCAGCTTACTGGCTAGTCTCTCTCCAATAATCATCTATTTGTTAGCCATGGTAATTCTGATGCCACTGGATTTGGATAACAAGAAACCTAGAAAATTATTATTCTGATATAATAGGTTTTAAAGTCTTGTTTTTATTAAAGTTTCTTCCTTGTTTAGAGTCTCATCTCATTCACATTAGTTTGATTTGTTTTCAGGTACAGAGTCTAAAAATATTCATCAGTTACACCAGTTGTTCGCAACCTTGATTACTCTTGGGAATTTAAAAAATAACAAGCTAGCTGGGTGTGGTGGCTCACAACTGTAATCCCAGCACTTTGGGAGGCCAGGGCAGGAGGATCACTTGAGCCCAGGAGTTCAAGACTAGCCTGGGCAACCCAGAAAGTCTTCATCTCTAAAAAAAAAAAAAAAAAAAAATAGTAATAATAATAATAGTTAGCCAGGCATGGTGGTGAGTGCCTGTAATTCCAGATACTGTGGAGGCTTAGGTGGGAGGATCACTTAGCCCAAGAGGTCAAGGCTGCTGTGAGCTGTGATTATACCACTGCACTCTAACCTGGGCGACACAGCTAGACCCCATCTCAAAAACAAACAAACAAAACAATCCAAGCCCATTCCAGACCAAATAAATTAGAATCTGTGGAGGCAGAGCCCAGGCATCTGTATTTTTTAAAGCTCCCAGGTAATTTTAATGGGCCACCACTACGGACTTGCACAACTGGAAGACTATCCGTAGTGGTGTACCACCTTTCAGAATGGACCCTCAATTTGGGTATGACCTTAAAGTGAAAAATCTGCCACTTGTAGTTCCAGTTTATTCATCATTTACTCAACCAGTATTGGCTGTGCACCTACTATGTCATGCCTGGCCCTGTGCTAGGTACTGGATAGTCAACAGTGAACATGATGCACTCCCTGGCCTTAGGAGCTGAGAATTCTGTATCCTTGGTAGAGCCTCTAAAATGCCTGTTGCCTTGATGCGTTTTCAATATTTCAGACCCTAGCTATTCTTCATTTTTATAGATAATTAATGGTCTGCAGGTCTGGAAAGGGGAACTAAACTGGGAGTCAAACGTTGGGAGGCAGGCAGAATTTCCCACCTTTGCAGGTTTCGTTTTATCAGCATCACACTAGTTACTATTATTTATTACCCTTCCAAATTTACTTGCTTTTCCCACTTAAATCTAAACTGAAAGGAAAAATCTGTATCATTGCAAGTAAAACATATAACTTGAACAGAATGAATACCCTAAGTAAAAAGCAGTCATTGCGAACCTCATCTGTGGAACCTCATCTTGGAGTTCATCTGTGGATCACCAGAGTCACACCTGCCCTACTATGGAAAAAAGTGTTTTCAGGACTTCTTCAGTTTGTTCGTGTGTGTGTTTTTGTGCATTGTGCCTTTTGGTCATCTGGTAAACATTATTCTCAGAATATTTTTTAAGCGTAAAATAAAATACACAGGATTACCAAGTTATTCTTGGTATCATGTGGTGCCAAATATATATATAGCCCCTGAATACTGTTTTGTTGACTCCAGGATAAGAACCCCTGCCAGCTGATGAGCAAATGGAATCATGGTCTTTGAATCAAACACTTTTCTCACTTAGACTATGTGAATTTCTCCCTTTTCTTCCTTTCTTACTGTACGGCTAGCTCTTAGATAAAGGGCGAATGGTGGCCACTGTGATTGCAACAGCTTTTATTTCCTGATTTCACTTGAGAGTGTTTCCTTTATAAAGCAAAGCACCCATGCTTACAGGCTTACCTTTTTACATAGCGGTCATTTTGATCATTGCTGATGACCCTTAACTGTTTCATTTACAACCAGGCATTACTGAAACATGTTTTTGCCAGCCTCCACTACAAGGAAATGCTATGAGGTTAATGACTGGTGGGTTGTCAGCTTTGGGAAGGCTAGACCTTATCATTTGCTGTGTAGCACCAACGTTCATTTGGACACCTCGTTGACCTCTGTAATGCAGAATGAGGTGATTAGTTTTCTTTAAGATTCTCTTAGAGTTGAATATATTATTCATAAAAATTCCTTCTGAGGATAAATTCTAACATTAATTTATTCTGAGGACCAAATTAGGGATCAGCATATGATGAAACAAGTGCTCTGTGGTCTCACTCGCCCTGAGGTCATTGATCTATAGGGAACACAGCCACCAGCCAAAGAGTGAATCAGAGAAGGTCCTGCGAGCAGCTGAAAAAAACATAAATTTATACAGCCACGCTCCTCATTCAGACCTATGCACAGTGTCAACCAATGCTTATTTTAGACATTTTTGTTTTAATAAGTTTGGTAATCTGGTCTTTCAGCAATCAGCTAATCAGAAGCAACAAACCAGAAGAAGGGTGTTTCTACTAAAGGTCATTCATATTAGGGAGAAACAAAATTAAGTAGCAATAACAAGAAAAATCTGTTTTACAAAGCAAACATAAGAATTTTTAAAGTCTGTAATTTTGGAACTATTTACAAGTAGTAACAAGTAGTCCAACATGCCTCAAAAATTCCCTAAGGGCATCAGATACTAAGGCACTGTTCGACAGTGGTTGTTTATAATAATGTTTCTTTGTCAGCAGGCAAAGTATACTGTCTTTAATGTGCTTTGCATAAATTTGTGGGGGGTTATGTAATGTCTTTAGAATAATATCCATTGAAAAGTAATACTACTTTAATGTTTAGCACTTATGGAGTAAGATTTGTTTTAATTATCTTATGTGGAACATCTAAATCTCCTGACATTACAGATTCAGTTTTGTGTGGTACCATGAAGAGAATTTGTGATTGTTCAATAAGAAAATAAGAGAGTAATGTATAATTCCAAAGATGTAATATTGTCTTCTGGTTTGGAGAAAAGTGGTCATTACGTTTTTACGCTCATGTTTGATTTATCTAAAAAATTGACGCTCTGTTAATGTAGAGAAGGATGAAAGCGTTTTAGGGAAGAAACAAAAAATGAAATGTTTAAATTTAAATGTTAACTGTTTGAACTGAATGACTTCTATAACAGCCATGGATCCTTAAATTGTGTGTCACCTGTGCATTTATCAATGGACAGTTCTTGCAATATTTATACCTGTTTTCCATTGTCCAGGTGGTAAAGCCAAAATCTCCAGAACCCGAAGCAACGCTGACATTTCCATTTCTGGACAAAATGCCTGAAGCCAACCAACTACATTTGCCAAATCTCAATTCTCAAGGTAAAGAGGACATGTTTTATTTTAGGTCTGCATGTTCTGGGCCCATCTGTAGTAAACTATTACTTAATTTAAAGGAAGATTACGTCCTTTATGTTGCTATTCCTTTAGCCAGGGTGTTTGCCAGAGTCTGTGATAGCTGAATTTATGACTTCAGAATGGAAAGCTGGAGCCGGATTCTCTATTTGAGCAGACCAGGAACCCTAGCTGCCAAGGCCATTTGGTCAGCCAGGCACTATAGGCACAATAGAGCCTATACAAGTGTTAGAGCTTTAAAATTTTGTATTATCAAAATTAGCTGGGTGTGGTGGCATGCGCCTTTAGTCCCAGCTACTTGGGAGGCTGAGGCAGGAGAATCGCTTGAACCCAGGAGGCTGAGGTTGCAGTGAGCTGAGATCATGCCACTGCACTCGAGCCTGGTGACAGAGCTGTGACAAAAAAAAAAAATTTGTATTATCTCCAAAATATAAAAAGATAAAAAGTCATAAAATCATAAATTAATGTACTTAATAGAAAGTTTAATATTATGTATATTTCACTGTTAATTCTAGTCTTCATAAATGTCCATTTAATTTGACAGTAATTTTGAGAAAAAGCTTTATTTTTTTTTACTCCACAATAATTCCTGGGTGCATGATGATTATTGAGAAATCATTCACCATCATAGATTAAACAGGTTATAAACAAACATTTTAATCTTTATGTGTGTGTATTACATAAATTACATTCTCATATATATATGAGAAACGTGTGTGTGTGTGTAATACACATACATAATACTAAAGATTTAAAAATGTTTAACACATACATACTGAGGATATATTTTAATATGTTTGATGTATTTTAATGTGTTTGATATAATGTGGGAAGGGGTTGCCTCTAGAAACGTGGGCATTTAGGGCCTATAAGAAGGTCTTAAAATGGCACTGACCACTGAAAATTCCCCAAGTACTGTGTAGACCATATATAGGGTTGTGAATTCACCCCTTTACTCTTTAAGAACCCAATTTGAATCCCTTTATCCTAGTGGGAATCCCAGGTGCCCATGACCACCAGAAAGGGCCCTGAGGGATGTGAACAGTGGAGGATGGGTTCTGAGAATTCCACAACCCAGAGGGACTATGCTTCAAAACAACTAGACCGCTGAGTTTTACTGCTGTGAGATCTCTCTCTAGATGTGGAAATGGGCCAGATGCAGTGGCTCACACCTGTAATCCCAATACTTTGGGAGGCCGAGGCAGGAGGAGCACTTGAGGCCAGCAGTTGAGACCAGCCTGTGCAACATAGCAAGACTTTGTCGCTACCAAAAAAAAAAAAAAATTTTAAATATAAACATTTTTTAAAAAAAGAAACAGCCAGAGTTCAGGAGGCAAGAACTGTAGGGTTTCTTGTTTTTCTTTTTTAACAGACTTTCTCCAGTGTGTTTTGTAGATTTAGCTTATTTTTACTTTTCTTTTTAAGGGTGGGCAGCTATTTGAGCCACTGGCAGAATCTGAGTTGGCTTCCATTAGCTATTATTGATGTTTGGCAGATAAGTTGGGTTTTATCTACATAACAGGGAACTCTTGGCAATAATTAACTGGTACATGTGCTGATGGATACTAGGTTCTTAATGTGGAAACAAGTTTAATACTGTTTTCAAAGCATTTGTCTTAAATTTGTCCGTCCTACTGTCCTGAAGGGAATTAAAAATAAAGTGTCACAACTGGGCCAGCAAATGGCCATATTTGGACCAATTTTAATTCTGCCCTATTTCTAGTACTTTGTAATTGTGTAGATAAGTGGTATAGAGAGGGAATAAATATTTTAAGCCATTTTAAAGCCATGTTTTGTTTTCTTATAAATTTACACATTTCATTACTTATTGTGAGGCATTTTGATTTTGTAAAATGTGCTGCTGAATTGAGAAACTTTACTTCATTCTTTACCCAAGTCGAATGACTAAAAAATAAAATTTAGTAGAGTACTGAAACATTTCAAAATGTATTCTTTAAGATAGAATTGTATTTGGAATACACCAGTTGTATACTTGTATTAGTTTGTTTTCATGCTGTTGATAAAGACATACCTGAGACTGGGTAATTTATAAAGGAAAGAGGCTTCATTGACTCATAGTTCCACATGGCTGAAGAGGCCTCACAGTCATGGTGGAAGATGAAGGAAGAGCAACGGGACATCTTACATGGTGGCCAGCAAAGAGAGAGCTTGTGTAGGGAAACTTCCCTTTATAAAACCATCAGATCTCGTGAGACTTATTCACTATCACAAGAATAGCACAAGAAAGACCCACCCTCATGATTCAGTTACCTCCCACCAGGTCCCTCCCATGACATGTGGGAATCATGGGAGCTTTGATTCAAGATTTGGGAGGGGACATAGCCAAACCGTATGAATACTTTCATCTGGTTCATGGAAACTGTAATTATAGCTGCATGCTCTGGAGACAAAATGCCTGGGTTCAAATTTTCATGTGTCTAGTTCTTAGCTGTGTGACCTTACCCATCAGATTTCCCCTAATCTCTAATCAGCACCTGTAAACTAGAAATAATACCAGTAATAACCTCATAGGGATTTTAGAAATACCAAATGGGAGAATCCATAAAAAGTGTTTAGCTCAATACCTGGCCCAGAATAAGCATTCATAATGTATTCTAGTAATTGTAGAATAGCAGCAGGAGGAGTAAAAGAATAAAGCAAGATGTCAGGCAGAAATAAACTACTCTCGAATCCTTTCTTTAAAATAAGAGTGTTCATGTTGTGGAGATCGGGTTTTTCACTGTGGTTCTCAAACCCTGTGTGCCAGGGTCCCTGTAGGGCTTGGAGCCCACTCTCACAGTGTCTCATTCAGTAGGTCTAGGCTGGGGCCAGAGGATTTGCATTTCTTACAGGTTCCCAGGTGATGCTCATGCTGCACATCTCACCACACTCTGAAAACCACTGGCCTCAAGTATTTATTTAAATTGTGCACCAAAAATATCACTGATTGATATGAAAATAACAGTAATAATTGCTTGACATTTATAAAGTCTCCATCTTTCAAGAAGCCAGAGACCTCTAATAAATGTAACCTTAAAATACATGATTTGTCTTCAATTGGGATGGGGAAATGGGGGAGGCATAGGTCTCTGCCCAGCACCCATTTAAGGGACTGATCTGAAGTCAAGCATCAAGTCCAATGAAACTCTAGGGTTAGGATCAGGTATCCTGGAGCCACACCTAACACTTTCTCCCCCAGAAAGTGGTCTCTCCCCCATTTCTATAAAGTCATCCATTCATAGACTGGTCATACAGGTCACTGAAGATCTGCTGATCGACCCTAATGATGTTCCACACGTTTTCCTTACACACACACACCCAGGCATTCAGTTTTTAAATGCCCTGAAAACAGTCATAAAATACATTTGAAAGTGACAAATTCCCTTTTCTTAGCTGCCTCTCAGCAGCAGAAAGATATCTCAAACTGATGTTTCAGTAAAATATGTGCGCATTAAAAACTGATTTTTTTATTGAAAATGACGACAACAGCAGAGTTTAAGGATACAAATCCTTGCCATGAGCCACCACAGAAAGGCATATACTCAACCTTTATTTATACGTACAAAAAACTTCTGCCACAGACTTCTATACATAACCTTTATGATGTGTAATGTATATGAAATAGTAATTAAACCACCCATCTTTGCTGCCTTTTATACTTTTCTAGTGTTCTCCAAAAAGCAATACAAATTATACATTTTTGTTCTTGCATAGTATATCATTCTATCATTTTGAGATTTAACATTTTAACACTATCACCATTAAGTATGACCCTGTGAAATTTCATCTAACACCAAAGAAGACAATAGCATAAACTGTCCTGGTTCTGTTGATTTTGTACATGTCTTCAGGTTTTATATGTGTGTTATTAAGACATTTTGTACTGTAGATTTACTGACTCTCAATTCTGGTATTGACTAGAGCCAAACTCCCTATAGTACTTGGGAGCATGGTTCTATTCAGTTCTCACCCCAGTTTTCATGGTTTTCTGTTTGTTCTGTTCTGCCATCTGATCTAGAGTCGCCTGGCACTGCCAGTGTTCCGCTTAGAGTTCAGAACTCTTGGCGACGATCCCAGTTTTTCTCCCAGTCAGGTAAACTGCATACTGGGTAGCTGTATTTCTTTTGTGCGAAAATCCATGTTGGGGCGATCAATGATGTGTGGCACTTGTCTTCATTTCTGATTTCTGGGGAAAAAATTATTTCTTATGCACAGTTAGCAAAGAGCTAGTTCTTTTATATTACTACCAGTTATGCTAAAATTGGGGGTAGGAGGAGAGGAATCACACAACTTTATGTTGATTTCAAGAATTCAAAGAAATAATAATATTCATCATTTTCTTGAGAGTCCCCTGCCTTTAAAAAAAAAAAAAAAGATTAAAAGCATTTACCAGAAACTGATCATAGTTCTCTTGTTAACTGTGTCACTGTGTTTGCTTCCTGGGTGACATCTGGCCTCTGTTTGTATGGTACTTCTCCATGCCAGACAGTGAGGGGACTGCTCAGTCAAGCCACAATGCAAGGTGCACTAAGAATCAGTACTAATAGGAACAGTTTTTGCTTCCTGTAGTCTAGTACCTGGTGTTAATTGATGTGATCAATCATTTGATAGTAGTTTAAACTTCTTTTGGTGATGGGTGCAACCTGCTACAGGGGTTGTCTGCTTTATTATGATTTTCTAATGTTCTTGACTTACCAAACACACACACACACACACACACACACACACACACACACACACAAAATTGGTTTAAAGCTGATGTAGGAACTATACTCCACTGATAGGTCAAAAACAAAGACAATTAGAAAATACTCACATTCATATCTTTTTTTTCTTTCTTTTTTTTCTGTGCAGTGGATTCTCCAAGCAGTGAGAAGTCACCTGTTATGACACCTGTAAGTCACTCATTTTAAGGAATAAGATTATGAGTTAGTGTGATTTTAATTTATAACATTTGATTGGCTCAAAGAGTATTCAGGCCGGGTGCAGGCGGTGGCTCACGCCTGTAATCCCAACACTTTGGGAGGGTGAGGCGGGTGGATCACGAGGTCAGGTGTTCAAGATCAGGCTGACTAACATGGTGAAACACTGTCTCTTACTAAAAATACAAAAATTAGGCAGGTGTGGTGGCACCGAGATCGTGTCACTGCACTCCAGTCTGGGTGACAGAGCGAGACTTCGTCTCAAAAAAAAAAAAAAAAAAAAAAAGAGTATTCAACCAAAATTGAGACCCAAACAATTGATTTGTAAAAGAATAATTAAAAGTCATATATAACGCCATTGGGTAAATTATAAAGACATGGATTATCATTATATGGAATTGTTACTGTGCCTGGAAATAAGTGATAAGAAAGCAAAATCTAAGAGGCAATTAAAATGAATGTGACAGACTTGGCATGGTGGCTCACACCTGTAATCCCAGCACTTTGGGAGACCGAGGTAGGTGGATCACTTGAGGTCAGGAGTTCGAGACCAACCTAGCCAACATGGTGAAACCCCGTCTCTACTGAAAACACAAAAATTAGCTGGGTGTGCTGGCGGGCACCTGTAATCCCAGCTACTCAGGGGGCTGAGGCAGGAGAATTGCTTCAACCCAAGAGGAAGAGGTTGCAGTGAGCCAAGATCACACTACTGCACTGCAGCCTGGGTGACAGAGCGAGACTCCATCTCAAAGAAAAGAAAAAAGAATAGAATAGAATAGAAGAATTAGTATTAAAACTGACAATTTCTATAGATACATTTTTTTAAATGTACCTCATTTTTTAATATGAGGATAATACTTGAACATAGTATATTGTTGGCAGATAGGACCTGGCCTGAACTCTCCAAGAGACCCAAACTCTCATTTTTGCACCCCTTCTCATAATGAGTATTTGACCAATAATAACTGTAATGTTGCTTTCTATTTTGTATTTTAATGAAATAAGAAAACATTTGTTAATTAAAATAAGACACAAGGTGCTGTGGACATTCCTTGCTGCTGCATGGCATCTGAACTGGTATTTCTAATCTCAGGCCTTGTTCGCCCTCTGGAATTCCCATTAGATTTGGAGACTTTCTCTGTGGCACAACCAACTGTGGCATTGCCCATGAGCAACCCTGGCTCAGCCACATAATCACTACTGTGCCTTTGATTCTGGATTTAGCTGTGTAGCCCTGAAGGTGTTATATAACTTCTCTGACCCTCATCTTCCTTGACCGTACAGTAAGATGACAGTACTTTTCTTTTGAAGTTGTCATGTGCCTTAATTGAAATAATTATTCAGAAGCCCCTAGCACAGTGGCTGATATGTAAATAAATCCTCCCCCTCTCCCAATAGCTAATCCAAGAGGCCCACCATAGTCAATATCAATTCTTATCTGTAGGTAAATTGTCTCACTTAGGGAGTTCTAAGTGCCTCTGCAGAACAGAGAAGGGATCCATCACTTGTTGCATAACCCTTGATGTCCCCAGCCACAGTACAAAACTAGGGACTATCTGTGGAGGCTCAGTCCCAAGCCAATACTGGGAATCCTGAGTTTCCTGGGAAGCTGAGTTCATTGATGATGGATGGGAACCCCAGAACGATCCCAAAGCTGGCATCCATGGCACAGATCTGAAGATTTCCATTTTAAATTGCATTTGGAACAAAGATGTCAGTTGTTCATGCCCCCTGGGTAGGGGTGGA
This sequence comes from Homo sapiens, assembly GCF_000001405.40. NCBI lineage: Eukaryota > Metazoa > Chordata > Mammalia > Primates > Hominidae > Homo > Homo sapiens. The sequence continues at coordinate 41,673,368 of NC_000004.12, forward strand.
GAGGAAGGGCATTCCAAAGAAACACATTCGCATTTCTTGTTTAAGGAAAATAGAATAAGAAAGAGACAAATCACTGGCCTACTTAAGTAAATGCTCTGAAAATTTCATGTGCTTTTGATAGTAAATGTCTCATCATAGAACAGAAAATAAAAGAAACTTGAAATAAGTAGCGCTTCAAGAGGAGATAAGCATTAGATTATGCTGGCCTCCGTAGACTCTGGCTATTTTTGGTCAGTCTTGGAGTACCAGAGGCCCTCGGGACTATGAAAGAAAGGGACTCTGATGGTAGGAGATGCATTACCCAGCATGAAGGGATTCCATTCATTTATTCAACAAACATTTGTTGAGGGCCTAAAAATATAAGGTCTTGGGGTAGATAGGAGGATGAGGGGCTCTTCCTGCCTCCTGAAGAATCCCTAGGCCAGAGGAAGATATGGACTTGTAAACAGGTAAATTGTAGGACAAAGTGGGTTAAATGCTGTCCATTCTGACTTCCTCTAGCACCTTTTACATCTCTTATGATAGTTATCACACTGTCTTCTGGTCATATGCATATATTGGTCACTTTTCCACTCCACACACACTCAGGTGTAAGCTCCATGAGGCTGGGCCACTTGGCTAGCTGGTAACCCCGCCCTGGCCCACAGTCAGTGGGCCATAATCTGCAAATTATCTGCAAAAGAAGGAGCAAGATCATTGTTTCATTCTCTCTTGTTTATCATGCTGGTTTCTTCCCCTTTATCCTCCTCTTAAAATACCCACTGCTTTCCTCTGTTGCCTTTTAACACATATTCTGTATTTTCTGTGCTCAATCCCCCCACCCCACACTTCCTCCTCCTATCTGCCCACTCCTTACTTGACTTATTCCTGAGAGCACCGCCTAGTGAAATTTAGAAATTAAATAATTCCTAATTGTTTCTCTTATTTTCCTACTATTGGAGTTTCCTCAGTGTTTTTTGTATGGCTTTATTCACATAAACATCCCCTTTTCCCTCAAAAGACAAAGAGGGGCCATGCCCCTGGAAGAGCTTCTGAATGTTTAAACCACCTCGAAGTTCTGGAACAATGACAGGTGGAGCCAACTTCCAACACCATTAAATTCCGATAGAATTTCCCATCTGGTATAACCACATTTGGATAACATTTATGGTCATCCAAGGGAGTTTGGGAAATTTTAGATTACAGATGCTCTTCAACTTAAGAATGGGGTCACAGCCCAATAAAGACATTGTAAGTTGAAAATACTTTAAGTCAAAACTGCATTTGATATGCCCAACCTACTGAATGAACATTATAGCTCAGCCTAGCCTACCTTAAACGTGCTCAAAACATTATGTTAGCCTGCAATTGGGCAAAATCATCTCACACAAAGCCTATTTTATGATAAAGTGTTGAATATCTCATGAAATTTATTGAATACCATCCTAAAAGTGAAAAATAGAATGGCTGTTTGGGTATTTGAAGTACAGTTTCTACCAACTCCATATTGCTTTTGTACCATTATAAACTTGAGAAAATGTTAAGTTAACCCACCTAAGCTGGGGACCATCTGTATGCACAATTAAATGATTTTCCCCCTGCATAACTTCCAAGAGCCTGTAATATGCTAATGTGCAGTGTGAAACTCAGGAGTGGCAAGCAGGAAGCAATAAGCTAGTATCCCTAGATTATTGGCCCACTTGGGTTTGACTATTCTGTGAGCATCATGGCCATCCCAATCAATTGCAGGAAGCACAGCAGCAAGAGTACAAAATGAGGCCCAAGTTTCATTTGTCCAAATATATTAAAGTTCTAAATATTGATGAAGTTATAAATCAAGCATTGCCCACAGCCTGGCCTGCATTCTCTGCCTGAAGATACTTCCCTGGGCCAGCCCACCCGCCATGCACCTGAATGGTAATGTGGATCTGTTGGGGGCCAGGCAGAGTGGGAGGTGGGCTGGCCCAGGTACCCTGGGCACTAACTGGATGTATCAAAACCTTGGATAGGACTGACCCTGTTCATCTTCCCAGGCTACCAGGGTACATAGATTTTGCCTGCACCCCTCCCCACCCCAACCCTGTTTCCCATCCCCCGTCAACTTCCCCACCCGTGCCTTGCTTTTTCAACTTAAGATTCCCAGGCAGTTGCTTCCCTGTCCTACCCCATCAGAACAAAGGGAAGGGAGGAGCACAGTTATTGTGCCCTGGTCTGCCTGGGCACCTACTCTGGGTGACTGGGGCAGCCGACTTTAAACACAGCAGCCCCTCTTTTCCTGGTTTCCTGGGGGCAGGCTGTGATTTCCCTTCCCCCCACCCCCCACCTGTACCCTCCCAGTCTCATATTCTGTGGCCTGGGCACCTGCTTCGGTTCATGGATTTTTCTCTGTTATTCCTCATTATTTACTTGGTTCCCAAACTTGCAAAAACCTTTTATTAATACAAAAAGGAAGTAAGTCTTTGAGCTTGAGTGTTTGTGTCATGCGGGCCCCAGGGCAAGTGATCTGCTTGCCTGGATCTTAGGTGGTACTGGTGAGCATTGGTGAGTTAAACAACCCACTGTAGGGAAAAGTGGTATGGAAAAGCAACAGTAGTATAAAAGATTAGTTTTTATAGCGTGGCAAACAACACTTCTTACAAAATGCATTTCTGCTAAAATAACTGGTCTCGTTTGCTTGGACCCAGGATCAATATGCAGAATGAGCACCTTAGGTTCAGAAGCATGAATGCATTTAAGAGAAATCACTTCTAAGAGAAATGAAGCAAAGCCTTCCAATGCCAGTGGCTAATTACTTTGTGTTTTCATTAGCTCCAAAAAGATTCACAGAATCATACCAGCGTCTTGGAAGTAAACCAAAGAGGGACTAAGATTAAAAAATGGTTTCTGCCACCAAAGAGGATGTTTAGATATATGAAGCCTTCTGCTCCTGTGTGTCAATCTGGGTGCCAGGCCAGAGGCCAATTGTCTACTCTTCACCCGGCCTGTCCCTTGAGGACATGGCTCAATTCTGATCATGGTTTCATTTTTCTAAGCAGTTTAAGTTCTGGGCATGGGACCCAGAAGAGGAGCGCAGGCGACAGGAAAAATGGCAACAGGAACAGGAACGTTTGCTCCAGGTAGGATGGAGTTTGCTGCTTTTTTTGTTTTTCCTTTTTTGTCCTCTTGCTTTCCATTGCATTAAATAGACTTTTAGCACAGGAAATGAATGGAATCAAGTTATTCTCGGAAGTTAGTGAGTCTCAAGTCAGTTCATTTTGTGTCCTTGTAACAGGGTACCCTGTGTCTCATTCTTCCTGCCAAAGACTGCAATAATAAACATGATGAAAAACCATTCATATTAACACTGAACCAAAAAACCCTCCAAGTATGGATAAGGGCCAGTCTACCCATTCATCACCTCCTTAGTTGCCAGTCAATTTCCAGTCAAGTAGCAGTGGGAATGAATTATCTAAAAGCTCTCTGCTAGCATACACGTGAAATAAAATTTAGCCTCAGTCTACTTTCTTAAATAGAAACTTTTGCTCTACCTTTGAGGGCTGGGCGTGGTGGCTCACGACTGTAATCCCAGCACTTTGGGAGGCCGATGTGAGTGCATCATCTGAGGTCAGGAGTTGGAGACCAGCCTGGCCAACATGACGAAACCCCGTCTCTACCAAAAATACAAAAATTAGCTGGGCATGGTGATGCACACCTGTAATTCCTGCTACTCGGGAGGTTGAGACAGAAGAATCGCTTGAACTCAGAAGGCAGAGGTTGCAGTGAGCTGAGATCATGCCACTGTACTCCAACCTAGACAACAGAGTGAGAATGTCTAAAAAAAAAAAAAGCCGATGTGAGTGGATCACCTGAGGTCAGGAGTTGGAGACTAGCCTGAGACCAACATGGAGAAACCCCATCTCTACTAAAAATACAAAATTAGCCGGGCGTGGTGTCACATGCCTGTAATCCCAGCTAGGGAGGCTGAGACAGGAGAATTGTTTGAACCCGTGAGGCGGAGGTTGCAGTGAGCCGAGATCACGCCATTGCACTCCAGCCTGGACGACAAAAACAAAACTCCATCTCAAAAAAAAGAAAAAAGAAAAGAAAAAGAAATGTTTGCTCTACCTTTGGGTAAAAGCTACTGATTATCAATTCTAGAAAAATTCTGATAGTAAGTTCATCATACTCCCACTTCATGCCAGTTTTATGGATTAACAGGGCTTCAAAAGGTAACCTAGCAACCTAAAGAACTAACCCATGTTGGGTACCTGGGATGTGCCAGGAACTGAGGTTAGTGCTTGACATTTTTACTTCATTTATCCTCAAACAGCACTTCAGAGTATGTCTTATTAGCCCTTGTTTGCAATTGAAGAAAGTAAAGTTCACTGAAATTAAGTTAATTGCCCAAGGTTACACAACTAATAGGTGTCAAGACCAGATTCAAATCCAAGTCTGGATGACTTTAAAACTCATGCTCCTTCTACTACATTCCCACTAGTACTGATTTTACAAAAATAAATAAATAAATAAATAAAGGAAAATAATGTTAAATCTCATTAATTTTGATGACTTTCTGCTGCTTGTAGAAAGCAATGCTTTTTTTGACGTTTGTTCATTTTTTAAATTATACTTCAAGTTCTGGGATACATGTGCAGAACGGGCAGGTTTGTTACATAGGTATACACGTGTCATGGTGGTTTGCTGCACCCACCAACCCGTCACCTACATTAGGTATTTCTCCTAATGCTATCCCTCCGCTAGCCCCCCAACCCCTGACAGGCCCCAGTGTGTGGTATTCCCCTCCCTGTGTCCATGTGTTCTCATTGTTCATCTCCCACTTATGAGTGAGAACATGCAGTGCGTAGAAAGCAATGCTTAATGCAAGTTTATTTTACTTACTTTTTCTTTTCTTTTTTTTTTTCCTAATCCTTTTGGCTTATTTCCCAGGGATGAGGTGGTAGACAGTGATTTAGATAGCAGTAGTAGGTGGTAGTGTGGTTTTGGCTCTGCCTGTTAAGTTTGGCATTTTGTAACTTGCAGAAGGTTAAGCCTTCAATACCAAACTGTTAGTAGGAACCCGATTCATCAAAATCTGGGGGCTACTGGGATTTGAGGTCCATTGTGAGACGTGCACCCCTGACCATCTGCTCGTCTCTGGGAGAGTTAGGTGCTCATTCCCCAGCTAAATGGTGAACAGCCAAGAGTCAGATTTCCACAAAGTGAAGTCAGGCAAATGTGCTCCTCACTGTGGTGCTCTATTACATGCCAAGGGGTGACCCTGGTAACAGAGGCGGGCACCAGGCCTTTGTATTGCTCCTGTGTTTCTAACTTGTTGCCTGGTATGGCATCGTGAGTTATGGGCCAAGGTGTTTGTAGGGGAGGGTGTGAGAGAGAGAGAGAGATCGTGTGTGTGTGTGTGTGAGTGAAATACTGCATCTTTCACTCTCTGCATCTCTGCATCATCAGTTCATCCTGTTGGTGAGGGGAACACGTGATGTAAGTTCCTAGAACCAAGAAGCCTAAGAAGCTTTACTTGTTTTCAGCTTTTATGTAGTTTTAAGGTCTCCTTCCTGTGCCCCTGAAGTCCCTCTCTAAAACTTTACAATACTTGGTTTTCGTAACAATTTTTACCAGGAAATAAAGAGCATGCCATGAGTTGATCAACAATGATTTTGTTAGAGTTAATAAGAACACCAGGCTCCAGAGAATGCCAAGAAAGTCCTCCTGCTCCTAAGATACCAATGAAACAGGTGATGCCTGGAGGAAATCTCAGTGGCTTCCCCATGAAGACAGAAGCAGACTTGTTTCAGCCTCGAAGAGAGGATTGACAATAGTCAGCCTAAAATATCTGAGTGCGTGAACCACACATAAATGGTTCCTTTGTCTCTGTCATGTCAGGATGCCATTCCCAAGGCATCAGGAGTGTCACTTCTCATTTTATGCATTAATTTTAATCCCCATTTATTCATTTCTTCTAATCAGCCATCAGGGACTCCAATCACATTTTAAACACCACTTTTATTCTTAGTGTGTTCTTTTTTCCCCCCAGAAATGGTGACTTCTGCTGCATTATTTCTGAAAACAAAAATGGCAGTTCTGAAGAAGTACTCTAATGGACTGTTTAAAAACTACTCTTAATTCAGAAGTTACTTAAAGCTAGGAAGACTCTATTTTGGTAGAATAGTCACAAGCAAAGAGTAATTCAGCTATTCAGCTAATTATCATCTTGTCCACGGTGGACCTTTCTGTATTGTGTGTCTAATAAACCTTCAGGGTTTTTCATCTTTTATTACACTCTCCTCGCAGCAATGCATTTCTATTAGTGGAATGGCAAAACTCATCTCCAAAGGGCCCAATAAAACCAAACTATTGGTTTAGCACACCTGGAACAAAACTGGAGTGAAGGAAGATTTTAGAGGCTTTCCACCTTTCCGTCTTTTCTCTTTCTGTAAGCAAAACATGAGCAGCAGAAAATACTGCTGTCCATTGGATTATGTTCCCAAAATGTTTGAGTGCCACAAAACCATATTCCCTTTTTATTGCATGAATCAATTAAATTCAGAATCCTAACAAGAAGAAGATAATCTTGCAACATATTGTACATGGTGGTTTAGGGGGGAAAATTCCCGATGACGTATGCAATGGTCAGTTGAGAACAATCTATGGAAATTCCATAACAGGAGAGATACCAGAAGGAGCAGGACAAGCTGAAAGAAGAGTGGGAAAAGGCCCAAAAGGAGGTGGAAGAGGAAGAACGCAGATACTATGAGGAGGTAGGAAATTCCCAAGAAGGAATTTGACCTTGTCATCCCAATTCCTCAAAGTCTAGCAACACTCTCTGTGTCTGTGGCATGCGGATGCATGTGGCTGTGTCTGACTCTTTACTGACAGCAGAATCCCATCAAGCTCTTTAAAACAGTCATGTCATTTAGGTTCTAAAAGACCACAATTCCTCACAAATACAGTTCGTGATAAGGGTGTGTTGAGTCACAGTCAAGGGAGACGATACAATTACATCTGTTCTCTAATCAGTGAGTCAGATTCTTGATTGATTTTAGAGAGGTGACATGAAATAATCAGTTCCATTCATTTGTGTGTTTGTTGTTTGGTAATAGTGAATTAATTTTATGAGGATAATTTTGATATTGAGGCTGAATGACTGCATTTACTATATAGCACTAAAGAGACTTGGAGGAGAAGAGAATTTTGTTTAGGTTCATTTTGTTTTTTAAATGAATAAGCCAGAACACATTAGATAACTTAAAGGGGGCTGCATTTTATGTATGTTATCTAAAGTTTGTTCATGATTAATATTGTGAATTTTATATTCAGCAATACTTTTTGTGCATAATCAGATCCCTAATAGCATTTCTAATTAGGCTTCTTGTATTACTCTAACTAATTAATTTGCAGAGTCTTTGTTTTTCAAAATTAAATGTTAATTTCTAAATTATTACCCATGGAGAGTGTTATATGATTTGCATGCTTTTGGAAAATAAGACTTTTTAAAATGCCCTGCTTGTTCGAACATATTCTGATTTTTTTCTAAAGTGCCTTAATGACATTTTTGTCTTGACAAATATGATTTTTATTTTCCCCCCTTTCATCGATTCCTGTCCTTCCCCTTAGGAGCGTAAGATAATTGAAGACACTGTGGTTCCATTTACTGTTTCTTCAAGTTCCGCTGACCAGCTGTCTACCTCTTCCTCCATGACTGAAGGCAGTGGGACAATGGTGAGACCACAGATTAAAAGCAATTTGTGAAATAAATAAACCTAAATGGAAGTACCAAACCCCAAGACCAAGGTTACCGAACAGACTCACTAGTTTAAATCCAAGACTAGCTATTCCCCTAGAATCACGTCAGCTACTGTGTGGCCATTGTACCCCATTGTTCTATCACTGCTGCAGCCAAATTCTAGAGTCATTTCCTGGGGAGTGGTAAAGTCATTACCCCAGCAAGATCTATCCCAGTAGTCTGGAAGCCAAAGTCTCTCCACACCTGGCTGGCAAGATCTCAATTAGTGAAGTCATATTGTGGAATATCCTTCTCACAGCCCAGTTGCCAGATCATTCATTCATTCAATATATATTTATTCCCCTCTGCCATACTATACATTCTTTTCCATTGTTTGGCAGTAGCAAAGATGTCAATAACATGTTCTCCACCAGCATCCATGAAAATTGCTTCTAACCCCCCCACATTCCACAAGACCTGTAGTCCCAGCTGCCTGGGAGGCTGAGGCAAAGGATCCCTTAAGCCAAGGAGGTAAAGGCTGCAGTGAACGTGATCTTGCCATTGCACCACTGTACTCCAGCCCGGGTGAGAGAACAAGACCCTATCTCTAAAGGAAATAATAATAATAAAAAAAACTAATGCATGCTGGGCTTAACACTCAGGTGATGGGTGCAGCAAACCACCATGGCACATGTTTATCTGTGTAACAAACCTGCACATCCTGCATATGTACCCCAAAACTTCAAGACAACAAATAAAAAAACCTAAATAAATAAATAAAATGAACTTACGTAGAACAGCACTAAAAACAAACAAAAATCCACAAGAAATTTACATGTTGTCTTTGAAGGCCAGAGAGAGCCTATAAAGTCTGGTCTGCCTCCACATTCCCCAAATAAGGTCATAGAAGATGGAAGTACAGGGCAGAAGTTATATCAAGACCTGGGTGGTCCATAATCCACGTAAAGGAAAATAACCTGTGGATACCAGAAAACCATTTGTCCTGAAATGAGCGGTCCTATGACTGTTTTATTTTGAAAGAGGGGTTTTCTAATCAATTCCCTTTTGTGATAACTTTCTAAAGAGATTCAGATTATACATTTATTCCAAATAGTTGGAAATCAGTTGCTATTCAGTTAATTTGGACAACTGTTCTTTAAATTATAGGTAACATGATTGAAAAATACTTCAAATATCCCTGGCCAGAGATAAGGGTTATACAGTGTTTTTAAAATTTATACTTAAGATTTTCATTGTTTTTCTCCTTAGAATAAGATAGACCTGGGAAACTGTCAAGATGAAAAACAAGACAGAAGATGGAAGAAATCATTCCAGGGAGATGACAGTGACTTATTGCTGAAGACTAGGGAAAGTGATCGACTGGAGGAGAAGGGCAGGTATGAGCCCATCCCAAGCCACCATGAAAATGTACAAAGCTGGGCTCTGCTCGTGCACGCTCAGGAAGGGTACTCATTGCTGATGCAAATTACATTCAGCTTCGAAATGAATGTTCCAGTAATACATTACATATTGTTTGGACATATTTTGTAATAGGTCTAAAATCAGTGCCCTTATCTTTTGAATATAAATAGCCTTATTTTTTTTCTTCTTCTTCTTTTTTTTTTTTTTGCTTGAGACGGAGTCTCACTCTATCTCAGGCTGGAGTGCCATGGTACGATCTTGGCTCACTGCAACTGCTACCTCCCAGGTTCAAGCGAGTCTCCTCCCTCAGCCTCCCAAGTAGCTGGGACTACAGGTGCGTGCCACCACGCCCAGCTAATTTTTGTATTTTTAGTAGAGATGGGGTTTCGTCATGTTGGTCAGGCTGGTCTCGAACTCCTGACCTCAGGTGATCCACCTGCCTCTACCTCCTGAAGTACTGGGATTACAGGTGTGAGCCACCATGCCTGGCCTAAATAGCCTTATTTTTAAATAGGCAAACTCTTTTTTAAACAAAGGGGGGCAGTATCAGTCTTCAAAAGCTGATTCAAAGCCCCAAACCTAAATATTACTCACTTGAAATGATGAATGTGTCTGGAGTGATAGAAATTGAAATGAGAACCTGGGGTCCCACCACTGTGGTTTCACTGTGGACCTGAAGTTGGCCATTATTATCCCCTGAGCTGTAAGAAATCATGTTTGCTCTGGTGATAATATAAAGCATAACCAACTAATTAACTGGTTATGGGTAGTCTCCCCACCCATGCTCTACTGTGTTCCATGGAAGATCAGAAAAGGACAGCTAGAGACCCCCTGGAGCGCTCAAAACTAGCTCATACTGGAGCAGACTCTGGTTGTGGCTGAGGGTTGTAATGGGTTTATTCATGCCACCCCACCCCATCCCTTACCTAGAAGGGACCCACAGAAAGCCCAAGAAGCTGGCAGTGCTCTGCCACCAACATGTTCTTCATGAGAAAGATGTTTTCCTCTGGGGCTCTGAGTTACCAGATAGGTATTGGCAAGAGTGCATGCATGTGCACACACACAGCATACCAGAGGGATCTGAGGCATGAAAGGCTAAGTGTCATTTTCAAAGACTGGCCAACTTGAAAGGTTGGCTGGGAGCAGAGCTTTCCTGGTGGGATTTTGCTCTGAGAATTCTCCTATGCTCATCAGCTAGAAGACTGGTTAAATTGTAAGCTACAGGTGCTCAGGGCTATGTCCAGAAACTGTAGAGCCCTTGGATGACTTTCCAGTTTAAACTCTTTAAAGGGACTTTTCAGTTTTATGCAATGAAAACCACTAGTCAGGAAGATCTGAATGATGCTGATAAGCTATTTACAAAATGTACAAAAAATGTAACTTTACAGAAAACCTTTGACCTTCATTTTTGCAATTTTTTGCATTTTTGCAATTTCTCCAGACAGGCATTTTACATGAATTTTAGCTAGTTCTCCAGGCGGTCCCTGTTTTCACCAGAAAAACTTTCCTTTTATCTCCTCCATCTGTTCATTCTTTGCACACAGAAGCCACTGAAAGGCCAGTGAGTTACCATGGTCTTCAAAGGTTCCATGTGGCTAAATTATTTTTACAGTAAGTGCTCTCTTGTGAACATCAGGTTAGCTCTGGCATTCCTTGAAATTATTAGAATGAAGACCTTTGTGGACAGAGAAGGCATCAGAAATGATAGTTTGTTGAGCTTGTTAAATGGGTGGATAATAGAAATTTGTAGTACTTTATCATTTTAAATCTATTTTAAAATAGAATAAATAAAGAGTCCCATCTCTTTTTTTATATTGTAATTGGTACTCCCATCCTTTAAGTTATAGGACCAAGAAGTTCGATTCAGTTACTTTTCTCTCTGCTCTGAAGTATACCTCTTTATTTTAACAGCCTAACTGAAGGGGCCTTGGCTCATTCTGGGAACCCTGTATCAAAAGGAGTCCATGAAGACCATCAGCTGGATACCGAGGCTGGGGCCCCACACTGTGGAACAAACCCACAGCTTGCTCAGGGTAAGAATGGAGAAGACCAGTTTCATTCAATGTTTAAATTGTTGTAAGACCCCCACATTGTCCAGAAAGCTATGATCTCTGCTGGCTGCAGGCTTCTCTCTAAGGGCCCTGGACTTCTAGCTTATGCCCAATATATAGTGAATAAACTTCTACCATCGTGTGCTCAGACTCTATAGGAACTTGCTGGGGACTCAGTGAGACCTGAGAGCGTGTTCGCACTTAAAAAAAAAATGTAACTTTACAGAAAACCTTTGACCTTCATAAGTAGTGCATTCTGAGACTTCCTCAAATTCCCAATTCCACCATTGGACATAATCTCCCCATAAAATGCTTATGGAGGAGTGGAATCCCCAAAGCCGGGTGAGATGTGGGTGCTGGAATGTTGGGAAGGTCCCATCGGTTCCCATTGCCATTTCACCCTCATTCCCACCTGTGTCTCCCACGCTCCTGGCTCACCATAGCAAAATTCAAATGTATTCCTCGCAAAAATGATCAAATTCTACATGCCGAGGGTCTTCAGGATCATTCCTAGATAACTGAAACTTCAAATGTTGAATGATATAAAGAGGAGGAGTGAGCTAAGAGGATGAAAGAATGACCCTGGTAAATGTTTTATTGCCAAAGCAAATCTGGCTGACCAAATAAATATTTTTTAATGGTGGAATTAACGAATTTTGCCTTAAATTTTTTAGCTTGTTGTCTATACACATATTTACCTGGGTTTGATTATAATACATAAGCATAGATTTGTGCGTGTTCCCAAATGGAGATATCCTGCAAGCTGAATACCATTCAGGTGCCCTATGGATTTAAACCACATCACAGTTGGTGTGATCCATGAGTCAGAGAAAGCAATGGGTGTTTACTGTGTTTTAGAAATGATGTTCCAGGTTATAATTGCATCCACCCAGATTTGCTTTCTTTCATGCATAAGAAGTCAGTATTTTAAAGTACTGTTTTATGACATCAGAAATCAGCGAGGGGAAAGGGCATGGTTCCTGACCTCCTTTGTTTCCAAAACTAAATCATGATGCAGTGATTTAAGTGGCCTCTCTAACCACCATGTGCCCATGACCTGCATGAAATCGCTATAAAACCTCAACAGGCATTAGCACTTTAAAGAAAGGTGACTTCCTAGGTAGTAAGGTGATTTTACTGTGCACTACATTTATGTTCTTTAATTGGCCTCAGATCCATCCCAGAATCAGCAGACATCAAATCCAACGCACAGTTCAGAAGATGTGAAGCCAAAAACCCTCCCGCTGGATAAAAGCATTAACCATCAGATCGAGTCTCCCAGTGAAAGGCGGAAGTGAGTAACCAGACACGATGGTTGTGGGATTCCCTTTTTTAAAAATTCATTTAGTTAGAAGGGAGAAGAATGAAAAATGTGAGATGGCAAGAGGACAGCAGCATTTTTGTGCTTTCTCTCCATTAAATCTCATTGACAAGGTAGTCAATATAAATGGAAGTTTGGGTCAGTCTTTCTGGCAAGTAAATATGTACTCTGAATTTATCAAGTTGTAATAGGCAAAGTTATGTTTTTAGCCCACAAATTTAAACATTGGAAAGCAGGTGCAGGCCTGTTGTGTTTGTAATTCATTTGAGTTAAATTGCCTCAGAGCCTGTGGACAAAGTTTCGTTCAAGGAAAAAAATGTTATTCTCTCATTATTATGCTCTCCTGTAAGGTAATTACCTGAGCTGTAATTTAATTTTGTAAGAAAGTATTTTTGACAATAATAGTTTCTATCGTGTTTGAACCATTTCAATATAATAGGCACTCTGTTGAAGAGTTTACATATATTTCTCTCCTTTTCATCCATTAACTCACTGAACCCTTCCAATAACTTAATGAGATTGTTCCTGCCATTTTACAGACAATAAAATTGAGGCTCAGGGAAGTTAAATAACTTATCCAAATTATTTAACTGATTAAGTAGTAGAGGAATTCAAAATGAACCCTCAGTTTCACGTAAGATCATATTTGAGCCAGAGATACCTTATAACCCAATGTTTAAAATGTTAACATTCATAGTACTGTAACCAATCATTCTACCTAGAGCCAGACTACCTCCATTCAGATTTTGACTCAGCCACTTGCCTACATTGGACCTTGAGCAAATTACTTAACCTTTCTCTGCCTCGTTTATAAAATGGGAATGACAATAGTCCCTACCTCATAGGGTTTTGTGCCTGGCTAATAGTAAGTGTAGGTGATGATGATGATAACTTGTTTTGTAAGAGAAAAATATTTATTGTCTTATTTTTCTTGTTACATTTTCCTTTTTCCCAGTGCAATATTTGAACCATTTCCTGTTTCTCTTATGTCTATCCAGTTTCATTTCTATTTGTCTGTATGACACTCAGAATCAATAGAAGCTAAAATTGGCTAGAAGTAATCACTATTGTTATTGATTATTGCAGTGATGTTTAATCTTTTTTAAAGCATTGGTACTTATACTTTAGGGTGTTACATGAAAATGTGATATTTGGAGAAGACAAGCATTCCCTGGCGAGGGAGGTTTGGGTGGGAAGCGGGATCAGGGAGTTATGCTGAAAGCGGAAGACACATGGACTCCCACGCTGTTCGCTTCTGTGCTGGTATTTTTCTTTCCCTTGTTCTTTTCTGTGTTCTACCCCTTTTCTTTACAAATGATATTAACTTTTAAAAGCAAGAGCCCAGAGCTGATGGCTTAATCACAGGCAGGGCTCACGTACAACCGTTCTAGTAGCTTCTAGCTGGGGGCTATTCTGACTTGTTGATGCCCACGACATATCAGTTGTTACATGTTTTGAACATGACCCTTCATCCCACGTATCCATAATGAATTTGTTGATAAGGGAAGTCACTGAAAATAGCTCCTTTAAGTTCTGCCCTTTATCTCTGGGCTCTCCTTGAAGATCTGCCCTGGATCCCTCCTCATCTTTCCCCTTCCACGGAGTCCATCGTTTTTATATCTAATTAGCATGCCAAAGCAGTTTGGCTAGCAACTTTTAAAAAACAACCTGGCAATTTTAGCGAATGAAGAAATTAACTAAAAATAAAGATTATAAAAAATTCTGTCTTTTCTGTTCAGCAATGCCAGCATGCCAGCCTGGTTTTGATTTTATGTAGCTAATACATGTACAATTCTTGCTAGACATTATTACTATTTTTGTTCATTAAAAAAAAAAATACTGCCAGGAAATGCTGTGGTCTTTGATTTGGTTGTCACAAAAGTTTTATTTTATTTTATTTTCCTAATCTAAAATGTCTTTTTTTAATGGAGTTTGGCTTCTCTTTGCTTGTCATAATTTTTGACTCCTTTACCACATTACAGGAAAAGTCCCCGAGAGCACTTCCAGGCTGGGCCTTTCTCTCCCTGTTCTCCCACCCCTCCCGGTCAGTCACCAAACAGGTACAAGAGGTCAGCAGGCCTTTCTGAGGCTGCTTTGTTATGACTAGAGCTTGCCAAGCATCATTTCAACTGAATTAGTGCTTGCCAAATGATTTTGAGGGATGTGTCCATCCACATCTCTTCCTACACACACACAGAGGCAAAAGGAAAGAGAACATTGTCCATCTGCCTGCAGATTTATCAGCTGCAATAGAAAAAGTCAGGCCTGTGACATTGGTGCCGCTATGGCCATAGGGCTTTAATTACATTGTGTGGAACCTCCAATCTAATAATAAAATCCACCAGACAACCGCTGGGCTCCAAAGCTGGCGCCTTTCCCTTCAAGAGGGCTAAGCCCTTCTAGGCGGGATCCACTGATGGCTCTTACAGAGAACCAGGAGGAGGCTGACAAACGAAACTTCATCCTTCTAACCTACTCCAGCTCTCTAATGATGACTTCTGGACATTAGCTGGGCCCCATGATATTTTTAAAAGCCGCCTGAATTCCCGTTCCCTGGAGAGACAAATTACTGAGTGCTCAGAGATTTTCTTTGATGTAGAAATTTCATTTAACTACTGGATAAGAGGGAAATCCTAATAAATAGCATTTGATTGGGGAACTCTTCCTCTTTTCTACTGTCTTCCTTTCTGTTTCTCCTGTCCCTCTGTATCCTGCTGGTTTTCAAATGATATTGCATATTTTTAAATTCCTTGTGTAATTCCAAGAGTTTCTCAGACATTTGGCATCATTGCAATGTGATCTTAGTTATATAAAAGCTGCCTTTCAGAGGACAGCTATCTAGTTTCAGATGGGTTGCTGAAGGTGTCCTCAAGGTATCCTCTCACCTGGTTTTGCTCTGCTGGTTTGGTTCCAGTCCATTGCTGGGCACTGTACTGGGTGCTGCAGGGGTACAGAGAGGAGGTAGATGCAGTCCTGCCCTCAAGAGGCTTCCAGTTTAGAGAGAAGGCAAGTGCCTTCATTCACAGAGTGTTTGCACTGGAAGAAATTGTAGAGATAATCTGGTCCAATCCTTTCATATTAAAAGGTGAAAGAGAAACCCAGAGTTAGTTTATTACACCAGATCAGAGAACTTGGCGACAGAGCAGACATTAGATCTCACCTCTCCGGGCCCTCTGTCTAGTCTGCTGTATCACAGGTGATTATTTCCAAACAAAAATGTTGTTTTCTTAATAAGTAAAAAGAAATGCTATAGTGGACCAGTGAACCACTTATGGGAAATTTAAAAGCAATATTGAAACCCCAGGAAAGCGAAACTCAGTTATCTTTTAGGACTTATAAAAAAAAGTATGATAAATATATTGAATCATGTTGAGGCATTTGAATAGACTACAACACAAACTTCTTGAAACAAATAACCTAATAACTTAAACACACGCACCAGATTCAGTACCACAGTGGAGACCCAGTATATTTAGTCTGGCAGTTGTTTGCCATTTATATCTAATGTTTAATCTCCTATTCATCATCAGTTCTGTCATTCTCATTTCATTCATGATATAGGCATCTTAAAAATCCATATTTTCATTTTTGCATGAGGTTACATGTCTGTGTGTTTGACCAGGTATTCTAAACTGAAGTTTTTATTCTTATGTATATTTTTAAACCTAGGTCTATAAGTGGAAAGAAGCTGTGCTCTTCCTGTGGGCTTCCTTTGGGTAAAGGAGCTGCAATGATCATCGAGACCCTCAATCTCTATTTTCACATCCAGTGTTTCAGGGTACGTACTTACTGCTTTGCTCTCCAGACACAACTTCATGATGTCTTTTGGCATCGTTCCGTGCTGAAAAATGCCTCTTGGAAATTCTGGAGGGCTTTGTCTGTGAGGTCTCACTGTCTAGGTTGTATAGACATTCCTTCAGAATGAAACTCACCTATCACGAATCCCTCTGGGATGTCAGATTAGAAGAAGCAGAAAGGTTTGTGCAATTTGTCCTTACAAAACAGTTTTTGTTGCTAAAGAACATATACTCCAGCAGGAGGCTGAGAATGGGATGCTGGGGAGGATGATGCTCTTCCAAATCTTTTAGGGCCATGTGGATTTATTTGGAATGTAATGTCTATGCTGTTTCTTAAACTCTTATGACTTAATGTGAAAGGGTTTTAGTCTTTGACCTAGTGGAAAATTGTCTGTCAATTAAGTGGCTAGTTAGAAAATTGTAGGTCTCAGAATGAATATGTCTGTAATCTTAGATTAAATATCACTCCCTCAAAAAAGCTGCCCTGCCCACCCAGACTAAGTTATCTTTGTTATAGGTCCTTATAGAACCTTTCTTGGTCCTTATTACTGATTATTGGATTATTTAAATATTATCTCCTCTAATAAACTCCGTAAGGGCAGGGACCATGTCTGTCTTGGTTACCATTCTTTCCTCTCTACCTAGCAGAGTAGGTGTCAATAAATATTTTTACGTGAATGAATTAGTGAATAAACTGAAAATGAGGAGTTCTAGATTCTAGTCCCAGATCTCTTGGTAATAAGTAGGTGAGTTAACCAGTTATACCTGATTTATTATGAAATTTATAAGCTGGACTATATCAGCATATCCTGTATTTTCCACTCATGGACACATTTCAAAATAATATATAATTTTTGAAGGCGAACCCTCTGTCTCTAAGGAGGAGTAATTTCTTGGTCTGCATAATCCTAACATACTTTCTTTTCCCTTCTTGGATTTTCTTTTATTTCTTGTTGGTAGTTTCCTTGGCTATGAAGTAAATTTGCCTGGGTTTAAAATAACTCCCACTTTGCCTATAAGCTAAGAGAAAGTCAGTGAAGTTGTCCCCAAATTACTAATTTAATAATAACAGTAATCACTTGAAAGCAAGATTTATCATAGACAAAACACAGCATAGATACTTATTTTAGATTTCATTTATCAAAAGTATTAGAATGAGACCAGAGTTTCCTAAGTTTTATTTTATTTCTATAGAGAACCATTCCACAAAGGACAAGCAAAAATATTCTCGTTGTAAAGATTAACCTAGATAATGTATGTCCTAAATGGTCTAGGGATGTTTTGAGGCTCAAGGAATATGCTTTTTAAGATTTGTAGTTATGCCAAGATAATATGCATTCTGAGAACACTGCATTCTGTTCTCAGAAACTTTATGAGGACTAGAAATAAGCAAGGTGGTAAGGGCTCTTTGCAGATTCTCAAGGGTCAGGAGACTTGCCTTCTTAACTCTCAAGGCCTTTATTCACTCTAATCATTCACTTCCTGGAGCTGGCCTGATGCTTTAAGGTACATCCCCTCTTGGATTTATTCCCCACTCTTGCAATGTAGAGGCAGCTTATGACATAATTTGGATTAAGCCTCACTCTGTCCCAGGTCACCTTAGAGCATGAATTAGGGGCTAGATCCTGGTCCCCCTGCAAGAGGCTGGCACCCACACCAACTTCCACTGCCTTTCTACCCTTCTGGTACAAACATCCAAGTATATCCTACAGTCTCTTTCTGCACTCAGCCTGTGTTGGTGGAAATTCCCAGTGGATTTGTTGCTCTGAATATCACTGCTTTTAATGTGGAAATATAAAATGGAACAGCAGGCTGGGCACGGTGGCTCATGCCTGTAATCCCAGCACTTTGGGAGGCCAAGGTGGGCAGATAACCTGAGGTCAGAAGTTCGAGACCAGCCTGGCCAACATGGTGAAACTCCATCTTTACTAAAAATACAAAAAAAAAAAAAAAAAAAAAATAGCCAGGCGTGGTGGCACACGCCTGTAATCCCATCTACTCAGGAGGCTGAGGCAGGAGAATTGCTTGAGCCCAGGAAGTGGAGGTTGCAGTGAGCTGAGATCATGCCATTGCACTCCAGCCTGGCCTACAGAGCGAGACACTGTCTTAAAAAATAAATAAAATAAACAAATGGAACAGGTACTTCCTAGAAATTTTGATCTGGTAGAACTTAGCAACGATGCTGGCAAGCCTTTAAAGATTATTGATGGACACATTTCAATTGATAACTCATTGGCCATGTGTTTATTTA
Source organism: Homo sapiens (assembly GCF_000001405.40). Classification (NCBI taxonomy): domain Eukaryota; kingdom Metazoa; phylum Chordata; class Mammalia; order Primates; family Hominidae; genus Homo; species Homo sapiens. The sequence continues at coordinate 41,691,906 of NC_000004.12, forward strand.
AAGCCACTAGGGTTTAATGTGTTTAAAATGGTTCTTCCATTTTGATTGAGAAACGGTGTATGATAGAGGTTAAGACGCTAGGCTTTGGAGTCAACCTGCTACCACTTATCAGCTCCACAACCTAGGAACAAGCCAACAAACCTCACTGAACCAGTGTCCTTCTCTGTAAAATGCAAGGAATTAAGCTAAAATTGCTAACTGTATATTTGCTTTTGCTGTAAGTTGACACTGGTGCAGCATCTTACACATAATAGATGCTCCACAAATGTGGTGATTGTAGAAGGGATTATTGTGCTATTCACATAAACAGTAACTAAGCATTAGAAAGAAACAATTCCTTATGCATCTTATGATGTCTGTTCTTTTTACCCTATAGTGTGGAATTTGTAAAGGCCAGCTTGGAGATGCAGTGAGTGGGACGGATGTTAGGATTCGAAATGGTCTCCTGAACTGTAATGATTGCTACATGCGATCCAGAAGTAAGTACTGGGGAGAATGCCTCATGATGACCGAGTGTAATCGTATGTCTTCCATAGGACCCAATTTAGGAATTCAAATATTTTTCCCCAGCCGTTGACACTCTAATCTGAGAGAAAGGTTTCTTAACATCTAGGTTAAAAAAGAAAAGATATTTACCACTCGTTTCTTCCTGGAAGTTATTGCTACAATGTGGACCAATTCTTTTTATCCTGAAGTGCATCAGCACACCAGCAGGTCAAAACATTGCCTGAGCTCACTACAGAGATTTTGGTGTGATAGAAAGGAGATATAAGGTCTGTCAAACACTGTCACTTGTTCAGGCATGTCTTTAGACGACTGGCACCATTTGGGGATGGTTAAATGTGGAGAGCGGCTCTCCACTGTTTCTCAGATCGAGCACCAACTCATCAATGTCTCCACGCCCTACATTCAGGAGTTTCATTACGTCATATGTGTTCCCAACTGAATGGAAAGTTCCTTGAGAGACAACAATGAGGGTTCCACTTCTCTGTGGATTCTTCCCCACCTCCCACCTCTACAATATCTTAGTAACAATATGCGCTTAACAAATTATTTGCTGCCTTAGTAAGTGAGAAGCCTGCTTGCTTTCCCGTCTTGCATCCGGGCCTCCTACTGTGGAAGGTGCATGTTAGTTTGCGGGGCAGCAGGGGGTGCTGTTGCCTAGCCGCTGTTTAGAAAATCTGAAAATGGCCAGTGGCTTGCCTCGGAATGTTTCCTCATTCTCCATCATGAGTACAGTCCTTCTGGTGGGTCACCTAGACAGCAGAAGACCTTTTAGTGCAGATTCATCAGTCAGAAACTCTTTTAAAAAATTGGAGTGAAGATAGGGAGTGTGAAATTCAAGAATGACTATTTCTCAAAGTGAAGTCACGTTTTTACTGCCTTTTTACATGGATCTCAAATCTCTGCAAGACTGAAAACTTTGAGAATAAAAATTGAAGGTAATTTGTTTTATAGCTATAGATTTAGTAAATTCAGTTAAATATGCCTATTAATAAAATGGGAAATAAAAATTTAATCAAACCCAGGTAGTTTAGATTTATAATAAATATTTGACTTGAGATCAAAACAGTTCCAACTTAGAGCCGCTGCTATCAAACTGGACTATTTAGATCATGCATGATATTAGTTTTTATACTATGTATTTTATATATTAAATTATATAAATAGTATACCATATATCATAAATATATACACACAAATTAACATATATAGTACATGTATAATAGGTAATAATTATATACATTTTATTTAAACTGGACTTTTGCTTTTATATGCTAACAAGGAAAACAACTCTTTTCTCCCAGATTTCAATGCGAATTTTCCTATCGTCTTCTATAAATTATTCTTTTTCTCTACCTCAGTGAACCACAGTGAATGTAATTTATGGAACCAGAAGAGGGCACTGTTAGGTTGAAGGACTGCTCAGAAAGATTTGAAAAGTGCTGTAGATCTGAGTTTGTTTAATAATTTAAAGTGCTTGAAGGATGCCAACAGAACAACCTGAACCCCCCTCTGGGTGACAGTGACCTCTTTTCATCTAGATTTTTTTAAATTGAGAGGTTGGGTGATTCTTTGTCATTTCTTTTGGAAATTAGCTTTTTAATTCAAGACCAGGAATTTTTCTCTTAAATATACAAATATAAAGGGCATTAACTGCTTTTAATTTCAAAACCATGGAGTTCCTGTAATCAGCTGAAAAATAAGAAAGTGATTTGGAGGTAGGCCACAAAAATGATTTTTTCTTTATTTTATATGTGAAATGCAGTGTTTTACCAGGATTTACCATAGAAAACAAGGCCCATTGTTTTCTCTGCTTCTATAGACATTCAATGAATAAATAAAAGTTACAGATGCTATAATGTTAGAAAAATTGAATTGTTCAGAAAGACACCACATTAAAAGGGCAGATCTCCATTGTAATCACCTTCCAATAATTTCTTGGGGTAGGGGCAGAATATATGTTTGTACATGTGTATGCACACACTTGCACACATGTACACACAGAGATACATATAAGTATGATGTATCTACCTGGATTTGTGTTGGTTTTTATTTCACATAGGTGATGATCATATAGTCATGGTGTTCTGTACTTGGTTTTTGTTGCTGTCATTTTGAACTTAATGATATATCTTGGTAACTTTTCCAGATAACATGTTGTGTCTCCTTTTTCTTTTTAATGACTTTTAAATAGCGGCATACAATCCCATTGTGTGGACTTATAATTTAAAACTAATTCTCTATGAATGGACACTTTGGTGGTTTCCCATTTTTTAATATTATTTTTAAATGAACATCCTTGTGCATATATCTTGGTGAATATTTCAGAGCATCTCCATAGGATAGATTCTGAGCAGTAGCACAGGTGACGTAAAAGGCATGTGCTTTTTAAATTTTCAGACATCTTGCTTAATTATCATTCAGAAAAGTGCACTCTCCCTGCAAAATGTATGAGAGACCCCCTTTATTTCCTCCAAGCCTGTATCAGCTCTGGATATCATCAAACATTAAAAATTTCCACTCTGCTTGGTGGGGGAAAAAATCTCATTGCTTTGATCTGTATTTCCATAATTATGGGTTTGAACATCTTTTCATATGTTTACTCACTATTTATATTTCCTTTTCTGTAAAGTGCTTCCCTAGCCTTTGCCCATTCTTCTATTTGGCACCTGATTTGTATGAGTTCTTTGCAAATTAAAGAAATTTGCCATTTGTTATATTTGCCGCATATTGTGGTTATTAGTTTTCCCACTCTGTGATTTATTTTCATACAAAAGATTTTCATTTTATGTAATTAAATATATATATTTAATACATATAAAAGAAATATATGTTTCTTTTTTGGATTATAGGTTTCTTAGGAAAACTCTCATTTAAAGTGTATAAATAAATTTAGCTGAGATTTCTTCTAGAATTGTTTTTTTTTTTCTCCTTCACATGTAAATATGTCATAAGCAGGATTGTATTTGGGGGTAAAAAATGAGGTAGCTATCTGGCCTGATTTTTTTTCCAGTTAGCCACTTGTATGAATATCACTGAATGAATAACCCCTCTTTTTCTCACTAATTTGAAATGCCAGCTTTCTCATAAACTAAGTTCCCATATATATTTAGGTCTATTTCTGGATATTTTATTATGTTTTATTAACCTATTTATTCTCCATTACTGAATGTTTTTAATTATTGTAGCTTCATAATATGTTTTAATATTGGGTAATAAGGGTCACCTTCTTTCCAATTATTTTTTTCCAAAATTTTCCTAACTCTTCTCCCATGTTCATTTTTCCAGATAACATTAATATCTTTAGGCTAATTTCAATTAAGTTAACTCATGACAGAGAGAATGACCAGCACATCTGAGAATACTGTTTAATTCTTTGCTGATGTCCTAAGAAATAAATATACCTTAGGAATGAATAGGTAGAGGGGATTATAATTTGGATTGAGAAGTATAAATATGCTTGTATTGGTCAAATATATCCAAGATGCAATAAAAGAGTCAGAATGGGAAAAAAAAAGGCTAAAAACCATTTTTCTTTCTTTTTTAAAATTTGATTTAAATTGAGAAGAGTGGAGATGGATAGATGTGAAGGGTGGTTTACGTCATAGGCATTCTAAGTGAAACAAAATAATTTCATTTTGTGGAATAATAAAACCTGAATATATAATCCTATTTTCTCCAAGTAACTAGTCACATTTAAATGAAATTTTTCTCTTGAAGGGAAAAATAGCATACCAGCATATTAAAATGCAACTCCTAAAAGCAATGTAAACAGTTTTTAAGTTCATATGTAAATGGAAATGGACGTGCAAAACAAATTACCTGTCATACATCAAGCCGTCACATGTTTAACTTGTGCCATTTGTGCTTGGGTGTTGGATGACTGTGTCTTTGTACATGGTGTTCTGTTCCATCATTCACTCTTGTGAAACGCATTTAATGCAAACTCCCTGGGGTCTTTTCAAATGTTGCAATTGCCTCATCACAACTGTAGTGCCTAAAAAGGAGAAATCCTGTGAAGGTTTCAGCAGAAAATATGGAACCCAAACAATCCTTTCTAGATAGGTTTACCAGATAAAATATAAGATACCTAGTGGAATTTTTTTAAACCAAGTTAAAGTTGAATTTCACATAAACAATACATTTTTTAAGTCTGTGTATGTCCCAAATATTGCATGCTCTGGATTTAACATAAGTATGTCCCAAATATCATATGGATATGCTTATACTGAAAAATTCTGTGTCGTTTATCTGAAATTATACTGTACTGGGTATTGCGTATTTATACTTGCTGAATCTAGCAATCTAATTTCTAGATCATATGTCAAATTCCTCATATTACAATGTACTTATTCTTAGAGAAATCAAAACCTAAGGAAACTGAGAGAAAAGAGATTATTTTCTTGCTTATTTGCCCCAGAGGACAAGGTAGAAAACTTGATGGAGATGCTTTGGTTTAGGGGCAATCCAGAGCATTTGATCAAACTTCACAGTGCATGTGAATCACCTGGGCACCACGTTAAGTGGGTCTGGAATGCGGCTTAAGAGCCCGGATTTCAAACAGACTCCAGGTGATGCCAGTACTACTTGTCCTGGGGCCACACTTCAAGTAGCAGGATGGGAGAAGTTTCTGGTCCCCAGGAAGAGGAGACTTTGGTAAAGGCAGTTGCTCATTAGGGAGGTTTTAAAATGTCTGAAGCGAGAAATGTTGCCTACCACTCTTGTTTGTTGTTGTTTGTTTTAATCACAGGTGCCGGGCAGCCTACAACATTGTGACACGGCTTTCAAGCTTCCGGATCACTCACCATTTCTTTACTGAGAGTGTCCCCTGGCAACTGCTTAACAAAATCCCAAGCTCAGGGGCTTCTCAGCATTTACCTAATTTCTGAAAGGCTCTTCTGAAAGGTGGTATCTGTTCTTTCGTAGCACAGTGTTTATGTTTTTCCTGTTTATTGTTTTGGTTTTTTTTTTTTTTTTGCATTTGCACAGTATACACAAAAGAATATGGGGTTGTAATGATCCTGAATAGCTCAAAAAAGGTTTTAGCATGGTCAAACAGGCTTATGGTTTAAAATGTGTTATTCTCTTCTTTGGGAATTAGCTAAATGATGCAATAAACCTGTTTTGTTTTAGAATGTCTAGGAATTAAACACTTTATGTTTACAGAATTGAGCTGCAGAAAGTGCAAGACATGCCAATTTGAGACACACGGTCTTCTAAGACTGAAGGATAAATTTAATGCATTTCAGAAACTAAACATCACAGCAAGCTCTATCTCTGAGCTATAATTTGTTTTTAATGCAAAGACACTAGTTTGATAATATATACTGTAATCCTGAAACATTTGTGTTACTTACCTTTGGAGGTAGAAATTATACCAATAAATTATTGCACCGTTAGTATTAGATTCTGTGTACCTTGGAAGTTATGTCATTAATATAGGCTGGTTCATCAAATAAAGCAAAACCTTGCAATATCAGCTAGATTTACACTCCGGGACGTTGCCCAAAGGTAGGAAGAAAGCAGAGGGAAATATTTCAGTCATCATTTCCAAAGTCATTATCAAAATCTGTGAGGAAGTTTAATCTTCCAAAGAGTCAATGTCAGACATCAGGCCTCTGTTGCCTGCTTCTCTCGAGGCACTAGATTAGGAGTCTTCAATAAGAGACTTAACATGAGGTATATGGAAGATGAGGCACCGAGATAAGTTCATCATTAGGTGTGAGCACTGCTCACCCTTGCTGGCAAGTTCTCCTTAAGGGCCTGAAGCACAGGTGTCCAAAGAAAAGCGTTAAGTCCATCTTAATAGAATCTATGTGGTATATGATGTGGTCAGCCCCTGGTCTGTGATCAGCAAGAACCTACAGCACAGATTATGCCCTGCCCACTTCAATGAATACCTACTCTCCTCCATTCTCCATCACTTTTTTTGCTATCAAGAACTCCGGACCTTGCCCATGGAGAAGTTTAGAGAGGAACTCTTGTGGAGAGCTGGTTTATTTTCTGCCCTGTGCGACGAGTTTCAGCTGGCCAAGAAAGGAGTCAAGTTATTAAAAAGCATCACAATGTAGATCTCCAGGCTGGTTTTTTGTTTTTTGTTGTTAAGACTGGGGAAAGGGGGACTATTTATTCTGCCTTAAATCAATGGCAAATAAGTCAAGATGACATTTTGTGAATGTAGACTATGGATACACTCCTAATAGATTGATGTAGTCATAAAAGGGGGTCAAGTAGATGTTTTTCTGTTATGTAAGCAATAATTTTTCCGTGTCTTATTGAGTATGGCTAGCGATTATTTATTACATGCTAGATGGGTTCTTTGCATGTGGGTTCCATATAGGTGCAGAAATTTCCTCAGCCACTGGAGGGATTTCGACCATATTTGTCATTTGGATGAGCTGTTATTAGATTGAAATCTACACATCATTTCATTAAAAATTGTGCCTTAGAAAACGCAAAGCTGTTGCACATGGCGATAAATTATGGATGCAGTACATTGAAGAGAGATGAAGTCACTTCCAAGTTTCCAAGACTTCTCATGGAGGTGTTTGCTGTTTTACAGGAAAAAATAAAAATAAAAAAAGAAAAAAAGAAAAAATTAAAAAGAAAAATTGTTTTGAAAATGTACAGATCAAGTCCAATATTTTGATTATCCACCTGCATGTTTTATTAAATATTTTGATAATGTGGATGTTTACACTTTGCATGATATTAGCAGAGTACCACTAGTAATGCACAAACATGTACAATATGGTCATTCATAACCGATTTTTATAGAATACTTTTTACATGTGCAACTCCATCCGTTATGTAAGGATTACATGAATATTGCACATTCCCTTCTGGTTTCACAAACCCATTTATACATATTTCTTAGTGAGGCTCATTGTACATGTATTGAAGCTAGAATCGAGTCAAGAAAAATAAAGCCCCATTCTCCAACTGCAAAATGTGCTTTCCCATAATGAACACTAGTCACCAGCACAGAATAATCTCCAACATTTTCTAAATTCTAATTGCCAACTGTTTCTATTTATATTTGATTTATATTTCATTTGGAGTCTGTTACATGGCAGCTTAGGCAGACTAGATCTTGTTTTTTCCAATGCAGCATAATGAGTATGATCTATTTCTTTTCAAATAATCTTTGAGATCCCAGGAAAAAAAAAATGCTCTGCTCCATTGAGCTATAATGTAAATGTGTTTGTTTAAAAAACAGGTGAGGCAAGTGAGTGATTTATTGTTCCTGAGGAAGTATATCTGATTTTTTTTCTCATACTCCAAAAGCTAGTCCCTACTCTTTAATAAAAATAATGGGTAACTTTTTGTTTTTCACTAGCGAACTTCCATGACATTTCCTTTCTATGTAGTGTGATTAATGCAATACATATTATAGTTATCTATACACAGTGTAAGATTTAACAAACTGAAATGATCCACCTCATATGTGAGTCCGTCCAAAAGATGTTACTGCTCTGGGTGGGCCAGTGTTCTATATCGGTTATACTAACTTTCATTTAAAGTATTTATTCTAAAATGCCTCTGAGAAACAGTAAAAAATAAAAACAACAAGTTGTCTAAAATGCAACAGCTTTTATAGTAAATGTACATTTATAAATAAAATACTCAAATCAACTTTGTATTCCATTAATTATTTTTGGAGGGGTGGCAGTTGGTTTTCTTACATGGGGAAGAGAGACTCAAGCTTTCTCTTGTAGCTTTTGGTCCAGGGTTACATAGACAGATGATGGCAGTGCTGGATGTTTGCATGTACCTATTGATGCATAGTTGAGGTCAACTATTGAAGGCAAACCAAACTTACTGGCTGGTTTAGGGGTCACTGAGGAATTGCCTTCTATAGAAGGGTTTAAGCTCCTGGAGATGAGACACACAATAACCAGCAGAGGCCATGCAAATGCCAGTGAAACTCGTCTGAAACAACCAAATGATGGTCAGCTTGCAGCACTGGCTAGACAAAAAGCAAGGCAAACTTTTTTTTTCTTTTTCTTTTTTTTTTTTTGAGACAGGGTCTCACTCTGTTGCCCAGAATGGAGTGCAGTGGTGCAATCTCAGCTCACTGCAGCCTCGACCTCCTGGGCTCAGGTGATTCTCCCACTTCAGCTTCCCAAGTAGCTGGGATTACAGGCATGTGCCACCACACCCAGCTAGTTTTTTGTATTTTCACTAGAGACGGGTTTCTCCATGTTGCCCACGCTGGTCTTGAACTCCTGGGCTCAAGCAGTCCACCCGCGTCCATCTCTCAAAGTGCTGGGATTACAGGCATGAGCTACCGCACCCAGCCAAGGCAAACTTTTTGAAGTCCCTGTATTCTGCCACTTTCCCCAGCACTACCCCAATGTTCCCCACTTATTATATATGTAAGGTGTGTTTACTAAGGGCCTTTTCCTCAGGTGTGGAGCCAGGGAATCTGCTGTGAATCAGTAGCATCCTGCTGACACTGTTGGCTCTCTGAAGTATACACGTATTCTGCCTTGCACTCTGTTCCAAATTTGAAGGTGGTGGCAATACTAAGCAAATCCCCTGAAATTTTCAATTGTTTTAACATGTGATACTTTTTTTTTTTTTTTTGATGAAGTTTTGCTCTTGTTGCCCAGGCTGGAGTACAGTGGCGTGATCTCAGCTCGCTGCAACCTCCGCCTCCCAGGTTCAAGCAATTCTCCTGCCTCAGCCTCCCGAGTAGCTGAGATTACAGCCGGCCGCCACCATGCCCAGCTAATTTTTTGTATTTTTAGGAGAAATGAGGTTTCATCATGTTGGCCAGGCTGATCTCGAACTCCTGACCTCAGGTGATCCACCTGCCTCAGCCTCCCAAAGTGTTGGGATTACAGGCGTGAGCCACCGCACCCGGCCAAGATGTGATATTCTAATTGCCACCACGCATTGTCTTCTTTTTGCAAAGTTTGGTGGACGGTTAGTAGTTGCTGCTGTTTGCATGGAAAAGTGGATTCTTCTCATAAGAGAGTTTTAGTAGCTATCAGGTGAACTTAATATTTTCATTGTTATTTAAATGAAAGCCCATTGAACTAGGATGCATTTCAAAACAAAGACTATTACTCTAATATGAGGTCTATGAAAAATATCTTTATTCAAAAACAAACATTTTGCCTCAAGGTTGTTGAACTAGCTTTCTTTCCGTGGACTTTCTTCAAGATCTAAGGACTCCTTTTAGAGTCCAAATCAAGGCTCCTTTCCCCATTCTTTGGCATTATGTAAGGTAGTGGTTACAACTCAAATGACTAGAGGGGTTACAAACCAAATGACCAGTTAGGCATTGTAAATGAGAACCAGAAGAGGACAATAGAGAGCAGTGTGGAGTATGGCAAACTGGAAAAAAAAGAACAGTTCTGTCTAAAGAAAGAGGCAGCTACTTGGCTTCATCAGTTGTTTTATGTGAAATCTCCAGTTTTTAAATATTGACAGTTTAAAACATTTTCCAACACAGTGCTATCCAAAATTGCGGGGTTCAGCAAAATATATATGCAAGTCCAATTTTGTTCTGAGGCCACTAATTTCCAACCTATAGCTCAGTCTCCTCTTTGCTTTTCTATCAACTGCTACTAATTTGCTCTGCTGTGGATCATTTTATTTGAAAAATATATCAAGAAATGGCCATGCAAAATATTTGCTTTTCAGAGTGTCTTGGGTCACACAGAGAAAGAAGCCAATAGAGCCATTAATCATCAGGTGATATTGTTATGATTCATAACACTTTCAGATAGTAGTATTTGTGCATTGTCATCAAACATTACTATTTCACAAATGCCCGTGTTCAGTGTTTTGCCCAACTGTGCCCTTCCCCTTAATGGTTACGTTCATGCTTCTGAGTGACTCAAAAGGACAGAAAAGTGTGCAAATAGACAGACTAGAATTTTTCCTAAATTTGTTTGGCATCATTTTACCAAATGCGCTTTTGCAAGTATTGTTTTACTTATCAAATAGTATTTCTGGCATGTGAGAACATAGATGTATGCCTTCTCATTTTACAGGTGAGAAACTGAAGTATGAGAGGGATAAGTGGCTTATTCTGGATGAGTATAAGATTTTACATAATTGTGTATTTCACCCTCTGTCCCCAGTCAGGGTGGATCAGGATAATTTCCTATCCAACTGTTCCTGGTGCCTGTGTCTGGGATCTTATTCCAGACCAACTAGGAGGACCTTTGACCATAGCTAGACCTTGGTAGGATTTCATCTGCACCCAAACAGAGACTAGAACACTCTTTTTATAGTAAATTTACGCATATAAACAAATACTCAATGGACTGTTTGTCTTAGTCCCTTTTGTGTTGCTATAAGAATGCCTGAGACTGGGTAATTTATAAATAAAGTATTGGCTAATGATTCTGCTGTCTGTAAAAGTTCAAGATTGGGCATCTGCATCTGATGAGGGCTGCAGGTGGCTTCCACTCATAGCAGAAGGTGAAGGGGAGCTGGCACATGCAGAGATCACATGGTGAGAGAGGAAGCAAGAAGAGCGGGTGGGAGTGGGGATGCCAGGCTGGCTCTAACAACCAGCTCTTATTGAAACTGATAGAGCGAGAACTCACTCACCCTTGAGTAGGAGCTTTAATCTATTCATGAGGGATCCACCCCCATGACCTAAACACCTCCCGTTAGGCCCCACCTCCAACACTGAGGAACAAATTTTAACATAAGGTTTGGAGGGGACAAATATCCGAACCACAGCAGTATTTTTGTTTTTTTCCTCTTGTGATTTGATTTTTTTACTCTGGAAAGAAAAGTGGAGCTTTCCTTTGTGGCAAGGCTTTGGGCACCTTGGTGGTTGCTGCAGTAGAGGCTGAGGAGTCTGTCTGTGCCAACCACACCCCTGACCAGAGCCCACTGACCTCTCCCTAACACATACCATCTCCAAAACCTCCTGTTCCCTCCCAAAGTCTAATTTCCAGAGTCAAGGAAAAACTAGTGCTGCCTAATAGATAACACATTGTCCCACTCAACTTTTGCTTCATAGCCAAACCTCAAACTCAAACTCAGCCCAGACCTGAACAAAGGGAGGGTCTCTTTCTAACCATCCCGATGGAGAAAGGATTCTGATGGCACCCCACATTGGTTCCCATATCACAATATTATTTCACTCAAATAGATCCATTGATCCATGAATGAAAGTGTTTTCAGTTTTTAGCAGGAATAATGGCATTGTCTGTGATAGCTTGTGTTCTTTATTATTCACCAGGTAGATAGAGAATTATTTCAGCAGGTCCTGTGGTCTTAGAAAACACCTTGGCTGGCTGAGGATGACTCTACAGAGCTATAGGGAGCATCTGTCCAACATTTTCTCAAGCACTACACTCATGCTCCTTTGCTATGGAATTAATGACTAACCCAACGTCTGACCCTGGAGTATTGAACACTTCCTCCTGAATCCGTGAAAATCTGTGATTGTCTAATACCTTGAAAATCGAGAAACTTCATCTTGTTGATATGATAACATTCTGGGAAACATGGAATCATTGATTAGACTTGGAGAATGCCTTTCTGAGATGTGTTTTTAAAAAAAAAAAGGAATAATCAAAGGAATTTGCCTTGCCCAACAGTAAAATTTACTGGAATTTGCCTTGCCCAACAGTAAAATTTACTGTAAAGATAATAAAGTACCTATCTCGGGCAAGAATTGATAAACTAATTGATAAACTGATTGTAACTGTCACAGCAATGAATATGATATACAAATCCAAATAAACATAAAAACTTTAGTGTATAATAATAGTGTTTCAATGACCAGAGGAGGGATAGTTGATTAACATCATTTGTTTACAATAAAATTAATTCAGGTAGAGTAACGTGTTAAGTGCAGGAAAAGAAAAGATAGGCTTAAATATGTTTAAATACATACTCAATAAAGAGAATTGAAGGCAAATTTTAAAAATAATAAAAAGCTGGGGAAAATATTTCCAACAAATATAACAAAGAGCTAATAGCCATAAACTATGAAAGCTTTTTACTAATCAATAGGAAATGTACATAGACTCACAGAGAAATATAATGGCCAATAAATACCAAAAAATTTTCAACCATACTAGAGATATAGAAATGCAAATTAAAACAACAGTAAGATTGATGGCTGGCCCTGGTGGCTCACACCTATAATCCCAGCACTTTGGGAGGCATGAAGCAGGAGTATCACTTGAGCCCAGGAGTTCGAGACCAGCCTGGACAATAAAGGAAACCCCTGTCTCTACAAAACAAACAAACAAAAACAGTAAGACAAGACTCCTCCTATCTCCCCAAAAACAGAAAATTATTTAACTTTGTTAAGAATTAAGAACTTCTATATGGTGAAAAGAAAGTTTTTAAAAAGCTACAACCCAAGAGATTGGTTGCACATAAATCAATTAGTATCCAAAATATATAAGTAACTCCAGAACATCAATAAGAAAAATACAAACAGATCAACAGAAAACAACAAAAGACATGATGGGCATTTCATAGAAAACATGAATAGCAAAACACACAAATATATTCCATATTTTTAGGGAGGAAATATAAGTTTAAGCCGTTATGAGATACCATTTTATACAAGCCAAGCTGATAGAAATTTAAAGTTTTGATAAGACCAAGTGTTAGTGAGGATGTGGAACAATAGGAACTCATACACTACTGATAAGAACGTATATTGGTAAAACAGTGAGACAGTATATCATGCCAGTCAGAATGGCGATTATTAAAAAGTCAAAAACAAATGATGCCGAGGTTGCAGAGAAAAAGGAATGTTTTACACTATTGGTGGGAGTGTAAACTAGTTCAATCATTGTGGAAGACAGTGTGGCAATTCCTCAAAGATCTAGATGCAGAAATACCATTTGACCCAGCAATCCCATTACTGGGTATATACCCAAAGGGATATTAATTATTCTGTTATAAAGATACAAGCACACATATGTTCACTGCAGCACTTTTTACAATAGCAAAGACATGGAATCAACCCAAATGCCCATCAGTGATAGACTGGATAAAGAAAATGTGGTACATACACACCATGGAATACTATGCAGCCATAAAAAGGAATGAGATCATGTCCTTTGCAGGGACATGGATGGAGCTGGAAGCTGCTATCCTCAGCAAACTAACGCAGGAACAGAAAACCAAACACCGCATGTTCTCACTTATAAGTGGAAGCTGAACAATGAGAACACATAGACACAGGGAGGAGAATACCACATACTGGGGCCTGTGGGGAGAGGGAGAGTAGGAAGAATAGCTTGCAGATGCTGGGCTTAATACCTAGGTGAAAGGACGATCTGTGCAGCAAACCACCATGGCACACATTTACCTGTGTAACAAACCTGCACATCCTGCACATGTTCCCCTGACTTAAAAGTAGAAGGAAAAAAAGAAAAAAAAAGAATGTGTATTGGTAGACAATTCTGTATTATCTAGTGAAGCTGATGAAGCTCATACCCCTTGACATAGCAATTTCACTTCTAGAACATAAATACCTTAACCTAAACGCTAGAGAAGCTCAAGAAAACTCTCACCCACGTGCCCTGGGAGACGTGTTCAAGAAAGTCCTTCACAGCACCGTTTGGATATTATGGTATTCTATTTTAGTAGTGAAAAATGAGTGAACTGCAGAGTATACACATATATTTAGGTGAATCTCAGAAAATATAAGGTTAAAATAGCAAGGCACCCATAATTACATACAGTACAACATCATTGCTATGAAGCTCAAAGACAATAGAAAACTAAGCATTATAGTCTCTGGGATTACCTGATATAACAATAAAAGAGCAAATCAAAACAAAAGATTAACACAAACAAAATCCAGGATTTGGTGCAGGAGGAAGGGGATCCCTATCAAGGAGGATAGACAGGGGCTATCAACTTCATTGCCTTTTTATGTTTTCACATTTATTCGTAAGTTTTGTTTTGTTATGAGTACCTTCAGCCCTACTAAATATTGACAAACTGCTTTCCAAAGTGATTGCTCCAAATAGTTTAACAAAGCATAGAAGATCCTATTTCCCCACATCATACTCAAAAGTTGGTATCTCTGGTTTCTTAATTTTTTTTGCCTTTCTGATGGAAGGCATTGCTTAAATTTATGTTCTCCTGACTAATGGTGAGGCTGAAATGGGCATATTTTCATATCTCTATTGGACTTCTGGACACACAAATGGACCAATTTCCACTTCTGTTAATTACCTGTTCATTTCATTTGCCAATTTTCCTATTGAATGGCTTTCTTATTATTATTATTATTATTATTATTATTATTATTATTATTATTATTATTTGAGACAGGGTCTTGCTCTGTCACCCAGGCTGGAGTGCAGTGGTGCCATCTCAGCTTACTGCAGCCTCCGCCTCTGGGATTCAAGCAATTCTCCTGCCTCAACCTCCCCAGTATCTGGGATTACAGGCATGCACCACCATGCCAGATCATTTTTTGTATTTTTAGTAGAGAGAGGGTTTCACCATGTTGGCCAGGCTGGTCTCCAACTCCTGACCTCAGGTGATCCACCTGCCTCATCCTCTCAAAATATTGGGAGCCACCACACCCAACCAAATGGCTTTATTATTCATACAGCTTTATAGGGGTTGTGTAAATATTCTAGATCCCAATCTTTTATCAATTGCTTGCATAAAGGTATCCTGCTACATACTCTTAAAATTCTTAAAGTTTTGAATTTGACATTTGGATCTTTATCAAGTGATGTAGGGATCTAATGTTTTTCCTCTTTGGATAGTCGATTTTCCCAGAACCCCTTAAAAACCCATCCTTTCCCTGTTGATTTGTAATATCACTCCTGTGGGATACTGATTTGCATATATCTAAGAGTCTGTTTCTGGGAATTTATTCCATTTCATTAATATATTCATATATGTCTACACTATTATGACACTATTTTAATTACTATATTTTTATATTAAGTCTTGCTGTCCAGAACAGCAAACTTCCTTTCTCAAAATTATCTTAGCTATTTTTGGCTCTTTACTCTTTCATACACATTTTAGGATAAGCTTGTAAATTCTAAAATGCCTTGGGATTTTGATGAACATTGAATTTATAGACTATACTTTTCTAATTAGTATTGCTCATATACAAGAATACTACTGATTTCTTTATGTTAATCATGGACCCAGCAACTTTGCTGGACTCTTTTATTAGTTCTACACATTGTTTATCATTTCTCTTGAATTTTCTATGTTAATCATCATCATCTACAAAAAAGATTACTTTGTCTTTTTTTATGTTCTCATTTTTTTCATGTCATATTGTATTGCTAAGCTATCCAGTAATTGGTGATAATAGATATCCTTGTCTCATTGTTATTTACATAGGCAAAAAATTGGAAAACATCCTAGATGTCTAACAATAGGGAAATCATTGTGAAAATTATGGCATATCTTTATAATAACATTCTGCCATTGAAAAATTCCATTTTCAAAAACATTTACTTTAAATTATTAAAGTACCCACAATAAAATGCTATGTTTAAAAAAGGCATGAGGTCAGGTACAGTGGCTCATATCTGTAATCCCAGCACTTTGGGAGGCTGAGGTGGGAGGATCGCTTAAGCCCAGGAGTTCAAGACAAGCCTGGGCCACCTGGCAAAACCCCCATCTCTACTAAAACTAGAAAAATTAGCTGGTTGTGGTGGCATGAGCCTGTAGTCCCAGCTACTCGGGAGGCTGAAGTGGAAGGATCATCTGAACCTGGGAGGCAGAGGTTGCAGTGAGCTGTGGTCGTACCACTGCACTCCAGCCTGGGTGACAGAGAAACACCCTGTCTCAAAATAAGTAAATAAATAAAAAGCCATAATATCAAACTATGCACGTGATTCAAGTTTTATAAGTCAAATCTATTTTATATATATATGTGTATATATGTGTATATATATATGTGTATATATTATATATATATAAACTATGTCTCATGTTTTGTATTATATATGTAACCCGAGCATCTGCAGTTTTCAAGATTTATGGGGCCATGCCTTCCCATAATATCCAGGCATAAATCCATGCTCCATTCTACAGGACTACAAGAAATCTGGCCCTTTCTGCAATTATGTCTGATCTTCAGAGTGCCCTGGTTTTTGTTTCCCACAGTTCTTGCTCAGTAGCTGCCCCAGGCTTCTTCTTCAGTCACTTTTGCCTGTTTCGTCATTCCTTCCATATGCAATTCCCCCTCTTTTCAGTCCAGCGAAGCCCCAAACATGGAAACAACCCACCACTGTTTTATTCTTCAGAGACCAGCTAACAGGGGCCTCTCATGGTTTAATAAGTTTAAATATGGCTTGAGGATAGCATAGCCAGATTACAAGGCAAGAAAGGAAAACATCAAATTGGAATTAATGTATCATTGCTCTTAAAATCCACTGGCCATGTGTGTTCACAGGGAGTCATGTCCATCCTTCCTCCTTAGCTCCTGGCCTCTGGCCCGCTGCCACGTTGAGAGGCACACTTTTCCCAACTATAGTTTCCTTTTATTCTCTCTCTCCTCCCCTCGTTCCTCCACCCCTACCCCTAGGAGAGCACCCTTGTATTTAAACATGCTAAAGGAATCCAAATAATGCCAGCAAATATAACTATGATTTTTACAGCCAGCCCACAGCAAAGACAGCCTTTACCTTACTAAACACCTCAATTAACATCTCTGTCTAAAGAAGGAGCACAGACTCTGGAGTTGGGATGTCCAGGTTCACATCCCAGCTCCACCACTTACCATTTGTGACTTCAGGCAAGTTGTTTATCTTCTCTGTGTCTTGGTTTCCTCATCTGCAAAATGGGGATAATAGTAAAACATACCATATAGTGTTATTGTGAGGATTAAACAGGATCATGCATTTTAAATAGGACATATTTTAGTGTATATGGTAAACAGCCGTTTCTATTAGGATGACCATGCATTAGGACTAGTAACAATATAGTAAAAGTTGAGGTTGTGGAATTACATTACCAATATTCAGGGCTACAGTATGAAAAAAAACCTCTTGTTTAACTTGTATCAATATTACTGGATATGCTTATCAGAGTAACTCTTCTGAAAAGAGGGAATCTGCCCCTGAAATAAATTCTAGCCTATAGCATTAGGGCCACAAAGAATTTACAAATATTCTCAGAACCTCTGCAAAATAAATATGTACCAATCTGAAAAGAAAATATTGAATTAGATATGCCAAGATACTGACAGCAGTTATTTCTGATTAGTGTAATTATAGATTTTTAAAAATTTTTATCTGAACACTTCTGAGTGTTTTCTCCACACTGACCATCTACATGGCTTTTATAATATGGAAAAATAAGAACGTTACAAAAGAGGGAAGGAAAGCCTTCTTCTACATCCATACCAGATAAGACAGTTTCATAGAATTTGTTGAATTAACAAAACTCTGCAATGAAATGGTAGCCCAAGCTTGAATAAAGAGAACATTTATTTGAGTATTTAGTCCTGGGAGAGCCTGGCTATTGTACGGCCATGTTGCTGCTCTGTGAGTGGACTGTGAGCTTTTCAGCTGCTGCCTTTCAATATATATAATTAGAGTTCTGTTCCCATGGGGGAGAGACAGGTCTTAACATGAACTTCTAGTTGATACCAGACCCTCATCTCCATTTGCAGTTTACGTGTGTAGCATTTGTCCTCATCTTAAGAGTGAGTCATAAAAGTGCTTCAGTAAAATCTGACGTCAGTTGTCTAAAACCACAGTGTTACCACTCCCAAGTTTGTTATGGCCTCAATGTATTTACATAGCAGAAGGGACTTTAAGATCCAGTTAGAGGTTAATGGCAAATGTCCTCTGCCCTCAGAAATACAACAATGAAGATGAATCAGAGGCTTTTGATTTTGAATTAGACCTAACATTCTTGGAAAAATTTGCTTTTGGGTATTTATTCCATCCTATTACTCCTTGAAAAGAAAAGGGCAAAGCTTTTCCTTTTTTTTTTAGTTTTTTTTTTTTTGGTCACAGAATAGAATCCTGGGATACCTGATAACAAAGGCTGATGAACGGCAGGCAGATCATAAACTCACGCAAACATGGTAGTTGGACAGGGATGAACATTTTCCAAAGTGTGTTCCTCAGGGGCGTTGTATGAAATGCTCTTCAAGAAACGGATTCCATGTTTACACCTGAGTAAAAAGCACTGCATGTCCTTTTTCTTGGAGATATAGAAAGCATAGCAAAGGCCTACACAATTCTGCAGGAGCCTGTTTAAATTTGTTAAACTAACATCTTTGTCTAACTATATTTCATTAAGAAGCTCTATTCCAGACTCTTCTCAACATCTTCTAGCACTTAGGTTTCACAGTACACACTCTGAGAAACATTGACTGGACAATTAATACCTTTGGGAAATCACACAAATACCTTACCAACATGCAGACATGTTTTATTTTGTTTTGTTTTGGTTTTTGTTTAATTGTTAGACCTTTTTAAAATTCTTGATGGCCAGTCACAAGAATGGTAACAAAATCAGTTGGAGCTGGGCACAGTGGCTCACACCTGTAATTCTAGCACTTTGGGAGGCCAAGGTGGGCGGATTGGCTGAGCTCAGGAGTTCAAGACCAGCCTAGGCAACATGGCAAGACCCCATCTCTACTAAAGTATAAAAAAATTAGCCAGGCATGGTGGCACACACCTGTAGCCCCAGCTATTCAGGAGGCTGAAGCAGGAGAATCGCGTGAACCCGGAAGGCAGAGGTTGCAGTGAGCCGAAATCACACTCTAGCCTGGGCAACAGAGCACGACTCTGTCTCCAAAGATAAAAATTTAAGAATAATAATAAAATCAGTTGGGACTTGCATCTGGAACTATGACAGCAGGAAGTGGAGGATCAGGTGAGTTAAGGGCCAGGGAGCTATGGCTGAGAGTAAACATGGCTGAAACTCACTAGACCTCTTTATTCAAGATCTAATTCTCCTAAGAAATTTCCAGTGGAAAGTAGTGCTTTCATCAGGAACACTGTCAAGAATATGGTGCAAGCACTTAGGTTTCAGTGATGGAATAATAATACCCCCAAATAAGACTTGTATTGCAGTCAAGAGACAGAATATTGAAGAAAAGTAGTTTCCATATTTAACTTTCTTTCTCTCACCTTCCCTCAGCACTCAGGAGGGAAAGTGTCAAACCTCATATGCAAAAATCTCAGGCACTGCACCATGGGCAAATATTTCCATGGGGCTGGTGGGCCTCAGCTCATTTTATAAAACACATATCCACCTTAATCTGAATTTGAGAGAACGGGCAACTACCAGTGGGTTAGTACTGAAAAAGTGCCATCAGACAGTCTACCCTAATAGACGAAGTAAACAATAGAATACATTTCAGAAAGGTGGTGAAGGAACTCTCGTGAATTCTGATCTCCCTGGTTCTCTAGACTCAAGAGTCTACTCTAGTCTCAAGGATTATCTTGTTTTGTGTATCAAAAGAGTATTCTGGATAAAGAAAATGTGGTGCATATACACCATGGAATACTATACAGCCATAAAAAAGGAATGAGATCATGTCCTTTGCAGGGACATGGATGAAGCTAGAAGCCATAATCCTCAGCAAACTAACATGGGAACAGAAAACCAAACACCACATGTCCTCACTTATAAGTGGGAGCTGAACAATGAGAACACATGAACACAAGGAGGGGAACAACACACACTGGGGCCTCTCAAGGGGTCGGGGGCAAGGGGAAGGAGAGCATTAGGACAAATACCTAATGCATGTGGGGCTTAAAACCTAGATGACAGGTTGATAGGTGCAGCAAACCACAATGGCACACCTTTGTCTATGTAACAAACCTGCACGTTCTGCACATGTATCCCGGAACTTAACATTTTTTTAAAGGAGAGTATTTAATATATGCCGTTGTATTTTTTTGTTTTGAGAATCTTTTGAATAGGAAAAAATCAGCCTTATCTAAATTCTTAGTTTATCTTTGTAAAAAAAAAAAAAAAGTAAGGTAAGAAACTATCTTTTGCTTTTGTGAACCATTTAATAAACCATTTTGGTAGTCTTAGTAAGACAATTGCAGTAGTTCCCAGTTTGAATATCATTGATCTTCATCCTCTTGTATAGAATTTAAGAATTATTTTTGATGCTTTGAATTGAACCGGTATGTCAATCAGCGTACATCTATGTGAGTCATAGAAGATAAGTATGAGTAACCTGAATGAGGAGACCATTGAACAACCTCACAATCTCATCTTCTCTAGTATCTGTCAGAAAAGGGCTCAATAAAAACAGTGAGATTACTAATAGCTCTAAAGTTACTACTGTATGATTTACTGCCTGTCATAAAAAACAACACGAGGATAGGCAATCTTGAATTCCCTTTCTCCCAGAATATCTATAGCAGTAAATCTGTTGCCTTTCCAACATTTATTCTATGGCAGTTGTTGAGATGGAATTAACCCCTCCATCAGCTCCAGGGCTGGGCTCTGATTGCTGTAATCCAGCAAATTAATCTCACCCTCTTGCCATAAGTATTGGTTCAAGTAACCCAGGTTTAAGCCAATCAATGTTCCAATCAGCAGGAATCTCAGAACTTTTGTTAGAGTTAAGGAAAGCATTCTTTTTTTTTTTCTGGATAATTAAGAGGAAGCACATGGATCTAACTGTACTGACAGATATCCTGTAACTTTAAAGGGCCCAGCCTTAGGGTGAAGCCCACATTGTAGCTAGCAGATGCAGATAAAAAGATGGAAGAAACAGAGTCCACAAGGACATTATTGAGCTCCAAACTAACCACCTTTGGAACTCACACCACTATGGTTTCATAAAACCTTGTAAATTTCCTTATTGCTGAATTCAATGTCAGACAGTTTTTCCATCACTTGCAATGGAAAGTATCCCAATTGAGACAGAAATATTAGGCTATGTTTCTGCCACAGAATCACATTAAAATAAGCATAGATACTTTTAATTCCATCCTGGGTGGTACTTAGATTTGAGGTTTCAATATATATATATTATTATGTTTATTTCAATGTGAGAATATAATTGGTGTGTTAGGCCATTCTTATGTTGCTATAAAGAGTTATCTGAGGCTGGGTAATTATAAAGAAAAGAGGTTTAATTGGCTTATGGTTCTGCAGGCTGTACAGGAAGCCTGGTGTTGGTGTCTGCTTCTGGTAAGGCCTCAGGAAGTTTCCAGTCATGGCGGTAGGCGACAGGGAACCAGCATGTCACGTGGCCAGAGAGGGAGCAAGAGGGAGGGGGAGGTCCCAGACACTTAAACAACCAGATCTCACACAAACTAATTGAGCGAGGACTCATGTATCACTAAGGAAATGGTGTTTAACCACTTAGGAGAGATCTGCCCCCATGATCTAACCACCTCCCACCAGGACCCCAATTCCAACACTGGCAATCATATTTCAACCTGAGATTTGGAGGGGACACACATTCAGATTGTTTCCATTGGTTTTGTAGTTTTTCCTTAGTAACACTTTCCCACATTTAATAGCATTCGTTTACCCTTTCTTCTTATTTATTGTTCTCCAGTACCAACCTCCTGACTTTCCCATCTAGGAGGAAATAAAAACAAGAGGAAGCAGTTTGATAACTCTTTTTAAGTCAACACCTCTCAGTTTACATGTGACTTACATAAACATTTAAGTCCAGTTACCCCTTGGGCTAACTGAGTAATGAGAAATAGTTGTGCCTCAGCACAATTTTGTTAAGAGACAAAAAAACAAACCAAAAGGTGGCCAATTGTGGTCAAATCCAAATTCATGGTTCCCCCCACAAATCTAACATTGTATTATATTTCTTTGACTTTTAAAAACTATATCACTTCCTCAGTTGACCTTTCCTGGAGATGGGGGACCAACTGATATGAAAAATACTATAATATTTAATTTTCAAATATTAAATCCTGGATGAAAAGAGCCTCTATAGGCAGTCTTTTCATGGATCTTTTGGAAAACACAATATAGTTTTCCTTCTCCCAGCCACAAGACAAGCCTTCAGTTGACAATATTTGGGCTAAAATATCAGAAAAACGAATTGCTGTGCATAAGAGGACACATAAGTACTTAACCCAGAGAGATTCATACTATTTACTTCAAAACCAAGGTGATTCCCTTCGGCAACCTGTGCTAGAATCGGTAGGCTAAAGGGCACAGTTAGAGAGAGGTTAAAAGAGTTATTTCTACTTGGTGACTAACCACATTTGATTGTCTTAAGTGCATCTGGCTTCTAGAGTGTGCTTTTATTTCAGATGATTATGAATGTTCCAAGTGGACTCATTGCAGCCACCTGGCTTAAGGACTGTAAGGCACTTCGAAAATCAAATTTCAGGAGAGAAGATTGATTTGAGAAACAATGAACAAGGAGAAATCTTCCCTTTGCAGAGCTGCTGTGTGTCAAAGTTTATCCTCATTATATTATGGTGGGAAGAAAAGAACAAATTAAGACATTTAACTGCTTAAAATTTGAGACCCAATTGCATTTAACACCACAAATCTTGTTACTGGACCTGTGGGCTTACCTTCTCCCTATGTGAAGTCTGGTATGTGTTAGCAAATCACATTTTTAAAAATCAGAGAATGGATCTGGGCTAAGTGGATAATCACTGTTCACGTTCCCCGTCAGATAAGAGAAGATCCTGTAGAATCCAAAGAGTTTTTAAATTAGATCAAAAGTCCCTATAAGGAGAAATACCTTAAAATTACCTTCTTACCTGGCCACCATTGCTAGCACTAGCACACTTTAAATTAATAGCAACCACGTGATGGCAGAATTTCTAACTTTTAACATAAGGGGCCACTCAAACCTTCAAACTACCCTTTCAAAATTGGCATCCATAATGAAAGAACCATTAAGGGCTTAGTGATGTTCCAAGAACTCTTCTTCAAGAAAAATAAATAAATAAAGAGAGAGAAGGAAAAAAAATTGGCTCCTTTTCTTTGGCCAGTAACCCACATTTTAATTGAATTTTGATGAGATGATGGATGTTGTACTGTATTCCAAGTCTATATGCTAAATTAACAAGGCTGTCTGCTTAGTTTCCTCTTTTGAAGGCACATTGAGATGAGCGTCTGCTAATTCTCTTACATAAAGCATGATGAGGATGTCTCAAATTCCTGTTTAGTGCCTGGAATCACCCATTTTCTCCAAGCTGGTTTCATGCTGAAACAAAACTATCTGGTTTAAGGAAAAACTCCAAGCAGAATCATGTTCAATCAGCCGGGAGGAATAAATCTCAGTATTTCAAAGGCATCTGCTAAAGCATTTAAAACTTTCTAACCATATTTTAAAAGACTTATTTGTGCATCTCTTTACAGTAAGGACATGTCTCCAGTGCTAAATGCAGGCAGTTCATGCTTGGCTACAAAATAAGAGTGATGAATGGCATGATCAAGAAAAATAGGTAATTTCAGCAAATTTTGGCACACAATTATTCATTCTCTTCCCAGTCTTTCTGCTTTTACAAAACTTGGTAGTTAAACTCTATAACTCAAGCTTTCTATTTATTCTGAATAATTTCAAAGCCACAGACTTGAATGTTGACCACTCCCTAGAAATATGAAGGCTCAGGGAAGGGATCGATTATTGCTATTTGGAGTTTTCGCATTTTGGCATAATGGTTATTTTACTTTTTAAATGTCTAGATATAGTAGGCCTGCCTATTTACCAAAAATAATATCTAAGTTGGTTCATCACTCTGGCACCAAAAAATAGCACACTAAAGGGGAACTATCTACCACCTATAGGCTGGAGGAGTCAGATACACAGTTATTCATTAGAGAAGCCAAAAAAAAAAAAATGTAGGGTGGGCTTGAAGCATGGCTGCCACAAGGTTCCCAGGTGACCATGGGCTTGGGTTTGCTCTAGGAGAAACTGACCTCCAGGCATCCTGAGAACCACGTATGCCTCCTCATATGTATCTTGGTCCAGACCTCCTTTGAAATAGACCAGGCACCAAGAGCGTTTGTAGTCCATTCACCCTATGATATCCCCTTTGGTGTGATACTGTTATGGGTTGAGTGGTGTCTTCCTTCCCCTCAAATTCATGTGTTGAAGTCCCAATCCCCCGTACCTAAGAAAGCAACCTTATTTGGAAAAAGGGTTGTTGCAGATATAGTTAGTTAAGCTGAGGTCTTACTGAAGTAGAGTGGGCCCCTCTAATCCAGTGTGACTAGTGGTCTTCATAAAAAGGGGAAATTTGGACACAGATATATGCAAACAGGGAGATGTACATTTTGACAGGGATGTATGCACACATTGGACACAGATATATGCACACATATAAAGATGGATGCAGAGATCGAGGTGATACTTCTACGAGCCAAAGAATGCCAAGGATTGCCAGCAAACCACTGGAAGCTAGAGTATGGGCACATCGCAGGTTCTTTCTCATAGCTCAGAAAGAACCAACAGTGTCAACATCTTGATATCAGACTTCTAGCCCTCAGAACTGTGAGATAATAAATTTCTGTTTAAGCCACCCAGTTTGTAGTTCTTTGTCATGGCAGCCCCGGCAAACTAATATACTAACCCAAGCTCTTGTATTCAAATACCCCAACAGAACTTACGGTTCAAATGTAGATGTCAGACACTTTTATCTTCAGTGAAGATCTAATTTGTCTGTTTGGTGTAAAGGAAAGATATAAAGCAATATAACCAGAAAGCCAAACCCTATTCTTGAGAATATGAACTATCATTGGCATTTAATTGAAAACAAGAACCTAAACCTCATTTGTGGCTGATGTTTGCACGTATCATCAGAGATTAGGTAAATTACTTCTTCTCTGGATCTTATCTCCCTCAAGTGTATGATGGCAGGCTTAGGCAGAATAATTGCTAAGAGCCCTTCCACTTCAACATTCTACTAATTATTATGTTGTTAATTCTTGTAAAACAATTCTTGATGCAAAACATTTTTCAGGACCATAAAAATAAAAGTTCACACATATTCCTACCACCCAGAGAAAACAGCTCTAAAATTTCCGGCATATATACTGCAGCATCTTAATTTGATAAATAACTGTATCTCAAATGTTTATTTGCATCTAACATACTTTCAAAGAGGATTGGCACAGCTTGCATAAATGCCTAATATGAAAACAAAACTGGAATAAGGTTAAAAGTAGATAGGCTTTGTAATGAATGCAGGAAGCTCATTGGCCAGAAACAATAATGTTAACAAGAATGGCTGCAGATGATCACCAATAGGTAGTTTATCATGGAAGGGGCTTTGCCTATGTGTCTGCCCCATATCCTTTTTAAAAATAAGATAGCATTATTCTTATCTCCGTTTTATAGACGCAGAACCTGAGGCAGAGAGCTGAAATAGGTCACCCAAGGTTACACAGCTAGTAAGTGAGAGAATCAGGAATTAGACTCAAGCAGTTCTGTTTTGTTTTTTATTTGTTCTTGTTTTCTTTATTTAGAGACCAACTCTCACTATTGTCACTCAGACTGGAGTGCAGTGCACAATCATAATTCACCACAGCCTTGAACTTCTGGGCTTGAGCGATCCTCCTGCCTCAGCCTCCCAAGTAGCTGGGACTACAGGCATGCACCACCGGGCATGGCTAAATTTTTTTTAGAGACAGGGTCTTGCTGTATTGCCCAGGCTGGTCTCAAACACCTGGAGTCAAGCAATCCTCCTGCCTCAACCTCCCAAAGCACTGTGATTACAGGTGTGAGCAACCACACACCTGCCCCTATATCTTTTTGTGGCTGCCTTGGGTTTCATGTGGAAATTTCCCTGAAATGGAGCCAAGAACTGGAGTCAATAATCTGAGTTCTTTGCAGATTATTTAAGGAAACTGGCCTCCCTAGCACTTGCCAGGCTACCTAATGGTGGTCAACCAGGGGCAGTCATTGCTAAGGGTGACTGCAATTACTGGGTCAGAGAACCCTGGAAAATCATTCATTTTTTAGTCATATTTGGTCTTTTAGAATAGCTGAAGATATTTCTAGTAGGACCTCTTTGTAGCATTCAAGTTGTTTTTCAGAGTCCACAGACACTTCCAGTGCTCTCTTTGAAATAAATGATTTAGTAAATCTTTGGGGTTAACCTTCCTTTATAGCCTGATGTTTGCAATGGTGTGGACTCAAAGCTGCTGGCTTAATGCTGATGGTCTCTACTATAGCCCTCCAATCTATTGATAACTGTGATTTCAGAAAACCAGATGGACTTCAGTTTTGATTCTAATTTGTCACTGAAAATTGTAGTTTGTCTCCAACAAACCATGAGCTTTTTTTCTCTTGCCAAATATTTAATTTATAAAATATTAAGTGATATGTTTATCAGAACCCAGCACCTATTGAATCATAATTTCCTTCCACTAGTTATACCATCTATCATGACTAAGTTTACTTTTATTCATTCGTGAATATCTATTGAGCATCTATTATGTGCTAGACACCGGGGTACAAAATGGAATGAGATAAACATGGCACTCTTCCTTGAAGAGCCTACAGGCCTGACACAGAACTAACCAAATAATTACAGTGCAGCATGGTGGGTGATATTATATGGGAAGAATGGCACAGTGTATGGCTTAGAGTGTATGCTCAATCAAAATTTGATTAATGAAAGAATTAATTAATAATATGGGAGCACTTGGCAGGTACAATTAATCCAGCCTTGAAAGAAGCCTTCTATGAGGAAATGATTTAAACTGAGACCTGAAGGATGAGTATGAGTAGGAATTTGAAAAAGGAGGAAGGGAAGGAAAGGGGTGACAACAGAGAAAGGTATTTTGGATAGGAAGAACAAATTCCAAAGCAAAAAGTCATTTCAAGAAACATGACACCCTGGAAAAACTGAATTAAACATAGGATGCTTAGAGTGTGTAGAATAACATAAAATAAGGCTGGAAGATAGGCAGAGGCCAAAGCCTGCACAGATTTGTAAGAAAATTAAGAAGATTGAATGTTATCCTAAAAACAATAAGATCCACGAGAGGGTTTTAAGCAGCTGGCAAAGGTCATAACCATCTTTGCATTGTAGATGATCTCTCTAGCTGCAGGAGGGATCCAATATTAGAGACAGAGATGATAGTAATCTAGATTGGGCAATGGTATAAACTATCAAAAGAAGGGTAGTATTCAAGAAGTGATTAGGACGTGTAATCCAAGGGGCTGGGAACTATATGTGAAGGATGAAGGAGAAAAATGAAAAGATGATCTCCAGGTTTCTGGGGATATGGTTTTTATCTATTGTTGCATAACAAACCCTGCAACATTTAGTGACTAAACAAATTGTTTCATTATTTCTCATGATTCTGCAGTGGATGTTGCTGAGCTGGATGGTTCTTCTGCTGATCTTGCTCATGCTTTCTCATGTATTTGCAGTTAGTTGGTGGCTTGGACTTTCCAAGATAGCATCATTCACATGCTGGGGGCCTTGGTGCAGATAACTGATAAACTGGGCTCCGCTGGGATGTTGAAAGAGTTTGGCCTCTTCTTTCTTTCCATGTAGACTCCGCATCCCATTGTCTCCATGGGGTCTCTCCAGAAGGATAGCTGGACATCTAAGATGGCAATTCAAGTCTCCCCAAGGTGCAAAAGTAGAAGCTGCCAGTACCATGTCACTTCCACCACATTCTATCGGTTAAAGTGGGTCACAGGACAAGGCAGAGTCAATGTGAGAGAGTCTAAACAAAGATATGAACGTGTAGAGGTGTGATTCATTGAAGCCATCTCTGCAGATGCTACAACATATGATGATACCATTCACTGAGGACAGAAAAACTGGAAGAGAAGCAGGCTTGAGGGAAGAAGAGCTTTTAAGTTGAATTTCGGACGGACTGAGCCTGAGACATCCCATAGGTGGGGAGATGTTTATAGAGATCTGTACGTTTGAGAGAAGACTGGACTAGACATACACGTTTAAGAGTCCTCATCAGATGGTCATTGAAAGAGGGAGACAGCACAGAATGGGAGAAGAGAGCCCAAAGTAGAAAGCTAAGAAATTTCAATATTGAAAGACTGGGAAGGGGAAAAGAAATCTCAAAGGGAGGCTGAGAAGATGAAGTCAAAGGAATGGGAGGAATATCAGGAGAGCTTTGAGTTGCATAATCCAAGGAAGACTGGCAGAGTCAGATGCCTCCAAAGAGACTGTGAGTCAGAATAAGTTAGGTGATGCTGCAGTAATAAAATAATCCCTAAAGTCACAGCGGCTTTGCCAGAGGCATTCAAACCACAGCAACTCCATCTTGAATAGGAACTGGGTAAAATGAGGCTGAGACCTACTGAGCTGCATTCCCAGGAGGTTAGGCATTCTTAGTCACGGGATGAGAAAGGAGGTCGGCACAAGATACAGGTCACAAAGACCCTGCTGATAAAACAGGATGCAGTAATCTAGCAGCCCATGCCACTGGCTCTGCCTATGGAGTAGCCATTCTTTCATTTCTTTACTTTCTTAATAAACTTGCTTTCACTTTATGGATTTGCCTTGAATTCTTTCTTGTGTGAGGTCCAAGAACCTTCTTCTGGCATCTGGCTCAGGTCCCCTTTCAGGTAACAGCTTTATAATAAAAGTTGATTTCCCCCCTCACACTCAGTCTGTCGCAGGACCCTGAGGAAACTCACCTCTGAGCAGTGATCCAAGAGTCCAGACTGGTTCCATCCTGTGTGTCTTCCATCTGCAGATAAGACCTCAACAACCACAGTGACAGGGGGAGGGAAGGCAGGAGGGCTCACACATGTGCTTCTAGGTTTCGGCACAAAAGTGACACACATCACTTTCCCTTAAAGGATTTGGCCAGAAGCAGATTGCAAACTAACAACAAGGGAGGCAAGAAAATGCGGCCTTGTACATTCAGGAAGAGAAAAGTGATTAGAACTTCGTGAGCACATAGTATTGTCTTTGCCACGCAGATCAAGTAAGATGAAGACTAAAAAGTGTCTTTTGGATGGAGCCACAAATTATCTTTGTATTCTAAGCAACTCACCCTAATAAACCCTCAAAAAATATGCCTCTTGAGATACTTAAGTACCCACTGCATATTTAGTAGTGTGCCTAAATCTCATTCTAAAATAATCCTTAATAACCTTTCAGCCCTAAGAACCTTGGATTTGAATAACTGGCTCTCCAAGCCTGTATAATAATACCCACCGAAAATATAAGACATCTTCAAGGTGCCTTCCATCATGGTAAAAGCCAATTTGGATAAACCTGTGGTCAATCTGGCTGACTTTGCCTTTTCAGACAGTCAAAAATATGAATCAACAGAGGCAGTGGCTGTGTGGACGCTCTATTTTAAGCCAGAATCTTTAATTGCATTGTCTTTTCTTATGACAAGTAATTAGAAATGACTGCTTCCTACCAGTCTGAATTACAAGATGATTATTTCCCTTTAAGATTCACTGGCTGCTTGGCATTGCAAGACTGTGGTGTTACTAAAAATACAGTAATTATTGGAGATGGTGGCCAATGAGAAGCAATTTTTCAGCTTTTGGGGTACATTTTAGCCACAGGGTATGGGCTAAGTGGGAAGGAGCAAAGATTCCATGAGGACCCCACTTGTGGATTTTTCAGAGGGTGGTCCTGGGAATATTGGCATGTCACATCCAAAAAGCCTCCTTTTCAAACTAGCTTCCCTCCTCATGACTTAATTAACCAAGAATATAAAATTAATCAAAGGCAACGGAGTGATGAACAAGAAAGAATACTGTGCTTCCAACAAGAAGAAATGATCAATCAGAACCAATAGGAGTGAGACCATTCCTTTCATCAGGGAAGAATTTCAATCTTCAGCCAAAGAAAAAGAAAGAGGCCTGGAGAAAATCAGCCCAGGGAAGTATTTCAGGTGGTGGGTAAACATTGTGTTGTCTTGTAGGCACCATTTCCCCTAATGATGGGAAATAATCAATTATTCTAAAAACATTAATGTGGTGAGTAAAAGATGCATTCAAATTAAAGTCTTATGCTCCTCTGGTAAAAGTCAGTCCAAGTTAGAAAAATAAGAATGCCCAAGCAATAGGGAGCACATGATTCAGAGAAAGTTCACAGGGCAAATTCTTCATAGTTGCAACTAAGAATTATTGCCACTAATAAGACAATGCTTTCTGCTTCCTCCATGACACATCTCAAAGGAAGGATGTTGAGTTAGAAACTTACCATCCCAACATTTTTGTTTAATCTCCTATAAAATATATCCAGGTTTCAAAAGACAGTGTGGCTCCATCAACATGATGATTTATTTGACACAGGTACCTGCGCAAGGGAGGACTAACAGAGGGGGGTCCGCACAGTCAAAGTGGTTGATCTCATTGGATCCTCAGAAGGACAGAAGAAGCATCCGGATGGTCTGTGCCAGATAGTTTGCAAAGCCATATATTTAAGAAACAGAAGCCAGAGAGAGGCAGACAAATCTGGACATTTTACTACCATATAACAAGGGCTTGCAAATGGCCATGTAGCAGTCATTAGCCATCACTGTAAGCATATGATAATCTCTGATTATCAGGACAATGAAAAAGTAGAATTATAAAACATAACCAACCTGTGTATGTACTTTTGAACCTAAAATAAAAGTTAAAAAACAAAAAAACCGGCCAGATATGGTGGCTCATGCCTGTAATCTCATCACTTTGGGAGGCCAAGGCAGGTGGATCACCGGAGGTCAGGAGTTCAAGACCAGCTTGGCCAGCATGGCGAAACCCCGTCTCTACCAAAAATACAAAAATTAGCCAGGTGTGGTGGTGTGCACCTGTAATCTCAGCTACTCGGTAGGCTAAGGCAGAGGATTGCTTGAACCCGGGAGGCGGAGGTTGCACTGAGCCGAGATCGTGTCACTGCCTGGGCGACAGAGCGAGACTCCATCTCACAAAAAAAACAAAAAACAAACAAAAAAAAAAACTTACACAACCAATGAAGAAAATGGTTTTTCTCTTGGATAGGAAATTAACCAATATCTGAGGAGTGACATTGAGAGTATAACAGAGAACTGCAAAGGAGAGGTGACTGAGGAAGAAGTACATTGGAATGTGAAGTTTTCAGTCACTTCTAATGATCAAAATCATGCTCAAATTGCCCATTACCATAATAAGGTAAATGACCAGGAACGTGACAGAAAAAAAGGACAAGCTGCAACTCGGCTTGATCTGTCGGTCCCAGGGGAATAAACTCAGCTATGGCTGTCCAGTGTTTCTTTGACATTGTATTTGCTTGGCTTCTAATGAGGTCTAAAGAAAAGAAAAGAAAAGAGAAAGCATTTGTCTTTTGTCATTTAGCCATTTCCAAAAAAGACAGTATGGCTACTTTTAGTCTCCTGTAATTGTTTCTTGGTCCCATGAATGAGATAACATTTTACTGTAAAGAGGTGAAAATGTGTGGGTTTGCAAAATGTAAAAACAAAGTCGGAAGATTCAGAAGGATGAGCCACACTACACATAAAAGTGCATTAATGACTTATTTTATAATCATAGAGGATTCTGTGCTTTGAAAAGAAAGTACTTTTTAAAAAGAAGATATTATTTCTTTAAAGTTTAGCAAAATTTGTCTTCCAACTTCGTAATATTTAAGCCATAATGAAAAGTATTTTCTTTTGTTTCCTTTCTTATGCTCCGAACTAGTAAGTTCTTGTCCATAGAGTTGAGCAAACTTTCCTCCCATTTCCTTCCATCCTCACCCACTTTGTGATCTCAGATGAACCAGCTTCATATGTAGCCTGCCCCTCCACCACTGCTCCTTTTTTTTTAACCATAAATAAGCATGTAATGGGTAGAAAGTTTGTTTAAAATTTAAATTATGCCGGCCAGGTGCAGTGGCTCATGCCTGTAATCCCAGCATTTTGGGAGGCCGAGGCAGGTGGATCACAAGGTCAGGAGTTCAAGACCAGCCTGGCCAACATGGTGAAACCCCGTCTCTACTTTAAAAATACAAAAATGAGCCAGGCATGGTGGCATGTGCCTGTATCAGGAGGCTGAGGCAGGAGAATTGCTTGAACCCAGGAGGCAGAGGTTTCAGTGAGCTGAGATCGCGCCATTGCGCTCCAGCCTGGGTGACAGAGCGAGACTCGATCTCAAAAAGAAAAAAAAAATTGCCTATACACCAAAGGATCCCATAATGAGTGGGAGAAAAAGTTACTGGGTAGGAAGGTAGATAGATAATAGACAGATGGAGATGGATAATTTTTCCCCTCTCCAAAATAGGAAAAATATGCTTGTGGCTGCATGGAAAAAAATCTTAAATATTTCAAACACTTGACTATTTCTGATGAGGGATAGACAAGGGAGTAAGAGGTGTCATTTTTAATTTTATCCACTTACCTATTGTTTTGGATTTTTCCAGTGAATAATTATTACTTTGATAATTACTTAATCATTTGATTTTTAAATCAAGAACTGAATTTATAGAGATACTTAACCATGGTAGTGGGGGTATTTCTAAAAGAGAAACTATTTTTTAAAATACAAGATGTCTTTAACTTGAGAATGTTGCGATAGAGAAAGTTAGTTCTTTGTAACCTATCGCACACATAGAAATAATGCTAACCTATTTAACATAGCTGAACTACCATATATTTGGGTAGAAGATATTCATTTCAAAATTAATGGCTCAACAAAAAAAATTACATGTAAAAAAAAGTTTTTCCTAAATGTCTTCGTTAGAAACAGATGATCTTTTTGCAGAGACTGAAGGAAACTTCTGAGTACACCAAAGGCTTGCTAACACTGATTCTTTATTATGTTGTCTGAGGTTCCAGTGTTTGACTTTTATCCTTATTACTACTAGTGTTACCCTTACATACATTAAACAGGATAAAGGTTTTTTGTTGTCATTTTTCCCGTTTTATTTTTGTTTCTGTTTTGATGCATGATGAGAAAAAGAGGTGGAAGAAGTTATGTGTAACAGGAGAAAATTGCTCAGGAAAGAAAAAGAGATCCCTGAGGTCTTGGACAAAAGTTTAAGAGAGACACAACAAAGAAAGATGTGCTCAAAGAAGATATGCATATAGATATGAGGAGGGGATTAGCTGAATATAAACAACTGAATTACAGCTGTTGAAAAGCAGTGGTGAGGGGCAGGGTAGATGCAGTATGTTCACCCTTCAAGAGAAGGTAATACTTGGGTTCAAACAATTCCACGTTTTGCCAGAAGGTGGAGCAGTTGTCTCAGTGTGGCTTGGTTGCTGTTTCTTGTGACCTCTGACTGGGTAGGGAGATTTAAAAATAATAAAAATAAAAATAAAAAAGCACAGTGCAACAATCTATTTGCATTACAGGATTTCCTAAGTCAGGAGTTTGTAACTTGAGGAGTCCTTATAACAGACTTTTAAGTAGCTTCAACCATTTTGTATATGACTAGAATAATCTCTATTCATCTCGAATAGAAAAGATGACAGAGGAAAAGTTGACTTATCTTAAAATCACAAAGAAAAGTTTCTCAACCCACTCAAAAGTTGTAAGAGGAGAAAACTTTTGAGCAATAATTTAAAGTCACTTTGGACAATGCTTAGTGCATCAAGAATCTTCAAATACTGAGTTTGGTTATTCATCAGGTCTTATATATCCAAGTACATATGGCTTCTAACATGACTTAAAAAGCTTACAGACCATAGTCTTTAAAAATCATCCTTGTTGATTGATACTTAACGACATTGATTCTGCTGTATTAGATTGAGTGGTTTATTTTAAGCTACAGTGCAAAGAGCAGTACTTTGCTTGAAAACAGTAAAATAATAATGATAATCATTTTTCTTCTCCCCCTCTTTTAGGCTTTGACCAGGAGAGAATAACTACAAGAAACTACTAATTTACAAAATGTGCAGATGACCTAGTTTATTCATAACCATAGGAGTTTTAATTTATTAAGCAACAATTTAATATAAGCAGTGCTAGTAATTCTAGTTTACTGTGTGTTTTGTAGGAGAATAATGTATTACTTAATGGGGAAGATAAATTTCTTATTGGAAAATTTTAATAATGAACAAAATTATGTTTGGGTATTTCCATGGGAAGTAATTAGTTGCAAAACTGTCCTTCCCTGAAGTGTGGCGGTATTGGTGGCAATTGCTATTTAGTGGTGAATTCCCTTCTAAACGATGTACTCATGCCTTGCTGCAGTAGAGTGAAGGGAGGACCAGGAATGGAATGACCCATGTGAGAGGTCCAGAGCTGGGAGGAAAGCTCATTAAAGAAGCTCCTGACATCCATTAGCTCCAATCCCTGCTCCTAGCTACCACCGTGGGGATACGGAGACTGAGGATTCTGCTCCACTCTCCCAAATGACTTGCCAGGCTGCAGAAAGCCTAGGTACCCAGCATATGTCTCTCCTTTTGGCTTGCTAAACTGCTTAAAACTTGTTCCTGCCACTGAAAAGACCCCTTTGCATCAAGGTATAAGCTCTAGAAAGCCCTTGGTAAAATGCAAATGTTAAACCAGATGAGGAACTTATTAATTCGTGTGAATCTGTGAGCACTTGGGCATTCATTAGTAATTATGTTATAGAGAAGTTTTGGAAACTGACCATGAATTATTAAAACCCTGCAAGTGACAAAACCCCAATTTGAACCAGCTTAAGCAAATAAGAAACTTACTGGCTTGCAAAGCTGAGAAGATGCATGTGGTAGGTCATGGAATTAAGGGGAGAGCTTCAGGAACAAAGTCACATGGTCTGGAACCAAGAATCCAACACCATCAGAATTCTCTCAACCCATCTCCCAATTTGTTTTATCTCTGGGTGTTGACATAATACTCTATTACTGAAGATGACCTTTCTCCATCCAGCCAAGGACAATTCATGTGGCAAGATTGGTGCTTATATTATCCCAGCTTAGCAACGCCAAAAAAAAAAAGAAAAAAGAAACAGAGAGATCCCATATTTCATCTGGTATCCACATATCAATCCCAAGGAAGCCCATGTATGTGTGGTTCAATAGGTCACATGCCTACCCTTTGGACCAATAACTATTGGAATGGACACCATGATTGGTTCAGTCTGGGACATCTGACTATCTCTGCGGACAGAGAAGAAGGATGCCATGATAGAATTCCCCAAAAGAGTCCCATGAAGTAGAAAAAGAGTTCTCACACAGAGAAAAGGAAACTAGTACAAGATATAAGACCCAAAAAGCTATTATTCCTCACTGTAGAAGAAAAAAAGTCTAGCATTTTCTGAAGGCATTTTCCATTTTTATTTTTATTTTGTTTCTAGGTTTCACCCTACAGATTTTGTATGTGTGGTGGCTTTTGTGCAGACCCACTGTCGGTCTCCTTGGTAAAGATAGTAAGCTGAGGAAACCCAGCCAACTGAAAAGTAAAACTAATGAGCAGTATTTTAAAGGTGGAATCTAAGCTGCTATCACAAAGGTCTCCCAATATTGCGTGGCTTAAACATGAAAGGCTTAACATTACTCTCCCATGTAATAGTCCAGAACTTAAGAGTCCAGGCTTGTAGAGCAGATCTGCCATCTTCAGCATGCAGCTCCCTTCCCATCCGAGGTGGCTGCTTTATATTTTATGTGCATCCTAAACATCAGAAAGCATGAAGGGGCAAGGAAAGCCCTACTCATTTCTCTGTAAGGTGCAAGTTGAATATGGTACAATCCCTTTGCCTAGAACAGACATGTGATCACACTGAGGTTCAAGGAAAACAGGAAATGTAGTCTCTGGCTGGGCAGCCATGTGTCCAGCTGAAACTTCAGAGTTGGGTTATTATAGGAGGAGAAAAATGGATATTGATGAATGATAAGCAGTCACTGCCATACAGCATTATTCCTGATGGCTTGCAGATGAGCTAGAAGGCCAAAGAAAGACTGAACAACTCCTCAGGGTTACATGTCATCCCTTTCTTCCCTTCTCTTCAGAAGCAACACTAGCCCAGTGCAGGGGAGTCATCTGCTGGGAAAAGTGGGAGCAGGAGCTGTAAGGCAATAGGGAAAAGCGCCAGAAGCAGAGCCAGTATTCAGTCAATAGCCACTAATATGGCTGCACTCATTGTGAAAATATTAAAATATAGCTGTACCATTGGGTAAAGGGTCAGTCCCCTAAGTTCTTTTGGATGCCTGTCTGAGACCGTATCTACCCCAACTCCTCTCCTGAGACTGTCATGCATCTCCCATGATGCAGCAGCTAAAGCGTTAATGTCTGGCTCAGAGAGAGTCTCTAGAGATCAGAGCCTCTGTGATGGATACTCCACTGTGATCAGCCGGTGCTGATTGGTGATAGTTTGAAGATCATCCTTGGCTAGAAGCCTAACACACAGTGACCTACCTCAGCCACCAAATTCACTCTAAAATAAAGATAGAAGTGCAATGGATGGAGGTTACTGAACCTCATCCTTATTGTGCATTTGAAATCTTGCTATAGATACCAAGATTCTGAAGTTGAGTCAGATTTCCGTGACTCATGACATCAGCGAACATGACCTGTAGGTGATGTTTATTTTGATAGAAGGGAAAAAGTTCAGTTTCTGAGTGAGAGAAAGTCCGATGATGTCTCTAAAACAATGCAAATAAGCCATTGAGAAGTCAAAATGTGGGAAAGCCAGAATTAATCTAAAAGAGGGCCCTCCCAAGGGCATCTTCACACCACTGAATCCTTCTTTCAGCTGGGTTAGAGAGGTGCGATGGAATAGGAAGATTTGGGGATAGAAGGTCTGGATACTAGTGTAAGTAGTGGAAAGAATGGGTTTGGAGCCTGTTTCTCTGATTACAATCTGTACAGCTAGTCTCCATATCTGTAAAGTAGAGGATAATAATACTGTCTTTACCACAAATATAAAGGCTATAAGGGTTGAATGAATTAGGCATGCTGGGGGACTGGTATGCAGTAGACACTCAATACAAATAAGTCCACATTTCTTTTGCTTTTATTCTCTTGTCCTCTTCCCCCACTTACCCACACCCAGACACATATCACCTCCCACACACACTTGCATAGGAATTTGTAGTGGAACCACAGTCAGGTAACTTAATGTATTTCTTGGGTTTTTAACATGAAAAAACAAGGAGAATGCCACATTTCTTGAGTGATGATGAGATTATGAATGCACAGCGGATACAGATGTGAAGGACTACTAGTGTGGTCAAGAGGAGCAAAAGGAGGTGACAGATTTACATATTTTCCATGCATAGCTCCATAATTTCTACAGCGTAACTTATAAACCATCAACACTAAACATTTCAGTTTACTTCTGGGTTAAAGCAAGGATATGTAACATTGAATATACCAATAATTACAGCAAACAATTCCATCTTTTAAAATGTGCCTGGCCCAAAGTAGACACTCAATCAGTATCTGTTGAGTAGAATGGATTAGTGATGAATCCAGCAGATTTTTTAAGGCAAAGGCAACAAAAAATAGAATGTACTTAAGGTATGCATGCACTTATTTCATACCAAACCCAGACTAATGTTTGAAGAAATGAAAATGAACCAGCTCATGAATTAAGCTGAAATTTACACTTCTCCTCCAACTAGTAATTACTTTAAGGAGAGCCTCTGCCTCAGTCATTGTCAGCTAAGAGATGAAAATGCATGCTTTTTCTAAATGTATATTTGAATTTCCAAAGTCTTGCATTTCACATGAAGAACCATATTTCAGTCAACATTTCCACTTACTAAAAGGAAATAATCAACGAATAAACTTTGTTTTTGAAGAAATACCTTTGTAAAGAGAAGTCGAAATTTATACATAATTCATGAATTGGCAAATGCTTTTTCTGTGTTTCTTTAGCATTGCTCACGTAAAACACCTGGCCCAGAGGTGCAAAGTACGCCTTCTCTCTGCAGAGCCATCAACAAGTGTTTGTTGAGTGTCTTTTGGACTCTATACTAGAGAATCACAAGGTGGTGGCAAGAAACCATTAGAGACAGGGAGGGATGCCATCAAGAGAATTTCTAATGTGTTAATAAAACACATTCCCTCAAATTAGATCTGGTTTGGGGGGAGTAAAATTTGGAAGGTTAGAAAAAAAGGGAACATGTGGCTATTCCTTTAGGAAGGGCCTTGTGGGCCATAATAAAGAATTTAGACTTTATCCTATAGCAACAGGAAGCTGTTAAAGATGTTTGGTGGCATGTGTAGAGTGATAGAGAAATTGACCAGATCTGTACTTTGGAAAAATGATACTGGCAACTTAGGCAGGATGAATGGGAGGGGCTAAGCCTGAAAGCAAGGGGCTAATCAAGGAGGCTGTTACAAAAGCCCAGGTAATAAATGCAGGGAGTGCTGACCTCAGACCATTTCCATGAGGACACTGATTAAAGCGGGGTGGGGGACGGTTCAGGGAATATTAAGGGGATGGAATCAATAAGCATCTGAGGACAGGCAGGGGAGAGCACTTGTGGGTCAAAACTGACAATAAGACTCAAATGAGTCTTAAACAAATTTAAATGATAGATTAATCACAGAGGTGAAGTTAGACAGTTTTCCATTGAATCCTTACCTCTCATGGCATGTAACTGCAAGATTTGTTGATTTCTGTATTGTATGTGTGGAATGCTGGTCTGATTTTCACTTGTTTAAAATCCAGTATTATTTGGACTGTTCATCTCCTCTATTCTTCAGGTTTTCGGAAACCTGCCCTGGGTTACTCATCCCAGACACCTCTTTTCAGCTAGGGCAGTGACCAGAGATGGGACCTCTGGCAGTGACAGAGGAGACAAACCTTTTATTTATCCTAAAATTTTAAACTTTTTATCAATGTATAGATAAAGTAAACCTCATTCTATCAATTTTGGCAAAAAAAAAACCGAGCTTACTTAAATAGAGTACACATTTTAGGACCTCAAAACTTAAAATTACTACATTCTTAGTCCCACATAGAGGCCTACATTATAATATTGTGTTTGCAAAGTATGGCCTAGGTACCATTGGTTAAGGTAATACATAGACGAATATGGCTTTTTGTCCTTTTCAAAGATTATGTAAGTCTTTGATTTCTAGTTATACCAAGTCATCGTTTTCATTTTTAATAGTGATAGGAAGTTTCCTTTTCAAATAAATTTATGTAGATAAAGAAAACTAGTTCAATGACAAGAAAAATAATAAATAACATAGGAGGTTATCTGATGTGTCAAAAATTGTGAAGGTGACACAAGAGTGAATGAAGTTTGGGGAACACAAGGCAAGTAGGCAGAACGTGGGACTCAAAAATCAAGCCCCAGCTTGGCTACAAGTAATCAGGGTCTGAAGTAAGTTGGGCAGTTTAGTTTGGATGAATCTCATCTGTGAAATGAGGATGGTAACATCCACCTCATAGGGTCTTAATCAAAAGAGACAGAGTATGTGATGGCACCCTGAAATCTGCCAAGTGCATTAGGAACGTTAGCTTTTATTGTTGTGACAGGTGCCGGGATGTTCAGGCGCTGATTTACAATTGCTTTTCCAGAGAGAAATTGTAGCACCGGGAACCCACGTCCCCTGCACAGTGTACTGGGCCCTAAAACGCATCTGTTGCTTCCTGATGATCTTATCAATCTTTAGGGGAAGGAGTTTATTGATTTGTTTCCCTTAGAAGTGCTTCTGTGAATTGATCTGACCGTTTAGATGTTGCAGGCTTGCTAATGTCTCTGCCTGCGTCCCAGGCTGTGGTTGGAAATGATCCTGCTGTGGGGAAAAGGCCGGATCATTCTGACATTCTCCAGTCTGGCCTGGCTCCTCAAGGTCTGAACAACGCCTGAGCTGATGCTTAACTCCTACAGAGTTCTGGTTGTTCAAAAACAACACCGGTAATCTCAGAATGTGGTTCTACTCTGAGCAGTAGCTGGGCTGAGGATGGTGGGTGTTTCTATGCGTCTTTTTCATTTAAAACATCCAAAGGCACAGGGGGAGGGAGCAAAGAATGACATACACTCCCCAAATAACCACTTCTACGATTTTTTTCCAATTCAAACATAGGTTCAAGGGAGGCAGCAGAACCACTGAATAAAGTGCATGGGGTTTTAAATCCGTGTTTCTGCTTCTTCCTGAGCAACCTCAAGCTAGTTATTCATCCCCCTACCAAAGCCCAAGTTTATACATCTGGAAAGTGAGGATATTAGTAATACCCACAAATAAAGTTTTGCTGTGAGGACTGAATGATGTAACTTATGCTCTGAGCAGTTGAGCTCTACATCTGTGCAGGGCTACACAGCAGGGTCTGGACCCATAAATTACTTTCTCCGAAAATGTTTAAGCAATTGTTAAGCCTTGGTTAAGCACAATCCATTTATCACCTGCAATAGACGTCCCACACCCTCAGACTGAAAAGGGTTGGCATTCCTGAATCAGCCTACTGTAATACTTACCAAACGGGATGGTAACTTGGACACTGTGTCAGGGAAGAGGCACTTGGTCCTCTGCTTTTAGGAAAAAGTCTTGGCCCACAAAGAGGGAGGACCTAATGATGTAATCTTTGTCATTTGGGATCAACCTCCTAAATGCAACCTAATATGGCTCCTTCTGGCTGTCCTACTGTTAATTATGCTCTGAGGAAGGCTGCCTGAAACAAAAGTGATGGGCAAGGAGAGGAGATGATCTGGGCCATGGTCCAGCATCCAAAGTGGACCCCTTGGGGATCCTACCCACACCCAGAGCACCACTGAGTTCCTACTACCCCAACTTTTGGGGCCCAGGAGGCACCTGGTACAGGTAAACATTCAGTGGTACAAGCATGTGGTTTAAAATCTGTGAAATCATTCACAATAAGCAAAAAGCTCTTAAATATTTAATCACACATGGGACTACGCACAAATATTGCTTTGTGCACAATCAAGATCTTTATGGGGTCATGAAGAAGGTTTTATTCACTAGTGTGTGAGTGTATTGTGTATGACCAGATGCAGTAGGGCAGAGTGGTCTCTAAAATCAGGCTTAGCTGAGTTCAAATCAAATTCCAGCTTTGCTATGTACCAGCTGTGGAATTTTGAGTAAGCTACTTAATCTCTTTTAAGTCCTGGTTTCTTTGTCTCTAAAATGAGGATAATCATAGTACCTTCTTATGAGGTTGTTGCCAAGATTAAATGAGATAATGCATATAAAGTGCTTAGCACAGTTTCAGCATATGGCAAAGCCTGAATAGAAGTTAACTATTATTATTATTGGCCATCAGTGCCAGGTTTCCTTTCTCATGAGCATACAGAATGTTTCTAGACCTGATGCAAAAAGGTTGCATAATCTCCCTAATCCAGTTCTTGGGAAGGTTGTTCCCTGTTCCATTGTAACATTTTTGGAGAAATATAGATGATGCCGGCATGTGAGTTTGAAAGAAGACACAGGTTGCATTTTAAGACATTGATTTTCGGCCTTATGACCATTGTGGTTTTTTTTATTAACCCAAGATTCTCCTGCTCAGAAAGTTTTTTCTTAGTAAAAGAAAGCCACATCTTGA
Source organism: Homo sapiens (assembly GCF_000001405.40). Taxonomy (NCBI): domain Eukaryota; kingdom Metazoa; phylum Chordata; class Mammalia; order Primates; family Hominidae; genus Homo; species Homo sapiens. Next base: position 41,733,671 of record NC_000004.12, read on the forward strand.
CGCTACCCCTGTAGTCACTTTCTCATTCATGGGACCATCTCTCAGACCTATTAGTGCTAGGGTTGACTGGGACTGGTTTTCATGTCATTCTAAATGAAAAACTTGTTCTAGGATCTCCCAGTGAATCACAAACAAATTGGGTAATTCATGTGGACAGTACCCAAGTCCATGAATATTACCCAGGGGCATAAAAACCTTAAATGAACATCTTACTAGTGGGTGTTGTGAAATAATTATGGACTTTGATGAATTATCTAATCCATCAGCCACTTAATGGCTTTTTTTTTTTTTGGTGGAGTTTCACCCTTGTTGCTCCGCCTGGAGTGCAGTGGCGCGATCTCAGCTCTGCACCTATGTTCAAGCAATTCTTCTGCCTCAGCCTCCCCAGTAACTGGGATTACAGGGGTGTGCCACCACGCCCAGCTAATTTTTGTAATTTTAGTAGAGACAGGGTTTCACCATGTTGGTCAGGCTGGTCTTGAACTCCCGACATCAGGTGATCCACCCGCCTCAGCCTCCCAAAGTGCTGGGATTACAAGCATGAGCCACCATACCCAGCCTAATGGCTCTTTTTAAAAAATCATTTAAATTTCTCCATCTTTGCACCTGCAGCAGCCTGGAATGTCATTCTCATACCCCAGTCCATCTGGTGAATACTACTGAATATTCAACATTAATGTCAACTCTTCAAGGACACCTCTTATGTTTGTTAAGATATTGGTTCAGTTATTTAACACAGGTTAAACAATTGCCAATGGAATACGTTTATGTATTTTACTGCACAAATCTATAGAGGGCAATAGGATGGCTCTACCCCAAGGAGTCACTCATGGCCCCAGGCAGCTTCTGTTGTGCTGCTTGGCCATCCCCCAAATCTTACCCTCATTGGTGCAGTTGAAGATGACTCATCATCCTCATGTCTACTTTCTAGCCTCCTGCAAAAAGGAAAAGAAGTACTTCAGGGCAAGCAGCTTTCGTTCACCTAGAAGTGGCATGTATCCTTTCTGCTCAAACCCATGGCACATGGCCATGTCTAGCTTCAAGGGAAGCTGGGAAACGTAGTCTCTATCTGAATGGCCATGTGCAAACTCCCCAAAAAACAAGGAGTTCTCTTGCTAACTGGAAGAAGAGAATGCTTATTAAGGGACAGTTAGCAATCTCTGCCACACTACTTTTTAGCATTCCAAGCACCATTAGAAATGTAGGAAGAATTTTGCTGTCTTTTTTTGTTTATTCGTTTGTTTTTGAAACCAAATACCACGCAGCTAGCTAAAATAGGCAAATCTACAGGTTTTCATAGGAAATGGTCTTTGGGATATGTATGTTAAGTAAAAAATACAAGTATAGAAAAGATGTATAATGTAATAACATCTGTATTTATACACACACATATGTAGAGAGAGACTGTTCTCAGAAGGATACAAAAATAACTACTACTGGTTACTTTGGGGAAACAGAGGTAAGAGAGAGATACACTTTTCACTAAATAACCTTTAAAATCTTTTTTAATTTTTAGACTGCATGTGTATATGTGTGCAATTTTTTTAAAACGTTGAAATCGCTGAATTATTCAGACTTCTTTTTACTTATTACAAACTATTTTTTCTGCAAGGAGGTGTGAACGGCATGGAAGCTAGTCTCAACCAGTTATAGCACTGATGGTACCAAAGGACTTTCTTACCAAAGAAAAACTAACTCCAAGGCTAACATTTAGATGTGGTTCCCTCCTACTAAGCAGAAACTGTTGGAGCAACAGAATCCTGGGTGAATAAAAAGGCATAATTATCTTAAGTCCAGAAAAATCAACTCCTCAAAGAATAGCTTGCACCTTAGGTAGCCTCCCACACGAATATCATCTATGCGTCTCAAAGGACCTACAATGAACATGAAACAACCTTTTAAATGGGTTACCATATTTCTGCAAATAAATGTATGCTGAAATTTTCATCTTTTTTTAAAACTTTTATTTTATTTATTTATTTATTTATTTATTTATTTTGAGACAGAGTCTCACTCCATCACCCAGGCTGGAGTACAGTGGTGCAATCTCAACTCACTGCAACCTTTACCTCCTCGGTTCAAGCGATTCTCCTGCCTCAACCTCCTGAGTAGCTGGGATTACAGGAGCCCACGACCACATCCAGCTACTTTTTTTATTTTTAGTAGAAACAGTGTTTCACAATGTTGTCCAGGTTGGTCTCGAACTCCTGACCTCAAGTGATCCACACATCTCAGCCTCTCAAAGTCCTGGGATTACAGGTGTAAGCCACCACGCCGGGCCTTTTATTTTAGGTTTAGGGGTACGTGTGCAGGTTTTCTAATATAGGTAAATTACTTGTTGCAGGGATTTGGTGTGCAAATTGTTTCATCACCCAGGTAATAAGTATAGTACCCTGTAGGTAGTCTTTTGATTCTCACCCTCCTCCCACCCTCCACCCTCAGGTAGGCCCTGATGTCTGTTGTTCCCTTATTTTTGTTTGTATGTACTCAGTATTTAGCTCCCACTTATAAGTGAGAACATGCAGTATTTGGTTTTCTGTTCCTGTGTTAGTTTGCCTAGGATAATGGCCTCCAGCTCCATCCACATTCCTGCAAAGGACATGATCTCATTCTTTTATGGCTGCATAGTATTCCATGGTGTATATGTACCACATTTTCTCTATCCAGTCTACCACTGATGGACATTTAGGTTTATTCCATGTCTTTGCTATTGTGAATGTGCTGTGATGAACACACATGTGCATGTGTCTTTATGGTAGCACAATTTATAATCCTTTGAGTATATACCTAAGTTCGTCAATCTGCTTTCCACAATGGCTGAACTAGTTTACATTCCCACAGCGGTGCATAAGCGTTCCCTTTTCTCCACAGTCTCACCAGCATCATCTTTGTGTTTGTTTGTTTCTTTTTTCCCCCATCAGTAGAGTGCTTAGAGAAAATAAAATTTAATCTTTTCAGAATTTTCTAAGAAATGACCTTTTTGTGTTTCAATGGACCTGAACAAAATTCCAGCATAAGTAGATGAATGGCCTCAGACATTTTCAATCGTTATTTATTTATTTATTTATTGAGACAGAGTTTTGCTCTTGTTGCCCAGGCTGGAGTGCAACGGCGTGATCTCGGCTCACCGCAGCCTACACCTCCCAGGTTCAAACAATTCTCCTGCCTCCGCCTCCCAAGTAGCTGGGATCACAGGAATGCCCCACCACACCCAGCTAATTTTGTATTTTTAGTAGAGAGAGGGTTTCACCATGTTGGCCAGGCTGGTCTCAAACTCCTGACCTCAGGTGATCCACCCACCTTGGCCTCCCAAAGTGCTGGGAATATAGACTTGAGCCACCATGCCTGGCCCAAATGTCCTTTAGGTTGTAGCTTCTTTCCAGTCAATCAAAGGCAAGAATGGGCATATAGAGGAGTTTCCATGAATGATTGTTCCAATATATGGTCAGGTACAGGGACGTTAATATGTCTGAATATTTTAACAGCACCCGGGCTTCCAGTGACAAGGTAGGAAAACTTTACTACAATGTGAAGCAGAGTCTATATATCTCAAGAAATTGTTGTCCACTTTGTTTTAAATCAATATTGGAGAGCACACTTTTTCTAGCCTCAAAAAAAAGATAATTGGTTAAGAAAACAGTAATATTTTTCACTCTTCCCTCTCTGCTAATTTATGTTGCTCTGACTTAAGACTAAGATGGAGGGTGTATGTAAATTATATCTGTAAGAAATCAAAGACATTATGGAGGAAGGTAAAGGGGGTGATGGGTTTCTCGTATTATTCTCTACTTTTAAAAAAATTGAGATATGATTCACATACCATAAAATCCATCTTTTTAAAGTATATAATTCAGTGGACTTTTGAATATTGACGAAGTTGTGCTGCCATCACCACTATGTAATTCCAGAACGTTCTCATCACCCTCTCTGGCTTTTAACATTTGCTTAGGTTGTGAGCAGAAAGGCTAAGGGCAAGGACAGGCACGGTGACTCACGCCTGTAATCCCAGCAATGTGGGAGGCCAAGGTGGGTGGATTGCCTGAGGTCAAGAGTTGGAGACCAGCCTGGCCAACGTGGTGAAACCCTGTCTCTACTAAAAATACAAAAACTAGCCAGACGTGGTGGCAGGTGCCTATAATCCCAGCTACGTGGGAGGCTGAGGCAGGAGAATTGCTTGAACCCGGGAGGCAGAGGTTGCAGTAAGCCAAGATCATGCCACTTCACTCCAACCTGAGCTGAAGAGTGAAACTCCACCTCAAAAAAAAAAAAAAAAGAAAGAAAGAAAGAAAGAAAAAGAAAAGAAAGGCTAAGGGCAGTACTGAGTTCTAGGCCATGCTAGTGACTCTTCTGGACCCTGGGAGCCCCAGGCGATGGGACTTTGGGGTCAAGGGACTTGTGTTTGGAGCTCATCTCTAGTACATACCAGCTTTGGGGGCTTGAGCAAGTTGCTCAGCTTTTCCATCACTTGGATTTCTTTTCATAACAATACCATCTACCCCAGAAGTCTTGAAACCCTATACAGATAACAAAGGCAAAACAGCTAGCCGAGTATCTAACACATAGCAAATACTCCAGAAAGCACAATATCTTAAGTTTCAAACAAGTCAGGTTTACATTCCTCCTTTGTCCAAGGTGGCCATGCCACTGGGGCTGTAAAGAAATTAGGTTTTGCACCCAGGCTCTTCCTGTTCTGGAAATCATCGCTTAAATCATCTGAGAAGTCATATAGCAAGTAGTCATCCACTATGTTCCCTAATGAAATTATATCCAGGTAAGAGGCCTTTATTCCCCTTGATGTCTGACTTTCCCCAGAGGGAGGTCTTTGACATCAAACACATGGCTAAAGTAACATTATTGTTCAATCACTTGGCCTTGGGGTAATCCAACAAACCCAATAGCTTCAAGTTCAGACAAAAAGTAAAGTAAGCGACAGCTAGGTAACTAAGGAATTCCTTTCATGTTTTTTTAAAACACCTTTTTAACATATTGATTAAAAGGCTGAGCTTTAGACTGAGTCTTGCTTTGCCATTATTAATGATATGACCTTGGGTAAGAGTCAATGGATTTGAATCTCGATAGTGTGGTGCACGCAGCACAGTGCCCAGTCCATATAAATCCTCCATAAACAGTAACAGGGTGCTCCAGTCCTGCTGAATCACCTCCTGCTCCTCCGAATCACCTCCTGCTCTCCCCGGCTTTCTTACTGTCACCTCCACATCCAGCCAGTGGCCTATAAAACCCTGGAACTTTCTTTGTGCAACTTGGAGGGCTTGTTTTATTTTCTTTTGTCCCTTGAAGGAGCATGAGATAGGTTTAAAACTTCTCTAAGATTGCTTCCACCTATGAAGTAAAATGATTACATGCTCTGATCCTGAAGAAATGTTCTTAGAATCAAAGCTTCACAGAGACACGGAACACCCTGTTCTCATCAGCTAGCTAGGAGCCAGGAATGACATCCAATCCTAGTTTTTTGTGTGGATGCCATAGACTCCATGGCAGCCTGGTGACATCCAAGAATCCCTTCTCAAGATAATGTTTTAAAGTATAAACAATAAGGAGCATCTCCCCCGGAGGGCAAGGCTGGGGAGATGTTGGTTAAAGGATACAATGTTTCAGTTAGGTGAAAGGAATAGTTTAAGAAATCTATCGTACAACATGGTGACTATAGTTAATAATAATGTATTGTTTTCTTGAAAGTCACTTAGAGGGTGGATTTTAAGTGTTCTCACCACAAACACACAAAAATAGTAAGTAGGTGAAGTGATGTATATGTTAATTAGCTCAATTTAGCCATTCCGCAGTGAATACATATTTCAAAACATGTTGTACACAATAAATATATGTAATTTTTGTCAAATAAAGATAATTTTTAAAATTGCTTAATAAATAAATAAAATTTTTTAAAGGAAAGATAATCTTTAAAAGTACATAGGATTACAACAGAAGCCAATGGAAACAAAGTTATAAAAAATGGTTTAAAACAAATTTGTGCTGTAGTAGCTTATGTGCTTCTTCAGTAATGCATTAAATAACAAGATATAATGTCTGATCTAGTATATATCATAATTTCAAACTTAGGATGAATACAAATGATCTATCAAGATAGCTTCAAAAACTCCATTGTGAAATGAAAATATCTGTGATTTCCACTGGCTACAAAGTCACAGGTACTGATAATTACTACTGTGGCTACGTTGCCCACATTCATCACTGAAGAAAATGCTGCATTTCAGGTAGAAGTTAGTGAAAGTATATATGTATTTTTCCCTTTCTCCCTTGAATTCTATCCATGAACCCAGGGTTGAGAACCCCTGCATTAAGCCAAGACTAACACAATTCAAAATATCTACCATGGCGATGGGGACATGGTCATGGACTGTTTTCAGATAATCCTGCCTGTTGATCTAATGAGGTCACAGGTCTTTGCACTGTGTTTTGCCTTCCTTCCAATATGGAAATGGTGTAAGGTAAAGACATTTAGTCATTATTTATCCACACAGATTTGTAAACAGCCACTCTGGAATGAGGGCTGGAAAATGAAGGATTCAGGTGGGCTTTTGTCATTTGTGCCATCCGTTACGATGGTGATGAATGAGCTTAGAGGCTGACATCCTTTCCTGTCCACCAACTGACGTTCTGCACTTCATAAATGTAACTGTTTTTTCCCTTCCACATTCCATGCCCCTGGCTACTTCTTGTCTTGTTCACTTACCAGAAAAAGACCGGGAGCTGTAAATATGTTGCCTTGCAGAAAACATTCTCCCTCCTCCTGGGGATTGCAAAGCCTTTCAGGCCTTGGGCTTCCTTCTGAGTCTGGCTGGGATTCCATCCCAACACTGCTCTCCTGTTGCCCTTTCTAGCCTTCACCTGCCTCCGGAGTCTCTTGCAAAATCTCCTCCAGGGTCCAATAGTGTGTAACCTTGTGGCCTAAAATGAATTCTTCCTCTTGGAAGGCTCTAAAGAGCAGTGGTTAAGAAGAAACACACACTCCAGAGACCAGCCAGCCAGGGCTGGAATCCATTCCTGTTGCAAACCTACTAACTTTGTAACCCTAAGCATATTACCCAGCTCCTCAATGCCTCAGTTTCCTCACAAGAAAAAAAAATGGAAATGGCACTTTATCTCACAGGGTAGTCATGAGGACTAAACACATTAAAGCTTGTAAGTTTAAAATAGAGCCTGGCATACAGTAGGCACTCAATAAATGTTAGGTGTTTCTTGTCAGCCCCTGACTGATTTTAGTCTGTTCCTGTCCACCCTCAGCAAAGTTCTCGAATTCCAACCTTTGAACAGTCACTCACACTCTATGTTCCTGGACAGTTGATTAAATGACAACTGAGGGCTCTTTTTAATTTTCTAAGGCCTGAGCTGGACAGATCAAGAAAGGATCTAGAAGTTACAGCGTGATCAAGAGCAGCAGCAACCAGCAACAGCATCATGATAATCATATCTGACATTTGCTGAAAACTTATACTATATTAGATGCTTACTGTATATTATATTTAATCCTCTCAACAATCCCATACTCTACATAATTACTCACAGTTTTGGTTGATAAATCAGACACAGAGGGATTAAGTTATTTGCTCCACCAGGTGACACAGTTCCCTTCTCTGAATTGAGGACTATCTCTAACCATAGGCTGTCTTCCTAAGGATATGCAGTGGTCCCAGAGACGCATCTGGAGTGAGTTACGGACAGCTACTATTTGCTGTGTTGTCTACTTCCCTCTACAACCACTCTCTGATTCTCTGCACTCCACCATTTTGAAGGAGACTTGGCTTAGGGGTGGCTCTCTGGCATCGGCTCTGAAGCTTTTGTGAAGTCACATGTGGTCCCAGAGTTGCCAGGAAAAAGGATGCCTTGATAAGCCAAAATGCAAATTTCTTAGGAGAGGAAAAGTGAAAGTGAGCTTGTTCACACTGTGCAGGGTTCCAAGGAAATGACACAATGTGAGAGACAGAGTGTCCTGCCACTAAGGCTCCATCATATTACAGGGATATTATTTTGCATTTCATCATAAACTTGCCTCCCAACAGTTTGCTTCTTTGATCAGTAAGAGAAGCAGAGATGACCCAAATTAAAACGAAGGTGGTATTCAAAATACTAGAGCTAGAGCTGGGTGCCTCCAGACATTTACAATGTAGTCCTCTGGGAAGCTGGGATGGAGGTGGGGGGGCATGGTTGTCTCACCAATCCCCAGAGTTTCCCTTGTCCTGGAGACAAGTCACTCAAAGTTGCTCAAGACCAGGAGAAAGAAATTTGGTGACCCTCATCAGTTTATTCACATCTGAAAGGACTTCTAGGGCCTTCTCTGGGGTTTCCAAAGAAACCCTGTGGCTATTTGTTTTTCCTCTTCTTTCTCTATCCCTCTTCTTCCTCTCTCCACTCATTGCTTTCTTTTTCTCCATTGGTCTTGCCTTTTCCAGAATGCCTGTCCACTAGCCTGCCCAAAAGCTTACAGGGACTTACCTCGTGGGCTTCCATGACTATAGGAAGGTGAACTTTCCTGTGTCCAGGCCCAGGACCTTGATTGCTCTTTTTGCCAATAAATTATTGTTTTTGTGGTCTGCCTGTCTCAGATCTTCTAAGTTATATTTACAACCAAAGACTACAACCCAAGAGTTCCGGGAATTGCTGGCATATTAAACTAGCACAATTAGTGGCACTCTTTATAAACAATGTTGTCTTGGAGACTTTACTGAGGGGCATTTAGAGACAGATTTTTTTAAAAGAATATTTTAAAGCCTTTTATTTTACTCTTTTTTTTTTTTCAGACAGTGTCTCTCTCTGTCACCTAGGCTGGAATGCGGTGGCATGTTCATAGCTCATTGCAACCTCAGCTGTTGGGCTCAAGCAATCATCCCACCTTAGCCTCTCAAGTAGCCAGGACTATAGGCATGTGCCACCACACCTGGCTAATTTTTCTTTCCTTTTTTTCTTTTCTTTTCTTTCTTTTTTTTTTTTTTTTTTTTGCTTAGGCAGGTTTCCAGCTCCTGCCTTCAAGCGATCCTCCTGCCTTGGCATCCCAAAGGATTGGGATTACAGGCATGAGCCACCACGCCTGGCCCTAAAATCCTTCTAGAAAGATGATTCAAAGTTTGATATGATGCAAATATTTGAGATTTCTGAATCAAACTGCCTGATCAAATGCAAGCCACATTTGGATGCTTTTGGCAAGAAGCCCTGATAAATTTAAACCAGATCAGCTGCTAATCCTTAAATCAGAGAAGGCAAACTGTGGCCTCCCTTCAAATGAGGAGAACTGAATTATGTGTTGATTATGCCCAGCCAGAGGGGTATAAAGGTAAGTACCAGAAGTTTACACAGGGATTCTGCTTGGAGAAAGTGGCGCAGTCAAAGGGTCCAAGGAGGAGGCACGATTCCATTTTGGGGCCGTAGTGAGGACCCCTTCCCTCCAAAAGAGATCACTAAGGCTGCCAGAATTCTTCCCCTCACCTGTTCCCAAGGTAGTCCCAGTTCTGGAATTTTCTGGTTTGCATTTCTTACAGGGTAGTTTAGTGGTTCCTATAACCTCTAGAACTTAAAGCACATTGCTGGACCCCACCCCCAGAGTTTCTGATTCAGTAGGTCCAAGGTGGGTCCCAAGAATTTGTGTCTAGCAAATCCCCAGGTGATACTGATGCTGCTGGTGCAGGAGCCACACTTTGAGAACCATTGGTATTGTTAAATGTCGCAGGTTCTTGAATGAGATTTTCTCATTTCAATGGCTGGCCCCATCACTCATAAACCAGGGGTGCTTCAGCAGGTTAAGTTTCTGTTGCCTCCATTCCCTCACCTATTTAAAATAAAACAGAGGATAGGAATTGTACCTGCTTCATGGTCTTGTTTTGAAGGATAGATGAGAAAATGCATGGAAGGCACACCCTGTTCCATATAGCACCTGATCACCTGCCCACATGGAGCTTGTCGGGTGTCCTGGGGTGTCAGCACTCTGCAGGGTTTGGGGGAGCTGGACAGCCTGGACCTTGCCGGATATCACTGGTCTTGAAGGCACCTGCACACAGAATCCACACTGTCGTTTTAAGTCCACCTCAAAGACCTGAATTCAAATCCTGCCTTGGCTGCCACTTAGTCCACATATCCACATCCAGATGTGAACACTTTTATCAATGCCCTGGTGTGCTTCTGGGGGACAGAAAAGCATGGACAAGAAGCCTCCCTGCTCTCTCAAGCACTAAATTTTATATTTGGCTGAATTTGGCTGCATGGGTTTAGATGTCCCAACCCACCTGGATTTCCAGAGCCCAGTGAGGTTCTTGCTATTTTTTAGCACAATTTCCTTTATCTTCCCTTATCCTTTTAAAAAAAAACTTAAAAAAAAAAAAACAATGACCAACCAAAAAAAAAAAAAAAAAAAAAGAATCAAGAAAAAGAAGAGTTCAATTGCTAGACTTGCTTTTTGTTTTTATTATCAACAATCAAGTTAATGGTACACTCTTGGAAAACTATATGCACATGTAGAAATATTTCCCTTTTAAATAGAAGCATTCATTATAACACATATAAATAAATTCAAAAATCTGAAACATAACTTATGACAATTATGTTCACAAACATAGTCCAACAGGAAAAAAAAAGAAATCAGACAGACATGCACCTGATAACAAAAATATATACCATTGTCTGAACCGTGGCCTCTCTAAACACAAAAGATTGAACCCGTGAGAACCTTATTACACCATAAAGACACGCCATAGAGACTACAAGAAGAGAAAAACATTATACGGTCACGTAGAGGAGACAGTCTGCACTGATATTAACACGATACAATTGAGTCACAGAACACAGTTGTAGAAAGACACCGAAAAAGTTAAAGCCTCAACATTCAACTAATATCTAGAGTTTGTGCCTTTTAAAATAAAAACAACAACAAAGAATCAAAACAGAGATGTCTAAACTGCGCGAAGAATGGAACCCTCAATATACAGTCCATCCACCATACAGGATGTGAGTCCAGTTCGGATCATTCCAACAGAAATGCAAACCGAGACACCCCTGCAAACGTGTGTGTGTGCCTTTTCCTTGCTCGGTAGATTTCTCTGCAGCCAGTTACGTGGACTGCAATTGACCCCAATCCAAAGCAGTGCCAAAAAGTTCAGTAAAAGCTGGTGGAAGAAGAAAATGCCGACGGGGTAGGCGGGAGCGAGGGGGAAAAAAAGAGTTGCGAAACATGAGACACATTTTGCAGAGTTTGCAGATGAAAAGGCATCTCATGGATAGGGCATCTTTCAGGGCCGAACGGCTGCAAAGATTCGGGGTTGGGAGTTGCAACTGTGTGGGGTTCCGATGCGCTAATGGCGGGATGGTGTTCAGCGAGGTGGGACAGGCAAGGGGGTGCGAGAAAGTCACTCCGGCCGCCGGGACAGTCTGAGCAAGTCGTCGCCGCAGTGACCCGAACCCAAGGACACGATAGGAAGGGGGGCTGGAACGGCGTCCCTACTCTTCCCTGAAGAAGAGCCCCAAGAGAATCCGTGCTGTTAGGAGGGAGCGGATTTAGGGGTTCACAAGATCGAGCCTTCAGCTCCAGCTGCAGCTTCTCCCCTAGCCCCTCCTTTAATTTGTCTTTTTTTTCCTTATGTTTTTTAAACCTTTCTGGGTTGTTGGCTTTTTGTTTTTTAATGGTTTCTGCCTTCCAACTTTTTTGTTTTTATTTTTACTTTTTTGTCTTTTTTTTCTAAACAAGTCACTAAGTTGGTTGAGGCCCCCCATCTCTTCCTGTCACCTGCTTGGGCCACAGACACACATTCCCCGAGACAGACACAAACTGACACGCAGACACAGCCCCCTGAGAGTGCCCCGCGTCCAGGCCGCGCTGCTCACAACCCCCGATCAGCAGGCGGAGCCCTGGCCCCGCTGCGAGGCCCCAGGCAGGTGCGAAGCCAGGGAAGTTTGTTTGTTTTGTTTGGGGGTTGAGGAAGGGGGTAGGAGTGGGGTTGAAATGAGGGCGACGCCGTTTTCCCTTTATTCTTAGCGCGATTACTTTAGGCCCTCAATGAAAAAGCCATGGCAGCAGCGACGACAATAGCCTTGGGCCTACCCGCTCGCCCACTCGCCCGCCCGGGCCCTGGCTCGCCCGCTGTCGCCGCCGCCGCCGCCGCCGCAGGATTCCAGATCAGAACATACTGCTCTTCACTAAGGCGGCTTTGGCACCGTTGGGTCTTTGGAGCGAAGATAGGACGCTGGCGAAGGGACCCCCAAGCGAATCCGGGATGGAGGTGATGGGGCCGGGGCCGGGAGCCCAGCCTTGTCCAGGGCCCCCAGCCGCAGCCAGGCCTCCAGCTGCCGCCGCTGCCGCTGCCGCCGCCGCCGCTGCCGCGGCCGCCGCCGCTGCTGCTGCGCCGCCCTTGCCGGGTTCGCCTCCCGGGCCCCCGGGCCCCGCCGCCCCCGGAGCTCCAGCCGGGCTGGGCCCGCCGCCGCCGCCTCCATTCGCCCCGCAGCTGGGGGTGGGGTTGGGATTGGGACCTGGGCCCCCAGTGCTGTCCGGGTCAGTGCTCTTGGCCTCTTTGCTCTCGTCGTCCCTGGAAGAGTCAGACTTTTTGCCCGAGGAGCCGTTCTTGGCCGCGGCCGCTGCGGCTGCCGCTGCGCGCTCCTGCTTGCGAAACTTGGCGCGGCGGTTCTGGAACCACACCTGGCCCAAGACGGAAGGAGAGACGGTGAAGCAGGGGGAGAAAGAAGAAAATGGGAAAGAAAAGCACCGGTTAGGGTGGCCCAAGTTCTACTTCGGCTTGTTTTAACACCCTCCTCCCCATGCGCTGTGATCACCCCCGCGCGCACATCCACCAAGTCTACCGCTTCTTATTGCTGTGCATTTTCGGAGAAACTTTCTTAGGGGGAGTGAGCACGCCAGGGACATGAAGGCTTGCGGCAGAGTTTAAAAAGCCGCAGGTCCCAGAAAGACCCGAAAAGGGAAGGCCTTATTTTGGTGGGCCTCTGTTCAGTCGGCTTCTTGAGCAAGCCCCGAGCTCGCCATTCACCCCTAAGCCTAAGTTCTAAAGTTAAACTCTAATTGGTAGAAGGAAAAGGGATCCTCTCTGGGTTTGCTCCGCTGCCCATCCCCGGCCTTTGAGCCTGGAAGAGCGTGCGATGGTGCGCACCGCTTCTCGGTCGGGGGCTCACCCAGAGAGGCGCTGTGGCCAACTCGTGAGCGCACCTGTGTTTAACAGGTTGGAGTAAGTCATGGTTCTTGACCTTCATGAAGTCACAGACCCTTTGCAAATCTGATGCAAGTCACAGTTTCCGGGAAAATGAACCTATATGCCATGGGGCCAGGTTAAAAGCACTTGAGTTAGGAGGCATTTTTTTGGGGGGCGGGAGGGGAGAAGGAAAAACTTATAATACGGGAGCAAAGTCTGCACACCTTCCACCACAGGCACTTCCTGTCCCCGAAATTGCATCGCTCATCCACGTCCCAAGGCCCCCCATGTCTCTGCTCGGGTGGGAAACACTTCGCAACTGTAAATAAAATGCCAAGAGCGTGCGCTCTAAGCCTCTCTCGAACGCACAGCCACACCAAATCCAGTATTTCTGATCGGCCATGGGGCCCTAGGTCCTTCTCACTCGAGGCTCCAGGACTTCGAATTTCACCAGCCGCCCCTCACCCCACACCTCCCCGGACCAGTGCGGCGGAGCGGGGTCGGTTTCCAGGCGCGCGTACCTGGACTCGCGCCTCTGTGAGGTCGATCTTCAGGGCCAGCTCCTCCCGAGTGTAGATGTCGGGGTAGTGAGTCTCCGCGAAGACCCTTTCCAGCTCTTTGAGCTGGGCACTGGTGAAAGTGGTGCGGATGCGCCGCTGCTTGCGCTTCTCGTTGAGGCCGCCGTGGTCCGTGAAGAGTTTGTAAGGAACTAGAGTATGACAGAGGAGACAGAAAGTGAGCAAATCAGCCGGCAGCTCGCCGGCCGTGGAGCTAGAATGTGAGGACTCCAAGGTCAGGTCATACGGCAGCCGCTACCTACACCCGCGCGAGAGAGTTGCCGAGAGAAGCTGCGGGAAGAAACCGAGGAAATTTGTTATCTGCGGAAACCTGGGCTCAAACTTCGGGCTTGGCGGAGTCCTTTCTGGCACAAGCGCCTTTGGGTGGATTGAAACAGCGCGATGTGACGGACTTGAGATAGTGCTTTCAGCAGGAAAAAACCAGAGAGGAAAAAAATCCAAAAACATCAGTCGGAATATCAGGGAGCCAGGAAAGAAGTTACCAAACAGTCCCACTTTGGGAACTTTTCAATTCTCAGAAAGTTGACCCGGCTCAAAAGTTGGGGGAAAGAGCTGCAAAAAAATAATAATAAATTAAAGAAATAATCATAAAAATGACCAGCCAAAGAGGTGTGAGCCGCTGTCGGTTCTTAAAAAAAGAGACACTGCCAGTAATGAGCTTTACTCTTTGTTATTTAATTATTTTCTAAGCTTTACGTCTCATCGCAAAGTAAATAAATTATGCCTATCATTTTGGCAGCTTAAGATAATTTTGTTGGCGGTTCGGGTGTGACTAGGATAGTGTAACCCTGTAAGTGAATTACCCCTCCCTGCAATCGCTTCTAACGTGATAAATTCTTTCATTTGTGTAAGCAAATTTCGTTTGGTAAATACTAAACACATTTCCATTTTCAAATGCAATCAAGGCTTCCTATATACGGGCGGAAAGGCGGCTTCCTCCGCTGAGAAAGCTGAAGGTCCTTACCTGCGGCGTACGGACTGCTCTGGTGGTCCCTGAGGGTGCCCAGGCTGCAGGATCCCGGCGTGAGGGAAGGGCAGCCGGACGTGGCCCCAAAAGTGGTCCTTATCGGGTTATACTGGAAGCCACTGGCCTGGCTGCAGGAACTGAAGTCAGCATAGGCTGAAGCCAGGCTCGAGGTGTCCATCCCAGCCATACAGGACTCGTAGGCAGAGGAATTGAGGTAAGAATATTCCATTTTATACATTGAAAAGGTTCTGGATGGCTCAGCCAAGTGGAAAAATGAAATAAAAGATGGATATGGAGAAGGTGGCTGGAGTGGGGAGATGTGCACAGCTCAACGCCTGCCTCCAAACTGGCCTCCTTACTACCAGCAGAGCCTAGTTTTATGAAAAAGCCTCCTATGAGATGCCTTGTCTGAGGTCTCTAGAGCATATAGTCCTCATAATAAACTTGGCTCTTTCCACTTGGACAATAGCAAAGCGGTTGGTCTTATTGCTGGCGCTTTTTACATGACAATAACTCATCCGTCTATTGGGCTGGCACTGGGGAACTGAGCTGTCCAACCTCCCTATCATTGATTCCTGCATCTCTAATTAGAATTTAATACCACACCATTACGCACCGAGCCCCTGATCCTCCCTTCTAACCAGCTCCCTGCCCTTTAATTCAATCACACTACTTGGAAATAATGAAAGTTGGGTGACGATTCTCCCTGATCCAATTTCCCCGAGCTTTTAAGCCTTTTTAACTGATCATATACCTTAGGCATAAATTGAGATAGTGTGTGTGTTTTCCCCCTTCTTCGTCCTCTTCTTTTTTTCCCCCTCGGTTAGGGAGAAGAAACCTTGATGTCATAGAAAACCTGTTTTGTAAGAGTGTTACACGCTCAATTTAACAACAAGCCTACCCCCCGAAGTGCATGAAATGTTATAAAGGACTGGGACATTGGCAAGACTCAGGCGCCCTGTAACATAGAGTAAGTGGGCCAAGGGGGTTTATGTGAACGATAAGCGGATTTCTTTAAAAATACACCTGGTAGAGGGGGTTAAAAAAAAGAGAGACAGAGAGAAAGCATCTTATAAATTGCATTTCTTCTTGCAGCTAAATGTGCTTTCAAGAGACTCAGGGTATACAGCCACTTAAAAATAATAATAAAAAAATCTGAGGAAAGCTTTCGAATGTGAAACATCTGGATTCTCGACCGTTGTGTTCTTTGCTCTCAGTTCTGTCTGTTTGCATTAGCGCAAGCCTTGGTTGGTTTGAGTTTCTGTGAGGTTGTTCGTTTTAATTACACCATAACTGGCAAGCGAGCATGAAGTGTACCCAAATGTATCTCCTCTTTCATCTCTTTCGGGCGCTCTCCCTCTTTCTCGCCTCTTTTTTTTTTTCAGGTGCCCACAATCCTCCACAGACCCGGGGATTGTGTCTGTTTGCCTTTTAGGTTTGCGGACTGTAGTGAGGGAAATTCTTGCCATGTAAATGCCCAGGCAAGGGCTCCAGGTCGGGCACCTTTCTTGTCCGATTCCTCAGGCTTTTGGGTGCTGGCAGCGAGGCACAGACAAAGGAGCGAGCAGTGATTTGTGGACTTCAGTGGCCCCATGATTTAAGCGGAGGGTAATTTTCATTTGGTTTGTTAGGCCCTAGCAGAATAAGGGAAACTATTTCATTAAATCCTTCCTCTCGGTGGACAAGAGGGGGAAAGCTTAGCTGAATCGCCGTGTGGTGTAAACAAACCCTGGATATTTTATATGAATTAAATGTGTAGATAATTAGTTTTATTGCATTCATTACCCCCTTTATGTGCTCTGTAACAAGTCAGTAATTAAAGTAACAAACTCATAAAGTCTTTATAGGGGCATTTAGGCGTTCAGTGTTTGCCAAACTAAGTGGTTTAATTCGATGCTAGTGCCGGGGAGTGGATGGGCTCCCGCTCTCCCCTGCCACCGTGTTTTATTGCGCACTAAACTGCCGCGGACGCAGTAATGGATTAAACGGGGACAGCGGTCCCCCAGCCTTGTGCTTCTTTGCAGGGTGAGTTTCAGGCTCGTTTCAGGTGGTTGCAAATCCTCGGGGCGTGAGGAAGCGCTAAAGTCGGGAGTGCAGGGAGCCGGACCTACCGAGGATCCTGGTGATAGTTTTATGGGGAGGGCTGATAGTTTTATTGCAGTTGTATGTTGTACAATGCGTATTTGATAAAGAAGGGCCCTTGGTGACCAGTGTGCACTTTTTTGTGCACGGGGGTGAAATGAAAATAAATGTATACAAGGTTTTACTGCGGCGGGAAACAAATTGCAACGCTCTAAATGGTTTTTCTTTATGGTCACCAGACAAGAGGAGAAAAGGGATGCAAACATCTGTCTTCAGTCCCCTAAACCTAAAGGCCAGCAAAGACGGATGCGAATCCAAGTGCTATTACAGCGGAGATTTGTCTTTATTTATCCCGCTCTCATGAATATGAATTTGCATTTGGGCCGGGAGGTGGCTGTATCCCTTTGGACTCCACACATGGAATTTCCCCCACGCTCATCCCCCTCCCCAACCACTTAAGGGAGGTGGGGGATAGGTTGTCAAGCACAAGGCTGAGATCGTCCAAGTTTCTTCGTTCCCTCGGATTTCGGGTTGGGGGATGTGCTTGCTGGTTTTCTGAACGCAACTCTGCCGCCGAGGCCTGCACTCAGGAGATGTGGATGTAGGGAGCACAGGCCGGGGTGTCCACCGCCAGCCCGCTCCTCTGCTGTAGGGTTTAAGCGCGTTTCCCTGCAGAAGAGAGTGACCAGGGGTGGTCAGGAGGTGATGAATTTCGGCTCCAAGGCCTATTTTTGACAGTAACCAGGTTCACACCCCGCTTGGCACTAGAGCCTTACTGCACCTGGGGTGTGTCTCCGCGTGGTGCAGAGCGCGCGCTCTACTCCGGAAGCTACGGCCGGGTGCCGCGCCACCGCTGTGCGCCCTGGGCCTGATCCCTACGCCCTAGTCGAGTGCAGGGCAGGGCAATTTCGCCGTGGGTCCTAGTTTGCTGACAGTTCCCAGGCCCCTTTAGCTTTTGGGGAGGAGGCGAGACTAGGACCTAAAAAGTGCTGGGAGCTCGGAGTAGAGGGGTTCATGTTGCCAGTTTCTGAGGATTGCTCTTAGGTGAAGATGTGGAACTTGGAAATTTAGGTGGTGCACAGAGGCACTTCCTGAGCGAAAGGGAGTGTTGGGGTGGGGAGTTCAGTGGGCACCTCAGGGGACCTGGATGCTGACGGGGCATCAGAGGGTGTCAAAAGGAGAAGCTAAGGGATCTGGGCGAGGTCTCAGCCGAAGGGCGCTGGCAAGGGAAGTGCTTGGCCGGGGAGGGTGCCCGGGGGGCGGTCAAGGGGCAGGCCCGGGGCTCTGTCCCTCCCGGTCCTGGGGTCCCTTCCCGTCCCGCGGTTCCGGAACGCCTCGCCAGCCCTCTCTGGGCGCCCCCTGCTGCCGGGCGCCCCCTGCTGCCGGCCGCCCCGGGTCGGGGTGCCGTGAGCCTTCTCGCCTTTGTACCAGGAGACCTTTCAGCGCCGGGCCCACACGGTCGGATGAGCAAATGCGCTTGACTTCATTTTCCCCTTTGTAGACCTTGTAGGTTTATTTTGTTCAGTGTCACCATCCCTCCCCCACCACCCCTGGCCTATCGTCCCTCTGCCCGTCTTTTGTGGCCCGGGGTCCTGCTTCTGCTTGGAGATGAAAGGCGTGCGGGGCTGGGCCAGGCCAGAGCCCCAGCCCCAGCGCCCTGTTTTGTTCCAGTTGTGCTTTCTACACGCGAGCTCTCCCCTAAAAGTTGTACTAAATGGTTAATTTAATTATTCCAACTATAGACCAACTGCTTCAGGAGCCTCCACCACGCGTCTGGGAGGAAAAAAGAAACCATCTATAAGAAATAATCTAATAAAAGTGAAGTGTAGAAAAACCCCTCCTGATTTTCAACCGGCACAAATAGAATTAAGCTTCAGCATCCTTTCCCCAAACAGACCTTTTGTCCAGATCACAACTTCAGCCAACCAGCAATGTGTACAGTGCCTACTATTTATTTTAATAGAGGCGGGTGGGTAACAGGATGGATTGATAGATAAATGACCACATGGATAGATGGATGAGTTGGATCCATCTGCCTCTGCCTTCCCTTTCTTAGTATGCGTACACGGTTGACTTTTTCCCCCTGCCGATTTTCTGAATCAATAATGGAAAAGCAATGCTATGTGATAAAAGGAGGGGAAAAGGCCATTTAAAGCACCAAAAAGGAAGAGATTACCAGCATATATACTATCAGGAAAAAAAAAATGTTTACATGTTACTCAATACCAACTGAAAAAGGTTGAAAGTTTAAAAGAAACTTTTCTTTCCTTTTCTTCACCATTCATAGGAGGGTTTCTTTTTCTTCCTTTTTTCCTTGAAAGTCAGAAAGAATGTTAGAAGACAAGGAAACAAAACAGCAAACAAAATGCCATTGTATTGTAGTAGCGATTCATGGGAAAATGCTTGTCAGCCTCCTAATGCCTCACTCCTAGGAGGCTGTTTTGAGGCTGTTTTACCGCAGGCGAAGCACAATAACATGGGAATGAATAAAATATTAAATACCAGTGAGAGTTTCAGAGGAATTTTCTTTTTGATTGCTTTATTTGATGCTGCATCCAAATTATCCCAGCACAGCTAGCCTACTGTCTGGCATACTCAACTCAGAACCAACATTTCTCTCAACCGAGAAAGAATAGACAAGATTTGTCCTTGGGCTTCTCCAAAAAGATTTCTGCAGACAGCAGCCTTTCCCACTCACCTGCGCTAAGAAAATAACCTAGACAGAATTTACTGGGACACCATTTCCCCAGAACAGAAAGCATACCAGTCACAGCAGCCCCACATCTGATGACCCACTACATTTTCCTAGCATTTTAGAATCCACCACACTTTCCATTTGCCTAGCAACCATGATACACGTTTCATAATAGAAACTCTTTGAGGTTCTGGTAACTAACCTCCTGGCACTGTGAGACTAACAATTATTAACTGATTGACAATAGCGTATACAAAGCAATTAACACAGTGCTTGGCACATGGAAAGAATCCAGTGACTGTTAGCCACCAGTATTATGATGATGGCAATGATGATGATGTTGGTAAGTCTCCTTGAATTGTATATTAAACACTTGACTTTGAGATTTAGATGGTGCATAGACACAGGATTTTTCCTATTGCATGTTTATAATACATGTGGAAGAGGGTAGGCTAAATCAAAAAGCAGGCTCTAGGATATCAAATGGGAGAAAAGAAAGCAACCAGGTGGAAAATTTTATTTTTTAGGAATTTACTGGAAGGTGTATTTGTATTAGATAGGTTAATTATGTTTTGTCTTATAATATTATATATGGTATTTATGCATAATTAATATGGTGCTTTATCTTGTATGTAAATGTCAGTATGTTCAGGGTGATCTCACTTTGAAAGGCATTTGCAGTGGGCTAGCTGTGTGGGTTTGGGTTGAACTTTTATGGCTAACTCATAGATGATGTTTCTGTATCTGGGTTAACTTTGAAGGTACCCCATGTGTATGTGTTATATAGGTGATGGTGTACAGATCTCCAAAATCCATTCTTTTAAGAACTTTTAAGGACATTTCAAAGCCCCACTCCACTCCTCCCCTCCCCTTCTCTTCACTCCCACAATGCTATAATTAGCAGAAGGGGCTGCCTGTTACCTTTTTGCTGGAGTTTGGCTAATAGTAGTAACATCTGCTGGGCTGGTGGGGGGAGACATGGGGCATTTGATGTAAAAGTGACACAGATGTAAAAGTGACATCTGCTTGTAACAAAGGGGAACCAAAATTAAATTAGCCAGGAAGCCCTTTCTGTTTAAACCCAGGGGAAAAAAAAAAAAACCTATTTGAAGAAGGAGGAAAAAAAGTAATCATGAGCCCTGACCAAGCTTGCAGGGTGCAGAGGGGATTATGATTTTTTTGAGCCAGCAGCTCCCAAAATAACTGGAGGAGCAGCATCCTAAGGTAGCAATGTCCTAAGACCTTGAAGGCATCTTCTTATGCTCCAAAGAAAATGGTCAGACAAGATTATCTTTCTTAGCCAAGCAATGACCTGAGCTGTGTGAGTCTCGTATGGGCTGAGAAATCATTTTCAGGTTGAAGACAAGAAGAAAGTAAGGGCAAAGCCTTCAGAGTTAATAATATCTCGGTATATTTTTGGGTAAGTTTGTGCAGAAACAGATTTTCATTTAACAGCTATATTCAAACTCCTACTTCCAACTACTATAGATGAACCATTTTTCATCAGGCTCATGCATGTGCTTAGGAGATTGCATTTGGCAATTAAAACTGCCATGGTGCCTAAAATTGGGCTCAATTGTGGCACGGGGTGGGGGTGGGGTGGAGGTGAGATATGCTAACATCCTCCTAACCATTGTTCTAGGAAATCACAAGTGTTACAAAGGAGCATCTCTCTCTCTCTCTCTCTCTCTCATAATGATTTCCTAAATTTCTCTTAAGTGGAACACATTTTGACAGCTTTATATAAATGAATTTCAAAATGATAAGAGAAGCCACTGAACAAGAATTCCCTCAACCTCCTGTGTTTCAATCTAGAAATCGATCAACTTCTGCACTCACTCTTTCTCCATTGCTTCTGCTACTTGGAGGAGGGAAGCCTAGTCTCATCTGAGGCCAATCCCTCTATCATACTTTGGAGTTTGATCCCTTCCGCTAGCTCAAGGATCCTACCCAATTCTTCCTCTCTCATGGATCTTCAAACTCTCATCTGCCCATCTGGACATATCCTGTTGTTCTCTAAACATGCTCAAACCACACTCATACAAATTACCAACCAACTTGTTATCCTTCCTTGGCCACAACCCACCACCACCACTTACCTCTCATCTGCCCTTTACAGTCAAACATCTTGAAGGAGCTATCTCTTCTCACTATTATTATTTCTTTACTTCTCGATCACTCCATAGCTTCCTGTAATATGGCTTCCACTACCCTCATGCAAATTAAATATTTTTCAGTAAGGTTATCAGATCCACTGGGGGTTTTCCGGGCCTCCACTTACTTGAATATGTAAATCACTAGGGTTGTTTTACAAACATTTCTCTTTCTTTTCACTTCTAGGCATATAGTGTGATTTCACTTCCCTGCCCCCTAGAAGTTAGATATGGCCATGTGACTTACTTTGAGCAATGAAAATTGAATGGAACTGTTAAAGTGTGACTTCCAGGTGGAAGCTTTGAGAGCTAGCATCCAAGTCTCCAATCTCCCTCTTTTGCTCTCTTCTATGCTCCAGATGGTGGCTGCTTGGTTAGCCTGAGTTCCAGAGTGAGGACATCATGAAGTAAAGATCTCAGCTGACCCACAATGGACATATATTTCCTTAGAGTCTCAGGGAAGGCTTCTGGAAGAGGTGACATCTATACTGGGTACTAAGCAGTGAGTGGCAGTGAGCAAATGGTGATGAAGTGGAAAAGATGTTTCCCAGTATGTTAGCGGCAGTCAAAGACTCCAAAACTAGAGAGAGCACAGAGTGTTTGAGAATTTCTAAGTAGTTCAGTTTAGCTTTTGGTTAGAGCAGAACTGATAGGGGCTGGAACACACCAAGAGGTGTGTGATGAAATACAAGATAAGAGCAATAGATCTGGAATCAGACCCTACAGGATTATGGATGCAAGGTCATGTGATTTGGGGAGGAGGGCATGATGGAAAAGGGAAGCCAAGAGATAAATTAGAAGGCTGTGGCACAATGCTAGTTAAGGAATAATATATTTTTCAGCCAGAGAATAGCAGTATAGGACAAAGAGAAGTAAAGGGATGCAAGAGATGTTAGAGAAGTAGAGTCTTAGCACAGGGAGAACCTACAGTCCTGCACAGTGCTGGGATTTCAGGGGACCCAGGAAGATACCTCAAAGCAAAAACCCTCTCTCACATTTTCTGGCAAGACCTTCACTTCAGTAACTTGGGTTTAGTGATCCTCAATAACATATTTCTCTGGGTTTGGCAGCACTTGATGATATTATCCATTCATTCATTCACTCATTCAACCCATATTTATTAATTACCTACTATGTGCTAGAAATCTGTACTTTAGAGTAGAAGTGGTTTAGATATTGTCTTGAAAGCTAATTTTTGAGATGAAGCAAACCCAAGAACTGCAGGCATCTTAGAGGAAGGGGAGCCGCTGGTCTTGAAAGTGGGGACACCCACAAGAAAGTTTGGGTGCTGACCTTGCAGGGTCTAGAACTAACACTGGATGGACTGGCCATTGGACCTGTCACTGCTTAAGCTGGGGAAAGACCCTAATTGCTTCAGGGATCAGAATAAGAATTTTGTGAAATTCTTTTCAGTCCTAACATTCTGTTCATTGATTTGGTGGAGAGGGGGTTGTCTGGGAACCTTCTCTACATGTATTCTTAGTGAAAGAAAGGACATAAGGGACAGTGTGTACAGTGGGAAATCAAAGTAGTATTTTGAGATTCATAAAGAGGGCTCCATGAAGAACAGGAGAGAGAAGAATGATTGTCTTCTGTTCCTCCATCCTTTGCATGATGGTCTTAGGATTTTGTGTGTTATCTCCACCAGGTGTATTTTCAAGTGAAGATACCGAGAGCCCAGTATCACAGAGGAAGAAAGTACTGGTGGTGACACAGCAGGTATTTTAGAAGTGGGGGCAGCTATTTTAGACAGCTCTTTCCTATGTTGTTCCTGTCACACCATGAAGATGCCGATTTCGTCCACCCACAAGAAAGCTGCCTTGGTCCTGGTACTCAAGGGCTCTATGTTGCCTCCATCATATCCAGAATTAACTCCAATAACATGTTCTTGCATTCTTCGTCAGCACAGCAAGGGAGCTAACTGAAAGGCATGTCGGGAACACTGGAATCATTCAATGTCTTAAACTACTCAGCCTTGAAATACATATAAAAATGAGTTAGAATTCAAAAACTTTAAAAATATTTCTTTTTCTGGGCTTTCGAAAGACCCTACTGGTGCTGCTGTTTGTTTGTCTCATTTTGTTTTCTTTAGGAGGTTTGTGGGGTTTGCCAGTAAGGTGCTGCAGCATCATGCATTTTAATGTGTATTTCAGCTGATTCAGAATTTAGGACAAATGCAATCCAGTACTCAGGGACAGGCACCACATGTCCTAGACCTTAGGAGCCAGAAGACAATAAAATGCTCACAGTGATGCATGTTTGTAGTATTTCCCCTGTTAGATATAATGCATAATATTTATTTTCTTTTAAAACACACACTTCTTTTCTTCTCTCTCTCTCTCTTTTTCTCTCTCCCTCTCTCTCTCCCTCTCCCTCTCCGTCTCCCTCTCCCTCTCCCTCTCCCTCTGTCTCCCCTTTCTGTTTCTCTCTCTGATTTGTTTACTCTGGTAAGTTAAACCGCAGTCTAGAGAACTCTAAGGCTAAGGGTTCTAATCACACACACTGCCAACTCCCTTGCTTATTCATAAATCTTTATCATTGAAATTGGGCTTGAGGAAGAGAAGGAGGAAAAGAGATTTCTAAGAAGAGCCAGGGAGGCTGCTAGGAAGGAAGTAGTACATAATAATGAACAAAACAGCACAGTGAGTCACACAAGAGACTGCAGAGCAGAGGCCAACGGCTTTAACCCAAACCCCAGGGAAACCTCTTGAATGAACAGTGTTAACTGCTGAGAGGTGAGCCACCAAGCTCTAAAACAACCCCAGGGTGGGGCCAGACTGTGCCCTTGCAGAGACAGAGCTGAGGACAGATTGGACTTCTTGGCCTTGCCTTGGCCAGGCCCACATTCTTGGGGCAAATTCCTTTTTTAGCAGCTATTGGGCAGGTAGGAGCCTTCCTCCTACCTGCTGAAAACCCCCTAAGAGTCACTGCTGCTGCCCCCTGGTCTCTGCACATAGAGATGGGGCAGCAAAGCCCCTCCAAGGGGAGGTCAGTGGTTGCTGATGAGAGGCGGTCAGGCCAGAACAGGCTGCACCCGACAAAGGGAGAAAACTGTGATGTGGTCCAGGTTGGCCCTGTGTACCCTCTTCCTATTTCATTGATTACTTCCTTGTTTTTACTTTAAAATAATAAATATCCATTATGGAAATTATTATAGCATGTGTGCGGAAAGGAGAATAAAATAAAAGGAGTTAATTTAACTTTCTCATATAATTTTTCGGTCTTTTTTTTCATGCATACATTTTTTTAAAAAAATGAGAAACATTCTCTATCAACTGTTTTGTTCATGTTTCTCACTTTTAGAAAAATTTTAATTTTTTTAAATTTAAAAACATCAACCTTTCTCCCTTAAATTTTATGTTATAAACATCTCCCCATATCATAAAATATCCTGACATGTCATCTTTTTGGCTAGATGATATTCCACTGCAAGATAAACCATAGTTTATTTAGGCAACCCTGGTTTGTTTGCTTTTTTTTTTTTTTGGTATTTAAGTTGCTTCTAATTTTTAAAATATATTTAAAATTTTGTCTTGGACATTCTTTTAGCTAAATCTCTGTGCGCATCCATATGCTTAGGATCAATTTTTTTTTTTTACTTGTTAGTGATTTGAAGCTCAAGGATTAACTCCTAAAAATGGAATTCCTTGGTCACAAAGTACACACTTTTAAAAAGGCTTTGGAGTTGTAAAATTGCCTTCCAGGAAAGTGATACCAGTTTATACTTCTAGAGTAGAATATGACACTGTCCACATTCCAGTACTCACCAACATTGCATAATTCCATCAAAAAAGCTTAGCCCATTCTCTTTCTACTGTGCTATTGTAAAAGAGCAAGAATTCTGAACAAAGGGGAGAGGGTGCCAAAAGAAACTAGTGATGCTAAGACAAAGAGGGAAAGAAGGAACAGGTAATTTTTAAGAATAACAGAGATCTAGAAAAATAGAGGAAAAATGCCCAGTCCAGCTTTATTTATTTATTTATTTATTATTTGAGATGGAGTTTTCCTCTTGTCACCCAGGCTGGAGTGCAATGGCTCAATCTAGGCCCACTGCAACCTCCGCCTCCTGGGTTCAAGAGATCCTCCTGCCTCAGCCTCCTGAGTAGCCGAGATTACAGGTGTACACCACCACACCCAGCTAATTTTTGTGTTTTTAGTAGAGACAGGGTTTCACCATGTTTGGTCAGGCTGGTCTTGAACTCCTGACCTCAGATGATCCACCCACCTCAGCCTCCCAAAGTGCTGGGATTGCAGGTGTGAGCCACCATGCCTGGCCCAGTCCAGCTTTATTTAAAAAATAAAAATCTAATGATGACAAAGGATCCTTTTGTGTATGTTTAGAGCCAGATGATAAAAGGTATTGTAGTTTTTCAATGTTGATAAATGACAAAGAAAATTGAATAAAACTCTTATTTAAAATTTTATTTTATTATTTTTTATTTTTTTGTCAGTGGCATGATTACGGCTCACTGCAGCCTTCGTCTTCTGGGCTCAAGCGATCTTCCCACCTCAGCCTCCCAAGTAGCTGAGACTACAGGTGAATGCCACCATGCCTGGCTATTTTTATAATTTTTGTATAAAATTTGTATAATTTTTTGTAGAGGCAGAGTCTCACTATGATGCCCAGGCTCGTCTCGAACTCCTGGCCTCAAGGAATCCTCCTACCTTAGCCTCCCATAGTGTTGGGATTACAGGCGGAGTGAGCCACTATGCCCGGCCCAAAACTCTTATTTTAATCTTGTCCTTTCTGTCAAGGAGAATGTGCTTCAGTATGGAAACGACTAGTGTGAACACTGGTGACAGAGGCCAGAGCCCTATGTGCACAGAGTGACTGGGAAGGGTCCAACTACTCTAAAGAGTTCTGCAAGAACCCTGTCCTGGAGGACCAAGAGAACTGGTCATTGTGATGGCCACACGACTGTGATTTTTGTGGTATCATGGAGAATCAGGCAGGAATGAAAAAACTGCTCTTCTGGCAAATGCTTAAATTTTCAGAAAGGGAAAGTGTGTCCTGAAACAGGTCTGTAAGCTCAATAACAATTTTAGGTAAAATTTTACATTGGATTAAAAGATAATTATGGGAAATTTTACATGTTCAAAGAAGAGAGAACAATATAAGGAAGCATGAACCTCTTACTCATATAGAACAATAATTGATTCATAACTGTTCTTGTTCCACCCCTCGTCCCAACCTCCACTGCCTCCCTATTAGGTAGTTTTGAGGCAAATCTAAGATATCATATCATTTCCTCTGAAATTATATTTAATATTTCAGTATTATCCCTAAAAGATAAGGGATCTTTTCTTAAAATACACAATCCCAGTACTATTATGATACCAACAGGATTAATAATAATTTCTTAAGATCCTCAAATATCTGATGTTCAGATTCCCCTGATAATCTCACAAACATTCGTTTTAGTTGGTTTACTTGAATCAGAATCCAAGCCTGGTCCAAGCTTGCATTTGATTTTTGTGGCTCTTAAGTCTTTTTTGATCTATAGGTTCCTCTCCCGACCCCCTTTTTTTTCCTCCTTGCAATTTATCTAGAAGAAGCAGGTCAGGCCAGGCGCCGTGGTGGTTCACGCCTGTAATCCCAGCACTTTTGGAGGCTGAGGTGGGCGGAATCACCTGAGATCAGGAGTTCGAGACCAGCTTGGCCAACAGGGAGAAACCCCCATCTCTAGTAAAAATACAAAAATTAGCTGGGCATGGTGGCACACGCCTGTAATCCCAGCTACTCTGGAGGCTGAGGCAGGAGAATCACTTGAACCCAGGAGGCAGAGTTTGCAGTGATCTGAGATTTTACCACTGCACTCCAGACTGGGTGACAGAGCAAGACTCTGTCAAAAAAAAAAGAAGGAAGGAAGAAAGAAAGGAAGGAAGGGAGAGAAGGAGGGAGAAAGGAAGGAAGGAAGGAAGGAAGGAAAGGAGAGAGAGAAAGGAAGGAAGGAAGCAGGTCATATGCACTTAGGATTTCCCGCAGTCGCCTCCCCATGGAGTTGTTTCACTCTAAATCCTATTATTGCTGTAAACTGCTAGTTGAATCTAGAGTCTTGATAGCGCCACGTGCAAGTTTTTAGTAAGGATACCACGTAGGTGGTGCTGTGTACTTCCTCCTGCACCATACCAGGAGGCTAGTTGTCTCTCCTTTTAGGATGTAAGGTCTGATCTGTGGGGTTTAGGTGTTGTCAGCTGGAACCATCCATTGTAAAGTTCCTCATCAGCTTTTTACCTAAGGATTTTAGGAGCCATGGATCATCATGGCTTAGACTACATTACTTCATTCATTTAGTAGGTGTAAAATGGTGATATTCTAATTATATCACTCTTTGTTAATTTATTAGTTAGAATGCTTCTATAAAGAAAATAGTTCCTTTTTCAACTATTGGATCCCTAATGTATGGTTAGTATGGTAAGATATGAAAAGGCAGGATAAATGTTGAATTCTTACCTTTTATTTACCATTATTATGAACTCATGCGTTTAGACATATTTTATGTATTTTCTTTCATTGCAGTAATTATTCTAATTATTAATCATATTATCCAAGCTTTGACAATGGAAACCTCTTCAGTTTGACTTCTCAGTTTTTGACAACCCTTAATCGTCTTCGATAGTTTCTTTATCTTTGATAGCTTCCTTGCTTTTGATAGCTTCCTCACTGACTGGCACGCCAAGATGTTCTAGGCTCATCTTTTACACTTTATGCCTAGACCTGGCATCAGCCATTTTGCCAAGAAGCCCTGGTTCCTTTTCTTGGGAACTGGTACTTAGGGAGCACATTGTGCTTGCTAGATTGGACTTGGGAATGAGTGATTTATGAGTATTTTCGAAAGGAAGAGACTGTTAGTAGGCACCAGGATCTAGTTGAATTGAAGTCATCAAACATCTATTAAATAATACATGGCTCATTCTTAGTGAGGGAGAGGAGAATAAGCATAAACAAACAGCTGGGACATGATGCTATGTATAAAGAGCTTTGGAAAAATGAACCAGGCATGAAATAATTATGTCTGGAGTCAAGCACTAAAGCTTCACTGAGGAGGTGACATCTGAGCAACAGAAATAGTCGAGTAGACAGGTGGAATGGAAAAAGATTCTGGGCAGAGAAAAGAACATGAGCAAAGTCTCAGAATCATCAAAGTGCATGGTGTGTTTGAAGAAGAGTCAGATTTGCTTCATTTCCTTTGACAGCGTTAGTGAATTTCGAGAGCAGCTGAATGCAGGAGACATAATGCATCTGGACTTTAGCAAAGCATTTGTCCAGGCCTATCATGATATCATTGTGGACAAGATGGAGAAATATGGACTAAACAATAGTACCATTAGATGAATTAACAACAGTTAGGTGAATAAATGAACCCAAAGAATGCTGATTAGTAAATTGATGTTAGCATAGAAGATGGTCTCTAGTGGAGTGGCACAGGGTTCCGTCTAGTACAACATCTTAATCAATGATTTAGATTAAAATATAGAACAAATACTTAACGAATCTGCAGATTATATGAAACTAAGTGGGACAATGAATAGTTTTAGTGACAAAGTCTGGATTCAAAAAGATATTGGCAAGTTGGGCCTCTTGAGAAAATTTCTAGGGATTAATATAAATTTCCATAGCTGAGTAAAAAACTAAGCAAACAAACAAGCACTCACAGACACACACAAAAATACTAGAAGCATAGTTGGTAAAGCATACATGAAAAGGAGTTTCGATCTGTATAATTCTCTATGCATGTTAGAACCATGAACACTTTTACACTGTTGGTGGGAGTGTAAATTAGTTCAAGCATTGTGGAAAGCAGTGTGATGATTCCTCAAAGACCTGGAATCAGAACTACCATTCAACCCAGCAATCCCGTTACATGGTATATACCCAAAGGAATATAAATTATGCTATCATAAAGACACATGCACACATATGTTCATTGCAGCACCTTTCACAATAGCAAAGACATGGAATCAACCTAAATGCCCATCGATTGTAGACTGGATAAAGAAAATGTGGTACATATACACTATGGAATACTATTCAGCTATAAAGAAGGATGAGATCATGTCCTTTGCAGGAACATGGATTCCTCAAAGCCATTATCCTTGCCAAAATAACGCAGGAATAGAAAACCAAATACTGCATGTTCTCACTTATAAGTGAGAGCTAAATAATGAGAACTTATGGACACATAAAGGAGAACAACAGACAGTGCGACCTACTGGAGAGTGAAGAGTGAGAGGAGGGAGAGGATCAGGAAAAATAACTACTGAGTATTACCCTTAATACCTGGGTAACAAAATAATCTGTACAACAAACCCTCATGACATGGGTTACCTATATAACAAACCTGCACATATACCCCTGAACTTAAAATAAAAGTTAAAGAAAAAGAAGTGCATAGAACATGATGGGGATGTTGATCAACAGTGGACTGCTCTGATCCCTCTTGAAGAATACTTTGAAACAGCAGTTGACAAACTAGGGTAGTTTAGAGGAGAGTGGTCTGAGAGGTAGGGAAATTTTAAAAGCTACATTAAAGAGTCAAACAGGGACTATAAAGCTGCAATAGCTATCGAGCTGCCATGTAAAAAGGAAGTCAAAGCCTTTTGCAATATCACCCTAAGGCAATATAAAGGTACAACTAGGAAATCATTGGGTAGAAGCCAGCCAGCCAGCAGGAATCAGATTTCTGCTCTATAGAACTTTCTAATAGTCAGAGCCTCCTGGAGGTGGGGCAGGCCGCTCCACAGATCAAACCTGCCATCATCAAGACAGAGATGACTAGTAGGGAGGTTGAGGAAAAGAGCCAAGCACATTAAGCAAGAATTAAGTTCTTTTCTGTATCAGAGAGTCCATGGTCCTGTCCTGCTCTTAGCAGCCTCTTTTTCAGGCTTGCAAATGCTCATGCTACTCACTTGGGTCTTAGGGCCCACCCCGAAAAGCTCCTCATTCACACAATGCCCCATGCTTTAGTTCTTTCTTTTCATCCTCCTCTTATGCACCACTGTCGAAGTTGTCATATGCACTAAGAATCAGGAGAGCTGGATTTTAATTTCAGTTCTTCTGATGCTAATTCTAGCACCCTCAGGAGTGGTAGATTTAAGATGGCCACAAATTTTTTGATGTTTCCCCCACTGACAGATGGAATCTAACTTCTCTTCCCTAGAATTTGGCCTGGTCTCTGTGACTTGCTTGACCAATAGAATGTGGTGGAAACCTTGTGGCTTCCAAAGCTAGATCATAGGAAGCCTTGCTGTTTTCACTGCAGTTTTTTGGAATGCTCACTCTTTCAGGAAGCCCCAATATCCACTAGGGCAGAGAGAGAGAGAGAGAGAGATGCCTGGCAAGCCCCAGTTGTTCCAGCTGTCAGATGTTTGAAACATCCCAGCTGAAGCTACAGATATAATGTGAAGCAGAGATGTCACCCCCTTCAAGCTCAGTCCAAATTTCAGTTTTGAGAGCAAAATAAATATTTTCAGCCACTAAGTTTTGGGGTGGTTTATAGCACAGAAGTAGGTAACCAGCACATCAGGTAAGTCACCCTCTCTTTTTGGGGATCAATTTTCAACCTATAAATGAGGGGAAAGGACCTAACACTTTCTAAGGTCCCACCCACTCCGACATTCTATACAACAGACATTGATTGTC
Source organism: Homo sapiens (assembly GCF_000001405.40). Classification (NCBI taxonomy): domain Eukaryota; kingdom Metazoa; phylum Chordata; class Mammalia; order Primates; family Hominidae; genus Homo; species Homo sapiens. The sequence continues at coordinate 41,764,946 of NC_000004.12, forward strand.
CCAAGATTCCTTTACACTCTTAAAAATTATTGGGGACCCCTTAGAGTTTTTGCTTATGTGTGTTATATCCATTAATATTTGCCATATTATAAATTAAGTCTGAAAAAAAATTAAAATACTTAGGACTTTAAAAATAACAAAAGTAAATTAAACATTAACACAAATAATATACTTTTGATGAAAATAATATTTTCCAAAACAAAAAGTTATTAAAAGACTAACACTGCTTTACATTTTTGCAAATTTTTAAAATATCTGGCTTCATAGAAGACAGCTGGATTCTCATATCTGCTTCTGCATTCAAATTGCCACCGTATCACATCATGTAACCTTTAGAAAATTTCACTGTACCCTCAAGAGAATGAGAATGAATAAGGTAAGAAATGTATTAGTATTATTGTGAGAACAGTTTTAACCTCATAGACCCCCAAATGAATGTTGGGGACTTCCAGGGGTCCCCAGACCATACGTTCAGAACCACTGTTCTAAAGAAATGATGTGGAAAATTAATCTATATTCATTCATTTGTAGCTGATAACAATTAACAGGTTCAAAGTTTTTGAGTAATGTACATTTTAACAAGGCTTAAATCTTCCTCCAAAGAATCAGTCTCTAATGGTAGCATTTCAATAACACAGAAGGTCTTTTGTCTGGCTGAGGGTCTCCTGTTGTGGTCCACTTCATGGATGGGCAGCCCCACTGCCCTCTCAGCCTCCACTGAAGTCTGATCCTGGCTGGAGGAAGGCTGTAGCCACAAGACTGAACCCATCAGGGACAAGAAGACAGCAGAGAATACCTGCAACCATATTCAGATCATCTAGGGCTTCTTCACTTGAAGAGAGTATAGCCTTCTTGTTTTATTAATAGAGAAGGGTCCAGAAAGTAATTAGCAAAGAACTTGAGATTACTAACTCTCATTACTTCTACTTAAAGCAATTAGTCTGGGGTCTTTATCATATTGTAAACTATGCTAAGAAACTATTGTAACATGGAGGTAATACGCTTGTTTATTTTAATTAAATTATTGAAAATCAGAAATGATATCATACTAGACTTTCCTAGCAATATAGAGATTTCCCAGAACTTTTAGCTGCATATTTTTTAGTAATTGCATTGTGCTAATCAACTAAAATGGCCCAGTATAAATGTTAATAAATAAACATAATCAAAATTACAATCCTAGACATACCCAGTTGCCAAGGACTTCAAGAAATCATTGAATCCATCCCTCTGCCTCCAGGCATGCTTTTTCTTCCAATCAATTCTTGACGGAAATAATGTCAGAAAATATGTTCTGCGTTGGGTCACTTTCTTCTATCTTTTATATATTTTTTTCAGATACCTTAGTCTAAGAAAAAAATGACAAAGTTATTTTAGAAAACATCAAAGAAGACTGAGATATTGCAAAATTTGTTTGAAGAGAGATTTAAATTATCAAATGAACCATTTTTTTTTTGAGAAATGAGGTATTGCATGCATATGTTTTGCCTAATATATACAAACCTACTAAGACTACACATTTTGATTATGTTTTCAGTTCTTGATTTCTGGGTTAGAGGATTTTATTTTTTATTTTGGTAACACCCAATTTTAATGAATGATTAATTGGGCATTTTTCACCTAGTTCCATGAGGAACTAAATATGTTTTGATGCATTTAAAAGTTTTAGGATTTGATGGGTACAAAAAATGGTTAGAAAAAATGAATAAGACCTACCGTTTGATAGCACAACAGGGTGATTATAGTCAATAATAACTTAATTGTACCTTTTAAAATAACTTCAAGAGTGTAATTGGATTGTTTGCAACTCAAAGGATAAATGCTTGAGGGGATGGATAAACCATTCTCCATGATGTACTTATTTCACATTTCATGCTTGTATCCAAATATCTCAAGTACTCCATCAATATATACACCTACTATTACTCCCCAAAACATAAAAATTAAAAAACAACTTAATATAAAAGTTTTGTGATTTGAAAAGCTATGTAGGCTATAACAGCTAGCTAATTCTTTTGGTGGGTATTAGAATAATCAAAGATTTGCACAACATTGAAGTATCTACGTTGTTACCTTCAGGACTAAATGATTTATGAGAGAAAGTCAAATGACAACATGTCAGATGATGGCCTTCATTTCTGGCCCTATGGAATTTTCTAAAATGATAGTTCCTGCATTATCAAGGACTTTATATTATGGTGAGCTCTGGTTATAGAGAATAGAGGCATTTTGCTCATGAGAAAATGGCTTTTGAGTCAGAGCCTAAATGTATAGACTATGAAAGAAGGAATTAATCCCTAGGTCTCAGGCACATGGAGAGGTGGACTTTGCTTCCTTTTTCCCCCTACCACACACTGGGGCAAAGCAGGACTTCTGCAGTTCTGTTCCATAAATTGGATAGACATTTGCAGCCGGGCTTAGCCAGAACTGCCCTGAAAGCTAAGTCTAATACATACCAAACTCAAGTCTCATCTTTGATTGTCCCATTTGGCAAATAAATATGTGACCTGATCAGGAAAAACTATCTCTCTCCCCAACCCCAAATATCTCCTCCAGTGCCTGAACTTTTGTTCTAAAGAAGATTCCTTTGGGACTGGATCTAAAGAAGAGAATTAACTCCTTAAGCCTTCCCCAGCTGATGTTTAGCTGAGACTGATACATATACAAAAAGCCCTTTGCAAATGGGTCCTGGATTAGTCACTGGTGGCAGTTGGGAGTGTGGCAGATGGACTGAATTCAAAAACAAAGTTTGGAAAGCCATAAAATTTGAAACCTAGGGCTTGGTGAGGAGTTCTTAGCCATGACACCAAAGACATAATCCATTAAAAATATTGATAAATTGAACTTCATCAAAAACTTTTACATTGCAAAAAACCCTGTTAAAAAGATGTAAAGGCAACGTACAGACTGGAAGAAAGTTTGCAAACCACATACCTGATCAAGGTTATGTATTTAGAATATATAAAGCACTCTCAAAACTCAATCGTGTAAAAACAAAAAAATTAAATTAGTAAATGGGTGAAAGACATTTTATTAAAGAGGAGATACAGAAGGCAAACAAGCACATTAAAAAATGTTCAAGACCACTAGCCACTAGGGAAATTTGAAATAAAACTGGAATGAGATATCACTGCATACCTGTTAAAACAGCTAAAATTTAAAAATATATTGTAATAATACAAAATTCTGGCAAGGACATGGAGAAACGGGATCTCTCATGTTTTGCTGGAGGGAATGTACAATGGTACAGTCACTGTGGAAAATGGCTTGGTTGTTTCTTATAAAACTAAATATGCACTTACCTTACCACTCAGCAATTGCACTCTTGAGCATTTATCCCAGAGAAATAAAACCCCCTTAAAAGCTTGTATAAAGGGATGTTCATAGCAACTTTATTTGTGATAGCCAAAAATTGAAGATAACCCAAATGTCCTTCAACAAGTGAATGATTTAGCAAACTGTGATACATTCATATCATGGAATGCTGGTCAGCAACAAAAAGAAACAAACTACTGATACATGCAACAACCTGGATGGACCTCAAGCGCATTGTGCTTAGTGAAAAAAGTCCACTTCAAGAAGTTAAATATTTACATAATACTCTTGACATATATAAAACTACAGAGATAGAGGCCAGAATAGTCATTCCAAAGGACAGGAATGGGGCAGCAGTCAGGGACCAATTATAAAGAGGTAGCAGCCAGGTATGGTGGCTCACACCTGTAATCCCAGCACTTTGAGAGGCCGAGGCGGGATGATCACGAGGTCACGTGTTCAAGAGCAGCCTGGTCAACACAGTGAAACCCCCTCTCTACTAAAAAAAAAATACAAAAAATTAGCTGGGCATCGTGGCGGGCACCTGTAATTCCAGCTACTTGAGAGGCTGAGGCAGGAGAATCGCTTGAACCCGGGAAGTGGAGGTTGCAGTGAGCCAAGATTGCACCACTGCACTCCAGCCTAGGTGACAAGAGTGAAACTCCATCTCAAAAAAAAAAAAAAAAAAAAGAGGTAGCATGAGGGAGTTGTTTTGTGGTGATTGAACAGTTTTGTATGTTGATTATCTTGGCAGTTACGTGAATCTATGCATGAGTTAAAATTGTATAGAACTTAAAAAATTAAAAATAAATATAAATGGATGGGTATATTGCTCAACACTAACAAAAAAATTGCATAGAACCATATGCACACACATACATAAACACACAAATAAATGCATGTAAAATGGTGCAAACTGAATAAGTTCTGCAGTCTAGTTAACAACATTGTACCAATTTCAATGTCCTGGTTTTGATATTCTACCAGTTACATGAGATGTCATCATTAGGGGAAATTGGGTGAAGGATGTATGGAACACTATGCACAATTTTTGCAATTTCCTGTTTGTCCATAATTTTTTCAAAATCGAAGGTTAACAAAGGGAAGCAGACACCAAAAACAAACATTCTTTTTTATACTTTTGTTGAGATTTAGAGCTACTGTCTTTGGCTTAGGGAAAGCATTCCATTCACCCACTATGACTTCTTTCTTCAGCTTTAAAATTTGTTGGAAAGTCAGAAATGGTGCATCTGGAGCTCCTCTTCTCTCTGTCATTGGAAGCTTGGGCTGTTTGCAATTGTCCTGATTTTCCTTTTGAGTATATGGTAGGACTACACTTCCCATTGGAAGTTGGACACATTTACATAATTTGCTATGGCCAAGGAAATGTGAGCAGAAATGACATTAATCACTTCCAGAAGAAAGTTTTAAGAGCCAGTGTATAATTCCCTGAATTCCCTTAGTGATATGAATGAACAGAGACACTCTTGTGACAACTAGTGTTGAAACAAATAACAAGTGGAAAATAAACTTTTGCTGTGTTACTGCAGAGGCTTGGGAATTATTGTGGCAGACTTGCCTCTTCTGACACAAAAGTAAAGACGTATTGATATAATCTTTCAAAAAGCAATTTGGCAAAGGGTACTGATATCCTCTGACACAAAAATTCAACTTGTAGGAAAAGAAAATAATGAATATCATATAAAACTTCCAGCACAAAGATGTTCAACAAGGAATTATTCATAAAAAAGCAATAAGCACACACCAACAACAATAAAACCACAAAAGTGGCACAGCATAGATGTTCAATTAAAAAGGATGTGTGAACAAAGTATAGTTCTATGGACTCTATAGTGTCATGTAGTCGTTAACATTATGTTAGAAAGTGTTTACAGTTTAATATTAAATTTAAAAATCAGGATGCAAAATTGTATATAGTGTAATTATGTAAACATAGGCATAAAATACTAAATATACTACAAATGACACACAAAAAAAATGGAATGACAAGCAAAAGACTGGGAAAGATATCTGCAACATTTTAAAGAGTTTAATATTCAGGATTTATAAAGAACTCATTAAAAGTAAGATAAACATCTAAAGTGAAAATGGTCAAAGGCTGTGAATACGCAATTGCAGAAAAAGAAATCCAAAGAATAAACATAATGAAAAGATGTTCCTCTTCACTAGGAATTAGGTAAATTAAAATAAAAATGAGATACTCTGCAATAGATATTGAAAGAAGTTTAAAAGTCTTAAAATACCAAGGGTTGTCAAGAGGGTGAGAGAAAATGGGAACTCTCATAGGCTGCTGGTGACCTGAAAGAGCAAATTGGCAATAGCTAGTGCCTTGAAGATGCTCATGCCCTGAGACATAACAATTTCATCTCTAGAACATACCTTACAGAAACTCTGACACCTGCACAAAAGGATGCTTAGGACGGCATTGTCTGAATTACAAAACATTGGAAACAGCCTAAAAAACCAACAGTAAGAGAATGAATAAATGATAATAATAAAATTTAATATTACCAACAGTCTAAATGAATGAACTTGATTTATATATATAAATATGAATGAATCTTGAAAAGATTGTTGAATAAACAGGACAATTTGCAAAATGAAAGTGTGTAAATTTATATACATTTAAATATACATGAACTATTGTTGTAGGTATACAATCAAAACAAGATAGGAAAGATGCATATCAATTTACATGAGTGAGTGTCATTAAAGAAGTTGCTTCTACTGTAGGTGTTTTATTTCTTTTTAAAAAATGGCAAATTGTTGAAATTTGTTAAAGATGGCTGGTGGATTCATGGGAGTTTATTATATCATTCTTGATGATATAATATTTTCTTGATGTTTGAAATATTTCATTATGATGATGGTAAAAATCTGGAAGGGAGTAAACTAGGTTTACAATGGTTGTCTCTTAAAATTATAGGCAAATTTTCTCTTTGTTATACTTTTCTGAAATTTCTGAAGTAGTCTCCATAAACATATTTATTTTATAATTAGAAAAAATCTAAATTAGTCTACCCTCTATCTCATACAGTTTTAATGGAAAGGGAACTACTGTAATTATTTTTGGCTTAACTTCTCTGTAGCAGATAGGGTACAGAATTGTGAAGAGTTGAAAGACAGCTGTTCTCCCTCCTCCTCTGCTTTAGATACAGAAAAGGAATTAACATAAAAATGGAAATACCTGTTTTCCTCTCTTTTAATATGAACAAGTCCTTTATCCAGGCCCCAGATGTCTACTTAGGAACTGTCTTCCCCCTGACTCCCCATTCACCTTCACTACAGTGAATTCTGAATTTTGCAACTAGAATCTCCCATCTGAGCTGTCTGGAAATTAGTCTTCATTTTATACCAACACTACTTTTTTTTCTTAAATATTGGTGGGACTTTTAATGAAAGAGAGAGCGAGCATGGACTTGAGAGAGAGCACATGCTCTTGAATGTGGAAGCAAAAGATGAGGTAGAGGCGGTGAGGATGGGGCAGCGTTAAAACATGATGGGTGCAGCAAACCACCATGGCGCGTATATACCTATGTAACAAACCTGCACGTTCTGCACATGTATCCCAGAACTTAAAGTATAACAATAAAAAAAGAGAGAGATAAGCAGTCCTGACATTGGCCAACATGGAGCGATGTCTGCCTTTATCTGGAGTATGTCGGGGAGAACATGAGTGCAGTCTCGCACTGGGACAAGTTCCACAGTAGAGTTTCCCACTGGGGAAATCGCAGGGGCCAGCAAGTCTGGAGTGCGAGGGAGAAGACTAGTACTGGGAGAACCATCTTCTTGACGATGACATTCTTTCTGCCAAGTAAGTGTCCAATCTACACTTTTGCTACCTTACTCTTCAGTCGTGGGTACTGAGAGAGAATTCTATCACAGTGCCTGAATAGAATGGTGTGGTTAAGGACACAAAGTTGAAGTATGATTCTAAGCCTGTTCCACAACTAACTAGTTAGGTAACCTTGGGCAAATTATTTCCCATTGTAAGCTTAAGAGGTTTCACGTGTAAAATGGGATTGTGTTAGTCTTTTTGTCCATAAAACACAGAAAACAAAAATCAAACTGGCTTTTAAATATACACATGCACTAGGATTTTTTTTTTAACTTTAAGTTCTGGGATGCAGAACATGCAGGTTTGTTACGTAGGTATACATGTGCCATGGTGGTTTGCTGCACCTGTCAACCCATCATCTAGGTTTTAAGCCTCACATGCATTCGGTATTTGTCCTAATGCTCTCCCTCCACTTGCCCCCCAACCTCTGACAGGCCTCAGTGTGTGATGTTCCCCTCCATGTGTCCATGTGTTCTCATTGTTCAACAACCACTTATGAGTGAGAACAAACACTTCTCAGAAGAAGACATTTATGTGGCCAACAAACATATAAAAAATGCACTACGATTTTTTAAGCCCCCATAACTGTAGGGCAGAGGTAGAAAGCTGAGGAACGCATTTCAGATCTGGCCAGTTTGAAGTTGTCAGACTTTGCCATTGGGAACTGTTTCTCCATGAGTTTTTCTTTCCTCCATGTGGCCACTTTCTCGTTAGGATGGCCCCAGGAGTGGCAAGATGATCACAACTGCAAGCTTCCATCCAAGCTTCAGCAAACTCCGTGGAAAGAAGTGCCTCTTTGCCAACAGTCCCAGCAAAAACCTCATCATGGCTTTCATTGCCTTTGATAGGTCCAACCTTTATCCCAGCCCAACCTTAAACAATTGCCATAGCCAGGAAGATGTATATTTTCCTTGGCAAGACTCGGGTTGTGTGCTTCCTCGTGCAGTTAGGAATGGGAACAATTCCACCCAACTATATAGACATACGCTTCTTGGAAGGTTCCAGGGAAAATGGATTCTGGGCAGGACCAAAGACAAAATAAAACTAGTTTAGAGCTGTATACTACAGTGGATACAACATCTACTTTTTTCATGAGAATTAAATTAAAATGTCAGAAGAGCATTTGGCACAGTACCTGGCACATGGAAGCATTTCGTCACACTAACTAGTACATTACTAAGTAAATCTTTGTGGAATGAATTTTGAATGTTTGAAAAGCCTCAATAGTAACAATTCTAAGTGGATGCATTTCCCATTTTTAGTGAAAAACTTTAGAAGGGGGTGGCAACTCACAAGCCAACTCTAATTGGGGCTGTGTGGAGTGCTATGTTGAGGATTCTGAGGTTAAGTTTCAGCCCATCAGGAATTGGTGCCATGCTCAATTTGGAATGCCTATAGACTCTCGTTTCATATTTACAGTCTTTGTTCTAGACTAATAGTGAGTATATAAGGGTACTTAGAGAGCCTATCTGCTTAACTTTGGGCTGGGGAATTATTAACATATAAAATTATGGCTGGGTGAGGTGGCTAATCCCAGCACTTTGGCAGGCCAAGGTGGGAGGATCGCTTGAGCCCAGGAGTTCCAGAACAGCCTGGGCAACATAGTGAGACCCCATCTCTACAAAAAATTAAAAATTACCCAGGTGTGGTGGTATATGCCCATAGTCCCAGCTACTTGGGAGGCTGAGGCAGGAGGATCACTTGAACCCAGGAGGTTGAGGCTGCAGTGAGCCATGATCATGCCACTGTACTCCAGCCTGGGCAACAGAGCAAGACCCTGCCACAAAAAAAAATTAATTACATATAGAGTTTCAATCCATAGAACAGCTAATGAAGACCACATTATGTGTAGTTTGAGAAAGGAGAGGGCAGGCATATATCTTATTTACTCCTGTAGATTCAGTGCCTAGCACGTAGTAGAAGCTCAGTCAGTATTTTTTTGCATTGAAATGAAAATAATTATGCTGAAATTCTTCCCATGGAACCCAGGGGATATTGGTAAAATTAAACCATGTGAAACTTGAGTAGTGTTAATGTTTTGTTCATAAGTTTCATGAATTTTTGCATATATTTCATGGCATTTATATTAAATTCATTAATAAAATATTCCTCTGTGTGAACTCAATAAAACATTTTAAAATAACAATAAAAATGTCCTCCTGCCCTCTTATATATTTTCCAGTAATGTCACTGATTTCTTAGCTCTTTAAGACTTAATGAAAGAACTCTGCAGGGTGGCAAGTTAGTGACAGCAAATGTGGTCTGGCCAGTCAGACATGGAAAAGGTATGTGTGCCAAGGTCACACTGGTTACAGACAAAACTGCTCTTCTGACATCACTTCACATCTGAAATGATGCCACTTCACATGGTCAGGAAATACATGTATTTCTATCACACAGCATGGGGAATGTGTGTTAGAAATGACTGCATTACCAGGCATAGAATAACTCAGGTATGGCTAACAGGAGGAATCAAGAACACTGGATATAGGGGCCACAAGAAAATAACACCCTCCATGGTGTAAAGAACATGAGTTTCAAAGACAGACAGACTTGAGTTCAAACCCCCATTCCACCAAGAATGTTGGTATGTTACTTTGTCTCTCTAAGCTTCAATTTCTTTACCTGTAAAACAAAGCTGAAAATGATATTGACCTCATACATTATTGTGATGGTAAACAAGATATTAATCATAAAGCTCTTAACATATGGCAAGTGCTTAATAAATGATAGCTCTTATTATTGTTGTTGTTTGGATTTTAAGCCCAGCTCATAGGATGTTATTTGGTAAAACCATAAGATGAGTCAAAGCTTGAGATTTAATTAAATGTATGAACATACATGTGCACACACACATCTAACAGCATAATATGGTGGATTATCTATTGCTATATATCATTGCTGTCATATTCCCTAACATCTCATGCCAAGAATTTCTTGATGTTTTACCCCCATTAATGCATGATATAAAAATAGTCCATTTCATTCTCTTTGGAGTGCTTTTTGAAGATTCATTTTTTTTTCTTGGATGTCCTTAGGAATCCCTTTATATGGCACTGGGTCAGGATGGGGCAAAACTTTTACCACATAATAGTATTTTGTTGAAGGAGATAAAAACAGCTGGTCACACAACACAGACTGCTTTGTACAAACAATGTTACTAAACCCAAGAGATGTCAATACAATTAAAACATCCAAACCTGCTGTGTTCCCAGTTTTTCTCTCTTATGTATTAAGTATATCATGACATAGCATAAGGAGAATTTGTGCTCCTATTACCTGACTGCTGAGGTCATAAGCACATCTGGCCCATAGTCAGGAGCTGACTTAAAGAAAGATCCCTAATTCTGATTTTTAAAAATTCAAGAGTCACTAATCATTATCATGATAATAGGTAACTGACTAAATACCCGTTAGGTATTGTAGTAGCCTAAAATAATGGCCCCCAAAGATATCAGGTCTTAATCCCTGCAACCTGTAAATGTTAATTTATATGGAAAAAGCATCTTTGCAGATGTGGTTAAGGTAAGGCTCTTGGGATGGAGAAGTTATAGTAGATTACCCAGATGGGCCTAATGCAGTCACATGGGTGCTTATAAAAGAGAGGTGTGAGGAGATTAGAAAGAAGAGAAGGCAGCATGGTCGTGGAGACAGAGATCAGAGTGATGCCACCACAAGAAGCTGGGATAGAGAAGGGACTGATGGAGTGCAGCCTTGCCAACACCTTGATACTCATACTTGATACCCCAGTGATACTATTTTCAGATTGCTGGCTGCAGAAATTCTCAGAACTATGAGAAAATTATTTTCTGTTGTTTTAAGCCAATAAATTTGTGGTAATTTGTTACAGCAACCACAGAAAACTAATACATGTATCATGCCCTGTGCAGGGTGTGTGTGTGTGTGTGTGTGTGTGTGTGTGTGTGTATTCTCTGATCCTCACACTAATGCTAAGAACCAAGTATTGTTTGTTTGTTTGTTTGACACAGAATCTTACTCTGTAGTCCAGGCTGGAGTGCTGTGGAGTGATCTCTGCTCACTGCAACCTCCGCCTCCCCAGCTCAAGCGATTCTTGTGCCTCAGCCTCCTGAGTAGCTGGGATTACAGGTGTGCACCACCACACCCTGCTAGTTTTTATATTTTAATAGAGATGGGGTTTCACTATAATGGCCAGGCTGGTCTCAAACTCCTGGCCTCAAGTGATCCACCGGCCTCTGCCTCCCAAAGTACTGGGATTACAGGCATGAGCCACTGCACCCAGCCAAGTATTGTAGTTTTACAGAGGAAATTGAGGCTCAGAGAGGTTATATAAGTAAACTGAAGGCACACAGTAATTTTGTAGCAGAACTGGAGTTTGAATCCTGGTCTCTACTCCTTCCACTCCACCATGCCATTTCTCTCGTTCGTCATTCAGCACAATTTAAGCAAATTTGGATAAGCAACTGGGATAAACATGGGAGACTTGGGGTTTTATTTATAAAAGGAGTTTCAAAACACTTGGGTGTAGTAAAGAGTTGGACTGGTTTTGTAGTGTTGTTGCTATGGTTACCACCAGGGTACCACAGGCTTCAAATTCCTGTAGAAATACCTTGTATTTGGAGTTGGGCTTGGTTTTCCAGAGTGACGCCTCTCCAATGCTGAGTCCTAGGCCCTCCCCTGGTGGCAACCTCAGAGAATCTCTTCACATGCCTTTTTTCTTCTATCCTTCTCCCAGCAGTATTCTGCTGTTACTTGTAATTGGAAGCTTCTTCACTTAATGGTGTGGTGTGTTCACGTGGATGCATTCTCTAATTTGTAGTTGAGCCTTAGTATTGACTGGGAGGAATGACCCTGGGTGTGGGGACTGCAGCCTTCTTGGTCTTGCTGCCTCTCCCTTGACTGCAGTTGTGGGCCTAATGCACAATCCAACTGCTTTCCAAAAAACCGTTTTTCATTTGTTTGGTTTTTAACCCTGATATCTTCCCTTGGCTGCAATGAGTTTTCACCAATACCCCTAAGGACTACAGTTCTTCGTTGCCCTTTATTCTAAAGAATAGGTTTTATTGAGTAGTGGAGAGGGAGGAAGGTCTGTGTGGGGTTTCTTTCCTTTCCTGCACAGCTACTCTCCCCAACCCCCAGTCTGCACCACAAGGTCACTTCTCAGGGCTTTGTCCAGTCTTCTCTCTGAGTACTCACTGGGCTTCGTGGTGCAAGTATGCAAGAGGGCGTGGACTCCAGCCTCCTCAGCCCCCAGTGGTTTCACATTGTCCTGCCAGCCCTCACTGAGCTTTCATGGATGTACAGCTGTTCTAGCTGAACTCTTCTTACCTTTGTATCTACTTGACTGGGCCCTCACATTTCTTCTTTCACCGCATGCCTCATGTTTCCAAAGATTTTGTACCAGTTGGCTGCTCTATGACCTCTTCTCTACAATAGATTTAAAAGGTTGTGAGTTTAATGTTAGCCCAGCCAACTTCAAATTTCATTGTGAGAATTCGAGTGATGTTTCTTCCAGGTCTCTACAATCTGGGTTGGAAGCTGGAAAAATGATAGAAATGTAAGGGCCTAAACATTCTTAAAGTGACTTCCAGAGTATTATAAAAGACTAAAGCCCACGCTTTTATAAGATTCCTATTTCCCAATCATATGAAATCAACAGAACAGCAATTAGTAAGCATGACTTCTTCACACTAAAGGACGAGCTCAACAGATGAGAAATTTTAACCAATTTCTAGAATTTGCAAAGTACATGATAGACTATATACGGATGACTCAAAGCAGAGAAAGTCCCTGTCTAATGGAGGATGCTGAAGACAAAGAAGCTGAGTTGCCTATGGCGCCAAAGGGACTCTGGACTTGGAAATAGCAGGCTTATTAAAGGGAAAGAGAAAGGTGGTGGCAGAAATCAGAAATACTAACTGGAAACTCGAATGCCATTTACAAACAGTCTATTATGCATTCACACTTCCTACCCCTGCCTTCATTTAGAGATCATAGAGAAGCCAGGAATTTGCCTGTCACAAAAAGTGGTTCTTTTCTCTTATGTTATATAATCTTACTGGGAAGAGTGCACATTTAGCATGGGTGTTGCTAGCTTAAGAATAGCCTTCCTTCTTCTGGCATTTGGATGAACCCTAACATAAGAGTTAGCTCCTTTCCTGCTCACTGTAAAGAAAAACCTCTGTATAACCAAGACTTTGTTATTATTATAAGACAAAAATGTAATTTAAAAATAATAATTTAAAATAATTACTTGTTTACTTCTTACTGTGTGCCAGTACTTGTCTAAGGTAAGATTCCATCAAGAGATAAAACATTTATCAGACATTTGAAAAAGTCAGAAATTGAAGGTAAAGCACTAATATTAAAACAACAGAAAAGTTAACATAAAATAAGAAATAGGTATGTGAGGAGTAAGAAGTGAAATTTTTAAAATTGAAAGACTCCAAATACTAGAAAAAATTCAGAGATCTTGGATTCATAGGAAAACATTATATAGACATTGAATAATTTAAAAAGAAATGGCTTTGGAAATATTAAAACATGATTTCCCAAATTAAAATATAGTAATAGATTTGTTGGAAGACCAATTTAACAAAATATTCCAAGATATGTAAAAATAATAATAGTGGCTGAATGCCATGCCTCATGCCTGTAATCCCAGTACTTTGGGAGGCTGAGGCAAGTGGATCCCTTGAGCTCAAGAGTTCAAGAGCAGCCTGGGCAACATGGCTAAGCCCCATCTCTACAAAATATACAGAAATATGCTGGGGTGGTGGTGCATGCCTGTAGTCCCAGCTACTCAGGAGGCTGAGGTGGGAGGGTCTCTTGAGCTTTGGAGGTGGCGGCTGCAGTGAGCCGAGACCATACCACTACATTCTAGCCTGGGCAACAGAGCAAGATTCCATCTTTAAAAAAATTAAAATAAAATAATCAAAATAGCACACTTTATACACTATATGTATGTAAAGAGAGATAATCAATTCAAGGGATTCGCAATAAAAACATCTGTAAACAATATTTTCATATTTTCAAGTTGCTTGTTTTCTACTATGTGGCTCCCATTGACGTTTGCGTCTTTTCATTAAAGACGCTGCCACATTACACACACACACACGCACACACATATACACACACATACACACACACAGATGACGCTTGAAAAACACATGGGTTTGAACTGCACAGGTCCACTTTTATGTGGATTTTCTTCTGCCTCTGCCATCCCTGGGACAGACCAACTACTCCTCATCCTCTTCTTCCTCTGCCTACTCAATGTGACAATGAGGAGGATGAAGACTTTATCAGGATCCACTTTCACTTAGTGAATACTAAACATATTTTCTCTTCCTTATGATTTTCTTCATAACGATTTCTTTTCTCTAACTTACTTTATTAGAAGAATACAGTATTATACAAAATACATATCAATAGACTGTTTATGTTACCGGTGAGGCTTCTGGTCAACAGTAGTCTATTAGTAGTTACGTTTTTAAGGAGTTAAAAGTTATATGTGTATTTTGGACAGCATGCGGCATGGGTACCCCAACACTCCTATTGTTCAAGCGTCACCTATATATTCTTTAAGATCCCAGATTATCTGCAAGATCAAAACTACTTGGTCTAAGGTGGATCATATACACTTATGCTCCTATATCAAAGGCCATGGTAAGAAATGCTCTATAACAGCCCTCCTAGTCGAGAAAAACCTATTCCTGAGAGTGGAAAATTTTTGCAACCTCCTGAAGCAAATGAATATAAAATCTCAGACTAGCTCCATCAGCAAAATGTTTTTCAAAATTGCCATTTGACATAGGCTAAATTCTTAAACAGTCTTAAATGAAGAAAGAAAAGATAATGTTAACTTTGAGTAGCATGGGTTTCAGGATGATATTAGACACTTGTATGCTGGTGGCCCTTGCTAAATGCTATTTCAGCCTGAGCCCTCTTTACAGATCATCTCTTTCAGTTGGTAAGAAAGGAAAGAACAGATAAAGAAGGTACCAAATAAAGAATTTAAACCTCTATTATAACTATCTAGCCACTGGTGTTTACAAAAAAATGTATCAGTCATCCCAGCTACTCGGGAGGCTGAGGCAGAAGAATCATTGGTACCAGAGAGGTGGAGGTCGAAGTGAGCCGAGATCGCGCCATTGCACTCCAGCCTGGGCCACAAGAGCGAAACTCCATCTCAAAAAAAAAAAAAAAAAATCAGTCTTCTGTTCTACCTGTGACTAGATTCAATACACATTTTTAAAGAGTGTACTATTTGTTAAACAGTGTGCAAGTTGCTGTATTAATGCAAAGACAAGCAATTCTAAAGGAACTTACAGACTAGGATTTTTTGTTTTGTTTTGTTTTGTTTTGTTTTGTTTTGTGAGACACAGTCTTGCTCTGTCACCCAGGCTGGAGTGCAGTGGTGCTATCTTGGCTCACTGCAACATCTGCCTCCTTGGTTCAAGCAATTCTCCTGCCTCAGTCTCCCAAGTAGCTGGAACTACAAGCATGCGCCACCACACTCAGCTAATTTTTGTGTTTTTAGTAGAAATGAGGTTTCGCCATGTTGGCCAGGCTGGTCTCAAACACCTGACCTTGGGTGATCCACCCACCTCAGCCTCCCAAAGTGCTGGGATTACAGGCACGAGCCACTGTGCCAGGCCACTTACAGACTAGTTATGGTGATCATGATAATAACTAACTTTGACATAGCACTCACTCTGTACCAGTGTTATTATAGATGCTTTACATGCATTCACTTTTAATTTCCACAATTACCCTAGGAGGTGTGTTCTATTATTATCACTCCTATTTTACAATTCAAGAAAATAGTGTTAGAGAGGTTAAAACTTGTCCATAGTCTTTTAGCTAATAAGCAACGGAGCCAGAATTTAAACTAGACACTGTGGTTACAAAACCCACGCTCTTAACTGTTTCTAATACTGGAACAAGACAAGGGTACCATTGACCAGAATATAAAGTGGGGGGAAATAATTGTCATAAGAAATAGATATGAAAGTGACCCCTGTGTTCAAAGAGAAATGCAGCCTGCCATTCTCCCCTCAGCTCACACAGGCTTTCTTTCAGCTCTTCAAGCACACTGAGCACAAAGTCTGAGCTCCTATGGCTCTGGACCTTGGCACGTACTGTTTCCTCAGCCTGTAGTTATTTTTAAGTACTTTATAATTAATTTGATTATACTTAATGGAAATATAATCATATTGATTTTCTTATAATGCATTAGAATTATTTGACATGTTTAATAGTTAATAGTTTATTTGTTCATTTTTGCCATTTGACTGTGTTCTGTGAGGGCCAAACTTGCCCTGGTCATGTTTACCATTGAATCCCAAATGACTGCTGCATCATAGGCCCTCAATATTTGCCTGTTGTTGTTGCAGGGTTGTGGGGAACTTAGGAAAGCCTTCATGCAAGTGGTGGTTTTAAAGCTGGCTTTTTAAGTTTGTTAGTATCTTTTAACTTGTGAAGTTGAAGGGGAAGGAAATTTAGGCTGGAGGGTCAGCATCATGTATGTGTAACATGGTGATCATTAGGCTTAAATGACAAAACGTATAAGAAACAATGTATAGAGAGTTGAGTATTTTTGTGGCAGTGGACTGGTAAGACTGGGAAAATAGGGCAATGTCTTCTGTAAACTGTATTTAATCTTCATTTACAGATGATGAAACTGAAAGACCAAAATCTTGTGCCCAAGTTTTCCACAGCTAGTGAGCAGCAGAGCGAGGATTTGTATTTAGGATTGACTCAACGCCCATGAAGTTAATTGCTAAATCATACTATCTCCATGTGAAAAAATCCTGAAACGTCAGGATGTGGAATTGGCACTTGATGGGACAAATCACTGAGCATGGACGGGACTAGGGTCAGCTGAGTACAGCACGCCACAAAACTCAATAATCGAGTTAAATAATATTATAATGCAATATTAAAAAAAAAAACAGCACCTGACCAACATGGCGAAACTCCATCTCTAATAATAACAAAGTTTAGCCAGGAGTCGTGGTGGCTGAGTCAGAAGAATCCCTTGAACCCAGGAGGTGGAAATTGCAGTGAGCCGAGATCGCACCATTGCACCACTCCAGCCTGGGTGACAGAACGAGACTCCATCTCAAAAAAGAAACACACACACACACACACACACACCCAGCAGACAACAACCCCCTGTTCCTTTTTTCTATTTTTGTAAATAAAGTGATTAAAACCAGGGATGGGATTAGGGTAAGGCAAGTGAGGCGAGGTCACACAAGCGCAGGATTGGATCCTGCTCTTTATTTTAAATACTGATGCTTTGTTTGTCATGGATGACTTTTGCATTCATTTTGATTTTTAAAAATATTTCTTTAAAGCAATATTGATTCTGATTACTGAGTTTTTACCCTCATAACTTTGACACCCTAGGTGAGTTCTCCACTTGCCTCATAGTTGTTCCAGCCCAATCTAGATGCATGCTTTCAAAAAGAGTAATCTGACAGTAGCATGGAAGATGATTCAGAGGGGAGGCTGAGAAGAGCAGGCTCAGAGAAGGATATAGACAAGAATGGATCAAGACCCAGATGACTTTTGGAGGCTGAGCTGAGCTCGTGCCACTGCACTCCAGCCCAGGTGACAGAGCTAGAAAAAACACTCAAATAAGCGAATTGACAATAAGGATGGAAACAATGGGGAGAGTGAGAATCTATATGATTTGGCAATTGTGTGGTAGGAGAATGATGACAAGGACTCCAAGACAATGCCATGACTTAAAGGAGTTAAAGATAACTCGGGAACTGTGCCACCTTAATGAGAAAAGAAAAGTCAGGAGAAAATCCTGGTTTGGAGGGATGATATCAAGTGTGAGGTTAGGGGTATGAGACAGCAGCGTGCATTTGAGGGGTTTTAGCCCTATTTTTAGGCTATTGCTATTGTTACATAACAGCTTTAGAATATAAAACATTTGGCCAGGTGCAGTGGCTCACGCCTGTTATCCCAGCACTTTGGGAGGCTGAGGTAGGTGGATCACTTGAGGTCAGGAGTTCAAGACCAGCCTGGCCAACATGGTGAAACCCCATCTCTACTAAAAATACAAAAATTAGCCAGACGTGGTGGCACGCGCCTGTAATCCCAGCTACTCAGGAAGCTGAGGCAGAGAATCACTTGAACCTGGGAGGTGGGGACTGCAGTGAGCCAAGGTCATGCCATTGCACTCCAGCCCAGGCAACAGAGCAAGACTCTGTCTTAAAAAAAAAAAAGTATATATAAATACATTTTTTAAAATGTATCTTTAAAAAATGTATATATATATATATATGTATATATATATATATATCACATTTGAAATAATTGAGGCAATGATTAAAACTTGGAAATCATTTTGTTCTAGAATTTTTATGATATATTTTTATTAACTTGGTAATAAAGTTTTTGGCTTTCTTTTTTTTTCGGACGGAGTCTCGCTCTGTCCCCCAGGCTGGAGTGCAGTGGCACGACCTCAGCTCACTGCAAGCTCCGCCTCCCGGGTTCACGCCATTCTCCTGCCTCAGTCTCCCGAGTACTGTGACTGCAGGCGGCCGCCACCACGCCCGGCTAATTTTTTTGTATTTTTTTTTTTTTTAGTAGAGACGGGGTTTCACCGTGTTAACCACGATGGTCTCAATCTCCTGACCTCGTGATCCGCCAGCCTCGGTCTCCCAAAGTGCTGGGATTACAGGCATGATGTTTGGCTTTTTAAAGGTAAAATGACCATAATGTCCATTTCTCATTTCTTCCATGGAAGAGATAATATAGGATTTATTTATATGCTTAATATCAAGATTTTCCTTTTTTGATCTCATATCTGGCATCCTAAATGTTAAGGGGTGTTAAAACAAACACTCCATCTCTCTGAGGTGTTTTCTGTCTCCATAAACATTCACCCAGCTACTTTATTAGTTGTTTTCTTTCTTTAAACCCCTTCTTACCTGAAGTATTTAAACTATTTTTTTCTGAACTTCCCCTAAGTATTT
Organism: Homo sapiens; assembly: GCF_000001405.40. Taxonomy (NCBI): domain Eukaryota; kingdom Metazoa; phylum Chordata; class Mammalia; order Primates; family Hominidae; genus Homo; species Homo sapiens. Next base: position 41,784,098 of record NC_000004.12, read on the forward strand.
TGCTATTTCATAAAGCAAAGCATTTTAAAATGTATCCATTTACTAGCAATGTCTTTGGAAGGCCTTTCAGCCCATTGTGTTATACAATACCCTATTGTGTATATGTAACCCAAACTAGTTTCAGGCTATTTTTACCATACACGCTTACATTGGTTTGAGCATTTTAATTGAATCAGACAAGCAACCAATAGCTAACTTGGTCAGTAACCAGTCATTCACTGAAAACAGTCGAACAGATTGTGTCTGTAGACACAGCCTCAATCTTTTTGTTAGCACAGCCATTTTGGTTTTCTCCACTTAATCTCATTAAGGGTACCCCCCTCCCTCCACCTGACATATGACTTTCTAGGTTTCCCTGGCTCAATGAATGTTTAAGTTTCCAATTACACGTCCCCAGATGCATTTGTTCTGCCTTAATTCTTTTTGTTCTTCCCCATCAATGTACTTAATATACTTTGATCCATTGTATTTTTCATTTGTCATAACTTGTTTTTATTTGGGTTTCCAGTTTAGGGTATTATCATTTTAGTATTAGGCATGCATACCATCTGTGTCTGTACGGGCATTGAAATATCCTTATCTTGGCTTCCTTTCATCTTTCTCTGATACTGGGGATGGACGAAGGCCTTGTGTCTAATAAGTCATTTGCATCAGCATGTCCCAAATGACCAAGAGATGAGGATGGGAGAGATTAGCATGGTAATCTCATTCTGATGGATAAAATTAGCAGAGATATTCCCCACAAATGGAGAGCTGCCGTTGGCGAACTGCTGTGCTTAGAATCAATTACTAAATTACTTTGAGCTCTAAGTTGACATTAACAGAAAAAAATTGCCATCGACTGAAGGGAAATAAGATAAAAAATATGCGATCATTAAATCTCTCGCTACTATTCACGAATGTGACTCACAAGAATGGTACACAAAATAGGGCAGAATTTAATTTTTAACAGTGCCCCCTGTCAACATTTCATCCTGAGCTTCTCTGTGGCCTGTGAGCCTGCCGTGGCCTTTCCTATTTATTTGCAGAGGAAGGAGAAGCCGGGAGAAGAGGAGAGATCTGGTTCAATCCCTCCACTTTTCTCCAAGGCTGGGCAGCTAACTCAGGAGCCCCAAGGGCAATTTCTGATGCCTCAGCCACCCAATCATGCCAAGCAGGGGTTGGCAGTCTTGTCTCCCTATGTCCAAAGGAGAGCCACACCAGGCAGGGCCTACTGACATTCTGAATGCCTCCTTCTGACCAATATCAACAACATCAATGTGAAGCTAGCTCTCTCGGTTTCTACTAGCCCAAGCTGACTGGGAAATGATGACTATAAATGTTTCCTTAGAGCATCACTAGTACTGCTAGCCCTTCCAGAAGTTGATGAACTCACACAGCATTTCTTATTAATACAAAATACCTCTACTAAGAAAAGCCTTTCTCTGCTTAGAAACACATTCTTGTCTCAATGGGGAGAAAGGAGTAATGATGGGCATAAACAAGGAAATTAGTTCATATAAGGAAAGAAGCTTTAAAATAGCTTTTTTTTTTTTAAGCCAGGGCCTGGGGAATCCCAGTGGCATAGTAATTGTTAATATTATTAGCACAATATACATATCAGCTGTCGAGATATTATGAGGACTTGAATTCAGTCTCTGTTAGGGGAGTCAGGGTCAACATCATTAACTATAGATCTTGTCTCAGTTTCCATATAGATGCCTCAGGGCAAGTGTCTGCCAAATACATCTCTATAGATGGGCACAACCATAGGATATACAAGAGACCCATCACACACATCAGTAATAGACAACAAGCTTTTGTTTATCTGAAGGTTTACTGGAATTAACTGATTAGTGTCAACTTGACACAATAACTTTTGTCTACAATGCAGTAGATCATTTTGATGGTTTTATTGATGGAGTGTGTTGTCTAATGTAAATCATAGGGGAGGTTGAATTTAGATAAAGTCTGGCACATTTTTCTTAAGAGGAAACTGAAAAAGCTGTTTGTAAATGCACCCTTGACAGGCCACCTTCTGCAGTCTTATAGATATTAAGATAGTAATTGTGATATTAATAATAATAATTACAAGGGAGAGTTGTAATTGAAATGTATGCAAGTCAGCGGTTGGCAAATGCATCTTTAAGAGGACACATTTTGTGCTCTTACAGATATTACAACAAAATTGTGGTATTAATAACAGTGATTAGAAGGGAGATTTGTAAGTGAAATGTAAGCAATCCATTCTTAAATTGAACTTAGAACACAAAACCATTAAAGGGAAATGAGAAAATAAGGCTAGGTTGTTAAGAGTGACACAACTTTCATGTAAAAATTGCCTGCAAAAATGGCAGAGAAATGAAACGAGAGCAAGTGGGAGTTTATATACTTACATGGAATTTTAAATAACTATAAACAAAATGTATTCAAAGGCTAAATTCTAACTTGGGGGAAAAAGTAAAAATAGATTCTAAGCTTTGAGGGATTATTTGCGGTAAACATCATCAACATGTATCAATCCAAGCAAACTATATGCACAGTTAATTTTGAGATTTGGGTAAACCAAATCTAGAATAATTAACCATGAGTATTCTTGGTAATTTAAAGTTTCCTGAATCAAATAGTTTCTAGAAACAATTCATCACTTTAATTTTTTTCCAGTTTTGTCCTAAGAGTCTCTTTTAAAATATAAGGGTTGCAGTTTTACGAACCCAAATTCCAGAAAGAAAAAGGATGACTTACTCTAGTCACAGAAGAAATGTCAGAGTCTATCCTTGAAAGTAGAAATAGGGTGAGTGCCAGGGAGTGGAGGAGCTTAAAGGAATAAGAAGACGAAGTAGACACTTACCAAACAGGCACCCTTTAACCCTACAATCACTTCCTACTATTGGGATACAACTTTTTTCTTTCATAATATTATGTTTTGTTGAAATTAGGTCAGTCTAAGATCTGAGACACACTGAACTGCAAAATGGAGTAATTCTTTTCTGAGTGTCTCGTCAATGGTGTCTCCCAAAGGCTCCAATTAGCTGTCTCAATCTGGTTTTAGGAGAGAATTGTTTTCTATTCTTCATGAGAAAATATACTACAATCTTGTCCCTTGGTTATACTTCTTTTTTCCCCCTATGTCCTCTGTGCTTGTGTTGTATTGCAAATAACAACTGCACAGATCATAGAGTGGTGTTAATTCCCATTTGGAAGCCTCTCAGAGTCATACTTTTCTCTTTTGGGTTCTTAAGACTGAAAAAATGAGAATGCCAAAGGAATTTCTTGTCCTGAAAAAGGAGTATCTTATCATTCACCTGCAAGTGTTGAATAGCTTCTATACACACCGTACAAAGAATAACACATGCTTTTAAATATTCATAAACAAACAAAAAAAGTCACAAAAGCTTCTTGTGTCTCCTGCAAACTTCTCTCTAGCTAGATTCTCCGGCTGGAACAGGTCACCTGAGGGTCGCCTCAAGCCCCAGTATCCTTCAAACAAAAAAGACCTACGTCTCCTTTCTCCAAGCCATGGACCTAGAAGAACAAAAGCTTTTGGGAAGGGTGGGTAAGGGAGGGTTAGTAAATTAACCCATCCGGGCAAAAATGAATGAGTTTAACTAAGTAGAAAATTACACAAAAATAGTCAGAAGCATTTTACAAAATAGAAGAGAGAATATAATTCTTCCATACACTTAGGCTGACAATATCAATATCAGCCAACATGCACTGATTGACAGGCACAATGGTTTCATTTTATTTCATCTTTTCAGCCTCTCTTTGTTAAGGATTATCATCACCATTTTCTAGATAGAAAAACTGAGGTTCTTTCAGGTTAACTAACACAAATCAAAGTTACACAGATAAATGGCAGGGCTGGAAATTTAACCCGGGGTTCAAAAAGACTCTGATTTTAACCGTGCTATTTTACCTCCCTCCTTGTGCCCTCCTGAGCTGGGGTTCACTTGATCGCCCACCCCCACCTCACCCGGGATGGCCCTGAGACAGCTGAAGGGAGAAGCTGAAGGGTCTTCATTGTTCGTGAGGCAGGGCTCGGGCTGGGAGTCCAGCAATCTGCCCTTGGGCAGTGTCTGAAGCCTCAGCCCGAAAAGTCTCTCTCTAACAATCACTGACAGCGTCCAAGGGTTTCTGAGGGCAGAAAGACCCAGCCCTGGGAGTGGGGGAGAGAGAGGAAGAGGAAGATGAGTCTCTTTTACCCCTTATTAGTCATCCTTCAGATTCCTCAGAAGACAGAGAAAGGGGGAGAGAGAGAGAGAGAGAGAGAGAGAGACCTAGCAGCAAAGCAGGATTGGATGTTTCCCTCCCATACCCCAAAAAGGCTCTGATGGTCAAGCCCTTGTAATTTATTACATTGTAATTTAGCCCTACGACGTGTTCAGATGGGCAAAAACCAGATGTGGGGAAAATGCAAACACAAACCTTTCCTGTTACCCTTCTGCAGCCTCCTTGTTCAGTGTTCCTGTAATTTCCTGGGAGCCACATGTTGGGTTCTAGGAAAGTGCAAGATGCCCAGGACCCAGTTTCCACGTGATCCCTTTATGTTAACTGGCTTTTACTTTGTCCACCACCTCACTCCTGGGGTTCCACAATAGGATGCTCTTCCTTACGCTCTCTGAGCTTTAAATATTGGGCATCTCTGCTCTGACATTCTCTACAACCTACATGTTTAACAAGGAGGGGCAAGAGATTGAGTATTTAAATTATGGTACATCCACTCCAGATATTATTTTGACATTTCAGATGCCGCTGGAGGTAATATAATAGCTTCATGCTTATAAAGCTAAGTATAGAGAACAATATTCAAGATTAAACATAAACTCTCATGATGGCATATCCAGGTGGTTGAAGCATGGACTTTGGAGTCAGACTGACCTGAACTAGACTCTGCCCTTTGCCCGCCATGTGACTCTGGGCAAGTTTTTGCACCTTCCATAGCCTCTGCTTTTTCTTCTGTAAGAATGGTGATAGCCAACACAGAGTTGTTATGAGGATTAAATGAGATGATATCAGTTTGAAGTTTCGCAAAGTATCAGGCTTGTTGCAAGCATAAAATAAATGGTACCCCATTATCTTAGAAAGAAAATTGAATGTAGGGGAGGGAAGTGGAAATTCTCCTAAATCCAAAATGTTTGTGAAATTCTCCAAATGAGTGAAAGTGGGGTTAAAAAAAACTCAGGAGAAGGGATTTCTGGGTGGGAGCCACTTACTTGAGATCAGCCTGGTCAGTTTTCGGGATCCATTGAGAGAAGCCCATTGGACACTTCTTGGATTATGGACCTCCACATGGGCAAAACACAAGACTGTGTTCTTGGCACATTTAGGATCTACTTATATTCACCACTGGCTTTATATTCAATATTTAAAAGGATCCAATTAAGTGAAACAACAACGGAAAGAAATCTACCTGGCAATTTTTATCCCCAGTGGGGGTAAAAATATATTTATAGACATGATTATCGTCATTCATCCAGCCACTCTTTACTAATCACTCTTCTGTACCATGATGCTGCATTCCTTTCTAAGGTCTTGGGATTAGGCCAGAAAGACACAGCCCTGCTTTATGTTGCTTACCCACCTAAGGTGCTGTGCAAAAACCTTGCAAGGGCAACTTCTGGGCAGTGGAAATAAACCCGGTTTGCCTCTTTGGGTTATTCTATGCTTTCTTGCATTTCTATAATAGACACGTATTTTGTTGTATTCAAGAAAAAAATTTATTTAAAAAAATTTATCTGCTACGAAATAACGAGTTCAAGCACATTTTAAATTTTCAGTTGATGGGTGGGTGTCAGGGTAAGCCAACTTCAGAGTCTCCTACATTTCTTGTGAATGTGAGAGCAGCTCCACCTGGCTCTAGCAGTAAGCCTCTTTGAGCACTGGGAACCTTCACTTGCCAGGAAGGTAGGTCTTAATATTCCTTCCTTCTTCTCCTCCTTAAGATGCACTATGAAGCCCAGAGAATGTGGCTTGGATTACTTTTGAACATGGTCATTTCTAAGAATTGACTTTATGTATTAGTCTGTTCTCATATTCCTATAAAGAAATATTTGAGACTGGGTAATTTATAAAGAAAAGAGATTTAATTAGCTCATAGTTCTGCAGGCTGTACAGGATGCAAGATGCTGGCATCTGCCTGGATTCTGGTAAGGCCTCAGGAAACTTACAATCATGGCAGAAGGCAAATTTCATCTCACATGGTGGGAGCAGGAGCAAGAGAGAAGAGAGTGAAGGGGGAGGTGCTACACATTTTTAAACAAACAGATCTTGCAAGAATTAACTCACTGTCATGAGAACAGCACCAAGCAGATGGTGCTAAATCATTCATGAAAAATCTATCCCCATGATCCAAACACCTTCCACTAGGCCTCACCTCCAACACTGGGGACTACAATTCAACATGCGATTTGGTGGGGACTCAGATCCAAACCCTATTACTTTGTTTTAGAAATTCATTTCTATAACTTAAAATTATTACTAGAATTTCTTGACCTCCTACATCGTACAAAGCACTGTGAATATATTCTCATTTGATCTTGACAATAAACTGAAGGAATATATTATTATGATTAAATAAGTTGCCCATAGTTATAGAATAAGTGTCAAAACTGGAGTCAAATGAGAAAAATCAGACTCCAAAACCTAGATTTTCAACCACACTACTCCACTGCATCCTGAACTACTGCTTACCAAATGATATGGGCCTTATGGATCTATATTTAAGATGGGGTCAACCTTAAATGCTGGAGAACCAACAACTTGGGTTCAGGTTAATGCCTGAACCCCAAAACCAGTTATCAGTAATTCCTCTTTTCTTGCTGCCCCAGGGCAAACACCAAACCCTTTGCTTTTGTTAATTTCATCGATAATTGCTACCAGGAATCATGTGAGGACTACAAAATTTAATAGGAATAAGCAAATTACAGGAAAAGCAGAGCCTCATGAGAGTGGTGCTCAAATATGGGTCAGATTCTCATATTCATAACAACATGAAAGAATAATTAATCATATGGCCATTATTTTTTGAACACCATCTCTGTACCATGTCTTTTTCTAAGTGCTTTATAGGTACTACCTTGCTTTTGAGGAAACTGAGGCACAAATTAAGGAAACTGAGGTTTATCAACTTGCTCAAGTTCACAAAGAACCTGGATCCTGACCTAGACCATCTGGATCCAGAACCATACTCTTAACCAATATTCTTCCACTGCCTTTACTGGCTAGCCTAGCTGCAGAGGACAGAATGGGTAGAAGAGAGAGATTTCAGCTCTGTACAAAAACAAAACAAAAACAAACAAACAAACAAAAATATTCCAGATGCTTGGAGCTGTCCAACATCATGGTGAATTACCTTAAAATGACAAGCACTCTTCCATTGGAAACGTAGTCAAGGCTAGGTTTATGCAACCTGGGATGCTGAGCAGGTAATCTCTGCGTTGTGTGACAGGTTGAAATAGCCTCAAAAGAGAACTGAGTTAGATCGGAGCTTTCAGATTTTGTGCTCTCTCACACTAGGATGCAGTCTCCACCTTTAGATTCCCTAGCCTGGGACCACTGTGAATTCCAGATAAACTAACATTTATTGAGGCATCAGTTTCCTCCTTTCCCCCCTATCAAAATGTAAGAGCTACACAAGCTTGAAGATCGGACCAAGTATCTCTGTTTTCACTCTTCCTCCACTAGATGTCCTGCTTCTAAGACCCTTCCAACTCTGAGGTTCCACCATTCTTTCTGTGGGACACTAATTGTTGAAATACACCTGATATGCAAGAGAAGGATTTTCACCACATTGCACAAGAAGTTAATGGATCTCAGGATTCATATAAAAGGCTTCTCCTAAAGCAGAATTAATATTTCTCACCACTTCCACTATTACCCCAAAGGGTCAACCCACCATATTCTTTCCCCTGGGCAATTGCAATAGCCTCATCGTTGTCTGCTTGCACTCATATCTGCCCTATATCAGTTCTTCACATTGCAGCCAGAATGATCCTTAATATATATTAATCAGGCCATATCAATTCTCAGTTCAAAGCCTTTCACTGACTTTCTGTTTCTATTAAAATGAAAGACAAAGTCCTTGCAATGATCTCCAAGACCCTCTGTGGTGGGTCCTCCTCCACCCCTGGCCTCACCTCCCATGCCTGCCCCCTCATTCATTCTGCTCCAGCCACTGGCCCCATCCTCTAACACACCATGAATTGCTCCTGCTTCAGGACGTCACATTTGCTGTTCCACCTGCCTGAAATACACTTCCCCCATATAGCTGTATGACTCACTGCCTCACTTCCTCCACGGAGCTGCTAAAATCTCAGCATTATCAAGGCCTACAACTAGTCCCAAAGGACAATTTCAAAAAAGGGCACCCTCTTAATCAAGTACTTTGATCCTATCTGCCAGAAAGTTTTCACAGCAACACAACCTATAATAACCATGAGGAGAAAAGCAACCTATGGACTTGTACAAAGTACAATCCCAAGTCGTAGCTCCAGATGGGAAGTTCTCTGACTACTCCATGTAAAAGAGCAATACCTGCACCCCCCTGCAGCACCCCCATCTTCCTAACCTTGTACATTCTTCTCTCTAGGACTTATTACCATCTAATACAGTTCATATCTATTGGTTTATTTGTTTGCTGACTGTCTCTCCACTCTGCCACTAGAATGAAAGAAGCCAAGGGCTTTGTGTTATTCAATGTTGTACCCCAGCACCTACTACCATGCCTGCCACATAGAAAGCACTCAAATATTTGTTCAATGAATGAATGACAGAATGTTCTCAGCAACGTAGACTGCAGAGTTGAACATGATCAGGAAAATGTGGGGGAAGTTATGACTTTAAATAGAAATAGGTAGCTGCAAGGTTAAGTGCCCAAAGTATATACAAATGGACAGATCATGTAAATCTATGCATATGTCTGAGCAAATTCAAGAAAAAGAAACAAGGCAGGACACTTAAAACCATTCCAGTTGCCTGTGAGCTGGCTTCTCCACTGGTGCAAGCACCCAATTTGTAGATCTGATGAGAGGTGACAACGTTCTAGAGGTGTGTGCATTGTTCCAAGCCAGAGGCTGTGAACACGAAGGTGGCAGAGGCAGAAAAATAAAACTGATCCTCCTTCACGGTCCTTCTTATCATCAGCCCCCACACAGCCATACCAAGAAAAAACAGAGCAAGTGAAGCCTAAGATGTAACAGAGTGGTTTTCACCCATCTGGAGTCAAAGCTGCAGCCCAGAGACTGCTCTCTAAAGAAGTGTCTGCTGGCCTGAGAGACCACCTGTCTTGATGATGAGCAAATAAACAGCTCCACTCACTAGGATTTCACAATCTAAGAGGGTCTCTGAGGATATCATATCAAAACACATAGAGGACCATTTATGAGCAGCCAGCTGTTCAAAACAAAAATATGGGAGAAATTAAACAGAAGCAAGCTTCTAGGTAAAGGAAAAATATTGAACTCAATTTATTCCATTATATGCTCCTCCTTTGTAGAAATGCAAAGAAACATGGAGCATAATTTGGCCCACCTCTGCTTTGATGACCTGTATGAAAAAAGGGTTTCTTCTTTCAGCCTGAAACTCCTGTAAGAGCAGTAGATATAAGTCATATTGGTCAGAGCCTTGGCTACACATTTTCCATGGAATGTAAACATACATTGAAAGATTTGTTTTGTGGGGGTGCTTAGTGACCATGTAATCAGCTACATTTGATGCTCCTCTTCAGGGAAAAGGATGTAAACTCTCCCAAGGTCATGACTGATATAATTTGGGTGAAACATCTCATCCATTTCTGAGGCACATCCACTTTGTTCTTAAATAATTAAAATACTTAATCCCAAAATTTCTTTTCTGCCCCTATATGTGTCAACCAGGGCTGTGTGAGCAACAGAAATCCTTGAGTCACATAAACAATTTTTATTGTAAAATGCTATCAGAACTGTGTGTGTTTTAGTATAATCCATTTTCTGTCAGGCATTTGACTTAATGATATTTCCTCTTCTACTTATGTATTTCATTATCTGTTTTTGTGTCTTCAGAAACACAATAAACTATAATGAACATGAAAAGATTGGTATGCTTTTCAGAGCATGCTTCATTTTTCATCTCTAATGGATCTTTTTGTAGGGTTCTCACAACCAATTGAAAGAGAATAAAACATTCTCTTGCTTCATAACCAAAGTGCTGCTCACACTTACAGCAACCTTTGGAAGGGGAATCCTGGCTATTGATGTCCCTGGAAAGAGAGTGGTAGAAGAAAAGGTAAGTACCTTTGCTTGAGAAAAGAGTGGCCTCCCTCCAGCCACAGACATTCAATGGCCACACCCTCTAACTTCCTCTACTTCGTTCCTTCCGCCTTCCTTTCCTAGATAGGCTGATGTTTTGGGTCAGTTCTAATTGCATTTGTGTTTTGCATTAAAACACACAGTATTCACTGTTCCGCAGACATTATTTTTGAGAATATAAAACACAATTTCTTCTCTCCATTCCTTTAAAAATATTTTTTCTTCCCTCTTTTGAGAAATTTCCTGAGAGTAAAGAAAATGTAGTTACAGTCACCTGGAATCTTGCTACTCAAGTTGTGGCCCTCAGACCAGCCACATCAGCATCACCTGGGAGCTAGTTGGAAGTGCAGAATCCCAGGCTCCACCCCAGACATACTGAATCAGAATTTGTATTTTAACAAGATCCCCAGGTGATTCACTGGCACATTTGAGTTTAAAAAGCACTGAGTTAGGTCAAATTGAGTGGAATAAATGAAGCCAAATATAAAGTTTAGATATGGAAAAACATTAATGCACAAAATGACTTTGATCTTCTAAGAATGTAGTAAGAGAGGCTTACATAGTTTAAATATTTCTTTCATCTGACCTCCTTTTCACATGTTTCCCAAGTGCATAAAAGTATATGAGTGGAAATGTACAATGTCCCAAGAGAACATTTATAAAAATCTGTCTGGCATTTTTTTTCTGTATCAGAAATTGAAGACATGGAAGAAAGATGAAAACGCTGGCTACTAAATACCTATGTGTGGTTACTGAGTGTGGTATACTTGGACACCGAGCTCCCCCACCCATCAGATGTCACAAAGAGTCCTCTTACTCTTGGATAATTTCAAATCAAACTGACCTCCCCAGGTAAGCCCCTTGTCACTTTCAGAAGAATCCCTTTTAATGTGTGCTCCACTAAGATTTTAAACTCAGAAACTCAAGACTTTATTAAGTTGCTACACTTTCAAGCTCAGTAGGACATTTTGACTTGGAAGGGAAATTACTTGGTAAAATGACGAGCTATTCATTTGCCTCGGAATAGGAGGTTTCAGAGAATGTAGAATTTTCAGTTTTAAAACTGAGACAGTCTCAGCATAACTGGGTTGGTTGATCACCCTATTCTAACATCATTTATGACACCCAATTGGCCTAATGAAATTGGCACACAAAAACTAACTTGTGAAGGCAAACAACTTTCATAGAAATAATTTACTGAAACTGCAAGGGAATTCTCTGAGCCCTCACATTCGAGAGGCACAGAATCGAACAGATCATCCAAGCAGATTTCTTTAAATTGGTTGGAAGTGCACAGCTCTTGTTTCGGCATCAATAGATGTGTTCAGTTTCAACTAAGCAATTCACTAACTGCATTGATTTTTAAGGCCAAGCTGAAGGTATTGAGAAAATATCCAGATGACACAGAAACTGGAATGCTCAGAGACTGATGAACAAAGGGAGAATTTTGCTCCTGTTGCTTATTCCTGGGACACCTCTAGCTGGGAATACATATCCCAGGGCTGTTAGTAGTTTTAACCTTTCTTTGGCCACTTGATGGTCGAACCATTCTAGTACATCCCTGTGCCTAAGGGCTCTCAGAATACTCTGGGAATACAAGTTCGTGCTCAAGGTCCAACAGCTGTCAGAGCAGATGGCTGGGGATTTGTTTACTGTGGTCCTAAGTATTACCCTTTAGCTCTAAGGCACTGGGAACAATTTGACAAATTTGATTAACTGAGAACAATATGATGCTTGCCTGGAAAGCTCACTCCACACTTTCACAGAGTTCCTTATGTTCTTTTCATGGTCTGAGGATACAGGATGATATTAGCTACCACCTCAGTCCAATGAAACTATCAGAGAAAACAAAAAAGTCACCCTTGGCTACCCCTTTTGTTTTACAACTGAATGTTTGTGGTTCACATGTACAGCCAGCTGTTCTATCAGAGATGCTCAGAGCATACCTAGTCCTGCCTTTAAGAAAAAGAAATGTGACTTCATGTTCCATGGCACTCTATAGCTTATTTGTCAATTACAATCTGTGTCTGCTTTGTGAAACTAAAAATAAATAGTTAATCTGCTGGAAAATCTTATTCTACCTTCCCAACTTGCCTCTGTTTTTCGTCCTCTCAACTTCCAGTAGTTTCTTTGGTGAACATCTCACGGACGGCTTGCAAAGCATTTTGTGCTTTGAGATGGCGTGTATATCCCTGGGTCTGTGAAAGGCCACTGCTGCAGGGTGGGGAGACAATAGTCAGCTCTGGGAAGTCTGTGGGAATTCCTGAGGGAGCTGCAAGTTACTATGAATAGCCCGGCATTCGAAGAAGATTTGCAGAGGAGTCTCCTGCTGTGCCCTCTAGCTCTCTACTTGATGGAGACAAACCCAGGGCCTGAGAGGTTGGGAAGGGCTCAGGGAGGACGCCCATTAGGGGACAGGCTTTCTTGTGTCCAGATTCCACTTGGGTGACCCTGGGAAGAGAGACTGCTGGCTCTTTTCCGGAGCCACAATGCTCCATTTACAAGCTGCAATTAGTCGCAAGCAAAATTTGTGCATCCACTACTAACTGTCAGCTCAAGAGGTTGAAAGTTCAGTCCTGGGGAGGTCAGGACGTCTTCCAAGGGACGGATGACTTTGCTTACAACCTCCCCTCCCCCAGTACAGTGGGGACCCTTCTGTAGGGGAGAGAACCACATTCCATAGAGGGATGCCTGCAAAACTGAATGATCTATGCCAGACAGGCTCATGGTTCTGGGACTAGGCATAGTAGGCAGATGTACCCGTTATACAGTGACTTTTCTACAGCAGAATATTGACTTAATTTATAATAAATATAGCCATTTGAGAAGAGCAAGGCAAGTAATGCTGTAGTGCTGTTAGGATTTAGCTGCTATTTCAAAGTTCAGCCAGTTTTGCTTGCATATTCCATGTGGAATAAAAAAGCCAGAAAGTCCCAGAAAAAAAATGAACTGTTCTTTGCCAAATCAAAATGTGTAAATAGTTCTTCTGAGAGCATAACAAAGGGTCTATTTTGCTTTTAGACACCAGAGCCAGAAACAGGAAAAGGCTACAATTAACTAACTGAAGCACAATGTGAAGTTAATCAATAATGGAACGATTATGACGAAGATGCCATACATTAACTCTACCTAGACATGAGTGCTGCTTTCAGAGCATGAACATTCTTTCAAATTCCAGATACCACTTTTTCCCTTGTGAGGCTGCATTTTAATTTTCCACTGTCTCCTCTATTCTCATTTGCAATCCTCTGAATCTCACTGTAAACTGTGACTAGATTCCTCCTCCCCCATTTGTGGTGTGTGATGTTGGAATCCCTGCGTTGCTCTTCTGAGAAACAGAGAAGACTTCCATTTGGAGACTGAGCTGACAAGGATTGAATTCTTTATTTATTTTATTTTATTTATTTATTTTTTGAGATGGAGTCTCACTGTCACCCAGGCTGGAGTGCAGTGGCAATCTCTGCTCACTGCAACCTCCGCCTCCCGGGTTCAAGCAATTCTCCTGCCTCAGCCTCCTGAGTAGCTGGGACTACAGGCACATGCCGCCACACCCGGCTAATTTTTTGTATTTTAGTAGAGATGGGGTTTCACTGTGCTGCCCAGACTGGTTGCAAACTCCTGAGGTCAGGCAATCCGCCTGCCTCGACCTCCCAAAGTGCTGGGATTACAGGTGTGAGACACGGTGCCCGGCCCTTTATTTCTTTAATGGGCACACAGCAGCCACTCATTATATGATGTTGACTCCCTTAGATGAAAGTAAAATTAATCATGACATTTACATTGAGTAAAGCCTTCCAGACCTTCCCAAGTTTCTACTCAGGACACCAAACACCAAGAATGGGTCTAACCCAGAGAAAGGTCTTGAAGCTGGGCATGGTGGTGCATACCTGTAGTCCCAGTTACTGGGGAGGCTGAGGCAAGTGGACACTTGAGTCCAGAGAGGTCGAGACTACAATGAGTATGATTGTGTCACTGCACTCCAGCCTGGGCAATAGTGCAAGATCCTGTCTTCAAAAAAGGAAAAGAAAACAAACAAAAAAAAGTCTTGTAAATTTTCAATCAATACCAAAGCTGACTGCTTACCCCAGCAAGCCCATCAGTAGAAGACAAAAGATGGGCCAGGTGGGAGGCAGACTGGGCTGGCTGCTCCATCCCTGCCCCCCTTGCAGGAACTACACAGCATGAAGACAGGTGGCACGGTTTGAGACTTCTCTCCCAGGCTCCCATTTGGACCAAACTCAGATTTCCAAATGCAAGGCCTTCCATGACAGTGGATATCATGTGACAAAACCAGATACATAGCCTCCCCCGCCACAGTAGAACCTCTGCTTCTTCCGCTCCCCTTCCCCCTTGAAATCACTGAAAGCCAGGCGATGTACGTGGCTCCCCCTCAGAGGGAGTTGCTCGGGTCTCTCTTCTAGACAGTGCTCTAAGAAACAGTCTTTCCCCTCACCCTTCCTATCACCACCCTCCCCTACCACACCCCTGCAACACCTCACCCAGAGTTAGCCACAAAAATAACTGTTCCATGGTGGGCAGAGTATGATGCCGGGTGATGAATTAACAAGAAACCTCCCATCACCTGGTGGGCAATTTTTTTCTAATTAAGTTAATTGGATTTTTTTATATTATAAAAGGAGTGCATGTTCATTATTAAAAATTTGTAAAATACAAAAAAAAAGTAGAAATTTGAGGGAAAAAAGTAAAGCCTACAGGTGGGTAATTACAGCCCCAGAATTATTAGTCATTTTGACTGGGAACCTGGTAATCCATAAATTAGGTTTTTAGAGTCAACTCCAGTTCCACTTTCTAGTTCAACTACTTGTGTCTTCCCTAAGTCAATGCTGCAGTTATTTATCACAGTTTTCTTGGAGAAGGCAAAATCCTTTCTGTCTGAATTTCAGCCCCACTTAAAATTTTAATGCAAAACTGCGTTCCTCAGAGTTACTGGAGACATAAATTCCTGGCACCCTTCCATTCCAGCCCCAGGGTTTCTCTCCCTCTAGGACTTCTCCAAGCCAGCTCCCTTGTCATCAGCTCTCATGGGAGGAGTAGAATTCTTATTTTTTCCCCCCACAATAGAACTTTTAAAAATTTCTCTGAAATATGCTGTTTGTATAGTCACATGTCTGAGTTTCTAGCAATTAATCTCTTTATTTCTGTCTCGGCAAAGCATGAATGTTTCTGCAAAAGAATGAAAGCAAAATACTGAAGCAAATATCAGGCGAGATTTTGGCTCATGCACAGAAAGTCAAATATCCATCGACCTCAGTTACCTGCAGCTCAGCGAGGAAGCCACTGATGATCAGCAAAATTCCTAAGCAGCAAAAGCAGCAGCACAAAAATTAAGATTCCATCAGCCACGCACTCTCTCACTTTGTCACTCTTCTTTGAACCCCATTCAAAAAAAAAATAATAAGCATTCTCAGTTCTCTTAGCCCTAAGGAACAGATTGCAATGTGACAATGGATTCTGGTGGGAATGATGAAGGAAATAGAAAACTTTCAAAGGTGGACACAGGAATTCAAAATATGTATGTGAGCCAGACGTGGTAGCTCGTCTTGTAATCCCAACATGTTGGGAGGCCAAGTGGGAGGATTAGAGTTTGAGATCAGGAGTTTAAGACCAGCCTGGGCAACATGGCAAAACCCTATCTCTACAAAACAAAAAATTAGCTGGGTGTGGTGGTGTGTGCCTGTAGTCCCAGCTACTCGGGAGGCTTAGGTGGAAGGATCGCTTGAACTTGGGAGATGGAGGTTGCAATGAGCCAAGATGGCACCATTGTACTCCAGCCTGGGCCTGACCCTGTCTCAAAACAACAGAAAATCAAGTGGCTTAGCTGGGTGATCCTGGCTCAAGGTCTCTTATGAGGTTGAAGTCAAGATGTTTTCTGAAGGACAATATGCTATGTGAAATAAACTAGTTACAAGCAGACAAATACTAGGCGATTCCACTTACATGAGGTACCTAGAGTAGTCAAAACCATAGAGACAGAAAGTAGAATGCTGGTTGCCAGGGACAGAGGGAAAGAGATAATGGGGAGTTATTGTTCAATGGGCATAGAGTTTCAGTATTACTAGAAGAGAGGAGTCCTGGTGATGAATGGTGATGATGGCCGCACTACACGACGAATGTATCCAATACCACTAAACCATATACTTTAAAATGGTCAAGACGGTACATTTTATGTTATGTGTACTTGCCCACAATTTTTAAAATGAGGAAAAGAAAGAGATGTCATCTGAAAGCTTGACTGAAAGATCAACTTCCAAAATGGTTCATTGACGTGGCTGTTCACCATCAATGAAGACCTCAGTTTCTCTCTGGCTATTGGCAGGAGGCTCCAGTTCCTAAGCAGGTGGGCTCTCCCTTGGCTGCTTGAATGTCCTCATGACATGGCAGCTGGCTTTCCTTAGAGCAAGAGAGCTAAGAGGGAGAGAGCCAGGAGGAGGCTGTATTGCCCCTTGATTCAATCTCCAAGCTCCTGCACCATTGCTACCCCCACTTCTATTTGTGAGACGAAAGCCGCTAAGTCCAGCCCATTCTCAAGGGAAAGAGATTAGGTTAGGCTCCATCCTTTAAAGAGAGGAGCATCGAGGCACTTGTGGACATATTTTTTAAATCTACCACACTCCCATAGAATTTATTTTTCCCAATACAGAACCCAGAGTGATCATTTATGTCAACTCTCTGCTCAGTGGCTTCTCATCTGATGCAAGTATTAATAAAAGCCAAATTCTTACCATGGGCCTCAGAACCCTGCATGCTCTAGTGCCTCTGCAAACTCTCGGACCTTACCTCCTATCCTTTTCCACTCCAGCCTCTCCAGCCTCCTCATTGCTCCTGCGTTCTGCCACTTCCTCAGGACTTTTGCATTTGCTGTTCTCTGCCTGGAATGCAGATTCTCCCAGCTGTCCAAATGGCTCATTATCTCATGTCCTTTAGGTTTTCACTCAAATGCCGCCATCTCAGTGAAGTCATCCCTGACCACTCCATATTTAAAATTGAAACTCTCCCACCTTACTTGTTGATATGGTTTGACTGTGTCCCCACCCAAATCTCATCTTGAATTGCAGCTCCCATAATTCCCTCGTGTTGTGGGAGGGACCCAGTGGGAGATAATTGAATCATGGGAGCGGTTTCCCCATACTGTTCTCATGATAGTGAATATGTCTCATGAGATCTGTTTTTTTTTTTTTTTTTTTGAGACAAAGTCTTGCTCTGTCATGCAGGCTGGAGTGCAGTGGTGCCATCTCAGCTCACTGCAACCTCCGCCTCCTGGGTTCAAGCGATTCACCTACCTCAGCCTCCCAAGTAGCTGGGATTACAGGCATGTGCCACCATGTCTGGCTGATTTTTGTATTTCTAGTAGAGACAGGGTTTCACCATTTTGGTCAGGCTGGTCTCGAACTCCTGACCTCAGGTGATCCAACCTCCTTGACCTTCCAAAGTGCTGGGATTACAGGCATGAGCCACTGCACCTGGCCAATCTGATGGTTTTATAAGGGGAAACCCCTATAGCTTATCTCTCATTCACTTCGCTTGTCTGCCACCATGTGAGATGTGCCTTTTACCTGCCGCTGTGATTGTGAGAACTCCCCAGCCACTTGAAACTGTGAGTCCATTAAATCTTTTTTTCTTATAAATTACCCAGTCTTGGATATGTCTTTATCAGCAGCGTGAAAAACGGACTAATACACTTGTACTACCTAACTCCCTCCCCTACTTTCTTTTCCTCCATAGCACTAATCCTTTCTGTCATCCTATATATTTTACCTAGTTCTATTCTTTTGTGTCTATCTCTCCCTTCTAGCACACAAGCTCCATATGGGTAAGCGTATCTGTTTTGTTCACTACTCTAAACCCAGTGTTCAAAACAGTGTCTGGGGCAAAAGAGGGACTCAGTAAATATTTCCTGAATGTTGGTAGCCAGAGGTAGAAAACACCTGAAGAATCATGCTTCCAAAATGAGAGTCCACTCTGGTCCTCAGAAGTTTATCTCAATGAGATAACCAATAAGAACTAAAAGCTGTTCCTCTAATTTGGACTACGTAACCATATTTTCATGGGCAACAAGCACCTATCTGCCATCGCTGCATCTTCTGCCAGGGCAAGTTGGATCAAGTGATGCACTGATAATGCAGAAAGCAAAAAAACATGTGCCAACTAAGGTTGGGGGTGCCCAGGTTGAATTCAGCAAGACTGGCAATGAACCACATGGTAACAAGGACATCTGCCTAGTGGAGTGAAGCAGAGTGAGTCCATGTAGGTTTTATTCTGTCTGTTGGGCAAGTTTAATGTCTCTCACAGTCTTGCCATCTTGAGTGCAGGCAATAGAACCAGCCTCTGCAGTGTGATTTGCCCTCCAGCTGCCCTCCAGGGCTTAAGCCCTGGTCCTCACTGCACAGCTTCACAAGTCAGTTGATGAAAATGCTGAGACTGCAAAAGGAAGCGTTGAAAGAATAATCTGCAAGGCACTGACGCTAATAAAAAGCAACTCAGAGCCTAGGTGTGGTGGCTCACACCTGTAATCCTAGCACTTTGGGAGGCAAAAGTGGGCAGATCACTTGAGGTCAGGAGTTCGAGAACAGCCTGGCCAACATGGTGAAACCCAGTCTCTACTAAAAATACAAAAATTAGCCAGGCATCGGGGTGGGTACCTGTGATCCCAGCTACTCAGGAGGCTGAGGTAGGAGAATTGCTTGAACCCGGGAGGCAGAGGTTGTGCTGAGCCAAGATCATGCCACTGCACTCCAGCCTGGGTGACAGAGTGAGACTCTGTCTCAAAGAAAGAAAGGAAAAAAAAAAAGCAATTCAGCTCTGAATGGTGGCAAGACAGGCTACCTGACCATGAGCACCACAGGAGGTAGCATGTCCTCCACAAGCTACCTTACAGCCTGCCCAAAAAGAGCTGGGGGTGGATATGTATTGACCATAATTACATAGACACAAATGGACCAAAAGCAGGGCAATTTTTCTGCAACAGGTTAGAAGAGGCATCTTAGAAAAAGCACAGGTTTTCTGGCCAGAGAGACCATGGACTATAATCCTGAGCCTCTTAATAAGTATTTGACCTTGGGCTGAAATGAGACTCCATTTCTTTCTCTGCAAAGTCGCAGAGGTAATACCTAATTAACTGGGCTGTTATGTTTGAAATGTGATTGTTAGTTATTTTTAAGTTATTGATACCAACTAAAGTAGAGCCTAATGATTGTTGTGAGGATCAAATGAAATGCCATGTTGTAAAAGGCCTGGAACAGAGTCAGCACTCAACAAACATTACTTCACTTTCTTCCCCCTACAACGCCTTTGCTCCTCTGTGGTGTTCTAGGGTGGACAACAGTCCTGCATTGCCCAGAACTGAGAAGTTTCCTGGGACAACGGACTCTCAGTGCTAAAACTGGAATAGCCTGGGCAAACCAGCATGGTTGATAGTTCTAGTGCCACTTCACTTCCTGTTAAAGCTCAGACAAGACAACTGCCAACATTTTTTCTTTTTCCCCTTCGGATTCATTGAAAGAATCAGAATCTTTTCTTGTTCCACCAAAACCTAAACAAGACAGCCTGGACCAAGGATTCTTAACCTTTTGGAGGCCAATGATCTCCTTCAGAATCTCATGAAAGCAATAATAGTTAGAGCTGATATTTATTGAGTTGTGTGTGTGTCAGGCACTCTTCTAAATTAAAGGAGATTAAGTTAGTAACCCAAATGTATTAATTCATTTATGCTTTGTAAAAACTCAGTGAAGTAGGTACTGTTCTTTTACCCATCTTACACATGAAAAAAACAAGGCATGGAGAAAGTGACAGACACAGTGGAGGAGTCGGGATTCAGGCTCAGTCTGGCCTTAGAGATCATCCCTTGACCCGCAGCAGCCTGCCATTCTTTACATAGTCTTTCCAGAAAGAAACACACCAAGGCAGGCACAAAATTGGCGCATAGTTTCAGAGGACTGAGAGACGCTTTCATAGGTCCTCGATTAGGAACTGTAATCCATGCTGTATATTTTATGGAAAGTTCTCCCTCAAAAAATAATAAAATAGCCAGTGTGGCGGCTCAGGCCTGTAATCCTAGCACTTTGGGAGGTCGAGGTGGGCAGATCCCTTGAGGCCAAGAGTTCGGGACTAGCCTGGCCAACATGGTGAAACCCCATCTCTACTAAAAATACAAAAATTAGCCGGATGTGCCTGTAATTCCAGCTACTTGGGAGGCTGAGGCAGGAGAATCTCTTGAATCCAGGAGACAGAGGTTGCAGTGAGCCGAGATCATGCCACTGGACTCCAGCCTGGGTGACAGAACAAGACTCCATCTCAAAAATAATAATAATAATAAAATAAATATTGTTGCCTGCATCATCTTTGCTTGAGCCTCTCTTAAAAGGGAATGGATTTTTTTTTCAAACAAATGCGAGTGACTGTGGTTTTTTTGAAGAGCAGTTCATTGTCGCAGTGTTCAACACTATAATTTCATTCCTGAAACATACAAATTTAACTAGAATGGTGAATTAGATGTTTGTAGTTAAAGAGAGGAGATACTTCCATAGAAACACTTCCATAGAAAGTTATTTCATTTGTATATTTTTTATTCCACTTCTAGAAGGCAAATAACAAAAACAGATTGATAGCAACATTTATTTTTAAAAGCAACCTCTGGGACGCTTTCTGGGTTGTTGCAAATTGACCCCAAATATCTGCACCTGCCTACTGTTTCAGAGATCGTGTTATGTGACCAGATACACGTTACTTAACACTTCTAGGCCTCAGTTTTTCCTAACAGATTAATTGGACTGGATTTACTCTGAGGTGTCTTTCAAATCTAAAAATTCTATAATTATCGGACTCCATGTGAAGAACCATAACCCTGAGACACAACAAGTTTATTAAATCAGAAAAAAAGCCTTCTATTATGCCCACCAGGATACTTCCTACAGACAAAATTCTTTTGAACTAGTACATTTAAAAGATTGCAATACTAAATTGCTAAATATACTTTTAAATGGATTTAAAGTTGTTAGTATTTTTATTTCTAATGTTTGTTTATTTATTTATTTACTTATTTACTTATTGAGACAGAGTATTGTTCTGTCTCCCAGGCTAGAGTGCAGTGATGCGATCTCAGCTCACTGCAACCTCTACCTCCCTGGTTCAAATGATTCTTCTGCCTCAGCTTCCCAAGTAGCTGGGATTACAGGCCCGTGCCACTACAAAGGTGTTAGTATTTTTAATGGGCCTATAGTATATGTTTGCTGTATTATTTGAGAACATTCAATATTGCCTTCTAAGGCAAAACAGATAAAGGTGAATGAAACTCATAAATGTTTAATGTACTGAGTAAGCAAGTAGCTTGGAAGACATAAACAGAATTCATAAGCCATGTCATCTATAGATGGTAAGTTAGTAACCTGTAGAGCAGATAGAAAGGAAGCATGGAATATATGATAAAGTGGATGGAACAAGTGAGCATGATATTTACAGGTAGAAAAGGAGGAAAGGAGCAAGTCATTAGGAAGGACCATGCCACCAGGCCGACAGCTACATTATCTGTAAATCAGTTACTCATGGAGATGTCTCATTCTGGCTCCACGTTTGCTCTGTTCCAGAGATGCTGGTAAAACCCAGAGCTGCTCAACAGGCTGACCAGAAAGCAATGCCTGTGGCCGGGTGCATCTGCTCCCTGTGTCTCCCTAGAAGACACAGTTCAGTGTTTGTGTTAGCTCCAGGAACCTTCTGAGGGCTGAGCTCCCCTTTTCAACCTCAATTCTGGTCCCTGTAACCACACCAATAGGGGAGAAAGCTGACGTAGAGATGAGAGAAAGAGACAGAGAGAGGGGAAGGTGATGGATGGAGGAGGGCAGAACAGATGAGCACTGCTTAACTCAAGACTCAAGTGTGGTTCTTCCCCTTCATTTGTATCTTATCCAAAATACGTAAACTTGCCCACCTTTTTCTCTGTGTCTTTTAAATTGATTTAATCAACTGTGTGGACTTGAGTATCCTGCTGCGAAGCTTCGTGTTTCACGACCTCTGTGATAGTTTGTCTAGTACTAGACTTGAAAGTTACCATTACATTAAAATATTTTCCCACATGATGATATCTTGTCAGATCGCCACACCCATTTCGTTCTCGCACTGGGCTAGAGCAGATCCTGGGAGGGCCCGGCTCTGTGCTAGTAAAATGACAACATGGGACTGTGCTGTTGATTTTTCCAAGAAGTACCCTGTACCTGAAGAAGACTAAAATATGACTAAAAGGGGAAGAAAATAACAATAAGATCTCTGAGACAGGTGAGAAGAAATACGATCAAAATTGAAGTACCAGTCTCTCACTCACTGTCCTTCCCAGTCCCCATCCTTAGGGCTTTGATTGTGCCAGGATGGACATTGACTTTAAGAGACTGCCATTCAGTGTCTGGAAGTTGTCTCCTATGCTGCGCTATGCCATACTGAGCTCACCATCCTAAGAGCTGTGAGACCACTCAGTTCACCTTTGGGAAGATGACTTGGTTATAAAAAAAATTTAGTAGAAAAATAAATAATTCTGACATCAATTTTCTGTTTAGACTTGATAAGGCTGTGTCTTTCCTTCCGGACTTTATCATCCTCATACAAGCAAGAAGCCCTTGGTGAGCTCAGAGGGCTGTTGTCTGCCTGCACAGAACTAAAAATATACTTCCCGATGACTTCCAGCCAGGCTTGTCTCTCCTTCTAAGAGCCTTTTCTGCAAACAAAAGCAAAACTCCCCAATACACCAGGATCATGCCTGCCTCCTACCAGCTTGACCATGGTGAGGAGACTGGTCTCGGTAAGCCTACAGAGACATGAGGACTACAGAAAAACTCATTCCCAAAATGCAGCAACAGCATCTACCTTCTGTGCAGAGGCTTCAGAATGTAGTGGGTGCTAAGTAGGAACTATCCAAGGAGGTGGCTGGGGAGTTGGGGACAGGGAGGACCCATGTGGTTGGCAGTAAGGAAAGGACAAGGGAACTACATTTAGTCCTGATGCTTGAATTCCAGCCATGAAGGTTAAGGCCATGTCTACTCACTTATCTCATGCCTCCACCTCCTCCTGGGCCAATTAGTCTAGAGCAGTGGTGTCCAGTGGAACTTTCTGCAATGACGGAAATGTGCTAGATTTGCACTGTCCAATACATTAGTCACCAGTCACATGTCGTTGCCGAACTGTTCAAATGTGGCTAGCACAACTGAATTTTTAATTTTATTTAATTTTAATTAACTTAAATTTAAGCACCCACATATGGCTAGTGTTACCATATTGGACAGTACAGATCAAGAGCAAAAGATGGTCTTTGGAATCAAACTTGGATTTGAATCCTGGCTTTGTTGCTCACTAGCTGTATGGCCTTTGACAAGTCACTCAATCTATAGAAGCCTCCGTTTCCCCATATGTAAAATCAGACTTATGACACCTCCTTCAACAGATTGTTATGAGGATTAAGTAAGCTAATACATGGAAAGCACTTGGCACTTTGCTGCTCAATACACACCCAGCTTCCTCCCAATCAAACTTAAATTAAATATTGAAACATTTGGCAATGTCTGGAAAAACCCTGAGTTGCTACGAATGGGCAGGTGCTACTGGTACCAAGTAGGGAGAGATCAAGAATTTCGCTAAACATCCTACAATGCACATGACTACTTCCCCACCCCGCCCCCAAACAGTGAATTATCTGCCCCAAATGTCAACAGCACCTAGGTTAAGAAACTTTTATGTAGACACACCCTAAGAATGAGACTATGAAATACAGAGCCATTTAAAGATCTCACCTCATGATTCCCTTGAGCCTTCCTTCCATTCCTCAAGAACCTCTCTCCACCTTTTACCAACCATCCTCCAAACTTCTACCTATATCAAAAACCCCAAACGTGGTAAATTTTCTAAAGAATATATAGACAGCCATGTTTATAGAGGCAAAATTCACTTCAGCAAATACAGTCAACGTCAAGAATTGCCCCTACCTCCACATTTGCTGATCTCTCTGCCTGGAGCACTCCTCCCCTAGATATTTTCTTGGATTGCTTCTTCATCCCCTAACACTTATGAACTTTATCTCCTCAAATGTCATTTACCAAAGAGGCTTTCTCTGACTATCTTCTCAAAAATAGCACCCTACCCTATCCCGCCATTGTCTACTCTTATCCTGCCACTGAAACACCTGACGACACTCCATGCTGATTTGCTTAGAATGGAAGATCCTCAGAGCATGGATTTTGTCTTCTCCAGTGTATCCCCAGGGCCCAGCACTGTGCCTATCACATAGTTGAAGCCCAGGAAACAGTTGTCAAATGAGTAAAAAAAAATATGTCTAACCCAGTCTAATGGCTCCCATATTTCAGGTGGCATTCAATGCAATAATTTCCTCAAATATAAAAAAAAAATGTTTAAGTCACTTGGAGTTCTCAATAATAGGAGCTGATCCTGTCAGAGAGTAGCATGGGGCACGTACCTGAATTTGGGGGAAATGAGCAAGTAAAAAACCATGCCTACTGTGGCAAAATGGGAATTTTCCTCTTGTTCCTTTTTTTGTTTTGCTTTGAAGTACAAAATGTTCTCTTAGATTTATTTCTTCTAACAACCCAGTTTTACAGAACTGTACAAAAAGTTTGGACAATTTTATCAAAATTGGTTTTTAAATAATACAATGTACTTTTAAAACTAATCATTTTACAGTCTGCTTCCACTGTTGGGAGAAACTCTGCCAAATAAATGGGATCTCCTCCCAGTAGGGAATTTCTCACTGGGGAGAGAGGCCATGTTATTCCCTTTGGGCTCCCATGGGTAGCCCAGGGACTGGCCCATGGCAGGAGTTTGGCCAGCACCTGATTCTGCCCTTCCTACTACTGTTTCCCCTTCACCTGTGAAATAAGCAGCCAAGTCCTGGGAGACCTCCTTCCAGGCGACATGATCCCTGAGAAAGCAATTGCTGAGACACTGTAAAGCTTGGTCCTGGGCTCCACTTTGCTCCAGCCTCCTATCCATCTGGAAACCAGGGCTCTTGGTCACCTGCCCCTTACATCCTTGGCTCTTCCAGAGGCTTCGTTCAAATGGGCCTGCCTCTTGCCTGGACCATGCCTTCTGTTATGCTGCTGCTGCTGCCATTTCCTGCCAATGAGGCGTGATTTACACTTCCCTCAAGGCCTTGTTTGCTATTTTTTCTGCCCTACCTGGTTCTGCCATGATTTCCCATCAGCACTGGCTAAGGGAAAGTTGACTAAAATCCAACATCTCTTTTTACTACTTAGGCAAAGATCCGTCTATATGCAAAGCTCTCTCTGCAGCACTCTTGGTTTTTGTACCATTCTGGTATTCCCAACATGAACTTCTTTTGCTAGATACACTGACTTCATAGTTCTGTTTAACCTCTGGATAACTTCAGTGTCATTTCAAAGTCACTTAGTTGGTCACAATTATTGCTTAGTTTTCTACCTACACAAGGTAGAAATCCCTACTGTATCTAACTCTGAAGATAAGAGCATGTGTTTTTTCTAGCTGGAAATTGTAGTCATAATATTCTTTATATTGTTAAGGTGCTTTGTGTTTTTCAAAGATGTTTCTTATACTGATCTCAATGATAACACAGAAAAAGATTGTAAGATTTCCAAGGGCAGGAACCATCTCTAGCTTATTCATTACAGAGTAGGTATTTCAAGTATGTTTCCTAAATGGTGTGCTCCATTTGCATTTCCTTGGATTCATCCTGGATTAGACACCAGGAGACCTGATTTCTGATGCTGGTTTGTTTAGAGTCTGCCAACACTGTCCAATAGAATTGGAAGGCTAGTCAACATACCACTTAAATGTTCTAGTAGCCATACTTTTTAAAACAAGCGAAAAATACATTTTAATAATATATTTTACTTGATATACACCAACTATTATCTTCTCATCATGTAATCAATATAAAAAATTAATAAGATATTTATATCTTTTTCTTCACACAAGTCTTAGAAATTCAGGATTTATAGTGATAGCACATCTCAATTTGGACTAGCCACATTTTAAAAAAATAGATTTTATTTTTTAGAATAATTTTCAATTCACAGCAAAATTGAGCAGAAGGTACAGAGAGTCTGCATATGCCCCTCCACGCACAGCACTACAGCGGAGCATTTGTTACCACTGATGAAGCCACACTGACACATAGTTATCACCCAAAGTCCATAGTTTACATTAGGGTTCACTCTTGGTATTGAACAGTCTATAGATTTTGACAGATGTATATTGATATTTATTCACCATAACAATCAGAGTAGTTTCACTGCTATAAAAATCCTGCATTCCACCTCTTCATCCCTCTCTCCCCTATAATCCATGGCAACAGCTAATCTTCTACTATCTCCATAGTTTTGCTTTTTTCCAGAATGTCCTATATTGAAATCATATAGTAGCAATCTTTCCAATTGACTTTTTTATTTAATAGTATGAATTTAAGATTCCTCTATATCTTTTCAATCTTTATAGCTCATTTCTTTTTAGTGCTGAATAATATTCTACTATCTGAATGTGCCACAGTTTATTTATCCATCTACCTACTGAAGGACATCTTGGTTGCTTCCCAGTTTGGGCAATTATGAATAAAGCTGCTATAAACATCTTTGTGCAGGTTTTTATGTGGACATAGCTTCAAACTCATTTGGTACAATACCATAGAGCACAATTGCTAGATGGTATAATAAGAGAATGTTTAGTTTTGTGAGAAACTATCCAACTGTCTTCCCAAGTGGCTGTTCCATTTTTTATTCCTATCAGCAACCAATGAGAGCTCCTGTTACTCTGCATCCTCACCAGCATTTGGTGTTGTCAGTGTTCTGGATTTTGGTGTGTTTCATTTGCATCTCCCTGGTAATCTAGGATGTGGAGCACCTTTTCATATACATATTTGCCATCTGTATTAGTCCATTTTCATGCTGCTGACAAAGACATACCCAAGGCTGGGCAATTTACAAAAGACAGAGGTTTATTGGACTTACAGTTCCACGTGGCCGGAGAGGCCTCACAATCATGGCAGAAGGTGAAAGACACGTCTCATATGGTGGCAGCAAGAGAGAGAATGAGAGCCACACCAAACGGGTTTCCCCTTATCAAACCATGAGATCTCGTGAGACTTATTCACTACGACAAGAACAGTATAAGGGAAACCACTCCCATGATTCAATTACCTCCCACTGGATCCCTGCCACAATAGGTGGGAATTATGGGAGTACAATTCAAGATGAGATTTGGGTGGGGACACAGAGCCAAACCATATCACCATCTGTATATCGTCGTTGGTGGGATGTCTGTGAAGGTTTTTGACCCATTTTTTTAATCGGATTGTTTGTTTTCTCACTGTTGAGTTTTAAGGGCTCTTTGTATATTTTGTATAACAGTTTTTAAATCAGATATTTCTTTGCAAGATTTTCTCTCAGTTTGTGGCTTGTATTCTCTCTCTCTCTCTTTTTCTTTTTTGCTGGACTAGCCACATTTCAAGTACCTAGTAGCCACATGTTATTAGTGGCTACTGTACTGGACAGTACAACTTTAGAGGGATTAACCTGGTAATGAGATGCAGTCATTTGACCTCTGTGATAGGATATCCAAAAGGAAATACCTAGACTGGTCACAGTGGCTCACACCCGTAATCCCAGCACTTTGGGAGGCCAAGGCAGCAGGATAGTTTGAGGTCTGGGCAATGTAGCAAAACCTCATTAAAAAAAAAAAAGTTAGCTGGCTGTGGTGGCATTTCCCTGTAGTCCCAGCTACTTGGGAGGATTGCTTGAGTCGAGGAGTTTAAGGCTGAAGTGAGCTATGATTATGCCACTGCACTCCAGCCTGGGTGACAAAGCAACAACTTGACTCTAATTAAAAAAGAAATAAGTAAATAAATAAATAAAAGAAATACCTAATTGGTGATTGTTAGGTCCAGGAAGCTAGAGCTCAGAAGAGAGGTCGAGACAGAATTTAAAGACTTTGGAGTTATCGGCAATTAGGTGGTAGCTGAAGCATGTAAGTGTATGAGACTACCCAAGGAAAGAATATTGACTGGGAAGAGAAGAGGGTCTAGAACTGATTTCCAAATTACCTGCCTACCAAACATCTCCACTTATGTGATAGGAAATATTCTCAAACTTGGACTATCCCCAGCTCAATTCATTCTTTCCCCCTTCTTATTCTCCCTCAAACTTTCTTACCCATTCACCAACTTGCACAAGCTGGAAATCTAGAAGTCATCCTCAACTCCTTCTCCATCAGCCCCCAGGGCCCATCTGTGGCCAGCTCCTGCTGATTCTATATCCTAAATTGCTCTTGCATCTGTCCCCTATTTTCATCCCCATTTCATCATCTCTTACCTGGATCACTGCCATAGCTCCCTAACTGGCCTCTCTGTCTCCAGTCAGGCCTCACTGCAATACATTCTGCACAATGATGCCACAGCGATCATTTAAAAGGTAAATCTGATCATGTCAGTTCTCTGACTTAAAATCCTTCAATGACTCACCATTACATTCATAATAAAGTCTAACTTCATCATGGCATACGAGGTTCTCATGTTTACCTTCCCAGCTGCATGCACACATACCCTGAGCTCCAACCACACGAACTGCCTACCAATTACCCAATTGTTCTCTCACTTGCTCTCACTCTCTTGTTCTCATTCTTGCACACACTTCCTTCTGCCTTCCTTCCACACCCTTGCTCTCTATATGAAGCTGGGCATCTTCTCCCATATTACCACAGCATGACTTTAGTATTATTTTGTAAGTGTTGTATATTCGTCTGTCTCTGCACCTAGACTGTGAACTCTCTGAGGCCAGGGATTGTATCTGTCATCTCTGTATTCCCAAAACTTTACCCAGTGCTTGACAGAAGGTGCTTGATACATTTTATGGAATAAAAGAGCAGAAGGGCCAACCCAGTACCCAAGAATGATCAGGCAAGCCTATCACATAATATCACTCAAGGAATTTATCCAGGGTTAAACTGTTGGGAGAGAGGAGGAAGTGGCTCCAGAAGTATTGGAGGAGTGAAACATTTAATGCTAAGTGGTAATATATGGGATTTTTTATGGCTTTACTGTGGCTTAGTGACCAAATTAGAGACAGTGTGGTTAGGGAATTAACATCTGCAACACACAAACCCACTATCTCAGTCCTTTTTGTGCTGCTGTAACAAAATATCATATAACAAATTACCCATAGACTGGGTAATTCGTAAGAAACAGAATTTTTTTTCTCACAGTTCTGAGGGCTGGAAAGTCCAAGACTAAGCCACCAGCAGATTCAGTGTCTGGTGAGGGCCCCATCTCTCTACTTCCAAGATGGCGCCTTGTTCTCCATCCTCATGTGGAGGAAGGGTCAAAGAGCAAAAGGGATGAACCCTGTGGGAAGCCTTAATCCTATTTATGAGGAAGAAGCCCTCAAGACCTGATTCACCCCCTAATTCATCCCCTAAAGGCCCCACTTCTTAATACTATTGCATTGGATATTCAGTTTGAACACGAATTTTGCAGGGGACACAAACTTTCAAACCATAACACCCAGCAAAACTCCTGGCTTGTTCCTGTGCACAGTCCCTCCTTTCTGTTGTCCTTCATCTGCCATTCCAGAATGGAGCCTCACATACTTCCACTGGGTCCCCAGCTTCATTTGGCGGGCCCTGTATTTTGATGGAGGGTGTCCCTTCAAGGAATTCTTGAGTCCACAATAAATTCCTTCCGGGCCTTTGGAGTCAGAATGTCTTACTTTAGTTGGGACCTAGAGAATTCTCCAGAACTGAGGAGAATTACCTCAGTCCACCCTGGGTAACAGTGTGGGAGAACTGAGACAAACATTTTGGATTGACCTGGTGGGGATGTGGCTTTGAGCTGGCATCAGAAGTTAACAAAAGAAATGAGTGGGTTGAAATTGGCTGATGGGAATCCAGTGTGTCGCTTAGTGCAGCATCCATGTCACACAGGGTTTCTTACTGCACTCAGTGATTACATCTTCCCAGGGAAGCCTTCCTTGCGCCCAACTTTCAGACACCCACGTCCTTCCATTACTGTCCTTACTAATATGAGCTATGATTCCTTGTATAGACATCTATCTACTCTCCAGAGTACAAATCTTGCCTTCTTTGGAGAGAAAACAGAGTATTAACAATTTGGGTGCCAGAATCAGACAGACCTAAGTTTGAATCCTGGCTCCACCAATTACTGCTTGTTAAGGTCTTGGGCAAATTGACTCCTGTGTGCCCCAGTTGACTTGTATTAGTTTTCTGTAGCTGCTGTAACAAAGTACCACAAGCTTGGTGGCTTAAAATGACAAAAATGTCTTCTCTCACAATTCTGGAGACAAGGAGTTGGAAATCAGTGTGAGTCGGCTGAAACGAAGGTCTCGGCAGGGCCGTGCTCCCTCTGGAGGCTCCAGGAGAGAATTCTCTCCCTGCCTCTTCCAGTTTCGGATGGCTGCGGACATTCTTCCACCCGACTGCCTCACTCCAGTCTTTGCCTCTGTGGTCACATTGCCTTCTCCTATTCCATGTGTATCGAATCGCCCTCTGCCTCGTCACATGAATCTTATCAGAGGATGTATGTGACAGCATTTAGGGCCCATCTGGATAATCCAGGAAAATCTCCCCATCGCAAAATCCTTAGCTTACTCACCTCTGCAAAGACTCTTTTCCCAAATAAGATAACACTTACAAATTCCAGTTGTTTGAACCTGACATTTTAGGGGCTGCCATTCAGTCTACTACATTCCCTAACCGTGAGTTATATATGTATTAAAATATTATTTTTATATTTTACTATTTAACTGTAAATGAAAATAGATGTCCTATTCAAAATCTGGATATGAATTGTTTTTGTCTGAGTTCCCCCGTCCCCACTCCCCCTGAGCAGGCTGGAGACCAAGGACGTGCATGCAAGTAGTTGGGGCGTGGGGGAAGTGGTCCCAGGAAACAGGAGGGTGGAACTAGGAACAGTTAGACGGAAATGGAGGGAAAGTCAATATAAGCGTACATTATTGAGCTAGCCTTTCTGGGCAGCTGGAGCTCAACCTTGCTGGTACCCTCTGAGGAGCTGTGTAGATGACCTCTGAGTTGTCCTTTTGAGGGATAGAGGATGGGAGCATTTATCCACCATCACTCATCTTCCATGGGTCCCGTGAGCAGCTTCCCCACACTTTCAAGCTTGAGCACACATCAGAATAGTTGAGCAATTTCCCACAGGTAAAATCCTTGGCAGAAGCAGTGAAACCCCAGGGCAGAAAGCGAGAGATAAGTGGTATAGCTGAAACAAGGTACTGCCAACTTATACCTGGAGGAAACTGGTTGTCATGGCAACAGCTAGACTAAAAAGATGAGTCAAGAAGATATCAGATGAGGCATACAACAGTCCTGTACGTTTAGGGTTGTTGTAAGGATTAAATACCACAAAGTATGTATCTAATACATGGTAAACCTTCAAAAGAAACAGCCATTATTTTGGTTAACGTGGTTACTAAATACCTGTCCTTATATCACATGCCTAGCATAGTGCCTAGCACATGGGAAACTTGCAATATATCTTTGCTGGCTGGAAGGCTGAAGGAATGGAAGGAAGGATAAGTGGATGGATGGATAGGTAGATGGATGGATAGGTGAATGGATGGGTGGATGAGTGAGTGGACTGACAAAAGCAAACGAACATACCAGCGTATGTGCTTTGATATTTTCTCAGAAAGAAGCCACAAGTGTCTCTCTAATTAATAAATCAAGTAGTCAGATGTAGGAGCTGTGATGCCTCGGAAGAACATAATAAATATATAGCACCTGAGATTAATGCTCTCTTAACTTAACTGGTAAATTTCTTTTCTTCCACTACAACTGAAGTTCAATTCACTTAGAATTTCCATTGCCCTGGACAATTTTGAGATTCAGATCTCAGCTGGTTTTTTTGTTTGTTTGTTTGTTTTGTATTTGTTTTGAGAAGGAGTCTTGCTCTTGTCGCTAAGGCTGGAGTGCAATGGCACAATCTCGGCTCACTGCAACCTCCGCCTCCCAGGTTCAAGCTATTCTCCCGCCTCAGCCTCCAGAGTAGCTGGGATTACAGGCACCTGCCATCATGCCTGGCTAATTTTTGTATTTTTGTAGAGACGGGGTTTCACCATGTTAGCCAAGCTGGCCTTGAACTCCTGATGTCAGGTGATCTGCCCACCTCAGCCTCCAAAAGTGCTGGGATTATAGGCATGAGCCACCACACTCAGACAGATCTCAGCTGTTTTAATCTGGCTGGGAGTAAATTAGGAACCTCATGGTATCATGTGCTGGAAGCAACTTGACTTTTGATCTTAGAGTGAAATATTTTCTTTAGACCCATGTGCACTCTATTTTTACCCTCATTCTGGGGTGCAGGATTACAGACGAGCAACTTGACAATAGTCTTGTGAGAGGGAGTATATGCTTCCTCATGTCGTCATCATCTTAAACACTTCATGCTTCACCAAAGCTTACTAGGCAGCACCGCTTGTGTTGGGATCTAAGAATAAAAGATTCATACTTCTGTCCTGAATGAATGCACATCCTATTTGAAGAGATAGTGTTGTTACATAAAAATAAATAATGTTGTTAGACACTTATCATGAGGGCCTAGTGAATGCTCCCGACAAAACTCCTGAAGTTCTGGAATGGAGGAAGGGTACTGCAAGTTAGGGAAGCTCATCAAATCTTCCTGAAAGAGATAGAGCAAGCTCAGGCCTTGAAGAGAGTATAGGTGTGGATACTTTGAAAGCGGGCAGGAGGAAGCAATTCCAGGCAAGAGGAATCGTGTTGGGTAAGAACTCATGACTCTTTCAGGGGAGCTCAGGCCAGGGGCTTTTAAGCAGATGAGCCTGCAAACAAGAGAGGAAAAAGTATTAGTGCTCTCCCATTCATCATAGCACAAAGAAGAAAGGCTGCTACGCAGAGCAGAGCCAGTCCACCTATTTGTGATCTGGTGGCTACAGTGCCAAGAACAACTTAATTTGGGGCTTAGGCTAGTGAGATCACACTTGGCTAACTTTCCTCCAGCCAGATCATGGTTGGAGGATGCTCTCCGGAAGACTGTTAGGAAACAAAGTCCTTCCTCTCTTAATCTTTTAACCATATGCGTTCCATCTCCCCTGCCTCTGCCTGGTCTTCAGTTGAAGGAAAAGATTATCCTCCTGGGTTTACTCATTTATTCATCTGTTCATTCAACAAATATTTATTGAGCATCCACTTTGTGCTAGACTCTGCCAGGCACTGGGAAGTCAGTGGCAAACATCTTTGATAAAGGCAGAGTTTTAAGATGTAAATATGGGGGGTTGCTTAATCAGAAAGAGGGGGAAACCTGAGCTAAGCTGAGAGTTGCTCAGCTGAGAGGACAGCAGGATGAGCTAGAGTCAGTCCGGTGAAAATGTGGGGCAAGATCATTCCAGAGACAGGGAACAGATCCTCTAATGACCTTGTGATGGAAGAGAGCAAAACTCATTTGGGGAACCAAGAGAAGGCCAGCTGAGACCAGGGCAGAAAGACCAAAAGGAGTAGAGGGCAGGATGAGTTTGGAGAGGCAGACATGGCCTGATGAGGTAAGACCTTGTGGTCCAGGCCACGGATTTTGGCTGTTAGCCTAAGAGTGATGGGGAGCCATCAGTGACCCAAGTGAGTGCTGTTTCTGTGAAGCAACAGAGTTGGCTACCAGGCTGGAGTGGAGTTAGTACATGCTTTGCTAGTGTTAGTGGCTCAGGCATCTGGCTTTGTGATAGTAAAATATAAAATAGTTTGGCATATCAGTCTGCAGAGAATGAGAAAAGGGAGCAGAGAAGGGTATGATGATTCTTTTTAAGAGCATAATGTCAAAATTACACACACTATTTCTGCTCACATCCTATTAACCATAATATTCTCTTGGCCTCTCCTAGCTACAAGGAAAGCTGGGAAATGTGGTCTTTCTCCTAAGCAGCACTACACCTGGAGCTAAAATTTCTACCACTTCTCCATAGAAGAGAGAATGATTGTTGGGGAAGAGTTGACAGTCTCTGTCATAGGGCCCTCACTGATCTTTTCAGTCAAGGCCAATTAATAATACAGACATGCAGTCATTCAGTGAGCGCCTACTGTATGCCATGCTCTGAGCCCTATGCAGAGATTATACAGATGAATGAGGCACAATAACTACATTCAAGTAGCTCATAATCTAGTGTAGTGGAACTCAAACTGGGTCCCTTAGTCACCTGGGAGGTATTAAATATCTCAATGCTCAGGTCTCACCTCTTGCCAATTAAATCAGAACCTCTGAGGATGAGACCCTATTATTGGCCATATCTTAAAACCCCCCGGTGCTTCCAGCATGCCAGTCTTCCACTGCTGATTTAGTGGGAAGAGAGATAGGTTAACAAATGGCTGCAACATAAGGCAATAGTGCTCTAATAGAGAAAAATACAATCTCTGTGGGAACCAGTGTGATTCCTTGAATAGACAAGGGTCATCAGAGAAGCCTGCACAAAAGAGGTGATACATGAGCAGAGTCTTAGAAGATCAGTGGCTGTTTGCCTGTTTGCCAGATGGGCATGGTTGGGAAGGGCATTCTGATAAAGGAGCATGTACAAAAGCATGGATCTACAAACCATTTTGGAACTCCAAAGTCAATAGATATCTTTTCTCCAAGTTATACTGGACCATAGACCAGTCAGAGTCCAGGTCATGGTACCTGAAAGCAACTCCCAGTCTGCAAATGACTAAATATTTAACATTTTATACTTATTCCCTTACCAGTACCTATAAACACTTGGTCTTGTAGGTTCCTGGGGTATCTCTGAGTCCCGTGGCTATGGGATGATGAGGCAGAATATCTTTCTGATGGGTCACGGTAAGGGCACCACCAAATAGAATGGATGTCAACTGGATGCCAGCTGGAATAGATTCCTGGAGATCCTCTGCAGTGTCCACGTTTAAGCCTTTAATTGCTAGAACATGGGGAGCTCCAGAGGCTAGCAGGGGGTGGTGGGGGGGGATCTTAAGGGTTGAATTCAGAAGGCCAGGTTAGCAGGGGTGCACTCTGGGGGCTCAGATATTTTAGAAAATGATATAACTACACAGTTGCATGCTAGCTTTATGTCAGCCCTGGGCCAGGGGACCCATGGAGCATCAGATAGTCAGCTATTATTCTAGTCACATGCAGATGTTAATGATGCTGAGGTGAGTGAGGCCACCAACAAAGTAGAGATAAGGCAAGTGATGGGGGCATCAAGAAGGAATACTAGAGCATTAATGGAGTGGAGTAGGGAAATGTAGGGCAAGAGTGATGGAAGAAAGGAAGACATCATGGAAGTCAGGAGCCCCGTGAAAGGCTGCAGCTGGAAGCTCCTGGCATCAAATCACTAGCAAATATTTCTCTGCAGCCTCCTTCAGTCCTGTCCAGTCTTTGACCTAGGCTGAGGTTGCGCAAAATGGCAAGGATCAGACCTCTGGTATGGCCAGAGTTTTCTAGCTCAATCCCCAGTGACTCAGAAGGACAGAGAAGTGAAGCAAGGAATGTGCCGAACATGGCTGTCACCTATGAATGCACACAGCTGGCCAAGAGAGGAAGGTCCAGGGAAGAGTGACTTATGTCAGGCTCAGCTTTGGCCTCTTATCCAAAATGTGGAGTGGACAATAGGGAGCCATTGTGTATCCAATCAACTCTCATTTATCCAGGGGCATATTCTCCACTCTGTGGGTTCCCTCTACTTTCTTTGAGTTTCCTCCAGCTGTCTGCCCTTTGACCGTTTTCCTGCCCATCAGAGCCACAGTCAGAGGGTGGGAAGGTGGAAGAAGGGGGAGGAAGTAAATTTCAGATCAGTCATTTCATAGCTATTCCTCAGACATTCTTGCAAAAGGGAGAGAGTCACTGGTTAAACTAACATTCAGTTTATTTGGGGTTTTAATTTATCAGGCTCTGCCTCATCCTTCATTAGCATGGATAATTGGTAATTGGTTAAGTAATATTTATTCAATCTGTGGCGCCTCAACTATTGTAGCTGCCTTGTTTCATTTGAAAAATAGCCTGCATTAGTAAAAGCTATATTGAAATGATTTTCTTAATGCACTTAGAGCTCTGCTATTTTAGCATAAAACCTATATCTGCATTCCCTATTTGTAGGGGGAAGAGGTTGAAGTAGTTGGAGTAACCACCAATATGTGGGGTTCATGTCCTTTGGAATATTTAAGTAAAATGCTTTAAAGTTATATTTGTCTCACTTTCGAGTAAAGCAATCCAAATCCGAAACAGATTTGCATGGATGTTTTTAAAGATCTCCCCTGAGGTTTTTGTGTGGTCAAGGTGAAAGTGGGGCATAGGTTTCTGATTCCTTTCCTACCACTGATCCCCTTACTGTGGACATCTTAGTTTACTCCCTTGCATAAAACAAAGGTCATTCTTTTCCTTACTGGAGTTAAAAAAAAGTTGAACTAACTTATGTCTATACAGAAAAAAAGGTAATTGCATTTGGAGGCATCTCTCAAGTTTATAATAGCATTTAAAATGAAACCTTACAGCTAGGCAAAATAGGGTGAGATAGATGACTTGGTTTTATTACCAGGCTACAGTGTAAGGGAAGCAGAATTTACACTCTAAAATTGAAACAAAAGTTTGGTGTTAAAAAAAAAATCTACCAAATCGTAGTGGGTTGCTTTTGGGTTTTGGGTTTGGTTTTGTTTTGTTTTTTGTTTGTTTGTTTGGTACTTTTAACTATGGATAATTCATAGTGTTTTGAATTGCTTAGAATTAATATATTTTTTAAAAGAGTAGGACCAGCTGCCATGAACCACAGCAGAGTTAGGCTGAGATCTGGACTGGTTAAGTGCTGAGGCTTTGGATTCAGAATAGAGCAGCCAAGATTTGAGCAGGGCTGAAGCCAACCCCGTTGCCCACAAGTACAAATCTGCCCTGTGGCCAAGGGGACCTGAGACTGGGTTTGACCCCTAACTTTGCCACTTATTTGCCAGCTGTTAGTAACCCTCTGAGCCTCAGTTTTATGATCTAATGAGTGGGAGTGATAAGGGCTCCTGCCTTCTAGTGTTTGGGGAGGGACTAAAT
Source organism: Homo sapiens (assembly GCF_000001405.40). Classification (NCBI taxonomy): domain Eukaryota; kingdom Metazoa; phylum Chordata; class Mammalia; order Primates; family Hominidae; genus Homo; species Homo sapiens. Next base: position 41,821,418 of record NC_000004.12, read on the forward strand.
GCCAGAACTCTTAGCATGATGCCTGGCACAAAATAAGTGCTCAATAATGTTCAATATCTTCAAGACTTGAATTTCTAGCACAGCCTCAGTGCCCTGAAAATCATCAGTAGTTATGAGAAAAAGTATGTGAGAAGAAGAGAAGTATAGAAGAAAGTTGTGAGAAGAAAGAATTTCAACTGCACAAAAATGATCCTTCCAAGATACCGTACTGATTTATCCATTCATTATTTCATACATACAGCTATATTACAAGCCTAACTGGTGCAGCAGATAGCTGCATTTTAACTTTCAAGCAGAGACGTATCTTGGGTTAAGTTGGCTTGGCAACCTATGTGCTTTTTATAGATAGATTTTGACAAAGGTCCTGAAATCGTTTGTTGAAACCTTCAGATATTCCCCTTTCTCTCCTAGAGCAGCCTGCTAGATAGAACCAAAAATGTAAATAGACTGTCTGGTAGGTGATCTGAACAGACACTTGCCTGGTCTCATACAATGTATGGAACTGCTGCCTCCTGTTTGGGCATTGCAGAAAACATTTGGATTGCTTTAGATGCCTTACCATGCTAATTAAATAAAAAATAACTAATTAAATGTCATAATGCATGATGTAAACTTGTTAATGTCAGGGGAGATTTTTAAAAACAACTATCAAGATAGGCAAATTTGTCACATGTCAACATTTTTAGTTAATCTTCAGTGGTGAATAAGTAAATTTTATTTAAGAAATTTGAAAACTGTCTGGCGATATGATTAGGGCATCCTATATTTTGTGCCTGATTAGACTGTGGCTTATAAGGGGGGCTGGAGAGTCTCTTCTGAATAGTTAACTACCCATTTTTTCAATTAAGCATAATGTTATGTTAACATCCTTAAAGAGGTAAATGATGGCACGGTAAATCCAATTAGAATACATACTACAACTGGATTCTCTTGCAATTTTCAAAAAGCTGATTGCATTTTACGTCTTCCCTGCTATTGTCAGAGTGGCTTTACCACAAGTTGCTGCACCCCGCCTGGTGTCTGTGTCTCTGAGTGGTGACCTTTGCTGTAAGAGCTGCTGCAGACATCACCAACTCTCACATCAATTTGCTACAATTGGATGTGGCATCTTGCAGCTAATTTGATTTGGGAAGAAATGCACCTGGCTCTGTTTTTTCCCTATAGAATGTGGAGGGAGTTCTGAGTCCTCGCAGATGCCATCTAACCGAGGAGCCCATGTGTTTTTCAAGGTCTAAGCAGTTTGTCTTCATCTCCCCAAATACAGCCCATTACAAAGGGAGAGAAGCTGAATTATTTAACTCAAAAATCAATTAAACTGGGGTCAGGGAGGGAGAAAGAGAAACCAAATGGACTGAAAAATACAACTGTTGATATAACTTCCAGTCTTCTTGCCTTAAAAGAGAAGCAAACTCTTTATTTAGCTTTTCAACTCCACTTTCTTTGTTTTTATCAGATCAATTAAATGCAATTTCCCCCCATCAGAACTCAAGGAATGCTAACCTATCAAATTCATACTATTTGAAAGAAATACAAACACAAATATAGTTGTGTGGGTTTTTTTTATGTTTCAAACTGATTTGAGGTTGTAGAAAATATGTAAAATGGCAATGTGCTTAATCTATTATTGATAAATTTAAATAGATCAAGGGACTGTCAGTTGAAGGAAAAATAGAAGTCTCAGGCCTTTTATTCAGTGACCCACATCTTATCTCAATTATATTCCAGATATTGAGAAGCAAAATAATCAACAACAACAAAACCTGCCTTGTAAATATGATTTACATTGATTATGTGGGGATGTTCTGAAGGTAAGGAGGAAAAAAGGATTATTGAGTATTTGCCCTAGTGTTGCACATTAGGTTTAATTTGCATGGTGAGGGTGTGCTTTCCTGGAGAGGTAAAAAAAAATGTTAATTGTGTAGAACTCTCCAAGGTTGACTCACATCTTATCTATGTCATACTGCTATAAGTATACCAAAAATATGGCTTATATAAAAGTAAAAAGGGCTGGGCATGGTGGCTCACACCTGTAATCCCAGCACTTTGGGAGGCTTGGGTGGGTGGACCGCTTGAGGTCAGGAGTTTGAGACCAGCCTGGCCAACATGGTGAAACCCCATCTCTACTAAAAATACAAAATTAGCCAGGCATGGTGTTGCGCACCTATATCCCAACTACTCAGGAGGCTGAGGCAGGAGAATCACTTGAACCCAGGAGGCAGAGGTTGCAGTGAGCCGAGATCCCATCACTGCACTCCAGCCTGGGCAACAGAACTAAACTCTGTCTCAAAAAAAAAAAAAGTAAAAGTGGGTCATTCTTTGGAAAAATAAATCTGTTATTTTTAAGGGTGAATCTATACTGAATCAAAGGTTGAATTGAGGAGTTTTACACGTAACTGCAGCTATTAAGGGTCTAACTTCATACCACACATGCACGTTTGAAATAAAGATATGAATGATTTTTGTCAGGGAGAAGAAAGGAGCTGTCACCAACTCAAAGCAACATGAGAGCAAGAATCATGCTAATTTTGCCGTCTGCCTCTCCTATGTTCTTGGTGCCAAGTCTGTAGTTGAGGTTCATTTACCTGAATGAGTGACTAAAGCTTTATAACTTGAACACTTTGAATACATAGATCTAGCATAAATAAGCCTATTAATGGCAACTTTGACCTGTCAAGCAATAACCAAATGATTTGTGTGCCTGCTGGATTGTCTGGTGATTTTTGCTTTAAAGGGCAGTATGTGAGTATTATTATCACAATTCCCTTGCATACTTTTGCTTCTTCTTCCCCTGCCTCTTAAAGATAGAAAAGATAGATAGAACATTTAAAGATGTAGAGATAAAGGGCAACTCATTTTAGACTGGTAAGACTGGGAGGTGATATCATTTCCAACAAAAGGTGGGAGGCAAGGAAGAATTTAAAACCCAGAGGCAGAAAGCAAAATCAAAATAAGTTCCCAGAACTCTCCCTATCCCACAACTACCACTACCAAAGGGCCTTCCAGTGCAGCTTCATTGTTTTCTCTGGACTTGTATGAATTTGCAGATCATTAGACTGCTCCAGGAAGATCTTTTAAAACAATCATTATGCGTAATTTTTCATTTGAGTTTATTGGAGCCACAACTCATCGCCATGAGACCCAGTGACCTGAACAGGAAAATAGTCTTAAGGACTGCTTTATTTCTTCAGAGCCTATAGGGTAGGACTCAATAAATATCTAAATTAATAATGAATCAATTGATTAATTAATGGATATAGAAACTCACTGTTAGGAGAGGTTGGCTGGAGGTAGCAGAAATCAAAATAACAGTGAGAACCAAGGAAAAGTTGACTTCACGCTCATGTAAAAGAATTCTGGAGGCCAACAATATGAGGCTGATATAGACAGCAGTTCCAGTTCCATGATGTCTTCCAAGACACAGGCTTTTGTCTTTCTGCAGCTATTCTCAGAGTGTGGTTTGTACCCTCATGATTTAGGACTGCAACCATCACATCCAAGTTGAAGATAGGAAGGCAGAGAGGTAGAAGGTGAGACCCTTTAATCTGAGGTAGCTACTGTTCAGCATCCTGGAAGGTCCCACAACAATTCCACTTACGCTGGCACCTAAATTGTAGTCATACAGCCACACCTATCTTCAAGAAGGAATTGGAAATGTTATCTTTTGTCTAAGCCTGGAATTCACGTTCTAATACTAAGGAAAGTAAAATACATATTGTATTAGGCAATAGCAATATCTACTACATTAGATTTGTAAAGGAATAGAGCTTTGTAAAGGAAATAGAGATTTGTAAAGGAAAACGAATTGATTCCTTCATCTAGCCTGATTATTCATTTCTTCCACATACCTGTCTGGTGTAGAAGAGAAAGGGGCAAATAGTTTTCTTAAGCATAAATGTCAAAGACATTGAATAATAACATAGTGTTTCTTTGTGTCAAGCAGTGTTCTAAGTACTTTACATATATTAATTCACTTAATCCTAACAACAACCTTATGAAAATGGTGCTTTTATTATCATCATGTCACAGTTAAGACTTTAAGACACAGAGAGGTTAAGTGATTTGCCCAGGGTCACACAGCTAATAAGTGTCAGAGTCAGGATCAAACCCAGGCAGTCTGACTCTTAATCAACTAATCAACTGATCAAAACAAGGAATGAGCAGTTTAGCATAAAGTTAAAGATCAAATTTTTAGACTTTCCCAAAAAGCAATGTCTTAATCAAAACGAGATGAAGCACAACTCAGGAATTAGACTTCAATCCTCTCCTCTTACCCTCCATTTTATAGTTAACATGTTCTTAACTTAAAGTTCCTAAAATGCTAAAATGTTTGTATCATGTTTTCATTTGTGGTAGATAATTCAAAGGAATAGGTGTTAGGAAAACTTAAAAACACTTTTTGGATGAAATAACTCAAAATATAATTTTGTTCTCCTCCTGGTTATAGCCATACACTTACACATCTCAAAGCAAAATATGTAATGGTCAATTCCAAGTCCTAAAGGCCCACTATGCTAATGGCTCACAGCTAAATGAGCTGCAATTTCAAGTAGTTACATTGTAGTTTCTCCCTCCTTTCCTGCTCACATCTTCTCCCCAGGCAAACAGATGGACCCACTGTCCCCTGAACAAACCTGCAGGGTTTTTTTAAAAAATCTGTTATTTGATTGATTTTGCCTCCATCTTGGAATGCCTTCCCCACTGCCCTCTGCCTGTGTGAACAATCTTTGTCTTTCAAGATCAGCTCAAATCTGACCACAAAACTCTTTACCCACCCACTTGCTCCTCCTCCAGGGCTCCTCACATCAGTAAATGCCACCATCATACAGTTAGTTTGTTCCCTGGTCTCCACCCTCCCGTGATCTCCTGCACAAAGCCCTATTAAACTTCAAATGTGTCATGAATCTGTTCCCCTCTCTTATCTCTACAGCAATCACCTTCCCCAAGTTACTGCAATAAACTTTCTAAACTTGTCTCTCCACTTACATCCTCAGTCTTTGGGTTCCCTATTAATCTATTGTTTCTCACTTTCTATGTCTAATTTGTTTGCTAGGGCTAGGGCTCTGCAAACTGCATTTCTGCTTTGCCGTTGTACTAGTAGGGGGCTCCAAAGGGAGCCGTGAAGGAAGAAGATGGGAAGAGCCTTACTCCTCGCTGCTTGCTTGCTGCTCCTGCCAGCATGACCATATGATGAGGGGACCACCAGGAGTGAGGGTTTCAGTAACCATTGGTTCCAGTTTCCAGATTTTTTCCCCACCATCCCAGAACTGGGCTCATTACACTAGCTCAGAGGTACTAGCACTAGCTGGGAATGCCCTGTCTTCAGAGATCTAGGTCCACTTCTGCAGGGCTCCTCTGAACTCTTAAGATACCAACACTAACTTGATGGTGAGTGTCTGTTCTCAGGGTTAGAGTCCCAGCTCCACGAGGCCACCAAGCTTCTAAGTTCTTATAACCCCAACCTCTTTCCTGTGTTCCCTCAACCTTAGTAGTGGTAGTTGTCTCCCAAAGTTACTATGCTGTTAGGAGGGACCTTCAAATAGTTCATGGAAAATGTAATTAAAAGATCAAAATAAAAAATATAAACTTTCTTTCTTAACAAAAGCTTCATCAAGTTCAAGACACTTTTCAAAGCCAAGACACCAGCTACTTAGCCCATTCCTAAGTAACTGAGGGTCCTGGGAATTTAACCATGTCAGTACAGTCTTTTTTACATTACTAATTGAAGAAAAATGGGTGTCCTTTAAAGATTTTTTAAGATTAGGAAACCAAAAGAAGTCAGAAGGAGCCAAATCAGGACTGTAAGTAGGATGCCTAATGATTTCCCATCAAAACTCTCAAAAAAATTGCCTCTGTTTGATGAGAGGAATGAGCAAGAGATTGACATGGTGGAGAAGGATTCCGGTGACGCTTTCCCAGGTGTTTTTCTGCTAAAGCTTTGGCTAACTTCCTCAAAACACTCTCATAATAAGCAGATGTAATTGTTGTTTGGCCCTCCGGAAAGCCAACAAGCAAAATGCCTTGAGCCTCCCAAAAAACTCTTGCCATGACCTTTGCTCTTGACCAGTCCACTTTTGTCCTGATGGGACCACTTCCACCTCTTGGTAGCCATTGCTTTGATTGTGCTTTGTCTTCAGTATCTTACTGGTAGGGCCACGTTTCATCTCCTGTTAGAATTCTTCAAAGAAATGCTTCAGGATCTTGATCCCACTTGTTTAAAATTTTCATTGAAAGCTCTGTTCTTGACTGCAGCTGATCTGGGTGCATTAGTTTTGGCAACCATTGAATGGGAAGTTTACTCAGCTTTAATATTTCAGTCAGAATTGTGTAAGCTGAACAAATTGAGATGTCCATGGTGTTAGCTATTGTTCCTGCTGTTAATCATCAGTCCTCTTCCATTAGGGCACAAACAAGATTAATTTTTTCCTTGTAAATGGATGTCGCTGGTCTGCTGGGAGGGACTTCATCTTCAACATCATCTCATCCCTTCTTAAGAAAAGTTATCGGCCGGGCATGGTGGCTTACTCCTGTAATCCCAGCACTTTGGGAGGCCGAGGAGGGTGGATCATGAGGTCAGGAGTTCAAGACCAGCCTTGCCAACATAGTGAAACCAGATCTCTACTAAAAATAAAATAATTAGCCGGGCGTGGTGGCAGGCGCCTGTAATCCCAGCTACTCGGGAGGCTGAGGGAGGAGAATCGCTTGAATCCGGGAGGCAAAGGTTGCAGTAACCTGAGATCACACCATTGCACTCCAGCCCAGGCAACAGTGTGAGACTCCGTCTCAAAAAAAAAAAAAGTTATCCTCGGCCAGGAGAGGTGGCTCATGCCTGTAATCCCAGCACTTTTGGAGACCGAGGCGAGCTGATCACCTGAGGTTGGGAGTTCATGACTAGCCTGACCAACATGGAGAAACCCCATCTCTACTAAAAAAATACAAAATTAACTGGGCGTGGTGGTGCATGCCTGTAATCCCAGCTCTTCGGGAGGCTGAGACAGGAGAATCGCTTGAACCTGGGAGGTGGAGGTTGCAGTGAGCCGAGATCACCCCACTGCACTCCAGCCTGGGCAACAAGAGCAAAACTCTGTCTCAAAAAAAAAAAAAAAAAAAAAAGTTATCCTCCTTCATATCTGGAGGATATTTTTTAAGTTATCCATTTCAAACGGCTGATATCTTTGGTGTATTGTCCCCATAAACTTTTTATGAAGCATTCGTGATTTCACCATTTTTCCACCCAAGCTTCACCTTACATTTAATGTTTGCTCTTGCTTCAATTTTAGCAGAATTCATGTTGCTCTGATAAGGAATTTTTTTAAACTGATGTCTTATCCTTCTTAATGCCTCAAACTAGATGCTGTTCAGACATAACAAATGAGTATGGATTTTTCTGGTGCAAAAATATTTTGAAATCCAGGCACAGTTTTTTCATAATATGCATTTTTCATAAAGTTGTTGAAGACCCCTCAAATTATCATTATTGCCTCTTTTTTGATCTAATACTTGTACAACCAACTGCTTATATTAAATTCTCACTGTTAAACTTACTGGCGTGGTTTCTGATTTCTTGACTGGATCTCCACAGATACATCCTTCTTGGATCCATTGTCATGGCAGCCAGTGTGATCTTTTGGATATGCAAATCAGACTGTGTCATTCTTGGGCTTAATATCCAGTGTTGAGATCCCATTGCTTTCAAGATCAAGTCTAAGACCCTTACCATTGCTTACAAAACATTTGCATTCATTCAACAATCAAAGGATTATAGTGGATGATATGGTGCCCTGCCCAGATGCCCTCTTTGAGACTGAGATACTTATTCTCCAACTGCCAGGAGTAATGGCTACTGATGACTCCTAGATGTCTCCCTCTCTGAGAATTGGCCTTGATTAAAAGAAATTACCTCACCAAAGGTCATGCAACCCCTCCGCAGGAGCACTCACATTCAAATGACTGGTTAGTTCAGAGTGTCTAAAGCCCTGTTCAACTTGCCTTCATTTGGGACAATTCTGAAAGGATAACCCAGCTCCAGAATTCCCTGTAGGGTTGGCTGAGATCTCTGTTGCAACTGCATCACAGTTTAACTTCTCCCCTGTCCAGTTTGCTTCCCTTATTCTTACAGACATTGTTTTGAGAATAGTCTCCCATAAACCTCTCTCATGCAAATCTCCAACTCACAGTGTGTTTCCTGGGGACCCAATCTAAGTCAATTGGTACCAAGAGTGGTCCTAGGAAGCAAATGCTAAAATGGAATTTTTGGAGTTGACTAGCCCACTACCTGGCTGGCAATGAGGACTCCAAAGTTGGTGTAGGCAAGCTGTTGATAGCCCCTAGTATCCTGTAATACAGGTTGCATATTCCTTATGCAAAATGCTTGGGACCAGAAGTGTTTTGGATTTGGGATTTTTTTGAATTTGGAATTTTTGTATTATATACTTACCAGTTGAGCATCCCAAATCCAAAAGTCTGAAATCTGAAATGCTCCAATAAGCATTTCCTTTCAGCATCATGTCAGTGCTCAAAAACTTTCAGATTTTGGAGCATATGGATTTTAGCTTTTACAGATTATGGATGCTCAATCTGTACTACAATTGTTAAGATTTTCACAATGGTGAGGGATGAGATATTGGTGAAAGGGAATGCATTTGTGGGTGCCAATTAAGGCATTCAAGAGATTGGGGGGAAATGATAAATACAAGCACCAGGGAATCAGATGGCTATTGCTGGTTGTTAACCTATTGATGAGTTGGAGAAAACAATGAAAGACCAAGGGTGATTAGACACAAATTTAAGTGAATTGTGAAAGTCAAAGGGTCTCTCCTTGGCAGCTTATTAAGTGACTATCAGTTCCTGTAGCCAAAAGATAGAAAAGGCTGAGGATCAGACCCAGAAATTATAACATCAGGGAAACTCCAGAGAAGGTTGAATTTTCACCCCTAGGAATTCAGTGGCATCAAGCCCAGGGCCTGGTTTGGAAGGAGCAGTACCCTGAAATTTGATGTGACGATATATGGTGCAGACACTCAAGAACTTTGAAACCCCACATCCACCTGAACTATCTGGACCTATTATAGAAGTGGCCCACTCCTCCCTGTTAAAGGCAACCATGCCCTCTTTACCTAAAAATGATCCAGAAGCCTCCATCTTGCAAAACACATGTGCCTCTCTCAGGAGTTACCACACTTTCCAACCTGACCCCCAGACCAAGATCACATGACCATGTGCACACAAAATGATAACATGGCCCAGTCAAGGATATGCTAAGGCTGCTAAGAGAGGAAAGGGGCTATCCACTGAAGAAGAAGCAGGACTGGCCAACATGTACTGTCAGGAGCCAGAACAGCACATAGGCGCCTGGATACTGAGGATGCTGGATCAAATGGGAGGGAGGGGTTGATCAGAGGTGGGTGTGGGAGGAAGGGCAGGGCTGGGAAAGGGAGAGTTTATTGATATGAGAGCACTCTCCTGTGATTGGCTCCCTGGAAAGTCTCTGAGATATGTTGCTATCATGCCGCTAGAATAACTCTTGCAAGCTTGGAGAACGTAGTAAACTCTGTTGCCATGACAAATGGTGAAGAAAGGGAATCAAAGGCCTAGAGAAGTGGACGCACTACATAAAATAGAATGGCATACCAGCTAATTGCATTCCATGGGGGAGAACCAGAGGAAACCCTTTTCCCAAAGCAATAAGGAATACAGCAGTGAACAGAGAAGATACATTACTGACGTGACTGTTCTCTACAGCAAGGGTCAACTAACTTTTTCTATAAAGGGCTCAAGAGTAAATGTTTTAGACTTTGTGGGCAATATGGTCTCTGTCACAACTGTTCAAATCTCTTCTTGTTGCACAAAAGCAGCCATAGACTAGATGCAAGTGAATGAACATGGTTGTGTGTTCCAATAAAACTTTATTTACAAAACAGGTGGTAGGCTGTATTTGGCACATGAACGATCTCTGATTGATAGGTTAGGACTGACGGTAGAAGATGTTTTTACAGAACCGAGCTCACCAATAGAACTGAGGGTGATAAAATCTTAAAATAACAAAGGCCAGGCAGCGGCACTTAAAAATCTGAAGCAAAGTGAATATAGTTATCCTAATGAGCAGCAAGATTAGATTGGCAGCCAGTAGCGCCTGATCTGCAGGGAGGTATGGAGATGGTTAATAAAATACAGTCTACCTAGAGGCAAGGTAGATGGGTCGCCCACAAGGATTTTGCTGAATTTATACAATCAAAAGAAATCAATGATGGATAATCAGGAGATTGGGGTCAGCTGCCTTAATATATAGTCACGATGCTCTGCCTAAACCAGTTCTCAGGTCTAGAGCCCATGGACTACAGAAGACATAGTTCCCATGAGGAAGAGCCCTGCAACAAAATGGCAAGTGCACGCAGTAATGACTCCCTCAGTCCTTACCCAGGGGGACGTGTGGCCATTTACTTATGTGACCATATACTGCAGAAAAGATAAAAATCCAGATTTTCGAGGAGTGTTACACAAAGGGTCCAGATTTTGTGGACTATATCTGATGACCTGAAACATTATCACAGCTGCCCTGTTAGAGTGGGAGCATATAGGAGCCAAGTCCTGACCCAAGTCTGGCTTACAGTGAGTCCATCCACTGAGTCCACAGACTCATCTGGTTGTTATTTCCCTGGTTCCCATATGCGTATTTGGAATGAATACACTTGGTAGTTGACAGAATTCTATGTGGGTTGCTTGGTCAATGATGCAAGAGCCATTGTAGTGGGGAAAAATACATGGGAGCCTCTGAAACTGGCTCACCAATCAAGAGAGTAAATCAAAAACAGTGTCAGTTTCCAGGAAGAATGGCAGAGATGAGTGCTGCCCTAGAACCTACCAGTTTGGTCCCTATGAAAATCAGATGGAACCTAGTGGATGACAGTGAGTACATGCAAACTCAACCAAGTAGTACCCCCAATTACAGCTGTTGCTCCAGACGAGACATCATTGCTGGAGCCAGTTTGCTAATATATTCTGTTCCATACATATGAGGAAGAGGGATCAAAATTTGTTTTCATTCACATGAAATGGACAAGAGTACATTTTTATAGACTTGCCCCAGGGCTATGTTAACTCTCTTGCCTGTGTCATAATATATTCCAAAGGGATCTGTACCTCTGCATATTCCACAAAGTATCACATTTGTCCCCTCTACCAATGACATCATGTTAATCAGACTAGATAAGCAAGAAGTAGCAAGTATGTTGCAGGCTTTTATAAGATCCATGTACTGCAGACAGTGGGAGCTAAACCCTGTGAAGACTCAGAAGCCTAACACATAAGTGAATTTAATAAGGGTCCAGTAATCTAGGGCATATGAGGAAATCCTCTCCAAAGTATGTCTCTTGTTAATTAGCTGGGCGTGGTGGCACATGCCTGTAGTCCCAGTTACTCGGGAGGCTGAGGCAGGAGGATTGTTTGAACCCAGGAGTAAAAAGGTTGCAGTGAGCTAAGATCACACCACTGCAGTCCAGCCTGGGCAACAGAGCAAGACTCCATCTTAAAAAGCAAAAAAACGAAAACAAAACAAAACAAAAAAAAAACAAAGTATGCCTCTTATACCTCTACCTGTAGGAAGAAAGTCCCATGACTTTCTGGGATCTGGAAGAAGCATATTCCACACTTTTAAGTCTTATCCCAATTAATTTACAAGTGACATGGAAGGCTGCCAGCTTTTCATAGATCCCAGAGCAGGAAAGGGCTTCAATAGACCCGGGGCTCTTGTGCAAGAAGCTCTTCCTTTTAGACTGTCATATCCTGGTAGGTCACATGCCAGAGGCTTCTTGTGTTAAGAAACAATATTCTGTGTGTCTTTTGCATTTCTGCATGTCTTGTGAGTGAAGTGCCATCTGCCCTTTGTTCTGAGCTATCTTTTCAAGGATGTTTTGTTTGTATAGCAGTGTCTTTCTCTGGACCAGGAGACAGGTTTTCTTACAGTTTCAGAATAAATAGTATCTTCCTGCAGAACACAGGGCAGTTTTTCTTATAACTATGGATGATAGAGATAGCATCTCTCTCTGCAACAAAGAGCAAGCTTGCTTACTGCCCATTATAAAATATTTGAGCTCCCTAAGCTCAGAGTTTATTTACTGTAATGCAATTCACAGTGTAGGCAGGTGTGATGTATCCCTCTTTGCCTCGCCCTATAAGAATTGGGGTTTAGGGAAGGAGTACAGAATTTCTGATATTCTGGCTATTGCTATTGCTGTGAGTAATAAACTATTCATCTCTGACTCCTTGATTTCTACCAGCACCCATAAAATGGTGGTAGGCTAACTTGTTGTCTTGCAAGAAGGGTAAAATATCAGACTCTTCACAGTTCTTGACACTATAATGAGAACAGAAGCTGTGTAGAGTTTATGGCAAACTCCAGTAGGAGAATCATAATACAGACTTCTGGACGGGGTGGTGGAGCAAGAGGGATTGATTTTATGGAATTTGCTCACCCAGTTGTGGGGGCTGGCTAATCTGAAATCTAGGACAGGTTGACAGGCTGGAAACCCAGGGAAGAGACTGTTATAGTCTTGAGTTTGACTTTCATGGGGCAGCAGGCTGAAAACTCAGGCAGGGTCTTAAGATTGATGTTGCAATCTTTTTTAAAATAATAATTTTATTTTTAATTTTTCTGGGTACATAGTAGGTGTATATGTTTACAGCATACATGAGATGTTTTGATACAGGCATACAATATGTAATAATTACATCAAGGTCAATGGGATAATCTGGAGGAGGATTCCCTCTTTTTTGGGACACTTCAGTCTATGAGCTTAAAGCCTTTAACTGACTGTGTGAAGACCACACATGATGGAGGGCAATCTGCTTTACTGAAAGTTACTGACTTAAGTGTTAGTCACATCTGAAATACTCCATCACAGCAAAACCTAGTGTGGTGTTTGATCAAATAACTGGGCTCCATAGCCTAGCCAAGTTGACACATAAAATTAATTGTCACACCATCCATGCTCCAAAGCTGAGGCCTCCATACTCATTGCCTCTCAGTCCAACTTCTTCAACTTCTCCCCTGCTCAGTCCTGCCTCTCTCACTCCCTCACTCACATTCTTCCTGAGAGCACCCTCCAATAAACCTCCTGCCCTTATATCTTCTTCTGAGAGTCGGTTTTCTTGGAATCCTGACACAAGACAAAGATACGGTAATGAACAAAACATGCTACTCAGAGTTATTACCAAGTCTAAGTCAGAAACTGACTCCTGGGCTAGGCACAGTGGCTCAGCCTGTAATCCCAGCACTTTGGGGAACTAAGGTAGGAGGACTGTTTGAGGCCAGGAGTTCAAGACCGGCCTGGGAAACATAGCGAGACCTTGTCTCTATAAAAAGAGAAAGAAAAAAATTAGCCAGGCATGGCAGCATGTGCCTGTAGTCCCAGCTACTAAGGAGGCTGAGGCGGGAGGATTGCTTGAGGCTGGGAGGCCAAGGCTGCAGTGAGCTATAATCAAGCTGTAGTGAGTTAGGACCATACCACTGCAGTCCGTCCTGGGCCACCAAGTGAAATCCTGTCTCTAAAAAAACAAAACAAACAAACAAAAAGAGAAACTGATTTCTAAAGATTTTGTTGTTAGTTTAGTTGTTAAAATATTCAAAATCTGGTCTTCAGATATCTACTACAAAATTTTAAAAAAAGAAAATAAAATATTCGAAATCATACAGTCTATTTTCTTTGAGAGAAATAAACCCATCTCATTATATGTTGGAAAAAGCCATTTGACTTCAAGAACAAAGCAACTGACCAGTTAAACAGAAAGCAAATGATGGTATGTACCCCCCAAATTTGTACAACTATTATATATCAATAAAAAAGTAAATAATTTTAAGGAGTACTTAAACAAAAATTAGAATATAGAGACATTAAAAAAATAAATTGTCTGCTTTTTTAAAAAAGAAGAACTCTCAAAAGAAAAACCTCATTTGTTTTTCCTTTGTTGCTTTTCTGTCTAAGCAGGAACTGCCCAGTTTTCAAGCTCCAAGCTCAGCCTGTAATCCTTAGCTGTGCACATGTTCTGGGAGTGTGTGCCCACAGACATTCAGCAGATGGTCTCGGCCTGGACATCTGGAAGTCTCATCAGATTATGGGGCACAAATTTGTGATAATAGATTTAATTCAGTTTTTACTTAACATTTTTTGGCTGGTTTAAAGACCCTGGGGTCAGTATGTAACTTGGCAAGAGTTTTACAAAAATTGTTCCGAATTTACCATCAATGGGCCGATCTTATACAATATTTTGTTTGTGCAACTCAGACCAGCTGGGTAAAAGCTAATGAAAGAAATGCAATTATAAGGGGGTGGGAGGTACATGTAAGGCTTATTAATGCATTAGTCATTCTCTGCAAACCCCTCACCATCCCACTGTGCTGCTGCATCATGAGCACAAGATAACCTTGGGGGAACATGGCTGTCTTCCTTTATCTTCTGATTCTGGAGTCTAGAATTTGTGCTTTATTTGGGATAATCAAGGGGCAATACAGCAATAATTATCACCAGATAATTTTGTACTTTTATTAAGAATAGTCTGATATAACCCTTAAGAGAAAAACAGAAATGAGGTAAAGCTTCATCCTACTGCAACACATACAATGTTAAAGGAGAACTTTCTCTCCTTACCATCAAAAATAGCATAAATTGGGTACTTGCCTGGAAGAGCCTACACCTTTTTCATGTGTCTTTCATAGCATTTAACATTCAATTTTACTCAAGAAAAATATGTTGAACAGATGGATTTCTTTTTTTTTATTTTTTAAAGATAAGATAAAAATAAGCCAAGAAGAAAAAAGATTAACAACCCATTAAGAAAATGATCAAAGTCACTAATGGGAAAGAAAAACTGAAAGGCCAATAGACATATAGAAAGGTGTTTGGCCTCAGTATTAATTAGGAAAAACAAATTAAACTACAATGAGAAATCATCTTACACCCTTCAGATTGGAAAAAAAAAAAAACTTAATGACAATTTCAAAGATTAGCGAGAAGCTTCATACTCTTAAGGTGGGACTATAAAATGGTACAACTATTTGGCTATAGAAGTACCCAGTTAAGTTGAAGATGCACTTACCCTGTGACCCAGCAAGCCCACTCCTAGGCATACACCCTAGATAAGGTTACAAGTTCAAGAATGTTCCTTGCAGCATTGTTGGAAATAGCAAAACAGAAACAAAATTGGAAACACTCTAAGTGTCCATCAATGAAAGAATGGAGAAGTACATTGTTGCATATTTATACAATGGAATACTATACAGCAGTCAAACTGAATAAATTATAACTATCAATGTAGACAAATCAACAAAAAAAAGCAAATTGCATAAATCTAGAAAATACCCAAAAAGAGTCTAGAAAGTAATGCTTTAATGATATGGTTTGGCTATGTCCCCACCCAAATCTGATCTTGAATTGTAGCTCCCATAATTCCCACGTGTCCTGGGAGGGACCTGGTAGGAGGTAATTGAACCATGGGGGCAGGTCTTTCCCATACTGTTCTCATGATAGTGAATAAGTCTCATGAGATCTGAAGATTTTATAAAGGGGAGTTCCCCTGCACAAGCTCTTTTGCCTGCCACCATGTAAGACATCCCTTTGTTCTTCCTTCATCTACTACCATGACTTTGAGGCCTCCCCAGCCATATGGAACTGTGAGTCCACTAAACCTCTTTCCTTTATAAATTACCCAGTCTGGGATATGTCTTTATTAGCAGCATGAGGACCGACTAATACATGTATTATGTTCATTGATGCAAAATATGTGGAAAAATTACTAAAACAAACATGGAAATGATGAACACAATTTGTGTAGTTATCTCTAAGGAGGACAGCAGGGAATGGAAAAAAGGAGGGAATTCAGAGATGGCTTCAACTGTATCTATAATATTTAAGTTTGAAGATGGGAGAAAAAATCTGAAGAAAATAAGGTAATAAAAGTGGTGTTCACTATATAATTTTCTATGTTTTAGTATGTTTAAAATATATTTTAAAACAATATTTAAAATTTAAAAACCAACATTTATTTTAAAATCTGAGATTAGACATCAGCTCTCTTGAACTATGTTATTTCAACAACCTAAATGGGGAAGACATGAGCTCACGCCAACAATAGCCCTAACCCAGGCCTAACTCTGGATGGTGTTCCAGCAAGCAGCACTCCCAGCTGCCTGTTTTCCAGATTTCCAATAACAATTTGCAAAAGATGGCATGATTTGTTTAAGAGAGCTGAGCTTGTGTTCTTCCTGAGAGTGTGCCCCATTGCCATTAATTTCATTGCCTGCAAAAATAAAAATTTGAAGCTGCCTCTTCAATTGGCTTAGTTGGAAAATTCTATATTGGTAGAAATTCCACCAACTAACCACACCTGATCTTCAGTAATGCCAAGTAAAGTAGATGTTTTTAGTTGGAGTCATTTTCACCCCCTGGAGCTGACACAAACTGATTTGTAATTTTTTTATTTCTATTATTTATTTATTTTTTTTTTTTTGAGACAGGGTCTCCCTCTGTCACCCAAGCTGGAATGCTCAGCTCACTGCAACCTTGATTTCCCAGACTCCAGCGATCCTCCCACCTCAGTTTCCTAAGGAGCTGAGACTACAGGCACATGCCACCATGCCTGAGCAATTTTTGTATTTTTTTGTAGAGATGGGATTTCACCATATTGCCCAAGCTGGTCTCAAACTCCTGGGCACAAGAAGTCCTCCCATCTAGACTTCCTAAAGTGCTGGAATTACAGGCATGAGCCACCACGCCCAGCCAGGATTATCTTTTTCCAAGTTTTTTCTATGCATAAAAGATACATAAAAGTCGGGCGTGGTGGCTCACACCTGTAATCTCAGCACTTTGGGAGGCCAAGGCGGGTGGATCACCTGAGATCAGGAGTTCAAGACCAGCCTAACCCCGTCTCTACTAAAAAGACGAAAATTAGCTAGGCATGGTGGCAGGTGCCTGTAATCCCACCTACTCAGGATGCTGAGGCAGAGAGAATTGCTTAAAACCCAGGAGGCGGAGCTTGCAGTGAGCTGAGATTGCACCACTGCACTCCAGCCTAGGCGACAGAGCAAGACTCCGTCACAAAAAAAAAAAAAAAAAAAAGGTACTTCACACATGTACACATACAAACACACAATCGGAATCAGTGTGTATCTACCGTTTTGTATTTTTCTCACTCAGCAACATATTCCATTTTATTATTTATCTGGAGCATCACTTTTTAATGATGCACACAGTATTCCCTTACACAGAGATTCCATAATTTATTTAAGGAATTCTTTCATTGAAGGGCATTTACATATTGCCAGATTGCCATTCCTGAAAGCCTGAACCAATTTAGGTCCCTATCAGCCCTATCAGCAGTATATGAGAATGTCCATGTCCCTGTTCCCTTAACAACATTGCTGACCAAGTGTTTTTTCCTCCTCCACAGAAAAATAATAGGAGATTCTCATTATGACACATGATTTGGAGAAGGGGATTTACTGAGTGAACAACACTTTAAAAATGTGTACTGTTTAATTACCAGAGAATTTTTATGCAGTTTATTTCTACTCAGTGCAAGGTATTAGAAGAGGAATGGTTGTTGTAAAATTTCAGAATAACGTGTCTTTAGTTAAACACTCAACTTCTGCTACGTAGCTCCCTGAGGCCAGAGATAATGCCCTATTTATCATTGCATCTCAAGGATCTCACACATAAAACGCTTTCAATACATGTCTATCAAAGTAATGAATACAAGAATGCTAAATCCATGCCAACCAAATGGTCATGGCTTGGAAATCATTTAAGTTAAAGCAGTTTCCAAAATAAGATGAAAATTGAATCCAACTTTTTTAGTTTAAAAACTTCAGTTCTCCATGTTCATCTTAACTGTTATATATATTTTTGGATACCAGACCCTGACTATACCTGGATGGTAGGAAAACATAAGAGAAAAATAATAGGAAAATATCTCTGTGTGCCATGGAAATATGCTTTGTCTAGCAGTATAATTAGCCAACAGACTAGCAACATTGTCAAATGTCTTGGGCTATTGCACTAGGTTTTTGGTTTATACAATAATATTCATCTCTGTAGTAGTGAGAGAAGATTATTTCAGCAGCCAGCATAGATTGCAATGGAGAAGGCTGGGCACAGTGGCTCACACCTGTAATCCCAGAATTTTGGGAGGCTGAGGCAGGCAGATCACCTGAGGCCAGGAGTTCGAGACCAGCCTGGTCAACATGGTGAAACCCCGTCTCTACTAAAAATACAAAAATTAGCTGGGCGTGGTGGCATGCACCTGTAATCCCAGCTACTTGGGAGGCTGAGGCAGGAGAATTGTTTGAGCCCAGGAGGCAGAGTTTGCAGTGAGCCGAGATCAGGCCACTGCACTCCAGCCCGGGTGACAGAGTGAGATTCCGTCTCAAAAAAATAAAAATAAAAAACAATGGAGAAAGTCCCAAAGCACTGGCTTCACGTTCTCAGGCTGCCTGAGAGGCAGTGAGAGGCTCCAACTTCTCCAAGTCAGCCTCAACCACGTGCCAGATCAAGAATGGTGCTGTGTCTTCCAGCAAATGACAGACGAGCACAATTCCAGGAATTCCTTTTTCGGCAGATTTGTAATAAGCTCCACAATTGGTGTTCTATAGCAAGACATATTTTTAGATTCAACTTTCAACTCTGGTCACCCAGAGCTGGGGCTCTGGACATTGTCCTCTGCATCCTCTTTCCCCGGGATTGCTCAAATTGCAGAGGAGGGGGTCATGACCCCTATAGGGTCACAGAGAGCAAAACAGCCAAGAATCAAGTGGAGTTTTCTTGAAGCTGCTGGGAAGGGAAATTGTCTTCTGTCAGTGGCCTCATTGCCATCAAAACTGCTTTCCCCATTGCTGCTCCATCTATCAGTCATGACAGTTGCTTCTGGTTTAAAACGTACTAAGTGTGAGGCACCATCTAGGTGCTTTACTTTCCAGTTCTTGCTCACATTTTTCACATCGTGCACACAGGAAATGATACTATTTGTGCACCCAGTACACAACCAAGGCTGCTTGTGGCAGGAGGCCACTGGCTGAGGGTCTGGAAAGCCCCAAGCCTCACCCAGTTACTCTGTGGGCCGAGAAATATACTATCACAACACATAGATAATCTATCTGTGACATGCCATTGGAAAACTGCTTTATAGGGATTATCTCACTTAATAAATGCAACTGTGTGGGTTACGTGACTCATATTTATAAATGAGTCACAGAAAGGCTAAGCACCTTGCCTATGGTCACATAGGTAGTTAGGCATCCAAACTGTAGTGTAGACTGTAATGGATGTTTCAGTCTGTATTTGGATGTTACCTGTAGCATACCCACTAAGATTCCATTGACTAAAGAAAATTATATGTATTACTTGTTCACAAATATTAATATTTATTCTTTTCCCACCCTTGCAATGCTTACCTGTAAGATGGAAAAAAACTTCCACTGACTTTGAGAGTTATTACAGCATAAGCTGACCTATACACAAGGTCTATCTGCCTCCCCTGTCCAGGTACTTTCCGTTTTGCTGTATTGCCTCTCATCTCCAGCCCTTCAAGGAGTTCTACCCATCCGTCTGTTTTCCTGGTATTTTAATTTTTCATATTCATGGTAAAAATAGTAGAACTTCTCTTTTCTTTTACCTGTAAAAGAAAGATGAAAATACTTCCATCTTACAGGTAAGCACTGCAAGGGTGAGAAAGGAATAAATACTTGTGAACGAATAATACATATAATTTGCTTTAGTCAATGGAATGTTAGTGGGTATGCTACAGGTAACATCCAAATACAGGCTCTAAATGCACTGACATGATATTGCTTGACTTCGTGGGCTCCCACCATCAGCGGCAAGAATGTGCCCTAGACAGAGGTACCAGAATGAAGATCTGTGCAGCAAAAGTGAAGAGGTGAAAAGTGCTTGCAGAGCCAAGCAAAGCTACAGCCAACCCACAGATCTGGGAGTAAGAAGTATTGTTGTAAACCATTGACTTTGAGAGTTATTACAGCATAAGCTGACTAATACACTAGGTCTGTCTGCCTCCCCGGTCCAGGTACTTCCCATTTTGCTGTATTCCTTCTCATCCCCGGTCCTTCAAGGAGATCTACCCATCAGTCTGTTTTCCTGGTATTTTAATTTTTTACGTTCATGATAAAAATAGTTGAACTTTTCTTTTTGTCTTTTTTAATTTTTTTAATAAAAAACTTTATTTACTTAGAAGCATTGAGAAGGTCAACAAAGGAGCTGCAACTGTTTTTTCAATTACAAAATGGTATTCAATTAACAGAACAAAAATGGTTTTCCACAAGCTGCGTCAGAGACAGCTGAAGATGAAAAAAACAACCATCCCCATATATAACTAATTTGTGCTGTGGACCAACAAGAACTTACTCTAAATTTCCATGGCAATTTACAACCCCCATACTGTACCGGGAAAGGTTAGTGGATACTGAAAATGCCACCAGGTCAGGACTATCTAAAGACACATTTAGTAGTGTGTTAACTATACAAAAAAAATACACTGTACAGTTTAAAAACAAATCTTACACAGCCTTACTTTTCTATTTTTTTTTTCTTTAAAAGGTGTGAGTTGTGTACAGGGGGATTAAACGCTTTATAGACAAGAAAAGAAACTGCACTAGAACCAACTTAGTCACCATTGTTTTCTTCTTCATCTTTACCTCCTCATTTTCTTCCTCCTCCTCATCCTCTTCATCTTCCTCCTCTTCCTTCTTTTCCTTGCTTTGTTCAGCCTTGATGGCTCCCTTTTTTGCTGCATCAGGCTTTCCTATAGCTCAACACGCAGAAATACCCTTTCCTATTTTTCCTTCATTCAGCTTCACAGCCTTCTTTTCTTTCTTTCTTTTTTTTTTTTTTTTTTTTTTTTTGAGACTGAGTCTTGCTGTATCGCCCAGGCTGAAGTGCAGTGGCGCGATCTTGGCTCACTGCAACCTCCACCTCCCAGGTTCAAGCAACTCTCCTGCCTCAGCCTCCCAAGTAGCTGGGATTATAGGCACCTGCCACCACGCCTGGCTAATTTTTGTATTTTTAGCAGAGACGGGGTTTCACCATGTTGGCCACCCGCCTCAGCCTCCCAAAATGCTGGGATTACAGGTATGAGCTACTGCACCCAGCCACACAGCCTTCTTTTCATAAGGCTCCTTGTCATCTGCAGCAGTGTTATTCCACATCTCTCCCAGTTTCTTCACAACATCACAGTGTATAGGCTGGGATGTTCTCCTTTATTTTTTGGGCAATACTCAGAACAGGACAAGAAAAAAGCCAAATGAGGCCTCTTGGGGGCACTGGGATCCTTGAACTTCTTTTTTGTCTTCCTTTAGGAGGTATATAGGTTTTCTTATTTTTTTCTTTCTTTTTTTTTCTGTTTGTTTGCTTTTTGGTTTATAATAAGTTTTTTTTTCTTTTTTTTAAAAAAACTTTTAAGTCCAGGGATACACATGCAGGTTTGTTATATAGGTGAACCTGTGTCGTGGGTATTTGTTGTATGAATTAAAATCTCAACATCACTGATCATTAGAGAAATGCATATTAAAACCACAGTGAGATACTATCTCACAACAGTCGGAATAGCTATTAATAAAAAGTCGAAAAATAGGCTGGACATGGTGGCTCACGCCTGTAATCCCAGCACTTTGGGAGGCCGAGGTGGGCAGATCATTTGAGGTCAGGGGTTTGAGACTGGCCTGGCCAACATTGTGAAACTGTGTCTCTACTAAAAATATAAAAATTAACTGGGCATGGTAGTGGGCGCCTGTAATCCCAGCTACTCCAGAGGCTGAGGCAGGAGAATGGCTTGAACCTGGGAGGTGAAGGTTGCAGTGAGCCAAGATCAAGCCAACTGCACTCCAGCCTGGGTGACAAGAGAGAGACTCTGTCTCAAAAAAAAAGAAAAAAGTAAAAAAATAATAGTTGCTGGCAAGGTCACAGAGAAAAAGGAATGCTTGCACACTGTTGGTGGAAGTGTAAATTCATTCAACCATTGTGGAAAGCAGTGTGATGATTCCTCAAAGACCTAAAACGGAAACACCATTTGACCCAGCAATCTCATCACTGAGTATATACCCAAAGGAATATAAATCATTCTATCATAAAGACACGTGCACATTTGTGTTCATCAAGGCACTCTTCACAATAGCAAAGACATGAAATCAACCTAAATGTCCATCAATGGTAGAGTGGATAAAGAAAAGGTGGTACATATACACCATGGAATACTATGCAGCCATAAAAAAGAATGAGCTTATGTTCTTTCAGGAAGATGGATGGATATAGGCTTTCATTTCTCTTTCATAATGGCCTTGCCTGCTTTTGCCGTGTCTTCAACTTTTCCTTTCTTTTTAGCAGACGTGTTATTTCACCTCTCTGAGCATGTCTTAGAATATTCTGAGAAGCTGACTGAAGCATCTGTGTGCTTCATCTTGGGCTCCTCTCAACAAGTTTGCACAGGGAGGGAATATTATGACATTTTTACTCTCGGCTTCTTAGCATCTGTTTGGCCCATGTTTATTTATTTTTCCTCAGCAAAGCACAGAGTCCCCAGTGCCCATCCAGTTCTCATTTTCCCCAACGCTGTCTTTATGGAGCTCAATGTACTGCAATGGCTCTCGTCCTTTTTTTTAGTTGTGATACAAGGCCCTCAGAAGATCCCAACATGAAAGTAATAAGAATTATCCCCTGCAATTGAACAATAATGTATACACTTTCCAGAACCCATTCACTGTGTTAGCATAGACAGGACATTCCTTCCACAAGATTCCTGCCACAAGACTACTCAATGCCTGTTTACAGAATGGAATAATCAATCAATATTCACTTTGCTTAGGAGAAAACAAAAGACTCAGAGATTAATGATGATAACCATGGTGATCTTTAGGTTTGTTGTTTAGCCATGGGCCCAGTTCTATGCTAAATGGTGCCATTTAATCCCTACAACTATCCTGAGAGGGAGGTGTTCCAGAGACCACCAGTTGTGCCCCAATAACCATTCTCCCTGTCTTGCTTTAGTAACAGAAACCTAGAACTAGACACACACTACCAGTAAATACTACATTTCCCATGCTCCTTTGCAGTTAGGTGTGGCCATGTAGCTAAGGTGGATTTGAATACTTCCAAGCCATGCCCTTAAAGGAAAAGCAGTGTGTCTTTTCTTTTCCCTTTCCTTCTTCCCTCTGTCTGGAATCAGACATCATGGCAGTAACTGAAACTGCCATTTTAACATGAGAGGGAAGCCAAGTAGTGCAGAGGATGAATAAAAAACAACATAGAAGCTAGGTTCCTGACACCGTGGAACCACTATACTAGCCCTGGACCACCTACCTAACTTTTACATGAAAGAGAACTAAAACTGTATCTTTTTATGTCACTCTATTTTGAGGTCTCTTTCTCTTTCTCTCTCTTTTAACAGCAACCTAATTTTATCCTAACTAACGCCATAGGTATTACCACCTTTTTCAGATGGGGAAGTCGAAGTTCAGATTGCTTAACTTACCAGAAGTTCTCACAATGTGTAGGCAGGAGAGCCAGGACTTGGATCATGGTCTGATTGATGCCCCAAACCTGTGTCTTCCCCATTGTGCTCACCAGCCTCCAAGGTCAGGCCTTAAACCAGCTGCTCAATTTTCTCCTGCCTCCATTGCTAAGGTTTCAATTACAAACGTCATGTTACAGAACATAACATTCTCTTTCCCATGAGGAAGATCTGGTAGATCTGAAGAAGATTCAGATCATGCCAGAGATCTTCAGAAAAATAGTCAACAACTTCCACAGCCAGGATGTTGCAAGAGAATGAATGAAACAGTCTACATCACGTGCAGACTAAAGTGAGGTGAGGTTCCCCAGTGATCTTTTGGATATTCAGTAAGAAAATATTAGAACTTCTACTTGTGTTTACACTTTTAGGCTTAAAAGTCAAAAATCTAACTTGAGTAACCTGAAAAATGTGTGGATTGACATTTTTGCATTCAGTCCCTCTGTCAGAGATTCATGTGTCCAAAAGGCTCTCCCAAGGAAAGGGCAGGGGCATCTGCAGCCTTCTTCACATGATTGTTTGCTGGAGGCATATTGAAACAGTGCAATTTAGATTGTGCCCCAGTTTAATAGGTTAAGAATTATGTTTTGCAGGGCCGGGCACAGTGGCTCACGTCTGCAACCCCAGCACTTTGTCAGGCTGAGGCTGGCAGATCACTTGAGCCCAGGAGTTTGAGACCAGCCTGGGCAACATGGCGAAACCCGATCTCTACAAAAAATAAAAAATTAATTGGGTATAGTGGCATGTGCCTGTAATCCCAGCAACTCAGGATGCTGAGGCAGTAAGATTGATTGAGCCCAGGAGGATGATGCTGCAGTGAGCCATGACTGAGCCATTTTACTCCAGCCTGTGTGACTGAGACCCTGTCTCAAAAATAAAATAAAATAAAAAATAAGAATTGTGTTTAGCAGTTTTAACTGAACTAGAAAAGTAGAAATGTTACTTAAGAGGAGAAACCACAAATGAATATCATAATAATGAAGTGATGTGGTTTGGAGTTGTGTCCCCGCCCACCAAGAGGGGCTTGGTGGGAGGTGATTGGATCATGGGGGCGGATTTCCCCCTTGCTGTTCTCATGATAGTGAGTTCTCATGACATCTGGTTGTTTAAAAGTGTGTAGCACCTCCCCCTTCCTTCTCTTCCTCCTGCTCTGGCCATATGAGAAGTGCCTGCTTCCCCTTCACTTTCTGCCATGATTGTCAAGTTCCCTGAGGCCTCCCCAGGCATGCTTCCTGTAGAACCTGCAAAACCACACACGAATTAAACCTCTTTTTAAATAAATTACCCTGTTTATGTATTTCTTTATAGCAGTTCCAGAACAGACTAATACATGAAGCAAATGCAATTTGAAAATGGTAGAATTCGGCAGGGAGCGGTGGTTCACACCTGTAATCCCAGCACTTTGGGAGGCTGAGGGGGGCAGATCACCTGAGGTCAGGAGTTCAAGACCAGCCTGGCTAACATGGAGAAATCCCATCTCTACTAAAAAATACAAAAATTAGCCAGGCGTGGTGGCAGGCGCCTATAATCCCAGCTAATTGGGAGGCGGAGGCAGGGAGAATTGCTTGAACCCAGGAGGTGGAGGTTGCAGTGAGCCGAGATTGTGCCACTGCACTCCAGCCTGGGCCACAGAACAAGACTCTGTCCCAGGGGGAAAAAAAAAAAGAAAGAAAGGAAGAAAAGAAAAAGGTAGAATTTACCCTTCTACTCCTAGAAAGGCTCTTCAGCTACAATATGAAGTTTTTTAAAAAGGATGATCTAATCATATCTGACATGAGTCAGCCAAACAATTTTGAAATTATCAAGAAATTATCCTAATTGAAATATGAATTAACATACACTCTCATTAACAATGAAACTCACCCTACCTATATGTTTAGCCTTGAGGTATTAGCTACTGATAGTATGAAGCTATCACAATTAGGAATAACTTTTATACTATACTTAATTCGTTTATTTCATCCTGTTAAAATGTCTACTTTTCTGTATATAATTTAATGCTATATAAGGATACTAGTGTATAGTACATAAGTATGTATACTTACATATGTGAACATTAAGTATAGATAGTTTATAGATAAATA
Source organism: Homo sapiens (assembly GCF_000001405.40). Taxonomy (NCBI): domain Eukaryota; kingdom Metazoa; phylum Chordata; class Mammalia; order Primates; family Hominidae; genus Homo; species Homo sapiens. The sequence goes on from NC_000004.12 coordinate 41,847,061, forward strand.
TATACTTATTTTGAGAGTACCTGCTCAAAAATGTTTTACTAGTAAAAGGACACAATTCAAAATAATATTCTACCATCTGAACGATGTGTCTATCACTTTGCCTAGCTAACAGGGCAAGCATGTCCGGCCTTACTCTTCATAGTCTGGTGTACAGCACTTGCTGTGCAGCTCAATATGAAGAGGGCAGCATAACACATGAGCTCTCAACTTTTGGTCTTGAAGGACAAATTTATTTCTATAGGCTGTATTTTTTTCTCAGTGCAATAACTGTTAAATCATGGAATCAAATTATTTCACATCAGACCAGCACATACTGGATAAACTGAACTGGATTAAAATAAAATGTCTGAACGATAGGGTATTGTGTATGTGGAAAGTGTCAAACTAAGATTCTGCCATTTTTATGTGCAAACAAGTATTGCCAAACATCTTTGCCTCGTGCATTATTGTCATTTAATGAGTGTCTGCAATGTGAGGAATCTTTACCCATATTCCAGTTAATCCTTGCAACAATAACAATACTAATAAACACTTACATACATCTTTGTGTCAAGCACTGTTCTGAATACTTTGCATGTATTCTCACATTAACTCTCCGAAGTATATGTTATCCCCATCTTACAGATGAAGAAACTGAAGTACAAATAGAAAAATTGAGGCACTGGGTGGTAAAACTCAGGCTAACTGAATCCAAAGTCTCTACTCTTTCCACCATACTCTGATGCCTTCCTAGTGTCAGTATTGTAGTGATTGGCCCAGTTCCTGGAGAATGTGGGGGAGGATAAAACTTTTTCTTATTAGCAAACCCGTTCTTCCTAAAGATATTCTGAATAGGAGAAACACTGGTTCTGCCATATTCTTATTTGCTTTTCTTGAATCATTCATTAGCATTCTCTTCAATCTGCAGTTTCTCTTTTAAGCCACATTTTGATTTTGTGAGGACTGTTTAGTTAAATACACATTAATAGCATATAATTCAAATTCAAGCCATATAATGAATCAAATGTGATAGATACTTATTTCACGCTCAGGAAAAGACCAAAACGGGTGTCCCTGATTGGTCAGCAGCTCTCCTCCAAGTGGTAACTCAGGACCCAGAATCCCTCCACCTGTGGCTCTGCCATCTTTAACATAAAACTTATGAGGATACAGTGCTGCCAAATGCGGCCAAAGGGCAAGAGGCTGGAGGATCCTGGGTGGGAGATGTCCATGGGCCAGGCTTGGAAGTGGTACATATCACTTCCACTGATGCCCCATCAACCAGAACACTTGTGACCACACCTCACTGTAAAGGAGGCTGAGAAAGAGAGCCTAGGTATGTGTCCAGGAAGAAGAAACAGGCTCAGTGGACAGCCAGCCACAATGTGTCTGCCACGGTGATGTCTACCAAAACACAGAAGAGACTTTAAATAATCTATATTCTAACTACAAATCTTATTCAATCCTAAATCAAGGCCCCCCAAAAGACCTCTACTAAGCAACACAAAATTTATCATACATAATATTGTATCTTGTTACTTTAAAATTAACACAATTGCCTTTCCTTTTCAGTGGTTTATAATTCTTATTTTTAAGGTAATTCAAGCCAGTTTTTTCTACAATGAGATGAAATTGCACAATTAGAGAATTTTAGTTTTGATGGAAACTTGTTTCTCATGTTGTAAGTGAAATAGTGGAAACAGAGGATAGGAGGCTTGGTCAAGGTCACATGGCTGCTCACCGAGGCTTCTCTACAGAGCGATCACAGTTTTCAGCATAAGCTTTAACTTCCTCCAGTAAAATGTCCTCACATCTAAATGTAATTTGAACTTTTGGAAAGATGCTTCTTTTTTTTTCTTTTTCCTTCTCATTGGGGAAATTACTTTTACTCTTTGCCCTTTGAGATACACCAAGCATCTAAAATAAAAAGAATGCAAGAATTCCTTGTATCCATACATCAATCCTAGGAACATTCTGTTCTTTTTATTTTATTTTATATATATATATATATATATATATATATATATATATATATATATATTTTTTTTTTTTTTTTTTTTTTTTTTTTTTTTTTTTTTGAGACAGGGTCTTACTCTGTCACCCAGGCCAGAGTGTAGTTGCATGATCTTAGCTCACTGTAATCTCGAACTCCTGGGCTCAAGCAATCTTCCCACCTCAGGACTTCAGACACATGCAACCATACCCAGCTAATTTTTTAAACTTTTTGTTCTTGATTGCACTCTAAGTCTGGACACTGTTTGGTGTATAGAAATGCTACTGATTTTTGTACAATTGATTTTGTATCCTGGAACTTTACTAAAGTTGTTGACTAGTTCTAGGAGCATTTTGGCAGAGTCTTTAGGATTCTCTAGGTATAGAATCATATCAGCTTCATTGCTGTGCTATTCACAATAGCAAAGACGTGAAATCCACCCAGGTGCCCATCAATGGTAGATTGGATAAAGAAAATGTAGTACATATACACCATGGAATACTATGCAGCCATAAAACATAATGAAATCATGTCCTTTGCAGCAACATGGGTGGAGCTGGAGGCCATTATCCTAAGCAAATTAACACAGGAACAGAAAACCAAATATCACATGTTCTCACAAGTGGGAGCTAGACATTGAGCACACATGGTTATAAATATGGGAACAATAGACACTGAAGACTATTGAAGGGTGGAGTGAGGGAGGATAGGCTAAAAAAAACTACCTATTGGGTACCACATTCTCACCTGGGTGATGGGATCTGTACCCCAAACCTCAACATTACACAATACTCCCATGTAGCAAACCTGCACATGTAGCCCCTATATCTAAAATAAAATTTGAAGTTAAAAAAAAAATTGGGGTAGAGACAGGTCTCACTACGTTACCCAGGCTGATGTTGAACTCCTGACCCCAAGCAATCCTCCCACCTCCCAAAATGCTGGGATTACAGGTGTGAGCCACCACACTTGGCCACCTTTAAACTGAGGAACAATTTGAGCCTCTTTCACTTTTCCTGTGGCTTTTGGGGAATAATCTGTTCAACTCACATTTTTTAGAGTAAGACAATTATATTTCTAAAAGTACATATCAATTATTTCCTGTTATTTTTAAATTTAAAAAACTGGTCAACTAATAATTGTGTGTTTAAAAAAATTAAGTTCCAGGCCGGGCGTGGTGGCTCAAGCCCGTAATCCCAGCACTTTGGGAGGCCGAGGCAGGCAGATCACCAGGTCAGGAGATCAAGACCATCCTGGCTAACACGGTGAAACCCCATCTCTACCAAAAATACAAAAAAATTAGCCGGGCGTGGTGGCGGATGCCTGTAGTCCCAGCTACTCGGGAGGCTGAGGCAGGAGAATGGCGTGAACCCGGGAGGCGGAGCTTGCAGTGAGCTGAGATGGCGCCGCTGCACTCCAGCCTGGGCGGCAGAGAGATACTCCGTCTCAAAGAAAAAAAAAAATTAAGTTCCAAATGTATGGTTCTACCAATATTTATTGAGAACTTACTATGTGCCAAATAATGTGCTAGATGCTGGAAATTCAATGTCATGGCAAACAAAATCCACTTTCGTTAAGTGAAATGTGACAAACCACTTATTCTGATAACTCTTCCCACTAGAAACATTTTTAAATGATGTAAAGGTGTTTTTCCTTCTTAGAAAGGTAAAATGTATATTCAGAGAAATGCAAATATCTTGTGTTTATCTTGATGAATTTTTGCAAACTGGACAGATTTGTGTAACCAGCACCCAGACTAAGACAGAACATGTCTCAGCAGATACATGTTTTAAAAAAAGAAAGAACAAATTATCAGCACCACAAATGCCTCCCTTGAGTTTCATTTCAGTTACTAATCCTCCAAGAATAAACACTACGCTGACTTCTAACAGCATAGATTTTGAATTTTATGTAAATGAAATCACAAACTATGTTCTCTTTTGTGTCTGGGTTCTTTATTTATGCTTGCGGAATACATTCATGTTATTACATGTAATTGTACTTTGTTCATTCCCAATCTCGGTATAGTGGTGTAAACTATACGTAATATAAACATGCCACAATTTATTTAGCCATTCTGTTGATGGGTGTTTGTATAGTTTCTACTTTTAAGGCTACTATGAATAAAGCTGCTGTGAACATTCTTATAAGTGTCTTTTGGAGAATTTGTATATATCTTTCTGTTGGTTAAACACCCAAGAATGAAATTGTTGCATCATAGGTGTGCATAGGGTTAGCCTTAGTATATACTGCCAAACAGTTTTCCAAAGTGGTTGTACAAATTTACCTCCCCATACAACTATCTGTGAGAGTTCTTTTATATTTTTTAAACTTTGTAAATGCATCAAGGAGTAAGTAAAATAAGTAAGAAATATCCACAGGGCAAAAATTAAATAAAGCGGGAATCCAGAAAAGTATGTAGGGCACTGAAGTCAATTACCATCAGGAAGTATTTGCTGAGCCCACATGATTTGGGACTTGGGATTTCATGGCCTTAAGGGACATGGAGGATGAGAGACAAAGTGTTCGGGTGAAAGTGAAGTGGAAATAAACCCATTCTCCAAGAGGATGGCAAGAAAACTTCCTTTCTTGAACCTTGGCATTGAGTAGAGGAGCGCAGAGAGAAACCTCTCCTTCACCACCTCCACCATAGATTGTAGTGAAAGCTGGCCTTCAAAATGGTTTGTATTCCATTCACTGAAAGATAACTGAAAAGAAAAAAAAAGAGCTCATAGTTCAAATTCTTATTACTTTACAGATCTGAAAAACCTCAAGCCTAGAATTTAAAGTAGTTTTGAATGGGTGGCTTACCCAAGGAACCTGGGAAAAAAACCCTTCAAGCCAGACTTCAAATAAATTCCCAAGTAATTACCCAAGGAATAAGAGTTCTTGGTCAAAAATCACAGAACACACAAAAAACCAAGACACCACGAGCAAGAATTATTGGAAATAGTAGACAGCAGCATTGGAATTACCAAACAAAATTGACTATACATAATATCATTGGAGTTTCCATGGCAAATAATTTCTATTTCTGTCACTCAAGACCACGTTATTTTGTGATTTTCTGGTACTTTGAGTGAGAGTAAAGTTCACTAAGTGATTTTCTATTTCCTTGGCAAAAATTATTCTATTCAGATGTTTTCCAATTTCAGACCTTTAGATACCTCCTTAATGATTACTTCCATCTCATGATATACTATGCTATTATTTACTCAGTATTTCTTTTAAAATCGATTTATTTTTAGAAAATGTATATTCCTACTTTAGCCTAGCCCTAAGTGATAATATCTCAGAACCATGATGTACAAGTTGTGTTTGTGTTTCAAATACAATTTAAACACTTAATGACTAACATTTCAAATATTTGTCCAGGTATTATGCAAAACAATCTTAAACACTACCAGGGTTACATGAACTACACCATACAAAACTAACCTAGAGGTAGGTGGTGTGTGCCTGTAGTCCCAGCTACTCAGGAGGCTGAGGTGGGAGGACTGCTTGAGCCCAGGAGTTACCTAGGCAACAAAGGGAGACCCTATTTTCGTTTAAGAAAAAGAAAAACTAGCTTGGAGTAGAACAACTGGAATAGGTGCATTTCTTTTGGGGGAAAGAAACAGGCTAGGACAAGGTGCAGGCTGAGGGGAGCGACAGAAGGAATAGTGTAGATACATGTGGAAAAGGGGAAGATGAATGGCAAAAAGCAAAGAGCAGGGAAATACCAAAGATGAACCTCCTTAACTTACAGCTGTGCCTCGGAATTGACCCAAGTTCACTGATTGTCACAGATAGAGGCTGCCTTAGGAGTCTTCATGTTCAGCAGTGATCAACTGCATTCACACTGCCACACTGTTCACAGATGATGCTGTCAGGCTGACACACCCCCATTCCCAGGGCACTGGCTCTAACAAACAACTATGTCTCCCCACTCAAGAAAGAGTCTTCAAGAGCACACAAATGAAATTTTTTCTAGGTTATTTTAAGATAAAATTTAAATTCATAAATTTTTATACTTTATTTGTACATTTCAAATTACTTTCAATACATTTTACAACTTAAGACAGAATCGATTCCAGTCACCCTATTTTACAGAAGAAAAAATCAACCCAAGAGAGTTGATTTTTCTGATCTTCCTCCTATGCTCTGCCACGAGGTCCTATGTCCTCTTTTCTCAATTAGAGATTAAAACATGATGGATTTGGTCTTTCAGCCAGTTGTCACATTTTCTTAGGTAACAATTTTTCAAATAATGAACGAATGCTACCAATAATGAAAATCTGCATGATAGAAACCAGGTTTTTCTGGCCTAAATAGGTCCCTCAGAGTAAGAAAGCCTCCATTTGACTCAAGAAGAGTCACCTATGGAGGACACGTTCAAGTCCATTTGGCCTTTGGGTCTTATCTCTAATGCAGCATTGCCACTCTGACACATGGAGAGATGCCTGTCTGATTTTGCAACCTAAGGTTCTCTGACTACTGAAAGAGGTCAAAATGGGAGACAGCCTCAGAATACAACCAGGCTGTTTTCCCATTCTACCAGTCCTTCATTTGGGCAGATCCAGACTGGTAAGTCAAGTACTTCTCCACAGTGGCTTGGAAAAGCCCACATGAAGTAGAAGGGAAAGTTAGGGGCTGCACTTGAGGGAGAAAAGAATGGAACCCAATTGTTCCTTTCTGTCTCCCATGACTGTCTTCTCTTCTTTGCAGAAAGGAACATAACAAAGACCATTCAATAATGGCTTTGACCATAAAAAAGAATGGGAACATGTCCTTTGCAGCGACATGGATGAAGCTGAAGGCCATTACCCTAAATGAAGGCCATTACCCTAAATGAACCAAACACTACATGTTCTCATTTACAAGTGGGAGCTAAACATTGAGTACACATGGACACAAAAAAAAGAATGACAGACACCAGGGCCCACTTGAAGATGGAGGGTTGGGGGAGGGTAAAGATCGAAAAACTACCTATTGGGTACCTGAGTGACAAAATAATGTGGACACCAAACCCCTGAGACACACACAATTTATCTGTAGAACAAACCTGCACATGTACCCCTGAAACTAAAATACAAGTTAGATAAATAAATAATGGAAAATAATGGCTTTCACAAGAGCCCCTAAGTTCCACAACACCAGAGGGCACTATTCCCAAGGTATTTTATGAAAATGGACCTCAAGGGCACAATTTCATAGCATATTATATGGCTGGGGTCCCTGAAGTTATGCAGCGTAACAACCTCTAAATTATTGACAGGGGTTGGGGAAGAGGGATGAGAGTTTTAAAATGAAAGATGGAATGCCTCTACCTTGGGAAAATTGCCTACCAAAGCAAGGCTTTGATTTCTCTTCTTAACAGCAACAGAAGTCTTGCTCTATCTAAGGGATGAGTTAGCCCTTCTACAGTGTAGACACATAATTAATTTCATTTCTTCCAGAGCTCAGCTTACAAGGCTTGAAGTGGTTACAGTCTTCCCCAGCATCAGAAGCCAAAACTCTACTGCCAGAGGCACCCAGCCATATGAAGCCTCCTACAAGTCTCCATCCTTGCTTAAAACTACCTTTATGATAATCCACAGGAGCCTCTTGCTTCAATCATAAATTATACATTTCTAGGAATGCTGCTTTTCTCTTCATTGACTACCATTTCCAGGAAAGAAGGGTTTTTTTTTCTTTTACTGTACTCAGTGGAAGTCTTTCTGCTGACATAGTCCATAATTAAAAATCAAAGTAATAAAGTGACATTCTCAAATTTGAATACTGGGTACAAAAGCTTAATTGCCAGTCCTTCTTGCCAAACAGCCCAGTGGCTCCAACATTAAGTCACAGAGACTTTCAAGAGAGTGATTTGATAGAACTTTAAAAGGGCACACGTTTAATTTTATTAGAACAAGTTTTAGAACCTTAAGACAAACTGCAAATACTGAATTACAATTTTTTTTCACATTTTATTTATTGGGAAGTTATTTAACAACTGTAACTGATATCCAAGTGGATATATAACTATTCAAGGGCCTACACCAATAGGGAATGTCATTAAAGTTGTCTAGGCTTAAGGTGCTTGTTTCCAGGAGGACATATGAAAGTGAAGATGCTGCAGAACCATTGAGCACCCCAAGTGACTAGTGAACACCCAGTGTCTGACTTCATAAGAGACAGCAATTATTTATACTAATGAATTATGACTCTTCACAGAACAAAGTTGCCTCAAGTCAGCTTACTTTACATCATTTCCCCTTTCCCACAGTATTAATTCAATTAAACAAGTGGGAAAAAAATAACATTCCACATGTTCAATTGTTTTCCCCTTGACTCCCAATATCTCCAAAAACTGGAGGGAATAAATACTACCTATTGCATCAAAACAGTTGTCCATCATAAATTACATTTTGTTAAGTCCTTGTAACTTTTTTTCGCTAGGATATTACTGATAGAATATATAATGGAGTTTTGAATATAGATGATTTAGCCACATATGTTGTTTAAATTGATTTTAAGAAAGAATTGGCGTTGTTACATATGCTCCATTAGAACATAGCAAAACGTCCAATGAAATCATAATTATTTATCAAGTGTGATGTATTTTTAGTAACTTATTTTCATGTAGAAAAAAAGATTTGGGGCCAGGTGTGGTGGCTCACACTTGTAATCTCAGCACTTTGGGAGGCTGAGTCAGGAGGATCCCTTGAGCCTAGGAGTTTGAGACCAGCCTGGGCAGCATAGTGAGACACTGTCTCTACCAAAAAAAAATGTTTTTAAAAAAATTAGCCATGGATGGTGGTGTGCACCTGCAGTCCTAGCTCCACTGGGAGGCTGAGGCCATAGAATCACTTGAACCTGGATGTTCGAGGTTGCAGTGGGCTATGATCTTGCCACTGCACTCCAGCCTGGGTGGCAGAGTGAGACTCTGTCTCAAAAAAAAAAAAAAAAGAAAGAAAAAAGAAAAAAAGGTTTAGTTGTGCTCCTTTTGTATTTCTTTAACTGCAATACTGGGAAAGTGTTTTTATTGAACCATGTGATACAGTGGTTCGAATTGTTTTTATTTCAAGCACAGAATCTGTATTAAAAATAACACAGTTTCCTGTCCTTCTTTCTGTATTTTCTCCTAGCACAAGGGAAAAATCACATTCCCTAATATATTTTCTGGGCACACTCTGTTTGTAATATTTCCTTTGCAAACGTCCTGTTCATATTTGTATCTTATTACTTTTCTTATACTGGATTTATTGATAGTTTCTAACAAAAATATGATTTCAGTATATTTACTGAACAAAATTCAATATAACAGACCCCAATTCAATTTTTTTCATCAAAATGGAGAACAATAAAGAGGCTAAAGTCCTCAGTTTAGACACACAGCATCAAAAAAACTTATATTGTTTAAAGAAATAACTCAATAAGGGGGAAGTGATAGATATTACTTAAAGAACAACATTAGCTTTGTTTATTTATCTATGTTTCTAATATTCCTGCCTCTAACTTAGTCAGCGACAAACATTTTTGGTGTTCCTTGGTTATTGAATCTCACATAAATGCAGTCATTTTCTAAAAATAGAAAAATATTGTTATTATGCATTGCAAGATACCCATGGTTCATATTTACTGTTAATTGTCATTTCATGTATTCAAATTTAATTTAAGGGAATTTTTAAAAAACTTAGTCTGTTTCCCAGATTATTTTGCTATTGTGCCAGTATTTTTTATAAATTAATCACGTTTATGCTTTTGCTTGTTTACAAAGAGTGTGTATTCTGAATTTCTAATGTCCTGCTCTTGAAGACTGATTACAGAGGGCTTTCTTCATTGACCATTAGGTAAAGGGTTGAAAAATAACTTTGGTTTACAATAGATTTGTAGTTTAATGGATGGGTGTATTCATTATTTACCTGTTCTCAGTCTCTTGTGTACCGCCTAGTGATGATTATAGTTGTTTTAAAGATGATCCTTATTTATGGTCTATTGCATCATCCTGAGATTTAGTAATGATTTTAGATTTTCCACCTAAATTACAGGGCACTTTCCGCTGAAAATGGTAAACAATATTACAAACTAAAAAAAAAGAAGTAATCTGATTTCTGGGAAGAGGGAGCCCAGTGAAAGATGTGTGCTTTTATAAGGATGGACAATGGAAAGCAAAATAATAACTCCTAACTTTGATTGTTCAAATATATTCTGCAATACAGAGAGCTGCATGCAGGCTGGAGCAGGCATGGGGCAGGAAGGTTAAGTAGAAGAGAAGGCACAATACTTCAGATTGGCAGTAGACTGCAGCAAGAATAATCTAATCAAAACGAAATTAAATTATCTAGTCCCAGGGCAGGCTCCTGGGACTGCTGCATTGAATGCTAGCAGAGCTCCTCCTAGACATTTTTCTCCAGTCAAACTCACATGATGAATGCAGATGAAAATTGAAATATGAAAATCTGAAATAATTTATGGAAGTTGTCAGAAATTTGGCTTGCTTGTGGTGTAATTTCCTCTGAGACGAGGCAGGCCGGCTCACTGCTGCAAGACTTGGAGCGGCTGCTGGCCTTCCAGTGGATGGATCAACCCCTTTAAAATGCTCTTCCAGACAAATTACAGCTCATTACACACAGCCTTGCACCATGCCATTATGTCAGAGGAAATCTTTTTTCATTTGCACAAATTTGCTTGGAATTCTCATATTTATTTGAGCATCCATTATCGAATCTGAACATTGAATTATCCACAATTATTTTCTGGGTACGCGGATGTTTGTGTATATGGAATAGATGGTGACTGCGGGGCTATAAAAATATTACAGTGTGGCTGAAAACCCCACGTACTTTGCAGCTGTGTTACAAAGAGCATTGTTTGGCTGTTGAAAGAGAATTGACTTTTGCAAGGACATTTTACAAGGTTCATTTTCTTTTTGAACATACTCCGAAGGAGACTAACTCTGCTTCTAGTGACTTTTTCTGTGCTCCATGGTGTATAAGAATTACAAATTGTTTGTTACAACTGAGTTAAGATCCTCTTTCCTCTCCCTATGTAATTTGTTTGTTGATGGTCATTTTCATATTAGTCGTATACTGGCATACATTCTTGAATAAAACATATGCTCTGATTGCTGAAAAGAACACCTCTCTCCTGAAACTCACTTTTATTTCTCTCATCTTTCTCATAAGGTTGCCATGGCAAAAGTGGACTCCTTATTGCTGAGAAATACCGCAATATAATCAGAAAAGGAAATTATGGTCTAAAAAATCAACAATGATATTTACCTACTAGCTTCATAGAAATCTGAATTACAAGAGTGTTTGTATTATGGCTTTTAAATATTTACTGTTGTTTAGCATAATAAATCTCTGCTTTATGTAATATTGCTAAGTGGAGTGCAGTCCTTCTCAATATTATTTTATCCAGTCATTCAGGCTTGTATCTAAATGTCTCGTCAACCTTTCCAGTGACTAAATAATTAAATGCTCTCTATTGACTTGTTGACATTTCACTACTTATGGCAGGTGTAGATTCAAAAGAAAAAGTGCAGTCATTCTCCAGAGTCAACTTTTTCTTCCCCGAAAGCTTTTATACATGGATAAAGCAACTTGAAAAAATTCTAAGGTAAGCATCCCTTTAATATCTCATTATGATTTTGTAAACTGGATTCAGTTACAACAAAGTAAGATGTACTTTTGCAAATAGGATTTGTTTCAGTCAAAGAACCAGTAGTACTTCAAATCAAGGTGAGTTAAATGGCTGTTTATATAACCTATTATTTTTCTAGCCATAATATACAAACATGAGCATTTTACACATTTTTAAGTAAAAAAGAAAATCGATTCTACATAAGTGAGTAGTGACTACTAGAATTTAGGAAAACAAAATTGGTCATCAAAGTAATGGAAAAGCTGGTTTCTTGGATAAAAGCAAAGCAACTGCATTCTATACTTCAGCCCTCCAGAGCTTCGACTCCTCTAAAATCCACTGCGGGGTTGGAACATATCGCCACCTCCCCAGCTTCTCCTTGCTGCAGGAAACTTTGTAACAGCACTCAAACAAATAAAGAAACTGGGTTGGAGATTATTGCTTTCATTGTGCTATTGTACATGTGTATTATATAGTCACTCCATAGTTTGACACAATCAGCTGAATGTGGGACAAGACAAATGTTGTATATGACAGTGGGGTAGTATTGAAAGATGACCCCATATCTACAGGGCTAAGAGTTATGGATGCATTGATAGCTGCTACTAACATTTTGAAGCGTGGCTGTTAAATTTTGCCTGCTGGCTTCTGGCTGGAGGCCGGCCTGCCTGGGCAACGGAGCCATTGAAAGGAACTGCAGGCAGCTTTTTTTCAGTACACATCAAGGAACTCTGCTCTTCCTTTATTATAACTGACCACTGACAGGAGTGACTTCGGAAGAAAGCCAGGCAAACAAGGCACATTGAACACTTCCCAGCTAATCTTTGTTGTGCATTTTATTTACTTCCAGTGGGCACTTTTTCTTCTTAAATAACTGTTTAAATTTTTTAAAGACACATTTCTAAACCAAAATATGTAATGAAAATCACAGGAAAGATTGGGACTATATAAAGACAACATTTTTCATGATAGAGCAGGACCTACTGAGAACAGAGTATGTGGAGAAATTGAGGTAAATACTGTTTCTTATAAAGACCTGCAGGAAAATTATACAATAAAAAGAGTCTTAGAAAAGTGTATCTGGGATACTTGAACTCTGGACTGTTAGTGACATTTGTTTTAAAAAGCAATGAATAGAGAGATGGTCTGAAAATATGGGGCATGTTTTATATGTGCAAAGAAAAATGAATCATATGAACATTAAGCTTCCAAGTTTGAATGAACCATGTTTAAACAATTGCATAGCTAAGTTCTTTGTAAAGCACTACTAATGACCAACTTCTTTTATAAATTAATGTGCGAGTACATTTTAATAGCTGGGAAGAAATCTTGTTATTCATAATATAGATAAACATGTTTGACTCTAAGAGCCAAACTTTAATATCATGCTGGTATGTTTAACTTATGAACCTTAAAGCTTATCAAGCGGTGCAAAGTATATGGACTTGACTTAAGGCCATGGGTTGAGGTTTCTTTGATTTATTTTTACCATAGAAGATATAAGGAATCAAAATAAAAAGAATATGAATGCAGCTACCTATAGCCTCATTTAAATATATACAAAATCCACCAGCATTACTATCAAACAAATGAACTAAAACTATAGCCATGTAAATATCAAACACCAATACTTCCTGCTTATGAAACTCTATAGTCATATAAATAGTTATGTAAATCCCAATGTTTATGAAATTCCATCCTACACTTGAACAAATGCACTATCGCTAGTTATTTTGTCATTTCTTTCCAGATTTCCCTAGAGAGCCAGCGAGGACTAAGCACATAAAAAGTTTCATCATTTTTATTCTACAGCCAGCCAGTTTTCAGAGGAAGAGCAAAATTTTTCGCTGTGTACTTTTAAGTAAATAAAATATTTCTGGAAAGTTATAAGCATAAGAAATAGCTATGTAAATATATATATATATATATATAACCTTAGTAATAATACTTGGATAAGCTAATATAATAATGTTATTTATCATGAAAAGAAAATTAAGTAAAAATCCAGCCCCTGAAAAGTTTAAGTGCAATTTTAGACTCATTCCCTTGACCTTCCTTAAAACAAAGTAAATGAGGAGGTAATAATCAACTATTTTACTTTTTAGTGAGAAAGCAAAATTTGCATTGGATGGGGAGAGGAAAGAGAATAGAGATATATTTTACAATGTCAAGGAGGGTTTTTTTTAAAAAAAAAAAAAACCTCATTTCCAGAAAATTTTTCTCATATTTAATATCTTTATTATGATTACAACATAATACATTTGTGCTTATATTCTCTAAACCCAAATAACCATATATACTTAAATTGAATCTGGGATATTTCCTCTATCTTCTCCCTATTTTAAAATCATTCACTTTCCAGTGTTTACGGTACAAAAGTGTAGATTCACCCATCTACAAAAACCTATCTTATAATTTTTTTTAAAATTCAGATAACCATAAACTTGAAACTATTAAAAAGCAGAGCTTGTTCTATATCACAGCTAATTCAAGTCTGCCTTGTAAGTGCATCTATTTCCACATGTATTAGAAAATAATTGATGCAAAAAAATGTTAACCATATTTTTGTCTTGAGTAATTTCTGTAAGTGTATTGCCCACAGGGTTCTCATTACAGCTGTGGAAGTTCCTTCTACATCAAAGCTCCTGGGACCCTCAATCAGAAATTTAGGCCAACTTTGGGGAAAGTCAATTTGCTCTCTCCTTAGAGTAACAAAATTAGATACTTGAACTTGATATCAAGGATTCAGAGACACACAGCAGGCTTTTTATACCAAAATCTTGCATTTATATTTTGTTCATAGACAACAAGAAGGGGAGAGCTAAGCAGTTATTTAACCAGCAAAATCAATTTAGTTGAATAAATTAGAGAGTTTGGGCTTGAAATCTCTCCTTTTTTCTCTTAAAAACATGCACAATTAGAGATGTATACTTTACAATATTTAGTCAGTGTTAAATTACTTTTAGGGAGAATGTGTGACATTCAGCCAAATTGTATGGATAATCATCTCAATTCTACAACCTAATTTCACAAATGATGTGGCCACAGAGATTTTATGTAGTTGATACTGACTGCTGTTAAATGTTGCTTATAAAAGTTTATGGTCTCCCTCTGATCTCGAATGAGCCCATTATTGTGTTCAAGATTAAATTTTTCAGGCCTGGTCTTATTTTCCCCCAAAAGATTTCCAGGAGCATATAGTATGTAGGAGCTCAAGAAAGAAAGAAAAGGATGAACTTTTATACAATATATTGAGGGAGATTTTCAAGGGAATCATCACAGACATGAACATATTAAGACATGCGATCATAAAATATTCTTTTCTAAAGAAGCATACAATAGTGTATTCAAAAACCTTTTTAAAATAATATGTATTGCTTTACAATCAGAGAAAAGGCTAATTTTAAAATATCTTTCCTCATTGAAAGGTGCTAAGCCATCATTTTCCACCTTTCTCTTTTAAATGATAAACACATAATTTATTTATTAAGTTCTACTTGCTTGTAATGCAATACACAATCTTTCCATAGACAGGACACTATCCTCAGAAGCTGGCCTTCTAAATTGAAAGCACAGGGACAAAAGAACTAGAACTAACCTGCAGTTGATAGGCATAAATAGTGAAAATAGAATAAGTTATTGTTTTATGCAAATGTTATTTGATATAGTAGAAGCTAACGTTCAGGTAAATTATTTTTAACAGCAGAGGTGGTCTTTCTTGAGCCCTTCATCCACACGGCTCTCACAGCTTCATGGCCGCTGCTCCATTACCAACAGTCTTCAAAACACAGAATATAATAAGATACAGCTATGACCATGCAAGAAAAGTTGAAAACAAGTTCCAGTTAGCGACTAAGACTTACAGGTAGAAGTTACATATGAACAGCTGTGTGTAAGTGATGCCACTACCAAAAACCAAAATTTCCATTACATGGATGGAAATGTTCCTTATCCCTCTGTACCTACAAGTGCTTATGAATCGACACTGGGTTGTGGAAAAGAGAGACTGTGTTTGCCCACCAGCCCCTGATGCCCAGGAGGGAGAAAAGGCCACATTTCTTCCAACTCTCACTCTATTTAATAGCCCTGAGTAGCTTAACTGGAGAGTGTCACGTGCTATAAGTATATTTATTACTCAGTGTTAGAGCATCTTCTTGCTCTCTTCCTACGTATGAACAGACAATTAGTAGAGCAACAGGCGCTAGTCATTGAAAGTGAGAGAAATAGGAGGAAAAATCCCAAATCCACTCAGGAATTTCAATGAAAAATATTTGTTCTATTTCTTTGTTATGAACAATGAAAATTTAAAAAGACTCATTGGCTTACAGTGAAAACAAAATCAAGCTGGGCATGGTGGCTCACGCCTGTAATCCTAACACTTTGGGAGGACAAGGCAGGAGGATTGCAACTATTGCTTCTCCAGCCATTGTACACTCTAATTCCCTAATTATTTCTGGCCAAATGATTATTATCTTTTTTTGTTTCTTTATTGTAAGAACTATAGTACATCATCTTTAGAAAATAATATATGTAGAAAATATATGTATGCTTAGTTTTATTTTTTGTTGTTGCTGTTTCTGTTTGTTTGTTTTAATAGACGAAGTCTTACTATGTTGCCCAGGCTGGTCTCAAACTCCTGAGCTCAAGCAATCCTCCTGCCTTGTCCTCCCAAAATGCTAAGATTACAGGCATGAGCCACCATACCCACCTGATTTTGTTTTTACTGTAAGCCAATGAGTTTTTTATTTTTTATTTTCATTGCTCATAACAAAGAAATAGAACAAATATTTTTCATTGAAATTCCTGAGTGGATTTGGGATTTTTCCTCCTCTTTCTCTCACTTCCAATGACTAGTGCCTGTAGTTCTAATAATTGCCTTCTCATATGTAGGAAGACAGCCAAAAGATGCTCTAACACTGAGTAAGGCCTGCCAAGCGATGGACTAGTTATTTTTGCTGTTTTTGGGCCTTTGCTCCCTCTCTCTCTGCCCTGTGGAAGGGAATACCCGGGTCCCATGCTGAGTACCCAGACATCTGTGGTGGCTGATGCTGATCTAGCCCTTGCTAAGCCAGAAGGGAGGAAGAGAGGCAGCTGTGTGTGTTTGTGTGTGTGTGTGTGTGTGTGTGTGTGTGTGTGTGTGTGTGTAGGTTCGCCTTTCACCCTCCCCACTTCCTCTGCAGCCCTCCCCTGCTCTCTGCGGCTGGTGGCTTAGTGCATGAACTGATTAGGTAACAACAGAGCACCTTCCCTCCCTGTTTCCTCCCAATGCATTTGGGCCACAGCTTTTGAAGGCGCCCAGCCCTGCCACTATCCCGCCTTTATCACAGGCTGTATGGGGCTTTATCTGGAAAAGCCTGGGCTTTGCCCCTGGCTTCATCAATCATTTGGACCAGTTCACATCTCCTTCATGGTGTTCCGCCTCATTAAACCCATCAAGGGCACTGCAGAGAGGCTGTGGGGCCCAGGAATGCCTCCCCATTGCAGGCGTGAAAAAGGCTGCACAAACCTGGGGGAGAGGGTGCCCAGGATGACTTGCACGGCCACCAGATGTTCAGGCCTCACTCTTCTTGCAGGCCAGGATCTACTTCGGGAGATTTCTTAGAGGTACACTTGGGAAATTAAGTGATCACCCCAGGCTGACAAGCATGCACGCCTCAGTCTTCTTAAGAAACTCATGTGTGTGCTGGTGAAATTGGAGACCACAGTTTCACAGAAAGTGAAGTGTTTTCAGGTTGACAGCTGCAAATGCTGGTTGGAATCTGACACTGAATTTAGGGGCTTCTAGGGCAAAATGAATCATCAAAGTGCCATCCAGGTAACTTAGACACAACCCAGTTCTATATTTGGGGAAAAGAGACTTCCACAAATTTTCTAACTGCTATTCTACTGAGTAGCCACTCAGATTTCTATTTTTGGATTGTCATTATGATTATTTTATTTATACATATAATCAAATTACAAGGGTTTTTCCTCACACACTACCTTGCAACAGCCTTTGGAGGTAGCCAGAGCAGGGATCATATTTTCAATGTCATTATAAAAGCAAAAAAGCCAAAGCTAAGAGAGATCGAACTTAACCAAGATCATATGGCTAGTAATTGATGGGTTTACACCTCATTGTTTCTCCTTTACAACTTTAAAAAAGAGAAGTCCAGGACAGCACTATTGTTCATGTATTATTTTCTCTTTGGTACAATGTCTAGGATATGATATCAAATATCTAGATACAAATGTACTTCCCTAAGGGTCTTCCCCAGCCTATTAGAAGAAAGAAAAGAAATAAGAAGTAAAAACAAACAAAAAAACCACCATAGCCCCGTTATCCTCTTATTGATAGAGTGAAATTAGTCTCTTAGAACCAATTAGTTGTAGAGAAGGACGTGCATTTCACTGGTTGTGAGCAGGGGAGAAGGGCAAGGAGGGAGGAAGGGAGGAAGATAGCCATAACCTTAGATTGGCCTCTTAACATCCAGTTTGTGGTACAAATAAGAATCAAGTTCCATCTCATACAGCACCACCCGGGGGCCCAAAGTAGTAGCCCCTGGACCTCCTCTTGCACCCAAACAACTATTTTATGCACCAGGCATGTATATGGCAGTGAACTTCACCCTAAGCCCTGTGCTATTACTTCTAAAACTTACGGGGAAGCTAAGGAGGCAGTGAAGACACCTCCTCAGCCCTGGTCTCCCCCACCAGCACACCACCTAGCACAGACAGCACCAGCTCACGGCCGCCGCAGTCCCTGGGTGGCCTCTACGGGAATCCTGGGGCAGAGATGGGATTACGAAACCCTAAACCACTCCCGCTGCGCGCGAATCACGTCTGGCAGGCTGCTCCAGCCCGCAGTCCACACACCCCCGGGCCTTTGCGCCACCGCACCAATTTGCATCCCCAACGAATGCGCGCTGCCCTGATCCCCGAGCACGCGGGTATTAATGATCATAAAAAACTGGGCGATTACAAAAAGAGAAAGTGCTAAATCCCGGGAGCTGGGGCAAGATTTCAAAAGGCAACACACCGAATCCAAGTCTGTACTTTAACTTTTTTAATAACGATTTTTTTTTTTCTGGGCTGGAAGCTCGCACTGAATCCTGGAGGAATTGCTAAATCGGATTAAGGTTATATTTTGCAACAGACTGGATGGAGCAATAAAGGAGAGCGCGCGGAAATGGGACTTCACCCATCAATTAGATCTCTATTAGCAGCCAATGCAGGCTTCACCACAGGAAATGTCACGTCCCAGCCCTAGCGGACCCTTTCGTTCCCCACCCCCAGCTCTCACCTCCCCTGTCCCTGGAGTTAAACAACTCTTCTGGCGCACACATTGGAACTAAACAAACCCTTTTGTGTGGAATACGGTTTTTGTGTTTTGTTTTTTGTTTTTCTTATTGAACTTGTTTTGGAACCCTGTACCACCTGCCTTCCCCAACCCCAGCGCAGCGAGCTAACCCCGGGACACTCCCACCCCGGCCGGCTGAACAGGTTGCAGCGCGACACCTGCGCTGTCTGCTGGGTCGCTCAGGACCGCGGTGCGGGGCCTGGTGCGCTGGGCCTTATTAATATTAAAAGCTTTATGACAGTCCTGGGCAGTCCGTAATGAAAGGTGATTAACAAGACAATGGACAGGATTCTGAATGCTGGGGCAACTCATCTGCTATAATAGATCAGACCCGCCTCGGGGGCCCAGCGTGCGAATTCCGCCCCGGGATGCGAAGGAGTTCGAACGCATGGAGTGGAAAACAGGCAGGCGTGATGTGGCCATAGTGGGAGTCAAGACTGCGGAAATGGAGCGACCTGCAGGCTAGAGGAGAGATCCACGTGCGGGATCCACTTTGACCTCGGCTTCATCTCTGATGCTCTTACTGTGTTCGCTTCGGCTTTGGAGTCCAAGATATGTGCGGTCCCCACTACGAAACCAGCTGCCTGCACCCGGATTCCAGAGCCTAGGCCCTTACCTATGGGAAATCCTATAGCTCCAGATGCTGGAATCCGAGCTCTGATAGGAAAACGCCCTAATGCTGGCATCTCTCGCTTAGCACATAGGCAAGAAAATGGGGCACGACCCCCAAATCCACTCCCTTCCAGCCTCCGAAAAATGCACCCAGGTCTTGACCCTCCACTCTTCCGCTCCCCAGCAGAACGAAAATTTCCTCAGGCCCTAGAAAGCCTCATTTATCATTCTCGTGGGGGCTCAAATGACAACGCTTCTTGTCCCAGCACGGCTGTGAATCGGGGCCCCCCACTTCTGCTCCCTTATCCTTCCTGCGCCCCTCCCGCTCCACATCCCAGCCCATAAGGAGACAAGGTGCAACAGCCAGGGAATGAGCAAGCAGGAGAAGTGGCCGAACGGATAAAGGAGGCACTGTTGTGGTTGCCGCAGCCGCTGCCCCCATTCAGGGACCGAATTGAAATGGATATTTCCCTCCTCGGCCCAGCTGAACGAGGCTCAATGCCTCAAAGATGCAGAGCTGCCTCGGTGGACATGCTCTGTGGCTGATATTATAATTTTCATAATGCGCTTTTATGTCGCGCCAGACTCCTCCGGTGAGGAGCCCGCAGAGCTGCTGAAAGGGGCTTTGAGAGGCCCGGGCGCGCGGCTGCTGCGAGCTGCGCGCCCCCCGCCGGCCTGAGTGGCACCGCGTGCCCCTGCCGGGGCGCGGCTCCTGCACTGCGGGCGCGCAGGCGGCGGCGGGCTCTGCCGGCGCCCCTTATTAGCATGCACCCTGGGTGCGCCTGGCCTGCTCCCGCTGCTTCCGGGCCTCTCTGCGCCCCTCCGAGTCTCTGCCATCCGCCTGGGTGCGAGGTCCCTGGCCTTGCTCCTGGTCAAACTCCATTCCGCTCCAGCTCAGGCTTTAGGGAAGGTCAAGGTGTTAAAATGTGGGCAGAACATTCCGGAAGCAGTCGGGGGCTGGAAGTCTTCCGACCTGAGTGGAGGCTGCTTTCCCAAGGGTCCGGAAGCAAAGGGACCCTTGCTGTGAGGGGTTTGTAGCGAAGGCAGGCATTGAGTGGGAGCCTCATCATTGCAACGAGTAAGGTGTACTATTTTGTTCTAAGCACTTAGCAAGTATTAATTGCTAAATCCTGGTCATGAGGAAACTGAACAGCAGAGAGGTTAAGTAGTTTGCCCAAGGTCGCACAACTGTTAAATGGGAGGGTCCACATTTAAAACAGGTGGTCTCAGAGTCCCTGTGTTTTTAACTCAGCGAATGGCTACTTCCTAATATCTGCTATGTGTTTGGCCACAGCAGTCAGTTCACCAGCAAGCTCATTTGCCAGATGCATAATAGGGAACAGATCAATTAGAGATTAATCAAAATGTGTGGTCCTCACCTCTACTAAGTTATTAGAGCTGACTGGTACTGGGTAATAGTTCAAATCACCTCTTTTTCCCTCTTCTTTATTCCAGCTTCACAGTAGGAATTTGCATGAAATACTTAGAGCCTCTGAGAGCCTAAATCAGACAAATACTTTGCCTTAGTTACCAATAAACACATTAAAAATTAATAAATATGTATCATGGTGAAACTAAAAAAAAAAGAAAGAAAAAAGGAGAAAATCTGCATTATAAAAGAACTTTCCAAATAAACTCATCATTTTTATTGGCCCTGGATGGAGAATTTAAAAATATAACTATAACTTAACCTTAACATATAGTAGGCCATGTTATAGCAGACTCCGGGCTACCATTCTTAAATGATCCCCTCCATCAAACTTGGAAATTGTTCATAAGAAATATCATGGAAAAGTTGTAAGACTGTAGTTAATTCTGTACCCAATGCCAAAGTTATAAAAAGTTTATCATAATTGCTCTCTTAAGTAGAGAGTCTGCTATTAAGGTTGCCAAATACAAACTTTATTTCTTTTGAAGAGGCCCAGCATGTGTATTGATAACAGAAGAGAACAATCAGTATATGTTCCCCTAATTCGTATTTGTTCAAAAGGTAGACAAGTACCAAATATATATATATACATATATATACATATATATACACATATATATACATATATACACACATATATACATATATACACATATATACATATATACACATATATATACATATATACACATATATACATATATACACATATATACATATATACACATATACATATATACATATATATATACATATACATATATACATATATACATATACACATATATATACACATATATACACATATATATACACATATATATACACACATATATATACACATATATATATACACATATATATACACATATATATATACACATATATATATATACACACACACACACACAAGCCTCAAATTTTTAAGTAGGAATCAAATAAACAGTGCATCTGCAGCTCGATATACCTGCTATGAATATCTGTCCTGCGAGCAATTGCCCCATAAACCCTCTGGGCCATATCATAGCCCCATTTGTCTATGACACTTTTCCTTGTCATAGTTAGAGGGACATTATGGTGTTGGCAATGCCCACCATGCACTGGGTAACAGAAATTAACCTCATGCCTTCATCTGCAATAATACCACAAGGTCAGTTAAGAATCAGTGTCAGATTGGGTTTTTATTTATCTATAAAGGCCTTTAGGGCTTAGTCTAAACTTGAAAATATTTATGACCTAGAAACTAGCAATAGATCTGAAAACACAACCCACAGATTCCATCCCAAGAGTTATTATATTTTATTCCTTAAACCAGCCTCATTGTTTTTGTTTATGAATCTGCTGGTGTAGCCCTGCATATCTAATGGAATGATCCCAAATTACAGCTAAAATCTGTTCTTCCTGATTTGTTGCAAAGCAATGAAAGATAACTACATCTGAAATTGGGAAACAGCAGCTGCTCATACATTTCTTCATTAAATAAACATCAAGATACCTGCTGATTGAAGCCATTTTGGGGTTTGGATGTGAATGGCTCTTTAAAACCCTTCCCATATGTTAGTCTCTATTAAATTCAACAACTTTGCTCTGGTTGCCTCTAAATCAGAGGTTATTAAATCCTTATTAAAACTTGAAAATGTTCTGAAGTAAAATTGTATTGCGCACTTGCAAAGAAGTGATAAACAGCCATTTTTAGTAAGCAATTTTAAAAATTATACACATAGTAGGATGTGGACCAGAGGTCAAATCACTCAGAACATTCATGATACCCACCTAGACAGCTTTTGTTTGAATTACGCAGCTAAATGAGAAGAGAAAATAGATTTGGTTTAAATTACTTACTTTCTATTACCTCTTAAACCCTCTCAAAAGTCTTAGCAAACCAAATCATCTTGAGAAATTGTAAGATGTGACAATAACTACCAAGATAATCACCCTCAAAGAGGAGTTGATGATAGCAAGTTAATGAATGTCATTACTGAAAATAAGAAGAATATTATCACTACTTATTGTCCAAGTTAACATAAGCTTTAAAACTTTTTTGAAAAGTATAATTGATAATCGTAAAATTATGGATTTATGTCAAGTGATGGATTAAAATATTGGAATTTTAGGATATGAAGTATTAGGATATTAGGATATGAAGCGAATCCTATAAGGATTGCTTAGGATGTTCATGGTAGTTACTGAGAGAAGCATAAGATGGCATGAATTACGTAATAACGTCAGGATTTATCTACAGGCAGGCTGGAAAACTGGGGCTCCAAATACCTTCTTTTCCACTCACCTGGGTTGTTTATTTCCCCTCTTTGTATGTAAGGGCATAGACCTCACAGGTTTTGGGGTCTTTTTGTTTTTGTTTTTTTGTTATTATTGTTGTTGCTGTTATTTTGGAACATTTTCATTTCCTTCATTTTATTGTAAGTAAGGAAATAGAAATGGAAATACTCAGGGAACTATCCAGATAATTCTCAAGAACAAAAATCTACCATGAAAGGAGAACTGTAGCCTAACTCCCCAAATGGGCTGTTGGCATTGATTTAACTGACCTTGTGCTTCCTTTGGCCTGTGCAGGCATTAGCTTATTAAAGGCATGCTGTAAGTGGGAGGAGGTTGCCGCTAGAACTGGATGTAAATGCCTTTGGGGAATCTTTTTTGTCTTTCTCTTTCTTTCTTTCTTTCTTTTCTTTCTTTCTTTCTTTTGGTTTTTTGTTGTTTGTTTGTTTCTGGTGGATATGGGAAACAAAATTAAAGAAAGCAGTCCCTGATTTAGTAACTTACAGATGATAAGGAACAGAAGAGGAGGAGGGGAAAAAGCTACAGGTGCACTGCCATGAGTACATTATGACCACCATTTTACCTGTGCAGGTTGTTTTCTCATTTAAAAAATGGGAAGTCACACCGATCCAGATATTCCTTCTCTGGCCTACATTTCTGATGCATAGGAGAACCAGCACATGACAGAGCCCAAATTAGTTCATCCCTGGTCACAGACTCAAATATATGTTTCCAGAATGTCATTTCAAATCTGAAGCTTTAAGTTTATGCTTCACTATTGGTCCTTTGCACTATATTTATAGAGCACAGTGCACTGCATATAACTGCTTGACATTTTTCTGTTAATTAACAGGGCCTCTGCTCTCACCAACAATGACAGTAATCAAATGGCTCTTACTGTATGTACCAAACATGTTAAAATTCCAAAACAAAAATTTTATGTGACTATTCAGTGTGGTAAATTGATTCCTGAAAGAAGCTATGTCAAACAGACTTCAATGGTGAACAAAATTCTACCATTTCTTTTTCTATATAATGATTTCAGATAAGCTTTTATGATTTATCCTGATTGGAAGTGACTAACAAAATTCAACTTTTGGTTTTTCTATTCTACTTGCCCCCGTCCCTCTTACTTACTAAATAGATTGCATGGATACCATAGATGTGATTAAATGAATATCAGGAGTGAAAAAGAAAGAGGGCAATAGGAAGACTATTAACTATATTTAAATATGTTTTGTTTTAGATAATTATAATAATTGTGCTTTCTACCTTCATAAATTTGCTGTTTGCAATGGTCTTTTTGAAATAGAGAAAATGCTTCAAATATTAGATTGTCACTTAATAGATGTTTTCACCATATGAAATGTAAAATTGATAATAAAATGGCAGTGAAAGAATGAGATAAAGGGTCATTCAGATAGCTGTATGTTAAGTTAAAATGTTTAGTACTTAACAGCAAGATTTACTAAAGACAAATGAGAGGTGAGAATTGTTGCTGAATCTCCAATTGCTATTTTAAATCTTACATGGTGAGTGTATGTCCAAAAATTGCAAATTATTTTAGCTAATAAAGAGTGTTTAAATAACTGTAGCCACAGCTACATGCTTCATTCAAAACTAATAAAGCCAGTAAGTTAATAACAGTAATTAACTCCCACTGCACTATACTCTCTTCTATAGATGCTTTGTAACATACAGTTGATATTTAAGGAGTTTGGAAAAGCAAAACACAGAAAAAGAGATGATGTGTGTGTGATGGATATGGGGGGGAATCTTATATCAAGAAAAATAAATATATTTGCTGCATAATTGTGTATGCCCCCACAAGATCTATGAGTTTATGAGAACACAGCAGATCATTAATTCTTAAATAACCAAGAATGGCAAGCATAGTTTCTCCATGAAGAACCAGTAATTCTTCAAGAGCCTTTTAAAATACCTGGTTAACTCAGACATTGAGTGAAAGGACTATCAGTATGAAAACATGTTGAGGAGGAGGGTCAAGAAGATTCAAAAGATGGGGAATTAAACTAAGACAGTAGGAAGTGGCATGTGATATATGCTGAATACACAGCATAAAATGTTCTTATTCACTCAGAAATTATTTCAGCTAACATTTTGAAAGATCTCTGGAGGTAGTAGGTTAAATGTCATTTTGGGATTTCTTTTTGCTATATTTTTTTTTTAGGATTTCCTTTTATTCACCTTATACAAAAGGCCATTTGTCAAGTTCAAGAATAGGAAGGACACAGTGCCAGTGGGCTGTTGTTGTTGTTGTTGTTGTTGTTAAGAAAGTGAGTTTACATCCCAGCATGGTGCCCAAAATGGTGTCCAAAGTGCCTCAAGAGCAACTGCAGAGCAAATGGAATTTCTACATGAACTCAAGGGCTACTGAAACCAGTCTATATGCAGAGAATTATCTAGATCAGACCCATATCCTATTGATTTGAGCAATAAAAGAAAAAAAACCTTTATTTTCTTGTGTATTTTGTGCAACACACACACAAACAACAAGAAAAAAGTACTCAAAGCAACAAACAAAACACACTTAGCAACTCCATGGGGAAAAAGGTCAGGCTACTATTGACAAGTATGTAAAGACACCTCCTAAACCATGGGAAAACATGTAGAAATCGTTTCGACTCACTGCATTCAGAACCCATGGAAGGGAATCACAAAACTGCACTTTGGCATTGTTGGCCTGAAAGGATATCTATTTATCATCTTATAAGACAGCTCGAATGATCTTTATCTACTTTGCCCACTTTCTGACCCAAATTCAGGGTTTTTATGGAAAATTGCAGTCAGTTTGATTGATGAAATCCAAAGATGTCTAAAATGGCACCAAAGATCTCCAACTGTGCAGACTCCAACCGAGGACTTCAATGTTGGCATTGTTCCTGAAGGAATAAAAAAAAAGAAAAAGAAAATGTTGAGAAAAACAGGCAAAAGTTAGGGAATTTCTGCTTTAAAAACTTCAAATTTCAATGAAGATCCCCAAACCCATTATCCCTGTTCACACGTGCGAACTGGGAGGACATCAAAGTATTTCCCACACATCGCAACAAAACCGGGTTCCTCTTGAACCAACAAACCTTTTTTGTAACCGGCTGAATGGCTGTATCTACGGAGCCAGTAGGTTGCGGAAAGGCGTTCGCAGGGTGGAGGAGCGGGTAGTTGGGGAACCGGGCGCGCCTGATGGGGCGCAGGAAGGAAAAACTGATCGACGCAATGGCCCCCGCCACCGGCCATTTGGGGCTTTCAAACGCCCTAACGAGGAGTCCGAGCGGCCACTGAAAGCCTCCCTGTTCCTGGGCAGGGCAGCCAGAGTGCCCTCCCCTCTCCCTTCCCAGCCTCCCGGCGGCGCCACCATTAACCCGGAGCCAGACCCAGGCGGAGGCCCCGGCGCCGAGGCCCGCGGAAGCAAGAGACAGCCCTGATAGTCTTCTAAACCCGGTCCAGTTTCGAGGACGACGCATTATAGTGGAATATTGTCACCTGCCTAATTGTTCTAAGCGGGCCTCTGCCCCTCCCCCATTAGTAATAATAGCTTAAACGCTCTTCCTCCCCGGTTACCAGGCCCAGGAGCTGATGAATGAACCCCCTCGTAGGGGAAAATCTTGGGAGCTGTCTTCTGTCCTATTACCCAAGGGGGCCGACTATAAATCTTCCTTCATTTTAACCACATTTACCCTCATCCTCCTCCAGGCTAGGGATGCTGCGTTAAGATTGCACTGATGTGCCAACGCTCTGGACCAGCTGCTCCTAAATACAGACAGGTCCTTGTCAATTAAGGCTTTGAGAAGCAGGTCCTCGGGCCCTGGGGCATTGGAGCAGCCAGCAGCGTGCAGCCCCCACAATTAGTATCCATTTGGAAGGGACCTTCAGGGCACAAATGCACAGGCAAAGGAAGAATCAAAACACCAGGCAACTTCAATTCTGGAAATTGGTCTTGTAAGTGTTGTGAAACTGAACAGACGGCCCCCAAGAAGGGAGCTAAGATTTCTGGTGCGAGAGGGGCCTCTCCTGCCCCCCTTCTCAAGATCATCCCTTTGTTTTGTTTCAAGCCAGGCAGTAGATTGAGTTTGTGGATAGGTTTAAGGGGAAAGAAAGACAAATGAATACATTCATTTGCCCGTTTCAAGCTGAAGTTGTCTTTTGTGGCCACCTCAAGCAGCTGGTCAATCCTGCCCAGACCCTGGCCTTTGGCCCAGGGGGCGCTGGACAAGACAGGCGCTCCAAGGAGAAGAGCTGCGATGTATCAGGTCAGCAAGGCCAATCCGCCGGTGGGCCAGGCAGAACATTAGCAGCTAAACAAAACCCAAAAGGCTCAGGGGGCCTAGGGCACCACTAGGGAAGGTGTTTGTTGAAGCAATTAGGAGCAGTTGGTAGTTAGGGGCGGAGAAGAGGGCAGAGCTTGTGACACAGGGCAACTTAGCTGGACAGCAAGGGTGGACATTCAGAGGACATCACTGTTTAAAAATGTGTGACCCCACCAAGTTCAAGAACAGAGCAAACAGCACAGGCCATTAGGGACAGCCGTCAAACGGATGGCAACAAAGCCAAGAGGGGCATTGAGAAAAATCTTTCAATATTAAATATGGAAAAGTATTGGGGACCAGGGCAGAGGGTCAATGAAAGTCAACAAGAGTGTAGGCTTAATGAGATAAAGAATTTAATATCAAAAATGCATAAATCTGCAAGGAAGGCAGCCCCATAATGGAGATAAAAGAACCAGTTCAGTCAACATTCTGTGATAATGGCACCATAATAGATAGCATCAGGTTGTTAACATTGAACACAAAAGTTAAGAGAATGAAAGGAAAGGCAGCTCCCTTAATTGAGAACCTGCTGGAAGATTTCCACAGGCCAAATGGGGTGAATGCCTTGCTAGCTGCTTTGCCAATGTTCTGAGCATCAGGAGAAAGGTGGGCCTTATTTTTCTTGAGGTTTCCTCACCACCCAACTTTTCCCCCTTCCAAGGCTTCCCCCTGAGAGGCGCACATTTTCTCTCTAAGAGTCAAAGTCCTTTCTCTCAAAACACATTGTGATTTTCCTCCACCTGTTTGAGCAAGGACATAAAGCTTCTTTTAAAAGTAACTTCACCTCCCTAACCTAAGTAAGCTAACAAAGTTCTTAGCAAGGAGTATATTATAAAAAGAATAGTTTGGGTTTTGTTTTATTTTTCCTGCTATGAATAAAAACATGTATTTCTTCAGAAGGGACGATCAGCCAAAAAGCTTCAAAAGACTTTTTCACTTTCCTCACTTTTTTCCGATCAATAGTAAATCTTATTTTCAAGGAATCTTCCAAGCAACAGAGTCCTTAAAATTCATTAAAGCTTACTGAAGCAAGTACTTCTGCTGTATGTGCCAGATATCTCTGGGACTTTAGCTGTACATGAAAAAGACCGTCTCTTTCGTATCCACAGGTAGATGCTGAAAATCAAGGAGAGAATGTCCTATGCTGACAGCAGCACAGCAAATGGTATGTCATTCCAATTGTGTACATCTGGTGCCCAAGACTCTAATTGTTGCTGCACCAAAAGAAAGGGGAAACCCATCTTCCTGGCACTCGTTATTTGGGAATGCCTTCTGCAGAGTGGAGTCATAGCTTCTTGTTTGTCTTTTTAATTTCCATGATACTTGTTAGTTTTCAAAACACATTTACATGCATTATCGAGTTGATCCTCACAACTATTTTGTAGAGTGAATAGTGCAGACATTATTAGTCCCATTGTCTATGAGAGGAAGCAGATTCAGAAATATCAAATAAGCCAACTAACTTATCAATGACAGTCCGATTTCTAACCTAGTGTGTGTTTTACATCTTCCCTGTACTTTGTCCTCCATGATTTGGAATTGGGAGTACAGAGGCATGGTCAGAAACTGTTATCTCCCTCAAGCCTGTGCAGGCACCTTGATGTTCATGCCTATCTGGGCTGTGAATAGTGCCTGTTTTAGTACATCTAGAGGACTTAGGGGACTGCAGAGCATGTCCCCTAATGTCCAATGCCCTCATTTCACAGAAATGTGACATTTCATAATGTCCAATGCCCTCATTTCACAGAAGACAAAACTGAGGCTCAGAGTCCTTCAATGCCTGACCGAGGTCCCCAAGTCAGGAGCTGGTAAATCTAGGCTGAACCAAAATCCCGTAGTACCACAAACAAGTTACAGCAGAAACTCTTCAGTGTCCACTACACCTGATTTTCTGTTTTGTTTGTTTGTTTGTTGTTTTGTTTTCTTTCTTTCTTTTAATCTCATATGGGACTATCTCCTCACAAACATTTTTGGACTCAATTAAAGAATAACTAATGGCTAGTAAATGAATAGATGGGTTTAGGGAGACTAATCAAAGAGACACCAGCTTGGACCTACCTCCAATGGCATTGAGAGTGATAATGTGAAAACCATACTGCGGACTTTTTTTTTTTTTTTTTTTTGAGACAAAGTTTTGCGCTGTCGCCCAGGCTGGAGTGCGGTGGCTTGATCTCAGCTCACTGCAACCTTTGCCTCCAAGGTTCTCCTGCCTCAGCCTCCCGAGTAGCAGACAGGCACGCGCCACCATACCCATCTAATTTTTTGTATTTTTAGTAGAGACGGGTTTCACCATGTTGGTCACGCTGGTCTCGAACTCCTGACCTGAGGTGATCCACCTGCCTCGGCCTCCCAAAGTGCTGGAATTACAGGCATGAGCCACCGCGTTCAAAAAAAAAAAAAAAGGAAAAAAATGTGTTATAAGAAAAACTGGCCCCAGAGTTTTGGAATCCTGAAATTACTGTTTGTTTTGATTTGATTTGATACAGCTGCTAAGTCAAGGTCTTGTTCCTGCAACTGCTGCTTCCCTCACCCATGAACAAGGAAAGCCCAGGCCACAGGGCCTGTGTTCAACAGAGCTTACTCTGGCCAGGCCCAGCCTCAGCTCCTCCCATATTCCTCTGCGGATGGAGACATCAGGGACAGTTAGGGTCCTAAACCTATCAGGGGTAGATAAGACTCTGTACCATCACACTTGGGAGTCACTCTGGCCATCTGACCTCTAAGAGCCCTTCCATCTCTAAATTCTGAGATACTGTCCTGATCTTCTGACTTGTAGCCACCTGGGACTAAGTAGGCAGGAAATGGCAGGTAGGAAGGCTGCTGCAGGCAATGCTACCCACCCCCCACCTAGAGGACGCCTTGGAGAGCAAAGCTGGCTCTGGCATCCCCAGGCCCATGCCAGCTGGAGTGACCAGACCAGGCAATTTCCACAGAATTCTCTGAATCATTCCCATCCTCTTTCCACCATCAGCTCCCTCCTGTCTTGGCACCTGGTGACCGCAGTGCATGGCGCCAGCTTGGCACTTCCAGGGCTGGCCCCTTCCTAACCCTGCCAGATCAGGTCAGCGAGAGAGCACACGTGGGGCACCTGGCTGCTTCTGCCAACTGGCCTTGTCGCCTAGCTGCACCCTTAGACAGCCAGGACCAAGCAGGGCATCAGCACTCCTGAGAACTGCTGTCCTCTTCACCCTTTTGGCCCCCACTCCCACCCCAGCTACCAGGGGAGAGGATTTTGGAGACCTGACCACTTCCTGGAGCACCAAGTGTCTGTAGGCCACCTTGCAAAACTCAGGACACCCGGAACAGCACACTTGTGCCCGCAGCATAAACAGGGAGAAACCTGTCTTCGCAGGAGGGAACTGTCCTCCATGATTTGGAAGGGCAATGTGAATTCCAACATATACCAGAGACCGAACTAGAGGTGAATAAGCCGAGGCTAGAATATGCAGTTTTAAAAGTTTTTTTTCTATAGAAAAATGTAAGTTAGCTAAATGCAACAAAAGATTTTCCGCGGGTTCAGGAGGTCAAGCAGATGTAGACAAGCTCAGGGGAGTTATTTATGTCAAGTTGGGTTATTGTAAAGGCGAGAGAGAGAATCGCCCAGGCGGCTTAGGCAGCCAGTGGGCCAGTGGGCCTGCGCGCCGGGGTCAGGATGGCAGGGCAGTGTGTCCATCCTGGCGGGACAGTAATTGCCCCGGGTCTGACACGACGCCGGGGGCTCAGGGCGCCTCCATCCATCTCCATCCAGTTAGCGACGCGCCCCCCGACCGGGCGGGTGGCCGGGCTTGGGCCTCAGCTCCGAATAATGAGAACAATTGTCTCCCCGCCTGGCATAGCCCTCCGCCGCTCCTCCGGGTTCGCTGCCCCTCTCATTTCTCTAGCCCTGCTTGTTTCCCAACCTTGGCGATGGGGATCGGGTGGGAGGTCAGCTCCAGATCCAGTGGCCCTGAGCTCAGAGAGCAGCGAAGTCAGGGTGCCCCGGGAGGAGATCAAAGCCTCGGCCCCCACTGCCCTCCGCTCTGCCTCTGCCAGCGACTAACTTACCTCTTTTTCCACCTGCCCAGCGAATCCAGCTGCCCGGCCTTCCCCTCCCATCCAAGAACCCCCGGCTCCTGCCTCTAGAATTTTCCACCAGCGCTGGGGGCTGGTAAAGATTCTGCCCCCCTCTGACAATTTAATAGTCCCAAGTCATCATCTGCGTGACACTGGCCATCCATCTTCTCCCAGGGGAGGACAAAGCGGGGCCTCCCGGACTCCAGGCCTCTCCCTCCCCAGCTCTTTCTATTTTGGGACAGCCTCACCACAATGGCGTCCTTATAAACCATAATGGCGATGTTTATGAAGGCCGCAATACCAGTGTATGAAGACAATTTTATGCCTAATTAGAAAATGATGTAACTCGAGAGAAGACAAAGGAAAGCTGTCCCCCTCCCGTTTCTCTCTCTTCAATCACACCCCCTCCCCACATTTCCTAGGGCCGGACCCCTTGTGAGTGCTTAAGGCTGAAGGACTCTGTTTTGACAGTAGCTGGGCTCCCCGCGCCCCGCTGGCCCTGGCCGCGCGACAGGAGGCTGCAGGCACGTCCTGCGGCTCCGGGGCGAAGGCTAGGGAAGGGGATAGAGGGAGGTCGCTGCGGGGAGGGGGACAGAGGCAGGCACAGAGTCCTAAAGAGATTTGAGACTCGCGCTCCTGCACTTTCTATCCCACGCGCCCCCATCCGAGGGGACCTCACCCCTGGGAAGACTCCAATAAATGCAACCCGGCGCCACTCGATTCCGGGATAATTTTTAATATATATGCAATAAATGTTCACTTTGTTAGATTGAATGACAGACAATAATATCGGCAAATCTTCATATCCATCCATTACCAGCAAATGAGCCGCACAAAGGACAGATTTGCTTTTGATTAATTTATTTGCAGACTCGGGTTGATAAAGCAATAACTATTTGGTTAAACTTGACATTTGGTCTTCAGGGGGTTATCAGACAAATCTCTGTCGCCCAGAAGAGATAATAAAGCTGTTTAAAGGGGATTAATTATTAATTGGCTGCAATTAATTTCCCCCCTTTTCTCGGCTGCTGCCACAATTCGCATCCCTCACCCACAAACAAAAGACAGAAGTTTGCCCTCCTCCCCACCCACTGACCTGGGGCGACGAGGGGATCCCCAAAGCCCTGAGTGAAGACGTGATCTCTTGCACCCCGGTTATTCCAGTGCAGACTATTTTAATGAACCCTTGGCAAAACCTGTCCATGTCTGTCCCCGGCAGCTTTTCTGGAGTCGAGGGTGCGATTAAGCATCAATCTGAGGGTCGTGGATTCGGAGCTGAATTTCTAGTCTCAATATTTTTGGTTGTAAGGACATCAGCTCACACCCGTTGTTATGTCTAAATCCACACTCCCCAACTTGTTTTCTTGGGGCAGCAGTTTGGGGGCTGAGCTGGAACCTGGGTGTGAGAGTATCACAAGCCCGCCCTACTGATCACGCGGAGAGGATTCCTTCTTCCCCTCTTTACTCCGCGCCCTGCCGCGGAAACCCTTCCCGTGGCCTCGAACTGGTCCCCGACGACTGCGGGGTACGCGGGGCCCAAAGCCAGACTCTACTCCCGCGCAGATGCGGGAAGACTCCAGGCTGTGCTTGAGCTGTTTTACTGGGCCTGGCCGAGGAATAAGCGAGCCTCAGCATGCTTGGGCCAGAGCGAGAAGCATCTTCATGACCCTGGGGTGCCCCTTCCTTTACTAATAACCTGTCAAGACTTTAAAGAACACATACTGAGACTAAAGCCCACCAAGCCTGCCTGGCCACAGCGCAGGCTGCCTCGGCCTCTCCGACATCCACCCGCTTCCAGGGACCTGTACGCTTTCCTTGGGTGCGAACTCGAGTCCAGGACCGGCAGGGTTCTCGCCTTAATCTGTACCACCGTCCCGTAAATCTGTCGCTCAGCCCATAGCCGGCCTTTGATCTCCAAGCGGAGCAGCTGGACAGGTGTCGAACTGCACTTCCCTTCCCGCTCTGAGCCACCGAACAAACTTGGCCATGCCCGGAAAGGATTCCCGTGCTCAGGGAACCTGGGGCACAGGAGAGGGTGGATAGGCGCGAATAAGCGGGCTCCAAAAAGTGGTGTGGCTTGGCAATCCTATTCGTTCTTGGCGGGCAGAAAATTCAGTGCGAATAATCTCCAAATACCCTGGTTGGAGAAAAGATAACTTGTAGAAAGAATGTGACGGGGATGGCCAGGTCAGATAACAAGCTCGGGTGTTAGTGAGCGTAATCTGACCGCAGAAAAGCTGATGGGAAACCTGGGCTTCGCGCCGCGTCCCGCTTTTCCTACTTTCCCATTCCATTCCCATCTCCCTTCCCTTTCCTTCCCTTCTCTACCTTATCCTCCATTCCCTTCCCTTCCCTTCCTAGGCATTTAAATAAGAACAAAGATTACACCCACAAAAAGAACCTTGCCTAGGAGCGCGTGGAAACAGCAAGGGCGCCCGAGCGGGAGAGGTTCCCTCGGTGAGGGGGTCCGCGCAGCGGCGGACCCCGCACCCCGGCCCCCAACGGCGCCTAGGAAGTTGTCACTCCTCTCATTTAAAGCCTCAGAAAAATGCATTCATGAGATTGTTTCTTTATTTTTCCTTTCTGCCCCTCTCCGCATTCTTTGCCTATTTGCTTTACGGCTTTTCAGCCTTGTTGAGGCCAAGAAAAGAAACCAGGTTCTTTTCTCTTGCGATTGGATCCGTATTCCCAGTTAGGGCGCCTTTTGATGTCCCCATTTAGCGCCTTTGACTGGTCAGCTGAATGGGGCCGCCTGCTTTTGTCCTTTCCCACAAGTCCCTTCAGAAAGATCCCTTTAAACGCCCGGTACCCGCTGATGGATCCGTTTTCAAACGGCGCGGGGACGGCAGTGCCGGAGGCCGCGTCTCCTTAGTAATCGCGCGGGCAGGGCTCGGCAAGGGGTCGCTGCAAGGGTCGCGCTCACCCGCCCCGGGTTTGGGCGCTGGGGGTGGGGAAGGGAGAGAAGGTTCGAACAGTTTTGTCTCTCCCGCGCCCCGGCTCCCCCAGGGTGCTGCGCCTCCAGCCGCCCCGAGGCGCTTCCCCCGGCGTCCGCGCGCTCCTCTCCGCAGGGGTCTCGCGCCCACGGTGCCGCAGCCGCGCGGCTCAGCCGCCCTCCGCACCCGCGCCTTTCCAGCGCCCGGGTTCCCAAACCATCGCTAAAGGCGGACGGGGGGCGCCAGGAGTAACGGCTGCTCCCCGGAGACCCCACCGAGCCCAGCGCCCGCCCCCGCCCCCTGGGCGCCCTGCCCCATTTTCTCCCTTTCCCAACTATCCCAGACCCCCAGAAGGGCCAGAATTTTCCAGAACTGTCCCACTCCACCCGCGCCCAGGGCTTCTGCACATTGCCCTTGGCAGGACGCGAGCCGGTCGAGGGGCATTTAGGGGTGGCCCTGCACGGCCCTCACTGCTGTCCCTTCTTCTCCCTCCGTTCTCCGGGCCAGGGTCCTCGGAGACCCCGTTCCGCGGCAAGTACCCCTCCCCCACCCCCGGAGGCGGGTGCAGTGCAGGGCGGGGGCGGCGGTCGCAGCGGCTCAGAAGCCGACCCTCCTTGAACCCGAAGCTGCCCTGGCCCGAGTATCCGCACTGGCCTGGGCCCGAGCGAGGCTGCAACCCTGTGAAACCCCCTGCAAGGCGGAAGCCTCCAAACCCAAACGACCCCGAGGGCGATTCCGCCAGAAATCCAACGCGGGCCCAAATAAAGTCCGAGGCCTTTTTGTCGGAAGCCCGGGAGGTGCCCGGCCAAGGTGTCCCCTGCCCGGCCAAGGTGGGGGCTCGAACCCTGAGCGGCCGCGCCGGCTACTTACGTTGAAGGTGCGCGCATTCCAGACGGCTCTGACCTGCCTCCGCCGGTCTCGATTATTTTATACATTTCTCGGCGATACACTTATAAACAAGTGGAAATTTTGCATCCTACTGCACCATTTTATACATGATGAGCCGTCAGTAATAGGATTATTAAACAAAAACCGTCTCAGGCGCTGGCGTTAACCTTTTTTAAAATGGCTAATTAGGTTTTGGACAGAAAAATTAGATTTAACATTGCTTACATTGCCTACATTTTCAGTTGATGCTCCGGTAATTTCGGATAGGCCGGGCTGCCGCCAAACAAAGAGATAATAAAAAATTAACTATTTTAACATATATTACAGATCTCCTATACCAAAATAAGGCAAAGAATATTTTCATGATCAAATATTATATACATAAAACTAATTATCTTTTTTCGGCAGCCTCCATCAATTACCGGGGAGGGAGGGAGCGCGGGGCGGCGCGCGCCCTCTGCTGGAGCGCGCGGGGAGCAGGCCGGGCCCTCCCGGTGTGGTTAAATGAATGGTAACACGCATGGCTCGTCCGCCTCTCTGCTTCCTCTAGACATCCTTTGGCTGTTTTCATCGCTCGTGTTTATTTCCTACTACCATCAAGAGTAGTAGCTCGTGACAGCCTTAAGCATCTCGGTAAAAATAAGGTGCCTACTAAATTAAAATGTTTCCCTACCAGCGATTTTACGGGCGACATGGAAAGTCAGGTGTCCAAACACGTAAGGCCCTGGTTTTGCCATGTAAAGCCAGCCTGGTTTTGACAGAAAGGCCCATCGCCGAGTTTATCTGGGCCTTTTATTTACACAGACTTCAGTGCCGTGCCAAAAATAAAAATAAAACAAACAACAACAACAACAAAAACCACATATCCAGTAGGCTAGATACTATATAGAGAGTATTCCCACGTTGTCTCAGATTAATTTAAAGAAATCCTAAAAGGGCGTCTTTGAGGCGTTTGCTGGACTCACAGGAGCGGAACCAGGTTTCCAAATGGTATTGTTTACAACAATACTCAATACTGCGCTCCTGCTCTTTGCCTAGAGGTAAACGTGTCCCCGAGGCCAGATGTTCTTCTATTGTGCACAGGCCCATTGACTTGGAGCCTTGCTTTAGGGATAGGATCTCCGTTTTACTCAGAAGGGTTGGAGGGTGAAGGTGTCCTCTCCTTGGGCTTTGCTCCTATTCACATGAAGCAAACAGCTGTGGGACGGTGGAGAAAGAGCAATTAGGGAGAAGGATATTTATAATCCCTTAAAGGGGCAAAATAGAATAAGAGACCCAAAAGAGATTATTTGAGGTGTTAAAGGTAAAAAAAAAAAATCAAATAAATAGAGGCTACAGAACTGCCTATAATAAAAATTATTTTAGAAGAGCTTAAGTCCCTGTCCCATACTTGTATATAACACTGCTACAGTTATAAACCATAGCAATCTCTTTTGAATGAATGACGAGTTCAGACCAAGGGCCTTTTATTCAGTTTACCCAGTTTCATTATTGTAGTTCATCATTCTTTAAATCCTTCAAGCCAGTCTTACAAATAAGCACAAAAAATGAAAAATTACCAGCCCTGAAATGTTTTATTAGTTTGCGTCTCCCCAAGGCTACATAATGTTATGCAAGTGAAAGACCATGAAATCAATAAAATCTCCTAGTTTTCTGCTGGCCAGTCCGAATGGCTATTGGCCTTGAGCACAAAAGTCCACAAGGACTGGTAAGGTCGATTTTGTGCTATTTTGGTCTCCACGGGCTGAATTTCAAAATTCAACAGGAAGCACTAGCAGATAGCAGATCCTTGGGCTTCGGATTTATTTGTTTCTCTTGTTTTACAGAAAGACCAGCCTCAGTGACAGTCACACTGTATGGAACAGATTCAACTGGCCCACTCTTTTTTAATAAATAAATGACATTAAAGAGTCTGGCAGTTCTGGGAGGCAGGGTTTTATGAGCTAATCACACCCCTGGGGGGAATTTGGTAGTGTGTAGTATAGTCTCACCCTGGGGGTGTGATTACCCTATGGTAGCCACACCCACCCATCATGCTTTATTTCTTAACCAATAAATCACTACAAATGATGTGATCTGCACAGCCATATATCTCAGGCCCCTCCTTGCACACACAAGCAGCCCCTGCTGGTGAAACCAGTGGAGCAAAGTGATGCTCCCTGAATGGACATATCCCATCCTGCCCTTTGTGATAAAAATTTTAAAACAAGGGTGTGTCTTAGGTCTGCCTATTTTTTCCTTTCTTCTATTGAGACATTAAAAAGGGACCCTGAGTTCCTCTTGCCACTCATGTTCCCATCCCTTTGATTTCCCCCAGAAGAGTGCCCAGCTTGGCATTTGGTTGTATTTAGTTGGGCTCCTGCTAGATTGAAACATGAGTTTTTCCTGGGAATTCTGGTTATTTGTGATCCTTGGGTGAGCAAGGCGCAGGCTTTTGTATTGTAGCTCTTTATCAGGGCATTGCTGGGACTGGCGCACGTGCTCTTAAAGGTCTCTTCGGATAATCAGTGTCACTCCCATTGTAGTTGGATTCCTCCAGCCTCGTTTTCTTTCCCTCCCCATGTTCCATCTTCCTCAGTAAAGCATTCATTTGCTTTAACTTCACCTAGTCTAATTGACAGGATCCATTGTCATCTGCCTAAAACTTTTGTTCTTCTCGTCTTTATCCCTCTGAAGTGAGAATGCTATGCCCCCTCCAACCTTTTTTTTTTTTTTAAGATTTTTCTAGCTGATCGCATACAAGGCAGCACTCTGCATAAAAAGGCAATGGCTAACCCAAGACAGAGTAACTTACAGACCCCAGAAGCCGAGCAGGAGCTGCACTACAACCTGAAAAAGGGCCCACACATTTGAGGCCTGGCACAGGGCAAGGAAACATACCTATGAGGCGACAGAGTAGAGTTTTCTTGTTGGGTTTTGGGAAGAAATAAATATTTTTTGAACAGTGACATAACTTGGACTTCTCCCACTTGAGACAAAACTTGAGAACTTGCTGCCAGATCTGGGGGAGAAATTACATTAAGGAGGAGGATTCCACCTCCAATATCAGCCCTGAAAAGAAGTGAGAATCCTGCCAGCATTCGCAGCCTGGACATCTGGAAAACTTCACTGTTCTGACCAGAGCTTGCCACTCTAATCCTCTGATCTCTTGACAGTGGTTCTGATCCCACT
This sequence comes from Homo sapiens, assembly GCF_000001405.40. Taxonomy (NCBI): domain Eukaryota; kingdom Metazoa; phylum Chordata; class Mammalia; order Primates; family Hominidae; genus Homo; species Homo sapiens. Next base: position 41,885,669 of record NC_000004.12, read on the forward strand.
GCCAGCAAGAAACAGTGCCTGCTGCATTTGGGGATGGGGGATAAGGAGAGGGCTTGGTAGACTGTCATTGGAAGATCATGAGAAGAGATCTCCATATTTTATGGTTATCTAGACAATGAATCTGATCTCAATTTATCAGGATTACTTGACCTCAGTGGCATGCATTTTCTCAAAGGTGAGTTTGGAGCTAAGAAGGATATCCATTAGCTTGACTAGTAAAAATATGTTGGTTAATGGATTCTACTAGACATTCACATTCAGATTGATTACTCTGTTATACTCTTATGAAGTACAAAAAATTTACCACCCCTTCTCCGCCTCAGAAGCACACATCTGTGTTCAATAGCAATCACTATCAAGGAAGTTTCATTTGAGAGTTGCCTGGAATGCCAATTGATTCTTTTTTTTTTTTCTTTTTTTGAGATGGAGTCTCACTCTTTCACCCAGGCTGGGATACAGTGGTGTGATCTTGGCTCACTGCAACCTCTGCCTCCAGGTTCAAGTACTCTCCTGCCTCAGTCTCCCGAGTAGCTGGGATTACAGGCACTCACCACCACACCCAGCTAATTTTTGTATTTTTAGTAGAGATGGGTTTCACCATGTTGGCCAAGCTGGTCTTGAACTCCTGGCCTCAGGTGATCTGCCTGCCTCGGCCTCCCAAAGTGTTGGGATTACAGGCGTGAGCCACTGAGCCTGGCCAATGCCGATTGATTCTGCCCTATTTCCACAAAGACACGATGCAGTCAACCAGTATACTAGTTCTTTTTTTTTTTGTATCCAGTTTAGGGGGATGATTCATGCTACATGCATCCCCCATGTCTGGAAAAGTGAGCCAATACCTGCATGTCTATTCATTCTCTTTAGATTGACCCCTCCTCAGGCACCTTGTCCCCTAAACCCCTTATATTTTCCTGGCAATCCATCTCTTTGACATCTTCCATTTTTTAAAGTCTTGTTTTTCTGTAATTGGTGGCTCCCTTCTTGGGGCTGACAGTGTTCACGTGTGGCAGCAGAAAGGGTGCTGTGTTTGGAGTTGGGGGAAATGACTTTGAGTTCCAGATTCAGGCATAGTAACTGTGGCTAGAGTGGACGAGGAAGAAATGTCCTACAGAACATTCCGATTTCATTAGACTGCTTTGGGGTCTGAGACTCAGTACTTTTAAAAACTCGCCAGAGCATTCTTATGTGCAATGAAGGTTAAGAGCCTCTGTTCTATACTGATGCATTGAAGGAGCTCTTGGGGTCAGGGACTCTACGAGGCCAGGACCAGAAGAGTGGGAAAGTCAATGGTGGGGCATCCACTTGGGCTTTCACTTCAAAGGGAAAAAACCCTCTTCCTTGTGATACTGCTCAAGCTCATTGTAAATAGTGTCCTGAATGTATGCTGGAAAAGGGAAAACATGCATGAGCTTCAGTCCAGGCTCTAATATTCCTGTTTTGTGACTTTAGACCAGTCACTTTATTTCTCTTGGGCTGCAGTTGTTTAAAATCTCGCAATGTGGAGATGACAATCTCTAGCACACGGGATTGGCATGAGGGTCAAACTAATACTACTACTATTAATAATAACTGCCATTCATTGCATTCTTATTCTGATTCTCAGGCACCCTCCAAGTGCTTTATGTGAATTATCTCATTTAACCCTTGCAAAATTCCATCTAAGGAAGATCTTATGAGGAAACACTGTGTTGAAAAGTCCTTTGTAATTAATAAAACCTTGTGAATGTATGATATCGTGCTCCACATAGTTTTGCAAAACTCCCTTACATATATATTGCCCAAGGGTATATAAATGAAAAGTAGAGACACTAAGATTTATGACTGGCTCTTTTAACACCAAGGTCATTGATCTTTCTACTATACTCCACTGGTTCCTGGATAATTGCAGATTATGTAATAGTATGTTTGAACTCAACTGTTCCTTAGTTCCTTGCTAGGAAAAATCTAATCCACCAAATCGGCTTCACCAAGATGCAAAGAAAGCTCAGAGTTTAAAATGTTTGATTTTATTCTATCATGAAGTATGGTTTCTGTATTCTGGCAGTGGGATGTATCTATTTTAAGGCTAAATGTCATTTCTTGGCATATGAAACAGTCATTTATTTATTCGGATGTGAAGTCCTTTAGATTTGCCAAGATAAGGACCAGTAGTCCTGAACTTGGGGATGCATTTCTTAACTGAGAAGCTCATAGTTCTGCTATTACAGCTACTGCTGCTTTCACCACATTTTAGAGGAGGCAGGCATTATAAAATGCCCTTTGATGAACATCTATGTAATTGAAGACTTAATACTCCCTCTGATTGTCACTAGTTCTCTTGCATTTAAATCCTGTTCTGTACAGTGAATTTGGCCTTGGTTCAGTTCACTTCATAGAGTGCCCCCAGGCCCCTCATTTATCTAGATGGCCCTGAGACTGGATTGTAGATTAGTACTACCTTTTGCTTTATTCTGTCTCTTGATTGTCTGTCTACCAGAAGGCAGGAACAAGGACTGGTTCTTCTATGTCATTGTATCTCTATAAAAGTTTTATTGAAACTGAAACTTATTTAAAATGCGTTTTATTTTTAAGTTACAGGTTTTATTTATTCTAGTTATTTCTGTCCTTGGTTTCAATGAGTGGACTGCCCCCTGGTGGACAAGAACTGTCAGCTCACATGAAAGTTAGCATGCTTTTGTAATTTCAGGCCATAGTCTGAATTATTTTTCTTCAATTAATATGAATTATATTCCATGAACAATAAGAATTGAATTCATAATATGTCAAATTCAATAAAAAAACAGAACTCTAAGATTCCTCCAGATATTCTTGGAATACCCTCAATTATGAGGACAGGGCCATAATCTTTGTACAGCAAATTTCCATTTTTCTAGAATGGCTGGGGAATTGTGAATTCTAATTCGGTTATCTTACAGTCGCTGATATAACTTACATAGGCTAATCATTTGCAAAGAATTAGTACACAGTGTGTAATGGAATACATGGACTGCTGAATGTCAATTTCAGTAGTACTTGACAATAATAGTGAACACTTACATAATACTAAGTACATCAGGTACTTAAGTTCATTTAATTTCCCCTTTTCTATGAATAGGTATGGTTACTATTGCTCTTGTGAAGATGAGGCAGCTGAGAACTGTCACACAGCTAGAAAATGATAGAGCTGGAATTTAAACCCAGGTCATGAGTTTCCAGAGAGCATGCACTTCAACCCTATGATAAATGGCCTTGCTTATGAGTTACAGAACATTTTAGGATGTCACAGGATCTCTCTTCTGAGCATTGCTGTTCACCAGTGTAGAAGTTGTAGGGGATTAGAATTAACCCTATGTCAGACCCAACCCCTTTCCCTTTCCACACCTTCCACTACCCTTATCACTGTGACACCTATCAGAGCATTGCACGTATTAAAGGTGCAGTAAATATCTCTTATCTATGAACTTGGATCATTCAAAGCCTTTTTTTTTCCCAGAAAACCTCAGCTCTCAGTTTATTTTTATTCATTTCTTTCTTACAAAATCATGGTGGATCCTACACAACCAAAATATGATTATTTAACTGTTTCGTTCAGGATAATATATAAGATTCTTCACACATGTTAGACTCATATGTGGCATATCCTGACCAAAGCAAGCTTTACCCAACTCAGTAAAGAAGACTATGTATCTGTTTTCATTCTTTTGAGAAAAAGTTTCTTGTTCATGCCAGATGAACCACATCTGCATTTCTGCATATAACATGTTAAAGGGTTTCTTTGACACTGGACTTAATGCAGGTCACTGCTATGGTTTGGATATGGTCTGTCCCTGCCAAAACTCATGTTGAAATTTGATCCCCAATTTCGCAGTGTTGGGAGGTGGGGCCTAGTGGGAGGTATTTAGGTCATAGGGGCAGATCTCTCATACATAGATTAATACTCTCCCCTGAGGAGGTGAGTGAGTCCTTCAGGGAATGGATTAGTTTCCCCAACAGTGGATTGTTAAAAAGCATATGACTTCCTCTGTTTCTCTCTCTTGCTTCCTCTCTTGCCATGCAGTCTCTTTGCACACATACCTGCTCCCCTTCCACTTGCCACAATGAGTTGAAGCAGCTTGAGACCCTCACCAGATACAGCTGCCCAATTTTGAACCTTCCAGCCACAAGAATCATGAATCAAATAAACCTCTTTTCTTTATAAATTATTCATCCTCAGGTATCCTGTTATAGCAACACAAAACAGACTAAGACAGGCACAAAAAATTTTATTGAAAACTGAACTCATAATCTAAGATGAGACCTTTACAACAAACTTGAATATCCTGTGAGTTTACCCTCTCAAAGGTGGCCGGGGAGCATGCCCAGCCCTGCAGTGCTCCTTTTCTGGGTGATCCATGCTGTTCTTGTCCCTAGCAGTTGAGATACTTGCTTCTAGTTTCAAGTCCTTATGGACTTCCTTACTCATCCAGAGCCTGGCTTGCTGGGGCTGCAGCTCTCTGACTCTCCCATCTGACTGCCAAGGTTAATTCATCATCTTTGCAAGAGGCAAACGCTCCCTTTTGATAGGAAGAGCCACTTCCTATTTGGAGAACCAAAATCAGATGTCCTGTTACACAGAAACATGGACTGTTGACATTGCCCATGCCACTTTGTTTAATCACTATGGCTGACACTGTGTGGGTTTCTGTGGCACACTGGTCAGCACACAGTAAGTAGTAATACGTTAAGTTGGCTGTTGAATGTACCTGGGAATACACCATGAGCCAGTTTTGTTTCTGTACAACCATTTTCCTGGGAATCAATGCAGCTCTTGGAAACTGCTTCAGGATAGTACATACAAGCACACACTGCAGCAATGTTTTTGAAGATATGAGAAGGAGGAAGATGTGCCAGTGGTTCAAGAAACATAACATGGTTTTAAAATACAGCCTAATGTGTTTAGTAACACAGGTGTGCTACTTTGTCTTAAAATTAAATATTAACATGGCCAGAAATCTTCCTGTTTATTCCTGCTTCTAATAAAGCTAACTTTATGTGGTGTTTGGTTGGTTTTAATAAATCTAGACCACAGAAAGAAAAACACTTCATCTGACAATACAACTTTAAAGCACCCTATTTTAGATACCTACAAAACGAAATTCTCATAATTATCAAGCTTCAACTATCAACATAATTAACATGGGCTTTAATTAAGTTTCTTTTTTTTTCCCCACTAAAAAAAGAAAAAGAAAACTTACCATCTGCATTCACCCAGAAGCACATGCATGGTTGAAATCAGACCGTCTGGGTGTTTTGGACACAAAAGAAACCTTTGACCACTCTGATTTGAGCATATGAGTGTCAAGAACCCCCAGAACAGAGCCAATCCAAAACGCGCTACAGTGTTTCTATTCAGAGGCCATCAATGTGCCTCTTTAACGGTTTTTCAGAATCCCAGGAAATTGTGATTACATGGCATTAGCTTTTCATTTTCTGAAGAATGGATGAAAAGCATGAAAGTCCTCTTGACAATGTGAAGAAAAGTATTTTTGGTTCTGGTATACTTCTGCTGTTTTCTGATAAACACTACACAGAAAATGCCTTTAAGATACCACACAATTATACATACAATTGTAGCTCAGTGGTGCCCGTGCTAGAGAGACTACAACCTTATCCAGGGAGAAAAAGACCCCCAAATGGCAATTGTTCTCAGTGAACAGTCACTTAGTCAAGGATGGTATTCATTCTAGCAATATCATGAATTTATTTTCCTTTCTCTGTGAGATGCTCTTATGTTACCATGGAAGTAATCTTAATTCAGCATTTTTTTGGGCAAGGTGGGGGTTGGCGGGGGTGATATTTCCAAGTAAATAACCGTAGGTTTTGACTGGAAATTTACTTCATTTGGCTGATTCTGTACTTGCTATATTGAAGAAGAAAGTACTTAATAGTCCATTGTGTGTACAAATTGTGAAAATAACATTGGTCTGGTTATATTACATGTGGACCAATAGTATTTACCAAATATCAATAAAAAGCACAAAGATTGGACCAGATTGTCAGTGGATTCTAAGAATATTTATGCAAACCCTAAGATTCCTGCAAGATTCAGGTAAGAAACCAAAGTAGAAATCATGGAATATTTTATGGCAAGATAAGGATTGAGGCTATCACCACTCACGCTATTATCCATTAACTGTATTGCAAGCTCATCAAATGATATTTAAGTCTCAGCAGAGACCTCAAAGGCTCTAAGCGTGTGCTTTTTGAATTTTAATGGTGTAAGAATTGCTTGGATAGGTGTTTATAAAAGATTCAGATTCTCAGATTTCCCTCAGAGATCATTTTATTATATCTAGAGTGGGGCCCAGAAGCCCGCATCTGAAAAAATATACCAGATGATTCTGCAGCAATGGTCTATGTCGCTGTGTCACCCAGGCTGGAGTGTAGTGGCATGCCCACAGCTCACTGCAGCCTTGACCTCCTGGGCTCAAGCAATCCTTCCACCTCAGCCTCCCAAGTAGCTGGGACTACAGGCATGCAGCACCATGCCCGGCTGATTTTTGTCTTTTTTATAGAGATGGGTTTTCACCATGTTGCCCAGGCTGGTCTCAATCTCCTGGGCTCAAGCGATTTGCCTGCCTCGGCCTCCCAAAGTGCTGGGATTACAGGTGTAAGTCACTGTGCCCAGCCTGTGATTGACTCTTAAAGAAAATTTTTAAAAAGTACAACTATTACATATCAACTAAAAATGAAAAGAAAAATACATTTTAAAAAGAAATATAACTTAGCCCTTTTTAATCCACTTGAAATACCTACCTAACCTTCAGATCGTCCTCATCTGTTGAAGTACTTGTACTCATCTTTTTAAGATTAATTCATCCCCAGGTTTGGATAAATATATATCTTTCCTGTCTCCATAGTAACGTAGTTATAAATGACCACTTCAGTGTCACCTAGCTGGGAGAGCAAAGGAAATGCATTGTGACAAAACCCCCTACCACAGCCATACATATCTTGAAACAACTCAAGTTAGAATGGACTATCATTGACCTTGATATCTGCTTATTTTGCAATGATAGGGAAAATGGTATGTGCTTTTTTTTCTCCCCTCTTCACCCATTTTGTATATCCTAGCTTCTCAAAGTGTGGTCTGTGGACCAGTAGCATCAGTATCACCTGAAAGTTTATTTGAAATACAGAATCTAAGGCCCTGCCCTGACCTACTGAATTACAATCTGCCCTGTGAACAAGATCCCTTGTGATCCCTGAGTATATGAAAGATGGAGGTGGTGAACAACAGCCTTTTTTAGAAAGCAATAAATGAAAGAGTATAGGTTTCCTCACAGCAAAGTTAAGCATGCTGTATGTAACATCAAAATGAACAAGTAAGTTCTATGGACTAAGGTAGACACTTTTCTTTTCCTTCTAAGATCATGTATTTGACACTACTACAAATGATCATTCTGGGCTCTATCCCCAACTTTTGCCCCTGAACCTGGGATAGCCCTGTAACTTGGGCTATCTCAAGATTCTTATTGCCGTGACAGTATTTCACCATGGTTCACTGCTCTTCCTCTCCCAATTCCCCTCCCACCTCCCTCCCTCCAGACACCAAGTCTCACTTCAACAGACTTGATGAGTCTTTCCTATAAGCAAGGCCCTGGGAGAGGGGCTGGAAAGAGGCAGATGCAAAAGAGAACCAAGAAGGACTCTGCCTGCTAAAAGATTGTGACAATAAGAACAAAGATGCGGGCCAGAGATGGTGGCTCACACCTATAATCCCAGCACTTTGGGAGGCCAACTTGGGAGGATCACTTGAGGTCAGGAGTTTGAGACCAGCCTGGGAAACATAGCAAGACCTCATCTCTATAAAAACGTTTTTAAAAAAATAATGATCCAGGCATGAAGGCACACACCAGTAGTCCCAGCTACTTGGGAGGTTGAACCTTGAGCCCAGGAGTTCGAGGCTACATTGAGCCATGATCATGCCACTGCTCTCCAGCCTGGGTTAAGAGTGAGGTCCTGTCTCTAAAAAAATTGAGCCAAGATGGGGCTTGAGAAGTACCAGGGCCCATTGTTAGCACCTTACAAGTATTAACACAGTCCATCTTTACAATAACTCTGTGGCATATGTTATGTACAGTCATTTGCTGAACACCACACAACTGGAAAGGCCACCCAACTAGGAAGGGGCAGAGGGTTGGCTGCAAAGGTTGTGCTCTGGATCACCATATAGGAAAATGGGAGCAAACTAGATGGTGACTGCTAGGGGAAGAGGAGCACATGAAGCTCCCACAAAACCCCCATCTCACAGTGTGTTAATCTTCATGTCAAGTGTGAAGCAAACACAGTTTCCTGCTTCCAAGTTCCACCCCTGCCTTGACTCCTGCACTCATTTCTCTTCAAAGGAACTACTGCCATTTCCACTGAGATTGGGTGTATATAGAAACCACAGCACTGCAAGGCAGATAAGTGCTGTGGAAAGTAACAGCAGAGTGCCATGGAAGCCTGGAGAGCCAAGAGGGTAGTGCCCATCAGGGAACTGGGCCAAAATGAATCTACTTTGCAAATTAATTTCTAGGCTTCCTGAAGGAAGTGGCATTCGTCAAGCCATGCGGGTCATGCAGCTGGCTAAGGGGCAGAAGGCCCTCCAGGCAGTGGGCACAGTGCCAGTCAAGGTATAGGACTGGATAATGCTAAGTCATACCTAAAGTTGTGTTCAGCTGCTTGGAGGGGCAAGTGAGAGAGAGCATAGGAAGAGCAGTCACCCTCTCAGAGGTGACTTGTTTTGCTGTGTTATACAATAAAGACAGCAAAAGTCTTAAGTTCATTTCTAATTCACATGCTTGTTCATCAAGGCATGGTAACTCAACTTACAGTTTAGCCAGGAAGAGGCATATTTACCATTGCGTTGGAATCCCCTTCCCTGGTCGGAGGCAACTCCTACTTTGGAGCCTACCCTGGAATCTCAAAATGTCAGTTACCCACTTTCCCAGCTTCCCTTGCAGCTGGGACCAGAGATGCATCAGTGTCACTGTCTGAGGAGAGTCCATGTAGAAGACAGTGGCAGCAGAGGTGGCAGATACATACAGCTTGAAGAGCTGTCAGTGGCTGTGGTTTTAGTGCAAGAGTCCCCGGTTCTGTGTGAGTGGTGGGGGTCGTTCAAGTTGTGTATCTGGACCTACTACAGCAGCAGTGCTGGCTTCACAGGGCCAGTTTCAAAGCATGATCTGGGGCACACACGTACACACATGTACTGGTGCCTTCTGGCTGTATAGTCTGTAAGACTTCTCCAGATGAACCGTTCAGTATTCTTTAATAAATTTCCGTTCTCTTTAAAACAGCCAGATTTGCTATATCTTGCTTGCAACTGAGAATCGTGACTGATACTTTCAGTATGTCAGAGAATAAACTGCATGCCCACAAGGACTTCAGAACTTAGCCCTTCCTTTTGTATACAGACTAGGTGATCTTGCACAAGTAATTTTAATTTTTTTTTTTTTTTTTTTTTGAGACAGACTTTCACTCTGTTGCCCAGGCTGGAGTGCAGTGGCGCAATCTTGGCTCATTGTAACCTCCACCTCCTGAGTTCAAGTGATTCTCCTGCCTCAGCCTCTGGAGTAGCTGGGATTACAGACGTGCGCCATCACACCCAGCTAATTTTTGTACTTTTTAGTAGAGACAGGGTTTCACCATGTTGGCCAGGCTGGTCTCGAACTCCTGACCTCAAGTGATCCACCCACCTCAGCCTTCCAAAGTGCTAGGATTACAGGCATGAGCCACCGCGCCTGGCATAATTTTTTTTTTAATGTTGGTGTTGTCTTGATTTTCTAAATCATTTGATGATAACATTTGGACCTCATACTCTAGATTGTGCGGAGCTAGGACTGAAAGTGTGGGAACCTGTAGAACAGCTGTAATAAGAAACATAAGGAAGATGAGGAGACCCTTGTATGAAATTACACAAATCCAAGGTGTTTTCTCCTATGAGCCTTTCATGGAATTGTAAGAGGTAGAATAAAGGCCCAAATTATTTTGTTCTGTTACAAGAACACTGATTGCTAAACTCATATTCATTTAGGACTTTTGGGGGCTCCAAAATTTATCTACTCAAAATTAGCAGAATTGTATGGAGTGGTGTGAACAGAGAGGCCCCAAACCAAAAGCAGGTGATTACATTTGCTATAGGTAAAACAAACTTCAGTGTGACAAAAAAGAATGCTCAAGAACATTGATGAGTGTTTTCTTTTAAGCTAAGTTGCCAATTAAACTGTACCAGCAGTAACAGCGCCGTATTATGCCATAATGATCCCAGAAGAGATAGACTTTAAAATATGGTCCCGCTAAGCCCGGTGGCTCATGCCTATAATCCCAGCATTTTGAGAGGCCAAGGCAGGTAGATCACTTGAGCCCAGGAGTTCAAGACCAGCCTGGGCAACATAGTGAGACCCTGTCTCTAGAAAAAATCCAAAAATTAGCCAGGCATGGTGCTGCACGCCTGTGATCCCAGCAACTCAGGAGGCTGATTTGGGAGGATCACTTGAGCCCAGCAGGTTGAGGTTGCAGTGAGCCATGATAGTGCCACTGCACTCTCTCCAGCCTGGGCGATGGAGTGAGACCGTGTCTCAGTAAAATAAAGTAAAATAAAATAAAATCCTAAATTTATAAATTTGAGAAATCATCAAATTCACTCCTATGAGGAAAATCATTATTTCAACGGAAATATTAAGTATTCAAACAACTTGACAGAACATACTGTAGAAAAAGATTTATTTTTTTGTGTCCTCTACTATAATGTAAGCTCTGTGATAGTAGGGTCTTTCCTTGTACATTTCCATGCTGTGCTCCCAACACATGGTAGGTGCTAAATCAAACTTGACTAGAGGGAAGAGGCACTCATAACTCCTTTAGAATTTGTGAAGAAAAGTGCATTATATATGGTTTATTTTCCTGACCATATCTTTGCAGCACACTTTTATCAATGAGTATTTTTAGGTGGTAAAACAGGTTACTGTTTAGTCTCTATTCCTTTTCATTCCTACATAAATGAGTGCTAACTAACAAGTCATATCTCAGTTAGGTCTTGCTTGTTCTACACATTACTTCTTCTTTTAGGACTTTCTGTTTTCATTGTTGAAGAGAAGTTAGTTAGACACAAAAGAACTTGACTTGGACACTCTTGGATTTCTCCACATAAGTCAGTATAAAGTATGTTTTATTTGATGATGTGACAGAATGTAAAGAAGTGTTTTAAATCTGGAAAACAGTTTTAGTAAAGTATAAGGGTTTAGAAACCTCTATGAATCTCTAATATTCTCCCTCTATTTTAAGCAATTGAAGAACTCTTGAAAGATAGCTCTTAGACTTTCCAGAGAGAGTTTCCTTCTTTTTCCTTTTTTTTTTTTTTTTTTTTTGAGACAGGGTCTTGCTTTGTTGCCCAGGCTGGAATGAAGTGGTGCAATCACAGTTTACTGCAGCCTCAATGACCTCCTGGGCTCAGGCAATCCTCCCATCTCAGCCTCCAGAGTAGCTGGGACTACAGTCATGAGCCACCATACATGGCTAATTTTTTTTGTATATTTTGTAGAAACAAGGTTTCACCATGTTGCCCAGGCTGGTCTCAAACTCTTGGACTCAAGCGAGCCACCCACCTTGGCCTCTCAAAGTGTTGGGATTACAGGCATCAGCCACCATGCCTGGCCAAGAGTAGTTTCTATCTAAATTGTCAATTTGTTTATGAGTCTGCCATCCTCCATCTACTTTGCATAACTAATATCACACACAATATTAATAATGTTCTTTCATATTGGGATTGGGAATGAGAATTTAATTTTAAATGTATTCCACAAATAATTTGATAGTTGCTTCCGTAAATGTCATTTTTAATGTACTTAAACTGTTTTCCCAACAACTCTGGCAATAAGCCATACTATGTGGCAAAGGCTTTCGTTTTTTTCTTGGATTAAATAAAACAACATATTTACTTTCATTTTTGTTTGACTTTTAACAACTTATTGCTGTGACTCACTCTGCTAACCTTGAATTTTAAAAATAAATAGTAGTTTCTGGTCATCTTTAGTTTTCTCACCATTTTTTAAAAAGAAAAAAACTGAATACAAACTTAACAAGAACATAAAGTGCCTCTAACTATTCTATTACATTTACATTCCAATTCCAGAAGACAGACAATTGTATTAGTTTCCCAGGGCTGTCCTAACAAGGTACTTCAAACTGGGTGGCTTAAAACAACAGAAATGTGTTGTCTCATAGCTCTGGAAGCTGGACATCTGAAATCAAGGTGTGGTTGGCAAGGCCATTTTACCCCAGTAGGGGAAAACCTGCAGGGAAATCATTCTTTGCCTCTTCCTCGCTGTGGCAGTTTGTCAGCAATCTTTGGCCTTCCTTGGCTGGTAGATGCATCACTCCAATCTTGATTTCCAGCCATCTTCCTATAAGCCCACCCTTCTTCAGTATAAGCTTGTCTTAACTTCTTGACTAATTAGATGGGCAATGATCCTATTTCAAATAATGACCCAATCTGAAATAATGGGAGTTAGTGGCTTCAACATATCTCTTTTGAGGGGACACAATTCAACCTATATCAACTATTTTGCTTTAAAAAACTAACAATTATTTGTATAGTATGGTTAATTCCAATTATATTATTAAAAGTATTTCTTGGCCAGGGACAGTGGCTCATAACCTGCAGTCTCAGCACTTTGGGAGGCTGAGGCGTGTGGATTGCTTGAGCCCCAGAGTTCAAGACCAGCCTGGGAAACATGGCAAAACCCCACCTCTACAAAATATACAACATTAGCCAGGTGTGGTGGCTCATGCCTATAGTCCCAGCTACCCAGCTACTCGAGAGGCTGAGAGGTGGGAGGATTGCTTGAGCCTGGGACGTCGATGCTGTCGTGAGCGGGGATTGCACCACTGCACACTCCAGCCTGGGTGACAGAGCAAGGCTCTGTTTCTAAAAATAAATAAATAAAAAGCATTTCTTAGAAGAAAAATTTGATCTAGCAATTTGAAAGGAAAACTTGAATGTGGTTCAGCAAAACCATGAGAAGAGGCAGTGTCATGTGAGTTAAGACACATCAAGAAGAACAGAGGTTTAGGGAGCAGGTAGACATATTTCTCCCCCTTTTGTTCATGACATGTCATCATCTACAAACATCTGGAAGAAAGAAAAATCTGATACATGTGGGTTTGCTAATTGCTATGGACTGAATTGTGATCCCCTAAAATTCATATGTTGAAGTCCTAACCCCCAATATGATAGTATTTGGAGATGAGGCCTTTATGAGTAATTACATTTAGATGAGGTCCTGGGAGTGAAGGGACCTGGGATTAGGTGCTGATAAGAAGAGAACACCAGAGAGCTTGCTCTCTGTCTGTCTCTCTCCTCTGTGTGAAGACACAGTCAGAAGGTGACCATCTGCAAACTAGGAAGAGAGGTCTCACCAGACCCTGATCATACAGGCACCCGATCTTGGAATTTCAGCCTCAGAACTGCAAGAAAAAAGGTTTCTGCTGGTTAAGCCACCCAGTTTATGGCATTTTGTTAAGGCAGCTCAAACTGACTAAGAAAAGGATGCAAAAACAGATTCATTCAATAAAATCTTGCATTAAAATGTTGTTTTCAAATAACTAAGCAATGCAGATATCAGGGCCAAGAGTCAATTCTACATGAGTAATGCTGAGGGAAAGTGGTCCACAGACTGGTCAGGGGTGCAGAGGACAGAGGATTTTGCCTGCTGGTCATGAATACAATGACTAGGCAATATCTTTCCCCACCATCCAGGAGATTTAGAGTCAAATTATTGATCATCTTTGCAGGGGATGACCTTGTAATAATAATGACAAACACACACAAGGCACTTACTGTGAACTTGACACTATTCTAAGCACTTTAAAAAACCTTAGCAACCCTATGAAGTAGGTACTATGATTCTTCCCATTTTATAGATGAGGAAATTGAGGCACAGATTAAATAATTTGCCCTGGTTGCCGCTATGAAGTAATAGAACCCAAGTCCATGTTCGCAATTACTCTGCTATGCTGCCATAAAGTTTCATATTCAGGAATCAAACCACTAATCTCTAAGCAATAATGCACTTCCTTAATAATATGGTTCTTTTTGTAATAATACAAAATTCTAGTATGTACTGACTTAGAGCAGTGTATGTGTGTGTGTGTGTGTATGTGTGTGTCAGAAGTCCAAAGGTCAAAAACACATATCACCAGAAATCATCATAATTTAAATACTCTGAAACACATCCAATTCCAGTGGAATTAATTTCCTGATAGCATCTTTACATTATTGTAAAGATAATTTGGACTTTGGTCCAAATGTTAAAAAAATATATAATTGTTTACACTTGGACTTTGATATTCTGCACAGGCGTATGAACCTACCCACTTCCCTTTACAAAATCGTTAGAAGAAGAATTAAGTTAGAGCTAAATTGCTAAAATTTGACAAAAATGAATACTGTAAATGTTTTAAGAAAAAGTTCATGTTCTCTTACAAACAATTTTGGATTATCCATATTAAGCAAATATCTCAGGGTAGATCATTGTTCCTTATGATAATTGATTTAAGCCTTATTACTAGATGGTATAAAATCCCAGAATTGACAACTGAACCTACCAGAAGCACAGAGTGATAAATTTTTCACAAACACTTTGAAATATTGATAAGTAGAAAATGTGTCTGTATTTCTCTTTTCCAATACATTTAACAGTGGTTGTATTTTAGAATGTAGGTGTTCTATTTATGCTGTTTAACTATTGATAATGTCTCTTTATGTATGAGCTGATATTTGTAAATGTGTGTATATTTATAAACATATATTTGTGTGTATATATGTACACACATAGATTGTATATACACATATTTATTATCATTCATGTCTGTTTTTGAAGAGGCTGAATTGTGTGCACAATTTCTGAACTTTTTTTAATATATATATAGTTTAAGTTCTGTAATACATGTGCAGAACATGCAGGATTGTTACCCAGGTATACACATGCCATGGTGGTTTGCTGCACTGATCAACCCGTCATCTACATTAGATATTTCTCCTAATGCTCTCCCTCCCCTAGCCCCCAAACCCCTGACAGGCCCTGGTGTGTGATGTTCCCCTCCCTGTGTCCATGTGCTCTCATTGTTCAATTCCCACCTGTGAGTGAGAACATGTGGTGTTTGGTTTTCTGTTCCTGTGTTAGTTTGCTGAGAATGATGGTTTCCAGTTTCATCCATGTCCCTGCAAAGGACATGAACTTATCCTTTTTTATGGCTGCATAGTATTCCATGGTGTATATGTGCCACATTTTCTTTATCCAGTCTATCATTGATGGGCATTTGGGTTGGCTCCAAGTCTTTGCTATTGTGAACAGTTCTTCAATAAACATATGTGTGACAGTTCTTCAATAAACATATGTGTGCATGTGTCTTTATAGCAGCATGATTTATAGTCCTTTGGGTATATACCCAGTAATGGGATTGCTGGGTCAAATGGTATTTCTGGTTCTAGATCCTTGAGGAATCGCCACGCTATCTTCCACAATGGTTGAACTAATTTACACTCCCACCAGCAGTGTAAATGCGTTCCTATTTCTCCACATCCTCTCCAGCACCTGTTGTTTCCTGACTTTTTAATGATTAGCATTGTAACTGGCGTGAGATGGTATCTCACTGTGTTTTTGATTTGCATTTCTCTAATGACCAGTGATGATGAGCTTTTTGTTATATATTTGTTGGCTGCATAAATATCTTCTTTTGAGAAGCACTTGTTCATATCCTTTGCCCACTTTTTAATGGGGTTGTTTGTTTCTTTCTTGTAAATTTGTTTAAGTTCCTTGTAGATTCTGGATATTAGCCCTTTGTCAGACGGATAGATTGCAAAAGTTTTCTCCCATTCTGTAGGTTGCCTGTTCACTCTGATGACAGTTTCTTTTGCTGTGCAGAAGCTCTTTAGTTTAATTAGATCCCATTTGTCAATTTTGGCTTTTGTTCCCATTGCTTTTGGTGTGATAGTCATGAAGTCCTTCCCCGTGCCTATGCCCTGAATGGTACTGCCTAGGTTTTCTTCTAGGGTTTTTACGGTTTTAGGTCTTACGTTTAAGTCTTTAATCCATCTTGAGTTAATTTTTGTGTAAGGTATAAGGAAGGGGTCTAGTTCCAGTGTTCTGCATATGGCTAGCCAGGTTTTCCCAACACCATTTATTAAATAGGGAATATTTCCCCATTGCTTGTTTTTGTCAGGTTTGTCAAAGATCTGATGGTTGTAAATGTGTGGCATTATTTCTGAGGTCTCTGTTCTGTTCCATTGGTCTATATATCTGTTTTGGTACCAGTACCATGCTGTTTTGGTTACTGTAGCCTTGTAGTATAGTTTGAAGTCAGGTAGCATGATACATCCAGCTTTGTTTTTTTTTTTTTTTTTTTGCTTAGGATTGTCTTAGCTATACAGGCTCTTTTTTGGTTCCATATGAAATTTAAAGTAGTTTTTTCTAATTCTGTGAAGGAAGACAATGGTAGCTTCGTGGGGATAGCATTTAATTTATACTTTGGGCAGTTTGGCCATTTTCATGATATTGATTCTTCCTATCCATGAGCATGAAAAGTTTTTCCACTTGTTTGTGTCCTCTCTTATTTCCTTGAGCAGTGGTTTGTAATTCTACACATCCTTCACATCCCCTGTAAGTTGTATTCCTAGGTATTTTATTCTCTTTGTAGCAATTGTGAATGGGAGTTCACTCATGATTTGGCTCTCTGTTTGTCTATTATTGTTGTATAGGAATGCCTGTGATTTTTGCACATTGATTTTGTATCCTGAGACTTTGCTGAAGTTGCTTATCAGCTTAAGGAGATTTGGGGCTGAGATGATGGGGTTTTCTAAATATAAAATCATGTCATCTGCAAACACAGACAATTTGACTTCCTCTCTTCCTATTTGAATACCCTTTATTCTTTCTCCTGCCTGATTGCCCTGGCCAGAACTTGCAATACTGTGTTGAATAGGAGTGGTGAGAGAAAGCATCCTTGTCTTGTGCTTGTTTTCAAAGGGAATGCTTCCAGCTTTTGCCCATTCAGTGTGATACTGGCTGTGGGTTTGTCATAAATAGCTCTTATTATTTTGAGATACCTTTCATCAATATCTAGTTTATTGAATTTTTAGCATGAAGGGGTTTTGAATTTTATCAAAGGCCTTCTCTGCATCTATTGAGATAATCATGTGGTTTTGTTATTGGTTCTGTTTATGTGATGGATTATGTTTATTGATTTGTGTATGTTGAACCAGCCTTGCATCCTCAGGATGAAGCTGACTTGATCATGATGGATAAGTTTTTTGATGTGCTGCTGGATTCGGTTTGCCAGTATTTCATTGAGGATTTTCGCATCAATGTTCATTAGGGATATTGGCCTGAAATTTTCTTTTTTTGTTGTGTCTCTGCCAGGGATTGGTATCAGGATGATGCTAGCCTCATAAAATGAGTTAGGGAGGAGTCCCTGTTTTTCTATTGTTTGGAATAGTTTCAGAAGGAACCGCATCAGCTCCTCTTTGTACCTCTGGTAGAATTTGGCTGTGAATCCATCTGGTCCTGGGCGTTTTTTGGTTGGTAGACTATTAACTGCTGCCTCAATTTCAGAACTTGTTATTGGTCTATTCAAGGATTCAACTTCTTCCCGGTTTAGTCTTGAGAGGGTGTATGTGTCCAGGAATTTATCCATTTCTTTTAGATTTTCTAGTTTATTTGCATAGAGGTGTTTATGGTATTCTCTGATGGTAGTTTGTGTTTCTGTGGGATCCGTGGTGATATCCCCTTTATCATTTTTTATTGTGTCTATTTGATTCTTCACTCTTTTCTTCTTTATTAGTCTGGCCAGTGGTCTATTTTGTTAATCTTTTCCAAAAACCAGCTCCTGGATTCACTGATTTTTTGATTTTTCGTGTCTCTATCTCCTTCAGTTCTGCTCTGATCTCAGTTACTTCTTGTGTTCTGCTACCTTTTGAATTTGTTTGCTCTTTCTTCTCTAGTTCTGTTAATTGTGATGTTAGGGTGTCAACTTTAGATCTTTCCCTTTTTCCTGTGGGCATTTAGTGCTATAAATTTCCCTCTAAACACTGCTTTAGCTGTGTCCCAGAGATGCTGGTACATGGTGTCTTTGTTCTCATTGGTTTCAAATAACATATTTATTTGTGCCTTAATTTTATTATTTGCCCAGTAGTCATTCAGGAGCAGGTTGTTCAGTTTCCATGTAGTTGTGTGGTTTTGAGTGAGTTTCTTAATCCCGAGTTCTAGTTTGATTGCACTGTGGTCTGAGAGACTGTTTGTTTTGATTTCTGTTCTTTTGCATTTGCTGAGGAATGTTTTACATCCAATTATGTCATCAATTTTAGAATAAGTGCTATGTGGTGCTGAGAAGAACGTATATTCTGTCGATTTGGGGTGGGGAGTTCTGTAGGTGTCTATTAGGTCTGCTTGGTCCAGAGGTGAGTTCAAGTCTCGAATATCCTTGTTAATTTTCTGTCTCGTTGATCTGTCTAATATTGACAGTGGAGTGTTAAAGTCTCCCACTATTATTGTGTGGGAGTCTAAGTCTCTTTGTAGGTCTCTAAGAACTTGCTCTATGAATCTGGGTGCTCCTGTATTGGGTGCATATATATTTAGGATAGTTAGCTCTTCTTGTTGCATTGATCACTTTACCATTATGTAATGCCCTTCTTTGTCTTTTTTTATCTTTGTTGGTTTAAAGTCTGTTTTATCAGAGACTAGGATTGCAACCCCTGCTTTATTTTGTTTGTTTGCTTTTGCTTTCCATTTGCTTGGTAAATATTCCTCCATTCTTTTATTTTGAGCTTACATGTGTCTTTGCACATGAGATGGGTCTCCTGAATACAGCACACCAATAGGTCTTGACTCTTTATCCAATCTGCCAGTCTGTGTCTTTTAATTGGGGCATTTAGCCCATTTGCATTTAAGGTTAACATTGTTATGTGTTAGTTTGATCCTGTCGTTATGATGCTAGCTGGTTATTTTGCCCATTAGTTGATGCAGTTTCTTCATAGTGTTAATGGTCTTTACAATTTGGTATGTTTTTGCAGTGGCTGGTACTGATTGTCCTTTCTATATTTAGTGCTTCCTTCAGGAGCTCTTGTAAGGCAGGACTGGTGGTGACAAAATCTCTCAGCATTTGCTTATCTGTAAAGGATTTTATTTCTCCTTCACTTATGAAGCTTAGTTTGGCTGGATATGAAATTCTGGGTTAAAAATTCTTTTCTTTAAGAATGTTGAATATTGGCCCCCACTCTCTTCTGGCTTGTAGGTTTCTTCAGAGAGATCCACTGTTAGTCTGATGGGCTTCCCTTTGTGGATAACCCGACCTGTCTCTCTGGATGCCCTTAACATTTTTTCCTTCACTTCAACCTTGGTGAATCTGATGATTATGTGTCTTGAGGTTGCTCTTCTCCTGGAGTATCCTTGTGGTGTTCTCTGTATTTCCTGAATTTGAATATTGGCCTGTGTTGCTAGGTTGGGGAAGTTCTCCTGGATAATCTCCTGAAGAGTGTTTTACAACTAGGTTCCATTCTCCCCATCATTTTCAGGGAAATCAAACGTAGGTTTGGTCTTTTCACGTAGTCTCATATTTCTTGGAAACTTTGTTCATTCTTTTTCATTCTTCTTCCTTTAATCTTGTCTTCACGCTTTATCTCATTAAGTTGATCTTCAATCTCTAATATCCTTTCTTCCACTTGATTGATTTGGCTATTGATACTTGTGTATGCTTCAGAAAGTTCTTGTGCTGTGTTTTTTGGCTCCATCAGGTCATTTATGTTCTTCTCTAAACTGGTTATTCTAGTTAGCAATTTCTCTAACCTTTTTTCAAGGTTCTTAGCTTCCTTGCATTGGGTTAGAACATGCTCCTTTAGGGATATCACCACCGATCCCACAGAAATACAAACTACCATCAGAGAATACTACAAACACCTCTACGCAAATAAACTAGAAAATCTAGAAGAAATGGATAAATTCCTCGACACATACACCCTCCCAAGACTAAACCAGGAAGAAGTTGAATCTCTGAATACTCCAATAACAGGCTCTGAAATTGAGGCAATAATCAATAGCTTACCAACCAAAAAGAGTCCAGGACCAGATGGATTCACAGCCGAATTCTACCAGAGGTACATGGAGGAACTGGTACCATTCCTTCTGAAACTATTCCAATCAATAGAAAAAGAGGGAATCCTCCCTAACTCATTTTATGAGGCCAGCATCATCCTGATACCAAAGCCTGGCAGAGACACAACCAAAAAAGAGAATTTTAGACCAATATCCTTGATGAACATTGATGCAAAAATCCTCAATATAATACTGGCAAAACGAATCCAGCAGCACATCAAAAAGCTTATCCACCATGATCAAGTGGGCTTCATCCCTGGGATGCAAGGCTGGTTCAATATATGCAAATCAATAAATGTAATCCAGTATATAAACAGAACCAAAGACAAAAACCACATGATTATCTCAATAGATGCAGAAAAGGCCTTTGACAAAATTCAACAACGCTTCATGCTAAAAACTCTCAGTAAATTAGGTATTGATGGGACGTATCTCAAAATAATAAGAGCTATCTATGACAAGCCCACAGCCAATATCATACTGAATGGGAAAAAACTGGAAGCATTCCCTTTGAAAACTGGCACAAGACAGGGATGCCCTCTCTCACCACTCCTATTCAACATAGTGTTGGAAGTTCTGGCCAGGGCAATTAGGCAGGAGAAGGAAATAAAGGGTATTCAATTAGGAAAAGAGGAAGTCAAATTGTCCCTGTTTGCAGATGACATGATTGTATATCTAGAAAACCCCATTGTATCAGCCCAAAATCTCCTTAAGCTGATAAGCAACTTCAGCAAAGTCTCAGGATACAAAATCAATGTACAAAAATCACAAGCATTCCTATACACCAATAACAGACAAACAGAGAGCCAAATCATGAGTGAATTCCCATTCACAATTGCTTCAAAGAGAATACAATACCTAGGAATCCAACTTACAAGGGACGTGAAGGACCTCTTCAAGGAGAACTATAAACCACTGCTCAATGAAATAAAAGAGGATACAAACAAATGGAAGAACATTCCATGCTCATGGGTAGGAAGAATCAATATCGTGAAAATGGCCATACTGCCCAAGGTAATTTATAGATTCAATGCCATCCCCATCAAGCTACCAATGACTTTCTTCACAGAATTGGAAAAAACTACTTTAAATTTCATATGGAACCAAAAAAGAGCCCGCATCACCAAGTCAATCCTAAGCCAAAAGAACAAAACTGGAGGCATCAGGCTACCTGACTTCAAACTATACTACAAGGCTACAGTAACCAAAATAGCATGGTACTGGTACCAAAACAGAGATATAGATCAATGGAACAGAACAGAGCCCTCAGAAATAACGCCGCATATCTACAACTATCTGATCTTTGACAAACCTGACAAAAACAAGCAATGGGGAAAGGATTCCCTATTTAATAAATGGTGCTGGGAAAACTGGCTAGCCATATGTAGAAAGCTGAAACTGGATCCCTTCCTTACACCTTATACAAAAATCAATTCAAGATGGATTAAAGACTTAAACGTTAGACCTAAAACCATAAAAACCCTAGAAGAAAAACTAGGCATTACCATTCAGGACATAGGCATGGGCAAGGACTTCATGTCTAAAACACCAAAAGCAATGGCAACAAAAGCCAAAATCGACAAATGGGATCTAATTAAACTGAAGAGCTTCTGCACAGCAAAAGAAACTACCATCAGAGTGAACAGGCAACCTACAACATGGGAGAAAATTTTTGCAACCTACTCATCTGACAAAGGGCTAATATCCAGAATCTACAATTAACACAAACAAATTTACAAGAAAAAAACAAACAACCCCATCAAAAAGTGGGCGAAGGACATGAACAGACACTTCTCAAAAGAAGACATTTATGCAGCCAAAAAACACATGAAAAAATGCTCACCGTCACTGGCCATCAGAGAAATGCAAATCAAAACCGCAATGAGATACCATCTCACACCAGTTAGAATGGTAATCATTAAAAAGTCAGGAAACAACAGGTGCTAGAGAGGATGTGGAGAAATAGGAACACTTTTACACTGTTGGTGGGACTGTAAACTAGTTCAACCATTGTGGAAGTCAGTGTGGCGATTCCTCAGGGATCTAGAACTAGAAATACCATTTGACCCAGCCGTCCCATTACTGGGTATATACCCAAAGGACTATAAATCATGCTGCTATAAAGACACATGCACACATATGTTTATTGCAGCATTATTCACAATAGCAAAGACTTGGAACCAACCCAAATGTCCAACAATGATAGACTGGATTAAGAAAATGTGGCACATATACACCATGGAATACTATGCAGCCATGAAAAATGATGAGTTCATGTCCTTTGTAGGGACATGGATGAAATTGGAAATCATCATTCTCAGTAAACTAGCACAAGGACAAAAAACCCAAACACCACATGTTCTCACTCACAGGTGGGAATTGAACAATGAGAACACATGGACACAGGAAGGGGAACATCACACTCTGGGGACTGTTTTGGGGTGGGGGGAGGGGGGAGGGATAGCATTAGGAGATATACCTAATGCTAAATGACGAGTTAATGGGTGCAGCACACCAGCATGGCACATGTATACATATGTAACTAACCGGCACATTGTGAACATGTACCCTAAAACTTAAAGTATAATAATAATAAAATAAAATAAAAAATAAAAAAATAAAAAAAAAGAACATGCTCCTTTAGCTTGCAGGAGTTTTTTTTACCCATCTGCTGAAACTTTCTTCTGTCAATTCGTCAAACTCATTCTCTGTCCAGTTTTGTTCCCTTGCTGGCAAGAAGTTGTGATCCTTTGGAGGGAAGAGGTGTTCTGGTTTTTGGAATTTTCAGCCTTTTTGCACTGGTTTTTCCTCATCTTCGTGGATTTATCTACCTTTGGTCTTTGATGTTAGTGACCTGTGGATGGGGTTTTTATGTGGACATCCTTTTTGTTGATGTTGATGCTATTCCTTTCTGTTTTTTAGTTTTCTTTCTAACAGTCAGGCCTCTCTGCTGCAGGTCTGCTGGAGTTTGCTGGAGGTCCACTCCAGACCCTGTTTGCCTGGGTATCAACAGTGGATGCTGCAGAACAGCAAAGATTGCTGCCTGTTCCTTGTCTGGAAACTTCATCCCAGAGGGTCACCCGCCAGATGCCAGCCAGAGCTCTCCTGTATGAGGTGTCTGTTGACCCCTGCTGGGAGGTGTCTCCCCATAAGGAGACACGGGGGTCAGGGACCCACTTGAGGAGGCAGTCTGTCCCTTATCAGAGCTCGAGCACTGTGCTTGGTAGATCCACTGCTCTCTTCAGAGCTGGCAAGCAGGAACATTTAAGTCTGCTGAAGCTGTGCCCGCAGTAGCCCCTTCCCCCAGGTGCTCTGTCCCAGGGAGATGGTAGTTTTATCTAGAAGCCCCTGACTGGGGCTGCTGCCTTTCTTTCAGAGATGCCCTGCCCAGAGAGGAGGAATCTGGAGAGGCAATCTAGCTACAGAGGCTTTGTCGAGCTGCAGTGGGCTCCACCCAGTTCAAACTTCCCAGCAGCTTTGTTTACACTATGAGGGGAAAACCACCTACTCATGCCTCAGTAATGGTGGATGCCCCTCCCCCAACCAAGGTCAAGCATCCCAGGTCAACTTCAGACTCCTGTGCTGGCAGTGAGAATTTCAAGCCAGTGGATCTCAGCTTTCTGGGCTCCATGGTGGTGAGATTTGCTGAGCTAGACCACTTGGCTCCCTGGCTTCAGCCCCCTTTCCTGGGGAGTGAAGGTTGTGTCTGGCTGGCATTCCAGGTGCCACTGAGGTACGAAAAAAAAAAAAAAACTCCTGCAGCTAGCTCGGTGTCTGCCCAAATGGTCTCCAAGTTTTGTGCTTGAAACCCAGGGCCCTGGTGGCATAGGCACCCAAGGGAATCTCCTGGTCTGCAGGTTGCCAAGACCATGGGAAAAGTGTAGTATCTGGGCTGGAATGCACCATTCCTCACAGCACAGTCCCTCGTGGCTTCCCTTGGCTAGGGGAAGGAGTTCCCTGACCCCTTGCACTTCCCAGGTGAGGTGACACCCCACCCTGCTTCAGCTTGCCCTCCGTGGGCTGCACCCACTGTGTAACCAGTCCCAGTGAGGTGGGCTGTGTACCTCAGCTGGAAATGCAGGCCAGGTGTGGTGGTTCATGCCTGTAATCCCAACATTTTGAGAGGATGATGTGGGTGGATGGCCTGACGTCAGGAGTTCTAGACTAGCCGGCCAACATGGTGAAACCCCGTCTCTCCTAAAAATACAAAATTAGCCAGGCGTGATGGCACATGCCTGTAATCCCAGCTACTCGGTAGGCTGAGGCAGGGTAATTGCCTGAACCTAGGAGGCAGAGGTTGCAGTGAGCCGAGATCACACCACTGCACTCCAGCCTGGGCAACGAGAGTGAAACACCATCTCAAAAAAAAAAAAAAAAAAAAGGAAATGCAGAAATCACTTACCTTCTGCTGGGAGGTGTAGGCCAAAGCTCTTCCTATTTGGCTATCTTGCCAGCCACCCCTACAGTAGATTTTTTTTTGAGACAGGCTCTCATTCTTTTGCCCAGGCTGCAGTGCAGTAGAGCAATCATGGCTCACTGAAGCCTCCAGCTCCTGGGCTCAAGTGATCCTCCCACCTCAGCCTCCCGAGTAGCTACGACTACAGGCTCACACCACCATACCAGGCTAATTTTTTTTTTTTTTTTTTGGTAGAGACGTGCTTTCATCAGGTTGCCCAGGCTGGTCTTGAACTCCTTGGCTCAAGTGATCTGCAAAGTGCTGGGACTACAGGCTTGAACCACAGTGCCCAGCTTATTCCTGAACTTTTTAGATTATAATATAGTTAACAGAGTGCTAAATTACTGGAGATTGAAGAATAAGAGTGGAAAAAGAGCATTTGGTAATTTCTTTTTTTTTTTTTTTTTTTTTTGAGACAGAGTCTTGCTCTGTCACCCAGGCTGGAGTGCAGTGGTGCGATCTCGGCTCACTGCAAGCTCCGCCTCCCGGGTTCACGGCATTCTCCTGCCTCAGCCTCCCGAGTAGCTGGGACTATGGGCACCCGCCACCACACCCAGCTAATTTTTGTATTTTCAGTAGAGACGGGGTTTCGCCATGGTCTCGATCTCCTGACCTCATGATCCACACGCCTCGGCCTCCCAAACTGCTGGGATTACAGGCATGAGCCACAGCGCCCGGCCTAGCATTTGGTAATATCTTGATGTTGCTAGTTTTGTTTTAGGAATGTGTTTCCCTCATGAATTCCAGGAGCACAGGTGGTTGGAAGGGCTCTCTTGACAGTGATTTTATAGCTCACCATCAGATCACAGCATAAGACTGAAGGCTTGACTCATCTTTCTTCTCTTGTCCTTAGTTTGTCCATTTGTAAAAGGAGAGAGATTTTGCTGGAGGATATTTGAGGACTCTTTTATCTCTAACATCCCATGAATTGCAAACATTATTAACTACTGTTACCTTTCATGACAGCAGGTAGTTGAATCCAAATTGCATTCTCTTTTCTAGTTAATGTGTTTCAGCCTTCTGCGATTTTGTATTAGACAAGAAATATATGGGACCCTCTTTTTCCTGACATGAGGGAATACAGCTGGTAATTTGCATCTCTCTTGGGGACCTAGATATACTTTCACATCATCTGCTTTCTTCTGAAGACTTGAGGTGTCTGAACAGGATAGTACTAAAGTCACTGTTAAGTCAAGACCAGGCCGAGAAAAACTTCCTTTGTATCTGCAAAATAAAACACACAATGTTTTAATACTAAAGATTTTTAAGCCCACTCTATTGACTAGGAATGGCTTTCTTATTACTACATAGTATATTTTATTTTCTTTCTTTTTTTTTTTTTTTGAGACGAATTCTCATCCTTTCACCCAGGCTGTTGTACGTGGTGTGATCGCAGCTCACTGCAACCTCTGCCTCCCAGGTTCAAGCGATTCTCCTGCCCCAGCCTCCCAAGTAGCTGGGATTACAGGCGTGTGCCACCATGCCTGACTAATTTTTGTATTTTTTGGTAGAAATGGGGTTTCACCATGTTGAACAGGCTGGTCTCGAACTTCTGACCTCAAGTGACCCACCTGCCTCGGCCTCCCAAAGTGCTGGGATTACAGGTGTGAGCCACTGCGCCTGGCTCATAGTATGTATTTTGAAGTATAGAATTGCTGAGAGACCTTTAAACTCATCTCAGCATTTTGCGCGGATGTCTCCAGGACTCTTGCCATTCTGAGCTGAGCACTCCTTGCCCAATTTTTACTCCCCTATCTTCTCCAGCATCTACTCTCCCTCTGACACAGCCCCATACACTACAGGCTTCTACATGGCCATCTTTAATTCAATTCAGCAAATATTCATGGATGCATATGACCTGCCCAGCTCTGCGGTGGGTGTTAGGGATATAATCTTCAATATAATTAGGGACCTACCACATGAATTAACCACAAAGCACTCCTCTGGGTTATGTAAACAAATTGACCTACTGCGTAGGTTCGCTTAACATTGAACACTTAAAAATTAGAAAACCAGTGCCTCAGATTATTTTCTTTTTTTTTTTTTCCACAGTTAATGAAAATTTCCTCACCTTGCTGACATTGGAAACTTTGTCGTGTAATGCTTTGTCTGATTCATGACAATAGAACAATTTTGTCATTATCTACAAGGAAGGACACTTCTATTTAGAATGTTAAGAGAAAACATAGATATTTCTTTCCTTTCATCCAAAAGTGAAAACCAAACTATAAACATATACATTAAAGGAATTGGTGCAGATATGGTTTGAATATATGTCCCCACCAAGTCCCAAGTTGAATTGTAATCCCCAGTGCTGGAAGTTGGGCCTGGTTGGAGGTAGGGCCTGGTGGGTCAGGAGGGTCAATCCCTCATGGTGCTATCCTCCTGATAGTGAGTGAGTTCTCACGAGATCTGATTGTTTATGTGTGTGGCACCACCCCCATCTTGTTCCTGCTCTCACCATGTGAAGTGCCGGCTCCGACTTCACCTTCTGCCATGAGTAAGAGCTTCCTGAGGCCTCCCCAGAAGCAGATGCCAGCACTGTTTCCTGTACAGCCTGCAGAACTGTGAGCCAATTAAACCTCTTTTCTTATAAGTTACCCAGTCTCAGGTATTTCTTTCTAGCAATGCAAGAACGGCCTAATACTGGTGCTAACATACGACATTCATAAACACAAATAAAATAATGTGGTCTGTCAAGAGGCCATTCTGCCCACCCTAGTTCTGTAGATGGGTAATTAGGAGATAGATTTGGCAGAAACATTATTCATCAGAAATCCATGTCAAGTTCATATGCTCTTGGCCTAGCTGGCTCCTGCTCACCAAATCAAAATCTGAATAAAAGTTGGAAAAAAGTTTTAATTTGCCTGGATATATTTCTTCATGAGATAAAAGAAGATATAGCTAAATATTCAATAGCAGAATAATTATATCTGAAATCACCTTGCTTTTCCTGAAATGTATTAAAGCTGCATTTTACAAGAAAGGATTTTGACTTCTAGTTTTGAGGGTCTATCTGAAACGGCCTTTGCAAAGTTATGACTGAGACAGCGAAAGACATCTAACCTAACTGACTCCATCTTTTTTCTAAACTTTAAGCTGTACTTGTTCCTTCCTGGGCATCTGCTGAACTAACTTTGGGAGGAACTTAGTTTATAGTTTAAAACAAAAATGATAACACTCCTCTCCCAAAACAAACCTTCTTGCCTGGGGACAAGAATGCCTTTGTAGGACTAACAAATTAGGCACAAGATTAGAAATTATGGTTTAAGAGTAATGCAGCTGGAGGCTACAAGATTCTGGCCCTCCCTAAACTGCTCCTAACATCAGTGCTTCAGATATTTTGCAGACCCTGCACTTGATGAATCAGCTGGCACACCCAGATCAATAAACTGGCTCATCTGATCTTGTGGTCCCCACCCAGGAACTGACTCAGCACAAGAGGACATCTTCAACTTCCCATGATTTCATCTCCAACTCAACCAATCAGTGCTCTCAACTCACTGGCTTTTCCCCACCCACCAAATTATCCTTAAAAACTCTGATCTCCAAATGCTCAGGGGGACTGATTTGAGTGATGATAAAACTCTGGTCTCCTCCACAGCTGGCTCTGCATGAATAACTCTTTCTCTATTGCAATTCCCCCACCTTGATAAATCCACTCTGTCTAGGCAGCGGGCAAGGTGAACCCACACATGCAATGAACCAGTCTATTTCTACAAGGTTAGATTGTCTAAACTTTCACTGTCTCATAAGGTAGTTGCTAAGTCCAGGTGGCTATTGAGAACTTGAAATTTGGCTAGTCTAAACTAAGATATGTTTTAAGTGTAAAATACACAGTGGATTTTGAAGACTTAAATGAAAAAGAGAATGTAGAATACCTCAATATTTTGTTATATGGATTACATAATAAAATGATATTATTTTGGATATGTTGGTTAAGTAAAATATATTATTAAAAGAAATGTCATGTGTTTCTTTTCACTCTACTAAAATATGTTACATTCATGGCTTCCATAATATTTATTTTGGACAGCTCTGACTTATAATCTATTTTAAAGTACTTCAGCAAAGTCAGTGTGATTGTTAGTTTTCATCCATATTCTACAAATGGACATTTGAAAGCCAACATTCTGGAGACGGCTCTAACATTTCTTTAGAGATAAAGAAATGATAGCAAAGGGTTTTTTTTTTGTTTTTTTTTTTTTTAGACAGGGTTTCTGCTCTTGTTGCCCAGGCTGGAGTGCAATGGCGCCATCTCGGCTCACTGCAACCTCCACCTCCCGAGTTCAAGCGATTCTCCTGCCTCAGCCTCCCGAGTAGTTGGGATTACAGGCATGCGCCACCATGCCCATCTAATATTTTGTATTTTTCCTAGAGACGGGGTTTCTCCATGTTGGCCAGGCTGGTCTCGAACTCCCGACCTCAGGTGATCCGCCTGCCTCGGCCTCCCAAAGTGCTGGGATTACAGGCGTGAGCCACAGTCCCAACCAAAGATATCTTTATCTCTAATCAATCCCAGAGGGCTTATGAGGTAGATTGCATTATTGTTACAAATAAGTACAGCTATATTTGGAGTCCTTCCCTATTGGAGAACTATAGTTCCCACATTGGCTTCGGGCTTGGTCACATGACTTGCTTTGGCCAGCCAGTGAAATGTGAGTGGCAGTGATATATACCACTCCAAGCAGATGCTTTAAAAGTCCTCACGTGGCCTGTCCACTCTCTTTTCCCTGTGCCACAAGACCACATGTCCCATATGGGGACAATTTCCTCAGCCTGGGCACTGGAATAAAGACAACATGGAGTAGACCCTTGAGGGATATGTACTCCAAGAGAGAAGAAACTCTTTCCCCAGAGAGAAGCCAAAAACTAGAGAAAGAGGAGGACGTGGGAGCTAGTAAGGTGTTTGTTTTCCCTTGAGCCCCAAAACCACATTTAAGCTCCTACAGTTTGGCAGATGAGGGCCAGGAGTTGATATAAGTCTTTGGGAGGGACTCCAGAACTGCAGGCAGTTCTACAAGGCTATCTGTATCTAATTTGCTCACTGCTGTGTTCGAGGACCAAACAGTGCCTGACACACAGTAGGAGTTCAACAAACATTTGTTGAATAAATGAATGAAGACCAAAGGCAGATGTCGATTTTGAATGGCTTGAAGTTCTTCTATATTTGGGGATGTTCTTAAAAAAAAAACAAAAAACTCACATTACTAATACAAAGTTAGGTTACAAAAATGAAAATTTATTTAGAATTTCTTTTTTTTTTTTTTTGAGACAGGGTCTTACTCTGTTGCCCAGGTTGGAGTGCAATAGCATGATTTCGGCTCACTGCAACCGACACCTCCTGGGTTCAAGCAATTCTCCTGCCTCAGCCTCCCGCATAGCTAGGACTACAGATGCGTGCTACCATGCCCAGCTAATTTTTGTATTTTTAGTAGAGACAGGGTTTCACCATGTTGGCAAGGCTGGTCTCGAACTCCTGACCTCAGGTGATCCACTCACCTCGGCCTCCCAAAGTGCTGGGATTACAGGCGTAAACCACCGTGTTCAGCCTAGAATTTGTTTAAAATCCAAAATATTAGCAGAGTTTTGGAATAACAAATACTACAAACATCATACAAATGTAGGTAAGTAACACATGCTTATTAATTAACATGTTTATTAATTAATTGCCTAACTCACCTCTATGATACTTTTTTCCCTACATGTTTTAGCTCCAAACTATTTGATCTTCTCTTCATGAGACAACAATTTTAGAATATTTTCCTTTTTTTTCAGCCCTTCCTAGGCTTATACAATCTTATCTTCTAAAGAGAGATCAGAAAGATCATTCAGTCTTTCCTTTAGCATGACTGATTTTGTTTTGTTTTGTTTTGTTTTGTTTTGAGACAGAGTCACTCTGTCGCCCAGGCTGGAGTCCAGTGGCGTGATCTCAGCTCACTGGAACCTCCACCTCCCAGGTTCAAGTTATTCTCATGTCTCAGCCTCCCGAGTAGCTGGGATGACAGGTACCTGCCACCATGCCCAGCTAATTTTTGTAATTTTAGTAGAGGCTAGGTTTCACCATGTTGGCCAGTCTGGGCTGGAACTCCTGACCTCAATGATCCGCCTGCCTTGGTTTCTCAAAGTGCTGGGATTATAGGCATGAACCACCACACAAGGCCGCATGATTGATTTTTTAAATTATTATTATTATAATTGTTTTTGAGATGGAGTCTCACTCTGCTGCCCAGGCTGAAATGCAGTGGCATGATCTCAGTTCACTGCAACCTCTGCTTCTTGGGTTCAAGTGATTCTCCTGCCTCTGCCTCCTGAGTAGCTGGGACTACAGGCACCTGCCACCACGCCCGGCTAATTTTTGTATTTTTAGTAGAGATGGGGTTTCACCATGTGGGCTAGACTGGTCTCAAACTCCTGATCTCAAGTAATCCACCCCCCTCAGCCTCCCAAAGTGCTGGGATTATAGGCATAAGCCACCGTGCCCAGCCCTGATTTTTAAAATTATTATTGATAATTTAGAAAATTTCACTTTAGATGTATATGATATTATTATTATTATTTTTAAAATTTTTTCCAAGATGGAGTCTTGCTCTGTTGCCCAGGCTGGAGTGCAGTGGCATGATCTCGGCTTACTGCAACCTCCACCTCCCGGGTTCAAGCAATTCTCTTGCCTCAACCTCCCGATTAGCTGGGATTACAGACACCTGCCACCATGCCCAGCTAATTTTTATATTTTTAGTACAGACGGTGTTTCACCATGTTGGCCAAGCTGGTCTAGAACTCCTGACCTCATGATCTGCCCACCTCAGCCTCCCAAAATGCTGGGATTACAGGGGTGAGCCGCCACACCCGGCCTACATAACATTATGTACCTTACATAACCTCAGCACCTCACTTGCTGTGGAAAGCTATCTAGGCCCCAGTAAAGCAATACAGTTAGGTTTCAGCCTCCTGGGGCAGCTTAGCTGGAACATAAGGTTATTAGACCTAAGAGGAGCTGCTAAACCAGCTTGGGGCCAAAGCATGGCAGGTGATCCTTCCCAAGCCTACTATGGGACGAGGTGAAACTGTGGGCCACAAGGATTTATGTAAGTTTCCTTTTCTTTTAGGAAAATTTCACTTTGCAAGAGGAAATGTTCTTAGTAGTCTACAGAAGGATAGATTTCCCAGGTTTCTGGTTATTAACAGAAATGTTAATACCCTAGAAAGGTAATTTGGAATGTTTGTACTAGGGATGTCTTGGATTTAAGTATTATCTGGTGTGTTCTCTCTCCTATGCATGCATCAGGCTTGTATTTTCAGCTTTAACTCCTGCTCTTCCTTTATACATACATACTCAACATATTAGCTATGGAACTACCACTAGTTCCCATGCATGCAAACAATATGCTTTCAGCCTATTTATATTTATGTCCATAGTCTAAGTTCTAAATACCCATCAAGAGCTTGCCCAAATGGTATCCATGAAATTCTCCCTGATCTGCCATTACTTTCAACTTTCCAAAAGCACTTGATACGTAATTTTTGACAGCACATGTTACTTTCTTGTTTGCATTAGCTTCTGTGTCACAGTTTGCCTACTGGATTTGAAAGGAAGATTTAGCATTTTTTTTCATTGCCCTCTCAGTACCTAATTCTGTAAATAGAAGTTTTTTCCTGTATTTTCTTCTAAGAGTTTTATAGTTTTAGCTCTTAATGTTTAGGTGTTTGATCCTCAAAAGGTATTTATTGAGCCCTCAATCTGGATTACCCAATGATGTTGGCATATGACACCAAAAGCACAGGCAACAAAAGAAAAAATAGGTAAACAGGACTTTATCAAACTTTTGATACACAGACTTTTGTGTATCAAAAGACATTATTGACAGTGAAAAGACAACCCACAGAGTGGGGGAAATATGTGCACATCATATATCTGATAAGAGATTAATGCCCTCAACATATAAAGAATTTATACAATCCAACAACAAAAAAACAAACAATCTGATTAAAAAATGGGTGAATGACTTGCATAGACAGTTCTCCAAAGAAGACACAAATGGCCAGAGTAGGCACATGAAGAGAGGCCCAATATCAGTAATCACTGGGAAAATGCAAATCAAAACCACAACGAGATACCACTTCACACCCATTAGGATGGCTATAATAAACAAAGCAAAACAATCTCCAGGAAATAACAGTGTTGAAGAGATGGAGGAATTGGAATCCATGAGCATTACTAATGGGAATGTAAAATGGTGCAGCTGCTATGCAAAGATAGTATAAAGCTTGCTCAAAAAATTAAACAGAATTACCATATGATCCAGCAATTTCACTTCTGAGTATGTACCTAAAAGAGTTAAAAGCAGGAGCGTTTTTAATTCTTAGCAAACAGATATTTGTACACCCATGTTCATAGCAGCATTATTCACCATAGCCAAAAGGTGGAAACAACTCGAATGTCCCTTTGATGGAGGCATGAATATAGAAATTGTGGTCTATACATACAAGAAATATTATTCAGCCTTAAAAAGGAATAAAATCCTAACATGAATCTTGAATGATGAATCTTGAAGACATTATGCTAAGTGAAATAAGTCAGACACGAAAGGACAAATATTGTATGACTCCATTCATATGAGGTAACTAGAGTAGTGAAATTCATAGTGTTAAATCAAGTTTAGCCTAAAGCTGCCTCCTTACATATTTTAAGTTTGGTCTAAGGGTTTCTCTGTACATCGTGAACTATAACAAGTGGAGGTGTAAACAGACCATAACCTATACTTGAGCCAATCTCTGAGTTTTGGCCGATCAAATGTAGCCAACGGTTGGAACCAAGTTGAAATAAGCCAAATGCCAAGCTGTAACCAATCTGGCTGTTTCTGTGCCTCACTTCTGTTTTCTGTAAATCACTTTCCCTTTTCTGTCCATAAATCTTCTTCTATCACATGGTTGCACTGGAGTCTCTGAGCCCACTCTGGCTGGAAAGGCTGCCCGATTTATGAATTGTTCATTGCTCGATTAAACTCCTTCAGATTTAATTTACCTAAAGTATGTCTTTTATCAATAGAGACAGAAAGAAGAATGGTAGATGCTAGAATGTGTGGGGAGGAGGATTAGGAGAGTTAGTATCTAATGGGTACAGAGTTTCTGTTTGGAAAATTGAAGAAGTTCTGGAGATGAATAGTGGTGATGGTTGCATAACAATTGAATATACTTAGTGCAACTGAAATGTGTGGCATTTGAAAAATGGTTATCATGTCAATCTTATGTATATTTTACCACCAAAAAGAAAAAAGAAACCATGTGATTACATAGAATCATGGAGAGGGCTTTGGAGACAGCTTCTGTAATTCACAGGCCTCACCTCAGGCAGAGTATACCTAAGCAATCCTTAAAAACAAGGATTTATCAAGTTTAACAAAATTTGCCAGAAATGAGCATCTGTTACTGTTGTCAACCAAATGTCCTGGGTGAGGGGTGACTATCTGGGCTGGTGGCATGGGGGTAAAATAATTTACCAAGACAGTTGTAGGTAAAGAAAGGCAGATTTCCAGCCTGGCCAACATGGTGAAACCCCGTCTCTACTAAAAAAATACAAAAATTAGCTGGGCATGGTGGTGTACACCTGTAATCCCAGCTACTTGAGAGGCTGAGGCAGGAAAATCACTTGAACCTGGAAGGTGGAGGTTGCAGTGAGCCAAGATCATGCCACTGTACTCCAGCCTGGGCGACAGAGCAAGCAAGAAAGAAAGGAAGGAAGGAAGATTTAAAAAAATGTGAAAATACGTTCAGAAGAGGAGGTGACTGCAAGGAAATACAGGCTTGCTGGAGATTTTATAGAATGGTTTTTGGGCTGATTGATAATGCCAAGGTAGCAGGGAGCTTAACTTGCATTCTTCTGTCAGCTGAGTTGTTTGATAAATTGAGGAATTTGATGATAAGCAGGAAGTTTGTGAGTTAGGTATGTTATCTGCGCAGGAGGACTACATATCCTGGGCAACAACAACAACAAAAAGCAGACCTACAGCTTATGTTCTTCCTCTATTTGTTTACACATCCTGGACCATGAAGAAAGGTAGACCTATAGCTTATCTGCTTTATATCTTTGCTTTCCCCAGATCCTGCCAGCCTGACTCCTTTTCCCTAATTAGGACTCCATGCTTAGGACATTCTTCTAGAGGAGGTGATATGGTTTGGCTGTGCTCCCACACAAATCTTATCTTGAATTGTAGTTCCTATAATCCTCACATGTTGTGGGAGGGACCTGGTGGGAGGTAATTGAATCATTGAGGCAGTTACCCCCATGCTGCTCTTCTCATGACAGTGAGTTCTCATGAGATCTGATGGTTTTATAAGGGGGTTTCCTCCTCTTTGCTCTGCACTTCTCCTTGTTGCTGCCATGTGAAGAAGGATGTGTTTGCTTCCCCTTCTGCCATGATCGTAAGTTTCCTGAGGCCTCCACAGCCCTGCGGAAGTGTGAGTCAATTAAACCTCTTTCTTTTATAAATTACCCAGTCTTGGTGCCCTGTGTCCCAACAGCTCTAGCCATGGCTGAAAGGGGCCAAGGTACAGCTTGGGCTGTGGCTTCAGAGTGTGCAAGCCCCAAGCCTTGGCAGCTTCCATGTGATGTTGAGCCTGTGGGTGCACAGAAGTCAAAAATTGAGGTTTGGGAACCTCTGCCTACATTTCAGAGGATGCATGGAAATGCCTGGATGTCCAGGCTGACGTTTGCTACAGGGGTGGAGCCCTCATGGAGAACCTCTGCTAGGGCAGTGTGGAAGGGAAATGTGGGGTTAGAGTCCCCACACAGAGTCTCCACTGGGGCACTGCCTAGTGGAGCTGTGAGAAGAGGCCCACTATCCTCCAGATCCCGGCATGGTAGATTCACCAGCAGCTTGCAACTTCCACCTGGAAAAGCTGCAGACACTCAATGCCAGACTATGATGGAAGCTGGGAGGGGTCTGTACCCTGCAGATCCACAGGGATGGAGCTGCCCAAACTGTGGGTGCCCACCTCTTGCATCAGCATAACCTGGATGTGAGACATGAAGTCAAAGGAGATCATTTCAGAGCTTTAAGATTTGACTGTCCCACTGGATTTTTGGATTTGCTTGGGGCCTATAGCACCCTCATTTTGGCCAATTTCTGTATGGAATCAGTCAGGGTGGTGGGAGAAATTATAAAGATAAAGTTATAGGAAATAGACACAAACCTTCTTGGAATGCTGGGAGTTTTGCATAGCTTCAGTAAAAGATTTGACTGAAGGCAGCTGAATTCTCTTAAAAGCTTACATAGGAATGTAGAGGAGTTTATCTAAATAGCTTGTTTACTCATGTGGTCCTAAGACTATCCTTTGATCATCTGTGGTGCATAACTGCTCTCTACTTGGGAGGTCGGCAATGTTAATTACCCTCTAGTGGTGTTTACTCAAGACCTTTGTCATTTAATCTGTACTAAATAAATGCGAACTTCTCTGGCTAATTGAGGCCATGGCTGCTGACTCTTCACAGCACCCTCCTCAGGGTCTGTGAGTGGCCCCGTCCCCTAGCCCGCTCCTTCATTGGATATCTGTGTCTGAGTGCATTTGTTCATCAGTCACTGGGTCAGGGTCTGTGGGTAGGACTCGGCACTCCCATTTGGAACAAGCATATTTACCCAATGCCTATAGCTCCATTGTATCTAGGAAGTAACTAACTTGCTTTTGATTTTACAGGGTCATAGGTGGAAGGGACTTGCCTTGTCGCAGATGAGACTTTGGACTTGGACTTTTGGGTTAATGCTGGAATGAGTTAAGACTTTGGGGGACTGTTGGGAAGGCATGATTGTGTTTTAAAATGTGAGAACATGAGATTTAGGAGAGGCCAGAGTTGGAATGATATGGTTTGGCTGTGTTCCCATCCAAATCTCATCTTGAATTGTAGTTCCCATAATCCTTATATGTCATGGGAGTGACCTGGTGGGTGGTAATTGAATCATGGGGGCAGTTAGCCCCATGCTGCTGTTCTTATGGTATTGAGTTCTCATTAGATCCGATGGTTTTATAACATGCTTTCCCCCATTTTGCTTGGCATTTCTCCTTCTTGCCATCATGTGAAGAAGGACGTGCTTGCTCCCCCTTCTGCCATGATTGCAAGTTTCCTGAGGCCTCCCCAGCCCTATGGAACTGTGGGTCAATAAAATGTCTCTCCTTTATAAATTACCCAGTCTTGGGAAGTTCTTTATAGCAGTGTGAGAATGGACTAATATAGCAGGGGTCCCCACCCTCCAGCCCACAGACCAGTACTAACCTGTTAGGAACTGGGCCTCATAGCAGGAGGTGAGTGCTGGGGGAGCAAGCATTACCACCTGAGCTCCACCTCCTATCAGATCAGCAGTGGCAATAGATTCCCATAGGAGCTCGAACCGTATTACGGACTGCACATTCAAGGGATCTAGGTTGCATGCTCTTTATGAGACTCTAATGCCTGATAATCTCAGGTGGAACAGTTTCATCCCAAAACCATTCCCTACTCCCGTCTGTGGAAAAATTGTCTTCTATGAAACCAATCCCTGATACCAAAAAGTTGGCGACCACTGTTCTAGAGAACTAACTTAAAATCTTCATAAATAGTTTACTTAATCTCTTCTTTCCTTTTGTTTTCTTTTAAAATGTATTTGTTGAGGACCTCTATTCCATATGGCACTATGCAGGAGATATCATGGAGAAAAAAGTGGTAGCAGTATAGACAGTGATTAAACACAGACTCTGGATTTCAATGCCACTTTTATCCCCCTGTTATCTATGGGTGCATTATTTAACCCCTCTGCATCTCAATTTCCACATATATAAAATGGGCACAATAATACTACCCATCTCATAGGGTTTGTGCTGAATATCTTCTGTTTGCCTCTCCAGATTCATTCTCCACACTTCTCCATCCTGTTCTTGACCCTGGGAATTTGACCTGCTTGGGCTGCTTCAATGAATTTACTTGCTCTCTGGCTTCAATTTGGATTTGGCCATTGGGGATCCCTGGTAGGAGATCAGAGGGAGGTAGGAATAAAGAGGTTGGGTTTTTGTTGTTGTTGTTTTTAGAGACAAGTCTCCCTGTATTCCTCAGGCTGGAGTGCAGTAGCTTTTCACAAAGGCAATCATAGTGTACTATAGCCTCAAACTCCTGGGCTCAAGTGGTCCTCCTTGTTCAGCCTTGCGAGTAGCTGGGACTATAGGTGCAGCCAGTTTTGAGGTTGAGTTTTTTACCCCAGCTTCCTCCTTGTAGGGATGCTGCAGGAATGGCTGCCTTCCCGACCAGAGGTTACAACTGCTGCCACTGCAGCACTCTCTACATGACTTCCTTTTTCTGAGTTTCCATGAACATCCCCTCCCTTTACAACATGTGTTTCTAACACAAAGCTGCCTGTAAAATTGAGCTGCAGACATAAATAAGCAAGCTGGAAGCTTGCATGGGTGAATGTTAGCAGCTGTTCCAATAGGAGAAGCCTACCAGGGGGCTAGGCATGTTCAACATGGCGGCTCCATCTTCCCTTTTCCTTGCCAACCACATGAACAGTAAGGAGCAGACAATGCGGAGCTGGTAAAGTAGAGAAGCCACTTGCATAATAGAAGACTAGGGTGGGATGGCCAGCTTCCTCTTGAACTATGTAAATGTCTCACCTGGTCCAACCATTCTTTGGGCCCTGTGTAGATCAGATAGCTCCTCCCCAAGCCAGTCTTTAAAACCCCTGTGCACTTCATCATGGGACCAGAAGACCCACTTGGGTGCCCCTCTCTCTCTGCAGAAAAGAAAGCTATTTTCTTTTCTCCTTCTTTCACCTATTAAACCTCCACTCTTAAACTGACTCCTGTGTATCTATGTCCTTGATTTCCTTGGCATGAGGCAACGAACCTCGGATGCTACCCCAGACAATGACGCCACTTCACTGTGATGTCTGGCTTAAACTGGAGCTGGAGCAGCAGGGCTCCATCCACACCAAAGGCTGCATGGGTCAGTTTGAGAAACGGCTGCTGGACAACCTGATCGTCATTACCTA
The DNA here is from genome assembly GCF_000001405.40 of Homo sapiens. Classification (NCBI taxonomy): domain Eukaryota; kingdom Metazoa; phylum Chordata; class Mammalia; order Primates; family Hominidae; genus Homo; species Homo sapiens. The sequence continues at coordinate 41,924,287 of NC_000004.12, forward strand.
GGTCTTTGTGAGTATCACCTTCCTTCAGATCTTTGGCATCTTTCTGGCCTGGAACCTCCTGAGTGACATCAAAGCAGTGAAAGGCAACTGGTGAGTCTGCCATGGGCCATTGCCACATGTCCAGCTAATTGAGGCCTCTAGTGGGCACCCCCCTCCCCCATGGAGGACCTTCTCCTACTGTGTTGGTGATGGGCAAGGCTGCAGGAGGTATTTCTGCTTGGATCTGAGTCCTAAGTGGGGTTTGTATGTACAGGTGCACTGTCCACCCACAGAGAAAGCCACTGTGGCTCTGCTGGGGCTGCTTTTCCTGGAGCTGTGGGCAAGGAAGGTGTGCATGTCTACACACACACATGTACATGCATGCACAGGAGAGCCACCATCTCGGCTATTGTTAGGACGGCAGGCTCGCCAGAGGACTAGAAAAGGCATAGCTACAAGCGTACAGGCGGTCGGGCAAGGTGGCTCATGCCTGTAATCCCAGCACTTTGGGAGGCCGAGGCAGGTGGGTCACGAGGTCAGGAGTTTGAGACCAGCCTGGCCAAGATGGTGAAATCCCATCTCTACTAAAAAAAAATACAAAAATTAGTCAGGCATGGTGGTGGACACCTGTAAGCCCAGCTACTCAGGAGGCTGAGGCAGGAGAATCTCTTGAACCCTGGAGGCAGGGGTTTCAATGAGCCGAGATCGTGCCACTGCACTCCAGCCTGGGTGACAGAACAAGACTGTCTCAAAAAAAAAAAAAAAAAAAGAAAGAGGGTACAGGCCAGGTGGGGTGGGAGGCACTGTTGTGGAGGCATCTGTCTGTGTCTCCCCTTCCCCCACTCCATGCTGAGACACACTTCTCTGTGCATGGCTGGATGGGGCATGCTTTGGGGCCTGCTGTTGCCTGGGCCACTGCTTCCTGCAGCTTCAAAACTGTCATCTTTATTAGCTATACCTTGAGCCTGCCAGGAGTCCACCTCCACCTCAGTGTATTAGACTCTGTAATTAGCCCAAGAATTTTTTCCCTCTCTCTCAGCATGCCTCTCAGGAGCAAACATGATAATGGCTAGAAACTACTCAAATAAACGAAACTTTGAAAACCAGGGAAAAAAGTAGATTGTAAAATTTCTCCAGGACCCAGTTAGATAAATGAAAAGGTGATTTTAAACAATTCCCTTGAATTGATTATGGTGCAAAGTTGAGTTTCAAGTGTCAGGGAGAAGCAATCTGATCTCCAACTTTCAACCACTAGCCATTACAGTCCCAGTGAGGTCCATCTCCTGTGCCTGTTGAAATTTATAAGAAGATGGAAGAGAGTGGGGGATAGACTCACTTTCTGAAGCTCTAGAATATATTTCTAGTAAACATATATTTTTTCTATGTCTAGTAGCTAAGTCTCTGATACATTTTCAAAAAAGGTAAAATTTGACAATATAATTATGTAATCTTTATAAAGTAATTATTTTATTTTATCTATAGAATAAATACATGTCAAAGATTTTGTGTAGCTCATTAATTAATGAGGGGACTGGGAAGGCTGTTAACACTGATTCAATGGAGAAGTCAAGATTACAAGTTTTTTCCTTTTTTTTTTTTTAAGAGAGAGAGTCTTGCTCTCTTGCCCAGGCTGGAATGCGGTGGCACAATCATAGCTCACTACAGCCTTGAACTCCTGAGTTCAAGCAAACCTAGTTAGGACTACAGGCTTGCACCACCATGCTTGGCTAGTTAAAAAAAAATTTTTTTTTTTTTTTTAAGAGACAGGAGTCTCATTAGGTTGCTCAGACCGGTCTTAAACTACTGGCCTCAAATGATCCTCCTGCCTCAGCCTCTCAAAGTGCAGGGATTACAGTAGTGAGCCACCACACCCCATTCAAAGACTACAAATTTATATAGAATAAAGGAATATTGAAATGAACTTACAAATAGAAACAAAACTGGATTTTTATATAGGAGTAGATAGGCAGAAAAGTCAATTCAGTCTCCATTTGGCAGAATTTATTTGCATGTCTATAGATGTGGTAGGCAGAATAATACCACCCTTCCCTGCCTCTCATCCCAAGAAGTCCACATCCTAATCCTCAGAACCTGTGAATTTCTTAAATTACATGACAAAGGGGAATTAAGGTTACAGATGGAATTAAGATTACTAATCATCTGACCTTATAGGGAGAGTACCCTGGGCTAGCCAAGTGGGTCCAAAATAATCACAAGTCTTTAAAAGTGGAAAAGGCTGGGCCAGGCATGGTGGCTCACCCAGCGCTATGGGAGGCTGAGGCGAGCGGATCACCTAAGGTCAGGAGTTTGAGACCAGCATGGCCAACATGGTGAAACCCCATCTCTACTAAAAATGCAAAAAAAAAAAAAAAAAAAAATTAGTTAGGCATGGTGGCACACGCCTGTATTCCCAGCTACTCAGGAAGCTGAGGCAGGAGAATCACTTGAACCTAGGATGTGGAGGTTGCAGTGAGTGGAGATCATGCCACTGCACTCCAGCCTGGGAGACAGAGTGAGACTCTGTCTTAAAAAAAAAAAAAATGGGGAAGAGGATGGCAGAAGAGAGTCAGAGGGGGTTGTGCCTATAGAGAAATGTTCAGAAAGATGAAACATTGCTGGCTTTGAAAACGGAGAAAGGAGTCCAGTAATCAAAGGTGAGCTCTAAAGTTGGAAAAGGGAAGAAAATTAATTCTCCACTGGAGCCTCTAGAAAGGAGTGGAGCCCTGCAGACCTTGATTTTATCCCAGGGAGACCTGTGTGGGACTTCTGACCTTCAGAACTATAAGATAATAAACTTGTGTTATTTTAAGTCATGAAACTTGTCATAATTTGTCACATCATCAATAGAGAGGTAATAGATAAGAAGTAGTTGCATTGCTATCATTTATTTACAATTTAAAGAGTTTAAAACATAGCCTAGTCAGAGACAAAGATACACTGATACAGCATCAGATAATACCCAGTCTTCAGCATTCCACTGAACGTGCACCTATTCTAAAGTCTTATAGTTTTTCTTACATTACCAATTTTTAAAGGTAACAATAATTTTCATTTCTTAGTTAAGACCTCATGCTCAAGCTATAACTGCAGAGCTTATGGAGCTTACTTTTCAGGCAGCAAATAAAAGTAGGAATGTATTACTAATGAAATGAATGACTTAGCACTTAGCAATTGCAAAGATACCCTATCCAACTACAGAATTATTAATCACTGATGGAAGCAGAAATGAGCAAATTGATGACTTGATGGTTCAGTAGAATCCCCCTTGAAAACAGGGGGGAGAGCCAAGTCATCAATAACTCTGGAATCAATTCTTGTTTCATCAGCCAATTTCTAGCCAAATGGAATAATGGCCTCTTGGTAGTCAATTGCTTCAGCTTCGGGGTTTGTGTTACATTTGGATTTTCTTACCTTCAATTAAAATAAGTTAGATAACACTTAGGAATTCACCCTGACCCTATGGAGGGAGTGTAGCAGAATAATTTTTTTTTTTTTTTTTTTTTTTTTTGCTGTACCTGGCGTCCATACATTGTTCTTATTATAGCAACACACAGAGTGTCAAATGAGGTTCATCCAGTTGCCAGCTGCGAATCTCTATCCGTATAGGTTTGCAGCAACCTCAATTCTTGCCACCTCAGAAGAAAGAATTCAACCGAGAGGCAAATAGCAGAAAGGAATGAAAGGAAGTAAAGTATACTTGGAGGAGGGCCAAGTGGGCAACTTGAGAGATCAAGTGCATGGTTTGACCTTTTCACCTGGGGCTTAGCATGTTGGCACACTTCTGGGATGTTGCATTACTCCTCCCCTGATTCTTCCCCTGGGGTGGGCTGTCTTGCTTGAGCCTACTCGCCCAACTCCTGAGATCTTATCAGGAAGCTGCTGATCACCAGTTTCAGGTATTTTCTATCTACTAGGAGACTGCCCTTCCCTGGTGCTTACTGTAACTAATTATTACTCTAGAGAGACAGTAAACAACAGCCCAACCATCCCCTGATGCTTACCCAACACTCCTGGTGTGTGTGGGGATGGGGGTGGGGTGCCCTTTCCTGTCCTCCTCATACTATGCTAGCTATCTGCTGTAATGACCTTGCATACATTCCCTTCAGAACTCTCCATTCAAACAAGAGTGAGTGAATGACCCAAGCATGGTCAATCTGTCTCTTAAACTAAATGATTGGTGTAGAAATTTTTATGGGACCAAATTTGATCCAGTGAGAATCAAGCCTGGCTCATTAAATTGAAAGTATCAAGTAAGAGGCACTTTCTACAGGCTAGTCTTACTAATCTGGTGGTATATGGACTAAAGTTGAAGAAGAATCAACTTGACAATGAAGTCAACTCAGAGAGAAGCAGAGATAAGAACACAGTTTTCTTTGATGTCATTTGGGCTCTTAAATATACGCATGTCTACTAAAAGATTGTCTACCTCTGATCTTTTCAGAGTAGTCATATTATTTTGCCTTTTGTCCCCTATAAGTCTGTTTGGGCTTAATTTCTGTCACCTGCAGTCAAGAGAGTCCTGACTAAGACAACCATGTATACTTGAGAAGTTATCTCATTACCAAGAAGAATGATCAAGGAAGAAAGTAAAGAAACACAGTAGGGGCTAGGCGCAGTGGCTCATGCCTGTAATCCCAGCACTTTGGGAGGCTGAGGTGAGTGGATCACCTGAGGTCAGGAGTTCGAGACCAGGCTGACCAACATGGAGAAAACCTGTCTCTACTAAAAATATAAAATTAGCCAGGTGTGATGGCGCATGCCTATAATCCCAGCTACTCGGGAGGCTGAGGCAGGAGAATTGCTGGAACCAAGGAGGCGGAGGTTGCAGTGAGCTGAGATCGTGCCATTGCACTCCAGCCTGGGTAACAAGAGCAAAACTCCATCTCAAAAAATAAAAAATAAAAAAGAAAGAAATACAGTAGGAAAACAGTAGGAAAAAAGACAAATTCCAATGGTTAAAAACAATAAAAGAAGAGATTCAAATATTATCTATACATTAAACAGAACACAAAACATAAAACTATTAATGATACTTTTTGCAGGAAAAAAGATAGATGTCATTGCATTCAACAGTTAAAACCAATCGTTAAAATATCTTACCAGAACCAAATATCTTGGCAAAGTGGCTTCAACTTCTTCTACTATGGCATCAGTATATTTTATATTGTATCTAAATTGCTTGAAACACTGTCCTGATATCCACATCAGCATTTATGGCTTTGGTTGAAACCTGGGGAAATGACACAGAAATGGGGAAAATACAGTCTGCCTTTGAAATGCTTATGCTTTAGGGGAAGAACAAAAGAAGAAGAAAATCTAGCTGTCGGTAAAATTGAACACTGTAAGGATAACTGTAGTACAAATCTAACAAAGTTGTTACCTTCTGATTTTTATTCATTCAAAACAAATGATTACTTCTTAGAAGCCTTTTTAAAACCTCCATTATAGGCTCACACTTGTGGTCTTTATTAGTCTATATTCAGCACATCTGAGAATGCAGAAGAAGCAAAGAGTGAACTCAAAAGAACTCCATTATTAGACTAATATGATTAAGTTGATTCAGTCAGCAAAAGGAACTCAACCTATTAAAAAGAGTTTTAATGGGGAGTATCATCTTTCAATAATCAGGCAGGGAAACTATGGACCATTTGGAAAGCAACCTGGTTTGTGCCCCTTTTTCATTTGTCTTCATTTGGCAGATTCAGAGTCATGGCCTAACAGTTTCTACTTCAGCTTGGGGTCTAAGGTTGCAGGACAGATTGTCACACCATCCTTCTCCTGTATAGTCATTTAGTATTTTTATTTAGCTTTGAAAGGGAAATGAAATTTTTCAACTCATATTGAGGCAGGAGAATAGGGTCTGGAGGCAGGGAACCTAAGGCCATTTCATGCTGATTTCCTAGAACTAAATTGAAAGGAAAACCCTAACTTTCCATGCCTAAGTAATAAACAGACCAAAGGCTATCCCTTTGCAAACCCCCCCTTTTCTGCGTGGCAGATGGGAAATTGGTTGTCGCAACCAATCTAACTGACTGAGGCTCACTCAGTATTTGTTAGTGTGAAAGTGCAACTTTGTAACTTCACCTTAGCCTTCACCTTTGTAACTTCATACATAGCTACCGACTAAACTGTGTTCCCCAAAATTCATATGTCAAAGCCCTAACCCTCAGGCAACTGTATGTATTTGGAGACAGAATCTTCAAGAAGTAATTAAGGTGAACTGAAGTTATAAGGATGGGGTCCTAATCAGATAAAACTGGTGGCATTATAAGAAGAGAAAGAGAGGAAAGGGAAGGTGAAGATGTTTGCACAGGAGTGTGACCTTTGTAACTCCACTTCAGCCTCTGATTGGCTGCACAAAGCAACTGATTGCAGGCCACCACTTCATTTACATGATGTGAGCATGAAGTGGCCAGTTGGAAACCCAGAGGGTATTTGGACCCGAGAAGATTCTGTATCGGGCAGCTCCCACATTGTGTAGTATACTTTCGTTTTCAACAAATCCCTGCTTTTGTTCTTTCATTGCTTCATTCTTTCTTTGTTTTGCTGGGCGTTTTGTCCAATTCTTTGTTCAAAATGCCAAGAATCTGGACAACTTGCAGTCAAGACCCTCTACCAGTAACAATATAACAAAAAACTAGTATCAAAACACAATTTTAACAAAACTTTTTAAAATGCCGACAAATCAATAATAATGGACCACAACAAAAGACAAACAGCTCAATAGAAAAGAGGCAACAGAGGCCAGGCACAGCGGCTCACGCCTATAATCCCAGCACTTTGGGAGGCTGAGGCGGGTAGATCACGAGGTCTGGAGTTTGAGACCAGCCTGGCCAACATACTGAAACCCCATCTCTACTAAAAATACAAAAAATTAGCCCAGCGTGGTAGCAGGCACCTGTAATCCCAGCTACTTAGGAGGCTGAGGCAGGATAATCATTTGAACCTGGGAGGTGGAGGCTGCAGCAAGTCGAGACTGCGCCATTGCACTCCTGCCTGGGCGACAGCTCAAGACTGTGTCTCAAAAAAAAAAGCCAACAGGAGAGAAAATCTGAATGGCCAATAAAGTTGTGAAAAGATGCTAAGCCTCACTACTACTCACGAAAATGCAAATTGAAAAAATGACATACCATTTTATATACCTAATCTTGGTAAGAACTAAAAATAGCAAATTTTGGCAGGGATTAGGGCTATTCTCATACACTAAATACAACTACTTAGGAGAGTAAACTTGCAATTATTTTAATATGCAAAGTTGAAGATATGTGTCTTAGTTGTTTCACTTTCATTTTACTCTTTAACAAAAATATCAAGAAACATTCATGAAATTACACTCATTCATCAATGGCAACTGTATATTGCTATGGATATAAGAGTTCAGCAAAATCAAAAGAAGTATCTGTGAGATTAATTAGCTATATGGAATTTACAATAGAGAACATTTTGTATTTTAATATTTTTGTAATAAGATGATCCTTTAAATCAGTAAAAAAATATGTACTTACATACATATATATAAAATATATATAGCTATGGACTGAATTGTGTCCCTCAAAATTCATATGTCAAGACCCTAACCCTCATGTGACTGTATATATTTGGAAACAGGATCTTTAGGAAGTAATTAAGGCTAACTTAAGTTATAAGGATGGGGTCCTAATCCGATAGAACTGGCGACCTTATAAGAAGGGGAAGAGAGGAAGACAGAGATCATTTACCTCCTCCTAAATTGAGCACACAGAAAATGGCAGCTGCCAGCGGCTAAAATGAAACTTACCTTGTTGGCACCTTAATCTTAAACCTCTCAGTCTCCAGAACTGTGAGAAAACAAATTTGTGTTGCTTATGCTACCCACTTTATGGTATTTCGTTATGACAGCCTGAGTTGACTGCCATAGACACACACAAACACACACACTGGCAAGGAGACATATAATTCTAAGAAATGTTAAAAAATGTAACTGCTATAAAAATATGGAGTAAATGATATGGGAAGAGTGCAGAGGAGGTGGCATTTTAGCTCAGCTAGGAGGATGAGTAATCCAGGCTAGAGATCTGAAGGACCTGAACTTGGGCAGTGGCCTTAGAAAAAGAGGTTTGTACTGTTTCAAGAGAACCCCATTTGATTTCTCGGCTGCATCTGACTAGCACCTGGTCTGCCCATGGATACTAGAGGATAACCACACATCTGACAGAGGAAGAGCATTACAGTCTCATGGTTTTCCGACAGGGTGCCAGCTTTCCCGTGGGTCCCCAGTCCACTCCCTCTCCCTAGCCCCTTCATATTTGATTCTCAATCTACTGCTCTTCTCATGCATTTTTTTCTACACTTCTTCAGGTCTCAGCAGATGGCATTCCCCTTCCTACACACCCATACCTAGTTAGTCACCACATCTTAGAAGCCACCTCCAAGTCATCTTTCCTCTTCTTTTCCCCAACAACACTGCCTCAATCCAGAATCTCATCACTTCTTTCCTACACGTATGTGTTAACTTAAAACTCACAAGATCTATATGTTCAGAAAAGGAGACTTTATTTCTTATAAGGAGATACAGCCTGCAAGGTGGCCCTCTCATGGGCTGGGAAGCACAGCCTCCAGCAAGGACCAGAGACAGGCACTTTAAAGGAAGAGGAGCTGGGGTAGGAGCTTTATGCTGAATAGGTTGGCTAAACATACATATTCAACAGGTTACAGGAAGAGCTATGAATATTCATAAAAGTAGTCCTGATACATGCGTATGGAACAACATGCATGTTACATACAACCTGTGTTCACCTTGGGGTGGAGACTTAATATTTAATGTATTACAGTTAGGCTCTGTACCTCAAAAGGTGAAGCAGAGACGAAGGCACACAAGTGCATGGCCTCTGTAAAGTGGCCAGAACCAGCCTATGGTCAGTGGTCTTATCTGGAGAACGTTACTGAAATCAGTCTCTTGTGCAATCAAAGCTGTAGCTATGGTTGGTATAGCAGGGGTTCAGTTAGTGTCTGTGAGCTGGATTAGTTGTAATTGTTTTAATATTGCTTCTCTCTAGGCCAGTGGTTGTTTAGCTGCCAGAGGGAAAAAAAAAACCTCTTGTGGTAGAACATAGTTTATTTTTTAAGTGTAGGGGGTGCATGACTTAACCCTTGCCTGGCATGGCCTTAGGTCCTGTTTATAATTTGGTATCCTATTCCCACAAAGAGTTTGTTCTGTCAATGTTATGATCTTTATTGTAACATTAACATGTTAAACATAGGCTGACTTCCTAGAACTAATTTGAAAGGAAAACCCTAACTTTCCACGCCTAAGTAGTTGCTAGTCAGTTGTGTCTAAACTACAAAAGGGAGGGGGTATAATGAGGCATGTCTGATCTCCTGTCCCATCATGGCTGGGGTCCCCTTGGCCAAGAAAGGGATCTATCCAGTCAGTCGACAGACCCCTTACTTAGGATTTTATTTTTAGTTTATATATATATAAATGGCTTCACAACGAATTTCCTGACTTTTAATTTGCCCCTCTGTTCATCCTCCACCCTGTTGCCAGAGAGAACTTTCTAAATCTCAGGATGTCACACTTCTGATTAAAATTGTTCCATGGTTCTCTGGATTTCAGGGTCAAGTTCAGATCCTTTCCTCAGTACACCCCTGCCTGCCTCTCTAGCGCAAATCTTTCACAATCCCCTGACTGGTACCATCATTCTGGTCACACTCAACTAGTCCTCTCGCTGTCCTGTTACTTCTTGCACTTTCTGTTACTCTGTATGGAGTTCCCTTCCCGTTTTAAGGCAGAAGAATATGGTATGGCGGTAGGGAACCTAATGCCCTTTCTCGCTGACTTCCTAGAACTAAATTGAAGGAAAATCCTTACTGTCCACGCTTAAGTGAATAAAGGGCCAGATACTACTCCCTTTGCAAGCCCCAACCTGTTCTGCGCAGATTTGGGAAATTGAAAGTACCTCTGATTGGTTGCTTTTTGTAACCAATCAGACGTTTGCATAGAAGTGTAACTTTGTAACTTCTTCAGCCTCTGATTGGTTGCTTTGCGCAACCATTCAGACTGATTGCGGGCCACCACTTCATTTACATGAAGTGAACTCCAAGTGGCCAATGGGAAACCTCTAGGGGGTATTTGGACCCGAGAAGACTCTGTATCCAGGGCCCTTGAGCTGCTGTCTCACTCTCCCACACTCTGGAGTGTACTTTCATTTTCAACAAATCTCTGCTTTTGTTGCTTTATTCTTTCCTTGCTTTGTGCGTTTTGTCCAATTCTATGTTCAAAACGCCAAGAACTTGGACACCCTACACCAGTAACACTTTCAGCCAACTTTTTGTCGTTCAAGATCAAGGCCCGGACTTACCTTTTCCAGGAAACCTCCCCAGATCCCTTCTGATTTAGGTACCGTCCTCTGTGCTCCCTGTGATTAAATCAGCCTCTACACATATTACACAATCACTATGCTCTGATTTCCGTTTACTTGTTTCTCTTTTGCAATCTGTGTCATATTCCTCTTTTTATCCGCCGTGCCAAGTATGGAGCCTGTCACATAGCAGGCCTCATAAATACTTATTGAAAGAATTAATAATAGACGTAGAACCAACGGGCTTAGTAAGCCCCTGGAGAAAGGAATCAAAGATGTTTCTGAGGCCTCTATATCAGGAAGTGCGGAAATTTCATGGTTTGAGAATGGGCAGGAAAGATCATTTGTGAGCTGTATTTAATGCAAAAGTTGCTCCCCCATCCTGATTTCTTAGCTCACTGGGCCAATCGGCGGAAGGACAGGTGGGGCTCAAATTAGGAGAAAAAAACCACACTTCCCGTCATGCCTCTGGGCACCGCTCCCGTTTCCCCCTCTTTGTCACCGCCTCTTCCCCACGGAAATGAAAGGAGCACTTCCGGGTTCGGCAATAACCTGGAGCCGGCGGCGTAGGTTGGCTCTTTAGGGCTTCACCCCGAAGCTCCACCTTCGCTCCCGTCTTTCTGGAAACACCGCTTTGATCTCGGCGGTGCGGGACAGGTACCTCCCGGCTGCTGCGGGTGCCCTGGATCCAGTCGGCTGCACCAGGCGAGCGAGACCCTTCCCTGGTGGAGGCTCAGAGTTCCGGCAGGGTGCATCCGGCCTGTGTGTGGCGCGAGGCAGGGAAGCCGGTACCCGGGTCCTGGCCCCAGCGCTGACGTTTTCTCTCCCCTTTCTTCTCTCTTCGCGGTTGCGGCGTCGCAGACGCTAGTGTGAGCCCCCATGGCAGATACGACCCCGAACGGCCCCCAAGGGGCGGGCGCTGTGGTAAGTGCGAGGGCAGGGTAGTCTGGCTTGATTTGCAAGAGTTAGGAAGAAGCAGGAAGCGTTGCGAGTCCCGAGGCGTTCCAGAAGCTCAGTGCATTCAGGAATGGGATTAATGAGTTGGGGTGGGGAAGTTGGAGCGGGGAGAGGGGAGGTCCTGAGCGAAGATATGGAGGGAACTACAAGTTTGTTTCTGAAGCGACAATAGGCTGACCTGGAGCTGGTGGCCCCCACCTGTATGCCATGGAAATTGGGCCTTCTTTCCTCTTCTCCCACCTCGGTCTTTTGTTTACCGTAGGCCCCAAGGTTAAAGATGCCGCATGAGATTGTGCCATGACACACATGATCCATGACACACACCACGTGGAGCACACGAGTGCCGGCAAAGAACGTTTCTGCCTAGTTTATACAATCGTATATAGAAATTATGCAAAGGGAGGAGAGCGGTGGTCTTTTTCTTCTTCACTTTGTTCTTTATGAAGAGAAATATCATTATGCTTTTGTAATTTTTTTAAGATGCTGATCTGGAGCTAACAAGTTATTTGTGCCCGGAGCATTGCTGTCCTCTACTTTTTAATCCATAAGTAGTTAAGTATTATTCTGTGTGACCACAATGCAGTTACCACATTTGGGAAATATTACCTAATATAAAATCCATGTGCAAATTTCCATAATTGTCCTTTAAAGCTGCTTTCTCTTCATCTGGGATTCTGTCAAAAAGCATGCATCGATGGGCTGGCGCAGTGGCTCACTCCTGTAAGCCCAGAACTTTGGGAGTCCAAGGCGGGAGGATCGCTTGAGTTCAGGAGTTAGAGACCAGCCTTGGAAACATAGCGAGACCTCATCTCTACTAGAAATCAAAGAAATTAGGCGGGGCGTGGTGGCTCACGCCTGTAATCTCAGCACTTTGGGAGGCCAAGGCGGGTGGATCGCTTGCGCCCGAGAAGTTGAAGCTGCCGTGAGCCAAGATCGCGCCACTGCACTCCAGCCTGGGTGATAGAGCAAAACCTTCTCTCAAAACAAACAAACAAACAAACAAACATAAATTAGCCGGTCGTGGAGGTGCGCTCCTATAGTCCCAGCATAGTCCCAGCTACTCAGGAGGCTGAGGTGGGTTGTGCTTTTGCGCTCCAGCCTGGGGTGACAGAGCGAGACCCTATCTCAGAAAGCATGCATTCAATTTACTGGCCATATCTTGTTTACTGCCTTTTAATCTAGAACAGTTCTGCCCTCTCCTCCCCTTTTTTGTCTTTTAAGATACTGATAGTTTTCAAGAGTCCAGACATGTTTTGCAGCATATATAGGTACATCTAATATGTATATCTATATTATATATCAGGAAGCATTTTACATTGATTTATCCCATCATTGCAGAATTTGTTTGATTATTTGATTAAGGTGGTGTCCACCAGTTTCTCCATTGTAAAGATACCTTTTTTCCTTTCTAATTAAAAAGTGTTCTTTGGCATGATACTGTGACACTGTGTGAATATTGCTCCTCAACAATTTTTCACCCAAAGATCTAGTGATTTTTTTTTTTTTTTGCCTGATGGTTGGACAGTTTACTCTTAAAAAATGTATACCAATAGACTTTCTTAAACTTTTAAAATTGTATAATATACATAAGTGTGTACAAAATGAAACGCATAGCTCAATGATTTATTGCAGAATAAACAACCTGAACAAATAGATTTTAAGGAGAATGTTCTAAAACTAACTTTCAAGCTGTGGTGCCCAGTCATAATATTTGTTGAGAAACTGAGCACAGTAAGCTGGATTCATCCTTCACTTGATTACTGCTAATCATTTCAGTTTATTGGAGTCACAGTACGGTAAGTCTGGATTTAATGATAAATCAAAGTTGTATTTCATATTTCTGAAATTACCTACATGTGGGTTAAAAAGACATAAAATAAAACAGCCTGGAATTTTACAATGTACTTGGATTTTTCCCTCAAATTTTTTATATTTTTTTTTCAAAAGATAATGAAATTAAATTACATAGAGCAGTGTTTTTAGACTTCAGGTAGACCCATTAGTGAGTTGAGAAGTCAGTTTAGTGTAAACACCAGCTATTTTTAAAAAATTAAATAGAAAATGTCAAAATCCATTATATACAGTAGGGTAAATATTTGTGAAACTTTTGTTTATATATCCATGTATATGGATCTCAATGTTAAAATTACGAAGATCCTAGACAAAAAATGTAAAAGCCACTTTTGAATATAAGATACATTTTAATGAGAAAACACATTTTAAGATTCTGCTTTAGTGGTAATAGACATAAGTATTGGGGGGAAAGCAGCAAAGGAAAGATAGAATGGGAAAAAAATGGGGGAAGAAAATGGTATAGGAAAGTTTAATCTAGGACCACCGAAACTAGGGTAAGACTTGTGGGGGAACATGGAGGTGATAAAGAGAGTGGTGTAATCAGAGAGGCAGGTGGCCATTTAATACCTGTCAGCCACATTTTGAGCACCTAGAGTATGCCAGGCCCTTGTGCATGTAGGCAGATTACAAGGCGAATGAGTTTAGTTGTTACTACTATCATGGTTTTATATTTCTTCTTCAAAAGGTTTCTTTAATCCCAACTGGCTTTATGTGATGTTTTACTCAGCTCTGAGACCTACCTATTCGGATTTGAGATTTTTTGCTAAGAATAGGCATATGGATCTCTTGAGAGCAATTAGTTTTTGTTTAATGTTCTTTTAAAATAGATGAAGCCAATATTGCAAGTGTTAAAGGAACACAGACAATTGTAGTTGAATTTCTGTTAAGATTATTTTTTCTAATTAATTAGTCTTTGCATTTTTTTAAAATGTCAGCTGATATTTTTCTATTTATTTCTGTTTAAGTACTTCTTGTGCTTTCCACATGAAAACTATAAGGTGTTTGGACTTCTCATTAAGCATATACATGAAACATGTAATTGCCTTAGAGTTTTCACCTAATGATCTAAAAAAACAAATGGAGGAAGATTAAAATATTTTGAGTAGACATAAAAACCACACAGTCTTGATGCTTAAAAACATGATTTGCAGGCATAGCTTACAGTATTTTTCTTTTTAAATTTAGCAATTCATGATGACCAATAAACTGGACACGGCAATGTGGCTTTCTCGCTTGTTCACAGTTTACTGCTCTGCTCTGTTTGTTCTGCCTCTTCTTGGGTATGTATTATACATATTGCTGCCTTTGATATTCAATTGTTGAGTCAGTTTATATGGAGTGCCTTTTAGGTGTAAGACTTATTAACCTGTAAAGGGTTTAGGGACAAATAAAATACAAGTTCCAGCCTTCAGGTACTAACAACCTAATAACATTATCAGAGGAATATTTTATATCTTGTGCTTTGTGAAACTAACACATTGAAAATCCAAGGAAAAATTGATGTGTGGGAATGAGATAAGTTCATGTTTTTTTCATTTTTACTTATTACTTGACAGGAAGGTCCTGCTTTATAAAATTCAATTTTATAAATTGATTATAAGAAATTCAGTTGGGCATATATATGAAGTGAAGCTATTAAAACGGTAGAATAAGTTCATGTAATTTTTTTCTATTGACAAGTGATTTAGGTGTTGTGCAATTATGATGCAATTCACAAAGGAGGAAGAGACACTGCAGTTGTTTATGTCTCATGATAACCTCTCCTCTGGTAATTTGCAGGTTGCATGAAGCAGCAAGCTTTTACCAACGTGCTTTGCTGGCAAATGCTCTTACCAGTGCTCTGAGGCTGCATCAAAGATTACCACACTTCCAGTTAAGCAGAGCATTCCTGGCCCAGGCTTTGTTAGAGGACAGCTGCCACTACCTGTTGTATTCACTCATCTTTGTAAATTCCTATCCAGTTACAAGTATCCTTTTCTACCTTGTTAACAATGAAATTGCCAACTAAGCATATAGGAGATCTCTTCTGATTATTTCAGCAATGAAGGCATTCCATGAAGCCTGGGTTTGTTCTCGGCACTTCATTTGAATGAAGATATGTTTAGTGTAAGAATTTCTGACTTTAAAATGTGAAATCTAAACTTTGAAGAGCTGATTTAGGAATTTTAAACTATCTTTGTTCTTGCCTCTTGTAAGCTTCCCTATTAGAATGGATATTTTCAAATTCCCCTTCGAAGCACAACCTTACGCAGAACTTACTTTAATATTTACATTTTTTTCATTTAATTCACGTTTTTGGCAAAGTGTCCAGATGTCTTGCTTTAAAAAAGAGAGGTCCTCAGCTCTTTCCATCTTAACCCCAGTGAACTAGATACAAATGGAATTTAACCAAGAAACAACTTATTTAAGCAGGTAATGAGATAATCAATACAAAGAAATTAATATTTGCTGTGTATAGAGTAGAAAATAAGGACACACATGGATAATCCGTGAAGCTAATGAGAAATAATTCATTTGGAATTTGTATGTTTTCACATTTCAAAGGTGTGTTGTGGGATGATACTGGGTAGTCCATAAAGGAGGGGAAAAATGGGGAAGAGGTTCTATAGTGAACACTAGGTTAAACTTTCTTTTTTTTTTTTTTTTTTTTTTTTGAGACAGAGTCTTGCTCTGTTGCCCAGGCCACCTGCCTCTGCCTCCCAAAGTGCTGGGATTATAGGCGTGAGCCATCACGCCCAGCCAGGTCAAACATTTTTAAATAGGGTTCTTTACTATAGTGGCTTTGGTATTCTAACGTGTGTTGTGAAACTAAGAGAGTTAGTAGGGTTTTTTAAACTTAAATTTGTGGTTGTTTTTTTTCCTGTAGATTATCTCTGCAAATCATTTTGTGCATTGAGAAGTGCTGGTCTAAGAGCTTTTGAATATTTATGATACATCTGTATGTTATGTAAAGCACAATAAAATATTCCTCTGAGACTGAATATTACCTATTTAGATACCTATGCTCATGAAGTATCAAATTTTTAAATAGATTTTTATAAGTCTTAAGGAAAAGAAATAGGAGGAAACCGAAATTTCCTGAGCACCTATTTTGCCAGTATAAGAACTTGAATTTAGGCCAGGCGCGGTGGCTCACGTGCGGTGGCACTTTGGGAGGCTGAGGTGGGCGGATCATGAGGTCAGGAGATTGAGACCATCCTGGCTAATATGGCGAAACCCCATCTCTACTAAAAATACAAAAAATTAGCTGGGCATGGTGGCATGTGCCTGTAGTCCCAGCTGCTCGGGAGGCTGAGGCAGGAGAATCGTTTGAACCCTGGAGTGGAGGTTGCAGTGAACTGAGATTGTGCCACTGCACTCTAGCCTGGGCGACAGAGCGAGACTCCTTCTCAAAAAAAAAAAAAAAAAAAAAAAGAACTTGACATTTAATCTTTGTAGCACTCTGAAAAAAATTGTTGTGGTATATTTTTAATAAAGATGCTGATTTGCTGATTGTCAGTATTCACTTCCCACACATTGGCTAGTAAGTAGTAATGCTGAAAAAGTCTTTCTAACTTAAAAGCTCTACCTTATCTACAGTTAGTGGGTGAGTAATACTTAAGTATACATTAAAAATATTTCTTTCTGTATGTGGGTAAACCTGGTAATTTCATTTAAATATTCAGTATATGGAGATTCCCTTTAAATTACTCACTTCACTGAGATAATGTGGGTAGTTTGAAATGTAAGGATAAAATTTTTCCTGTTTCAATGCATGAGTCTGTAATGTCCCATCATAATTTGTATTGGTTTATTTTTAGGTAAAACTCATTAAATGATTACTATACTACAACTGTAAATGATAATCACATTTGTTTGGCATATTATTGGCTTGACCAGCCTCTGTTGATTGAAGTGCTTTGCAGTCACCAATGTTAAAATTCTAGCCTTTCTGAGCTATAACGGGAAGTTATGTAGAGATTTTTGGTCATGCCTTTTAGTAGCTTAAAATTTCTTTGGAGGGAGAAATAGAAATGACAGAAAATGTGTTTCAATGTAGGGTAAACTGAATACGTCAATAACTTTGGGAACAGTGCCTCACACAGATCAGGCACTCAGTAAGTTTTGTTGAGTGAATCCTGAGGTCTTGCCAAATGAGACTCATGACTGGTGAAGAAAACCTTTCTGCCTTTTTATACAGTTGGTTATTTGGTAGCCCCTCTTTCCTGGGAATGTTGAAGATTAAGGATTTCATATTCCTTAAATTCTTACAAAGGGAATGTAGTAAACAGTGGGAATAACATAAACTAGTAATTGGCAGCAAATGCTAATCTGATTATTAAAGTGATATGGTAATAAATAAAAGCGGGCCCAAAGTAATATTACAGATTTGCGTTCTGATCCTTCTTCTTATAAAAGTGATATTTTGTCCTTGCTTGATTAATAACAGATAGGGCATTTCACCTCTTATCTTTTCTAAATACATTGTATTAATAGTTTAAGAGTAATGTTGAAGACTAAGATTATGAATCTCTTACCAAGGATTTGTGAACTATAGAATGTTAGACATAAAAGACTCATTGGCAGTTTCTAGCTTTGATCTCTGCATACTCATTTGCCAGAGCATGAAACTTGACCTAGGAAAATTAGGTTAGTGACAGAGTCAGGAGTGGAACTCAGGTATCTTGACTCCCAATTCAGGGCTCTATTTTCACTACCTGACACTGCCCCTTTTATTGAATTCAGTCTGGATATGTGTCAAAGTTTAAATTGAATTCTTTAAGGATCGACAGAGTTTTATAGTGACTTTTGGAGAGGGTTGTAGCTTCCATCAGTTTCAAAGTAGTCTATGATTCATTAAAAAATTTAAAACTTTTTATATACATATATGATCTCTACTTAGGAAATGGACATTTTTCTTAATTCTTGTTAGAGGTGGGAATGAGTTGGTCAGGATATTAATTTGGAGAACTATATTAGGGAGTTAGGGTTCTTCTAATACTTGGATATAGGTTGGTGTCTTGCTTGTCAATTGGAAACTGGGACCCTTGAATTCCTAAATGAGTTATGG
The DNA here is from genome assembly GCF_000001405.40 of Homo sapiens. Taxonomy (NCBI): domain Eukaryota; kingdom Metazoa; phylum Chordata; class Mammalia; order Primates; family Hominidae; genus Homo; species Homo sapiens. The sequence goes on from NC_000004.12 coordinate 41,942,467, forward strand.
TTATAATGAATTTGATACTCAGATTATGTTACAGCAATCACTATTTCCTGTCATATTAGGCCTTCAGTTAGTATAGAAAAATACAATGGTTCATTTCTTAGGAACTGGTAATATTTTTAGGACAAGTATTTTTGCCATTTGTGATTGACTAACAGTCTATATCATTTTGTGGAACTACTTGACAATTTTTTTTTTTTAATCAACCTGGCAGAAATTGGGGTGGAGAATGGGGTCTTTTGAACAATTTCCATTTTTCAAAAAGTTGAATGAAAAATGTATGTTTATCCATGGCATAAAGCCAAACAGTTGGACTCAAAAGGATTCTTTCCTTATGTCTGTAATTAAGCTGATGAGAGTTTCAATTGACTATATACAAAGCAAAATACATACTGCCTTGTTAATTTTTACAAATTGAGAGCATAACTGTGACAACTTGTTAGGTATAGTATCTCAAAATAATGGAGTCCTTGTAGGAAAGAAGTAATAAAAGATCTTTAGTCTTTGGGACTAAAAATTTGGGAATTACTCTTTAAACTGTTACCTTAGACTCTTTCCTCAGCGTTTGAGATTGTGAAAGCACTGTAAAACTACTGTGTTTGAAGGCTAAGTTAGAGTGACCAAGAAAGCCGTTGTAGGGTTAGAAGCTATACTTACAACCCTTTGGGGTGGCCTAGATTTCAGTTTAATTTAGCAAGTGTTTACATTGTTACCCAGTAGAAATGAAGGAAAAACCTTTTTTTCACTATTAATTTTTGTCATGAAAAGAACTGTGAATTGGCCGGGCGCAGTGACTCACACCTGTAATCCCAGCACTTTGGGAGGCCGAGGTGGGCATATCACCTGTGGTAAGGAGTTCGAGACCAGCCTGGCCAACATGGTGAAAACCCATCTCTACTAAAAATACAAAAATTAGCTGGGCGTGGTGGCAGGCGCCTATAATCCCAGCTACTCGGGAGGCTGAGGCAGGAGAATCACTTGAACCCAGGAGGTGGAGGTTGCAGTGAGCCAAGATTACGCCATTGCACTCCAGCCTGGGGGAGAAGAGTGAGACTTTGTCTCAAAAAAAAAAAAGAACTGTGAATTTTAGAAAATGAAATAGTTTACTTTCTTCTTTATAGTGAACAAAATTTGATTTGGCTTAAAGTGTATCAGTAAAACAAGCCATTCCACTGAACTCATTTTAGCAGATGTTTCACATCTGTATATTTGGACATAATACATAGTCTGTTTTGCAGAATACTTGATGACTTTTAAATGTTTTCCTTAATTGTTTTCTTTAGTGAGTATCTTCCCAGTCTTGTTATTCTCTTTGCTTCATGCTGCCACATATACGAAAAAGGTCCTTGACGTAAGTAAAACTGCTCTTTGTCTGACTTCTGAATTACAGATCATTGACATGAATTTGAGTTCTAAGACATTTTGGTATTTGTCACAAAAAGTCCCTCTATACCTTACAAACTTGTTATGAATTATTTAGTGATTTGAAAGTTTTAAGTTTAAAAGTGTTTATTGTTGAAGTTTCACAAACTAGAACATTTTATAGATAAAGGATTGCACTTAAAATCACCCCCCAGTCTCCAGGGGAATTTTTCAAGTTTGAAATAGATCAGTTTTTTTGAAACCTGTGTCTCTAAAGTTTGTTGAGTTGTCAGATCTCTTGTTCTGTCAGTGTTTAATTCTGGCATACCTGATAAGTTGAGTGTACTGAATGAATCTCTTGTACACTAATTTTCAGAACTGCTGCTTTCCTGAAATTCTTTCTTATTGCTAGGTTGGAGCATTAAACCTAACTTGGCACCAGGCCATTTACAGCATATACTGAAATTTGAATTAAAATATCCAGGCACATTTACCAAGCACATTTACAGAAATTTGAATTAAAATAGCCAGATTTATGCTTTGTATTGGCCTTTTTCTTTATCCCTATAATTCTTTGGTCACAGCAGTAATTACACTGCTGTATAATTCTAACATTAGCTAAGAAAGGAGTCACAGATATTTTAACTGTATTACTGGATAGTCAGATTTTGTTGTGGTTAGAGAGAAATAACCACTATTTTTTGTTAAATAATCATTCTTGAGAAAAAGCAGCTAAGAATGAAAAGTACTTTTACTAAAGTTGTTTTTTATATTAAGTCTAAAAATGTAAAAAAGCAGGAAAATATACTATATTTGTCCTTAAATAGTTTGTGAACTTCGTACCATCATTTCCAAAGTAGTATATTTGGTTGTATTGCCTGTTGGATAGGCTGTTTACCTACAGAAAGAAAATATTGTTATCAGAAATGCTTCACTTATTTCTAATGTTGGTTTTCTTTTGTTTTAGGCAAGGGGCTCAAATAGTTTACCTCTGCTGAGATCTGTCTTGGACAAATTAAGTGCTAATCAACAAAATATTCTGAAATTCATTGCTTGCAATGAAATATTCCTGATGCCTGCGACAGTTTTTATGCTTTTTAGGTAAGGAAAAATTATATTTGTTTTGGGAGGCTGATGACTGAACGTAATAAAGATAGTAACTCAAGTTTTATTCTGTTTAAATCTGTTGAAGGTAGGTATTGACATGTAGAGCTAAATGAATCTTAGCAGTTGCCTAATCTAACCTTTGTCATTTATAGTAGAGAACTTGAAATATAGTAGACCTAGGAATTTGTCTTATTCCTTGTGATTTATCATTTGACATTTTAAAAATTACTTTCATAGTTACCACCTTTGAAAGAATCTTATGAAATCTAATCTAGTCCAGTCTGTCACTATTGAGATGATGTTTCTTACACTAGAGAAAAACTTTTAAAATTATGTTCTTATATTAATAGTGCCTACTATCACCTTATTTTGTTTGTATCTTAATTATAGAAGTAATACATGAATAAAGAAAGCCATCCTTTTAAAAGTATGAACATTAAAATAGTATTGACCTCTGCATTGAAATTTTTGCATTACATTTTAAAACAATACACCTTGCTACCCAGATGATTGCTTTATCAATTTTTAGTTTTACAAGTAATGAGACATTACAGATAAAAGCTAAAATAGCATTTGACTATATGAATTCTTGCTGCAATTTTGTCCTCTTCCCAAAGGTGTAAGGAGTTTAATATGTGTCTATGTATGTAGTCCTTTAAAAATACTTATACAAATTTGTAGAACATATATATTATGGATGTGGAGTTTTGTTTGTTAATTTGTTTAGTTCTTATTTTACATCAAAGATGTTATTCTGGCTGGGCACAGTGGCTCATGCCTGTAATCCCAGCATTTTGGGAGGCCAAAGTGGGCAGATCACTTGAGGTCAGGAGTTCAAGACCAGCCTGACCAACATAGTGAAACCCTGTCTCTGTTAAAAATACAAAAATTAGCCAGGCATGGTGGTGCACACCTGTAATCCCAGCTACTCGGGAGGCTGAGACAGGAGAATTGTTTGAATCTGGGAGGTGGAAGTTGCAGTGAGCCCATATCACGTCACTGCACTGCAGCCTGGGCAACAGAGTGAGACTCTGTCTCACCAAAAAAAAAAAAAAAAAAGAAAAGGAAAAAAAAAAGTGTTATTCTGTACCTTTTTCCCACTTGTATGTTTTCATAACCTAATTGATTTGGCATATCCAGTTCTGTTTTTTTTTTTTTTTTAGCCGTATAACATTCCAACTTATCTCCTGATCATGGAATATGTTTCCAAATTTTCAGTTTTCCAAATATTGATGCAGTAAATATTTTTTACCTGCTTATACTTAATGCCAGTGTTTTCTTTAACATAGATACCAGAATTGATTTTGCTAGTACAAGCTAGGTGCCTTTTGTGTTTAATGGACCATGCTAAATTGTTCTTTAAAATGTCTGTATTACCTGTTTTTCATAATTTTGTTAGTTTGTAACAAATGTCCTTATTGATCATATAGTTATATTTTATAATTTTAAATGTACCTTGCCTTGATTAACTAGTAAAGTTTTCATGTACTTGACAGTTACTTCTTTCTATAGCAGTCTCTTCAAACTAAGAACAGAGTTTTATAGATTTCCTTATAAATATATATCTGTTTCATTCTTTTAAGTAGTGCTTTCTTCTGAGAACTCCAGGACTGGCTGGTGTTGCTTAAGTTGTATGGTCCCAACTAGATTTGATGCAGTTGTATTTGTAAATTAACTCTAAAACCTTGACCCTAAAATTTAATAAAAGCATCCTCTTATCCTAGAAGCTGAAAGCATATAAAAGAAAAGGGTAATGTAATCTGGGACAGCAGAAAAAGGGACAACATCAACATTCTAATATTTTTTCCATCATTTATAGGTTTTTCTTTCCACCTCTTTCTTTTGTGATCCTGATCTACACTTAGAAACTTTAATTATTAATTAGTAAGAGGAACTTTTTGCTCCCTTTTGTTATTCATTTTTCTCGGGTTTTTGTGTCACTTAATCCTGCTTTTGGGTCAGGATCACAGGTTCTGTGATTTGTTTCATGTAACTAGATGAAAGTTAAAATGGTAGATACCAGGCCGAGCACGGTGGCTCACAGCCTGTAAACCCAGCACTTTGGGAAGCCAAAGCTGGCAGAGCATGAGGTCAAGAGATCGAGACCATCCTGGCCAATGTGGTGAAACCCCGTCTCTACTAAAAATACAAAAATTAGCTGGGCCTGGTGGTGTGTGCCTGTAGTCCCAGCTACTCGGGAGGCTGAGGCAGGAGAATCGCTTGAACCCTGGAGGCAGAGGTTGCAGTGAGCCGAGATCGTGCCACTGCGCTCCAGCCTGGCGACAGACCAAGACTCCCTCTCAAAAAAAAAAAAAAAGATAGATACCGAGACTAGTTTTTTTGTATGGGTATAATTGATGTCTATATCCTGAAACCTCCAGATTCTGTTTAGTAAGCAAAATAATTTCTTATGCTCCTCTTAAATCAGATTAAAATAATTTTAATGAAATTCTGAGATGCCATGCAAACTTAGACAAAAACTTCACTTTGGAACTATAGTGAATTTTTTGTTAGGAGCACCAGGTTTTGACTGCGTTGGTACATTAATTCAATTGTGCTCCTTAAATGTTTAATTTAAACATTTATTTGTACAAACTTACCATCTTAATTTTTAAGATTACTGTAAAAAAGATGAGAATTTACCAGAAATGTTTAAATAGAGAAATAATTTTGTTTGAAAAATTAAAATCAGCTTATAAAGTGGTACTTAATTCCTATTAGGAAAAGCTGTTAATGCCTTAAGTAGGTAGTTTGAATATGACCTAAACAATAAAATTAAGAACAGTCTTACATTACTGCTATTCTTAATATGCTACCCTTTCTGGTATACACACAGTCTAATATTAGGAGGCTTTATCAAGTTACATTTGTGCCAGTAATGCTTCAAGCTCTGTATTTAAAAATTGATGCATTGTCTGAGTTTATCTTACACATGCGTTGCACATGTGTGCAAAGACAGGTAAAAGGATCATTGTGGCTTTTCTTCTAATTGACTGGAGCCACCCAAATATTCATTAGTACGGAGTTTGTTACATAATAGTCCAAGCATTAGATGGTATATTTGAAGCTGTAAAAAAGATTGCGGTAATTTATGTGTTGTGATATGGGATAATCACCAAGATATAATAAGTTAAACTTAGTTGTGTAGGGTGTTCTCCATTTATATTTAGTGGGGTGTATGTGTGTAAGGACATAGACGTTTCTGTCTCAGTTTTTTGGGAATGATAAACCATCTCTGTCCTAGAGTTGTTAAACAGATTTAGTGAATTATAAAGTGAGCACTATCAATGTTAGTCATTATATACACTTGTATATATACATTTCTGGAAGGACATATTCGAGATTGTGGTATAAGTTTGAGGAAGGGGCTAACTTGGATGATGGGAAACTTGTTTTTTAAGTGAATATTTTCTATTTATATTTTCTATGTTGTGTCTCTTACATTTTCACTTTAAAAAGATAAAAATTTGTCAAATTATTAGGGAAAATGGATGTTGCATTTGTTTAGTGGTAAGTTCGTAATCGTGTAAATTTTTTTTAATGAAAATGATACAATTTAGAAGAAAAGGCTAAAAAACCTAATAAAACACATTTGGCATCTTAATATATTTCTTCCAATTTAAAAAAATACAATTGTAATAATATGTGTAGTTTTATATTCTGCTTTTTTCAGAGTTGCTATGTAATTTTCATAACCAAGATTCTAGGTAGTTGCATATTAAATCCATTAAATAACCATAATATAAGTTGTTCAATTCTACTTCCTTACAGTTCACATTAGGTTGTTGCCACATTTTGTTTGTAGTTATTTCAGTGAATGTCTTAATTCAGATAGTTTTTCTTAGGGAAGAATTCCAGACCTGGTATTTCATAAACATATATATAATTCTTGGGATATTGTAATTGTGTTTTTTAACCAAGAACAATAATTAGTATAGGCTGTTTAGATTTACTGATGAGCCAGTGTAATTTTTTTGGTGGAGGGGAGTGTTTGTTTCTTTTTATATATATAAAATAAGTCACTTTTCATTTGCATATTTTATGAAGCTTTACAACTTGATTTCATCAATTAGTAATTACGGAATTATTTAACATTTTCTGATTTATTTAGTATTTTAAAAAATTTCAAAAGTAATACAGATAAGAATACATTTATAAAAAAATTAAACAACATTTTACTCTTTACCAATCATGTACATTCTTTTATATCCTTTTTTAAGGATAACTTGGATTTAGACATGATAGATTTCACTATGACCATTTGATGAATGAAGATACACATATTCTCCAGTTGAATTGCTTTTAAGTTTTGAGAGTATACACATGAATTGAAATGTATATTTATCACGCTTGTATTTGTTTATTTCAGTGGTCAAGGAAGTTTGCTCCAACCTTTTATATACTATAGATTTCTTACCCTTCGATATTCGTCTCGAAGAAACCCATATTGTCGGTAAGCTGATGATTATTTTAGGCATGTTTTATTTGTTGAGAGTATTGTGAATATATAGTATTCGCAATTCTTAAGAGTTACTTAGCTAATGTGTTAGACTTTAGAAGCAAGCAGTGTTTTTGTAAATTTAAGTTCTAGGCCTTAGAATGTACTGGGGTTGGTGAGGAAGTGGTTGTATTTGTTCTTAGAAACTGAGACTGCAGTTATCTACGCCACCTCTAAAGCACTGCTAAAACTTAGCAAATTTTAAAATGTATAAGACATAGATTCCACTCTCAACTTTCCTAGTTGAAGAAACAAAACACGTGTCAATTAGATAAACAATGGTTAGGATACAGAATTCACAAGCCAATAGATAATGAATGCCATATGTTTGCTTTATTATATCAGTACTGCAGTCCACAGAAGGGAGAGATCATTGGGCCAGAAGATAGATGAGCCCAGGAAGGTTTCACAAAATTGAGATTGTGGGAGGAGTAAAGCTTTTGAATAGGGAAAAGCATTTTAGGTGGGGCAAGAGAGACGAGAAGCACAAGCCATATTTGAGGAACTTTATGTAGAGCTGTTTTGACTCTAATGGAGATTCTGAATGGCTAATTGCTGGAGCTAAGATTAGAAAGGTATATTGGAGCTATATTATAAAACTTCTTGAGTTTTAGGGTAAGAAGTTTGGAATTTATCTTTTAGGTGAATGGGAATGATGGTTTTGACATCGTCAGAATATTCTTCTGATACCCTTGTGCCAGAAGAGTTTGAAGCAGAAAAATGGGGAAGCAGAGAAATTTTAGGGAATTACTGTAGTTTTCAGGAATGGAGGCTTAAATTAATATACACTAAATTATGCATTCTGATCTCAAGCATTGGAGTAAAACTAAAATGATACTCAAATACTAATATTAAGATAATCTATTTTTAAGTTTAAAATAATGTAGAATTCAGCTAGAAATCCAATGAGTGCATTACAGCAATCTGTATATTTTCATAAGTACAGTAAAAAGAACTTGAATTTGAATGCTGGCCCATCATTAACTAGTTGTGTGACTAGGCAGGTTATTTATTTGGATTTCTTCATTGGTAGAGGAAATAACTCCTTCTGGGGGTGAAGCGAAGTAATATTTTAAAAGTACTTAGACTGTTATGTTCTTACTAGTTCATTTTCATTATTCTATGATCTGATTTTCTGTTCAGAGCGTTTTTATGCTCTATTAGACAATGTCTTTTTTATAATACTTTCTAAAATAGAACTTATTTTAGACATTCGTTCTTAGTGAGTCTCTAGTAGCAAATTAACATTCATTTTTACTTGATTTCTTGAGTTTTAGCCTTTTTTCTTTCTGGTCCCTATATTCATTTCAGACATTATCTTATATTCTCTTGCCCTGACATCTGTTATTTTAATCAGCATATTTGTTTTTCTGTGCTTCTTTGTGCCTCCTTCTCCATTCCCATTTTCTTCACATACCCTTAAATCATATTAGTACATCTAGAATTCAGTTTTCAGTGGACTGAAAAGGAAAGGATAGCAGTGAATCAAGATAACACAAATATGTGCTGGTAAACATCTTCAAAGCTGTCTTATAAGCACCCATTTTAACCAAACCAGTGGAAAGGTAATGGAAAATATTTCAGCTTGTAAATATTGATAAACAGGCTATAAAACTACATTTTCAGTACTACACTTTTTTTAATTAAAGGTTTTGAGACCATCTCTATTCACAATTTGTACCATTTTCACCTACGATATTTATTCTCAAGTTGGTGGTTTCAGTTGTTTTTGGATCTCTAGTGCAGATTGTCTATAGCTGTGCTGTCCAGTACAGCACAGCAACCACATTTGACCTTTAAATAAAATTCATAAAACTTAGAACTTGGTTCCTTTTGAGCACAGTTCAGGTGGGTACTCAAAAGCCATGTGTTGCTGATGGCAACTGTGGGTCAGCACACATATGCAAAAATTTTGTCATTACTCAAAGTTCTGTTGTCAGTGCTATTAAGGAACTCTCTGACTGGTCCTTCAGCACAGATATGCAAAAATTTTATCATTGTTCAAAGTTCTGTTGTCCGTGCTGTTAAGGAACTCTGACTTGGTCTGTGCCAGCGATGCAGCCAGTAATAAAAGAACTATGTGACTTTAGTGAAAGCGATTGACTTCATTAGTCCTCATGTCTTCTAGCTTTATTCATTTGACTGATTGGTTAAAACAGTGATTGTATGTTGATGAACTTATGTGGAATTAAAATATCTTCTTTCAGAGGTACTCACTGCTGAATAAATTAGACAGCTATGTAAGTCAGTGTGATGATGAAGGTGCTCTGAAAGCATAGAGAACAGACAGAGACAAATAAGAATTCACTGAGGAGGTGGGAACATAAGCCAAGTCTTTTAAAGAATGAGCCTGAGTTCTGACACATGGGTGCCTGAAAAGTGCTTAGCATACTTGAGCTCAGGAAGTATATAGAGAATTGATAAATATCTGTGTCCACAAAGGTAGATGGTAGAAAGGACTAGATCATGAAAGGGTTTGGATTTTATTTTGAGGTAAGGAGAGCCTTTGAAGATTGTAACATAGAGAGGCTGGGAACCCCCATGATGAAATCTGATTTAGAAATATTCCAGAAAATGGATTGCAAGCTCAGCAAGAGAAGAAAAATATCAATTTGGAGACTATTAGAGTAGTCTAGAGCCTGAATTAATCCAGTGGTAAAAGGAAAAGGGGACAAATATGAAAGGTATTAGGAGATAGGATATTAGGGCTTGAGAGAAAAGAGTAAATTAAAGACCCACAGGTTTCTGGCTTGGAAGCCTAAGAGTTGTAATGGTGCTCTCACGAAGACAGGAGATACAGGAAGGGCAGGTTTTGGAAAATTATGCATTACTCCAAATATTATTATTCCTGTCTTTCTGTGCAAGCATATTAAATACTTGTTTAGAAAAGTAGATTTGTTGCTTTTTTTCTAACCATAGAAGTAAAACAGGACACAAAAAGGTAGAATAGTAGTTGCATCTTTATACAGGATGAGTCAGCACATAAGGTGAAAATTGTGAATGGTTAAAATTACCCTTGATGATCCTTCATATCACTTATAAATGTCAGTACAGTATACATGATTTTGTGTATACTAGCCTGTATAATATATGTGATATCTACAGTATGTAATAATACTTTGTAGGCAGTGAGCACAGTTAAGACATAGGCAAAGCCCACATGGTTTTGGGCACAAACATGCAACATAAGTTGATGATAGGAGCGAGGGCAGGGAGTGGCAGGAGATGGGGCAGAAAATTAGATTGAGACTAGATTGTGGAGGGTATTGGGTGTGACACCGAGTACTTGGGCTTTAGTCGGAAGGCATAAAAGAGTCATAGTTCAGTGTATTGATCCAACTGGGAAGTAACATTTATTGAGCATCTTCCATATTGCATTTAAATTTCACCACAACTCAGAATTATTTTACAGAAGAGGAAATCTCTGAGGGACAATATGTACATTTAAGGAAATAGTGGGTGAATAAATATAACTGTCCATGTTATATATTTTAAAATATATAAAAAACACTGTCCATGTAGTATATTTTTTCTTGTTCTGTTTTAAAAAACTAGTTGAAATTGCCTAAGTTAAATGTGAAAATGATGTGACTCTAAAATATATATATATAATTTTTAAAATTTAATCTGAGGTTTTAGAGATAGCCATTTATTAAATACCTTTGTTAAATGAGTGTTTCCACCCATAAAAGATGTAGGTGTTGTTTGAGAATTTCATTGTATTTTGTGTTTTCTCTACAATGCATTCTAGTTATTCTTTTACTTCAAATTCTAATGGCTATGGTAGATTCCTTCATGAGTATTTGTTTAGCATTAGAGGCATACTTCAGAAATGTTGTGGGAGTGGTTCCAGACTACCACAATAAAGTGAATATCACAAAGCTGTCAGATGAATTTTTTGGTTTTCCAGTGCATACAGAAGTTATGTTTACACTCTACTGTAGTCTGCTAAGTGCGCAATAGCATTACCATCAGCAGTAAGGCTGTTCTGCTTTCTTATCATTCATCCGTTCACAGAAATGGGCTTTTAATTTTCTTCAGGAACTTTTCCTTTGCATTCACAGCTTGGCTATTTGGCACAAGAGGTCTAGCTTTTGGCCTGTCTTAGCTTTAGCCATGCTTTTTTCACTAAGCTTAATCATTTCTAGTTTTCATCTAAAGTAACAGACATGGGAGGCCTCCTTTCACCTGAGCACTTAGAGGCCATTACAGGGTTATTAATTGGCCTAATTTCAGTATTGTGTCTCAAAGAATAGGTAGGTCTGAGGAGAGGGAAAGAGACCAATCAGGAATGGCCTTCATGAACTGCTTCATCTTATATTTGTGCAGTTTGTGGTGCCCCAAAACAGTTACAATAGTAACACCAAAGAGATCACCGTAACAGAACAGATCACAGATCACCATAATAGATTAATAATGAAAACATTTGAAATAGTGGAAGAATTGGCAAAGTGTGACGCAGAGACATGAAGTGAGCACATGCTGTTGGAAAGTGGCACTGATAGTCTTGCTGTATGCGGTGTTGCAACAAACCTTCAATTTGTAAAAAATGAAATATCTATGGAGTACAATAAAATGAGGTAAGCCTGTGTATTGCTTTTTCCTTGTGTTTCTCAAAGAAAACTATTTTGTCTTGCAGGACCTTATTTAATGAACTGAGGATTGTTGTTGAACACATAATAATGAAACCTGCTTGCCCACTGTTTGTGAGAAGACTTTGTCTCCAGAGCATTGCCTTTATAAGCAGATTGGCACCAACAGTTCCATAGTTTAACATCTAGTTAAGCTACAAATATAGTATAAGCATTATTAGCAGCTGGTACTTCTGCTAGGGGTTGTAAATTCCAGGTGTTACACTGACCTCAATCCAATTTACATAATTTACATAAATGCATCTCGGTGGAAAAATAATCATTTTCTTGGCATGTTAAATCAAGCTTAAAAAGTTTTGAGAAAATTTTACTGCGCTGTGTTGCTAATGGTTAAAGAAGTCTGTATCTAGTGATAAATATACCAGTTTTTTTAAAAAGATGCTGTTGTGCCTATATCATGAAGTACATTAATTTCTCATGTAAAAAAAATAGCTCTAAAATTTGTTTCAACCTAATTGGTAACCTGAGTTTATATCTGGCATGAATTCATTATGGTGATACACATATGTGAATTCAGTACATTTTGAGACAGTATTCTACCATTCAGTAATTTTGGTTAATGATTTTAACACTTCTCAGTGTATTTAATTTCAAATTGTTTTTTTAATTGGTTTTATGCTGCTTTGTTAGGACAGATGTGTTTTGAATGTACCATTATAAGAAGAATTCTATGTATCTTAAACTATGATCTTCTAAAATTTTATTTCCGTAAGTACTTCTGTGGCCTTGAGTATTTTTTAAAAGGCTCAACTGTAAGCCTCTTAGCCAGTTGGATAAATATTTGGGGTCACCTAGCCATTGAAAGCAGAAAGCAGTAGTGACACAGCTTTCCCTTCAAAGAGCCATTGAGAAACATTTCTCAAACAGGAAATCCTTCTTTTACTAATGTGGACATATAGATTATTCGTATTATAGTTTGTAGAACTACCTAGTTCAGAATCTTGACTGCCAGTTTTCTTGGTTTCTTAGGCTTGAATTTTCATAGACAATTGCAACAGTTTAGATGCCTTTTGAAAGGAATGTAATGAAGATTCAGCATCTGACTATATGTGTGTCTATCCTGAAATAATAATGGAGAGTATACTGTAGATTACATGTTTACCCATCAAATCTGACTTAAAAGGTTAAATGGAAGGTTTTATAGGTAAGGTAATTGATTGGGAATGGGGTAGGGGGAGGAGTTGTGGGGGAATAATGTGCATTTCAGTCTCAACGCATAGATAAATTTAGGGGAATTGGATGTATTATTCAACTTTGATTTGGGTTGTAAAATGTGTTAAATCCTGTTCATTGAACTCCCATCAACTCTTATAAAATTCATGCTGATCTTCATTACCGTTGCATGATTGGAAATGTTTAAAACATTGTACAGTTTTAGTATAGAGAAATGTAATGGTTTTTGTGACCAGTTTCTGTCTGCATGTAATTTGGATTTCTCAAATACATTCATTAGTAATTTATCAGTAACATTAGTTTTATTTTTGTTCATCTCCTTATCTATAAAAAGGGGATATTCTTAGGATAAATACATGAAAAATTATACTTGATAGCTTAACTATAATCAGCTATTTTTGTATTTTTGTAATATTTGTCCACTAAGCTGGAGAAGCAGCCTCATACAGTTGATTTTGTGTATGTGGCTAGTCTTATTGTCACTATGTAAGTAATCCAATGGTTTTAGAAACTAAACTTTCTAGAGCAATAAAATGACTATAATGTTAAGTAAACATAATGTTGATTTCTAATTATGTTTTAAAAAATGAAGTCTTGAATTATATCAAGAAATTTTGGCAGCTGAAGTCATGTTTATTTTGAAGCTGTTAGTTTTTTCCTATAATTTAAAAAGATCTTTTAGATTTATAGAAGAGTCAGAAATGTACAAGAGAGTTTTTTTGTTGTTGTTTTTGTTTTTTGAGACAGAGTCTGTCTCTGTCGCCAAGGCTGGAGTGCAGTGGCGCAATCCTGGCTCACTGTAGCCTCTGCCTCCTGGGTTCAAGTGCTTCTCCTGCCTCAGCCTCCCGAGTAGCTGGGACTACAGGTGCACGCCACCACGCCTGTAGTCCCAGCTGTATTGTAAAAATACAAAATTTTAGTATTTTTAGTAGAGACAGGGTTTCACCATGTTGGCCAGGATGGTCTCGATCTCCTGACCTCGTGATCTGCCTGCCTCGGCCTCCCAAAGTGCCGGGATTACAGGTGTGAGCCACCGCGCCCTGCCAAGAAGAGTTCTTTTGCATACCCTTTACTCAGGTCCTCTCATGTTAACGTTTTACATAACTGTAGAACATTTATCTAAAGTAAGATATTAGCCCAGAACAATACTACTAACTGAAGTATAAAACTTATTTGAATTTCAACAGTTTTTTTTTCATTTCTTATTTTCCTTTTGTGTGCTCTGTTTATACCATGATCCATGATTTTTTTAAAATCATGATTGTCTTTTAAAGATCTGTGTGTCTCTGTTTTGAGTTTTTCCTGTTTATTTTGAAAAGTACTGTTGGTCAAGATAATTGGTCAATAATCCATGTTGGTTTTAACAAAAAGCATTTTAACATTAAAAATATTACAGTATAAAATAACACTCTGTGCTTTAAATTGAGGTTTTATGTCATTTTAGCAGAATTATAATATTTCTGATATACTCATGTTTGACAAGTTGAAACAGATTTGTTTCTTAAAGGAAGGTTTAATATACAAAAAAAGGTAATCTTAAACTTACGAAAAAGTAAATTTTACAATTTGAGCATTACTAGATGTTTAGTTTGCATGAACTCATAGTTAGAAATTCTGCAATAGGAATATCTACAACCGGCTGATTTGGAATTTGAAATTATAGTGTTACATGTATACCTATCAAATTAAAATTAAGGAAATACAATAGCAATATATAGAATGAATGTAGTAACAGAAATTAACTCTTTACTGCATCATTGAACTTATTGTTAGTTACAGGTTTAAAAGAAGTTCATTTAACATCCAGTGTGTCTAATTCTTCTGGAAGTGGTGTAGTACCATTGTTCTTCTGGCATTTTTAAATATTAAACCTTTTTGGATAGATGGAAGCCTTATACAAAATCTACTTTATTTTAGCAAGGATTCTCTGTCCTTTTGTATAGTTGGTACCTTACTAATTTAAACTCTAATATCAATCTAAAGAGAAATTTATTATGCAATTTGTATTTAGGTTTTTTTTTTTTTTTTTGGAATGAAGTTCAGAGGTAGATCCTCCTGGAAGAAAGAAAGCAAGCGAACTTTTTAAAGAAAATTAGACTTGAATATTTAAGAATGTCCCTTACAGAGAAAAGGCCAACTATAATACTAAGCTAAAAGTTATGAAAAATTAATAGGTTCTTTTATAGAGCTAAGAATGATGAAACCATCAATACTTCCTTCTTCCTAAAAATCCAGATCAAAACTTCAGGTTAGGTTTCTAAGTTTAGGACATGAATATTATTTTTTTCTGGAAAAGAAGATGAGTATATGTGTAATAAGACAAGTAGAACTGAGAGATTTAGTTTTTTTTTTTTTTAAGTTTTAGTTCAGAATAACATTAATTTTGAGAGATTGAGGTAAAGAACCTTAACTAATGCTAAGGAGTTTATTTTGATTAACATAGGTTATTCTGACCACCACCTCTTCCTTCCTTAATCTCCTTAGAATCTGACAGTCTCAAAGCTGTCACACAAATTAGACTAATTTTGACACTTTGAAATGAAAACTTCAAGGAAGAAGTAGCCACGGACAGTTATGTTTATAATCAGTAGGTGGCACTCTTTCCTCAGGTAGCCCCCCATTTTCACATGATGTGTTTGAAGGTTAAATGCCACCAAAAGTGCTGAGTCAGCTATAAAACTAAGTCCCTGAATTCCATGGCCCTTTTAAATATGTAATCATTCAAGATTGAAAAAAAAAATTAAGCATTTTTTGTTTGTTTGCTTGTTTGTTTTTGAGACGGAGTTTCACTCTTGTTGGCCAGGCTGGAGTGCAATGGCGCCATCTCAGCTCACTGCAACCTCTGCCTCCCGGATTCAAGCAATTCTCCTTCAGCCCTCCAAGTAGCTGGGGTTACAGGTGCCCGCCACCATGCCCAGCTAGTTTTTGTATTTTTAGTAGAGATGAGGTTTCACCATGTTGGCCAGGCTGGTCTTGAACTCCTGACCTCGTGATCCCCCCACCTCGGCCTTCCAAAGTGCTGGATTACAGGCGTGAGCCACTGTGCCTGGCTTGCATTTTTAAAATACTGAATTATTCAAAAGAAGTACCCTGTCAATATGTGCTTTCTAGGAAAACAGTAAAATAGGCCACAATTTGGAGTGACACCATTCAGATCAAGGTCTATCCAGTTTTTTCTTTTCATGCTAAGTGCCTACATCACCGAAACACACTAATATAAAATTATCCTTTCTCCTTCATTTTCAGATGTGTAAAAAATGGTACTTAAAGTGTTTTCATGATCATTTTGTAGGTAGACTAGATATAGCCCGTTGAACCTCTTTTAAAATTTAGACTTTTGATAGTAATATAAAAGCATATTGAAATTTGTAGATATTATATGAGGAATGGCACCTAGATTTGAAAATTATGCTTGGCTTGTAGAGACAACTAGTTTCTCTCGCTCTTTTTTTTTTTTTTTTTTTTTTTTTTGAGACAGATTCTCACTCAGTTGCCCAGGCTGGAGTGCAGTGGTGCAGTCTTGGCTCACTGCAACCTCTGCCTCCTGGGTTAAAGCGATTCTCATGCCTCAGCCTCCCTAGTAGCTGAGACTACAGGCGTGCACCACCACGCCCAGCTAATTTTTGTATTTTTAGTAGAGACAGGATTTCACCATGTTCACCATGTTGGTCAGGCTGGTCTTGAACTCCTGGCCTCAAGTGATCTGCCCGCCTCGACCTCCCAGAGTGCTGGGATTATAGGTGTGAGCCACTAAGCCTGGCTGAGACAACTAGTTTCCCTTAACTCATTGGAATTCTCTAGGATTAGGAGAATTCCACAGAGCCTATATGATATTATAGCTCAACATTTAGTATACCAAAGGCATACCCGTGTAAATCTAGGAGTTATTTCCAGAGATTGTTTTAAGGAGCAGTCTTATATTCAGGGTAGAAAGTTATGATTGGATCTGCTGTTAAGGAGAACAAAGGAGCTTCTAAAGGTTTGGGAGGTTTACTGGTAGTAACTATTCTAGGAAATATTTATGTTTTAAGGTGATGTTCACATGGGTTCTTTAGAAGGAACATAGTCAAGTGTGATGGATTAACTCTATATAGTCTTTCTCCTCTTGTGCGTGTAGGAAATCTGACCTGCAGTGTCAGTTGATGTGACAAGAGATAAAGAAAGCACAGTATTTTAAAATCTAAAGCAGATTCCTTTCTTAGAAAACAATAGGAAAAAATTATAGATGGATGTCTTTGCTGAAATCTAACAATTAGCTCATATTCCATGAGAAAGAGTGGCCTAAGAATTATTTCATGTTACCTAGCCTTCTGAAGCTACTCACTTGATGTGCCTAGCACTTTGAAACTAACCTTTTCTTTCTTTGTTCATGACAGTTTAATTCCAAATATTTACTATTTTCTCTTGTAACTGTTAGAACAGTTCCTTTTGACATTAATTTTTGCCTACATATATATTTTTAAGTTGAGACCAAATCGGTGAAGTGTTGAGCAAGTAACATTTATGATGTGTGTATATTGGAACAAATGTAAAAGGGTTACAAAGATTAGAAACAGAGTCATAAAAAATGGCTTGATTTATAAAGGCATTACTTTTGGTGCTTTATATAATGGCATATATTGAACTAAAAATTTGTATATACAGTATGTCAGCATTTCTTAGTAACTTCTCTTGAATCCATTTTTAATATCTAATATTGTACAGGTTGGGGAGTTACATTCTTCAGGCCAATACTATCCAGACTATATAAATTTATAAAATAAATTGAAAAATTCATTCCCCTGTATTCAAGACCAAAGCACATAAATGCTAATGTAGGGCTCAGAGGGGAAATACAGTTCTCCTGCATATTTGAGAAAATGTGAAGTCCTTTCAAGAAAATCTAATAAACATAATAATCATAGCCTGCTGACACTAAGGAAAAAGGACCTCATTCACTCTTTCTTTTATGCAGTGATTTACTGGTCCCTACTGATTTCCAAATTGGATCACGATAGTAAATTATCCATGCTGGTACCTGTGAAAGTAAGCCCTGGGATCCATATTTGTTTTGTGTTCTGCTTAAATCAGCAAGAATGATAAATTTGATGGTGTGAAATTGGAAGTATCAAGGGCTTTCTTTGGTGATTGAGGGAAATAATGTCTCTACTTGTAATTTATTGTGACCCTTTTTCACTGTATATGCTTTGTATGTCTAATATTTATTTCAATGCAAATTCAATTGTTCCTTCATCTGTATTGTTATATCTAAGATTTTATTGATGTTAAAATCTAATTGTGGAATAAAAATCTCTCTGGAATTTAGCAGATACAAAAATGTTATCTTGCAAAAGAACTAAGAACATTTGTAGTTAGAAATCAGCTTTCCTTTGAGCTTAATTGCCTTTTTGTTAGAATAAGGTGAATTTGAACACACTCCTCTTATCCTCAGCCCATCACAAATAATAGAGATGCCATGATTTTGAGGTCTGATGTGAAACTGGTAAAAATGTGATCTAAGGTGTAACTGGAAAAAAAAAGGAAAGAAAAATTACATTGATGCCTCAGCTGTTTGCTTGATTCTGTACTTTTTTTAATCTAGTGAAATTTATACTCTAGAGATGAGTTATAGCCCTATAATGATTCACAGCATACAGTATATACAAAGTCATCAGTCAACGCAGGATAACAGAGAAATATATTTCTCTTATAGGTGTTTAGAATTTTCTGCCTCTTCTTGACAAGTGGCATTAAGCAATACACTGTACAAGGAAGTTAAATCCTTGTCCATTTGGAGATTGTAATCTAAGAGCATTATGGAAATCAGTTGTATAAAGGCAATTCTGACAGGTGAATAAATATTAATTAGTAAATGAGTTATGTACATAAGGGGAAAAGTGGTAATGCAATAAGTAGAGTTAGGAAAATTGATTTCCTAAAGATTTAGTAGTGTGAGGTCTTAGGGACATATGCATTATTGATTCATAATGCTCTTTCCTTTAGCATATGGAAATATTTGGAGCTGTTTATAAAATAATTCTGAGCTTTGTGAAGGGAAAAATATTTCATTACTCAAGGCTGGTCGAATGGAGAAACTCCAAGAAAGTGGTGCACTGAGATCCCTGAGAATTATCAGTCTAAGCAGGTGATGTGTCAACAAAGATCTTTTAAAAGTGTATGTTATCATGGCAAATTTTGAACATGCACAAAAATAGAATAGTGTAATGAACCTCCATATTCTTATCTCCCAGCCCTCACAATCCTTGGCTATGGTCAAATGTGCCCTACCCTCATCCCTATTCACTTTCCTTTCTCCTGGTTTAAATCATTTCATGTTATTTTAAATGACTTAGTAAAATTTTAATTATGTATCTCTAACATATTAAGATGCTTTTTAAGATCAATATAAAACGTTAACGATAATTATCATAGGTCTTTTAGGTTGGATGACTGGAAATGATTAAGAGTAATGCCCTGATAGGAAAAAGGCTTACGTGATTTTATTGCAATATATTATGAAGGGAGGGGGAAATTCCAACATTTTTTAGTAAAGGGAAGACTTGTCTCCATATATTGTTGCCCTCAGGAAAATGCAGAGATAAACATCTCCCTCTTGGGGAAGTTATAGAAAGAGATGTTGCCATTCTACTCTTTACTCTCTCCCTCCCAGTGGAGATCGTGTATCCAACTATTTTTCCCTGAAAACCTGAGTATATGGGATTTGGGTTGGTGCTGTCACCAGAAACAGAATAGGAGGCAGTTAAGTTCTGCAAAGGAAGGGAGTCCTGTTAACCAAAGAAGGGGGCGGGGGTAAGTTGGGGCTATGCCACTAAATTAAGACAAATTTAATATTAGTACCATTGTCTTCATTAAGTTGCCCTTAAAACAAATATTAATAAATATCAAGTAATTAGATTGTGAGTTTGTGAATTTAATCACAGATTTACTTTAAAATTTTATATACTTTAAAAAAATAGTTTGTATCATTTTTTTAAATCCTACAAATTTGGAGCTTTACAACCATTATTGCCTAGTGTTCCAACAATAATAGACCATTCCACTTAAGTAACAAACCAAGACTCTGAAGACACAGAAATAAAACTTGTAGTAATCCAGAATAAAATAGGTATTTCTTTTTTTTTGTCATTAATTTATACAAGATACAGTCATATACTTAGGTTTCTTTAAAATAATGGGTCTTGATACTATGAATTCATAGTATTGTGTTTGGCAGTTCAACTTAGTAATATCCAAAGCATGTAGTTCATCTTTTGAAGTGTTTAGAAATGGGCTTTAAAAACAAAAACAAAAACACTTTATCTGGATGGCTAAACTTCCTTTTTGGGCTCTTGTGCTATTGGGCTTATTTTGAATTAATTTTTTTAATGAACTTTATATTTTCCTGTCCTGAGGACAGTCCTTAATTTCAAAAGAAACATTTCTTGGAAAAATATTGAATCTGGACTTTGTGCATGGTGGTTGCACGCCTGTAATCCCAACTACTTGGGAGGCTGAGGTGGGAGAATCGCTTGAGCCCAGGAGTTTGAGACCAGCCTGGAAAACAGCAAGACCTCATCCCCTTTAAGAAACAAAAGAAAAATATTGAAACCATTTCAAGGAAAATATTTTAATATGTGCTATTTTATATTTTTAGTTATGTTCTTAATTATATGGATATATTGCTGGGAATAAAAAAAATTTTTCAAAGTAAACATCCTAATAACCTACCAGAGGGGTTTTTGGTGGTGGTGTTTGCCTTTTAATATTATGGCAAAGTTATACGTAAGGAGACTTATTACAAGTCTATTTGGGTTTTTGTGTTCATTTTACTTATTCTGAAATGGTTTTTTGGCTGCTATAATGTTATACATACATACAGTAGTAGTATGCTTTCAGTAGCATCATGTTTTTAAATCTTTGCTATTAATATACTCAAATAACCTTAAAGCAGGTTTATAAAATCATTCTTTGTTCATTTTCTACTTACTGGTAATTATCACATCCTTAAATTTTGAAACATTAGAATCTTACCTTAATTACAAGTAAACTGCCCCCTGGTGGCAATTTTTCTGAAAAATAATTCTAGTGGCTCTCATTTTGCTTGTAACTAAAAAAATTGGGGGAAAAGGAAACAGGTTTTGACTGTTCCAGCTGGTTTTTACACTAACCTATCTAAGCAAGGTTCAAAAGGGCTTCTTGGTCATGATTTTAACCTTTTCATGCTATAAAAAAAAATAGGCCGGGCGCGGTGGCTCACGCCTGTAATCCCAGCACTTTGGGAGGCCGAGGCGGGCGGATCACGAGGTCAGGAGATCGAGACCATCCCGGCTAAAACGGTGAAACCCCGTCTCTACTAAAAATACAAAAAATTAGCCGGGCGTAGTGGCTGGCGCCTGTAGTCCCAGCTACTTGGGAGGCTGAGGCAGGAGAATGGCGTGAACCCGGGAGGCGGAGCTTGCAGTGAGCCGAGATCGCGCCACTGCACTCCAGCCTGGGCGACAGAGCGAGGCTCCGTCTCAAAAAAAAAAAAAAAAAAAAAAATTTAGACCATTATCATTTGTTAATACATACTACTAGTTTTCAAGGTGCCTAAGTGAGCTAATAATTTTTTCCATTATATTTATGCAACAAGTAGAAGGACGTTTTAGGGTTTCAATTTAAGACTGAGAAACTAAAATTCCACTGAGAAGTCAGTGAATTTCTTATTGATAGTTGTGAAGGAAAGCTTTAGAATACAGTCCTCATTCAGATACTGTTCACTGAAGTGTGCTTTTTTTTTTTTTTTTTTTTTTTTTTTTTTTTTTGAGAGTCTCGCTCTGTCGCCAGACTGGAGTGCAGTGGTGTGATCTCAGCTCACTGCAACCTCTGCCTCCTGGGTTCGATTCTCCTGCCTCAGCCTCCCAAGTAGTTGGGACTACAGGCGTGCACCACCACGCCCAGCTAATTTTTGTATTTTTACTAGAGATGGGGTTTCATCATGTTGGCCAAGATGATCTCGATCTCTCGACTTTGTGATCCACCTGCCTTGGCCTCCCAAAGTGCTGGGATTACAGGTGTGAGCCGCCGTGCCCAGCCATTGAAGTGTGCATTTTTGTATGGTAAGTAACAGTGTCAGAAATGTGCCCATGAATGTTCTTTGGGTTGCCATCATAATTTGGGCATTCACATGATTAGTTCTTTTTTAAAAATTTATAGAATTTGTGGAATACATTTGCTATTGGTACAGTCTCAGAAGAATGGTTTCAGATACTCTTAGATGTCTTTAGAGTTTTGAGCAAGGATAAGAGGAGATACTTAAGAGTTACTCTTGTAAATGAACATTTTTGACTATTAATGGGTCTCTTATAAATGGATCTTTTATGTCATGCCAAGGGGAAAAGAAGTATTGCGTAATCCATATACCAAATATTCCATTTATTTTGCCTTGAAACAATACATTATTACAGATATCAGTAGAACTTAACACTGGTTAATTATTTTATTTCTAATAATTTTTAATTTATAGACTGTCTAGCCCATCTATATTTTCACTTTTTGGTTTCACCATTAAATAGAGTATGCAAAAAGCCTTTTTGAAGAATACAAAAGAAGTTTGGGTTATCATAATTAACCACTTGGTAAATCTGGTTATAAATCACAGTACAAAGTCACATAGACTCTTTTGAGGAATTTTTTTTTTTTTTTTTCTTGAGACGGAGTCTCTCTCTGTCACCCGGCTGGAGTGCAGTGGCCACACCCGGCTAATTTTTTGTATTCTTAATAGAGACGGGGTTTCACCATATTAGCCTGGATGGTCTCGCTCTCCTGACCTTGTGATCCGCCCGCCTCAGCCTCCCAAAGTGGTGCAATTACAGGCGTGAGCCACCGCGCCCGGCCTCTTTTGAGGAATTTTTAAAAAATGGTTGCTATTGAATATTGATCAGGCTTTTAAGAAAAAACAAATGGCCAAGACCCCAAGTGTTCAAGTAGGTGATCACTATTACCTAAGGAAAATAAACACAGGATGATGTCACACACACATGAATTGATAATATTGGTAGTAGTGGGAAGACTGAACTGAGCTGGAAAGTACATGGTTTGCCTAAAAGCATTCAGACTTTAAAAACGTGTGCTAATCGCACATTAGATCCAATTTAGCAGCCCAAGTGTTAAAACATTATCAAGGAGTTATAAATAATAGCATCAGGAGTGATGGCAGGAAGTCCTCAAATAGTGGTTCCAATCTGTGGACATTCTCTTAGTTTCTCTGGGCCTCGATTTTTTCATTTGTAGAATGTGGCTAGGAAAGGATTATTTGAGGTAGTGTATGTGAAAGTATTTGTATACTATAAAGATTTATATGAACCAACAGCTATATTTTACATTATGTTATGCTTCGCATTTTACCTTTGGAGATTCTGGGACTCTTGGAATTTAAAAGAACGTCCCCCAAGGCCATACTTGATGAGTTGGTATTGGCTAAAATTTGTGTGACCATATTTTAAGTCACCTTTCTGAGAAAAAATTCTTTGGATCTGTGTCACCAGTCGAATTACTTTACTCTCTTTTTCTTTTATTTCCATAGGTTTTGGGGGAACAGGTGATGTTTGGTTACATGAGTAAGTTCTTTAGTGATTTGTGAGATTTTGGGGCTTTTGCAAGGGACAAAAAGCAAAAGTGCTATTACTTAGCAAAATCAGATTCACTTCTGTAACTGTGAGAGCACTCTCCAGAAGTACATCTTCAAAATCAGGAAATGATTATAAGTCCTCTTCAAAACCATGCTCCTTCTAAACCCTCCCAAATGAATACATAAGAAGGATGCAAACACAGTCTATGAAATGCTCAAAACTAAATGTATCCGTAATGTTTAGAAAATACAGACCAGAATTACAATTCTGTTTTTATTAGGGATTATCCAGAAATTGGTAGAGACTTGATTTTTATCCTGAGGCACCTAGGAAGAAGCAGGGATAAAACCATTATCATTGGAAGTCACTACAGTCACACCTGAAGAACGACTTTCAGTCAACAATGGTGCATATATCATGGTGGTCCCAGAAAATTAAAATGGAGCTGAAAAATTCATATCTCCTAGAGGTGCCTTAGCTCTTCTAATGTTGCAGGGCAATGTATTGTGTTTGTGGTGATATTGGTATAAACATATCTACTGTGCTGCCAGTTGTATGGAAGTATAGCAGATACAGTTGTGTACATCAGGTAATACTTGAAAATGACAATAAACAACTATGTCACTGGTTTATGTTATCGGTTATTGTTAGAGTGTACACGTACTTAACAATAACAAAGTAACTGTGAAACAGCCTCCGGCAGTTTTTTCAGGAGGTATCCAGAAGAAGGCAGTGTTATCGTAGATGACAGCTCCATGCATGTTACCGCCCCTGAAGACCTTCCAGTGGAACCTGGAGGTAGAAGACAGTGATATTGATGATCCTAAACCTGTGTAGGCCTAAGCTAATGGGGTGTGTTTGTGCCTTCCTTTTTAATTTAAAAAGTTTAAAATGTTAACAAGAATTTAAAATAGAAAAAAGCTTATAGAATATGAGGATAAAAGGAAAGAAAATATTTTTGTATGTTTGTACAATGTGCTTGTGTTTTAAGCTAAGTGTTATTACAAAAGAGTTTAAAAAGTTGGCCGGGTACAATGGCTCACACCTGTAATCCCAGCACTATGGGAGGCCAAGGCAGAGGGATCGCTTGAGCCCGGGATTTGGAAACCAGCCTGGGCAACATAGTGAAAACTCGTCGCTACAAAAATTAAAACAAACAAACAAGCCAGGTGTTGTGGTGCACATTTG
Organism: Homo sapiens; assembly: GCF_000001405.40. NCBI lineage: Eukaryota > Metazoa > Chordata > Mammalia > Primates > Hominidae > Homo > Homo sapiens. The sequence goes on from NC_000004.12 coordinate 41,967,033, forward strand.
TAGTTTCAGCTCTCTGGAAGGCTGAGGTGGGAGTATTGCTTGAGCCCAGGAATTGGTGGTTGCAGTGAGCCATGATAACATCACTGCACTTCATCTTGGGCAACAGAGAGACACTGTCTTCGTGGGGGGGAAGAAAAGTCAAAAAGTTTTTAAAGTAAAAAAAGTTACAGAAAGCTACGGTTTATTATTGAAGGAAGAAAAGTTTAAAAATAAATTTAGTGTAGTCTAAATATATAGTATTTATGAAGTCTACAGTAGTATACAGATATGTCCTAGGCCTTCACATTCACTCACTACTCACTCACCCAGGGCAACTTCCAGTCCTACAAGCTCCATTCATGTTAAGTGCCCTATACAGGTCTACCCTTTTTAAAAAAAATCTTTTATACTGTATTTTTACTGTACTTTTTCTGTGTTTAGATACACAAATAACCATTGTGTTTCAATTGCCTACAGTCTTCAGTAGAGTCACATGCTGTACAGCTTTGTAATCTGTGAGCAATAGGCTCTAGCCTATTTGTGTAGTACTCTATACCATCTAGGTTTGTGTAAGTACACTATGATGTTTGCACAATGACTAAATCACCTAACGATGTATTTCTCAGAATGTAATCCTTCATTAAGCGATGTATGACTATATAATGTGACCAGTCTCTAGGGCTCTGAAGTATGACAGACCTGGTTGCCATCACTTTGTAGCTGTGTGACCTGTTTTTCCTCTGTAAAATGGGAATAACAATACCCCATACTTTGTGAAATGGTAAAATGAGCTGAAACATATAGTGTTTAGCATAGTATTTCACATAATGCTCAGTAATTTTGGCTGTCATCATCATCATCATCAATGGTATGGTTTGGCTTGTGTCCCCACCCAAATTTAATCTTGAATTGTAGTTCTCATAATCCAATTTGAGTGACCTGGTGGGAGTGACCTGGTGGGAGGTAATTGAATCATAAGGGTGGTTACCCTCATGCTGCTGTTCTTGTGATAATGAGTGAGTTACCCAGTCTGGGGCAGTTCTTTATAGCAGTGTGAGAACAGACTAATACAGTAAATTAGTACCAGGTACTGGGGTACTGCTGTAGAGATACCCCAAAATATAGAAGCAACTTTGGGACTGGGTAACAAGTAGAGGTTGGAACAGTTTGGAGAGCTCAGAAGTCAGGAAGATGCTGGAAAGTTTGGAACTTCCTGGAGCATTTTGGCATTGACCAAAATGCTAGTAGTAATACAGACAATGAAGTCCAGGCTGAGGTGGTCTCAGATGGAGATGAGGAACTTACTGGGAACTGGAATAAAGGTGACTCTTGCTATGTTTTAGCAAAGAGATTGGTGGCATTTTGCCCCTGCCCTAGAGATCTATGGAACTTTGAACTTGAGAGAGATGATTTAGGGTATCCAGCAGAAGAAATTACTAAGCAGCAAAGTGTTCAAGAGGTGACTTGGGTGCTGTTAAAAGCATTTGAGTTTTATGTATTCGCAAAGATATGGTTTGGAATTGGAACTTATGTTTAAAAGGGAAGTAGAGCATAAAATTTGCAGGCTGATGATGTGATAGAAAAGAAAAACCCATTTTCTGAGGAGAAATTCAAGCTGGCTGCAGAAATTTGCATAAAGAGGAGCCAAAGGTTAATTGCCAAAACAATGGGGAAAATGTCTCCAGGGCATGTCAGAGGTCTTCTGGCAGTCTCTCCCATCACAGGCCCAGAGGCCTAGGAATTAAAAATGGTTTTGTGGGCTGGGCCCAGGACCTTGTTGCTTTGTGCAGTTTTGGGGACTTGGTGCTCTGTGTCCCAGCTATGGCTAAAAGGGGCCTAGGTACAGCTCAGGCCATGGCTTCAGAGTATGCAGGCCACAAGCTTTGGCAGCTTCCATGTGGTGTTGAGTCTGTGGGTGCGCAGAAGAACTGAGATCTGGGAACCTCCACCTAGATTTCAGAGGATGTATGGAAATGCCTGGATGTCCAGGCAGAAGTTTGCTGCAGGGGTGGAACCCTCATGCAGAACCTCTGCTAGGGCAGTGTGGAAGGAAAATGTGTGGTTGGTGCCCCCACACAAGAGTACCCACTGGGGCACTGCCTCATGGAGCTCTGAGAAGAAGGCCACTGTCCTCCAGACCCCAGAGTGGTAGATCTGTTAACAGCTTGCACCATGCTCCTGGAAAAGCCACAGACACTCAACACCAGCTTGTGACAGCAGCCAGGAGGGAGCTGTACCCTGCAAAGCCACAGGGGTGGAGCTGCCCAATGCTGTGGGAGTCCACTTCTTGCATCAGCATGACCCAAATGTGAGACATGAAGTCAAAGGAGATCATTTTGGAACTTTAAGGTTTAATGACTGCCCTACTGGATTTCAGACTTGCATGGGGCCTGTAGCCCCTTTGTTTTAGCCAATTTCTCCCATTTGGAATGGGTGTATTTACCCAGTGCCTGTACCTCCATTGTATCTAGGAAGTAACTTGCTTTTGATTTTAGAGGCTCATAGGTGGAAGGGACTTGCCTTGTCTCAGATGAGACTTAAGACTTGGTCTTTTGAATTCATGCTGGAGTGAGTTAAGGCTTTGGGGGTCTGTTGGGAAGGCATGATTGTGTTTTGAAATGTGAGGACATGAAATTTGGGAGGGGCCACGGTTGGAATGATATAGTTTGGTTGCTTCCCCACCCAAATCTCATCTTGAATTGTAGCACCCATAATCCACATGTATCATGGAGGGATCTGGTAGAAGGTAATTGACCTCCATGCTGTTCTCATGATAGTGAGTTCTCATGAGACCTGATGGTTTTATAAGGGGCTTTCCTCCCCTTCACTCTGCACTTCTCCTTGCTGCCTCCATGTGAAGAAGGGTGTATTTACTTCCCCTTCTGACATGATTGTGAGTTTCCTGAGACTTCCCCAGCCATGCTGAACTGTGAGTCAATTAAATGTCTTTTCTTTATAAATTACCAGTCTTGGGTATGTCTTTATATAGCAACATGAGAACAGACTAATACAATCTATAATTAGAACAATTCTGTGAATTGCTTTATTGAATAAATTGAGTAGTTAACATAATTTCCCACATATTTATATTCCAAAGGATTAGAAAATAACTATTCTTCAGATACTTTCTGGTAATTGATGTTTGTAATGATGACCACCCCCTGTCTTGTTCCCTCCCAGATAGTCTAAAATTTTGAATTGTCAAAATTTAAATTTTGGAGACACATGATATTGTGATATAATGATAACAGGAATGAATAAAGATCAGATACCAGACTTCAGTATTAATTACATACAGCTCTGTGACCTTGGGTAACAAATTTAACCACTCTGAACATCTGTTTCCTCTTGTAAAATTTGGAGAGTAATATTGAATGAAAATAATTTTGTGTGGTGGAAGGTTCTCTCCCCTACCACTCTCTTCCATTTTCTAGAATGTTGAATCTCTCAAGGCTATCTTAATAGAAGGGTGTGTTTTTGGCCAGAACACAACTGTAATCACAACTGTAATCCCAGTTGTCTCACAACTGTAATCCCAGCACTTTGGGAGTCTGAGGTGGGAGGAGTACTTGAGTCCAGGAGTTTGAGACCTGCCTGTGCAACATAGCAAGACCCTGTTCTGTACAAAAATAAATAAATAATTAGTTGGGCATGGTGGCATGTGCCTATAGTCCCAGCTACTGGGGGAGGCTGAAGTGGGAAGGTTGCTTGAGCCTGGGAGGTCAAGGCTGCACTGAGCTGTGATTGCACCACTGCACTCAGCTTGGGTGACAGAGTGAGACCTTGTCTCAATTTAAAAAATATAAATAAATAAAGGATGGGTTTTGATATTGCCTAAGATAGTAAAGCAGAAAAAGCATCAGTGTAATGAGGAAAAATATCTAATTGCATCAGATATTTACATGGGGGGCAGACCCCCATGACAACTTTTCCCCTCTGCCTCATGCACACTCATGTTCTGAAACCTGACTGCTATGAATAGCAGAACCAGTCTGAGTAGAGAAATACTGACAACATCCTTTGGAGACAAGACTCAAGAAGAGCTGGAGCAGGGACTTCAAGGAAGGAGTGAGTACTGTATATCAAAAGAACTAAGAGACTGTGTGTGTGTGTGTGTGTGTGTGTGTGTGTGTGTGTGTGTGAATTAGCACTGTCCAATAGAAATATAATGCAAGGTACTAATGTGAGCCATATATGTAATTTTAAATTTTCTATTAGCCACATTAAAAACAGTAAAAAGGTGAAGTTAATTTTTATAATATATTTTATTAAACCCAATATATCAACAATATATTTCAGCAATAATTAACATAAAAGTTAACATATTTCACATTTTTTCATACTAAGTCTTTGAAATTTGGTATGGTATTCTTATATCATATTAGACTAGCTATATATCAAATATTTATGTACATATTCCATAGGTACATACGGCTAGTAGCTAAGATACTGGACGGTACAAATATTGAGGGTATGAAGGGGATTGTTGGAGATTCTCTGGTAACCATGGTGTCATTTCACAGTGCTCCCCCAGAGTCTAGGACAAACACCCTGTGTCTGTGAATGGAACTTAGGGATAAGTTGAAGAGATCAAAAGAGTGATTCTAGGCTCATTGGCTTGTGGATTTGTGGACCTTGTGTAGTTTGGATTATATGGCCTGAGAATGAAATTGTGAATGAACATTCTTGGAATTTTGTGTGTATATGTAATTGGCCAACATCAAGACCACCTTTTCCTTCTGTAATGTGGTGTATTGGTCATCATGGGCTGCCATAACAAAATGCCACAGACTGGATGGTTTAACAACCAAAATGTATTTTCCCAGAGTTCTGGAACCTAGGAAGTCTAAGTTCAAGGTGCCAGCAAGATAGGTTTCATTCTGAGGCCTCTTCCCTTGGTTTGTTGGGAGTTACCATCTCACCGTGCACTCACATGGCCTTTCCTCAGTGTGTGTGTATGCAGAGATAAATAGATATCTCTCTGTCTTCCTCTTAAAAGGCCACTAGTCCTATTGGATTAGGGTGCCTAATATGGGTGTGCGTCCCCACCCAAATCTCATCTTGTATCTCCCATAATTCCCACGTGTTATGGGAGGAACATGGTGGGAGTCATTTGAATCATAGGGGTGGCTCTTTCCTGTGCTGGTCTTATGATAGTGAATAAGTCTCACTAGATCTGATGGTTTTAAAGAATGAGTTTCCCTGCACAAGCTCTCTCTTTGCCTGCTGCCATCCATGTAAGATATGACTTGCTCCTCCTCGCTTTTTGCCATGAGAGTGAAGCCTCCCCAGCCATGTGTAGCTGTAAGTCCATTAAACCCTTTTTTCTGTATAAATTATCCACTCTTGGGTATGTCTTTATCAGCTGCATGAAAACAGACTAATACAGTAAATTGGTACCAGTAGAGTGGGGTGTTGTTGAAAATATACCCAAAAATGTGGAAGAGACTTTGGAACTGGGTAACAGGCAGAGGCTGGAACTGTTTGGAGGGCTCAGAAGACAGGAAAATGTGGGAAAGTTTGGAATTCCCTTGAGACTTGTTCAGTGGCTTTGACCAAAATGCTGATAATGCTATGGACAATGAAATCCAGGCTGAGGTGGTCTCGGATGGAGATGAGGAGCTTGTTGGGAACTGGAGCAAAGGTGATTCTTGTTATGTTTTAGCAAAGAGACTGGCAGCATTTTGCCCCTGCCCTAGAGATTTGTGGAACTTTGAACTTGAGAGACATGATTTAGGGTATCTTGTGGAAGAAATTTCTAAGCACCAAAGCATTCAAGAGGTGACTTGGGTGCTGTTGAAAGGCATTCTGTTTCAAAAGGAAAACAGAGCATAAAACTTTGGAAAATTTGCAGCCTGACAATGCAATAGAAAAGAAAATCTTATTTTCTGAGGAGAAATTCAAGTTGGCTGCAGAAATTTGCATAAGTAATGAGGAACCGTATGTTAATCACCAAGACAATGGGGAAAATGTCTCCAGGGCATGTCAGAGACCTTTGCAGTAGCCCCTCCCATCACAGGCCTAGGAGGAAAAAGTGGTTTCGTGGGCCAGGCCCAAGGTCCTTGTGCTGTGTGTAGCCTGGGGACTTGGTGCCCTGCCTCCCAACTGCCTCAGCCATGGCTGAAAGGGGCCAACATAGATCTTGGACCTTGGCTTCAGTTGGTGCAAGCCCAAAGCCTTGGCAGCTTCCACGTTGTATTCAGCCTGTGAGTGCACAGAAGTCAGGAATGGGGGTTTGGGAACCTCTGCCTAGATTTCAGAAGATGTATGGAAACACCTGGATGCCCAGGCAGAAGTGTGCTGCAGGGGTGGACCCCTCATAGAGAACCTCTGTTAGGTCAGTGTGGAAGGGAAATATGGGGTTGGAGCCCCCACACAGAGTCCCTACTGGGGCACTGCCTAGTGGAGCTGTGAGAAGAGGGCCACCATCCTCCAGACCCCAGAATGGCAGGTCCACTGACAGCTTGCACCCTGCACCTGGAAAAGCTGCAGACACTTAAAACCAGCCCGTGAAAGCAGCCAGGAGGGAGGCGGTAACCTGCAAAGCCACAGGGGCAGAGCTGCCCAAGACCATGGGAACCCACCTCTTGCATCATTGTGACCCGATGCAAGGCATGAAGTCAAAGGAGATCATTTTGGAGCTTTAAGATTTGAGTGCCCTGCTGGATTTTGGATTTGTGTGGGGGGCCTGTAGCCCCTTTGTTTTGGCTAATTTCCCCATTTGGAACAGCTGTATTTACCAATGCCTGTACCCCCATTGTATCTAGGAAGTAACTAACTTGGTTTTGATTTTACAGGCTCATAGACAGAAGGGACTTTCCTTGTCTCAGATGAGATGTTGGACTGTGGACTTTTGAGTTAATGGTGTAATGAGTTAAGACTTTGGGGGTACTGCTGGAAAGGCATGATTGGTTTTGAAGTGTGAAGACATGAGATTTGGGAGGGGCCCAGGCGGAATGGTATGGTTTGGCTCTGTGTCCCCACCCAAATCTCATCTTGTAGCTCCCATAATTCCCATGTGTTGTGTGAGGAACCCAGTGGGAGATATTTGAATCATGGGGGTGGGTCTTTTCTGTGCTGTTCTTGTGATAATAAGTCTCATAAGATCTGATGGTTTTAAAAAACGGGAGTTTCCCTGCACAGGCTCTCTTTTTGCCTGCTGCCATCCACGTAAGATGGAACTTGCTCCTCCTTGCCTTTTGCAATGATAGTGAGGCCTCCCCAGCCACATGGAACTGTAAGTCCATTAAACTCTTTTACCTATATAAGTTACCCAGTCTTGGGTACGTCTTTTATCAGCAGCATGAAAATGGACTAATACAGTGCCATTTTGACTTCATTTAACCTTAATTACCTCCTAAAGGCCCTTTCTCCAAATACAGACATACTAGAGGTTAGGGCTTCAACATAGGAATTTTGTGGGGGCCTACTCAGTCCATAGCATATGGGCTTAGTGTTCAAGAAACATATGTAGAAAGTATTTTATAACTAAGAAAGTGAAACTTAGGTGATGGTGGAATCCTGCTTCAGAGTATAGTTGTGATGTAGCACTTTGTGAGTTACAGAATCTGGCTGTGTTCAAGGATGGATGTTAAAGTGTTTTATAAACTCTAGTGCTATTTAAAATGTTTGGCGATATTACTAGATTACTATGTCTTGCACATAGTGCTGAAAATAAATACTTTAAAAAATGAATTTGGCATGGTAATGATGATATATTTTATTACATGCATCAGATAGTGTTGACTCTAAAGCTCTATATCAATATATCAATGTTGGGGGTTTATAGCACCACTAATAATGTTTTAGTACATATTTCTGGCTTTTGATTCTTAGAAACCACATTAAATCATATATGCTAATTCTAGTTGTCAGAAGCATTAGGTCATCAGAATGTCCCCAAAACAATCCATGAACAAATTGTGTCAGTTATACCTTCAAAATATATTCAGAAATACCCAGGCACAGTTTGCACACATGTAATCCCAGTTACTTAGGAGGCTAAGGAAGGAGGACTGCTTGAACCCAGGAGTTCAAGACCAGGTAGGGAAACATGGTGAGACCCCATCTCAAAAAAACAGAAACAAAAAACAAACAAACAAACAAACAAATCTAACATATATCCACAATCAGATTCTCTCTTCACCCAGCTCAATTATCACTGTGAATAAACAACCTTCATGTCTTACCTCGATTATTCCAGTAGCTTCCTCACTTTTCTCTTCTGCTTTTGCCTGCCTCTCCCCAATTTGTCTTGATACAGCAACCACAATAATTCTGTTAAATCATACATCAGAATATGTCTCCTTTGCACAAAACCCTTCTGTGGCTTCTACTCTCAGAGCTCTTGCAGTGACCAACAAACGCCTCTTGATCACACTTCTTGTTCCTCATCTCCTACTACTTATTCCCTCATTTGCTGTGTTCCAGCCACACTGGCTTTTTGCTCTTTTTTGAATTTGCCAAGTACAAAAGTACTCCTCCTACCTAGAATGTTGTCTTAGATATCAATTTGACTCATTCCTTTACCTCCTTCAGATCTTTATTCAAATGTCACCTTGGTGAGTCCTCTCCTCACCTCCCTATTTAAATATACTACACCCACTTCCACACTGACATTTCTTTTTTCCTGCTTGATTTTTCTCTATAGTACTTATTGCCATATAGTGCCTATCATAATGCACATAGCATTATCACACATTTGTTTATTTTGTTTCTCATTTGTGTCCCCACCAGAGTGTAAGCTTCATTAGGACAAGAATCATTTTTTGTTTTATTCATTGTTAAAAACCAGTTCCTGGAACGTAGTAGGCACTCAATAAATACACATTGAATGCTTGAAACAAAACTTACTCTAGTTAAACAGAAGAAGAATTTTTTTTAAAAGGATATTAGGTATTTAAAAGTCTGGATGGAGTAGGGAATCAGGCTTGGAAGCTGTCTAACCAGGAATAATGCAGTTTCCATTGGGAACAGTCACCACTATTACTGGGACACTCCCCTGGACGTGTGTCCTTACCACCTCCACTGGTTGTATTTTGCCTTACGCCTCTTCCCTTGCAGAATATGTTCCTTGAGATGCCTTACTTTTCCCATTACTTTATTTCAAATTGTAGCTTCTCATAGATGTTCTGATGGTTGGTTGGTGGTTTGTCACATGCGTGGGCCCTTGCTCCAAAGGAGCCCAGGAGAGCAAGTTCCAGCCTTCTACTTTGGGGAGGTAGGCTCACAGGTAGGACATTCCCCAGATATTGGAAGTATGTTCAAAATATGCTGTGCAGTCACAAAATATAAATGCTCTTCACTGGCACTGAGTGCTATCATTAAAAAAAAAATCTAGCTCAGGAGACCTGAAGTTATTTTAAAATTGTATGTGTAATCCAGAATCCATTTCCCATAGCAATTGTTAAACAATGTCTGCTTTCAAATTTATTATTCTTCATTCCTGACCTTGTTCTAAGCTTAACCAATCACATATTTTCTCATTTGACATCCCAGTGATTAATAGCTGAAACCCATTGCCTGGAGAATGGTTTCCATTGTGATGTGGTACTCCTTGGGTGGAGAGTGGGATGAACAGGCAACAGAATGCTTTGTTTATGGAAAAGGAATAAGAGTGTGAGTCCATTATCAGAAAATGCAGCAAGGGTGTAAAATATTGGGCTGCCATGTTAGAGCTCACCTGTTACCATAAAAACCTCTGTACTCAGCAGCTGGGTCAGTGGGAAGCCTGCTGCCCAGTTCGAATGGTATATTGAATTATATGACCAGTCTTGGCATCAGTTTAACATATTTTTAAGTAACTTTTATTTTTTCTTCCTTTCTTTTAGTTCCTTTTTTTTTTCTTGCAAGTAGGAAGCAGGAATGACTGTTCAATTATTAGATATTCAAGTTTAGAATTCACTGTCATTACTGCACAATTCATTTGCTGAAATAACAAGTAGCAGATGCTACAGTGCAAGTTAATGAATAATTCTTATTTGTACTCTGGCCTTTCATTGCAATTCATTTGTTACAGACATGTGGGTTTAGTAATTATTATTCTCACACTTTCTAAAATGTTTTTAGCTTTTTAAAAAGCATTTTGCTCATTTTTTTATTTCCTTCTGTTTGTTTCATTCTATTTATTAAATTCTCCCATTTATCCCAATTGTTTGGGAAGTCTCATGGCTCTTTATGGTTCTCTTCTGAGAGGAATATGAAATACTTCAATTGATTTGTTCCTTATTGCAAATAAGCCAAAGCCATGGCTCATTTACCATTACCGGGTTTGTTTACCATTTCACAGGCACACTTGAGGCCTCAGCTTTCAAGGGCATGTTTTCAGCCTGTTACAAACCATGCTTGGCCTTCCTTCTCTAAAGTCTGCTCCTTCCTAACCAGGAAACAGGGCAGGAATGGAATTTTCTTCCCATTCCAGTTTCTCTTTAGCTGCTTGTGTCCAGAAGTTGATATGGCATAGCTAAAATTAATACCTGAATTGACCCAGTTCACCTTCTGTTTTAGAAACAACAACAACAAAAAAATTGGCTAAAAAGTAAAGGCCTGGGTATTTTTAGAAAGAGCAATAATTAGTGTAAAATGTCACAGAAATATAATACGTTTAGATTCATGTCAGACAAAAGTTATTTCCAGGAAGCTTCTCAAAGACAAGAAAAGGGATGTTGGAGATATTGGGAAAAAGTATAGTGAAATTGGTAAGAATAAATAAGCTGCAGTGAAGCCTATCTGAAGCATTTGGAATATGACTTTGCAAGAGGCTCAGAATAGAATAGAGTAGGAATCTATCCCTGTTTATCTTTTTACCTCCCTATCCGTCTTGTATAGATATTGGAGTAAAAAGATGAGGAATGTTGCCTCTTGTTCCTCTCTCTGTGACTCACAACAGTGATGCTAAAGTGAGGAAGTGGCTTCAGACATGAACAGAGGTGGGGGATGGGAAAAACGGTCAGTATTAAGAGGCATGTGGCATGTGTGAAGATTTAGGAATTTAAAACACACACACACATGGTGGAAGCTGGTAAGCCTTGCCTTTTATACACAGTTCTGAATTTTAACTCTGAGGAGAGGAGTTTTTTGGGGTATAATTCTCTGTCGTAAGAGGCTGCCCTATGTGTTGTAGGATGTTTAGCAGCATCTCCAGCCTCAACCCACTCGATGCCAGTAGTATCCAGTTGTGACAGCTAAAAATGTCTCCAGATATTGCCAACAGTTGTCCCAGGATGAGAACCACTGCTGCAAAGGTCACACGATGTGGTTGGGCAGGGTGAGTATGGGACCTTGAGCTGGGGTAAGACCTGAGGGGCAGAGTTGTGAGAGTTATGGGGAACGTTTCCAATTTCTTCTATGGAGAAATGGGAAGAGATGGTGGATGAAGGAAATGGAGTGGCATGGTGGGAATGGAGTATGTAAATTCCTAAAAGAGAAGGAAAGAATCCTAAAGGCTGAAATAATTTTTTAAGACAGTAGATAAAAAGTCATGTAGCATTTAAGGAGACTTATTTTTTCTAGAAGGTTGATTTATATGTTTATTGAGAGGGAAGGAAAGTTAGTTAATCAGAAAAGAAGGGGGAGGTGGGGATGGTAAATGAGTTAAAAAAAAAAAAAAGTTAAATAATGAATAGGACTGGCCAGGCGTGGTGGCTCATGCCTGTAATCCCAGCACTTTGGGAGGCCGAGGCAGGCGGATCACAAGGTCAGGAGTTCGAGACCAGTGTGTCCAATATGGTGAAACCCCATCTCTATTAAAAATACAAAAATTAGCCTGGCATGGTAGCGGGAGCCTGTAGTCCCAGCTACTCGGGAGGCTGAGGCAGGAGAATCACTTGAACCCAGGAAGCAGAGGTTACAATGAGCCGAGATCGCACGACTGCACTCCAGCCTGAGCAACAGAGCAAGACACACACACACACAAAAAAAAACACAAAACACAAAAAACGAATAGGACCTACTATTTGATAGCACAACGGGGTGATCATGGTCAATAGTAACTTAATTGTATGTTTTAAAATAACTTAAAGAGTGTAATTGGATTGTTTGTAACTCAAAGGATAAATGGTTAAGGGAATGGATACCCCATTTACCCTGATGTGCTTATTTCACATTACATGCCTGTATCAAAACATCTCGTGTACCCCATAAATATATACACCTACTATATATCCACGGGAATTAAAAATTGAAAAAAAGAAGTGGAAATAGATTGAAAGCTCTCCCTGTAGAGTAGAAGTTGGATAGATTTTGCAGAAATAACCTTAATCCCTTATTCCTCTCAGTGAAGGAGCCTATGAAATAAAGGAGAATTAAACATGTAGTTCTTATAATTTTCATTCCTTCATTCACTTATCTATATCCTATGTCCCATGTACTATATTATACACTAGACAGTAAGGATAGAAAGATGGATAAGAAACAATCCCTGTCTAAAGATGTCCACAGTATACTAGGGTAGACAAAGATGTGTAATCAGTTTGATTGAGAATCTCACCTCAAGAGGCATAAGCTTGAAAGTCTCATCATTTCTACACTTGGTATTTTGTCAGATTTCATTGCTTCAAAGTATCAGCCTCCTTAGTTATTAAAACTTTCATTCTAGGTATTAAGATTAGGTCCTACTGATTTAAAATATTAGTCTCATATTTATTTCAAAAACTTCCTCCATGCCTTCCAGAGCAGACTAGACCCGTAGTTCCAACTTTCTTTATACACACCCCTTTTTTTCCATGTGCCTGCTCTTCCGATGGTGGGGTCAGGAGGTTTAAGAAGGAAAACAGGCAATGCCTTAAATGTCTGACTGCCGCCATGTTGCTATCTGCTTTCTGTAGGTCATTGTTAGAATATATGGGGTTCCTAACAGCCCCACTGATAACTCAGTATCAAGCAGTCCTCTATGCTTTGATAGCCCTTTGCAAGACTTCTGCATCTGTCAGCTGACTTCCATTTGGCAGTGGTGAAACACATTCTTCTGATACATAGAAATCCCTTGTCCCATGTTATGTTCCATGGCAAGTGTGTGGGCCTCAATCTCCTGTGCTCTCTGTGATCCCAGCTCTGGGGCCTGTAGATTCCGACAGGATCCATAGTCCAGATATCACCGGATTTCTCTGTAGTCCCTACCAACTCTCCCCAGTCCTCCAAAATTCCTGGAAATTCATAGCGTAAGGGGAGTCAGCAAGCTTTGTGGCAAAGGAAACATCCAGATGGGGACTGGAGATATCAGCCTCCTCTTGAAGACACCCCAAAACTTTACTAGTATCATGTAATAGGTACTAATGTCCTGAACAGAACATGAAAGACACTAACCATTAATGAAACAAATGGACAATTTGGATAAATTCATAATTTATTTACTTATTTTTCTTTCTTTTTGAGACAGGGTCTTATTCTGTCTCCCAGCTGGGCTGGAGTGCAGTGGGGTGATCACTGCAGCCTCAACTTTCAGGGCTCAGGTGATTTTCCCTCCAAGACTCCTAGGCTCAAGTGATTTTCCCTCCCAGTCTCCTGAGTAGCTGGGTCTACAGGTGTGCACCATACCCCGCTAATTTTTGTATTTTATTTATTTATTTATTTTTTGAGACAGAGTCTTGCTCTGTTGCCCAGGCTAGAATGCAGTGGCGCGATCTCGGCTCACTGCAAGCTCCGCCTCCCGGGTTCACGCCATTCTCTTGCCTCAGCCTCCAGAGTAGCTGGGTCTACAGGCGCCCGCCACGATGCCCGGCTAATTTTTTTAATTGTTGGTAGAGACGGGGTTTCACCGTGTTAGCCGGGATGGTCTCAATCTCTTGACCTCGTGATCCGCCTGCCTGCGCCTCCCAAAGTGCTGGGATTACAGGCGTGAGCCACTGCGCCCGGCCTAATCTTTGTATTTTTTTAGAGACAAAGTTTCACCATGCCGCCCAGGCTGGTCTCTAACTGTATTTTAAAAATACAGGCGGCCGGGCGCAGTGGCTCACGCTTGTAATCCCGGAACTTTAGGAGGCTGAGGCGGGCCGATCATGAGGTCAGCAGATCGAGACCATCTGGCTAACACGGTGAAACCCTGTCTCTACTAAAAATACAAAAAAAATTAGCCAGGCGTGGTGGCGGGCGCCTGTAGTCCCAGCCACTTGGGAGGCTGAGGCAGGAGAATGGCGTGAACGTGGGAGGCAGAGCTTGCAGTGAACCGAGATCGCGCCACTGTACTCCAGCCTGGCCGACAGAGCGAGACTCCGTCTTAAAATAAAAAATAAAAAAATAAGAAATACAGGCAGGGCGCGTGGGCTCATGCTTGTAATCCCAGCACTTTGGGAGGCTGAGGCGGACAGGCTGCTTGAGCTCAAGAGTTCCAGACTAGCATCGGCAAAGCAGGGAGACCCCATCTTTACAAAAAAAGTAGCCTGGCATGGTGTTGTGAGCCCATAGTCCCAGCTAAGTAGGGCAGAGGTAGGAGAATCACTTGAGCCCAGGAGTTCCAGGCTGCAGTGAGCCGTGGTCGTGCCACTGGACTCCAGCCTGGGTGAAAGAGCAAGACCCTGTCTCAAAAAGAGAAAGGAAAAAATTTAACATCAAGAACTTCCTTTCATCAAGACACCACTGAGAGAATACGACAACCCACAGAGTAGGAAAAGAGATTTGTAATACACATCTGTAACAATGGACTTCCTCCTAGAATAGAGAGGATAAAAAGTAGCAACACTTCCGCTTGCACCCGGACGGAACTTCCTGTCACGGAAAAGAACATCCTGTCACGGAGAAGAACATCCTGCAGAATTTCCTGTCACGAGGAACATTCCGCAGGAGGAAATGGAGGCTGAAAGGCTGCGACTCCTCGAGGAAGAGGCCAAGCTGAAAAAGGTAGCCAGAATGGGATTTAATGCATCTTCCATGCTCCGAAAAAGCCAGCTAGGTTTCCTCAACGTCACCAGTTACTCCCGTTTAGCCAACGAGCTGCGTGTGAGCTGCATGGAGCGGAAAAAGGTCCAAATTCGGAGCTTGGATCCCTCCTCTTTGGCGAGCGACCGATTTAACTTCATTCTGGCGAGTACCAACAGCGACCAGCTCTTCGTAGTGAACCAGGTCGAAGTCGAAGGCTCCAAGTACGGCATCATCAGCCTGCGAACTCTGAAGATCCCTTCGTTCCACGTGTACGTGCTCAGAAACCTCTACGTCCCCAACCGGAAGGTGAAGTCCCTGTGCTGGGCCTCGCTGAACCAGTTGGACTCTCACGTTCTGCTGTGCTTCGAGGGAATCACAGATGCTCCAAGCTGTGCAGTGCTGCTCCCAGCGTCGCGGTTCTTAAGTGTTCACACAAGAGTTAACCAGCCTGGCATGCTCTGCAGTTTCCAGATCCCAGAGGCCTGGTCCTGTGCGTGGTCCCTCAACACCCGGGCATATCACTGCTTTAGTGCAGGCTTGTCTCAGCAGGTCCTGTTGACCAGCGTGGCGACGGGACACCAGCAGTCATTTGATACCAGCAGTGATGTCTTGGCCCAGCAGTTTGCTAGTACGGCTCCTTTGCTGTTTAATGGCTGTCGCTCCGGGGAGATCTTTGCCATTGATCTGCGTTGTAGAAATCGAGGCAAGGGGTGGAGGGCCACTCGCCTGTTCCATGACTCAGCAGTGACCTCTGTGCAAATCCTCCAAGAAGAGCAATGCCTGATGGCATCAGACATGACTGGAAAGATCAAGCTGTGGGATCTGAGGGCCACTAAATGTGTAAGGCAGTACGAAGGTCACGTGAATGAGTCCGCCTATCTGCCCCTGCATGTGCACGAGGAAGAGGGAATCGTGGTGGCAGTGGGCCAGGACTGCTACACGAGAATCTGGAGCCTCCATGATGCCCACCTGCTCAGAACCATCCCTTCCCCGTACTCTGCCTCCGAGGACGACATTCCCAGCGTGGCCTTCGCTTCTCGGCTCGGGGGCATCCGGGGAGCAGCACCAGGGCTGCTCATGGCTGTCCGGCAGGACCTTTATTGTTTCCCCTTCAGCTAATTCTGCAGGTGGCAGCGCGGCCGAATGTGGATTTGACTTAAGGAAGTTAAGAGTATCTTATTACCGTTTCTGTGAGAGCATTTTAAGAGACGTGTTGTATATAGATCGCATCCATCCGGCTGCCAGGGGTAAGGTGTTAAGAGTTTTATGTGGAGACGTTCTTGTAAAGTTATTTCAGTTAAACTGTGGACTTAACTTGAAAGTCCTTTTCATAAAAGGTACCTGTTTCCTCTTGTTGAATGCCTTAGAACAGTTAACCACCTCCCCAACCCTTTTTTTTTTTAAATAATTAAGACTTTTCTAAGGACTGAAGATTGGCAAAAACTAAAATAAATTAAAGCAGCTTCTTTCACTAGTAGCCCTTTAGAGAAGCATAATGATGGTACTGGTAAGACTGTTTGACTAATCATACAGGGTCCCAGGCATCTGCGCTTGAGGAAGCCAGTGGGAGTGGAGACAAGGGAGAGGTAATTTCTCAGAGTCTCTACAGAAATATTTAAGGCTGGAGTTTGGAATCATTAAATTTGGCCTTCTCAAACTCAATAGCAGATCTCTTAAGGTTCTCCTTTTATTGTTATCATCCATAGGCATTGGAAGGAAAGATGGATCTTTTTAAATACTAGAAGTTTTAAACAGTCCTTGATGTGCTTTTGTTGAGGTACCTTTCAGAATGTAAGGTACAGCAGCTCCGGTTTCTATTATGGTGACTTGAAGTTCAGATTCAAGGAATTGGCTTTGACTTTTTGTAATCTAGGAGCAGCAGTTTGTGAGAGATTTATTAAAAATGTTAAAGAGCCTGTTTTTCTACTAAGCAAGGAAGAAAAAAAACGTGTAATAAGGTTAGTTGCTACTTCTTAATAGCCAAAGCCTGGAAATGATCTGAATTTCGAAAATGCTAAAATTCGTGATATAATCATACAATCGGATACTGCATAATAATAGAAAATAAGGCACACTTGCTATGTGAAACAGTATGGACCAATCTCAACATGTTGACTGAAATTAGGTAGAAATGAGTACAAACTGTATGATTCAATTCTAAAGTTCAAAAGCAGTAAAAACTTGTCTATGGTGATTAAAGGTAGAGTAGTACGTACCTCTGTAGAAAGAAAGGATTTTTTTTTCTTTTTCTTTTTAGGATGTTTGAGAAGTGACATGGGGAAGCTTTAGGAATGCTGAGTTTTCTTTATCTTGACACTTGATACATACGTAATTCATATATCTATATGCTTCACGTTTTTATAGTTTACTGTATATATGTTATTCCTCAAAAAATAAAAATAAGCAATTAGGACACTATTGTAGTTAGGCAAGGGACAATGATGCCTTGGACCTGCATGTGTGAGAAGTAGAAATGATCAGAAATGATTGCATTGGAAGATCATTCGAAGGTAGTATTATTGATAAGGCTTGCTGATGAGAGTAAACTAGAAAGTGAAAGAAAAAAGGATGGCAGCTTTTTTTTTTTTTTTTTTGAGACGGAGTCTCCTTCTGTCGCCCAGGCTGGAGTGCAGTGGCGCGATCTCGGCTCACTGCAAGCTCTGAGGATGGCAGCTTTTTTGTTAACTTTAGAACTGGTAGATGATGGTGTCGTTTACTAACCTGGGGAGGATGAGGAGAAAAAACTTTAGGTGAAGGGAATGATGCTGAGTTTTAGACATCTACTAAACCTCCAATTGGAGATACAAAGTATTCTGCAGATCAGGGGTCATGTCATGGCTGGTAATACAAATTTGGTGACTTCAATACATAGAATTAAAATAGATGGGATAGATGTGCTTTATATGACATAGATGAGGTTAATGTAATTACATATTGATAGAAGATGAGTAGATCAATAGAGAAGATATGGGAGTATGGTTAGGCACAGATTTTTGGAATCCTTTCAGTCAGTTTTTTATACTAACTTGATATGTGACATGAGAAATTGTGTAAGCTTTACTTGCTGTTGTTTCTTCAGTGTAAAATGTCTTAGATAATAAAACTAAATGATAAAGTAGATACAGGGTTAAAGGATATGTATCTTGTCCCTTTTACATTGTAAGCATTCAAAATAAAACAAAACAATTAATGAAGAAAAGACATTGCAATCATTCAGTAAGAACTAGCTGCAGACATATATATGTATATATATATATGTCTGATACTGATATGTCATTTATTTGGCAATTGACAAAAAATGACTACATAACTTGATAAACTGTTTATCCTCATTTGCAAAGAAAACAAATGCAAAAAAAAAATCAGTAAGAAAAACACACCTAAAAGAAAGGGAGGCAATAGTCTTGAATAGGAGAAAAAGAGGAGATCCAAATGGCTAATATACATTTGAAAAGGCATCCAACTTCTTTTATTGTCAAGGAAATGCAAATTAAAACCACAATGCCACACCACTTTCACTATAATGGTTAAAATAAAATAGATCAGGTGGAGTGACGTTGGGAATTAAAAGAGAAGCAAATGTTGGTGCAGTTGTGAGCAAATAGAACTTTCATATACTGTTGAGTGTATACTGGTACAAGCACTTGGAAAAGTTAGTAATTGCTAAAGCTAGAAGTTTGCATACTCTATGACCCAGTCATTTCAGTCCTAGGAATATATTAATCAGAAATGCATACCTGTGTCCACCATAATTTGTTAATAGCTCCAACTGGAAACTACCCAAATGTTCATTAATAGTAGAGTGGATAAATTGTGGGATATTAACACAATGGAATCCTTTTTGCAGTGAGAATGAGCATAGCACTATGGACAAATCCTGCAAACATAATGTTGAAATAAAGATGCCAAACACAAAAGAGCACATATTGTACAACTAATGCACATAAAGTCCCTAAACAGGCAAAATGAATCTATGTTCTTAGAAGCAGGATTAATGGTATACTTGTAGGGCAGAAGAGTAGTGACCAGAAGAAGATTCTAGGAAGCTAGCAATGCTGGTGTCATGCCAGACCCCTAGTGACTCCAATAGTAATGGCACTGTGTCCGAGAGTCCAAAGAAGATGCGTAGACAGCGAACAAGACTTGGGTTTATTGGGGGAACTTATATATAGGGATGGTCCAGTGGTAGTAGGCTGGACAGAAGAACCACTACTGTTTGTAAAAAGCATGCAGTTTATATAGCATTTTCATTTAGCACACTCCACCTAGCAACCTCCATTTAACCCAAAGCAAAGGACCTTGATCCCCTATATTGCCTGTGTTGTAAGGGATGGGCTGGGGGTTCAGACGTCCTTCATAGATAAGGAGTGAAACTCAGGGTTAGTCGCTCCTGTTTCCTTAGTTTGGGATTCTGAGCACACATTCGTTTTAGATCACAGGGTCGTTCTCAGGATATGGTTGTTACTGCTGTCAGGTGCATCCTCTCTATAGCGGGGTACTGGCTACACAGTTTTTGTTCACTAGTGATAATTGTTAGAGCTATGCCCTTAATATATGTCTTGTGTGTATTATACTTCAATAAAAAGTTAAATTTTAAAAAACCTAGTAAGACTTTCTCTTGCTGCCCCCACCTGTGGCTTTGGGGAAGGAATTGACTCTTCACAAATGCTGCCCTCTCTAAAAATATTACACCTCCATGCTCTGTCTCAGCTTAATTCTTCTCAAGGATAAAGGTTATCAAACAGTCAGTCTCTTGCCTCCAGGAGTATTTAATAACTCAATTATTCCAGCTGTAATATGAATCTTGTTCACTACCCTCTAAGGAAAAGTGTGTGTATGTGTAATTTTTTCTCCACCATACCAGGTAAATTGCAGAGAAGGAGCTTTTATTGGAGAAGCTAAGAAGTGTTGAATAAGAGAGCTATGATCCAGGAATACAGTTATCATTGGAGAAATCATTCTCCTTTTCTTGGATGGAAGTGGCAAAGAGTGAACGTAAGTTTAATGGTAGTGGACTACTAAATGGCTATTTGACAAGATAATTGTGACAAAAAAAATCCCACAAGTAATTTCATAGGATAATGTCAGAGGGAAAACCTGTAAGAACAAGCCACTCCTTCCTTCTCTCCTCCTCTGCAATGCTCACTCAACCATGTAAACTGATTTGGAGTTAGAGGACCTGAGTCTGATTCCATCTTCTGTGACATTCTTGCTAAGTGAACTGTAGAAAAAACCTTTCACCTCTCTGAAAAATGGAGACGAGGATTAGCAACCTGGTCAGACCTGGTCAGAAACCACATCAAGTGCATGTTTCATTTCTTTTGCATGTTTGCCTTTACAGGCCAAATGTGTCTGTGCAGACCCTTATTGCTTCTGACCATTGTTGTACAGGAGAGGGGGTGTGACCAGGTAATTCTTTTTACCCATGTATAAGCCAGTTTTGTTTTCTGTTTGTTTTTTTTTGGTACAGATGGGATCTTATCGTGTTGCCCAGGCTGGTCTTGAACTTCTGGCCTCTTGCCTTAACCTCCCAAAGTGCTGGCATTACAGGCATGAGCCACTAGCACCTGGCTATAAGCCATTTTCTTTCTTGCTTCTTTTTTTTTCAAGACAGAGTCTCACTTTGTTGCCCAGGTTGTAGTGCAGTGGTATAATCTCGTTTCGCTGCAACCCCCACTTTCTGGGTTCAAGTGATTCTTATTCCTCAGCCTCCCGAGTAGCTGGGATTACAGGTGTGCACCACCACTCTCAGTTAATTTTTGTATTTTTAGTAGAGAAAAAGTTTTGCCATGTTGGCCAGGCTGGGCCATTTTCTTATTGAAGTGTTCAGGTGGGCAAGCTCCCTCCTCCCCCACTCCTAGAGGCAAAGAAAAAAAAAATCGCCAAAACGTGATGACAACAAGTATGTCTGTGTTCAAAATTAAATTTGTGTTTTTGGTAAGCCTCATGATAGAGCCACTTACTTTATTTTGTAATGGATTATCTAAGTCAGTTTTCCAGATAACCAGTCAAGTTTGTCTCAAGATCAGAGTTATTTTCCCAAAGCTATAGACAGGATGAAACCAAGCAATAGTAGTTAGCTCAATTGCACAAGCAAATTTCTGAAAGATGTTGGAACTTCTTCAGAGTTAATGGAAAACCTTGCAGGAATTATGGTGTATGGTAATAATCAAATGACACTTCACTCCTTTCCTACTTCTGTTTCTATCTATCTGACTTAATAGTTCCCTATATTTAGGCATCTATTTATATCATGTATCCTCATGAAACTTGGACAATTTTATACCATGTTGATCACATGAGTAAAAAATATCTGGGGAAATTCTCTCTTAACCTACATTCCAGGAAAAAAAAAATAGGAACACCATATTATCATTCAAGTCTTTTGAGAAGACATCACATTTTCTTCCAAAGGCAAGTACCCATTGACTTAGAAAGAGTGGTGTTTAAGATCAAGATCTTTGTGCCTTGGTTTCTTCGTCTACCTATAACTTATTTAAGGTATTATGAATGAGACAGTGTACACAGAGGGCCTGGCAATTAGTAAATGATTAATATTACTACTGCTGCTATTAGTTTTAAATTATCAATATATTTATTTATAAATTTGCTGCCTCTTCCAATAGAAAATAAGCCCTATGATACTAGAATCTTACCTGTTATGTATAGGTAGGCAACGCTGAATGTGTCTCAAATGGAGCATAAAAACAAAGTCTCTTGGTAAGGATGGGATTTAGGGTCAAAGGAAATTCCCCTAAGGAACTCTAAAACTGACATTATCTTAAGTTTTAGCACTTGGGGAAGTTTCAAAGACTTTCCAAAAGGATAAGTATATCATGATATGTAGGTATAAATACCAAGACAACTGCAGAGTTATTTTAATCCAAGTCTGTTGAGGCTTTATTATGTGATACAGCATTGTGAGAGTTAAGGTAACAGAAAATGATACACTTTGTTCTTCAAACTTATTTGGCAAATCAAGGGTACTGGAGGTTTATAACAATTAGTAGTGTCTAAGTCAAGTTACACCCCAACTATACCAGGAAAAAGAAGGACAGGAAAGCACACACTGTGAAATTTTACTGTGCACCAACATATTTTACACATCAGGTGGGCTGTTATGGAAATTAAGAACTCTGCACAAAATGTATTTTTTTTAAAAGTTTTATCAAGAAAGGAACATTTTCTTCTAAAAATGATTAGTACAGCTAAACAAAATAAAAATAATAATCCTATCGCACAAATTAAAAATAAAACCTGAGAAGTTTTGATCAGGCTTGCCTAAAACGAGTTGAAACCAAAGCCATTTTAAGAATCCAAAATATGAGATTAGTTTTGTTCAAAAAGAATTATCCATAAAAGTTAATAGATGTTTGCATAGTTACCATAAAATAAGAGGTAAGCCTTTATGTATTTTTACTTCATAAAGTTGAATTTCTATTAAAATCTATTACAAGAAAGGGAAAGTAACTTTCCAGTAATATTCAGATTTTTTAGTAATATTGAGCCTACATTTATGGGACATCATTTTTTAATGTTTGTCCACTGAATATTTTAAGTTATGTTTGTCATAGGAAATTAAATTTGCTTACCATTCTTAACGATAATCTCTTTCCTCATTTGGTTATACTTATCTCAATTAGTATAAGAGACTTGTTGATTTTTTTAAAAATTAAGGACATACTAAATTTCCCCGAGATAGTTATTTTGCAGTAATATAGATAAGCGACTCAGATTAACTTTAAAACAAACCACCATACATTCCATTCAATTTATTTTTGCCAGGCATTGTTTTAGCGGCTTTATACAGCCATGTACAAAATAGACAAGATTCCAGCATCATGATGCTTATTTTCTATTCTAGGACACAAAATAGAAAAAAAAATCTCAAATAGTGATAAGCGTTTTGAAGAAAAGTATATAGGACAGCCGGGTAGAGAATGACCAGGACTACCATAGCTAGGGTGGTCAAGGAAGGCCTCTCTTGAGTTTGAGTTAAGAGCTGAATGAGCATGGCAGAGAGAAACAGTTAACGTGGATACTGTTCAGGTTTCTTTCTCCCTGGGACCAAAATGTTTCGAAGTCTGCATACCTCCGTTTACCCTAACTTGTCATGAACATAAAACCTCTTATATTGCAGGCAAAAATCTGAGGTTCACAGATTAGTAGGGCAAGTAGCTGATTCCGAAGTGTGTACTTGCCTTTATGATACTGGATACACACTGGTGTTAACAAGGAGAACGATGTACGTGGCAGACGTTCGGAGAGTACTGGACATGTTGGTTCTAATTTGGGTTTATCCTGGCAGGCTCTAGGTAGAGAGGCTCAGAAAACCTGCGTCCATCCTTCCCATCTTTCCTCCCATTTCCGAAACCACGGCCCCGGTTTCGAGTCCAGAAAAAAAGGAATAAGTAGAACTCCCAAAGGACAGCTTTCCTGGCTGAACAAGATGTAAACAGTTTACGTGATTTCCAACCAAGCGCAAAAGTACAGGTGCAAAAGAAGACGGCAGACACCAAACTTCCCCTGCAGCCACGCCCTCCCCACTTTGGGAGTCTGGGTCCCCGGGAAGGAAGGCCTCCCTATTGGTGCTCAACGTGTTACGTCACTTCCGCTACCTCCACGGCAGGCGTCGCTAAATGACGTTGCCGTTTCCGGGTCACCCAGGCAGCTTGTGGCGGCGAAGCCATCGGTGTTCGCTGATGTCCAGTCTATGGAGTCAGTTGGTACCGGTGGCGGCGCGGAGGCAGAAGGCGGTGTCCGAGTAGGGGCCTCTGCCCCACCAGGATGTTACCCGGCTTGGCCGCCGCCGCGGCCCACAGATGTAGCTGGTCCTCCCTGTGCCGGCTCCGTCTGCGATGCAGGGCGGCGGCCTGTAATCCCAGCGACCGCCAGGGTGAGTGTCCCGCGCTGGCCGCTGGCTCCGTAGAAGCCGAACTGGAGGGCCAGGCTGGGCTCGGCGCCTCGCCTGGGGCAATTCGCCCACTTGCCTTTCGCCAACCTCAGAACCTTCCTTTCTGGCCTCCGCCTTTCCAGTTCAGCCTGCGCAGCCCGCGGGGGTCCTGACAGGTCTCTGACTCTGATGCCTTCTGCAGCCCTAGCATGGCCCCCGCGGGAACTTGTGGGCACCTCGCGGGCCGGATTGCACCTCTGAAGCCTACCGCTTTGTACCAAACAAAATGTTACGTGCGCATCGCGGTGTCCCGCGGTTACTCACCTCCGCGGTTGGAAATTGCGGACTCCGCAAAGTTCCAGGGTCTTTGGAGCTTTCCAGCGCACCTTCATTTAGCACTTGGTTGAGATTTTCTTGGCCTTCTTTTTCTTACTCTCCCAACTTATTTTCTTAAATTTTCTAAAAGGAAGGAGGGGTGCTACTCACTACGGATCTTTTGGAAGAAGTACGAAAGTATCCGACAATCATTGAATGAACCCAGTTTGGGTCCGAAAAACAAAGAAACTCTTCAGTTCGGCTGAGCAGTCTTTTTGGTGAAAAGGTGGCAGTTGTAGTGGTAACCCAGAAAAAAAGGTGGTTGAAGAGAATTTTCGTCTCTCTCAACATTCTTTTCTGACTCAAATTTAAATGGTTTGAGAGTTTCCAAAATAACATTGAACTAATCAGGCTTACCTTCGTTTTTGCCGTAGCTTGACACACATTGCTTGACACTGAGAACTGATAGGATCTCTGAGGGAGAAGACAGAACTAAGTCCACCCTTAACCTAATCCCTCCATTCTTGGGATGCAGAGAGTATTTACCGAAACATTCATGTTCGAAGCCAGGTGTGGTGGTGCGCTCCTGTAGTCCAGCTACTCGGGAGACTGAGGCAGGCAGATCTTTTGAGCCCAATAGTTCTAGGCTAGCCTTGGCAACATAGTGAGCTGTCTGTAAAAACATAGGTTTGAAAAAACCTGTAACATGTTCGTGACCTCCTGAAAGAAGTCGGAAGTTGCAGTCATTCGAGATTTTATGTAATATAAGCTATAGTAACTATGCTGTGGATATAAATTAGAATATATTCGTATCTTTTATTTGCAATAAATGTAAAGCTGAATCTTAGAATTTCAAACGGATAAATTTTAACAGCACTATTCCCAGGGCTTTTTTGGTAGTGATAGAAAAGTGTAACTGTTGAGTTTTTCCATATTGGCAATATACTGCCAGGTTCCCTTATGGACAGAATGAATCATCGGCTGGGTGCAGTGGCTCATGCTGCTAATCCTCAGGAAGATTGTAAACCTTAGGACGCTGAGGTGGGTGGATCGCTTCAGCCCAGGAGTTCCAAGACCAGCCCGGGCAACATGGCAAAACTGCCTCTCTACAAAAAATTAGCCTGGTTTGGTGACGCGCGCCTGTAATCCTAGCCTGTACTCAGGAGGCTGAGGTGGGAGGATCGCTTGAGCCCAGGAAATTGAGGCTGCAGTGAGCCTTGAGCATGCCAGTGCACTCCAGCCTGGGTGACAGAGTGAGACCTGTCTCAAAAAAAAAAAAAGAAAAGAAAAAGAAAAATGAATCATACGTTTATACTGTACTCCAGAATCCCCAAGTAAGTTTCTAACACAATTGTTTCTATTGACCAAGCAATTTTGGCATTTTACACTGAAATTACAGTGGCTGTTAAATTTAGTCTAAACTGCCCTTTAAGTGTTGGCAAAAAGGAGAAGAAACAGTGTAATTTGTAATCCCTCTTCTGTGTAGCTGTCATTATGTTGAAAATTATGTATTCTTTGTCTCATCTGTCTGTGAAACACAGATAATTATTACCTACCTTAGTGGTCAAAATGACTTTGCAAAGTTGTTTGGAATGTTTATTACTACAAAAAATTAAAATTTTTTTTACACTTAAAAATGCTTAGTAGGTTTTTAAAAATAACTTTGTGAAAATTTAGTTTCAGTAATGAAGCATTTCTTAAAAGGGCAACCATTATTATGGCAAAATTTAAAAATCATTTAGAAAAAGAGTACTATTTAAATTGGATGCATGTGAGAAGACTATTTGAAGAACTTTTGGAGAAAGAAAATCTAAAAACAGTTGTTTTTATTTGTCTAGAAGTAAGGTTTAGTTTATGCTTCTAAAATGCCTGTGGCTGGGAAAAGCTTATAAAGCATAAGGAGAGGAGGAAACCTTGAGGGATTGCTTGAATACTTAAAAATGAGGAATGCCTTTAAAGGCAAAATAGAAACTGTCTAAAAGAAATATGAGAGCCCTGTTTGTAATTTTGAGTTGTCTGATAGCCACATTAAAAAAAGTAAAATTAAAGATGAATTAATTTTAATATATCCTAGAATTAATTTTAATAACGAAATTTATATATTTTAATAATAAAATATATAAAATTTAATACTATTTTATTAAGTATATTCAAAATATTTCAACATGTAATCAATATCAAAATTATTGAAGTATTTTACATCATCTTTTTGTACTGTCTTTAAAACCCAGTGAGTATTTTACACTTTCAGCACATCACAGTTCAGACTAACCACGTTTTAAGTGCTCAGTAAACAGTGACTACTCAATTAGATAGTGTAGTTAGAGTTAGTATCTAAGTTATAAAGAATTTTTACAAACCAGTATACATTCCAGTAGGAAAATGGACAAAGGAATTGAATACAAAGTTCATAAAGTTGTTCAAGTGGCCAATAAAAATGCAAAAATGTTCCATACTGAAAAACAGAGACTTTAAAGGGTTTTACTTCTCACTGCCTATTTCATTTTGGCCGAATTTTTCATAATGATAATACCCCATATTGAGGGTGTGGGAAAACAGGAACTCTCTTAACTACTGATTGAAAACATAAACGGTTTATGCCCTCTGACCTAACAGTTTTTACTCAAAAGGATTTACTTTAAAGAAATAATCAAAATACATATTAAAATGTTTGCAGAAGTTTATTATAGTAATAAATTGGTAGTTCATAGTTATGGAGAGTGGGAAACTGAAATATATTATGATACCTTTATTATGGGCTGGTGATGTATACAACCATTTTTTTAAAAAATTATAATTCAGGGCTGGGTGTGTTGGCTCATGTCTGTAATCCCAACACTTTGGGAGGCCGAGGTAGGGGGATCACCTGAGGTCAGGAGTTCGAGACCAGCCTGGCCAACATGGTGAAACCCCATCTCTACCAAAAATACAAAAACTAGCTGGGCATGGTGGCGGGCGCCTGTAATCCCAGCTACTTGGGAGACTGAGGCAGGAGAATCACTTGAACCCAGGAGGTGGAGGTTGCAGTGAGCTGAGATTGCGCCACTGCACTCCAGCCTGGGCGACGAGCGAAACTCCATCTCAAAAGAAAAAAAAAAGTTATAATTTAGAAGAATAGTGACATGGAAAATACTCTTGTGTTATTAGGTAAAAACTGTAGAAAAATACAGTGAAAATATATACTGTGATATTAACAGTGAGTTTGTCTAAAAATTTTTTTATTTGTGTTTTACAAATGATCTACAGTACACATATACTTCTAAAGAATAAAAATGTTACTTAGTTTCTGTAGTAAGTATATCCTTTTTTATAAAAAGTTCTTTGGGTTAGGATAGAGCACATATTTCTTTTTTTCATGTATTTATACCTTGCCTCATTTGGCAAAAATTTGAGAGGGGAAGACACTTAAGTATACTAGATGAACACTGAAATTAATAAAAGTGTAATTTTTAAATAGAAAATAGAAATCAAACATACTATGTTATTATTGTCTCCAATCTGCTAGTATTTATTGTCATAAGAAAAGTAGGCTGAGAATTTAACTTTTATCCCCAGCAGAGGTCCCTCCTCCTCCTCAACCTCTTTAAATAACTAAGAGTATTGACAGTTACAAAAGACCAGTCTGGCCAACATCGTGAAACCTCATCTCTACTAAAAATACAAAAATTAGCTAGGCATGGTGGTGGGCGCCTGTAATGACAGCTACTCAGGAGGCTGAGGCAGGAGAATTGCTTGAACCCGTCAGATGTGGTCTCAAAAAAAAAAAAAAAAAAAGACCATTTAGACTGTCAATGCTCTTAGTTGTTTAAAGAGGTTGGGGAGGAGGAGGGACCTCTGCTGGGGATAAAAGTTAAATTCTTAGTCTGATTAAGAGAGCATTGACAGTTATAAAAGACCATTTAGGGCTGGGTGTGGTGGCTCACACCTGTAATCCCAGCACTTTGGGAGGCCAAGGTGGGCGGATCACCTGAGGTCAGGAGTTCTAGACCAGCCTGGCCAACATGGCAAAAACCTGTCTCTACTAAAAACACAAAAAAATTAGCTGGGCATGGTGGCAGGCGCCTGTAATCCCAGCTACTTGGGAGGCTGAGGTGGGAGAATTGCTTGAACCCAGGAGGCAGAGGCTGCAGTGAGCCGAGATCGTGCCATTGCACTCCAGCCTGGGCAACAAGAGCAAAACTCCGTCCCCCCACCAAAAAAAAGACCATTTAGGCAGGCAGACAGGAAGATTCTATGCAGATCAAGTTCATGATAGAATTTATTGTACTTAAGTATAAAATGAAGCTAACTGTAGTATGTGCCTCCTAGAGTTTTTGTGAATGAGAATCATTCAGCATTGGATGCCAGGCATTATAGTTGCTGATAGTGTAGTGCTGAACGAGGTGGATGGTTTCCACCTTTCTTCCACCAGAAATAAATATATTTAAAGTGCCATAGAAGAGATAGGCAGGATGATGGGCTAGAAAGTAGCCAGGATGGGCTATTTCATTCGATAAGATGGCCTAGGACTCCAGCTTTTCTGAGGTAATGACTGAGCCTAGGCATGAAAGATGAAAATGAGCAAGCCACGTGAAGGTCTGGGAGAAAGAGCAATTTGGGAAGAGTAAAGAGGAACTGTAAAGATCAGACTAGTATGTATATATGTATGTATTTTTGAGAAAGGGTCTTGCTCTGTCACCCAGGCTAGAGTGCACTGACAGGATCACAGCTCACCGCAGCCTTGACTTCCTGGGCTCCAGTGATCCTCCCACTTCAGCCTTCTGAGTAGCTGGGACCACAGGCTAGCGCCACCATGCCCAGCTAATTTTTATATTTTTGTTAGAGACTGGGTTTCACCATGTTATCCAGGCTGGTCTCAAACTCCTGAGCTCAAGCATTCCACCCATCTCGGCCTCCCAAAGTGCTGGGATTTTAGGTGTGAGCCACTGCGCCTGGCCCAGACAAATAGTTTTAAGGAGCAGAAAGAAACCTGTTGTGTCTAGGGTATGGTGGGGTGGTATGAAAATAAATTTGAGTTTTTTTATTTTTTGTGGTTTTTTTTGAGATGGAGTTTTGCTCTTGTTTCCCAGGCTGAAATGCAATGGTGGATCTCGGCAGACTGCACCCTCCACCTCCTGGGTTCAAGCAATTCTCCTGCCTCAGCCTCCCAAGTAGCTGGG
The DNA here is from genome assembly GCF_000001405.40 of Homo sapiens. Taxonomy (NCBI): domain Eukaryota; kingdom Metazoa; phylum Chordata; class Mammalia; order Primates; family Hominidae; genus Homo; species Homo sapiens. The sequence goes on from NC_000004.12 coordinate 41,996,232, forward strand.
ATTACAGGTGTTAGCCACCACGCCTGGCTGATTTTTGTGTTTTTAGTAGAGATGGGGTTTTTCCATGTTGGTCAGGCTGGTCTCAAACTCCTGACCTCAGGTGATCCACCTGCCTTGGCCTCCCAAAGTCCCATTACAGGCGTGAGCCACTGCACCTGGCCGAAATTTGAGTATTTTAAGCCATAGGCTTAGAAAAAGAGGAGTGTTTTAAAATATCACTCTGGCCCAGTCGTAGTGGCTCATGCCTGTAATCCCAGCAAAATTTGGGAGGCCAAGGTAGGTAGATAACTTGAGTCCAGGAGTTTGAGACCAGCCTGGGCAACATGGCAAAATCCCATCTCTACAAAAAAAAATTAAAAAATGTAGCCAGGTAGGGTGGCACACGCCTGCGGTCCCAGCTACTCAGGAGTCTGAGATGGGAAAACCACCTGAGGCTGGGGAGGTTGAGGCTGCAGTGAACCATGATTGCACCACTGCCCCAGCCTGGGTGACAGAGCAACACCCTGTCTCAGAAAAACACAGGTGGGTGCGGTGGCTCATGCCTGTAGTCCCAGCACTTTGGGAGGCCAAGGAGGGTGGATTACCTCAGGTTAGGAGTTCAAGACCAGTCTGGCCCACATGGTGAAACCACATCTCTGCTAAAAATACAAAAATTAGTCAGGCGTGGTGGCACATGCCTGTAATCCCAGCTACTTGGGAGGCTGAGGCAGGAGAATCACTTGAACCCGGGAGGTAGAGGTTGCAGTGAGCTGAGATCACGCCACTGCACTCCAGCCTGGATGACGGAGTGGGACTCCATCTCAAATAAATAAATAAATAAATAAATAAATAAAAATGAAAAAGAAAAATAGAATTAAGCAAGGCAGTAGAGAGGTATGTCAAGATGCAGTCTAGGAAGTTGTCATCATCTCCTATTGTTTCCTAACTCAAAAAAAAAAAAGATTCTCTGTTTTTTACTCTGCTCTGGCGAAAAGTTACATCAGCAGTGGTCTTCTAGACTGAGCTACTCCATCCAGGTCACACTTTTGCTTGCTACATGATTAAGGATAAAAAGGATTTTCCTGTAGTTTTGGCTAGCTGAAAGGATTAAAGTAAACCAGAGATAGTCAATCTGTTAATGGTAGACTATATTACAAATTGTGATAATGATGTTAATAAGACCTTGATGAAGTTCCAGATAATTTAGCTATGGACACATTCTTAGGTTTTTTTTTTATTATTATGGGCATTTTTTTTAATACAGGGAAAGTATAAGGTATAAAGTAAAAACTATGCATAATTCAGATATTTCACCACATTTTTAGTAGTTGAAATCATACTGTATAAGTCTTCCGCTTTTTTTATGCAACATTATAACATGAGTGTTTTTCCTTGTTATTAAAAGTTTTTAATGAATACATAATAAAAGTATAGTTACCTGCCGTAATTTAATCATTCTTCTATTAGGGAACATTTGAGTTGTTTGTTTTTTCCTGTGATAAATAATACCATGAGGAATCATCTTTGCATTCTATATTATGTATTTTAAATTCACACTTAATAACCTCTTTAAAAGGTTATATAACCTCTTAGTAACCTCTTTAACAGTTATTTAGCTTTCATATATTACTGCCTTAGAAATTTTGGAAAAGAATTATTGAAATAGTCTCTTAAGTAAGGAGACTGAAATCTAGAAGACAGGCTGCAAGCTTGACTCTGGCTCTGAAATTAGCCGGAAATAAACTCACGTTGCAAGAAATCTTTTTGTTTATTTTTAGTTGTTGTTGCGGAAGCAACGTATACAGTAGACTGAGTTGTCAGTTTGTGTGAGAGAAAAAGAGTGTCTTTTTGTTGTTATTCGTAGCCTAAAAATGATGGCCAGATTTTCTCTGGAAGCCAGAGTAGTGGTAGGTGACAAACCAGATTGGAGAGAGAGAGGACAAGTAGTGATCACTGGCAGTGGCCATTAGGTCACTAGCTACAGAGGCCATGAGAGTAAAATAAAGACGGAGAAGTGTGGCTGTTCTGAGTAGACTGCTGATAGGATACCAGTAACTCTGCAGTCTTGAAGACACAGCCCTTATATACACAGCCATAAGGAAGTTCTTGTCCAGGCCAGTAGAATAGTAAGTGCCAGAGTAAAGACTTCGATATGTAGCTTGTTTAGAAGTCACCTTGAAAAAAGAATATTAATGGTGGGTAATATTTTTCACTATCTCTTTGCTTACTGGAATTAATGAATTCAGTAATTCTTTTTTTTTGTTTGTTTTTGAGATGGAGTTTTACACCGTCACCCTGGCTGGAATGCAATGGCGCGATCTTGGTTCACTGCAACCTCCGCCTCCCGGGTTCAAGCGATTCTCCTGCCTCAGCCTCCCGCATAGCTAGGATTATAGGCGCCCACCGCCACGTCTGGCTGATTTTTTTGTATTTTTAGTAGAGATGGGGTTTCACTATGTTGGCCAGGCTGATCTCGAACTCCTGACCTCGTGACCTGCCCAGCTTGGCCTCCTAAAGTGTTGGGATTACAGGCATGAGCCATGCACCCTGCGGAATTCAGTAATTCTTTAACCAGTGGTTGTGTTTCTATTGCTATGTGTTAGGTATTATATTTGTTTTATTGAGTTAAATGTGCTTCAGTATAGTTTTTATAATATACAATATTAGGTGGTAAATGTATGTGCCATTTTCTGTCTCGTATGAATGCCAAATGTGTACTTTTAAAGTTGCTGTTACCTGAATTTCTACTGGTGTTAAAAATTAAGGACTTTTCAAAACAGCCAGCAAGAAAAAGCTATCAAAGATTATGAAGATAGTGTCAAAAGCACTTAGGAGTCAATTTTAAGAGGCCTCTACTGGCCCAAAATAGAACAGTTTGAGCATTAGTCAGGATAATGACTAAACTAGATTGAAAAATGCCAAGTAATGTTTAAATTTATGAAGTTGTAATGATATACACACAAATTAAAAATGTGTCACTATTACAGGACCTTGGGTAATTAACGTATTATTTTGAGAACTGGTAAATAAAGGGAAAGAAGCATTTAGTCTGACTTTCCTATATGAACTACTTTTCTGAATAACCAATAAATGATGGATATTTTCTCTTTGTAGAAATATTCTGAGTAGTAAATGAAGGAGTAATAAAATTGGTATCATCACTTTGTAACCACCTAATGAATAAATGATTCTAAGCATTGAAGAACAGTAGACACTATGATCACAAATAAATCAACCAGTTACTGTGTGGTTCCTGATGAAAGAACTCATCACCACTTAACAAAGTAGTGTTGACCTAATAAAAATAGCCTGAAGTTAGATAAAGCCTTTACAGCCATTGATTTATAGAACATACAGAAGAATGGGCTAAACAATACCATAGGAATTCAGTCAGCAAAATTCAGCCTGGGAAACTACCAGGACAAAAATTCAGGACAAACAACCTGGCTTTTTCAACATAAAAATTGCAGTTAAAAAAAAAAAAGACATTCTGTAGCTTAAAAGAGACTTAAAAGACATCTCAATTAGTCCCAATATGTGGACTTTATCTGGATCTATTCACATAGAAACTGGAAAAAAATTGTAACATTTGTAACAACTGGAAATTTGAAATTGAGAATATTTGATATTAAGGTTTTTTTTTAATTTCTGGTAATGGTGTTATGGTTGTGTTAAAGTTTTTGTCTCTTATAAATACATACTGAAATATTTATGGATGAAATTATATCTGAGATTTGCTTCAAATTAATATTGGTGCAGGTAGAGATGAGATGAAATTGTCCATGAGTTGATCATTGTTGAAAGTAGGCAATGGGTACGTGGCAGTTTATTGTGCTGGTTTTTCTACCTTTGCATACGTTTGAGATTTTCTGTAGCATTTTAAAAACAAAAGAGAACACTGAAAAAAATCTAGCATCAAGTCATGGAAATGGGTCGTCTTCCAAGGAAGGACTTTTAAACTGTGGAGTAATCCCTCTTTAAACATCTTAGCACAAATTCTATGAAAATATTTCATCAGTGTATGAAAAAAAAGTTAGTGGCATATTGTCTTTGTCAGGTAATAATTACAGAAGATATTTTGAATAGGGCTGAACAGTCAGAACACCAGTGGCCAGGATGAAGAAGATGCTTTTCTGGAGTGTGTTTCCTATGAAAATCTGCTTTAGCCCATATTTACTAATTATTTTTGCTAGTAGGCAGCATATTTTAATGTGTAGGAATCTTCTGCTGTTATATTTGCTTTACTGACCCTTTAAAAAATAGACACAAATGACCAAAAACATTATAGGCCTTCAACAGTTTCTCAAATAAGTAAAAGAATCAGTTCACATCAGAAAGTTTTTCAAGAAAATAAGTTCTAGGCCGGAAACTTGAGTGAATACTTATGTTCCCTTATGTCCTTTGTGCTCTTCATATTATTTTCAACATTCATAATAATTTATGTTCCTGATGAATTCTCTGAGCCATTAAGAAATGGCTTTTCTTTCAGAATGCATATATCTGCACACACAATCCATGAATTAACATTTTTGGAAGATCATTATTAAGCACTTACAAAAGTTTCAACTCTTAAATGCTTAACCCTCCATCCTTGGAAAAACTTGACTATCTGTAATGATGTAATTTGATTTCACCTAAAACTTTACAAAATATATGAATGATATCTATATAGGGTTTTTGGGTTCTTTCAAAAAGAGGAATTATCAGTACTCATGGTAAAAAAAGAGAAGGAGGGTCACAGGAAAATAGGAACAAATTTGGTTTTCTAGTACTTGGGTAAATTGTGGAATATACTTTCCTTCTGTATTTGAGCCCTTCAAAGCTCACAGTCAACCCAGATGAAGCAGCTGAAGTGCTTTGTAATTAGTCTTCTATTCTTCACTCAATTAAAATTCCCCATTTACTGAGGCATCTCACCAAATGTTGATCTAATTATCTGATTAAAAAATCGGTGACAGTATGAATGAATGATTAATATAATTCACTTGATTGTGAAATGAAAGAGGAATAAATCTTTAGCTAGTGGAAGAAGGACACAGGATAATTTTGTGTAGGAAGTCTTCCTGACCTTCCCTCCCAGAGTCCTTTATTCTGAAAAGTAATTATGCCAACATTTTTTTAGCTTGCAACCAACATGCAAAATAAAGAGTATCTATTATGTACTATATACCTTTCAAAATAGCTGAATAGCATAAATATTTTATTTGATTTTTTATATTTTTAAAAATTTCCAAATAAGTTTACAAGTTAGAGAAAATTAGAATGTTGTCACTAATTTTTCTTTACAAAATGGTATTTCATGTGTACCTAGAAGCAGTGAAACACCTCTGGAGAGGGTGGCTTGGCAATTAATTATGCAGCTAGGACTTGGTTTGAAATTAAAGTATATATATTTTTTCTTTTAGAGTGGCAGAATTTAGTGACATTTGGAAGCTTTTCAAACATGGTTCCCTGTAGTCATCCATATATTGGTACCCTGAGTCAAGTAAAGTTGTACTCCACAAATGTTCAGAAAGAAGGACAGGGATCACAAACACTCAGAGTGGAAAAAGTACCATCATTTGAAACAGGTATGTGTAATTTTTTTAATGTACTTTTTTCTGTATACTGGAATAGTTTGTGTAAAATTATTTGTTCCCTGGATGTTTGATAGAACTTACTTATAATACTGTCTGGACTGATGTTTTCTTTGTGGGAACTATTAAAGCACTTATTTAATTTCTTTATTTTTTCTATTTCTTTTTGACTCAGTTTTCTACGAAAAACTATCTACTTATCTACTTAAACTAAAATTTTAATTTATTGGTATAAAGTGTATAATAATGTTCCCTGTTTACTCCCAATAGCATATGTAGTTATGTCCTTTTTTCATTCCTAATATTTGTCTTATTTTCTTGGCTAGTCTTCCCAGAGGTTTGTGTTTTATTATTTTTCCAAGTAATTTTTTTTTACTTTGAACCATTATATGTTTGTATCCTATTTCGTCAATTTTTACTTTTTAATTATAGCCTCCTTTCTGCCTTTTTTTGGGTTTGTTCAGTCATTATTTTTTGTTTTGTTTTATAACTTCAACTTTTGTTTAGATTCAGGAGGGTACATGTGAGGGTTTGTTACATGGTATTTTGTGTGATGATGAGGTATGAGGTACACGTGATCTCATCACCCAGATAGTCAGCATAGTACCAAATAGTTTTTCAACCATTGCTGCCCTCTCTCTCTCTCCCTCATCTAGTAGTCCCCATTGCCTATTTTTGCTATCTTTATGTTCATGTGTACCTAGTGTTTAGCTCCTAGTTATAAGTGAGAATATGTGGTACTTGGTTTTTTGTTTTCTGTGTTAATTTGCTTAGGATAATGGCCTCTAGCTACATCCATGTTGTTGCAAAGGACATAATTCATTCCTTTTTGTGGCTGCATGGTATTCCATGGTGTATATGTACCATATTTACTTTATCCAGTACCCCATTGATGGACACCTAGGTTGATTCTAAGTCTTTGCTATTGTGAATAGTGCTGCAATGAACATATGAGTGCATGTGTCTTTTTGGTAGAATAATTTATTTCTTTTTGATATACACTCCCTGATGGGATTGGCTGGAGTTCTTTGAGAAATCTCCAAACTGCTTTCCACAGTGGCTGAACTAACTTACATTCCCACCAGCAGTGTATTAAGTATTGACTTTTCTCTGCAGTCTCACTAGCATCTCTTGTTTTCTGGTTCTGTCATTCTGTTATTAATTGTCAGTTAGACACTTAGTTTATTAACCCTTCCTTCCTTTCTGAAGTAGACATTTAAGCCATGATAACACATCCCACAGTTTTGATATATAATATTTTTATTATTTGTAAATCTAAATGTATTCTTATTTCTATTGTGATTCTTCTATGACTTTTTAGTTGTTAAAGCATCATTGTAAATTTACAGATAGATGGAATTTTTGTTTATCTTTTTGTATTTAATGTATTTCACAAAATGTGGTCTGTATTGATTCAGTCTTGAAATTTGTTGAGTGTAACATTTTAGTTTAGCAATTGGTCAGTTTTTCTAAATGGTTTTCCTGTGCTTGAAAATAATGTGTATTTTTAATTGCTGGTGTGGTGTTTATACACATCAATTCTTATTTTTAGTTGTTCAGTACAGATCTTTGTCCTGTTTTAAAAATTCATTATTACCAAGGGAGATGTTGGAGTATCACACTCTGATGGTAGATTTGATGGTCTTTTTTTATGGTTCTGTAAATTTTTGCTTTTTATAATTTGAGGCTGTCATTAGATACATACATATTTAGAATTATTACCTAACACTGATGAATTATTCCCTCTATCATTGTGCAGCTACTGTTTTTCTTTAGTGAGCTCTCCACTACATTTCTTTTGGTTACTATTTTCCCATCCTTTGATTTTAACTTAATTTTGTCTTAATATGATCATCTCTGTCTTTTAACTGGAAGTTTAGGCAGTGTGCATTTACTGTAATCACTGATATAGTTAAACATATTTCTACCATTTTATCATGTTTCCTTGTCCTGTTTTCTTAAATTCCTTTTTTGCCTTTAATTTTTTTTCTCATTCCGTCATCCTTTCTCCTCTATTCTCTTTCTCTCATTTGAAAGTTTTAGACTCTGTGTCTGTACTTCAAAGCCTAAAGTTAATTGATAAATTTACTTTCCTTCTGAAAAACACAAAAGCTTTAGAGTGCTTTAATTCTGATCACCGCCTCCAACTTATGTGCTATTTGTTGGCTAATATTTTCTGTCTATTCTGCTCTTTCTCTGCTATAAAGTATGCATTGTTGCTTGCTTAGATTTATTCAGAATCTTTGTTAGCCACCTTTTCTTATGTCTGATCTTTCTGTCTGATGTACATCCTATACAAGTTCGTTTAGCTGAGGATCTTTTGTGGGAAAGGCACATTTAAGATGTTACTCGATTGTTTTTTGGCTTCCACTAATTGTTGAGAAGTCAGATATTATGCCTTTGTTTGTATATTTTTTCTATTTGACAGCATTTTAAATTTGATTAGCTTTAATTTGAAAGTCTTTTTCTTTGGTATAAATGGCAGTTTTATTATGAAGTAACTAGGTATGTATTTCTTTGTATTTATTCTACTTGAGATTTGTTGGGCTTCCTGGATCTGAGGATTGATATTTTTCTACAGTTCTGGAATTCTACAATTCTCTTATTATCCCTTCATATATTACATCTTCCCATTTCTGTATTATCTCCTTCTGGAACTTCAATTAGAAATATGTTACATCATCTTATGTTTTTCATGTCTTTAAACCTCTCTATCGTATTTTCTATTTCTTTACCTTTCTGGCCTGCATTCTGTATTATTTCCTCAGGTCTACCAGGATCACTAATTTCCTCTTTAGTTGCCTCTAATATGCTGGTTGATTATGTATGTTGGGTTTTTAACTTAAATGATTATATTTTCCTTTTTTTTTTCTTTTTCTTTTTTTTTTTTTGAGACCAAGTCTCATTCTGTTGCCCAGGCTAGAATGCAGTGGTGTGATCATGGTTCACTGCAGCCTTGACCTCCGGGGCTCGACCTACCTTAGCCCCCTAAGTAGCTGAGAAAACAGGTGTGTGCTGCCACGCCCAGCTAATTTATTTTTATATTTTGTAGAGACAAGGTCTCCCTGTGTTGCCCAGGCTGGTCTTGAACTCCTGGGCTCAAGCAATCCTCCTGCCTCAGCCTTCCAAAGTGCTGGGATTACAGGGGTGAGCCACTATACCGGCCATATTTTTCATTTCTAGAAATTGTTTTTTACCTTGCTTGGTTGGTCTTTAATTCCTTGGTTGTATTTTCAGACTTACCTTTTATTACATTAGATACGTTAAACATAGCTATTTTATATTTTTAACAGAAAATTCTGCTATATGAAATCTTTTTGTTTCTCACTATATGAGACTTTTCTTCCCTTTTTTGCTCTTATTCATGATGTCGTACCTGTGTTTTATAACTGTGAGTTCTTCATTTTCCATGATGTTTTTGTATCTTGAAAGTATTTGATGTTTATCTGGACTGAAAATGACTTTCTGCCTGGAAGGGTTTGTTTTTGCTTTTGTGTGCTACTCTCCAGTAGCATTATTGGGACCACATTAAATTCAGTTCTCTGCTTTAGATTTACATTGTGAATTCAGACTGTAACTTGTGTTAGGGTTCACTTGTCTGTAGGATTTTCAGAGGAGTATTTTTTTCTTCCCCACTATTTAACACCAAAATACAGATAGGCCAGCTTACTTGCTGTTCCCTTCTATGTGTATTATTTATTTCTAGTTCATAGTGATCCCATGGCTGTGGCTTTTTACCTCAGTGTCCCCTGTTAGACTCCTTATCTTGGCAGAACCTAGTCTTATTCTCTGGTCTTCCATGCCCGTTGTAGCTCTGGAGGTAGAAATAAGCTCAAAGAATCCAAGCTTCAATAGAAATCCGGGGAAAGCTGGCTTTGATATGTTCATTTGTTCTGTAGAGATTCTGCTTTCACTTCATTTTTGGCCTTTTCGTATCATTTTTTGCTAGACTAACAATGCATTTAAAAAGATTTTGCTTGGGGTACAATAAAAGGAAGCATTAAAGGAAGTCCTTTATTCATTTATTCATTAATTTACTCAAGAAATATTTATTGAGCACTTTTTATATGGCAGCAAATGAGAATGACTCAGAGTTGATTACTAAAGCAGAAAATTAAGCAAACAAATATTGTATTGTAACATTTAGCCCTGTATTCATGTGTTCAGCATCTGTGGATTCAACCAAACAAGGATTAAAAGATTTGGGGGGAAAATGGATGGCTGCATCTGTACTGAACATATACAGACATTTTTTTCTTGTCATTATTTCCTAAACAATACAGTGTAACAACGGTTTACTTAGCATTTGCATTGAATTCGGTATTATAAGTAATCTAGAGATGATTTAAAGTACATGGGAGGATGTGCATAGGTTATATGCAAATACTGCACCATTTTATAAGATGGACTTGAGCATCCATGGATTTTGGTATCTACAGGGAGGTCCTGGAACCAATCCCCAACAAATACTGAGGGATAACCATACTGTGATAGGGGAAATTCATTAATGGTGCTGCAGGGGCACATAGGAGAGGCACTTAACTGAGTCTTGAGTGGTTAGGAAAGATTTCCATAAGGAAATGATACCTCCTTGGAGACATGAAAGAAAAGTAGGTATTGGCCAGGTGTGGTGGCTCACACCTGAAATTCTAGCACTTTGGGAGACCAAGTGTGTGGATCACTTGAGCCCAGGAGTTCGAGACCAGCCTGAGCAACGTGGTGAAACTCTGTCTCTACAAAAGATACAAAAATTAGCTGGGCATAGTGGTGTGCACCTATAGTCCCAGCTACTCAAGATGTTGAGGTAGGAGGGTCACCTTAGCCTGAGAAGTCAAGGTTGCAGTGAGCCATGATAGTGCCACTGCACTCTAGCCTGGGCAACAGAGTGAGACCCTGTCTCAAAAAAAAAAAAAAAAAAGTAGGTATGGATGTGTGGTGAATGGTGGAAAAAGGAGGTAAAATTCCTGGAATAGTGAGTAGAGGATTTGGCGGTGGGGTTGGTAGTGTTGAAAGTACAAGAGACGGTGATCCAGCTTCCATATTCCTTTTAATTTTTTTCTACTGCTCTCTTGCTTGCTCACTATGTTTCAGCCAAAGCAGTCTCCCTTTTTCTCAGCCATGTTCTGAGAAAATGGCAAGAGTTAAGCACTAGTCAGATCGGGGTCTTGTTTGGGAGTTTGGACTTTGTTTTGTAGGTAGTGGGAATAACAGAGTATTATTAATACAAGTAGGGGAGGTACTTGATCAGATTTAAGGTTTTAGAAAGATAACTAGTTGCAAAATGTCAAACAGGTTGCAAAGGAGGGAGATTGAAAGTAGTAGTACAAATGAAGGTCTGGAGTAGGGTAATAATAATGCTTTTTTTTAAAGGAGTAGATGACCTTAAGAGATCTAGGAGCTGAATAATTAGGACTTAGTAATTGAATCTGGGGGATGAAGAAGAGGGTCAAGCCAAGGGCAATGCTTGGTTACTGTTTGGCCAGCTGTCTAGATGATTTCATTGATTTCTAAAATTAGGAGTACCAGAGCTGGAGTATATTTTAATGAGATGATGGCTTGGTTTGCACATCTGAATTATAGGTGCCTATGGAAGGTCTTAACAGATGATGCAGTGACCAATAGGCAGTTGGTTATCCAGTGAATCTACTAGTCACTGCATCGTCTGTTAAAATGTCACACATCAGGTCGGGTGCAGTGGCTCATGCCTGTAATCTCAGCACTTTGGGAGGCCGAGGCAGGCTGATCACGAGGTCATGAGATCAAGACCATCCTGGCTAACCCGGTGAAACCCCATCTCTACTAAAAATACAAAAAATTAGCCGGAGCCGGGCATGGTGGCACGCACCTGTAGTCCCAGCTACTCGGGAGGCTGAGGCAGGAGAATCGCTCGAACCCAGGAGGGAGAGGTTGCAGTGAGCTGAGATCGCGCCACTGCACTCCAGCCTGGGCGACAGAGCAAGACTCCATCTCAAAAAACAAAAGATGTCACACATCTTAACACAACTACTATCCTACTTCAAGATATCATTATCTCTTGTCTGATTTACTGTGGTAGTATTCTCCCTGGGATCTCTGCTTCCATTCTTGTCCTTCTGTAGTTCATTTTTCACGTAACAAGTGTGGTCTTTTTAAAAACAGATCATGTCACTTTTTTAATTAAAACTCTCCATTGGCTTCTAGTTACCCATAGAACAAAGCCAAGACTGCTAGAATAAAATTAAAATTTACTATTCTGACTCTCAAAGTTCTTTCTAGCTGATCTGGCTTCCGTATTCCTCTTTATTTTCTTCTGCTACTCTCTTGCTTGTTCATTATGTTTCAGCCAAAGCACTCTCCTTTTGGTTCGGAGAAAATGGCAAGCTTGTTGTTATAGGGCCTTTGCTCTAGTTGCGTTCTCTTTCCAAGGTGCCCTTCTCCACATGGCTCAGCCTCTTCTGGTCATTCATATCTCAGTTTAAATGTCAGCTCTGCATAGAGACATTTTAAAATCACTCAACCTAAAGTAGCCACCCAGTAAGTCTTTAATACTACCCTAATTTAATTTTTGGCATAGGTAGCACTTACTCCTGATTGATGTTTTCCATATTTTATTTCCTCATCACCTACATGTTTGCAAGCTCCATGACAGCATGAACCTCAGTGTCTTGCTGATAGTAGGGACATAATAAATATTTATAAGTGAGTGAATGCTTAGAGTTCTAACCTGGAACTAAAGATTTAGGAGTTTTTACCTATACATAGATGGAACTGAAGCCATGGGTCTGTTTGGGACAGTGCAGGGACAGTGTTTAGAGTGAGGAGAGATCTTCTAGTACAAAATCCCCCACATGGGTGAGGGACAGGTAGAAGAGGAGCCTGCAAAGCAGACTTGAGAAGGAGTGGCTGGAGAAAATCCAGACTATCTGGTGTCAGGAGAAGACAGTGTTTGAAGAATAATAAACATTTCAAGACCATTTTTCCTTTAGTTAGATGTCTTTCACAGGGGAAGATTTTACAGATTCCTTGAGAAACCTGTATACATTTAATGGCTCCTTGTTTTCATTCTTTTTCCTAAGCCTCATCCTCCCTTTGGGTTTACCTGTGCAATTTCTTCTCTTTCTTTTGTGGTGATGGAGAACTGCTGGGGTAAATATTGATTGAGAGTTTGATTTTATGCAATGAAAGAATGCAGAGTGTAATGAGTCCCTAAGTTCCAGAAATAAGCATGTTTATTAGAACACAGTTAAGGGAAAAGAAATAGTGATGAAATAATATAATTAAGGGTAAAATATGTTACAATGCTCTGCAGAGGTGAACACAGACTCAGGGGAAAATATTTAATATGGTTCCACCATTCAGAATCTTTCAAATTGAAATCCATGATTAAGTTTCTTTTTTCTCTGCTGACTGGAATAAAAATGTTAGTTTATTTTCTTATATTAGAAATACATTGTTTATTGACAGTTTTATTTTGGGCTCAATTTTTCAGTACTTGCTTAGGCCACATTAGACCTTGTTAGCCATCAGACAGAGTGCAAGTAATTGCTTGATTGAAAGATAATTTGTATATTTAAAGATTTGAGATTGAGTTTTGAATAATTCAAATCACATGATAAAGTCAGGAACAGCTCATTAAGAAGCAGAGACTTGCTAAGGAATCCTTAAGTTTTTAAGGAGCATTCAGATTTGTTAAATTTTAGTAAAATTAGTTTTAATTTTGCTAATGACAGCAGATGTGTGGCAAACAGCCAGGGTTTGAGCTTAAAACAAATGTCTAGCGATATTCATGGATAGAATGTTTGGTTACTGATTGAAATCATAAAGATTCTACTGCAGTGATGCAGTGTGAGTTTATTAAGTTGGTGCTATGTAAAATAAGTATTCATACATGTGTTTAAGCCATTTACTAGCATTCTTGTTTGTGCTGTATAACACTATATATTTAGTAACATCTAGACAGTTTGTAGTGAGAAGAATATCCAGAAATATACAGCTTAAAGCAACTCATTTTATGTGATTAAGTTCAATAATGTTGAGCATTGTAGAAACTAGGGTTGTTTCTGAAACTTTTGACAGTAGATATCAGTTGTTTGGACATTAGGTAAGTTTTGAAAATGTATTATTCCACCTTTTTCCCTTCACTCCTCTCTGCCCTGCTCTCTGTTTCCCAAAGCTAAATTGTAAGAAATGGATGTGTAGGTTCTATAGATAAAGATACTTTAGAATTTGCTTGCTGTGTAGCGAGACAAAAATAAAATCATAATAATTTAATTTTTTAAGGTCAAATGTAGTTACTAAATAGAAGTGTTTTTAAGCTTATCTTCAATTTACTAGTATGACATCATAACCTACTTAGGATTTGGCAAACACTTAAAGCCTTTTTAGATTTTCTGTACATGCTTTAGGTATCAAAACGTACTGTATTTTGGTCAAGTGAAGTGGCTCACACCTGTAATCTAGCACTTTGGGAGGCCAAGGTGAAGGATCCCTTGAGGTCAGGAGTTTGAGACCAGCCTGGGTAACATGGGGAGGGAGACCCTGTCTCTACAAAAAATAAAAGAATTATCCAGGTGTGGTGGCATGTGCTTGTAGTCCCAGCTACTTGGGAGGCCGAGACGGGAGGATCACTTGAGCCCAACAGGTTGAGGCTGCAGTGAGCCCTGATTGTGCCACTACACTCCAGCCTGGGCGACACAGCAAGATCCTGTCTCAAAATAAAATAAAATAAAATAAAATAAACACACACACAGTATTTGGTCATTTTCCTAGTGGTTTTCACTGAAAAACAATTGCCAAGAAATATACTAAAAATTACCTGTAAAATATTTTGCTTTTATTTCAAATAGGGCTTTGCTTTTGTTAGTGCTTAATATATTGGCATTTAATTGCTTCATATAAGCTTTGAAAGAGGTAACTCAATGGATAGGCAGAACTTCTGATCACAGTGGTATTGTGAATACATACTTTGAGGCATGTGTTCTACTAACCACTCATTGGAATAATAGATAAAGTATAAAAAGAGAAAATTGAAGACATAGTTGGACTAAAAAAAGACATGTTATATCAAAGAAATGGAACAGAAGCATCTGGACTCTGGGTCTGTAATCTGGGAGTGGCAGCTAGGAGTTTGGCTTGTTTGGAGTAATATGCTACATGTGCTATTTGAATAGCAAGGTACTGGAGTCAGACTCACTATTTGAACTTATCCACCCACCCCCACAGAAGGAGACTGAAAATAGCTAATTCCAGTTGCTACCTGAGGCTGTGTCTTACAGGAAGCTGTAGGCCTAGGGAGGCAAGGAGAAGACCAGTGTACTAGTCCATTTTCATGCTGCTATGAGGAAATACCTGAGCCTGGGTAATTTATGAAGAAAAGAGGTTTAATTGACTCACAGTTCCATATGACTGGAGAGGCCTCATGTGGCAGAAGGCACCTCTTCACAGGGTGGCAGGAGAGAGAATAAGTGCAAACAGGGGAAATGCAAGACACTTATAAAACCATCAGATCTGGTGAGATTCACTCACTATCATGAGAACAGCATGGGGGAAACTGCTGCGTGATCTGATTACCTCCTCCTGGTCCTGCCCTTGACACATGGGGATTATGGGGATTATAATTCAAGGTGAGATTTGGATGGGGACACAGAGCCAAACCATATCAACCAGGAACTGAAACTTGCTGTTTCCTGGCTTAGAGACTGGATTGAGGGGAAGGAATTTCAAACTGGCAATATGAGATCAAACTGGCAATATGAGTTTTGCATAGAGGTATTAGAATGAACTCTGAGCACAAGAATGTGAAGAGGAGAATGAAAGGATATACCCTATTCAGGGTAAGATGGTGAACTCTAAAATTTCAAAATACATGAAGAATCCTAATGCTACGAAAGCCAATAGAATCAATAAATGTGAATTAATTCCAGTTGAAGCTAAAATAACAGCTTCAATTGCTTTAAAATAAGTTTAATGTTCTCAAAAGGTTAAATGAAGGACTCATATTCATTAAAAATGACAGGGAATTTTGAAACACAAACTTGCAGAAATAAAACCAGAGCAAATAATTAGGAAAAGGAGACAATTAGAAATCTTAGAAATGAAAGTGTAGCCACTAAAGTAAAAATGTAGTAGACTAAATAGTCATTGTCAGTAGGAGAGTTAGTAAATTCAAATTCAGTCTGAAGGCACATAGGAAGGCAAAAAGATATTCCAAAAATTGAAAGCATTTAAGAACTTGCAGCTCTAGCCTACATTTAATAGGTAGAGAAATGGTGAGGAATCAATATATAAAGAGAGATGAGAATTTTTCAGAATTTGAGAAAAACAGGACTTCTCAGATCAGAAATATGTTTTGAGTACCAAGCAGGATAAATAAAAAGAAATCTACCCCTGACACTTTGTAGAGACACCACAGATTTAAAAACCAAAACACGAAACAACCCAACTTAAAAGCTGACAAAGAGAAAAATCAGAATACTATCAGCCTAATTGTTGTTCTACTGAAGTAGACTTTTTACCTGCAAAAATATGCAGAAAGCAAAGATGGGGGAGTGATTTGGAATAATATCCAGGAAAGAGTAAGAGGAAAAATAAATGCTACTCTGGAATTTCATAGTGATCTAAATAATCATTGTAGAGTGAAGGCAAAAATAGGAATGTTATCATACATATAAAGATGAATGTCATTTTAAAAAAAGCTTATTTTCTAAAATTTTGGGAGGTACATAGTAGGTGTATATATGGAGTACATGAGATGTTGTGATACGGGCATGCAATGTGAAATAAGCGCGTGATGGAGAATGGGGTATCCATCCCCTCAAGTATTTATCCTTTGGTTTATAAACCAATTACATTCTGTAAGTTATTTTAAAATATACAATTAAGTTATTACTGACTATAGTCACCCTATTGTGCTATCAAATAGTAGATCTTTTTCTATTTTTTTAATCCATTAACCATCTTCATCTCTCAAAGATGAGAGTCATTTTACTAAACAACCCCTCCACATTAAAAAACAAACAAACAAAAAAAACTATTAAAGCATGTACTTCTGCAAGATGCAGAAGAAACCTGGAGTTACAGAAGGGAAAGGATGAAATATCCAAGAGACAACAAAGAACAAGAAATGGATAAAATGTCCTGGTAAAACTATTGATAATAAAACAGTAAACTTTTTTTTAATATTAAATGCTAAAACTATAATCAACCAGGCTCAGTGGCTGAGGCCTGATACTATAACCAGGCTCAGTGACTCAGGCCTGTACTCTGAGCACTTTGAGAAGCTGAGGTGGGAGGATCACTTGAGCCCAGGAGTTTGAGACCAGTCTGGGCAACATAGTGAGACTTCATCTCTACAAAAAATTTAAAAATTAACTTTGATGTGATAGTGTTCACCTCTGGTCCCAGCTACTAGAGAAGCTGAGGTGGGATCACTTGAGCCCAGGAGTTGGAGGTGGCAGTGAGCTATGATCTCACCACTGCACTACAGCCTGGGTGACATAGCAAGATCCTGACTCCTAAAAAAATAATAATAATAGTATGATGGAAGACATTTAGATCACTATGAAATTCTAGAGTAACATTTATTTTTCGTCTTACTCTTTCTCAGATACTACTGCAAATCACCCCCTACCCACCTTTGCTTTCTGGGCAACAAGAAAAAAACTGTGGAGGAATATTACCAGATTTCAAATTATACTACAGGGCTTTAATAATCTAAACAGCATAGGTTTAGGTTACTAAACCTAAATCCTTTATGCTGTTTTACTGTTATAAAGACAGACACATAAACCAATGGAACAGAATACAGAGCCCATAAGTGAATCCATAGATATACAGTGAGCTCATTTTCAACAGATGTGCCAAAAACATACATTGGGGAAAGGACTGTCTATTCAGTAAATGGTGCTGGGGAAAACTGGATATCCATATGCAGAAGCATGAAACTAGACCCCTTCTCTCGCCATTTACAAAAATCAAATCAAAATGGAGTAAAGACTGAAATCTAAGACCTCAAATGATGAAACTATTTAAAGAAAACATTGGGGAAACTCTCCAGGATATTGGACTGGGCAGATTTCTTGAGTTAGATCCCACAAGCACAGGCAACCAGAGCAAAAATGGACAAATGGGATCACATTAAGTTAAAAGGCTTCTGCACAACAAAGGAAACAGTCAACAAAATGAAGAGACAACCCATAAAATGGGAGAAAGTATTTGCAAACTATTGATCTCACCAGAATATATAAGAAGCTTAAATAACTCTATGGGGGAAAAATCTAATAATCTGATTAAAATGTGGACAAAATATCTCAAGAGACGTTTTCAAAAGAAGACATGCAAGTGGCAAAAAAAGGTGTATGAAAAAGTGCTTAACATCATTGATCATCAGAGAAGTGCAAATCAAAACTATAATAAGATATCATCTCACTCCAGTTCAAAAGGCTTTTATCCAAAAGACAGGCAATAACAAATGCTAGTGAACATGTGGAGAAAAGGGAACCCTTGTACATTGTTGGTGGGAATGTAAATTAGTGCAGCTACTATGAAGAACAATTTGGAGGACCCTCAAAAAACCAAAAATAGAACTACCAGCAATCCCACTGCTAGGTATATTCCCAAAAGAAAGGAAAACATACAAAAAAATTAGCTGGGTGTGGTGGCATGTGCCTGTAGTCCCAGCTACTCGGGAGGCTGAGGCAGGAGAATTGCTTGAACCCAGGAGGCGGAGGTTGCAGTGAGCTGAGATCGTGCTGCTGCACTCCAGCCTGGCGACAGAGCGAGACTCCGTCGCAAAAAAAAAAAAAAGGAAATCGGTATATCAGAAGAGCTATCTGCATTCCCATGTTTATTGCAGCACTGTTCACAATAGCCAAGGTTTGGAAGCAAGCTAAGTGTCCATCAGCAAATGAATGGATAAAGAAGATATGGTCTATATATACAATGGAGTATTATTTAAGCATAAAAAAGAATGAGATCCTGTCATTTGCAGCAATACGGATGGAACTGGAGGTTGTTACGTTAAGTGAAATAAGGCAGGCACAGAAAGAAAAACAGCACGTTCTCACTTATTTATGGAGCTAAAATTAAAACAAGTAAATTCATGGAGAGAGAGAGAGTAGAATGATGGTTACTAGGGGCTGGGAAGAATAGTGGGAGGTGGAGAGTGAGGATGGTTAATGGGTACAAAACTGCAGTTAGATAGAATGAATAAGAGCTAGTATTTGATAGCACAACAGGGTGACTACAGTCAGCGATAATTTATTGTACATTTAAAAATAACTAAAAGAGTATAATTGGGTTCTTTGTAACACAAACGATAAATATTTGAGATGATCGATGCTCCATTTACCCTGATATGATTATTACACTTTGTATGCCTGTTTCAAAATACCTCATGTACCCCATAAATGTTTAATGTGTACCCATAAAAAATTAAAATATAAAAGCAAATTTAAACAAAAACCCAAAAAATAATAAAAAGTTTTTTTTAAAGAAAAATAATGTTAAACAATAGAAATACAGTCTTATAAATTCCAAATAGCAATTGGGGGATTGGATGGGAGGCGAATATAGAAAACTTTTTCAATCTAAGAGATGGAGACGGCAGGAAAAGCGAAATAAAAATAAAAGCAAAGAAAACAAGATGGTAAACTGAAAACAATAAGATGGCAGAAGTACAAATGTACCACAGTTAAGTAGTCAGACTTAGTGGTGTTCCATATCATTTAAATGAACTCATAATCTAAATATGTGGAATTAGTTAATTTCTGTTTCATTCCATGTTTTCAGAGACTTATATTCTGGATCCCCTACTACCCCATCTGCTCAAGGACTTTGCTTTTGGGATTATCCTGTTAGCCTACTTTATATTTTCTTCGTGGTTATTGCATCATTCCTATCTCTATGTAAAATGCAGTCAACCTTTCCTTGATTCATTCTCTTCAGCTCCTGCTGAAAGTCCAAATACCGCTTCCATTTAATCTCCTATTTTCTCCTCAACTATTGTGTCCATTCCCATTCTTGTCCAGAAACTGCTGTTTTCAGGAGGTTCCAGTGATCTTCATGTTGGTAATCTAGTATCTATTCTTTTTTTTACCACCTAGAAAAATACACAAATACCTACACATAAAATTAAATATTGTTCTAAACACAGGCAATACAGGAAGGTGGTTAAGAGTGTAGAGTAATCAAAATAACTGTGCCTCCATGTTTAAAATACTAGCTGCGTGACTTTGGGAGAATTTACAAAACCTTTCTATGCCCCAGTTTCCTCATAACAAGGAAAACTGGCTCTGTGACTTTGGGGGAAGTTATAATAATCTCTGTGCCTCAGTTTTCTCATAAGATGAAGATAATAGTATTTTCCTCAGAGCAATTTTGTGACAATTAAATGAAATAATTTGTAAAGTGCATAGGACAGTACATGGCACATGTTAAATGCTTAGTATATATAGCCATTCTTCATAAACTCTGAAATGTTATTGAATGAGGATATAAATATAATGGAAAATGTTTTAAGGGTGAGATTTTTACAATATATTTGATACATACAAAAGGATATTATAATACATATGTAAGTTAACAACATAATAAAATCAAACCTTGGAATTTACTACTCAAGCTAAGAACTTCACTGTCTTGATCACATCCTCCTATCTCCATTTGTCCTATGTATCCATGTGAAAAAAAAGAGGAAATAGCTTTATACATTTGTATATAGCCCTGATTATTTACTTTTGCTTGTTTGTGAACTTCGTTGTGATAGCTTATTGTATATATTCTTTTGTGATTTACTTTTTTCATTAAATTTAGTTGCTAAGATTTATCTTATTGATTGGTGTGTGTGTCTGGTTCATTAATGTTCTTGGAGATAATTATAGCACATACTGTTCAGGGATGTTGTATGAGTTAAATGAGTTGATACATGCTTAGAGTAGTACTTAGCACACAGTAAAAGCTCAAAGAAAGATGGCCATTATTATGTTTGTTACTATGCACTGCTGTATGAAATGTTGTGTGAATATAACATGGTCTATCTATCTATCTATCTATCTATCTATCTATCTGTTCTCTTGCTAATGGGCATTTGGGTTGTTGCCAGTTTACAACAACAGAACAGAGTCCTGCTCTGAACACTCATGTACCTCTGTCCTTGTGCCCTCGTGCAAGAGTTTCTTGAAGCCAAATATATTGACCTAGAAGAATTGCTGGGTCATAAATTATGCTTGTGTTCAACTATAGTAGATAATGCCAACTTGTTTACCAAGGTATTGTGCCCATTTATATTTCCACCAGCAGTGTATGCATTTTCATTGTTCCATACCCTTGCCAACATTAGGTATTCTCATATTTTCCTTTTTCTTGATCTGATGGTTATAAAATAGCATCTTATGATTTCATTTGGATTCTATTAATAATGGGGCAGACATTTTTTCAAATGTTTATTGGTTATTTGTATATCCTTTTCTGTGCAAGATTGTCCTTCCTATTTTTTCTAATGGATTGTCATTTTTTTGATCTAGAGGACTTATTTAAATATTCTTGATTACTTTTGTTGATTCTATTTGTTGGAAATATCTTCTCTCAGTTTGCGGCCTTTCTTTTTTCTCTGTTTTTTTTTTTTTATGGGATTACTTGATGAACAGTTTTTCTGAGTTTTAATTTGGCAGAAATTTATCCAGTTTTTCTTGTGTTGTTTATATCTTGTTTAAGAAATCTTTCTGTACCATAAAAGTATTCTGTATTATCTACTATAAGGCATGTAAATACCTTAACATTTAAATAATTAATTAATCTACCTGTAATTGTTTTTTCTTTATGGTGGGAGGTAGATTCAAATTTTTTAAATTTAATGTGTTTTTTGGTAGGTGTAGGGTTGTACAGTTGTCCCAGTCCCACTTAATAATCATTCTTTATTGATTGAATGGTATCTCTGGTACAGTTTTAAATAGAAGAACTGTGCATTCTTTTGTTCCTTAATTTAAAAATGCATTTAAACATTCACCATTAAAGACAATGTTTGTTGTAGGTTTGTTTTACCCTTTAAAGAAATTCCTATTTGTCCTAATTTTCTAAAAGGGTTTGAGATTTGCATGGATGTTGAATTGTATTAAATGCTTTTTCTTTAGCTTCTGAAATGATTGTATAGTTTCTCTTCTTTAATCTGTTAATGAGATAAATAGCTTTTGTAATGTTTAACTACTCTTACATTCTTAAGATGAATCCAACATGGTCTGATACATTGTCGTTTTTATGCATTGCTATATTACATTGGCTAATATTAATTAAGTTTATAGATTTATGAAAGCAGTTGTTTAATGTAAACTTCTTTTAATAAACTTTACAGCAGAAGGTATAGGCACAGAACTCAAAGCTCCACTTAAGCAAGAACCTCTCCAAGTAAGAGGTAAATATATTTTATCCTATTTTTGTATTATAAAGATGTTTTGAATTAAATATATAACATTGGTTTATGTAGAGCTCTTTATAGTTATATTATTCTAAGAGTATAGTTTATTTTTTACTTTTATTTAAATAGATTGACCATAAGGATTTATTCTCTTACATATAAACTAATTTTCTATTAAATTTATTTTGCATTTTTGTCACAAATTTTTTCAAAAGCCCAAGAAAGGAATAATGGCAAATAAGAATCATCAATTGCATTATCATTTTTAGAAGAGTAAGGCAATTAAAGAACAAGAGGCCCACACTTTTCAGCTACTGCTTATTCAAATCCAGGTAGAGTTTGGCCGTTATTGTCTGACTTTATTTTCTAGGAGAAATTGAAGGAATTCCTGTTTGTAGCTCTCTTCTGTATAACAAGCTGTGGTTCCCATCTCCAAAGCAGCTGTTTCATGGAGGCAGCAACTCTATGATTAACAGCACTGTGGCTTTGGCATCAGATAAAACTGGATTAAATTTGTGGCTCCAGTGCTTACCAGCTGGCTGACCTTGGGCAATTTACTTGACTTCTCTGAGGCTTAGTTTTCTCCCCTATAACGTGGTGCTGAAAATGAGACTTCTTTTCTAGGGTAACTTTGATTAACACATGGTAGACAATTAATAACAATTAATGTTGTTATAGCAGCCATCATTATCATTATCATCCTCACCTTCATCATTAATAACCTGGGCCAGGGTTTTTTAGCTATTTGGAAGAAATTTTTTTAAAAATTTTTTAAAAATTTAAAAGGCGGTTTAGAGACATGAAACTCACGCAAAAAAAAAATCTGTATTTCCTTATATTTTTTTTCAGATAAGGTTTTGATTTTTTAATTGAACTTTATTTTTCAAATATTCTTATTACATAATATTTGTGCATTTAATGTAAGTATGTATTATTTTAGGAATCTTTTTACCCACTGTAGTGATAGGTAATCTTAGGCTGAATTTGCTCTTTCAACTTGGAAGTAGAACAGAAAATTGTGAAATAATAAATATGAGAATAGAACATGAAGTGAATAGATGACAATTCGAAATAGAACACATAAGTTTGTTATTTTGCTCTTGCACTTCAGGTATTTGCTTATTTATCTCTATCATATGACCAAAAGTCTCACCTTATAATGATTTATTAACATAGACCAATGTTCTGTAATTTTTAACTCACAGACTATAATTGATGCCAAATTGGTATTGGTATTGGTGTCGCTGGCCTTTTTATGAGCAGTTTGATACTTGACAATAGAAAAACAATTTATTAGAAGGCAATATTTAACCTATAATCTATAATAATTTTTTTTGTAATTTTTAACTGATGAAATTATTCTGTACTTTTCTTCAGTTTTATTACATTATGTGAAATGGTCTAGTGGCTTTAAACTTTTTTGACTGTAACCCACATAAGAAATACTAATTAGCAACTAGTATACACATAGATTAGTATATGTAAATGAAACAAAGGTTTTCACAAAAAAATAATTATATGTAGTAGTCTTTGATTACTTTATATTTCTACTTTGTATGAAATGCTGATTTCACCTCACAGTTTGAAAAGCACTCAACTACTCTGTTATTTTATTTATTTATTTATTTATTATTTTTTTTGGACAGAGTCTGACTTTGTAGCCCAGGCTGGAGTGCAGTGGCATGATCTGGCTCACTGCAACCTCTGCCTCCCAAGTTCAAGTGGTTCTCATGCCTCAGCCTCCTGAGAAGCTGGGATTACAGGCACCCACCACCACACCTGGCCAATTTTTTGTATTTTTTTTTTAGTAGAGACAGGGTTTCACCATGTTGGCCAGGCTGGTCTCAAACTCTTGACCTCAAGTGATCCACCTGCCTTGGCCTCCCAATACTCTGTAATTTTTTATCAAAACTTCAGTTCATTTTCATTTAGACCCTAAGCAATTTAAATTATACCAATATGATTTAGACAGACCAGTAATACCTGTTCAAGGTGTTCATTAGACAAAGGTTGACATTTTGGGATCAGTTATAGATGACATATAGAGACAAAAGCTAGATGGCTACAAATGCAATTTCATCCTATTCTGCACTTGGATAATTTTTTCTCTGATGTCATTCAGTGAAAAAGATCAGTTTTCTGTGAAATTCATTAGTGAAGCCTCTTAAGTATCAGCCTATATTCATCTTCACATGTGACTTTCAATGTGCATATTTATTATGTTTTCCTGTTTTTTGTTTAGTTAAAGCAGTCCTTAAGAAAAGGGAGTATGGCTCAAAGTACACTCAGAATAATTTCATCACTGGAGTCAGAGCGATAAATGAGTTCTGCCTCAAATCCAGGTAATTTTTTTAAAAAATGTAGCCGTGTGTCATATCTAAATAATCTAAATAACTATTCCTTTCTTAGAGTGTGTTACCTGCTACCATCCATATATGGAAAATTTGCTACTGGCTCCTTAAAATGAAGAGATATTTTTATTCAGTCAAAAATGTTAAAAATTGTTAGCAAACTAAACTGAATCCTGCCCCAGCATTAGCAATTCTAGTCTTTCTTAGTTTCTTAAACCCACAATGGTAAATTCTTCAAAAGCTTTCCATCACACAAGAATCTTAGGAGTTAAATTGTTAAGTCATTGGTATGTGACAGAATTCTCAATAAGATTATTTGCGTATTTGTATGTTTGACTGTTTTGGTTTTTTGGCCAGCAGAGTTGAGTACTTAATTTAGTGAGTTAAATTTATGTTCATGCTCCCAACTGTGATTTCTGTTGAGTATAAATTATTTTTACTACTTTCCAATATCTGTTATTATTAATTTTCTCATATTTATATTTATTGAAATTATGTTAGTCACAGATTTAAACTTTTCTCCCTCCTTTGTGCACGAATTAGAGAAATCAGATGATCTATCTTTTTTTCAGTCTTCCTCATTGTCACAGCCACTTTGGTATATATCAAGAAATAGGTATTCCTATAATTTTTAACTTTTATAACTATTACATCAACAACCAATTATAATATTGATTTAGTTCTGACACAAATTTTGTGAATTAAGTGGATTAGGCATTGCTGTCTCCACTTTAATAGACCAGGATGAGCATAATACAAGATGTTAGTGATTGACCCAGCTCATTTAAGTGAGTCAGTGACAGGGAGAACTAGAATATATATCTTTTGAAAGCTGATCCATACATTTTTACTAACATGTGATGGTTATTGATGTTTTTTAAATCTAGGTTTAATTTCTAGAACTTGATAACATTACATAGTCACAGACTTTTTATTTATAGATTGTTTCATTGCTTTAACAAAATTTCCATAGGAAGATCCATGATTAAATATAGAATGACTATTTAGCAGTGACTTGATGAATATATAAGCCTTTCAGAATTTAAGAGAAAGGAAAATAAATAACATGTAATTGACACAAACTCTTTATGACATCATTCCTTTGAATGGATATTACCACTTAGTATTAATCTACATATAAACAAATAATGACTGTAAATTTTTAACTTAAATTCTTAAGTAGAGGGATGATATTCTAATCCATGTTCTTTCTTCTTTTCGTTTTTTTTGTTTGTTTTTTTTTGAGACAGGGTCTCACTCTGCTGCCCAGGCTGGAGTGCAGTGGCACAATCATGGCTTACTGCAGCCTCTACCTCCCTAGGCTCCAGTGATTCTTCCACCTCAGCCTCCTGAGTAACTGGGACTATGGCTGTGCGCCACCACGCCTGGCTAATTTTTTTTTTTTTTTTTTTTTTTTTTTTTGAGACGGAGTCTCGCTCTGTTGCCCAGGCCGGACTGCGGACTGCAGTGGCACAATCTCGGCTCACTGCAAGCTCCGCTTCCCGGGTTCACGCCATTCTCCTGCCTCAGCCTCCCGAGTAGCTGGGACTACAGGCGCCCGCCACCACGCCCGGCTAATTTTTGTATTTTTAGTAGAGACAGGGTTTTGCAGGTTGCACAGTCTAGTCTCGAACTCCTGACATCAAGTGATCCACCCACCTCAGCCTCCCAAAGTGCTGGGATTACAGGTGTGAGCTACCGCACCTTGCTTATTTTTCACTTTTTTTTTTTTTTGCTTTATCTCCTAGGCCGAAGTACAGTGGCGTGATCTTGGCTCACTGTAACCTCTGCCTCCCGGGTTCAAGTGATTCTTCTGCCTCAGCCTCCTGAGTAGCTGGGATTACAGGCAGGCACCACCAAACCCAGCTAATTTTTGTATTTTTTTTTAGTAGAGACGGGGTTTCACCATGTTGACCAGGCTGGTCTCGAACTCCTGACCACCCACCTCGGCCTCTCAAAGCGCTGGGAGTGAGCCACCACGCATTACCTAACTTTTCACTTTTTTCCCCATATATTAGAGATGGCAGTGGTGTGCCCATAGCAGATACAAATACAAGTACTGGTGAGGGAAGTGAATCTCTACATATTATATTGTGGTGTCTACACTGAGCATCAAGAGTAATTTTTTTTCACTGTCTCTATTTTTTGTATACAAAATGTCATCTTTAAACTGATCTTTAAAAGCCATTCACATCAATATTTCTCTAAGATGGGGATCAGTGTTGTTGCTTTTATCTGCCCTTAGTAATCCTCTTTAAGTATATAAACTATATGCACTTTGTCTGAATAAATTCAACATGTTTCTTTCTCTAGTGATCTAGAACAACTTCGAAAAATCAGACGACGAAGTCCCCATGAAGATACTGAGTCTTTTACTGTATACTTGAGATCAGATGTGGAAGCAAAGTAAGAACATAGTTCTTTCAGAATAAAAGTGCAAACCAAATTTTGGATTAATAAAAATACATTTTAGACAGAGTCAGAATTTTTTAAATGACTTTTTAAAAACAATATTTTTGTATTTGCAAATCTGTTTATTTGTGAGTTACTAATATGTACTCCTTAACTAAATATATGTCATAATGTGTAAGAAAATTTGCTGTTGAATTTACTCTAGTTGTTTAGATTTCATTTGGAAAAGTTCCTAAGTCCTTTATGTTTCTCCAAAAGCACCTTACACTTTGTTGTAAGATTCTCATTAGAGAATTTAGATTTAAATGTGATGTCAATAAAGTCATTAAAATTGTTCATTGTGGTGACCATGTGTGTATGCACAGATCTTTGGAAGTTTGGGGAAGCCCTGAAGCTCTTGCCAGAGAGAAAAAATTGCGTAAGGAAGCAGAAATAGAATACAGAGAAAGTAAGTATATTCAATTTAAAGTCAAGTTAATTGAAAAATAACTTGTAGATGAGAACTGTATCTGTAAGAACTCTCTAGTGCTAGCATACCTGTTGGCCTAGGCTCTGTTGCTTCCAGCAAATGCTAGTTTCCGTTTTGGGATTCAATTATTTCACAAAAACAGGAACTGTATTTTTGTTTTCTCCTGTATAGCTTTTTGAAGATGATGAGAGGAAGAGAAGCTACAGTTTATCATTTTTATAAGACATATAACTATCAAAACTTATCTGATTTAAAGATTATACTTGTTATAAAAGTGATAGAATAGGAAGTAATTGCTGTATTAGTCTGTTTTCACACTGCTATAAAGATACTACCCAAGACTGGGTAGTTTATAAACAAAGGAGATTTAACTGACTCACAGTTCCGCATGGCTGGAGAGGCCTCAGGAAGCATACAATCATGGCGCAAGGGGAAGCAGGCGCATCTTAACATGGTGTCAGGCGAGAGACAGCGTGTGTGTAGGAGGAACTGTCAAACACTTATAAAACCATCAGATCTCGAGAACTCAGTATCATGAGAACAGTATGGGGGAGACCATCCCCATGATCCAGTCACCTCCCACCATGGCCTGTCCTCGGCACATGGGGATTATGGCTATTATAATTCGAGATGAGATTTGGGTGGGGACACAGAGCCAAATCATATCAATTACTTTTTTACAGAAGGGTCTATTAACTCAGCTACATTAATTAATTCAGCAGATATTTATCCAATACCCGCTATGAACAAGAAGCTGTGCTTGGTGTTTGAAATGTATATGCAAGTAAGACTCTTAGGAGCCAGGTGTGGTGGCACATGTCTATAGTCCCAGCTACTTGCCTGTAATCCCAGCTACTCAGGAGGCTGAGGTGGGAGGATCACTTGAGCCCAGGAGTTTGAGACCACCCTGGGCAACATAGACATAAATGGGGTGATACCATACATATTGTACATCTTGCTCTTTATAGATAGTGGTATAATCATAACCGTTTTCCATATCTACATATAGAAATCTACCTCATTCTTTTTAACAGTTGTATAGTACCCCATTGTATGGATGTAGCAAGATTTATGTTCTTCAGTTTTTCACTGTTAGAAAGAATACATCAATAAATATTTTTATTTTTTTAACGTGAGATAATTGTGAATATTTACATAGGATTGAGTGTTAATAATACAATTTTAGGATCAAATGGCATAGGCATTTAAAAATTTGATAGATCCTAAAGAATTACTCTCTGAAGGAAATATGGTACCAATTTACATTTACAATCACAGTGTATGAGGGAGACTATTTTTTCATACCCTTGCCCATGCTGGATATTAACAAGATTTTAACTTTTTTGTGTATTTGATGGGCAACAGATGGTACCTCGTTTAATTTTGAATATCTCTGACTACTACTGAGGTTATCTTCTATGTATAGTGGTTTTTCTTAGTTCTTCTGTAATAATTTTTATATGTTTTGTTCACTTTTCTATTAGATTGTGTGTCTCTTAAAATTGATTTAAATAAGTTTTTGGTGGATTTTAACCAAAATCTAACCAAGTTAGTTTCATATGTTCTAAATATTTTCTAACAGTCTATCTTGAAATTTGGTTTCTCCTCTTTTTAGTAGGGAAATTTCAAACATATTCAGAAGTGCAGAGAAAAACATAATAACCTTTTAATGCCCATCATCTGGCTTTACAGCTACCAACAACATGGCCAGCCTTGTTTAATGTATATCCCTCTCACTAACCTTCACTCTACTGGATTACTTTGAAACCAGGTCCAGACATTATATCATTTTATTTATAAATATTCCAGTATATATTAAAAGGTCAGGATGTTTGTTTTAGTCAGTTCATGTGATGGTGATGGTTGAACTGTTTTAGAAAAGTTAACTATCCATTGCCTGTAGTAAGCTGTCAGTCTTAGTAATCCTCTCATTTGCCCTTTGGTTGAAGGTCTAGGATGTTCTCAAATAGCTTTAATTCTGACAAAGAAAGTGATTGACCTTCTGTTGATGATTCCTTTTCTTGACAAAACTGAAAATAGTATGTCTCTTTTCAGCTAACCTAGTCAGGAGGAATAAGGAGTATATTTGTGTGACCTGGAATATATAATATTAAATCATCTAGTTGTTGAATAAGTATAGTTTTCCTTGTAAAATCCAAGTTCTTTAAATCATTGGTTTGGCATTTTCAAAAGTTTGAAGGAGACAGTGAATCCTAGTATCAAAGGATTTTTGGCCTCAGAAAAAGTTGTTGATTATTTTTATTTTATTTTATTTTTCGAGACAGAGTCTTGCTGTGTCACCCAGGCTGGAGTGCAGTGGCGCAATCTCAGCTCACTGTAAGCTCTGCCTTCCGGGTTCATGCCATTCTCCTGCCTCAGCCTCCCAAGTAGCTAGGACTACAGGCACCCGCCACCGCGCCCAACTAATTTTTTGTATTTTTAGTAGAGACAGGGTTTCACCGTGGTCTCGATCTCCTGACCTCGTCATCCGCCCACCTCAGCCTCCCAAAGTGCTGGGATTACAGGCGTGAGCCACCGCACCTGGCGATTATCTGTTTTTTTTTAAGAGATGAGGTCTCACTATGTTGCCCAGGCTGGAATACAGTGGCTATTCTCAGGTGCAATCATAGTGAATTATAGCCTTGAACTCCTGGGCTCAAGTGATCCTCCTGCCTCAGCTTCCTGAGTAGCCAGGACTACAGGTGTGTGCCACCGTGTCTAGCTGACAATCCACAGATATTATAAAGAGGACTGCACTTAAATTAACAGAAGTGAAGTATTTACTTTCAATGGAAGAAATACATACTGGGGACAGATAGTCCTGGAAATTCTGGTGTACTATTCAGTTAATGGTTTCCATTGAGTTTCTTTATAGGTAATACAGGTACTAACACAGGATGCAATCAGATAGGGCATATTCCATTGGGGAATTAGATATTGCCAGTGCAGTTATATAGTTCTTTTACTCTTGGGCACTTATATATGGTAATGTATCAGGATTAAAGTAGAGATCGATGTACTAGTATTTATGAAAAATGTATACATATTTTTCTTTGATAATCAGGCTGACTTTATTGTTATCTGTTAAACGACTAACAGATTTTATTAAGCATCGTGAGGTTTCTCAGAAGAATATCATTGCTGCTATTCCCTTTCTGGTTTGATAGAACAATTTATTTTTTAGTGTTCCTACTTCTTATCAATGACACTGATTTTTATTAGTATTAGAAAGGGACTGCACTTGCTTAGGGTTTGAGAAGTTAATAAATTTTGCCTTGTATGGCTGTTAAAAGCCCTAAGTTTGTTCCTTTTTTTTTTTCTTTTCATCTTCTCTTTTGGTTTCTTGACAGTGCATTGCAATTTAGTTTTTCCAACGTGAACTAACTGCCAGTTCATTTTAATCTTTCTTACCACCCTATTTTTAATTTAAGGCCCTTTAACCAAAGAGAGCATAAAGGGTCCCTTGGCATTCTACATCAGGGTCAGTGTCCACAAATTGTTTATTTCTAGAAGTCTAATTCTAAATTTACCTATTAATTCTGTGGGGTTTTTTTTGTTTATAGTTTTGGATCTTAGTGTAATCAATTTTAATAGAGGATGGCTTCCTGGATAGCTTACAACAACCTATGTCCCTGGCTCTTAATAAATAACTTTTGCCGGTGTTACGGCATCTGTCTTCAGTAGCCAGAGTTGGCTAACTATGGCCCGTGGAACAAATTGGTCTGCTGCCTGTTTTTGTATAGTTTATAAGCCAAGAGTGGTTTTCATATTTTTAATGACTGACAAAAAAGCAAAAGAGTAACAATATTTTGTGACAGATGAAAATTAAATGAAATTTAAATTTCAGAGTCCACAAATAAAATTTTATTGGGACGTAGCCATGATCTTTTATTTACATATTGTCTGTGGCTGCCTTTGCACTACCAACAGCAGAGTTGAGTAGCTCCGACAGAGACTGCGTGTGGTGCTCCTGTCACTTTGCACTGCTACTCAGTTACAATTCAGTAACAGTTATAATTCAACAGTATTTCAAATGTCATAGGTATCCTTGTACATGACCTTTTTTTTTTTTAGTATGAGTGCATACCTGTCTGGTGAGTAAGAAAAGTAGACATCTAGTGTTGTGCTTTTAAGTCACAGTTGAGCATGGATTATTTTTTATTGAATTAGATGGCAAAGTACTGTGTCTACTATGCAGTGACACCATAGCTGAGTTAAAGGAATACAATATATGTTGACATTACTAGATTAATCAATCATCACAGTATTCCCAACTCACAGGAGTGTAACAATCAGAAAAACTAGAGAATTTAAGATGGAATATATTACAGCAGAATTTGTTCACAAAAATAGAAAATGAAAATGAGGCTGCAACCAAAGTTTGGTTTCTGAGTGGCTTATTAGTCAAGCAAAGAAAGTGGGTTTCTAATGGCAAGTAAATTAAGTCCTGTTTAATTTAAGCAGCTGAAGAAATGTATCCAGGACTAGTAGTCTTTAGGCAAGACTAGTTGCTTCAAGAGTTGAGGACACTGAGGACAGACATCAGTAGTCAATTAAAAAGCAAGGCAAATTATTTTGAATGATGTTCCTTGGCTCTTGATAAGTTGACCTGTGTACCAATACTATTTGAGGAGTGAGTGCTGAGTTTGAAGAGACTGGAGAATTACCCTTTGTGAATAGTGTATGTGGAGCAACCACAGGCAAGAATTTATTTTATTTTATTTTATTTTTGAGACGGAGTCTCACTCTGTCACCAGGCTGGAGTGCAGTGGCATGATCTCAGCACACTGCAACCTCCGCCTCCTGGGTTCAAGTGATTCTCCTGCCTCAGCCTCCCGAGTAGTTGGGATTACAGGTGCGTGCTACCATGCCCGGCTAATTTTTTTTGTATTTTTAGTAGAGATGGGGTTTCACCATGTTAGCCAGGATGGTCTCCATCTCCTGATCTTGTGATCCTCCCTCCTTGTCCTCTCAAAGTGCTGGGATTATAGGCATGAGCCACTGCGCCCAGCCACGTGAGAATATTTTCAAAGAAGATGTGAAAATACTAATTCAGTAAACCTGATGTGGAATCTGCTAAGATGTCTTATATAGATGATGGTGGTAAAAATACATGTGGAGCAGAAAAAGCCTTAGTTGGACAAATTTATAAAGTTTGTGAAAACATAAGATATTTAAAGCCTTTTCATCAGTAGATACTTCCCAGAAAATATTTGTCATGAGTAGGAACTTTGTGGAAAATGCTTAAATCTTGTTTGCTGTTGAACCAATAGTATCACCTTTGAACTTGTGGACTTAACCACTGAAAGAAATAGAAGCTGATAATCCTGACTTGTCCTTCTACACTGCATTTCAGTGGTTTAGCAGTTTTACTGCCATTTTTTGAGCTCAGGATTGAAAAATTCAAAATGGAAATTTTTCTGAATAAGAAGACCCACCTGTCAACCACTATTATCAAACACTGAGTGGCTTAGAAAATTAGGTTTTGCTGCAGACGTTATTTTTCTTAATGCATTCAGTGTAAAATTACAGGGGAAAACAGTGCTTAAATACAAAACTTACTCTGCTGTGAAGTCATTTCAACAGTAGATACATTATTTGAATCAAAGTAATGTCAGTCAGCTTTATGTACTTCCCATGCTGTTAAAAGTTTAACACAAGCACTCAGATCCGCAGTGGCAGTGGTGTGTCCTGTCTGCGGAGAGCCAGGCCAGAGACAATGAGCAACACCTCAGAGAACACGAGGGCGTGCCCCGAAGCCACCCACCCTTCCGACTGCGGCAGCTGCTGACCCGCTGTTGCCATGACCTGCAGGAAAGCCAATGAGGAGGGCAGTTGGAAGAAATTCTTCTGGAACTCAGAGAAGAAGGAGTTTTTAGGCAGGACTGGTGGCAGTTGGTTTAAGATCATTCTATTCTACATAATATTTTATGGCTGCCTGACTGGCATCTTCATCGGAATGATCCAAGTGGTGCTGCTCACCATCAGTGAATTTAAACCCACATATCAGAACCACATATCAGGACCCCCACCAGGATTAACACAGATTTCTCAGATCCAGCAGACTGAAATTGCCTTTCATCCTAATGATCCCAAGCACTGTGAGGCATATGTGCTGAACGTAGTTAGGTTCCTGGAAAAGTACAAAGATTCAGCCCAGAAGGATGACATGATTTTTGAAAATTGTGACAATGTGCCCAGTGAACCCAAAGAACGAGGAGACTTTAATCAAGAATGAGGTGAGCGAAAGTCTGCAGATTCAAGCTTGAGTGGCTGGGAAATTGCTCTGGATTAAATGACAAAACTTACAGCTACGAAGAGGGCAAACCACATGTTATTATAAAGCTCAAGTGAGTTCTAGGCTTCAAACCTAAGTCTCCCGAGAATGAGTCCTTGGAGACTTACCCAGTGATGAAGTATAACGCATCTGTGTTTCCTGTTCAGTGCACTGGCTAGCAAGATGAAGATAAGGATAAAAATAGAAATGTGGAGTATTTTGGACTGGGCACCTACCTTGGTTTTCCTCTGCAGAATTATCCCTACTATGGCAAACTCCTGCAGCCCAAATACCTGCAGCCTCTGCTTGTTGTACAGTTCACCAACCTTACCATGGACACTGAAATTCGCCTAGTGTAAAGCAGATGGTGAGAACATTGGGCACAGTGAGAAAGATGGTTTTCAGGGATCCTTTGATGTAAAAATTGAAGTTAAGAGCTGATCACAAGCACAAATCTTTCCCGCTAGCCATTTAATAAGTTTAAAAAAAGATACAAAAGCCTGTTAGTCTTGAACAAACTGTCATATGTATGGGACCTACACTTAAAGCATAATCTATATGCTTTACACTTGCTTTCTGCATTTAATTGGTTAGAATGTAATTAATGTAAACTAAAGTGTAGCAATAGCAACAAAATATTCTACTGTAAATGACAAAAGAAAAATTGAGCCTTGGGATGTGCTCATTTTTACTGTAAATTATGATTCCATAAGTGACTTGTAAGCAGTGTTTCTGGCCCCTAAGTATTGCCTCCTATATTTTATTTAATGTATAGTACTATAGGTGCATACTCTGGTCCTTTTTCAAGCCATGTGTTATCGTATCTGTTTTGTACTTTATGTGAGCAGGTTTTGCTGTCCAAGGTGTAAATATTCAATGGGAATGAAACTGGCATGGTCTTTTTTTTTTTTTTTTTTGGGCTCTTTCAAAGATAATGGCCCATCAATGAGCATCTTTAACATATTCTATAGTCTTTTCCTGTGGTGTTAGGTCTTACTTTATTATTATTTTTTCTCCTGGGAATGGGACAGGGATTTGTCATGGGGGAACTGCCCTTTAAATTTTAAGTGACACTACAGAAAAACACAAAAAGGTGATGGGTTGTGTTGTGCTTGTTTTGAATGCTGTCTTGACATCTCTTCCCTTGTCCTCTAGTATGTTCTAAAGCTGTGTCTGAGATCTGGATTTGCCCATCACTTTGGCTAGTGACAGGCCTAATAAATTTGCTTTGTACATTTTCTTTTACTTTCCTTTTTTCCTTTCTGGGGGCATCATGCTGATGGTGTGTCTTTATGAGTGTTTTAACCATTTTCATGGTGGAAGAATTTTTTATTTATGCAGTTGTACAGTTTTATTTTTTTCTGCAAGAAAAAGTGTAGTGTATGAAATAAACCACAGTCACTTGTTTGAAAATAAATCTTTATTTTGAACTTTATACAAAGCAATGCAGTACTCCATAGACTGGTGTAAAATGTTTTCTACTATGCAAAGTCCATGTTCTAATAATTGCCAGGAGTACAGTGCTCTTGTTGATCATGTATTCAGTCAAGTTAAAACAATGGACAATAAAAGAATGAATACATGAAAAAAAAAAAACAGAAGACATCTGCAGCAGATATATTTTCCAAGCCCAACCTATAGTTCCAGAAGTGTTTTTCAGATTTCCATGCAAGTGCAGAGGAAATTTACATATTTCAAAATCCATTAAATAGTGCAGTTGAGCAGCTTTCTCCTGACTTCAATTGGAAGTGATTAGTCGTCAATGTAAGAAGATGCTAAAAGGCAAATATCAACAAGAATTTCATAGAATTCTATAAATGCTTTCAAAGCAATGAATATAGTTATTTAAAATTATGTTTATAGATTTATATCAGCATTTGGCAGTACCTATCTATAAGATTTTGAATATGAAATAGTAACATATCAGATCATCATCAATAGATGAACATTTACAATTAATTTTGATGATAAGGAATACTAACTGAATCCCAATTAAGTGAAATATTTTATCCTATCCCCCCAAAAAGAATTCTGTTCTTCTCATTAGTAGACCTGTATTACAAAGAATTGCACTCACATATTTTTATTATATTTTAAATTTTGTCAAAAAATTTCATGGAAATTTGTAGTTATTTCTTGCTATACCTTCATCATGTCCTTTATATTACCTCTTGGCCTCCAAAGCATGAAATATTTGCTATCTAGCTGTTTAGTCAGTTCTCGTATTGCTATAAAGAAATACCTGAGACTGGGTGATTTATAAAGAAAAGAGGTTTAATTAGCTCACAGTTCTGCAGGCTGTATAGAAAGCATAGAAGCTTCTGGGGAGCCTCAGGAAGCTTCCAGTCTTGGCGGAAGGCAAAGATGGAACAGGTATCTTACATAGCAGGAGCAAGAGAGAGATGGGGGAGGTGCCTCACACTTTTAAATGACCAGATCTCATGAGAACGAACTCACCAGTCGTGAGGACAGTACCAAGAGGGATATTGCTAAATCATTCATGAGAATTCACCCCCATGACCCAGTTACCCCCCCACCAGGCCCCACCTCCAACAATTGGATTTCAATTTGACATGAGATTTGGATGGGGACACAGGTCCAAACCATGTCACCAGCCCTCTTCGAAAAAAGTTTGCCAACCCTATTTCAATGGTTTCGTTAGGATTCCACCCCATTTTATTTATTTTTGTTATTAGTAACCTGGAAAGAAGCTATGAAACTGGAAGGATGTAACTAGAAGCCTTGGAGTATAAATATTTAGGAGGATTCTAAATTATTTGACTATCTCAGTTCTGCACAGGACCAAGGCTTAGAAATGACAATATTTCCTTCTCCAGATGAGTTGGCAAAATTTCAAAGTGGAAATTGTGAGACAATTATGGTCAATAACCCAGGAAGAAAAGGGATGGAGGGAGTTTCTTGAGAGTATAGGAGTTCATTACCAGGAGGGGAGCAGTGGGATAGGAAGATCAAGGAAGAGGGAAGAGGGAGAAGAAGATATGCAAGGAAAGAACAAAGTAGCAGTGCTCAAACTGTCCTAATGTTGGTCAATGGAAGCACCTCAGTTGGCTCCTAAGTCCCTTTGTCATAACTCTAGTATCATGGCGTCCTTACTTTCAGGAATAATATGTTTCAGATTCATCTTGTACGTTTCCTGTCCTGGGTTGGTAATCAACTATTTCTAAAAGGAGCCACTTTTCTTTTTACTGGAAAATAAAATCAAGTTAAAGTAATTACATACTTGATTTATTCTATGTCTCTACACACATAGAGAATAAAGTGTAGTTTCAAATAGCAGTATTAATACTAACAATGTAATTTAAGATTTCTTTGCTTTTCTTTGTATCTTTAGTATATATATCCCACTAGAGATGTATAGTTCAATTTCTGTGTGTTAAAGTCACTTAAAATTTTTCTATATAGAAATATCATCAGTAGATATACAGTTAGGCTCATTTGTTTCATTTTGCTTCTGATTTTTAAAAATAATTTTGTTTTTATTTTATAATTGCCTAAAAATTTACATGATTTCTTAGTCAAACCTACAGAACAGATATTTCAGAGAACTCTAGCTTCCATCTCTGTCCTTTCCACTCTAAGTCCTCTCTCTTGTATAAGTAACTGTTTTAAAGTTTTTGGGTTTTTTTTTTAATACTTAAAATATAAGAAAATAAAGCCAGGCTCCATGGCTCATGCCTATAATCCCGGGACTTTGGGAGGCTGAGGTGGGAGGATCACTTGAGACCAGGAGTTTGAGACCAGCCTGGGCAACATTAGCGAGACCATTTTCCTTACCAAAAATTTAAAAATAAAAATAATATTTTTTAAAAAAACGTACACAT
Organism: Homo sapiens; assembly: GCF_000001405.40. Classification (NCBI taxonomy): domain Eukaryota; kingdom Metazoa; phylum Chordata; class Mammalia; order Primates; family Hominidae; genus Homo; species Homo sapiens. Next base: position 42,033,525 of record NC_000004.12, read on the forward strand.
TTGTATTAAACGCCATACCCTTCATAAATAAGGCATACTATACATACTTTCTGGTCTTGCTTTTTTTTTGAGGCGGAGTCTCGCTCTGTGGCCCAGGCTGGAGTGCAGTGGCACGATCTTGGCTCACTGCAACCTCCGCCTCCTGGGTTCAAGCAATTCTCCTGCCTCAACTTCTCAAGTAGCTGGGACTATAGGCACATGCCACCATGCCTGGCTAATTTTTTGTATTTTTAGTAGAGACGGGGTTTCACCATGTTAGCCAGGATGGTCTCGATGATCTGACCTTGTGATCCACCCGCCTTGGCCTCCCAAAGTGCTGGGATTACAGGCATGAGCCACCGTGCCCGGCTGCTCTTGCTTTTTTTACTTAACTCTGTCATGAGGACTATGCTATAGCGGTAAATAGAGACATTTCTTCATTTATTTTATAATACTCTGTTTTTTGATATACCGTAATGTATTCAATCATTCCCCCATAGGACGTTTCTAGTGTTTTGCTATTAAAACGATACCATGAGAAGCCTTGTAAATAAAAGTTAAAAGAATTTTTTGTAATACAAAAATTTGAGAAAACACAGTAATAGAAAAATACTCTCTCATATTTTTCAACTTTGAGGTAAAAATGAAGGACTTGTTTTTGTATCAGGCTTAGTTAACTTTTATAAAGGTAATATTGAGAAAAGAATCTTACCAAACTGTCTTTATCTCATTGCAAATCCAGATTTTCCTGCCTCCTTTTTTATTGTAAAAAACACATAGCCCAAAATTTACCATCTTAACCATTTTTAAAGGTACAGTTCATAAGTGTGTAAGTATATTCACATTGTTGTGAAACAGATCTTCAGAGGTTTTTCATATTGCAAAACTGAAACACTATACCCATTAAATAACTACCCCCCATTTCCCTGCCACCCCCCGGTCCCTGGCAACCACCATTCTGCTTTTTGTTTCTATTAATTTGAATACTTTAGATACCTCATATAAGTGGAGTCATACAGTGTATGTCCTTTTGAGATGGGCTTATTTCACTTAGCATAGTGTCGTCAAGGTTTATCCATGTTGTTGCATGTGACAGGATTTCCTTTTTCAAGGCTAAATAATACTCCATCATCATATGTATATACCACATTTTGTTTATCCATTCATTCATCCATCCATGGACATTTGGGTTGCTTCACCTCTTGACTGTTGTGAGTACTGCTGCTATGAACATGGGCATGTAAATAGCTTTTTGAGGCCCCACTTGCTATTCTTTGGACGTATGTCCAGAAGTAGGATTGCTGGATTATATGGTAATTCTATGTTACAGTTTTTTTTAGGAACCTTCATATTTTTTTCCATAACAATTGCACCATTTTACATTCCTACCATCAGTGCAAAAAGGTTCCAGTTTTGACACATTGCCAATCCTTGTTATTTTCTGTTTCTTGTTTTTTTAATAGTAGCCATCCTAATGGATGTGAGGTGATATCTCATTGTGGTTTTCATATGTATTTCTCTGATGATTAGTGATGTTGAGTATCTTTCCATATGCTTGTTGGTGGTTTCTATATAATCTTTGGAGAAATGTCTATTGAAATCCTCTCCCCATTTTTTAATCAGTTTACAAATCCAAATTTTTTATAACTTAATATTTTTGCTGTTAGCTAGTAGCGCATATTTAACATAGTCCTGAAGAGAATATCATGTTCATCTAAACTGTGACTGGTAAGAATATCTATGACCTAAATTTATTTTGTTATTCTTACAGGGCTATTTAGAAACCAAAAAATATTAAGAGAATACAGAGATTTCTTGGGAAATACCAAGGTATGGATATCTTTGTAATAATGTGTGTGTTTGTGTTGCACAGCAAAATTCTAATATCAGTCCATTGTAAAATTCTAGCATGTCTGTGATCTCAATCTAAGATTTTCTTGAGTACATTGTAGTTCACTGAATTATAGTCAATTCATTCATTTCCGTCTGATTTTCCTTTTTTTTTTTTTTTGAGACAGAGTTTTGCTCTTGTTGCCCAGGCTGGAGTGCAGTAGTGTAATCTCGGCTCACTGCAATCTCCGCCTCCCGGGTTTGAGCAATTCTCCTGCCTCAGCCTCCCGAGCAGCTGGGACCACAGGCATGCCACCATGCCCAGTTAATTTTTGTGTTTTTAGTAGAGACAGAGTTTCACCATGTTGGCTAGGTGGGTCTTGAACTCCTGACCTCAGGTGATGCGCCTGCCTCGGCCTCCCAAAGTGTTGGGATTACAAGCGTGCCCGGCCTGATTTTCTTGAAATTTAAAACATTTGTACATAAGTTTTCTTTAAAGTCATAACCATGTTATGAACCTTAAGCATGTAGATATAGATGAGGAAGACTTTATTTTCTTAGGTTTTAGTGAGATTTATATCCGTCATACACACTCTTAATTTTCTTTAGCCTCTCTCTTTCTGCTCCTAACTCTGGTTCAACATTCAGACTGCCAACTCTGTGCTTGTATCCAAGAAGCTTAGCCCTTGGAGAAGAAAATTACACAGCCAGTGTGATTGTTCTTTCTTCCTTATATGACTATACAAAATCAATGGATACTCAATATTATTTGACAGTCTTACTAAACTTCCAGAGTATGTTCACCTTCCCACTCTTTGAAATAGCTATTGCATATCTTTTTCTTTCTTGCCAACAGCCTCACTCTTTACTCTTCAGCTGTTGACTTTGCTTCATATTTTATTGAAAAAATAGGTGTAATTTCATAAAAGTACCTCATCTTTTTCATCACCTCATCTTTTCATCACCAAATTTACTAACTCATCTACACATGTGACAAAATACTCTGCTTTCCTTCCTACTAGAAGGAAATTAATATTGGGACACATGTAGAAAGTTTGCCTCTACTGTTCTACCTCTTATTTTCTCCTGAACCTAATCCAATTGGGCTTTCAACCCCACCACCCCACTGAAATGACTTACCAAAGTCCCCAGCACCTTTAAGATGCCAAGCAGTCTGTGGCCAAGTTGACTTTCCATTTAAACTTGGCTGGGAGGAATCTCCTATCAAGAAGTTAATGTCATATTTGGATAAAAGGCTACCTATGCACATTTTCTTCTCTCTGGTGGCATTTGAGACATTGCACCCATTTTGCAAAGTTTAGACATTGGCAGTGATGATAATTTTAGCCAAATCTTATTTGATATGCTTTCCTTTTCCATTTATTATCTTCAAGACCTCTTAATTTCCATTTCCCCTTTGATCACTGCATTTCTGGCACCCCAGTACTGCCCTGAAGATGTGGACTCTCCTCTGGTAGAGCCTTCATATGTCTTATGAGCCAGCATTTTCACTCTCATGCCTCAAGGGCTATTGCCATTGCCTCTTGTGCTGGGATAACTTAGGCTGGTGAGACCTGCCTCCTGGGAAGATTCACTCCTCGCCTTCACATCTGTTTCACATGGAGAATCATCCTCACCAGATTTTCTAATAGTAGCTGTTGACTTATGAAATCTTTGTTACTTCAGAAGATTAATACTGGTCAACTTTTGAATATTCCATGTTTTGAAATGATTTTTTTTTGCTATTACAACGTTTTTTTGCTGGGACATTAGGATAAAACTAGTATTTCATTTCCCTCTACTGTACCCCTATTCCCTTTAGGAATGGTTGTTCTCTCACTGAAGATGGTTGCTTTCCTTCTCTAAAACATAGGGCTAATCCTGTTTGCAAAAATTAAATGCCTTCTTTTTTTTTTTTTTTTTTTTTTTTTTTTTTTTTTGTTATTTCTGACCCAGACACTTGTTTTTCCAATATATTCTTATCTCATGAGAACTCCAATAATGAGATATATGAAATCACAGTGTTCTGGGTCTGCTCCTCTGGTATTTAATTTCTTATATAATAATTTCCCCTTTAATACCTTTCTACTTTCCCATGCCTTCCCTTCTATTTCTAATTCATGGGTTTCTTGATATAGTACTTCAGAGAATTGGAAGTACCTTTATCTCTGCTTAATATATTTAACTCCACAATAGTATCACCTTGAAATGCACCAATAATGCTTTGAACAATTTATGCTCCTTTTCCTGGTAGTTCTCTCTGAAATCTATCCAAATTTTCTGCACTTGTCCCAATATTAAAGAACCTTGTTTATTGTGAATGTTCTCAAAGATATATAAAAATAGAAAAATAGATATTGGCTATCCAGTTTCATTAATTTCTAACATTTTGCTGTCCTGGTCTTCAAAAAGGGGCAGTTCTCCAATTGCTCTGATTATGGAATTTTTTAATATTTTATTTTATTTTATTTTTGAGACAGAGTATTGCTGTGTTGCCCACGATCTCAGCTCACTGCAACCTCCGCCTCCCGGGTTCAAGAGATTCTCATGCCTCAGCCTCCTGAGTAGCTGGGATTACGGGCACCCACTACCACAGCCGGCTGATTTTTTTGTATTTTAGTAGAGACGGGGTTTTACCATGTTGTCCACACTGGTCTCAAACTCCTGAGCTCAAGCAGTCTGCCCATCTTGGCCTCCCAAAGTGCTAGGATTACAAGCGTGAGCCACTGCGCCCGACCTGATTATGGAATTTTTGAGTAGCTTTTACAGGAAGCTTCCCAAGCAGGTTGTGGATCCTGGCTCCTTGTGATCTCTTGTTTTTCTAGATTTTTATTCTCTTGTTAGAGTTCCTTGGACCTTATCATTATTTCTAGTTTCTACCAACACATCTTCCCGTTTTCTACAGCCTTCTTTATTAGAGTGGTTTGGGCCGAGTGAATCTTTTTCCTTATTTTTCTTATTATTTCTTATTCTGATCTTAAAGATCTCATTTCCTTTCCCTGTTTTGCCCCTCCCATGAGTTCCCAAACCTTTCTTCTAAAGAAATCTTATTTTTCACCGTAAGCAGCATTCTATTGTTCCCATAATAATTTCATTGAGTTTTTTCTCTATTCATCCAAATAATACAATATATTCTTATTTTAATAAAACATACATTCTGTTTGTTATCAATAAACAGTATAATTCAGAAATCTAGACCCATAGTCAGAGTTTATGGCTTACAAATCGAAGTAAAAGTTGAGATCACATGGACAAGGTTTATCCCTGTGTAGTTCCTTCTCTTAGCTCTGAAGGCAGGTCAATACAGAATTTTGGGTGTCTGATTTCACACATTCTTAGAGCATATGAATTTCAGCACAGTGCATTTTTCTACTTTATTACTAGTTTTTATGTAGCCAGCTCAGATCCTTTCTGGAAGTAGGCAGGACATGAATTACAAGGAAACAAAACAAACAAGTTTCTGGAAAGAGACCCAGATATGCTTTCGGTTTTAATCTTTCCACTTTCTAAACAAGAACTTCTAGAGAAAAATAAGTAAATCTAATTCAGAAGTTTTGATAGAGGAAAATGTTCTGGTCTGTCAAAGCCACCAGTTACAGTGCTTCTCTGCAAAATTTTGGAGGTATTAAAAAAAGTTTTTGTTTTTTTACAGCCACGCTCCAGAACAGCATCAGTGTTTTTTAAGGGACCAGGAAAAGTGGTGATGGTTGCAATTTGCATGTAAGTACTGAAAAATAAGCTTTGTGAAATAGAATATATTCTTTTAAATATGTATATCCTTAAATATGTAAATTTATTACATGGTAGCTAGCTATAGAGTTTGAGGTTTATTTTGTTTTAGGAGGAAATTGAATAAGTCTTTATTATTGTCAGTAAAGTGGTGGGGAAAGAGCATGAATTCATATAGATAACCATGCTCATTCTCTGTATATTTTTGATGTAGTTAGATCTAAGAATAGTTGCTACCTGAAAATCCTTTCTTGTTTTTATTGGAGTTGATAGAAGTCTTTTTTAAAGAAGTTAGCTAAACCAACCTGGGTTACAGCTACTGAAGAATATCTTTGTGCTTATTATCTTTATTCCACTTATCTTGGAAGAACATAATTATTTGTTCTTGTTATTTTTGCCTCCTCTTTTTTTTTTTTTTTGAGACAGAGTCTTGCTCTGTCGCCAGGCTGGAGTGCAGTGGCTCAATCTCAGCTCACTGCAATCTCTGCCTCCCGGGTTCAAGCCATTCTCCTGCAACAGCCTCCCAAGTAGCTAGGATTATAGGTGCGCGCCATCATGCCCAGCTAATTTTTGTATTTTTAGTAGAGATGGGGTTTCACTACGTTGGCCAGGATGGTCTCAATCTCCTGACCTCGTGATCTGCCCACCTCGGCCTCCCAAAGTGCTGGGATTACAGGTGTGAGCCACTGAGCCCGGCCTTGCCTTCCCCTTTTTCCCTCTATCTTCTTGATTCCTATTGTTTTGTTCACCTTTTGTCTGTTTTTCTGACTAATCTATTTTAGGATGGATGAAATCATTCAATAATTCATTAGTTCTTTTATTCTTAAATATATATATGTAAAATATGTATCAGTGTGATAGGATATGAAAATATAAAGATATAATACATAATTCTTTAAGGATTGGAGGGACACTAAACTAGAGGAAGACATTTATAATACAGACAAGGAATAATGCTGTCATAACTACAATAGTGGTGGTACAGATAGACGTAGACAGTTTCAACTTCTTAGAAGGTATGTTCAAGGATAGTGACCAGGTTTCTGGCTGTACAATTGTGTAAATAATGTACCATTCACTGAGGAGAGTACTGGAAGGAGGAGCAGGGTGGGAGCAGAGAAAATGATGAGTTCATTTTTGAGCTGGTGGTATGTTTAGGGCACCCAGGTGGAGATAAGTCAACAGGGTTCTTTCCACCAGTAATACAGGGATAGTGATTATAGCTTTTCTCATTGGAGGGATGTATGTGTGAAAAGTGCTTAACATAGTACCTGCTCTAAGATATGTACTTAAGAAGTATTATTGTTAATATATATTGGTCTGAAGCTCAGGAGAGAAATCTGAGTTAGAGGTTTGATAGTTTTTAGTATATAGATGATAACTAAAGCCATAAAAGTAAAGATCACCTGAGGAATGTATGTATATATAGTATCAGGAATAAAAAGTCCTCAGGAAAAATTCCTTGAAGAATGTTAACATTAAGAAAAAGGTGGAGGCTTTGGGAGACCTCGTGATCCGAGGTCAGGAGATTGAGACCATCCTGGCTAACACGGTGAAACCCCGTCTCTACTAAAAATACAAAAATTAGCTGGGCGTAGTGGTGGGCGCCTGTAGTCCCAGCTACTTGAGAGGCTGAGGCAGGAGAATGGTGTGAACCCGGGAGGTGGAGCTTGCAGTGAGCCAAGATTGCGCCACTGCACTCCAGTCTGGGCGACAGAGCCAGACTCTGTCTCAAAAAAAAAAAAAAAGAAAAAGAAAAAGGTGGAGGAAAAAGTGCCTGCAGAGGAGATTGAGGAGGAGTAAGGAGAAAAGTAGAAAGAAAACCAGGAGTGTATTAGTCCATTTTCACGCTGCTGATAAAGACATACCCAAGACTGGGCAATTTACAAAAGAAAGAGGTTTAATTGGACTTACAGTTCCCGTGGCTAGGGAAGCCTCACAATCATGGTGGAAGGCAAGGAGGAGCAAGTTATGTCTTACATGGATGGCAGCAGGCAAATAGAGCTTGTGCAGGGTAACTCCCATTTTTAAAAACCATCACATCTCATGAGCTCATTCACTATCACAAGAACAACATGGGAAAGACCCACCCTCATGCTTCAGTCATCTCCCACTGCGTCCCTCCCAAAACATGTGGGAATTATAGGAGCTACAAGATGAGATTTTGTGGGAGACACAGAGCCAAACCATATCAAGGAGTGTCAAGAAAGCCAAGGGAAGAAGCGTTTGTTTTTTTTTTGTGAGACGGAATCTCACTCTGTCGCCAGGCTGGAGTGCAGTGGTGCAATCTCGGCTCACTGCAACCTCCGCCTCCCAGGTTCAAGCGATTCTCCTTGCCTCAGCCTCCTGAGTAGCTGGGACTACAGGCACACATGTTTTAAGGAAATAGCAGGCCTGGTACAGGCACACACCTGGAATCTCAGCACTTTGGGAGGCTGAAGCAGGAGGATTACTTGAGCTCAGGAATTTCAGACCACCTTGGGCAACATAGTGAGACCTTGTACCTACAAAAAAATTTTTTTAATTAGCTGGGCATGGTGGGTGATGTGCGCCTGTAGACCTACTCAGGAAGCTGAGGCAGGAGAATCATTTGAGCCCAGGAGTTTAAGGCTACAGTAAGCTGTGATTATACCACTGCACTCCAACGTGGGCAAGAACAAGACCCTGTCTTTAAAAAATAAATAGCCAGCTAGGGGGTGGCGGGCAAGATGGCTGGATAGGAACAGATCCTGTCTGCAGCTCCCAGTGAGATCCATGCAGAAGGTGGATAACTTCTGCATTTCCAGCTGAGGTACCTGGCTCATCTCATTGGGACTGGTCAGACAGTGGGTGCAGCCCATGGAGGGTGACCCGAAGCAGGGTGGGGCATTGCCTCACCGGGGTAGTGCAAGGGGTCGGGGAACTCCCTCCCCTAGCCAAGGGAAGCCATGAGGGACTGTGCTGTGAGGAACGGTGCATTCCAGCCCAGATACTACGCTTTTCCCATGGTCTTCACAACCCACAGACCAGGAGATTCCCTCGGGTGCCTACACCGCCAGGGCCTTGGGTTTCAAGCACAAAACTGGGCGGCCATTTGGGCAGACACCAAGCTAGCTAGACTAGTTTTTTTTCATACTCCAGTGGTGCCTCGAATGCCAGTGAGACAGAACCTTTTAATCCCTTGGAAAGGGGGCTGAAACCAGGGAGCTAAGTGGTCTAGCTCAGCAGATCCCACCTCCAGAGAGCCCAGAAAGCTAAGATCCACTGGCTTGAAATTCTGGCTGCCAGCACAGCTGTCTGAAGTTGACATGGGATGCTTGAGTTTGGTGTGTGTTGGGGAGTTGGGGGTTGGGGACCACCATTACTGAGGCTTGAGTAGGCAGTTTTCCCCTCACAGTGTAAACAAAGCCATCAGGAAGTTCGAACTGGACAGAACCCACCGTAGCTCAGCAAAGCCACTGTAGCCAGACTGCCTCTCTAGATTTCTTCTCTCTGGGCAGGGCATCTCTGAAAGAAAGGCCCAGCAGTCCCGGTCAGGGGCTTATAGATAAAACTCTCATCTCTCTGGGACAGAAAACTTGGGGGTAGGGGCGGCTGTGGGCGCAGCTTCAGCAGACTTAAACGTTCCTGTCTGCTGGCTCTGAAGAGAGCAGCGGATCTCCCAGCACAGCGCTCGAGGTCTGCTAAGGGACAGACTGCCTCCTCAAGTGGGTCCTTGACCCCCATGCCTCCTGATGGGGAGATACCTCCCAGCAGGGATCAACAGACACCTCATACAGGAGAGCTCCAGCTGACATCTGGCAGGTGCTCCTCTGGGATGAAGCTTCCAGAGGAAGGAACAGGCAGCAATGTTTGCTGTTCTGCAGCCCCTGCTGTTGATACCCAGGTAAACAGGGTCTGGAGTGGACCTCCAGCAAACTCCAGCAGACCTGCAGCAGAGAGGCCTGACTGTTAGAAAGAAAACTAACAAACAGAAAGGAATAGCATCAACATCAACAAAAAGGATGTCCACACAAAAACCCCATCCAAAAGTCACCAACATCAAAGACCAAAGGTAGATAAATCCATGAAGATGAGGAAAAACCAGTGCAAAAAGGCTGAAAATTCCAAAAACCAGAACACCTCTTCTCCTCCAAAGGATCACAACTCCTCGCCAGCAAGGGAACAAAACTGGACGGAGAATGAGTTTGACGAAGTAGGCTTCAGAAAGTGGGTAATAACAAACTCCTCCAAGCTAAAGGAGCATGTTCCAACCCAACGCAAGAAAGCTAAGAACCTTGAAAAAAGGTAAGAGAAATTGCTAACTAGAATAACCAGTTTAGAGAAGAACATAAATGACCTGATGGAGCTGAAAAACACAGCATGAGAACTTTGTGAAGCATACACAAGTATCAATAGCCAAATCAATCAAGTGGAAGAAAGGATATAAGAGATTGAAGATCAACTTAATGAAATAAAGCATAAAGGTAAGATTAGAGAAAAAAATGAAAAAGAATGAACAAAGCCTGCAAGAAAGATGGGACTATGTGAAAAGACCAAACCCACATTTGGTTGGTGTACCTGAAAGTGACTGGGAGAATGGAACCAAGTTGGAAAACACTCTTCAGGAGATTATCCAGGAGAACTTCCCCAACCTAGCAAGACAGGCTAATATTCAAATTCAGGAAATACAGAGAACACCACAAAGACAGTCCTCGAGAAGAGCAACCTCAAGTCACATAATCATCAGATTCACCAAGGTTGAAATGAAGGAAAAAATGTTAAGGGCAGCCAGAGAGAAAGGTCGGGTTACCCACAAAGGGAAGCCCACCAGACTAACAGCAGATCTCTCTGCAGAAACCCTACAAGCCAGAAGAGAGTGGGGGCCAATATTCAACATTCTTAAAGAAAAGAATTTTTAACCCAGAATTTCATATCCAGCCAAACTAAGCTTCATAAGCGAAGGAGAAGAAAAGACAAGCAAATATTGAGAGATTTTATAACCACCAGTCCTGCCTTACAAGAGCTCCTGAAGGAAGTACTAAATATGGAAAGGAAAAACTGGTACCAGCCACTGCAAAAACATACCAAATTGTAAAGACCATTGACACTATAAAGAAACTGCATCAACTAATGAGCAAAATAACCAACTAGCATCATAATGACAGGATCAGATTCACACATAACAATATTAACCTTAAATAGAAACAGGCTAAATGCCCCTGTTAAAAGACACAGACTGGCAAATTGGATAAAGAGTCAAGACCCATTGGTGTGCTGCATGCAGGAGACCCATCTGACGTGCAAAGACACACATAGGCTCAAAATAAAGGAATGGAGGAATATTTACCAAGTAAATGGAAAGCAAAAAAAAAAAAAAAAAAGCAGGGTTGCAATCCTAGTCTCTGACAAAAAAGATTTTAAACCGACAAAGATCAAAAAAGACAAAGGTCATTACATAGTGGTAAAGGGATCAATGCAACAAGAAGAGCTAACTGTCCTAAATATATATGCACCCAATAGAGGAGCACCCAGATTCATAAAGCAAGTTCTTAGAGACCTACAAAGAGACTTAGACTCCCACACAGGAATAGTGGGACACTTTAACCCCTCATTGTCAATATTAGACAGATCAACAAGACAGAAAATTAACAAGGATATTCAGGACTTGAACTCAGCTCTGGACCAAGCAGACTAATAGACATCTACAGAACTCTCAACCCCAAGTCAACAGAATTTACATTCTTCTCAGCACCCTGTCACTCTTATTCTAATATTGACCACATAATTGGATGTAAAACACTCCTCAGCAAATGCAGAAGAACAGAAATCAAAACAGTCTCTCAGACCACAGTGCAATCAAATGAGAACTCAAGATTAAGAAACTCACTCAAAACCGCGCAACTACATGGAAACTGAACAACCTGCTTCTGAGTGACTACTGGGTAAATAACTAAATTAAGGCAGAAATAAATAAGTTCCTTGACACCAATGAGAACAAAGACACAGTGTACCAGAATCTCTGGAACATAGCTAAAGCAGTGTTTAGAGGGAAATTTATAGCACTAAATACCCACAGGAGAAAGTCGGAAAGATCTAAAATCGATACCCTAACATCACAATGAAAAGAACTAGAGAAACAAGAGTAAACAAATTCAAATGCTAGCAGAAGACAAGAAATAACTAAGATCAGAGCAGAACTGAAAGAGATAGAGACACCAAAAACCCTTCAAAAAACCAGTGAATCCAGGAGCTGGTTTTTTTAAAAGATTCACAAAATACATAGACCACTAGCCAGACTAATAAAAAAGAAAAGAGAGGAGAATCAAATAGACAACAATGAAAAATGATAAAGGGGATGTCACCACTGATCCCACAGAAATACAAAGTACCATCAGAGAATAATATAAACACCTCTACGCAAATAAACTAGAAGATCTAGAAGAAATGGATAAATTCCTGGACACACACACCCTCCCAAGACTAAACCAGGAAGAAGTTGAATTCCTGAGTAGACCAATAACAAGTTCTGAAATTGAGGCAGTAATTAATAGCCTATCAACTAAAAAAAAAAAAAAAAGCCCAGGACTAGACGGATTCACAGCCAAATTCTACCAGAGGTGCAAAGAGGAGCTGGTACCATTTCTTCTGAAACTATTCCAAACAATAGGAAAAGAAGGACTCCTCCTCAACTCGTTTTATGAGGCCAGCATCATCCTGATACCAAAACCTGGCAGAGACACACAAAAAAAAGAAAATTTCAGACCAAAATCCTTGATGAACATCGATGCAGAAATCCTCAATAAAATACTGGCAAAGCAAATCCAGCAGCATGTCAAAAAGCTTATCACCACCATCAAGTTGGTTTCATCCCTGGGATGCAAGGCTGGTTCAACATATGCATCAACATATGCAAAATAATAAATGTAATCCATTAAATAAACAGAACCAATACAAAAACCAAATGATTATCTCAGTAGTTGCAGAAAAGCCCTTCAATAAAATTCAACACCGCCTCATGCTAAAAACTCTCACCTTAAACTAGGTATTGGCAGAACGTATCTCAAAATAAAAAGAGCTATTTATGACAAACCCACAGCCAATATCATACTGAATGGGCAGTAGCTGGAAGCATTCCCTTTGAAAACCAGCACAAGACAAGGATGCTGTCTCTCACCACTCCTATTCAACATAGTATTGGAAGCTCTGGCCAGGGCAATCAGGCAAGAGAAAGAAATAAAGGGTATTCAAATAGGAAGAGAGGAAGTCAAGTTGTCTCTGTTTGCAGATGACATGATTGTATATTTAGAAAACCCCATAATCTCAGCCCAAAATCTCCTTAAGCTGATAAGCAACTTGAGCAAAGTCTCAGGATACAAAATCAATGTACAAAAATCACAAGCATTCTTACATACCAATAATAGACAAACAGCCAAATCATGAGTGAACTCCCATTCACAGTTGCTACAAAGAGAATAAAATACCTAGGAATACAACTTACAAGGGATGTGAAGGACCTCTTCAAGGAGAACTACAAACCACTGCTCAAGGAAATAAGAGAGGACACAAAGAAATGGAAAAACATTCCATGCTCGTGGATAGGAATAATCAATATCATGAAAATGGCCGTACTGCGCAAAGTAATTAATGGAATCAATGATATCCCCATCAAGCTACCATTGACTTTCTTCACAGAATTAGAAAAAAAACTTCTTTAAATTTCATATGGAACCAAAAAAGAGCCTGTATAGCCAAGATAATCCTAAGCAAAAAGAACAAAGCTGGAGGCATCATGCTGCCTGACTTCAAACTATACTACAAGGCTGCGGTAACCAAAACAGCATGGTACTGGTACCAAAACAGATATATAGACCAATGTAACAGAACTGAGGCCTTAGAAATAACACCAAACATCTACAACCATCTGATCTTTGACAAACCTGACAAAAGCAATGGGGAAAGGATTCCCGATTTAATAAATGGTGCTGGGAAAACTGGCAAGCCATATGCAGAAAACTGAAACTGGACCCTGTCTTTATACCTTATACAAAAATTAACTCAAGATGGATTAAAGACTTAAACGTAAGACCTAAAACCATAAAAACCCTAGAAGAAAACCTAGGCAATACCATTCAGGACATAGGCATGGGCAAAGACTTCATGACTTTCACACCAAAAGCAATGGGAACAAAAGCCAAAATTGACAAATGGGATCTAATTAAGCTAAAGAACTTCTGCACAGCAAAATAAACTATTATCCGAGTGAACAGGTAATCTATAGAATGGGAGAAAATTTTTGCAATCTATCCATCTGACAAAGGGCTAATATCCAGAATCTACAAGGAACTTAAACAAATTTACAAGAAAAACAAACAACTGCATCAAAAAGTGGGTGAAGGATATGAACAGACACTTCTCAAAAGAAGATATTTATGCAGCCAACAAACATATGGAAAAAAGCTCATCATCACTGGTCATTAGAGAAATGCAAATCGAAACCACAATGAGATTCTATCTCACGCCAGTTAGATTGGCGATCATTTAAAAGTCAGGAAACAGCAGATGCTGGAGAGGATGTGGAGAAATAGGAACACTTTTACACTGTTGGTGAGAGTGTAAATTAGTTCAACCATTGTGGAAGACAGTGTGGCGATTCCTCCAGGATCTAGAACCGGAAATACCATTTGATCCAGCAGTCCCATTACTGTGTATATATCCAATAGATTATAAATCATTCTACTATAAAGACACATGCACGTGTATGTTTTTTGTAGCACTATTCATATTAGCAGACTTGGAGCCAACCCAGATGCCCATCAATGATAGACTGGATAAAGAAAATGTGGCACATATACACCATGGGATAATATGCAGCCATAAAAAAGGATGAGTTCATGTCCTTTGCAGGGACATGGATGAAGCTGGAAACCATCATTCTCAGCAGACTAGCACAAGAACAGAAAATCAAACACCACATGTTCTCACTCATAAGTGAGAGCTGAACAATGAAAACACATGGACACAGAGAGGGGAATATCACACACTGGGGCCTATTGGGGGGTGGGTGGCTAGGGGAGGGATAGCATTAGGAGAAATACCTAATGTAGATGACGGGTTGATGGGTGCAGCAAACCACCATGGCACATGTATACCTATGTAACAAACCTGCACATTCTGCACATATATCCCAAAACTTAAATTATAAATTTAAAAAATAAATAAACATTGTTTAAAAAAAGAAGAAAATAGTGTCAGATGCTCCCAGGAGGTTAAGAGAAATGCTAAAATATTTCCAGGAATTTAGTAGTATGGAATGGTAGGTGGTATTGATAAGATGAAAACTGTGACAGACAGAATAAATATGATGTTTTTAAGAAGTTATCTGAGGTGGAGGAGATGGGAAAAGGGTAGCTAAAAGGGGACATACAGTTCTCTCATTTATAAAATGGGGGTGTTAATATTTGTATAACAGACTTGTAATATAACATGGTAACTCACTAGCATAACGTCTGAGATAAATCATATTAGTCATTACTGTTAGTATCTGAGCAGCTAGTTTCCTCAGAGTTAACTGTTTATTTTGGCATCTAGCTGCTTCTAGTATGACTCTGAGACTGCTTAGAGTCACCTCTGGCATCTGCCTCCTTAAGTAAACAGATTTTCACTGAAGTCTTGCCTTTGACACTGGCCCAATGGACAGTATCAGGTGCAGATCTGCTTTTATCTACCTAAAACACATAATTTTCTTTTACATTTTATCTTGTCCACATATAGAAGACCATCTTTTCTCACCAGTTTTCAAAATATACTTAAGTAATTTGCTTACACATAGCATGCCTCTTAACAGTACATAATCTATATTTTTTCAAATTTTTACTCTTGTTACCTAAACAAAGTTTTTTAAGGCTAGGGATTCTTTTAATTGTACTTGTTTTTTTTGTTATTGTTGTTGTTGTTTTAGCGATGGGGTCTCACTCTCTTGCCTAGGCTGGAGTGCAGTGGCACGATCATAGCTCACTTCGGCCTCAAACTCCTGGGCTCAGATGATCTTCCCACCTCAGCCTCTCAGTAGCTGGGACTAAAGGCGTGCACTACCACACCAGACTAAGTTTTTAAAAAATTTTTTGTAGAGATGGGGTCTTACTTTGTTGCCCAGACTGGTCTTGAACTCCTGTCCTCAAGCCATCCTCCCACCTCAGCCTCCCAAAATGTTGGCATTATAGGTGTGAGCCATTGTGCTTAGCCTAATTTTACTTTCAACAGAATCTAGTGTAGAGATATACAGCTGATTGAGTATGCTTTTGGCTTAAATTTTTGTCCAAACCTATGCTAAATTGTTTTCTCTTTCTCTTCTAGCAATGGATTAAACTGCTTCTTTAAATTTCTTGCCTGGATTTATACCGGTTCAGCAAGTATGTTCTCAGAAGCTATACACTCATTATCTGATACTTGTAATCAGGTGAGGACTAAAGCTTTTTTTATAAGTCAATTTTAAAGTAATAGTTGTAGGCTTTAATCTAAAAGTTGATCTATTTTAAAACTGAATGATTCCAGTAGTTGGCTTGTGGGATAAAATAAAAGTTTACTTTTCAGCAATGAAGTGCATAGAAATTTAATCATAGTATTTTAAAGCAGATTGTTATGCTTTAAGAACCTCTGACAATGGAATGTGAAGTATAACATTGTCAGTCACTGAGCAGAAATCTGGTCTCTGAATATGAATTCTCAATGACTGTAATAGTCAATGAATTTAAACTTTTGGAATAAAGATGTAAAATCATATGTAATTGGTTAAAATGCTTTCACATTAGATTCATAATTTGAATTACTTTCCTTGGCTTTGCAAATGGAGAAAAATTTTTGTATTAATACAATTAAAAGACCTTCTAAACCCCCTGTGGCCCAAATTGTGAAAACTAGAAACCCAAAACTTTTCTAAGAATATAATAAAAATTTCTGTGTGTGCATCCTATTACATTTTAAAGAGTGTGGTATATTAAGAGGATACCTTTTCAATATTTACTTATTTTTAGTCCTGTTATGTAAAAACTGATTTGGGAGAACTTCAATGAGAGACACAGGTAAAATAAGAATATTTAAGACAAGGATAAAAATAACGTGAAGATAAGGAGCAAGGAGAGCAATATTAATTAAAAATTAAGCCTGTGAACTTGTCTCACTCACTGTCAAATCAGATGGATTAAAACCCTTCATAAAAGTAAGGAAAGAAGACAAGCGTTTGCCATTAGTACTAAGTATTTACCTTGAACTTAATTTTTATACTCAATATATACTTAAATACTGTCTCTATAAAATTTTACCATTCAACTGTGGTATGCAGTGGGAGGAGAGGGGATAGGGAGAGATATATAACTTATAATCTCTATTTTCTTGTAAGCTTATCGAGGAAAGTTGAAATACAGAAATATTTGTCCATATGGCAAGGAGATATGTATGATGTTATTAGTTTCAATATTAGTTTTTATTTCAAACATTGAAGACAGTGTTTAAGTGTTCATTCTCTATGCTATTCAGGCATTTAAAAAGAATGTAGTAGATATCTGTGTACTGACCTGGAATGATAACCATGATAAATTGAGTAAAAAATCAAGTTGCAAAATACTATGTTCAGAACTTCTGCTTTCACCCATGACAGACTAACAGGGATTGAGTTTAATCTTTTGCCATAGACAACTAAAAGCTAGACAGTATATTGGATAATAGCAGCATAAGACCATGATCTCTGAGAGATAAGAAACAAATTATTTGAACTCTCTGATCTCTCTGGCTTTTTGCTTGAACACATATTTGGGATAGTGGAGCAGGATGGGAAATAACAGTCTCATTGAGTTGAGAAGACAGAAATCAGTGTTCAGGGTGTCTGAGGTGGCTAGAACTTACAAGGAAGAGTTCCACAGAGGAAGGAGCTACAAGGACAAAAAGCTATAGAAGTCTACATAGGGATTTCCTTGAATTGAATGTTTGCTGAATGTTAAGTTACACATGTGTAAGATGTGAGCATCAATCTGGGCAGAGAACCAGCAGGGAGCAGTAACTGACTAATTCCCACTGCTCACACAAAGCTAGGTTACATTCAGGTTCTGACTAGCTGACGTAAGAGAGTTCTCATTGATTATCGAGGCCAATGGAAGGCTCACCTTAGGAGTAGGGCTAAATTATTCTTAACGTAAAGGCTGTTCTAGAACCCTCCCTAACAAATCTTCCTAAAAGTTCTAAAGGATCAAGCTGATCTTCAAATAATTTAATCACTTGCCAGAACAAAGCCTCACATTCTTTAATAAAGGCAGCAAAATCCAAACACTCAGTATAACATTCACAGTGTTTAGCATCCAATAAAAAAGACTAATCGCCAGTATAAGAAGCAGGAAAATTTGACTCATAACCAGGAGAAAAATCAGTCGGAAGCAGACTAAACAGATGATAGAATTAGCAGACAAGGATATTAAACAGCTATTTCAAGTACAGTCATGTATTGAAAGGAAAATATGAACATAAGAAGATAAATCAAAGGTATAAAAAATAAACCAAATGAAACTTTTAGAGCTAAAAAAATATATCTGGTGTGAAAAATTCACTGTATAGAATTAACAGCACATTAGACACTGCAGGTAAAACAGTCAGTGAACCTGAATATGTAACAGCAGAAAATATTCTTACTAAAGCCACAGACAAAAAAGATTGAAAAAAATGGAGGAAGCCTTGGTAACCTATGGAACAATATCAAGAGTATTCTGTCAAGCATTTAGGGAAGAAACAATGCTGAGTACACAGACTTTCAGAAATAGAGAATGAAATGTTTTTCTACTGCTTTAATGAGGCTAGTATAACCCTGATGCCAAAATTTTACGAAGTCATTATGAGAGGGAAAAAACCCTACAGACCAGTTATTCCTCATGAACACAGATATAAAACTCCTTAAAATATAATCAGATTTTATTATATAAATATATAAATATGATATATATAAAAATGATATTATATCATAAGTGAGTAAGATTTCAGGAGTGTAAAGTTGGTTTAACATTCAAAATCAGTAAGTATAGAAGGTTAATATGAAGAAATTAATTGCATTTCTACTATCAGCAAATAAATGGGGAAGGAAATTTTAATAAATTCCATAAGTAGTATCACAAAATATTAAATACTTAGAGATAAATCTAGCAAAAGACATACAAGACCTTTACGCTGAAAATCATAAAATGTTGCTGAGAGAAATCAAAGAAGACCTAAAGAAATGGAGAGATACAATACCGCGTTCATAGATTGGATGTCATAGATCTGTCAAATCTCCCTAAATTGATTTACAGATATAATGGAGTTCCATTCATAATATGAACAGACTTCTCTGTACAATTGACAAACCGAATAAATTCCAAAATTCATACGGACATGCAAAGAACCTGGAATATTCAAAGCAATCTTGAAACAAGAAATTTGGAGAACTTCAAGACATTATAAACTTATATAGAAATTAGGACAGTGAGTTACTGGCATAAGGATTGACAAATCAATGGAACAAAATTGAGGATCCAACAACAGAGCCACATTTACATGGCCCGTGCCTTTCGGCAAAGGTATCAAAGCAATTGAGTGAGGAAATGAAACTTTTTAAAACAAATAATGTTGGAAAAATTGGATCCATATGGGGAGAAAAAGGACCTTGACTCCTACTTCACACACTGTATACAAGTTTGAAATGGATCATAGTCCAAATATAAAAGTTAAAACTATGAAGATTCTAGAAGAAAACCTAGGAGAATATCTTTTAGACCTGGTAGGCAAAGATTTCATAAATAGGACACAGAAACAATATCATAAAATAAGATTTACAAATTCAACTTCATCAAAATTAAAAACTTTTGCTCATTGAAAGACATCCTTAAGGAAATAAATACGCATAGATTGGGAGAAAATAGTCACAAAGCATTCTGACAAGGGACTGGTATCCAGGATTAAGAAATTCCACGATTCAGTAATAAAATGAGAACCAGTTTTTTCCCCCCAAGGATAAAGATTTGGGCAGGTACTTCACAAATAAGGAAACATGAATGGTGGCCAGTGGACACCTGAAAATGTGCTAACACCGTTAATGATCAGGAAATGTATATTAATACCACAAGACATCTCTGCATATCCACTATAATGGCTACAAGTAAAAACCTGACAGCCAAATGTTGGTGAAGATGTGGAGCAGCCAGATCTCCCAGTCATTGCTGGTGTATTACTAAAATGGTACAACCACTCTGGAAAATATTTGGCAGCCTCCTATAAACATATACTTATCCTGTGACCCACCAATTCCACTTCTAAGTATTTACCCAAGGGAAGTGGGAATGAATGGTCCCAAAAGATTTGTATAAGAATGTTGGCTGGGCGCGGTGGCTCACGTCTGTAATCCGAGCACTTTGGGAGGCCAAGGCAGGCAGATCATCTGAGGTCAGGAATTCGAGACCAGCCTGGCCAAGATGGTGAAATTCCATCTCTGCTAAAAGTACAAAATAGCTGGGCATGGTGATGGGCCCATGTAATCCCAGCTACTCGGGAGGCTAAGGCAGGAGAATCGCTTGAACCCGGGAGGCGGGGGTTACAGTGAGCCAAGATCCGAGATTGCACCACTGCACTCCAGCCTGGATGACAAGAGTGACTCGGTCTCCAAAAAAAAAAAAAAAAAAAAAAAAAAAAAGGAATGTTATAGCAGCTTTACTTATAATGGCTGAAAAAATTGGAATCAACCCAAATGTTTATCAGCAGTACAGCAGATAAACAAATTGTGGTATACTCATACAATGGAATATTATCTGGCAATAAAAGGGAATGAAGTACTTTTCTGACTGGCAACATAGATGTATCTCCAGCAAGGAACTTTAATTTTTAATAGTTTAAAAAAATTGGGAAAAATGGTTGCGTCTGATGTCGGGGAGGAAAGAGGCACAGGGAGCTTTTTGGGAATGATGGAAAGGTTCTGTGTCTTCATAGGAATATATGTTTCAAGGGTATGTGTATTTGTTAACAACCAGAACTGTACATTCTGGGCCAGGTACGGTGGCTCATGCCTGTAATTCCAGCACATTGGGAGGCCGAGGTGGGCGGATCACTGGAGGTCAGGAGTTCGAGGCCAGCCTGGCCAATACGGTGAAACCCGCATCTCTACTAAAAATACAAAAACATTAGCTGAGCGTGGTGGTACATGCCTGTAATCCCAGCTACTCAGGAGATGGAGACAGGAGAATCACTTGAACCCGGGAGGCAGAGGTTGCAGTGAGTCAAGATGGCACCACTGTACTCCAGCCTGGGCGACAGAACTAGACATCTCAAAACAAAAACAAAAACAAAACTGTACATTCAGGATTTGTGCATTTCATTGTATGTGAATTTTACCTCAAAAAAATTCTCCCTATGTGGAAATGTGATTACTTAGTAGATATTTGATAATAGTAAGGAATTAGTATTGATTTTTTTTTTTTTTTGAGACAGAGTCTCGCTCTGTCACCCAGGCTGGAGTGCAATGGCATGATCTCAGCTCACTGCAAGCTCCGCCTCCCAGGTTCACACCATTCTCCTGCCTCAGCCTCCCGAGTAGCTGGGACTACAGGTGCCTGCCATCACGCCCAGCTAATTTTTTGTATTTTTAGTAGAGACGGGGTTTCACCGTGTTAGCCAGGATGGTTTCGATATGGTCTTGATCTCCTGACCTTGTGATCCACCTGCCTCGGCCTCCCAAAGTGCTGGGATTACAGACATGAGCCACCGCACCCGGCCAGGAATTAGTATCGATTTTTAAAAGTCTGATAATAGTCTTGTGGCTGTATTTTCTAAAAAGCCTAGTTTTTAAAGAGATTCATCCAAAATATTTAAAGATGAAATGGTACGATGCTTGGAATTTACTTCAAAATATTCATGAGGGAGTAGATATGGATGAAATAAAACATATTTGGTTACATATTTATAATTGTTAAAGCTTAATGATGGATGATTTGAGTTTTTAAAAATGTTCTATCAGGGCCGGGCATGGTGGCTCATGCCTGTAATCCCAGCACTTTGGGAGGCCGAAGCAGGCAGATCACCTGAGGTCAGGAGTTCAAGACCAGCCTGACCAACATGGCAAAACCCCGTCTCTTAGAGTTTTCAAAAAGACTTCAGTTAAAAATATTTCAACTGGACCTTTCTGAATAGATGGAAATTGTATTTCAGAAAGTTGTTTCTTTCGAGACCTATAATATTTTTAAAATTTTAATTCATTGTAATATTTTTATGCCATATGTTTTCCCTCACTTCTTGAGAGACTTAAGTACCTCCAACTTTTAAATTAGACCTGTGTCTCTAATTATAATGTAGTTTTTTATTTATTTATTACTTATTTTTTGAGACAGAGTCTCGCTGTCTTGCCCAGGCTGGAATGCAGTGGCACAATCTCGGCTTACTGCAAGCTCCATCTCCCAGGTTCACGCCATTCTCCTGCCTCAGCTTCCCGAATAGCTGGGACTACAGGCGCCCGCCACCACGCCCGGCTAGTTTTTTGTATTTGCAGTACAGACAGGGTTTCACCATGTTAGCCTTACAATTTCTGTTACAGTTCATGTTGGAAAACTTTTCTGTTAAATATTGCACATCGTATCATTTAATATCAACTGAGATGAATTTATTGAGCACCTGAGTTTGCAATGTAGCAAGTGTTTAGAAGAAGACATGGTTCTTTCTCTGTCTTCTTTAAACAGGTTATATGCGGTTATATGCACATAAAACAACTAGAAAGATCTTCTAAGGTACCATTTATGCAGGTGCTGGATAGTATGATACTTAAGGAACACCAGAAACGTGAAGGGTGATCATGGAGTAGAGAGCATTTACAGTACTTCTTAGCCACTAGATGTTAATGTTCGTTATGCTGCAAACTAAACAAATGCTCTGTAGGTTATATATACGTACTGATAGAGATTTATGTTGTAAATGTGTAGAAAAAGGTCTGGAAGGATACATATCAAATATAACTGTGATTCTGTCTTACCTCTGAGGAGAGCTGGTTGGGGTGGTCTCATTTTTGTTAGAACTAATAAATATGGTCCATATTCATTTTATAAAATAGTTGACGGTATCTCACACTTCATTGCACAGCCAACTGA
This sequence comes from Homo sapiens, assembly GCF_000001405.40. Lineage (NCBI taxonomy): Eukaryota > Metazoa > Chordata > Mammalia > Primates > Hominidae > Homo > Homo sapiens. The sequence continues at coordinate 42,056,162 of NC_000004.12, forward strand.
ATATTAAGGATTTTTAAATAGTTGAATGTTTATTGAATATTTTAAAAATAATATAAATACATATATATGTATACATATATACACATAATGTGAATAATGACTGTCACTTTTAATGTACAGGTGTGTATTATTCCATTTTCACACTGCTGATAAAAACATACCCAAGACTGGGCAATTTACAAAAAAAAGAGGTTTAATTGTGACTAGGGCAGGCTCACAATCATGGTGGAAGGTGAAAGGCATGTCTCACATGGCAGCAGACAAGAGAAGAGGGCTTGTGCAGGGAAACTCCCCTTTTTAAAACCATCAGATCTTGTGAGACTTATTCACTATCACGAGAACAGCCGAGGAAAGACTTGCCTCCATGATTCAGTTACCTCCCACTAGGTCCCTCCCACAACATGTGGGAATTCAAGATGAGATTTGGGTGGGGACACAGCCAAACCATATCTTCCCGCCCCAGCCCCTCCCGAATCTCATGTCCTCACATTTCAAAACCAGTCATGCCTTCCCAACAGTCCCCCAAAGTCTTAACTCATTTCAGCATTAACTCAAAAGTCCATCCAAGGTGTCATCTAAGACAAGGCAAGTCCCTTCTGCCTATGAACCTGTAAAATCAAAAGCAGGTTAGTTATTTCCTGGATACAATGAGGGTACAGGCATTGGGTAAATACAGACATTGGGTAAATACCATGTCTCCATTTGGCGACATTGGGTAAATGTCTCCAAAAGGGAGACATTGGCCAAAACAAAGGGGCTACAGGCCCCATGCAAGTCCAGAATCCAGCGGGGCAGTCAATTCGTAAAGCTCCAAAATGATCTCCTTTCGCTCCATGTCTCACCTCCAGGTCACGCTGATGCAAAAGGTGGGCTCCCACAGCCATGGGCAACTCCACCTCTTTAGCTCTGCAGGATATAGCCCACTTTTGGCTGCTTTCAGGGGCTGGCATTGAGTGTCTGTGGCTTTTCCAGGTGCACTGTGCAAGCTGTCAGTGGATCTATCATTCTGGGATATGGAGGGCAATGGCCGCCCTCTGCTCACAGCTCCACTAGGTGGTGTCCCAGTAGGTTTTCTGTGTGGGGGCTCCCACCCCACATTTCCCTTAAGCACTGCCCTAGCAGAGGTTGTCCATGAGAGCCCCGCCTGTGCAGCAAACTTCTACCTGGGCATCCAGGTGTTTCCCATACATCCTCTGAAATCTAGGCAGAGATTTCCAAACCTCAGTTCTTGACTTCTGTGCACCCACAGGCCCAACACCACGTGGAAGCTGCCAAGGCTTGGGGCTTCCACCTACTGAAGCAATAGCTGGAGCTGTACCTTGGCCCCTTTTAATCACAGCTGGAGCAGCTGGGATGCAAGGCACTAAGCTCCCAGACTGCACACAGCAGAGGGACCCTAGGCCCAGCCCACAAAACCACTTTTCTTCCTAAACCTCCAGGCCTGTGATTCAAGGGGCTGCCACAAAGGTCTTTGACATGCCCTAGAGACATTTTCCCCCTTTTCTTGGTGATTAACATTCAGTTCCTCATTACTTATGCAAATTTCTGCAGCTGGCTTGAATTTCTCCTCAGAAAATGGAATTTTCTTTTCTATTGCATTGTAAGGCTGCAAATTTTTGAAACTTTTATGCTCTGTTTCCCTTTTAAAACTGAATGCCGGGGCTGGGCACAGTGGCTCATGCCTGTAATCCCAGCACTTTGGGAGGCTGAGGCGGGCGGATCACGAGGTGAAGAAATCGAGACCATCCTGGCCAACATGGTGAAACCCCATCTCTACTAAAAATACAAAAATTAGCTGGGTGTGGTGGCACTTGCCTGTAGTCCCAGCTACTCGGGAGGCTGAGGCAGGATAATCGCTTGAACCTGGGAAGCAGAGGTTACAGTAAGCCAAGATCGTGCCACTGCATTCCAGCCTGGCGACAGAGTGAGACTTTGTCTCAAAAAAAAAAAAAAAAAAAAACTGAATTCCTTTAATAGCACCCAAATCACCTCTTGAATGCTTTGCTGCTTAGAAATTTCTCCAGCCAGACACTCTAAATCATCTCTCTCAAGTTCAAAGTTCACAAATCTCTAGGGCAGGGGCAAAATGCTACCAGTCTCTTTGCTTAAAACATAACAAGAGTCACCTTTGCCCCAGTTTCCAACAAGTTCCTCATTTCCATCTGAGACCACCTCAGCCTGGACTTTATTGTCCGTATTGCTGTCAGCATTTTGGGCAAAGCCATTCAACAAGTCTCTAGGAAATTCCAAACTTTCTCACATTTTCCTATCTTTTTCTGAGCCCTCCAAACTGTTCCAACCCCTGCCTGTTACCCAGTTCCAAAGTTGCTTCCACATTTTCGGGTATCTAGAGCAGCACCCCACTCTACTGGTACCAATTTACTGTATTATTCTGTTTTCATGCTGCTGATAAAGACATGCCCAAGACTGGGCAATTTACAGAAAAAGGAGGTTTAATGGACTTACAATTTCACATGGCTAGGGAAGCCTCACAATCATGGCAGAAGGTGAAAGGCACGTCTCACATGGTGGCAACACAAGAGAAGAGAGCTTGTGCGGGGAAACTCCCCTTTTTAAAACAATCAGATCTCATAAGACGTATTCACTAGCACAAGAACAGCATGGGAAAGACCTGCCCTGATTATTCAGTTACCTCCCACCAGATCCCACAACACTTGGGAATTCAAAATGAGATTTGGGTGGGGACACAGTCAAACCATATCAGGGTGTAAAAGAGTTATATCTTCCTTTGAATTTCCTGTCATTCTCTTAGTTTAATTCCCTGAAAAATCATGTATATTTTAGGTGGTTTGCTCCCTTTTCCCATGGAATCCAGTGGTAAAAGCTTATAATATTCTGTGTATTTAGGGTAGGGTTTCCAATATTAAGACCTAAAAATATATTTGTATTAAGTATTTTCAAGTTTCTTTAATCTCTATTTTTTATTAGAAAAAATGTGTCTATTAAATTTCTTGTAACCTAAGGGAAACCTCATCTGTGAAGAAGTCATTATCTAGAAACTTCACTTATCTGATTATTTGATATGATGCTGGAAAAAGGAAAAGCCTCAGATTAATCAACTAAAATTACATAGGGAATTCACTCAGAGGCTTTATATTTTTATCAAATAGTTCTAATAAGGTAGTCTTATGATGTGATTTCTAGATTCACATCAAATTAGGATGGAAAGGACTTACTAGGGACAAGCATACTACTATTGAGAAGTTCCAGTGGATAACTCTTTAACAAAGGGCAAAACTTTAAAAACCACCTAAGTGGAAATGAAAGAAAGAAGGAAGAAATGATGAAGGCAAGTGAGACAGAGGAGAGGCAGTCAGAAAGGAAGGAAAGAAAAGAATATGATATATAATTCCTGTGCATGGTTTTGCAGTTTTAATAGAAATGTGTGTGCCCATACACAATATATATATATTGTTTAAAGTTGTTATTATCTTTTACTTGTAAAGCTATACAAGTTATTCTTCCTGTAAAAAGTCAAATATTAGACTACCTTAATTCTGCCTCTCTTCAGAGATACAAACATAGTTACTTGCATGTTCTTTTAAACCTTTTCTGTGCTTTACATTATATGTAGTTTATAAAACTACAAAGCATAAGTTCTGTACTGTACATACTGTTCCTAACTTGCTTTTTTCTCTTCTTCCACTTAATGGTATGTCTAGGAGCTTTATCCATGTCAGTATAGAAAGCTCTACTCTAACCCTATTTTTTTAACCTACTGTAGAAGTAATTTATGGTTTATCATTTATTTTGTCATTCCCAATTGATGGATTTTTTTTAGGTTGCTTTCATGTTTCTCATCTTTATAAACAATGGTGTTTTGAACCCCTTTGAGTTCATCTTTATTTTTTAAGGTAAGTACTAGAAACCAGAATTGCTGGGTCATTGGACATGCATATGTTGAGTGTTTCTTTGTCATTGTTAGCCTGCACCCTCCACATTGGCTTTACCATATTATACTCTCCATCTTGCTAATGATTATTCACCTTTTTTTCTTCTTCTTCATAGGGTTTACTAGCATTGGGCATCAGTAAGTCTGTTCAAACACCAGATCCTTCTCATCCGTAAGGACATTGCCTTATTTTGTTTTTGTTTGTTTTGGCGATAAGTCATTGAAATAACTAAATATCAGAAATCTCCTGCAATTTATGTACCTGCAGTTTGTTCAAGATTTGGTCATTTCTTCCACTGTAGTATCTAAAATGCAGAACTTCCCACTGTGTCAAAGTAAATTCAAGGTATAATTTGAAAATGGAGTTCAAGTTATTTTTATGCTTTGTAGCACGGCATGGAGATCTTGTTTTCTCCATATTTGATAATAATAAAGCACATATTTTGATCTTAGAGGTCTGTTTTATTTGGTCCAAGGAAACATATATTCTAGATTTAGACTCATAGGCTGCCCAATCTAAAATTTTGATGATAACTTCTATTAGATACACACTTATTTTAATCCTCCTGTTGTGATTTGGAAATGTATTTTGTTAATATTTCAGAATTATTTATTTGTAAAATGAGTATACTTTTTAGAATGTATTATTTTGAATCATAGCCATTATTTGATACAGAGATTTTTTTCTATTGCTTCTATTAACATAACCATCTAACACTTTTGAATTCCACAAACATCATTTTAAGACTAGCTTCAGTAATATAATTTGATAAATCTTAAGACCAAAAAAAGTGCACTTTTATTTCTGTAAAGGAGTCTACCTCTATTCTTTAGAAATGCCTTTCTTTACTTGAAAGCAATACTACTGTTTTCCCATAAATAACATATTTGAATGTTTTGTAACTGTCAAGCTAGTATAGAGAATAGCTCTCTAGTGTGTTAATTACCCATCATTACAGTGTTTTACCATCTTAAGAAAAATTTTTTTTTCATGGCCAGTTTTATGTACAAAAGATTTAAAAACAGAAGGTACAAATTTTAAATTTTAGGTTGTGAAGATTTCTTCTCAAGGTATTTTTATAGTCTACTTTAGTGCTGCCCAACAGAATTTTCTGCAATGATGGAAATATTTTATATCTGTCCAGTATGGTAGTAGCTAACTACATGTAGCTATTGAGCACTTGAAATGTGGCCAGTGCAACTGAAGAACTAGATTTTAAACTATATTTAGTTTTAATTTATTTAAATTTAAATTGCCACATGTGGCTAGTGGCTCATCATATTGGGCAGTTTAGACCTACATAATCAAAATTTTCAATAAGTTAATAATTCCTTGAAATCACCTGAAGTAATACCATTTATTTTAGATCTTAATTTACTTTAACGTGAATATATATTCATGTTACTTTAGAAGAAAGTAAATTTTTCTGAGTGAGCTGATTGTCACATTGTCACATCTATAAACTGGGAATTCCCCATGGCAGGATTACTCTTTGCAAAAAGGAATTCCAAGAGCAGCTTGATTAAGAATTCTTGTTGAAAGCCGGGTGCAGTGGCTCATGCCTGTAATCCCAGCACTTTGGGAGGCTGAGGCAGGTGGATCACCTAAGGTCGGGAGTTCGAGACCAGCCTGACCAACATGGAGAAACCCCATCTCTACTGACAAAACAAAAAAATTAGCCGGGTGTGGTGGCGCATGCCTGTAATCCCAGCTACTCGGGAAGCTGAGGCAGGAGAGTCGCTTGAACTCAGGAGGCGGAGGTTGTGGTGAGCCAAGATCACGCCATTGCACTCCAGCCTGTTCAACAAGAGCGAAACTCCGTTTCAAAAAAAAAAAATGTCGGGCGCGGTGGCCCACGCCTGTAATCCCAGCACTTTGGGAGGCCGAGGAAGGCAGATCACCTGAGGTTGAGAGTTCGAGACCAGCCTGACCAACGTGGAGAAGCCCCGTCTCTACTAAAAATACAAAATTAGCTGGGTGTGGTGGTGCATGCCTATAATCCTAGCTACTTGGGAGGCTGAGGCAGGAGAATCATTTGTACTCGGGAGGTGGAGGTTGCAGTGAGCCAAGATCCTGCCATTGCACTCCAGCCTGAGCAACGAGCAAAACTCCGTCTCAAAAAAAAAAAAAAAGAATTCTTGTTTAAATTTGTATTTCTCAGAAGAGTGCCACTGAGTTTGGGTTTGGGACTAAATTTTCCAGGAAATATTTTTATTAATGAGTGATTCTTTTCCTCCTCTAGTATGTTATTAATATATTTTTGAGCACCTTTAATACTAAGTATTGTGTCAGTACTAACAATAATACAAAATAATGTACATATTGATGAAGCATGCTTGAAAAATAATTGAGATTTTAGCACCATGAAAACACCCAGAAAACTGAAGGTCTTAGTTCTAGTAATAGTTGAAAGTTGCTGTGTGCTAACCTATTCAGAACCAGCAATAAATTATGTGTTGTAAACTTCTGTATCCAGCATCAAATTATAGGTATTATAAATAATAGACTGGCTGCACACAAAGATGAAAATATTCAATTAGAAGCTGCATTACAAGGAAATTTAAATGTTATCCTGTTCATTAAACATCTGAATGCATTTTTTAAAAGATTAATTTTACCAGGATCTGTGGTACATAATAGTAAAGTAGCTCTCTAAATCAAAATAGGCTATTTGGAAAAGAGATCAGAAAATACCTGAATTAAATGGTATTCACTTTATGTATTTTCAAAATTCTTACAGTTTTTTCCACTTTACATATTGCTTTTCAAGTTTGGCACTTAACATCTTACTTAAATATAAAATTATAACATCTTGATATTGTTAGTCTTTTTCATTGACCTATTAAGCACATATATTTTAAAAGAAACCATTTGTATTTCTTGCGAACTATATTCTTTTCTATTTTTCAGGTACGGATTTTCAAATATGCGCTATATTTCTTCGCTAATTAGTGGTGTTGGTATTTTCATGATGGGTGCAGGACTATCTTGGTACCATGGAGTCATGGGATTGCTTCATCCTCAACCAATAGAATCCCTTCTATGGGTAATCCTCTTTTTTTCTCCTCAGTTTTGATGTCTTATGACATAGTGATTGTGTACAGTAGAAGGCCTTTGTCATATTGGTGTTAAAGGAGAATGACATACACCTTCTTGACTGTGTATTGTAGGGTTATATATCTATAGTTTAATTTTTAGAACGTGACTGGACATAACCTCTAAATCCATAAGATTCAATGATGTTGAACAAGATCTCTGTAGGTACCAATTATCAAGCCCTGCTCCTTGGTTAAAATCTTGGGCAGTTCCACTAATTTCTCCAGTTACTGTTGAAGAACAAGAAAACCTCTGTTCACTTTTGGTCCCAAGAATAGTCTCATTTCAGTAATTAAAATATTCAGACCCATGTAATAGTCATAAGTTGGAACTATATTTGAAGTTAAAGCTTCTCTTTTCCCGCATCCTGGGCTTCCTTCAGGTAGGAAGCCTGCACTGGGGGAATGGGAGGATAGCAGGATGATCACCCGTATGATCCCCTCTGGGGCTTCTGCCCCTCTCTCCTATTCCCTGGAAAGTGTTGAGGGTTTGGATAAGGGATAAAAACATACCACTTTACTGACTACAGTGTTATTTTGCATTGGTTTCCTCTGGCCTTTGTAGATGTTTAAAACTGTCTTTTTTTTTCTCATGGGCACTTCTTGGAGATTACCCTGCTTGGCTGCTCTGGCTATGGCTGCCCAAATTGATCACATAGCCTACCCTCTCAGCTTCTGCATCTCATGGTGTGGTTTCCAGACAGTGCTGAAGTTGTCTTGCATTTGGAAAGAATGCCCTTTGAGCAGCTGATCTCCTTATAAAAGACTCCTAGGGACCTGTGTGTTAAAACAGACATCTTTAACACACTTTCTGTGGGAGTGCAGGTTTTTCTCTCAAGCCCAATGATCTACTCTGCTGATACAGCCAATATCAGTTAGTAGGCTTGCGTATGGATGTATCACTCAGGTATGCATCAGACAGTTTGCTGTGATATCCAATATCCCGGGGGACACACATCAAGGCTACTGAACAATCTTAGTAGCTCAACAGCTTTCACCAAAGAAATCTTCATTTTTGGCCTCCTCAATTTCAGCTCTTCTTATGTGGTCTAGAGGATGTGGAGCTAGCATGTAGTCTAGTGGGTAGAGGCCCCAGGTTTGGGCTACCTTCTGTGCAAGGCCTGAATAGATGGTATAACACCTCCTTTTGGAATGTGGGGATACTTGTACCTATTTTCTTCTCTATTTTGAGTTGTAGTCAGAACTAGACAGAATCAATCTGTCTACTTTTTTAATATCCTGTTATATCATGCAAATCTACTTAATAACAAGCACATTAAACTAGGCTTATTTGTTATTCTCTAGTTTTCTATAGTTTTGATTGACTAGTTTCTTACCATAATACATTTCATATAATTAAAACAAACAAATGTGTTTCCTCCATTCTGAAAAGATTTGGCCACTTTATGGGTACTTCATTGTTCTAGCGTTCTTCTAATTTGTATAGTGTCACTTTATAGGGGCAAAGCACTCTCTGTAGTTAGAGATTAGGTAATTAGTTAAATTTTCAGTTGTGTATAAGTTTTAAAACTTCTAAAAGCTCTTGTGTCTTTCAGTAACTAAATGGGTTTCCATTAGACTATGGCCCTTTTTAAAATAGTGTTGGACTAGGTTCAAAGTTTTCAGACCTCTATTTTAGGAAAGCCTAGGGTTCTAAACATTGTTGAAAATTCTGTAGATGTTTGGTTTGAATTTCATTAAAATAAAAAAAATGTGTTGCTAGGTTAACTTTTTTTTTTTGATACACCCCTGTCTAAAGCTTTTTTTACCATCTTTAATTGAAGAGTGTCCTGGGATTGCAGGGAATGTGGTATTACCAAAAAACAAACATTGGTTACTGTTTGTAACTACTTATCTTTCTGAATCAGGATTTTCTTGGTATTAGGCATGGAAGCAAAATCCAGAAGTTACTTGAGTTTGGGTGTGGATCTTACTGTATCTGGTGTCTACCACTCCTGATATCAAATATTGTATTCATATCTCATTGTCCTCCTCATTTGAGTTGTTTCCCATTAGTAACCTTACTGTCTGGCTTAAATTTGAATTCGTGTTTTTGTTTTAGACATTACGGACTTTATATATGAACAATTGTGATTGGAAGTACTTAATTTATGCTTTATTTTAATATTTCTTTTCTAGGCATATTGTATTTTAGCAGGATCATTAGTATCTGAAGGAGGTATGTACTGTCACAAAGTATGTCTCTATTCTTAATTTAGTAATATATATTCAGCTGTCCATTATTATAGTTTGCTAAGTTCTGTTGATTAAAGAAAAGCAAGTGTGGGAATAGGCATCTAAGCTTTCTCTACTTTTAGGGAGTAAAGTCTTTGCATAATGTACTGTGGTTGTTCTGTAATGGATAGCTGTGGGGGGGTGTGTAACTGCGCCCTGCCATGGGATGGCATCCTGGCAAGGCCTCATTTCTCTTTGTGTCCTGAGCTGCTAGGATAGGCTCAAGTAGGTGACTATCAGATAGATGGAAGACAGTAACTGATGTGGCATGAAAGCGCTTAGCAAGCCCACCATATTTGTGGTTATTTTTAAACTATGTGGTGGTAAGAGGTGTTCCTTACAGTTTTCACTTTGCAAGCATTATTCCTTGATTGAACCCACCACCACTACTATCGCTGTTACTTGCCGATTCACTAAAAATTGGATAAATAATTATTTTACTTATTTAAAAGGGAAAGTATGTTTCATTTTTGAGTATCATACCATAATACTCAAAACATTTGAAATGGAGTATAAAAAACATAATTAAACTGAACTTTTAAAATTAGAGTTTAATAATATTCACCAGAAGAATATTATTTACTGGCTCTTGTGAGACAAATATTTCAAAGTTTTTGAAATACACAGCTATAGCAGTATGATGACAGAGAACTGCTAATATCAGTATAAAACTGCCTGATTCACTGCTGTGCTCATGTTTACTTCTGAAACATTGTAACTTTCTATGTATAATGTTCCCTTCATCTATTTTTAAAATTAACATTTTTTATTGACAGATCCTAATTGTATATGTTTATGGGGCCCCTCATCTTTGAAAGTCTATGAAATGGTTATAACACAACCTGCTTCAAAAGATTGGGAGGCTCAGAAATGAATGTGGTTAGTGTGGTGCTGCCAAATAGCAGCTCTTCAATAAACTAAAGCTGTTGTTATTAGTAATTATATTTAATTATTATGGTTTAGAACTATGGGGTTCATTTTATTATAATGATTAATTGATAACAACTAATTAACATAGAACTTGTCCTTATTGCCAACCCTAGTTTTAAAATGTTGTGCTTATTTGTTTATCTTTTGAGATGCCATCTTTAAAGTTTGGAGGCATGAAGTTTCTGTCTTGCTGATATGAATGCTTTTCTTTTAGCAACACTTCTTGTTGCTGTAAATGAACTTCGTAGGAATGCTCGGGCTAAAGGAATGTCATTTTACAAGTATGGTATGTATTTTAGAAACCAAGTGTTTGTTTCACCTCCCTTATTTGCTTAAAATTACTTAGTACTGTTATTGCTTTGTTCCTAATAGAAATGTACAAAATATATCTGAATATCATCCCTGTGTGGCTCTTACATATCCTTCAGCCCTTATTAAAAAGAAATGTAGTATAGAAATTTGAACATGGATACTTTATATTTGGATTTGACTTAAGTGAACTAAGGTATTTCTTTATATGGTTATATAACTTGAGAAAGTAATTTGACTTTATGTATCAGTTATTGTTGACATTTAAGCCAAGAAATTATGTTTGCATTGAGCAAGGTTTTTAAAATCATAATCTCTCATACACTTTTTTATCTTAACTTATATCTTGATTTTAAATGGATACTTATTAAAATGTTACCTGATAGTATCAAGTTAAGATTTTAGAAATTTTCTTGTCTTGTCTCTTCCCCAATGACTAGTAATGGAAAGTCGTGATCCTAGTACAAATGTGATATTATTGGAGGATACTGCTGCAGTCTTGGGAGTTATAATAGCAGCCACTTGCATGGGCCTTACTTCTATAACAGGTAAATATTCCTTAAATTACAGGTGATTTATTTGTCCTACTTAAATAATTCTCTAATATGTGGGAATTTTCTCTTATATCATTGAATAATATTAAACCAACAAATTGTTAAATGTTAATTCCTACTAATCATTGACTTATGTAAGACATTTGGTCAGCAGAAGTATTCAGGTTTATTTGAATTAAAAATGTCTCTAAATTAGAAATAAGGAAGGCTATTTGTAAAGGATTTCTGTAATGCTGTACGTCTTTCTAGCTGTGACTTAAAAAATTGTGCAATCACTCTGAACTTTTTATTTACCTATAAAAGTGTGGATAATATTTACCTTGGTAACCTCTTAGGTTTATTAAGAAAATATGAGAGTTTTAATAAACTCTAAAGTTCCAAATAAATATACATAGGTCCTCAAATAACATTGTTTTGTTCAACTTGATTTTGTTATAACATTGTTGCGAAAAATATCAATTCCTAACTGGAGCTACCATCTCTGTGGAGTTTGCTCATTCTCCTTTTATCTACATAGGTTTTCTTTGGGCACCCCAACTTCCTCCCACATCACAATGCCGTACATGGTCAGTGAATTGGGGTGTCTAAATAGTCCCAATCTGAGTGAGTGTGGGGGTGTGTGTAAGTGTGCCCTGCCATGGGATGGCATCCTGGCCAGGTCTGGTTCCTTCCTGTGTCCTGAACTGCTAGGATAGGCTCAAGTAGATGATAATCAGACAAATGCAGGACAATAACTGATGTATGAAAGCGCTCAGCAAGCCTACATATTTGTGGTTGTTTATTTTTGAATTATGTGGTGATAGGTGTTCCTTACAATTTTCACTTTGCAAACATTTATTCTTTGATTTAACTCACCACCCCTACTATTGCTGATACTCACTGATTCACCAAAAATTGGGTAAATAATTATTTTACATAGTTTTTATTAATTTTTAAAAATGTATATGTAGCCCACATTTATTTCAGTGTTCAATATTAGACATGTTTTGGGTCTTAGAAGTTGAGTGATGTTTTTGTGACCAGAAATATGCCATAGGAACTTAACTCTTTTTTTTTTTTTTTGAGACAGAGTTTTGCTCTTGTTGCCCAGGCTGGAATGCAATGGTGCCATGTCGGCTCACTGCAACCTCCACCTCCCAGGTTCAAGCAATTCTCCTGCCTCAGCCTCCCGAGTAGCTGGGATTACAGGCATGCGCCACCACGCCCGGCTAGTTTTGTATTTTCATTAGAGACGGGGTTTCTCCATATTGGTCAGGCTGATCTCAAACTCCCGACCTCGGGGGTGATCCTCCCACCTTGGCCTCCCAAAGTGCTGGGATTACAGGCATGAGCCACCACGCCCGGCCGGAACTTAACTCTTGTTTGTATCAGTTAGCTTATGGTAAAATTGGTTTTGTTATATGTTGTTCCCTATAAAGTCGCAGTTTCTAAGAACCTATTGACAACATGAATGAGGACTTAACCGTATATTGTGGCTCTTGTTCATTTGTCTTTTTCCACACTTAATGCCAATAATAACTACTGTTGCCTTCCTATTTCTTTAATTCTAAGTTGTTTGTGTCCTTATTTTGGTAGCTAATTAAGTGTTTTGAGGGCCAATAAAATACAAGTAAATGAAAAGACAATTCTATTTTATTTTTATTTTCGAAAACAACCATTTAGCATGAAAAGACTCAATTTATGAAGTTGGAATTCTCTTGGAAAGGAACTTCTTCCATACTTCTCTATTTGTCCTTACATATTTAAAATAATTTTAGGTGACGAGCTTCCACAGTTCTGCAGTGTTTCTTCAAATAGTCTGAAATATGAATACTTCTTTCTCATTCTGAGTGTGCATTTTAATACCAAACTAGCATTCTCTGATGTTTATTGTGATCCAAAATATTTGTAAAAATGTTGATTGTTTTTCTGGTTGACCATATAGTTTTAGACTGTTTTTGAACATAAATTACTAGCAAAATTTTAGGCTTAAGAAAAGTGTGACTTGATGCAGATGTCAACTTTGAATAATTTATTTTCTTTTACATAATAATAGAAACCAATCAAATCAAATTTACAAAAATATGTAATGTGTTTTACATGAATTAAATTTTTCTTAATTAGCTAATTTATTCAAATTAAATTAAATAACATGCCAAGAAATAAAAGTTTTCTTAAAAAAGGTATTTTCTTTCAGCTAATATTCCTGTAATTTCTTTAAGAGTACATGAATGTATATATTTAAATAAAAATAACTCTTCACATTTGGATTTCTAAAGAGCAGTATTTGATTTTGAGCTCTATAATTACAAAACTTCTAATGGATAATGTTTTACAAGCGGATCATTTTTAACACTTAGTATAGATTAACAAGTTTGCTTTTTAGTGTTACAGCTTAGCAAAATATATGTTTTATCAAGCATTAAGAAGAGTTAAATATATTGATGACATTTCATCTTTGGGATAAAAAGACTTGTAGTCATAAAAGCCATGTGTAAAATTTATTATAAAGATTTAAAACGTATTTATTGGTGTCTATTATATAAATATTACCTATACATTCATAGATGATAAATCAGCCTTTCTCATTGGTTCTGGGAGAGAAGCCCTGACAACCTAAGGCAAATATTAGAATCAGAATCACCTGAAGGGCTTGGGGAAACACAGAATGCTGAAACCCACATCCAGAATTTTTTATTCAGGGGCCTGAAATGAGGTCTGAGAATTTGCTTTTCTACCAAGTTTTCAAGTGATGGCTGCTGGTCCAGGAACCACACTTTGAGAAGCACCACCTTGAGGCACCTATGGCATGTAATGAATTAAGTTCTCTCCTTTTTATCTAGAATGATACTAGCTATATATCATCCTTGGTTGGATGAGAAGAGAGTCACCCATATTATTTTCTGTAGGGCTTAATTCTCTTACAGAACATTAGTAGGAAGAAGATACGGAAAAAGGTTTCTTTCAGCTTTTGATTCCACTGTTATTTTGTCTATCTGGTGTAGGAAAAGTGCTATGGATATATCTAAAAGAAATGGACTCTTCATTATGTCATTTTTTTGTATTGGTGTCTCTAATCTAAATGTGCTCAGAAACTTCACATATGTAATGACAGGTACAAGTAAGAGATCTTAATTATGTCACATAGTACTCTTATGAAAGCAAGTTGTAGCATCCTCATTTTGTGGTATATTAAAACTATTAGGAGTTGTTAAAGGAAGTAATTAAAGAAATTAGGAATAAATTTCAAGTGCCTTGATTTACTCGTTCTGGTTCTTTGCTCTCTATAAAGTTCACTGAAATAATATAAACTGTTAATTTACTGATTTTTTTATGTGCTTCATTTAGGCAATCCACTGTATGACAGCCTAGGTTCTTTGGGTGTGGGCACCTTATTAGGCATGGTCTCAGCATTCCTCATCTACACTAACACAGAAGCACTCTTAGGGCGGTCCATCCAGCCAGAACAAGTACAACGGCTCACTGAACTCCTGGAGAATGACCCATCAGTAAGGTCAGCCTTATTCCAGTAATCCTGTTAAGGCTTACAAAAACATATTAAAAAACAGAAATGCCTGGTTTGTAAATACTTCCAGAGGAAGTTTTGGATTCCTCGTCTTCAGAACGTTTTAGTCTGTAACTTTTCAGAATTATAATCCTGGAAGTAAGAAAGAATACACTTAGGAAACTCCTTCTAAGTTTCCTTTTAAATTTTCTATACTTCTAATTTTTAGAGTAAGGAAGAGTCAAGTTGATATAATGAGAATGGAAGTTTGCAAAGTAGTTGTCTTCTTAGTGGAAATACTTAATATGGAACCTGTAGAGTTGCCTTATATTCGCATTGCAATTACAAATTGAATATATTAAATTTAAAAAGATTTTTGTTCATTGGGCAATGATTACCAAATTAAATATAATTTATATTTACTTTGAAAATAGACTTTGTTTTAGCTTATTTTAAGTATTTTTCTTATAATCTTTATCTTTTAAATTATGTAAAACTAAAGAACTGGAGACTTAGGAGATAATCAGCAGAAGAGATACAGAATTCTAATAGTGCTTTTCAGTGAAATTCTAGCAGCATTGTGGTTTTATAATGAAATAAAAGAACAAACCTTTAAAAACCCAGTTTTCTACTAACTCGCTCTATATTTTTTCAAACTTTAAAATAAGATTTTTTTGTGTATTGTACTTGAAATCTTTAAGTTAAATCTTTTTAAAATGACCCGTATATCTGAATTAGTAAAATATATTAATGATTACTAGATTTATATTCTATGCCCTATATGTTTAATCTTGAAAAGTAACTATCTTATTGGAACAAGATTAGAAAATGAGAGATGGGCACAGTGGCACATGCCTATAGTTCCAGCTACTTGGGAAGCTGAGGCAGGAGGATCACTTGAGGCCACGAGTTTGAGGCTAGTGTGCAATGATCATGTCTGTGAATAGCCACTCACTGTACTATATTCTGGGCAGCATAGCAAAACCCTGTCTCAAAAAAAAAAAAAAAAAGATTAGAAGTTGAGCATTATGAAAGTCAGTATTAGAGTTATTAACATAATGTGAGATAATCCAAATTAATATCCTTTCTTTGTGATGTTTTTGTCTGGTTTTGGTATTAAGATAATACTGGCTTCAGAGAATGAGTTGGGAAATGTTCTCTCCTATTTTTTTGGAAGAGTTTGTGAATAATTGGTGTTAGCTTCTTTAAATGGTAGAATTCAAGTATCTGGATATGAGCTTTGCTGTGTGGGTAGTTTTTTGATTAGTAATTATATCTCTTGTTATGGATCTGTTCAGATTGTCTGTTTCTTCTTGACTTAGTTTAAGTAGCTTGTATTCTAGGAATTTGTCTTTTACTTCTAATTTACCTAATTTGTTGGTATACAGCTATTTATAATATTCCTTTGTAATCCATTTTATTTCTTTAGTGTTGGTACAAATGTCTCATCTTTCATTTCTGTAATTTGAATCTCTCCTTTTCTTGGTCAGTGTAGCTAAAGGTTTGTTCATTTTCTTGATCTTTCTAAAGAACCAGCTTTTGGTTTAATTGACTTTCTCTGTTGTTTTTCTATTTTCTTTTTCATGACTTTCTCCTTTAATCTTTATTATTTTTTTCCTTCTGCGTGCTTTCAGTTTAGTTTGCTCTTTTTCCACTGTCTTAAGGTTAAGCTTTTAATTTGATGTTTCTTCTTTTTTAAAATAGACAATTACAGCTACAAATTTTCCTTTAAGTATTGCTTTCTCTGCATTCCACACATTTCCATATATTGTGCCATTTTCATTATCTAATAGTATTTTCTAATTTCTTTTTTTATTCTTTTCAGTTATTTAGGGGAGTATGTCACTTAATTTTTACGTATTTGTGAGTTGCACAGATTTCTTTCCATTATTGATTTATTATTTTGTTCTATTGTGGTCAAAGAATATGTTTTATATTAGTTCTGTCCTTTTAAATTTACCAAGGTTTGTTTTATGGCCTTACATATAGTCTTGGATAATATTCATGTGCACTTGAGAAGAATGTATATTCTGCTGTTGTTGTAGAGTGTTCTGTAGATGTTTGTTAGGTTTAATTGGTTTATAGTGACTTCAATTTCCCTAATTATCTTCTTGCTCTATTGTTCTATCCTTTTTTTTTTTTTTTTTTTAGATGGAGTTTTGTTCTTGTTGCCCAGGCTGGAGTGCAGTGGCACGATCTTGGCTCACTGGAACCTCCGCCTCCCAGATTCAAGTGATTCTCCTGCCTTACCCTCCCAAGTAGCTGGGATTACAGGTGCTCACCACCATGACCAGCTAATTTTTGTATTTTTAGTAGAGACGAGGTTTCACCACTGGCCATGTTGGCCAGGCTGGTCTCAAACTCCTGAGAGACGAGGTTTCATCACTGGCCATGTTGGCCAGGCTGGTCTCAAACTCCTGACCTCAGGTGATCCACCCGCCTCGGTCTCCCAAAGTGCTAGGTGTGAGCACCGTGCCCGGCCTCTGTATCCGTTACTGAAAGTATCGAAGTCTCTAGTTATTGTTGTTGTATTAGCTCTTCCTCCCTTCATTTCTTCTTGGTTTTGGCATCATATATTTTGGTGCTCTGTTGTTGCTACATACATGTTTATAATTTTGTATATATTGTTTAATAAGTAATGTCTAAAAAAGAGCTATAAACTGAAAGACTGGCAAATTCGAAATTTTGTGGAAGAGTGAATATCTGTGGATTCAATTATTGGAAAAAATACGTTAGTAATCCAGAAAATTCATACAATTTTTTTAAACAGTATATTAGTTACCTACTGCTGTGTGACAAATTGGCCCAAAACTTAGTGGTTTAAACAACATATTACCATCTTACAGTTTCTGTGAGTCAGGAATCAGGGCACAGCTTATCTGGGTCTTCGACTTCAGGGTTTCTCATAGACTGTAATCAAGGTGTTGACTGGGATTATAGTCATCTCCTGGGGAAGGGGCTGCTTCTAACCTTACTCACATGATTGTTCGCAAGATTTAGCTCCTTGCCAAATGGGCCTCTTCAACATGGCAGCTTGCTTAATCAAAGCGTGCAAATTGATAAGGCAATAGAGAGCGAGTGTGAACAAGACAAAAGTCACAGGTTAGTCACCTGGTCTTGGAAATGACATCTCATCACTTTGCCATATTTGGTAGTTATAGCCCACATTCAGTGAGAGGAGATCACACAAGGGCTTGCGTATAGGTGGCAGGGATTGATCATATGGGAGCCCTCCAAACAGTTTTCTGTCTGTAGTTAGTTATATGTAAGAACATAAGGAAAAAGTATATCTAAATATATTTATTAGTTGCTACTCACATACCAGCCAAATAATGAAATGTGTTTATACTCTGTGAAGACTAAAGTAGAAATGATTTTTGAAAATGAATAAATATGTTCTGTGAGTTACCAGGAGAGAAAAAAAAAAGAATAAATGATATAGCCTTTTGCCAATCTGAAAAAGTTTTGTTTTAACTTGAGCACATGTAACTATAAATATTAAAACATTAATTCTTATTTCATCCTTGATGGTTGATTAAAATATAGCTTCCTTATATGGATAAAAAATTTTGGACTCAGTGTTTAGTAACCTGCTCAGGATCCCTCAGAAATTAGGGTCTAATGTTGTAAGAATACTTGGAGTCTTACGTAGGCTTGTTTTTCTAGTAAATCTCCATGTCCTCAGAATTCAGAGTGTTTTGTTATTTCTTATATGTGCTGTACAGAAAAGATCTTACAGTGATCACTGTAGAAAGAAGAGAATTTCTCAGCAGTTTCTAGGGAAGATTGTTTACTGAGGGTTAGAGCAGGAGGGGTGAAAAGTAGTTATGCTTGAGTATCTGCTTTCCTGTCTGGGAGGCAAAAGGGTATGATGCAAATACCACTGGGCTTGCATTTCTGAAGAGCTGGGCTGGGGAGTCCTAATCTGCTGTTTACTAGCTAAATTACCTTGAGCAAGTCACTTATGCCACTCTAGGATGGTTTTATCATGTATAAAATAAAGATGTCACCCTATCCACTTATGAAAGCCATCCATTAAATGCCTGCCTTATAGTTCTTACTGTATTAAACATTTTATATATGTATTAGCTCATTATTCCTCACATCAAGTCCCATGTGGCAGTTATTATTAACCTCATTCTAATAGAGAACTTCACAGCATTGTATGAAGACTTTTAAAGAAGCTAGTGAACATACAATTGGTTAATATACTCTACAACACCATTATAAATTAAAACAAATTTTTATATGGCATTTAGGAAATTGATAAGTAGATATATGGAGACAAAGGCTTATGAGATAACATGACATTTTAGAAAATTGATTTAGAGTTAATGAATATATATATATATATATATATATATATATATATATATATTTTTTTTTTTTTTTTTTTTTTTTTTTTTTTTGAGACAGAGTCTTACTCTGTTGCCCAGGCTGGAGTGCAGTGGCACAATCTGGGTTCACTGCAACCTCTGCCTCCCAGGTTCAAGCAATTCTCCTGTCTCAGCCTCCTGAGTAGCTGGGATTACAGGCATGCACCACCATGCCTGGCTAATTTTTGTAGTTTTAGTAGAGACAGGGTTTCACCATATTGGCCAGGCTGGTCTCAAACTCCTGACCTCAGGTGATCCTCCCTGCTCGGCCTCCGAAAGTGTTGGGATTACAGGCATGAGCCACTGCGCCCAGCAGAGTTAATGAACTTTTAATACATGAGCTTTATAATTCATAAATTACCATAAAATAATATTTGTTAAGTTTGCACCTTTGTATGATATCATGCCAAAAAAAAAGCTAAACGGACAGGCCTTGGAAAATGATAGGTGGTACTTAATGGTGAATACTCTGAAGCCATCTTAGTCCATTCTCGTAACTAGTGGGGAAAAAAACAATAATTCAAGCCTTTGTGCTATTAAAGTATATATATGTGTATGTATGTATAAATAAATTTGTATGCATTGTTATTGATTGCAGGGCAATTCATGATGTTAAAGCCACAGATCTGGGATTAGGTAAAGTAAGATTTAAGGCAGAAGTAGATTTTGATGGGCGAGTTGTTACAAGATCATATTTGGAAAAACAAGATTTTGACCAAATGTTACAAGTAAGTTTATTTGTTGTTTTCTTACATAACTGAGGGTTAGAAAAATGCTTTTAAGGTAAACAAAATGAAATTTTTTTTTATAGATCTTAAAGGCACTTTAGCTCTCAACTTCTTAGGTTCCAAAATTTAACAGAGACCTTTATATTTACTATGGAGGGGTTCAGAGGAGACAGCAAAAGAACAAACTTACTATTTCATGCTTGCTATGTGCATTTAATCTTTTTTTATCTAATTTACCCTCAACAACCCTGTTATTTCAACAATGAAATAACATTTTTATTTTAACATATATAGAAATTGAAAGACAGAGATTAAGTAATTTGCCTTAAGTTGTAGTGCCACAGAGATGGAGTCATATATGAATCGAGATCTGCCTGACTCCAGAATCCATTTTTTTATTAAGAATAGTTTAAAAGAGAATTTATAAAACAGAATATAATGAACAGCACAGATGTTACCACTTGCCCCTGTCAAATCTTAACATTTTGCTATAGTGTATTTGCTTAAGGTCTTAAAAAAAGAAATAATTACAAAAACAATTCAAGCCCCCATTTTCTCTTTCTATATCTCATTCTTCTTCTTCCATCCCTAGAATTAAACATTATGCTGAATTTGGTACCTGTCTTTTCCATTCAGATTTTTATACTTTTCAGCATTTTTTAGTGTAATATGTAACATTTTGAATGTTTAAAAATTGGTATAAATGGTATCCTACTGTATGCGTCTCTACAATTGGCATAACAACATATTTTTTAGATTCTTCCGTGTTAATTTATATATCTCTAGTCAGTTTACCTTCATTGTTATAGAGCATTTCATCCTATGAATATGCTGTAATTTATTTATTTTGTCTCCAGTTGATGGACATTTATATTACTGTTAGAAACAATGCCATGGCCGGGCGCGGTGGCTCACGTCTGTAATCCCAGCACTTTGGGAGGCCGAGGTGGGCGGATCACGAGGTCAAGAGATCGATCCCATCCTGGCCCACATGGTGAAAACCCGTATCTACTAAAAATACAAAAATTAGCTGGGTGTGGTGGTGCGTGCCTGTAGTCCCAGCTACTCGGCAGGCTGAGGCAGTAGAATCGCTTGAACCTGGGAGTTGGAGGTTGCAGTGAGCCTAGATCGTGCCACTGCACTCCAGCCTGGGCGACAGAGCGAGACTCCGTCTCAAAAAAAAAAAAAAAAGAAAGAAACAATGCCATGATTGCATTCTCACACGTTTCCTTGTTCACATATATGAAAATTTCTTTAGTATGGTGTATATATAGATAGCTAGATTTTAAATAGGTGGGCCATTGGGTGTACTTACCTTCAGCTTGCCTAGGTCTTACCAAGTTATTTTCCAAAGTGTGTCAATTTAACTTCCATCATTGTATATCAAGGTTCTTGCTTCCTATTCTTACATGATTGTATTAATAGAGTTATTAAATTTTTGCCAGTTTGATAGGTGTGAAATAGTATCTTGTTCTAATTTTATTTCTTGGAGCATTGAGGTTAATAAACATTGAAGTTCATTGACCAGTGGGATTTCCTCTACATTGCTCCCTGATTTTTCATGTTTTAAGTTCATTTGCATTACACTTATAGATTTGAAAGGTCTTTATTTTATTGCATTGTATTATTATTTTTTGAGACAGAGTCTCGCTCTGTCACCCAGGCTGGAGTGCAGTGGCGCGATCTTGGCTCACTGCAACCTCCGCCCCCCAGGTTCAAGCAATTATCTACCTCAGCCTCCCAAGTAGCTAGGATTACAGGTGCCTGTGACCACACCCGGTTAATTTTTCTATTTTTAGTAGAGATGGGGTTTCACCATCTTGGCCAGGCTGGTCTTGAACTCCTGGAAAGGTCTTTATTTTTAATATCCTGGATGCTAATTCTTACTTGTATATATGCAATTATTTTTTTCTAGTTTATAACTTCCTTTTCTTTTTGTTGTTATACAAAATATTTAATATGATTTTTAATTTTAATGTGAGATTTGTAATCTTTTCCTCTGTGCTTTTTATTCTTTTGCATGAAAAATCCTTCCATATCCCATTATCATAAAAATATTCTCTTCTCATCTAGTAGTTTTGTGGTTTGTTTTTTACCCTTATGTCTTTCATCCACTTTGAATTATTTTAATGGTCTGACATAGGGATTCAATTTTTTTTTCTTAAGGGAAAATATTCTAACACTATTTATTGACTATATTATTTCCCCAGTAATTTTGTAGTGCTACCTCTGTGTAGTATTATACTCAGTTTTCTTGATCCGAATTGTTTTGGAAATAGGTAATCCATTGCCTGTGGCTTAAAGTTTTAAAAATGTTCATTAAACTTAATGGCGTTTGTTATAGGTTTGTTTTTTTTTAAGGAGTCATAAGTGTACCACTATGGTTTTTTAAAAATTTATTTTCCTGTTTTCATTTTCTTTATAGGAAATTCAAGAAGTGAAAACTCCTGAAGAACTAGAGACCTTTATGCTTAAACATGGAGAAAATATTATTGATACTTTAGGAGCTGAAGTAGATAGACTTGAGAAGGAACTGAAAGTAAGATGTATTCATAAAAATAACATAATGATAATGGCAGCTATTTTTTTGAGTACTTACTCTACAGCAGACACTAAGTGCATCCATCACATGCATGCTTTAACCCACTCATAACTCCACAGTGTGTAGGTATTTATAAGCAAGAAAATGACTGGGTTAGATAAGTTGAATAATTTACCCAAGGAAATAGGGAAATTGTGATTTGAACCAGATTCTTTACTTTTAAACACTATTTTATGCAGCCTGCTTAGTTTCTAAAATAGTCAAAGGGGGTTTTTTTGTTTGTTAATAAATAAGCATTTTGAAAGTTCCTAGAGAAAGATGAAAAGGAAACTTTAGACTGTGGTCAAAAGTTAGAAAAAATAGAATGTATATCTTGCTTTTAGCCCATTTGAAATTATTTTCTGTTTTTGTTTGTTTCTATTCAGTTGGATGTTATTGTAATTTATTGATTATGTTACTGAAATATTACCTGATCCTGATCAGGTTGTCTTTTAAAATGTCTCAGTGTTCTCAAATTGCCATTTATTGACATTTGAATTCTGTTTGCAATGAATAAAAACTTGTAAATGATCTTTAATGTATATAATTTGTTGAAGGCAGTGCTTTTTCTGCAGTTGATATTGACCATTCTTTAATTTTGTAAAAAATTGAAGAAAAAAACTTCCATCTCTACTTTTCAAGTTTTCCTTTGAGAATCTGGATATCCGATTAGATTAATACAAGTACTTCAAATAAGATTTTGTTAATATTATAGTTCATGAGCTTTATCTGACATAATTTTTGAATTTTCTAGATGATATTTTGGTCTTAAGACGCTTTCATTCTTAAAAATTATTGCAGACCTCAAAGAGATTTTATTTATTTGAGTTATAGTTATTGATATTTACCAAATCATGCATGAAAGTAGATAAATTTTAAAATATTTATCATTTACTTTTAAAAACATACACCTATTTAATATAAATAACTTTTTTTTTTTTTTTAACTAAGAATCTCACTCTGTTGCCTAGGCTGGAGTGCAGTGGCACGATCTGGGCTCACTGTAACCTCCGTCTCCTGGGTTCAAGCAGTTCTCCTGCCTCTGCCTCCTGAGTAGCTGGGACTACAGGTGCCTGCCACCATGCCCAGCTAATTTTTGTATTTTTAG
Organism: Homo sapiens; assembly: GCF_000001405.40. NCBI lineage: Eukaryota > Metazoa > Chordata > Mammalia > Primates > Hominidae > Homo > Homo sapiens. Next base: position 42,079,476 of record NC_000004.12, read on the forward strand.
CAGAGATGAGGTTTCACCATGTTGGCCAGGCTGGTCTCGAACTCCTGACCTCAAGTGATCTGCCTGCCTTGGCCTCCCAAAGTGCTGTGAAGTGCTGGGATTACAGGAGTGAGCCACCCCACCCAGTCACATTTTTTTTTTTTTTTAACTGAGACGGAGTCTCGCACTGTCACCCGTGCTGGAGTGCAGTGGCACGATCTCAGCTCACCGCAGCCTCCGCCTTCCAGGTTCAAGGGATTCTCCTGCCTCAGCCTCCCAAGTAGCTGGGATAACAGGCACCCACCACCACGCCTGGCTAATTTTTGTTTTGTTTTGTACTTTTAGTAGAGACAGGGTTTCACTATGTTGGCCAGGCTGGTCTTGAACTCCTGACCTTGTGATGTGCCCACCTCAGCCTCCCAAAGTGCTGGGATTACAAGCGTGAGCCACCATGCCAAGCCCACATTTTTATATAAATAGTTATATTTTCCAAAATGAAAAAACGTAGTTAGAAGAGTGATATTTCACATTTTTGCAAAAGTCTCTTATGCCTGGCTTAGTAGAAGACAGCTACATTCCCATATCTGCTTCTGCCTTCAGTTGTAGTGATTTGATTGTTTGGCCGAAGAACATGAAGGAAAGGGAGAACTGTTCCTATAGCCTTTTGAGATAATTGTGATACTCTCTTTTGGTGTTATAACAGCTGGTAGAAACCAAATCAATGAATGAACTTCTCATATGCTACTTGTGAAGGTAGGGGGCACAGTCTACAAGACTGTCCTTCCTTCTAATACCAACTGTGAGTTCAGGAGGTTCCCTAGAGCACCTTCAGATTTAATAACTCACTAGGACTCTTAGAACTCACCGAATCATGTTATACCCATCATGGTTTGGTTTATTACAGGGAAAGGATACTGCTTGAAATCAGCCAAGGGCAGAAGAAGTGCATAGGGCAGGGTCCAGGAAAGTTCCAAACATGAAGTTTCAGTTGTCTTTTCTCTGTAATGCATAGTATTACTCTCCTGGCAATGAAGTGTGACAGTAGCATGACGTGTTGCCAACCGGGAAGCTCATCTGAGACTTGATGACCAGAGATTTTATTGAGGCTCCATAGTTGACTGCATAAGTAGCTGACCTTTTGTCTCTAGCCCTTCTAGAGGTAGAGCAGATACTGTGTGGCCAAAGGCCCCCATCATATATCACATTCTAAAGTTAATGCCCCCAGATAAACAAAGACACTCTTAGGCAGGACATGTCAAGGGCCTAGAAATTCCCTCCCGGTTATGGAGAACAAAAGCCAAACCTCCCTTTGGGTAAGATTAATTCTCTACTATACACTGTTATATTAAAATCTGTTGGTCTATTTTTATACTCTGAATGAATCTTTTACCCATGCATGATTCTATAACATTATGAATTAGTATTTTGGAAAATACTGGTTCACAGAAGTACTTAGATCTTTCAGATGTTGATACATTTCTAAATATGGGTACACTCTCAGGCTGATGGGGTGGATATGTTTTTCAACTTAAATTTCCACTTAAAAGCTTGCATTTTATCATTAGCAACAAATACTGTTGTTTTCCTTGAAATAAGACTCATTTTGTTCATTTTTTAGGAGATGCCTGCCAAATACCCAAATTTGAATAAACCGAGTTTGTTAATCTTTCAAATAAAAATGTACTCTAGATTAAAAAGCAGTTTATTCAGCTCACAACTTAAGCAATCAAAGAAGTACTTTTACGTACTTTCCATTTTGTCACAGTATTTTTAAAAGTGAACTCAAGGGTTTAGGTTTAATAAAATGGATATATTTGCTATTTCATGAAAGACTTTTTTAAATGAAACTGGCTTTTTTTTTAATGTCAAGTGTGGGACAGTAGAGACAATGACTACTGGTATTGTTTGATGCCATTTGTGTTGAATTGTGCAAAGGTGCAAGCAGTTTTACCCACCATTGTTTTTATGCCATCAGGAAATGTCAGCATAGTAAAAAAAGCAAAGAATGTCTTACAGTTACTGTGAAAATAGTTGTGACCTTAGAGTCCCCCTAAAAAGGTCTCAGGACCCCAGCAGTCCTTGAACCGCACTTTGCAAACAACTAATCTGTATAAAATGTGAGACAATGGTTATTTTTGTGCAAGGTAGCACAAGATTGAATAAACTTTGCTCTTTATTCTACTTGTTTTTATTTTGCTGGCAAGGAAAATAATGGACTAAATATTTGCTTTACATTTTAGTAGATACAAGAAATCAGAAGCCAGATTTAAGAATAATCACCAAATTGGTCCTTGTCACCTACATTTACTCTTACAACAATCAGACCTTATTGTTTTTGTTTAGCTAACTTTGTACTTTAACTAGAGGCTATTAAATCATTAATAATGTTTTTGAATTATGTAAGTCTTTCAAACCAGGAAGGTAAGTATAATCCATACATTCAGGTGGAAACGTCTTTGGCTAAGATAATAAAGCATGGCCGGGCGCGTGCGGTTGCTCATGCCTGTAATCCCAGCACTTTGGGAGGCCGAGGCGGGTGGATCACGAGGTCAGGAGATCGAGACCATCCTGGCTAAAATGACGAAACCCCGTCTCTACTAAAAATACAAAATATTAGCCGGGCGTGGTGGCAGGCACCTGTAGTCTCAGCTACTCCGGAGGCTGAGGCAGGAGAATGGCATGAACCCAGGAGGCAGAGCTTGCAGTGAGCCGAGTTCGAGCCACTGCACTCCAGCCTGGGTGACAAACCGAGACTCCGTCTCAAAAAAAAAAAAAATAAATAAATAAAATAAAATAAAGATAATAAAGCATAATTAATCTTAAGTCAAAGGACATGTTCATAGTTGAGGTGCCAAACCAAAAGGGAATGCATGAATGTAATTGTTTTTCTTAGTCATGAAAATAAGGTGATTTCCTTTTGAAAACTAAAACTTTGTTCACTGGCATATTCCTTCATTTTTAGTATCTCAGTTTAAATTGTAATTATTATTGGATTATTTTGGGAGGTCACACTCATTTATATAATTCTGTACCAGTGGAGTCATCTCTGTTGAGTAATGCCATTGAGTGTTGAAATAGATTATATTTTTGGCTTAAAATTCCAGAACTTGTGGCTGGGCGCAGTGGCTCACGCCTGTCATCCCAGCACTTTGGGAGGCCAAGGCGGGTGGATCACCTGAGGTCAGGAGTTCAAGACCAGCCTGACCAATATGGTGAAACCCCATCTCTACTAAAAATAGAAAAATTAGCTTGGTATGGTGGCGGGCCCTTCTAGTCCCAGCTACTTAGGAGTCTGAGACAGGAGAATTGCTTGAACCTGGGAGGTGGAGGTTGCAGTGAGCCGAGATTGTGCCACTGCACTTCAGCCTGGGTGACAGAGCAAGACTCCATCTCAAAAAAAAAAAAAAAAATTCTAGAACTTTTGTATAGTTATCTGTAAAGGTGTTAAAAATAATAGAGACTAATTCATAGATTCCCATATTACAAGATAGGAACTACAAAATTAATATAAAATATATCTTGTTATTATTTTGAAGTTCTTTGACCTGTTAAACATTTTTTGTCTTATCTCTGTATTTCAGAGTATAGATAAACCTTTCTCCTATCCCTCCATTAAGTTTTTTGTTTATGATGATTAATGGAAATTAGTTCATTGGGAGGCTGCTGTAGCATTCATAAATTCCTTATAAATAATGGCTGAATTAAATGCTCTGTTCTTTACTTTGCCTTTGTTTCTCCAGTTTCTCTTAAAGCATTGTTTTTAATGAATCTGCAGCATTGTAAAATAAATTATGTAATTTGGGCTTTAACTCTCTGCAAGTATTGGAATAAAATCCTCATGGTGTGTAAAATAGCCTAATCGGTATTGAGCAATGCAAGGAATATAGATTTTAAAGTATTTGTTGAATAAGTGGGTGAAAATTTTAAATTGGATACCAATTATTGATTTTCAGTTCTGTTCAATAAATATTAGTTTCTACTATACACATGATATCTTGTTAAGCAGTAAACATTGAATTTTAAGGATATTAATCATATTTATTCATTCAGCATATATTGTGTGCTTTGTATTGTGCACATATACTTTTACAAATTTGATTAGTTTACTCTGAAAACTTGATTTTAAAAAGCAGAGCAAATTTTTAGGCTTTTTTTTAAGATAAAGCTTTTATTAGTACACATTTATTTATATCATGCTTTTTAGACAGAATAATGTCAAACTTAATGAACAGGTAAATTTTTCAAGTCATATTAGGATAGGTAAGGGTTGATTGGAGTAGGAAGATACAATTTAGTTTCATTTCTGTTTGGAGAATTTTTTTTTAATTCTATATTGAGTTTAAGGAGTTCTAGAGACAGGGAATAGTTTTAAATAAGGAAAAAGTTGGGAACAAAAGTGTGCCCTCCTTGTTAAAAGGTCCCTGGTCATTCCCACATTAGGATCTAAGAGGAAAGTACCCCCAGGCACACCTGAGCGACACTAGTTATAAGAAAAATCCCTGTGTGCACTCAGTAGAGTGTTCTTGCTGGAGCAAAACTCCAATATTCTGCCAGATTTTGTTTTTATAACTGGATGCCTTTAATACAAGTAATATGCACATGGTCCTAGGATATTTTTAAGCTAGGAATCCTAACTGAATCATTTACAGGAACTTTTCTCCCCTTTTTATTTTTGCAATTTTTATCAATAATGCACAAAGTTTATAAAGTCAAATAGAACTGAAAAGATTATAACAGAAATAACTATCACTGCCTCACCTGCCTCAGTACTTATATTTTAAGAGATAACCATTTTTAATACTTTTAGTATGTCTTTATTTATTGCCATATTTCTGCATAAAAGTCTTATACTACTTCTCTTGATTTAACAGTATTTCCTCTACGATAGGTGTAGATTTAGTTCTTTTATACACTACTTTCTGTCCTCCCTTCTCACAGTATTAATATGTTACATTTTATTATATTTGTAATTCCCCTTAAGTTGATTTAGGTGCCCTTCCTTTATTTTATTTTATTTTTTATTTTTTTATTTTTTTGAGATGGAGTCCCGCTCTGTCGCCAGGCTGGAGTGCAGTGGCACAATCCCGGCTCACTGCAACCTCTGCCTCCCGGGTTCAAGCGATTCTCCTGCCTCAGCCTCCCGAGTAGCTAGGATTACAGGCATGCGCCACTATGCCCAGCTAATTTTTGTACTTTTTAATAGAGATGGGGTTTCATCATGTTGGCCAGGATGGTCTTGATCTCTTGACCTTGTGATCCGCCCGCCTCGGCCTCCCAGAGTGCTGGGATTACAGGCGTGAGCCACCGCGCCCGGCCAGGTGCCCTTCCTTTGTGCACTCACAGGAAAAAGAAACCCAAAATCTTTACTTTGCTCTGTGGTAGCCGAGTGTTGTAATTGCCTACTTAATTTACCTATATCACCTCACTACCAAACGTAAGTCCACTGAAGGCAAATACTGTTTGTTCCCAGCTCATTGTCATATACACTTCAATGCCTGGCACAGAGTAGGCATGTAATAGTAGACAGTATTGGTTGTTATTGAATTGAAGTTCCTTAAGCTAGCATATAAGATTTTTAACAACCTGATTTCTGCCTGTCTTTCCAGCCTCATTACCAACCCTACCCTTTTTGCAGCTTCTGTGCTAGCTATACCATAGTGCCAGTGCACACTTTGCAGGCTGTCTGACTTTGCTGATGTTGTGTTTTCTGTCTAGACACTCTTCATTATCTACCTGGAAGGCTCATCATATGCAGACCTACCTTAGATATTATATCCTCAGTGAAATTTTCTAGATCTCATGAGCAAAATGGCTGTCTCATTTTTGCTCCCAGTGTTATTATTTAGTACAGTGTAATAGGAGCTTGGGATCTGGAATCAGGCCTGGAGTCAGGCCTGGAATCAATCCTGGCTCCATCACTTACTAGCAGTGTGACTTCAGACAGGTTAGTTAATTTCTTCGTACTTCAGTTTTCCCTGATGTATGTATAAGATGGAAATAGTAATTAGGTTATGAGGCTTTTAAAACACACATACATGTGCTCATGTAACACAGTACTTGATACATGAGTGAGTAAGCAATAAATGTTAACTTTTTATTATTAGCTCTAATACTTTAACTTGTAGATGATTACTGCTATGCTGGTCTCCCTAGCTAAACTGAGTCACTCAGGGTCAGGAACAGAGTCTTATTTAATAATCATAGCTCTGTTTTCTAGCACAGGGCCCGGCCCAAGAATATATGGATTGTTGCTAAAGTATATAAAATGAGTGGTTGTCAATTTACTCTTTTTGATTATTATTGTTTTGCAGTGATTTTGTTTTCACCACACAAAAATGTGTATTTCCAGTGCTTCGCAATGCTTGGCATGTACTAGATCCTTAATGCACTTTTGTATTAACAAACACATGAACAAACTTAGGAATGTGATACTACTTATTGTACTGTTTATAGTATGTCTATTTACCTATTGATCTTACTTTTTTTCTTATGCAACTATTTCTCTCATTAGTATGCTATAGTGAAATAGTTTGCAAATGTTTTCATTGGCTCTAATGACCAAAAGGAATAAAAAGAAACAAGATTTTATTTTGCTACAAATAATGTGGTGGTGATTTTTCTTTCCAGAAACGAAATCCTGAAGTTCGACATGTAGATTTGGAGATACTGTGAGTTTGATGGAATGAATCACCTGGGTGGGGACCTTGGAAACAAGTTTGTCCGTCCACTCTACAAAGTTTCCTCCTCTCCTACACTGAAAGACTCAGTGCCATGCAGAAGCCTTTTTTTTAAGATGAAGGAAATATTTTATGTAAAGAGCAACTCAGCAGGACACAGAACTAAAACTACTACTTACATCTAACAGACACACTACAAGTTGAATCAATTTGAAAATCATGTTTTTATGCTTCCATAGGGAACATTTTGGTTATTTAAATTGTTCATAATGTCCCATATTTCACCTGTTCAGTGTATACTGTACTTTGCAATCATCTTTCCTTTTTTCACATTGGTAAAAATAAGTGGCATCCATAGGATCATGATTTTTAATTTGTTGCCTCTGAAGATTTCACTCCATCAAGATCTGCCAATCTTCAATATTCTGGCTAAATCTTGGTATGTGGTTTTTAAACAGTCACTCCGTTTCAAAGTCTGTCTTTCCTTATAGAATGTGGAAATTATTTCTCCATACCTTGTGATTTTGACCTGAGTGCTAAGAGAATCACTCTCCTTACCTAGTTATCTACAAATGTTCATTCCAGAAATGTTTAGTTACTGAATTGAATGAAGACATCTCAGTACACTCTTTTAGGTCATAGTAGTTGCCATTTTGTAAAATTTCTTTTTTCTTCTTTGCTTTTTTCCCCTTATTTGGTTTAATTTTTCTAATGTTAGGAGATATAGTCCTAGATATTTCCATGGGCCAGTGTGATGACTTTTTTTTAAATGAGGTTCAGTACCATAATGTTTATTTACTGGAAGATAATGCATTTATAAGCATTTTAAAATTCTGTAAAGTGGGTTAGAAATATTTATAATTTTACAGGCAGGACAGCATTTGACTTTTATTTAAAAGGCGGCACTACTTATGTAAATCTGAGCTGTGGGATATTTCTTGCTTTAAGAGAGAGACAGAATCTCTCACTGAAACTCATGGTCATGATTTTGTATAATATAGTTCATACTGTGTCTGTGAGTTTCTTCAGTTACAAATGGGCATTTAGTATAGTTATATTGACTATAACATGTAAGTAAATAGCTTTCTACTGACCCTAAGTTATCAAGGTGGAAAAAAAACATGCAATTCAGTAATTGAAAATGTGGTGAAAAGCTGCAGCTGTCATCATCAAAACAACTCATAACATACTTTAAAATGTTCAGGTAGCAGTGAGCATTGTTCATATGAGAATGGCGGCTGGGTGATCTCTTTGCTGAATTAATGAGTTCTTAACATGTGGACCCAACTGCCTGTGTGAGATCTGTGTCTTAAAACTTACTGGAATGGAAATCTATGAATTATTGCAAATTGTAATGCTGGAAACAAAAAATAAATCCTTGGTTAAAGGGTTTGTAATGGTGATTTTTGACCCAGAAATCTCATTTACTGGAAAATTGTGAGACTTTACGTTGGTGTATTTTTCTTTTTTTTTTTTTTACTATTACAGAGTATTTTGCATGCTGTACATTTTAAGTGAAATAACATTCCAGTTTTATTTTTAAGATAGAAAATTGTTATATATATATATAATTTGATACTCTATTCTTACAGTTTCAAATTCCTTATCCCTTCTTTACAAAAAAAACTTTTTTTTTACCTGTTATGATTTATTCTATACTTTTTTCTTCTTCCTTCCCCTTTCCCACTTGCCATTTATTACTTCATGTCATTGCCATATGAGAAAGTACCAAATTATATCCAGTTTCCTCCTAGTGATATTACTCTGAAAAATTTCACAAAGCCAGACAAGAATAATTACTCATTTTTTTTCCCAAGACGACCCTCAAAGTTAATGTGCAGCAGGTATTCCAAATGGTAATTTTTTTTTTTTAGGATTCCCTAATAAAAAAAAAAAAAATTCTGATATTTCTTTTTAAATCTGATTTTGGTTGAGGTCATACCATTCTTAAATAATAATTGAAGGTTTATGTTGCCATCTTTTCTAATTCTGTTTTGCACTGATAAACTTACATAAAGTTTGTTTATGTAAAATAAGACATAAAGGAGTACAACATATCAAGGAATTTGAGTATTTATGTGGAATCAGGAAATTTTTCTAGAGTCACTGAATTTTCAAATCAGAGAATTTGGGCTGGATATGGTGGCTTATGCCTGTAATCCCAGCACTTTGGGAGGCCGAGGCAGGAGGATTGCTTGAGCTCAGGAGGTCAAGACCAGCCTGGGCAACACAGCGAGACCTCATCTCTACTAAAAAAAGTTAGCCGGGTGTGGTGGTGCTCACCTGTGTTAGTCCATTCTCACACTGCTATAAAGAAATACCTGAGACTGAGTAATCAAAAAAAGAGCTTTAATTGGCTCATGGTTCTGCAGACTGAACAGGAAACATAGCAGCTTCTGCTTCTGGGGAGGCCTCGGGAAACTTCATTCATGGCAGAATACGAAGGGGAAGCAGTCATAGCCAGAGGAAGAGCAAGAGGCGGGGATTGGGGGTAGGTGCCACACTCTTGTAAACAACCAGATCTCATGAGAACTCACTATACAGTACCAAGAGGGGAAGGTGCTAAAGTATTCATGAGAACTCCACCCCCGTGATCCAGTCATCTCCCACCAGGCCCTACCTCCAACATGGGATTACAATTCGACATGAGATTTGGTGGGGACAAAGATCCAAAGCATATCAGCATCTGTAGTCACAGCTACTTGGGAGGCCGAGGTGGGAGGATCACTTGAGCCCCAGAGGTCGAGGCTGCAATGAGCTATGATCATGCCACTCCAGCCTGAATGACAGAGTGAGATCCTGTCTCAAAAAGAGAATTTGGGTCTCTTTCTCCAAAAATAAGGCTATATTTAGTTTTTCAGGTTTCTTGTTATTTTACCAAATTAATGTTTCTTACTTTGTATCTACTTTGGCATATAGCATTTGAGTATTAAAGCATATAAATCATTTTTAAGGAAAATATTCTCTGCAGGAGAATAATTACAAAAATAATACTGGACAGAGGAGGGGCAGTCAAGGGTCCATGATTGATTCCTTCTTGCCCAAAACTAAAATCTAGGATTTATCAAAGGTGAGGTATACAGTGGTCCCTGACTTATAATGGTTGCACTTAAGAATTTTTATGATGGGTTTATTGGCACATAACCCAATAATAAGTAAAAAGCATCTGTACCTACTTTTAGCTTTGGCTGAGAATGGATCTCTAATTCACTGTAAGTAGCAGTCCCCAAACTATATAAGGTGGCACAGTTTTCATCATGGCAGTGGGAGGATGAGGGGTGGAGTGTTTTTGTTTTTTTTGTTTTTTTTTGAGACAGAGTTTCGTTCTTGTTGCCCAGGCTGGAGTGCACTGGCACAATTGCAGCTCACCGCAACCTTCACCTCCCGATTCAAGTGATTCTCCTGCCTCCTGAGTAGCTGGGATTACAGGCATGCGCCACCACACCCGGCTAATTTTGTATTTCTGGTTTAGACAAGGTTTCTCCATGTTGGTCAGGCTGGTCTTGAACTGCCGACCTCAGGTGATCCGCCCTCCTCGGCTTCCCAAAGTGCTGGGATTACAGGTGTGAGCCACTGCTCCGGTGATCTGTTTTTAAGTGGAGTATCCTGGGGGCCTATAGTATCCAACTCCAAAGAGGTAAGTTCCTGAACATACACTAAAGAACCTGTGAGATAAGATCAGACGGAAAAATTTTCAAATTTTTTCAAAAGCAAAGGTAATCCCTGCATACATCCTCCTACACACACACACATAGTGCAAAGTGAATAACAAAATGTCATAAGGCTTGAGTTTTTGGTATATGGCTTTCAGTGTTACCTTATCTCATAATTTAGGTAATGATTTTTGCTAAAATGATAACCATCTAAAGAGTGCCTAAGTTTTAAGTCTCGTAACTTTTTGAGGAAGAATGCTGGGAACTACAGAAAACTGCATAGGCATTTAGAATTTGTATTATCTTCTTAGACTGCATTTGTCAAGCTTTGGCAGCATTTCTTTTAAATGTGATGAACCCCAATTTGCCAAACTGTCAGAAGTCAGTGAAGCAAAGAATCGAAGGTAAAATGTTGATTCAAAGATTGTCTCCCCTAAATCCTTCATTTCTTTCTCTGAAATGGAACTTTGGAAGCCATTTATATAGATTAGTCTGACAGCCTTTATATTTGCATGTAAGTTTACTTGCATCCTTAGACTTGGCTTTATGCAAAAAGAAAATTTTTATTCGTTATATTGTATTTCATCTGTCTGATTTCCCTGGCACATTAAGATGGTCCTGGTCCCTCAGGATACTTTTTCCCTTAATAAATGTCATATGTAAATAAAGGCAACTCATTTATTAGTTTGGGATTTTTTTTCCCTTGAGAAATAAATGTTTGTTGAACATAAATTCTTCTTTACCTCATGTGCTAAGAACTAAACTATATAATCTGATATATTTTTTATGCCTATGTTTTTGAACAGAATTTGTTACTCATTCAGTGTGCCTGTTAGTTTTTTTTTTTTTTTTTTTTTGAGACGGAGTCTCGATCTGTCGCCCAGGCTGGAGATCCGCTCACTGCAAGCTCCGCCTCCCAGGTTCACGCCATTCTCCTGCCTCAGCCTCCCGAGTAGCTGGGACTACAGGCTCCCGCCACCACGCCCAGCTAATTTTTTGTATTTTTAGTAGAGACGGGGTTTCACCATGTTAGCCAGGATGGTCTCGATCTCCTGACCTCGTGATCCACCCGCCTCTGCCTCCCAAAGTGTTGGGATTACAGGCGTGAGCCACCGTGCCCGGCCGCCTGTTAGTTTTTAGGATTTCTTTTTGGTCGTACAAAACCTAACTATAATAACTCTTAATCATTTTATAATCGGTTTCACTTTAAAGAGAACTATTCATTTTTTGGTTTTATAAAACCAAACTATAATAACTTAATCATTTTATAATCGGTTTCAGTTTAAAAAGAACTATTAATATACTGTTTATTAACATATTAACATTAATATGTTTGGTAAAACAAAATTTGGAAAGTTATATTCCTTAGTGATATATATTTTCAGTACATTTTGACATAACTAGATTATTTAACATTTTAATTAGGCTGTTTTGTTTCAGATGTGTCTACAAGAGTATGTTTAGAGAAAAAAATACAAAACATGGAAACATCAAAACCCTCAACCTAAGGCCAGCCTGCACTGTGATCTAAATTGAACTCTATACTAATCCTGTGGGAATTCCAACTGTATTTTCTTTTTCATGAGAAACTAAACCAAAGTAATTTGGTATTTTGAGAGGGTAAAATTCCCTCCCAAAATTCAAAACCTATTGAAAGTAGAACCACTACAGTTTATGATTTGCACAGGAAAATAAAGAATTGTATGTGTCATTAGGGCCCAAAATACAACCCTTTTAAAAGGTTTTTAAACGGCCGGGCGCGGTGGCTCACGCCTGTATTCCCAGCACTTTGGGAGGCCGAGGTGGGCGGATCACGAGGTCAGGAGATCGAGACCATCCTGGCTAACACGGTGAAACCCCGTCTCCACTAAAAATACAAAAAATTAGCAGGGCGTGGTGGCAGGCACCTGTAGTCCCAGCTACTGGGGAGGCTGAGGCAGGAGAATAGCAAGAACCCGGGAGGCAGAGCTTGCAGTGAGCCGAGATTGTGCCACTGAACTCCAGCCTGGGAGACAGCAAGACTCTGTCTCAAAAAAAAAAAAAAAAAAAAAAAAAGTTTTTAAATAGACTAAAATATATACTTGCTAGTATTATAACAGCTATTAACAGAATATTTTGAGGTCTGTTTGCCAGGTACTGTTTTACATGTACACTTTTTTGTTGTTGTTTTTGAGACGGAGTCTCGCTGTGTCGCCCAGGCTGGGGTGCAGTGGCGCGATCTCGGCTCAGTGCAAGCTCCGCCTCCCGGGTTCACGCCATTCTCCTGCCTCAGCCTCCCAAGTACCTAGGACTACAGGCGCCCGCCACCATGCCCAGCTGATTTTTTTTGTATTTTTAGTAGAGACGGGGTTTCACCGTGTTAGCCAGGATGGTCTCGATCTCCTGACCTCGTGATCTGCCAGCCTCCGCCTCCCAAAGTGCTGGGATTACAGGCATGAGCCACCATGCCTGTACATGCCTACATGTACACATTTAATCCCCACAAAGAGCCAGTGAAATGTGGTCTGTAATTCACATTTTTGCAGATGAGGAAACAGATACAGTAGTTAATATTAGTGTCTGAGACTACTCATCCAATAAAAGGCAGAGTCAGGATTTGAACTCACAAGGAAGCATTCTGCTAAACAGAAAAGCCCAAGAGAAGTAACACTGTATAAAATTAGAAAGGAAATATTCATTATATTGTTATACAGTAACCTAATTTATATTCAGTAGTCAGAACAATTAGCTAAATCTAACTCAGACTGCTTGGGACAGGGGGATGACGGTTGGGGTAGGGCGTGGATCAATGAGTTGTTTTTTTTTGCGGGGCGGGGGGCGGTGTTTGGGTTTTTTTGGTTTGTTTGTTTTCTTTTGAGACGGAGTCTCGCTCTGTCGCCCAGGCTGGAGTGCAGTGGCGCGATCTCGGCTCACTGCAACCTCCGCCTCCTGGGTTCAAGCCATTCTCCTGCCTCAGCCTCCCGAGTAGCTGAGACTACAGGTGTGTGCCACCACACCCAGCTAATTTTTGTATTTTTAGTAGAAACAGCGTTTCACCATGTTGGCCAGGATGATCTCGATCTCTTGACTTGATGATCCACCCCCTCGGCCTCCCAAAGTGTTGGGATTATAGGAGTGAGCCACCGTGCCCGGCCCTCATTAAGGTTTTTATGGACGCTGAGGTCTTGTCTGTTTCGTTAGGCTATTTTTTATTTATTTATTTATTTATTTTTTTTTTTTTGAGATGGAGTCTGGCTGTCTTCCAGGCTGGATTGCAATGGCGCGATCTTGGCTCACTGCAACCTTTGCCTCCCAGGTTCAAGCGATTCTCTTGCCTCAGCCCCCCAAGTAGCTGAGACTACAGGCACCTGCCACCTTGACCAGATAATTTTTGTATTTTTGGTAGAGATGGGGTTTCACCTTATTGGCCAGGCTGGTCACGAACTCCTGACCTTGTGATCTGCCCACCTCGGCCTCCCAAAGTGCTGGGATTACAGGCGTGAGCCACCGAGCCGGCCTATTTTTTAAATGATATTTATTTTTAACTATTACTACCACTGGATAAACATATCCAGAAGACAATATTTTGTTCAAATGTCAGTCATTGATGTGAACCACGTAGGAAAGAAATTCAGGGAGAGGTGTGAAAATTAGAATTAGTCAGAAGTTTTAAAGATATAGTTATCCCGGCCAGGCACGGTGGCTCACGCCTGTAATCCCAGCACTTTGGGAGGCTGAGGCGGGTGGATCACACGGTCAGGAGTTCAAGACCAGCCTGGCCAACATGGTGAAACCCTGTCTCTATTGAAAATACAAAAATTAGCCCAGCATGGTGGCGGGCACCTGTAGTCCCAGCTACTTGGGAGACTGAGGCAGGAGAATTGCTTGAACCTGGGAGGCGGAGGTTGCAGTGAGCCAAGATCATGCCACTGCACTCCAGCCTGGGCGACAGAGCAAGATCTGTCTCAAAAAAAAAAATTTATATATATAGTCATCTCTTGGTATCTGTGGAAATACCCTGTGGGGATATCCCTGGGATACCAAAATTCAAGGATGTTGAAGTTTCCTATATAAAATGGCATATTTGTATATAACCTACACACATCCTCAAGTATACTTTAAATAATCTCTATTATAATACCTAACACATTGTAAATGTTATGTAAGTAGTTGTCATACTGTATTTAGGAGACAATGACAAGGAAAAAAGCCTGTTCACGTTTAGCACAGACACAATTTTTTATTTATTGAGTATTTTCGATACGTTGGTTGAATCAGAGATGCGAACCCATGGATACGAAAATCTGACTATATTTTTAAATTGTGCTTGAATAGATAAAACATTCACATGATTCTAAATTCAGAATGCTCAAACAGATTTATAGGAAACATTCTTTCTCTCAACCTTGCTCACAGCTATCCATTTTCTTTTCCCAGAGGCAACTAATGTTATAAGCTTGTGATATATCCTTATAGAGATATTTGATGTATATATTCACATATATACATGTTTATTATATATATTTCCCCTGTTCTACAAAGATGATAAAATAGTATATATATTAATGAACCTTCTCATAATGTAAGTACACAGCCATTTTCCAGAGTTGTGTTTACTGAAAATTACTACATCAACAGGACATAACACATAATGTGCTTTACCATATGGTAGCCACTAGTGACATGGGGATATTTAAATTTAAATTAATTACATAAAATAAATTCAGTTCCTCAGTTGCATTAGCCACATTTTCATGTGCTCAGTAGCCACATGTGGCCAGTGACTGTGTTGTACAATTCAGATATAGAACATTTTCATTATCACAGCAAGTTGTTTTGGACAGTCCTAATATGGTGGATTAAAGTAATCCTAGTCTCTCTTTAATATTTGAGAGTGTCTTTACAGTGTACAGCATAAGAGTGCCTGGTTTCTGTTGTTGGAGGCAGGAGGATAAAATTCTGGCTTAGCTCTTAGAAATGTATCAATACAAATAGCTCTTGGGCTATAACTTAAGGCTACCAACTGGTAAGTGTTACTTTCAGCAAATAAATTTCTCATGTTCAAAATGAAGAGTTTGAATTTGACTTCCTCTCATTCAAATGCATAATATACATTCTGAACATTAGGGAACAATTGAATCATACAAAAGTGTTCTTGAACCATCAAAATTTCTTACCCAAGTTCATAAATTATGTTTCTGAATGTTCATGTCAGTTTATCTTGTGGCCCAGCAAAGGGCTAAATAAGTATGATACCATTCATCACATAAAGGTCTCAGAGAACAAAATATGGGATTGGTGGGCCCAGGTGGTGAGAAAGGAAGGAGTTGCGGGTTTATCACACTTTATACAAGAAGTAAGTTCCTGGGCCAGGCGCGGTGGTTTACACCTGTAATCCCAGCACTTTGAGAGGCCAAGGAGGGCGGATCACGAGGTCAGGAGATGGAGACCATCCTGGCTAACACGGTGAAACCCCGTCTCTGGTAAAAACACAAAAAATTAGCCGGGCGTGGTGGCACGTGCCTGCAGTCCCAGCTACTCAGGAGGCTGAGGCAGGAGAATCGCTTGAACCCAGCAGGCGGAGGTTGCAGTGAGCCGAGATTGCGCCACTGCACTCCAGCCTGGGTGACAGAGCGAGGCTCCGTCTCAAAAAAAAAAAAAAAAGAAAGAAAAATAAGTTCCTGGACATTGTGTAAATTAAATATTTCTAAATCTATAAATTAAATATTTCTAAATCTATTTTTAGATGCACTAGAAGAGTTCACAATTTAAAGAAATCCTCCTGTAATGTATGATTATTTATATTTTGTTAAATCCTATTTAAAAGAGATTTTATAAGATGACTTCTAGATTACTCCTGGAACTATGGCAGATCATGTTGAGGTTAAAAGAGCATTAAGGGATTGGATGATAGATGGTCTAATATCATCACTGCTTGAAGTTCCAAGGAATTACTCAAACTGATCCAATTTCCTTATGACATTTTCTATATGGATTGACAGCCCATGTCAATTATTGAATATTTACTATATACAAGCTATGATATACTAGATGCCCGTGAGGCCCTTCTTAGAAGAAGGAAGATGATGGCAGTGTTGTCAACCAGATAATCATTCCTGATGGTCAAGGTGGGGGATGTCCCGTCCTGATAATCCCCTCATCCAATAACCAGGACAGAATTACTCATGGCTGTGGTATCTTGTCCTTCCTGAGGTCAATAAGGCCTGCCTTGATCAGAACCAAGCAATTGTTTATCCATCATGGGCCAGTGATTTCAAGTATAGAAGATGCTGGGACCCTAATTTGAGTCCACTTAATGGGAGGTATCCTGGGAAATGCCCATAATTAATTTGTGTTTGCTTTTCCAGGTTTCCTTAAGCTTCCTAAGTTTCATAATGTATAAGATATTTACAGAATTCCTAAATTTTTGTAAACATGCTGTTATTTCTCCCATCTTAGAAAAACAGACTAAAACATCACAACCACGCCCCCACACACAAAATGCGTAAAAACAAAAAAATCCTTCACTTAGTTTCTTATTTCTTTACTTCCCTTCACAGCAAAACTCAAAGGAGTTGTCTATATTTGCTGCCTCTCTTTCCTTTTCTCTGAAACCCATTCCAATCAGGCTTTTGTCACTCTCTCCACTAACCCTGTCCTTGACTTCCATACCACTAAATACAATTGTCAATCTTAGGTTGTCATCTTACTTGATCTGTCAGCAGCATTTGACACAGTGAATCTGGCTTCCAGAATTCTACTTTCTGGGTTCTCCACCAACCTCTGTGGCCACTCCTTTTCAGTCTTTTTTTTTTTTTTTTTTTTTTTTTGTTGAGAGAGTCTCGCTCTGTTGCCAGGCTGGCTACAGTGCAGTGGCATAATCTTGGCTCACTGCAACCTCCACCTCCCGAGTTCAAGCGATTCTTCCACCTTAGCCTCCCTGGTAGCTGGGACTACAGGTGTGCATCACTTAATTTTTGTATTTTTAGTAGAGACGGGGTTTCACCATGTTGGCCAGGCTGGTCTCGAACTCCTGGCCTCAAGTGATCTATCTGCCTCGGCCTCCCAAAGTGCTCAGATTACAGGTGTGAGCCACCATGCCCGGCCTTCAGTCTCTTTTTGTAGGTTTCTCCTCATTTCCATTACCTCCAAACATTGGCATATCCCAGGACTATGTCTTTTCTTTGTCTATATTCATTCACTGAGTGATTCAGTCCCATGGCTTTCCAAAAAAAAAAAAACATTTATTGAAACCTTGATTCTCTACCTTGAATCCCAGACTCAAATGTCCAGTTGCCTACTTGACATCTCCAGGTTTGTGAGATAGGCATTCCAATATGCTGCCGATGGGAGTGTGAAGTAGGCCTAGCTATGTGGGGGGTACTATAGCCGAAGATGTTAAATGAGTCTGGAAAAATATGTCTGGGCATGGTGACCCATGCCTGCAGGTCTAGCACTTTGGGAGGAGGTGGTGGGTGGATTGTTTGCTTGCGGCCAGAAGTTACCAGCCTGGTCAATATAGCAACGCTTTGTCTCAAAAAAAAAAAAAAAAAAAAAAAGAGTCTGGAAAATAGCCATGTCCTTTGACCTATTTATTCCACTTCTAGAAATACAGCCTAATAATACAGTCTTTGGAGGCATTTTTGGCAGGATATTTAATACAGTAAAATGCTTATGATAGATAGAGAAAAATGTAAAAATATACATCTTGGGCTGAGCGTGGTGGCTCACGCCTGTCATCCCAGAACTTTGGGAGGCCAAGGCAGGAGGATTGCTTGAGCCCGGGAGTTCGAGACCAGCCTGGCCAACATGGTGAAACCCGGCCTCTAAGACAAAGACATACAAAAATCAGCCGGGCGTGGTGGCACGCACCTGTAGTCCCAACTATTTGGGAGGCTGGGGTGGGAGGATCACTTGAGGTGGGAGGAGGTGGAGGTTGCAGTGAGCCAAGATGATGCCACTGCACTCCACCCTGAACAACAGAGGAAGACCCTGTCTGAAAAAGAAAAGAAAAGAATATACATCTTGCAGTTCAAGTTGTTACTGCTAAGGTTTGAGATTGGAGTGGGACATAAAAAACATTTTTATGAACAGGTATTACTTTTTTAAATTTTAAAAAGTGCTTAAGATTCATTTTCTAGTGAAAAAACAGGATACATAACTATATTCAGAATAATTTCAAAGTTGTGTACATAGAGAAAGGATTGAAAGCAAATACACTATTAACAATTTCATACGTGGATAATTTTTATCTTCTCTCTTTTTCTGTCATTTACAGATTTTCCACAATGAGTTTGTCTTTTATAATAAAAAGTTAATTTAAAAGGACAAGCAATTCAGGCTGGGCGCAGTGGCACACACCTGTAATCCCAGAACTTTGGGAGGCTGAGGTGGGTGGATCACCTGTGGTGAAGAGTTCAAGACCAGCCTGGCCAACATGGTGAAACCCCATCTCTACTAAAAATACAAAAATTAGCCGGGCATGGTGGTGGACACCTGTAATCCCAACTACTCGGGAGGCTGAGGCAGGAGAATCACTTGAACCCAGGAGGCGGAGATTGCAGTGAGCTGAGATCACACCACTGCACTCCAGCCTGGGCGACACGGCGAGACTCTATGTCAAAAGAAAAGAAAAGAAAAGAAAAGAAAAGAAAAGGACAAGCAATTCTTCAATCTTGGGATAAATGAAGACATTGATTGGAGTGTCATAAAACTAAGATGTGAGAATTTTTGAATTAGAATTTTAATTTTAATACCTACTTTCAAGAGGAGGTAAGAACCAAAAGTTTTAAAGGGAAAAGACTGAAGATGAGCATGTTTCTTTGAATTATAAAACTTGGGTTTAATACCACTAGACTCTAAATTTCCAACCCTAGTAATATGGAATATGCTGTTGGAACTCAACGTGGTCGTTTGCTTAACTTTTTGTTGATATAATCTGAAATGATATTAAATCTCACTGTGGAGCATCATAAAAACAACCTATTTGTCAGAGAAGAGTAGGACAATTGTCCTATTAAATTGGAAAACTGAAAAAGAAAATTTAAAAACAGACTTCCATTATTGCATTCATATGACAAATACTTTTTGAGTGTCTGTGTCACTGGGCACTGTACTACCTTGTAACTACCTAGGCAGTCGGGGTAGGGAATCCTCCTTGGGGAAGTACCCTTTGTAAGGCCAGGCACAGAGAAAAAGGAGGGTAAAGAGTGTGCTAGGTAATAGGTAGAGGACATGTACAAATAGATGGCTACTGATTTTCAGTTGATAACTATGTCTAATTAGGTGAATACCATCTTATTCTAGCAAGAGTATCAGAGTGCGTTCATTCCTGAGGACCCTTTCCCTGGTGTTGAAACAAATTATCTCTAGCCTTCAGTACGAAATAAATTCCCTTTTGCTACATTTCTGCCAAATCTGAAGAATCACAATGGATGAGTCTCATGCCTATTTCAAAATGGTATAGAGTCTCTGGGGGTTCAGTATATTTAACTTGTTTCCTCATAAGTGTGACTTCAAGATATTGTTTCATGCTGGAATTGTAAATTGTGATTTATCCATTCTCTGTAGAAATATTAAATAAATCTGAAAAAACTCCAAAACCCATTTTTATTGTAATTTTTCTTACTGCATTTTAGATACAGCTTTAAGATTATTTGCTAAGAGATGAAAGGAAAGGTGGGTGTTAAACTCAGATTGAAGCAATTTAAAATGTTACAGGCAGTTATATTTGATATAGAACTTCTCAGTTTATTATAAATGGAATAAGGTTGGATCTCTAAAAGGAAAAAATATATGTTGCAGCTGTTTCCATCTTATTTGTTCCATGGGACTGTCTTACGTCCCCAGCCCTGCAAGATTCCTCCAGGGGTCTCCAGCTACCTCCACTCCTCTGAGGACTTTCTGTGTACAGAAGACAGGCCCAATGTTGCAACACGACCTCCTATCGAGGCTTGGCAGTGTTTTCAGATTAGAGTTCAATTTTCTTTACTTAATTTCTTGATACCTATCTCCAATCCAAATAAACTTAGCTACAATATTTTTGAAGATTTACATTCCTAAACACTTAATTCCAGAATTAATTTTTCCTTAATAAAATAAGCTTCACTATTTTTTAAATTTTTATTTTTAATCAACTCATAATTGTACACATTCATGGGGTACTATATGATGTTTCAATACATGTATACATTGTGTAATGATCAAATCAGGGTAATTACCTTACCCATCACCTCAAACATTTATTGTTTCTTGGTGGTGAGAACATTCAAAATCCTCTTCTAGCGATTTTGAAACATACATAGCTAACTGTAGTTACCCTACTTGCAATAGGACACCAGAACTTATTCCTCCTAACTGTAACTTTGCATCTGTTGGCCAATTTCTCCCCATCTCCTCCTCTCCTCTACCTCCCACCCTTCTCCCCCAGCCTCTGATAACCAAGGTTCTACTCTCTACTGCTATGAAATCAAGTTTTTTAGATTCCACATACGAATGACATCATGTGGTATTTGTCTTTCTCTATCTGGCTTATTACGCTTAACATCATGTCGTCTAGTTTCATCCATGTTGTTGCAAATGACAGCATTTCCTGTTTTGTTATGGTGAAATAGTACTCTATTGTGCATATACACCACATTTTATCTCTTCATCTGATGATGGGTACTTAAGCTGATTCCTTACCTTAGCTATTGTGAATAGTGGTGCAATAAACAGGAGCATGCAGATGTCTGTTTCACATACTGATTCCAATTCCTTTGGATAAATAGCTAGTGTTGGGATTGCTGGGTCATGTGGTAGTTATATTTCTATTTTTTTGATAAACCTCCAAACTGTTTTCCATAATTACTATAATAATTTACATTCCCACCAACAGTGTGTAAGGGTTTTTTCTTCTTCACATCCTCACGAACACTTGTTATTTTTTGTCTTTTTGATAATAGCCATTCTTACTCGAGTTAGGTGATATTGTGATTTTGAC
The DNA here is from genome assembly GCF_000001405.40 of Homo sapiens. Lineage (NCBI taxonomy): Eukaryota > Metazoa > Chordata > Mammalia > Primates > Hominidae > Homo > Homo sapiens. The sequence goes on from NC_000004.12 coordinate 42,100,745, forward strand.
TTGCAGTTCCCTGATGACTAGTGATGCTGAGTATTTTTTCATATACTTGTTGGCAATTTTATGTCTTGTTTCAAGAAATGTCTATTCAGGTTTTTTGCCCATTTTTAATTGGATTATTTGGTTTTTTTGCTATTGAACTCAACAGTTTGGGTTCCTTATATATTCTAGATATTAACCTCTTGTCACAAACATTTACAAATGTTTTCTTCCATTCTGTAGGTTGTCTCTTCACTCTGTTGATTGTTTCCTTTGCCGTGCAGAAGCTTTTTAGTTTGCTTTTGTTGCCTGTACTTTTGAGGTAAAAAAAAAACTCCTTGCCCAGACCAATGTCATGAAACATTTCTCCTGTTTTCTTCTATTAGTTTCATAGTTTCAGGTCTTACAGTTAAGTCTTTAATCCATTTCGAGTTAGTTTTTATACAGTAATCCCCTCTTTTCCATACGGGATACATTCCAAAACTCCCAGTGGATGCTTAAACCATGGATAGTACTAAATCCTATTTATACTAAGCTTTTTCCTATATGTACATGCCTATAATAACATTTAATTTATAAATGAGGCACAGCAAGAGATTAACTATAATAAAATCAACCAATTATGAAAATATACTGTAATAAAAGTCATGTGAATGTGGACTCTTTCAAAATATCTTACTGTGCTGTACTCACCCTTCTTGAGACAATGTGCAATGATAAAGGGCCTACATGATGAGATGAAGTGCAGTAAATGACGTAGGCATTGTGCCGTAGCATTAGGCTATTACTGACCCTCGATGATAGGTCAGAAGGAAGACCATCTGCTTCACTGATCCTGGACCACTGAGCCACGATGATGTTGATGACAAATAGGCAGGCAGCATATACAGTACAGATACACTGGACAAGACCCTCGATGATAGGTCAGAAGGAAGACCATCTGCTTCACTGATCCTGGATCACTGAGCCACGATGATGTTGATGACAAATAGGCAGGTAGCATATACAGTACAGATACACTGGACAAAGGGATGATTCATGTTCCTGAAGGAGGGAATGAGATTTCATCATACTACTCAGAAGGGTGAGCAATTAAATCAAAACCACAATGAGATACCATCTCACACCAGTTAGAATGGCGATCATTACAAAGTCAGGAAACAAGATGCTGGAGAGGATGTGGAAAAATAGGAATGCTTTTACATTGTTAGTGGGAGTGTAAATTAGTTCAACCATTGTGGAAGACAGTGTGGCGATTCCTCAAGGATCTAGAACCGGAAATACCATTTCACCCGGAAATACCATTTCACCCAGCAATCCCATTACTGAGTATATACCCAAAGGATTATAAATCATTCTACTATAAAGATGCATGCACACTATGTTTATTGCAGCACAGTTTACAATAGCAAAGACTTGGAACCAACCCAAATGCCCATCAATGACAGACTAGATGAAGAAAATGTGGCATATATATATATATACATACACATACCATGGAATACTATGCAGCCATAAAAAAGAATGATTTCACGTCCTTTGCAGGGACATGGATGAAGCTGGAAAGCATCATTCTCAGCAAACTAACACAGGAACAGAAAATCAAACACTGCTTGTTCTCACTCATAAGTGGGAGTTGAACAATGAGAACACATGGACACAGGGAGGGGAACATCACACACCGGGGCCTATCGGGGGGGTGGGGGGCAAGGGGAGGGATAGCATTAGGATAAATACCTAATGCGTGCAGGGCTTAAAACCTAGATGACAGGTTGATGGGTGCAGCAAACCACCATGGCACATGTGTACTTATGTAACAAACCTGCACGTTCTGCACATGTATCCCAGAACTTAAAGTATAATAAAAAAAAGAAGGGTGTGCAATTTAAAACTTATGAATTACTTATTTCTGAAATTTTCCATGTAATATTTTCAGACTGTGGTTAACCGTGAGTAACTGAAACCTCAGAAAAGAAAACTGGAGGCTGGGCGTGGTGGCTCCTGCCTGTAGTCCCAGCACTTTGGAAGGCCAAGGCGAGTGGATCATGAGGTCAGGAGTTCAAGACCAGCCTGGCCAACATGGTAAAACCCCGTCTCTACTAAAAATACAAAAATTAGCTGGGCATGGTGGTGGTGCCTGTAATCCCAGCTACTCAGGAGGCTGAGGCAGATAATTGCTTGAACCCGAGAGGTGGAGGTTGCAGTGAGCCATGATCACACCACTGTACTCCAGCCTGGGCGACAGGGTGAGACTCTGTCTCAAAAAAAAAAAAAAAAAAAAAAAAAAAAAAGAAAGAAAGAAAGGAAAACTGGGATAAGGGGGGGACTATGTTATATGGTGAAAGATAGGGGTCCAGTTTCATCCTTCTGCATGTGGGTATCTAATTTTCCCAGCACCATTTATTGAAGAGACTATCCTTTCCCCAAGGTGTGTTCTTGGCACCTTTGTTGAAAATCAGTTGGCTGTAGATATGTGGATTTATTTCTGTACTGTTTTTATGCAAGTACCGTGCTGTTTTGGCTACTATAGTAGCTTTATAGTATATTCTGAAGAACATGAAGTAAGAACATTATCTTAAAAATGTTCATAGAATGGTTAGGGCTTCTCCTACAAAATGCACTGGTGAGTCACAAACACAAAATAAATTTTATTATAGTTTTCCTTATTTTTAACCCAAAATAATAATAGCCAGTTAATCAATCTACCATATTCATCAGTTGTCAATCCAACTAGTTTTGACTGCTTCCAAAAAATCAAATTTATCTTCAAAAGATAAAGATATCCATTATTCCATCAAGCCTATTTTAAAAATTGGTCCCACATACCTCAGGTAACTCCCAAGCAGTATTTCAAACATATCCTAAAGATGATGACATTGTTAGAAAAAGATGATAGCCTCATAAGAGATTATTTTTAAAGGAATACTTAGTTGCTCTTCAATGTTTGTTAAAAATACAACTGATGTTATTTTATGATCATACTTTGGCTACAACTACAGATGTACCCAAGAAATAAAGTAGGTAAGAATGTATTCCTTTACAAGATAATTCATAGTGATCTTTCTTTAAAAAGTTGTTTCCGTTTTACAACCACAATAACTATCCCTACATCATTAGAGATGCATCTCTTGTAAAAGATGAGCTTTTCTTGAGCCAGCAGGCTGGATATCCACACATTTGAAAATAATCTTAGTTCTTAACATTCAGTGAGTTTGTCAGAAACATAGGATCTCAGACTCCACTCCATACCTATTGAATCAGAAAATCTGTGTTTAACAAGATTTGCAGGTGATTTATAAGCAGGTTAAAATTTGAGGAACAGAGAGCTCTTGCTAATCTTATGAAGAGACATAATTTATAACACCAACGAAACAACTATTGAAGATGAGAAAACTTTTTTCTGATAGAATACATGATGACCTTAACAAAGCCATATAAATATAAATTTGCTCAAGAATGTAAATGAAGATATAAACATAATAAGGACAGATGTGACACTCTGTCATACACTGGATAGAACAGCAGATTAGGCACAGCAAAAGACAAGATCAGTGAACTTGAAGCAATACACCCTATCCAAAATAAAGCAAAGACAGAAAAGAAATAAACAGAGTCCATGTGATCTATGGGAAAATATCAATCAGTCTAATATGTGTGTGTACTAGTTTGCTACGGCTACTGTAAAAAATTACAACAAACTTAGCCCCTTAAAATAACACAAATTTATTTTATACTTCTGTAGGTCAGAAGTCCAATTAGGGCCTCACTGCTGTCCACAGGGCTGCATTTATTGCAGGAGGGTCTAAGAAAGAACCAATTTCCTTGTCTTCTCCAGCTTTTAGAGACTCCAGTATTCTGTGGCTTGTGGCTTCCTTCCTCCATCTTCAAAACCAGCATGGGGTCCTCACACTGCATCACTCAAACCTACTCTTTTTAAGACCCTTGTGATTACTTTGGGCCCTCCCAGATGATCCAAGATAATCTTCCTGTAAGATCCCTTCTGCCCTGCAATCTAACATACTCACAAATTCTGGGGATTAACATGTGTGGACATCGTTGGTGAGTCATTATTCTGCCTTCCACAATATGTAATTCGAGTGCCAGAAAAAGAAGAGGAAGAAGGAAGACAGAAATTATATTTGAAGAAATAGTGACTGAAAAATTTTCCAAATATGATGAAAAATATAAACTCACAGATCCAAGAGTTCAACAAACCCCAGTAGAAGAAATTTAGATAAAACCACACCAAGGCAGATCATAATCAAACTTGATAAACAGTGATAACTTCTCAATTACTGATACTTCAAAGAAATGGCATCCTTTATACTTTTCACCAGTATTAAAAATCCTTCATTAAACAAATGTTTGTAGTTCCCCGTAGATTCATGAGGATTTTCCTCATCATGTATCCTTAAAGAGAAATGTGAAAGGACTAGGAAAAGCCCCAATCTTTACCTATTTTAAAGCTATCATAGAAATACTTCTGCAAAAAAAAAGTCCATCCACTGGGTGTAGTGGCTCATACCTGTAATCCCAGTACTTCAGGAGGCCAGGGCAGGAAGATCACTTGAGGACAGGAGGTTGAAACCACCCTGGGTAACATAGTGAGACCTTGTCTCTATCAAAAGGAAAAAAATTAACCAGGCATGGTGGCACACACCTATAGTCCCAGCTCTTCGGGGCTGAGGTGAGAAGATCACTTAAGCCCAGGAGTTCGAGGCTGCAGTGAGCTATGATCATACCACTGCACTCCAGCCTGGGCAATAGAGCAAGACCCTGTCTCAAAACACAGAAACACACAAAGTCTACCCAAATATACACCACAGAGTGAATGGGTAATTATTTAGCACAAAATGTTAATAGAAAACACAACTTAAGCCACAATCAAACAGCATTATTATATTTTTATATTGAATTGAAAATGCTTCTGTGTTGCTAGGAAGGAGAAAGAATCATTGTCACTGGTACCAAAAAAAATAAATAAATAAAACAAGACTAGAATACACGTTTATACCCCTTTCCTCATCTCTTGGCAGGGCCTGCGTTTCTCCCCAGCATCTGGTGGAGCGTGAAAAGTCACTATTTAAGCCCTTATCTGGAAGCAAACCCTGGGTTTAAAAAAACGCCTGTATCTCCAGTTACATTGGCTGGTCCCCCTGCTTCTATTCAATCACACAGCCTACTCTTCATCAGTCGTGCGTTGCTCAATGATGAGGACAGGTTCTGAGAACTGTGTCATTAGGTGATTCTGTAGTACAAATATCACAGGGAGCACTGACGCAAACCTGGATGGTGTCGCCTACTGCATACCCAGACTCTATGTACAGAGTGTTGCTCCTAGGCTGCAAATCTGTACAGCAAGCTTCTCCCCCGTGGCCCATGGGGCTTTGAATGACGGCTTTGAATGCGGCCCAACACAAATTTGTAAACTTTCTTAAAACACTATGAGATTTTTTTTTTTTTTAGCTCATCAGCTATCATTAGTGTATTTTTTTCTTTTCTTTTTTTTTTTTTTGTTTTTTGAGACGTAGTCTGTCACCCAGGCTGGAGTGCAGTAGTACGATCTCGGCTCACGGCAACCTCCGCCTCCCGGGCTCATGCCGTTCTCCTGCCTCAGCCTCTCCGAGTAGCTGGGACTACAGGCACCCACCACCACGCCCGGCTAATTTTTTTGTATTTTTAGTAGAGACGGGGTTTCACCGTGGTCTCGATCTCCTGACCTCGTGATCTGCCCGCCTCAGCCTCCCAAGGTGCTGGGATTACAAGCGTAAGCCACCGCGCCCAACCTCATTAGTGTATTTTATGTGTGGCCCAAGACAATTCTTCTTCCGACGTGGCTCAAAGAAGCCAAAGGATTGGACATCTCTGCCGTACCACCTGTGACTGTGCTGAACAGTGTAGGGAACTGTAACACAGTGGTATTTATGTATCTCAACAAAGAAAAAGTACAGTAAAAATACAGTATCAGAATCTTATGGGACCACTGTCATACATACCATACAGTCTGTTATTGAATAAAATGTCACCACGTGGTACATGACTATATTTCTTCCCTTTCTTCCTCTTCCTTTTTTTTTTTTGAGGCAGTCTCTCTCTATTGCCCAGGCTGAAGTGCAGTGCCCTGATCATGCGCTACTGCAACCTCAAACTCCTGGGCTCAAGTGATCCTCCCACTTCAGCCTCCAGAGTAAATGGGTCTACAGGTGTCTGCCACCATGTCTGGCTTTTTTTTTTTTTTCCTTTTTTTTGTAGAGACAGGGGCCTCGCTATGTTGACCAGGCTGGTTTTGAACTCCTAGTCTCAACTGATCTGTCCACCTCAGCCTCACAAAGTGCTGGGATTATAGGCGTGAGCCACTGCGCCCAGCCTGTATTTCATTTTTATTATGTTAAGCATTCTTAAACGAGAATGTTCTTAAGCATTCTCATGCCTCAATGCATTTTTAATTTTAATACTAAAAAAAGGTTTAAAAAATTTGCATCAATTTGGTCTATAAAATGTTTGTGAAATGACAATAAATGTTTAATCTTAAAGCTGTATTTCAAAACCATGGTTTAACCCAATTTGTGAAAAATATACAACTGGTAAGTACAAGCACTAAGATATTCTACTTTAGATGTATTTTATTCTACTGCAGCTTTTTATTTAAGGCTGCAAGTGTATTTCTCTTCTTTCACATCAATTTTGTATCTTTTTTAATTTACAGATAAAATGCAGGCATGTTTCTTAAACATTAGGACCAATGATTACAGGCACTGAGACTGTATCTCTACAGAGCTGAATCAGAACCAAGAGATGGCCACATCTAACAGACGGCTTCATCTAATAGAGACACTGATTCACTGGCACGTATTTTTCTCATTTTATATCTGATTCTGCTTAAAAAAAATTTTTTTAAGAGATTGAGTCTCACTGTGTTGTCCAGGATAATCTCAAACTCCTGGCCTCAAGCAATCCTCCTAGCTCAACCTCACTGGGATTATAGGCATGAGTCACCACACTCAACCCGATTCACCTTTCTGAATACAGGTTTATATGCGGGAACAAGTTGCCCAGTAAAGCTCGGGATTTTCTCGTAATTAACAGCTCTTTTGTCATTTTTCTTCAAATAGTTGCCAAGCCATTGGCTGTATTACTTTGCTTCTTAGGCCATGGCGCCTGGTAACAATGCCAGGCACATCAGGCTCTTAATAAATATATTTTATGAATGTATAATAAATTTAGAAGTGATTATATCATCCTATATTTGGTTCCTTCATTATGTAAACCATGCACTGAGCAGCACTCTCTAAAACTGCCTACATAGTATTTTGACTCTTCTGGACTTTATATAAATGGAATCATACAATGCATGGCTTTTTGTCTGGCTTCTTTTACTTACCATAAATTTTGAAGGTTCATTCATGTTGTAATACGTATTAATACTTCATTCCTTTTTAATGGCTGAATAATATTCCATTGTTTGGACATGCATTTTGTTTATTCATTCAATTGATGGACATTTGGGTTATTTCCACTTTTTGACTATTATAAATAATATTCCTATAAGCATTTGAGTACAACTTTTTGTGTAGACGTATTTTTATTTCTTTTGAGTATGTACCCATGAGAAGCATTGCTGGATCCTATAATAACTCTATGATTAACTTGTTAAGGAACTGCCAATGCGTTTTCCAAAGTGACTGTGCCACTTTACATTCCTACCAGCAATGTTTGAGGGTTTCAACTCTCTCCACATCCTCAACATTGGTTACCGTCTTTTTCATTTTAGCCATCCTAGTGAAGTGGCATCTCATTGCAATTTGATTTACATAACCCTAGTGATTAATAATGTTGAGCATCTTTTCTTGTGCGTATTGGCCATTTGCATATCTTCCTTGGGGCATACACGCTCAGATCTTTTGCCTGTTTCTAATGGGGCTTTTTGTTCTTATTGTTGAGTCGTAAGTTCTATATACTCTGGCATCAGTCTCTTATCAGGTATATAATCTGTAAGTATTTTCTTCCATTCTGTGGGTTGTCTTTTTCATTTTTCATGGTGTTCTTTGAAGCATACAAGTTTTTCATTTTGTTGAAATCCAATTGATCTATGTTTTTCTTTTGTCACTAAAGCGTTTGGTGTCATATTGAAGAAATCTTGCCTGAGCCAAGATGAAGACTTACTCCTGTGTCTAACGGTTTTATAGTTTTAGCTCTTAGAACAATGATCAATTTTGAGTTACTTTTTGAGGTTGAGGTAGGAATCCAACTTCATTCTTCAGGATATGAATATCTTGTTGTCCCAGTACCATTTGTTGAAGACTATTCTTTCCCATTGAATTGTCCTGGCACTCTTGATAAATGTCAATTGATCATAAATGTAAGAGTTTATTTCTGTTGGCTATCTGAGTTCCTTGTATTTCCATATAAATTTTAGGATCATCTTGTCAATTTCTGCAAAGAAGCCAGCTGAGATTCTGATAAAAATTGCATTGAATCTGTAAATCAATTCGGGGAATATTGCCATCTTAACAATATTAAGTCTTCCACTCCACTATCATGGGATGTCTTTCCATTATTTGGGTTGTTTAAAATTTTTTCCAATAATATTTTGTAGTTTTTCAGTATACAAGTTTGGCACTTATTTTGTTAAATTTATTCCTATTTTATTCTTTCTGATGCAATTGTAAATGGAATTGTTTTCTTAATCATTCAGATTGTGTACCACTAGTGTATAAAGGTACAAGCGATTTTTGCATATTGATTTTGTGTTCTGCAGCCTAACTGAACTTGTTTCCAATACTTTTTTTTTTTTTTTTTTTTTTTCTGAAAGAGGGTCTCATTCTGTCCTCCAGGCTGGAGTGCAGTCGTACCATTGCGGCTCACTGCAACCTCCACTGCCCAGGCTCAAGTGCTCCTCCCACCTCAGCCTCCAGAGTATCTGGGACTACAGGCATGCATCACCTTGCCCAGCTAATTTTTATATTAATATTTTTAGTGGAGATGGAGTTTTGCCATGTTGCCCAGGCTGGTCTCAAACTCCTGGCCTCAAGTGATCCACCCGCCTTGGCCTCCCAAAGTGCTGGAATTACATGTGTCAGCCACCCCACCCAGCCTGTTTCTAACACTTTTTAATTGGTAGCTTTACCCTATGTGTGCTTTGCTACAAAATATCCAACAGCTCATATTAATAATCCTCTTTTAATGCTTCAGAAAAACTTTAATTTCTTTTTAACTGATATTCCGATTCTAACAAAAATTATTTGGACTAAAGTATTCCTTTTCCATCCAAAATCACTGTCTACACTGGGCATGGTGGCTCATGCCTGTAATCCCAACACTTTGGGATGCTGAGGCGGCAGGACTGCTTGAACCCAGGAGTTCAAGACCAGCTCAGGCAACATGGTGAAACCCCGTCTCTACAAAAAATACAAAAATTAGCTGGGTGTGGTGGTGTGCACCTGTGGTCCCAACTACTCGGGAAGCTGAGGTGGGAGGATCACTTGAGCCCAGGAAGGTCAAGGATGCAGTGAGCCATGATTGAGCCACTGGCAACAGAGTGAAACCCTGTCTCAAAACAAAAAACAAAAACAAGAACTCTTAAAAAAGTTTGCATCTTCTAGGGCAAAAATAAAATACCTTTATGTTTTCCCTAAAATGAAAGACTGTGTCATCTTAGCTTTTACTTAGTCTGACTTAACAGTTACTCAATTATGCTGTTTGATAATGATTATGTCAGATTTACATTTTATGTAATAACTAGAAGTGGGAAGCCACAACCATGTCCCCTTATTTAGCCACAGCTATTCTGCCTTTGTACGCAGAACGCTGCTCAAAAACCATAAATAATCAGTATCTGTTTATTTTTTAAAGTCATGGGTAGCAGCTATAGGTTTTTTTCTTCTTCCTGATGGAATGGTACCACGAATAGCAAGCATGTGTGCTTTACGTGTGAATGTGTAAAATACCGTATGAAAATCCTCTTGGACTACATATCACTCTGAGCTTGTCACTGGCCGTCCCTTTCATTCATTAGATCAAATGAATTTCTGGATGATTTCTGGTCACTTTCCTGACAAAACTGAGCATCTTGTATTTGGATATTAAGCATGTAACATTTTCCTGATGTTCAGAGACAAGCAAAACTCTTAGCTTCAGGGAGAGAAAAGTTATGTATTCAAAGAAACAGAAAAGTATTTACAATGAATTAGAAAGATGCAAAAACCAAGTTAAAACACTTAACAGAGACTTGACATTTATTGTGCAATTTTATCCCCAACAGAACACGTGGCATTCTAGAGGTATATGAGGTAATAAAATCAACACTCCAATTAGAACACCTGAAATAATTGGCTCTAGTAACAAATGTCTCTTATAATTAAAAATATTGAATGTTTAAAAAACTTTTATAACATTTTAAGTTTCTAAAAGAAATGAGCCTAACACTTAAAAAACAACTTACTCTTCTATATAAATTGTTCACAAAAAAATCTTGCTATTCTATATTACACTATGCATTTGTAGCTTTATTAACATATCCCTAGTGGGTATTAACTCTACACAGTACAATCAAATAGAAATTATTCATAGAGAATCAACAAGACTCCAACAATAAAAATATCAGGATCAATGGATTTGTCACAGTTTCTCCACAAGTATTCATCATAGAAAATAGAGTAAAGGCAACTCGGCCCCGGTGTTAGGCTGCTACATGAAGTTCCAGAGAGGAGAGACATAAAGGCAATGCCTAAATTGCGCAGGGTCGGGCTGGAACAGTGACCTTGAAAGCTTCATGACCCACCTCTAGCATGCCCTGTTCCCAAGAAGTGCAAGCCAGGACCCTCATGGCCTTGGCATGCTCTTGAACTTAAACACAGCCAAAGGGATGTGAAAGCCAAAACTACAGGAAAAAATCAACAGATTACTGTATTTTCTTACAAAATTTTCACAACAGTTCTCACAGTGACATCATAAATTAAAACTCTCTCTTCCAAACCAATCAGACTCATCAGCTCTAAAGCTACAAAGACACAAACGTGAAAAGTGAATTGAACGTTGGCTACCTGATGCCCCGGTGCTATTTCTAACATCTAGGAGTTCCCAAAGACTCTCACTTCACTGAGTTCAAATGTTTGCTTTTATCTCCCTGCATTTTTGCACTAGGAACCTATGGGACAAATGTGAACAAACTCGTGATTTTAATTTTAATTTACCTACTTTTAAAAAAAGTTTTCTGGTCTTCATCATAGGATCTTACGTAGGTCAAGCCTTATACAGAAACCTGGGCAGATCCCAGAGGATATATGGTTTGTATGTTCCTACCTAAGCATCGACATACTTTAGTAGTTTTTAGCAATACACAAATATCAACTCTCCCTTGATGGCATAAATAAAACAACAAATCCATTCCAAAGTGTTGATGGGCTTTGAGAACTGTGCTCCAACTACTGAGGAAGACTGAACTCGTCATTCTGCTTCCTATGCCCAAAGCAATCCTCTTCTTAGCTGAGTACCCTGGGCAGTTTCCTTATCAATACAATGGGGATAAGAACAGTAACAGCCTCATAGGGTAGCTGTGAGGATTAAAATGAGAATGCATTAAAGTACTTATCCAAGTAACTGTCACACAATAACTCAATAGATAGATATTAACTATAGTTACTACTGTTGTTGCAGTTAAGTGGTTCTGAACGGGCCCAAATAGTTTTCCAATGTGGCCAGGATACATCTGGCCACTTGTACTGGCCCAATTATTCCAAGAATAAAGAGGTTTTCAAATGAGTCTTACTAGCAAGACATGCTTTCACTGTAATTTGAGGATCTGTGATTCAATAAAAACACAGCCCTTATATCAGACAGCTATAGAGAATTGTGAGGAAAATTAATCCGGTCCCCATTACTGCAAATACTTGGTAATTTAGTGCCTTCAGAAGTCAAATTAACCAAGCTGGTCATCAGATGAGGGAAGTCTCAACCTCTCAGTGTTAACCTGCAACTGAACATATTGTGGCGTGTGAAAGTGGTCTCTAATGTGTACACAGATCAGTTAAACTTTTACATTTTACATTTAGAAGGCAAATATTGATGGGTTATTATTTTTGCACTCCATGTTGTCTGATGTCAATTCTTCACTCTCCTCTAAAAAAAAAACAAAAACCCAACATAAATAAAAGAACCAGTGCCACTGGCTGACAGTGTAACTTTGCAGAGGACTACCCATCTGCTGGGTGACGTTTTCCTACATTACTCCAACTGAAGTGGTTATTTTTATCCAGCACTTACATGACTGAAAGCAGCCATCACTATGTTTACAAAAATACATCATAATGATACATACTGCTGTTTAGACACATTTACATTAGAGTTCTGACTCAAGCACTCCATTTGACATGTTTTGCCAAACAGTTCTGGCACGTGTTGCCACATTAAACATACACCAGCAAGACTTGCACCATATGTGCAAAATCATTTTCTATTACATTTCTAAAAATCTGTATATATGAGCTGTCAAAAATTAACGCAGATCTGTACTGTGAAATGACACAGCACTGAATGAGGAAAGTTATACATTTAAATCTTTCCTAAAATTGAAGCTATTATCCATGGATGACATTTCAAAAAAATAATTGAAACCTAAGAAACTCAGGAGGTAGTCAATGGGTATTAGGTTTAGGTTCTAGAGCATAAATTGAAGGATGGAATCTAAATGAGGACAATGGATGTTTGCTTTTCTGAACATATAGTGCACGTTTCATCTTTACCTGATCTCCATCTGTTTTCTGAGAGCAACAGAAGGGAGGCAACAAGCCATTGAGAGCGGCAGGGGAATGTAGGAATCATAAACCTACAGATTCGAAGTCTGGGTTATTGCCTAATTTGGGGTAAACATCTGATACTGCAAGAATAGTTACTGGACTTAAAAAAAATCCTATCAACATCAGTTACCACTAGTTGATGGGACATGGAGTAGTTGGATCAAGTAAAAAAATGGTTAATAATTTATCTCTCCTTATAATCCTGTAGGAATCTCTTATGTCAATGTGTCTGTCACTGACAAAGGGATAAGGAACAATGCAGAATACCCGATCACCCACTAACTCTACAGCCGTGAAGTAGCTACAAATATGTCTCGAATCCCCTACAAAAGGAGATAACAATTTTCTGCAAATGCTCTAATATTATCCTTACATTCCTAGTGAAGCTTAATGAAACATAAATGGTAACGGTCACCTAAATGCTGTGGTGGAATGAGGAAAACCAAAAAAGTGATGCGCGGGTTCAAGGGCTAGAGGAAATATTTACAAGTAAATACAGAAAGTACTTGTAAAATGTTCAAGTAAAATGAGAAAGTACTTGTAAAATTGAAATGGTTACAGTTTTTCTTGAAAGCATTTAACACTAAGGTTAAGCCATGAGATTTTGAACAATGCACCGTCAAGAGTCAGTGAGAAATGTGACTTTAGTAACTGCTTGCAAAATACTGGTCCCCTCCACAGGCTCCTGACCTACACTATCCAATACATATCATTTGAGGGTCATCCTGAGCCTGGCTGGAACTGAGCTTGGGGCTTCAACTCACTGCGAAAAGCCGGCATGATCTTTGTAACAAGATTTTAATTTGGAAAACACAGGACAGTTGTCACTTTTTGTAGGTATGGCTCTTCTGCTTATGGACCACACCTAGTCACCGACAAAAAAGCCACATTTAGTCTTTGTTGTCAAGCCAGCCCCGTGACCTCCTCCTCTCACCAATTAAGTGGGGGCACAGCTGCATCCTGAGCTGTTTTAACTCAATCTATTTTACACTACCAATGCTAACATGACTCAAGAAGGACTCTAAAAGCTGACATGACTAAGTTTCTTGTGAGAGCAATCTGTCCATTTGCCAGATAAAGATGCAGAAAATCAAATCAAAATAATAAGCAACACCTTCAAGTCTCCAAGGATTTCAACTGAAAGGCTCACAGAGCAATGACAGCATCCGATCCTAGTGAGTGAGCTTTTAACCTGGCTACACAGAGGCCCAATGGGCCTTGCCAAAATACAAATGAACATCCTTTGTTGGTCCTGATTTAAACAAGAGGAGACCATGCAGACGACCACCGTGAACTTACGTACATACCAGCCTTAAAGGTGAAGCTCAAGGGGCAGTGTGGATATGTCCCAAGGAGAGGAGCCAGCAGTGTCCACAGTGATGCTGTATCACGGCCTCAGTGGCGGCTAGTGCCTGCGTCAGACGCTAGGCTTGGCTAAAGGAACCCAGCAGATACACAAACAGTAGAAGTACAATGGAATATCTCACTCAGGAGCAAAAGTCGTAGGAACATTTCACTCAGGCAAAAGCTGTAGGTCCGAGACCCAGCAGAGGAGTTAGAACTGGCTGTGCGATGCTGAGTATGGAGTCTGTCAGCCTTGTGCAAAAGAGATGCCCAACAATTAGTCTCAACATTCAGAATCTGTGGATGGAGAAACAGCTGATAGAGAAATGATTAACCTGGAATGGGTGCGAGGGAGGAAGAGACCATGTGTAACTTTGGAACAAAAGTGGTGTGCAAACCTGGGACAGCAGCCTTCTCAGGAGGTAACAGTGACAGCCAAAACACAGGCTGCTGCCCCCCGCCCTTGCAGCAGTGGTGCAGGTGCGTTGTCATGTACGGCCATGGAGCAGGGGTGCAGAAAGTGCTCTCATCAGCCTCAGCGAAGACCAGCACGATAGGGCTCCAAGATGATATTTGGATATGAAGAAATATTCAGGACTCTCAAACTTCCAGAAAAACAAGAAGGGCTAGTCTGTTTTTCTTAAAAGCAGTGATCAAATATTGTTGCTTTAGAAAAACAGAACGATGTATTCAGCAGTAAGGACAACTTAAGGCCAATGAAAAATTAAGGTAAGATGGAAAAACAGATGAGGCTATGGTGGTGTTTTTCTTCTAGCGAAGATGTCATGTTGTCAAAGAATCTTATAAGACAGACACTGACTTCTCGGACCTCTAAAAAATGCTTTAAGAGGTATCTTTCTTCCTTGGAGAGCCAAAGAGACTGGTCTCATGGCTGCCGTAAGAACATGGCATTTGCCCATATCATTTCTTTTACTTCCAAATTTTAGCTAATTTGCCCCAAATAGAATTGAATATTGGTTCTCCCTATTCCATTGAATGATATGACAAATTTTAGTTAATTTTCTCAAAACAGGATTGAAATATTAGTGCCCACTACATCATTGAGCAGATCTGACAGATGACCACCTCCATAAACATTAAACTTTTCAATGGATGAATTCTAGTAATACAAAAAAGCTAATAAACAAAAGCTACAGAAAGACCTGTTTCTAGGACTTTGTATATAGTGAATACAAACTAAATATTAAATCTAAAGGACAATTTATGAGTTTATGTTGACAAAAATAGCCCAAAAACCCTTTATCAATGGATGCTCATTAACCTGAATCTCCAACCAATTTTCAAAAACCCTTGGTCATGTCTGTAGATGACATTAGTAGCCTTCAATAAACGCTGTCCATTTAGCCCTTTGCTCTACAAAGAATGTAGTAATCTGGACTAGTTTGGTAAAGAAAGCCTCTCCTGAGTCCAAACAGGAAGCCCTCAGAAATGATGACTCTAGCACCTCTATAGCATTTGCCAATATGGAAAGTTTCCAAAGATACCACTAATTTCACATATGGAACTCAACAAATTAACCAGGGGATAGCGGCACAGTGCTGACTTAGCCATAGCTAAGGGGTACATTGGGGTAAAGGAGGCACGGAGGGGATGAAATGTTTTCATCAAGGACAATGGGAAACAAGTTTCATACAAATTCTAAAGATCAGCTCAGCAGAGAAAGACCCTCAAATTTCAGAGCAATTACTGACAAGCCCATTGCATAGTTGTCAGAATCGCCTTGAAGCTGTGTGTATACAATGCCAGAACATCTAGTCAATTCAGCGAATACCATCAGTCACACCACTTGTTTGGTCTTCAGTGCACCAAACAACTAATTGCTTTAAATTTTCATTGTTCTACCCATCACTTTGGCATTGTGTCAACAAAGCCTGATTTAAGGCTATGGAAACTGCGGATTTATTAACCTACAAAACTGAGCATTTGAAAATGGTTTTGGATCTTTGGATGTTTCTTGACTAACAATGAAAAATGACTACTGTTTGTAAACTCCAGAGATCAAATAGTGCCTTCTTGATCAACACAGTGGTTTTTAAACAACAGAAAAACAGTTGACCTGTAATTAATCACTGTCTGCAGATGTTGCCTCTGTTCTCTGGTTTCCTTTTAGTAATAGACATTATTAATGTCAAAATGGTATATGATGTCATCTATCCTATGTCTTTGCCGAGAAATATGAAGTCAAGTCTTTGGAAAACATAAAGACAACTTATTTGAATTAAGAGAATGTTTGCTTCTTGTCCCTTAACACAACTCCATGTCTCCACCTTCTCCCATGGGCAGAAACACTACCCCAGCCTACCTTGGGGACTATCTCTGCCCAGGTAGCAGAGTTTGAAGATTTCAGAAAGGTAACTAGGAGCTCACCTATTTTTTCACCCTCATGATCTAGCTAGTAATCATTTAAAAATCAGATGTAGTTTTTTCTTTTTATAATATAATATTCCAAAAGTCTGTTGTAGGTGCCACAGACTTCCCAAACAACCCTAAAATGGATTTCTATTTGGGTACTGTGGCAGCTGAGAATGTGTAGACTATGGCAGAATGACAGGCTTTGGACTCTCAGGTGACAGGAACAGGACATTCACAATTGGAACTCTTGAGAGGACCAGCTGCTACAACAGGAAGATTCTGTCCACTAATCCCCAGATCCATCCTGGGAACTTTTATTGAAGACTTCATCCTGAGAAGCCTGGTGATCGATCCCTTCATAAAATGAGCCACCGTTGTGCAGGAAAGTCCCCACCGCCCGCCCCTGTCGGGCGTGACCGACAGCGTCGCTGAACACTTTGTTTATCTGCTCTTCCGAGGGCATCCACCAATCGGGGTTGGAGGTACAATGCATCCTAATGAATTCTGCAGGAATATATACAACATCAAAAAGAGAGAGAGAAAAAAACAGCTGGTTTTTGCAGAAGATGACAGGGCAGGCTGCTTAAACTTTAACAGAAGCTCTATAAGAAAAGCTTTATGGGAAATCCAACGCAATGCCATGATGATGTCACTCATTAGACCCAATTTATTCCATACAAATTTTCTTCTCATGTGCAAAAGTAAAAAAAAAAAATTACACAGATATAGAGGGTAATCCCTCTAAGGAACATTTGCTGTTGAAATAAAAGGTAAATTTGATTTGTAAGGCATGGGATGCACCATGTCTGGTGTAAGTCAAGGAGACAGATTTCAAAACCCAAGTTGTTACCTGCTCACATTTTGAGAATGTTACTATCTCCAGAAGCACAGCAAATACCATTAGCATGGTATTCTTTAACCAGCTACTAATTTGAAGATAGAGTACAATAAAATAACAGTCTTAATGACTGAGGAGGTGCCTAAGTGTTAGTTCAGAAAAGGTACCCATGTTCTTAGAATGTTGTGTGATTAGCTATACTTATTTCTGAAAATGTCATTTCTATACATGGGCTGACAAATATTTTTTACGTGTTATCTCCTCTAAATATTTAATTTTACCAAAAAGCAATTAACATGCCCAGAAGAGTGAACTGTCGCAGCTGCCTCCAACACAGATAATCACCATATCTTGCCTACGTATTTCCCAACCAAAAGCGGGATGGAGGTCCACGCATTGTGGCCCTAAGTGAAAAATGAGCTAGAGACAGCAGTCTCTGGTTAGGCAGCCTGGACTGCATCAGGCATCAGTGTGACAGTGGCTCCTGCAGTGTTTCCAGAGCAGCAGCACTAGTTCTCTGGGATGTATTTTAATCCATCAGTTCTACTGACTTGCTATAGAAATGTAAAATGTTGAGTAAGAATTTCTGGAAAATGATACAGCGATGAGACCCCTTATTTGGCTCCTTTATAAGCCCAAAGGCAACTCCCTTGAGTACACACAGACAGGGCACTCAGTCAAGCCCCCAAGCTCAACACTGCCCCTTGGAGAGTAACTCCATCATCTCTGATGATGTCAGGGAATACAGAAAACTATGGCTAGTTTGGCAGGACAGACCCTGGAAATTTCTGCCACTTAGTCACTCTGAGTAAGTGGAATATTCAGACCAACTAATAGGAGGTGTGCTGGAGCACTTGTGCCTAGTAAATACAGGCATTTTCGTCTCAGGTGGCTTCCTGAATCGTGGGCCATGTGTGCATACGCCCCTAAGGTTGTCTTGATCTAGGAACCACGCATGCCTGCCCCATCCCTTCTGAATCAGAATGTCTGGGGGTAGGCCTAGGGAATCTCAGCTGCTAACAAAAACTACATATGCATCCTAGGCACATAATGTCCAGAATCACTGTGAGCATCTCAGGAGGGAGTGCAGAAGTAGAGTATTCTTTCCAATAACTAGGGCCTTAGCAGTGATAATCCGGCTTTTTTTTTTACTGTGATTTCCTCACCAGGAAAAATTTTTATCCCTATTTCAGTAAATCAATATTAAGTCTTTCCAGCCAATAAAACTGCCACTGAACTGTATAGGTTAATATTGAGCTTTTTGATATGGATTTTTCAGGTGTGAACAATGTTTTGTTGGCACTATAACACTTCTATTTGTCTAGGTCTGTATTTGCACTTGCTGAATCAACTGGATACCTCCTGATTCCTCCTTCCCACCCCTCTGCCTGGCCTACAATAGTGCAGATCAACTGCAAAGTAATCAGCTATTAATACTGCTGAAGTCGTATTATCTCTGCAGTACACTTAATAGAAACTTTTTTTTTTTAACCAAAAGAGAAATGTTCTACTGGGCAAGGTGTATTTTAGCATTAAGGAGAATTAATCCTAAACAAATTTAAGGAGTTGGGCCAAGTATTCTTGAGAAGGTATTAGAAGGGGACACAAACTAGAACTGGAAATGAGGTAACATTGTACCCATTAAAAAAATTTTCCACACCTTCCCTTCTTCTGTGTGTTCCCCTATGCTCCAGTTTTGCTGGAGGTGGCCTTCTCTGGCAGCAAAGAAAATCTGAATTTGAAGCGTGAAACATGAGGTGCTATGCGATGCTTATGTACCACTAAGAGAGAACAACAACGCTAAGGCAAACGGAGGTTTTTAAAAGAGCTTCTCAAGACTGAGTAGATGGGCCACATGAAGCCTAGACGTTCTCAGCAGAAAGAAATCAAAATACAGAAGGCTGAACACTTGTACGGGGAGAGCCACAGCCAATGCGGTGAAATGAGATCACAGATGGTGACACTGAGCGGAAGGATGCAGTACCTCGGAGGCATGTTACTTTAACTGGATCCAGAGGGCGTCTTTCGGGACCTGTCTCTCCTGACTGCACTGACCTTTTCCTTTTCCCAAGGCCGCATGAGTACTTAAGCTCATCGGTTGTGAAAACAAATCTGATGAGGTATCGAAGGAGCCGTCTCCCATCTTTCTTTGAAGAATTTACAGCCTCATCCCACTGTTTGCTCGTTATGTAGACAGGATAGTTGTTCAACAGCTGCTTGCTTCCCTGGAAAAGCGAAATATTTTCTCATTACCCACCGAGCCAGCCAGCCAGAAGCAGAAGTGATCTCCATTTCAAAGGCAAACATGCTTTTTTTAACCAAGTGGCTATGCTGACAATGAACCAGGTATTGAAGTGCGCAAATAATTGCTCAGACTTAGAAGGGGCACTTTTCAAATTACATTTGCATTTTCTATAACAAGAGCCAATGAGGTATAATGAACACCTTTGAAAGGGGAGCTATTTATAACTTACATTTTAACAGGTAGGTTAAAATGTGTCAAGATCCAATGACAGGGAACACTATTTAAATCTAACCTGTAACTTTCCTTTTCAATCTATTAAAATATGCAAAACTTTGAAGAGTGTGATCAAACAGGTCTCTTCAATTCTTTGGTTACTTTTAAGTACTTTTAGAAATGATGCTGGTGATCTATTTTAATAAGGTTTTACTTGTGTTTAACGCACCCAACACCTGGTAGTCACTGCATTACAACAGAAACATTAAAAAGCAAATTTTAAGAAGGGAGAATTGTGGAAACTGAAAAAAAAAATCACTAATAATCATGCAAAACAGGTTTCCTCAAATTATAGCTTCTGCAAATGCCACTATGTCAACTCAAAATTTTTCTTACTTTTCACCTTCATAATTTACGTCTGCTATAAAATTCCCGGGCTAAATAGCTGCAGTGGGACTAATTACGGGAATTTCCGTAACATTTATAAGCCATGTTTAATCAATTGCACCTACACAACCATTACTTTAGTTCTGGTTGTCCATAAAATTCTACAGTCCAGGACAAATTAATTAACCCATGATCTTAGTTTTAATATACTCCTTCCCCAGTAATTAAGGTGTACAAAACAAAGGGAAAACTCATTCATTTTACAACTCGGCAAATTTACTACAGGTTATAAATTTGGCACCATTTGGATCTGATAGGGTTTTATTTCAAAAAGTGCTCTGTTGAGTTAAACACTGAGAAGGGGAAATGGCATAGGAACCAACAAGAGGGAGGCAGCCCGATGCGGCTAGGAAACCGGCACGGAGTTCTGCGCGTGGAGACTCATCACGGCAGCATTCATACTCTCCTCAACAAGCAACGGCGTGATGTGGTTTCCTTTCCTAAGGAAGGCAACTGAGGCACCTAGTTTGTGCTCTGAATTTAGTCAGGCTGGGTTTTAATTGAATCTTGGTTCTGTGTCTTATTAGACTAACGAGCTAGTTACTTCAAGTTGTTGGACCAAAGTTTCCTCATCTGTACAACTGAAAGGAACTGAATTATCATGAGTACAAGATATGACTATTTGGGAGCATGAGCCAAGCCTTGGCTGGGTACAGTGGTGGACCCTGTGTATAAGAGACAATCAAAAGATGGGCAGGGGCCCAGAGCTCCCAAAAAGTCCTTCAGCCCCGGTTGCAGTTTCATGGCAGGAGATGAGAGACGGAGGTCTGAATCAAGTCTGTGCAGGACAGAGAGAGGTGGGAGTGAAAGCTGTCGAACTGAGAGGGCTAGGCAACCAATTCCATGGGCCAGGGTATGTACGGGAGACTGAGGAAGCAAGATGATCCCCAGGTCAAACAGCGGTGTCTTTCACAAAAATGAGGAACAGAGGCTACGGCTGGGAGGAAAGCAGCAGGAGGGAAAATAAATCCATTGCTTCCCAAGCACTGAGAGGAACAGGCTCCTAAGGGCTCTGAATGGTTGACCCCCAGCCCTCAGGGAGGCTGGGTGGGCCGGGAGCGGGGGTGAAATCGGGGGGCTGGCTAACTCAAAACCACTCACTGTGTCACCAGTACTTTTGCGGAGGAAGCTTAAGCTTAGTAACTGTCACCATTTATTGAGCAACTGATGACCAGCCCGAAGCACCTGCCCCAAGCACTTTGCACACTTCCCTCCTTTCTCCTCACAGGTGGAGGTACTAGGTCTATTCCTCAGCTGGGCTCTGGGTTCAGCCTTGGGCAGGTGACTTTTCTAAACTTTGCTCCTTTGTGTTAAAATACAGATGATAATCCCAGCTTGGTGGTTTGTGGTGAGGAGACCAGCCGTCTCCCACCAGAAAAAAAGCTTATGAGGGCTGGGACTGTTACCTGTTTATTCAATGCCAGACTCTCAGGGTGGAGTACAGCTCCTCACACAATGCAGGTGCAATAAACATTTGCTGAATGGCTGACGCAGTAGAGCACGGGCCTCTGTGGCTGGCACACAGCAGACACCCAGTAATGGTGGCTACAATGAAGAATTCTTACTTTTTTTAACCACTGAATATAAATTCGCAAAGTTAAAGAACTTTAAGGAGAGCAACATAGATGAGGAGCCACTAAAAAGGAGACTTCTACCATCCTTAATTTAAAAAATGAGACGTGCACCATCCTCTTAGTTATGGTCCCTGTAAATATTCGTCAGCCTTAAAAAAGACTGTCTAGCTGCTTTTTAAGCTGTTTATTTAACACCATATAATTTTTAAAAGCTGTTTTGCTCAGGAGAGTGAGCTTACCTGGTAAGCCAGGATTACAGCTTTATCTTACCAAGGAGGTCAAATCCATTTCCAAGGCCTCACAACTCAAAGGGACGGGGCTGCGGATGCCATCCTCAAGTTCAGAGTTCACCCTGTAAGCGATGCTTTGCTGTGCCCCTGAAAATGGTCTATTTCAAGATGGGATGGACTAGTGATCTGGCAGCTGACAATCCAGGAAAAGAGCTTTCTCAAAACCTTTGAAAAAATCCACTGAATGCAGCAGCTCTACATAAAATGTTGGTCTCATAAAATGTAGGAATACCATTTGGAGGTAATTTTCATCAAGAAAAAGGGAAAGAAAAAGAAAGCAATTTATAGCCCAAAGCACAATTCAGAATGCTCTCTGGGTTATGGATGAGATCTATAAACCTGTTTTAGCATAGTTAATAAGTAAAATATGATAAATAATAAAAACGAGAAAATGCTCATGTGCCTGAAATGACAATATAAAGAGTCATAATGATGATGAGTCATAAAGTTTAAGTAGTCTTATGTAGATATTTCCCCTATCTTTTCATTTTTGTAGAATTCTGGTTGTATATTTTCAATTAGCCACCCACAGGTTATTAAACATTGACCTATTGTTGAGTCACTGAAAAAAAAACAGAACAAATCACCCTTAATTAATGGGTTACTTAAGAGTCATCATCAAATGGAAGACACAGGTGTACATTTACTATTAAGCAAGGAAACTAGTTCTGAATTAGACTGCTTTGTGCCACACAGGCACAAAGCAGGGGTGTGGCAGTCAGGGAGAGCTTCCTGGAAGAAGTGGGCTTTTCAGCGGTGCTTTTTATATGACAGTATTGTCAAGTTAGGAAATATGGATTTAATTCTAGGGAGCAAAGGATTTTAAGCATATATTTACTTTGGATCTGTAATTCAGAAAAAAAAAAAAAAAAAAAAAAACAACTTTCCAGGGTGGAGAACAGAGAAGAAAGAAGCTGCTGCAATAGTCAGGTGAGAGAGTCAACCTAGGAAAAGAGAGGCAGTTCAACATGGCTGTAGAATTCTTAGACGTAGGAAGTAAGGGGGTCAGTGATATGTCAGAAACTTCTACCTGGGGTTGGTGGGGCCTTTACTGAAAACAGGAGGAACTGCAGATGGGTATTCAGAATAGGTGTGGTGAGATCAAGCGATGTATGGGCAAACCACTGTGGGCCAGGTATTTGGCACGGTGGTCTACAGTGAAGCCACAGGGACTGATGCTCTAGGTATGCATGTGGGACTTGTTAACACACATGTAGTCAATGTTATAAGAAACATAACTGGGCACAGGCTCATGCCTGTAATCCCAACACTTTGGGAGGCTGAGGCAGGACAATCACTTGAGCTCAGGAGTTCAAGACCAGCCTGGGCAACATAGTGACACCCCATCTCTATAAAAACTAAAAGTTAGCTGGGCGTGGTGGTGCACACCTGTAGTCTCGGCTATTTGCGGGGCTGAGGTGGGAGGATCACCTGCGCCTGGGAGGTCGAAGATGCAGTGAGCCATGATCATGCCACTATACTCAAGCTTGGGCAAGAAAGCGAGACCCTGTCTCAAAAATAAGTGAACAAATAAATAGGAAACATAACTGATGAGAAAAGGCAGTAGAGAGTGAGAGAAAAAGACAAAGCATGAACTCTGGAGAACAGTAGATGGAAAAACTCATGAAGGCGTCATAGGAAGAGGGGCAAGGAACCAGGAGAAAGTACTGACACTAAGGCTAAGGACAAGAGAGAGCACGGAGGAGGAGAGGTGAGGGCCTGGGGTGACCAGAGTGGAAAAAGGGTCACTGGACCAGACAACTGGAGAGTCACCAGGGGCCTCTTGCAGAAAACTCTGGTAGCGGTGGAAGTGAAGCCAGATTACAGGGTGGAAGAGCAAATGGAAATTAAAAGACAGAAGATAACGAATATAGACCAGCTTTTCAAATGTTTAATCATTAGAAAAAAATGAGGTCACCATTCAGCAATCATGAATTGAGTGTCTTCTATGACACTAGAGATGAGACCCGGGCCCAACTTTCAAGAAGCAAGATGTGCTGTAGTGTAGAATGAAGGTGCTGACCCAGGATACTTTGGGAGCCTGGAAGGAGATGGAAGTAGAAAGGAGAGCAATGACAGCAGAAGAGAAGGAGAATCCAAGGAAGGCTTCTTTTTAGGCTGGGGGAAACCTGAGAGCTTCCCCAGGGGATTCTCATGGGGATTGTCCATGGTTCTCAAGTCTCGTATGAAAGTCATATATTCAAAACTGAGTCTTGAACATCTTATAAGTATGTACCATCTTTATTACTATTAAAACACACCATTTCTTCTACAGATTGGGAGAGACTGTGGTTTCTTCCATTTAAGTCCAGGTGAAAAAAATAACCCATGTGCAGGGGCCCTGACTTCTGGAAAATGCCTATCTGCACACTGAAGAATCATGCCCAGTGTGTGAGGTGCCCAGAGTGAGGGGCATGTGGAACACAGGCTCTGTCTGAGGGAATGACAAGTTGGTGTCTCTCATTCCAGGCATCTCTGTGCAAACAGAATGGTGGAAAAATTGCCCATGCTATTTAAATTGTCATTAGCTCTGTCTTTCCCCACTTAGTACATGCAGCTGAATCTCTGTAGTTAAATACATGCGTGATCTTTCTCCACAAATTACATACTTACAGGCAACAGACCCATAAACCTCAGTCAAAAACTATTTTGCTAGCCAGTCTGTTCTGGTATACACTGATAAGTTAATCAAGATACTTAAGAGAATTCCAAATGGAACATTCACCTTTTTACCAGAGACCTACCTCTGTCGGCTGGTCAGCTGGCTGTGGTATCAGGAGTTGGTTGTGGTGCTGCAGAACCATCTTCAAGTAATCTAAAACGGTCTGGCAGGGCACTGGGTGGAAGAAATGGCAACAATTACACATTGGCTATCCCGTAACATGAAAATAAATAAATTTTTTAAAGTTTTTTTTTTTTTAAACAGAGGTCTTACTGGCACCCATACTGGAGTGCAGTGTGGTGATCTCAGCTCACTGCAACCTTGAACTCCCAGGCTCAAGTGATTCTCCCACTTCAGCCTCCCCAGTAGCTGGGACTACAGGTGCGCACCACTGCACCCAGCTAATTATGTTAATTTTTTTGCAGAGATAGGGTCTTGCTATGTTGCCCAGGATGGTCTTGAGCTCCTGGCCTCAAGTGATCCTCCTGCTTTGGCCTCCCAAAGTGCTGGGTTCACAGGCGCAAGCCACCGCACCCAGCCTCTAAAAAGATTTTTGATGCAAACTTCCAAAAAAAAAAATATTTTCTAAAGGAAATAGAATCTTCTTTCATTTGACATCCGTAGTTATTTCAGTTTGTAAATACAGAACAGATGCTATAGTTTGGAAAGAATTTTTAGGCTCAGCACAATTCACTGAGAACTTTCAAGTCAAACTTACTCCAAGATGAATTTGGGTCAACAATCATGATCACAAAGAACTCACAGAAGAGACATGTCTTGACTTATTTGACTCAGGTTGCAGCAGTAGCACCCAATGATGCTTTTAAAAATTAAGGTACTGAAAAGTAAGGTTTTGCTAATTATTAATCAATAATATAAGTGTTTCTAATGATGGATTCATTCCTAGTTCTTCAGTAAGCAGAATTCCATACAATTAGACTTGCTTCTCAATGCATACACACTTGGCCACACAGTTCTTCCCTAAGTGTCCCAAAAAGAAGCTCAATTGATTTGATCCCTTTGGTTATACATTTTACTATTAAACTATTTTTTGAGGCTTAGTCTTATAGACTCATTGAATAATCACAATAAAAGTGAATAGATACCAACCTAACATAGAGCATGACATTTTTTTGTACCACTACATAAATAATGCCTACATCTGAAGATTTACATTACAGTCCTTTCAGGAGTAGTAACTAATTGCCTTTAAAGGTCTTGGTAGCTTAGGCCGGGCGTGGTGGCTTACACCTGTAATCCCAGCTCAGGGAGGCAAAAGGCGGGAGAATAGCTTAAGCCCAGGAGTTGGAGACCTGCCTGGGCAATATAGCGAGACCCTGTTCTCCAGAAAAAGGAAAAACAAAACAAAACAAAACAAAACAAAAAGAACAAAAGATAAAGGTCTTGGTAGCTTAGTTAATAACCTAATTTATATGAATTGTTTCCACTGTATTTCTTAGCTGTGTGTTTTCTTAAGATGTTCTTGTCACGTTCAAGAAAATAATAAATATTTAACCTAAGCCCTAATTTTAAAGTATCACCACCAAGCTTTCTAAATTTCGTGTTTCTCACCCATTTTTTTTAAGATAGCAAACAGGAATTATCATTTTATGCAATGCTAATATAATAGCTTTGGATTTTTTAGGTGACATCACAATGTAACATAATAAATCAAAAACTACTTCAACATCCTTTTGAAGAATTTGAATAACAGGAAGTAGGAGTAGGTTAGAAAATTTTTCTTCTTGCCAAAGAAGTATTTTCTTAAATAGTCATCATTCTTACAGACCTGGGCTGTGGCCACTTGTGAACAGTTATATGGATATATTCTCCAAATTGACGAAGCACTTGCTGAACAATAAGAGGTCAACCAAAATAAGTCACGTGTATCAGAAGTAGGCCTGTTATTAAACCAAAGTTCAATAAACCTGTCAAATGGCCCTAATTTCACCAGCTTCTTAAAAGTCCAACCCTTTTTACTGATGCCACAGTGAGGAAGAATGTGTCTCCTGACACTGAGCATTAATTGCTGGAAAAAACCCTAAGTCTTGAGAAACAAATGGAGACAGGAAACAGGTCTGCATTTTAGTTCCGGGTTTTTCACTGATTGTGTGACCTTGGGGACTTCATTTACTTTCTACGTATGAATCCCTTCTACACAGTGCTGAGTATGAGGCTCCAAAGCAGCATTCTGTTCTTCACAGTTTATGGTTAGAATAAAATGCAAGGGTACATATGTCACTGCTTTGTCAAGTGACATGTGCAAGGTACTACCTTGGATTTTGCTTGGAAGTTTTAGAGAAATTGTAAAGACTCACTGACCAGGATTTGAATGAACTTTTTTCTGATCCCTCACCCATATTTTAGAGTCATTAAGATGTTGCCAGGCATGGTGGCTCATGCCTCTAATCCCAAAATTTGAGAGGCAAAGGTGGGAGGATCGCTTGAGCCCAGGAGATTGAGACTAGCCTCGGAAACACAGCAAGAACATATCTTTACAAAAAAATCAAACCATTAGCTGGGTGTGGTGACCTGTGCCTGTAATCCCAGCTACCCAGAATAAGCTGGGAGGATCACTTGAGTCCAGCATTTCAGGGCTGCAACAAGCCATGACTGTGCCACTGCACTCAAGCCTGGGCAACAAAGCAACACTCGCTCTCTAAAACAAACAAACAAAAAGACGCATATGAAAAAATTTTTATAATAAGAGTCATTCACGACAAATCCACAGCCAATATCATACTGAATGTGCAAAAGCTGGAAGCGTTCCCCTTGAAAACTGGCACGAAACAAGGATGTCCTCTCTCACCACTCCTATTCAACACAGTATTGAAAGTTCTGGGCCAGGCACAGTGGCTCACGCCTGTTATCCCAGCACTCTGGGAGCCCAAGGCAGGCCGATCACGAGGTCAGGAGATCAAGACCATCCTGGCTAACACGGTGAAACCCCGTTTCTATTAAAAAACACAAAAAATTAGCCGGGTGTGGTGGTGGGCGCCTGTAATCCCAGCTACTCAGGAGGCTGAGGCAGAAGAATGGCATGAACCCGGGAGGCGGAGCTTGCAGTGAGCCAAGATCGCACCACTGCACTCCAGCCTAGGCGACAGAGCAAGACTCCGTCTCAAAAAAACAGAAAAGAAAAAAAAGAAAGTTCTGGCCAGTGCCATTAAGCAAGAGAAAGAAATAATGGGTATTCAAGGCCGGGTGCGGTGGCTCATGCCCGTAATCCCAGCACTTTGGGATGAAACCCCGTCTCTACTAAAAATACAAACAAACAAACAAACAAACAGCCGGGCGTGGTGGTGGGCGCCTGTAGTCCCAGCTACTCGGGAGGCTGAGACAGGAAAACGGCGTGAACTCGGGAGGCGGAGCTTGCAGTGAGCCGAGACTGTGCCACCGCACTCCAGCTTGGGCGACTGAATGAGACTCCATCTCCCAAAAAAAAAGAAAAAGAAAGCTTATTCAAATAGGAAGAGAGGAAGCCAAACTGTCTCTGTTTGCAGATAACATGATCCTGTATCTAGAAAATCCCACTGTCTCAGCCCAAAAGCTTCTTAAGCTGATAAGAAACTTCAGCAAAGTCTCAGGACACAAAATCAATGTGCAAAAATCAAACAAGCATTCCTATACACCAATAACAGACAGCCAAATCATGAGTGAACTCCCATTCACAACTGCCACAAAGAGAATAAAATACCGAGGAAAACAACTAACAAGGGAAGTGAAGGACCTCTTCAAGGAGAACTACAAACCACTGCTTAAGAAAATCAGAGAGGACACAAACAAATGGAAAAACTATTCCATGCTCATGGATAGGAAGAATCAATATCATGAAAATGGCCATACTGCCCAAAGTGATTTACAGATTCAATACTATTCCCATTAACCTACCATTGACATTCTTCACAGAATTAGAAAAAACTACTTTCAAATTCTTATGGAACAAAAAAAAGAGCCCATATAGCCATGACAATCTAAGCAAAAAGAACACAACTGGAGGCTACAGTAGGCAAAACAGCATGCTACTGGTACAAAAACAGACACACAGACCAATGGAACAGAACAGAGAACTCAAATAAGACTGCACATCTACAACCATCTGATCTTCAAAAAACCTGACAAGAACAAGCAATGGGGAAAGAATAGGGAATCCTGGGAGAACTGGCTAGCCATATGCAGAAAACTGAAACTATACCCCTTCCTTATACCTTATACAAAAAGTAACTCAAGGTGGATTAAAGACTTAAATTAACTCAGAATGGATGAAAGACTTAAATGTAAAACCCAAAACTATGAAAATCCTACAAGAAAATCTAGGCAATACCATTCAGGACATAGGCACAAGCAAAGATTTCATGATGAAAATGTCAAAAGCAATTGCCACAAAAGCAAAAATTGACAGATAGGATCCAAGTAAAAGCTTCTGCACAGCAAAAGAAACTATTATCAGAGTCAACAAACAATCTACAGAATGGGAGAAAATTTCTGCAATCTATCCATCTGACAAAGGTCTAACATCCAGAATCTACAAGGAACTTAAACAAATTCATAAGAGAAAAACAAACAACCCCATTAAAAAGTGGGCAAAGGACATGAACAGACACTTCTCAAAAGAAGACATTTATGTGGCCAACAAACATATGAAAAAAAGTTCAACAACACTGATCATTAGAGAAATGCAAATCAAAACCACAATGAGGCTGGGCGCAGTGGTTCACGCCTGTAATCCCAGCACTTTGGGAGGCCGAGGCGGGCGGATCACAAGGTCAGGAGATCGAGACCATCCCAGCTAACACGGTGAAACCCCATCTCTACTAAAAATACAAAAAATTAGCCAGGCGTGGTGGCGGACACCTATGGTCCCAGCTACTCGGGAGGCTGAGGCAAGAAAATGGCATCAACCTGGGAGGCGGAGCTTGCAGTGAGCCGAGATCACGCCATTGCACTCCAGTCTGGGCGACAGAGCAAGAGTCCGTCTCAAAAAAAAAAAAAAAAAAAAATACCACAATGAGATACCATCTCATGATAATCAGAATGACAATTATTAAAAAGTCAAGAAACAACAGATGCTGGCGAGGCTGTGGAGAAACAGAAACGTTTTTACACTGTTGGTGGGAAAGCAAATTAGTTCAACCATTATGGAAGACAATCTGGCAACTCCTCAAAGACCTAGAACGAGAAATACCATTTGACCCAGCAATCCCATTACTGGGTATATACCCAAAGGAATATAAATCATTCTATTACAAAGATACATGCACGTGTATGTTCACTGCAGCACTATTCACAATAGCAAAGACATGGAATCAACCCAAATGCTCATCAGTGATAGACTGGATAAAGAAAATGTGGTGCACAAACACCATAGAATACTATGCAGCCACAAAAAGGAAACGAGAGATCATGGCCTTTGCAGGGACATGGATGAAGCTGGAAGCCATTATCCTCAGCAAACTAATGCAGGAACAGAAAACCAAACACTGCATGTTCTCACTCATAAGTGTGAGCTAAACAACGAGAATACGTGGACACATGGAGGGAAACAATACACACTGGGGCCTATTGGGGAGGGGGGGCAGTGGGTGAGAGCATCAGGGAAAACAGCTAATGCAGGCTGAGCTTATTGCGTAGGTGATGGGTTGACAGGTGCAGCAAACCACAACGGCACATGTTTACCTATGTAACAAACCTGCACATCCTGCACATGTATCCCGGAACTTAAAATATATAAAATAAAATAAATTTACATTAAGTCCCAAAATGTTTACAAGGCAGCATATAAAACTGTTCACCATGACCTTGACCATGTTAAATATAATTATATGCATAGAAAAGAGATAGGAAAGAATATAAGCCAAAGTGTTAACGATAATAGTTAACAATGATTACATTTTAATTGTGGGATTAGGGTAGTTAAGACCTTTTAAAAACTCAATTGTAAAAAGTGTTTACAGTGGGTATAATAGTTTTATACTAATTTAAAAGTTGTTTGAAAAATGTCTACATCACCGTTGTCTCCCCTTCCTTGCTATTACTTCAGTGTGGAGGGGACAGTCCTGGAAGGGCTTACAGGCTGGCTCTTTCTTTCTTTCCATGCACAACATTTAGGCAGCAGTGCTAAGCTATGACCCAAGCCGGTGGATGCACACAGGATGGAAGGAAATGCAGTGTTATGCATATTTACTGGCCACAGGTGGCTCTATTTAAGGCAAATGGGTCCTGTACATTGATACCTGGGCACAGGCTAAGGACCAGTAAGACTGAAGACAAGGCTCATATTTGGTCAATTGTTAAAAAAAAAAAAATAGCCAAAACTGCCCCAGGTGTTCTGAGTGCCTCCCTTCACCAAATGTCCTCCCATCCTCCCACTCCTGGTCCTACAAGGCAGGGACCTTGAAGCACCCCCAGCCAAGGCCTGCTGCAAAGGATTTGGAAAATCACTCTTGACTGGGGGCTCTCTGGATAGATGCCTAGATTTACACAGGGAAGCTGTGGAATCAAGTGAAATATTTTCTGTGAAAAAAAAAAGTCAATCTGGAAAACGGAGACAGGTGCGTCTAGAAAAGTGGGAGTGAAATTTATGATCCTGACCCACAGCTACACCACACTGCCTGCCCGGAGGTGCATGGGCACTGAAAAGGAAATTGTGGAAAACCTCCTGTCCTCGTGTCCCTCGGTTCTGTTAACCTAAGGTTCTGTGGGGGACTGTGGAGTTTCCGAGTGAGGACTGGCCTTCACGGGTGGGGTAAGCAGCCAGTGCTGCAGGTGTAGCTGTGTGGAGTCCAGGCCACCACACCACTCCCTTGGCCCCCAAGGGAAGAGAGAGTGAGTCTTGGCTTTCAGCAGCAAGAGGTCAGGGGATCGTTGAGGAGCTGCTGATGCCCCCAGAGGCCTTCACAGCCAACTGCCTCCTCGTGCAAATTAGAAATTTTTTATTTTATTATTTATTTATTTATTTATTGAGATGGAGTTTCAGTGCTGTTGCCAAAGCTGGAGTGCAATGGTGTGACCTCGGCTCACTGCAACCTCCGCCTCCCAGGTTCAAGAGATTCTCTTGCCTCAGCCTCCCAAGTAGCTGGGATTACAGGCGTCCGCCACCATGCCCCACTAATTTTTTCTATTTTCAGTAGAGAGGGAGTTTTACCATGTTGACCAGGGGGGTCTGGAACTCCTTACCTGAGTGATCCACCCGCCTCAGCCTCCCAAAGTGCTAGGATTACAGGTGTGAGCCACCGCACCCAGCCTAAATTAGGAATTTTAAACAAGTCACTCTCACGGTGAAACTACTACTTCAGACCCATTGGGCATGTTTTACTCATTCATTTGTCCATTCTACAGAACAAAGTCTGATGAATCTAGTAGGTGTAATGAGAAAATACATGAGGAACCAAAAATGAAACTTCTATTACAAGGAAGAATGGCTATAAAGGCAGCTAAAACGTACCTACTACCTATCCTGATATTGATATTTATAATTTTTTTCTCCTCTATGTAACAAAATCTCAAAATGCATCTTGTATAATCCTGGAAACAGTAAAATACTTAAGAGGAAGAAAGGAAATAAGGAAGGTCTTTTGTGTAAATAATACATGTAAAGCCAAAGGCACCCAATAATACTGCCTAGTGTAAACTATTGTCATTTTAAGATTGGTTGTCTATGAATTATCCACAGAGGCCACTTACATGATTCTGTTGACTGTGCCACCTTGGCAGCTGTACTGTCTAAGCAGCAATAGACAATATTGTCTAAGCAAAGTAAACATGGAGAGGGATGGGTTACAAATGTTCCACTGGGTATGCAGGATATCTAGATGGATGTCCTGCTCAAGAAAACGAAAGCCCCCAGGGATGTTATTTAAAGCCACACACATAGGGTCTTTAAGACATTCTATGGTAACACTAGTAGACACCAATTAACTGACAAAAAAGCCTTGGATATTAGTCCTAAAGTAACTCTTGGATACTATTATTTTTCAGTGTACTGACTCTGACACTTATTAACCATGTGATCCTGGGCAGGTTACTTAACCTCTCCCAGCCTCTATGATCTCACCTGTACAACTGGGAAAATGGGCGAGGCGCCGTGGCTCATGCCCGTAATCCCAGCACTTTGGGATGCTGAGGCGGGTAGATCACGTGGTCAGGAGATCGAGACCATCCTGGGCTAACATGGTGAAACCCCGTCTCTACTAAAAATACAAAAAATTAGCTGGGTGTGGTGGTGGGCGCCTGTAGTCCCAGCTACTTGGGAGGCTGAGGCAGGAGAATGGCATGACCCGGGAGGTGGAGCTTACAGTGAGCCGAGATAGTGCCACTGCACTCCAGCCTGGGCAACAGAGCGAGACTTCGTCTCAAAAAACAAACAAACAAACAAACTGGGAAAATGACCTACTGTATACAGTTATTGTGAGGATTACTTAAAATAATACATGTAAAGCAATGGGCATCCAATAAATATTGCCTATTGTAAGCTACTGTCATTTTAAGATTGGGAGTCTAGTGAATTCTTCATTGAGGCCACTTAATTGACTCTGTTGACTGTGCTGTCTTGTATGAGCAGCTGGTAAATAAGACTACTGAAATGGTCTTCGTAAATAGTTTTCCTTGGGGGAAACTGCTCAGATTCTGGTTTTGCCCATCTTAAGGGTGCTTGGGTCTCTAGTTCCTAATTTTCATTGCATTAAAATCTTGATGAGAGTTTCTCTCTTCACCCTTCAAGCACTACTTAATCTATCTTGCTATGTAGTTGTTTTCAAGGACTTAAAACATCTCAAAATACTCCACATACACTTTCATAGGGCAACTGAATTATTTACTGTCCTCTGATAACCATGGCCATGTGTGTGTTTAATCATCTTTACGTGCCCTATTCACATCATCTCTGTAAAGTATAAGCTCCTGAATTGTAAATATCTAGAAATAAACAATGAGCTTTAAGTATTAGCCTACAGATGCATTGTTATATTTTTGTTCATGTCAATATCCTCATTCCATTAATTCAATTCAATTGACATGCAGATGTTACAACATGCCTAACAGTGGGCTAGGAAAGAGGGGACACAAAGATGACTTTGCGTCTCTGTCCTCAAAGACCTCCATGGCCTCTCTTCATATCAGGACATCAGGAGACACAGACGCATATAGAGTAACAATTTCCCACGGTAACGATAACAGAATCTGCATGACGTGCTATGAAAAGTGCTTGCTTGCGAACTGTGGGAAGCATTTGTTACAGTGTCACCTGAGCTGGGTACTAAAGGATGAATAGGAGTTTCTCAAGTGGAGAGAAAAGGAGTATGTTCTTAGGTTGAAAGGAATAGCTGGAGTAAAGGAAGGCCAGAAGTATGGAAGTGTTTGACTGTTCAGGGATTCACAAACTGTCCAATGGGGTTGGAACACTTGGTGTCTGGTGGGCACTGAGGGCTCAGTCTCCAAAGACAGACAGGAAAAGATCCAGGAATTGAAGAACCTTGTGTGTCACACTGAGGATGCTAGAATTTACTCCATAGACTATTTGAAGCCCTTAGAGGCTCTTTGGCAGTGGGTGACCTGGGGCTGTTTGGGGGAGAGACCAGAGTCTGGTATGGGAGGGACTGGAGTCTGGGAGGGAAGCTTAGTGACTCTTGCAACAGCTCCAGTTATGAGATGAGCCTGGTTGACACCAGTGGAGAGAAAGCAGAGGTCCCACTGATGGGTGTGTAAGAGGTAGCACCCAGAAGAACGGAGGCTGATTGGGAGTCGGAAGGAGAGATGAGCTCTGGATGGATCTGAGGTCCCCTACCTGGCCAACTAATTGAATGGTGACACCTTTGTAAGGTAAGAATACCACTTATCATAAGGAAAACAACTTATGATTTCTGGAGCACTAGGCACAGAATAATTTCCTCTTTTTCTTAAAGTTTCCACTTATTGAGTGCTTACTGGAAGATCAGTAGGTATCCCAACCATGCCTTATTGTATTTGGTACTTTCAACATTCCTACAGTATTATGGCTGGGCGCAGTGGCTCACACCTGTAATCCCAGGACTTTGGGAGGCCGAGGCAGGCAGATCATGAGGTCAGGAGATCGAGACCATCCTGGCTAACACAGTGAAACCCCGTCTCTACTAAAAAAAATACAAAAAATTAGCCAGGCGTGGTGAGGGGCGCCTGTACCCCCAGCTACTTGGGAGGCTGAGGCAGGAGAATGGCATGAACCCGGGAGGCAGAGCTTGCAGTGAGCCGAGATTGTGCCACTGCACTCCAGCCTGGGCGACAGAGCAAGACTCCGTCTAAAAAAACCAACCAAACAAACATACAAAAAAAACATTCCTAGAGTATTATTAACCTCACTTTAGAGAAAGGGAAACAGATTTGGCATGATTAAAGCGATTTGGCAAAACAATCACAGATACCAAGTAGCAGGAGAAGAGATTCAAACACGGCTTTGACTCCGAATCCATTCTCTTTACCTTCTGTTGCTCTGTCTCCCTCAGTGTCACTGATAGTTGTAACCAAGAGCCATGATGATGTTCACCAAATTCTCAGTGAAAGAACTCAGTTCTTTATTCCTCTTTCCCTATCATTCGCTGTAATACTCAGAATGTATTAAGGTCTTTTCATCCACCTCAGAGCCCCCACTTTACATATGATCCGTGAGCTTCTCAGGATCAGAAACCGACCTAAGCATTTTCCCTCCCACAGGCCCTTGTGGGTATTTTCAAGTTTGGAGGTTGGTGAGGGCACTGGAGCATACTAGCACTCATCTACACTGCATCTACTCTAAGGGCGTTTTGTTCTTGCAAAATTCCTGTTATCCAAAAACTGACATGATTGATCATTTTAAAACCTTCTTAATTAGAAAATGTCAACAGTGGACTAACATGATCAGAACTGCAGAATCCAAGGTTAGTTCTCTAGTTTGTAGCCTCTGGAGTTGGTACAGTGGGTCCTCATCATTCATGGATTCGGTATTTGCAAATTTGCTTTACTTACCAAAATGTATTTGTAACCCCCAAATCAGAACTTGTGGTGCTTTTGCAGTCATTCACAGACATATGCAGAGCACTGAAATCCTGACATGCATACATTCCCAGCTGAAGCTTAACAACGGGATGCTTTGCATTCTTGTTTCAGCTCTCGTAACTGTAAACAAGTGTCCTCACCATGGTCTATTATTTAGTGCTACAGTTTTTGTATTTTTGTGACTTTTGTTGGTGATCTCACTGTTTCAAATGGCCCCAGTTGTAGCACTGAAGTGCTGTCTACTGTTCCTAAGTACAAGAAGACTGTGATGTGCCTTACAGAGAAAACAAGCATGTTAGATACGCCTCATTCGGGCATGAGTTATAGTGCTGTTACTCAACCAGCGTTAATTATTAAATAAGATCTCTTTAAATAAACATGCACATAAAACAAGTTATATATTGATCAGCTGATGAAACTGTTGTGAGCAGAGGCTCTTAGGAACCTAGCTCTGTATTTCCCCTAGGAGGAATGCTTTAATATTCTCTATGTGGTACTCACAGTGACTTTATAGAACATAACGATGGTGAATAATGAGAATCAGCTGTTTTGAGGGTGGCGAGGGGTAACAAACTAGATCTGGAGTCAGAGGCTTGGATTATAATCCTAAATTTCCAACTGACCTCACTGTCCAGGTCTCAACCTCCTTGTCTATAAAATAGGAATGATATTAATATTTGCTGTGGCCCCATGGAGTTATGAGGATAAAATGAGATAATAAAAAAATGCACTTTTTATAAAGTAGAGGGTCCTACAAAAATATTAACAATACTCTTCAACTAAGGGTGTGGGAAAACTGGATTTCTACATGCAAAAGAATGAAATTAGACCCTTGCCTTACAGCATACACAAAAATAAACTCAAAATGGATAAAAGACCCAAATACAAGACCAGAAACTATAAAAGTCCTGGAAGACAAAGAACACAGGGGAATGCTCCTGGACACTGGCCTTGGAAATAATTTTTTAGGTATCATAAAAGCTCACACCACAAAAGCAAAAACAAATAACTCAATGTAACAAATTTGTACTGTTCTTTAGATTAAGGATATTGAGTCGATTTTAGCAGCTCGTACTACAAGAACAACCACAAAATTTTCAGGCCACAAAAGCAAAAATTTTAAACATGGAACTGCATCACACTAAAAAGTCTCTGCATAGCAATCAACAAAATGAAACAGCAATCTATGGTCTGAAAAAAAAATTTTGCAAACCATGGGGTTAATATCTAAAGAACTCATACTCCTCCACAGTGGAAAAACAAATAACCCAATTACAAAATGCACAAAAGACCTGAATAGATACTTCTCCAAAGAATACCAACACGTATATAAAAATGTACTCAACATCATTAATCATCAGGGAAATGCAAATCAAAACCACTATAAGACACCACTTGACACCAGTTAGGATGGCTGTTGGCAAAAGATCAAAAGATAACAAGTGTTGGTGAGTGTATGGGAAAAAGGAAACCCTTGTACACCATTGGTGGGAATGTAGAATGGTACAGACATTATGGAAAACAGTATTGGAATTTTCCTAGAAAATTAAAAATATGACCCAGCAAAACTTCTCCTGGACATATACCCAAAGGAAATGAAATCAACATCTTGTAAAGATGTCTGCACTCCCACGTTCATTGCAGCATTATTCCCAATAGCCAAGACATGGAAACAACCTTGTCTGTCAACAGACAAGTGGATAAAGAAACTGTGGTATATTATTGGATAGAGTATTATCCTGACCTAAAAAAGAACAAGATTTTGCCACTGCCACAACTTGGGTGAGTCCGAAGGCCATTATGTTAAGCCAGACACAGAAAGAAAAATATTGTAAGATTTCACCTACATGTGGAACCTAAAATAAATTCAAATTCAAATATACAGAGCTAGAGAACAAAATAGTAGCTACAAGGGGTGGGGAGTGGGAGTGGAAACGGAGGGATATAGCTCAGAGGTTACGAAGTAGCACTATGTAGGATGAATAGGTCTAGAGATTCAACACAACATGAGGAATACACGTGACAAATTTGTACCGTACTTGAGATTAAGGCTATCGAACAGATTGTAGCAGCTCTTGCTACAAGAACAACAACAGAAAAATGTGTAACTATGTGAGATGATAGATACAGCTTCACTACAGTAACCTTTTAACTATATATCCTCTAACTTCATTTTGTATACTCAAACTTTACAAAACAAAGTTTATTTAAAATATCAACAATAAACAGATCCTCCCTATATTTGACACTTAGAAAATTTCAAGGTATTTTTAATGTGTTATAATTATTTTACTTTGGACTTTTCTTAGCAAAAATTACTATATTTTATGATTCTAAGACCCAGAGTTTTTCACATTTAGTATCTATGGACTTTGTGTTCAAAGATAATTATTATGTACAATTATGATTTCTTCTTAGTGGAACATAAAGATTGGTGTAGCTTACATCCACTGGCGTCTTAGATTAGATGAAATATGGTATTTTATATTTGCCCTCTTTTATGAGTTCTCCTTAGTGTTGACTAAGCTTCCTAAGTAAATGTGACTACTCTAAGCTGACACTCTGTCCAATGAGAAGTTCTATGCACTATTTTCCTTCTTTTAAAAACCTCTCATCCCTTCACATTCCTGATCCAAAAGTCTTCTGCTTTTGTGGTTTTTGCTTATAAAATTTCACTCTTTTCAAAAAATTTAACTTCTAAACAGACTTTCTAATTTTCTAGTGTGGTGATCTAATACAAAAGAAAATGTGCTAATGCTATTTCATTGGGATAAAATTTGAATTCCCTACACCTGCAACTGACTCTGAAAAGTTAGAGAGAATTTTCCAGAAGCCCCTGCCTTGCATGTAGCTGATCATCAAAAGACTGTGTTGGATATTTTATAAATAATACCGTAACACTGCCCCTCTCAGAGTAGTGCCAGAAATAGTGCCTGCCCACAACTTCTTTTTTTTTTTGGTATGGTCTTTCACCTTTTTCCTTGACAGGTGCCCAAGTGAAATCATTTTTTCTTGTAGACTGATAGGCTTGTTTATTTTTAACTCTCATTTCAAGAACTGCTCCCAGGTATAAAGGCTTTATTTCAGAAAAAAAAAAAAATCCTCAACAGCACTCCTCCGGAAAGGCAGACAAATGACCGAGGAACGCTACCTGGGCTCTGACCTGCAGTAGCTGACCCATCTCCTTTTCAACCTTATTTTCTGTGCTAACTGCTGAGCGTTGCGTTCTCCTTTGTATTCATCCATCCTGCTTGGCTGTAAAAAAGTGACTCCCACAACACAGGTAGATTCTACTAGAAGAAAGCCCCAGGTCCTTCCACAGAAATGTACTAGCCTCTAGAACGATGGGGTCCTGTTGAGACCACTGCTTAGGGAAAATCCATCCCAAATTATGTAGGAGGGTTACAGTATGACAAAACATTTTTATTCTATGCAAAACCAGTGTACCATGTACTGCACTTTTCTTCAAATGATAACAGATACCCCTCCACCCAAAATGCACAGCTAATCAAGTAAAAAGTGGATTCTTGGGTGTCACTCACAGGCTAGTTTATTGTTTAGGTAAAAATGGGCATTGAGAGGTAAGGGCAAGAGGGCAGTGACTTCTCCCTTTGATCAAGTTTTCATCTCCCAGTGACACTTTAACCTGTTTTCCAATATTAAGGTGTCCCTAGGTCATGAACACATGGTAAGTAATCACAAATAAGCTAATATTTTCCTTTGATCAAGTTTTCATCTCCAAGTGACACTTTAACCTGTTTTCCAATATTAAGGTGTCCCTAGGTCATGAACACGTAATAAGTAATCACAAATAAGCTAATATTTTCTTCATTGTATACTATTTTTACAATGCATAATTAATAAACTGGCTTTTCATCCATATTGTTGGATGTATTTCTTAACATAATCATGGTTATCCATGTGAAATGGTTGCTGGTTCAAGTTCGGGGACGGGATTGTCAACAGGGTTGAATGTTTACAGTAATAGGACTGATGATTAGCCTAATTTCAACCAGTGTCAATTCAATGTTTGATCATCAAGAAGGCTCAAGAAATGGCAGCATCTCCAACTTTCTGGGAAGTACAAAAGACAATGATTAGTGGCAAGCCAACACTGAGTTAACTCCTACCACAGGAACCTGACCTGCTATGGGTTCGGTAAGTGAGAGGCGGACTGAACCCCAAGTTTGCTTAGGGCACATCAAGGACATACAGCTTGCCAAATATTTAGGATCAGGAATTAGACAATAATACTTGGGACATTTGTGTCACCTGTCCTTGCACTCTGAAACTCTTTCCCAAGATGAGATCAAGGAGTGCCACTAAGCACTTCAGAAGCTAGGAAGGCTCCTTTGGTTATGGTTCTGAGTGGCTGATGAAAGTCTCTGTAGCTGGATGATCTCTACGACACGATTTTCTGCCCCAGCTAAAGAGGGCAGTGGGGGTGACAACAGAAATACCCCTATGAGATAAACCCACAGTGAACTAAGCACTGGTTACACAGCTGTGAGACTTGTAAAATCCCACAGTGTGCTAGCTGCAACCATGTCTCGGACTTGGGGAAACCAGGAATGATCTGGTTCCATTACATTCTTCTGGGTTCTACCCAGTGTCTGTCTTGCAGTCGGTGCCTGCCTGGCGTGGGAAAACACTACTCGTCTGCATCTAACCCCAGGGCTCCAATGTAAAAGGAGAAAACGGATTTGCTGCACCTCTTACTTCCTCCCCTCCACAGGACAATTGCACTTAATCTAATTCCAAAATGTTCTGAACCAAGCCTCAGCTCTATTTGGAGAATTATTTTAAATGATAAACCTTCTTTTTGTTTCCTTGGTCTACTAATAAACAAGTGGGTAGCTTTCTTTAACATTTCCTTCTTTCTAGATCAGCTGCCAAATTGAGTGATACAAAGATACTGTACTAGGCAAAGAATATAGCTTATATTGGCCGGGTGCTGTGGCTAATGCCTGTAGTCCCAGCACTTTGGGGGGCCAAGGCCGGCGGATCACCTGAAGTCAGGAGTTCGAGACCAGCCTGGCCAATGTGGCGAAACGCTGTCTCTACTAAAAATACAATTAAAAAAAAAATTAGCCAGGCGTGGTGGTGCATGCCTGTACTCCTAGCTACTCAGGAGGCTGAGGCAGGAGAATCGCTTGAACTCAGGCAGCAGAAGCTGCAGTGAGCCAAGACGGCACCACTGCACACCAGCCTGGGCAGCAGAGCAAGACTCCGTCTCAATTAAAACAAACAAAAAAAAGGATATAACTTATATTTATGCATATGTATCAGCATTAAAATTTTAAAATTTCTTATGTATGATTTATTTTGAACCCCAATATATTAGAATAGTAGTACATGTATGCAGTTAGCCAATAAATGTGTATATTTGTGGGCACAAGCTTAAACATTTTTTTTTTTGAGACCCAGTCTCCCTCTGTCACCCAGGCTGGAGTGCAGAGGCATAATCTCAGCTCACCGAACCTCTGCCTCCTGGGTTCACGTCATTCTCCTGCCTCAGCCTCCCGAGTAGCTGGGACTACAGGCACCTGCCACCATGCCTGGCGACTTTTGTGTATTTTTTTAGTAGAGACGGGGTTTCACCATGTTAGCCAGGATGGTCTCGATCACCTGACCTTGTGATCCGCCCCCCCTCGGCCTCCCAAAGTGCTGGGATTACAGGCGTGAGCCACTGCGCCCGGCCTCAAGCTTAAACACTTTTTAGCAATGACCACGCAATTAAAAAGGTTTGAAGAGATTGTTCCTGTTAATGATCTTAATGTCTTCTGTAAGCTACAGACGTACAGGAATGAATTCAAAGATAAAAGTAAAATCACGGCTGGCGCAGTGGCTCATGCCTGTAATCCCAGCACTTTGGGAGGCCGAGATGGGTGGATCACCTGAGGTCAGGAGTTTGAGACCAGTCTGGCCAACATGGTGAAACCCTATCTCTACTAAAAAAAATATATATATATATATAAACTTGCCAGGCGTGGTGGTGGGTGCCTGTAATCCCAGCTACTCGGGAGGCTGAGGCACAAGAATTGCTTGTACCCAGGAGACGGAGGTTGCAGTGAGCCCACACGGTGCCACTGTACTCCAGACTCAGTGACAGAGTGAGAGAGACTCCGTCTCAAAAAAAAAAAAAAAAAGTAAAATCAGTACCTTACCAGTTTAAAAAAAAAAAAAAGACTTTTCAACCCAGAGAATGTCTTGCCAGAAAGATGATTTTACTACTCTGAAAATCTAGTGTCTCTAACAGGCAGGAAATGCCTCATGTTTAGTCAGGGCCAAGAAACGGTTTGGGGCCGGCTTAATTACTGGTCTATCTTTGACCTATTAGGACAGTGTATATGCTAAAGACGTTATGCTTGTTGAAACTTCAAAGGAAAGGCAGGGAAAATTAATGAAATAGAAGAGACCATTTCATTTGTTCAGTACTACTTGAGTCCTGCCTCTCAAAGTATTTCACTTTAATTTCTATCATTGACTAATAAAATGCATAGGATCAAAGTTTTTAAAAATTCAAAACCCATTTTAAAGGAAGAGGACCACCTTTTAAGAAAACAGGCTTATAGCACTTGACCTATTTCAATGTCAAAGCAGCACATCAAGAAATTATTTTTATATTGACAGACACACCTTTTAATAGGACTATGGTGTTCAGGCCTATACACAAGAACACGGTGGCTGGAAGTAAACAGGCTAGTGGCTCCTCCTAAAATTTCTGTTTGGCACTGGACGGGCTGAGAAGCTCTTGAGCATGTCTGTTTTTTCCAACTTTTCTACATCACTGGCCAAAAAACAAAAAAAGCCCACACATACATATACACATACACATACATGAGTACAGAAATACACAGACAGATGAGACAAGTGAAAGAAAGAAGGGTTGCAGTTGTCTTGCAAGGAATATGGCAGGATACCTGGGATGCTCTCTAATTTCCTTCTGAGCTCTTCATTTTCTTGTTGCAGTGAAATAACCTCCTGCTCCAGCTCTTGGCATCGAGGACAATAGCCTTCCTCGTCCTCCTCCTCCTCCTCTTCTGGCAGTGTAGATGAAGATGGGTGGCCATGGGATTCGGACGTTGCTGGGGAAGTCCAGCCACCTAATGTATGCACAGGAGAGGTTGACAGAGGATCCACGTCGGCCAGATGGCCATATTCACTGGCTGACGAGGGGTTTGGAGTTGGAAAGCTTCCCGAGAGCAGGTAATTTTGTAGAGAGTCAGTGAAAACCCTCAAAAAGGCAGAAGTTTGTTGTTTCCTTTGCATATACTGCATCTCTATGTCTACATTGTCTGAGGTCTGACTGTGGACCCCTTTCCCAATGTGACAGTGCTCCTGTCTTTCGTTGTAACTTGAGCCTTCCTGCTTTACGCAAGAAATCATGGACTGAGAATGGTTGGAGTCCAGGAGTTTTCCTCCACAATTTAAGAGGCTAAGAACTCGACTGCACTGCTGGGCAAAGGCATCCAAGATCATTCGACTCTCTGAAACAAATGAAAGGACACATCAGTGACCAACAGCCAACGGCAAAAGATAAATAAAGTCCTCAATTTTCAGCTTAACATTCAAACATGTTAAAAATATGTATTTCTACTGTCTGTCATAAACCAAGATGACACAATAAATCCACTGTGAATAGAACGCATAGCTTCCTGTTGTTCTGCGACTGCGGGATGCTTGCTGAGTCACACGCAGTCTCTTGCTCTAGGAAACGGCTGGACTGTGACTTTGGGCACCATATAGAGATTTCCCTCTCTGTGGCATTAACTGGCTGCACAGGTCTGAACTCACACCTTTGGTTTCATTAATATCCTTACTCTAAGGAATCGAGCCAGCCACTGCAGACTCAATTCCTCATTGATAGGAGGGCTTAAAGCAATCATTACTTCTATTTCTGGAGTGCCCTCATGCCCTTGCTATTAATCAGCTGATACAATCCCTGCAGAGAGTACATAGCTCCCAGATGCAAACTGGGGAAGAAAGATAAGTCTTTTTGAAGAGCTCACTAGAAATTTAAGGTAAAACAAAGAGTAGGCCTATGGGCACAGGATGAGCACAAAACTGTATGTGTCTTCTAACATCAGTGTTCACTATTCCTTCTTTTCATTTATTTGCTAACTTGGACTTCTTGTCAAGGCCAATGTTTAGGCTGACGTGTATCATTTGAAAATCAGTAGTATCACTTCTTAGAACCTCTTCCAGTAGATTGCCAAATATCCTAAAATGGCACGAGGCATGGGTGCCTGTTAGCCCATGTACATGAATTCTAAAGCATATTGTCAACCATTGAAAGCAAAAAGCAAACAAAAGCAATCAACCCACTGTAAAAAGAAAATGTAATTTAATGATATCGAAGGGTCTTGAAAATTTACCCCAAATATAAATGTCACAGGGTAGATTCGCTTCTTTCCTGATTGCCACCTAGAATGGGCTATTATAAATACAGAGAGGGGCACTTTTCAGAGCTGACACAGAAGCATGAGGATGTCTCTTATTTCCTCTCCCCTTTCCCAGAATAATGGCAATAAACAAAATATTCTAGATTGTAGATGCCTATAACTATTGTTTAAGATAAAAATGCAACTAGCACTAGCTCTCTCTGAAAATGTTGACTAGCTGCATTTTTTTCTGGAGGAAAGAAAACTTTCAGAATAAAAAATGGTGAGATGTTCAAGGGCTGCTATGGGAAAAATAAGCTAGAACAGCTTCAATAAGAAATCCCCTAGAACACACCCAGGATGTAAGACCAAGGAAACCACACTACAGGAGAACTCCATGCAGTGCTCAACGTTCCACTGTGTTCTTTTTTCTTATTATCCTTTCATGAAATAACTAAGATAGTCAGAGGAGAGGGGTCCAAGTGCTCTTTTCCAACTTTTTAATAAGAATATACATGTAAAACAGC
Organism: Homo sapiens; assembly: GCF_000001405.40. Lineage (NCBI taxonomy): Eukaryota > Metazoa > Chordata > Mammalia > Primates > Hominidae > Homo > Homo sapiens. The sequence goes on from NC_000004.12 coordinate 42,145,416, forward strand.
TGGGTGCAGTGGCTCACACCTGTAATCTCAGCACTTTGGGAGGCCAAGGTGGGCAGATCACGAGGTGGGAGATCGAGACCATCCTGGCCAACACGGTGAAACCCCGTCTCTACTACAAATACAAAAATTAGCTGGACATGGTGGCGCGCACCTGTAGTCCCAGCTACTCGGGGGGCTGAGGCAGGAGAATCGCTTGAACCCAGAAGACAGAGGTTGCAGTGAGCCAAGATGGTGCCGCTGCACTCCAACCTGGCGACAGTGAAGACTCCATCTCAAAAAAAAAAAAAAAAAGAATATATATGTAAAGCCCATATAGCACAGTGTTTGGCACATAGGAAGCATGCCTTACATCTCCCAAATCCTGAATCCCGCTGAAAAACTGCAAGTCAGAACAGAGGCCAGATCTCTTCTACTCAGTAGAGGATCATAAACTGCACTGGAGTGTCAGAGGCCAGCACAACACCTTGAGAAATAGTTACTGAACACACAGCAGGTACTCCTGTACATACATAAGAGCATCTTAGTTTATAGCATTTTCAGATTTACTTGACTGAGGTAGGGGTAGCAAGTCCACCCTAGGCTGGTTGAGAGTCCACAGGACTATTTTCTTCTTAGAATAGTACTTTCTTACTCTTAGGAGCAGTATTACCCTCAGACCTTGGCAGCAGGACCGCCACCTGACCCTCCTTCTCCAGCCAATCCTGTCCACATGGCCAAGTACCCCAAGATCCAAGAATTCCCCACTCAAACTGCTTTAAAGATCTATGCTGCCATCTTCTCTGAGCCATCAATCCAAAGACAGAGACCATGGTGTCAGATCCTGGAAGTGTGGACTGGGACCTCCACATATGTGTATGTGAGGTCCCTCCTAGTGGAAGATAAAGCTAGGAGTGGAGAGAGAAAGACATGGGTTGGTTGTAAATTCCAAACCTGGTTACTGTGAAGGTGTATTTGCCAAGGTAGGTGGACAGAACATATTTTGTTAAACAATTTGTTAGCTTGATTTATACTTTGTAATTATCTGATATATGCTCTGTGAGGCACTATTTGTACTCTTATCCGGAGTCTCACAAAAATATTTGGGTGCCATTTATTTACAATGGCCAAAACCAAATAATAAGAAAGCCAACAGCTGAACTATACAAGTAAGAGGTTTAAGATGCTACACTCATTTTTTTACTTCCTGGTTTCTGTTCTTTTATTAGTAAAATCAAAGGATGATATTGATTGGGAATTTTCAATTCTAGCACAACAGCAGTTTTCATTCATTTTAATCCTATAATCCCATTCTAGACCTGAAGTTGTATTTACTGTTTGCATTTTAATCAGCATAGTCCCAATTGATTTCCCCTATACACCTTTAACATAACCTTGATGAAAGGGACAAAATATGAAAGTCTAAAACAGAACTGGCTAGTAAGAACTGCTTGAATGTATTTGTTCAGTGTCCTACAACACACTCAGTAGTTTTAATCACATTGATAAATCACATTAGAGTATAGATTTTAAGGGAAAAAAATCTGACTTAGGGACAAGCGTGATTTGTTTTCTTAACTGAAGGATAAACTTGTAACATGCTGAGAAAAAATCATTATGTAATATACTACATTATGAAGATAATCTATTAAAGTGCACTCAGAATATGAGAGAATAGTTACAATCATAAAGTAGTTCTTGCCTGCAGTTTTTTAAATGCTTCATTCTGAATTTGCTTTCAGAAATGATATGTACAAAAATGGCTATTGTCACCCTTAGAGTAGAATTTTTTCTCTTTTCATTACCTTGAATTATTTGAATATTATTTTAACATTGATACATGGAAGATTGTGATGAAAAATATTACCATTACATTCGGTGGAAAACAGCAAATCTTTCCACTTAATACACATTGCATGCAGCAATAGTTTTAGCCTTCTAGACAGAATATAATTATAAATCCAAGTACTGTGTGATGCCCATTATCACTAAGAAATGAAGTTCTGTTTTCATACAAACACAATTGAATGGCTACTGATCTATGATTCTTAACTCAGCAAACTGTGAACACGTATTATGATTTTTTTAACTTTTTTTTTTTTTTTTTTTGTTAAGTCATAGAATGCTCCACTCAAGTGATGGCAGGGAAAGAGAAAATCAACAGTTTACAGAAGGGCTACTTTATCCCTAACTTCCCTAAAATTAAACACCATAAAATGTTAATAAATCACAATCACAAAGCCCTCTAAAATGCCCACTTCTCTCTAATTTATTTTGCTTTATTGTGCAGCCTACTGGGAGATAATATTATGCTGCAAATTGTGCCTTGTCCGATTCCAAAATCTGAACCCATGATTATTTTTTTAATTAAAAAATTCATTTTGGGAAATTCGTCTGAATTTAAGAGGTTTAATCCATCCTATATCTGATAAGTGAATAAGAAGAGGGATGGGAAGTAGGCAATCAAATAGTCTCCCTACTTTACCGCCCCTCTTTGTAAGTAAAGCCTTGAATGGAATTTGCCCATCACAGCAGATCCCCAAGAGAATTCTGCTTCTATGAAGGAGATCACAGTAGTCAAGATTAGTGGTAACCTTTTGATTTTAGCCCAGCGAAGGGTGAAATATATTAATATTAAAAATGCAGAAGCAGAAATTTTTTTTAGTGACCTACTATCATGTATTCATATGTTATATCTACCCAACGATTTCTAACTAGTTCAAAATAGATGATTTCCTTAAAACATTAATTTAACTTATTTTTAAAAGAGGGCTTCATGGCATAGAAAATAGAAGTTAGAAAATCAAAGCATCTTTGGAAGCACCACCCTTGTCTTAAATCAATGAACTATGTCTTTTTTAAAAAATGCCATCCAATTTTTTTCATAATGGCAAACATCAACACAGCAAAACAGGATGGAATTTTTCTAAATAAATAAATCAATGATGTGTCAAAAATTAACAGATGAGTTAATATACTCGGTGCTATCAAAACCAGATGGTGCTTCCTAATATTCATCCTGCTCAGTCAATCCCTGAATATTTTCTGGACCATCGGTATATAAAATAGGATGCTGCTATTTGTGATGGCAAACAAAAGCAATCATGCCTGCCAAGCACATACTATAACAGGCAGCATTTCAGCTCTGCTAGACAGAAAGTAATTAGAATGCTTTTAATGTCCAAAAGAATGATGCTGATAGGCTGCCACAGATGTGTAGATTTATGAATATTTATATGGTGGTTTATAGCTGACACTTTTATCAGTTGAAGAAGATAAAATATCTGCCTGACTCAAAAGCTTGACAGTCAGGTTAATAAAATCTCATTAAAGAGAATGACCTATGCAATTATATAGGATTTATTATAATTCATTTTTGATTGTACTCTGCTTAAAGATGCAATTTCCCATTTCCTAATGCCAAATTTAGGCTGCATATCAAGATCTACGTGGGTTTTAACTCTAAGCCTCCCACAGAGGAAAAATATGCTTTTAAAACCATGGTGTATTACCCCTTTTAAGGAAAATTATACTCTTCATGAGATTTTATAAAAATGTTGAAAAAATCTATTTTTAATCACATATTTCTCTTCTTAGTTATAGCCCTTAATGGCAAATAAGATTCACTTCAACCCTTTCATCTTTTCACTCCATTTACTCTGGACACTCAGTTACGTCTCTTCTTCTGTCCTTGACTCATTTCGTAACATGAATGTTTTGACTATTTTCAGTTTACTAGGTAGCCTGAAACACAGCAATTACACTTCTGCGAGGGTGCAACAGGCAAAGCGCCGCTCCCACCCCCCCCACCCCACCCAGTATGCTTAAATGGCCACGGGTCTGTGCACACATGCTTATTGGTTCAAAGTGGAACGACTAGTTTCTCAGAGAACCAATCAGCTCTTCAGGTGGCTGTTCTCTGATGGCCACTCACATCACTGTGCCTGTTAAGAGATGGCTTTGTCCATCAGTGATTAATATTATGACCACAATTCATGATGTCTAGTTCTATGGCTTTCTTCCCCCCAGACTATTTCCCTCACTGTATGGAAGAAGCCTACCATCCAATTCCCATCTTTCCAACAAGCACGAGGGATCCAGCCCTTGGTGCTATCAAGCTTACCCCTCTCTATGACCTCCTTAAAAACAACAAAAGCAACCGTGAGAATAAAAGGAAATATGGAGAAATTCGAAGGGCATCAAAAAAGCCCCTCTTCACTCCTTTAGATTTAGTGATGTTATAATTTCCATCTGGGAACAGAGACAAAATAAACTAAACAGGACATCAGAAGGAACACTGAAAAAGAACATTTAGAACAAGGTGAGAAAAGGAAGGAAAAAAAAAACCCACATGAAGGAAGGACAGCAAGGAAACTGCCAGGGTAGAAGTAACCAAGGAAAGAACAGCAAGTGACTGGTGCAGAAAAAAAGAAGCAATACAGGAAATATATAGCCGGCTAAAACTATGGATGAAAATGGAAATGAGAAGGGGGTAAATTTACAGTGTATAACAGGAAGTAAAATATGGAAAGACAATCAACAAAGGCTGGAAGGAGAAGCAAGAGGAGATCAAAGACTGACCTGGGCAGATAGAGGGGAAAACGTCAATGAAAATGATGGAACTGAGGCTACGCAAAAGAGTAAAAGCAAAACACAGAAAATGGGAAAAGGACCCAAATTGCTGGCAAAGAACATAAAAATACAGGATGATAAAGCTGAGCCTAGAAATAAACACATGCCTGAACAAGAAGTAGTTTAGGAGAAAATAAGATCTCAAGCCAGAAAGAAAGAAAATGAACCTCCTTAAGAAGGGGGGAAAAAGAAAAAAAGTAAGGAGGAAAATCAAGTGAGCCAACTGCCTAACAAAGAATATAAAAACACAATGGAATATTGGGGCAAGAGCAACTGAAAAAAAACATACCCCACAAACAATAAGGAAGTCCACCTAAGAACCCCACTGAAAGCAATCAAACATCTTCAAATCAGTGAGAGATGCAACAGATCAAGTCTTCACTATAACCTGTAATTAGGTTTTCTTTTCCAAAACCAATCCTTCATGTGTCAAAATATTGACAAACAACAGAATTATTACTGGAGGCATCTATAACTCATTTAGACACAACACTTCTATTTTCCACAGGAGAAAAAAATAAGTCTCAAGATTCACTGACATGCAGGATTTGGGGGGCTTCAAAGTGCCATAAAAGGCCTTGGCAGGAACTTTTAGTTCTAATGAGTGGATAAACGTGGCTGCACCCACTGGGAGCTGGTGGAGAGGTCCCTTGGGCGCAGGCCTCAGGCTGTGGCCTCGCAACCAGCCCATCTCGCTCCCTGCAGGCAGGCAGTGGGCTGCTTTGCCGGGCAGCGCCCGCAGACTCGAGATAAAGGAGAGGAGTCGCGGACCCCAGAGTGGGTGCCTCCCACGAGGCGTTTCTGTAAGGCTCGGGCCGAGATGCTCGGGAGGGGCAGGACCCCGCGGCGCGGCAGCGTGCCACGGACGGGGACGAGGGGATGGCGGGGACGACGACGTGGGCGGTGGGAGCAGAGTGCCTGCGACTCCCGGGGCAGGAAGGAGGGGCGGGATGGTTCCCCGCGCCCGAAATCCACGGCGTGGCGGACGCGGAGGAGCCCCGAGTCTCACAACCAAGGGGTGGGAAGGAAAAGGGACAGAGCGAGACAGAGCGCCCCCGAGAAACACAGGCGCACAAAAAAAGACAGAAGGAAAAACGGAACTGAGAGCCAGCCAGCATGGACTGCGACAGCGTGAGAGTGCATCAAAGAGGTGGCGAAGAAAGCACTAGAAGGCAAAGGAGAAGTGGAGAGAAGAAGAAACAAATGGAGGAAGAAGGAGAAAGGGAAAAAGCAGACGGAAAAAGTGAAGTAGTACGAGGGCGTCCCAGCGGGGCGGCCCGAGAAGCTCCAGCTTCTTCCCGAGCGGCCGCCGCTATCCCCCGGGGGGGCGTCTGGCCCCACTCCGGACCACGCCCGAGCGATCCTGGTCGCCGACTGCCACAGCCGTGCTTCCCGGCGCGGGATCCAAGCCGCGGAGCCACCTGTTAGGCGCGCGCCGTCGGAAGCCCAGGCGCGGCGGCGCTGGAGAATCCTCTCGAAGTTTCCGGGTGCGCGGGGAGGCCCCAGGTGCGCCCCGACATCCCGACACGGCCCAGCACGGGTAAGTGTCGGCGGCCCCCCGCTTCTCCTTCCTGGGTCCCCTCCCGCTGCCCCCGGCCGTGGCGGGAAGGAAAGTTGTGCGGAGAGTTGGTACCTGCGCTGAGCTCCAGGCTGGCGCTGTCGCTACCCGTGCCGCCGGTGCCGGCGGCCGCCGCCGCGCCTGGGCCATACCTGACGACAGCGGCGAACGAAGACGACGAGGAGGCGGCGGGGGACGCGGGCGGCGGCTGCGCCGGAGTCCTCAAGTGGCCCTGGGATGTGGCGGGCGTGCAGGACGGCGACGACGACGAAGCGGCGGCGGCGGCCCGGCCGGGCCCGGGGGGGTAGGAGCTCTGCGCCTGGAACTGCTGCGGCGGCGGCTCGCTGCTGCTGATGGAGACGGCGGCGTGCGGCGCGAAGGGCGGCGGGGGCGGCGGGGGCGCCCGCACGTGCGGCAGCTCCACCAGGGTGGGTCGCTCGTAGCGCTTGGCCAGCGCCGGTCTCTTGCTGGGGAACGTCTTGAGGACGCTGTAGGGGCTGCGCTGCTTGTAGATTTTGGGGACGCTGGGCCCCTCCTCTGCCGGCTGCATCTCTTCCTCCATCCGGCGCCTCGGGGCCGGTCCCTCGGAGCACGTCCCCTCCCCGCCGGGCGCCGGGCTCCGAGGGTGCCTCCGCCGCCTGCCCGCCGGGTCTGCCCTGGTGCGCGCGTGTGGGAGGGTGTGTGTCTGTGCCGTGGCCGCCGCCGCCGCCGCCTGTCGCTGAGGCTGGCATCGCCGAGCCCCCGCGCGGGGGGCTGCCGCCCGAGCTCCTGATTGACAGGCTGCCTCGCCAATGCCTGGAGGGAGAAAGGAGGTAAAGAGCAAGTGTTTAGGGTAATATCTGCTAATGATAATGGGGGCGGGGCGGGGCCTGGCGCCGCAGCCGCCCGCGGGGTCTGCCTGGCGGCTCCGCGCCTCCGACGGGGAGCGGGGGAAGGGGGAAAGCGAGGACCTGGAGGACGCCCGGGAACTGGTGAAGAAGGTGGGGATCCGGGATCTGGCTACGGCGAGACTTTAGAGACCCAGATGTGGACTCGAGGCTTCTGCGGCTGCGGGCGGGGTCCGGCTTCCGAAACGAGCTCGTGGCGCCCCCTGCATGACCCCAAACTCTCGGGGTTGCACAGAGGAGGGGCTAGTCGTTGGGGCGGGGTCGTCAGAGTACGTGTGTATTACAGCAAGTTCTTCTACCAATCGGGAATTGCTCTCCGATCCTTCTGAAAAGAACCTCTTGAAGATCTTGGCCCGGGTGGTCGCGCGGTGTTTACGGGGCTTTGGGGTCCTGCTTTCCCCGAGCATCGCGGCCTCTGAGCTCATGCGGAACATAAAAGCTCGCAAGGCGTAGAACTTTTTCACGTTTTCATTTGTTTCCCGTAGGGGCCCCGAGAACGTGCATGACACCATGATTTCCCCCCCATTATAAAGATGAGAAAACCGAGGCTCTGAGAGGTTGAAGGGAATTGCCCAAAGTCAGACACTCGGGAGTGTGCGGCTGTGTTGCACTGACGCATCCAGGTTATTTGAAGTCAACTCCTCACTTCCCATAGCCAGTAGCCTCTGTGCAATTGAGTGGGGAAATGTCCTGATACCTCCCTTTGAGGTGATGATTACTTTCAACAGTGTCATTTTTAATATATGTATATGTACTTGCAAGCCCAGGGAAACACGAGAACTCACTCCTTGCATTGTTTTACTCACTGCAACTGGCGCCATCCGGCGAGGGTCTGGAGGGTGCCCAATTTCAGTAGCCGTTTGAATGAGAGATCTCAGTCGTTGGGAGGAAGATCCTCCATGGGATGCAGATGTCCTGGTCTCTCCCAGCCACTTTTTGGGGCAGAGGGTCCATTGCTCCCTATCCCAAATCACCCCTCTTCTAGGCCAACCAGCATACCCTGCCCCAGGTTTGCTTTTCAGCCTTCCTTTTTCGTTCTCCAGGTCAGAGTTCTGGATGCTCCTTGATGTAGGACCCTCATCTCTGCACTCTGAAGTTTGTTTCCTTTTCAGAGCCTTCCTTTTATTCTTAGGAAGGTGACCCATTTTCTTCTGGGGGTTCACATCTTTTGGCCTCTCTTTCCCTGGTCTCCTTCCCTTTGGAAGCTTTTTCTCTCTGCCTTGCTGGTTCAGCTTCTGTATTATTCCCCCCTAGATTGTCTCCCTCTCTCCTGCAGCTTCCTCAGATGGTGCTGTGTCCCCCCCCCAATCCATTTATTAGAGATGAAATAAATAATGCCATAAATATAAGTATTTGGGAGTCCAGGAACTGTCAGGGCTGATTAGGGCATAGAGGACATTTTCTTTCTCATTATGCAAAAGCATTTCATGGGGAAATAAAAGAGGTTTCATTGTAACTCATGCATGTCATATTTCAAGGAATTCAAGATATTAATCATATTTAACATTATTTGCAATGTTTCTCCCTGGCTTCTGAAAACTGCTAAATGAGGACACGTGGATCACTAGGAAAAGGAGACAAGCATGAGAGGGACAGTTAAGAAATAATGAAATGCTGGTGAAAGAGAAAGAGAATGAGATGCCAGGGAGATGTTTCTTAGGCACGTAAGTGAGAAATGGGGGAGCTACTTCTGAGACGTGAGACAGCTGAAATTGAATGATATACTGGAGGAAATAAATGATAACAAACCTCCCCACACTTTCCTTTCTATAAAGCAGTTCTGAATTTTGCATTGAAATGTTTTCCTCCCACTTTACTCCCAGATAATTTGCCAATAAGTCCTGGCTTTTGAAAAGAAATTGGGGTGGTGGCAGTGTGGGGAGTTAAGAGGAGAGAAATCTTTTAGTTCTTCTGAAGAAGTAATTTCCTGTACCTGGGGGCTTCCTCTTCTATGTAGTTTTAAATGTATATCCTCCTCACCACTTAAACACCTTAAGAGACTGGGAACAATACTTCTATTGTATATTTTCTATTGAAAAGGACATGCTGTCCTTTACATCAAAAAGTGATTATTTCTATAAAACTGAAATAATCAAATTAGTCATTTAGCTTTTAAAAGTGGGGGGAAGGGGGAGGGGAAGGTGCCCAGAGGAAAAATATTTAAAAGTTTTAAATGATCAGCTTTCAGATTTTCATGTGGGCAGTCACCTATGTCTGCGTCCTGAGTTCATAGAAAAGTGAAGTACTTAAGAATCACCCTTTTAAAAATAAAATGAGCATTTACTCTAAGTGTGGAGTTGAAGGCAATTTTAAAATTATAGCTGACCACTAACCCCTGCCTGAGATTGTATTTAACTGAGTATTGTACATAGATGTAATGTATTTAAGTGTTCATAAAATTACTGGTAGCACTCTGTGAGCATCTTGCTCTAAATTGTGGCCTAAATTATCAGATAGTGACTTTGCTGATATCTTCTCTTAGGGGTCTCATAGGAGCTGATAGAATAGTAATTATACCCATGCTTTAAATCTTTTTAGATATTTACTCTTATCTCAAAAAAAAAAAAAAGAGAGAGAGAGAGTGAGAGTGAATTTTGAAAAGCCAAGTGGCTATTTATGGACAGGGTGATTTTTTGATTGGCAGCATGTCAATTCCTTGAGCCATCCAGAATATAGCTTTTAAATAATAGCTCAGCCATGGGAAATGCTTTTTATTGCACCAATTTCAATGATATTTAATGAGCTTCTGATTGACTGTTTGATCTCCCAATGTTTTGTGCTACTTTTAATTCATTTCGTATAATAGAAAAAAAAGTAATTGGAATAAAATTTTGTGACAAGATAATGACCTTCCACTTTGAAATTAAATGTCTGATTAGCTTCAACATTTTAATGCCAAGATGATATTGCAGCAGGAACAGGAGTATGCATACTATCATTTGGTACAAAATGACTGAGGAATACTCCTTTGCTTTTCCCATTGCATAGCAAAAAAGGTGTGGTGGCCATATAATCGTAGGTACATAGGACTAGAAGGGACCTATGCAGTCTTTTATTCTTGTGACTAAGCCTCTGCCCATAGTTTTCGATGGCCCTGGCAAGTGGTTGTGCAAACCATGTTTAAATGCCTCCACTGATGGGGATCTTGCTACCTTCAGGGACCTTATTCCCCCAGGTATTTATTCCACAAATATTTATTGAGTGTCTACCATGTGCTAGGTACCTTTCTAAGCACTGGGGGATATAATGTTACCCAGATCACAAGGTCCTACTATTATGGATTTGGGGGGAGCAGGTAAACAAATAAACCAGTAACTAACTGAAAAATATTATTTCAAATAGAAATAACTATGATGAGGGACAGGCACAGTGGTTCATGCTGGTAATCTCAGCACTTTGGGAGGCTGAATGGGGAGGATCACTTGAGCCCAGGAGTTTGAGACCAGCCTGAACAACATAGTGAGAGCCCGTCTCTACAAAAAAATAATAATAACTGAGCATGATGTTGTGCATCTGTGCTTCTAGCTTCTTGGGAGGCTAAGACAGGAGGATCACTTGAGCCCAGGAGTCCAAGGCTGTAGTGAACTGTGATTGTGCCATTGTACTCCAACCTGGAGGACAGAGCCAGGCCCGTCTCTAAACAAACTATGATGAAAAACCAGGGTGGGAGACTGGGCACAGTGGCTCATGCCTGTAATCCCAGCACTTTGGAAGGCCAAGGTGGGAGAATTCCTTGCATCCAGGAGTTTGAGACCAGCCTGGGCAGCATAGTCACACCCTATCTGTACAGAAAATAAAAAATTAGCCAGGTACGGTGGCTAATAGCACCTGTAGTCTCAGCTCCTCAGGAGGCTGAGGCCGGAAGATCACTTGAGCCTAGGAGGTTGAGGCTGCAGTGGGCCAAGATGGTGCCACTGCACTCAGCCTAAGCAACAGAGTGAGACCCTTTCTCAAAAAAAAAAAAAAAAATAGGGTGAGGCTGTTACTTTTGATAGAATGTGACTGAGAGGATCTCTCTGAGGTGGAACAATAGAGCTGAGAGTTCACTCATGAGAAAAAGCCACCCATGAGAAGAGCAGTCCAGGCTAAGGGACAATAGGTGCAAGAGCCATAAGATGGGAACAAGCTTGATGTTCTCAGGGAGCTGAAAGAGGGGAAGCCATGGGAATTGCCCTGGCAAGGGGCAGAGCAAGGAGGAGAGGAGAGAGGCGGGCTGGGCCCAGGCTGTGCAGGTCCTTGTACATCACGGGACACTTGGGGGATTTATTCTAAAGGCAGCGGGAAGTCTTGGAGGTAGTTACACAGAGGTAACAACATGACCAGATTCATGTTCTTAAAAAATGATGTTTTCAGAAAAGGTAAAATCATGACTCTCATACGGACATAAAAATGAGCACGTGTTAAAGATTGTATTAAACATAATTATTCAGGGCCCTTACACTGTTCAAAGGGAAGCACAGATTGGTATGGAATAAAGGAATGTTGAATTGAATGTGTAAATGGTTTTTCCATGGAGGCATGCAGGTGGAGGAAAGGGAACCTATACCAGATGGGACAGTTTGCATGTCTGTCAGTTGCCTAAACTTGCAGAGTTTAGAACTTGTAAAAATAGTTCAAAGACAATGAAAGAGTAGAATCAGATAACTGGGAAGGGTGTGTTGCTTGTAGGCAGTGCAGTTTTCCAATGAAACACAATTTATTTTCTACAGTGCTTTCTTTAAAACAACTTTCTATTTTGAAGTAAGTACAGATTCACAGGAAGTTGCAGAGAGGTCCCAGGTACCCTTCATCTGTATCCTCCGATGGGTACATCTTATGTCACTAGAGTTATGTGAATGGAATCATGCAATTATGTGATCCTTTGAAATTTTTCACTTAATTGAATGCCCTTGAGATCCACCTGTGTTGTTGTGTGCATCGGTAGTTTGTTCCTTTTAATTACTGAGTAGATTCCATGGTATGGATGTACCACAGGCTCTTTAACCATTCACCTATTGGAAGACATTTTGGTTGCTTTCAGTGTTGAACTGTTAACAACTCTTGCTGCTCTGAACAAACACAGGTTTTTATGTGGACATGAGTTTTATTTTTGGGGGAATAAATGTCTGGGAGTGGATTGCTGGGTCATTTCATAGTATTTTAAAAGATTCATTCTGCTTTGTGGACAATGAACTTTAGAGGATCAGATTGGCAGCAGGGAGACAATTTATTTTCAAAACAGCGGCTGAGTGATCCTTTTAAAATATAATCATGGGCCGGGCGCGGTGGCTCACGCCTGTAATCCCAGCACTTTGGGAGGCCGAGGCGGGCAGATCACGAGGTCAGGAGTTCAAGACCAGCCTGGCCAATATGGTGAAACCCCATCTCTACTAAAAATACAAAAATTAGCTGGGTGTGGTGGCATGCACCTGTGGTCCCAGCTGCTTGGCAGGCTGAGGCAGAAGAATCACTGGAACCCGGGAGACGGAGCTTTCAGTGAGCCGAGATCACACCATTGCACTCCAGTCTGGGCGACAGAGCGAGATTCCGTCTCAAAAAAATATATATGTGTGTGTGTGTGTGTGTGTGTGTGTGTGTGTGTGTGTGTGTGTGTAAAATGTGGTCTCCACTCTGCCTTTTCTTGTCTTCCTCCTTAGAGTAAAATGCAGAGTCCTTAAAATTGACAGCTTAAGGCCTCTCATGATCTGTCACTACCCCTTGCCTCTGGGACCTCATTTCTTGTACTCCTGTTACGGTGGTGGGAGTGGTTGGGTCCTTGCTCCCAGAGCTCCCAAGATGGTGGCAGGCCATTTCCAAGATGGTAGCAAGCCTTGGGTTCTCTGACCTGGGGTTCTTGGCCTCATGGATTCCAAGGAATGGAATCTTGGGACATGTGGTGAGTGTTATAGCTCTATTAGAAGCTGTGGGTCACGGAAGAGAACTGTGGAACCCAGTGACTAGCGTTCAGCTCGATTAGGACGAACCTGGGCACTTAGCCATGCAGGAACAATGGCAAGCCTTTAGTCCGATCGGGAGTGGCAATGGGCGCCTTGCTGGATCAGGAGCACAGCAGACACCCTGCCAGATCCAGAGGGATGGAAGTCAGTGGCAGGTCTGCGACGGCGGCAAACAGCAGTGGTGGACGGCAAGCGAAAGCTCAGCTCGAGCTGTAACAAACATGGACCAGAAGAGAGTGCGGTTGCAAGATTTAATAGAGTGAAAACAGAGCCCCCGTACAAAGGGAGGGGACCCAAAGAGGGTAGCCATTGCCAGCTCGAATGCCTGGGTTTATATCCTGATAGTTGTCCCTCCAGCTGTGCTCTCAGGCAATAGATGATTGGCTATTTCTTTACCCCTGTTTTTGCCTAATTAGCATTTTAGTGAGCTCTCTTTACTATCTGATTGGTCGGGTGTGAGCTAAGTTGCAAGCCCCATGTTTAAAGGTGGAAGTGATCACTTTCCCAGCTAGGCTTAGGGATTCTTAGTTGGCCTAGGAAATCCAGCTAGTCTTGTCTCTCACTCCTTCCCTCCCTCACTCCTCTCCAGCCCTACTGGTCTTGAACAGGCTAAAAATGTCCTGTCTCATGCAGGATTCTTGCTGTCAGTACTCCTTCTTCTTGAAATACTGTTTCCCCAGATACCTGTATAGCTCTCGCCCTCATCTCCTTTGGGTCTTTGCTCTTGTATCCCTTTCTCAGTGAGGCCTGCACTGATCACCTATTTACAGCTGACTTACCTGCCCCTCCCTGCCCCCGCCCCCCATATCCTTTCCTGTCTGGCACCTATCACCATCTGTCATGCTGTATATTTACTTGTTTATTATTTGCTTCCATTGACTAGAATGCAAACTCCCTCAGGGCAGAGATTTTATCTGTTTTGTTCTCTACAGAGTCCACAGCATCTAAAATAATGCTTAGCACATAAAAGAGGCTCAATAAATATTTTCTGACTGAGTGACATGATGAAGCCCTGGCAGCAGTCTAAATGAGAGCCAAGACTGCTTGGACCAGTGTAGCGGCAGTGACGATGGAAGGAAGTGGGCAGATCCGGAATGCATTTAAGAAGCAACCTGTTCTGCTTTATATAGCTCTCAACAGTGGAAATTTTTTCCTTGTGTTGAACACAAATTTACGTCTTTGCTTCTCAGAACTGTTGGCCCTTGTGGCTATTCAGAGGAAGCTTAATCCCCTCCATCCTCTCTTTGGAATGAAATCTACAACAGTTTTATCTTTCCTTCTGGGTTGGGAAAAACTCTAACTGCATTTTTCCTCTGCTCTCACACCACAACACTCATCAACATAGAAGACTTCTGTGACCAAACATGGGGGTTTTCTCCACCACCAAGCACTGGACACCAGCTGGTGCCACTTCAGTTCTGACACCATCTACCTGGAGATAGCATCAGATCACACAGGATGAAGGCTCAGTCCCCAAGACTGCCCCCTCCACAGACACCAGTCGCAAGTGCGGGCCTCCGGAACTTCAGACCTACTGGCTTCACGTTGGGGTTCCTATGACCCCCTCTTTGGGTTCAGTTAATTTGCTGGAGCAGCTCACAGAACTCAGGGGAACCGTTACTTACCTTTGCCAGTTTACTATAAAGGATATTCCAAAAGGTATAGATGAAGAAACGTGTAGGGTGAGATATGAGGGAAAAGGCTCAGGGCTTCCATGCCCTGCCTGGGCATGCCACCCTCCAGGAACCTCCACGTGCTCAGCTATCCAGAAGACTTTGGAACCCAGTTCCTTTTGGGTTTTTATAGAAGCTTCATGATGTCAGCATTCCTTCTCCCAGTGTATAGAGTGGGGCCCTCTCTGGCACGGGTATTAAGACCCACAGTCCTGCTTCTCAGAATAGGAGATTTGAAAGAAAAAAAAAAAAAGACCCACAGTCAGAAAGGTGGGGGGAAGATTAAAGTTCAGCCTTGGGGCAGGTGAGAGGAGGGCGGGGCAGAGTTTGCGTTTCCTCAGGCTTGCACCTGAGGCCTAACATACTCAACATTGTCACAAAAGATTGTAACAAGGGCTATGAGAGTTGTGAGCCAGGAACAGTGGATGAAAACCAATATATATCGTAACACTACACCTTTCTATGATGGTTTCTAAGACGTTTTTGGAATCCTTTTAAAGAGTAGAAGAGGACAGTCATCTTTGATCTAATTACCATTTTTTTTTTCACTAATAGAATCCTAGAATCATTAAGACTCTTTTAGTAGCAAGTGACAGAAATCCACTCAAATGGACTTAAGCAAATATGTTTATAGCTTGAATAATGCAGAGATATATCTGCAGGCATGGGTGCTCACATGGTGTTATTAGTAATCTACCCCTGTCCATTCTTGCCTCCAGTTTTCTTTGTGTTGATTCATTCTCTGGCAGGTCTTTCCTTTACAGTGTCTATCTGGCCACCAGCAGTTGTCAACTGTGTGCAAGAGATTATCTCTTTCCCATCAGCTCCAGAATTGACTATTGGCTAATTGGGTCTTGATAATGGATTAGTTTATTTGTCCATTGACCCTTCCAATATTATGACGTTGTGGCTATTTCCCTTCAGAGAACTGAAGAAATTTCCCCAAAGTCACCAAGCAAATCATTGAAGAAGTTAGCCCAATATTCTTCTCTTTATCAGTGTAGCAAATGTACCTTGTCAAGTTTCATAAATTTAACCTTTTATTCTCTATTCTTCACTTTCTTCCAACTCCTAAAGAAACATTCCTCCCAAAGAGCTGAAAGCACCATGGACATAAGTATGAGCTTAAGATATTTAATTTTTTTTTAATTTCATTATTATTATTATTATTGGAGACAGGGTCTCGCTCTGTCACCCAGGCTGGAGTGCAGTGGTGCAAACCTGGCTCACTGAAGCCTTGACCTCCTGGGCTCAGGCAGTCCTCCTGCTTCAGCCTTACATATAGCTGGGATCACAGGTTTCAGCCACCACGCTCAGCTTTTTTTCTTGTTTGTTTGTTTGTTTGTTTGTTTGTTTGTTTTTGGAGAGATAGGGTCTCACTTCATTGCCCAGCGTGGTCTTGAACTCCTGGGCTCAAGTGATCTTCCTGGTTTGGCCTCCCAAAGTGCTGGAATTACAGGCATGAGCCACTGCACCCAGCCACTTGAGATATTTAAGAGAATAAAATTGGATACTAAAGCCAGGAAGAAAAAAGGAGAAAAGAGTTAGGAAGAGAAAGTTGAGAATATACGATAACAGCAAGTCAAACTGTTGGGGATTTAATTCCTAAGAAGAGTTTGCAGTCTTTTCCAGCAAGATCCATTTCCATCCTGGCCACTCTTAACTTTCTCTGGGTACTGTGCTACGACAGGAAATGATCGGTTCATAATGGTTATTGGTGTTTAAGTCAAGGTTTTATTCCATACCATCACAGGAGGGCCACTTCCACAGAGAAGCTTCTGAAATGAGCCACTGAAATATAATCTTAAATATTGGCAACTTGCAGTTTTGTAACATCACACATTATACACTTTATTAGAATTTTTATAAATTAATGCATGCCATTTGCCCCCAGCCAAGAAAGCAGCTGGATTTGTCTGGTGTTCTGGTTGTCTGGAGTATTTCATGGTTTACTAACAAAGCTTCTGTAAGCACTAGTTTTTGGAAACCAATAGAAATATGATTTCGCTTCTAAAATTGTGATAAGTGTCTAACTGACTTATATAAGAAATGTCCAGGCAGCTGGACTTTTTGGATCTGTTTTCTAGGCTAGGAAAGAACAAGGACTTTTATTTTTTTTTAACCTCTTCTTTGGTCTCCAAAAAGTAGCTGGTAACAGACTTTATATATTGCGTGAAGACCAACAGTGATCCTTTAACTTATTGTTTTCAGGTAATTCAAACTTGTGGGTCTTTCTCCCCACCACTCCAGCATCAAAAGTGAATGACTGCAAAGTCAGATTTTTCTTTTCCATAAGGGAAAAGAAAAGGCTGCCATATCACAAACGGAATGGCTTACCCAGAAATTTATTGCCTCAGAGTTCTAGAGGCTACAAATCCAAGATCCAACCAAGATTCAACCAAATGGTGTCAGCAGGATTGGTTCCTTCTGAGGGCCATGAGAAGGAATCCATTCCATGACTCTTTCTTACCCTCTGGTGTTGGTTGGCTAGCAATCTCTGGTGTTCCTCAGTTTGTAGAAATACCACTTCAATCTCCATCTTCATCTTCCATGACATTCTCCCTACGTCCCTGTCTCTGTTCAAATTTCTGTTGTTTCAGCCACCCAGTTTGTGGTACTTCTTTTTTTTTTTTAGATGGAGTTTCACTCTTGCTGCCGAGGCTGGAGTGCAGTGGCGTGATCTTAGCTCACTGCAACCTCCACCTCCTGGGTTCAAGTGATTCTTCTGCCTCAGCCTCCCGAGTAGCTGGGATTACAATTGCCTGCCACCACTCCTGGCTAATTTTTGTATTTTTAGTAGAGATGGGGTTTCACCATGTTGGCCTGGCTGGCCTCGAACTCCTGACTTTAGGTGATCCACCTGCCTCGGCCTCCCAAAGTGCTAGGATTATAGGACTTTGGACATGAGCCACCATGCCCAGCGTGGTACTTATTGCAGCATTAGCAAACTAATACATATACATGGTACTTATTGCAGCATTAGCAAACTAATGCATATACGTGGTACTTATTACGGCATTAGCAAGCTAATACATATGCCATATATGTAGGTGTATGGTATATATACATATATGATAATCATATACCATATGTAGATTATATGATAATCTCTATCAGAATGAGTTATGCCAAAAAGGTCAAGTATTTGATTTTTTTGCAAGTCTATCAGAACTTGTATGATTTCATACATATTGACAGAAGACTTAAATATACACAACAGATATGTACACTTGGGCATGAACAGTGAGTTCTTAGGAGGCCACAGAACAAAGGGCCAATGTGTGGCTATTAAGAATAGGGTCTGCACTTTGGGAGGCTGAGGTGGGCAGATTGCTTGAGCTCAGGAGCTCAGCTAGCCTGGGCAACATGGCAAAACACTGCCTCTACAAAAAATAAAAAAAGTTAGCTGGGCATGGTGACATGCACCTTGGTCCTGGCTACTCGCAGACTGAGATGGGAGGATCACTTGAGCCCAGGAGTCCGAGGCTACAGTGACTTGTGATCACTCCACTGCACACCAGCCTGGGAAACAGAGTGAGACCCTGTCTCAGAAAAAAAAGAACAGGGTCCCTTGCTCATTTCCATCACATCTCTGGAAATGTCCAATATGCCTTAATGAATTCAAGCACATCCCAGGAAATGGTGAAGGACAGTTACATAGGGCTAATGCCTCCAAGCTTTTTCTGACACTACCACAAAAAGCATGGACAGAGAACAAGTTATTCTAGTTGAATCACTCATAAAAATTATTAAAGACATATATGAACATATTTTTAGTCAGCCAATCTTAACCTTGGCTGACTTAACCTTGGCTGGAAGAATTTTGAAAAATACTGATACTTGGTCCCCTCTCTTGAGCAATTAACACAGAATTTCTGAGGTGAGACCTTGTTATTGGTGATTTAAACATATATCTTCAGGTGATTTTAATATACAACTATCTTGAAAACGATTGCTTGAAGCACTGGCAATGTCACTAGAATAAACACATCATGGTATGAAGGTTACCACATGGAAAACAAGTACACATTGGGATGCCTGAGCATTTTGCTATTTATGAGCAAACTGAGTATCTTCCTGTCTCCCCAAAGACAAAGTAAGTTACTGCAGTTAGAAAGCAATCACATCTGCTTGAAGTCTGGGCTAAGTGGGAAGTGAAAACGAAAGAAATGGATTTAATGTGAAGAGGACTGAGGCTAGCAAGATGACAAGTTTACTGGGTATAAAAGAAATAGTCCTTTTTAAGAGAGGGAAATACATTTAACTTATGCAGACACCTTCTGTGAGAGGTTAAGGAAGAGATTTAAAGTTTTAGTCTTTTACATTCTGACTCTTGGTTGCAAGAGACAGAAATCCAACTCAAACCAGATTAAGTACAAAGGGAAATTTATTGGCTCATTCAACTTGGAAGAATGCCAAGCTTTCTCACAGGAAAGGAGGACTGCAGGAATTAAGAGTTTTTGGGATGAAAAATGGGTTCACTGATTCCAGAATTTTCTCTCTCTCCATCCAATTCTCACCTCTCCGTGTTGCAAAAAAGATGGCCTCCAGCAGCCATAAAGTGTCATCTTCCCAGCTTAAAACTCACAACAGAAAGATGACTCTCACATGCTATCCTTGGACCAGGCATCATTGCCTGGGAGAGTAGGTCCTGTTATGAGCTACGCTTGGGCCATAAGACACCTCCAGAACCGCATATAGGAGGAAATGGTTCTCTAAGGAAGGGATGCTGAGTAGACAAGAGCAACTGCTCTCTTTTGCATCTTTAAGAGTGAGTTAACTAATAGCTCCTCTTTCAACCTTTTAATAAAAGCCATTTTTGTGGGATAAAAATATTCCTAAGTCAACTATAAAACCTTCTGTGAAATTGGAAGGGAAAAATGAAAGGACAAAGTCAGACACACAATCTTGAATATCAAAAGTGATAGATGACTTTATGCTTTGCTATCTCTCTTTTCTAGTTGGCAAAATTTAGAAGGATTGCTCTGGACAGACTTACCTGCAACAGTGACTTGAGACACACCGTGCTCTATGAATCAAGTCATGTATTTTCTATGATATGTATGACAATAGCTTTACTTAGGTTACTTTCCCTTTAATGAAAGATCTAGTTTTTATTTTTTTCCCAAGTGGACTCCAGGCTTTCCAAGGATGGTCATCCATGAATTTGGGAGATAAGGACAGACCCATGGGTATGACCCTTTCCATGGTGAGCCCACTCCTTGAACCTATGAGGGCTTGTATTTTCAGCCTATTGAAATAATCACAACTATTCTGGATGTCTAAGAACACAGATCTGGTTTCAAATATAGATTTTTTTCAATTGAGTAAAGTTGAGAAAGATCCCTTTTTTTTTTTTTTTTTTAGAAACTTGTAAGCTGCTTATGTCCCAAGTGTCTCGTTATTGCCAATAGGAGGGCAACATGAATGTTTTTCTGAATGAAAGTCCAGGTCGTGCAATCTAGAATTACAAGGTTGTGGACTGTGTTAACTACTAATTATAGATGTGCCTGAGAAACAGGAAGACTTAGAGGTTAAGGGCATGGGCTCTGGAGCCAGTTGCTTGGATTTTTGATGGTTTTTTTTTTTTGAGGCAGAGTCTCATTCTGTCACCCAGGCTGGAGTGCAGTGGTGTGATCATAGCTCACGGCAGCCTTGACCTCCTGGTCTCAAGCAATCCTCCTGCTCCAGCCTCCTGAGTAGCTAGGAGCACAGGCACATGCCACTGTGTCCAGCTAATTTTTTTATTTTTATAGAGATGGTGGTTCTCCTATGTTGCCCAGGCTGGTCTCAAACTCCTAGGCTCAAGTGATTTTCCCACCTCGGTTCTAACCAAAGTGCTGTAATTATAGCCTAGTTGTTGGGTTTTATGTTGACTCTTTCACCTACCATTTGTGTATCCCTGTGTCAGTAAGTGGGCTTCCCCATCTAAAGAATGGGGATAATAATAGTGCCCACTTAGCAGCATTGCTCTGAGAAATAAAAGGATTAATGTGTGTATACAAACCATGCCTGGCACACAGGAAACACTTGGTAAAGATTGGCTTTTACCATCATCATTAGATAGAATCAGATTAAGTCCTCTGTATATATCTTTTTTTTCTTTTCCAGAGAGAGTCTTGCTGTGTCACCCGGGCTGGAGTCCAGTGGTGCGATCTCGGCTCACTGCAACCTCCACCTCCCTGGTTCAAGCAATTCTCATGTGTCAGCCTCCCAAGTAGCTGGGATTACAGACGCACACCATCATGCCCAACTGATTTTTGTATTTTTAGTAGAGACAGCGTTTTGCCACATTGGCCAGGCTGGTCTGGAACTCCTGACCTCAAGTGATTCACCCAGCTCAGCCTCCCAAAATGCTGGGATTACAAACGTGAGCCACCATGCCTGGCCCCTCTGTATATATCTTAATCCAAAATTAGCAACTACCCACTAGAGGGATCTTCAGAGCTTAGTGTTCTCTGTTGGCCTCTCCCCAAGCCACATGAAGAGCACAGACCTTGGAACCCTGGATCCAAATTTTTTTTTTTTTTTTTTTTGGAGACACAGTCTCACTCTGTTGCCCAGGCTGGAGTGCAGTGGTGCAATCTTGGCTCACTACAAGCTCCACCTCCCGGGTTCACGCCATTCTCCTGCCTCAGCCTCTCGGGTAGCTGGGACTACAGGCGCCTGCCACCACGCCCGGCTAATTTTTTGTATTTTTAGTTGAGACAGGGTTTCACCGTGTTAGCCAGGATGGTCTCCATCTCCTGACCTCGTGATCTGCCCTCCTCGGCCTCCCAAAGTGCTGGGATTACAGGCGTGAGCCACTGCACCCAGCTCCCTGGATCCAAATTTTTGTTCCACTGTTATGTATGAGACCCTAGGCAAGCTGTGACCTCTGAGTCCCATTTTCCCCAGCTGTAAAAACAGGATAATCACGACTAACTCACTCCTCTGCCAGGTGGGCAGATCAGGCAGGCCAGGTTTGCCAGCTGCCCCAGGCCCGAGCTTGGCATTGATGGGGAAGCACAGGGAAGGTGAACTAGCCGAGGAGTGGCTCGGATGCACCCCAGTCTGTCTTTCCCCCCGCTGACAATGATTCAGTAAATTCACTGTGACTTATTCTTAACTCGCCTGTTTTTTTCCCTGTCTCATTCTCAGGTTTTTGCTATTCTGGATTTCAGAAATAGTTTGGTTGCCAAAACTGGTTGAATGAGCTACTTTTAAAATTAATCAACTGATACAAAGTACTGCTTTGCACAGTGGTTCTAGCAATTCCCCTCCTCAGAACCGTCCTATAATAGAATGTTTTGACAAAATGGGAGGATTTCTAAAATTCACATTATGAGAACGACTTTTACCATCCATATCCAGGAAGATCCCAATGTTGTATACATCTTTCTTCCTAAACCAGAGCAGCAGGTAAATCAAGACGTGGATCATCACCGAAGAATCTTACATGGAGGTATCCAAAAATAGACATTTAAAATTTATTATTACGCACACCAACGTAAGGTCCTCCTTGGGCTACTGGTTTAGTCCTAGCTGGATGGCGTCAGACTTTAGCTGTTTAATTTGAAGTTGGCTCAGTAGCTCATGTTTATGGATAAATGAGCAAAACATTAAAGATCAAAAGCAAAAAATAAAATTACTATGGAATTCAATATTTCAGAAGCTGGAGCCGGGTAAATGTTACTGAAGTGTGGCATTCAAAACGAAAGTTCCCCACTTATGATAATGCACCTAACAAGGAAATGAGATTGACACAGCAATTCTCTGTTTTGTTGTCCCCTGAGGTTAGAGATTATGCAGTGCATGTTTCTGTTTTTAGTTTCTTTGGTAATTCCTGTGGTGAGAGACTACACTCTGCATATTTGTCACGGTTGCACTTCTCTCAGGTGCTGGGGTCTTTGAGGTAGCGCAGGAAATGCCGTTCTCATCTGAGCCTTGAATTCCATTTCTCCCCACCTCAGTTGCCCCAGGACATCCCCTTCCTATGGCTGATTTCTTTATTTATGTTAAGTTGCCAGGGAATTCCACAGGGGAAACATGAGTCTATCTTAACAACAGTTGTTGCTTTGAGAAATGTTGTTCAAGTGGGGGGCCCAATGGCAAAATGTTTACATTCTTTATTTGACACCCCATTGTAATCCTGAGGCCTTTCAACACCAATCAAAGGTAAATTAAGAACAGGCAGCCGGCCGGGCGTGGTGGCTCACGCCTGTAATCCCAGCACTTTGGGAGGCCGAAGTGGGCGGATCACAAGGTCAGGAGATGGAGACCATCCTGGCTAACATGGCGAAACCTTGTCTCTACTAAAAAATACAAAAAAATTAGCCGGGCGTGGTGGCGGGCACCTGTAGTCCCAGCTACTCAGGAGGCTGAGGCAGGAGAATGGCGTGAACCTGGGAGGCAGAGCTTGCAGTGAGCCGAGATAGCGCCACTGCACTCCAGCCTGGGTGACAGAGCAAGACTGTCTCAAAAAAAAAAAAAAAAAGAACAGGCGACCATGGAAGATCAGCATGGAGTTGAATGAAAAATAAACTTGTTAGGCTTCTTTTATGACAAAGAAACATGAGTTGGGATCCATTGACTCTTTGGTAATGTTTATTGTAGCTGAATCGTTGGGTACAAGTGTCATCAGTGAACCCAACTGCATTAGTCAGAGCTTTCTAGGCTTTCTAGAGAAATAGAACATAGATAGTTAGATAGATACATCTATTATAAGCAATGGGCTCACATGATAATGAAATTGAGTAGTTTCGTGATCTGCTGTCTGTAAGCTGAAGACTCAGGAAAGCTGGTGGTGTAGTTCCAATATAAGTCCATAGGCTTGAGAACCAGGAAAACCAATGGTGTAAGTTCCAGTTCAAGTGCAAAAGAAGACGAGTGTCAGAGCCCAAAAACAGGCAGAGAGTGAATTCTTCCTTACTCCCCATTTTTATTCTATTGAGACCTCCAATGGATTGGATGGGGCCCACCCATGTTAGGGAGAACAATCTGCTTTACTCAGTCTCTTGACTCAAATGCTAATCTCAGCGAGAAACATCCTCACAGACACACCCAGAATAATGTTTAACCAAATATCTGGGCACCCTGTGGCCTAGTCAGGTCGACATGTAAAACTAACCATTACACCAACTCAGACCACCTTGAGAAGAGGAATGTATTGACTGACATAACTGGGATAAATGTGTGGCTAACAATCACTATAGCAGTCAAGGCCGTAGCAACTGGAACCAAGACTTGGTGCTGGCATCCACTCTTCCTCCCTGCTTGCCTCAGTTTATCTTTGAGAATCCATCTCAGCCTCTCCTACTGCAGATTGACCCTGTCCACACGTCAGAGCCCACAGCTTCAACTTAGTAGCCTAGCACAAGAGAGTTCTTTCATCACAAGCTTGTATATAAATCCTAGGGAAGGACACTGATTTGCTTTACTTTGGGACATTTGACTACCCTGGGACCAATCAATCTCTGCTGCCAAAGGATGGATATTGTGATTGATTGATCTGAGTCCAACGTTTACCACTACAGCCAGGGCAGAGGGTGTATTTCCGAAGGAGGGGATGTGATAGTTGTCATTAGAGACCAGGGCAGTCCATCCCTTGGCTGCCTGACACACATATGCATACAATCAGAAGAATGGATTCATTTCTTCTAACTGCCCCATGTTCAGCCAAAACACACTCACCCGTTTCCTATCAGAGTAACAACTTAATTTCACATCCAGTTATTGCATCTAGCTCCAAGGATAGGATTTCTGGGCAATGCCTTTTCCTCTTGGTCAAGTTCAAATGTGGCTCTTTATGGTCCACCAACCTATGCCTAATTATCTATCTCCAAAATATCCAGCATATAATAATGGAGGTAAAGGAGGATAAATGCAATTAATCCCCCAGTTAGGCCTCAGTGCAGTGGCTCATGCCTGTAATCCCAGCACTTTGGGAGGCCGAGGAGGGAGGATCATTTGGGCCCAGGAGTTTGAGACCACTCTGTGCAACATAGTGAGACCTCATCTCTACAAAAAATAGCCGAGTGTGATGGTGCTTGCCTGTAGTCCTAGCTACTTGGGAGCATGAAGCGGAAGGATCCCTTGAGCCTAGGAGGTCGAGGCTGCAGTGGGCAGTGATTGCGCCACACTGCACTCCAGCCTGGGCAACAGAGTGAGACTTTGTCTCAAAAAAACACTTTTTTTTTAAATGCCTGGGGAACATAGTGAGACCTCGTCTCTACCAAAAACCAAAATATTTAGCTACGTGTGGTGGCATGTGCCTGTGATCCCAGCTACTCAGGAGGCTGAGGTGGGAGGACTGCTTGAGCCCACGAGGTCAAGACGGCAGTGAGTCGTGATTGCACCACTGCATTCCAGCGTGGATGAGAGAACAAGGCCCTGTCTCGGGGGAAAAAAAAAAAAAAAGAAAAGTTAGAAAAAGGGGCAGATGGAAAGCAAAATGTAGCAATCAACTTTTCTGTATCTTGCTAGACAGGGATAGCAAAGAGCCCTTTCTCTAGCAGTGAAACCCCTCCAAAAATCTAGTCACTTGATTTGAAGTGGTTTTACTGGCAAGCTTATAATGAAACAACAGGACGGACATAGCACATTTTCTTAAGAAGATGTGGAAGACATGCTCCCATCCCTGATGCCCATGCCATGCTCAAACCAGTCTGTTTAGGGGTGGGTGCCGTGCAGGTCATGTATTCCAAAACCGAAACCAGACTTCAAGTCTGACTAGAGATTCAAGAACTGCTTCCACGCATGTCATTTAGGTGACAAAACATTAGCTTTTCAGGAAGAACTTTCTCATTTGGACCATTCATATTGGTCCAAATATCCTTTTTACCATATAACGCATACTTCCCTGCCTTGAAAGAAATACGAGCAATCCACATTCATTGTTTGAAAAGGAAAAAAATACAGGTGAACAACAATAAAAATATCCAGAGATGGTGACTGTCAACACTTTGACTTACATTCTTCTTAATGTTCTTTTTTAGTACATGATGTGTGTTTGTGTGTATGCATGTGTGTGTGTTTTAGTATATGCATGTGTGTTTGTGTATATGTTTGTGTTTTAGTATATGCATGTGTGTTTGTGTGTATGCATGTGTGTGTGTATGTTTAGTATATGCATGTATGTTTGTATGTGTTTGAAACATGGAATTATATTATGCGAGTTGTCTAAAGCCTGCTTTTCTCCTCCTGCCTTCCTAAAAGTTGATAATGGATGGCTCAGGGGTGAGGCCAGGGAGTTGGCCTTTTTGAGTGCCTGGGCCCTGGGGAGCATTATGTGCACGAATTCTCTTTTAAAATCAGGATTACCAACCCAGAAACATAGAAATAGTGGTCCCAGCCCAGAACTTGATGCCCTTGAACTACCCAAACCTTCCCTTGTCCCCCTCCTCATCATCCTGAGGGTTGATTCCTCTTGATAGAAACCCTCTTCTTCCAGCCTCCCTTCTCTTTCTTCTCTCTGTGACAGAGACTCCTGTTTTCAGCCTTATGGGAAGTTCTTCATGAACATTTTGATGGTTTGTGGGACCAATGGGACATAATATATGAAATCACAACTGTCCTGGAATCTCCAGGACCAGAGGTCACCATCAGACATCAGAGTAAGTGTTTAGATCCTGACAGATCCTCTCTGGACCAGGACCTAAACACTTAGTCTGATGTCTGATGGCGACCCCACACTTGGGTCTGTGGGCAATAACTCCAGGTTCTTTCATGAAGACTGAATTTTAGGATTGGGGTCAGGACAGTTTTTTTGTTTCTTCCTTTCTTCTCCCCTCATGTTCCTCTGGCCATGGTACCCCCAAACCTCCAATAGGACGAAAACTGAGTTTGGAGCATGGGCCAGAAGCTGCAGACTTGGCCAATATGCATAACCTGACCTGTCTTGGGGAGACAGTACTTCATCCCATCCCGCACTTCCTCGTGCATCTCTGCTGTGCATCTCTGTTGTATGTTTAAAGTGACAGAAATGCTGTTTTATGCATTTTCACAAAATGATCTCTCAGCCCAGTTTTGAAAATGTCAGTGGCCATGTTGAAGGTGAGTCAGTAGATGGATAAGAACTCTGTGGAAGTTTAAGTCTTAATCTTTTTTTTTTTTTTTTTTTTTGTGGCTTCGGGTCAAATAATATCCAGCACTGGTAGTGCTACCACCAGAGTGATCCTTTTTAAAAGTGAGTCAGCTCTTGTCAGTTCTCTGCTCAAATCCATCAGTGGATTCCCCTCTCACTCGGGCTAAAGCTCACACACACCGCAGAGGCCCTTATGATCACATCTCTTTTCCCCACCGTGTGACCTCACCCTCCTGCGCTTACCCCACTCCATCCACACCAGTCTGGCTGTTTCTGGAGCCCTCAAGGAGCAGCCTTGTTTCAGGGTCTCTGAGCTTGCTGTTCTCTCTGCCTGGAACTCTCTTCCCCTCAGATCCATGGGGTTGCTCCTTCAGCTCCTTTATGTCTCTGATCAAATTCTCAGTGTGAGCAAGCATGCCCTGAGGGAGAGATCAAAGGTTGCCTTCTCAGTGAGACCCTCCTACCCTGCCCTGCCCTTACACTCACTAACACCCTCCACTTTCTCTCTGCAGCCTTCATCACTTTGCAGTATCCCTTCTGCTTGTTTCCTTTGTTCATTGTCTACCTCTCACTAGAATGTAGATTCTGTGGAGGCAGAGACTTTTGCTCACTGCAGTATCTCCATTGCAGACAAGAGTGCCAGGCTTGATAAATATTTGTCAAATAAATAAATTGAAGGCAATTTCCTCAGAGGCTAAATAATCATCATCTAGAACTCCTTCTCCTTTTAAGTACAGATGCCCACTCATTAACGCAATAGATATAAGTTGGCCGTAACATAAAATCTATTTGTCTCTTGATTTTCATTATGGAATTAAAGATGCATTTCTATGAAAGAAAAAAAAAAAAAACTCCCAGGAGATTAAACAAGGATTAGGAAAACTTCCAAACCTATAACATTCCGGGCGTCATTGTCATGCTGTATACTTGCTGCCTTGGCATTCACCTATCAGTTCCTGCTGCTTTGTAACATTGCAGCCCCTATCTTGGTTTCCAAGGAGGCTTTTTTTTTAAATGCCAGGATCCCCTTACTCCACACTCAACAATGTTCTGAACCTCTTTCTCTTTTCCTTCTCCTTGTGCCTAATGTGTAATGCTATTATCAAAAGGTTACAAAGCACACCACCTTACAAATACAAATGAAGTCAGAACATTAGAAATGCAGATATCCTGTTTTATCCTCAGGCCCTGCAGCATCTCTTGCCCTGAAAATACCTCACCTAACAAAGATTTCTTGGAGTCCTCAAAGGGCCCCACAACTTGAATGTCACCTACGGACACCATTTGGTGTCCGCCATGCTCTTTTTCTCCTGCTTAGTTGGTACCCAGTGCCAAAACACCACCTGAAGGCTCTCATCATTATCAGTGGTGGTGGCTGTCTACTGGGAGCATGCCATAGCGTTATAGGCTAAGGGTGCCATCTCCTGATGCTCCCAAGGCTGCCAGTTCTCCAGACATCACTCTGAGAGAAGGACAAAAGTCCCAGTGCCAAGTGCATTGCTGCATTTGGTCCTCTGGGCATAGAGGAGCAGCACTGCTTGTTTTCTTTTTGATTGTTTATCGTCTTTCTGAAGCTTTGGAATGACAGTTGACTTCTACCATTTCTACCAAGGTTTCAAAAATCTCAAGGTCAAGTTTTGATTAGTACTCTAGCCGAGGATTCCATGGGTTACTGCTGCAAGGATTGGAATTTTCCCCGGCGGGAGGTTTGGGAATGGGAATCTTGAGAAAATGATCCACATCTTGCTGCAAGGATCACTGTTCTTTTCTGTTTCTGTTTTTTTTTTTCTTTTCTTTTCTTTTTTATTTTTTTTTCTGTGAGTCAGAATCTCGCTCTGTCGCCCAGGCTGGAGTGCAGTGGCGCGATCTTGGCTCTCTGCTTGCTCCACCTCCCGGGTTCATGCCATTCTTCTGAGTAGCTGGGACTACAGGTGCCCACCACCACGCCAGGCTAATTTTTTGTATTTTTAGTAGAGATGGGGTTTCATCGTGTTAACCAGGACGGTCTCGATCTCCTGACCTCGTGATCTGCCCGCCTCGGCCTCCCAAAGTGCTGGGATTACAGGCGTGAGCCACCGCGCCCTGCCCTGTTTCTTTTTTTTTTTTTCCTCTAACAAAGCTGGTGTCTACAAGTATTCATGATGGTGCACTCCAGCCTGGGCAACAGACCAAGACTCCGTCCCCAAAAAACCCCAAAACCTTGATTTATCAATAGCAAAATGGTAAACTCCGGCATGTTAACTTCAATTTAAACATGAGTTGTAGTAATGTCCAAAATAACCCATCTTATTCCCAGTGACTCTGGCCACATTTCTTTGGACCTGATTCCTGCTCTGGTAAGACCTGTATTAAGTGAATGTTAATATGCCCACCAGGACTCCTTTGCGGAGCCATTTTTGTGTATCTAATTTTGTTTATTTAAATCATTTCCAGAAGCAGTTTTTTGCTTAAGCCATGGCATTTTCTGGTATCTCTGTGTGTTTTCAAAGTAGTCCTCAGCTTCATGCTTTGGTGGACTGGATCAGTCAATGGATAGCCCCTAAATGTATATATAAGGTTGATCCGTGGATCCTGAGACACAGGGGAAAGAAAAAATATATTGCATGAGAATGATGCAGCAAGAATTTCAGGATGGAGACTCTGTATGTCAGGCCTGAGGGATGCAGATTGATGGTGACCATAATTAATGTTCTATACATGATATAAACTGTTTCTGGGAGCTAACATGTAGTTTATTTGGGCTGCTATAACAAAATACCATAAACAAGGTGGCTTATAAACAATCAACATTTATTTCTCATAGCTCTAGAGGCTAGGAAGTCCAAGATCAAGGCACTGGCAAATTTGGTGTCTGATGAGGGCCCACTTTCTGGTTCATAGATGGTGCCTTTTCACTGTGACCTCATATAGTGTAAGGGGCTAGCTAGCTCTCTGGGGTCTCCTTCTATAATGACACTAATCTCATTCATAAGAGCTTTGTCCTTATAATCCAATCACCTCCCCAAGACCCCACCTCCTAATGCCATCACCTTGGGGTTTAGGATTTCAACATATAAATTTTGAGAGATTACAAACATGCAGACCATAGCATCACATGACCTATCTGGCAGGGAATGGGGTAGAAGCAAGAAGCTAGGGACCCTCTTTGTGTGGGGATCTTTGGACCTGGTGGATTTTTCATACCTCATGGACCACAGTCTTGGAGGATACCAGGAAGACACACCTAGCAGTAGCCTACGAATCTGTCATTCTTTTGTCCTTTTTGAGGCCCTGTGAAGCTTGTGATTACAAATAATCTGCATTTATGAGATCAATTTCATAATCCGTTCACAAACTCACCTGTGCTTCTCCTGAATCTAGGCCTAAGACACAAAATTTGTATGTTCAAACAACTTGTACTTTTGGGTGTTATCTGAAACCTTCAGTCACCCTTTTTTATGTCAGTTTTGACACTGTTCCCATAATTGTCTATGGAATACAGGCATACCTCATATTTTGGGTTCAGTTCCAGACCACTGCAATGAAGCAAATGTTGCAATAAAGTGAATCACATGAATTTTTTGGTTTCCTAGTGCATGTAAAAGTCATGTTAACACTATAGTCTATTAAGTGTGCAATAGCCTTATGTCTAAAAAAAGCAATGTACATTCTTAATTTAAAAAATATGGGCCAGACACAGTGGCTCACACCTGTAATCCCAGTACTTTGGGAGACCTAGGTGAGTGGATTGCAAGAGCCTAGGAGTTTGAGACGGCCTGGGCAACATGGTAAAATCCCATCTCTACAAAAATAGAAAAATTAGCTGGGCATGGTGGTGTGCACCTGTGGTTCCAGCTACTTGGGAGGCTGAGGCAGGAGAATCACTTGAACCTGGGAAGGTCGAGGCTGCAGTGAGCCCTGATTGTGCCACTGCACTCCAGCCTGGGTAACAGAGTGAGAATCTGTCTCAAAAAAAAAAAAAAAAAAAAAACTGCCAGGTGCAGTGGCACGTGTCTGTAGTCCCAGCTACTCAGGAAGCTGAACCAGGAGGATCCCTGGAGCCCAGGAGTTTGAGACCAGCCTGAACAACACGGTGAGACCCCATCTCAAAAAAATTTTACCTGATTGCTAAAAAATACTAACAATCATCTGAGCCTTTAGTAAGTCATAATCTTTTTGCTGGTGGAGGATCTTGCCTCAATGTTGATGGCTGCTGAATGATCAGGGTGGTGGTTGCTAAAGGTTGGAGTGGCTGTGGTAATATCTTATAGTAAGACAATGAAATTTGCTGCATCAATTGACTCTTCCTTTCATGAAAGATTCTCTGTAGCATGAGATGCTGTTTGATAGCATTTTACCCACAGTAGAACTTCTTTCAAATGTGGAATCAATCCCCTTAAACCCTGCCACTGCTTTATAAACTAAGTTTATATAATATTCTAAATTATTTGTGTCATTTCAACAGTGTTCACAGTATCTTCACCAGGAGTAGATTCCATCTCAAGAAACCATTTTCAAGCTGAGTATGGTGGTACATACCTGTAGTCCCAGCTACTTGGCAGGCCGAGGTGGGAGAACTGCTTGAACCCAGGAGTTTGAGATTAGCCTGAGCAACATAGCGAGACCCTGTCTCTAAAAAAACAACAACAACAACAACAAAAAAACTTTCTTTGCTATTCCATAAGAAGCAAGACTTCATGCTTTACAGTTTTATCATGAGATTACAGCAGTTCTGTCCCATCTTCAGACTTGTCTTCCAAATCTAGTTCTCTTGCTATTTACACATTTGCAGTAACTTCCTCCACTGAAGACTTGAACCCCTCAAAGTCATCCTTGAGGATTGGAATTAACTTATTCCAAACTTCTCTTAATGTTGATATTTTTACCTCCTTTCATTAATCACAAATGTTCTTAATGGCATCTAGAATGGTGAATCCTTTCCAGAAGGTTTTCAATTTAGTTTGCCAAGATCCATCAGAGGAATCACTATCTATGGCAGCTACAGCCTTACAAAATGTGTTTCTTAAATAATAAGACTCAAAAGTCAAAATTACCCCTTGATCCATGGCTTATATAATGGGTATTGTGTTAGCAGGCATGAAAACATTAATCTCCTTGTACATCTCCATCAGAACTCTTGGGAAACTAGGTGCATTGTCAATGAGCAGTAATATTTTGAAAGGAGTCTTTTTTTTCTGAGAAGTAGGTCTCAACAGTGGGCTTAAAATATTTAGTAAACCAAGCTATCAGTAGAGGTGCTGTCATCCAGGCTTTGTGGTTCCACTTTTGGAGCACAGGCACAGTAGATTTAACGTAATTCTTAAGGGCCGTAAGATTTTTGCAATAGTAACTGAGCACTGTCTTCAACTTAAATTCACCCCTAACAGAGAGTCAGCCTGTCCTTTGAAGCTTTGAAGTCATTGACTTCTCCTCTCTAGCTAGGAAAGTCCTAGATGGTATCTTCTTCTTCTGATAGAAGCTGTTTCATCTACATTGAAAAACGCATTGTTTAGTGCAGCCACCTTCATCAGTGACCTTCGCTAGATCTTCTGGATAACTTGCTGTAACTTTTTCATCAGGACTTAATGCCTTACCTTGTACTTTTATGTTATGGAGATCGTTTCTTTTCTTAAACCTCATAAACCAACCTCTGGTAGCTTCACACTTTTCTTCTGCAGCTTCCTCACCTCTCTCATCTTTCATGGAATTGAAGTGGGTTAGGGCCTTGCCCTGGATTAGGCTTTGGCTTTAGAGAATGTTGTGGCTTGTCTGAACTTCCATCCAGGCCACTCAAACTTTCTCCATAGCAGCAATAAGACTGTTTTGCTTTCCTATAATCATGTGTTCCCTAGAGTAGCACTTTTAATTTCCTTCAAGAACTTTTTCTTTACATTCACAACTTGTCTAACTGGTGCAAGAGGCCTAGCTTTTGGCCTGTCTTGGCTTTTGACATATTTTCCTCATTAAGCTAATCATTTCTAGCTTTTGTTTTAAAGTGAGAGATATGAGATTCTTCCTTTCACTTGAGCACTTAGAGGCCATTGAATGGTTATTAATTGGCCTAATTTCAAATACTGTGTCTCAGGGAGTAGGGAGGTCCAAGGAGAGGGAGAGAGATGGGCCAGTCAGTGGAGCAGTCAGAACACAACATTTATCAATTAAGTTTGTCATCTTATATGGGCATGGTTTGTGTTACCTCAAAACAATAACAATATTAATATCAAAGATCACTGATCACAGATCACTATAACAGATATAATAATAATGAAAACATTTAAAATACTGCAGGAATACCAAAATGTGACCCAGAGTCATGAAATGAGCACATACCGTTGGAAAAATGGGACTAATAGACTTGCCTAATGCAGGGTTGCCACAAATCTTCAATTCATAACAAATGCATTATCTTTAAAGTGCAATAAAGCAAATCACAATGCGATGAGGTGTACCTGCATTCACTTACACACATACCACAGTTTTCATTGTAGAGATTTAGAACTGCCTCGAGAACCATGCATAGCTATCTCATTCGTTTATTCAACCTGCACTATTTATTGAGCAGTACTATGTGTCAGGTATTGTATTTGAGTAGGTGGTGAACAAACATTTTCTATCCTAGGGAGTTCACAGGGAACTGGGAGAAACAGGCCATGAAAAAGTAGGTATGTGTAAATAGAGAAATGTTTCAATAATAGTGCCAAAAAGAAAAATTGGTAAGGGGTGGAGTAATGGGGATGGGAGTGTACTACTTTGCACTGTGCAGCCAGCCAGGATAACTTTTCTAAGGAAATAACATTTTCTTAGAGATATAAAAGAAATAAGGGAAGGAACCATGGGTTTTGCAGTGGAAGAGCCGTTAGGTAGAGGTAACAGCAAATGCAAAGGGTCTGAGGAACAGGAATGTTTGTCTTATTCAAGGTATAATTAGGGCAGTAGCAGTAGCGGTATTGTTACTTGTAGAGGGTCTTGACTGCAAGTTGTTGAGGCTCTTGGCATTTCAAACAAAGAATTGAACAAAACGCATAGCAAAGCAAGGAAAGAATGAAGCAATGAAAGCAGAGATTTATTGAAAATTAAAGTACACTCCATAGTGTGGGAGCCGGCCGAGCAGCAGCTCAAGGACCCTGATACAGATTCTTCTGGGGTCCAGATACCCTCCTAGAAGTTTCCCATTGGTCACTTGGTGTTCATCCCCTGAAAATGAAGTGATGGCTTGCAATCAGTCTGACTGGTTGCTGCTTACAACCAATCAGAGGTTGAAGTGAAGTTACAAAGGTTACACCCCTATGCAAACATCTGATTGGTTGCGGAAAGCAACCAATCAGATGCTAAAGTGAAGTTACAAACTTGCACTCTTACGCAGATGAAGACTTGGCCTGCAATCAGTCTGATTGGTTGCTGTCTGCCACCAATCAAAGGCTGAAGTGAAGTTACAAAGTTACACTCCTATGCAACCAATCAGAGGTACTTTCAATTTTCCATGTGTCACGCAGAAAAGGAGGTTTGCAAAGGGAGTAGTCTCTGGTCCTTTTGTTACTTACGTGTGGAAAGTTGGTGGGGGTGGGGGGATTCCTTTTGATTTAGTTCTAGAAAGTCAGGGTGAAATGGCCTTAGGTTCCCTGCCTCCAGACCCTATCTCCTGCCTCAGTGTGAGGTGTCAGGATGGTGGCAGGAATGGGATGGCAGTGGGTGGGAAGGAATATCTTTAGGACATCAAAGATTGAGGGGTAGCAGGAGTCCAGAACAAGTTGGGCAAGGCATGGATTTTGGATTTTAATCTCTGTGTGATGGGAAGCCATTGGAGGGTCTTGAGCCAGGTGTGACATGATTTGATCTGTTTTATTTCAGAGATCTTGGTGGTGGCAGAGACCTTAGCTGTTGGGCTGGGGTTGGTTGCTACTAGAAGGCTTCTAGGTTTCCCATCTCCTTTCAATCTGGGCAGCTTCACCTTGATCTATTTTGCATATTGGGCTTCTGGATAGTTTTTTGTTTTGTTTTTTTTTTTAAGTCGGAGTCTCGCCTGTCACCCATGCTGGAGTGCAGTGGCGCGATCTCGGCTCACTGCAACCTCAGCCTCCTGGGTTCAAGAGATTCTCCTGCCTCAGCCTCTCCAGTAGCTGGGACTACAGGCGCCGGCCACCACGCCTGGCTAATTTTTTGTATTTTTAGTAGAGACGGGGTTTCACCGTGTTAGCTAGGATAGTCTTGATATCCTGACCTCGTGATCCGCCCGCCCTCAGGCTTCCAAAGTGCTGGGATTACAGGCGTGAGCCACCACGCTCGGCTGATTTTTTTTTTTAAAGAAAGATTTCCACAACTTTAAAAACTTTGGAAAATCACTGTTTTATATTGCCGGTTATATTTATTAAAACCAGTGGGAGGTGGAAAAATTAAAGTGATAGGAAATAATTATTTCATAAATTTTACTCCATTGAGACAAAGATGGAAACCACAATAGGGCAAGAGGTGGTAAATCTTAACCTCAGCTGGACCATCTGTGTTTAAGCTAGTTGAATTCTTCTTTTGTGTTAACTAGAAAGGAAAAGGGCAAAATTAAAGATGAGGATCATTTGGGAATTTATAGTACTTTTTAGTTGGATGGAAATAGAAGTCTGTTCAAAGTGGTGTATTATTCACACCCATCTTTCAGAACATGTTGTATAGTCAAGCCAGCATTTCTTGTACAATGCAAAACTGAGGTTGAAAAGCATATATTGTAAATTTATTTACCATTTTAAGTGAAACTTTTTATTTTTGCTTCTTTCCCTTTGCATTACATTGGTGAATGGGAAATATATATATATACACATATATATGTGTATATATATGTGTATATGTTTATATATATGTATGTATATGTATATATATAAAATGTTTGAATTTTTAAGAATTGATATTGTTAGAAGTTTTCATGAATCTTAAAATTCTTTACTCCACAGGGGCATTACCTTATTAAGTTGTTGCCTGACATTTATTCAATGACGACAATGTGCTAGGGCTTTGATTTTAAATATGATTTATTTTAAAATTATCTTAAAATGATTTTTAAAAATAGGATTTATTTAAAAATCATTATTCCTTTAAAACTCAAAACCTCGTCCTATTCCAGCAGATGTAGCTAAAACAACAACAACAACAAAACAACCTCAAAACTTCAGTAAAATTATGTGAATGCTCTATGTTGAGCATTTTGCATGCATTTACTCTTTTAATCCCCACAACAACTCCAAAACCTGGCATTATTTTACCGATTTCATAGGTAAGGAAACTGAATCACAGATAGTGAAGCAGTTGACTCAGCGTCATAAAGCAAATGGAAGAGCTGAGCTTGGCAGGTGGATCTTTTGGTTTCAAGGCCTGCTCTTTGGCTGCTGTGGGGAAGGGAAACCATCATCCAGGGTGCGGAAGGAAGGTGGTTTATCTGGAATGATCTAGGTGGAAGTCTACATCTAGGTAGCGAAGAGAAATTTCATATCCTTTACCCCTTCTGTGAAAACACATCTACTTTATACTTGAGCCCATCGTCTGGCCACCCCACAGAAACTGTTCCTAATGCTGTGAATTACAGAACTTTAATTTATTTGCATTTCTGTGTTCTTTTGGGAATGGATTTACTACTTGAAATATATATATTTTTAATTACATAATAAAACTTCAAAACTTTGATATCCATAAAATAATATAAGTGGTGCTTTTCAGCAAAGTGTGTTTCTGGATGTGAATCCCTGATTATAAGATATTTATTAAAGTCTTTTTTCTTCTCAAGGAATGGAAAGTCTAGGAATATTAATCCTTAGGATGATCACTAATAAATTTATTTTGTAGTTCTGAACACATAAAAGCTTTGTCTGTACTCTTTGGATATTAAAGTGTAAAAAAATTGTAATTGATTAAAAGTTGGATATTGACACTAAACGGGAAGAAACTGACATAATTTATGTGAATGTGCTTAGGTCACTTACAATGCATTCCATAAATGATAATGGAATCTAAAGATCTTCAGCTGGAGAAAATGAGGCTAAGGAGGAACTTAAATGGCCAAGTTTGTCTTCAGTGTGTTCTCTTTGCCTTCTTGCTCTTTCTGTCTCTCTGTGTTGCTCTCCCTTACTCTGAAAAAAATAAAGGCAGTAGGGTAACAAACAACATTTCGGAAAAGTAGGATTAAAAGTGTAGTCTTAACTCAGCAGATTTTAAAACATATTGTAAGTTTACAAATATTCAAACAGTACTTGGCCAACAATTAGGCAGCAGATGATGAATCAGACTAGAAGGTCAAATAACAGACTTGCTTCTCATTAATAAAGGGAAACATAATCAATTTGGGAGAGACTGGATGGATTATTCAAAAACTAATTTTTGTATAATTTTCTAATTACTTAGAAAAGAAGAAGACCAAAGTATTCCCTCACTGCCTATGTCAAAATAAATTCTATGTAGATTAAGATTTTAACGTAAAAACAAAATTCCATAAAATACTAGAACAAAAATGATAATCTTAGGATGACATAGAGGTTTTCAAAGCATAATTCTAAAGCAGAAATAAGAAGGGTTGGCTGATTTTATTAAATTTTAACTAAGAACTTCTGTATGATTAAAGATATAATACCCAATTGAAAGGTTTATAAACTTGGACCAAAATGTGCAGTCATATATAAAGAGTTAATAACTCTATTAAATAGAAAGGACTTACAAATAGAAAAGGTCATCACCCCAAGATCATAAGTGAAGCACATGAATAGACAGTTCACTGAAGAAACATAACTGTTTAGTAATTATTTAAAAAAAACACCTTTAATGTCACAATTAATCAAATACATACATAGTGAAACAAAGAAGTGCCTTTTTTTTCATATTAGACTTTCAGAGATTACAAAGCACCCCAAAAGTCCTGAGTAGGGTATAGGGAAATTGGCATGAGAGGGTTATACTTTTCTGGTAAAAAAATTTAGCAATGGGCATCAGAAACTGAAAATGTTTATAGCTTTGGAGCCAGTTGTTTCACTTAAAGTATTTACTCTAAGGAAATCACTGGAAATACAGACAAAAACTTTTGTACAATAATATTAGTTATGGCACTAACAATAAAATATTTAATGCTATAGGAAATTGCTTATGATAAAATTATAAGTAAACAAAGATGATCTCAATTTTGATTAAGAGAAAATATATATCAATTATACCTCAATAAAGTGTTTTAAAAGAACATATATACGTGTATCAACAAATACATACAGATACAGAAAGAAAATACATCGAATTGTTTTGTTTTGTTCGAGACGGAGTCTCCCTCTGTCGCCCAGGCTGGAGTGCAGTGGCGTAATCTCAGCTCACTGCACACTCCGCCTCCTGGGTTCACGCCATTCTCCTGCCTCAGCCTCCCTAGTAGCTGGGACTACAGGCACCCGCCACCATGCCCAGCTAATTTTTTGTATTTTTAGTAGAGACGGGGTTTCACTGTGTTAGCCAGGATGGTCTCGATCTCCTGACCTCGTGATCTGTCCGCCTCGGCCTCCCAAAGTGCTGGGATTACAGGCGTGAGCCACCACACCTGGCCAACTTCAGACAAATTTAAAGCAAATCATCTTTGGTAGGCTACCTAGTTAAATGGTCAACCTTTGGTGCTGCAGTGTGAGTGAGTTCGTGTATCTTTTCCTTTGTAGCTAAGGGAAGGGCCATTGACAAGGTAATGAGGGAGGGGCAGATCTAGGCAGGCTGCTTTATCCTCTGAGCACTTTTGCTT
Source organism: Homo sapiens (assembly GCF_000001405.40). Taxonomy (NCBI): domain Eukaryota; kingdom Metazoa; phylum Chordata; class Mammalia; order Primates; family Hominidae; genus Homo; species Homo sapiens. Next base: position 42,183,861 of record NC_000004.12, read on the forward strand.
TTGTGGGCCGCCTCCTCCAAACAACAACAAAAAATCAAAAGTTATATTTTACAACCGTGTTGGCATATAGATCAGTATAATCCAGGCTGAGTTATATTTATTTTTTCTTCTGATTTTAAAATAAATTAATTTAAAACCTTTTTGTGGACTCCTAAAAGGAGGATGGCCTAGGCGCTGTACTAACCAGGCCATGTGGAGTAGTTGGCTGTGGGCCCAGGTGGGAGGCTCAGGGACAGGCCAGGGGTTGAGGAGATACCACAGTGGAGGGGTAGGATTCTAGAAGGCAGGATGGAACAATGCCATCTACTCCGTCAGTGGCCTTGAGCAGCTGTTGTTTATTGTGCATCCTTGTGAGAACAATCAAATTTCAGGTTACTAGGGAGTCGTTGTCAAACCCTGCTCTCATTTGTGCGTCACATTTCCAAGTCCTTTTATGGGAAGGCATGTTAGAAATCTCTGTGACTCTCTGTTTGGGGGTAAGAGGGCTTAACAAGAGGCAAGGTGACTCCCAGGTTTCTGACAAGGGCATCCGGGTCAGTGGTGGGACCATTCTCCAATGTATAGGTCATGGAGGAAAATTTCTATTTAGATTATTTGAATTGTAGGTGACTTGAGCACATGGAGGAGGTGGGAAATAAAGCCCTGGGGATGTTCTAGAACTCAGGGGAGAGGTGTATCCTCGATTGGTGGACTTAGGACATCCATGGGCAGGAAGTGCCTGATACCATGAGCATGGATGAGTGAAGGGAGGTGGCAGGAGCCAGGATTCCCGGAACACTTTCAGAAGATGTGGCCAAGGAGACCTGGCAGCAGAGAAGAGGAAAACCTCAAGATAGTAATGCTGACACCAAGAAAGGATGCAGTTTCTGAAGAAGGATGTGATTTGCAGTTTCAAAAGCCATACGGAGGTTTATCAAGATCAAGATTAAAAAGTAAGATGATTTAAAAGTTAAGCAGCTGTTGCTGAACTTACTGAGAACATTTGGTGCCAAGCCAGATTAAAGTGTGTTTAGGAATAAATGGACAGAGAAATAAAGAGAAAAGGTGCTCTTTTCAGAAGCTGGCTGTGAAAGGGAAGAAAGTATCAAGGTTATAGTAAATGTTACTATTCTTTAGCTTTATAGTCACGTACTGCATGACGACATCTCAGTCAGTGACAGACCACATATAAAACATTGGTCCCATAAGATTATAATACTGTATTTTTACGGTACCTTTTTATGTTTGATATGGTTTTCTGTGTCCCCATCAAATCTCATGTTGAATTGTAATCCCCATTGTTGGAGGTGGGGCCTGGTGGGAGGTGATTGGCTCATGGCGGTGGTCCTTCATGAATGGTTTTAGCACCATTTGCTGCTGTTCTCATGATAGTGAGTTATTGTGAGATCTGGTTATTTAAAAGTGTGAGCACCTTCCCCATCTCTCTATCTCATCTCTCTCATGGCTGCAGCCTTGTGAGACGTGCCTGCTTCCCCTTCACCTTCCGCCATGATTGTAAGTTTCCTGAGGCCACCCCAGTAGCAGAAGCCATTATGCTTCCTGGACAGCCTCCAGAACCATGAGCCAATTAAACCTCTTTTCTTTATAAATTACCCAGTTTTGGTAATTGCTTTATAACAATGGGAGAACAGACTAATATAATATTTAAATATACAAATACTTATGATTTGTTACAGTTGTCTGCAGTATTCAGTACAGTCACCTGCGGTACAGGTTTGCAGCTTAGATACCGTAGGCTGTATTATATAGCCTAGGTGTGTAGCGGACTCTACATTTAGGTTTGTGTAAGTACGATTAAATCACCTAATGATGCATTTCTCAGAACATATCCTCATCCTTAAGTGACGCACGACTGCATTTATAAGAAAGGAGACGGAAGAGTATGTTTGTATGTTGAAGATTATGAAAGTGCGTGGGTTGAATGGTGTCACCCAAAATTCATTTGTTGAAGTCTTAACCCCTGGTACCTCAGAATATGACCTTATTTGGAAATAAAGTCTTTGCAGATGTGATTAGTTGAGATGAGGTGAAACTGGAATGGGGTAGGCCTCTAATTCAACATGACTGCTGTTCTTATAAAAAAGAAAAATTTGGACACAGACATGCAAACAGAGAGAAGGCCATATGAACATGAAGGCAGAACTCAGAGTGATGTGTCTAGAAGCCAAGGAAGGCCAAAGATTGCCAGCAACCACCAGGAGCCAGGAGAGAGGCCTGGAAGACACCCTTCCCTGGCACCTTCAGAGGGAACTTGGCCTTGCTGATGTCTTGATTTTCTTTTAGTCTCCAGAACTGTGAGACAATACATTTCTGATGTTTAAGCCACTCCATTTGCAATACTTTGTTACAGCAGCCCTAGCCAACTATGAGAGAGAGAGAGAGAGAGACTTCTGAATAAATCCCAATTCTTAGGCTCTAACTAAGTGGGGTTGTTGGTGCAGCGAGCTGCTTAGTGACCACCATAGGAAATGGGTTAAAGACGACGTGGAGGCCAGGCGCGGTGGCTCAAGCCTATAATCCCAGCACTTTGGGAGGCCGAGGCGGGCAGATCACGATGTCAGGAGATCGAGACCATCCTGGCTAACACAGCGAATCCCCGTCTCTACTAAAAATACAAAAAATTAGCCAGGCGTGGTGGCGGGCGCCTGTAGTCCCAGCTACTCAGGAGGCTGAGACAGGAGAATGGCGTGAACCCAGGAGGCGGAGCTTGCAGTGAGCGAAGATCGCACCACTGCACTCCACCCTGGGCAACAGGTCGAGACTCCGTCTCAAAAAAAAAAAAAAAGAATACATGGAAATGTCAGCACACTAGACTAGGTACCTATTAAGAGGGTCACATCCAGTTTTTTAGTTGTATCTCTTCAACCTAGAAGTCATTGCTACACACTGCCTGCTGGAGACAAAAATCATTGTGAGCTTTTTAAAAAAATGGATCACTTCTCTATTACATAAGTTCAATAGAATCTAACATCGCAAGGCATAGTTCATAGTGCTCTCAGAGCCAACAGTTACAGTAACTTGGCAATATAAATCTTGGTAGTATTGACAGAAAGTGTTTATATAGATATTTCCAAATACCTCAACTTAGGCAGAAAAGTAGGAGTGAAAAATTAACAAATTGCACTCAACAATAGTTTAACAAATTGATTTCCACTAATATGAAAATGAAAAAAGATTCATATCTTGGGTGAATATTAATTTGTATGTTCTTTATAGAGGGTCAAATTCATCTTTAGGGTGAAATACATAAATCAACCCAATAAAAACTATATATATCAAGAAGAGCTAGAAATTTGTTCCCTGAAATGAAGCTTTTGCTTACTTCTAACTTGATCTTCATTTATTTGTTTTTTGAGAGCAAATGCATCATCAGACAATTGCTATCTTATTCACTTTGTAAATGATTTTAGATGATGTTGATTGTGCTAAAGGGATATAAGTTATATGGTAAATGGGAGAAAGGCTGTTTTTTGTTTATGGATTGCCTAGGATAAGTGGATATAAGACGTGGGAACGTTCGATGATGGAGTGTGGTGTGAGGAGAAGGAGAAAGTAGGAAAGAGGCAGTAAATGGACAACTTAAGCTGTGTGGCCTTGGGTAAACCTTTCAGGCCCATTTCCTGCTCTCTAACAGAGTTAGTAAGACCTAGCTCACTGTTGTATGTGAAAGCACCTGGAAGAGTGTCTGAGGCAAAGTCAAAGCACAATTGATGTTAGTGGTGTCTCTTTTAGATCGGGATTTGCAGTGAGAAGCAACGTGGTGGAGTGAGAAACCTGGATTTTGGTACACACTGATCTGGAAGCAAATTTCAGCTTAGCTTCTTGCCAGTGTGTGGTTGACTGTTAATCAGTTAGTGAACTTCCCTGAGCTTCGTTTTCTTCATCTTATGATTTTGTAAGGTTTTATGGTGATTCAATGAGATAACATAAAGCATCTGGCATTGTGACTATTACGGCCACTACTGGTCTATATGGTAACTTTATGTGAATTACGAAAATACACTCCTTTTTTTTTTTTTTTTTTTTTGAGGCAGAGTCTCACTCCGTCGCCCAGGCTAGAGTGCAGTGGCGCGATCTCGGCTCACTGCAAGCTCCGCCTCTCGGGTTCATGCCATTCTCCTGCCTCAGCCTCTCAAGTAGCTGGGACCACAGGCGCCTGCCACCACACCTGGCTAATTTTTTGTATTTTTTTAGTAAAGACGGGGTTTCAACATGTTAGCCAGGATGGTCTCAATCTCCTGACCTCGTGATCTGCCTGCCTCGGCCTCCCAAAGTGCTGGGATTACAGGCATGAGCCACCGCGCCCAGCCAAAAATCCACTCTTTCTTCCAGTGATTTTACTTCTGCTTATTAGAAAATTGTCCTAATATACTGAAAATTGGAACAAGACACTTAACTGCCATCTGCCAGAAAACTGTCAAAATATATGTACAAATCAAGAAGTAACCTAAGTATCCATCAACGGACGAATGGATACAAAAAATGTGGTACGTATACATAATGGAGCCAATTCAGCCATAAAAAAGAATGAGATCCTGCCATTTACAACAACATAGATGAAAATATGGACTTAATGTTAAGTGAAATAAGTCAGGCACAGAAAGACAAACTTTACATATTCTCACTCATTTGTGGAAGCTAAACATGAAGACAATTGAACTCATGGAGAAGAGTAGAATCATGGTTACCAGAGGCTGGGGAAAATAGTGGGGCGACAGGGAGTGGGGATTGTTAATGGGTACAAAAATATAGTTAGATAGGATGAATAAGATCTAGTATTTGATAGCACAACAGGGTGATTACAGTCAGCGGTAATTTATTGTACATTTTTAAATAACTAAAAATCGAATCGGCATGTTTGTAACACAAAGAAATGACAAATGCTATAGGTGATGGATACCCCATTTATCCTGATGTGATTATTACATGTTGTATGCTGGTATCAAAATATCTCATGTATCTCATAAATATATGCACCTACTATGTACCCATAAAAATTAAAAACAAACAAAAGTCAAATCTCTGGTGTCTAAATGTGGAATGTGGTTCCTTTGTGCAGTACACAACCTGCAGAGACTTAAATGGCAAACAGCCCCAAAATATGGCACATAATAGGTGATGGTTTAATGCATATTTCCTCCTCTCCTCTCTTCCTCTTTCTATCTCTGTCTTCCTTTATTTTTACAGCCAGGGCACTCCCATTGGCAGATCTTACAACTTTACCTGGGCAGTCTGCATCCTAAATGGTGTTGCCACAACTCCTAATAAAGGGTCTCCATGGGGAGCAGAAGTTATCAAGACTGTACCCCTTCAGTAATTGACTTTTCCAGTCCCCACCCTTACTCAGGGTTGACATATCCATGCTGTTTCTCATTAGCCCACCACCTTTTTATCTCCTCAAGACTGTGAAACCTGAGGAAATCAAAAGGAGCTCCTCAGTATAAAAAGGCAGCTGAACGCTGGGCTAGAGTAGCTAAATGGGGAAGCAGTCGGGCAAAGGCGAAGTGAGGCTGGACGAGTGCTACCGAGTCTGCCGTTTAATCTTACTTCCGCGATCCCTCCTTATCCTCTTTTCTCTGTATCTTACAGCCCCCTTCTGCCCTTTCCTTCCCTCATTATCCAACTCAGTGTTCATATCACATGTCCATGGCCAACAGCCTCCTAGTCACCCCAATGTTTGCGCACATAATTGATGACTTCAACTTGCAAGAGTTGGCCAGGCATGGTGGCTCACGCCTGTAATCCCAGCACTTTGGGAGGCCGAGATGGGCGGATCACGAGGTCAGGAGTTCAAGACCTTCCTGCCTAACACGGTAAAATCCCGTCTCTACTAAAAATGAAAAAAATTAGCCGGGCATGGTGGTGGGTGCCTGTAGTCCCAGCTACTCAGGAGGCTGAGGCAGGAGAATGGCGTGAACCCGGGCGGTGGAGCTTGCAGTGAGCCAAGATTGCGCCACTGCACTCCAGCCTGGGTGACAGAGCGAGACTCCGTCTCAAAAAAAAAAACCTTGCAGATTTGACCCGTCTAACACACGGCTCAGTGACTTTCATCTCCATTCTATTGCAGCTACCATACTCATCAACAAATATTGCAACATTTTCAAAATCACTGCTCCACTCACCCCACTCTTCAATTGAAACCTCTGCTTCCAGTTGTCTTGTTCAATTCTCTACTGTAACAACTCCTTGGTGTCATTAAGATTTCTGGTCCACTAACCATCCTCTTTTCTCTGTATCTTACAGCCCCCTTCTGCCCTTTCCTTCCCTCATTATCCAACTCAGTGTTCATATCACATTATTATAATTGGTGTATTATAGATAACTGGAATTCCCTTGATTCTCTCACCTTTTGTCGCATTTACCTGGCAAAATCCTAACCCAGGATGAAACAGCATTCACCTGAGCACCTGGGCGTTGCCACATTTATACTGTGTTGCAGTCCTACCTCAGACCTCAGACAAGCTTAGTTTCCCACTGTCCCAGTGACTTTTGTATGACTTGCTTGTCAAACTTCCCACCCCTTCCTTCATTTCTCTCAACTGATTTTCAGCTGACGAACTTATCTTCTTTGAGAAAACAGAAGCCATATGGTGGGAACACCTTCATCTTTCCATCTCGGTATCTACAGGCCTTCCTGTGTCTTCATTCACCTCTTTGCTGTTCTCTTCTAGAACATCCCCCCTTCACATGTTGTCTTTGTGCCTTCTCCTTTTTCCTTACCTTACTGTCATCCCCACCACCACCCTTGCTACTGGATCATACAAGCATCCTCAAATTCCTCCCCTGATCCAATCTTTTTTTAGTAATTGCTCCATTTCTCTGCTTCTCATCATTGTCAAACTTCTTAAAAGAGCTTTCTGGCTTTTATCTCTACAGAAAAAGAGTATTTTACTCTTGTCAGTTTTCACTGACTGCCCAACACGACGGACCCTATTCAGTCCTCATTTTAATTAGCTTGGTAGCAGCAGTCAACAAAGTAGGAAACTCCCTCTTCTTAAAGCACTTTCTTCTTTTGGCTTCTGGGGCACCACCCTCTCCTAGTTTTATAGCTACCTTCCTACATCCTTCTGTTCTATTCTACCTCTAAGTATTGGATTTTCTCATGGGTTTGTTATAGGCCTCTTTTTTCAACACTCTCTTTAGGTCATTCTCGACATTCCCATGTTTTAAAATACCCCCTGTGCAATGATGATTCCACCCCAACTTCTCTTCTGAGCTAAAGATCTAGTGGCTTCCCCAGCCCGGCCAGTCACATGGCTACACCCAACCACAGGAGAGGGAGTAAGAACGATCCTACCATGTGCCTTGAAGAGTAGAAAACCAAACATATTTGGCTGATTTATCCATGACTAAAAAATGTGATAATGACAAGAAATTAGGTCATGTATGGTGATCAGTTTTGCATACACAGGTATTAGGCCACCCTCAAGTTTTACTACATGGATGACTACACAGAGCAGCTTCCATGTAAACAATGTAAATGCTTTAGAGGCCTATGGTGATATCCTGGGATGTCAAAGGAAGAGGAGGAGAAGCAATTGCAAAAAAAAGAAAAAGAAAAAGATTGAATGGCTTACTTAACATCTCTGCTTGAATGTTTAACAGATATCTTAGGCATGAAATGTCTATAAAATTCTCAATAATCACTTCACTTCCCAAAATGTTTATCCCAAAGCCTTCACCATTTTAGTAAATGGGATCATCCCGTAGCCCAAGCCAGAAACCCGAGAGTCATCCTTCATTTTTCCCTCTCCCTTACCTCTCAGATCTAATCCATCACGAACATTTTGGACTTTACTTCCAAAATATGTTTCCAGTTCATGCACTTCTCTCCATTTCTACTGCCATCAACCAGGTTCAATCAACATCATCGCTTTCCTAGGCAACTGCTCCTAACCTGACTTCCCAATTCGACTCTTGTGGCCTTTCTTTTTTTTTTGAGACGGAGTCTCGCTCTTTTGCCTGGACCGGAGTGCAGTGGCGCTATCTTGGCTCACTGCAGGCTCCGCCTCCCGGGTTCACGCCATTCTCCTGCCTCAGCCTCCCAAGTAGCTGGGACTACAGGCGCCCGCCACCACACCCAGCTAATTTTTTGTATTTTTAGTAGAGACGGGGTTTCACCGTGTTATCCAGGATGGTCTCGATCTCCTGACCTCGTGATCCGCCCGCCTCGGCCTCCCAAAGTGCTGGGATTACAGGCGTGAGCCACCGCGCCTGGCCTCTTGTGGCCTTTCAAACCACATTCCACCCAGCAGCCATGGTAGTTGTTATACAGTGCAAATCTCACTGTGCCATTTCCTTGATGAAGACTGTTCAGAGATTTTCCATTGCTCTTGGAATAAAAGCTGAATACCATTTCGTGTCCACACAAGCCAGCCCTGTATAGTTTATCTCTTTTCATCTTTCCGCCCTCATTTCATCCCCCCTGCCCCTCACTCACTGTTCTTATATCCTTTTCCATTTTCCTCTACATGCCAAGTCTTCTCCTTCCTTGGGGCTTTTGTACATGCCCTCTATTTGGAATTTTCTTCCTTTAATCTTTGTAAGGCTGGTAACTTTGGGGTTTTCTTTTACTTATTTATTTATTTTTATTTATTTATTTTTTGAGATGGAGTTTCGCTCTTGTTGCCCAGGCTGGAGTGCAATGGCACAACCTTGGCTCACTGCAATCTCCGCCTTCTGGTTTCAGCCTCCTGATTGGCTGAGATTACGGGCGTGCACCACCATGCCCGGCTAATTTTTGTAGTTTTAGTAGAGACGGGGTTTCATCACATTGGCTAGGCTGGTCTGGAACTCCTGACCTTGTGATCCACCTGCCTTGGCTTCCCAAAGTGCTGGGATTACAGGTGTGAGCCACTGCGCCCAGCCGGGGTCTTCTTTTAAATTTCACCTTTCCTGTCCACCCTGTGTCAAGTGGGTGATATTCTCTCTCTCTCCTAGTGCCCTGTTCTTTTTCTTCACAGCCCTTATCACTATTACACTTTCATGTTTATTTCTTTGTTCATTTGTTTATGCCTGGTTCTCCCACTAGACTGGCAGCCCCATGAAGGCCGGTACCATGTTGGGTTGTCCTCCACTGTAAGCCCAACACTTAGCATAATGCTTAGCACCTAGCAGGCACATTTGCTAAATTTTTTATTGAATAAACTTGTTACATTTTGGTTAGGTCCGTTATTACTTCTGGACTTTAGCTTCCTCACCTGGATTACCTGAAGTATCACTCTAAGATTAATAAAATGATATAAGAAGTGTTACGAGTCATTGTGTTTTTAAAACCATGTGTTTCCATTTTAATTAGTACCTATTAATTCCCTGCTAGGGAAAATGAGGAAATTAGTACTCCCACTTCCTTCCACTTTCCTCCTCTCCTGTTTTTGTTATATTATTTTATTAAATATTGGCAAAGTGTATAACATTAACACCTGTTTTGCAGCTCTTATTCCCTTAATGGCTTAATCTTAATTTTCTATTTAAATGGATTAATTGCTTACCATCTGTATACATTTAGGTTCTTGGTTTTATGCAATGAAAACCAACTTTGGTTAACTTAGAAAAGGAATTGATCAGAGGATATTGGTGGTTCACAAGTGGGAAGACCAGGGAATCCTATTCAGAAGATGGGAGGGAACCAAGGGCGACTAAGCAGTGGGAAAACTCCCCTGGAGACCTGCCATGTGATTCTCTGGTTAGGCCACACCCAGGGCCCACCCACTGGGCACTCTCTCCCTCTCTTTCTCTCTCCTTATCTCTCCTTCCTTCCTCCTTTTTTCCCTTCTTCCTTTGCATTTCTTCTGCCTCCTCCTTTGCTGTAGTATGTTTGGATGGTTTCTTGTCATCTCGTTTCCTTTTTCTTATGCTTTCTGTGAGCAGATTTTACAAACTGTCTGCTCTAATAGAGTGTAGATGAATCCCTGTTGACCCTTCCACTGTATCTGAGCCCTCATCTTTTCCTACTCTGAGTTGTTAGAAGACTGGATGTTTTGTTTTCTTTTTGTTTTTTGATTGATCCTTGGGAATGGGTAAAGCAGAGGGAAGATGGGGAAGAGGCAGCCGAAGCTCTGGGAGACCAGCAGAAGACCCACACTCTGTTCAGTGTTCTGATTTTATCAAGTGTCTTCTATGAGAATTTACCCCAGCTAATTGCGGTGGATCATATTCTCATGTGCCGGAGTCCCCAGGCTCCAGATTACCCCATACCCCCTCACCCAACCCGCAGCCCTGGATTCACTGAATGGCCTTGAAACCTTCATTTCTGGCAGAGAAAAATGGGCCTCTGGTATCTCCTCCCATGTCATCTATCTCTACTTACAAGCCATTTCTCTTCTTTCCCAACTGAAAATGTAAAGGTATATCCTCAAGTCACTGCTTTTCAGATTTGGAATAAAGTGGTTGCAGTTTAGGATTCTTTTTTTTTTTTTTTTTGAGACCGAGTCTCGCTGTCGCCCAGGCTGGAGTGCAGTGGCGCGATCTCGGCTCACTGCAGGCTCCGCCCCCCGGGGTTCACGCCATTCTCCTGCCTCAGCCTCCCACGTAGCTGGGACTACAGCCGCCCGCCACTACGCCCGGCTAATTTTTTGTATTTTTAGTAGGGGTTTCACAGTGTTAGCCAGGATGGTCTCGATCTCCTGACCTCGTGATCCACCCGCCTTGGCCTCCCAAAGTGCTGGGATTACAGGCGTGAGCCACCGTGCCCGGCCTAGACTGGATAATTTTAAGATTAGTATGATGGTTAATTTTATTGTCAACTTGGCTAGGCTATGGTACCCAGGTGTTTGGTAAAACACTAGTCTCCATGTCACTGTGAAGGTATTTTGAAGATGTGATTAACACTTAAATCAGTGGACTTTGAGTAAAGCAGATTACTCTCCTTAATGTGGATGGGCCTCATCCAATCAGTTAAAGGCCTTAAGAGAAAAAAGACTGACTCTACCAAGGACAAGGGTATTCTGCCTGAAGGCTGCCCTTGGACTTGAGCTGCAACATCAACTCTTCTCTGGGTGTCCAGCCTGCTGATCTGTCCTGCAGATTTTGGATTTGCCAGCCCCCACAATCACATGAACCAATTCCTTAAACTTAATCCCTCTCTCTTTCTCTTTCTTTCTGTTTCTCTCTCTCTCTTTCTCTCTCTGTTGCTGACCTCTATAGGATCCACCAAGATGAATTTGTGGCAAAGAAAAGAGGCAGATTCTGGAGTCAGACTGCCTGGTTTCAATCCCCAGCTTCATGACTTACTTTCTGTATGATGGGCAATTTACATATCCTCTGTGTGCCTCAACTTCCTCATTTGTAAAATGGGACAGAAGTTGGCATGTATCTCATAAGATTATATGAGAATTAATTGAGATATTAGACGCAGAGCATTTAGAATAGTTTCTGATACATAGCAATTCCAATAAATGTTGGCTATTGGCCGGGCGCAGGGCTCACGCTTGTAATCCCAGCACTTTGGGAGGCCGAGGGCCAATCACGAGGTCAGGAGATCGAGGCCATCCTGGCTAACACGGTGAAACCCCATCTCTACTAAAAAAATACAAAAAATTAGCTGGGCGTGGTGGCAGGCGCCTGTAGTCCCAGCTACTCGGGAGGCTGAGGCAGGAGAATGGCATGAACCCAGGAGGCAGAGCTTGCAGTGAGCCAAGATCACGCCACTGCACTCTAGCCTGGGCGACAGAGCTAGACTCCGTCTCAAAAATAAATAAATAAATAAATAAATAAATAAATGTTGGCTATTATCAGAGGTTCACATAATCTCATGTCTGAAGCCTTAAGGAGCATGTACTATATCTATGTAACACTACCATCGGGTTCTTGGTAGCCCCTGATAATCACACACAGTCATATGTATGCAGTGAAATGCACTAGGAGAGCCAAGGAAACACCATAAACAACCTCATAGGGGTTCAGGTCAGGTTTTGCTACCAAATGAGTTAGGGAGAAACTTGGTTTTGAGAGCTTTCTGGATTTTGGAGTTGTAGATAAGGGATTGCAGACTTGCATCATGCGGTTATGCTTTCAAGACACCTGAAAACAAGTTAGCTTGCTGGGTGAGCCTAGTTAACATTTCACACTTCAACACTGGAGCATGTCTATCATAAAAATAATTTTTGTTTAGGCCTAATTGATAAAGAGCTATTTTTTAGACTCAATTAGGCGACGACATCAGTTGCTTTGGAGACTTCCCTGGGTTTTTGAGACTAAAGCCATGACATCAGGGTGGAGAGAATTCTTGCTGTGCTGCTTATCACAGCAGGGAGTGTGCCCCCACATCACACTAAATCCTACTTGTTCCTTACACAAGCTGCTAGTATGAGAGACCCAGACTGACAATGTGCTGGAAGGAAGCCAGGGGCCATAGACTCTTGGTGAAATGGGGGGAATGATCATATTCTTATATCCATTCAACATATTTTTTGAGCACTTACTCTTTGCTAAGTATTATAAACTTTCTGTATAGCATTTTATTGTTTAGGCAGTGTTTCATGTGCATTGCCTCTTTTAATAACCCTACGAGGAAGGTAGAACATATTGTTATCCATGTTTTACTGGGGAAGAAGCAAAGTCTTACAGAGTTTAAGTGTCCCTTTAAGGTACAGAAGTAGCTGACCTGGGACAAAAACCCACTTCTTTACTTTCTTCTGCGCCTCGAGTAATAGAGGTTTGCACCTTATGAAAATAGGGGTGAATATACTTTTTAATAAAAGCCATAGGAATAAACTGTTTAGTAGTGATTGGTATCAACCATCAGATAGCATTTAAATAGCTCTGGCAGAAGATCTCCTCAAGGAACGTGTTGCAGCTTAAGGCAGTTAATCAGATATTTCCCATTGCAAAGAGTTTCCATGTGTCTGGGGTGCTGTGAGGCATCACTCAGATTCCCCTTTTAGGACTGAGGGACTTAATTCCCTTAACTGCCAGGAAGGTTGTTGGCTGACGTCTTTCTCTGGAAATTACCATCAGGTGGAGAGAGAGCATTCTTGTTCAAGGTCATCCCCGTCTCCCCACCCCCCGCCCCCGCCCCCGCCCCCGCCCCTGCCCCCGTCTTGGGGCAGCCCACGCCCAATGATTGGCCACTACTGAGGTATAAAAGCCCAGCCCCTTTGTCCAGACCCGGGACAACTCTGAAGAGCCATGCCTGCTCCAGACCTCCCTGTGGGGTTGGCTGAGACCGTGTTGTGGTGGCACTGCAGTCCAGCCTCTCTCACTGCCACTTCCTTTCCTCTGCTCCACTGGTGTTGAATCAAGAACACTCCCCAGCACACCTCTGCACAGAAATCATCTGAGTCCAACTTGCAAAACTAGGTCTCAGTGTGAGGTAGAAAGGAGGTTGTTCTCAGGTCTTTATTTTGTGAGAAAATACTCACCTTTGAGATCTTCTTTCTTTGATCCTTAAAAAGGAAATCCCAAAAAATTGACCTCCTTTGAAATTCACTACATTCTTTTGCTGAACGAGACAGTCTGCCATTTGTTATTTCCCTTTATTTACTAACGTTCACTCTAGTTTTAATTTGTCTCAAAATGTGAATAGCCAAGCCTACTTGAACCAATTTTGCAATTGAAATTTGTTGCAGAACAGAAAATTACGTGAGGAACTTGAAGGACGAGGCATTTGTTGGAACAGGAAATGCAGAACATTATAGCAGAGTGGAGTACTTTTGGTAATGATGCATGGGACTGAAATGATGTGAAAGGGAAATCATTTAACCATGTAAATTGAACAAAGGAGAATTCCGTGATAATGACCCCAGGCCCTAGTATTCAGGAAAAGAAAATGGTGGGCATTGGAATGAGGTCACCCTGACGCATGTGGCATTGCATCTATCAGTTTGCTTTGGTTTGGCAACCTGGTTTGATTCTCTGCCAGAGCATAAGTTGGTTTTCATCTCAACAGTCCTTTTGCTCCTTGAAGGGTGAGAAAATAGGCCCATTTTTCAATATACCACAAAATATTTTAGGGTGAACTATTTTAGGGAAGGAGGATTTTAACAAACAAGTTGGTGACTCAATTTGATCCAGAGTTTCCAGGTTGAAGCAGTTGCATTTGCTAGAGAGAAGGAAGAGGAGGAAGGGCTGTTATTGTTGTCATTGTTTTTTCTAATATTTCCTACCAAGCAACTGCTTTGGGATAATAACAAAATGATTTTGCTATGGAAAAAATGCAGAGAAAAGAAACGGGGGCTCTTTGATTGGCTAATAATGAACATAAAGGACTTCATGCTTGCTGAATGGCAGATTGAAATTCAGTGTGTATTCATGCAGATCTTATGGGGGTGGTATTGGATTGGACCACAAATTAGTGCTGGCATTAATGAGATGGAAGCTGTAAAATGCAGAGTTCCAATAACCATGATCTCTGATAAGGCCCAATTGAAAGCACCCAGACCGTTCAGACAAGTTCTATGTGAAAGCAGAGCAATAAACAACAAAGAGATATTCAAAATGCGGGAAAAAAATTGAGGATTATATAACTGACTAAACTGGTATCAGAGTGCTTGGTTAAAACATTAATGCACAGCTGAGTGACAAACATAGACTTGCATAGAATAATGATTTTTAGAAACAGACACTGTTCGGCTGGTTGTGGTGGCTCATGCCTGTAATCCCAGCACTTTGGGAGGCCAAGGTGGGTGGATCATGAGGTCAGGAGTTTGAGACCAGCCTGGCCAACGTGGTGAAACCCCATCTCTACTAAAAAATACAAAAAGTAGCCAGGCGTGGTAGCACGTGCCTGTAGTCCCAGCTACTCAGAGGCTGAGGCAGGAGAACGGCTGGAACCCGGGAGACAGAGGTTGCAGTGAGCCCAGATCACGCCACTGCACTCCAGCCTGGGCGACAGAGCGAGACTTGGAAAAAAGAAAGAAAGAAAGAAACAGACACTGTTTAGATGCTACTCAAATGATCAGAGAGAAGGATTATACCTCTTCGTTATAGGGAAGTTAGTCTAAATCTGGAACTGCACTGTGACAATACCACTACTTCTAGCGCTAACACCAATATGCCTTCTGTGTGGTGGGTATCATGATTTATGGTTTACAGCACCTTTTCATATGTGTTATCCATTTGATCCTGATGGTTTTTTCACATTGATAGTTGCATACATGTTTGTGCACCCAGTTAGCTTCTGAATTCCATGACTGCAGGAACTGAAGTCTTATTCCTTTTATGAAACACCCCCTCTTTCCATTTAATTGTTCATGAATTCTCTTAGGCAATTTGTTTCAAACAACATTGCCAGATGGCAGACATCCTTTTTTCAGCATTTCTAGGATTACCTGGCATATAGAACAAGCACCATTATGGCAAAATTACATAATTATATTAAGTTGATAAATGAATGAATAAAATATACCACATAACATATTAACATGGGTGGATAGTATTTGGATGGCATTGGAATTCTTGGATGGCCATAGTCTGCAAAACTCACCTTCAACCACTGTCCCTGTATTCCATTATCCAAGTAGGCTAACAAGGTCTTGGCAAGTATGTGTGTGTCTTTATCAAACCACTTGGCTTCCTGGAACTCCATTGGTAAGCTTTCAGGAATTCCTTCTTCAGTTTTCTGTGAAGGTGAACCGAATGGTTCCTCTCCTCTTAGTGCCACCATTCTTATTTTTTGCTCAATCTCCAACCTCTTCTTTTCTGTACCTCTAGGGAAGCCCTGGGTCATGAAGCAGCTATTGCCTGTCCAGCCTGCTTTTTGTTCAAGGTACACACAGTGATCTAAATATCCTGTTGCTGTGGTGCTATGGGGGACAAGATTGGTGGGAGACTTTATTTCATTTTTCTGATTGTCACCATCTTGCTTTTATTCTTCTACACCCTCATTTTCCATATAACCTGAGAGTTACTTCAGTGCCCTTTGGGTCTTCAAGGGCCTTTCTGGGAATCCTGTCCTTTCTCCTTTCCTTTTTGTAGTCTGTCCTTGCTATTACAGTTTGATACATTTGTGTCCAGCACAGAGCCTGGCATACAGTAAGTGCTTAGACAATGTTGAAATGAAGGAAACTACCCTGCAAGAGAGAGGCCCTTCTGTATTCATTGTATATCTGAGGAGCAGTACAACCAAGAAAAGTTACATCCACAATTTTAGGTTGATAAAAGTGTGCAGCTGAGAAGATGCTTAGAGATCAACTAAGCCTCCCCCGCATTCCCATTGTTTGTATTCAGAAGAAAATTAAGTAAGAGGTGAATCAACTTTTCCAGTATCTAGTAGTTAGTGGGTAGTTTACTAAACACTGGAACTCTGAGTTGTGGTCAGTGTCTGTCTCTTCACATGTTTTTCTTTTTTAAAAATATTTATTGGCCGGCCGCAGTGGCTCACACCTGTAATCCCAGCACTTTGGGAGGCCGAGGCAGTCAGATCACAAGATCAGAAGATCGAGACCATCCTGGCTAACACGGTGAAACCCTGTCTCCACTAAAAAATACAAAAAATTAGCCAGGTGTGGTGGCGGGTGCCTATAGTCCCAGCTACTTGGGAGGCTGAGGCAGGAGAATGGTGTGAACCCAGAAGACGGAGCTTGCAGTGAGCCAAGATTGCACTACTGTACTCCAGCCTGGGCAACAGAGTGAGACTCTGTCTCAAAAAAAAATTTATTAAATTTAGAGACAGTCTTGCTGTGTCACTCAGGCTGGAATGCATTAGCACAATTGTAGCTCACTGTAACCTCAAACTCTTGGCTCAAGTGATCCTTCTGCCTCAGTCTTCTGAGTAGCTGGAATTACAGGTATGTGCTACCATGCCCAGCTAATTATTTAAAAAATTTCTTGTAGAGAGGGTGTCTTGCCATGTTGCCCAGGTTGGTCCTGAACCCCTGACATAAAAAATTCTCCTGCCTCAGCCTCCCAAAGTGCTGGGATTACAGGCGTGAGCCACCATGCCAACCCTCATATGTTTTTCTTACAGGTAAAGACAGTAGAGATGCTGCTGTGTACATAATCTTGATCTGATGTCCTAGTCTTTCTGCCAGGCATGGCATGTGTATCTTCTTATTTACATTGCTTGATGATGACTTCTGTCTCTCCATGCTGAGAATTTAAGAGATATCATTGCGGGAGAGGCTGGAAGTCTTCCTGAACTGGTTGGGACAGAATCATAGAATCTAAAGGCCAGGGAGAGTTTACAGCTTCCTGAGGCCAGTCATGCTCTGAAGTTTAAATCTTCACCTACAAAAAATGGTCAGCCAGACTCTGTTAGAACCTTCATGGCCTCTGTCGTTGGGTAGTGTTGACACTTGGGTTTTGACTGGAACCCATTTGAGGTTCCAAGTCCACCACCGTGGAGATACTCAGAACAACTGAATTCCTGGCCTCCATGCCAGTTCCAATTTAGGTTTTCATGATGTTTCTCCTTCTCCGTTAACAAGTCTTTTAACCCGTGTTTCTCAGTCTTTTGAACACCAAGGCAGACATTGAAAATGATGATATTTGCATGGCGCCCTGGGGTAAACCAGAGGGGAGTTAAGGATGTCTGTCTGGGGCTTGGCGAAAATTATTACACTTCTCTTTATAGTGTATAATTATAAGAAAATAAAATACAAAATATTATGAAAGATGTTAAATATTGAATTTGTATTAAACTTCCAAATAAAATCTTTTCAAATGTTTGAAAGCAAAATTTAGCTTGCTTCCATGAACATAACTTTTAATACCAGGTTTTATGCTTGAAATGGCTGCATGAAATTCCTGATCCAGACTTGTTAATGAAGATTTATTCAAATTCTTGATAGCCATGATGGTCAAGGAACTATGATTAAAAATAACATTACCATTTTTACAACTTTTCAAAAATGTGTAGTAGTTGAAGTTATAGTTAAAGACTCTAATCACTCTTTCTTTACTTTCATTGACAAATGTAATGTTGAAATTTCTAGTGTTTATAAGAAAGGATTTCTAACCCAACTGAACTTTTTAATATTAAGTAGTCCAAGGCCAAGCACGGTAGCTCATGTCTATAATCCCAGCACTTTGGAAGGCTGAGGTGGGCGGATCATTTGAGCTCAAGATTTGAGACCAGCTTAGGCAACATGGCAAAACCTCATCTGTACAAAAAAACCAAAAAAACAAAAATTAGTTGGGCATGGTGATGCGGCGCCTGTAGTCCCAAGGTACTCAGAAGGCTGAGGTGGAAAGATTGCTGGAGTCCAGAAGGCGAAGTGTGTTAGTCCATTTTCACACTACTGATAAAGACATACCCAAGACTTGGAAGAAAAATAGGTTTAATGGACTCACAGTTCTACGTGGCTGGGGAGGACTCACAATCATGGCTGAAGGTGAAAGGTGCTTCTTACATGGCAGCAGCAAGAGAGAATGAGGCAGAAGCGAAAGCAGAAACCCCTTATAAACCCATCAGATCTTGTGAGACTTATTCACTACCACAAGGACAGTATGGAAGAAACTGCCCCCGTGATTCAATTATGTCCCACCTGGTCACTCCCACAAGATGTGAGAATTATGGGAGTACAATTCAAGATGAGATTTGAGTGGGGACACAGAGCCAAACCATTTCACAGAGGTTGCTGTGAGCTGAGATGGCACCACTGTACTCCAGTCTGGGTGACAGAATGAGACCCTTTCTGAAAAGAAAAGAGAAGAGAAGAGCAGAGCAAGGGAGGGGAGGGGAGAGGAGGGGAGGGGAGTTCCCAAATATGTTGAAGCTCTGTTTTGCAGAATGCGTGCATGTTGTTAAAGCAGCCGTATGGATGCCTTCTGTATGGCTGCATCAGCCACATATGTCAGAAGCAGATTTACTGTGCATTGGTTACCTCTTTAGCCCGTTGCATCTTGGGCAGCAACTTCTACTACTTGCACAAGTCTAGTGAGACAGAACACTTACACAAGTTAAGCAAAGCAACTTCATTTATTTATTTATTTTAGAGAGAGTGTCTTGCTCTGTAGCCCAGATTGGAGTGCAGTAGCACAATTGTAGCTCACTGTGGCCTTGAACTACTAGGCCCAAGCAATCCTCCTGCCTCAGCTTGCTGAGTAGCTGGGATTACAGGCATGAGCTACTGGGCCCACTATGCAAAGCAACTTTATCACTTACAGTTAGGCAGCAAGATCCTAAGCCTAGCATTCACGGTGAACCAGTCCCCCAAGGCTTAGGAAATCTGCAGAGGATGGATGGAATCTTGTCTGCATGGTCTCTACATGACATTACAGCTGAGGGACTCCAAAAGCAGTCGATTCTGGGTTTTATACCTGGAGACAATAGATCTTGCTCAGCTAAAATTTTGCAGGAAACCCTATTTTAGTGGGGACATGAACAGAACCCAGGCTGTTCTGGACAGTTACACCTTATCTCAAGATGTTGTGTTCCCCGCATATTTTGCAGTTATTCTGAAAACCAAAGGCCAGAAAGTGGGGAAAGAGCTGGGTTTCTAAGGGGACTTGTCCTGCAACATGGAGAGAGATATTTGATATATGTGAAGAAAGAGGCTCTGGGCAGCACCAGAATCACATTTCTGCCCAGTTTCCTTTCCCCACCTGCACCCTCCAACCAGCAACACCTAAGGTGACACACTGTGCTCTTTGGGCCCCTGGAATATGAACTATTTCAGTAACAGCTCCTTGACCCCACTTTCAAGATGGGCAGGAGTGTCCCATGCTGCTGTTTGTGAAGGTTTGTGTTTCAGATGGTAGAGCATCTTCTTGTCCATGTTCAGTACATGCAAGTGGAGCAGGTGTTTTCCCCTTGGAGAACCATGAAGGGCATCCTCAGACCTCACTATGCTTGGATAATGTTTTGTAGAACCCCTACTAAGGCTACCTGGGCCAAAGCTGGCCGGCATGGGGTCTTTGGTTGTCCCAGGTCCTACTGAAGGGCTGAGGTATCCTGCAGCTCCAGGCAAAGCTCTTAACAATTCAGAGCACACCAGGATGCCAAGGCACACGGAAGATCTGCTCTTAGCCATTGCTTCCATGATGCAGATTCAAGTTTTTTCATCATCACTGTCTTCCTCTGATGGTCATGTCTGATTAATATATACCCCTTCCAATGCATAATGTTCATACCTGAACCCCAGGTGCAGCCTAATCAGCAAAGGAGACTCCCAGGAATACTCACCTCTCTTGACATAGATATTATATATATATATATATATTTTTTATATATCTATATATATATATATATTTTTATATATCTATATATATATATTTTTTTTTTGAGGCGCAGTTTTGCTCTTTTTGCCCAGGCTGGAGTGCAATGGCGTGACCTCAGCTCACCACAACCTCTGCTTCCTGGGTTCAAGTGATTCTCCTGCCTCAGCCTCCCTAGTAGCTGGGATTGCAGGCATGCACTACCACGCCTGGCTAATTTTTTATTTTTAGTAGAGGTGGGGTTTCTCCATGTTGGTCAGGCTGGTCTCAAACTCCCAATCTCAGGTGATCTGCCCACCTCAGCCTCCCAAAGTGCTGGGATTACAGTAGTGAGCCACTGCACCCAGCCGACATAGATATTGTACTTCTAAGGTGAATTTCTGGCATCTACACAATGTTGCTGACTTGTATTACACTTCTTGAATTTTATAGACTTTAAGTGGATAAACTTGTCTGCAAACAAAGCTTCATCCGGCTTGTTGCCATATTCTGATGGGCAAGAACGCTTTCAGTAAGGACCCCCCATGTTGAATGAATAAATGACACTTTTATTCCCAGAATAAACTTAATGAATATACTTTGAGCAGCACTGGACAACGCTGACCATTCCATTCTTTATTAATCTTTCATTTCCTTTGGCTGTCCTGACACCAACCTCTTCTGGTTCTCATCCTACCTTTCTAAGATTCCTTCTAAACCTTTTTCCTTATTCTTTGCCTACCTGTTGAATATTGACGTTTTCTATCTCTGCTTTTGTGATTTTTTCATCTGCACCCTCTTCCCCCCATGCCTGCCATTTCTACTTCCATTTGTATATGGCGAATTCCTGAAACTGTCTCTTGCCAAAAACTCTGTTCTGAGTTCCAGACTCATTTATCCAGCTGTTCATTTTTCCCTGGAGGTCTCACAAGCCCCTCAACTCACCCTATCTAAAATTGAACTCATGATATTCCACCAACCCAAAAATATTTCACCTCAAATCATTTCTAAATTGATAAAAGACACTGCCATCTACAAGTCACAAGACAGGGAAATCATCCTCCATTCCTTTCTCTCCCTCGCCTCTCCACATCCAGTCAGCCACTAGGGATATTGACCCTGCCTCCTTTATGTCTTTCAAACCCCTTCTCCTCTCTTGCCCTTGGTCTCTGAGTTCAGTAAGGTAATGCTTGCAAGGTGTTGGCCCTGTGCCTGGCACATGGTACCTACAGCATACATGACAGCTGTTCCTGCTATTAGCAGTTGCTCCAAACCCTTGTTACCATTCACCTATACTGTCAGGAATTGTCTCCTGTTCTCATGCTTCCAGTCGTATCCCCCATTAAACCCATACCTTAAATTCCTTCAATCACTATTAATTTTTCTCATAGCATATATCTTATGATCTCTGTTCCCTGCTTACAAACCCTTCAGTGGCTCCCTATGGCCCATTGATTGAGTTTCTATGACTTCTGTTACCCATCACCTTTCCTGACCTCAGATTTTCCAGGATGGCTGACCAGCTGCTCATTTGTGCTACTGCTACGTGTACATTATCATAGTTAATCCAGGTCTCCAATCAATAAGGTAGAAACTGCTGACAGCATTTTAAATGGAAGTTTTTCCAGCATTGAAAACAAAATAAAATTGTAAGGTCCAGCCTCCAGAAATCCTGTCATAGTATCATTTTTTTTTTCCAGATTGCTTCATAATTATTTCTTTAAATGTCTGCCTTCCCATTAATATGATGTGTGGGGAAAGGCCTGGGTCAGAGTCTTTGTCTCCACAGTGCCTGGCATGGTGCCTGATACTAAGTGTTGATTGAGCACCATTTGTGTGCCAAGGACTGCTCTAGGGTATGTGGAAACTATAAGGGACAAAATTCCTGCTCTTCCTGAGGGAAGCCTGTGCACTACCCATCCCTTTCCAGTCTCTTTCCTACCCAGAGGCTGATGTTATTCACTGCATTTTCTGTGATTAGTAACATAAAGGGGGAAAAATCATTCAGAGAGAAAATATGAACTGTCAGATGAGAATGAAATTATAAGTGGTAAGAGGAGAATTAAATTAAGAGCAGTAAGCATCATGGATTTATAAAAACAAGTCATGTCAGACAAACTTAATTGCTTTTCCTGATAGAATTACCAAATTAAGGGATGGCGGGATACAATATCCTGAGAGCAGTTTCCTTCAACGACCAGGTAATGAATATTATTTTTGAAGTTAGCAGAGCCTTTTGAAATAGAATCAGTTGAAATTGTACCAAATGAATTCAGATTGACTTTGATGTGAGTCTGGTTCACTGACTTGACAACAGATTGGAGAGGAGAAAAACTAAGGCAACTACAAACAATATGGTGCTGAGCTTCAAGACACTGCCTAGCAGAAGCGTGGGGATCCTTATTCAGATGGATTTATCACAATCATTATTGGAGTCAAAGAATGACTTTTGTGGCATTTAAAAGACATCAAGAGAAAATCACAGTACTTGGGGGAAGTCACTGCATGGAGCACAGAAATGAGATGCTTCTACACTATCATTACAACAGTGTGGCCCTTGGAGTGATAATAACCAATATCTTGCATAGTGCTTTAAACCTCTGCTACCCAGGGTATAAGTCTGCAGACAGCAGGAGCATGGGGGAGCATCTAGGAGCTTCTTAGAAATGCAGAGTCTCAGGCCTCACCCCAGTGAATCTGAGTCCGCATTGTAACAAAATCCCAGATGATTTGGATGCACGTTAAAGTTTGAGATGCATTGCTGGGTTTATTTTATATTATCCTATACAATTTGATTTTTAGATCTTTCTCAGAGGGGCGAGACTTTGTGTTTACCTAAAAAATCAGGGATTCAGCCCCAGTCTTAGCAATTCCATTGTTTACTCTTTCCACCTTCCTTAAAATCAAGCATATGAAGCTGATGAAGTTGGTCCCTTGGGGAAGTTACTTAACCTCAGTGGGCCACACTGTGTTTATTTGTAAACAGGAGCTAACAACCTGGGCACCATTACAGTGTTTTTACACGCCACATGTGTATATAATACTTTCGCATCTTCTAACATCACTGAGTATATTATTATTCCCATTGCACACATATGGACACTGACATTTGGAGTGTTTATGTAATTGGCCTAAATTCATATTTTATTAAACAGCAGATCCAGGATTTAAACCTAGGTCTGTCCGATTCCCAAAGCCATGTTATTTCATATACAGTATGAAAAGGGCTGTATCATAGCTATGAGTGACAGAGATTTCAGAAGCTGGGGCCAAGAGAGGGGTTTAGTTAGGAAATATTTGTTGAGGACCTATGACGTTGTAAGAACCCCTGAGAATATGCATTAGGGAATAAAACAGAACTGGGCCCTGCTTTGTTAAGTTTATAATCTAATGGAGATGGAAAATTTATGTGTGTGTGTATGTGTGTATTTTGAGGCAGGAGATATTGCTTGCAAGCTTTTTTGTTGGGATAATGCAGACATTAAGGATGATGGAAAATTGCTGTTAACTCTAAGCAACTGGATAATTTTTAGAAGTGAGGGCATGGAAACAGATACAAATATATAACATGCTATTGAACTGTTAATGACAAACTTTTAGCCAACCACTTTGCCTCTTTAAAATTTCTTCCAACCTTATTTTAAAAAAAAACTTATAGGGCCCTTAGAGAATTCTATTATTCCCTGTATGCCAATAAGAGCTTTGGAAAGAAAAGGTAAAGCAAGAGATTAAAATGCCATCTCTTTTATCACTGACCTTGGCCTAGTATCTAGGTCCCACTCTCTTAGGTATTCAGATTGAATTAAAAGAAAGATACTTGTCTTCTGTGTGAGGTTGGTCTCCAGAAAACTTCTTGGTGACAAGTATTACAGAAATTCAAGAGCCCAGAGAGTTCTTAGTGGAGAGATGGTACATTGAAAAATCTGAAACTGACCAGGCACAGTGGCTCACTCCTGTAATCCCAGCACTTTAGGAGGCCAGGTGGGTGGATCACTTGAGGCCAGGAGTTCAAGACCGACCTGAGCAACATGGCAAAACCCCCATCTCTACAAAAAATACAAAAAACTAGCTGAACATGGTGGTGCATGCCTGTAGTCCCAGCTACTCAGAAGGCGGAGGTGGCAGGATCACCTGAGCCCTGGGAGGTCAAGGCTACCATAAGCTGTCATTGCACCATTACACTTCAGCCTGGGTGGACAGAGCAAGACCCTGTCTCAAAAGAAAAAGAAAAGAAAAATCCGAAACGAAGCATCGCCCCAAAGCGTCTCTTCTAGTAAACTCTCCATTGTCCCTCCAGTTTTAGCCTAAATGTCCCTTCCTCAAAGAAGGCTTTTCTGATCCAGATCTGGTTAGGAGAATCAGAATCGGTGTCTGCTAAATGTTCCTGCGCAGCGTTCGTTTTTCCTTCAAAGCCCTCATCCAATTGTAATGGGTTTTTTATATCCCTCTGTCTCTCCTAACTCTCGGCTCTGTGAGGGTAGAGCCTGTGTCTCTTGTAATAAATGCTGTATCCCCAGGATCTAGCAGAGTGCGAGGCATATAGTAGGTGCTTAGAGTGTTACGTCAATGATTCAATAGTCATGCTATTCACATATAAACATCAGATTTTTTTTTTTTTTTTTTTTTTTTTTTTTTTTTTTTTTGAGACAGAGTCTTACTCTGTCGCTCAGGCTGGAGAGCAATGGTGCAGTCTCGGCTCACTTCCACCTCCCGGATTCAAGAGATTCTCCTGCCTCAGCCTCCCGAGTAGCTGGGATTACAGGCACCTGCCACCACGCCTGGTTAATTTTTTTTTGAAACGGAGTCTTGTTCTGTCGCCAAGGCTGGAGGGCAGTGGCGCAATCTCTGCTCACTGCAAGCTCCACCTCCTGGGTTCACACCATTCTCCTGCCTCAGCCTCCTGAGTAGCTGGGACTACAGGCAACCGCAACCACGCCCAGCTAATTTTTTGTATTTTTAGTAGAGACGGGGTTTCACCATGTTAGCCAGGATGGTTTCGATCTCCTGACTTCGTGATCCACTCGCCTCAGCCTCCCAGAGTGCTGGGATTACAGGTGTGAGCCACTGCGCCCAGCCAATTTTTAAAATTTTTAGTAGAGATGGGGTTTCACCATGTTGGCCAGGCTGGTCTCGAACTCCTGACCTCAAGTGATCCACCCACCTCAGTCTCCCAAAGTGCTGGGATTAAAGGCGTGAGCCACGTGCCCGGCCCAACATCTGATATTTTTTAAAGTACATTTTTACCCATTTTAAATGTGGTGCGATAAATCTCTTTTATTATTATTATTTTTTGTATGTGGTAAAACATACATAACATAAAATTTACCATCTTCACTATTTTAAAGCATACAGTTTGGTGATACTGAGTACACTCACATTGTTGTGCAACCATCACTACCATTCACCCATAGAACTTTTTTCATTTTCCAAAACTGACACTCTGTACGTATTACAAAATAACTCCCCATTTCCTTCTCCTCCCAGCCCCTGGCAACCATCATTCTACTTTCTTTCTGTCTCTATGAATTTGAATACTCTAGGTACCGCATGTAAGTGGAATCATACAGTATTTTTAATTTTCTTTTCCTTTTTTTTTTTTTTTTGAGATGGAGTCTTGCTCTGTCACCCAGGCTGGAGTCCAGTGGCGCCATCTCAGTTCACTGCAACCTCTGCCTCCTGGGTTCAAGCGATTCTCGTGCCTCAGCCTCCTCCTGAGTTGCTGGGATTACAGGCACCCACCACCACGCCCAGCTAATTTTTTGTATTTTTTAGTAGAGACGGGGTTTCCTCAAGTTGGCCAGGCTGGTCTTGAACTCTTGACCTCAAGTGATCCACTCACCTCGGCCTCGCAAAGTTCTGGGATTACAGGTACCTGGCCACAGTGTTTTTTCTTTAAAGGCCTTTTATCTTTCTGAATTGGTAAGGGACACAAACTTATGTGGTCTTGTTTGGTAGAGTGAGGTTCTTAAGACTCTGATTCAAAGAGAACTCTGGTTATTCTTGGCCTATTTGTATTTACAGAATCAGAGATTAATAGATGAGGAAGAGATGTAACAGATCATCTACTTCAGACTTTTAAGTCCCAAGTATAAGATTTATTGCTAGACTGAAATTCAAATGGTGCAGGAATGGTGAACCCAGTATTTCCCCCTGTCTGTCAACACACAGAATGTGGTAATCCAAGGCAATGCGATTAAGACAGTGGTTCACCTAAACATTACTTATTTTCACATCTTATCAAGGCTGCCAGTGTAGTATTGGAGGGAAAGCGCAGAATCAACCCAAGACACACAAATAAGAAATAAAAACAGGATGAATGTGGCAGACATCCTCGGGTGGCCATTTAATACCTGAATCTGGGTCACAGTGAAGGGACTGGCTCTAGTCTCTGACCTAACAAGCCTGGTCAATTTACATGATTTCTGTCTCTGCTTTAGCTGGAAGATACTCACCAAACAAACAAACAATGAATCTTGATGGTTTGGAGGCAACAGAGAGGGAGAGGCCTTGCAAAAATTCAGATCCGCACATGCAACATCTCTTGGCAGGTCAGTGAATTGGCAACTAACAGCTGTACAGTAAGATTTCTGAGACAAATATTCAGATTACTATCAATACGACTCAAATGATCCTCCTGTGTGTTGCAGGGAGGAGGAGGGGGAGAGGTAGAAGTGTTCATGGTGGCTTAGCAACATGGCCAGGGGCTAAAATGGGAGTCTCCTTTGAGGCTTTAAGCATCACCAGATTCTGAGGAGCATGCAGAGCAAAGAACTAAGACCCCAAGTCTTGCAACCTAGTTTGGGACATGGGAAGGGGTGCAAAATTTAAGGAGGGATGCAGATCATTATTGGAACCAGTAATTTGAAAAGTAAGGGATTAGCAAGCAGCAGTTCAAGCATAAGCAGGCAGAGGTCTGGGACAAGAGCCAGGCCTGGGGTGTTTGTGACCATGGCCTAGGTATGGGCCATACCAACAGGCTTAAAGGACTAGGCATAGGAAGACATACTTTGTGCAAATGGCTAAACTGATTGCATTTATTTGACTATATAGATTTGTTCATGTAGACTATGTAGATTTAACTGTGTAGATTTGTCACGATCTTCTTTCCCTAAAACCTGCTTCCTCCATATCTTAGATGTTGGCCAAAACTTTGTGGCCAGGCTGGTATCCTGATTACAGATCAACCACCTGGATGCCAAACAGTGTACCTGTGGGAACTTTTGCAAGATGTGCTCTCTACTCCCAATGATTTGGCCTGGAATTAGAAATGTGAACTCCACTTTGAGAATTTTGCAGGTGTCTGGGAAGCGTTGGGTCCCGTACAAAACCATTCTCATATCTTCAACACAGATTTATCTTTTACTTATGCAGAGATGATAATGGGCTGCCATTCGCTCCTTCAACTTCCTTTGACTATTGAAAGAAATAGATCTACTATAGAGTTTGTTGAGAATCTTTGTAGTCCAAGTTCAAGTAAAAACACATTATATCACGGATAAAATGGTTTCAGAAATCAGTGGACAAGTTTATGTTAGTTTTTGCAACCTCAGGTCCCACTGCCAGGCCAGGTAATGCTTTCCTTCTTGGATTCCATGTTGTGTGCTTCAGTCTGAATAACATTAAAAATATTTCTCTTAGCAGGATGCGGTGGGGTTGTTTTCTTTTTTAATTTCAAATAACACCACTCCTTGAACTGGGAACAAACAATTCACTTGCAGCTCGGCTCTGCTTTTATTTGTAATTTTCACATAAATCAACTTATATGAAAATGTATTCATAATTTGAGCTTTCTCTATAGCGATAAAATGTTTCTGCTTCTGTGGTAGAAAATAGCTTATTATGCAAACAACATTGCCACTCTTACATTATGCATGGGATTTACCTGGAGAACATCACAAAAGCTTCAGGAAAAAAAAAAGCCAGGGAGGGTGTAGTAGGGTGCTTCGTTTACTGCACCATTTACCTATAATAATTAGCTACAAATGAACTAATATCTGTATTTAGCAACTTCTTTAATATTGCTTTGGTTAATTCAGTGAAACAATGGAGAAAAAGAAAAAAATACAAGGGAGGTCTCCTGACAAATGGTGCCTTTCAGGATGTCAGCTCCATGAAAAATGAGATCTGGTGGTTTCAAACTTAGGCCAGTGGTGGTGAGTAATTAATGGCCAACTCATTTGAACTTGTGTGCTTGATCTAATTTGGGATATTGGGAGTTCACACTGATTTGCCTTTAAAAAGAATGTCACTGTCAAATAAGGTGATTGTGTAAGATTGATATGGAGAACTTGGACTTGGATGTACAGCACATTTTATATTTAGAGAGGCAGCAGCAAACAGTGTGATTACTAAACTTGTGTGCAATGGGACCACCATCCCGGAGAAAAAGATGGTGTCCTTTCTACATAGGATTCAAGCAGGGATCACTTTAGGCGTAAATGGTTTATGATATTTATTTTTTTCAGTCATAGAACAAATATGTTTTGAGTGTCTTTTCATTGTGTTCAGGCCTGTGGATAAAACAATAATGCAATATGGCCCCTGCTCTTATGTTGCCTCCATTGTAGTTGGGGAGTGGGGCTGGCAAGCAAAGAACAAGTAGCACAAATAAATAAAATAATTGCAATAAGAATGATAAATGCTGTGAAGGAAATACACAAGGAGCATAATTCAAGGGGTTATGGAGTGGTCCAGTACCCCTGGGATAATAGAGTATAATCTTCGACAAATGATTTAACGTACCTAAATTTATCATGTGTAAATTATAAAGAAATATGTGTGCATGAATTATCATTACTTTAGGTGTTGTCAACCAACACACAGTTGCCCCTTGTGAGTCTGCCATCTTAAATCACTGGCAGTGGTCTGTTTGCTCCATCTGGACCATCCCATTTCAAAGGATCAAATACCGAGGAGATTATTCTGTAGTTGTAGCTTTCCAGCAATTCATATTTCTTCTTTGCAGGGCTTGTGGCTGCTCTATTGTGTGTTCTCCAAAGGGCAGCTTTCTTCTATTGGTTCTGCTACAGGACTTCTGCTCACCCTTGTTGAAGTCAGGATTTCAAGATCCTCCCTAGAAAGATGAAGTAGTAGTAAATGATAGACCACGCACCAGGCCTCAAATCAGAAGCCTGGTGTTCCACTCCCAGCTTTATTTCTTAATGGGTGCCTGACTTTAGTCAAGTTATATTCTTTTCAGAATACCAGCTCCTTGTCATGATTAAAAGGTATGTAACAACAATACCTTCTCTAATAATATCTAGTAATAACTCTCTAAGTTATTATGAAGTAAAATGAAAATTCATAAATTATTTAAATAATTTCATGCCACAGGGAAAACAAAGGACAGTTCATTTGTTCACTTTACAAAGCTAGGATAATCTGATAATTGTATGTTCACTTATAAATGTGGATGGAAAAAGTCTGACTAAAACATTAGTTTATTGAATGTAGCATTGTATAAAATGAATGGCACACCGTGACTAGGAGGGCTTATTTTTGTAAGTAAAGCTATTTTGATATAAGAAAATCTACAAGTTAATAATTCTTCAAATTAAACTAAAAGAGGAAAAAGAGTAATAGGATTAAATCATTAGATGCTATAATATAATTTTGTAAAATTAAATAGCCATTCTTTTTTTAAAAAAATATTTCACCTTTTATTTTAGATTTTAGGGGTACATGTGCAGGTTTGTTGCATGGCTACATTGTGTGATGCTGAGGTTTGGGATATGGATGATCCTGTCACCCAGGTAGTGGGCATCATAGCCAATCGGTAGTTTTTCAGCCCAATCCCCCCTCCCTCTCTTCTCCCTCTAGTAGTCCTCAGTGTTCCTTGTTGCCATCTTTATGTCCATGTGGACTCAATGTTTAGCTCCCACTTATAAGTGAGAATATGTGGTATTTTGATTTTCTGTTCCTGAGTTAATTTGCTTAGGACAGTGGCCTCCAGCTGCATCCACGTTGCTGTAAAGGACATGATTTTGTTCTTTTTCATGGCTGTGCAGTATTCCATGGCAAAAATGTGCCATATTTTCTTTAATCCACCGTGTATGGGCACCTAGGTTGATTCCATGTCATTGCTATCATGAATAGTGCCACAATGAACATATGTGTGCATGTGTCTTTTTGATAGAATGATTTATTTTATTTTGGATAATAGCCAGTAATGGAATTGCTAGGTCAAATAGTAGTTCTATTTTAAGTTCTTTAAGAAATCTCCAAACTGATTTCCACAGTGACTGAACAAATTTACATTCCCACCAACAGTGTATAGGCATTTCCTGACTAGTGTGAGATTGTATCTCCTTGCGGTTTTGATGTTCATTTCTCTGATGATTAGTGATGTTGAACATTTTTTTATATGTTTTTTGGCCACTTGTATGTCTTCTTTTCAGAAGTGTCTGTTTATTTCTATTGCCCTTTTTATCCCCCTCTTTCCCAGTTATATGAGAGAGGAAATGTTGACCATTTTTAAATGGGGTTATTTGGGTTTTTTTTTTTTTTTCTTGTCGATTTGTTTAAGTTCTTTACAGATTCTGGGTATTAGATTTTTTTCTTTTTCTTTTTGAGATGGAGTCTGGCTCTGTCACCCAGGCTGGAGTGCAGTGGCACGATCTTGGCTCACAGCAACCTCTGCCTCCCAGGTTCAAGAGATTCTCCTGCCTCAGCCTCCTGAGCATCTGGGACTACAGGTGCGTGCCACCATTACAATTTTTGTAATTTTATTAGAGATGGGTTTCATCATATTGGTCAGGCTGGTCTCAAACTCCTGACCTCAGGTGATCTACCTGCCTCGGCCTCCCAAAGTGCTTGGATTACAGGCATGAACTACTGTGCCTGGTCAGATTTTTTATTTTTATTTTTGTTTTTTTGACGCAGGGTCTTACTCCATTGCCCAGGCTGGAGTGCCAGTGATGTGATCTCAATTTACTGCAATCTTCCCTTCCCGGGCTCAAACGATCATCCCACCTTAGCCTCCCTAGTAGCTAGGACTACAGGTGCGTGCCACCGCATCCAGCTAATTTTTGTATTTATTTTTTGATAGAGATGGAGTTTTGCCATGTTGCCCAGGCTGGTCTTGAACGCCTGGGCTCAAGGGATCCTCCTGCCTCAGCCTCCCAAAGTGCTGAGATTACAGACATGAGCCACCACACCTGACAAAATTCGTAGGAATAATTTGATAAGATTCATAACCCCTGGCCAGGTACCGTGGCTCACACCTGTAATCCCAGCACTTTGGGAGGCTGAGGCGGGTGGATCACCTGAGGTCAGGAGTTCAAGACCAGCCTGGCCAACATGGTGAAACCCCGCCTCTACTAAAAATGCAAAATATTAGCCAGGCGTGGTGGCAGGCGCCTGTAATCCCGGCTACTCAGGAGGCTGAGGCAGGAGAATTGCTTGAACCTTGGGAGGAGGAGGTTGCAGTGAACCAAGATCACACCATTGAATTCCAGCCTGGGCAACAAGAGCGAAACTCTGTCTCAAAAAAAAAAAAAAAAAAAGAAAAGAAAAAAAAGAAAAAGAAAAAGTTAAAAAAAAAAAAGATTTGTACCCTTCTAAAAAAACCTTTAAAAATCATATTGGATAAATGGAGAAATGTATAATCATTGACATGAATCACTCAAAACTGTAAAATTTTCCGTTTTTTCAAAATCAGTAAATACATATTTGCAGTTACATTGAAAATCTTAATGGAAATCTTAAAATAGTTGAGAAAATTATGCAAAAGAGGA
This sequence comes from Homo sapiens, assembly GCF_000001405.40. Taxonomy (NCBI): domain Eukaryota; kingdom Metazoa; phylum Chordata; class Mammalia; order Primates; family Hominidae; genus Homo; species Homo sapiens. The sequence goes on from NC_000004.12 coordinate 42,215,672, forward strand.
ATAAGAAATACCTTACTGGATAAAAGTAACTTTAGGGCCGGGCGCGGTGGCTCACACCTGTAATCCCAGCACTTTGGGAGGCCGAGGTGGTGGATCACTTGAGATTGAGAGTTCGAGACCAGCCTGACCAACATGGAGAAAACTTGTCTCTACTAAAAATACAAAATTAGCTGGGTGTAGTGGCGCATGCGTGTAATCCCAGCTACTTGGGAGGCTGAGGCAGAAGAATCGCTTGAACCCGGGAGGCGGAGGTTGCGGTGAGCCAAGATCGCACCACTGCACTCCAGCCTGAGCAACAGGCTCCTCTAATCAGGTAATATTTTTCCAAATATACTCCAGGAACTAAGACTTCAGAGTCCTAAATGTCCAGATCTTCACATCCCAAGTATTTCTCTTCAGACTCAAATGATCAATGTCAAAAAAAAAATCACATTAGACAATGAGAACAATTTATGAAACTTAAATTAAAAAGCCCCTTGGTTGTGAAGTGATGTGATCCAAGCCCCTTGGATGTGAAGTTAGCCTCCACAGGGAAGAAACTTAGGACCTATGAAATTCTTAAAGGACACACCAGTCTCACAGCTTGTGATGCTGTGATGTAAGGAGACTCACATCTCCCGAATTAAAACTCAGCTCTCGTTCCACTGCCCCCACGCTACCTCACAATACAGGCAAAAGAGGCTAAGCTTATTCCAAATGGAAATGTTTTTTTCACCTATGAATTTATTTACAGGCTATTGTAATGAACCGTAAGTATCACACAGCCCTGAAAATGTTCTGCTGTTTTAAACTCTTAGTTTTCAAGATAGAGTAAACAGAAATTTTCATAGGCTTGTAATGACCACATCCTGCAAGACCTGGCATGACTCTTAAAGTCAAACTGATGTCAACTTCTACCCATTCCATTTTACATTTTACTGCCATCCAAGCAAAAATTAGGAACAGTTTGCAGTCCAGTGTGAACTAGAAGCCTCCTGGTCCAATGCCACTGTTCCCTAGGTGTCTGACGGAAGGCAAGTTATTTAGGAGAGGCAAGCTGGTGGAATGGACAAAGCACACACTTAGGAATTAGGGAGCAGCTGTAGCTTATGACTTTGTGTGTCTCTGTTTGCAAGGCTTAGAAGTGTGTAGATAATGATCACAAGCACTTTCTGTTGTTTGCAACCTGTGAACAAATGCCAGCAACTGACTGACTGGCTGAGCTGGATGGGTCCCCCAGAGGATGAGTCGCTGGCAGCTGTTCCTGGTGTATCTTCATGCATAGTTACTTGTGATAGAAGAAATAAAATTGGAGCAAGAGAACAACTTGGCTTCATTCCTTTGGTGCTGGGAAAGGGTTGTGTCTTGAACTCATCTGTCTGTATCCTGTTAAGAGTAGCTCAGATGTAAATTTCAAATTAAATAAGAACGTCTAAGAGAATGCATTATGAACTCAGTGCTCAATGAACAAAATAAAAATTATTGCAGTCAACGGAGTTAATTTTACTCTGGGGATGAGTTTATATTTTTTTCTCTTTAAGCATGCTTGGAATTCAGTCCTGGGAGTCAAATATTGACATTTACAAGATGACTTCTTATACTATATGTCAATGAGAATGAGTGACTCTAACTGCACACGACAGTTGGAACAAATCTCGTAAAGATAATGTTTAGCCAAAGAAGCCAGACGCAAAAGAGTACATTCTGTGATTCTATTTACATAACATCCCAAAACAGGCAAAACTCATCAATGGTGTGAGAAGTCAGGAAAATGATTGCCCACGGGGTCAGGAGTGACACAGGAAGGAACAGGGAGAGCTAGAGGTGCTGGACAGCTGAATGTGATCAATTTCTTTTTCTTTCTTTCTTTTTTTTTTTTTTGAGACGGAGTCTTGCTCTGTTGCCCAGGCTGGAGTGCAGTGGCACAATCCCGGCTCACTGCAACCTCTGCCTCCTGAGTTCAAGCAATTCTCCTGTCTCAGCCTCCCGAGCAGCTGGGATTACAGGTGCCCACCACCATGCCCGGCTAAGTTTTGTATTTTTAGTAGAGATGGAGTTTCATCATGTTGGCCAGGCTGATCTCAAACTCCTGACCTCAAGTGATCTGCCCATCTTGGCCTCCCAAAGTGCTGGGATTACAGGCATGAACCACCACATCCTGCCAATTTCTTGATCGAGGTGCTGAGTACATGAGCATGTTCAGTTTTTTTTATTATTATTTATTTTTGTTGTTGTTTTGAGACGGAGTCTCGCTCTGTCGCCCAGGCTGGAGTGCAGTGGCACGATCTCGGCTCACTGCAAGTTCTGCCTCCCGGGTTCACGCCATTGTCCTGCCTCAGCCTCCCGAGTAGCTGGGTCTACAGGCACGCACCACCACGCCCGGCTAATTTTTTGTATTTTTTAGTAGAGAAGGGGTTTCACCATGTTAGCCAGGATGGTTTCGATCTCCTGAACTCGTGATCCGCCCACCTCAGCCTCCCAAAGTGCTGGGATTACAGGCATGAGCCACTATGCCCGGCCGCATGTTCAGTTTTTAAAAATCTCATCAGCCTGTACACTTTTGGTGAGTATACTTTTCTTATGTATGTCAATAAAAAGTAAAAACAAAAAAAATCAATTTATTGTGCCCTTCGTACCTTCTGTTCCTTTAATTGGCATCAAGTGTCCCTGGTAGATGGCAAACATTCTTCCTCCTCCATCCCACTTCCATCCTATGGGTAAACCTTTAATAAGGGCTATAATTGATTAATATTAAACTGGAGACCTTGACTGCTTAGAGAGAGTTCATTTATTATAGTCTTTTCTACCTAATATTTACTGAGGGACAGCCTGATAGAACAGGTGCAGAGAGTTTGAAATAAATGTTAGGCATTAGGAAAATAAGGCCCATTAACCCCACACAGTGAAGGGTGGTGTAATTATAAGTAAAAAGTCGACTTTCACCCTCTTCACAAATTTGTGGAGGCCTGGTCATCTAACCAGGCGTTTAATCTCTGTCGTGGGTAGTTTGTTCGTTTATTCTGTTTAGAGGCAGAACATTGATTGGGAAACCTCTGGAGATCTTTTCTGGCCTTTTGGTTTCAGATAATTAAGTCTATTAGGGGTGATACATATGAATAGCCAAGCCATACAACTTTTCAAGCATGGTTAGGAGATGGGACAATGTTCTCAAACAAGTAAGACCTTCAGCCTCCTGGGGCTGCTAGTGAGACCACTGCTGCTTGTTCTTCAGGAGCAGGGACAAAGCAGAGATTACACGGGGATGAACGAAGATGCAATCTGCATGGTTGGCCCCTCAGAACATCTTCAGGCTCGGTGGCGTCTTTTCAGTTCCTGTCCCCCCACCTTCCTCCTGAGGCCACCCCCGCTGCTCATGGCCACACAAATCTCTTATTTCACCCCCATTTCTGTTGTGATCTCCTAGTACCCACTCCCTGGACCAAACCATCTCTTGCCACTGCATTTCATTCCCAGGTGCCATTTTGGACCACTTCTCTCTTTGAGGGATGGCATCCACCATTTAGCACTTCCCTTACGTTACCGTGTCTCCTTTCTCCAAGAAGACTCTATCTCAGATTACCTTGAAAAGTTTCCTAACTAGCGATCTTACTGCCTCTTTTCCATGGATCACTGACTCTTAGCTGGCCTTAAAAGGACAAAGAAAGGCCAGGCGCAGTGGCTCATGCCTGTAATTCCATCCCTTTGGGAGGCGGAGGAGGGCAGATTACTTGAGGTCAGGAGTTTGCCACCAGCCCGGCCAACATGGCGAAACCCCCTCTCTACTAAAATACAAAAATTAAACGGGCGTGGTGGCATACATCTGTAATCCCAGCTACTTGGGAGGCTGAGGCATGAGAATTGCTTGAACCAGGTGGAGGTTGCAGTGAGCCGAGATTGCACCACTACACTCCAGCCTGGGCGACAGAGTGAGACCCTGTCTCAAAAAAAAAAGAAAGAAAGAAAGAAAAGAATACATTTTCTCATTAAAAAAAAAGTGCTAGTCTTTCTTTAGCATGCCTCAGTTCAAATGTTACTTCCTTCTAGAACACTCTCTAACCTCCCTTTCTAAAGTGAGTTCATCATTTTCATCATATCACCTTTGTTTCTTTTCCTAATTACTACTGAAATGATCTTATTTGTTTACGTTTGCTGTCTAATTCTCTACTTCCTCACGAATGTCATCTCTGTGAAGAAAGCCTTACCTATCTTATTCACTGTAATATGCTAATGTGAACAGGACTTTGCACCATGATAGGACTCAATTAATGTTCCTTTTTTTTTGAGACAAGGTTTTGCTCTGTCACCCAGGCTGCACGGCCAGTGGCACAATTGCAGTTGCCACTCACTGCAACCTCAAACTCCTAGACTCCAGCAAGCCTCCCATCTTAGCCTCCAAGTAGCTGGGACCACAGGCATGAACCACCACACCCAGCCAATTTTTTATTTTTTATAGAGATGGAGTCTTGCTATGTTTCCCAGACTGGCCTTAAACTCCTGGCCTCAAGTGATCCTCCCACCTCAGCCTCCCAAAGTTGGAGTTACAGGTGTGAGCTACTGTGCCTGGCCAATGTTCTTTAAATGAGCAAATGAGTCATTAAATACACTCTAAAGGTTGAAGAAAGTTTGAGTGACTCCCACTTGGGGTATAGTATATGAAAGTTAAAATAGCCTTAATTAGTGAGATAAATTCTTAGACAAGTGATTTTCTTGCAAAACCCAACTGGCCATAAACCACAGAACACCCACTTGGATTAGTTACACTGTGATGCTGATGTGAACTTTCTTGGGATCGTTGTCAATAACTGGCCTGTGATGGAGGGAGATGGTACTTCCAAAGTCCAGCTTCTGGTTCCTCACTCTGGAGAGAAGTGTGGCTTTTAGCTAGCCGAGTTGGGAAGGCCTGCAAGGTTAATCCTGAGTTAAGCTTTAGAATCTGACTCCCCAGGGAGACCTAGGAAAAGCTAAGATTTTACATTAATATGTAACCAAAACTTAAACTCATATTTCAGCAACAAAGAATAGTAAATAATGTATTGCTTCATGAAGATTTGCTTAGTTTATTTACTTACATTATTTATAAGTTATGTTGGGAATAGACTTGGCCTGCTCCGCTTTGTTCACAGTAACATTCCATAAATATAACAGCAAGCAATAAAATAGCATTGATTCCAAAGTGAACTCATAGCTTCCTATAACATCAAACATAAAAGCTGTGTTACAATGATAAATACTAAATCTTTAAAATATCTTTAAAATGTCATTGGCTTTTTACTACTATTACTTATGCAGTATGTATTTCAGATTTTCATATTCAGCATTGTACTTTTTTGCATGTGAATTATGTCCTGAAGCTTTTGGTGCCATCTATATAAAACAGACGTTTTGAACTTTTGGATGAGTGGCAGAAGAACTTGATTCTGATTCAAAACGTCATTCTAAGTTGTCTACACAATTTCAAGAAGAGAATAAATGGCAAAAAAAAAACAAAACAAAACTTGGCCTTTTTTTTTTCTATGAGTGAGAAGTTCAAGCAATCCAGGCAAAAAAGTGGGAGCTGAACAGAAAAGTCTTCTATTCTTCCTGCGATAAGAAGCATCCTTGACGGGCGCAGTGGCTCATGCCTGTAATCCCAGCACTCTGGGAGGCCGAGGGGGTCTGATCACGAGGCAGGAGATAGACACCATCCTAGCTGACACGGTGAAACCTCGTCTCCACTAAAAAAATATACAAAAAAAAAAAATTAGCCGGGCGTGGTGGTGGGTGCCTGTAGTCCCAGCTACTTCGGAGGCTGAGGCAGGAGAATGGCGTGAACGCGGGAGGCGGAGCTTGCAGTGAGCAGAGATCGCGCCACTGCACTCCAGCCTGGGTGACAGAGCGAAACTCGTCTCAAAAAAAAAAAAAAAAAAAAGAAAGAAAAAAAAAAATGTCTGGGCGCGGTGGCTCACGCCTGTAATCCCAGCACTTTGGGAGGCCAAGGCGGGTGGATCACGAGGTCAGGAGATCGAGACCATCCTGGCTAACAAGGTGAAACCCCGTCTCTACTAAAAATACAACAACAACAAAAAATTAGCTGGGCGTGGTGGCGGTCGCCTGTAGTCCCAGCTATTCGGGAGGCTGAGGCAGGAGAATGGCGTGAACCCGGGAAGTGGAGCTTGCAGTGAGCCAAGATCATGCCACTGCCCTCCAGCCTGAGCGAGACTCCGTCTAAAAAAAAAAAGAAAAGAAATGTCCTTGTTTTCTTGCTTGGCTTGTCCTAGAGTTTTCTTGAGGTTCTGAGGTCTCTCCATGGCTTCATATTGGTCTGATGGAATCCAATACAGGGGTTACTTTGCAGTGAATGAGACATAGGTATGGAGTAATGTTAAGGTCTGGATCTTGGAATTAGGTAGATCTGGGCTCAAGCGCTGGCTCTGCTTGTTAATATAAGTTGTGTGTCCTTGGGCCATTGACTTAACCATTTGTGCCGCAATTTTCTTGTCTGTAAAACAGAGACACAAATGTAGGTATTAGGTATAATACGTTATACCTAAAAACGTAGTGAGGATCCAGTAAGATAATATTTATCGAGCGCAATCTCTGACACCTACTGAGGGCCTGTAAATGGGCTGATACAGAGGAGGTAAAGGAATCCTGGCTGTGTAACTAAAACAAGATTTGCAAATTATCTGACATTTATGATGGAAATAGCTTATTTGAAATGGTCATAATTATACCTTGAAACCTCACCCTAACACTATTTAGTATAAGGCATGTCTGTCTTGGACCGTTTTCAAGGAAATATTGTTAAACTGGTTTAACAAAAAGACCTTATCATAAAGCGGATTTATGCATGTCTGTTTCTATGGCAAATGCTTGAGAGCAGTGTGAATATATTTTAAAAACACAATCTGTGATCTAGGTGAGTCTGAGCGTTGGATGATTCTCTCTCTCTTTTTTTCCACTATGAAGGCACAGCTGTGTTTTCAGTGTAGCTGTAGACTGGAACAGGGATGAGATGGGGGGGATGCAAGCCCAGGGAGGGGTGGAAAGTGAGGAGGGCTGCACGTGGCTCCAAAATGGAACCAGTTAAAGCAAGCCTCACTTTATGGGCCACCACTCTCCACCCTGCACATCAGGTAGGTCTGTTTTTGACAGGCAGATTGGAAAGCAGTCACTCAGACCGTTAGATCCCCCTTGTGAGGTGACCTAAATTACAGCCTCAGTGTGCTGAGACACAGGGGATTTGTTACAAAATTATTTTCTATCTCTTATGACATCCTCAAGACTTATTTAATCCTCTCTCAAAGTTTCAAGAATACATAAGAATTATGGTATCTTGTTGGGGAGGATCTCTTTTTTAAAATTTAACCTTTTAATTTGAATTTTTTCAGCCCTACTGAAAAGTTGCAAGAGTGATAAAATCAGTTGTCTTTACCTAGATTGATCCATTGTTAGTATTTTGCCACATTTGCTCTATAAATGCATGTCTATGATATGATACATGATATGTAACAAATTCTATTTTTTGCAGAACCCTTTGAGAATAAGTTGCAGAGATCATAATGGTGTCAGCAAATATTTTCTAATAATATTAAGTGCCTTGGCTGGGCATGCTGTAATCCCAGCACTTTCGGAGACTGAAGCGGGCAGATCACCTGAGATCCACTGAGATCAGGAGTTCGAGACCAGCCTGGCTAACATGGTGAAACCCCATCTCTACTACAAATACAAAAATTAGCCAGGTGTGGTGGTGGGCACCTGTAATCCCAGCTACTTGGGAGGCTGAGGCAGGAGAATTGCTTGAACGTGGGAGGGGGAGGTTGCAGTGAGCTGAGATTGAGCCATTGCACTCCAGCCTGGGCAACAAGGGTGAAACTCCATTTCAAAAAAAAAAAAAAAGAATATTAAGTGCATCAACATCATAAACTTATCAAATCTGGGATATTTCACATTGATTCAAGGCTATTCTTTTTTTTTTTTTTTTTTTTTTTTGAGACAGAGTCTTGCTCTGTGGCCCAGGCTGGAGTGCAGTGGTGCCATCTCGGCTCACTGCAAGCTCCGCCTCCCGAGTTCACACCATTCTCCTGCTTCAGCCTCCCAAGTAGCTGGGACTACAGGCGGCCAGCACCACACCCAGCTAATTTTTTGTATTTTTAGTAGAGACGGGGTTTCACCGTATTAGCCAGGATGGTCTTGAACTCCTGATCTGATGATCCACCCACCTTGGCCTCCCAAAGTGCTGGGATTATAGGCGTGAGCCACCGTGCCCAGTCAAGGCTATTTTTAAATATACCTTCCATATTCAAATTTTTACCAGTTATGCCAGAAGTGTCCTTTCTAGCAAATGTTTTTTTCCATTCCAGGGTCATACTTTTTTTTTCTTTCTATTTTTTTTTGAGACAGAGTTTCCCTCTGTCACTCAGGCTGGAGTGCAGTGGCGTAAACTCAGCTCACTGCAACCTCTGCCTTCCGGGTTCAAGCGAGTCTCCTGCCTCAGGTTCCCATGTAGCTGGGATTACAGGCATGCACCACCATGCCTGACTAATTTTTGTATTTTTAGTAGAGATGGGGTTTCGCCATATTGGTCAGGCTGGTCTCAAACTCCTGACCTCAAGTGATCCAAATGCCTTGGCCTGCCAAAGTACTGGGATTAAAGAGGTGAGCCACCGTGCCAGGCCCCAGGATCATACATTCTTTAGTCTCCTTTAATCTGCAACCATTCCTTGGTCTTTCTTTTATAGTATTTCATGAGATTGACAGTTTTGTAGAGTACAAGCCCCTGATGTTCCCCCAATTTTGGTTTGTCTGATTGTTTTCTTATGATTCGTTTCAAGTTATGCATTCTTGCCAGGAATACCACGGAAAAGATGTGTCCTTCTCAGTGCCACTTTGGAGGGAATATGCAATGTCAGTTCGAAAATGTTCATGGGCATTAGAATATATCTTTCATTGTTTTCCTTCTTATTTGTTAAAATGAAGACTACAGAGAATTTCTTACTTGGAAATTCTCCTTGAAAATCTTACTACATGAAACAATAGAGCCCTAAAACCTGCCATGTTTTTTGGAAAATGATCATAGATTCTAGATTCAGCTTTCTAGTCTTTATCACAAAATACAATGGTGCTGATGTGCTTGAATGTTTCAATATCTCAGGTACTTCTCTAAGAGTCTTTGTTATCAGGAGAATTCAATTGTGTTGGATATCTGAGGGGGCTAATTAATGACCCTTCCTCTTCTACAGGCTCTTGACCAATTGAGATGCTGATCAGCTTTATTAGTAGCAATGCTGGAGAATGTGGCTAAGCCTTCTGCCTCCCCCTCCAAAACACAACCTTCCTTACCCTCCCATTCCTGACCTAACCATTCTCAGCCCATCTTGTAAAGGTGAAGACCTGACCAGGCCTGCCCGAAGAAGGCCCGATTTGACTGTTTATTAGCTGGGAGAGGAAAACAGTTATTCATCTCGTTGGGCACATGCAGATTTGTGAAGCTGAGCTGAGTGCAAATGTGAAGGAGTGAACCAAAGCTGGTCTCTGCTTCCTGGAGGAGGTCCTGCCTCCCGGATAACATGGCCTGTGCCTGCCCTGCCCTTTCCCATCTCTCTGTCACATGGAATGAGCCAGTGACAGAGGAGAGAGAGAAAGTACAGGTGTTCTCAATTCTCTCACCTAGCAGACAGGAGATGGTGTCTTCTCTGTGGTTTAGGTTAAGAACATGGGGGTGGAAGGAAAAGTGCTCTTCCTATGACATTGCCCACATTTATTTCTTGGGACACACCAAGTGGGAAGGAAAATAAGAAGTCTATTTGCAAAGTGAGGTCATCTTTCTGTTGAATGCTGCAAATTACCATGGATGTTAACTTCCCTTTTTAACTATGGAAAAACCATTGAAGAGAGAAACATTTGTCACTTTGCCAACCTCGTTAGACAGTTACTGAGACAGTCTCTCCTGCACTGTTTTTTGTCTTTTTTAAAACATAGATTTTTAAAGTTACAAATTTTACAAAAAAATGATTTTCAGCTTTTTCCTCTGCTGCTCTGAGGCACCAAAGTTAACTGTTTCTTGCCCTCTGCCATTTTAACAAATCTATTCCCAAGTATCTGTGCCTCAAGCATTCATCTTTCAAACACATCATGATCGCCTGGAGCCTCTTCACCCTTCCATCCCTCCTTTCCTCCTTGGTCCCAGTCTTTTGATATTCCAGCAAGGTCCTCTCAGCCAGGTTGTGAAGAGAGGTTAGCACTACATGAGGGGAAGATTTTAGGCATATGTGGATGTACATTTGTGTGCCTGTAATTTCAAAGTCCAATATAATGATTTAAGAATTCCTCATTTAGTCAATAAATCAATCGCATTTATTATTCATTTATTGTGTGCCAAGGTTGACACAAAGAAGTACAAAGAAGGGTTCACTGAATTTAGAAACCTTGAAAGAGTTTAGCTGGGTAGGCAAAATGAATAAAACCATTTGAAAATAACTTCTGAACTGTGTGGCCTTGACTGTGGGTACTGAGGTAGTCCAGAGAGTGGAAAGATGAATGTGGACTGGAGTATCTGGGGAGAGCTTCGTGGAGGAGGCAGCATTTGGACTGGGCTTTGAAGGACAGGTGGTGTTCAGCAGGTGCTGGAGAGGGCCGGTGTCCTAGGCACGGCTATGTAAGTCACACCGGCCTCCTTGCTATTTCTCCCACACCAGGCTCATTCCTGACTCCGGCTGCTGCCTCTGCCTGGATGTTATCCCCATATCTGCCTAGCTTATGCCTCACCTCTGAGTCACTATTCTAATGCCACCTGCTCCATGAGACTTATTCTGACCATCCTATTTAAAAATGGAATCCCCCTCTGTGCTCCAAATATCCCTTATTCTGCTTTTTTTTTTTAGTTTCTAAGATGTATTATTTAATTTTTTTTTTTTTTTTGAAATAGAGTTTTGCTCGTGTTGCCCAGGCTGGAGTGCAGTGGTGCCATCTTGGTTCACTGCAACCTCCACCTCCCAGGTTCAAGCAATTCTCCTGCCTCAGCCTCCCAAGTAGCTGGGATTACAGGCATGTGCCACCACGCCCAGCTAATTTTGTGTTTGTAGTAGAGACGGGATTTCACCATGTTGGCCAGACTAGTCTTGAACTCCTGACCTCTGGTGATCCACCTGCCTTGGCCTCCCAAAGTGCTGGGATTACAGGCAAGAGCCACTGCGCCCGGCTCATTTAATTTTTAAAATGATGTTTGTTGTTTGTTTCCTGTCTCTCCGCCCCGAGCCTTTTCAGTTTCTAAGACATTTTATCATTTAATTTTTAAAATGATGTCTGTTATTTATTTTCTGTCTCCCCCACCTCGAAGGTAGGTTCTATAAGGGCAGCAATTTTTGTCTGTTTTCTACCCCAGCACCTAGAAACTGGCCCAGAGTGGGTAATCAGTAAATACTTGTTGAATATATGAATGAATAAAGCTATTCCTTTCTTTCCCATACATAGAAGTTGAGGAGAGAGGGGTTCCACGGGAAAAAAAATCAGGTCATCCCTGTGAGCTCCAGACTTTTCTTTGCATGTCTAAAGGAACAGCTATTAAAGGGATGTGGCTCAGAGCTGGGCCTCTTTCTTATTTTCTGCAGGCCTCAAGACGTACAATTTGGAAGTATGAAATGAAGGAAAGAAAGTAAGCAGTGTTCTGCATATTAATGTGACACGCTGACTCTGTTGAGAGAGCAGCACTTTGAAATGTATGAGCAGTTAGAAAATGATGTCCCATCACCTTCCCAGGTTTAGATGGTGCAGATGAACTGCATTCCCTCCCTCCACCAGCTTGCCCAGCTCCTCTGCGGTAAGTCCCTCTCTACATGGTATCGCTGATGCTGGCAGCTGCACTTGGATGTCTTCTCTAATCTTCCCTCCTCTCCCTCACCCCCTGCTGCTGCCCTAGTCTTAAGCATCCCTGTCAATGGTGCCGTTGCATATGCAACTGCTCAAGTACCAAACCTCCCTGTCATCCTTGATTCCTCTTGTTTCCATTCTTCACATCTCACTCCCTGGCAAGTCCTGTGAGTTCTTCCTCCAACATATACTACACCCAACACTGTTGTTCACTGTCAGTCTCCAGCCAACTCCAGGTCCCCATCTTCTCCACTCTGGATGCTCCCAGAGGCTCCAATGGATCTTCCCGCTTCCTCTCTTGTCCCCAAGAATCCATTCTCACAGATCGGCCCGAGGGAGTGCTTTCAGAGATGTAAAGCTGATCATGCCACCTTCCTACCGAAATCCCTTTCACATCTTCACATTGCCCCACAACAAAATCTAAACTCCTTCTGAGATGGTTTGGATTTGTGTCCCCGCCCAAATCTGAGGTTGAATTGTAATCCCCAGTGTTGGAGGAGAGGACTGGTGGGAGGTGATTGGATCACGGAGGTGGATTTTCTCTTTGCTGTTCTCTTGATAGTGATTGAGTTCCCATGAGATCTGGTTGTTTAAAAGTTTGTAGCACCTCCCCCTTCGCTCTTTTCCTCCTGCTCCGGCCGTGTAAGATGGGCTAGCTTCCCCTTCTGCCATGATTGTAAGTCATGATTGTAAGTTTTCTGAGGCCTCACCAGAAGAAGCCTGTACAGCCTGCAGAACCTTGAGCCAATTAAACCTCTTTTCTTTCTAAGTTATCCAGTCTCAGGTAGTTTTGTATAGCAGTGTGAGAATCCACCTGGGCTGGCTCTTGCCTGCTTCTCCACTTCATCACATATCACACTCCTCCTCCTTCTCTGCATTGGCCTCATTTTCCTTCTTAGATGATGCAGAGCTCATCCTGCTTCTGGTCTTTTGCGCTTGCTTTTCCTTCTGTCTGGAATGATCTCCCTCAGAGAATTGCTGACCCCTGTTTATTAGTCAGGTAACCTACTCAAAGAACCTTTCCTAACCACTCTTACAGTGCCTTCCCCTCCACAATCTATCTTCTCTTACAATAACTAGATTTTATAAGCAGTATTATGGATCATTTTGATTATACATCTACCTCCCTACATCAATGAAGTTCCAGTAGAAAACAACCCACTCAAATGGGACAGTTGAGGAGAGGCTGGTAAAGTGCCTGTTCACAAAGATGTGGGCAGGTAAGGGAACCCATCGAGGGCTGATGATGCTCCTTTTAACAATAACAAGAAACTCTTACCACCCTAGGCCTGAACGGGGAGGGGCAGTGAGCAGCTACGTGAGCCTGGAGAGAATAGCTACAGTTTATAAGAGAGCTCACCTGCCAGGGCTGTGACCTAGCAGGGAGGGTGTGGGGGAATAAACATGCAGACCTCACGCTCCTGCTTCAATCCAGTCTTCTGCTAGTGCTTCTCATTGGCCTTACCCAACCAGAGACCAAAGGGCAAGGCTGCCAATGGATATAGTTCATAAAGATCAGTCTCCCAAGACACAGAGTAGGGTTGCAAAGAGTGGAGAGGGGATCTGGCCAAGCACACAGAAGATATCCAGCACACACCTCTACTAGAATGCAAGCTTCACAAGAGGAGCAACAGTCCACAAAGTCTAGGAGAGTTCTTGGGAGGCCGAGGCAGGCAGATCACGAGGTCAGGAGATAGAGACCAGCCTGACCAACATGGTGAAACCCCGTCTCTACTAAAAATACAAAAGATTAGCTAGGCGTGGTGGCGGGCACCTGTAGTCCCAGCTACTCGGGAGGCTGAGGCAGGAGAATAGCATGAACCCAGGAGGCGGAGCTTGCAGTGAGCCCAGATCACAGATCACACCACTGCACTCCAGCCTGGGCGACACAGCAAGACTCCGTCTCAAAAAAAAAAAAAAAAAAAGTCTAGGAGAGTTCTTGACACACATAATAACACAATACAGGGCTGGGCGCAGTGGCTCACGCATGTAATCCCACCACTTTGGGAGGCTGAGGCAGGGGGATCACGAGGTCAGGAGATTGTGACCATCCTGGCTAACACAGTGAAACCCCGTCTCTACAAAAAAAAAAAAAAATTAGCTGGGCATGGTGGTGGGCGCCTGTAGTCCCAGCTACTCGGGAGGCTGAGGCAGGAGAATGGCGTGAACCCAGGAGGCGGAGGTTGCAGTGAGCTGAGATTGCGCCACTGCAGGCCAGTCTGAGCGACACAGGGAGACTCTGTCTCAAAAATAAATAAATAAATAAATAAATAAATAAATAAATAATAAGTAACCCAATACAGGCTGGGCGTGGTGGCTCATGCCTATAATCCCAGCACTTTGGGAGGCCTAGGTGGGTAGATCACTTGAGGCCAGGAGTTCAAGACCAGACTCGCCAACATGGCAAAACGCTGTCTCTACTAAAAGTAAAAAATTAGCCAGGTATGATGGCACACACCTGTAATCCCAGCTACTTGGGAGGCTGAGGTGGGAGGATCTCTTGAACCCGGGAAGCACAGGTTGCAGTGAGCAGAGATTGTGCCACTGCACTCTAGCCTGGGCAACAGAGTGAGACTCTATCTCAAAATAATAATAATGATAACCCAATACATATTTGCAGAATAAATGAAGGAACAGATGAGATTTTTTTTTTTTTTTGTCTTTGGGGGATGTGTTTACTTAGCCCAACAGTTATTAGCTATAAAGTTGGGAGAATAAATAGATGTGCCTTCAGTTTACACTGATGGGGTTGGTGAGGTCACACAGGGACTTGCTTTGCAAGGTCTGCGCCCTCCCTATCCTGGGCTGTGCTATTAGTGTGCACCTAGGGGCTGGGCGTGGTGGCTCACACCTGTAATCCCAGCACTTTGGGAGGCTGAGGCGGGTGGATCACCTGAGGTCGGGAGTTCGAGACCAGCCTGACCAACATGGAGAAACCCCGTCTCTACTAAAAATACAAAATTAGCTAGGCGTGGTGGCACATGCCTGTAATCCCAGCTATTTGGGAGGCTGAGGCAAAAGAATCACTTGAACCTGGGAGCGGAGGTTGTGGTGAGCTGAGATTGTGCCATTGCACTCCAGCCTGGGCAACAAGAGTGAAACTCTTGTCTCAAAAAAGAAAAAAAAAAAAAGCACCTAGGAGTCTCTCCCTTCCAGCCCTCCTCCTGGCTGAGGTGTTGCTGTGTACTTAACTACTGAGACTTGCAGAAATATACCTTAGATTGGGGCGTGAGAGGGGATTGATTTGGGATTGAGAGCAATTTCCAAGAAGAGGGGCTGAAGTTTCCCAAAAGATGGGTTGAGATTCATGAGATGGAAGCATGAAGGAGGTACTTTAACAGGAATGTGCAAACCTGAGGATAGAAGGTTCCCAGGAAAGATTTTCTTTTGAGATGGAGTCTTGCTCTGTTACCCAGGCTGGAGTACAGTGGCACAATCTCGGTTCACTGCAACCTCCACCTCGGAGGTTCAAGCAATTCTCGTCCCTCAGCCTCCTGAGTAGCTGGGATTACAGGTGCCTGCCACCACGCCCGGCTAATTTTTGTATTTTTAGTAGAGATGGGGTTTCCCCATGTTGTCCAGGCTGGTCTCGAACTCCTCACCTCAAGTGATCTGCCCGCCTCAGCCTGGGATTATAGGTGTGAGCCACTGCACCTGGACCCCAGGAAAAATTTAACTTCTCGTATGAACCTCTGGATGGGGCACCTGAAACCTTTTAACAGCCTGTTATGCAATACTTTCTCTTTTTTTTTCTTTTTTTTTGAGACGGAGTCTCGCTCTTTCGCCCAGGCCAGAGTGCAGTGGCGCTATCTCGGCTCACTGCAAGCCCCGCCTCCTGGGTTCACGCCATTCTCCTGCCTCAGCCTCCGGAGTAGCTGGGACTACAGGCGCCAGCCACCACCCCCAGCTAATTTTTTGTATTTTTAGTAGAGACGGGGTTTCACTGTGTTAGCCAGGATGGTCTCGATCTCCTGACCTCGTGATCCACCACCTCGGCCTCCCAGAGTGCCGGGATTACAGGGGTGAGCCACCATGCCTGGCGAAGACTTTTTCTTTTAAGTCAGGAGAGAGGCTATTAACATTAAAACCTTTTTTTTTTTTTTTTGGTGAGACGAAGTATCGCTTTGTCACCAGGATGGAGTGCAGTAGCGCGATCTCAGCTCACTGCAATCTCTGCCTCCCAGGTTCAAGAGATTCTCCTGCCTCAGCCTCCTGAGTAGGTGGGACTACAGGCGCTCACCACCAGCTAATTTTTGTGTTTTTAGTAGAGACGGAGTTTCACCATGTTGGCCAGGATGGTCTGGATCTCTTGACCTTGTGATTCGCCTGCCTCGGCCTCCCAAGTGCTGGAATTACAGGTGTGAGCCACTGCACCCAGCCTAAAACCATTTTTATTCATGATGATATGCCAAGGGTCACTGCATGCATACTTTCATTAAGGGATAATAAATATCATATGCAGATTTGTTATTAGGAATTCCTCTTGATGCTTCCCAATAGATTTAATGAGAGACTTGTCCTTTTGTTTAAGATCTAATGGAATTTCACCTGGGCAATGTCTAATGGAGCTTTGTCACAGACAGAGGCCTAATGGAACCTTTCTTGGGCAAAGAAAGGTTCATTGTGGGCATCTCAGTCTTTGCCTGGGAAAAGGTTAGAAATGATGGGCTGGGAAGAGAGGAAAAAGGAGAGAGGAGGGGAAGAGGGAGATGGAACAACCTTTTCAGGAAGGGGAGATAAATTTTACATGTCTTCTTTGTGCTATTTCATGTATGTATTTTCATTTTTCCTTACAACAATCTTACGATGTTGGCAGTATTATTGTTTCCTTTCTAGAGATTGGTAGACGGAGACCCAAGGGATTAAGTATGTTGTCCAAATCACATAGCTGAGAAGTTGTGGAAAAGTCCCCTGCCCCTACGCTTATACCTCTCAAATCCTTTTTTCCCACTAGAAAAAATTAGATTAGCTATAAAGAATTGGAATGAAAGGGTGCCGGGAACTTGATTGTGACATGGAGGAATTTTCCTTTCCTTCCCCTTTGCCTTGACTTTCCTCTGCTACAGTAGACTATTCCCTGAACCAGCTTCCAAAAGAAAATGAAGGACTGATGGGGCCACTGAGCCCAGAAGGTCGGGGAGGAAGGGAGAGACTTCTGGCTGTGAGTAGCGAAGGGAGCCGGTACCTTTTGGCTTCATACTCTTTCTAATATGAAGAACATGAAATCTGTTTTGGGTTTAAGAAAAATCTTAAGAAAATTTTCTGCTTTTAAAGAAGGGATAGTGAATTAGGGTGAAAAATATCTTCCTAACCCAATTATGTCAACAATGTTTAGGAAACAATATGGATAATGCACTGGTGGGTAATCAAGAGTGAATATTGCATAAATCACCGGAATGATCATCATTTCTTAAATTTCAAAAAGGAGACAGGAGAGAACATTCCTTTTTTTTTTTGAGACAGTCTCACTCTGTCTCCCAGGATGGAGTGCGGTGGCGCGATCTCGGCTCACTGCAAGCTCCGCCTCCCGGGTTCACGCCATTCTCCTCCCTCAGCCTCCCGAGTAGCTGGGACTATAGGCGCCTGCCACCACGCCCAGCTAATTTTTTGTATTTTTATTAGAGACAGGGTTTCACCGTGTTAGCCAGGATGGTCTCGATCTCCTGACCTCATGATCCGCCCGCCTCAGCCTCCCAAAGTGCTGGGATTACAGGCGTGAGCCACCGCGCCCGGCTATCTTAGTGAACACAGAAATATTGGCTCACAGGATTCTCCCCATTGCATGATGTTTTTGCAGTCAGAAAACACCCTTTGTGTAAAGGAAACTGGGGGTGGGGTAGGAGAGGAATATGCTGACCCAAGACCTTTCTAAATTAATGGATGAAAAGGAGAAAGAAAGCATGAGAGGAAAACCTACTGGGAGAAAGCTTAGGTCTGTGCAGAAAGAAACACAATGGCACCGTTAGACGTATCTGAATGATATCTAATGTTGAGGATGCATTTATCTACAGTCTGACAGTGTCCACAGAGCACAAGGCAAGGGAAGCCAACTCACTTGTCATGACACTCTTGTTCTATGCTCTACCACATTGCCTTTGAAGTCTAAAGAAGATTCCGGCTGGGCACGGTGGCTCACGCCTGTAATCCCAGGACTTTGGTAGGCCCAGGCGGGTGGATCACCTGAGGTCAGGATTTCGAGACCAGCCTGGCCAACATGGTGAAACCCCATCTCTACTAAAAATACAAAAATTAGCTGGATATGGTGGCGCACCCCTGTAATCCCAGCTACTCAGGAGGCGGAGGCAGGAAAATCTCTTGAACCCAGGAGGTGGAGGTTGCAGTGAGCGGAAATCACACTGCTGCACTCCAGCCTGGGCAACAGAGCGAGAGTCTGTCTCCAAAAAGAAAAAAGAAGAAGATTCCTCTGGTCCCAAACTAAGCCAGCACTTAATAGTTGCAGCAGACATTGCTAATGTTTCCAGTTCTCCCCTCCTAAAACATACAGAGGACTGTGATTTCCTGCCCCTCCACTAGTTGGATGGCACGACGTGACTCGTTCTAGCCAACAGGCTGGGAATAAAAATGACGTGTGTCACCTCTGGGGAAAGCATTTAAGAGCTGGTATGTTACCTTCCATCTTATTTTCCCCACCATGGTGAACCAGGAAGGATCATGCAGGGATGGAGACGCCCGAGATTGAAGCCTGGAATGGTGAGCCACCACATGGAGGACGAGTGTCCCCAAGAACAACCTGAGCCTGTTCTGAAGCTGGGGTTGAGGTACTTACAATTCCCGTGTCAGGATCATTTAGAGGCAACCAGAATTTCACCTCTTCCCCATGAAGATGGCTTCCTCTTAGTAGGGAGTCTGATATGAGGCTGAAATGGATTTAGTGTGAACAACAAGTAAACGATTGTGGTGTCAACACCTCGAGATTATTTGATGATGATGCCCAGCCTAATTTAGCATATCTTGACTAATACCAGTATGTGGGTAAATACACGCTTACATTCCCAGAGAAAGTCAAGAGGAATGAACAAAATGTGCTGTTGGTTCTCATTCTAATTCTATTATATCTTCCAATATAGACAAATTACATAGAGAATAGGAGTTCAGGCCTGGCGCAGTGGCTCACACCTGTAATTACAGCACTTTGGGAGGCCGAGGCAGGCGGATCATGTGAGGTCAGGAGTTTGAGACCAGCCTGGCCAACATGGAGAAACCCTGTCTCTACTAAAAGTACAAAAAAAATCAGCCAGGCCTGGTGGTGCACACCTGTAATCCCAGCTACTTGGGAGGCTGAGGCACAAGAATAGCTTGAACCCAGGAGGCGGAGGTTGCAGTGACCCATGATCATGCCACTGTACTCCAGCCTAGGCGACAGAGTGAGACTATGTCTCAAAAAAAAAAAAAAAAAAAAAAGAGAGAGAATAGGAGTTCAAGGGTGACTCCTCTTCTCTGCCTGTCCCCACCAGCTACTCAACTGGGGCACTTGTAACCTTGGCTCTTAGGGACCCCTTGTGGTTGCCTCTTAGGTCACTGCTCACACTCAATCTCATTGGCACTCAATGTTCAAGCTCCCCTTACCCAGAGTATGACAGCATGTCCTTCCCAGCCCTTGCTGTGCGCTGTCAGCCATTCCATTTTGTTCTGAGGATAGGGTGGAAGAACTTACGATTCCTGTGTCAGGATCATGGATAGGACAACCAGAATTATCCCCCTGTGAAGATAGCTTCCTCTTAGCATGGGATCTGAGAGCTTGAGGCTGAAAGAATCTAGTATTCTGGATTGTCTACATTGTGTCTCCGGAAGAGGGGTTCGTGTGTATGAGAGGTAGTAAGAGGAAGGACAGCCCACCTTTCCCACCACACTGAAAGACAAGAAAATAAGACTTATATTTGCATCTCTGGCAGGCCCCTGTGGACACCCAGTAAATGCCGGTAATGATGGCGCGTGACTTCTCATTTACACGGTCTCTTTTAGTTTCTGCCCTAACCTGAATGTGGTGTCAAGGGAACTATTAACGGCTGCTATTCAGGGACATGTGACTTGGTATTTATATATTACCTGCCCACTTCATAAAATGTTAATGAATGTTTGCAAAGCTCTTTGAAATACTCTGGTGAAAGGTGCAACATTAAGTGAAAAATATTATTATTATTATTAGAAGGTAATAGACAGCTTTGAGTGATTGGTCATAAGAATAATTGACATAGCATTAAAAGAAGTGCCAGAAATCATCCAGATGGATTCAGCTTCTCCAGCCCCATCAGCCCCCACATTACATATATTACACTGTTTCCCTGACACCCATTCTAATAACCATATAATTCACACATTAAATCACCACTTCTAGGGAAAGGTTGAGCTCACTCATAGCTCTGTTGATAGTGACACTGAGAGGGTATTAAATGTTGAAAGGTCTAAAAGGGAGCAGAAGTGCTCTTAGATGGAGAGGCCAGATCCAGTTGCTGAATGGCCACCACATTTAAGAGGGTGTGAGAGAGAAAGGAGTCAGAAACACTTTGGAAACAGAGAGGAAACTTTAAAATAGATGTGCGATTAGAAAGCTGTGAAAACAATAAAAATCTAAATAAGATGGGCCAATATCTGGCAATAGTCTTTATTTATTTATTTATTTTTATTTTTTTTATTTTTATTTTTTTTTTAATTTTTCAAGACAGAGTCTCACTCTGTCACCCAGGCTGAAGTGCAGTGGCGCGATCTCGGCTCACTGCAATCTTTGACTCCCTGGTTCAGGTGATTCTTCTGCCTCAGGCTCCTGAATAGCTGGGACTACAGGCGCATGCCACTTCGCCTGGCTAATTTTTGTATTTTTAGTAGAGATGTGGTTTCACCATGTTGGTCAGGATGGTCTTGATCTCCTGACTTCGTGATCTGCCTGCCTTGCCCTCCCAAAGTGCTGGGATTACAGGTGTGAGCCACCACACCCAGCCAATAGTCTTTATTTTTATCATATACTCTCTCTGGTTTGAAAAATAGTGGTGCACAAACAGATTATGCTTTTCTAACTCCTTAAATATGGAGTTGTTTAGTATTTCTCAGTCTACCTCATAAAACTCAGTGTCCATCAGGGTTGGCAAATTGGGTTGAACTTATTTGCTAACCGTAGTAGGATGACAGTAGCCGCCTGAAGTCCAGTGATGAGAACTGTGGGGCTCATTTGGACTCAGCAGGACAGACTGCTGTGATCCATTAGCAATGTCTGCCCCTGGGAGGGGAAGGGAGTGGGTGGCACGTATGTAGGCTAGGCCTGACCAGGTGTGAGGGTTAGTGAAGAGGGCAGTTTGGACTCAGTTCAAGGTTGCTCTTGTTCTGACTTACAATCAAAGCTGCTAAATAGCAATGTAAAGGATTTACTCTTGATAAAGGTTTAGATGGAAAGAAATGGCTTCTCTCTGCCTTGCTTTCTCATGGAGGATCAATTCAGTCTGGTGGCCTTGGCAGCCTGCATGCAGGAAGATGACCCCAGGTCACACAGAGTACAGAGAACTGTGGGCCTATGTCTCTTATGCCCTGGCTACATCAGCACTTAGAGACAACTCATGCGACCTACTAAGGCTTTCATTCTGTCCCTCTGCAAGCTGCATCTCCCAGGCCTAATGTCTGGGTTATGGGACCTTTGCTGCAGGGTCTGAGGATTCTCCACTTACATCCACTACGCATGGGTAGGCCTGACGATGGCTCACCACAAACCACACTGTACCACACAGTGCCCATGCCACATCGTGGCTCTCAGAATGGCAGCCAGGAGATCTGTGAACCTCATTTGGATGCAAAGCTGCTTCTTGAAGTCTAATTGATTGTCATAAAGAAGTTCATATGTCAAACAATTTTGTTTCTAGAAGTTCGGCATTTTCTGATTTTCATTTGGCTTAGAAAAGTGGCATCGCCTCAACATGGTTTTATCAGCAGAGAAAGGAAGAAGTGGGGACAGGTGGCTCTTTGGGATCATTTTCTCAATAAACGTTCATAATAATGGTAATTGCTAACATTTATTGAGCACTTGCTATGCATGAAACATTGTCCATTTTATAGACGAAGATGCTGAGGCTTAGGAGAGGTTACTTTCTCAAGGACACACAAATAGAAAGTTAAGATTAGATGCGAAACCAAGCCAGTTGGACCGCAGCACCCACACCCTCACTCCCTGCTCTGCACTCCTCCCAGTGTTGTGCGGGTATGAATAATAGTTCCAGCAGATAAGGCCAAATTCTTTTGATCTTGCCTGGTGGTCTGTTAAACAGTCTTCATAGAGAACTAAAATAAAATATTTTGGTTGTCCATTCTCATCCTTTTATCTCACATGTGACCTTCGGATAATGTGACCACTGCAAATGTCATATTTACAGATTATTCAAAAGGTTTAAAATATTGGATAACATTTCCCCTCTACTTTTCATTATTTGATTTAGAAAAAACTCATAATGAGACAAAAGAAATTGGTAACCTCTAACATCAATAAACTTTTACTTGATGCCAGATGTCTCTTTTATTTAGGTTAATATATAGAAGCAATAGATATGTTAATTCTCTTCCTCCTTTAGGTGATATATTGTCGTTTAAACTACAAGAGTTCAGTATCCACTCTTATTAGCATCTTGGATTCTTTGTCAGTTGATTTTACTTTGTTGCTGTAGCAGGCAGCCTCTCATGTAACTCTGTGTTCTTGGGTTTTATTGCTAGAAATGCACTGAGCACTTTTATAGTTTTACTGTGCATTCTCTTCAAGGCAAAATTGTTATGTCTATACTGATATGCACTGTGTATAGGACATACCATTAAAAATCAACTTGTCACTGAGGAGCCTGAATCTGGGAATAGAATTACTGATGTTTCAGGATTCTAGTGAGGATCATGGAATAAAATTTGGTGATTTCAAATTTGGGTTATGAATGCCTTTTAGCCATGTGAGGTTAAAATGGTTGAAATTTGGTAGTATAAAAAGTCACCGGTTTATTAAAAATGGGTTTTTACCAGGACTCTCCTTGGTTCCCTTTGGTCAATTCCATTAGAAAATCATTAGCTGTTTACATAAATAATTGCAAACTGCTAGCAGGTAATGTGGAGATCTTAATCTTTTTTTTTTAAGTGGAACTTAAAAAAATGTATGTTTAGATAAATTTTTCTCTTCTTTTCTCCCATCCACAATCCCTGCCCATTTCCCTACTTTAGACAGACAGCAAGAAGAAACGAAACCAGAGGAGAAGAATGGAGCTGGATCGTCTGTGAAGACCCTGCCAGGCTGCAAAGAAGCTGCACTCATAATGCAGAGAATGCAGCTGGAGGAGCTCTTTGATTTAACTGTTGTTACTGAAATCTGTGCAGCATCAAGTGACTTAGAGCAGGAAGTTATCTTAGAATTCTGGAAAGATTCAAGGTGATTAGACAGTTGACGAGTGAGAGTTCAAAGCCGGTACCACTCATTTCAGGCAAGGTTTGGGCAGTGACATAAATCCTTAGCCAAGAGCTATAATAGTCTCCTTTAGGCTCCTTGAAGATAGGAGGCAGATCTTAATCCTTTCTGCATCTACAGTGAATTGTATAGAACAACAGTAGGTGCTTCATGAATAGCTGTCAGATGGTGGCTTTGTATATCACCAAAGGATGGGCCTCTCTGTCCCCTTGCAGCTCTGGTGCTCATGGATTAAATTGTTTGGTCCCTTTCAGTTCTTTCTATACCTGGCTTATTGGATACTCTCAACTACATAGTTGGAACCCTCCTTTTCCCATGCAGTAGTGTCTCCCATAAAGAATTTTTGTCTAGATTCTGTAACTTGTCATCCATTTTTGATTACAAGAATGGTTCCTATTCTATTATTTAAGACTCATGCCTCTTCATTTTTAAAATTCAGTTTTGTGTGTGATTCAGATCTTGAGCCCTCCCCTCTCTCCAGCACAGGCTAGTGCTGTGTTCTAAATGTTTGTGTCCTCCTGAAACTCGTATGTTGAAACCTAATCTCCAATGCAACAGTATTAAGGAGTAGGGTCTTTAGGAGGAGTTCATTTGCCCCTTTCCCCATGTGAGGACACAGCTACAGGCACCATTTATGAAGCAGAGAGTGAGCCCTCACTGGACACCAAATTTGCTGACCTCTTGATCTTGGACTTCCCAGCCTCCAGAACTATGAGCAATAAATTGCTGTTGTTTATAAATTACCCATTTGTGGGCAGGGCGCAGTGGCTCACAGCTGTAATCCCAGCACTTTGGAAGGCTAAGGCAGGCGGATCATGAGGTCAGGAGATCAAGACCATCCTGGCTAACATGGTGAAACCCCGTCTCCACTAAAAATACAAAAAATTAGCCGAGCATGGTGGCAGGTGCCTGTAGTCCCAGCTGCTGGGGAGGCTGAGGCAGAAGAATGGTATGAACTTGGGAGGCGAAGCTTGCAGTGAGCCGAGATTGGGCCACTGCACTCCAGCCTAGGCGACAGAGCAAGACTCCGTCTCAAAAAAAAAAAAAAAAAAAAATTACCCATTTGCCAGAGCAGCTCAAAAAGATTAAGACAGCTACAGCTGTGGCTTTAATGACTTCAAGTGTGTGTATGTGTGTCTGTGTCTGTCGATACACATGATGTGTGTGTGTAAATGTGCATATGTGTGTGTTGGTATACATGTGTATAACTGTGTAACTTTGTATAGGTGTAGGTATGTGTGCACGTGACTATGTATTTATGGCCAGGAGTTGGTCTGGTTTTCAGACATCTCCTCCCTCTTCTAAGAACTAACTTCTCCCAGGAACTGGGGGAGGGGGAAGAAAAGGGCGAACATCTCTCTGCCGTCCTGCACAAGTTTGCATGCTCCACTTGATTGGCTGTGTTGCTCTTTTTTCTCAGTGTCTGTGTAGGAGTGATATGGATGATGGTCATTGTCATTTTCCACTGACCAGGGACTCGCTTTCAAGTAGTTCCCCAAGTATTAGCAGGTCCTTTCAAGATACAGCTGGATCTTGCAGCAGACCCCTGGCTGGTTCTGTTCCACTGCATTTCTCATTGTCCTTCCTGCGGTGACAGTACCTAATCTTTGCTATCATCTGGAGCTAACCCAGTGCAAGATCCATCCTCTATACCTTTCTCCTCCAGAAATTCTTGGCTTCCTCTTCCCTGGCAGTCTCATGCTTGCCTCTCCTGCCCTGTCATGTCACATCTCCGTAATTCTCTTTTACATGGTCACAAGCACTGATGACAGATCATCACATCTTCTAGCTATGCAGTCATCTAACCAAGGAATGAAAGGCTGATCTCCTCTTCCTTCAGTCATTCCTGTCTTGACCAGTGAGTCTCTTGAGGCCCCTGATTGGATGAGCAGAGGGGATAGTCTCAAACACTTCACTCCCCTAGCCACATCCTTGCTCTAAATACCCACTTTATACTGACTGGGGGATTGCAAGGGAGGCAGTTAGTGATAGGGCAAGTCCAGAGGTATTTCTTGGTACTTCTCGTAAGCTCTGGAGTGGGATGACCAGCCCGAAATAATGGCATACTTAGAATGTGACAGATTAAGTACCTTTGGTCCTAAGCGTTAGGCCTTAGCTGCAATTCTAAGACAATCAGAAAAGTCCTGGTATATTTTTACACAGACTTTAGATGTGCATTCTAACTATTTGTAGCCAAACTACCCTTACCTAAAAAAGAGCACAACATAAGAACTAAAATGAGAAGCAAAAGGTAGATAAAGAATAAAATGAAACAAATACAAAATGAAAAGCAAAATATTAACATGTTATTTAGTACAAATACCATAAACTTGGTTCCCTTTTAATGATAATAATAGATTATTATGTGCCAAGTACTGTTCCAGGTACTTGACATGAATGATCTCATTTAATCCTTGCAACAATACTATAAGTTCATTTATTTTATTATTATTATTATTATTTTTGAAATGGAGTCTTGCTCTGTCGCCCAGGCTGGAGTGCAGTGGTGCGCTCTCAGCTCACGGCAACCTCTGTCTCCCGGGTTCAAGTGATTCTCCTGCCTTAGCCTCCCAAGTAGCTGGGACTACAGGTGCGCACCACCATGCCCTGCTAATTTTCGTATTTTTTTTTTTATTAGAGACGGGGTTTCACTATATTGGCCAGGCTGGTCTCAGACTTCTGACCTCATGATCCGCCCGCCTCGGCCTCCCAAAGTGCTGGGATTACAGGCGTGAGCCATCACGCCTGGCACAATAAGTTCATTTATTATTAGCATTGTAAAGATGAGCAAATGGAGACAGAGAGAGATAACCTGCACTTGGATGCCAAAGAGTGCATCAGTAACAAATATAGTAAAAAGATATCAAGCTGCTTTTCCTAATTAGCACTCTATGGGTATGTGATGGTTAATTTTATGTGTCAACTTGACAAACGTGGGATGCTCAAGTGTCTTGTTAGGCACTATTTCTGGGTGTGTCTGTGAGGGGTTTTTGGAAAATAATAGCATCTGAATCAGACTTAGTGGAGCCTATTGCCTTCTCCAACGCGGGCGAACAACATCCAATCCACTGAGGGGCCTAAATAGAACAAAAGGCAGAAGGAGGGAGGATATTTTTCATTCCTGCCTTCTTGCTTGAGCTAGGACCTTGCTCTTCTCCTGTCCTTAGAGTGGGACTTACACCATTGGTCCCCCTGGTTCTTGGGCCTTTAGACTCAGACTGAAATTACACCATTAGTTTCCTGGGTCTCCAGCTCATAGACAGCAGATTATGGGATGTCTCAGCCTCCATAATTATATGAGACAATTCTTCATTAACAATATGTATATGTATATGCATATATTCTATATATTCTATAATATGTACATGCATATATATTATATATAATATATGTATATAATTTTGGTTCTTTCCAAAGAACCTATTACAGTGTGCCAATTTCCAAAACAGCTTTTAGGTCATTGTAGCAAAATCTAAAAATTTTACTTGTTTAGTATCAAATCCTTCTGAAAGACAGCGCGAGTGTAGTGGTTAAGAGCATAGATTCTGGAACTGGACTATATGAGAGCAAATCTCAGCTCACCTTCTACTAGCTGGGTGGCCATTTATAGCTAGGGTTCCACCATCTCAGTTTCCAGTAAGTAGTGTTAATATTTAGCCTAAAGGGTTGTTGGCAGAATTAAGAGAATTGGTATGTCTAGAGACACACTGTCAAATAAAAGCAGTGCGTGAGGTGTAGATGTAATTTAAAATTTTCTGAAGTAGCTACATTAAAAAAAAAAGAAGGAAAAAGAAACAGGTGAAATGAATTATAATAGGTTTTACTTAACCCAATATAGGCCTACCTCATTTTATTGTGCTTCACAGATACTGTGTTTTGTTGCAAACTGAAGGTTTATGGCAACCCTGCATCACACAACTCTATTGGCACCATTTTTCTAACAGCACATACTTACTTAGCAACTCTGCGTCACATTTTGGTAATTCTCATAATATTTCTAACCTTTTCACTATTATTATATCTGTTATGGTGATTTGTGATCAGTGATCTTTGATGTTACTATTGTATTTTTTTTTTTTTTGAGACATCGTCTTACTCTGTCGCCCAGGCTGGAGTGCAGTGCTGCAATCTCAGCTCACTGCAACCTGCATCTCCCAGGTTCAAGTGAGTCTCCTGCCTCAGCCTCTCGAGTAGCTGGGATTACAGGCGTGTGACACCACACCCTGCTAATTTTTGTATTTTTAGTAGAGACGGGGTTTCACCATGTTGGCCAGGCTGGTCTCGAACTCCTGACCTCAAGTGATTCACCCACGTCAGCCTCCCAAAGTGCTGGGATTACAGGCATAAGCCACCACACCCGGCCACTATTATAATTGTTTGAGAGCACCACGAACCGTACTCTCATAAGATGGGAAACCTAATTGATCAATGTTATGTGTGTTGTGACTGCTCCACCAACTGGCCATTCCTCCATCTCTCTATCCTTTACCTTGGGCCTCTCTATTCCTTGAGATACAACAAAATTGAAATTAGTCTAATTAATAACCCTACAATGGCCTCTGAGTGTTTAAGTGAAAGGAAGAGTTGCATGTCTCTTACTTTAAATCAAAATCTAGAAATAATTAGGCTTAGTGAGGAAGGCATGTCAAAAGCCAGGATAGGCCAAAAGTGAGGCCCCCTGTGCCAGTCAGTCAAGATGTTAATGCAAAGAAAAAGTTCTTGAAGAAATTGAAAGTGCTACTCCAGTGAATACATGAATGATAACAAAGTCAAACACGCTTATTGCTGATACGGAGAAAGTTTGAGTGGTCTGGATAGAAGATCAAACTAGTCACAACATTCCCTTAAGACAAAGCCTAATCTAGAACAACATCCTAACTCTTCAATTCTATGAAGGCTAAGAGAGGTGAGGAAGCTGCAGAAGAAAAGTTTGGAGGTTGGTTAATAAGGTTTTAGAAAAGAAGCTGTCTCTATACCATAGAAGTGCAAGGGAAGCAGCAAGTGCTGATGTAGAAGCAGCAGCAAGTTATCCAGAAGATCTAGCTAAGATCAATGATGGGCCGGGCGTGGTGGCTCATGCCTGTAATCCCAGCACTTTTGGAGGCTGAGGCAGGCAGATCACCTGAGGTCAGGAGACCAGACTGTCCAACATGGTGAAACCCCGTCTCTACTAAAAATACAAAAATTAGCTGGGCGTGGTGGCGGGCGCCTGTAATCTTAGCTATTTAGGAGGCTGAGGCACAAGAATCGCTTGAACCCAGGAGGCAGAGGTTGCAGTGAGCAGAGATCGCACCATTGCACTCCAGCCTGGGCAACAGAGTGAGACTTTGTCACCAAAAAAAAAAAAAAAAAAAAAAAAAAAACAATGATGAAGGTGGCTACACTAAACAACAGATTTCCAATGTACACAAATCAGCCTTCTATTGGAAAAAAATGCCATCCAGGACTTTCACAGCTAGAGTGGAGAAGTCAGTGAGTGTTTTCAAAGTTTCAAAGGACATGCTGACTCTCTTGTTAGGGGCTAACGCAGCTGGTGACTTTACGTTGAAGCCAATGCTCAGTTGCTATTGCAAAAATCCTATGGCCCTTAGGAATAATGCTAAATCTACTTTGCCTGTGCTGTATAAACGGAACAAATAGCTTAGATGACAAAACATCTATTTATGGCATTGTTTACTGAATTTAAGCCCACTGTTGAGACCTACCACTCAGAAGAAAAGATTGCTTTCAAAATATTACTAGTCATTGACAATGTACTTAGTCACCCAAAAGTTCTCATGAAGGTATACAGGGAGATTAATGTTGTTTTCACGCCTGCAAATATAACATCCATTCTTCAGCCCACGGATCAAGAAGTCATTTTGATTTTCAAGTCTTATTATTTAAGAAATACATTTCGTGGCTGGGCATGGTGGCTCACGCCTGTAATCCCAGCACCTTGGGAGGCCAAGGCAGGCAAATCACAAGGTCAGGAGTTTGAGAACAGCCTGGCCAACATGGTGAAAACCCATCTCTACTAAAAATACAAAAAGTAGCCAGGCGTGGTGGCGCACACCTGTAGTTCTAGCTACTCAGGAGGCTGAGGCAGAAGAATTGCTTGAACCCAGGAGGCAGAGGTTGCAGTGAGCCGAGATCGCGACACTGTACTCCAGCCTGGGTGACAGAGCAAGACTCCATCTCAAAAAAAAAAAAAAGAAATACATTTCGTAAGGCCGTAGCTATCACAGATCATGATTCCTCTGATAGCTCTGGACATAGTAAATTGAAAACCTTCTGGAAATGGTTTACCATTCTCGATGCCATTAAGAACACTTGTGAATCATGGGAGGAAGTCAAAATATCAACATTAAGAGAAGTTTGGAAGAAGTTAATTCCAGTCCTCAAGGATGACTTTGAGGGGTTCAAGACTTTAGTGGAGGAAGTAACTGCAGATGTGGTGGAAATAGCAAGAGAACTAGAATTAGAAGTGGAGCCCGAAGATGAGACTGAATTGCTGTAATCTCATGATCAAACTTGAACAGATTAGGAGTTGCTTCTTATAGATGAGCAAAGGAAGTGGTTTCTTGAGATGAAATCTACTCCTGATGAAGATGCTGTGAACATTGTTGAAATGACAATGAAGGATTTAGGATATTTCATAAACTTAGTTGATAAAGTAGTGACAGGGTTTGAGAAAAATGACTACAAATTTGGAAGAAGTTCCACTGTGAGTAAAACGCTATCAAACAGCATCACATGCTACAGAGAAATCTTGTGTGAAAGCAGAGTCAGTTGATGCAACAAATTCATTTTTGTCTTTTTTTTTTTTTTTTGAGACGGAGTCTTGCCCTGTAGCCCAGGCTGGAGTGCAATGGCATTCTCCCGGCTCACTGCAACCTCCACCTCTTGGGTTCAATGATTCTCCTGCCCCAGCCTCCTGAGTAGCTGGGATTATAGGTGCCCGCCTCCACACCCAGCTATTTTTTGTATTTTTAGTAGAGACAGGGTTTCACCACGTTGGCCACGCTGGTCTGGAACTCCTGACCTCGTGATCTGCCCGCCTCAGCCTCCCAAGGTGCTGGGATTACAGGCATGAGCCACCATGCCTGGCCCCATTGTTGTCTTAATTCAAGAAATTGCCAAAGCCACCTCAACCTTCAGCAACCACCACCCTGATGAGTCAGCAGCCATCAACATCAAGAGAAGGTCCTCTACCAGCAAAAAATTTGACTTGGTGAAGACTCAGATGATAGTTAGCACTTTTTTAGCAATAAAGTATTTTTTACATTAAGGTATGTACATTTTTTTTTTTTTTTTGAGACAGAGTTTCACTCTGTTGTCCAGGCTGAAGTGCAGTGGCGTGATCTCGGCTCACTGCAACATCCACTCCCCTGGGTTCAAGCAAGTCTCCTGCCTCAGCCTCCCAAGTAGCTGGGATTACAGGCACCTGCCACCACGCCTGGCTAATTTTTGTGTTTTTAGTGGAGACAGGGTTTCACCATGTTGGTCGGGCTGATCTAGAACTCCTGACCTTAAGTAATCCGCCTGCCTTGGCCTCCCAAAGTGTTGGGATTACAGGCGTGAGCCACTGTTCCCAGCCTAAAGTATTTTTTACATTAAAGTATGTACATTGTTTTTTTAAAACATAATGCTATTGCACACTTAATAGGCGATAGTTGATAAAGCAGTGGCAAGGTATAGACTGCCACTGCTTTACACTAGACTAGTATAGTATAAACAATGTTTATATGCAGTGGGAAACCAAAAAATTTATGTGACTTGCTTTATTGCAATATTCACTTTATTGTGGTGGTCTGGAACCAAACCTGCAATATCTCTGAGGTATGCCTGTATATATGAAATACTATCATATCGATGATGCATAATTAATATAAAGTTATTAACGAAGCCAGGCACAGTGGCTCACCCCTGTAATCCCAGCACTTTGGGAGGCTAAGGCAGGCAGATCACTTGAGGCCAGGAGTCCGAGACTAGCCTGGACAACATGGTGAAACCCCGTCTCTACTAAAAATACAAAAATTAACCAGGTGTGTTGGTGGGTGCCTGTAATCCCAGCTACTTGGGAGGCTGAGGCAGGAGAATCGCTTGAACCCTGGTGGTGGAGGTTGCAGTGTGCAGAGCTCCTGCCACTGCACTCCAGCCCGGGCAACAGACCAAGACTCCACCTTAAAAAAAAAAATTAATGAGGTATTTTAGATTCTTGTTCTTGTTTTGTGCCGAGTTTTTGGAATCTGGTGTGCATTTCACACTCAAAACATGCCTCAATTTGCACAAGTCTCATTGCATATGCCTAGTAGCCACATTTGGCTGGTGGCTGCCCTAGCAGAGGCACATGGAGAGTGTTATAGGAGGGTTAACTATTATTTTACCTTCCAATTTTTAAAAATTGATTGATTCTCTTTTTCTCCACTGCCACACCTTAGACAAGTTTTTCATCACCTTTGCCTGGAGAAATGTATTAGCCTCCTCACTTGGCCTCCCCACATTCACTAGCCACAGCTCCCTGCCATCTATTCTTCATTCTGATGTCCAGGAATTCCTTCCAAAATACATGTCTGGTGGTATCCCCGCCCCAGTGCCCCTGAGCCTTCCTTGAACCACTCTCCTGCCTCTCTGGCCTTCAGGCACTAACCTTCCTTCAGCTCCATTCTCCTTCGTCAGTCCTTGGAGATGCCCCATTCATACCTCCTTTCTCCTTTCTGTCTGCCTCAGGAAGCATTTGCTAGTGGTTTCCAGTCCCTTGTCAAATGACTTTGTGAAAATGCTGTCATACAATCATATTTTTTTCTCCAAAGCTCTTGTCTCTACTTGTAATTTTGCTTTCATTCGTGGAATCAATTAATTAGCCTGTCTCCTGCCCTTACTAGACTGTAAATTCCTTCAGGGCAGGCAATGGATTTGTTTTATTCACCATTTTATCCCCTCCACCTAGCCCTATGCCTGGCATCTTACAGGCTCTTGTGAAATAATTTGAATAAATAATTGAAATCAGCAAATATGTAACTATTGTTACAAGACCTTACAAAAACAGAATGAAGGGAATTTAAAACAAGGAGAGAAATGCCACATTGTCAGCTTTTAGTTTAATTTAAAATTGTAAAGGGTAAGAACAGAGGGATTCTAGAATAGAATAATGCACCATGTAATAAGATTCAGAAAACTTCACAAACATGGAAATATGAACATTTAGACTGACATAAGGCACAGGCATGAGCAGACTGTGCCCTTTACCACCCCAACCGTATAAAATAAAAGGAGATGGGGAAGAGGAAGGAATATAGTGGGCCATATTCTACTTCTCTCATCCTTGAAAACTTAAGTATTTGATGGGCATAGAGAAGTCTGGGCGGTAAAGACAGAATGATCCCTCTCTAATACAGATTTAGATGACAGTCTTGCTTCCAAATATTCTGTACTCTTTTCTCTGTAACAGTTGAACTATCATGGAAATTCCAGTATTTCAGCAAGTCAACAACATATACTTATGTTTTCTGTATGCCATGTGCTAGGAATACAGTAGAAAACAATATAGCTGTCGTCTCTTTTATAGTGTGGATTTAGGGATGTTATTAACCTCTTATTTCCTTCCCTCTTAATTCTATGTTAGTTGAGCTCAGATGCCAAGAACTAGCTGAGGATTAAAGTACCATGTCAGGACATGTAAGACAAGTGACAGTAAAGGTAGTTCAATGAATCTCACTAATAAGATAAGAAATTCATTCTTCCCTAAAGAGAGAGACAGATGGTAGTGACAATGGAAAGAAAGGGAGAAGAATGCTCCCACATTTCTCCTTCCTGGAGTGTGGAGTGGATAACTGCTTCTTTCTAAGAAAACATGAAGAATCCATGAGAACCTCCACTCACTGCTAACATCAAGCTTCTGGCTCATCAATTGAGTAGAGAGAGAACACTAGAAAGAGGAGTAGGTTGGAGTGAGCCAGAGAGGGGATGAATTTCTATTTTGGATGAGCTACATCCTGGTACCGTAATACATTCATCCCAAAATCTCAGGGACTTAACCCCACAAAGGTTTAGTTCTTACTTCTTGTGCACACGATGTCTGTTAATGCATTTGCAGCAGCCTTCCAAGCAGTGAAATAAATCCACTCACTTTCATCTTGTGGTTCTGCTACCCTCACCAGGGCTGCCAGATTGCCCGGAGCTGTGAGATCCTTGGCATTCACAGCCTTTGCATGGAAGGGACGTATATCTCTCTTATTCACAGTCCATTGTGCAGGGCTAGTCACGTGACTTTGCATAACTGCAAGAGGGCTTGTGGTGTTATTCTCTGTGTTCAGGAAGGAAGACAGCTGGATGTTAGTGAGCACTAAGAATGTCCATCACATAAATGGTGCATTTACAGTATCTGTGAAATATCCAGGTAGAACTATCCCCTAGGCAGTTGGATAGATGGGTCTGCAATGGCACATCTCAAACATGTTGGTGCATAAGACTCATCTCCAGGACACTGTAAAAGATTCAGTTTCTTCAGTCCAACTCAGAGATTCTAATTCAGTAGGTCTGGAGTGAGGCTCTGGAATCTGAATTTCCAGACTCTGTAGAGACCATAATTTGATAAACACTTGTCTAGAAAATTTGGCATTACATGGATGGTTCTAGCTGCCACTCAGGGAGAGGCAATCATCTATGGAAAGAAGAGAGCGGGGTGAGAAAAGGAAAAGGAGCAGACTGAGGCCTGGGAAATACCAAGGGGTGAGTCTGTTTCAAGAATTAGGGTGGGCTGCCCATTTACGGCAAATGCTGCTGAGAGGTCTTGTAAGATGAGGACTGAAAAGGATGCATTGCCTTTTTTCCCCCCTGAGACAGAGTCTTGCTCTGTCGCCCAGGATGGAGTGCAGTGGTGCGATCTCAGCTCACTGCAACCTCCGCCTCCCGGGTTCAAGCAATTCTCCTGCCTCAGCCTTCTGAGTAGCTGGGATTACAGGCGCATGCCACCACGCCCAGCTAATTTTCGTATTTTTAGTAGAGATGGGGTTTCAGCATGTTGTCCAGGCTGGTCTCGAACTCCTGACCTCGTAGTCCCTCCGCCTCGGCCACCCAAACTGCTGGGATTACAGGCGTGAGCCACCATGCCCAGCTGGATGCATTGTCTTTAATGACAAGGAAGTTACCCATAACCTTAGCAGGAGCTGGACACCAGGTCCTGTTTGTTGAAGAGTGGGTGGGAATAGACCACCTGTGTGGACCATTCTTCAAGGATGTTTGGATGTAAAGAAGAGGAGAGAGGGAGGTACCTGAAGTGGGTGGGGTGTGATCAGAGGAACTTTTTTTTTTTTAATTCTTTAAGTTTTAGGGTGCATGTGCACAACGTGCAGGTTAGTTACATATGTATACATGTGCCATGTTGGTGTGCTGCACCCATTAACTCGTTATTTAACATTAGGTATATCTCCTAATGCTATCCCTCCGCCCTCCCCCCGCAACTTTTTAAAAATGTAAGTGAGACTGGAAAATGATTAAGTGCTAATAGGAAGGAGAAGTTGAAGAAAGAGAAGACAAGAGATCCTCACTAGATTTCCTGAGAAGACAGGAGGGGATGGAATATTGAGAACACTTTGGAAGGGTTTGCTCTAGCTCAACAGGGGAACACTCCTTCATCATCAAAGGAGGGAAAGAGGAAATAATGGTTTTGGGGTGCTCACTAGAATCACCTAGGAAGCTTAAAAATGTATATACTGTTGCCTGCTCTCAGCCCTAAGATTCTACTTTAATTGATCTGCCTTACTGCCTGGATGTCAGGATTTTAAACAAGCTCTCCCAGATGGTTCTAATGAATAACCAAGCCTCCAAGGTTTTCACTGGGTTAGAAACAGGTCTGCTTAGGGTTTTTGTAGATGCTTAGGTCACAGCTTAGACAGCACTTCCTTAGAGAAGACCATCCAGGGCACCCATTAAGTTAGGCCCCTGGATGTATGGTCCTATAGCACTGTACTTACTCACTACCTTTACTTCTAATTTCTTACAGAATGCATGTCTTCCTACTAGATTGTAAGCTTGTCGGGGCCACATCTATCCTGTTTACTACTGAATCCCAGCTGGCAGAAAGTAGTCATTTCACAATATTTTTGGAGCAAATGCATCAATCAGACCATCATGTGTAAGGGAGGTCACAGGATGAAGGAACAGTGCAGTGACCTGGAACACCATGCCACGCTGCTGCAACTGTGTCGGTCCGTGGCTGTGTGTGCGTGCTCTGCACCCCTAGATGAACTCACCAAACAGCATCTACGGAAAAGCCCATGAACTGTTGCTGCGAAGCAAAGGTGATTAAATGTAAGGTTATAACAATAGTGAGTGTTTCTCGTGTCATCAAGCATATTTTGTTTGTATTTTAAAGGTGATTGAAGTGCAAAATTACAGCTAGGCATGGTGGCTCACGCCTGTAATCCCAACATTTTGGGAGGCCGAGGCAGGCAGATCACGAGGTCAGGATATCGAGACCATCCTGGCTAACACGGTGAAACCCTGTCTCTACTAAAAAATACAAAAAAATTAGCCGGGCATGGTAGCGGGCGCCTGTAGTCCCAGCTACTCGGGAGGCTGAGGCAGGAGAATGGCATGAACCCGGGAGGTGGATCTTGCAGTGAGCTGAGATCGCACCACTGCAGTCCAGCCTGGGCGACAGAGTAAGACCCCGTCTCAAAAAAAAAAAAAAAAAATTAGCCAGGCGTGGTGGCACGTGCCTGTAGTCCCAGCTACTTGGGAGGCTAAGGCATGAGAATCACTTGAGCCCAGGAGGCGGAGGTTGCAGTGAGCTGAGATCACTCCAATGCACTCCAGCTTGGACGACAGAGTGAGACTCCGTCTCAAAAAAAAATAAATAAATAAAAGAAGTACAAAATTACTTAAAATCTGATTTGTTGCAAAATGAATACAGGTACTAGAAAAGGAGCCTCTTCATGAGACTATTTAATGGAGTATGTCTCCTTGAGGAGCCATCACAATCTGCAGGCAAGTTTGTGTACCTACATCAGTAAGAAAAGCTTTGCTTATTGCAAGAAATCTTATTTCTTCAGCCTTTGTCCAATTGTGTGTAACCACAGGCTCATTCTTATTATACAGATGCAGGACGGTTGAGTATGTGTGATTCTACATCATAATTATATAACCTAAGTGTTTACAATTTTTTTGGTAAATATTTTGCATTTTGTGGGCTATGTTGAGTATGTTTCACAACTAGTCAGCTCCACCACTGTAGTCCCACAGTATCCGTAGACAATACTTAAACAAATGAGCATGGCTGTTGTATTGATTTTATTGCTGTATAGTAAGTTACCACAAACTTAGTGGCTTAAAACAACATCCACTTATCTCACAGTTTCCATGGCCAAGAGTCAGTTTAGCTGAGTCCTCTACTCAGGGTCTCTCAAGTCTGTAGTCAAGGTGTCAGTAAGGGCTGCAGTCTCATCTGATGTTTGTGATCCTCTTCCAAACTCCAGGGCTTACTGCAGAATTTATTTCCTTGCAGCTGGTTAACTTGTGATACCTTGCTTCTTTATAACCCTCAGGAGAGCACACCTCAGCAGGAGGCTCAGATAGGTCCCAGCCGCCCATCTTTTACGGGCTCACCTGATTAGGTCAGGCCCACTCAGAATTATTTTTCTTTGGTTACTCAAAATCAACTGGTTATGAACTTTAATTCTATCTGCAAAATCTTGTCACCTTTGCTATAAAAAGTAACATAATCACGGGAGTGACACCCCATCATATTCTCAGTCCCACCCACACTTGAGTAGAGGAGAGATTATACAGAGTGTCTATACCAGGCCATGGGAATATTGGGGCTACCTTAGAATTCTGTCTGCCACATCGGTGTTCAAATAAAACAACAAATGGATACTGAAATGTGAATAGCAGATAATTTTTCACCTGTCACAAAACTATTTTCTTGTTTTGATTATTTTCCAATTATTTTAAAATGTTATAACCATTCTTAATTTGCGGGCTTGGGGAAAAAAAACAACAAACCATGCACTAGGCTGTATTTTAATTGTGGGCTGTAGTTTGCCATCCCCTGATATAACCTGAAAAATGGAAGAAGATAGCCCAGATTGCCTGGTAAGAAGTAGGTCCCATAACCAGATGTTAGATCCAGATGACATGGCTCTGCAACGTGGGAGCAATGCTGAAGTTTAAGGATAGCTTCTCTTGCAAGTTGCTTCCTGTGACCTGGCAGGATTTAACCTTGAATAGACAGGAGACCAAGGTCACTGACCTAAAGGCATCTCCTGTATGAGGACATGGGGACATCTAGGAAGCTGTTCTCACCAAACATACCCCAGCTGGAAAGCCCCCAGATGCTTTCTGAAGTTGTCATCTTTGTGCTTATTGATGCAAGCTGCAGCTTCTTTGCATTTATTTGTTCCAGTGCTTATTTTCTTCAAGCCTACAAACGAATCCTCTATGGGGCTGTGCAACTTCAAATAGTCAATCAAAGATGAGAATGTTCTTTAGTTTTACTGGAAATGTAATTCTGCAGAAACAGAATTTAGGAACAACCATTAAGAGCAACCATTGCTTTTCATATCACAAGGTACAATCATAATTTCAGATATTTGTATTGTACATCCAGGCTAATTTTCATATTATTTAAATCAAAATTTTCGACAGCACAAATAAAAAGATTAACAACAGTGAAAAACATCCTTGTTCCAGGAGCGCAAAAAATCCTTAATACTATTGTGTGTAACATTAGATATTAGAATCATAATATATTTGTCTAGCCACAAATGTATTTGAACAATGTTAAAATGATGCTTGCGGCATGTATTTCTTCCTAAGGCTTCTGTTTAAGAAAGTCTGGGCTGGGCGCAGTGGCTCACGCCTGTAATCCCAGTACTTTGGGAGGCTGAGGCGCGTGGATCACCTGAGGCCAGGAGTTCGAGACCAACCTGGCCAACATGGAGAAACACCATCTCTACTAAAAATACAAAAATTAGCCAGGTGTGGTGGCGGTCGCCGTAATCCTAGCTACTCGGGAGACTGAGGCAGGAGAATCACTTGAACCTAGGAGGCAGAGGCTGCAGTGAGCCAAGATTGCGCCATTGCACTCCAGCCTGGGCAACAAGAGCGAAACTCTGTCTCAAAAAAAAAAAAAAAAAATGGTGCTTGTCTATCTGACAGGCACAATACAAATATTAATTTGTTCAAACCTTATAATAGCCTTTTAAAGACAGCATTATTATATATCATCCTTGATAAGAAAACTGAGACGCTGAGCACAGTTGGCCAATATCTCCTGACTAATAACTGACTGAACTGGGATTTGAACCCCACCTATTTCATTCCAGATTCTGTGTTCTCAACCACTATCCTCTGCTACCTCTCCAGTATATACTACTAATAAAAATATTTTCTGAATATGCTGACATAGTTTATGATATACAAATAATAAGATATTTTTAATGAAAACACGGAAATTAAAAATTCTTGAAGGTGACATCCCTCCAGGTGACTAACGTGCCCAATTAAATGACCATCTTTCCACTCGTCTAAGCCTCAGCAGGCTTGCGGATTATCTTGTCAGTGTGTCATCCAATATTTCTTTTTTTTTTTTCATCCAGTATTTCTAATGCTAGCTTTGAGAGTCTTTTCCAATAATGGCAATATCAGAATCTTGGTAGGGATCAGTTGCATGGTACAGATTTGCACAATTGTATTAATAATTCATCAGATTTTTTCAATTGATGTAGAAGATGTTATTGTAAAATTATTCAAAATTTGTTACATTTCTATAATATGAGTGAAGACACTGAAATAATCCTGCGATGTTATCAAAGACAAATTTGGTCCTATTCAAACATAAGATTTCTGATACAGATGCCTGTTCTCAGAAGAATACTAATAATGTTTCGACCATCACATGCTTAGTTTTTATCAGCTGAAAAAGTTGATTGTCAAGACATTTTCCAATGACATTAAATCAAAACAATGCCATTGCAATTTTCCATGACACTTTTTCCAAAATGGAGGGACAGAATATTTCTCCATGTGAATCTTTGCATTTTAATCAGAATTGAGGAGAAAGATAAAAATGTGAATGGTTTCACTCTAAAAATAAAATAATTTTTTAGAATACAATTGCTAATAATGTTAAATATTCATTGTGATGTAGATTTAGTGAAACTAATAAAGGGGATGGGAATTGAATTACCTACCTGTAGAGGCATATATTGAAAAGTCTTTAACAGTTTTGCTTTATTTGAAACAAACAAGCCAACAAACAAAGATTTGTTAAAAGGCTGTGAAAAGGATGATCTGAAGAAGGCCTGGAATCATTTCTAGGATATTTTATTTTCTGTTGTTATGGAGACTTTTAAAAACAAAATTCTTATTATTTAAATATTTGCTTACCAAGTCAAAGCAGAAGAAAACAAAATCCTCTATAAAGATTTTCATGAAAAAATATGTTACTATTCCAATATTTCATACCACCTGGTATGACTGATTTATCGGATCATTTTTACTAACAACTTTTGGGGATTACTAAAGAAATTGATACAAAATCTCACTCAATAATCCAAATGAATTACTCAAACTTTCCAAGACATGCTTGGAAAAAATAAAGAACAAATTCTCAATTTATAAATTGAATTCTACAAATGAACACAAAAGTGGAACACCCTGCCATCTGCTTCAACAAGAATGATGAAAATGACAAGACAAAAATTGCATCAACCCCTCTGTAATTTTTGGCAGAATTTTGTACTTATTCTCATGTACCTATATTCTTGTCAATAAAAGGTGATGGTCGAATGTATAACTCATAAAATTTGATTTTGTAATTTTTGAGGCTTTCTAAAAATAAATTCACAAATTAAAAGTATAACTTGTCAGAACATGAAGTCAAATTTGGGCTCTAGAAATACGGTCACCATATGAGTGTTCTGGATCAGAAAGAGCACTCTAAGTCAGAAAGGGTGAAGCAAAGACAGTCACAGTGGATGTAAATGAAAGAAAAATGAGGTGTGGGTGATTTGAGGATTAATGGGGGCTTTTTCTGTCCAGAAGAAATGCATTGCAGACATAAGATGATTCTTGATAAGGTAATAATCGCTTACTATAGTCAAACTCTAAGTACTTCAGCCAGAAACTACTGAGCACCAGGAGAGAGCTATTAGGCATTGTTAAAGCAATTGATCGCTTCCATCATTATTTGTGTGGCTGGAATTTCACAATCAGAACTTATCATGCTGCATTATGAGGCTTGCTGAAATTCACAGATTTGTAGGGACAAATTGGCTGGATGTTTACAAAACTGTAAGGCTATCATTTGCGAATTGAACATCGACAGAGAGTAAAAAAACATCGTAATGCCCATACATTATCTAGGCACCCTGTGTTGGGATAATGCTTGTGAAGCTGACATTAGGCATGAAGAAAAGAAACAAATAGTCTAACAGATCTGGTAGTTAGTGTTTTGGAACAACCAAAGGTTTCTGGCTGGGAGAGTGGAAAACACTCTTATTTCCTGAATAGAAAGTTATGAAATGGTTCATTCATCCACAAATATTTGTTGAGTGTATGCTATGTGCCAGGCACTGTCGAGGTATGAAGAATATACTAGCAAACAAGACAAATCGCAGAGCTGAGGTCCAGCAAAGGCCCAGAGAGAAAAAATATTATTTTGTGACAGTTGGATTGACTATACGTAAAAAACACCCATAAATTTTATGAAGAAGAGATGTCTAATAATATTGCCACTATTAAATACCATCATGTGTCATGTAAATATAGTCAAACTTTAAATTTCTTTTGCATGAAAGTGGTATCTAATTGACTGAGTGTGCTTTTTTTTTGTTTGTTTGTTTGTTTGTTTTAAGACGGAGTCTCGCTCTGTCGCCCAGGCTGGAGTGCAGTGGCGCGATCTCGGCTCACTGCAAGCTCTGCCTCCTGGGGTTCATGCCATTCTCCTGCCTCAGCCTCCCGAGTAGCTGGGATTATAGGCGCCCGCCACCACGCCCGGCTAATTTTTTTGTATTTTTTTAGTAGAGACGGGGTTTCACCGAGTTAGCCAGGATGGTCTCAATTTCCTGACCTCGTGATCCGCCCGCCTCGGCCTCCCAAAGTGCTGGGATTACAGGCGTGAGCCACCGCGCCCTGCCAAGTGTGCTTCTTTTAAAAAATGTAATATTTAACCTTTGCACATTCCCAGAAGTTTGTTCACTTAGTTTTTCAAGAAAATTTAGGTTCGGCTGGGCGCGGTGGCTCACGCCAGTAATCCCAGCACTTTGGGAGGCGAAGGCGGGCGGATCACAAGGTCAAGAGATAGAGACCATCCTGGCCAACATGGTGAAACCCCGTCTCTACTAAAAATACAAAAATTAGCTGGGCGTGGTGGCAGGCCCCTGTAGTCCCAGCTACTCGGGAGGCTGAGGCAGGCGAATCCCTTGAACCAGGAGATGGAGGTTGCAGGGAGCCGAGATCACGCCACTGCACTCCAGCCTGGCAACAGAGTGAGACTCCATCTCAAAAAAAAAGAAAGAAAAAGAAAATTTAGTTCCTTATACATGGTCAACCAAATTAAAATTGATTTGCAAAAAGGTGGATTTAACATATACAACCTAGAGAAATTCCAACTTTGAGGAAAACACAAGGAAGCTCTATAGTTCTACTTGATACCTTCTTATAGTTAAAAGTGTTTCCAAGGAATTCACAATTTTTAAAAATATAGTTCTGGCTTTTTTTGTTGTTTGGGGGTTTTTTGTTTTGTTTTGTTTTGAGACAGGGTCTCACTTTGTCACCCAGGTTGGAGTGTAGTGGCGTGAATATGGCTCATTATAGCCTGACCTTCCGGGCTCAAGAGATCCTCCCACCTCAGCCTCCCAAGTAGCTGGGACTACAGGCGCACACCACCACATTTGGCTGTATTTATTTATTTATTTATTTATTTATTTATTTATTTATTTATTTTGCAGAGACGGGGTTTTGCCATGTTGCCCAGGCTGGTCTTGAACTCCTGAGCTCAACTGATGCACTGACCTTGGCCTCCCAAAGAGCTGGAATTAAAAGCGTGAGCCACCACACGAACCTATATTTCTAATGTACTGAACTCTAGATGTTGGCATTATTTCTCAGATGCACCCAGAAAATGTTCTGATAGTCTAAACAGAACTAACCCTGAAAAGCAAATAAAAATTTCTAAGCACTTCACGCAGTGCTTGGCACATAATAAGTACTTATTAAGTATTTGTAGACATGATCAAGCAAATTGGATATGACAAATTGGCATCACAATAACTAGGTAGTAGGGGCAGATCCAGTTTTGTGGAACCTGAAGCTTATAAAATTGGAAGCCCCCTTTGAAAAAGGAATACAAAATCATCCACATGAAATTAGGCATGAGGCCGGGCCCAATGGCTCATGCCTGTAATCCCAGCACTTTGGGAGTCTGAAGCAGGAGGATTGCTTGAGTCCAGGAGTCTGTGGCCAGCCTGAGCAACATAGCAAGACCCTGTTCTCTACAAAAATAAAAGTAAAAAAATTAGCCAGGCATGGTGGCACATGCCTCTAGTCCTACCCACTTGAGAGGCTGAGATGGGAGGATTGCCTGAGCCTAAAAGTTTGAGGCCACAGGGAGCTATGATTGTGCCACTGCACTCCAGCCTAGGTGACATAAGGATACCCAGTCCCTAAAAAAATAAATAAGTAAAATAAAATAGAATTGGCATGAAACTGAATATTTAGAATGAGAAAATAAATCACTATAAATTATATTTTTTCCAGCTTTATTTGAAGTACAACTGACAAATAAAAATTGAATGAATCTATTTACTGTATAGAACATGATGCGTTGATATGTGTATATGCTGTGTGTATGTCACCCTCTTCTGCCTAAAGCATACCTTCTCCCCCTTCATCTAACCA
Organism: Homo sapiens; assembly: GCF_000001405.40. Taxonomy (NCBI): domain Eukaryota; kingdom Metazoa; phylum Chordata; class Mammalia; order Primates; family Hominidae; genus Homo; species Homo sapiens. The sequence goes on from NC_000004.12 coordinate 42,258,822, forward strand.
ATCATTCATCTTTCAAAATGCTCCTCATCTATCACCTCTTCAAGGAAGCCTTTCCTGACACCCCCAAAGTCTGGGCTAGGTCCCACCATGTGTGCTCCCAAGATATCACCTCTACCATGACACTTACCCTACTGCACTGAAACTGGCTGTCTACTCATCATCTGAATTCCCAACAGCTGAAGCATCTTAAAGAAAAGACCTGTGTCTTTTATCTTTATATTTCAGCGCCTAGTGCCCAGTAAACATACAATAGCTATTTGTTGAATGAATAAATGAGATTTATTGACTTTTTTTGGCATCAAACGAGTCCAGACCCTAGTGATCTCAAATCCATCATCATACTCTGCACAAACTGATTGAATATTGATCCCTTGCCATTGCTTCAAGTTAAAAAAAAAAAAAAACCTTTTGAAAATATGATGTGCAGGGCTGGGAGCGGTGGCTCCCGCCTGTAATCCCAGCACTTTGGGAGGCAGAGGTGGGCGGATTGCCTGAGCTCAGGAGTTCGAGACCAGCCTGGGCAACATGGTCAAACCCTATCTCTACTAAAACACAAAAAATTAGCCAGGTGTGGCAGCGTGTGCCTGTAGTCCCAGTTACTTGGGAGGCTGAGGCAGGAGAATTGCTTGAACCCAGGAGGCGGAGGTTGCAGTGAGCCGAGAAAAAAAAAAGAAAAGAAAATATGATGTGCAGCTATAAAACAACAAAACTGATTCTATAAGACATACATAAATACCAGGTTCATTATTTTATGATCATCCTTCACAAATAACAATTTGAAATGACTGAGTTGCAGTCAGACTTGAACACATACTTGTTATGAAGAATTATAACTTCATTTCCTACTATAAAACTAATTGTTGCCATTGAAAATGTTGGAAAGAAACAGGCTGGTCTAGAGAAGACTTACAAAAAAATATTCGATTTCATTTCTGTTAAAACTTTACCTGATTTTTTCCTATGTCTTAGTCTCCATGTTCTGTTTTTCAGTTCTGTTTTTCAGTGGACTCCATATCTGTGTCATCCAAGACGCCTACTGTTGACATAAAGCTGCTGCATACGTAAGACTCTACTCAATTTATTTAATTCTACAAAAGCTTACTGAATATTTTCTATTCTAATTGTGCTAGCATTATGATCACATCACAGGAGTCAAGGTATTTGGATGCAATATTTTGTTTTCTAGTCATTTGTTGTTGTTGTTGTTTTTTTTGAGATGGTGTTTCACTCTTGTTGCCCAGGCTGGAGTGCAGTGGCGCAGTCTCAGCTCACTGCAACCTCTGCCTCCTGGGTTCAAGGAATTCTCCTGCCTCAACCTCCCGAGTAGCTGGGACTACAGATGCCCATCAGCACACCTGGCTAATTTTTGTATTTTTAATAGAAATGAGGCTTCACCATGTTGGCCAGGCTGGCCTCAAACTCCTGACCTCAGGTGATCTGTCTGCCTCGGCCTCCCAAAGTGCTGGGATTACAAACGTGAGCCACAGCGCCCGACTCATTTCCTTATTCAACAAATAATGTGAAGCTTTCACTATAAGATCATAAGACACTGCTGTAACTACCACAGGAGGAAAAAGGGATCAATACATTTCTGATTTCATAGAAATTATAATTTAATTAGGGAGATAAGATATGCAGACGTAACATGTTTAACATCAACACTGAAGTTTAATAGCAACATGAGCCAATTATATAAAAACTCTTCTATGATTAAGTCACATCATCCTGGGCTTTTCCAGGCTCTCCCTGGGTCGGTGGGTTCACCCTCACAGGAAGCCGGGTTGTGCTAAAAGGAAAGTTTCAGAAATAGGCTAGTGTTTGAAAATGGGGCAAGTTCCCAGCCTCAATTGCTTCATCTTATATACTCATAGAATGATGGGGAAATGTGTGTCTCCCTCTTTACCCCTCCCTTTTGTGTAGAAAATGCCCTCAGTGGGCTCAGTGGGTATCAGTGCCACAGGTGAGCATAGTAACCCTGACGGTCCCTTACAAGGTTGGCAGCGTGAAGCAGCACCTACCACTGTTGTGCTCTCAGGGTCTTTTTGTGTGTGTGTTTGACATCTGCAACAGATTTATTTTATTTTATTTATTTTTTTTGAGATGGAATCTGGCTCTGTTGCCCAGGCTGGAGTGCAGTGGTGCGATCTTGGCTCACTGCAACCTCCGCCTCCCAGGTTCAAGTGATTCGCCTGCCTCAGCCTCCCGAGTAGCTGGGACTACAGGCATCTGCCACAACAGCTGGGTAATTTTTGTATTTTCAGTAGAGACGGGATTTCACCATGTTGGCCAGGTTGGTCTCAAACTCCTGACCTCAAGTGATCCACTTGCCTCGGCCTCCCAAAGTGCTGGGATTACAGGCGTGAGCCACCATACCCGGCCCAGATTTATTTTTTTAAAGGGATGGATTTTGAGAGGTAACAATATGGGGCAGAAGTATGTAACAGAAAATAAATACAAATGTAAGCTGCTTTGCTAGCTGTTTTATAACCACAACAAACTAGTTCAGAGAATGACCTGTACAAAACACAATAAAGGTTCAAAGATGAAGGCGTTCCCTTAGCAAGGCTGAAAATGTCCATCTCTGGCATTTGGAATTAAAGCTGCAGTCTTTGGTTTTGGATGGATCTCTGGGTGTGTGGCACAGTCCAGGTTTTGGGGAGGTGAGAGGAGTCGCCAGATTCCTCAATCTGGAGAGTATAGTGTTGGTGATGACAAGATTTCCACTCTTCTCTGTGGGATTAGGACGGGAGTGTATTCTCCACCCACCACCAAGCTTAATTGAGGGGGAGATTTCAAGAAGTCTTGTAGCGGGCCGGGCGTGGTGGCTCACACCTGTAATCCCAGCACTTTGGGAGGCTGAGGCAGGCAGATCACGAGGTCAGGAGATCAAGATCATCCTGGCTAACACGGTGAAACCCCGCCTCACTGTGTTAGCTGGGCGTGGTGGTGGATACCTGTAGTCCCAGCTACTCGGGAGGCCGAGGCAGGAGAATGGCTTGAACCGAGGAGGCAGAACTTGCAGTGAGCCAAGATCGCTCCACTGCACCCCAGCCTGGGCAACAGAGCAAGACTGCGTCTCAAAAAATAATAATAATGAAAAAATAATAGAGTACTACACAACTATTAGAATGGACAAAATCTAAAACATTGACAACACCAAATGATGCTGAGGATGTGAAGCAATAGTAACTCTCATTCATTGCTGGTGAGAATGCAAAATGGAATAGACATTTTAGAAAACAGTTTGGCAGTTTCTCACAAAACTAAACAAAAAATTTATCATGTACAATTGTATGGCAATGTAGTCTTACCGTACAATCCAGCATTCATGCTCCTTGATATTTATCCAAATGAATTGAAAACTATGTCCACACAAAACATGCACATGGATGCTTATAGCAAGTTTATTCATAATTGTCCAAACTTGGAAGCAACCAAGATGTCCTTCAATAGGAGAATGAATAAACAAACTGTGATACATCCAGAAAGTGGAATATTATTCAGTACAAAATGAAATGAGCTCTCAAGCCCTGAAAAGACACAGGGGAACCTTAAATGCGTATTACTAAGTGAAAGAATCCAATCTGAAAAGGCTACATGTGTTATGAGTCCAACTGTGTGACACTCTGGAAAAGGCAAAATATGGAGACAGGAAAACGATCAGTGAGCAGAGAGGGGTATGAATTTTTAGGGCATAGAGAATTGTTAGGGCAATGAAACTATTTTGTATAATTATACAATAATGGATACATGTCATACATTTGTAAAAACCCATACAATGTACAACACTGTGAACCCTCATGTAAACAAACTATGGACTTTAGATGGTAATGATGTGTCAGTGTAGGTTCATTGATTGTAACAAATGTACCAACGTGGTGCAGGTGTTCCGGGAAAGGGTTCTAGATCCAGACCACAAAAGAAAGTTCTTGGATCTTTCCTCGTGCACAAGAAAGAATTTGGCACAAGTCTACAGAGTAAAGTGAAAGCAAGTTTATTAGAGAAGTAAAGAAACAAAAGAATGACTACTCCATAGGAAAAACAGGATGTTCCCAAAAGCAAGAGGAAGAAACTGCCCTTTAGGTACAATGTTTATACATAACAAAGGAAAAAAGTCATGGGGGAGGTGTGCTCTACTACTAGGGATTGTGAGAAAGGATTCTTAACCTTTGTGTAACTACTGACTTTTGCAAGAATCTGTATTATTATCTTTAAAGTGAAATTTAGTCTCAAATGAAGAATGTTTTTGTTCTTAAGAAAAAGAAAAAAAAATCATGCGGGAGGTGTGCTTTACTAGGGCTCGTGACAGGATTCTTAATCTTTGTTTAACTACTGACTTTTGCAAGAATCTATATTATTTATCTTTAAAGTGAAACAGTCTCAAACGAAGAATGTTTTTGTCCTTAAGATATCGGAACATCAGGATGTTTACTAGGTCTATTAAGTCCTGGGTCTGTTCAGTAAACATAATTAATCTGTTCCCTTAACTGTAAACATTTTGTGACTAAGATTATGCCTAACCTCCTGGGAATGTAGCTCAGTAAGTCTCAGCCTCATTTTATCCAGCCTCCATTCAAGATGGAGTCGCTCTGGTTGGAAGGCCTCTGACATAGGAGGTCAGTAGTGGGGGAAGGGATCAGGGTGGGGAACAAGTGGTATACGGGACCTCTCTGGACTTTATGTTCAACTTTGCTGTGAACCTAAAACTGCTCTAAAAAATAAAGTTTATTAGTTGTTAAAAATCATGTCTGCTACAATTCCTTTAGCCTTAATTCCTGGACGTAGATTTGTTAGAACAAAATAATTTGGTTTTAAAAATTTTCTGATAGGCCGGGTGCGGTGGATCACGTCTGTAATCCCAGCACTTTGGGAGGCCAAGGCGGGCGAATCACTTGAAGTCAGGAGTTCAAGACCAGCCTGGCCAACATGGTGAAACCCCGCCTCTACTAAAAATACAAAAATTAGCCTGGTGTGGTGGTGGGCACCTGTAATCCCAGCTACTCAGCTACTCAGAAGGCTGTGGCATGAGAATCGCCTGAACCTGGGAGGCGGAGGTTGCAGTGAGCCGTGATTGCACCACTGCACTCCAGCCTGGGCAACAGAGCGAGACTTGGTCTCAAAAAATAAAAAAATCAATAAAATAAATAAATAAAAAATTCTGATACATGTCGCAAATTGCCCTTCAGTAAAAGACATGGGTCCTAAATTACATATAATGTTTCACTTAAAAACCTTGATTCAGGTATATGAAAACGAAATCCATGTATCTTAGCCATGATCAAGGCAACTTTTGATTTTCACAGGGAAGGAGGAAAATCGTGGGAGAGAAAGTAAGCCATAGAGGAACCCACCCTGCATTGTGAGGTAATTAACAAAAACACCTTTCGGCAGAGTTAGCCTTAAGAGACGGTGAAGCAATGAAGTTTGCCTGTGGTGCCCTCAAAGTCCTCTTTCAGTCATTTCTAGTGCCTGGTCCCTCCCATCCAGCCCCTTCCCCCTTTCTTAACTGCATCATTACTCTTGTTCCCATTCCCGACAGGACAGGCACCTCATTAAGGCGTTTGTTAATAATAGATAATAGCGATTAGAATGTTAACTCCAAGGCAGCTGGGTGTGATGGCTATAATCTCAGTACTTTGGGAGGTCGAGGCGGGTGGATCATCTTAGGTCGGGAGTTCAAGACCAGCCTGGGCAACATGGTGAAACCCCATCTCTACCAAAAATACAAAAATTAGCCAGGCATGGTGGCGTCTGCCTGTAATGCCAGCTACCTGGGAGGCTGAGGCACGAAAAATCACTTGAACCCAGGAGGCGGAGGTTGCAGTGAGCCGAGATGGCACCATTGCATTCCAGCCTGGGCGAGACTCTGTCTAAAGAAAAAAAAAAAAGTTAACTCCAAGGCATATTTACATTTTTTTAGACTTTTGGACTTTTGAAGATCTAAAAGTATGTATTTCTAATGTTGGGGATTTGGGAATTCTTACTGTTGGGCATTTGGGGCTAATGGAGATTTCCTGCCACCTCCACAATTGCACAATGTAGGAGGCCCTGATTGTCTCCAAGGCCAGATATATTGTTAGGACTTCCTAGATAAGATGGTGGGCCTCATGATTTCTGGGTGAGACATGTGGGTGGTGTTTGTGTCTTTCCTTAAACAGTGTGCTATAGAGACCCTTTTCTCCAAGTGTGGTCCCTAATCCATCTGCTCAGAATCACTCTGGGAGCTTTTGTTTAAAATACAGATCCCTAGGTCCTTCTACTTACCTGCATTTTACAGTTTTTTGGGTAATCCTTAGTGATATTAAATTGACTCCTCAGATAAGTTTTATAAATACTAAAGTTTAAGAACTAGAGCTATAGAGCAGTGGCTGTCAACCCTGGGAGTACATTGAAATGACTGGGGTATTTTTTAAAAACAAATCTTATTGTGATTCATAGGTCATATTCCAGATATTCTGGTTCTATTGGTCTGGAGTAGGTGCCAGGTATCAGTATATCTTAAATTTTCTTGGTTTATTCTAATGCAGGGTTATCCAATCTTCTGGCTTCCCTGGGCCACATTGAAAAAAGAAGAATTGTCTTGGGCCACACATAAAATACACTAACACTAATGATAGCTGATGAGCTTAAAAAAAAAAACTCATAATATTTAAAGAAAGTTTATGAATTTTGTGTTGGGCCACATTTAAAGCTGTCCTGGGCTGTAGGCAGCCCATGGGCTGTGGGTTGGATAAGCTTGTTCTATTTTTTTTTTTTTTTTTTGAGGTGGAGTCGCTCTGTCGCCCAGGCTGGAGTGCAGTGGCGTGATCTTGGCTCACTGCAAGTTCCGCCTCCCAGGTTCACGCCATTCTCCTGCCTCAGCCTCCCAAGTAGCTGGGACTACAGGCGCCCGCCACCATGCCTGGCTAATTTTTTGTATTTTTTAGTAGAGACGGTGAGAGGTGACAGCATGCTGGCAGTCCTCAGAGCCCTCACTTGCTCTCTGCACCTCCCCTGCCTGGGCTCCCACTTTGGTGGCATTTGAGGAGCCCTTCAGCCTCCCCACTGCACTGTGGGAGCCCCTCTCTGGGCTGGACAAGGCCGGAGCCGGCTCCCTCTGCTTGCGAGGAGGTGTGGAGGAAGAGGCGCAGGTGGGAACTGGGGCTGTGCACGGCGCTTGCAGGCCAGTGCGAGTTCCGGGTGGGTGTGGGCTCAGTGGGCCCCACACTGGGAGCAGCTGGCCAGCACTGCCAGCCCCAGGCAGTGAGGGGCTTAGCACTGGGCCAGCAGCTGCGGAGGGTGCGCTGGGTACCCCAGCACTGCTGGCCCATCCGTGCTGCACTTGAATTCTCACTGGGCCTCAGCCACCTCCACGTGGGGCAGGGCTTGTGACCTGCAGCCCTCCATGCCCGAGCCCCCAACCCCTCCTCCCTATCTTCCCCCCACCACCTTCCACTCCCCACCTTCCCCTCCCAACCTTCCCCCCCACCTTCCTTCCCCCCACCCATGGGCTCTCGCGAGGCCCAAGCCTCCCCGACGGGCGCCACCCCCTGCTCCACCAAGCCTAGTCCCATCAACCACCCAAGGGCTGAGGAGTGCAGGCATGCAGCACGGGACTGGTGTGCAGCTCTGCCCAAGGCACCCACACGGGATCCACTAGGCAAAGCCAGCTGGGCTCCTGCCTCAGGTGGGGACTTGGAGAACTTTTATGTCTAGCCAGAGGATTATAAATGCACCAATCAGCACTCTGTGTCTAACTCAAGGTTTGTAAATACACCAATCAGCATCCTGTGTCTAGCTCAAGGTTTGTAAATGCATCAATCAGTGCTCTGTGTCTAGCTAATCTAGTGGGGACTTGGAGAACTTTTATGTCTAGCTAAAAGATTGTAAATACATCAATCAGCACTCTGTGTCTAGCTCAAGGTTTGTAAATACACCAATCAGCACTCTGTGTCTAGCTCAAGGTTTGTAAACGCACCAGTCAGTGCTCTGTGTCTAGTTAATCTAGTGGGGACTTGGAGAACTTTAACGTCTAGCTAGAGGATTGTAAATACATCAATCAGCACTCTGTGTCTAGCTCAGGGATTGTAAACGCACCAATCAGCACCCTGTCAAAACGGACCAATCAGCTCTCTGTAAAATGGACCAATCAGCAGGATGTGGGTGGGGTCAGATAAGGGAATAAAAGCAGGCTGCCCCAGCCAGCAGCGGCAACCAGCTGGGGTCCTCTTCCACACTGTGGAAGCTTTGTTCTTTTGCTCTTTGCAGTAAATCTTGCTGCTGTTGACTCTTTGGGTCCGCACTGCCTTTGTGAGCTGTAACACTCACTGCAAAGGTCTGCAGCTTCACTGCTGAGGCCAGCGAGACCACGAACCCACCGGGAGGAATGAACAACTCCGGACGGGAGGAACGAACAAACTCCGGATACGCCGCCTTTAAAAACTGTAACACTCACCGTGAGGGTCCACGGCTTCATTCTTGAAGTCAGTGAGACCAAGAACACACCAATTCTGGACACAGTAAGAGCCTTTGAATCCTGTACCTCAAAATCTTTGCCTTGCTGTTTCCATTAATGTTGGGCTTTTATTTCACAATCCTTACCTGATACTAACTCCCTATTATGAAGAACTGATCTGTAAACCAAAAATAAGATCCCAAGGTCTCCCGGCCACCTGCAGGGACTTTCTCTTAGGTCAGGGCACTCTAAAATTTAACCTGAAAGACTGGTTCAGGCCATTATGGGAAGTGGGAGTTGAAATGCATCATTATACCTCTTCCGCATTAACATCAACAGACTTTAAGTCTGATGAGAAACATTTACAATCTATTTGCTCTAAAACCTGCTACCTGAAGGCTTCATCCGCATGGGAAACCTTTGGTTTCCACAGCCCAGACATTCCTTCCCATTAGTAACTCTGTCAACCAATTGCCAATTAGAAAAAATTTAAATCTACCTATAACCTGGGTTCAGCTGACCCCCCCAACCCTGATAGCTGTCCCACCTTTCTGGAATGAGCCAATGTATTTCTTGAATGTACTTGATTGAAATCTCATGTCTCCCTAAAATGTGTAAAACCAAGCTTCACCCTGACCTTGGGCACATTGTTCTCAGGATCTCTTGAGGGCTGTGTCAGAGGCCGTGGTCACTCATATTTGACTCAGAATGAAACTCTTCAGGTATTTTACAGAGTTTGACTCTTTTTGTTGACACATCTGAATCAAATTTCCAATTCTTTATGAATTCTGACCTCACTTTTCCTCCATCCGAGATGCTTCCAAAGCACTGTCAAATATTGCTTTCTCTTAGCGCAGTAAACAATAAACTCAGCCTTGTCTTGTCAATGGGTTGTATTGATGACATTTTGTAGCCAAAAAGTTTGACATAGGGGGAATTGAGAATCACTGATATATTAGAGAGAATGCTAAAGTTGATGTCAGATGGCTTATTATTATTTTAATTGTCTGGGTCCTGACTCTATTGCTTATGAACTAGATGACCTTGGTCAAGTTACTTAGCCTCTCTGACTATTAGTTTCTTTTGTAAAAACAAGAGTTTCTGATACCTCACCTTTGCCTCAGGATCATTATAGGCTTCAAGGAAAATGTCTCTCAAAGTGGTCTGCAACCTGGAAAATTCTTTCTAAATGTAATGTAATATAGATGAACTGACAATCATAGGTTACCCTTTTTTTCCATTTAGCCTTTACTTGAAATTCATAACTTACAGTTTTTGAACACCTACTATAGGGTCAGAAAATACATGGCTCTTGGACCCTGCCTCCCTTTCTACTGCCTAAAGCAGACATTGTGACTCAAGTGCAGTGGTCATTCAGTAGCAGGCCTGATGACTTCAGATTCCTCCCTGTAACAGCACTCTAATGTCACCAATAATTGATTCTCGTTGGCACTCTTGCTAAAACTTATTTGTCATCCTGGCCAATTTAGAAGCAAGGAGAATTTCCTCCCTACACTGAGGTTAGAATTGAAGACTATTGAAATGAATTGACAATAGACAGATTAGCAGGAAACAAAGTTATACAAATGTATTAACATGAACATGGACATAGGAGTCCTGCAAATATGGGACTCAAAGAAGAGCCAGATGACTAAAATGTTTATACTATGCAGAAAGATAAAGAAGCATGGAGTGCGGCAACAGGTTATGGGAAGGAGAAGGTTGGAAAGGCATGACAAGCAAAGGCCGTCTTGTTATGCAAATGAAAATCTCCCAGGTAATCTCAGAGGTGTCCTCACAGAGAACAGATGGTAGCCTGTGGTCAAAGTTTCTCTTTCAGACCTTTAAAATTGGCAGACTTTTAGTCCCTTTTTCCTGTGAGTTCATCTTTCCTAGATCCAGATAATGCAGAAAAGGGGGTTCTTGGAGAAAGCCTGTTTGCATTGCTGTTTCTTTCACTAATGTAGATTTCCTCATGGATGCAAATCTCCCCCAAAAAAGACAGATTTTCAGAGCTATTTCAGTGTCTGCAGCCCCTGTAAAGCCACATTGAAATATAGCAGAGAAATATATATATATGTATGTATATTTTTGAAATATATATATTTTAAAATACATATTTTGAAATATATATTAAAAATATATATTTTAAATATATATATTAAAAAATATATATAACATATATATTTAAATATATATATTTAAAATATATATATTTAAAATATATTTAAATATATATATTTAAAATATATATTTAAAATATATATATTTAAAATATATATTTAAAATATATATATTTAAAATATATATTTAAAATATATATATATATATTATATATATATATATTTTTTTTTGAGACAGAGTCTTGCTCTGTCTCCCAGGCTGGAGTGCAGTGGCATAATCTTGGCTCACTGCAACCTCTGTCTCCTGGGTTCAAGCAATTCTCTTGCCTCAGCCTCCCAAGTAGCTGGGACTACAGGCATGTGCCATCACACCCAGCTAAGTTTTTTGTATTTTTAGTACAGACGAGGTTTCATCATGTTGGTCAGGCAGGTCTTGAACTCCTGACCTCAAGTGATCCACCTGCCTCAGCCTCCCAAACAAATATATTTTTGGGTGGCATATTTTGGTTTCCTTTACCAACTGTCTACCAGGTACTGTGCTAGGTGCTTTATTAAGCTCTTTTATTTAATCTTTACTACAATCTAATATGGCAGATTTTATTGTCCTCATTTTTCAGATAAGGAAACTGGAGCCCAGAGAAGTTAACTAACATGCATTTAGTAAGTAGCAGAGGTTTGTTTTGGAGCCAGGTTGTCTCTCCACATAACATGTTTTATTTATACAATGGCCATTTATTCATTATGTACCATAAGTTCCAAGCTCTTTGATACAAAATAGGTTAAAATGGTTATGCTTTTACCTTATCTGCATGGTTGGTGACCTTGATGTTAGGTAGGCAAAATTTTACCTCTACTCTCTTAGGGCTGTTTTGGCTGGGCCTGAGAATTAAACTGACATAATGAGGCAGGAGGATCATGTGAACCCGGAAGTTCAAGGATGTAGTAGGTTATGATCATGCCCCTGCACTTCAGCCTGAACAACAGAGCGAGACCCCTATCTCTAAAAATAAAAATAAAAAAATAAAAAAATTTAAAACTAAACTAACATGAGACAGATTAACAGCATAAACACATACAAATTTATTTAATATAAGTTTTATGTGCCATAGGGACCCTCATAAGAAAATGAAGACCCAAAGAAGTGGCAAAATCTAAATGCTTTTATACCAGGTTGAGCAAAGAAATGCAATTTTGGGGCTGGTGTGGTGGCTCATGCCTGTAAATCCCAGCACTTTGGGAGGCCGAGGTGGGTGGATCACAAGGTCAGGAGTTTGAGACCAGCCTGGCCAACATGGTGAAACCCCATTTCTACTAAAAATACAAAAATTAGCCAGGTGTGGTGGCACGGGCCTATAATCTCAGCTACCTGGGAGGCTGAGGCAGGAGAATTATTTGAACCCGGGAGGCAGAGGTTGCAGTGAGCTGAGATGGTGCCATTGCACTCCAGCTCTGGGTGACAGAGCAAGACTCCATCTCGAAAAAAAAAAAAAAAAGAAATGCAATTGTGGAAAAGTAACTAAACTATGTGAGGAGGCTAACGGAATATAAGGATTATTTTAACAAGGTCTGTTTGTTCAGAATTCTCTTGGTCTCAACTTCCCGTTCTTGATGATGTGGGAAACCAAAATATGCCACCCCAAAATATACTTCTTTGGCATATTTTGAGTTGGTTATTCAGAGAAACTGTAGAAAGAAATAGCTCAGAAAAACTATCCTTTTGTAAAAGAAAAATTTACATTTACCCAAATTAGTGAAGCAAATGGGGGATGCAGGAAGAGGCTTTCTCTGAGGTCCTCTTATCCGGATCTAGGAAAGATCAACTTGCAGGAAAAGAAGACCTAAGGTTTGAAAGGGAAATCTTTACCATGGGCTACCATCTATTCTCTCTGAGGGCTGCTACCTGAAAGGCTTCATCTGCATAACAAGCCAGCCTTTGCTCACTGTGAGTTTCTTCCCTTCACCCTCCTATAACCTGTCACCACCTCCCCTCAGGAGCTACAGGCTCTATTTCCTTGTGTACGGTGTAAAAACTTCAGTCACCTGGCTCTTCTTTGAGTTCTCATATTCTGTGTGACTCCCATGCTTACGGATGTAATACATTTTTATGCCTTATTTTTGGTTAGTCTTTCTATTGTCAGTTTGTTTTTTTTTTCTTAATTAAAAAGAGAGATGAGGTCTCACTTTTTTGCCCAGGCTGGTCCCAGACTCCTGGGCTCAAGTGATCCTCTTGCCTTGGCCTTCCAAAGTGCTGGGATTACAGGCATGAACCACTGCACCCAGCTATCAGTTTGTCTTATAGACTCAAATTATCGAACTTTCAGAGGGGTGGGGAAAAAACTCCCTTCATTCTTACAGTGACGGGAATGTTGCTTTCCTTTGTGTATGGAGGACATTTTTCACATGGAGATTTTGTCTCCTGCTTTTGGGAAAACAAAGGGAAAAGAGTGCAGTCTTCTTGTGCTTGCTCTTGTGTGCCTGTAATCCCAACTACTTGCTTGAACCCAGGAGGCAGAGTTTACAGCGAGCCAAGATTGCACCACTGCACTCCAGCCTGGGTGACAGAGTGAAACTCCATCTCAAAAAAAAAAAAAAAAAAAAAAAAGTGCCTCTAACTCAAAATAATTTATATGCCAAAGTGGCATCTTTTGGGGTGACATATTCCACCACCCTTCACTGTTTATCTGGGGAAATCCTAGAGGGGCTATGTTTCCTGAATTCACACATTACACTCCTGAATAAACACAGAGTAAATTTTCTGAGTAAACAAGAAAAGCAGGTGGAGATACCAGCCACAGGCTCTCACCCCTCTTACCAGAGTGGTCTGCCTGATTTCCAAGGCTGCAAATACACAAACTGATGTCCTTGTATGAGAGGCTTCTTCCTTCTGCTTGTCTCACTCAACCTAAAGGGCACGGCTATAATAGAGAAAATGAGTGTCTGCCCTGAACAGCCAAGATAACCTTGAAGGGAATAAATGAACATGCATATTGATGGAGCAATTTGAGTACATATTGATTCCTGGTAGCTGGTGTCTGTATTCTTAGCTCATATAATAGGTAGTAGGAGTTCTTATAAATAAGCCTACAGAATACTTTTTTTTAAGAAACTCAACCAACCTTTGGGAGATCTTGTTATTTTTATTTACAAATAATTGATGGAGAATGCAGTGTGGCCTATGGCTTGGTGATTATTGATTTTCAGTCCTGATTAACAGAGCTCAAAACCTATAGGTGGCTACAGAAACAATCCTGAGCAAACATGATTCCCTACTGGGAAATTAATAATGCAAAAGGAAATTCTCCCAATGAGTGTGCTGTTGGAAAGGAAACCATGTTGATTTTTCTTCTGGAAGGAGGGGAATACAGCTCTGGAAATTCCTGCTTCATTCTAAATAGGATCAAATGCAAAAACCAGGGACAAGAGTGAATATGATGGTTTGTGGTATTGTGCTTATATTTCTGTTCAATCAGCAGCAATTGTTAAGTCACTTGCATTTATTTAATATCCATTGCTCACAAAATAGCCTTTCAAGATCTTCTTTTTTTCTATCACTGTCGTGTCATGAGGGAGACAGCAAAGTCATATTCTTGGCTGTGCATGCGAACAGAAGGAGGCTGAATCCATTGGTGTATTCCAGTGGAACAGATACCTAGTGATACTGGAATTGGAACATCCATTCATCCACACATCCATTGTACATTTGCTGAGTGCCAGCCCTGTGTTTGCATCTGCAGATACATAGATAAACAAAACACAAGCCCCTGGCTTAGAAGCTCACAGTCTTATAGGGGAGAAGGAAAGACAGCCATGTGAGCAAATGTAGGCATTCTTATCATCCAAATATAGTCTTTTTAAAAAATCCCCCCAGGGCCGGGCTCGGTGTCTCATGCCTATAATCCCACCACTTGGGGAGGCTGAGGCAGGAGGATTATGAGGTCAAGAGATCGAGACCAGCCTGGCCAACATGGTGAAACCTCGTCTCTACTAAAAATACAAAAATTAGCTGGGTGTGGTGGCGCGAACCTACACTAAAAAAAAAAAAAAAAAAAAAAAATCCTCCCAAAATGTTGGATTGCATATTTTCAGATACAATAACCTATACTCTATTGTTTGTTTGTTTACTTATTTATTTTTGAAACAGTCTCATTCTGTTGCCCAGGCTGGAGTGATGCGATCTTGGCTCATTGCAACCTCCGCCTCCCAGGTTCAAACGATTCTTCTGCCCCAGCCTCCAGAGTAGCTGGGATTAGAGGTGCCCACCACCACACCTGGCAAATTTTTGTATTTTTAGTAGATACAGGGTTTCACCATGTTGGCCAGGCTGGTCTCCAACTTCTGACCTCAGGTGATCATCCTATTTCGGCCTCCCAAAGTGCTGGGATTACAGGTATGAACAACTGTGCCCAGCCCACTCTATTGTTTTAAATTGGAAAAATAATGTGTCCCCATCCCACCCAAAAATTCCAACCAATTTATCTAAGAATCTTTCAAAACACTTGTAAACACCTATACAACTAGCCACCAAAGACTATTGTTTAACATATATAAAAATTTTAAACACGAATTATCTGATTTTTTAAGCATTTAATGAATGCCGTATGGTTTTGCACAGCATATGAAGATACTGAAGAGTACTGCGTATGAATTATGTTTTACTTCTGTTGCCAGGAACACTGCCTCAACGCATCCCACTCTGATTTTGCTTATCAATTGACTATGCACAGTATTTCTCTAATATGTCATGTCCAGTGAAGCTTTCCAGAACCAACAGCACTTTTGAAATTTTTCTGCATTTTCTCTTGCATAAAAAAAGTAGATGGAGATGAATACATGGCCAAGCTGGGTCTTTTGAATGTTTACCTTTCTCAGTGCACTCTGTCACCTCTAAAGTACAGACTTTCCCAGACATCTTATATTCATCTGCCTTACATTCATCTTTTTTTTTTTTGAGACAGGGTCTCACTCTGTCATCCATGCTGCTGGAGTGCGGTGGCACAATCTCGGCTCACTGTGACTTCTGCCTCCCGGGTTCAAGCGATTCTCCTGGCTCAGCCTCCAGAGTAGCTGGGACTCAAATTCCTTACCTCAAGTGATCAGCCTGCCTTGGCCTCCCAAAACGTTGGGATTACAGGCGTGAGCCACCGCATCTGGCTTCGGATGCATTTTTGGTAGACATTTTCACTTACCATTGTGAGATCTCTGTGAGTGATAATGCATGATATGGAAAAACAGAAGCTTGAGATAATGTCCTTTTGGAAGAACAGCTGACATAGAGTAAAATGCAGGGCACTCTACGTTTTTGCCTGGATTTGCATGCATCCTAAATATGCAGATCTATTGTAATGGATTTCTGATTTGGATAAAGATTATTGGGTGAAAAATTGTGCAAGTCATTATAGCAAATGTTTATAAATTGAGTCCTCAGATAACAGAGGATATCCATACTTTCAAGAGGGGTGAGCATAAAGTAATGTGGTCACACAGAGTGATGAACTCTGTTTAGAAAGGTTGGGGAAGATTCCATCGTCTCAGCCCAAAATCTCCTTAAGCTGATAGGCAACTTCAGCAAAGTCTCAGGATACAAAATCAATGTACAAAAATCACAAGCATTCTTGTACACCAATAGCAGACAGAGAGCCAAATCATGAGTGAATTCCCATTCATAATTGCTTCAAAGAGAATAAAATACCTAGGAATCCAACTTACAAGGGATGTGAAGGACCTCTTCAAGGAGAACTACAAACCACTGCTCAATGAAATAAAAGAGGATACAAACAAATGGAAGAACATTCCATGCTCATGGGTAGGAAGAATCAATATTGTGAAAATGGCCATACTGCCCAAGGTAATTTATAGATTCAATGCCATCCCCATCAAGCTACCAATGACTTTCTTCACAGAATTGGAAAAAACTACTTTAAAGTTCATATGGAACCAAAAAAGAGCCCGCATCGCCAAGTCAATCCTAAGCCAAAAGAACAAAGCTGGAGGCATCACGCTACCTGACTTCAAACTATACTATAAGGCTACAGTAACCAAAACAGCATGGTACTGGTACCAAAACAGAGATATAGACCAGTGGAACAGAAAAGAGCCCTCAGAAATAATGCCTCATATATACAACTATCTGATCTATGACAAACCTGAGAAAAACAAGCAATGGGGAAATGATTCCCTATTTAATAAATGGTGCTGGAAAAACTGAATAGCCATATGCAGAAAGCTGAAACTGGATCCCTTCCTTACACCTTATACAAAAATTAATTCAAGATGGATTAAAGACTTACATGTTAGACCTAAAACCATAAAAACTGTAGAAGAAAACCTAGGCAATACCATTCAGGACATAGGCATGGGCAATGACATCATGTCTAAAACACCAAAAGCAATGGCAACAAAAGCCAAAATTGACAAATGGGACCTAATTAAACTAAAGAGCTTCTGCACAGCAAAAGAAACTACCATCAGAGTGAACAGGCAACCTACAGAATGGGAGAAAATTTTTGCAACCTACTCATCTGACAAAGGGCTAATATCCAGAATCTACAATGAACTCAAACAAATTTACAAGAAAAAGACAAACCCATCAGAAAGTGGGCTAAGGATATGAACAGACACTTCTCACAAGAAGACATTTATGCAGCCAAAAAACACATGAAAAAATGCTCATCATCACTGGCCATCAGAGAAATGCAAATCAAAACCACAATGAGATACCATCTCACAGCAGTTAGAATGGCGATCATTAAAAAGTCAGGAAACAACAGGTGCTGGAGAGGATGTGGAGAAATAGGAACACTTTTACACTGTTGGTGGGACTGCAAACTAGTTCAACCATTGTGGAAGTCAGTGTGGCGATTCCTCAGGGATCTAGAACTAGAAATAACATTTGACCCAGCCATCCTATTACTGGGTATATACCCAAAGGATTATAAATCATGCTGCTATAAAGACACATGCACACGTATGTTTATAGTGGCACTATTCACAATAGCAAAGACTTGGAACCAACCTAAATGTCCAACAACGATAGACTGGATTAAGAAAATGTGGCACATATACACCATGGAATACTATGCAGCCATAAAAAATGATGAATTCATGTCCTTTGTAGGGACATGGATGAAACTGGAAACCATCATTCTCAGCAAACTATCGCAAGGACAAAAAACCAAACACTGCATGTTCTCACTTATAGGTGGGAATTGAACAATGAGAACACATGGACACAGGAAGGGGAACATCACACACCAGGGACTGTTGTGGGGTGGGGGGAGGGGGGAGGGATAGCATTAGGAGATATACCTAATGCTAAATGACTAGTTAATGGGTGCAGCACACCAACATGGCACATGTATACATATGTAACAAACCTGCACGTTGTGCACATGTACCCTAAAACTTAAAGTATAATAATAATAATAATAATAATAATAATAATAAAAGAAAGGTTGGGGAAGATTGTGCAGAAGGGAGAGAGGAGCAAGGAAGATCTGCAGGATGATAGTTCACTAGACAGGCCAGGTGGAGAGGCAGAGTGGAGGGCATTTTAGGCAGAGAGAAAAATGTGTGCAAAGTCAGAGTGGCAAAACACCCTATCATATTGTGTTCAGGGAAATGAAAGCAGTTCCATATGGCTGAAGTATAAGGAGCAAGGAAGATGAAATGGAGAGAGAGGCATGGGCCTGAGAGGGAGGGGCCTTATTTGGTCTTTATTCTGGAATAAAGAATAAATGGATGAACCATAACTGAAGGCCTTTAAGCAAGAGCATGTTAGCATCCCATCTGAAGTTCAGAGAAATACTCTAGCAACGAAAAAGAAACAGGATCTGAGGACAGACACTGGAGGGCAGAGATGACAAGGACCCGAGCAAGGGTAGCTGCAGTGCTGATCAAGAAGACAGAATAGACTGGAGAGAGGGCTGAGAGGCAGAACTGATGGGAGTTCATGGTCTCCATGATAGACAGCAGCTCCTTTGATCCTAATGTCTAGATTAGGAAATCAAGATCAGGGGTTCTTTTTCATTTAGTATCTCCCAAATCGAACACAGTTCTTGGCAGACACTCAACACTTGGTAAATGGATAAATTCCATTGTTTAGCAAACACATCTTCAGCCAGGAGCTAAGTGAATGAGTCAAGAAATGAATCAGTGAATGAGTTAATAAATCAAATGACTATTTCCTGGTTAGTTTCTGATGGTCCTCCAAAGCAATTAAAGACTTCTCCTTCATTTCTACCACTGTCCCCATCACACGGAGAGCAGAAGTCACAGTTGGAATATTGCAATATCCTCCTAACTGATTCTGCAGTCTCTATTCTTTTGCCAAAAGTCCCAAAGCTAGAATGGTTGTGAAGTGAGGCTTCTCAGTTCAGGATTGTCTTGACCTCAGCTAAGCCTCAGCCACTCAACTTTTCCCATCATTTCTCTCCTCGATGGAAATAATGATTCTTATTCATCTACCTCACACAGATGTTGGACAGATTGATTAGTTAGTGTTCAAAAATTGCTTGGAGGATGAAAAGTGCTGATTATTATTATTATGTTGTCTAAGAGAAATTCCCTGCCTTTGAAAGGGAGCCATAGAATGGTCACTGACATTTAATTTTAATGCGCTACATCTCACAGGTGGAATATTTATTTACCAATAAAGAAAAATGTCTCTACATAGAATAGCTCCTTGAAGCCCATTCATCTGTTTTTAAAAGATGGAACTGAATTACCATCATGGAATGTAATTTGGGCAACATGGTTAAGGTTGATGTCTAGGCCTTGTGTCAGCAAGGGGTTTGCCCCCTTATCCAGGGGCACTGATGGTAAAAAATGGGGTTGCCTTTTGTAAGCCAAATGTCACCTCAAATGCTTCTGACATCAACCTAGATCATACGCAGAGTATTGGATGACTGTATATATACGCTGTATATATAATTGTTTTTCTTCCTTCCAGAATACTCTGAACTTACAGCTTTTCATCTTGGCCAGGAATGAATAATGGTTTCTTAGGAGTATCTTTTTTTCATTTGTTTGTTTCCTTACAAAGGTGATTTTTATGACTATACCACAGAAAGTTCAATATTGCATAACAACAGCAACAAAAAAGCAAGTGAACATTTTGAATTTTCCTTTTTTTTTTGGTTTGGAGCTTAATATAAAGTAAGGAAAAGTTGTAAGAAAAGTTTGCATTTAAATAATGGGGAGGGAACTCTTAATTTGAAGTGTGTAAATGTAGAATTGATGCTGGTGGCTTGGTATTCCAATCTTGATTTGCTGCTAGTTTTCCTCAGTAACTTGGGCTTTTAGTGTGATTTATGCCTAAACTTTTAGAGTAAAATTTATGAACTGCATTAAGTGCTAAGGAAGAAGCATAAAAATCAGCAATTTGAGAGTCTGGAGCAGTGGAGTGCTGTGTACAAATAGGCTAAATGGAAATAATAGGCTAATAGATGCGTTGGAGAAAAGCAAATGGCTTTCTGACATCAAGGAATCAGAGCTTTGGGAAATTCTTTAATTATCGTCTAATTGGCTGGGTGAGATAGTGTTGCGAAAGATGTATGAAATCAAGAAGTGAGAAGTTTCATTTTAAAATGAAACAGGTTTCTGTAGGGGAACGGTGAAATGTATGGCAGGATTTTACTAATGCAATCAATTGGACCAGCGTAGAACATCACAGAAGCCACGTCTTAGGACTTTGCCCAGCAGATGGCAGAAGCGAAGGTTCCAGATCAGGTGCGTGGGCCTGCGGAGCCATGATCTGTCTTCTAAACCCTGCCCCTGTGGCTGCCCAAGCATTATGGGTGGGGGGGCCCGGCCACTTTGCACTTTTGTTCTTGGGCTACATCTTGACTTTTCCCGGTTGTGTGCCCGCGTCCTCTTCTTCCCACGTTCGATCTCCAAGATTCCTCTGCCAGCCATGGGGTCCCCTGGGAGGGTGTCCATGCACTTTTCCTACTGCCTTTTTTCTTTATTCCAGAGCAGTTGCTGTGGACACTCAGCCCTCTTGATTTCTTTTCTATCCAGGAGTGCTAAGAGACAGCAGGAGTGGGGCCTTGGGAGTGGGGGTTATTGTATAAGCCTCCGAGCCAGGAGTTTAACCTTTACCCTTCGCCACAACCCTATGTGGTAGACAGCATTTTCCCTTTGGCTAGATGAAGCAACCGAGGCTCAGGGAGAATCAGGAGCTTGCCGAACGTCCACAGGAAGTTTTCAGAACAGCAATGGACCCTTTTCACTCAATATTTCCTGTAACTCTTGACCCTTCCAAATTTCTGCGGCGTTTAAATTCCCTGGTGTCATGTGGATCCATGACCTCTGGAAAGGGTGGTTACAGGAACTCTAAAGAGGTCTCAGAACATAGAAAACTTTGATGACTCAGGGCAAGGCGAACTCCCCACCCCAGTCCTCCCGGACCAGACAGACAGTGTCTCCATCAGAGTGAGAGAAGCTGCAGAAGGAGCCGCTGCAAGGAGACATTGTGGGTCTCTGAGAGAGGGAGGCCCATATGCCTCACCTTCCGGGGTGGGCTAGGGGCTAGGATCGGGTGGAAATGAAAGCCCAGCTGGTTTTAGAGGGCAGAGACGTCCTGAGGAGCGTGGCTGGTGTGGCTCCCAGTGGGGCCTGGGGCAGCCTCTGCAGCTCAGGAGAGGCCCAAGCCACAGCAGAAGAACCCCAGCCGGAAGGAACCGTGGAGACTCCAGCGAATGTTCCTCCAGACTTCTCAGGTGGCGCAGCTGAGGACAAGCTGGGAAGGGGAATAGCGCAGAGGGAAAGATCCAGACCACAGCTCCTTCCAGTCCGCCTTGCTCTGAATCACGGCTGCTGCCAAATGCAGGACCACAGTTTGCTGACAAAAAAGGGTTCTAGGCAAATGCATAACATTTTAGCATCTTAGGGGGGGCTTAGTAATCCCTGATTAAGAAAATGTCGTCATTACTTGAAAATACCTTTGATCTATCTATCATTACATATATTAAATAAAATTACTGACCTATTAGAAAACCCAGAGTGGTTCTAAATAAATATTTTCATTTTCCAAAGAAGAAAAAAATCAAGTCAGATGCCAGTCTGCAACACTGTGACCCCACATAGCCCAATATGTGCCAATATGTGCCAATATGGTGAAACGAGGAGGAACCATGATTGACTCAGCTAACCTTTCTGCCCCCTAGTGGAATGGGGACTCACTACAGAAATTGAGTTAAGTTAGGGAAACTTCAATTTTTGTAATTATTGACTTATTTATTTTTGAGATAGGGTATTGCTCTGTCGCCCAGGCTGGAGTGCAGTGGTCAAACTCAATTCACTGCAACCTCTGCTTCCTGGGCTCAAGTGATCTTCCCACCTCAACCTCCAGAGTAGCTGGGACTACAGACGTGTACCATCACATTTGGCTCGTTTTAAAATTTTTTGTAGAGGAGGTCTCACTATGCTGCCCAGGCTGGTCTCAAACTGCTGTGCTCAAGTGATCCTCCTGCTTTGGCTTTCCAAAGTCCTGGGATTACCGGCGTGAGCCACCACCTGGCGAGTTAGGGAAACTTTAAAGTTTCGGTTTTAGCGTTTGGGAAGTGAGGAGCGCCTCTGCCCCACCACTGTGCAACCTTGGAAGTGTGAAGTGACAGCCTTGTGTGTGATCTTTTCTGTTTTCCCCAAGTTTGCATTTTCGACATTAAAGTTTACTTTTTAATAAAAAAAAAGTTTTGGTTTTAGGTTTGTGGATGGGGATCTGTACCCTGAAGCAGCATTGACCCCAGGTTTTTCTGCCTCCCCAAACTGCTCATTTCACTGCACCCGGAGGAAGCGGCACTGTTAAATCAAGAAGTCAACATAATTTTAGCAACTGTTATCTCCGTATTATCTAGATGCCTAATATATATTTTTTAAATTGCACTGTTCAAACCCATTTAATTCAAGGTTCATTTTCCCCACTCATTTCCACTCAATTTAATGAGATTTTACTCAGTATTACATTAAGGCAAATCATCAGGGATCCAGGGATCTCTTTTCAAATATTTTCAGTGTCTTAAACAAAAAAGGCACTCTGTAAGTAAAAAATCACGAAGACATGAATGACTTCAAGATAAGGCATACTTCCAGTCATCCCATACATGAGAGCTTCTCACATATGAATCATTCATCTATTTGAAGTGAGTTTTCACACTTCGGGATAACCCAGTTGTTCTCAACCCTCATCATCATACTTGCAAAAAAGAAAGAGTTCAAAGGGCATTTATAGCAAGATTTTGCAGGTGTATGACCCCTGACCTCATAACGACTGAAGCAAAATTTCCAGGAGTTCGTCAGCCTTCATTTTAAGAAGTTACATGACTTGCCTGGGGTCACGTGGCTTGCTGGTGGCCTGAATGGTACTGACTGGACTTTTGCTGTGGTTTGTGAAACCTCAGGGGAAGGGCAGTGAGGATGTTTTGTGGTAGTTTCAGAGATTCACCTTCCCGGCAATAATGGTTCTCACTAGCACAGAACTGTCGGTTTGTGAGGTCTTTTTCTGGTTGAATTCTTCCAGGGTGACTGAGCTGTCGTCTGCCCTGGGGGCTACTCAGCAAGAAATGCATCTTCTCAATGGTTAATAATGTTCATTAAACTTCATCCTGCCCAGCTCTGACTCTGAACAGCAGCACTGGCTTTCGCTCTGACTTGCAAACCAATGCATCTGCTTCTCGCAGAAAATGTACTTAAACGCTGCATATATATCCTGAGAAATTGATGCTTTCCAGAATTCAGCCCGGACAAGAGCAGCCCTAGTTGGCCCTTTTCACCGTGTGTA
Source organism: Homo sapiens (assembly GCF_000001405.40). Taxonomy (NCBI): domain Eukaryota; kingdom Metazoa; phylum Chordata; class Mammalia; order Primates; family Hominidae; genus Homo; species Homo sapiens. Next base: position 42,282,157 of record NC_000004.12, read on the forward strand.
GATGTGAAAGAGAGAAAATTCCTCTAGAGGGCGCTCGTAGATTCTTCATGAATGGAGTGCTGGTGAAATGCAGTTCTCCACAAATGGCGCAGACTGCACGGGAGCGAAAGGGGATTTATATAAATAGATGGATGTGGATATGCAATTTTTTTCATCTGCAAATAATGCCTCTTTGTTTTTCTTTCTGATCAGCATCAGTGAAAATCATGCACATGTGGGAAAGTGAAATATGGAGGATTTCTTTTTGTTTCCTTTGTGAATGAATAGTGAACCCTCACCTCTAGGGGAGTTTGCTGTAGTTCACTGCAGTGTCATATTTATAATTATCAGGAGAAGGAGGGAAATTAAAAGATTTGACTGCTTTACTCTTCAGCGGTTGAGCTGTCGGCCCTGGGGACATGCCGGGAACTTCATGTTCTGGCTGAGCTCTGTGGAAATCCTGGGGAATGGCTATTTGACCTCTCATTCAGCCACCTGAGGAAATCAGCTTTGGTTAGATCAGATGGACCATAATTGGCTTTGGAGTTGTTAAAGCACACTCTGGGTACACATTTCTCTATGTTTTGAAAAGCGTGTGTTTTCCTTGGATCAGATCAGCATGTAGGGGAGTCAATCACAGCTTGGGTGGGTGGTTGGACTAGAATGCTGTTTCCCAAGACCTGCTCTGCCTCTCAGCCTCCCCCAGTGACAGGGTGCCTGCCTGGCCCCGCTGGGCCCTTCTCTTCCTCCCCTTCCTCCCCTTCCTCCCCTTCCAGCCCAGGATTAGGGAGAGAGGGCTGAGTCTGCAACCTCAGCTTCCTGGGCTCAGGAGATCTTCCCACCTCAACCTCTCGAGTAGCTGGTATAATTTGCAAGGGAGGCATGGGTTTGGGTGATTTTAAGGGTTCTTTTCTTTTCCTTTTTTGAGACAGAGTCTCGCTCTGTCGCCCAGGCTGGAGCGCTATGGCGCGGTCTCGGCTCACTGCAAGCTCCGCCTCCTGGGTTCACGTCATTCTCCTGCCTCAGCCTCCCGAGTAGCTGGGACTACAGGCGCCCGCCACCACGCCCGGCTAATTTTTTGTATTTTTAGTAGAGACGGTTTAACCATGTTAGTCAGGATGGTCTTGATCTACTGACCTCGTGATCCGCCTGCCTCGGTCTCCCAAAGTGCTGGGATTACAGAGGTGAGCCACCGTGCCTGGCCTTAAGGGTTCTTTTCAACCCTTAGGTTCTATGACTCCATGAACGTGTGGATTCTGAAGTGAGAAGAACATAAATATGAATCAGTGTGACTTCAGCCTTGTAAATGGTATAACTGCTTTCCCTGCCTCTAGTCATGCCCCTCCCCAGATCATTCGCCAGCACCAGGATGATCCTTTACAAATGTGCATTGGATTATGGTTTTCTTTTCTGCTAAAAACTCTTCAGTGGCTCCACATTGCCCTTCATGAAAATGTCCAAACTCCTTAGCACACACAACTTACAAGGCTTGTTACAGTCTGTCCTACAACCTCAGCCCTTCCTCCTGGATGACAGGCAGCTCTCCAATGCACACACTCTGTCTCTCTCATTTCCAGGCCCATGCTGCCCCTTATGCCTAGAACACAGCCTCTGGGCTGACTTGCACACTCCTTGCCTGGCTGATGTTTTTCATCCTTTAGGTCTCGGCATAGGTGCTTCTTCCTCTGAGAAGCCTTACCCAACTCTTAAAGACTGAACGAGGTGCCCCTTCTTATGTTATCTTAGCATTCTGTTCTATCCTTAGCCCTGGAGACACAGAGTTTGTTCTTAGAAGCTGAAAGGCGTCCACGAGGATGTCTGGTAGTGCTGTCTGAATGTTCAAGTCCATTGAGAATGAAGTTCAGAAAGTTTTTAATCTACCTGAGAACCCAAACTGCCCATCCGGACGCTCAACCTTGTTAAATCAAGTTTAGTCTAAAGCTGCCTCCTTACATATTTTAAGTTAGGTCTAAAGGTTTCTCTGTACATTATGAACTGTAACAAGTGAAAGTGTAAACAGACCAGAGCCTACACATGTGCCAATCACCCGAGTTTTGGCCAGTCAAATGTAGCTAACTGTTTGAACCTGTTCAAATAAGGCAAATACTGAGCTGTAACCAATCCGGCTGTTTCTGTTCCTCACTTCCGTTTTCTGTACATCACTTTCCTTTTTCTGTCCATAAATCTTCTCCAACATGTGGCTGTGCTGGAGTCTCTGAGCCTAATTGTTCATTGCTCAATTAAACTCCTTTAAATTTAATTCCACTGAAGTTTTTCTTTTATCAGGCAGAACACCAATCCTGGAACCTATTAAATTATCCTAAATTTGGCCTAAGACCACCTCCCATACCTTGAGTATCACTAAGTAATAAACTGCAACCTAACTTAGTATGTAAACAAATGAAAATCCAATGAGGAGTATATTTTATAGCAAATAGCTGGGTGTCCAGCTTCTGCCAATCACAGGCTGCCATCTGAAAGACCACGTCCAAATTAAGCAAACGCCAGGATGTAACCAATCCAGCTGTTTGTGTACCTCACTTCCATTTTTCTGTCTATAAATATTCCCTGCAAAGTGCCCGCTTTGCAGAGGGGGGCTCTCCTAACCTCTTCTGCTTCTGAGGACTGCATGATTTGCGAATCCTTTGCTCAAATAAACTCTATTAAATTTAATCTGTTTAAAGTTTTTCTTTTAATAATCCTCTTCTCTTCTTTTCTTCTCTTTTTTCTAGACAGAGTCTTGCTTTGCTGCCCAGGCTGGAGTGCAGTGGTGCTGGCATGCTCTAGCTCACTGCAACTGCAACCTCCGCCTCCCAGGTTCAAGCGATTCTTGTGCCTCGGCCTCCTGAGTAGCTGGGATTACAGGCAGCACCACCAGGCCTGGCTAATTTTTGTGATTTTTAGTAGAGATGGGGGTTTCACCATGTTGGCCAGGCTGGTCTTGAACCCCTGACCCCAAGTAATCTGCCTGCCTCAGCCTCCCTAAGTGCTGGGATTAGAGGCATGAGCCACTGCACCCAGCCATACAATCCACAGCTTTCTGTCTACATTAGCAGAACTTTGCACCACTCTTCTGTCTTCATTAGCATGACTTTATTTTCCCAGAACCTGCCTATCGAGGCAAATGGATTGATTGTTCGTTACAGGAACTTGCAAAAGACTCTTCCAAACTCTTCAGTGGAAAGCATCAACAGACAATTTGTGCCCTAAATCTCTGAATCCTTTGCTTCCAAATTCTTGCCTTGCTGTTTCCACCAATTCTGGACTGTTCTATTGTTACTGGGGTGTCTCTGTTTTTAGAGCTTCCAAGATGGTGGCAAGCTTCTTGTTCTCTGACCGGGGGTTCTTGGCCTCACGGATTCCAATGAATGGAACCTTGGGCCATGTGGTGAGTGTTATAGCTCTATTAGGAGCCGTGGGTCACGGAAGAGAACTGTGGAACCCAGCTACTAGCGTTCAGCTCGATTAGGACGAACCCTGGGCTCTTAGCCATGCAGGAACAATGGCAAGCCTTTAGCCTGATTGGGAGCAGCAATGGGTGGCTCGCTGGGTCAGGAGCACAGCGGACACCCTGCCAGATCTGCAGAGGTGGAAGTCAGTGGTGGGTCTGCGATGGCGGCAAACAGCAGTGGTGGACAGCGAGCGAAAGCTCAGCTCGAGCCATAACAAACATAGACCAGAAGAGTGTGCAGTTGCAAGATTTAATAGAATGAAAACAGAGCTCCCATACAATGGGAGGGGACGCAATGGGGGTTGCCGTTGCCGGCCCGAATGCCTGGGTTTATATCCCGATCATTGTCCCTCCCCACTGTGCTCTCAGGCGATAGATGATTGGCTATTTCTTTACCTCTTGTTTTTGCCTAATTAGCATTTTAGTGAGCTCTCTTTACTACCTGATTGGTCGGGTGTGAGCTAAGTTGCAAGCCCCGTGTTTAAAGGTGGATGCGGTCACCTTCCCAACTAGGCTTAGGGATTCTTAGTTGGCCTAGGAAATCCAGCTAGTCCTGTCTCTCAGTCCCCCCTCTCAACAGGAAAACCCACATACTATTGGGGATGTTAGCCAACGACTGCTCTTAACTGCTTCCTGCTGAATTGGGGCTTAGTAGGGGTCGTGCAGTTGAGATTTCCTCGGAAGGTGTGCCTTTGATGTCATCAACATCGGAGCATGGGCTAACAGGCCGGTCTAGGGCTCTGTGGTAGATCTTAGTCATGGACTGCATCTGGGGCTCCATATGAGGAACCATTTGCAGTTTTACAGCTTTGAGTCTGGAAGAGACAAACAACAGGAGGTTAAAGATACAGGGATTGAAATGTATGGCTTGAAGTGCAGGGGATTATTTCTTTGGCACATTTCACAGGCCCTGACTATCTGCTTGATAGTTTTGAAAAGGCCTGGTCCAGTAAATAATAAATTGGCCATCTGATAGATGCTATCCATGCCCAAGTGAAAGGTTTGGTGAAGGGTTTTAAGTAATTTCCATTGATTAGCTGCAGGCAAAAGTATTTTCCCTTTTTCGGTGGCTAGCCATCCTGAGGGGAGGAAACTATGTCCTCGTGTCTATTTCTCCTGCTGAGTACTGGGGCTTGGTTTCCCGGAGGGGATTACCCCATACTAGGGATCCTTCTATAAGCATTTCTAATGGAGGGCCTGCCTTGTGGCTCTTTTGGCTTCAATATCCACTTGGTGGTTCCTTTCTATTTCCTTTTCCTTTCCTTTCTGATGACCCCAGCAGTGTAAGACTGCCACCTCTTTAGGTTTCTGTACAGCCAATAATAATCTCCTAATGGCTTCCTGATGTTTGATCGGTGTTCCCTCAGAAGTTAGGAATTTCCTATCTCTCCATATTGCTGTGTGGGCGTGGAGGACTGGGTAAGCATACTTAGAGTCTGCATATATATTTACCCTTTTTCCTTCTCCTAATTCTAGTGCCTGAGTGAGGGCTATTAGTTCTGCCAGCTGAGCACTAGTTCCTGGAGTGAAGGAATTACTTTCAAGTATTCCATTATCACTGACCACTGCATACCCCACCTTTCAAAGTCCTTTTTCTACAAAGGAGCTTCCATCAGTATACAAGTTGAGGTTGGGATCAGTCAAGGGAACCTCTAGAAGGTCCCCTCGAGCGCCGTAGGTTTGAGCAATCACCTGTTGACAGTTATGTTCTATCTTTTCTTCATTGTCTGAAAGAAATGTGGCTGGGTTAAGAGTTGAACAAGTGGGCAGTCGCAGCACTGGCCCTTCAAGTAATAGAGCCTGATATTTAAGTAAACGGTTGTCTGACAGCCACAAGTCTCCTTTAGAAGTGAGTACGCCGTTTACATCATGAGATGTCCACACAGTAAGATCTCTTCCCTGTATTATTTTAACTGCTTCAGATACTAAGACTGCTACTGCCGCCACTACCTGTAAACAATGAGGTCAACCCTTTGCAACTACATCAATTTCCTTACTCAGGTATGCCACAGGTTGCAAGCTCATCCCTTGGACCTGTCTAAGGACTCCTAGAGCTATTCCTGTTTTTTCTGTGACATATAAAGAAAAGTCTTCCCCGTTGGCAAGCTTAACACTGGGGCTTGGGTTAGGGCCTTCTTTAGGGCCTGGAAAGCTGCTTCTGCTTCAGGTGTCCATCTTAATAAATGGGTGTTGGCTTTCTGAGTTTCCTTAATTAGGGTATATAATGGCCTGGCTATTTCACCGTACCTGGGAATCCACATTTGGCAGAAACCTGTTATGCCAAGGAACCCTCTTAGTTGCTTTAGGGTTTTGGGATGAGGATAAGCCAATACAGGCTGGATACATTCCTCACTGAGGGCCCTGGTGCCTTTGGATAATTTTAGCCCTAAGTATTTAACCTGCTGTGAGCAGAGCTGAGCCTTTGGTTTGGAAACCTTGTAGCCACAGGTGGCGAGGAAATTTAAGAGCACTTGGGTGGCTTGATGGCACAAGGTTTCTGAACGGGCAGCTAAAAATAAATCATCCATGTACCAGAGGACAAGAGTGTCCAGGTAGGAGAACTGGCTCGGCTAATGCTTGGCCAACTAGATGGGGGCTATCCCTGAACCCTTGGGGTAAAACAGTCAAGCTGAGTTGAGACATTGGGTTCGAAGGATCTCCAAAGGCAAACAAGAATTGAGAGTCAGGATGTACAGGGATGCAGAAAAAGCCATCCTTAAGGTCCAGGACTGTAAACCACTCTGCTTCTTCTGGTATTTGGGAAAGCAGAGTATAAGGGTTAGGAACAACAGCCTCATTGATAATCCTGAGATCTTGCACTAACCTCCACTGTCTGTTGGTTTTCTGTACTCCTAAAATTGGAGTATTGCAGGGGCTACTGCATGGTTTTGCTAGGCTTTGAGCTTTTAGGTCCTTAACAATCTTTTGGAGTCCTTGTTGGGCCTCGGGTCTAAGGGGGTACTGCCTTTGGTAGGGAAAGGAGGCATAATCCTTTAGTTTAACTTGAACAGGACAGGCATTTGTTGCTCATCTGTATTGTCCTTCTGTTGTCCAGACTTCAGGATTAATTCCTTCTTCAAGCAGGGGACAACAAACAGGTGTTCCTTCTCCTATGTTCAGGTGTATAATGGCCCCTGCTTTTGCTAGAATGTCTTTCCCTAACAAAGGAGTGGGGCTTTCAGGCATAATTAGAAAAACATGTGAAAAGAGTAGAGTTCCCCAGTCACAACTTAGTGGCTGGGAGAAGTATCTAGTGGCTGGCTGTCGTAGAAACCCTCGGATAGTGACAGATCTGGAGGACAGTTGTCCGGGACAGGAGAGTAAGACTGAGAAGGCCACGCCAGTGTCCAGGAGATAGTTAACCTCCTGACCCTCAATGGTCAAGCATACCCAGGGCTCTGTGAGGGTGATGGCATAGGCTGGCGCTTGCCCTGGGCACCCTGAGTCCTGGGGCTGAATCATCTGGTTAGTGGCTTCTGACTCAGAGGACCTTCATCCCCTGGGGCAGTAGGCCTTCCAGTGATTCCCTTGACATAAGGAGCATGGACGAGGGGGTGGCTTATTTCTATTTGGACAATCTTTTTTAAAGTGTCCTTGTAGACCACACTGGAAGCAAGTCTTATTAGGCATTCGATTTGCCCAGCTTTTCCCTTTTCCAGAGTGTCCAAAGTCTGCTTGCCTGAGGGCCATGACTAAAGTGGTGGCCTTTTTTTAAAATCTCATTTGTCCATTCCACCTGATCCTCCTGATCTCTATCATAAAAAACTGAGGTTGCCAAGTTCAATAGGGTTTCTAAGTTTTGCTCCCGGCCTAACGCAGACTTTTGAAGTTTTTTTCTAATGTCTGCAGCTGACTGAGTGGAAAACTTATCCTTTAAGATTAGTTGGCCTTCAATAGAGTCAGGTGACAGAGAGGTATGCTTTCTCAATGCCTCCCTTAGTCTCTCCAGAAAGGCAGTAGGATTTTCTTCCTTTCCCTGTGTTATAGTGGACATCATTGAATAATTCATAGGCTTCTTCCTAGTTTTCCTTAGTGCTTCTAGCGCGCAAGTTAGTAAATGTCTGCGGCACCAATCTCCATGTTCTGATTCTGTGTCCCAATGAAGGTCTACGCTGGGAACTGCCTGCTGGCCTGTGGGGAATTGTTTTCTTTCTTCTGTTGTCATCCTATCATTGACCTGACTGAGATACCAGAGATCATCAAACTCTCTGGCTGCAGTTATGGTGGCACTTCTTTCATTTGGGATTAGTGTCTGATCTAGCAGTAACAGTATATCTCTCCATGTTAGATCAAAGGATTGTCCTAACCCTTGTAAAGCATCAATATAGCCATCAGGGCTATCTGATAATTTACCTAGGTTTGCTTCAAGTCTGACAGGGAAAAAAGATACATACACTCTGGGCCGAATTCTCCAGAATATATCTTATGGGCGTTTTTGCCTTGGGGGGAATGTTTCCCATCTGAAAAAAAAACATAGGGATGCCAGCACCCCTAGTCATTTTCCAATGAGCATTAGTCTTAGAGTGTCCTCTGTGGTCCTAATGCTTATTCCTTTCCAGGGTGCGTAACCACCCATGGACTTCTGCTTATCAGATTAGTTACGCTCACTGATGTAGCAGTCCTGCACCCCTTTTCCCGCCTTTCTTGATCACAAAGAAAGGGGTCTGGGCTGCTGGATTCTAGTGGTCCTTTACTGGTGTGCCTAACATTGCCTTTGCACTCAGAGGTGAGTTCCTTTCCAGGGTGCTTAACCACTCATGGAACTCTGCTTATCGGATTTGTTATGCTCTCTGATGTAGCAGTCCTGCACCTGTTTTCCCGCCTTTCTTGACCACAAAGAAAGGGGTCCAGGCTCCTGGATTCTAGTGGTCCTTTACCAGCATGGCCAACATTGCCTTTGCGCTCAGAGGTGAATTCTAGACCTGGGCTGGGTTCCTGAGTATTTCATAACAACCCAGCTGCCCCATCAAGATGCATTCCCATAAACAACAGTTCTTATGCAAATTCATGTCAGAGATGGTGTAGGTAACATTTTGAGTCAGGATTGAGATAGAGTCTTTTTGATTCTGTAAGTACTTTAAGGCTTGGCTGAGTGCAAACAGCTCGCACATTTGAGCAGACCAATTATTAGGCAATTTTCCTAACTCTCCTTCCACAAGAGTCTCCCTATCAATTACTGAACACCCATTGTGGTTTTTCACCCCCTCAATCACCCAGGAGGAACCATCTATCATCCTGTCCTAAAGGGAGTTCCTGCTGGGTCTGGTCGGACCTTTGTATGGTAATGAAGATTTAAATCCCATTAGGAAACCTGCTGGGTTAAGGGAATTTTCAGTGGTTAATGTTAAATCACCTTTTTCTAACAGAATAACCCCATACTTTAAGATTTTTGAGTTAGTAAGCTACCTTTTTGCTTTTTTGACTTAGAATAATTCTGAACTGGTGAGGTGTGCTCACAATGAGGTTTTCTCTAAAAGTTACTTTTCTACTTTCTTCTGTTAGCAAAGCAGTTGCTGCTACAGATTGAATGCATTTGGGCCATCCATGGGTTCCTGGGTTAAGGATTTTTGATAGGAAGGCTATGGGTTGTCAGTGGTCTCAGTGTTTTCGGGCTACACCCTTGTTTACACTGAAAACAAGGTGGTATTGGAGTGTTATAGGGTCATGGAGAAGACCTTCAATTATCAATTATAGGTTTTAAATTTACCCTGGCTTTTAAAGGAATGGGGCATACTTTTTTTCTTTACTAGTTCTATCTTTCTCTTTCTATCTCTCTTTGACTCCCTCTTTGTCTCTCTCTCTTTCTCTCCCCTCTGCCTCTCTCTCTCTTTCTCTCTTTTTTCTTCTAGCCCTTTGAAAACTTGGGGCCCTGGCAAGGGTGGTAGGGAATGGGTCCCACATAACTGTCCATGTTGAGAGCTGTATGCCTAAATGGGGAGAGATAACAGGGAGAAGACTCTCTGGGTTCATAGCCTAGGGGCCTAAGGACACAGCATAGATCCCTTCCTTAGATCCCTCTGGAGATAGAACTTGCTAGAGGAAATGAAAGTCTGAACCATTAGTACCTAGGAAGCAGGGATGAGAAGAAGTAGATTTAGAGGTAAAGAGAATTTAGGGGCTACACTTTCAAGAAAGTCATGGTTGGGACCCGGGAGGTATGGGTTAGAAGGAAAGGTAGGGGTGCACGCATGGGTGACTGTTGAGTAGAGACTTCTGGCTGCGCCACGATCTCAACTGTCTAATGCCAGGAGTTCGGGATGACAGCTTTCTGCCTCTAGTCAGCCCTTGGATTCCCCAGGAAAATTGAAAGTGGAAGCTGGTTCCAGGCAGACCAAAGCTCCCAACCCGGAAGGGTTGGGGGTTGTTAGAAAGCCCTTTCCCAGACAGCCTCACACCAGAGTCTTAAGTCTGGCGGCCACGCTAATCGTTCTTAACTGGCCGACAGGTGCCCGGTATTTTCCTCCAATTCTAAGGAAGGTTAGGACAGAATAGCAAGCGGAAGTGGTTCAATATTACTCACTGCTTTGGAGGTCCCTTCGTGGTCACCAAAATGTTACTGGGGGGTCCTTGTTCTTAGAGCTCCCAAAATGGTGGCGGGCTGCTTCCAAGATGGTGGCAAGCTTCTTGTTCTCTGACCGGGGGTTCTTGGCCTCACAGATTCCAAGGAATGGAATGTTGGGCCATGCAGTGAGTGTTATAGCTCTATTAGAAGCTGTGGGTCACGGAAGAGAACTGTGGAACCCAGCGACTAGTGTTCAGCTCAATTAGCACGAACCCGGGCACTTAGCCATGCAGGAACAATGGCAAGCCTTTAGCCTGATTGGGAGCAGCAGTGGGTGCCTGGCTGGATCAGGAGCGCAGCAGACACCCTGCCAGATCCGCAGGGGTGGGAGTCAGCAAGGGGTCTGCGACGGCAGCAAACAGCAGTGGTGGACAGCCAGCAAAAGCTCAGCTCAAGCCATAACAAACACAGACCAGAAGAGTGTGCAGTTGCAAGATTTAATAGAGTGAAAACAGAGCTCCCATACAATGAGAGGAGACCCAAAGGGAGTTGCCGTTGCCAGCTCGAATTCCTGGGTTTATATCCCAATCATTGTCCCTCCCCGTGTGGTGTCAGGCAATAGATGATTGGCTATTTCTTTACCTCCTGTTTTTGCCTAATTAGCATTTTAGTGAGCTCTCTTTACTACCTGATTGGTCAGGTGTGAGCTAAGTTGCAAGCCCGTGTTTAAAGGTGGATGCGATCACCTTCCCAGCTAGGCTTAGGGATTCTTAGTTGGCCTAGGAAATCTAACTAGTCCTGTTTCTCAGTATCATGATACTTACCCAAATTTTTACCTATGTTACCGACCTTGGAGATACTGCTAAACTTTGCAAGGTGGCATTCTCCCTTAGCGTAAATTCAGCTTTGTCTAACAGGTTGTGTTAGTGATGTTGGGGAGCCGGCTTCTGACGCGCTCAGTAGTCAGGAGAGCCGGGTGCTTCTGTCAGAGGCGTTTGAACCAGAGCAACATCATCCTGAATAGGAGCTGGGTAAAATGGGGCTGAGACCTCCTGGGCTGCATTATCAGACGTTTAAGGCATTCTAAGTCACAGGATGAGATAGTGGTCAGCACAAGATACAGGTCATAAAGACCTTGCTGTTAAAACAGGTTGCAGTAAAGAAGCTGGCCAAATCCCACCAAAATTAAGGTGGCCACAAGAGTGACCTCCGGTTGTCCTTATTGCTACACTCCCACCAGCACCACAATTTATAAATATCATGGCAATGTCAGGAAGTTACTCTATATGGTCTAAAAAGGGGAGACATAAATAATCCACCCCTTGTTTAGCATATCATCAAGAAATAACCATAAAAATGGGCAACCAGTAGCCCTCAGGGCTGCTCTATGAGTAACCATTCTTTTATTCCTTTATTTTCCTAATAAACTTGCTTTCACTTTACTCTATGGACTCACTCTGAATTCTTTCTGGCATGAGATCCAAGAACCCTCTCTTTGGAGTCTGGATCTGGACCCCTTTCCTGTAACACTTCCTCCTTAAGAAAGTATGATGAACTTTATTGAACTTCTGGAGAGCAGTTTGCCTGGATTTGGGTGTTTGAATTCTGAATTCAAACTTTACTCACCCACTCACCTGGCCCATGTCTTTTTCCAGTGTTTCAGTCAGGGATCATTAAGAAGGGACATGGGTTCATCTAACTAGCTTTATTGAAAATATGAAAGGGAATCTCTTGAAAACTAAAGTCAGTCAAGAAGTACATCCAGGCCTCAAGGAACCTGGAAAGTTACTAAACAGCTATTCAGACCATATCTTGCTCCCTAAGACCATGTGGCCTTTGGGTTTTGCTTTTCTTTGTACATCTATTCCACGCTTCCTCCACTTTGTTTTGGTTCCAGGGTAGCTGCTCATAGCTTTATCTTGCCATGATGCTGACTTTGTCCCTCACTCTACTTGGCATTGTGGGACCAGTATCTACCAATAGCTGGCTCTAATCTCCACATGTTTGGATCATACTCATGAGAACCCCTGATTAATCACTGACCAGCCAGTAGTGAAGGCTGGAGTCCAGGCTGGCTGGAGAGGGATTTGTTTCGATGCTATCTGTACAGGGGTTTTGGTCACCTGCAGTTTTCCCCTCCCAGCAAGGGCTCCAGGAGGGAGCAGACTGTGAAGGTTTTATGGTTTGGACAGTCAAACTTGCTGATGTAACAGAGATTCTACTTGTTGAAATGTATGAATGTCCTTGAATAGGGCCTTCTCATATTCAGCCAGAAGCATCTTAGCAGGATTCCAAAAAGAAAGACTCAGTCTTCAGTGTTGACTTTAAAACAGGTTTTTGAATTCCATAATGAAACAATAGTCTTGAAATCCAGGCTTTGTGAAAAGAAAATAAGGATTTATAAATTACAAAAGCCTCTTTTACATGTCAAGAGCAGAAGGGGAATGCATTTGAATTGGTGATCTGAACAGAGTGTTTTATGAGAAACCAAAGATAGAGACTCAGGGTATGCAGTAAGAAAAGTCCCTTCCAGCCTTGTGGGGGTAGGGGACAGGCAAGGAATACGAGAAAAGTGAGAGAACTAGAAAAGCTACAGATTCCATGGGAAGGAATCTGTGCTCCCCAGGGGAGGAGGAGATGAGCAAGGGGTGGTGAATAAAGTACAGATGGGTGTGTGGCATCCTACTGTGGCAGGGCTTAGCTCTTGTTTCTGAGGGATAATTTGGGAAATTGTCAGCCCCTTAAGAGTAGCCCTGAATTTAGCCTGGAGCTGGAACTTCATGGAGCCCTCGAGGGGTAATTTGAAAATGTCTAAGTGAGGTACTCAGGTGATGGGCCTGAGAAACCAGGGAATGTGTGCAGGGTATCCATAAGTTCTTAGATGCTGCTGTAGAGGGATGAAGAAGAGTCTGGGGTCAGAATGGGTCTGCAGCAGTTGGGGCCACACCATACTCAAGATAACCAGGTGGGACCAGCTATACCTCAGTGAGGACCCATGCAGGACCTGCAGGGACAAGAGTAGACCAGCCACACGACATCAGGGACCTGCAGAGACCATGGCCATTATGAAGATGTATGAGCTTTTCCCTTGTACCCAAGGGGGACCTTTTGGAGAAGAGAAATAGCCTTGAGAAGGAATTTGATAGTTGAACCAAGTGAACTTCTTTTTTTTTTTTTTTTTTTTGAGACAGAGTTTTGCTCTTGTTGTGCAGGCTGGAGTGCAATGGGCACGATCTCGGCTCACTGCAACCTCCACCTCCCAGGTTCAAGCAATTCTCCTGCCTCAGCCTCCCAAGTAGCTGGGATTACAGGCGCCTGCCACCAAGCCCAGCTAATTTTTTGTATTTTTAGTAAAGACGGAGTTTCACTCTGTTGGCCAGGCTGGTCTCGAACTCCTGACCTCAGGCGATCCACCCGCCTTGGCCTCCCAAAGTGTTGGGATTACAGGCATGAGCCACTGCACCCAGCCTGAACCAAGTGAACATTTACTCAGAGGAGACTGAGTTAGACCCAAAGGGTCTGTTTTAAATTAGAAGAAATTGAATTATCTTTAGTTTTCAAGTTTAAGTTTCTTTTCCACCGTCCACAGGAGTGGGACTTAAGAATGTGATGTGAACAGTTAGGGTGACAAAATACCCCTCCCCTTTTTTTGCACATCTGAACCATTGTGTTCACTGTGCTTTTATCATAGTATTGGGTCTACTAAGCCCACACCATTCCACCCATCATTTAAAAATATATGGCCAGGCGCAGTGGCTCACGCCTGTAATCCCAGCACTTTGGGAGGCCGAGGTGGGCAGATCACGAGGTAAGGAGATCGAGACCATCCTGGCTAACACAATGAAGCCCCGTCTCTGCTAAAAATACAATTAGCCGGGCGTGGTGACGGGCGCCTGTAGTCCCAGCTACTTGGGAGGCTGAGGCAGGAGAATGGCGTGAACCCGGGGTGCAGAGCTTGCAGTGAGCCAAGATCGCGCCACTGCACTCCAGCCTGGCGACAAAGCGAGACTCCTTCTAAAAAAAAAAATATATATATATATATATAAATATAATATATACATATGTATATGCACGCATACACATATGTATATACAAAACAAGGTAGCCAAGGAGTGTATACTTTGACTTACTTGTTCAATCAATATTTGTTGAACAAGTACTATTAAGTGGGCTCTAGTGGTATAGCGTGGAACAAGACCGGCATGATCTCTTCCCTAAGCAGTGGTTAGTCTTTGGGATAAGGGAGGCAGGTCATGTTTCTGTCCAGATGAAGATTTGTCATTGTTCATTGCACTCTGTGGCCGCTTGGAGGTATTTCCTGCCCACATCATATAAGAAGTTAGTACAATTTGTGTATTGGGCAATGTGGTCAGGTGCTGAGTTAAAATTCATTCTAGTTTGAATTCATTCTCTTTCTGTAAAGTTTCCCAGTGCCTATGGCTTTCTGAACCATTTCAACATATATTCATGATTGATCATCATTTGTCTAGCAAATGTTTATTCTGCACCAGTTTATAGGTTCTCTATTAGTTGCCAAAGATTCCGAGATAGATAGATGAAGACCTTTCAATCTGCTGACTGTTTACTGGTGGAATATGAATAAATCAATAAACATGAGGAGGGAATGAAGCTAACTCGGCCTGAGTTTGTGCAGACAAGGCAGGTCTGCCAGTTATGTTGCACAGGGTGTGCACTGCACACGGTGTCAGGCCAGAAGGGCAGAAACCTAGCTCATGGGCCCTGGCATAGGGCTGCATACATCCAGGGGAAACATTGCATTTCTGTTTACACAAGGTGCCATTTGCTCACCAGGCACTGAGGCTCTCCATCCATTGGACTAGCCAGAGGAAGTAACATTTCCTCATTTGCAAAAGAGTGCTGTGAAATCTGACAAGCATTCATAAGAGAAAATGGGATGGTTGAACTGAGTTTAAAAGAAATTGGTCAAAAGGACCACGCACAGGTGGCTCATGCCTGTAATCCTAGCACTTTGTGAGGCCGAGGTGGAAGGATTGATTGAGCCCAGGAATTAGAGACCAACCTGGGCAACACAATGAGACCTTGTCTCTCCAGAAAAATTTAAAAATTAGCCAGGCATGGTGGTGCATGCCTGTAGTCCCAGCTACTTGGGTGGCTGAGACAGGAGGATTGCTTGAGCCCGGGAGGTCAACACTCCAGTGAGCTAAGATCGTGCCACTGCACTCCAGCCTGGGTGACAGAGACCCTGTCTCAAAAAAAAAAAAAAAGAAAGAAAAGAAAAGAAATTGGCCAGACTGGGCATGGTGGCTCACACCTGTAATCCCAGCACTTTGGGAGGCTGAGGCAGGTGGATCACCTGAGGTCGGGAGTTCAAGACCAGCCTGACCAACATGGAGAAACCCTGTCTCTACTAAAAATACAAAAATTAGCCAGGCGTGGTGGTGCATGCCTGTAATCCCAGCTACTTGGGAGGCTGAGGCAGGAGAATCGCTTGAACCCAGGAGGTGGAGGTTGCAGCACGCCAAGATTGCACCATTGCACTCCAGCCTGGGCAAAGAGAGCAAAACTCCATTTCAAAAAAAAAAAAAAAAGAAAGAAAATTGACCATAAGGGCTGGGTGCAGTGTCTCATTCCTGTAATCCCAGCACGTTGGGATGCCAAGGTGGGAGGATCTCTTGAGGGCGAGAGTTTGAGGTCAGCCTGGGCAACATCATTAGACCCCGTCTCTACTAAAATAATAATAATAATAATAACAATAATAATAATAAAGAAATCGACCAAAAAAGACAGAGGTTTTGGAGAGTTTTCTAGGTAAAAGGAAGAGTGTGAGTGGATGTACTGTGGAGGGAGAAGATGGTGAATTTGGAGAAGAATAAGCAGTTTGCAAAAGAGACTGTCCAGGAACATGCTGGGAGATTAGCCCACAAGGATGGTCAGAGGCCAATCATGAGGGGGCAGATGTGCTGAGAAATTGGCCATTTGTCCTGTAGCTCTGGGGAACCTTTGGAGATTTAAATGTAAACTCTAAATCAATACATTTAGCATGGATTCACCCTTCCTGGCCTGCAGCCCTTCTCTCCCCCACTGGCATCTCTATTTTTCTGACCTCTCATTTTCTTTCCTGCCTTGGCCACACGCTTTGGGATTTAACTATAGTCTGCCTTTTCACTATGTATCCATCTGCTGTGAAATCTTCCTCTCCCTTTATCTCTTACCAGATGTAAAGCTCTGTGACAGCAAAGATTGTGCCTTGTACTCCTAAAAAATATCTCACTGGGCAACAATTCTAAAGTGTGGCATATGCACCATCTGTGATAAGTGAGGTGATTTTAAGTAGCACACAACAAATATTTTTCTTTTTATATATTCACAGTATTATATGTTTTACAAATATATTTAATATATTTATTTTAATGTGTAATAAGAAAAAAATACAAGTTAACCAAATCTGTGATTTTACTCATGTGTTTATTTAGGATGAACTTTTTATTTTTTATTTTTTTTTAGATGGAGACTTGCTGTGTTGCCCAGGCTGGAGTACAGTGGTGCGATCTTGGCTCACTGCAACCTCCACCTCCCAGGTTCAAGTGATCCTCCTACCTCAGCCTCCTGAGTAGCTGGGATTACAGGTGCATGCCACCATGCTTGGCTGATTTTTGTGTTTTTAGTAAAGACGAGGTTTTACCATGTTGGCTAGGCTGGTGTCAAACTCCTGAGCTCAAGTGATCCACCTGCCTTGGCCTCCCAAAGTGCTAGGATCACAGGCGTGAGCCACCACACCCAGCCAGGATGAAGCTTAAACAGGGTTTAAGTTAAAGAATTAGTTGACTTAGAGAAAAGAATACTCGTGGCCCACAGAATAGAAAAAATTGCATACTAGGTATGCAAATGACTAAAATTTGACATCTTGCATAGGCTTAACAAATAACAGTTGGGAAATTGACTTGATTTTAATTAGTTTATTTTACATGTTCAGGATGTTTTGCCTAAAAGGTAATAGTATAAATCTTGGAAGGAAGCAAGAAGGAATTAAGGGATAAAAGAAAGGAGAGAGAGAAAGAAAAGAGTTGGGAGAGAACAAGTGCCAGTCTTGGGCCTTGCAGTCTGAGGTTTCCATGCTGCTGGATTGGGATATGAGATGAGCTCATAGTTCTGTGTTTCAAGACTCTGAGCCCATCACAAGCAGATCATCAGGTGTCCAGGAAGAGGTTGGGGTTCCATATCCTCACAGATGAGAAGATTACCTGGGTAGGAGGCAGAATTGTATCATCATCTGGTTGTCTTCCCAGAGTCTAGCTTTGTTTTGATATCTTTTTGTCTTCAATGCTTGCTGGGAAAAAAAACTTTTCCTCTCCTATACTGTTGCAATTCTGGTCACCAAAATGTATGTGCTTTCCCTCCACACCATGCAATTCTCCACTTTGTGGAAGACACTGACTGAATTGTCATACAATGTAACTCAATTTGATGCTATTGGCTGGGCATGGTGGCTCATATCCGTAATCCCAGCAGTTCAGGAGGCTGAGGCAGGAGAATTGCTTAAACCTGGGTGTTCAAGAACAGCCTGGGCAACATAGCAAGATCCTGTTTCTACAAAAATTTTTTTAAAAATTAGCCAGGTGTGATGATGTGCACTTGTGGTCCCAGCTACTTGGGAGGCTAAGGTGGCAGAATCGCTTCAACCTGGGGACTTGAGGCTGCAGTGAGCTATGATGGTGCCAGTGCACTCCAGCCTGGGTGACAGAGCAAGACCCTGGCTCAAAAAAAAAAAAAAAAGGAACCAAGAGAAAGGATGCTATCCACCTAGAAATAGTGTCAGATCCCACAGGTTAGGGGCTCAGTCCCACAAGACTGCCCTCACTTCAGACACAAGTCCAAGTTGTTACCTGTGCTTCTTTCTTTCTTTCCTTCCTTCCTTCCTCCCCCTCCCTCCCTCCATCCCTCCCTTCCTTCCTTCCTTCCTCCCCTCCCTCTTTCTTTCTTTTCTTTCTTTCTTTCTTTCTTGCTTTCTTTCTTTTTCTTTCTTTTCTCCTTCCCTCCCTCCCTCCCTTCCTTCCTTTCTTCCTCCCCTCCCTCCTCTTTCTTTCTCCCTCTTTCTTTCTTTCTTTCTTTCTTCTTTCTTTTCCTTCCTTCCTTCCTTCCTTTCTGTCTCTCTCTCTTTCTTTTTTGAGACAGAGTCTCACTCTGTTGCCCAGGCTGGAGTGCAATGGCACAATCTCGGCTCACTGTAACCTCCACCTTCCTGGTTCAAGCAGTTCTCCTTCCTCAGCCTCCCAAGTAGCTGGGATTACAGGCACATGCCACCACGCCAGGCTAATTTTTGTATTTTTAGTAGAGACAGGGTTTCACCATATTGGCCAGGCTGGTCTCTTGGCCAGGCTGGTCTCAAACTCCTGACCTCGTGAATCACCTGCCTCGGCCTCCCAAAGTGCTGGGATTACAGATGTGAGCCACGGTGCCTGGACTGTTACCTGTGTTTCTGACATACTTGCTATAAATCAGGGATCCCCATGACCCCCTCCTAAGTTTTAATCATTTGCTGCCACTGCTCACAGAACTCAGGAAAGTGATTGACTTAGTATTACCCATTTATTATAAAAGGATATGTAGGGGAGTTTTAAATTTTCCTCTATTCTCTGAAGGTTTGATAAGTTGAATCTATGAAAATCAACTGACAATAGACAAATGAACAGGAGAAAAGGCACGCAAATTTATAACATGCATATGCATGGGAGAATCTCAAAGTATGAGATTCAAAAAAGGGCAAGATACTTGAAGCTTAAATAACAGCTTGAACTACAGAAAGAAATCGAAGCTTGGAGGTTCCTGGAGGGTGGTGGTGAAAAACTATTGGACGGTGAGGGGAGAGACTGCATTTTGAATAAAGATTGTCTCATTGTGCAGATAAAATCTCTCAGGTAGCTGCCCTCAGAAGAACAGGTGAAAAGTCTGTCCAGGCGTGGTGTCTTGGGAGATGAGTCCTCTAGTCTCCTGCTGTGTGAATTAATCTTCTCTGGTTAATGTAGAGATCAGGGAGGAGGTTCACGGCAACCACATTCATTCTGGAGGAACTTCCCTTAGTCAGAGACGGAAAATTGCAGAGAAAACACCTCCCTGTGCTTCAAGAGGGCCTCGGGAGGGAAGGAGGGGTGAGAGGCAGGGGATCAGGAGGTCAGAGAGATTCTCCTGTAGTTCAAAGCACTCAGCATGCCAAAACACCATACTTTGGGGCATTGTTTTGTGAGCCCCAACAGATACATCTCAGGACCAGCCAGATGGAAGAGATGAATGGGACAAGTTACAGGGGTAGGGGCACAGCTCTCCCATGCCCTCTCTGGATGCACCACCCTCCACCACCTCCACATGTTCAGCAACCTGTAATTTCTCAGAATCCTGTACTTTTGGGTTTTTATAGAGGCTTCATCACTTAGACATGATTGGTTAAATCACTGGCCATTGGTGATCATCTCAACCTTTAGCTACTCTCTCCTCCTCCGAGGTCTGGGGATGGGGTTGAAAGTTCCAGCCCTCTAATCACATGGTTGATTCCTATCCAACCAGCCCCCATCCCGAAGGAATCCAGGAGCTCCCAGCCATCAGTCTTCTCCTTAGCACACAAATAAACCCTTATTTCTTCCCAGATTCCAAGGGTTTTAGGAGCTGTGTGCCAGGAAAGAGAGAAAGACCAATATATATATATTTCTTATTATATCGCAACATCACAGTGTCTCTTATTATCCCCTGCCCCACAGCACCCGCCCCCCCCTACCCCAACACACACACACACATCCTTCTCAAGGTCATGATCATTCAGGGAGCAAAAGCACCGAGACGAGAGGTTTAACCCCAACTGAAACCAGAACATGTTCACTTCAATGGGTTTCCTCTGGAAGAAGTTCATATTTTAAAGTTTTTAATGTCTGTTTACCCCATTAAACACTTGGTCTTTGGTTAAAGGAATTTTAGGTAATAGTTCAGAGGTGGGAGATATTTGGGAGTTTTGAGAGAAGCAGGACTTAACCTTTGGCTTTGACATCATAGTCAGTATAGGATGACCTGAAGGATAAACACGTTTTGAAGGTCTAGGATGCCCAACAATGATGTCACCCCAGCCTTTTGATTCTCTCCCTTGGTTCCCATGTCCACAAATACAAAGGGTCCTAGGCCCATTTTCACGTGACCTTTTGGGTCAGTCAGACCACACAGGAGACACCTGGCACTCTCAGAGGGTCTAATGGAAAAGGGTTTAGTGACGAGGTTATTTACTGAGAGGAGTGGGGGTATGAAGCTCTCCAGGTTTAGCCACAGTGGGGCTACTGCTTTCCTAGGCCTGAAGAAGCTGAGGTGGGGGATGATGTTACAGAATTGGGAAGGCAGAAGCTGTGGTCATATTAGAATGCAGCCACTGCCAAGATGTGGCCAGGCCGGGAGAAAACAGAGGGCTCAGCACTCCAATGTCTTTTTCTTCCTGTCCTTTGATTTCCCGCCGGTGCCACCCAGTGGTCAAATAAAAATGGAAGCCAAAGACCAGGCAGGCTGGGTGATGCAATCCACAGAGAAGGGGAGAGGAAGAGAAGGGTGGGGAATTGACCTGACAGGCGAAGAGAATAACTGGCTGTCTACTCTCCTCCCATCCAGTTCCTGGAGACCCCCAGCCCCATTCCCTGCTTGAAAATCATGACGCTCGCAGAAAGTCAGATTTGCAGGATATTAAAAAAAGAAAGATAGAAAATAAAGGACACTTTTATACTTTATGCTCTGTAGATTTCAGTGACATTTTTGCACCTTTTGTTTATCTCAAAACAACTTTGTGAAATACATATTATGGAACTAAGTAGGTAAGTGTGTCTTGCTCAAATCACAATGAATGGAATCAGGACTTGACTTGACCCTCATGTCTCTAAGCTTTTCTCTTTCTTTTAGACGAGTGTCTTTCACTGGTCTCAAAGCCTTGGTGAGCCTTGAACCAATTCCGTGGATTATGACCCGCATTTGGAAAATAATGAAATAGAATTGAAGGGAACAGATTGGATGTCACAGTGTATTACCCATAATACAGGTTAATATTGTTTCTTGAAACTTTAACACATATAAATGTGTGTATGTGCTTTTGTGTATTAGGCTGTGATGTACTATATCACAACTATACACATAAAAAATACAACAGGTATTTCTTCCTAAGGTTTCTGTTAAAGAAAGTCCAGGCCAGGCAGAGTGGCTCACGCCTGTAATCCCAGCACTTTGGGAGGCCGAGGCGGGTGGATCTATTGATGTCAGGAGTTCGAGACCAGCCTGGATAACATGGCAAAACCCCGTCTCTACTAAAAATACAAAAAGATTAGCCGGGCATGGTGGCGGGTACCTGTAATCCCAGCTACTCGGGAAGCTGAGGCAGGAGAATCGCTTGAACCCGGGAGGCGGAGATTGCGGTGAGCCAAGATCACACCACTGCACTACAGCCTGGGTGATGAGTGCAGAGTGAGACTCCATCTCCAAAAAAAAAAAAAATAATAAGTCTGAAAGCATTATGTTAGACCACCTTCTCTTTTCACTCTGTTTATTCTTTCATTCATTTCTTCATTCATTCTCATTTATTGAACATCTTTTATGTGCCAGATCCTGAACTCAAACATCGCCAGATTTTGAATTCGGTATCATCATCTCACGCATTTGTTCAGTGCAAATTCTTTCTCCATTCTCCTTACACGCCCTGCTTCACCACTTTCACTTTCCTAAACAATCCATGCCTTCTTTCATCTTGGGGACCTTTGCAAAACTCCACCTATCCTTTTCCCCTCTCTCTGTGAGCTAATTCCTAGTCATCCTTCAGCTATAGAATCCTGCCTCTATCCTCAAAATCTGGCTTTGGTTCTTGAGGCAATTTTTAAATTGGGCTGCAAGTTATTTGACACTCACTCCAAAGAGGTAGAAACTATGTCACGTCTCCTTGATGTGTACTCATGACTACTTCAACCAATAAAGTATGGTGGAAGTGAAATGGTGTGACTTCCAAAGCCAGGTCATCAAAGGTCATGCAGCTTCCACCTTATTTGCTGGAATGCTCACTTTTGGAGCCCTGAGCTGCTGTGTAAGAAATCCAAATACCCAAGGCCACCATGGTAGAGAGGCCATATGTAAGTGCTCTAGGGGACAATTCCAATTAGATCCAGCATTCCAGCCATCTCTGCCAGGGAGCAAGACATGTAACTGGGTTATCTTGTACTCTCCAGACCAGCCCACCCACAAAATGGATGACACTGAGTGACCCCCATTGATGCCACGGTTAACACAAAAATCACCCAGCTGAACCATGCCTGAATTTGTGACCCACAACATTTATGAGATGTAATAAAATTGTTATTGCTTTAAGCCAGTATGTTCTGGGATGGTATTTTGTGTAGCAATAGATAACTGCAACAATTCTCTCTATGTGCTTCCATAGCATTCTGTTTTGTGAAGTTTATTGCATTGGAGCTTAACTTCTAAGATCTACTTGTCTGTGTTTCCTAACAGAAAATATGAAGCCTGAAATGATATTTTGCTGCCAATTGTATTTCTAATATCTAGCATCGGTTCCACACAAAATATGGACTTAATAATTATTTTTTAAAATTTGGGTTCAATTTTTTTAAATTTTGGGAACAGAGCTTATTACAGGTAAGGTGTTCATATGTTTGTGTCTGCCTGGACCGACTGATCTGATGTAATTATTAATAGAGTCCTCTTTCAGTTTCAAAATGTAAAGGATAAATGATACGAGCACTCTAATTAGAGGGGTCCTCGTGGGACCAGGGAAGGATTCTGAGTGATGCCCATCAGATTCATTAGAGTTCGGATTTGTCTCCGGTTGGATAAGAATGTTGAATTTTTAGATGAGCAATTTTAAAGAGTGACTGTTATTACCCTTGTCACCATTATATTTTGATTATATGCTCTATAATTAGATGTTGAAAATGCTAATGCATATTAATACTTGATTGATTTGATTACCCATCATAATTATACTTTGATCACTTTTGATAAATATATTGATTCATTTTTTATTTACTTCACAGTATTCTTTGTATAACTGCTTTGATAATATCTGATTACATCTTAATATTTGATTGCTTTGAGTAGCTCTTGTTTTAACCGTTGGGAAGTTGGATCATATTAGCTATGATGAACCTACTAGTGGTTATGAGGGTAGATTTTACAGTAAAACATACCTGGGTTTGATGTTCCCCATTACTTATACTGTGTGACATTGGGTAGGTCACTTAACCTCTCTGGCCTTTAGTTTCCCCATCTCTAAAATGGAAGATGATAAAAGTTACTCATGAGGGTGCCTGGTGGATTAAATAAGATAATCATGTATTAGTAGGGTATTCTGGCTGGTCCCTAACTGACATTCTAGATAATTCTCATGTGTAGACGGATGATATCCCCTACTCCACCCAAATATCTATTTGCATGAGCTGATACACATTAAGGCTTTTTGTTGATGTTGTTTCAGGAGGGGGCTCAGGGAGAAGGGAGAAGTTGTTCTGGGTAGGGTGCTGATGAAGGGGAGAGGAAGAGAAGAGAAATGAAGGAGAGGCCATGTCGTGGGCTCCATTCTGCCATTCAGGCCACAAGGTCCAGGTGTTCAGAGTACAAGAGGGCCTGGCCAAAGGGACAAGTGGGCTGACATCTGGCCACAGGGTTGCATTTGCTTGGGTGGCATGAGTATCTTTTCTAATTCACACCGAGGAGCCATGAGAGCCGCTCAGAGGTGTCACATGAAAGAAGGACTCAGTTGAGACTCAGTAGAAATGAAAGAGAAGAGAGAGACTGAGCGCAAACCCTGAAGTTCCTATGTGTGTGGAGGGTTTTGTGAGACTCTAGGTACCAGAACAGCAGTTGAGGCCCGGGAGAGCCTCTTTTCCCCTAGTGCTGTAGTTTGTGCCCTGGATCCCACAGTGCTCTGTGGGAGATGGCTGTGCCTGGCGATCAGCCTTCTCATGGGATTTGGGGACATTAGTGTGTGTGTGTGTGTGTGTGTGTGTGTGCACGTGCACATGCTGAGAGGAGAGGAACATGGATGGTATGTGGGTGGCGGTGACCCTTAATTACTGTAATAGCTAGAAATTATAGAGCATTTAGCTCCAGGTACTTTGCCAAACACTTTATACACATTATCATTTTTAATGGTCACAACAACCCTGTGACAATTACCACTAGTACTTTTATTATCCCCAGTCTACAGATGGGAAATAGAGGCAAAGAGAAATTAAGGAACTTCTCCCGATGCTACAGAGAGTAGAGCTGGGATTTGAATCCAGACGGTCAGATGCCAGAGTCGCTACTTTTAGCCATGACGCCATATTTCCTCCTCATCAGGGAAACTGGAACTGTTCCTGACATGGGTGAGCCCCCTACTCCTATCCCTGGGGTCACCGGGAGCGGGGAGGAGCTCAACTGCTGCATAAGCCCATGATCCCCAACTCACTGAAATCTGTGTTAATGGGATACATCACTTCCTCAGCCTAGGGACACTGTGTTTTGGATATAAAGCATACTTGCCCAGGACCTGGCTCTGGCTTAGGACTCAGTAGAGAATTCTATTTTTAGTGTTCTGGATGATTGGCTTAGCAGTTCCTTTCTTGAGTCATGTTTTTACAGATGAGAACACAGAGAACCTCTTAGCCAAGTCAGTGCTCACTTTGACCTTCTGTTGAGCCTGTCCTTGTCTCTGACCCAAACTGAAGTCCACAGTGCAATGGGATGACCTGCCTTCTCTCCAGCTGGGGGGAGACTCAGGTGTGGGTAATGGTCCCCTGGCACTGGGCCACTGGAGAAGGAAGGCTATTAGCTGCCCATCTGCCGGCTGCTGTCACTGGCTGCTGTCCAAATGACCCACAAGCCCTGGGAACGTTCAATGACCAGACACAGCCATGTGCTCCTGGAACACCGGAGCGACCACCCCATACTGAAAGGACACCTTTCCAGAATCCCATATGAGTCCCCACACATTAGCAAGCCTCTTCTCTTAATCCTTCCTTCCTTTGCAGAAAACCGATGTACCTACATCTCATCCCTGAAACTGTGAGATATTATCTTTTCTTTTCCATCCCTCTATTTTATAACTTTTTGAGTATAGTACAGTAATATTTTTAATATGTTAGGGATTTCCAAAATTGAGATGTTACTTTTTTCATATATATATATATAAAGTTACATTTTTTGGTCATGCATGGATTTAAAAAAAAATCCTTCGAGGAAATAAAGTAAAATGCTAACAAGTCTGTGGGTGATGCGATTATGGGTTAATTTAATTTTCTTCTCTGTACTTCGCAGTAAGAATGTTCTGTTTTTAATGATATGAAAGGAAGTAGATTTTGTTTGTATGGGTTTTTTTTTTAGATTAGTTGCCTCTTTCAATATTTTTATTCTATCTAGTGCAAACTATAGTGCAACTTTATTTCAAGTAGGCATGGTATTTTTTTTTTTACTCCATTTTGCTCCCTAAAATTTCTCTAGGATGGATCTGTTCTGCTAAGGAGTAAGTGGACTAGAAACCAAAAGTACAGACTCAGGCAACTTCTCATACAGATGGAAAGAGCTTTGAACCAAGAGTCAGAAGGGTGAGTCCTCCTTCTGGCTCCACCAAACATTGAGCTCCTTGGTCTTTTTTTTTTTTTTTTTGAGACAGAGTCACACTCTGTCACCCAGGCTGGAGTTCAGTGGCGCGATCTCGGCTCACTGCAACCTCTGCCTCCCGGGTTCAAGCGTTTCTCCTGCCTCAGTCTCCCAAGTAGCTGGGATTGCAGGCGCGTGCCACCACGCCTGGCTAATTCTTGTATTTTTAGTAGAGATGGGGTTTCACCATGTTGGCCAGGCTGAACTCAAACTCCTGACCTCAAGCGATCCACCCACCTCGGCCTCCCAAAGTGCTGGGATTACAGGTGTGAGCCACCGTACCTGGCAGTCTTTTCATTGGTAAAGCCACTTAGACTCCATGGCCTCTGCCATCTCTTCCAGGCCTGAACCTCAGTGAATCTTTGCTGTCTTGTGGAAATCAGCTGGAAAATAGGGCAACAATTAGCCTACAGCTGACTTTGTTAGAATATAACGATTTAAATACTTGAAGATCCTGGTAGTTCAAATTAAGTATGAGAATGGTTCTTCTGGTGCTGAGCAAAGGAAGAAAACTGAAGTAGTAGCAATCTGGCTGGCTTTTCCTGGAACTGTACTTGACGTGTTTTTTTTTTTTTTGAGGTGGGGTCTCACTCTGTCACCCACGCTGGAGTGCAGTGGCACAATCATAGCTCACTGCAGCCTTGACATCCTGGGCTCAGATTTCTCTCTCCTCTTTTTATGTACACATATATGTATGTATGTATGTACACATACATACATATATTTATATATGTAAATTTTTCTGAACTATTTGGGAATAAGTTGCATACATCCAAAGCTGTTGCCCTGGCACTCAGTGCAGTCCAGTCCTGGCCTGGATGTCCCTCAAGCCTGGTGCCACATCTTCCCTCCCATCACTCCCACTGCCACCAGCACACCCTCAGACTCAGACCTAGCGTTTTTCCTCTCATCAGAAAGCCCTCCCTCTACCCACGCAGACCAGAACTCCACTGTACGTGCCCTTCCTTGGGTGTTAAAAAGAAGAGTATTTAATTTGATTGGCTCACTTGGGAGAAGAGGCCAGCTCCCGACTAGAGTGCAGTGGTGCGATCATAGCTCACTGCAACCTCAAACTCCCACCTCAGCCTCTCAAGTAGTTGGCACTACAGGCATGCGCCACCACACCTGGTTTTTTTTGTTTTTGTTTTTGTAGAGACCGATTTTCGTCATGTTGCCCAGGCTGGTCTTGAACTCCTAGACTCAAGCGATCTGTCCGCCTTTGTCTCCCAAAGTGCTGGGATTACACAGGTGAGCCACCATGCCTGGCCTACTTGGTTTTTTTTTTTTTTTTTGAGTTGGAGTCTTGCTCTGTTGCCCAGGCTGGAGTGCAGTGGCACAATCTTGGTTCACTGCAACCTCCGCTTGCTGGGTTCAAGTGATTCTCATGCCTCAGCCTCCTGAGTTGCTGGGATTACAGGTACCTGCCACCATGCCCGGCTAATTTTCATAGTTTTAGTGGAGATGGGATTTCACCATGTTGACCAGGCTGGTCTCTAACTCCTGACCTCAAGCGATCCGCTTGCCTTGCCTCGGCCTCCCAAAGTTCTGGGCTTACAGGTGTGAGCCGCCGTGCCCAGTCTAATTGGCATATTTGTAGAGAAGAACCCACATGGGATAGGAAGGAAAGAAGATGGTCTAGTGTCTACTACTAGTGTCTACAAGCCCATCCCATGTGGTCAATGGATGGGACACAAAAAATCAAAAACACGAAGAGGAAGCCAGAAATGTCTCCCAGCTGGGGAGAGTATAAAGCGTCATAGGCCCCTTTTCCCATTCATGGGGCTGTGTGGTAGGAACGCAACAGCAGCCTCCATGTATTCTGTGACAGTTAATTCATCAATTTTGTTTTCCTTTAGTTAAACTGTAAGTTTAAGGTAAATATTGATATTTTCTAAGATATAAAAGCAGTCACTCATCACAATGCATTTCAACAAAACCAAACAGTTTGGTGATCGAGACTCACAGAGATTTCTCCTAATTGGATAAAAAGATGAGGCCTGTGCTTTTTCATTTGCTTGATTAATTACTGCTCTGAAACCCTTGAAAACAGACATGGTCTGTAAGTGGTATCTGTTGTTTAATCGAGGACAGATGTTTTTGAAAACCTTTTAAATAGGCCTAGAGAGTTATTGACTCTGAAGTGAATCATTGAACTGTATGTTTTTTACAAGTAACATGCCAGCAAAAAATGATTTTTACTAATATTCAAGTTATAGTCACCATAATTGTGGTTTGTCCTAAACCTACCAGCATCTAGAAGCAGCTGCAAGATAATGGTAGTAAATGGCATCACCATCGACCCAGGGGACTAGGCTGAAAATCCAATAATCACTCACAACTTCTTCCTGCCTGTACTTCTCTCCCTCATTCCTGCTCTGTCCAAGCCCCGTTGTCATTCTCAAGTTCATTGCCTAAGAGCAGTATCTCTCCAGGTGTCTCCTGTGTCTGTTCCTACCACCGCTTATGTTAAGACAACTGTGATATGGCTTCGGTGACTGGAGGAGCACCAGGGTCCTTAGTCTCATGCTGATTTAGATAAAACAACACGGACACATATAGAGTGGTTTTAAGGAGCGGAGAGTTTAATAGGTAAGAAAGAAGGAAGAAGCTCCCCCATACAGAGACTGGAGGGGGGGCTCCAAGCCAAGAGAGGAAACCCCATGTGCCGCAGAAAAGTGGCTGCTTATATGAGTAGGCTGGAGGAGGTGGTGTCTGACTTGGGTAGGGCTCAGGGGATTGGTTTGACCAGGCATGTCATTCACGTAGCCTATGGAAAAACTGGCCCTCCCACCCTAGCCTTTTAATATGCAAATGCAGGGTGCCATGATGTTCTACACACGTGGAGATATGTGGGGGTGGTCATGTTGCCAGGCACATGTAGGGGCAAGGGCAAGAGGACAAGGGTGGGAATTGCCATGTTTGGGTGGACCCGGTTTCTAATGGCCTGCATTTGCATATCAAAGCTTGCCAGCCCGGCTCTAAGAGCTGGGGCTTTCCTGCTAGACAAGAAGCATTTCTGGAGCTGCTTTAAAAGAAACAAAAACTTCCCAAGGACCCCTTTTCCTCTCTATCTGCCTAAAATAATTTCTTAATAACTCCTATAACAACCGTATCTATTAGGCCTGGTAGAAAACTACATGCACCCCAGATGGGTGAAGTGAAGAGACTTTAATGAGGACACTATTTGAGAAGCGTAGCGGAGGAGAATGGAAAAGCAAGGAGCAGTGGGGCACCTGGGTGACAAGAAGAGTGATGCCCTTCCTACTCCTAGGGCTGGGGCAGTGGGAGGATACTGTGTTCCCAAGACCCAGTGAGGGCCAATGGAAGAGGCTATGGGCTGTGATCACCCAGTGGTTGCCATGGTCAAAGAGAGCATGTGGAAGAGGCTGTGGCCTGTGTAGCACCGAAGTTGGGGTGAAGGGATAAAAACACCAACCCTTCCTCCTCCTGTCTTCTAGTCTTGTCGGTACCTCCTACTGGCCAAACCCAACTGACACCAAAGGGCAAGGGAGCCCAGGAGATGCAGTCCTCAGGCTCCTCTCTCCTGCACTAAGCACCAAATGCTGGTGAGGGTGTGGAGCAATAGGATCTCTCATTCGTTGCTGGTGGGAATGCAAAAGGTAAAGCACTTTGGAAGACAGATTGTTTTTCACAGAGCTGAACGTGATCTTATCATACATTCCAGCAATCATACTCCTTGATATTTCTCCAGTGGGTTGAAAACTTACATCCACACAAAAATCCTCAGAGGAATGTTTCTAGCAGTTTTATCCATAATTGCTCAAACTTGATCACAACAGTTTCTCTGCACAGGGTAGGGCAGAGACAGCAGAGTGGGTCTGGAGGCTCAAATGAAGAATAACTAGCACAGCAATCACCCCCCTGCACTTGAACTATTGCAGTAGCCTCTTAAAGGCTTCCCTGCCTTCAGGCTTGTTTTCTCTCCTAAAGATTCTCCATAATGTGACAAGAATGCTCTTTCTAAAGCAAAAATCTCCAGGTCACTCCCTTCTTACAACCGTTGAGTGACTTCCCATTGCTCCCAGGATAAAATTAGTACTCCCCAGCATGGTGTCCAATGTCCTGTGAGCCGCATCTCTATCCACCCCACAATTCCTTTGCACTCCATACAATGCTGGGAACATGAACCTCTCTCTTATCACCCACCTTAGCCCCTGCTTAGCCACGCCCTCTGCCTGCAATATTTTTTTTATTCCATTGTGCCTTACTCTCCATGCCTTTTCCCCAGCTGGCTAAATTCTGCTCCCTCACCTTTTGTTTTGTTTGGTTTTTATTTTAAGACTGCATAGGTTTCTTCCCTTTTTTTTTTTTTTTTAGTTTTTAAATAGACTTTATTTTTTCTAGCAACTTTATTTTTTCTAGCAACTTTAGGTTTATAGAAAAATCAAGCAGGAAGTATAGAGTTCTCATGTTCTTCCTTTATACCCCCTCCACAGTTGTTGCACTTGTTATTAACATATTAGTGTGGTGGTACTGTAGCAGGACGAGCTGCAGACAAAACTCCTCAGACACTGAGTCAAAGAAGGAAGGGGTTTATTCGGCCGGGGGCATCGGCAAGACTCCTGTCTCAAGAGCCGTGCTCCCCAAGAGAGCAATTCCTGTCCCTTTTAAGGGCTCATAACTCTAAGGGGGTGCGCGTGAGAGGGTCGTGATCAATTGAGCAAGCAGGGGGTATGTGACTGGGGGCTGCATGCACTGGCAATTAGATCGGAACAAAACAGGATAGGGATTTTCACAGTGCTTTTTATACAATGTCTGTAATCTATAGATAACATAACCAATTAGGTCAGGGGTCAATCTTTAACTACCAGGCCCAGGGTGTGGTGCCGGACTGTCTGCTTGTGGATTTCACTTCTGCCTTTTAGTTTTTACTTTTTCTTTCTTTGGAGGCAGAAATTGGGCATAAGACAATATGAGGGGTGGTCTCCTCCCTTAGTACCTTTGTTACTATTGATGAATCAATATACGTTCTTATTAACCAAAGTCCATAGTTTACATTAGGGCTCACCCTTTATGTTGTATAGTTCTGTGGTTTTAATAAATGCATAATGTCAAGTATCCACCATTATAGCATCTTAAAGAATAGTTTCACTGCCCTAAAAATCCCGTGTTTAACCTGTTTCTCTAACCTTCCCTCCCCTTAAACCTGTGGCAACCACTGATTTTTTTTTTCAACTGTCTTCATAGTTTTGCCTTTTTCAGAGTGTCATATAGTTGCAGTCATACAGTATGTGTCTTTTTTCAGACTGGCTTCTTTCTTTTAGCAATATGCATGCATATCTTTCCATGGCTTGAAAACTCTTTTTTTATTGCCAATAATATTCCATGATATGGATGCACTTCAGTTTGTTTATCCATTCTCCTATTGAAGGACATCTTGGTTGCTTCCAAGTTTGAGCAATTATGGATACAGCTGCAATAAACATTTGTGTGAGGGTTTTTTAGGGGATTGTTAAGTTTTCAACCCATTTGGAGAAATACCAAGGAGTATGATTGCTAGAATGTATGGTAAGACCGTGTTCAGCTTTGCAAGAAATTGTCTGACTTCCAAAGTGCTGTACCATTTTGCATTCCCACCAGCAATGTGTGAGAGATCCCGTAGCTCCATATCCTCACCAGCATTTGGTGCTGGGTCTTGGATTTTGGCCATTCTAATGGGTGTTGTTACATATGAGTCCTAAATTTCTCTTCAAAGAATCAGTATGTCAATATGTTCAATTCTTTTCCTTCTACTTTTAAACTTAACTTCCTTGTAAAGCAACCTTTTTCGATTACCTGCTCCACCCTGACTCATTCCGATTACATGCTCCATCCTGACTCATTCAGATTACCTACTCCACCCTCACTCATTCAGATTACCTACTGCACCCTCACTCATTCCGATGACCTGCTCATTTTACACCCTGACACATTCTGATTTCCTGCTCTGCCATAACCATTTTTCCTGACAAACCACTCACTGCGTCACTCTCTTTAAATTAGTCAATCAGAATTAGTTTAGCCTGTGCGGTCTAACCCTAGCCAATAGGGGAATGACACAGCAGCAGGGGCCGTGTGAGTCAGGGATAAGAACCCCTTCCCCTCCCTTGTCCAAGTGTGGGCTCACCATTTCTCCATCTGTAAGGAAGCACCCTTCTATAGAAGTACATTGCCTTGCTGAGAATGAAAAAGAAAATGTTATAGTCAAGTGCTATTTCTTTTGTGGCACCAAAACTTTATTTATAACAATTTGAGGGCTCGCTGGGGATTACATTCCCCTCTGGGGGCGGTCTCTGGTTCTCTCTAGTGAGGCGGCGTGCCCCGCCCCCCTGTGGCGGTCTCAGCGGTGAGAAATCAGGACCCATGCAGTGCGAGGAATAACCCGAGCTCTCAGCAACGCGGAAAGAAACTTGCCAGCAACCTAGCTTAAAGGATCCTCACATACTACCGCGACGACTCTGCACAGACCAAGGAAGGAGCAGCTGTGGGAGCCGGTAAAGTACTTCCTTGGTGGTCAAATTCTGGAGGGCTAAAAATGTGCGTGTGTGAAAGATCACAAACAACCCTACTTGCAGTGTTGTTTGTGTGGATGGTGACAAGTCCTACTGCTGGACGGAGTGAGTGAGTCCTCTCTGTGGTTCCATAGCTACCTCATATGGCTTAGGGCAGATCCTGCCATTGGATTTATACTGGCATGCCAACACTAAGAGGGGCCTAATTCTCCCTTGGGAGAGCAGCCAGAGAGGACAACACAAGTAGGAAATGTACAAGTGACCTTTAGAGGGGGAAAGGGAGGAAACAGGTCAACCTTCCAGAGCAGCAAGGCAAGTCACCCCCTGGTTTTCTGTCTGGAATTGGTGGGTTCTTGGTGTCACTGACTTCAAGAATGAAGCCGTGGACCCTCGAAGTGAGTGTTACAGTTCTTAAAGATGGTGTGTCTGGAGTTGTTCGTTCCTCCTGTCCGGAGTTGTTCATTCCTCCCGGTGGGTTCGTGGTCTTGCTGGCTTCAGGAGTGAAGCTGCAGACCTTCGCAGTGAGTGTTACAGCTCTTAAAGGCAGCGCAGACCCAAAGAGTGAATAGCAGCAAGATTTATTTCGAAGAGCGAAAGAACAAAGCTTTCACAGCATGGAAGAGGACCCGAGCGGGTTGCCACTGCTGGCTCAGGTGGGAATAACCCTTATCTGGCCCCACCCACATCCTGCTGATTGGTCCATTTTACTGAGAGCCGATTGGTCCGTTTTACAGAGAGCTGATTGGTCCGTTTTGACAGAGTGCTGATTGGTGCGTTTACAAACCTTTAGCTAGACACAGAGTGCTGATTGGTGCATTTTCAATCCTTTAGCTGGACAAGTTCTCCAAGTCCCCACCAGATTAGCTAGACACAGAGCGCCAATTGGTGCGTTTACCAACCTTTAGCTAGAGGCAGAGTGCTGATTGTTGCATTTACAATCCTTTAGCTAGACAGAAAAGTTCTCCAAGTCCCCACCCGACCCAGAAGTCCAGCCGGCTTCACCTCTCAATGGCACTCGCTGGGGTACTTTGTGGCACCTAGCTCGGGCACTCCTGCAGCCCAGAGGGAGCTCGTCCCCAGATCAAGCCCAGCAGGCGCCCACCGGCCGCACCGACTGCGGGGCCCACTTAGCCCGTGCCCACCTGGAACCTGCGCCGGCCCACAAGGGCCGTGTGCAGCCCCGGCTCCTGGTGCCTCTCCCTCCACACCTCCCCGCGAGCAGAGGGAGCCGACTCTGGCCTCAGCCAGCCCGAGAGAGGGGCCCCCACAGCGCAGCGGCGGGATGAGGGGCTCCTGGAGCGTGGCCAGAGCAACACCGAGGCCTAGGAGACGCCGAGAGCGAGCGAGGGCTACTAGCACGTTGTCACCTCTCAGTTTGAGGGATTGAGCCTTCCGGGGCAGGCAAGGAGAGCCATCCCTGGTTTGAGGGGTTGAGCCTTCCACAAATTTCAGGGGGTTGAACCTCACAGAAACCTCTGCTAGTAAGAAGGATATTCAGAACTCCCTTTCCTTTCTTCTCAAGGGAAGAAAGAGTAGCTCCACTTCCACCGGTCCCTCCCCTAGGGAAAGGGGAAGGAGAGGGGAGAACAACAGCATAAGCAGCTGGCAGAGGCAGGGAAAGACCAGCAAAGAGGAAAGAGAAACTGAGAGAGGAAGTTAGAGAGAAAGACAAAGAGACAGAGTCAAAGAGAGAGAGAAAGAGAGAGGCAGAGAGAGAAAAAGACAAAGAGGGAGTCAGAGAGAGAGAAAGACAGAGACAGAGAGAGTCAAAGAGAGAGAGAGAGAGAAGTAGTAAAGAGTGTATCGTATTCTTTTAAAAGCCAGGGTAAATTTAAAACCATAATTAATAATTGAAGGTCTTCTCCATGACCTTATAACTCTCCAAAACCACCTTGTTGTCAGTGTAAACAAGGGTGTAGCCCAAAAGCACTGAGGCCACTGACAACCTGTAGCTTTCCAAATCAAAAATCCTTAACCCAGTAAACCCGTGGATGGCCCAAATGCATTCAATCTGTAGCAGCAACTGCTTTGCTAACAGAAGAAAGTAGAACAATAACTTTTAGAGGAACTCTCATTGTGAGAACACCTCCTCAGGTCAGAACTATTCTAAGTCAAAACAAAACAAAACAAACAAACAAACAAAAAAAGCAAAAAGGTAGCTTCCTGACTCAAGAACCTTAAAGTATGAGGCTATTCTGTTAGAAAAAGATGATTTAACATTAACCACTGAAAATTCCCTTAACCCATCAGGTTTCCTAAATCTTAATCTAAATCAGGATCTAAATCTTAATTACCATACAAAGGTCTGATCAGATCTAGGAGGAACTCCCTTCAGGACAGGACGATAGATGGTTCCTCCTGGGTGATTGAGGGAAAAAAGACACAATGGGTATTCGGTAAGTGATAAGGAAACTCTTGTAGAAGCAGAGTTAGGAAAATTGCCTAATAATTGGTCTGCTCAAATGTGTGAGCTGTTTGCACTCAGCCAAGCCTTAAAGTACTTACAGAATCAGGAAGGAGCCATCTATACCAATTCTAAGTAAATATGGATTGAACAAGGTCTTATTAATAGCAAAGAATAATTGAAATCTCAAACTTACAAGGTTTTCAACAAAAGTTTGCTGAAAGTTAACAGTGTAACATGTATTATCCTAACTTCTAATCTTGTGGCCTTAGACAGTCTACTCCACAGACATGAAGGAAGTTCACTTTGGAAAAGAGTGGTTATCATCTTTGAGAAAAAAAAAGGCCAGCGGGGGTTGTGGGGGGTGGAGAATTTATGTAAAGAGGAATGTTACATGGTAAATTCTTGTCCTAAAATAAATTAACTGTTTGTTTAAAGAAAGGGATGTTTGCAACAAATCAGAAAGTTGAGACATGTCGAAGAAGTGTCTGTGAAAGTCATGAGAAAAAAAAAGTTATAAAAGGGAATTTATGCAAGAAATATTGTATAATGTAAAAGTAATTAGGCCTCCTGAATGTAAAACTATTGAAGAAACAGTTTATGTGCAAGGCGTGTAAGGAAAGTAAAATATCCCTTTGGTAAAAGGGTTATAAAGAGGCATAAGAATGTGGATTTTTACCTACATTAAAAGGTTAAAAAATATTTTGTTTTAAAGGTTTAAGCAAGTTTTGAAACGTTAATTGTAAAGGAAATTCTGAGTGTAAACATATTGGCTAAAGTTAAAGGGGTATCCAGTTTTTCTGTGAACTGGACATTAAAATAAAAGCACAACAGGTTTTTCTCTAACCTGCTCTTTAACAAAAATTATAAAAGGTTAAAAAGAGTCTACAAAAATCTTACTTTATGGTCAGACATTAAAAATTGGATAAATATGTCTACAAGCTTTTATTAAAATTAAGTTATTAATAACACTAATATAAAGGTGAAATTTAGCTTATCTGGTATAAAATAATACAGGATGCATTGTCAAATATAAAATGGTGTTTGGCTTTCTTTGGTCTAAAAACTAGTAAAAATAGGTGCTAAAGGAAATTTCTTAGTAAGAAGGCACCAAGGACTATAAAGTCCACTGCTGATGTCCCCACATTTAAAACAAAAGATCAATTTCTTAGAAATTATATAGCTGGTTTATCTTCCACTTTCCTTTCCCTCAAAACTAAAAGTCTTTTAGCACGGATACCACCCCTAGAACTTCTGGTAAACCAGTGCCAGCCTGAGGATCACGTTCTCATCAAAGGGTGGAAAGAAGGAAAACTTGAGCCAGCCTGAGAAGGACCCTACCTTGTGCTGCTGACCACCGAGACTGCTGTTCGTACACCGGAAAGGGGATGGACTCATCACACCCGAGTCAAGAAAGTGCAGCCCCCTCCAGAGACGTGGGCCATAGTCCCAGGGAAAAGCCTACCAAACTAAAGCTAAGAAAAATTTAACTCTCTTCTATTCTATTAATCCTTCTTCTTTCCTCACTCTATTGCTGACCATCTAACTATTAACATAACCAAGTCAATTTCACCTCAAACTATTGCATTTGATGCTTGCCTTGTTATACCCTGTGGGGGCTTGTCAAGTCAAAGACAGCTCTCTACTTCAGAAAAGTACCTCTGTCCCTCCTGACTCTCCTCAGACTGGACATTAGTGAATTGGGACCATTTAATCTGGGGAGATTTTGATAAAGACCCCAGTGTCAACCAGCAGTCTTGCCCCCTGATGTAGAGCTTTTGTGCCATAGTCGATCCAATGTTCTGTGACCACTGAAGAGCAAGGGTGGACTGCTCCAACTGATTTTTGTAATTTCCTAAAACCATACATTCATTTTACTAGAGGGACAGCCCCCACCACCGCCACCCCTCTGCCAACTGTCAGCTAAACCAGTGCAATCCTATGCAGGTTATTATCTCAAACCCTCTAAGTTCTTCCCCTTTTCTAAGCCAGTTCCCTTCTTTAAGCTAGTTTTATGGTATGGGGGCTGAGGTTTCAGGGACAGAACCTAATGGATTCTTTGAAATGCATTTCTTTGATCCCCTGCCACCTGCACCTTCCTCTAAGCCTTCTTCCAAAACCTCTCACAATGAAACAATTGCTCCTCCTCCATCTAACGACAAGACCAAAATAGCTATTGTAGAAGTTAAAGACTTAAAACAAACTTTGGCAATTAAGACAGGATACCAAGATGCAAATGCCTGGTTGAAATGGATCAAATATTCCATCTACACGTTAAAAGCAATTGTTATGCTTGTGCACACGGCAGTCCAGAGGCCCAGATTGTCCTCTTTCCACTAGGGTGGTCCTCCAGTAGACCGGGTGTGGGCTGCATGGTAGCTCTTTTCCAGGATTCTACAGCCTGGAGTAACAAGTTGTGCCACTCTCTCTCTCTGCTATATCCCAAAGTCTGGCACCCTGCGGGTCAGCCCCTGAGGGCCATCCAGCTTCCATCTCCCAACACTAAGTTCACTTCATGTCTCCCACAACAGGGAGAAAACTTAGCGTTCCTTGGAGACCTGAAGGGATGCAGTGAGCTTAAGAATTTTCAACAGCTTATCAATCAGTCAGCCCTTGTTCATCCCTGAGTGGAGGTGTGGTGGTATTGTGGTGGACCTTTACTGGACACTCTGGCCAATAACTGGAGTGGCACTTGTGCTTTAGTCCAATTGGCTATCCCTTTCACCCTGGCATTTCATCAACCAGAGGAAGGAAAAATAAGACATCATAAAGCGAGAGAAGCCCCTCATGTGTCTTTCGACTCTCACGTCTATTTAAATGCAATTGGAGTTCCATGGGGAATACCAGATCAATTTAAATCCCGAAATCAAATAGCTGCAGGATTTGAGTCAATATTTTGGTGGGTGACAATTAATAAAAATGTATATTGGATAAACTACATCTACTACAACAACAGCAATTTATTAACTACACTAGAGATGCTGTTA
Organism: Homo sapiens; assembly: GCF_000001405.40. Lineage (NCBI taxonomy): Eukaryota > Metazoa > Chordata > Mammalia > Primates > Hominidae > Homo > Homo sapiens. Next base: position 42,319,631 of record NC_000004.12, read on the forward strand.
AAGGAATAGCTGAGCAATTAGGGGCTACTAGCCAGATGGCTTGGGAAAATAGGATAGCCTTAGACATGATATTAGCAGAAAGAGGAGGAGTTTGCATCGTGATTAAAACTCAACGTTGTATCTTCATCCCAAACAACACTGCCCCTGATGGAAGTATAACAAAGGCATTGCAAGGTCTGACTGCTCTGTCCAATGAGTTAGCCAACAACTCAGGGGAAAATGACCCCTTTACAGGATGGCTAGAAAAGTGGTTTGGTAGATGGAAAAGAATAATAGCCTCGATTCTTACTTCCCTCGCAGCCATAATGGGTGTACTTATTCTTGTCAGGTGCTGTGTCACACCATGCATCTGTGGGTTGGTGCAAAGGCTCATAAAAACGGCACTTACTAAAACCTCCCTTAACTATCCTCCACCTTATCCAGAGAAGCTTCTTCTTTTGGAAAATCAAGCAGAACAACTAAGCCAAGACATGTTAAAGAAGTTTGAAGAGAAAGCGCTATAAGGAAATGCAAGAAGACAAATTGTTAGATATGAGTTCTAAATTTCTCTTCCAAGAAATTTGTCAGTATGTTCAATTCTTTGCCTTCTACTTTTAAACTTAACTTCCTCGTAAAGCAACATTTTTCGATTACCTACTCCACCCTGACTCATTCCGATTACCTGCTCATTCTCCACCCTGACTCATTCCAATTTCCTGCTCTGCCATAACCAGTTTTCCTGCCAAACCACTCACCCCATCACTCTCTTTAAATCAGCCAATTGGAATTAGTTTGTCTGTGCGGTCTAACCCTAGCCAATAGGGGAATGACACAGCAGCAGGGGCCATGTGAGTCAGGGATAAGAACCCCTTCCCCTACCTTGTCCAAGTGCATGCTTGCCCTTGCTGTATCTGAAAGGGCACACCCTTCTATAGAAGTACATTGCCTTGCTGAGAATTAAAAAGAAAATTTTATATTTGAGTGCTATTTCTTTTTTTTGCTTTTCTTTTCTTTTGCATTTTTTTTTTTTTGAGATGGAGTCTCGCTCTGTCGCCCAGGCTGGAGTGCAGTGGCACGATCTCGGCTCACTGCAAGCTCCGCCTCCAGGATTCACGCCATTCTCCTGCCTCAGCCTTCTGAGTAGCTGGGACTACAGGTGCCCGCCACCACGCCTGGCTAATTTTTTGTATTTTTAGTAGAGACAGGGTTTCACTGTGTTAGCCAGGATGGTCTCGATCTCCTGACGTCTTGATCCACCCGCCTTGGCCTCCCAAAGTGCTGGGGTTACAGGCGTGAGCCACTGCACAGGGCCTTTGAGTGCTATTTCTAATGCAGCACCGAAACTTTATTTATAACAGTGTGCAGTGGTGTCTCCTTGTTGTTTTAATGTTTCAGTTCCCTAATGACATATGCCATTGAACATCTTTTCATTTGCTTAGGTGCCACTTCTGCTCCAGTTTTAACGGCTTAGTTGATGCTTTCTGCAGGAAAGCTCTCTCCCCCATTGTGTCAGATAGCCTTTGCTGTGTAATAGATGACTTCAAAACTTGGTAGCTGAAAATAGCAATCATATATCTGTGGGTCACGTGGAGTTCAGCTGATTAGGCAGGGTTGCGCTGGTTGGCCCAGCTTTGGGCTTGTGGGTCTCCTGGGTCTGCTGGGTCTGCTAGGTGACTCTGTTCCATAGGCCTCCAACCTTCTTTAAGCGTATCTGCCATCATATGTTCTCACGACAAAGGCAGAGGCACAACAGGGTGAGTGGAAACATGACATTTCTTAAAGTCTGGACTCACTGAGACATACCTGCAATTAGTTACAGTAAGTCACAGGGCCAACTCCAAATTCAAGGGGCAGTATGAGGCCATAGCAAGGATGTGGATGCATGATGGGGACGAGAGAAGAATTAAGACCAACAAGTCAATCCACCACAGTGCACTACTTTGATCATAACTTTCCTCTAACATGCAAATGTCCTTACCCCCAACCCAGGGTCCCAAAGGGCTTGATTGGATCTGCAGGATGTCATGGAGACCTGTAGACTAAAATGGCAAGTCGTTTGCACCTTAAATACCCAACACTCAGAGGCAGAACAGGAAGGAAATAACCAAAATAAAAACTTCCATCTCACATTCTCCTATTTCTTTTCACATGCCACTGGTCACAGCAAGTCACATGGCCAAAACTAAAGCCAAGGGATACTCATGATGAGGCCATGACACAGTAGGGATACAGAATTGGGGACAATACTTTACCCCAGTATAAACAGAAATGGAAGGATGGTTGTTCTTCCATTTATATCATCTGCCTTGACCACCACTTCTGAAACGGGCTTTAGAAAAATGCCCTTTTTTTCATCTGAGCAAGTTTCTCAGAATGCTTTCAGCCTGGAAAAAGCTGGGGGCTCAGAGGTCTTTTTACATTTCAAAGAGCCACAGTCCTTTATATTCAAGGCCAGAAGTATTTTTGTCAATAATACTTTCGAAAAAACTTTCTGAGTTTTACAAATTAAAAACAAGGAATTTTAAAAGTGGCAAGAAAACACATTTTTTTTTGTTGCCCTAGAAAGGTGAGCTAAAGGAACAAATTTTTCTTAATGACTATCTAAAAAAACAATTTTGAAGATGTGGTCAAAAAGATTGAATAGGAATGTATCCCATACATATTTCCTTATAGATAGTTTTACGGATAAGTAATTCAAGATTTGGACCAAAATATATATAAACTAATGTATAACAAATATTAGCTTGGTAGTAGTGTATTGAAATTGATATTTTAATTTCCCCAAATCTTTGTGAGGATGGCAGATTAAACAGGGTGTTTTTCAGTGAAAATATAATTTGTATATTTAGTGGTTAATGCATAACTTTTGAGAAAGTCTTTTTCAAAGACTTGTACATTGAGAAAGTGAATGATTATGATGTCTGAGTTCAACCTTTATGCAAGTCTGATGGTTTCTAATTGTTCGTATTTTAAAAAATTGTAATAGGATTTATTTGAGTTTTAAATTGATGGAACTTTTAAAATTAAAGATGATAAATGCTTATTCTGTGATTTTAGCATTTTCCTAAGAAGAGGTTCAAAGAACTGAGTGATGTAGACGAGACCAAATTCCTTCCATTTTCATTTACTTACATATAAGGACACAATTTCTCAGCACAAACAAGAAAACAGAAGGAATAAAATTTGGGGAAAATCCTTTATGAGTTTTTTTTGTCTTTATTTTATTTTAAGTTCTGGGGTACATGTGCAGGATGTGCAGATTTGTTACATAGGTAAATGTGAGCCATAGTCACCTAGGTGTTAAGCCGGGTAGGCATTAGCTATTTTTCCTGATGCCATCATGAGTTTTAACGTATTTTATTCTAGTCTACCCATGTGTCAAAATTCATTTGGGATATACCTCTCTGTGTGTCTGTCACTCCATAGTTGCTATTAATTGGGGTATAACAGGTTGTCGTGGGACTATGCCTTTAAGTTTTCTAGGTACCTGGTTGCACAGCTGGAAGGCTTTCCTAGACCAGGGCTACTCAAAGACGTAACATCAGCATCACCTGGGAGCCAGTTCAAAGTACAAGCTCTTGGGCCTTTTCCTGTAACTGTGGAATCGGAATCTCTGGAGGTGGTGCTTGGGTATCTGTGTTAACAAGCCTCTGGATGATTCTGAAGCACGCAAAAGTTTGAGAAATGACAGGGTACTATCTTATTTCTCCTGGAGTCTGGTCTTTAACCTGGGGACTTGGCTTAACTGGCAGTGCCCTGGGTTGGTTGTTTCCAAGCTGTATCTTAATGGCCACACCTTGACTTGGTCTTTGTCTCTGCACTGTATTTTATTTGGGAGTCTTTTACTGGCTCGAAGGGCTGGGGATAAAAAACAGTTCTATTTTCCAACCCAGCTAGTTTGGACTCTGTGTATTCCCTCTAAATTCTGCTTGCAAGCTAACCAGTTCTCCTCTAAGCTATACTATATCATATGTGATGAAGTCTTCCAATTGTAACCTTCTGCCTGGCAATCTTCTTGCTCAAGTTCATAGGTTCATTAGGCACATTTTCTATCTTTCAGGTTAGCTCAGGTGACAATTTTACCAGATATTTTGTCACTACATAACATAGGTCACAATTTTCCTGCCTCCTATAACTGTTTCCTTTCTTCAGCCTCTATCTGCCTCCTAGGCCCAAAACCAATACCACATATTTTAGGATTTTGCTGTGGTACCAATTTCTGTAAACGTTTGATATTGCTGAATAATAAACCACTCCAAAACTTGTGGCTTAAAACAATAATTACTTATGACTGCTCACAGGTCCATGGGTTGACTGGGGTTCTGCTGAAAGGCTGGGTGGCTCTGCTCCAGGACATGGTGGCTGCAGTGCCACTGCAGGCCCGGGTGGCTCCACTCCTTAGAGCAGTGGGCAAGCCAGGGCATGTTCTCATTGCCATGGTAAAGGTGCAAGAAGACAAGTGGAAATATGTGATGCTTCTGAAGTCCTAGGCTCAGAACTGGCCTCCTCTCGCTTCTGCCCACGTGTCACTGGCCATAGCATGTCACATAATCAAGCCCAAAGCCATGATGAAGCCATGACAAAGGTATAAATGCAGGCAAGTGTAAAGAATTAGGAACAATACTTTAATCTGGAATCCTCCCCAACATAAAAATAGAGTCTCTTCTACGTGTTATCATACATTTTTAAACGTACACTCCCAGAACATTTCTGTCATTGTCTCAGAAAAGCAGACAATTGTGCCTCCAGAACCTAGACGGTGCCTGAGGCACAGTAGATATTCAATAAATACCTGCTGAACAAGTGACTGACTGCATAAGTGAATGAATGCATTCCTGATGGATAGTTTGCCAAGTTAGATCTGTAGAGACCAAGAATTAAGGGATGATTTGGCTGACAAAAACAAGAAATGGGGAAAGGATTCCCTATTTAATAAATGGTGCTGGGGAAACTGGCTGGCCATATGTAGAAAGCTGAAACTGGATCCCTTCCTTACACCTGATACAAAAATTAAGTCAGGATGGATTAAAGACTTAAATGTTAGACCTAAAACCATAAAAACCCTAGAAGAAAACCTAGGCAATACCATTCAGGACATAGGCATGGGCAAGGACTTCATGTCTAAAACACCAAAAGCAATAGCAACAACAGCCAAAATTGACAAATGGGATCTAATAAAACTAAAGAGCTTCTGCACAGCAAAAGAAACTACCATCAGAGTGAACAGGCAACCTACAGAATGGGAGAAAATTTTTGCCATCTATCCATCTGACAAAGGGCTAATATCCAGAATCTACAAATAACTTAAACAAATTTACAAGAAAAAAACAACCCCATCAAAAAGTGGGCAAAGGATATGAGCAGACACTTCTCAAAAGAAGACATTTATGCAGCCAAGAGACACGTGAAAAAATGCTCACTACTGGTCATTAGAGAAATGCAAATCAAAACCACAATGAGATACCATCTCACACCAGTTAGAATGGCGATCATTAAAAAGTCAGGAAACAACAGGTGCTGGAGAGGATGTGGAGAAATAGGAATGCTTTTACACTGTTGGTGGGAGTGTAAACTAGTTCAACCATTGTGGAAGATAGTGTGGCGATTCCTCAAGGATCTAGAACTAGAAATACCATTTGACCCAGCCATCCCATTACTGGGTATATACCCATAGGATTATAAATCATGCTACTCTAAAGACACATGCACACGTATGTTTACTGCAGCACTATTCACAACAGCAAAAACTTGGAACCAACCCAAATGTCCAACAATGATAGACTGGATTAAGAAAATGTAGCACACATACACCATGGAATACTATGCAACCATAAAAAAGGATGAGTTCATGTCCCTTTGCAGGGACATGGATGAAGCTGGAAACCATCATTCTGAGCAAACTATCACAAGGACAGAAAACGAAACACCGCATGTTCTCACTCATAGATGGGAATTGAACAGTGAGAACACTTGGACATGGTGGGGAGCATCACACACAGGGGCCTGTCATGGGCTCGGGGGCAGGGGGAGGGATAGCATTAGGAGAAATACCTAATGTAAATGACGAGTTAATGGGTGCAGGAAACAAACATGGCACATGTATACCTATGTAACAAACCTGCACGTTGTGCACATGTACCCTAGAACTTAAAGTATAATTAAAAAAATAAGTTAAAGCAATAAACAGTATTCAAGTATACTAAAAAAAAAAAAGGAATGGTTTGGAATCTTGTCTGGACGTTTAATTCAAACCTTCAAGCTTTTCATCAGTATGTCTTCTTAGGAAAATAAAAGCTTACCTTTGTGTTTGGACTTCATAGGAGCAAAGCAATGCTTAGCATTTGGAAGACAACATAAACTAAAAAAGAGTAATAAAGGAAAAAAAATGGAACCAAAGGGAAATTGCCGAGAAGGAAGAGCTGATGAAATACCTATGGGGGATTTCATGCTACTTTATTTTTCTCAAACTCTTTCTTTGAAGGGATGAGTGAGGGAGTTCTAAGTGGCCGTCCCATGGGCGCCCAGCCCACCACTGCATGTGTTTTGTAATCAGAGCCAAGAATCAAGTGGAGAGAAGGTAGCACTGTAGTAAAACCTCCCTGCGCAATCTTGTTGGCAGGCTGTGTGACAACCTCAGTGAAGTGCATGGGACGGTCTGATGTTGGCTGACCTTGTTCACACCTTTCTTCTGTCTGTGCTCATGGTCTGGCTGTTGCTGCACATGACAATGGCAATATTTCTCCCCTTCAGAACTCGCTTCTCTGCTCTACTTTTCCAGAATTTTATTTTTACAAATATGTTGCAGTGCTTGGGACTAAAAGGAGAGAGAAATACAAGAAAGGGAGGAGGGAGGGAGGGAGGGAGGGACGGAAGGAAGGAAGGAAAGTTAGGACAAAGAAACGAAGGAAGGATAAAGGAAGGACAAAGCAAGGAGGAAAAATGAAGGAAGGACGGAAAGAAGGAAAGAAGGATGAAGAAAGAATGGAAGGAAGGAAGGACAGAGGAAGGAAGGAGGAAGGAGGGAATGTTGAAGGAAAGAAGGAAGGGAGGAAGGAAGAAGGAAGGAAGGAGGAACAAGGGAAGGAAGGAGGGATGGAAGGAAGGATGAATGAAGGAAGGAAGAAAGGGAAAGGGAAAGAAAGGGAAAGAAAGAAAGGAAAGAAGAAAGGAAGGAAGAAAGAAAGAAAAAGAGAAAGAAAGAAAGAAACAAAGAAAGAAGAAAGAAAGAATCTGGAGAAGGGCTCTGGGAGACCTCGGCATTATGGGAGTAGTAACTTGCCCTGTTTTTTCTTCTGTGCATAGGCTGCTCAGAGGTCATACGCAAATCTTGGGCCTGGTGTGGTGGCTCATGCCTGTAATCCCAGCACTTTGGGAGGCAGAGGCAGGCGGATCACCTGAAGTCAGGAGTTCGAGACCAGCCTGGCCAACATGGTGCTCCGTCTCTACTAAAAATACAAAAATCAGCTTGGCGTGGTGGCGTGCACCTGTAATCCCAGTTACTTGGGAGACTGAGGCAGGAGAATCACTTGAACCCGGGAGGCGGAGATTGCAGTGAGCCGAGATCATGCCACCGCACTCCAGCCTGGGTGACAGAATGAGACTCCGTCTCAAAAAATAAATAAAAACAAAACAAATCTGGGGCCATGCCTGAGAAGATTCCATCTGGGCACTTGTGGCTGGTGTCAAACTCATCTTAAAACAAGCCTTTGCCTCGAGCCCTATGCCTATTCTCAAGAATAGCTGGCTCCCTTTTCCTGCCTGGGTTTCAGTGCTGTTGGAACCAGCTCAGGACCCACAGACTCTAAACTCCACAGCAGAGCAGTTTTTGAGCCTGGTGAGGTGGGAGGGTAATGAGAAGTTGTTAATCTAAGGCAGTGACCTTTCCCTGCAAGTGTGGAAATGCTCATCGGAGGACTCCTCCTGCCTGGGATAAGGCCTGTCAGCAGGACAGCAAGCAGATGCATGGAGGAGGAGACGGGCTTCGGTGAAAGGCCATGCCCGCAGCCTTCCCAGAGGCCCTTACAGATCATGGCTCTCAGGCAGCCCAGGGAACCTCAGGCTCAAAGGCTATCAGGGTTTCAGTCTCCTCAGTTTTCCCTTGAAATAGGATGGCCATTGTGGGGCTTAGAATGAGGGGATGTTTGGAATGAAACCCTTTTAGAACACACCACCAGGGCTGAGATGTGTGTTAACTGCTTGGCCCATAGAAAAGGTAGGCTTCGCCTGGGCTGCATTTCAGGAGGCCTGAGAACCTCCGGATACAGCCTCTGCCTCAGCGGGTGCCAAGTTCTAGATTAAGTTTCTGCCTTTTGGGACTGTAGGACTGAAGAGAGTTCTTGACCACAGATGATTGACACACTCAGAGAGTAAAAAATATCCACACTGCCAGAGCAGCTAGTTGCCAGCTTTACGCAATTTTATTTAACCAACCAGCACTAGCTATGAGACAGACCCTTTTCTAAGTGTTTTATACATTTTAACTCCTATTGTATCAACCTCCTGTGCTATCTATCCCATTGTATAGATAAGGAAGCTGAGGCACAGAGAGGTTGAGTAACTTGGCCCAGGTAACGCAGCCTGGAAGAGGTGCTACCAGGCAATCTAGTGTTCTAATCTCATTCTAAGTCTTTTCTAATCATCACACTCTGCTGTCCCTCCATGTTTACCACTGGATAGAATATGGAGTGAAGACATAGAAAGTCCAACAGAAGTCCTTCTGTGGCTCTGGCTTTCAGAGCTGCAACTTTTGGTGTCATCTGACAGATGCACAGAGCATTACAAAAGCAGCCACAGCTTGAGCACTGAAGGCTTGCTTTTTGGAGGCTCAGCACACTCTAAGTCCTCCTGCTGAGTAAAAGGGTGCCAGGCACAGTCTAATTTGGTCACACTTTGGGGGAGCAAATACCTAAGCACTTTGGAGCTGGTGGATTTATCTGCAGGGATTGCAGGGATGCCTGGTGTGGGGATTTGCACAAACCCAAAACACGAACCCCCAGATGGCAAATACATGCTTAATGCTCATTAAAGAGATGGGCTGCTTGAAGGAATTCCTCCATTTCTTGCAAAAGGCAACTCGTATGATGGAAAAAACACAAGTTTTGGAGTCAGAGACTCAGCTGTGTGACCTTGGGTAAGTAATTTATCTCTCCAAGCCTGGTTTCCTTGTCTGCAGAATGGAGTGGATAATACCTTCTCACAGGGTGTTTATTTTTTATTTTTTTATTGAGACGGAGTTTAGTTTTGCTCTTGTTGCCAAGACTGGAGTGCAATGGCGTGATCTCAGCTCACTGCAACCTCTGCCTCCTGGGTTCAAGAGAATCTCCTGCCTCAGCCTCCTGAGTAGCTGGGATTACAGGCAGCCACCACCATGCCCAGCTAATTTTTTTTGTATTTTTGGTAGAGATGGGGTTTCACCATGCTGGCCAGGCTCTTCTTGAACTCTTGACCTCAGGTGATCCACCCGCCTCGGCCTCCCTAAGTGCTGGAATTACAGGTGTGAGCCACCACACCCAGCCCTTATAGGGTGTTTATAGAGGCTGAAGGAGATAATATACAGCTAATCTGGATGGGTCAAACCATTGACTAAGAGAAGGGACATTCCCAGAGGATGCACCATATGGAGGTTAGGAATCAGGAGGTGTGCTCTGGGATGGGCACATTCCCTTGAGAGCTGAAGATGAGCTCCCTGGCTGAGTGGTGCAGCTGAAAGTTCAGGGACTTAGGAGTCAGTCAGCTCTGGGTTCAATTCTTACCTCTATCCCTTATGGGTGACCTTGGAGAATCACCTAAGCTTTCTCAATTCAGCTTTTTCACTAATAAAATTGGAATTTTGACGCACGTCTCTTAGGACTGTCAACATTTGATGTGCTAATGAATGTAGAGAGTGTTAAAATAAAGCTAGCTTTCTCTAACCTTATAGGCTATAGCTTTATGAGTCAGCTAGCAGTCATGATATTCATCTCCCAAGGTCTGCAACAGATAAACATCTATCCCAGTGTTCACTGGACCCTTTATTGCTATTATTTTTAACTATAAACCTTGTTAAATCACTTATAGTTACACAAGGAGGGAAGGGAATGACAGTGACTGGACCCCATTGGAGAATCACTCTAGTAGCCAAACAGTGGGGGAGCTTTTCCAGTTTCCCCTTTGTTAACGTCATTCCTACATATTGACATGTACTTAACCTTTGTAATGTGACTTGGCAAGGCTAGGTTTTGAGGAGGACAGAGTTTTCTTCCAGGAAAGTCTCTCTTCCCTTCTCTCCCATCTTTCTCTCTGTAAAATCACCTCTTGACAACACCCACCAGTTTTGACTCAATGGTGGGCCACTTTTATTCAAAGAATACAAGGATCTCTAGTGGGTCCCTGAATGAGTTTTAAATGGGGTGTATGACACCCCTGAAATGGTGTTACATTTCCTCAGTTAGGGGGTCCACACAGTCACAAGGCTCCACGACCCTCCCTCCCACACAAAGGTTAAGAAACATTGTTCTGAGAGAAGAACGATGCAGAAATGCTACTCCATTTGGGGCCTAAGCACAATTTATTTCCGCAAAAGGATGGGAGGCAGATTTCCTTGGAACTTTTCCCGCTTTCCCTAACACAGAAGTTGTAGCAGTAAAAAAGATGTAAATCTTTTGTGCAGTTTCTTTCCCTAAGTATTTATCTTTGCTTTCTGGGGAGGAAGTCCTGTGTCTTTAGCTCCTCTGTGTCACTGAACCCCCATCTCTGGACCTGTCCACAGAGCAGGTAAACTTGCCTTTTCTAGAAGACCTTTGTCCTTGAAACCCTTAACTTGTTGATGGATGTTGTCATTAAAAGTCCGCAGCTGAGCAGAAGCCCTCCTGGACTCTGAGTTATGGAGTCTCCAAGCCTCTGTGAGCTGGTGACTGGTTAGGTGGCGCTGGGTGACCCCATGAACTTCCCTTACTACTGCAAACAGCCTTGCCCAACATGCACGAGCACCAGATGTCAGAAACCTAGTTGTGCCATTTAGTTTCTTCTTGTTTAGTTTCTAGAGGGTCCTAATTTGTGGCTTTTAAAGTAATTTGTCCCAAAACAAGCACCGTAGACTGATCGACTCTCTTGGGTATTTGTTTCCCATAAATCCAGCTCTCCTTAGATGAGCTTCAACTTGGATTGGAAAGAGAATTTGTTTAGTTATGCTGGGCTGTAGGCACTAAATTGGGCCGTATTGTCACTTCTCTTTGGTAATATAAACAAGCCCACAGACTGCTCACTCTCGTCAGTGACTGTAATCGGTCAAGTCTGCTTGCTGTGCTATAATTCAGAAGGAAAAAGTCCGATAACTTAGTCTGAGCTTCACCTTTCATGAGCCATCAGTTCATACATCACCTATGACATAAAAAGGGCCTCATTCCCACAGAGTTAGCCCCAGAAGGTTTTTCCCGGTGTTAAGTTCTTAAAAATAGCATCTGTGCTTAGGACATTATTCTCCAAAATTTTACACAAGTGCCAATGATTCTACTATATCAGCCTTGCAGGATAATTCCTCAGGGCTCCTTCTGTTTATTTAGGCCAGAGTGAATATTCAAGAACATAATATTTTGCAGGTCAATCTTTTATTGCTCAATCCAACCTACAGTATGCACCACACCTTGAATACCAGTCAACAGGGCTCTGAGGATAAAGGTTCACCTGCTTGTCATTTAGAACATTAATCATTTGACACATATTTTATTGGGTATCTACTCTTTGCCAGGCACAGTATCAGAATGGGGGCTAACGCAGAGAAGAGGATGGGCAAGGCTCTTGGTCTTCTGAAGCTTCTATTTGTATGAAGAAGATGGACCAAACATATAAAATAGTAATGGATAGATAGTAGAACTATGAAGGAAATAGCTAAGATGGTGTAATAAAGATTAATGAAGATGAGGATGGTCAGTGAATGGGTCTCTACAAAAAAAAAAAAAAAAAAAAAAATTCAGCTGAACCTGTAGAATAAGTAGCCAAAGGGGTCAGAGGGGAGAAGTGATCCAGGCAAAGGACCCGTCCTTCGTCTTAGTATTGCTGGACAATTGCCCATGGTTTTTTTTATCCACTGGAATGTTAGAAACCTGAACTTTTGACCCAGCATGGTGGCTCACACCTGTAATCCCAACACTTTGGGAGGCTGAGGTGGGTGGATCACTTGAGGCCAGGAGTTCAAGACTAGCCTGGCCAACATGGCAAGACCCCATCTCTACTAAAAAATACAAAAATTAGCCAGGCATGCTGGTGCACGCCTGTAACCCCAGCCTCTTGGGAGTCTGAGGCATGAGAAATCGCTTGAACCCAGGAGGCAGAGATTGCAGCGAGCTGAGATCGCACCACTGCACTCCAGCCTGGGCAACAGAGCGAGACTGTCTAAAAAAAAACCCCAAAACCTGAACTTTTGTCTCTTAAAATAGTGCATGAGACTAGCTAGTTGTGATGTTTTGAGAGTTGAAGTATTGTCTTGAATAATTGAGTGGCTTTATTTCAGAAGAACCCTCCCCTCCGTAGACCCCCTGGGGGAACCCGGGGAGTGTTCTGCCCATGGGAAGAGTGAGCCCAGATCACTCCCTGCCTGGTTCATTACAACCCTGGGAGAACACCAAGAACTCACTTTGTTGATACACAGTCTCCCAATGGAAAAATTACTTCCTGCTTGTAAATGAGTCACCAGGGGGTGTTGGTTTTCCTTCCAGAGGTCAGGCATGCTATTGAGCGCTGTGATTCCCAACTTGGGAGAACTGGGACACCCTCATGTCATTTGTTAGATTTCTTGATGACCTCATCCTCCAAAAGTGCTATGAGACAAATGTGCTTGTTTTAAACATTTAACTGGTCATAAAATTCATTTTACTTTGAGGAGTTTTGAAAAACTGATGAAACCCCAGGTGTTGGAAACCCATTGTTAGGCATTAAATAATACGTCGATTCGTTCAGGATCCTAATAGCCAGAAAGAAAAACTAGTTTCTTAAGATGTTTCTGTTGTTCAGAAAGGGAGGCAAGCTAATGATCTGAAACAAGAAAACCTCTGAAAAAGAAAAGGTGAGGCTGGCATTTGGATATCTGCTTGGGTAAAATGGTGGATGATTTGCCTTACTTTTGAGAAGGATGGTTCCTGAGTGTATCACCACTACCCTGGAGCATTCTCAGAGCTGCTGCCCTCTGAGACAGCAGGGGCTATGCTGGAGCCCCCATTTCTCCTTCCATGGACCTAGAGATGCTGAGATGTTCTCTCCCTCCCCTTCCTGAAGCCTGTCCCGACATTTCAATGGGAGATGCTCAGTGAAAATTTTCATTTATGTTTCGTGTTGAATTGTGTCCCCTCAAAAGATATTGAAATGCTAACTCCCAGTACCAGTGAATGTGACCTTATTTGAAAACAGGGTTTTTGCAGATGATCAAGTCAAGGTGAGGCCATTAGGTTGGGTCCTAATCCAACATGATGTATTTCTTACAAAAGTAGAAAATGTGGTCAGAGAGACAGACAGGTACAGAGGGAGGATGAGGTGAAGATGCAGTGAGAACGCCATCTACAAGCCAAGGAATTCTATCATAAGCTAGGAGAAAGACAGGGAACAGATTCTCTTTCACCGCCCTCAGAAGGAACCAACAGTGTTAATACCTTGACATCAGACTTCCAGCCTCCAGAACTGTGAGATGATGAACTCCTATTGTTTAAGCCACCCAGGACTTCATTATGGCAGCATCAGGAAACCAATACACTCAGCATGCATTTTCTCAGTAAATAGGAGGTGAACACATACTTGGGATGAGAAACTACTTCTTAGGCCTTTCTTTTTTTTTTTAATTTTTATTTTTAATTTTATCTTTTACTTTTTAGGGCCTTTCTTTATCTTAGGTGCAGAGGGGCCTAGATCTCAAAAGTGTTTGCCATTACTATCACCATAGTCACTATTATGATTTATTTTCTGCCAAACTCTGTATTAATAGCATTACTTTCATTATTTCATATATTTCTTAAAAAGTAGCCAACTGTATACCCATTTTATAGGAGAGAGTACATTGGGATCACCCATCTGATTAATGATGAGACTTGAGTTTTAACTATGCTGGGGGGCTCAGGATCCTGGCTTAGGGGCTTCTGAAGGACTGGTATATTAGTCAGGGTTCTCTAGAGAGACATGACTAATAGGATAGATGTATACAGGAAAGGGAGTTTATTAAGGAGTATTGACCCACATGATCACAAGATAAAGTCCCACAATTGGTCATCTGCAAGCTGAGGAGCAAGGAAGCCAGTCAGAGTCCCAAAACCTCAAAAGTAGGGAAGCCCACAGTGCAGTGTAGGTCCAATAGTCCAAAAGCTGAAGAACCTGGACTCTGATGTTCAAGGACAGGAAGCACCCAGCATAGGAGAAAGATGGAGGCCAGAAGACTTCGCCAGTCTAGTCCTTCCACGTTCCTCTGCCTGCTTTTATCCTAGCCGTGCTGGCAGCTGATTAGATGGTGCCCACCCAGATTGAGGGTGGGTCTTCCTCTCCCAGTCCGCTGACTCAAATGTTAACCTCCTTTGACAACACCCTCACAGACACACCCAGGAACAATACTTTGCATCCTTCAATCCAATCAAGTTGACACTCAATATTGACCATCACAACTGGGAATTGTAAGTCATACTAAAGTATAGCTTCTTATGGGTAAAGGAGTTGTAGAGGGTTGGTCTAGGAATCTATCTACCAATAATAAGACCATGTGTTTAGGAAAATGTGCTCTGAGTTTCACATAACTGACTTGCTAATGAATCTTTGAGACATATTCATTAGTTAGTTGGTTATATTTATGGGTTGCCTGTGGCATTAAGTTGAAATGTTATGTTACTTATAACCATGGTTCAGAATTTTTTAAAAATGTGCAGAGGTGTGCTATATTTTCTTTGTTAAATAATATTAGAAGATTTAAAATGCATCTTTTCTCCCAGCTGGATGAAGGGAGGTATTAATGGGGCTATTCGATTACAGATTAGCAGGATGGAAATGAAATTGAGGGGAAATCAGTAAATCAGAATGAGAGATTTATGTTTTAGTAAAGTCACTAACTTTTACAAATTAAAAATAGGGATGATGAGAGAAACAATTCCCCAGAAATCAAATAACCACACTTTTTGGATTGATGAAGATGGCCCTCCCTACTCCCTTTTTCCTCCATAAATGTTTTGTTCAGAATAAGGAGTATAATCATGGTAAGTGAATGTACAAAATAAGTTTTTTTCTTTTATAAAGAAAGCTTTTGAAACCTTATAACTAGAATTACTTGAGAAAATTATAATTATAATTTTGGCACTGATTCATTATAAAAGTTACTTACTAGATAATCAAAAGGGTTATTTTCTAATTTCCTGGTCAACACATTTTCTGAGACACTCTATTAATCAGATCTCAATTGGATGCAAATATCAGAATCTTAAATTAAACAGCTTAAAAAGTGGGAGGGATTTTAAAAGTCACCTAATTGCAAAGTCTAGTATGATCTCTATTAGTCAATAAAGATGAATGTATGAACCCAGAACAAAACCAGTCTCACCTGTTGATGTTAAAAATGTGGTGTGGACCGAGTGCAGCAGTTCACATCTGTAACTCCAGCACTTCAGGAAGCCCAGGCAGGAGGATCACTTGAACCCAAGAATTCGAGACCAGCCTGGGCAACATGGTGAGACCATATTTCTACAAAAAATTTAAAAAATTAGTCTGGTGTGATGGTGCACACCTCTAGTCCCAGCTACTCAGGAGGCTTAGGTGGACGATGGCTTAATCCCGGGAGGTTGAGGCTGTAGTGAGCCATGATAGCGCCACTGCATTCCAGCCTCGGCGACAGAGTGAGACCCCATCTAAAAAAAAAAAAAAAGAGTGAATATAAACCTAAACTTTGGCCAGGCACGGTGGCTCATGCCTGTAATCCCAGCATTTTGGGAGGCCAAGGCGGGCAGATGGCCTGAGGTCAGGAGTTCGAGGCCAGCTGGGCCAACACAGTGAAATCCTGTCTCTACTAAAAATACAAAAAATTAGCTGGGCATGGTGGCGGACGCCTGTAGTCCCAGCTACTCTGGAGGCTGAGGCAGGAGAATCGCTTGAACCCGGGAGGCGGGGGTTGCAGTGAGCTGAGATCATGCCACTGCACTCCAGCCTGGGCAACAGAGCCAGACTCCATCTCAAAAAAATAAAATAAAATAAAATAAAATAAAATAAGTCTAAACTTCATAGTTTCCCATATGTTGTCCTTAGATTATAAGAGTTTGAAACCACCCAATGTCAGTGAATGAATGACAGCTCAAAGATATAGATTGTTGATTTTGTGTCATTTTTACATTACCATAAACATGTTGGTTGCCTTTGAGTGTCTGGGGGGGCATTTTTAAATTGGAAAACTTTCAAATTTGCTCATAAAGGTTATTTTATCCTGAACTCCTAAGAAGAATAGGAAATGGATACAAAGTTAACTGAAGAACTCTAGCACTTCCAAATAAAATATCCATGACGTCCCCAGATAGTACTTGACCCTCATCATGTGTCTGAAAATGGCCAGCTTTGATGGGATTACATTTGAATTACATAATTCTTTGAAGGCGTTTTACTGACATATTGAACTCTTGTGGGCAAGAGAAGGCCTCCTCTCTCTACCTTCCTCCTAGGCTGATGAATGTCCCATTAAGGTGGTATGAGTTTTACATTTATGTCCCCACATGCTGGAATGAGGCCTAACTTCCATGCTGTAGATTAAGATGGGGAGGTGTGAGCTAATAGGTAGATATTGTTGTTTGATGGGGGAAAAATTCCTTTCTCAAGTAAAGATATTTTTCTTTTTTTAGAATCATGGAATTTGAAACAGCCAAATCTAAAGACTCCATTTTGCACACACTTTGCTGAGGACAGATAAAACCCTTACGAGTTAATGAGAGAGAGTGGGTGACGGGTGATGTGGAAAGAGCATGAGAATAGGAGCCAGGTGCTACAACAGTCTGGGTTCTGATTCCCAGTGGCAATCAGAGGAAAGCTGCCTGGGTCCCAAAGTGCTAACCCCCACTCAATAATCACATGCCCACAGTCAATTACACCAGAGGAAATGCCCACTCCTGATGGCTGTGTTGGGTTTTGGGGTCAGCTTATTCAGAGACTTCTGATCCCTCAGATTTTGGTGGGGACTCTGACATTCGGGTGGAAGCTTTCTGAGCAGAAACTACATAGCGGCTTCCAATAAGCTGGTTTCAGTCAGCACTGAGACTAGTCCCTTGTTTTGTTGTTTCCTGATAATGAGAACAGGGACTTGGGGTCTAAATTCCTTTTCTCCCAGGAAGTTCAACCATTTTAGGAAATCTGTACAGGCACATGCCTATATGTTAATAAAAAAATGCTGCCTATCTTCACTCACCATTCAGCATCCAAGTCCCCGGTGAACATGGTCAAGTTGTGAAAGATAACTTCCAAATCCACCACTGGGGCCACCATTGGCGCCAAGTGTAGGAAAAATGCACTTTTACATTTGAAATTCCTAGCAGACTCTTCCAGGAGAAGCAGCACATTTCACCGCAATGTGGCTACTCAGGTCTTCTCATCTAGCCGTCTACCTGCACACAATGGCCTGTGTAGAGCTTACAGCATCTTGTAGAGTCAACAATGACTGTAACACTGTAAAAGCCCAAGCTGGATTGACAGGAAAAAAAGCACTGTCTCCAACAGGACACAGGGAATATGATCACTCAGAGATAAGCCCACAATGTGAGGCATATGCAAAGACCAAGAATGCAACTGTTCATTGAACAGATTACACAACATCTCCCTTATTTCTTTACTCCGGACCACTGAGTAAGATGATGAGCAGCTTTGTTGTACCTTCTGCTTTTGTTGTTGCACCTTCTAC
Source organism: Homo sapiens (assembly GCF_000001405.40). Classification (NCBI taxonomy): domain Eukaryota; kingdom Metazoa; phylum Chordata; class Mammalia; order Primates; family Hominidae; genus Homo; species Homo sapiens. Next base: position 42,337,479 of record NC_000004.12, read on the forward strand.
TTTTGTTGTTGCTGCTGTTCTTTTTTTAAAATTCTAGTTCCATGATCCTATTACATTTCTAAAACTCAGGAAACAAAGTACCAGGGTGACAGGAGAATAGAGTTGAAGTCACGTTTACTGACGGAAACCAGGAGTTTGAGCACTGCCAGTTATTAGCTATGTGACTTTGAGCCAGTCATTTAATCATCCCTGCAAACCAGAGGTGACGGTGTTAAACAACCCATGTGGTTGTTATATTAAATGAGATTATGTATAAGGAAGTGCTTGTAAAACGGAAAGCACTGCACAAATACTACTTGAGATTATTGGTCAACTTGCAATGGAAAATGATTCTGTGTCCTTAAATCCCTTTGGCTTCCCTGGTCTCTCCTTTGGGATCACTAACTTCTAGTAGCCACAGCAAGGTGTGCCCAAGCATAGAAATAATCTCATCATCACCTACCATAGAAACAGTGGGAGAGCACACAGGCACTCAAGGACACACTCGTAGTAACATTTCTGGGCTTCACATCAAGTTGAAAATGCATGTCAAAAGGCCTGTGCTTGACCAAACTCTTTTTTCTCACTCTTCCCAGTACCTAAAAAGGATCATATAGTCCTAATTAGGCCTAGAGAGGCCCACAAAAGAAAGTTGTTTCCAAGAGCTGTGGATTTATGGACTGAAAACTGTAGGCTACTGTGTATTTTAATATATTCAGAGAGACAATTAAGATAACTTTAGTTATGGTTTTGGAAAACAGTCTGGGCAGCCTTCAACTGAACATATAGGCCCTCTCTGTCAAAAACCAACTGAAATGACATTTTTGGAATCAACTCACTCTGTTAAAAGCAACCAACCATCTGAAAACACTCAATGAATTGGAATAAAGTTGTACAAAGTTTTGTGATCCTCAGGAGAGGAACAAAAGTTTGGAAGAAAACTTAGCTGCCAAACTGCAGAAACAGAGAACTCACAAGGAAGGGAGTTCAAGGGCCTACATGTGTGAAAAAGATATTCAGCTTCGCTGAACAAAGTAATGTCAGCGAAAACAACAACAAAACGCCATCGATGGGGATAAAAGTAAATTCCAACACTCAGTGTCAGCTAGGTTCTGTAAAAATAGGCACTCTTCTACCCTGTGGGTGGGAATGTAAATTGGTATAATCTTTTTGGATAGTGACTTTGGCCAGATCTAAAGTAAAACTTTAACTTTGTAACTCTGCTTCTAGAAATTTGTTCTAAGAAATTCATCATAGATTCTAAAAGTCATGAGTGAATGAAGATGTTCATTGCAATCTTATTTATCATAAAGAAGATGGGAAAAACCTAAATGTTCAATAATAGGGGAATAATTAAATAACTTGGGATATAGTTATTTATATTTAACATGTTATACAGTGTTTACATTTTATTATTTTGAACTGTATTTAATAACATGGAGAATCTTGTTCTATAATGTTAGTTATAATAAAGGAAGATGCAAAACTGCACACAGTGTGGAAAGCCTACCTAGGAAATCTACATATAGAAAGAGTGAAGAGAATATAACATTAAAGATTGTTACCACTGTGTGGTAAGAATATTCACTGCTTCCATTTTCTTTATATATTTTTGTGTTTTCCAAATTACAGAAATTACATATAATTAACATGTACACATTATTTCAACAATTAATAAAAAGTAATTTTATTTATTTATTTATTTTTTAGAGATAGGGTCTTTCTCTGTTGCCCAGGCTGGAGTGCAGTGGCGTGATCACAGCTCATTGCAGCCTTGAACTCCTGGGCTCAAGTGATCCTCCTGCCTCAGGAACTTGGATTACAGGCACGTGTCACCACGCACTGCTAATTTTTATTTTGTAGAGATGGGGTCTTGCTATGTTGTCGAGGATGGTCTCAAACCCCTGGCCTCAAGCGATCCTCCCACCTGCACCTCTAAAAGTGCTGGAATTACATGCATGAGCCACTGCACCCAGCCTAATAAAAACGTAATTTTAAAAAGAGTAAATATTTGGTGTTCTCAAGAACACTTTCAACTGAGCTAGCTTTGAATGCAAATGGAGCCCCTACCTGCCCAGCAAGGAGGGAGAGGTCATTCCGACCTCTGCTCCTTTCTCCAGGAGAAATTCCAGCTGGAGCAGGAGAGGCATCATCAAAGTGAACACACAGGACTTCTAGTTCTGTCAACCATCAAAATTCTCTTGAATATGCACGACAAGAATTTAAAAGGAAGAGGGTGGGAAAAAAATCCCCTTCTAATATTTCTGCTCTTTTTCAAGTTTTTTTCACTCCCCGTCAGTTTAAATTCTGTTAAGTTTTATCTTTACCTTCTGTCCAATTGATAATCTGAAAATGAAGATAAAGAGACTGAGACATTCAGAATTTTCCCAAGAAAGTGAATTAAAATGGCCTGGGGAAGGCATGACTGAAATCTCTTTCTATTTAGGTTTGAGATGAAGCTGTGTAGTTCTAGAGTTTAGTTGGACCTCTGTGAGTCTAGTTGTTTCTAGCTTTAGCTGATTAAAAAAAAAAGAGCTTTCTCTTTTCCACCAAATAGGAAATGACTCAAACCTTGTCCAGTACATCTAAAAGATAGGATAGAATTCACAACACGGTATCAAGAAGAAAACAGCTGGCTGACATCGGTGCTGGATGTTTTCTGCTTGTCTCTCCAGATACACTTTACATCTCTCACTCTGCCCTCTGTCCAAGAAGACTGGCCATTCTGAACTGCATCTAGGCCTCTGCCTCTAAATTCCAGTTCGGTTTGGCCAGTGGGAGCCATGGGCAGGAGAAACGGAAGGGCCTTGACATATTATTCCCCTGGCTCACTACATGCTGGGCTGGGGCTTGTCAGCGGCTTTATCCTGTAGACAGCCTTTTCCAACAGCTGCAATTCTCTCTGGGCTCCAGCGACTGACTCCTGGCCCTTCCCTTCGTGCTTAGCAGCAGCTTCTGGGTGGTGCTGGCCCCTGGGTGCTTTACCATCCCTTGTTGATTTCCCTTAAACCTCACCAAACCTTTGTAAATTGTCCTTTTCTCAAACTCTCTTTAATTTCTCCTTTTGAATTTGCCATCTCTTTCCTGCCAGGACCCTGAGCTTTAAAATCCTTATGGCACAGTTCAGCTTCATCCTGTGTCATGTCTACCTATGAGAATATCCTGATGGCACATTTGACGGAGCTCATGTTTCATAATCATTATGGTGAGTAGAAAGTTTGCAAGCATTTCATAGTGCGACAGTGGTCAGCTTTAGAACCCCATGGTCTACAATAGTGGATCTTAGCAACTGAGTTTTACAAAACACCACTGTGCCAAAACAGAGGTAAGCTAGAGTGATTTATTAGTAATAATGAAGAATTGAGTTTTCATTCGTAACAATGAAAAAATGTTTTTTATTAAAAACAAAACTAACAAGAGTAGATGTGCTGTTTTTATAATTATGCCATTCTTACTCACAGACATTCCAGTGTGCTTTCTTGAGATAGAGGTAAAGGAGATAGGGCGGTCCAGCAAATGCACCACAATTTGCCCATAAGCTGCATGAATCCATATACCAGTCCATAGAAGTGACCCTGGGAGCATGTACCACATGTGCTATCACTTATCTATATGTAGTGGTAGAAAAAAGCTGGAGAGCTATTGTTGGATCACATAACAATCCATTAAGGGAATGCTCTTGACTTGGTAGCTCTACTATTTGTCATCCAAATTTTCTCATCAGTCTGTGTAGTAATAAAATTACTAATATTTCACCAATAAGTGCCTTAGTTGCATCTTCTTATTTAATCCTTAAAACAATTCCCATTGTACTAATTAAGAGTTCATTGGCCGGGTGCTGTGGCTCATGCCTGTAATCCCAGCACTTTGGGAGGCTGAGGCAGGCAGATCATGAGGTCAGGAGATCAAGACCATCCTGGCTAACATGGTGAAACCCCGTCTCTACTAAAAATACAAAAAATTAGCTGGGCGTGGTGGCGGGTGCCTGTAATCCCAGCTACTCGGGAGGCTGAGGCAGGAGAATTGCTTGAACCCAGGAGGCGGAGGTTGCAGTGAGCCGAGATCGTGCCATTGCACTCCAGCCTGGGTGACAGAGCCAGACTCCATCTCAAAAAAAAAAAAAAAAAAAAAAGAAATAAAGAAAAAAAAGGTTCATTAATAGGCTGAAAGGGAGGTAGTGTATGGAGGACATTCCATACTTTCACAAGGGAGCTCTAGCTAGGGTATCTTGGGATAAATGTGAGCCAGCTAATATTTATATCACTGCTTCCCGCTGAGGCTATGACTAATAGATCTCAAACAGTGAATAGAAAAAAAAGTTCAAATCTCTTCCTCTGGTCAATTTAACTCAATTAAATTGCTAGATCTTGAGGGTGCTGAGATGAATGAAACATAGTTCTGCCCTCCAGGAATCTGAAGCGTAGTTGGTAGACAGAGATATAAACAATTAATGATGGAACAGTAATAAAATATGATTAAAATGATAATAGAAACATGTTTAAAATTTAGTAGGAAAACAGATGAGAGAGCGATTACTTTTTTAAGAGGTAGAGGGCTCTCATGAAAAATTATGTATCGAAGGTGACGGTTAAGCTTGACCTTGAGGGGTGTTTAGAAGTTCAACAGTGAAAGTGGTGGAGAAAGAGGTATTACAGGAAAGGACCCAGTAGGGGTCTTTCTTCTCATTCCTGCCAAAGGCTTAAAGTTTCCAGTTGCTATTCAGCATTGCATTTCCCATGACCTGACTAGATTTCTCACTCGTTCCTCTTTGGGTCTGAGGGATTAAAGTGCTATTGGAAGAGAGGCATTGGGAAAGGAGAGCTGGCTGGTTTTCGGTAAAATCCAACCAGTGGTCTTGGTCTCAGCAGGACCATGTACCAACCACCTGAGAAAACTAGCTAAATACCCCGAGTCTGAAATCAGACAGAAATGTACAATTGGAGATGTGGATCCCGCTGTGGATCTCGTTCATGGGGCCCGCCTCTAACTTGGCTGCACAGATAGCCTTGGAGACAACTATCTGTCAGAGATTCTTGTGGCCACATGGAGTTTGGATTATGAAAGTATTAGGAAAATATTAGGAAAGGAGAATTTATAGTAGAGATTAATCAACTCAATACTATTACTCATAAGTATACTGTATTATATCAGACCAAGAAGAGGAAAGAAGATTTGGAAGATTGTCCAAGATGGCATAATGATTGATAGAGTTTACTTGACTGAGAAAAGCGGACTTTAAAATATGTGAGTCCTACAACTTCTTATCTTTGCCCCCAGACACATGCAAATTTTTTTCTTGCTAAGATCCAAAGACCTTATTCGCCACTGTCTTATGTCATCTGTCTTAAACCCTGGACTTAATATTGTCTCTTGTTCTTCCAAAGTGGTCAGTATAGATACCCTCAAAGCCTGACAAAGAGACTAGTGGATTGGGTAAAAGGAAACCAAAATGAAGGTGGAAAAGAATATATTACTCTTTAAATAGAACCAGAAATCAAGTGCTGAGATCAGCTTGGCTTCAAAAAGTAATAGGATGCAGCAACAAAAAAGACGCAATACTTAAGAGTAAAATTAACAATAAATATGTACGTTTTATATAGGGAAAAAAACAAACTTTAAAACACTCTGAAAGGCACAAAAATAGACTCGAACATATGGAAAGATGTTCAGGAACATATCCCTGTCTTGATAGAATGACTTAGTATCATAAATATCATAAAGATATCAGTTCTTCCCAAGTTAATGTGATCCCAGCAAAAATACAAATAAGCCTTTTTCTGGAGCCAGACAAGCTGATATTAAAGTTCATAGAGCAAAACAAAACAAAATCTAAAAAGCATGCAAGAATATTTGGGGAAACACAGGGGAAAAAAAAATGCTACCTAACATCTATTATAATGTACGATATAAAACTTCTGTAATTCAAGGTGTCGTTCTGGCACATGCATACACATTCAGACCAACAAAATAGAACAGAAAGCCCAGGAATAGACCCACATATGTGTGGAAATTTAGTACATGACAAAGGTGGTATCTACAATCACTGAGGCAAAAATTGACTTTTAAACAAATGGTGTGGGGACCACTAGACAACCATATACAAGAATAAACTCCACATGGATCCAAAATGAAACCTGGCCAGGTGTGATGGCTCACGCCTGTAATCCCAGCACTTTGGGAGGCCAAGGAGGGATGATTGCTTCAGCTCAGAAGTTTAAGACCAGCCTGGGCAACATAGGGAGACCTCGTCTCTATTTAAAAAAAAAATAAAAACAAAATTAGCCAGGCGCGATGCATGCCTGTAGACCCAGCTACTCGAGAGGCTGAGGTGGGAGAATTGCTTGAGCCTGGGAGATCACGGCTGCAACGAGCATGCCACTGCACTCCAGCCTGAGCCACAGAGCAAGACCCTGTCTCGAAGAAGAAGAGGAAGAAGAAGGAAATAATGAAATCCACCAGTGTTAGGAGAAAATACGGGTGACTTTATAGCAGAGATGTGGGGAGATGCTATCTAAATACAACTCAAAATCCAGATGCAACAAAAAACCGATCATTTGAACCACCTAAAAGTAAGACCTATTTGCATGGGAAATTAAAAAAAAATAATGGCAAAGTCATAAGATAACTGACAATTGGGAAAAAAAAACATTTGTAACATATATCACATAGGGCCAATACTCTTAAAATATAAAAAGTAGCAGGATGTGGGAGGTGAGAATGCTTCTCTAGTTTTTTCTTAGTTTATCATTTCAGTCTTCACTTCTGGGCTTTCTGTAAGGGCCACTGTAATTAGCTTGCTGTTGGGTTGGTCTGATTTAACATTTCATGGCCACTTTGTTGTTATTTTTTGCTAACTTGTACTTTTACTCCTGGGGACCTGCTTGATTTATAAGTGTTTTCCCAGTTCACATTTTGCACTGGACTCTGCACCTGGTGTTTTCCCTGGGCGGGCAGCAACGACTGGTTTGCCGGGCTCTCATTTCGCTGAGGGTTCCCAGTGAGACCTGCGCCTGTGTGGGCGGCAGGGGGTTCAGAGAAGGAGGCTGGGTGGAAGGGCTCCTTTAGCAGAGATTAATACACTCCAAAATACACTTAGTTTACAGTCGTGGGGATTTCCAGGTGTTACTAGACACAGAGAGTTCTTTATGGTATCCCAACAGGGATGGATAAGTTTTCAAAGGTGGGGGGGTAAGATAAACAAGTTTTAGGTCATAGATATCTAAACCGGATCCTCATTTTCATCTTTGTTACTTGAGGAATCATAGTTGAATGCACAGAGACTTAATTTAATTGTCTTCAAATTCATTAAAGTGTCATGGATGGGCAACAGGAAGATAATGATATTCTGGAATCAGGGAATGTTCTGGAAAATTAAGGGAATGGTGCCCAGACTGCTTTCCACCCCTCACCCCCAATACCCTCCATGTTACAGGGGGGGCAGCTTTAACCAGAGGTTCACACTCACATCAGGATAGAAGAATGCATTTCCTGGAAGTGCATTCTCGTAGAACTTTGGTCTGAGTTCTGAGCTGGACTGACTCACAATTAACCGGTAATTACTACTACAATAGCACTTTGCATTAGTAGAGAACTTTCTGTTTTTGAAAGCATTTCCACATTACTTTTCTCATTTGATCTTCACATGGCCCTGTGACACAGGCAGGGGAAGATATGTCTGCCCATTTTACAGATGAGGTAACGGGGGCTGACAGAGGTTAAGAGAGGTGGAGAGACAGACCAATGGAGGACTCTGGACTAAAAACCAGGGGACTTGGGATAGATTCCATCTGGCCATTCACCAGATGTCTTGAGCACATCTTGAGCAAGTCAGTTACATAAAGCTTTCTGAGCCTCCACCTCAGCTTCAGTTAAATGAGAGATTTGCACAAGGGGGTGGGTCCTTGAGACCCTCCCAGTGTTACTGTTACAAGATTTTACCACTTACCTGACTTCACCAGGAATTAGTCAGTGGATGGGAAACAGAATACAAGACCCCTGGGCCACAAAGTCCTTCCCTGTCCTCTGCCCCACACAGTGCAGAACCAAGGGCTCACTTGGGATGGCGGGGAGTGTAGACTTTTTCCTTCAGCAGGCTACAGATGGAAGGAATGAGCTTTCCTGTCTGATTGCAGGAAATTTCTGAAGTTCATTTTATTTTCTTGTAATTTTCAATTCCTCCTATGTATTTTTTCATTAACGTTTTCCAGCTTTATTGAAGTGTAATTTACATACCATAAAATTCACCCATTGTAATCACGTAAATCAACGCTTTCAGTAAATGTATGGAGTTGTGCAGTCATCATCACTATCTAGGTTTAGAGCATTTTCTTCACCCCAAAAAGTTCCTTTGTATCCGTTTACATTAGTCTCCATCCCCTTCTCCAGCCCCAGGCAACCACCAAGCTGCTTTCTGTCTCTATAAATTTGCCTTTTTGGGGCCTTTCATATAAACGGAGTCATAGAGTATGTAGTCCTTTCCATCTGGCTTTTAAACGTAGCATTCCAAGTGATGGCAGCGGCAGCCGTCAGGAGCGGCCACTGTGAAGACGCTGGCAGCAGCAGGGGAGGCACGGCCAAGGCTGTAACTCCATGGAGTTGGCAGGAGCCGGGAACAGGCGGGAGCCCTGCCCGGGTCGGAGCTGGCGTGGCACGAGCCCTGCCCGCCTGGGTGCAGCCTCCCCCACAGGCTCGGAAATGCCTGCTCCTGCTACCTGGCCTGTATCTGTTCTTGGCGCCCGCTCCGATTTCGGAGAAAAGTTGAGGCCGAGTCCGGGTGCTGTGGTAACCTGGCCGGGTATGCGTGCGCTCGGGGTGGGGCTGACACGCCAGCCCTTTGCCACCTCGGCCCCCTCCTGACTTTGAGCACTATCACAGAAGGTAGGCCAAGGGAGGGCCTGCCGGCTCCTCAGCTGTAGCAGCTTGGGTCCCATGATGGCAGCAGGAGGCAGACAGGCTTCTGGGCAGAAAGGGGCAGGTCCGGGCGAAGCCCCACCTTCAACTCAGGTACGGCCTGAAGTATGGGGGCCAGGCTCTCATTTCTGGATGGAATCTGAGGCCCAGATTAAGAACTTATGGTGCTTTTTCCAGGCCCACACATGGCTGCCCATGGACCAGTCAGCACACACTTCCTCCCTCCTGAATCCCATAAAACCCCCCAGACACAGCCGCACTCACAGAGGCTTCAGGACTATCAGCTGCAGGAAGGAGCTACCCAATTCAGTTCTCCTCAACTCTTTGGGACGACCTGCCTATGGATAGGAGCTCCCCACTCTGGGTCTCCTGTCCACTGAGAACTGGACACTCCTCAGGACCACTTGCCTGCGGAAAGGAGCTACCCACTCTGGGTTTCCTGAGAGCTGTTCTGTGGCTCAATGAAGCTCCTTCAGCTTGCTCACCTCCAGTTATCCATGTACCTTATTCTTCGTGGAGGAAGGAGAAGAACTCAGGATCTGCCAACTGGCGGGACTGAAAGAGCTGTAACACAAACAGGGCTGAAACACGCTCCCCCACTTGCCATGTTGTGGGCTACAAGAAGGAGGGAAGAGCTGTGGCCCTTTGGGGACCCAGACCTAGAGGCTCCCTGAACCATGGCTGTGACACCATCTTTGGGGCTCTGGATTTTGGTGTCTCCAAACTTCCAGGCACCACTGCACTCCCCTCGTCCAGACATGTGTGCCCACAGTGGAAGCCACTTGTGGTGCATCAGATCCAGTTGCAGGCTTGCACGAAGCTGGTGCCCGTGCTGTCACCTGGAGCTGCATGCCCCACTGCAGCAGCCGGAGTGCCTGGCTGCCTGCAGTGGCCAGACCCTGTGCTTGCTCCTTCACGCACCCTTCACCACTCCGGGCCTGGCTGCCCCTTGGCAGGCATGGGATCTGGGTTGATAGCGCTAGCCAAGTACAGCCTGCCAGGCCTGGTGGGCGGAATGAGCCCAGCAGGCCGGAGCAAAACTCAGGGAAAAGCACCACTGGCCACAGAGGTTTCTGGCTGGAAAAGCAACACCCGAAGAATCCTGTGACACACAGACTTACTTCCTTTTTATGGCCCAACAATATTCTACTGCATGGATATACCACATTTCACTTATTTGCATATCAGCTGATAAATAGTTCAGCTGATTCCACATTTTAGATATTATGAGTAATGCTGCTATAAACATTTGTGTACACGTGTCTGCATAGACATATATATATTTTTTCATTTCTCCTGGGTAAATTCCTAAGAGTGGAAATGCAGATTGTTTTTTTAAGGTCTTATGCAGTGTTTGAATCTCCACCTTTAATTTTTATACTTGAATAAAAGATCCATAGAAAAATGTGTGGGACAAGTAAATACATAATTTGCTTGTATTATACCTGATGGCTTTTTTTTTTCTGAGATGGCGTTTCACTCTTGTTGCCCAGGCTGCTGGAGTGCAATGGTGTGATCTGGGCTCACTGCAACCTCCACCTCTCGGGTTCAAATGATTCTCCTGCCTCAGCCTCCTGAGTAGCTGGTATTACAGGCGTGTGCCACCATGCCCAGCTAATTTTTGTATTTTTAGTAGAGACGGGATTTTGCCATGTTGACCAGGCTGGTCTTGAGCTCCTGACCTCAGGTGATCCGCCCACCTCGGCCTCCCAAAATGCTGGGATTACAGGCATGAGCCACCGTGCCCGGCCACCTGGTGGCTTTTATAAAAGTGTTATCAGTCTTAAAGTAAGACTATACAGTTTATAATCATAAATAAGGATCTGTTATGAACTAAATTATGCCCCCCCCAAAAAATTCATATGTTGAAGTTCTATCTACTTAATATCTCAAAATGTGACAAATTCATAGGTTGAAGCCCTAACCCCTAATACCTCAAGGATGTGACTGTATTTGGAGACTGGGCTTTTAAAATGGCCTTTAAAGAGGTGATTAAGGTTAAACGAGGTCATATGGGTGGAGCTTTAATTCAGTATGACTGATGTTCTCATAAGAAGAGCAGGATACACCCAGGATGTGTGTACAGAGGAAAGGCCATGTGAGGACACTGAGGACATCTGGAAGCCAAGGACAGAGGCCTCAGGAGAAGCCAGGACCACTGGTATCTCGATCTTAGCCTCAGAAGGGTGAGGAGATAAGTTTCTGCTACTTAAGCCACCTAGTCTGTGGTATTTTGTTATGGTAGCTCTAGCAAACTAATAGGTGTTCCTATATTTTAAGAAAGCTGCCTTTAAGTGCCATTGGCAGGGTGTTTCCATCACTCTAATCCCCTTCACATGTCGTATTCTCCATTGAGACCAAACACTCTGCTGTCCTTGGTGAATCTTTCACAGCCTCCCTTTATTCTGTCTCTTCCACATGGGTGGCCTCTCCCTGCATGACCCTGGATCATGGTCACATCTGCAGTTATTCCCCGCAGTGGCCAAAAGCCACATCCTCTGTGAGTACTGCCTCCCACTGGAAGCGAGTCTCTTCGGAACCCCCACCCTTTCATCTCTGCATTTCTATGACAGGAGCTCCCTCTACCCTGTGTGTCAGCTATCGGGTACAACTTATCTTTATGCTGGACTAAGAATCCTTGTGGACAGGAAAAGTGGTGTTTGTATTTATTATCCTCCTAACCTAACCTCTGGCTCAATGCCTGACACAAAGTAAGAATTGTTTCAATTAATTAAAAATGAAAACTGGCTGGGTGCGGTGGCTCACGCCTGTAATCCCAGCACTTTGGGAGGCCGAGGCAGGTGGATCACGAGGTCAGGAGATCGAGACCATCCTGGCTAACACAGTGAAACCCCGTCTCTACTAAAAATACAAAAAAATTAGCTGGGCGTGGTGGCGTGTGACTGTAGTCCCAACTGCTTGGGAGTCTGAGGCAGGAAAATGGCGTGAACCCAGGAGGCAGAGCTTGCAGTGAGCCGAGATCACACCACTGCACTCCAGCCTGGGCGACAGGCACTCCAGCCTGGGTGACAGAGCGAGACTCCGTCTCAAAAAAACAAAAAAGAAACAAGAAATGAAAACTCAAGCTACCAAGATACTTAGAAGTTTCAGAGCTTTATGAAGACATAAAATGCTAAAAGTGAAGTAAGGGTAGAAAAGGAATGCCTACCAATGTGGGAGTAGGCCGGGCGTGGTGGCTCACACCTGTCATCCCAGCACTTTGGGAGGCCGAGGTGAGTGGCTCGCTTGAGCCCAGGAGTTCGCAACCAGCCTGGGCAACATGGTGAAAACCCTTCTCTACCAAAAAAAAAAAAAAAAAAAAATCCAAAAATTAGCTGGGTGTGGTAGCAAGCACCTATAGTCCCAGGTACTTAGGAGACTGAGGTGGGAGGATCGTTTGAACCCGGAGGTCAAGGTTGCTGTCAGCCAAGATGGTGCCACTGCATTCCAGCCTGGGCAACAAGTAAGACCCTGTCTCAAAAAAAAAATGTGGGAATAACAGAATACATACATTGGAAAGTCACTGCTAGTGACCATCAGCCAAGCCACTTCTCCACTTAAAACCTCAGCTTCCTTGTCCTCAAGTGCGAGAGTTGACCTAGCAAAGGATGTTCTATGGCTAACGTGATATGTTTCTATAGATTATGATGAGTTCTGCAGGATTCCTGTTTTTGAAGTGCCTTTTTGAAGGGTGGAAGAAGTTCAAGGTCTAAATTGTATTATAAGTCAATTAAATGAATCTTAAAGTGAATGTTGAGGCCAGGCACAGTGGTTCATGCTTATAATCCCAGCACTTTGGGAGGCCAAGGCGGGAGGGTAGCTTGAAGTCAGGAGTTCAAGACCAGTTTGGGCCACATAGCAAGATCCCGTCTCTAATAAATTTATTATATTATTGTTATTATTATTATTTTGAGATGGAGTTTCACTCTTGTTGCCCAGGCTGGAGTGCAATGGCACGATCTTGGCTCACCACAACCTCCGCCTCCCGTGTTCAAGCGATTCTCCTACCTCAGCCTCCTGAGTAGCTGGGATTACAGGCATGTGCCACCATGCCAGCCTAATTTTTTGTATTTTTAGTAGAGATGGGGTTTCTCCATGTTGGTCATGCTGGTCTCTAACTCCTCACCTCAGGTGATCCACCCGCCTCGGCCTCCCAAAGTGCTGGGATTATAGGCATGAGCCACTGCGCCCATCCTAAAAATTTTTTAAATGAACAAATAAAATGAATTTTGAGTTTCTGTTTTCCCAGTAAAGCTTCTCTACTTCTCCAAATATATATACTTTAGAAGTGCTAGTCCATGCTTTCTGGGGGCCCAAACCTTAAAGAAGGAAACAAGGCACAGGAACTCATGTTCCTCCTCCTTTTGACAATGAACAATTTTGAAGAGATGTGCGCGTGCGTGCACGTGTGCATACACACACACTCTCTCTCACACACAATCAGATTGAAACTATAGAGCATCATTTTCAAATCAAACTCCACCAGGAGAATGCTTTGTGTGGGAATTACACTATAAAATAAAACACAAAAATTCCCCAAGTGACAAGAAAAAAAGAGCTTGTGTGGTAAACAACCCCAGAAGGGGCAAGTACTTCTGTGTAAGTGGCCTCTGACTTTCCTGGCCCAAGTTTTCACTTCTCCTTTGGGTTTCTTTAAGTTTTTCTTTCACTCTCCCTACTACACTCAGTCTCCAAGGATTTGTAGATTTTTATTTCTTTAGGCTGAGGCACAGACAAAAATTCTTTTCTTTTCCTCCCTTTGCTCAGCAAATTTCTGGAAAACAAAAAAACTGGGAGAGAGCAAGGGAGAAATGGAGGATGGGGAGTGAGTACCACCTGGCTGAACTGTCAGCATATAGGCCTCTTTTTCCCAGGCAATTCAATCCCGACCCCAGGCTGGCTGGAACTGCTGGCCAGCCCATAGACCCTGGTCCTCTCCCTCCTCCTGTCTTTAGCTGGTCTATAACATTGTCTTCCTGCTTAAGGCTTAGTCCACCCAATTATCCTGCACCACCAACGGCAGAGGAAGGCCAGTTATGTGGTCTTTAGGAAGTCCCCTAATCCTCTGGGATCTGCTACTGGGCTGGCTTTTAGCTTCTAGTGATAGCTCTTGTTTCATTCACTTGAGCATCAGTAATGAACACTGCTAAAGCCCAACCCCGTTCAGTCTATTTCTCAACTTTCTGATTTCATGATTTCCAGCCATGAAAGTTATGACAAAACTTGATTTCCTCTCTCCCTTACCCTGCTTTTCTTTCTCTCTATACATTTGACGGGAAGGGTCTCTTTGGTGGAATAAAAAGTCTGGAGATTTGTTAGTAAAATAATACACTGAAGTTAAAATAAGTAGATGGTCAACATTAGCAGGGGGAAAAAAAGCTTTTCAGGCTGGGCACGGAGGCTCACGCCTGTAATCCCAGCACTTTGGGAGCCTGTGGTGGGCAGATCACTTGAAGCCAAGAGTTCAAGACCAGCCTGGCCAACATGGTGAAACCCCGTCCCTACTGAAAATACAAAAATTAGCTGGGCATGGTGGTGCATGCCTGTAATCCTAGATACTTGGGAGGCTGAGGTGGGAGGATCGCTTGAACCCAGGAGGCCGAGGTCGAAGTGAGCTAAGAATGTGCCACTGTACACGGTGTTGTGCCTGAGCAACAGAGTGAGACTCTGTCTTAAACAACAACAACACAACAACAACAACAAACAAACAAAAAAAAGTTTTTCTGAAGGACATACTAGTGGATCTCCAAATTCTGGACACATGGTCCCCCTTCTAGCAGCTTCGGCATAACCTGGAGGCTCACTAGACATACAAATTCTCAGGATCCTCCCCAGACCTACTCGGTCAGAAACTCTAGGGACACAGCAGTCTGTATAGTCGTCCCCCTTTTAGCCAAGGTTTTGCTTTCTGTGGTTTTGGTTACCCATGCTCAACCACAGTCTGAAAACATTAAATGAAAAATTCCAGACATAAACAATTCATAAGTTTTAAATTATGTGCCATTGTGAATATTGTTATAATTGCTCATTTTATTACTTATTTTTGTTCATCTCTTATTGTGCCTAATTTATAAATTAAACTTTACCATAAGTATGTATGTCTAGGATAAAACATAGAAAACAGAATATATATCGTTCAGTACTATCTGTGGTTTTAGGCATCCATTGGGGGTCTTGGAATGGATCTCCCGTGAATAAGGGGGAACTACCGTGTCTTAATAAGGCCACCAGAAGATTCTGATGCATGCACCAAGCCTCTGGGTTACACAACATCCATTTTCCTCTTATTTTCATGGTAATAGAACACTGGGCAGCAATGTGCTCAGCTAAAATAAAATATTTCTTATCATCCTTGCAGATAGAATTGGCCAGTGAGTGCAAGCAGAAATCAGGGGGTGAGGTTTCTGGGAAATCTCAGCGAAGGGGGCTGGCTTCATGTTCATCACACCCTTGTTGCCTTTGCCCGCTTCCTGTACTTCCTGCTTGGAACTGGAGGTCCAGCAGCCATCTTGGATCACAAGGTCTAAGGCTGAAGGTGAGAGAGCAGAGAGATTGAAGGAGCCTCGGCCCCTAATAATGTGGTGCTGCCCCATCAGCCTGGCACCTCCTTCCTCCAATTTCTTTAGAAAAGAAATAAATGTCTCTCTTTAAGCCACTGTGGGGCTTTATGCTATATGCAGTTGAACCCAATTCTAACACATCTTATAAATACAATACTCTGAAAAAAACTTAAGCTATAAAAGCCTATTCTAGCAACATATGGTAAAGATGGGGTATCACTCTCCAGATTGAGGCATAAACCCAGGAGGAAAGGCTAGGGGAACAACAGATGGAAAGATCAGTGGCGAGATCTCTGGTGAGACCAGAGATACAGGGTCATTCTCAGATATTCATCCAAGATGAACTCTTTATGGGCTAACTCCATAAAGAAAACACGGATTACTTCTCACCATCCTCTGGACTTTGTGTATATCAGCTAATAATAAGAATTTGTTTCTAGTAATGGAGCATACCTACAAATACAACTAAAGGGCCAAGTATTTTTATAATATCTGTATTTTCTTATGCATATACTCCTATGCTAGGGATTGTGATAGAGAAATAAAGATGAATATTTTAAAGTAGCTACCTTTCAGAAACTCAAGATTTAAAAAAATGGCTGAAAGAGAAGACTTTGAATGCTCACAGCACAAAGAAGTGATAAATGTTTGCAGTGATGGTATGCCAATTACCCTGGTGTGATCATTACACATTGTATCTATGTATTAAATATCACTCGGTACCCCATAAATATGTAAAATTATTACATACCAATTAAAATAGTAACAAAAATTACAAATGTTCAATAAGGGGAAAACCATTGTCTTTTGCAGCTGTTCAGAGACTTGGCCTCAAGAATATTTAACATTAATTTTTTTCTTTTTTATTCTAGGCTAAGGGCAGTGCCCCATCTTGCTAAGGTTGGCATGATGCCTCCAGGGTTTCCTGTGCATGGGTTATGGATCATTTATTTTTTGTTTAACCAAAGTGGTTTGCGTTGAGCTATCTATATTAGACACCTGATTCAATTTGAGTAAATTCCTTTCACTAAAAAAAGATCCAGGCATTGTTTCACTCTGTCCTGTGTTTTCCTTGGGGTAACTTCTTCTGGGTCTGACCTTAGAAATAGTCCTCTCTGGAACTCTTGATGAGTAGGGTTTGGAATCAAAGCAGGGAAGAGTTACTCAGAGCAACTTCGTGGACTGGGTCATTCTGGAGAGGATAGTTCATTCATTCATTCATACATTCACTCACTAAATGGATGTTTATTAAGTACCTATCATGCACCAGGTATTATCCCTGGAGCTATGGTTTCTACTGGTAAGGCCTGGTCCCTACCCACTTTGCTCACAATCAGAATGGAAGACAGACCAGAAGAAAAACCAAAGGCAAACAGAAAGGGAAATCAAGACCCAGAAAGTAAAGGAGACAATTACACATTGTGACATGAGCTGTGAAGGAAACAAACAGGATACTTACAGAGAAAAACCAGGGTAGTGGGTACAGACCTTCCTTAGAAAGCCTCTAAGAGGAGGCAAAATTTGAGCTGAAGCTTAAAGGTTAAGAAGGAGGCAGCCAGGCTGAGAGCCAGCAGTGAGGTGTCCTGGTAGAAAGAACAGGGTGCTCAGAGGCTGGGAAAGGGTTGCAAGTTTCAGGAAGGGAAGGAAAGACAGTGTGAGGGACAATGGGGAGAAGGTGATGGGGCAGCATCTGAGGATTAAGGATTGGGCCGTCTCAGGGCAGAGGGGCTGCTGTGCAAGCCGTTAAATTGCCTGAGGATCTAGAGTTGGAATAGCTTCTCTTTCTCTAGCAACCTGTACTTCTCCCTTTGAGTCTTGTTTTAGATACACTTATTATAAGTCACTGAAAGATCTTCAAGTGCACACATGGGGAGACAAAGGATGAAAAAGAAAATTAGAGATGAGGAGAGAAGGCGGGCAAGAATAATTGGAAGCAGAGGGGCATATGGCTTCTTTGTCTTAGAGAAATCACAAGCACAGCCCTTTGAAGGTAGACACAGAGTTATAAATCTCATTTTATTATTTTACTTTCTTAAAGCTCAATTTGTAAAGTAAGCAATTAAAACGTTCAAATTAAAAAGCCAAAGTAAATCACAATTATGAGTCAGCTCTTAATCTACTTAGATTTCTTTTCCTCTCTCAAAATGAAGAATTACATTTCATGTCAACTTCCACTAAAATCCCAGCAATGAAATTGTTTTCCATGGAATGAAGGCAGGGAGGGGTCTTGTCACATAATGTCCCCTCAGCCAGAGTCCTGAAAAGATCATGTATGGAACAGTCCAATTGTTCATATTGGCATACATTTATACAAGAGTTTTCAAATTAATTATAAGAGTAGAAGACAAAAAAAAAAAAAAATCAAGAAAAGGGCATCTCCTTACTCTGGCCAGGACAAGATGTCAATCTTGTGATTCATCCAATCTGTAAACCTCATTAGAGGTTTTAATAGGGTGAGTTCCGATTGCCAGGGGCAGATGAGAGGTTCAGGTAGAAGAAGATTTTACCAATGGTCCAGGAGGAAAGGGGAGCAGGGTTTCTTTCAGTTACTCACCAATCAGATGCATGTATAAGAGGAAAGTTATAAGCTGTAATCTCCACTGTGGTTGCTGACATTAGATGGCTGGGCTCAGGAAGGAGCCGCGTGACTTTCTTTATATGTTTTTTTTTCACCAGCAACAAGCCGGATTTGAGCTGGCCATTACAGTCCAGTCACCTAAAGATCCCTGTGACTTAATTTCCAAATGCCCTTTTAATCAAGCCAAACTCTCAAATGCTGCAAATTTAGACTGTATTGTCTTCCTCTCTACTGTTCTAATTACACTGTTTTAATTAGATTTCTCCCATCTTATAGCATGTAGCCTGGGACTCAGATTTAATTTGATTTATTAAAATAATGTGATGTTGGAGGAAATTCTCAGCTGTTTCATGAGGTTTGTTTGTCTGTAGAAGGTTCACTCTGAAGTCTGCACAGCAGAGTATGTTTCCTTTCATTCTTTCCTCATAAGCACAGGTTATGTAGCTCCCTGCCCCAGCTTCATCAGGGGAAACCTGAATGGAAGCCAGTGTGAGAAGAGTGGGGAGGAGGGTTGAAGGAAAATAGAAAAAGCCAGGGATGGAGGAGGAGAGCCAAAAGACCTAAGGGACTACAGAGGGAGGAGGAGAGTGAAGGAAACCAGAAGGACAAGGATAAAAACAAAGAAATGAGTCAAGACCTCTTCGATCATCTTCTGAATTTTGTGTTCAGGCATCTCATAGGAAGATTCCGATGCTTGGGAAGCTAATTTTGGCAGAAGTATGCAGGTTTTATTAGAGGAAGAACTAATTGGATGTCCACATGCAAAAAAAAAAAAGAACCTTGGCTCATATGTCTCACTTTATACAAAAATTAACTCAAAATGGATCATAGACCTGAAGGTAAAACTTAAAACTATACAACTTCTAGGAAAAACAAATAAGAACAAGCTTTTGTGGCCTTGTGTTATGCAAATTGTTTCTTATCTATGACACCAAAAATAAGATCCATAAAAGAAAAAAATTGATACATTGGACTTTGTCAAAATAAAACATTTCTGCTCCACAGAAGTCACTAAAAGAAAGTAAAGAAAAGCCACAGGATTTGAGGAAGTATTTGCAAACACATACCTGGCAAAAGATTTGTATCTATCACATATACAAATTTCTCAAAACTCTATAATAAAGAGACAAGCAACTGAATTTAAAAAATGAGTAAAAGACTGAACAGACATTTCCCCAAAGGAGATAAACATGAATAGTAAATAAGCATCTATGAAAAGACACCATTTTTACTCACTAGAGTTATGTAAATTAAAACCAAATTGAGGCTGGCCACGGTGGCTCATACCTGTAATTCCAGCACTTTGGGAGGCCGAGGCGGGCAAATCACCAGAGCCCAGGAGTTGGAGACCAGCCAGGGCAACATAGGGAAACTGATGTTTTATATTTTTTCTACAAAAAGTACAAAAATTAGCCAGGCATGGTGGCGCACTCCTATAGTCCCAGCTACTAGGGAGGCTTAGATGGGAGGATCGCTTGAGCCTGGGAGTTTGAGGCTGCAATGAGCTGTGAGCATGCTACTGCACTCTAGCTTAGGTGACAGAGCAAGACTCCGTCTCAAAAAACAAAACAAAATAAAACATTAAAACCAAAGTGAGATACTACTACATATCTATTAGAATGGGAAGGCAGGCAGACAAAGAAGACAGAAAGAAGAAAGAGAGAGAGAGAAAGGAAGGAAGGAAAAGAAAAGAAAGAAAGAGAGAAAGAAAGAAAAAAGAAAGATAAAGAAAGGAGAGAGAGGGAGGGAGAGGAGAGGGGGAGGGAGGGAGGCGGGCAGGGAAGGAAAGGGAAGGGGAGGGAGGGGAGAAGAAGGGAGAGGAGGGGAAGGAGAGGAGAAAGGAAGAAAGGAAAGAAGAAAGAAAGGAAGGAAGGGAAAGAAAGAAGAAAGAAATGAAAGAGAGAGAGAGGGAGGGATGGGGAGAGAGAGAGAAGAAGGAAGGAAGGAAGGACGGACTGACTGCTGGTGAAGATACCTTTGTGGTGGGAATGTACACCACAAACATACCACAAAATGGTACAGTCATTTTGGAGAACAGTTGTCAGTTTCTGTTTTAGAAGGAGAGAGATGTGGCAGGGCACGGCGGCTCATGCCTATAATCTCAGCACTTTGGGAGGCTGAAGCGGGCAGATCACCTGAGGTCAGGAGTTCAAGACCAGCCTGTGACCAACATGGTGAAGTCCCATCTCTACTAAAAATACAAAAAATTAACCGGGTGTGGTGGCACATGCCTGTAATCCTAGCTATTCGGGAGGCTGAGGCAGGAGAATCGCTTGAACCTGGGAGGCGGAGGTTGCAGTGAGCCGAGATAACGCCATTGCACTCCAGCCTGGGCAACAAAAGTGAAACCTCATCTCAAAAAAAAAAAAAAAAGAAAGAAAAAGAAAAGAAAAAGATCAAAAGGAGAGAGATGTGGCGAGGCATTAAGCCCCGTTGTACAACTGCAGGAATAATAGATGGCTAAGGAAGTGATAAATAGAGAAGACACACAGATGCAAGAACTGACAGGACTTATTAGCTGGTTAGTTGTTATTGATGATGAAAGAAAGAAATATGGGTTAGATTAAATGATTGATTGTTCACCAAATATTCACTCTTTTCCTTCTTTTTCACTTCATGGGGGTAAAGGGGCAAAGTGCCATTGATCCTGGGCTTGACCTTGTAACTGGCTCTAAAAAGGAGGCTTTGAAAACCATGCCAAATGTCTACCCACATTTCTGAAGCTTCCACCCTCTGCCATGAGAAGAGCCTGCTCCCAGTAGCCATATTCCTTCACCCTGGGTCCAAGAATGAAGATCTAAGTTGAAGACTCAAACTCAACATGAAGCCCTGCCTCCTCTACCCCATTCCAGATGAGGCCAGCTGAGCTGCAACTCATTGACAGACCCATAAATATGAAATCAATGCTTGTTGTAAGCTGTTGAAATTTGGAGATGTTCATTAGAAAGATTATTACAGAAGAAATCTAATACACAAAAATTGAGATGAAGCATTACAACTTGGATGGCTGGGAGAATGAAGGACTAATTAGAAAGAGGGAAAAAGTTGGGAAAGAGAGGAACAGAGCACCTTTGGGGGACAAAGAAGTGCAGCATGTTTTTGTTCTGCTTTGTTTGCTTTGCTTTACAAATAATTTGATAGAATTCTCAAGTTCTACTGAGCTTTCAGCTCTTTGAGAGAAATGGTATATTTTGATCATCACTTCAGGGCTGAGCATAGTACCTGGCACCTCATAGACATGCAATAAATATTTGCAAAATAAGTGGATAAGTGAAATATGAGATGATAACAGGGTATTCAGGAGGAAATTCTCTAAACAAAAATGTGAATCAGAACTCAGGTGGGAGAACAAAACTTAGAGATAATGGAATCAATCAGTATAGAGGTGATGGGTAAACCTGTAGGAGGCCATGCATTCTGGAGGGAAAAGTGTAGGGACAGAGGAATAAAAGGCTAAGACAGGCTTTTGGGGTGGCCTAGGGCTAGAGGATGGGAGAATGAAGAGGGGATCTGTGGAGGAGACAGAAAAAAAATGATTGAAGAGGGAGGAGGAGAGCTAGGACCTCGTAGGATCATGGAAGCTAAGGGAGGAAAGGGCTTCCAGAAGGGGTGAAGGATCAATAGTATCAATTGCAGTAGAGAGGTCAAAAAGAATGAGTTAGAGGAAAACACCTAGAATTTCTCCCAAAAGGAAGTCATTGGTGAACTTAGAGAGAGATGCTTTCTTCCATGTTTGAAATATCTATTAACATCTAACAAAAAATATATACAGATATTTGAATCAGGATACAGAAATCAATCAATGTAAAGGCAGGTGACGGCTGATTGAAGGCATCAAACATAACTGAGAGCAAACTTTGGCTTTTAGTGTCATTGTCAAGAAAATGTCCTATGGAACTGGATGGGCAAAAATCACCTTAGAAATAGAAAAAAAATTGACACTGTCACTTCACTCTAATGCTCTGTATTGTTTCTTTTTTCATTCTTTTCTCTGTGGTAGCAAATAAAACAGATGCAGAGAATTCTAGCAGAGAAAACATATATTTCCTTCTAAGTGAAGTATTTGGAAAGCTGAGGCCATCTAGACTAGGTTAGAATTGCCTTAATTCATAACAGCAGCAGCCTCATAAATAATAGCTGGATATCAAGAAGAACCTCTGACATGAACTAGAACTTAGATAACAAGCTGATAGTACAGAAATAAAACTTGTTAGTAAAAGTGAACTTGGGGTTCCATTTTAAAACCGGGATTATTTACTTGGCCAAATGAGGTAATTAACCAAAGAATGATTAAGGAGTCTAAGGAATTAATTTATTTGATAGTAAGAAGACAAGGTTCACTGAGCTTAGTGATAGATGTTAAAGAAGCGATAAGAACGCCCTGTGTTTGCAAGCAAACCGAAACCAAACTGTCTCAGTGAGCTGCTAACTTCAGATATACAAGCAGAAGACTCTGAGAAAGGACTTCGCTGAAACAACAGTGAGAAATTCTACAGCATAAGAAATACTGCAGGGAGAAAGGGAGTTGGAAATAGTGATAGTTTAAAGTTCAATTAAAATGAAATTATTAGTAACTTAATGGTAATAGGGAAGGAAACAAAACAGTAACTCCTTAAAAAGGATTGACCAAAATATCCCAGAAGAGCAATATAAAATGCCCATTTGTTTTTGGTTTCTTATCATTATAAATGATGGACTATCAAAGCAACAGCAAACCCATTAATCAAGACTGTAAACAATTAAAATCTTTTTCCAGATCCGGGAAAGCATCAGAATTATCAAGACAGTGCCAAAAAAAGGAACATAAATTTCAGCCAGCCCTTTGGATCTGGGAAGTGTTTAGGCTACCCAGCCAAAAAGTCAGAGAGCAAACAGTCTAAACTAAGCTGATAACAACTGATCATTAATTAGAACTGAAGCCAACTATCTCAGTTTAGAGAAATATCTTGGCTACTCTGCTAAGAGCCAGAAAGCCAAAGGTCCAAGTTGGGTTCATTATCATTAATCATAGGCAAAGCCACTGCCCAAAAAAGCCCCTATTAGTGAAGGGGCGTCTTTGAGAAGAAGCAGCCCCAAGAGAAGCTGGCAGGGATGCTCCTGGGGAAAGTGAACAGAAGATGGGGGCCCTGCCCACTGTGTTTGGAGGCCTGAACTCAAGGCTCAAGTCCCTGGAATTAATCACATAGAACAAATTCTAGCATTAGAGGACAAGCTGATCATCTGGTAACTTGCTTTTACTGCAAAGACTTTTTCAAAAATGAGATTTTGGTCTTGGAATCCCATTGAAGTAGGAGGAAGAAGGTACAGTACAGGTAGAGCAAGGGAGAAATAATGGAGATGATTTGGATAAAAGGTGTCCAAAGGGAAATTAAATGCTGATAGCACCAAAAGTCAGTCACCAAATGGAAATAGGAAAAATGACAGTGAGTGATCGTGGGAAGTGACGACATAGGGATAGTTTTGAGGGGATTTAAGAATTGGATGCCATTTACAAGTTCATGCATACTCATATTTAAATGCACGTCCACATCCGTAAGAAAACTCTTTTTCTATGTAATTGGAGAAAGCACTAAGTGCCTTTTCATGCAGGTATCTATTTTCCTTATAATAATACTGTACTTCATGGGTTCTAGGCTGCATACTACTTTCACATTTTAGTATCTGAAGTCAGAATGTACCTTAAAATCAATAGTTTGTCATAGTATAATTGGGGTGTTTTTATTATTGATACCTAAAACAGTGATGCTTCTTACCATTGTTGCCATTTAGATGTGATGTAGTTCACAAATATTTCTCACTTATTCAGTAGTTATGCTGTGTTTCACTGAGTGGTCAGTCTGCGCTTTAGCAGAGAAAGTGGGTGAGGCCAAGGTCGAAAGGCAGATCAGTACCAACCAGGGAAGAGACCAGTGCATGATTCAGGTTGCTGAGAACTGACAACATGCAAACCAGGCTCAATTAGTATAGCATTTACTTACAGCAAGAGGAAAGAGGCTGTGCACAAGATCCAGCCCCTTGCAATGCTTTGGTCCCCCGTGGCTAGCAGATATGTTCTGCAGCCAACTTCAACTTCATGCTGCAGTAGAAGGACCGAAACGCTTGTCCCCTGTGGTCTGAAATACAGAAAGCTGGGTGCATGCCGGAGGGCCACTGAAGCATGCGTAGCTAAGCAGTTCCAGGAGAGGTTTGCATGTGCCGAACGCAGCAGGAACCGGCCACACTGGCTGTGCTCTGAGCTCTTTGCATGTAATGCTATTTGTGCACCTGCCAGCACATCCTGTATTGAGTACAAGATTCTTCTTGGAGACAGAGGGGAGGCACCCAGCTGCTCTTGGACCCTTCCCTCACACTATACACATATTTTGTGCTAACTCTTCATTAAAGCCTTATAACAACACAGGGCAAGTTTGGCTCTATAGTAGTTTTCTCCATTTCATAAATGAGGAAACTGAGGTTTCAACATGGTAAATAACCTGCCCAAGGTCGCGCTGCTAATAAGTGAGATGGCCAGGTCCTGAACGCAGGTCCATACATCTTCAGAGCCTGTGCACTTAACCAGGATGCTTACACTACCCTGCCTCTTCCAAGAAGATGGTCTTTGGAGAAGAAAGAGTATTGATAATTTACTCGGACAGGGTAGGTGTAGAAGAGGTGGAAGAGAATGGAGAAAATTCTTTTTAAGTAAGAGAAATACTCCAGGTAAGCAGCCTCTCACCCTTGTGGTTTGATGCCATCTATAATTGAAGGTGTTCATTCCAGGAAGATGGCTTTGTGAATGGTGAGACTGGTGTCTCCAAGCCTGCTCCTTCTATATCCTTGCATACAGGCCTCAGAAACCTGAATGAGTAAGATATTTAGTCCCTGGGGTTCAGATAGTGTGCAAGAAACCTGTACCACTTCACCACTGCTGAAAGATGCACGTTGTATTCCTGGAAGAGTTGATTAAACTTCTCAGTGTCTTAATCATCTAAAGAAGGAATCACACAAATACTATATTCAAACCTGAACTCTGGACTCTGTACATATGCATGTGGAGTATGTGTGTGTGTGTGTGTGTGTGCATGTGCATGTGTATGTGTGTGTATGTGGAGTATGTGTGTATATGTGGAATATGTGTGTATGTGGCGTGTGTGTATGTGGTGTGTGTGTTCAGAGATACATACCATTTTAAAAGCTGTAAAACATAATTACTTGGGTAAGTTTTGAACATGTGTGATATTTCAGAAATACCACTCTGATAGATCTAGGGCATGTTTACATATTTTTAAGCACACTAGGATAATTTCCATTCAAAAACGTGTATTTTATTCCCAAATGCTATGTAAATGGTAATTTTGAATGCATAAGTACATTTTTGGTTAAAGAGAACATCGTCATCACTTAATATATTACTGGAGATATACACAGATGTTGTTTATGCTTATGATTTATGTAAATTGCCTTTCAGTGGGGAAGAAATGTATACATGAGGTTTAAACTTGTTATTTCTTATATATTTAGTGTATGTAGTTTGTTTATATTTCACAGAAAGCAAATACAGAAAAGCAATAGAAATCAGCATATTGTACCAAGCTTTCTGACAATTTTGAATTAAATGCCCCGAATTTGTTAACTTTCAGAAATGCTGAAAAATTAAAAGAGACAATTTAAGAAGGGTGTATTTTCCCATCGTGCTCTGTGTACACCAGTTTCAGTAGTAAACTCATCTTTTTTATGTTCCCTGAGGGCACAGGCATTCGCAGCATCCTTCCTTTGCTCATGATGACTCTTCAGACCCCATGCCCATCTCAGAATATGCTTCATGGGGCCTTGTTCAATCCTACTTCTATTAGTATCCTGTGGCTGCTGTAACAAGTTACCACAAACCCAGTGGCTTAAAACAACAAAAATGTATTCTCTCACAGTTCTGGAGGCCAGAAATCTGAAATCCTTTTCACTGGGCTGAATCAAGAGGTCAGAAGGGCTGTGTTCTCTCTGGAGGCTTAGTGGAGAATCTGTTCCTTTGCTTTTTCCAACTGCTGGTGGCTGTCAGCCATCCTTGGCTTGTGGCTGCACCACTCCAATCTCTGCCTCCATGGTCACCTTGCCTCCTCCTCTTCTGTCTGTATCATCTATCTCTCCCTGTCTCTTATAGGACAGTTGTGATTAGAATTAGAGCCCACCCAGATAATCCAGGATAATCTCTCAATGTTAGGATCCTTGCTATGGACTGAATGTTTGTGTCTCCCCCAAATTCATATGTTGAAACCCAATCCCCAGTGTAACGGTATTTGGGGTGGGGCCTTTGGAAATAATTAGGGTTAGATGACGTCATGAAGATGGGTGCCTCATGATGGGATTAGTGCTCTTATAAAGAGAGAAAGAGACGGGAGATCTCTCTCCACCACCTGAGGATAAATCAAGAAGGCAGCCATCTGCAAACCAGGAAGAGGGCCCTTACCAGACACCAATTCTACTAGCACCTTGATCTTGGACCTCCCAACCCCTAAACCTGTGAGAAATAGATGTTTGTTGTTTAAGCCACCCAGTTTATGGTATTTTGTTACAGCAGCCCAAACTGAGTAACACAATCCTTGATCTCATCTGCAAAAGCCTTTTTCCTTTATAAGGTAAAGGGTAAAGTTTATAGGAATTAGGACCTGATGTCTTTGGGTGGTCATTTTTCAGCCTACTATACTACCATTCTCCTAACCCACCTCAAGTCTCAGCTTTTCCATGAAGTAGGAAAATGGAGACAGTCCTGAACTAGGAATCAGGGAGCTAGCCTCCAGTTTTGACTTAGAACTAACTTGCTTTTTTACCCTGGGCTGTCACTTCTTTGGACCTCAGTTTCCTTGATGTAAAACAGGTGAGTCAGATGCAACTTTGTCAATAAGGCTGCCAGAACAGTTTGGGTGGGAAAATTCTTTGCTCTGAAGGACTTCAATATCATTAGCATATCTGGCCCTAAATGCCTGGTCAAGATGAAAACCCTCACCCACACTTCACAGAGAGAGCCACTGAAATAGAACATCTCTCAGATGCCTTTAAAACAGAATACTATTTAAAACAGAATACTATATTTATGAATAAGAGTCTCCCCAGTTTAGAAGTAATGCATGTCATGCCAGTTAAATAAATATTGAAAAACAGTTTTGAGTACCAACAAGAAAGAAAATAACCCAAGATAATTGCTGCCAGCATTTTGATATTATCCCTCCAGTCTCTCTCTCTTCTTTCTTTCTCTTTCCTCCTTCCTTCCTTTCTCTCTTTCTTTCTTTCCCCTTCCTTCCTCTCTTTTCTTTCTTTCTCTTTCTTTCTTTCTTTTTTCTTCCTTCCTTTCTCTTTCTTTCTCTTTTTCTTTCTTTTCTTTCTCCTCCTTCCTTCCTCTTTCTCTTTCTTTCTTTTTCTTTTTTCCTTCCTTCCTTCCTCTTTCTCTTTCCCTCCCTCTCTCTCTCTCTTTTTCCCCTTCCTTCCTTCCTTCCTCCCTCCCCTCCCCTCCACTTCCCTCTTCTCCCCTCCCTCTCCTCTTCTCCTTTCTTTTTCTTTCTTTCTTTTTTTTTTTTCTTTTTTTCTTTTTTTGAGACAGGATCTCGCTCTGTCACCCAGGCTGGAGTGCAATGGCAGGATCTTGGCTCACTACAGCTTTGACTTTCCGGACTCAAGCAATCTGCTTGCCTTGGCCTCCCAAGTGGCTAGGACTAAAGGTGTGTACCACCACGGCCAGTTAATTTTGTATTTTTTGTAGAGACGGTTTCGCCATGTTGCCCAGCCTGGTCTCGAATTTCTGGGTTCAAGCAATCCACCCACCTCGGCCTCCCAAAGTGCTGGGATTACAGGCGTGAGCCACTGTGCTGGACTTTCATGCATCTCTATACATTTTAAAATTCAAATTGGATCTCACCATACATTCCGTTTCATCATTTCCTTGTTATTCTAAATAATACACTATTGATATTCCTTCATATTATGAAATATTCTTCTATGAGTTGATTTTTAAATGAAATTTAGTATTTCACATGGGTCACTGATAAAAACACCGTGAGTCACACCACTCTGACCCCTGTAAATACAGTGTATCTTTTTCATCTCCTGGGTTTGGCACCACAATTTTGGCACAAGATTATATTATGCTTTTATTCTCCTTATTATTATCATTCCTTTTTGAGACAGAGTCTTGCCCAGGCTGGAGTGCAGTGGTGCAATCTTCGTTCACTGCAACCTCCACCTCCCAGGTTCAAGTGATTCTCACTCCTCAGCCTCCCAAGTAGCTGGGATTACAGGTGCACACACCATGCCTGGCTAATTTTTTTTGTATTTTTAGTAGAGACAGAGTTTCACCATGTTAGCCAGGCTGGTCTTGAACTCCTGACCACAGGTGATCCACCTGCCTCAGCCTCCCAAAGTGCTGAGATTACAGGCATGAGACACTGTGCCCGGCCTTATTTCCTTTTTTAAAATAAATGTGTAAGAATCATTGAGAGTAGGTGCTGGAAAAATAACTTGAATGAAAATTAAAAGTTGGAAGCTGATGAAAGTTATCTTTCTTTTAATTAAGGTTTTTAAATTAAAATTTTAAATCAACACATAAGTGTACATATTTATGTGGTACGTAGTGATGATGTGATACATATAATGTATAGTGATGAGATGAAAGTTATCTTTAAACACTTCCTATCTAAATGGATGCCCTTCCCCATCCTGTTCTCTGCTAAAAGTGAAGATATCAACCATAATGTAAGCAACACTGATGTAGCATTTTAATGTGCCATGAAAGCGTTTGACATACATTAATTCATTTAATCCTCACAGAAAGCATATTAGGTAGGTACTCTTAGAATGAAACTGAGGCACAGAGAGACCAAGTAACTTGCCCAAGTCCACACAGCTAATAAGTGGCAAAGCTGGGATTTCAGTTAGGGTAGCATCACTCCTGAAGTCTGTATTCTTAGCCCTTCTACCATGTTGACTCTTTTTTTTTTTTTTTTTTGAGATGGAGTCTGGCTCTGTCACCCAGGCTGGAGTACAGTGGTGCGATCTCAGCTCACTGCAACCTCCGCCTCCTGGGTTCAAGCAATTCTTCTGCCTCAGCCTCCCAAGTAGCTGGGACTACAGGCAAGTGCCACCATACCCAGCTAATTTTTTTCATTGTTTTTAGTAGAGACATGGTATACCATGTCTGCCAGGATGGTCTCGATCTCCCGACCTTGTGATCTGCCCGCCTCGGCCTCCCAAAGTCATGCTGACTCTTAAAAGGCCAAAAAGGAGAAGTGGGTATGGTGGTAGTGGGAGTCTCCATTTCTGAGGGGTCTAGGAGTGGGGTCAACCTGTGTTGCATGGGTGACGGGTAATCATTTGGTGCCCCTTCTAAGGAAAGCACCTACTCTTTAGGTGCTTCTCCTGCATTGATTTAGCTGTGTTAGATGAGATCAGCAAAGAATGTCCTGTTATTTCTACTCTAGAGCACTATCTGTTTCTGAGGGAAGAGGATACATTACATATTGCTAGTTAGATCTGAAGTCCTGTTTGCAGACCTGAGTTATTTAGCACCTGATTTCTGACTTTTCTTTGCTGATATGTGAGCACCCTTTAAAGACTGGCACCCCAGGCATTGTGTAGCTGCCTGGCACTTTGTCTAGCTCTGACTAGAAGCTGGAGGCAGGCAGTGTCCCTTGGCTGCCTCTGGCATCTAGGGGAAGGAATGGGCGTTCCTGCTTCCCTTTCTCATCAGCTGTTAACTGATATGAAGAGTGACATTCTCCAAACCAGAGGAATGATCAGACCAAGTGTTATTTAAATGCTGACAAAATGATTCAAAATACTCATTAAAAAATGTTATTCATGTCATTATTATATATATTATTTAAATATCACTCATGAATAATTATTTGTTCAATAATTACTTAGAGAGTCCATGTGCCAGGCATGGTTCTGTGTGCTGGAGACACCACATTTTGTAAACAGATGAACTAAAGAAACTTGCCAAGTTCTGCCCTCATGGAGTTTACATCCTGAAGGGGAAGCCAGACAAAATCAAACATACATAGGCTAGACTCTCAGGCAGTGATCGCTGCTAGGAAGAAAAAGCAGCGGCAAGAAGACTGAGTGGATTGGGGTGGGGACAGAAGAGGGAAGCTGTGGGGATAGTGAGAGCTTGGTGTCATCAAGAAAGCCAGTGTGGGCCAGGTGTGGTGGCTCACGCCTGTAATTCCAACACTTTGGGAGGCCGAGGTGGGAGGATCATGAGGTCAAGAGATAGAGACCATCCTGGCCAACATGGCGAAACCCCATCTCTACTAAAAATACAAAAATTAGCTGGGCGTCGTGGCGTGTGCCTGTAGTCCCAGTTACTCCAGAGGCTGAGGCAGGAGAATCGCTTGAACCCAGGAGGCGGAGGTTGCAGTGAGCCAAGATCACGCCACTGCACTCCAGCCTGGGATAGAGCGAGACTCTGTCTCAAAAAAAAAAAAAAAAAAAAAAAAAAGAAAAAAGAAAAAGAAAGCCAGTGCAACTAATAAGGAACAGGTAAGGTGTAGAGTGATCAGAGGTGATGATGCTGGACACAAGACAGGGGCCAGGTCACGCGGGGCCTGAATGTGTTATTCAAGGCAGGACAGGAAGACAGTGATGGATTTTTTTTTTTTTCCTTGAGAAGAGGGTGAGGAGTCTTGGAGGATCGTCGGGGGTGCGAGATGTCTCATTATGTTGCCCAGCTGGTCTCTAACTCCTAGGCTGAAGCGATCCTCCCACCTCAGCCTCCCGAGTAACTGGGATTACAGGCGTAAGCCACTGCACTGGGCTCTCAGTGACAAGGATTTTGAATCAGCAAGAGATATATTCTTGAATTTTCATTGTCAACACCCATTATGGAGCCATGTGGAAGACAGACCCTAGGACGGGAGCAAGACAGGCTGGGAGGCTGGTTAGGAGCTGCTGCAGAAAGATGATGGGGGCTTGACCAGGCGGCAATGTAAGGGGTGAAAAATGGTCAGATTTAGAATGTAATTTTGAAAGTGGAGTTGATGGATTGGTTGTGGGGTGGGAGAGAAAGAAAGCAAAGAAGACTTCTGCTTTTCCCCCTTCAAGGGTAGGCACAGGAGGCAGTAAAATGTCAAAACAAAAGAAAATATTAAATTTGCCTTATTAGATATCTAAGTAAGATGTCTCATTGAATAAATGAGTCAGGGGAGAGCTCCATGCTGAAAGTCTAATTGGGGTTTACCAGCATATATATGTTATTTAAATCCATGGAAATAAACAGTCATTTGGAGCTGCGCCGTCCAACACAGTAGCTACCAGTAGCTACATTTCCTATGAAAATGTACCATCTGAATTGAGATGTACTGTAAATGTAAAATATATCCTAGCTTACAAAGACTTGGCATAAAAAATGTAAAATATCAGCCGGGCACGGTGACTCACACCTGTAATCCCAGCACTTTGGGAGGCCAAGGCGGGCGGATCACTAGGTCAGGAGTTCGAGACCAGCCTGGCCAACATGGTGACCCCCGTCTCTAAATATACAAAAAATTTGCCAGGCGTGGTGGCATTCGCCTATAATCCTAGCTACTTGGGAGGCTGAGGCAGGAGAATTGCTTGAACCCTAGAGGCGGAAGTTACAGTGAGCCGAGATCGCGACACTGCACTCCAGCCTGGGCGACAGGGCGAGACTCCTTCTCAAAAAACAAACTAACACAGTAAAATATCTCATTAATAGTTTTTAATATTGATTAAAATGTTGAAAAGATAGTACTTTTGATAACCTTGGTTAATAAATATATTATTAAAATTAGGCCAGACGCGATGGCTCACGCCTATAATCCCAGCACTTTGAGAGGCCAAGTTGGGTGGATCACTTGAGTTCAGGAGTTTGAAACCAGCCTGGGCAACATGGCAAAACCCTGTCTGTACAGAAAACACAAAAATTACCTGTGCATGGTGGCACGTGCCTGTAGTCCCAGCTATTAGGGAAGCTGAGGCAGGAGGATTGCTTGAGCCTGGGAAGCAGAGGTTGCAGTCAGTCAAGACCATGCTGAGAGCTGACAACGTGCTAGCAGCCCTGGCTCACTCTTGGCGCTTCCTCGGCCTCGTCTCCGCTCTGGCCGTGCTGGAGGAGCCGGCCAGAGCCGGCTCCCTCTGCTTGCGGGGAGGTATGGAGGGAGAGATGCCAGTTGGAGCCGGGGCTGCGCGGGAAACTCGCGGCCTGCCCGATTCCGGGTGGGCCCGGGATTGGCGGGCCCCGCACTCGTCCCAGCCGGCTGGCGCCTGCTGGGCTTGATCAGGGGACGAGCTCTCTCTGGGCTGCCGCAAAGTTGGGGTTAGGTGCCGCAAAGTCCCGGCTGCGAGTGCCATTGAGAGGTGAAGCTGGCTGGGCTTCTGGGATGGGTGGGCACTTGGAGAACTTTTCTGTCTAGCTAAAGGTTTGTAAATGCACCAATAAGCTCTCTGTGTCTAGCTAAAGGATTGTAAATGCACCAGTCAGCACTCTGTGTCTAGCTAAAGGTTTGTAAATGCACCAATCAGCGCTCTGTGTATAGCTAATCTGGTAGGGGACTTGGGAGAACTTTTGTGTCTAGCTAAAGGATTGTAAATGCACCAATCAGCACTCTGTCAAAATGGACCAATTAGCTCTCTGTAAAATGGACCAATCAGTAGGATGTGGGTGGGGCCAGATAAGGGAATAAAAGCAGGCCACCTGAGCCAGTAGTGGCAACCTGCTGGGTTGCCGTTCCCCACTGTGGAAGCTTTGTTCTTTTGGTCTTTGCACTAAGTCTTGCTGCTGCTCACTTTTTGGGTCTGCGCTGCGTTTAGGAGTTGTAACACTCACCAAGAAAGTCTGCAGCTTCACTCCTGCGGCTAGCGAGACCACGAACCCACTGGAAGGAACAAATAACTCCAGATGCGTCGCCTTTAAGAGCTGTAACACTCACCGTGAAGGTCCGAGGCTTCATTCTTGAAGTCAGCGAGACCAAGAACCCACAAATTCCGGATACAATGCCATTGCACTCCACCCTGAGCTATGGGAGTAAAACCTGAGCAATGGGAGCAAAACCATATCTCAAATAATAATAATACACTAATTAAATTAATCTCACTTGTTCTTTTTTTTTTAAATGTGGCTAGTAGAAAACTAAAAATTACATATGTGGCTCACGTTGCATTTCTACTGGGTAGCGCCTGGCTTTAGACAAAAAGTGAGTATAGTAAAAAAAGAAACTTTTTGAGGATTCAACGGATGGGGCATTCCATGATGTAGCACTTGTGAAGAGGGGGACCTAGGTGTAAAAAGGACTCTAAAGGAAGCAGCCTCAGAGGGAAAACACCGGGGAGGATGTTGTGTTCTGGAAACCAAGTGAAAAAAGAGGGAGCCAGCAGTTCAGAGACTGCTGTAAGGTGATGTACAATGTGGACTGGAAACTGACCGTTGGATTTAGCAATGTGGAAGTTGTTGGTGTCCTTGTTGGTTTCAGTGTGTATGTATGTGGGAGGGCGGGGTGGGAATAGGAATGGCATGAAAAACTCATCAGAGTTGACTAAAAAGGGAATTTAGGTAGGGATTAGAGCATCAGTTATAGAAATTTGGCCCTCCAGAGGAGCAGAATAATGGAGGTGCCAAGGAATAGGGGTTCAAGGGAAATATTGTTTGTTTAAGGGAAACATATATTTTAAAGTAGCTACTTTTTATTCTCTATTAAGATTTTGACCTAAGTAAATCATCTTGCAAATATCTATTAGCTCACAGGCATCTTCTATTTTATTTTATCAGAAATAAGAAATGCTAAGAATTTTAAAGGAGTACCCGTATTTGGTTTGGCCCACAAAATCATTGTGAACAAAGTGGTCTAGGATTACAAAAATCTGTTTTTAGGGTTACTAACATTACTACCACAATGGATTGCACACAGTTCCCTAAAACATAGAACTGTGACATTATCTGTGTTGCAGGGCAAGTGTGTGAAATTCCTGAACTTTGGAATAGAACATAAATGCCAGACTTCTTGTATTACATTTTGATGAATCATCATATCTTATTAATCTTAACAGTACTTAGTGTAGCTCATGGCACATAAAAAGTGCTTAATATAATTGAATGAATGAAGACAATCTCAGCATCTGAAATACCAAAGAGCCTAGCAGTACCCAAGAATTCACCAACAGATGGCACCATGCTGTTTCCCATAAGAGCTTATATAGAAACAATGTTAATATGACATTCAGTTCCAATTTCAAGTGCTGGTTAGGGGTAGAAATGGAATCCTCAAGAATATATTTTACTACTTTAAATTTTATAGCTGAATTATTAAAGCATGTTCATATGTTTTTTTTTTCTTATAAATAGCTAAATTATCTAAGGCCCTTTCCTTAGGTCAGAGCTTGAAAAGAAAATGAGATTGATTTGTAGATCAGATAAAGAAAATACCCACAGGTTATTATTATTAAAATATTTGTGAATACTAAGAAGTCGAGTTGCACAATCCATTCTCCCTGAGAGATTAAACTCCTTCAATGGCAGTAAAAACAAGGATGTTTTGCATACATCAGAGCACGGGCATGATGCTTTAGAGAGCAAATGTTGCATTTTGCAGTTCCAGTGTAGACTGGAGGTGACAAGGACCAACCTAAACACTCAGTGTGCTAGACAAACCAATATGGTCTTCACATACCATGTGTAAAATATTCCCTGGAGGGCCACATGTAAATAGAGCTCCCACTGTGACCCTCATTACCTTTTCTGTAGAAGTAATTATGACTTTCATAATTTTCTATGCCCTTTATTTAACCTGCAGGTCTGAGAAGTGGATGGATGTGTTTTAAGACAACAGTGTGGTGAAAAGGCCACAGCTTGGCAGCTCCTATAGCATGGAGAGTCACACACAGGATAGACAGGGCAACAGCCGTGGCATGAGCAACCTTACAGTATTAATCATTTACTTAACCATTTGAGAAGAGTGCCTGCTGCCACTTTATCTATCTAATCTATCTATCTATCTATCTATCTATCTATCTATCTATCTATCTATCATCTATCTATCTATCTATCATCTTTTTTTTTTTTGTTTTTTGAGATGGAGTCTCACTCTATCGCCCAGTCTGGAGTGCAATGGCGCGATCTCAGCTCACTGCAACTTCCACCTGTTGGGTTCAAGCAGTTCTCCTGCCTCAGCCTCCTGAGTAGCTGGGACAACCGGCACGCACCACCATGCCTGGCTAATTTTTTGTATTTTTTAGTAAAGAAGGGGTTTCACCGTGTTAGCCAAGATGGTCTCTATTTCCTGACCTCGTGATCCACCCGCCTCAGCCTCCCAAAGTGCTGGGATTACAGGCGTGAGCCACCACGCGTGGCCCTATCTATGTTATCTATGTACCTATGTATCTATCTAATCTATTTAGTCTCATCATGAAGTCTCTATCTCAGATGCAGATACAATCTGCAGATAAATGCAACTGGCCAAAGCTAAGAAAGTAGGTGCTTTTGAATTGGCTGGCCCTGCCACAATGGAGCAAGACAGGAGATACCCAGAGTTCCTGGTCCCTCCTTGCTCTCTCTTCCTTTGTGAGCCTGGTGACTGAGGTTTCAGGAAAACTCAAGCAGGGCCAGTCTGGGCCCCCATGGAGGGTTAGTAAGGTCTACTTAGGTACTGGTATTGTGTCCGGGATTGGTTCCTTCTGGTGAGTTCTTGGTCTCGCTGACTTCAAGAATGAAGCCGCAGACCCTCGCGGTGAATGCTACGGTTCTTAAAGATGGTGTGTCAGGAGTTTGTTTCTTCAGATGTGTCGGGAGTTTCTTCCTCTAGTGGGTTTGTGGTCTTGCTGACTTCAGGAATGAGGCTGCATACCTTCACAGTGTGTTACAGCTCTTAAAGATGGGTGTGTCTGGGCCGGGCAAGGTGGCTCACACCTGTAATCCCAGCACTTTGGGAGGCCGAGGCGGGCAGATCATGAGGTCAGGAGATCGAGACCATCCTGGCTAACACAAACCCCGTCTCTACTAAAAATACAAAAATTAGCCAGGCGTGGTGGCGGGCGCCTGTAGTCCCAGCTACTCGGGAGGCTGAGGCAGGAGAATTGCGTGAACCTGGGAGGCGGAGCTTGCGGTGAGTAGAGATCATGCCACTGCACTCCAGCCTGGGTGACAAAGCAAGACTCCCTCTCAAAAAAAAAAAAAAAAAAAAGATGGTGTGTCTGGAGTTTGTTCCTTCAGATGTTCAGATGTGTCCAGAGTTTCTTCCTTCCAGTGGGTTCGTGGTCTTGCTGACTTCAGGAATGACAGACCCTCCCTGTGAGTGTTAAAACTCGTAAAGGTAGTGTGGACCCAAAGAGTGAGCAGCAGCAAGATTTATTATGAAAAGCAAAAGAACAAATACCTTCCACAGCGTGGAAGGCGACCCGAGTGGGTCACTGGCTGCTGACTGGGGTGGCCAGCTTTTATTCCCTTATCTGGCCCCACCCACATCCTGCTGATTGGCCCATTTTACAGAGTGCTGATTGGTCCATTTTTACAGAGTGCTGATTGGTGCATCTACAAACCTTTAGCTAGACACAGAGCCCTGATTGGTGTGTTTACAATCCTTTAGCTAAACAGAAAAGTTCTCCAAGTCCCCACCTGACCCAGAAGCCCAGCTGGCTTCATCTCTCAGTATGTGTGATATAGCACATACTTTGCCAGTAGGGTTATCAGTGAATTTCTTGAGACTAACACCACTCTGAACTTTCAAATGTATGCCCATAAATGACTAAACATTTAAATGATGGCTTAGATATTCTCTCCATGTTCTCTTCTACCTGAGTACACTCCTCAATTGCCTTTGTGGGCTTTGCCTATCTTTCTTTTATTGGGGGCCCACCCAGGGATTGGTCACCAGTCTACTCTAATTCACCCATTGACTAAGTTGCTATGAAGATTCTAGCCTTCTTTCCTGAGCTACCACCTCCTCTCTCTAGCACCTGAACCTCTCTTCCTAAGTGTTCCATTAGTATTTCAAATGCAGTATACATGAGGGAAAAACACCTCATCATTCACTTCCCGCACCTACTGCTTTTTTGAATTGACCTTTCTTGTGTACGCACTGTATTTGAAAGGTTTCCAGTATCATATTTTTACTTTAAAAAAGACCATAACTTAGGTAAGTTAAGATGCATAATTATAAAACAGATACTCATGAAGACTTCCCTCAACTTTGGAATGAACACATTAACCAATATGATTGCATCTGTGTAGAGCTTCACTCCCTCAACCTTTTGACTCCTTCTCATAGCATATTAGTTTCCTATTGCCTCTGTAACAAATTCCCACAAATTTAATGGCTTAAAACTGCAGAAATTTATTATCTTGCAGTACTGGAGAGCAGAAGTGTAAAGTGGGTCAGCAGGGCTGCATTCCTTCTGGGGGCTCTGGAGTTTATATGTGGGGGAGAAGCCATTTCCTTGCCTTTTCTAGCTTTCCAGGCTGAAGCATTCCTTGGCTCATTGCCCCTTCCGCCATCTTCAAAGCCAGCATCACATCTTCAAATCGCTCTTTCTCTATCTCTGACCTTTGCTTCTGAAACAAGCCCAGTTTTCCCATAGAACTGATGTTTATGGTTTCTTTTGAATAAACATAGAAATTGACCCTCCCAGTCTTAAAACTTGCGAAAGTTACATTTTTCTCACCTGCGTTGCTTTCTCAGGAAACCAAGCATCAGGCCTCCCAGATAATATCAGGGAGCTGAAATTGACCAAATCACTGCATCTGGACAATGAAACGCCAGACCCCCCACCTGTGATGGTTGCCTGACCAACCACCTGCTGCCTGTTGACAACTTCTTCCTTACCTCTCCCTAATTCCTGTTTTCCATACATGCTTACATTTCTTCCCTGCTATATAAACCCCTAATTTTAGTCGGTCAGGAAGATAGATTTCAGGCTCTCATTTCCCATCTCTTTGGGATGGATTTGGATTTGGACCTATCAGGAGATGGACTTCACACTGATCTCCTGTCTCCTTGGCTGCAGCACCCAATTAAAACCTTTTTCCCTGGCAATATTCATTGTCTCAGTGATTGGCTTTTTGTGTGGTGAGCAGCAGGACCTAGACTGAACCCCCAGCATTTCAGTAACACTTGCATGATCATCTATCCTCTCTGACTCTGACCATCCTGCCTCCCTCTTAGATTACAATGGGTTCACCCATGTAATCCAGGATAATCCTCCCATCTCAAGATCCTTAACTTAATCACATATGCAATGTCCGTTTGCCATGTAAGGTAACATAGTCACAAGTTCTGGGGATTTGGACATGGACATCTTTGGAGAGTCATTATTCTCTTACTACACATAGTAATTACCACTATCCTGAATTGTGTTACAATTTCTTTGTTTAAGATAGCATCGCCAAATAGGGATGTATCTTAACATTTTATTATTACCTTTTGTTTTAGAACTTCATAAAAATGATAAAATATATTATGTAATCTTCTATCTGCTTACTTAATATTATTACTCTAAGATTCACTCACATTACATGTAGTTCATGTATTTGTATTACTGTTTAAAACATGCTGTTAATGTACCTAAAATTATTCACCCATTCTGTAGTTGATATAAGTAGTACGTTACGAATATTCTTGTTTCTCCTGGAGAAGGAATGCGCATGGGTTTCTCTAGAGTTTATATCTAGGAGTGGAATTTCTGGGTTATAAGTTATACTAAAGGATAAAATAGTGGCAAATTACTTTTTCAGTTATTTGACACTCCCAACACAGTACTATAAATGTTACAGTTTTTCCATATCTTTGCCAACAAGCAATAGAGTAAGTCATTACTGTATAGTAAGTCATTTCATTTTTAAAATTTGAACATTTCTATTACTTATGGGAGTAAGTATCTTTTCATATGTTTTCAGCCAATTGTGATTCCTCTTTGGATAAGTGCTTATTCATGTAGTTTGCCTATTTTCCCACTTTTAGGCCTTCTTTATATATTTATTAGATAAATCCTTCATTGGTTGGTTGTATTATGAATAAACAGCCAGACTGTGGCTTGTCTTTTTTTTTTTAATTTTTTATAGTGTCTGAAATAACACAAAGAATCAGATTGTCAAATCAGACTCACACGAGTCAGAGTCTTACCCAGTATTAAGCTTTACTAATACAGGATACAGGTAATTTTGAGATGAAGCAAGGGAGGTCTGGAACCATCAGTGTCACTCTTCAGATCCTTAACTGCCCCACCGGATGCACTCTGTGCCCATAATTAATATATGAGGTCTCTAAGCAATGTGTGAGATTCACCTCTCTCATATAGAAGGAGGCTATTTGGAAAATAAAATGTACCCAATGATGCACCACAAATCTATAAATCTCAAATTTTGTTTACCATGATTAGTT
Source organism: Homo sapiens (assembly GCF_000001405.40). Taxonomy (NCBI): domain Eukaryota; kingdom Metazoa; phylum Chordata; class Mammalia; order Primates; family Hominidae; genus Homo; species Homo sapiens. Next base: position 42,376,850 of record NC_000004.12, read on the forward strand.
CTAGATAGCCAGATACATCCTGCTAAAAGCACCCCATAGATAAGGAGCATTCTATTCACAAATTCCATTCGTTTGCCAAGATGTCTGTCAGTCGCATGTTGACAAGAGTAGGCCATCTTTCCTGGTCCCTGCTCCCCATTCTCCAGCTGGAGATAATGGATTGCAGCCCTGCTGCTTAACCCTTTATTTCCCAATGTCTTTGATTAATATGTGTGATGTAAGGGAAGAATCCAATGTGTTTTTTTCTCTACTTGTAACCAATTGTCTCAGCAACATTTGTGGAATTTTATGAAATCTTTTTTTTTGAGACTGTAATCTATATGATACCCAATATTTGAAATAGACAACATTTGGGGACTTGCTTTATGAATTAGTTTGTGGTCAAGATTTGAAATATTTCATTTGTGTTTGGTAAGATTGCGTATTCTTTCCAAAGGTTATTATTAATTTACTTTTTAATTGACAAATACAAATTGTATATATTTATGGTATACAATGTATTTTGAGATATGTAGACATTGTAGAATGGCTAATCAAGCTAATTTACATATGCATTACCTCACATACCTTTTTTTGCGGTGAAAATACTTAAAATCTATTTTCTTAGCAATTTTCACATGTACAATACATTATTATTAACTATAGTCACCGTGTTGTACAATAGGTATCTTGAAGACTGTATTCTTTAGCTATTAGAGGCAGAGTTCTATAACCGTCTAATAAATCAAGCTGATCAATCTTGTATTTTTCAAATTTTTACTTCACAAATCTTCACGAAGATTTATTGTGTTCTTAACTTATGAATAATTGAGATAGATGCATTGAAATATCTCAGTATGTTTGCTATTTCGTAATATTTCTCTGTGATTCTATTGATTTTTCTCTCTATATGTGAAGGTTTCATTATTGAGTGCATACAAGTTTAAAATTATTCTTTATCTTGGGTGAATTTCTTATAATTTAGTGATCCTTTCAATCCTGAATAATGCCTTTTGTCTCTGAGTTTATTTTTCTGCTATCAATATATCAGCTTATCAGCTTTTTAAAATTAACATTTGTCTCACCTTTTTTTTTCCTTTTACATTCAATATTTCTGAGTCCTTGTGTTTTAAGTGTGTCTCTTATAAAGGAGCCTATATATTTTTTTTTTCTGTTTTTCTTCTGGTCAGAAAATCTTCGATTTGTTTAATCAATTTACATTTATTGTGATTACTGACATATGTATGCAGTGGTGTGATCTTAGCTAACTGCAACCTCCACCTTCAGGGATCAACTGATTCTCTCACCTCAGCCTCCCAGAGTAGCTGGGACCACAGGTGCATGACATCATGCCTGGCTAATTTTTGTATTTTTTTGTAGAGATGGGGTTTTGCCATGTTGCCAAGGCTGGTCTTGAACTCCTGGCCTCGAGCAATCTGCCTGCCTCAGCCTCCCCAAAATGCTGGGATTACAGGCCTGAGCCACTGTGCCTGGCCTTGAACTTGTTTTTATCATTATTTTTTCTGCTTTTCTTTTAAAAATTGATTGAATTTTGTTTTATTACAGTGTTCTATTTCATTTCTTCCCCACCTACTGGATTGAAAGTACAGACACAATTTCTATTTTTTAGATAGTGTATTTGAAATATTATTACTCATATTTAACAAGCATGAATAAGTAGTGGCAAAGTTCATGTCTTAGCCCATCTCCTGAACAATAAGATTAATTTAGGACATTTTGATTTCAATCACCCAATTTTCTTTTTCTTAGGATGTCTTGATTCTTCCTTATTCTTGAAGTATACTTTTGCTGGCTATATAACTTTAGATTGACAGTAATTTTCTCTAGATATCTTTGAGATTTTACTTTGCTGTCTTTTGGCTTCTATTATTGCTGTTGAGAAGTTGGCTGTAAGTTCAATTGTCCTTTCTTTGTAGGTTATCTGGTTTTTCTCTCTGCTTGCTTTTAAGCCCTCTTTTTCTTTTGAGTTCTGCAGCACCATTACCATATATGTCAGTATTGATTCTTTTTTTTTTTTTTTTTTTTTGAGATGGAGTCTCGCTCTGTTACCCAGGCTGGAGTGCAGTGGAATGATCTCGGCTCACCACAACCTCTGCCTCCCAAGTTCAAGCAATTCTCCTGCCTCAGCCTCCCAGGTAGCTTGGATTACAGGTGCCCGCCACCACGCCCAGCTAATTTTTGTATTTTTAGTAGAGACGGGGTTTCACCATGTTGGTCAGGCTGGTCTTGAACTCCTGACCTCAAGTGATCCACCTGCCTTGGCCTCCCAAAGTGCTAGGATTACAGGCGTGAGCCACCGTGCATGGCTGATTTTTGTTTATTTATTTTGCTTAGCATGTGTTTTAGTTTTTTGTACATGTGAACTTATATCTTTCATTATCTTTCTGGAAATTCTCACCCTTTACATCTTTAAATATTGCCTCTCTTTCATTATTTCTAGTTTTTCTTTCTGGAACTCAAAATAGGTATATGTAACATCTCTCATTCTATCTTTAATGTATCTTAAACTTTTGTTCATATTATCATCTCTTTATCTCTCTGTACTATATTCTAAAAAATGTTTTAAAATCCATCTTCCTGGCCAGGCACAGTGGCTCACATCTGTAATCTTAGCACTTTGGGAGGCTGAAGTGGGCAGATTGCTTGAGCCCAGAAGTTTGAGACCATCCTGGGCAACATGGCAAAACCCCTTCTGTACAAAAAATACAAAAATTAGTCAGGTGTGGTGGTGCATGCTTGTAGTCCCAGCTACTCGGGAGGCTGAGGAGGGAGGATCACTTGAACCCCGTAGGTTGAGGCTGCAATGAGCTCATGATCACACCACTGCACTCCAGTCTAGGCTACAGAGCGAGATTGTCTCAAAAAAAGAAAAAAAGAAAAATCCACGTTCCAGTTTATTATTTTCTCTTCACCTGTGTCTACTCTACTATTGAATACATGTATTATGTTTTATATTTTGACAATTGTAATTTTCACTTTAAAAAAGTTATTTGGTTATTTAATTTCACTTAATAATTTTAATACACTTTTCTCTTCATGCATGCTCATTTTTTTTTTTTCTTTGAGATGCAGTTTTGCTCTAGTTGCTTAGTCTGGAGTGCAATGGTGCAATCTTGCCTCACCGCAACCTCCGCCTCCTGGATTCAAGTGATTCTCTGCCTCAGCCTCCCTAGTAGCTGGGATTACAGGCACCTGCCACCATGCCCAGCTAATTTTGTATTTTTAGTAGAGACGGGGTTTCTCTATGTTGGTCAGGGTGGTCTAGAACTCCTAACCTTAGGTGATCTGCCCGTCTCAGCCTCCCGAAGTGCTGGGATTACAGGCGTGAGCCACCGCGCCTGGCCACGTGCTCATTTTTTTATTCCATCTTTCTTTTTTTTAAGCTATCATACACAATGTTTTAATACCACCCTGCATCAGATAATTTCAACTTCTGAAGTCTTTGGGATTTTAAATCTATATTTTACATGTCTGCTGTCTCTCATTTATGGCATTTTCCCCGCAATGTGTTTGTTTATCTTTGATTGTGAGTTCTTATTTGTTTGAAGACATTATTTCTGAGAAGACAGGGTATTTGCTTCTTCTAGTTACTAGGGCATCTGAATTCCCTGTGACAAATTCGCATCCTTCCAGTTTCCCTGGCCTGTTGTGAGAGTTTCACGTTCAGCTCCAACACCCTGCAGCTAGCCCAAGGCTTGAATTCACCAAGACAGTACATCACGGTGAAATTTGCATGTGGTTATGCCAAAGTTTTCTTTTCTTGCTTTTGAGAATAGTCCTTCATCCTGAGATCCCAGTAATGCATGAAGCATTTTGTTTTCATGTCTGATCTACTTGTTTGTAGTGGAGGACCTTGCAGAGTATTAGACACACTATATAGGACATGGACTTGCATTTCCTTTTTCAGGAAATGCCACTCAATCTGGATGTTAGTCTAGAAATACTTACAAACATATCTACCTCAGCTTTTCCAGGTCTGGCCTAAGCAATTTCTCATGGATCACTCAGAATCTTCCATCTAGACTCTGATTTTCTGACTCTATGCCTTCTAATGTACCCTCTACAATGTCACTAGACTTAGGGACTATACTGACCTTTTAAAAAATATAAACCTCATCATGCCATTTCCCTGATAAATATCATTCCATGGCTTCCCATCACATTCTAAATAAAGATAAAATTTCTCAGCATGGTCCCCAGGTCATCGTCTCTCTCTAGCCTCCCATTAAAACTGGCCCAATTGTCCCATAGAACTGATTTCAATCATCCAGTAGAACTGATGTTTATGGTTTCTTTCAATAAACATAGAAATTAACTCACACAGTATGAAAACCTAAGAAACTTACATTTGCTTTATCTGAATTCCTTTCTCAGGAAACCAATCGTCAGATCTCCCAGATCATATCAAGCAACTGAAACTCACCAGATCACTGCATCTGGACAACGAGATGCCAGACCCCTCACTCTTCATGATTGCCTATCCGACCACCTGCTTCTTGTTGACCAGCTCATCTTCCTTACTCCTCCCTAATTTCTGTTTTCCCACACATGGTTACATTTCTTCCCTGCTATATAAACTCCTGAATTTAGTCGGTGAAAGAGATGGATTTGAGACTGATCTCCCATCTCCTCAGCTGTAGCATCCAATTAAAGCCTTCTTCCCTGGCAATACTCATTGTCTCAGGCATTGGCTTTGTGTGGCAAGCGACGGGACCTAGACTGAAACCCTGCCATTTTGGTAACATCATGTGTCTCATACACCCCTTGACCCAGCATTACCAACCTCGTAGCCTTTCCAGAATGGTCTCTGCCCTCTTCCAGGGCAAAATGACTTCTCATTAGCTGTAAGTTATCAGATCCCTTTGTTTAAAAGTCTGTTTATTCTTCCTCCTAAGTAATGACTCTGCTTTGAAGACCAATTATCTTTCAACTCACAACATTTGTGAAAGCTGAATATTACACAAGTGGGAATGAAAGAAGAAATCCCCAAAGACAATTTTAATATACTCTATAACCAATTTATTACGGAAAAAAATTCTAATTGCGGGAAGAACTATCCAAGGATGAAAGCTTAATTAAATTGTGATCCTGGAAGCCTGAGCTTTTTAATTAAAAAAATGAAACTGTAGAATAACACTCTCTCCAACACTCACACATTTTAGACTGTCAGCCAGGGTAAGTTGTGTGTAATGTTCAGTGTGAAGGGGCTGTTTGAGATGTGTAATTCTTTTGCTTACTGCAAATCTGTCAAGTAAGTTAAAAACTGTGGGCTCCTGGTCTCCCCAAAGTAGAAGGTAATCAATATATTAAATCTAAAACTTAGTTAGATTTAATAAGAATGTTTGGTCAATTGAGTAAAAACAAAATAGATTATTTTTTGAGAAAAATCTATCAACTTGAATTTTTGTATCACATAAATAAAACAATCGATTGATTAGATATTTCCCATTGTTCTCATTGTGCAGTGGTCTCAGAGTGAATAGACAACTCAGGCGACGGATTTGGACTCTGGAGTCATGAGAACAAGAGCACAGAATCAGTAGATTTGGCCTTATGACCTTGGGCTAGTTACTTATATTCTAAGTCTTCTCATAGAGTTGATGGTGGCAATTAAACAAGGTAACACATAGCAAACACCTACCATAGTATCTAACACAAAGTAGGAACTTAAAAATGATTTAAAAGACTGGCGGAGTGGCTCGCACCTGTAATCCCAGCACTTTGGGAGGCCGAGGAGGGGGGGATCACTTGAAGTCTGGAGTTCAAGACCAGCCTAGCCAAATGGTGAAAACTCCTCTCTATTAAAAAAAAAATTAACTGGATGAGGTGGCGGGCACCTGTAACCCCAGCTACTCAGGAGGCTGAGGCAGGATAATCACTTGAACCCAGGAGGCAGAGGTTGCAGCAAGCAGAGATTGTGCCACTGCACTCCAGCCTGGGCAACAGAGGGAGACTCTGTCTCAAATAATTAAAAAAAAACAAAAAAGATTTAGAAAACTTCCACACCAAAGAGTGTAATACAAAATTAACTGCCATTTTGTGACCTCTGTTTGGAGGGAAATAATTTTTTAAAAAACCGTAGAAACAACTCGGCTGGATGCAAATTTAAAAAGCGATCACGAGGTTACCGTTAATGAATCAAAAACACCAGTGTTCACTAATTATCACCATTTTATATGAAGTTCTTCTAAAAAGAGTGTTTCTTGTATGAATAAGTTATTTTTATTTCTTATAATGAAACCTCTGAGGTCTAGCCATACCATCAAAATGTTAAAATATTTTCATTCAGTTAAATTATGTAATGTGAAAATGAATGATGGCCAGGAGACTGATGGCCAGTGTAATTCTGGTGAGAAATTATGTTGCACACATTGGTTTATTTAGTTAGAATTTTCTTTGGGTAATAAAATTAGTGTTATATAAAAATTAGTTTTATCTAACCTCATGTAGACTGCCATAAATGACTCTTGCAAGTTCAACATCCTGAGCAACTGTGACAAATCCCACGGAAGGCAATTTTACAGTAAACCAGGGCTACCCAAGACATGGTGAGAATGAGTTGTTGTGGATGACTGAAGGCTCCAGATAGCTGATATAAAATATCAAAACAATGAATACTTTATTTGGATTGGAATATTTTCTAACTGTATCATACATTTCTTTCTTTTCTTTTCTTTTTTGAGACACAGTCTCACCCTGTTGCCAGGCTGGAGTGCAATGGCACGATCTCAGCTCACTGCAACCTCTGCCTTCCAGGTTCAAGCGATTCTCCTGCCTCAGCCTCCTGAGTAGCTGGGATTACAGGCACGCACCACCACACCCAGCTAATTTTTTGTATCTTTAGTAGAGATGGGGGTTTCACCAGGTTGGCCAGGCTGGTCTTGAACTCCTGACCTTCTGATCCGCCTGCGTTGGTCTCCCAAAGTGCTGGGATTACAGGCATGAGCCACTGCGCCCAGCCTATTTTCTTTTCCCTCTGTCCTTTTTTCTTTTCTCTTCTCTTCTCTTTCTTTCTTTTCTTTCTTTCTTTCTTTCTTTCTTTCTTTCTTTCTTTCTTTCTTTCTTTCTTTCTTCTTTCTTTCTCTCTCTCTCTCTCTCTCTCTCTCTTTCTTTCTCTCTCTCTCTCTCTTTCTTTTTCTTTCTCTTTTCTGAGACGGGGTCTTGCCCAACCTCTTTTCTTTTCTCCCCTTCCTTCCTTCCCTTCCTTCCTTCCTTCCTTCCTTCCTTCCTTCCTTCCTTCCTTCCTTCCTTCCTCCCTTCCTTCCTCTCTTCCTTCCTTCCTTCCTTCCCTCTCTCCCTCCCTCTCTCTCTCTCTTTCTTTCTTTCTTCTTTTCTTTTTTGAGACAGGGTCTTGCTCTATCACCTAGGCTGGAGTATACAGTGACAGAATCATAGCTCACTGCAGCTTCAACCTCCTGGGCTCAAGGGATCCTTACTCCCTCAGCCTCCCAAGTAGCTGGGACTACAGGCACACACCACCACACCCAGCTGATTTTTTTAATTTTTATTTTTTATGTTTATTTTTGTAGAGACAGGGTCTTACTATATTGCCTAGTCTGGTCTTGAACTCCTGGGCTCAAGCAATCCTCCTGCCTCAGCCTCCCAAAGTGCTGGGATTACAGGCATAAGCCACTGCACCCAATCTATTTTTTTTAATTATTAGACAGATCATATATGGATTATAATGCAAGTTTTTCTGGATGACTCATGATGTATCCTTTTTTGGCCTGGATGTTAAGGAATCAGACCTTGATCTTGGTAGTTGAATTAGTCCCTCCATGTCACTCATGGGTTCACTTTTCTTCTTATGGATTTGCCAAAAGCACAAGACATTAATTCCAATGACTTGTCACAGGGTGTTGTTTTGGCAGCAATACTACCCAGGTCCACAAAGATGGCGGCTAGAGCAGGTCCATCACACACCAACTTCTCCTCTTGTCATTTATCCAGAGTCTGTAATCTGGTCTCTGTGTTCATACAGTGTTCAACCAGAAAAAGAACTCAGGGGACTGGGGAGGGGGCATAAAGAACCATGGTCCTTGTCTTCACCAATTTCTTCTGGTCAGTTGAATGTATTTTGCAAATCTGGAAGGATCTCACTCAAAATGCCCAGGTCACATATTCATTGTTTAGCTTAGATGTATGATGCCATTTCTCCTCTAAGTGCTAGCAAGCTGGGTGTGGTGGCAGAGTCAGTATGTTAGAACTGGCCTTGGTTCCTGCCATTGCTACATTAACTTGCATCATAAATGAGTAAGAAGGACAGATAAATGAAAATACCTAAACGTTTAAAAGGGATCTAGGACATGAGTTTGAAAACTGTGGCTTCTGGGCCAAACCCAGCCTGCTACCTGTTTCACATTGCCCACAAGTTATGAATGATTTTTACATTTTTAAATGGTTGAAAAAAACTTAAAATAAGAATAATGTTTTGGGGACGGGCGCGGTGGCTCATGTCTGTAATCCCAGCACTTTGGCAGGCTGAGGCGACTGGATCACTTGAGGTCAGGTGTTCGAGACCAGCCTGGCCAACATGGTGAAACTCTGTATCTACTAAAAATACAAAAAATCAGCTGGGCATGGTGGCGAGCACCTGTAGTCCCAGCTACCTGGGAGGCTGAGGCAGGATAATTGCTTGAGCCCGGGAGGCAGAGGTTGCAGTGAGCTGAGCTTGCAATGAGCTAAGCTTGCGCCACTGCACTCTAGCCTGGGTGACAAAGTGAGACTCTGTCTAAAAAAAAAAAAAAAAAAAAAAAATTGTGATAAGTGAAAATTACATGAAATTCAAGTTTCAGTATCCATAAATAAAGTTTTATTGGACCACAGCCATGTCCATTCACTTATGTATCCTCCATGGCTGCTTTCATACCATAACCTCAGAGTTGAGTGATTGTGACAGAGACCATATGGCTGGCAAGGCCTAAAATATTTACTCTTTGGCTTTTTACAGAAAGTTTGCTGACTACTGGTCTAGAAGAATAAATTTTCTTTGTTTTCTGCTTAGAAATTCCTTTTTTGGACTGAGAAGTAGGGCTATTTCCATGCTTATACAGGCTCATCCACTCTTATAAATAATGGTGAACAACTGTCTTCACATCACATGGTTGAAATACCAAGTATATTTGTGCATGTGTGTGTTTATGTATACAGGCACTAAGTATTTACAATACCTAAGTGTATTTCAATCTGACCATCACATGTGATGATAATTATTAACATAAATTATTCTTGTGAAAGGATAATGTTTATTAAATTAAGTCAAAAATTTTAACAATACAATTTTCATAACCTTCCCCCTATTCAATCAAGGGCATCCACTTGCCTCCAGATGTTTAGAATTTGTTAAAACAGGAAAGAGGAAGAAAAGGTCAATGCTCACGTTTTGGCTACCAATTTGGAATTTCTTTTGTAAGTTCATAGGGAGACAATGGTCTTGAGACAGTTGAACATTTTCTCAATTCCTTAAGCTCTCCTTTATGTATTAAGAGCTATGCCTGTGTGACTTTGGTTTATTAAAAGTGATAGTTAGCATGCCTGTAATCCCAGCACTTTGGGATGTTGAGGTGGGCAGATCATGTAAGGTCAGTAGTTTGAGACCAGCTTGGCCAGCATGGTGAAAACCTGTCTCTACTAAAAATACAAAATTAGCCAGGTGTGGTGGCATGCATCTGTAGTCTCAGCTACTCGGGGGGCTGAGGCAGAAGAATCACTTGAACCAGGGAAGCAGAGGTTGCAGTGAGCTGAGATCGTGCCACTGCACTCCAGCCTGAGCTACGGAGACTCCATGTCCAAAAAAAAAAAAAAAAAAGTCATAAGAACTCAGTAAATGATGTCAGTGAAGTTCCTGATTCATGGAAGAAAAGGGAAAGCCTGTTCCTGTTGGCCCCAGTGGAGTGTGTGGTAAAAGAAGGGGTAGAAAGTTAAGAAGCAATTGGTGAGACAAGTGTATTCTGGTTACTTCTTTCCAAGTCCATGTGAGACGGGAGGGTAGCGGAAACTTCATGGTAAGGTCAAAAGCAGAGTGGGGTTTGCCTCTTTCTCTGTTTCAGCTCTCGCGGGAGTCAGCCATGATGTGGGCCCTGCTTGCTGCCAAGTGAGGAAACCAGTTAAAATGGCAGTGAGAGGTGGCCAAGAAGATAAAGAGATTCAACTAGCACTTTGGAACCTGTCTAGGTCTGTGTGGATTGTGGAGGGATTTGAAGGGTTCCTCAAGCTGTATGGGGAAGCATGGAAGATAGCTGATGTGCCGGCTGGTGGCTTTGCCATGGTGTATTAGTACATTTTCATGCTGCTGATAAAGACATGCCTGAGAATGGGAAGAAAAATAGATTTAATGGACTCACAGTTCCACATGGCTGGGGAGGCCTCACAATCATGGCAGAAGGTGAAAGGCATGTCTCACTTGGCAGGAGACAAGAGAAAAGAGCTTGTGCAGGGGAACTCCCCTTTATAAAACCATCAGATCTTGTGAGACTTATTCACTGTCATGAGAATGACCCACCCCCATGATTCAATTACCTCCCACCGGGTCCCTCCTACAACATGTGCGAATTGTGGGAGTTACAATTGAAGATGAGATTTGGGTGGAGACACAGCCAAACCATATCACATGGTGAGGGTGATTTACCCTGTGGTCAATGACAAGGGGTCAACTGCTCATTACAAGCTAGACAGGGGTGCAGGGAGGATAGCAATGTCCACAGCACCCATGAAAGCCAGAGTGGGGCAGCCTGGGAAGGGAGGGTCATGGGCCCTTTCCAAGCCTCGAAATAAACCAAGTGCTTGCCAACCACAGACTTCTTCAGAGGATTCCTCCCAGAAACTGGGTCAGACTAGCGCCCCTGCACAGGCAACAGTGAGATCCGGAGAACAGCGAGGGCAGTCAGACTCTCTTGCCCTCCCAGGGCAAGGTAAGCTACTTCTCTCCCCTACCCCTTACACTCAGGGGTGAAGACCAGGGGGCAAAACAGCCCTCCTAAAGAGATGAGCCTCAAACTAACTGAATAAATAATCCAGAGAAACTCTCTTAAAGTAGAAGAGTCTGATACACTTTTTTTTTTTCTTTTTTTTTTTTGAGACGGAGTCTCGCTGTATCACCAGGCTGGAGTGCAGTGGCGCGATCTCAGCTCATTGTAACCTCCGCCTCACAAGTTAAAGCGATTCTCCTGCCTCAGTCTCTTGAGTAGCTGGGACTACAGGCATGCGCCACCTCCCCGGGTTGATTTTTGTATTTTTAGTAGAGACAGGTTATGTTGGCCTGGATGGTCTCAATCTCTTGACCTTGTGATCCACCTGCCTCGGCCTCCCAAAGTCTTGGGATTACAGGCATGAGCCACCGCGCCCGGCCTGATACACTTTTAATTAACTACTTTAATTCCAAGCATGCGTCCCAACCATCTCTCGTATACTCGAATGCCTAGCAAGAAGGGACAAAATATCAGCAGTAGAAAAAAAATTTTTTTTTTAAAGAACCTATGAATAGTAATATGCTAAACTTTTGACCCTTCTACTCTATTCAAATTTGTCATGCAGTTTTGTTCTAAGCAGTGACTTTCAAATGTTTTGATCATGTCCCTCAGTAAAAAACAAATTTTATATCACTACCAAGAACATATGTTCATACACACATGCCTGAAATAAAACATCATGAAATCGAATCTACCTTTAATTTGTTGTGTGATGTACTCTCTATTTTCTAGTGTTCTCTAGGTTTGAAAAAATGCCATTTATGTCCCATTAAATTGATTTCATGACCCATCTGATGTGTTTGTGACCTACAGCCTGAAACACACTGCCCCAAAGGCCTAATGAGGTGGATGGAACATCTCATTATACATTATACAGTTCCGGATGCTGTGCTTTCACATCCTTCTGTTTTCATAGCTTCACTGTCCCAACAACTACAGGCAGCAGCCATTTATTAAAGCTCTCTCCATAATATTTATCATAGCAGTCAAGATGCCTTCAGTTATATGTGATCAAAACCCAATCCAAGGCGAGTCACAGTGGCTCACACCTGTAATTCCAGCACTTTGCGAAGCCAAGGTGGGAGGATCGCTTGAGCTCAGGAGTTTGAGAGCAGCCTGGGCAACATAGTGAGATCCTGTCTCCACAAAAAAATTTAAAAATTAGCTAGGTGTGGTGGCATGTGCCTGTGGTTTCAACTACTTCGGAGGCTGAGATGGCAGGATCACTTGAGCCTGGGAGGTAGAAGCTGCAGTGAGCTATGATCGCAACATTGCACTCTAGCTTGGGTGACCCTGTCTCAACAAACAAATAAACAAACAAACAAGCAAAAAAAGCCCCTCAAACTCCAATCCAGACTGAATTAAGCTGAAAGTCAGTGTATTGTCTTATGTCATAGGGATGAGCAGCACAGTGTTACCTGCAAGTGCAACTGGGTCCAACATTTTAGGTCTCTCTCTTTTGCTTCTCTTGCCTCTGAGTTGGTCTTATTCTCACTTAGGCCTAGTCTACAAGGCAGGGAGCATGTCTTTGACTCCCCCAAGCACACAGTTCACAATGTAGAAGGAGAAGCCCCACCCAACCCCACTGTCCACATAAGACAGCTTGTGGACAGATGGGCCCAGAGAGATAAGGAATTCTGATTTCTTCAGCAAGATCTCAGGCCCAACCCTTGGCCAGGAGTGAAGCACTGATTGACAGTCTCTCTAAGCCAACACAGAATGGGAGAAAGTCGGGTACTCTTATTAAAGTAAGGGAGAGGAATTCTGCTCAGACCAGGAGAAAAATCAAGCAAGATAGATTAGAAAGATAGGTCCTGTATGGCAGATGTAAATCATTCTCTTATCAATAAAGTAACTTAAATTTAGAACCTGACAGTAGGCCTGGCACGGTGGCTCACACCTGTAATCTCAGCACTTTGGAAGGCCAAGGCAGGTAGATTATTTGAGCTCAGGAGTTTGAGACCAGTCTGGGAAATGTGGCAAAACCCTGTCGCCACCAAAAATGCAAAAAATTAGCTGGGCGGGCTTGGTGTTGCGTGCCTGTAGTGCCAGCTACTTGGTAGGCTTAAATGGGAGGATTGCTTGAGCCCGGGAGGTAGAGGTTGCAATGAGCCAAGATGGCACCAACTGCACTCCACCCTGCGTGATGGAGTGAGACTCTTTTTAGGACGAGGGGAGGGGTGTAGCATATACACTAAAGAGTTACTGAATCTCGGCTAAGTGCAGTGGCTCACGCCTGTAATCCCAGCACTTTGGGAGGCTGAGGCGGGTGGATCACCTAAGGTCGGGAGTTCGAGACCAGCCTGACCAACATGGAGAAACCCTATCTCTATTAAAAATACAAAAATTAGCCGGGCATGGTGGTGCATGCCTGTAATCCCAGCTACTCGGGAGGCTGAGGCAGGAGAATCACTTGAACCTGGGAGGCGGAGGTTGTGGTGAGCTGAGATTGCGCCATAGAACTCCAGCGTGGGTGACAGAGCAAAGCTCTGTCTCAAAAAAAAAAAAAAAAGAAGAGTGACTGAATCTCAGTCTTTGACATGCTTAACTGGAATAGCATTGCAGACAGCTACAACTTTGGTTGCTACTTCAATTCCAATTCAAGTAGAGAAACCAAGAAAGATGCTAAGAACAAGATTTCTTTTTGCCTTTGATGATAAAAAGTACATTAAAGAAGTACAAAATGAGGGTGATTACAGAATGAGTGGTTGAACAAAATCAGCAGGTGGAAATATGAAGCAGAAAGCATCCTCAAAGTACAATTATGATAGGATGAAGGGCATGCCAGGTGTTAAGTGTTTTGAATCGTCATTAATGAAGACAGCACTATTGACCCATTTGCTGTGGGAGGGTATCACGTTGACTTCACTTGCCACACTGCATAATCTGATTGTATCTATTACATCCAACTTTTCTGGCTGATGTCCTTGAATAACTCACAGCAGGTGTTTGCAAGCCAGGGTCAAGTGTGCATTCTGTACTCCCGATACAGAGGAAACGTCGTTGACCCACAGGAACGGAAATCAAGACCTTTGCCTTACTGGCCCTTTAAGTTACCAACAGAGCTAACCAAACCCAGACTACCTGAGAAGGAGAAAAATTAAAATAAAAGATACCTTTGGCAAGCAATTACATAACAGCTTTCAAAAAAGAACGCTGCAAAAATGTAAATCATTTCCACATGATTTACAAACTTTAAAGGTGACTTAAAAATTCTCAAAACATTCTGTTATGGCTGGTAAAAGTGAAAAGGGAAGTAAGAAGACAGAAACAAGACAAGAACCCTCTGTGTTTTCTTTCTCCTCCATAAAATATTTCCCCCACCAAAAGCACACATGGCCGCTGAGCAGCAACTTACCATTTTTCCAGGGTCAGTTCACTTTTCGTGCTGCTCTAAACCCTGCTGAAAGCCAGCTCCTCGGGGAGCCCCAGGAATGGGGGCTGGCCTCTCTTCAGTCTGCAAGCACTCAGAAGGAAATGCCCCTTGCTGAGAAAGGGGTGGTGTTAGGGGAGAATCCATCTACTGTCAAGGAAATTTCAATTAAATATGGATGCCAATTAATTTAATTTATATTTCTGCATGAAAAATGTCATTCTATTATACATGCACTGGAAGGATGCCAGGAGCCCAAGTTAATAAATTACAGCTCTACCGACATAATGTGGAATCACAGACTAATCGGATACTTATTAAATGCCCACCTGTGCTTGGGGCTACACCTTGTAGAAATCCAGCTGAAATAAGGTCTGTCCAGTAAGGCCTGTCCTTACACTGTGATCATCTGACACCCTCTCTCATCCTCCTCTTCTCCTAGCTTTGGGCATGTCTCAGGAGAACAACTGTAAAAATGAATAATCAACATTCAATTGCCAGTCGTTATGAATGGGCATATTTAATGAATAAGGGAATGAATGAAGGGGAACTGTAAATAATCTATTCAAATTAATCGGGGAACAGGCCTACTCTGGTTAGCAGGAAACTTGCCATGATTATTTGATTACAGATTCAAATCAGCTGGTGGTGGGTAATAATAATACCTACTGGTTATGAAGTGCCAACTCTGTGCCACACTCCATGTTTTATTTTGCATCCTTGCTATGTGTTTTATTTTGAATCCTTACAATAATCTTTCAGGGTAAGGATTACTCCTTCCCACATCCCTCATTTTAGAGACACAAAAGCTGAAGTGCAGTACACAGAAATGACCTTGCTCAAGGTCATGTGATTAGTAAGACGCACACTCTCCTGTCCTGGCCGATTGTCTTTGCATCATATCTCTGTTCTCTAGGACAAGTGTCAGCACTCTCTCCATGGGGGATGGGCTGGTGACTGCCCTATTCTGGCAGTGCTGACACACTGGAGAGTTCTTCATGCACTACAGTGATGATTAAATCACCAGGAGATGACTCTGTAATACCCCCTGCCTGGGAATTCATCCTGCTCTCCTCTGCTGCAGTTCTGTATAGTCGTGAAACGGATGTCACTCAGTTGCAACAAGTTCTCGAGTAGCCACTCATTGTTTTAGCCAGTTATTTATTCACCATTCACTAAGCACCCACTATGTGCTAGGTCCTAGGATCCAATAAAGTAAAAGGAGGTCAGACTAATGGGGAAGACAGATGCCCTAACACAAAATTGCAGTGTGTGTGGTTTAATACCACGGAATTGCTAACGTTCCTTTTGTTGTTTATTCAATCAATCCTTATACCCTGTATGAACACTTACAGAGTCTCTATAACATACTGGACAACAGGCCCGTTCTCACATTTTCAAGCCAGGGCAGGAAAAGTCATGAAAGCCATCAGCCTGAGTCTGTTCTTCTGACTTCCTCTTTCTTCCCATACCTGACTTCATCTTGCACTGCAAGGGGCCTCCCATGTATGTGTCTGGGCATCCCAGCCTATGTGTACAAATTTTGAAACACCTCCCGCCAGAACCTCTTAACATCAGGAAGAGGCTTCTGTGCAGCCTAGAAGCAACTTTTGGCCTCTTTGAGTAGGGAGTGCTGGGATCCAGGACCCAGAGAGTGGTACAAAAAGGGAGGGAATGGGCTTTGGGTGGGCACTGCCCTCTGGCTCTATTCACTCTTTCCCCTGTGGCTGCAGACAGGGCAGAGGAAGGCCAGAGGGCCTCAGAGTATGGTCCTCAATGCAGCCACTTGGCATCACCTGGAAACTCATTAGAAATGCAGAATCACAGGCCCCACTGCAGACTTTGTGAGAGTCAGGTCTGCTTTTTTTTTTTTTTTGAGATGGACTCTTGCTCTGTCACCCAAGCTGGAGTGCAGTGGCGTGATCTCAGCTCATTGCAACTTCTGCCTCCCGGGTTCAAGCAATTCTCCTTCCTCAGCCTCCTGAGTAGCTGGGGTTACAGGTGCACGCCACCACGCCCGGTCAATTTTTGTATTTTTAGTAGAGATGAGGTTTCACCATGTTGGCCAGGCTGGTCTCAAACTCTTGACCTCAGGCGATCCGCCCGCTTCGGCCTCCCAAAGTGCTGGGATTACAGACGTGAGAGCCACTGTGCCCGGCCAGATCTGCATTTTAACAAGATTCCCAGGTATTTCATGGCCTTTTGAGAAACACTCTCTAAGGGCCCTAGCTTAAGCCCCTCTTTTGGTAAATGAAGAGACTGAGGCTGCCCGAAACACAGGGCAGGAAGAGGGGCCTGGCCTGGGGCTGGGTTGCCCAGGTCTGAGAGTGTCCTTCTAGGCACCTTGCTATTCTCTAGGGTAAACATGTGCCACAGCAAATTTCAGAGAAAACACCTTTCGAGTAACTCAGATTGAGAGGGGCCTGGAGTAAGAGATTTACAACAAGCGATCCAAGGAAGAGAATTCCATGAAGTCATGGGCAAGGTAATTAAAGGAAAATTAAATTAAAGTGTTTTTTTCTGAATTAAAGGAGAGTGAAAACAAGTCATTGCACAAGCAAACTTGAGGGAGGGTTGAGGAACTCTTGTTTTTCATTTTGTTTCTGAGGCCAATGCAAATGAGCTGGAGTAGACTCTTCCATAGTCCAGTGAACTGCCCTTTTTTGTTTTTGTTTTTGTTTTCTGCATTCCTTTAGCCTTCCTCCTTTTTCCTCAGTATATTTTAGTTCCCAAACCTTTCTGATCCATGTGGCCCTTCACCTCCCTGCTTTTGGTTTTCTCAAATCATTCACTCAGCTCCAAAGAATATAAAAAAGATAAGTCAACAGAACAATTTTTTTCTTTTTTATTTTTTTTGAGACACGGCATCACTGTTCACCCAAGCTGGAGCGCAGTGGTGCCACCGCTGCACACTGCAGCTTCCACCTCTTGGGTTCAAGTGATCCTGCCACCTCAGCTACCCCAGTAGCTGGGCCTACAGACATGTGCCGCCATGCCCAGCTAATTATATTTTTATTAGTAGAGATAGGGTCTCACCATGTTGCCCAGGCTGGTCTTGAACTCCTGAGCTCAAGGGATCCTCCCTCCTCGCCCTCCCAAAGTGCTGGGATTATAGGCATGAGCCACCATGTCTGGCCAGAACAAAGTTTAAAAATATGGTCAGCAAATATGTCCTAAGAATATTAAATGCATCGGCTGGGCGCAGTGGCTCACGCCTGTAATCCCAGCACTTTGGGAAGCTGAGGTGGGCGGATCACCTGAGGTCAGAAGTTCGAGACCAGCCTGGCCAACATGGTGAAACCCCATCTCTACTAAAAATACAAAAATTAGCCGGGCATGGTGGTGGGTGCCTGTAGTCCCAGTTACTTGGGAGGCTGAGGCAGGAGAATTGCTTGAACCCAGGAAATGGGGGTTGCAGTGAGCCGAGATCATGCCATTGCACTCCAGCCTGGGCAACAGAGTGAGACTCCGTCTCAAACAAAAGGAAAAGAAAAGAAAAAAAGAGTTGCATTTCGATTTTATAAGTTCCCTTCAGCCAGCTACAGTTATCTACATGTTGCCAGTTGTGTTTCAGTTCTGCCTAGCCCATCTTCTCATCCCTATTGCTCACCTATCTTTTCTTTTTCCTCCTACCCTCCCTCTTTTCTTTCCCTTTCTTTCTGCCTTTCTCTCCTCTCTTTCTTTCTTGCTGGTGTTTATTAAAGCATAGTCCAGACATCATGTCAATTAACTCACTTCCTACAGAGTTTCCTTGAGGCAGGGCCACAAGAGAATGTATGTAGGCTGGGGAAATGATCTCTTATGATTATGTTCTTGACCAAAATAAGGAATTTGTGTTACTGAGATAAGAAACAATAAAGAATTTCCAAAACCTCTTCATAATACCCCAGATATTGTGGACTTTATTTTCTATCTCTATGTCTTCCCCCTAGAGTCTTTCAGGGGTGTCTATGAGAACTTTTTCATCTTCCTTTACTATTAAACTAGTAACAGAATAACAAAAACTTTGGATGTTTATATATCTAAAAAGAGGTGAATATTCTCTTTCTGTTGGTGAAAAGGATTCTCAGGGCATCAGTTTTGAAGTTAAAATTTGACAATGGAAAGTTTGCAGAGATCTTCTATGACAAGAAACCAAACATATCACTGCCTCCCCCCAACCCCTCGCCCAGGCAAACTCCTGAAGCTGATTGTTGTAATGGTTTTAAAGGTGCTTAGGATGAGGACCTAGATCTGAAGCATGGTGCACAGTTGTTTACTGTTCACACAAGTCAGATCTACGAAGGATCAAGTAATTTGGAGGTTTGGTTACTTTCCATTAGTAAACATCATCCAACTAAATTTGGGTAAAATGCCCTCTAAATAAGTCAAGTAGACAGGAGCTTTGAATGAGGGAATTAATTATAGCTGGTGTCTCCAGGAAAAAGAATCCCACTGTGGCATGGAGAATGTAATTAATGGGAGGTAAGTGCCAACAAATCACTCCTTAAAATATTAATGCTATCAAAGAACAGCTGGATAATGAGAGAAACTTGACCCTTGGGGGACCAGCAAAGGTTGCTGCTGCAGCAGAACTTTATGCAGTTATGACGTAATGAAATTCCTCTAAATTTTAACAAAAACTAATATTAAAAGGTGTGGTTCTGGGAAAGTTATTAGCAGTAAACATGTCATAATTTTTATCATCTGATTATAATCACTATATCTCATTTTTGCTGTGTTTCTAAGTGACATTTTCCTGTAATTGCTCAGGATATATATACAATTGAAACAACACTCCTAAAAAACAACTAGAGTTAAAAAAAAGATTAAGTCTGGCAAGACCTTTTTTTTGTAAATAAAAAACCCAATATCTAAGAAATTTCTGCAAAACAATTTCCCATATGCTTAAACTATTTAACTAAAAAACTGTTTCATTGTTTGTTATTGAAAGCTCCAACTTAATTTGTTTTTACTTAATAGCTTCGTATTGTCCTAAGAAATATGTAACTCTAAGAGAGCAATAAAGTTAAATATTTACACGGTCCCACTTAACGTGTGAAATGGACATGTATTTTCAGCAGCCACATAACTAAATGCTAATCCCAATACCTAAAATTAGAAATCAGAAGTAATTATTTAATTGGAATATACTTTAACTTAGATAAAAAAAAAAAAAAAAGAAATCGTTTTAATAGGAGATTTTTAAAAAAGTTTCTCCGGAATCGACTCGGTTCATCAGGAAGCTGCGAACGTGATAAATGCGTTTGACCGCGCACCTTGTGTCGCTGGAGCTGAGAACACTTTGTTCCTTTTGTTTCACTCAACTTGCCGACATCTAACTCAGGGACACGGGTATGCAGCTTGTTTGACAAATAAGCCGAGATACACCGAACATATTCACACATACCAATAGACGATGATTGGAAGTTCAGGATGCAGTCAAAATAAATGCTTGCGTTTGGCCCAGGTTTCACATAACACCAGTTTCATAAGGCACTTAGGCCGCTAACGGAGCAGTGCCCCTGAAAATAGCCCACAGGGGACACATCATTTAAATAAATGTGTTTCTTTCCCTGAACAGAAGTTCAGTTCTGCTCAATTATCATTAATTTTGCTCCTTTATTTCCTTTGCGGGCGTGAACGGAGAAGTCGTGCTCTTTGAGGTTTTGCGAGCTGGCCTTGGCTGGCAGAGGTGACCGGCAATCCTTCAGCCGGCGGAAAAAGTGCGAGTGTGTGTGTGTGTGTGCTTGTGAAAATGTGCCGTTCCTCCCAGAAAAAGTGGAAACGTAGGTGGAAAGCTCAGCACATGTTGGCGACACCTAAAAACCATGTTCTCGGTCCTGAACCTTTAGAAGCGGTATCCCAGGAACGAGTCTGAGTCTGTGCAACAGGGCACAGATGATTCGACAAACTTCAATGACTGCACCGCATTCATGCATTATATCCATTGAAAAGTAAATCCAGCGTCTCCACTCGCGCGCCCACGTGCGTGGATAAACGCGGGAATTCGGCAGCCCTCAACGTCACTCTGCAGAGATTTCCGGGCTGTGAGAGAGTTGGGGTGTGCGGCGGGGGAGGGGAGGGTCTGATATCTTCAGGTTGAGAGTCAAGTCCTGGGGGAGCGGCATGGGCGGGGGTGGCCGGGGGGAGGCGGAGGATGGAGCGCGAACCAGAAAGCGCAGAGGACCCTCGGCCCGCGCCGCACCCGCTGTGATTAGCTCCAGAGGCGCGATCCGGGAGGGCGGACTCTTTCTTAACCCTCATTGTCTCCTCCTCCCTCTTCCTTTTTAAAAGACGCCTTGCGGGCAGAGCTGTCAGCAACCCCGCGGCCGTTTGTACTTGGCCGCGGCGGAGCTGACTCCTGCTCCTGTGACAGATAGGGGCTGGGGCTGAGCGGCCGCCTGTCTGGGGTACTCGCACGTGGGGAACAAATTCTTTTCCTCCGGCTCCTCTCGGGACCCGGCGATCGCCACAGGTTGGGACTCTGTGCGGCGCTGGAGTTGGCAGCCCCGGGCGCTATGGCTCCCTTGAGGAGTGGGGAGGGAGGTGGCCGGGGGGTTGGCGCGCCCCTCGCGCGGGGAGCGCTATGAGCCGGGCGAAGGGCGGCAGCGACAGCCCCAGCAACTGCCTCTGCCGGCGCCTCCCGCAGGCCCTCGCCAACTCGCCCCGCGCACCATGCTGACTCCCGGCCTGCGGAACTCGTAGTGCAGCCCCTGTCGCCTCCCCGGCCCCTGCTATCCCACGCAGGACTGGCTTCGGCCGCCGGGGCCAGCAGCTTGCGACGTGTCCCTGGGGAGGCGGAATCGCTGTGCGCCCTGAGCCCGGGCTCAGCCCTTCGCTTTCCAGCTGCGTCCTGCTCCCGGCCGCCCAGGGAGCCCAGTGGCGATGAGGGCACTGCTGGCGCTTTGCCTTCTCCTTGGCTGGCTGCGCTGGGGCCCGGCGGGCGCCCAGCAGTCCGGAGAGTACTGCCACGGCTGGGTGGACGTGCAGGGCAACTACCACGAGGGCTTCCAGTGCCCAGAGGACTTCGACACGCTGGACGCTACCATCTGCTGCGGCTCCTGCGCGCTCCGCTACTGTTGCGCCGCGGCCGACGCCAGGCTGGAGCAGGGCGGCTGCACCAACGACCGCCGCGAACTGGAGCACCCAGGCATCACTGCGCGTAAGTGCGGGGCCCTCGGGGACATATCCCCGCCCGCCTAACGGCGGCGGCTGCATGTGTGCGCGGGAGGATGCACAGACCCAGGCAGGTCTATGCGCCTTCCTGGGTCTGTGCGCCAGGGGGACGCGGCCGGGTGGGGGAATCAAGGGATGAGTGGGTGGTCGCGTTTCAGATCATGGTCCTCTATTCATTTGCAGTCCCGCTTCCCGCCACTTGCGGTCTCTGCGGGTCGGCCCGCAGGGAAAGTTTGCCAGGGACAGTGAGGAGCGCGGGGCTTGTGCCTGGTAGCCGGGGGGAAGACAGCTGGAGCTCCCGGGAGAAGGGTAGTGCGGGTAAAGCCAGGGTAGACTTGGGTTTTGGTGGAGGGGCCGAGGGTGTCCCATTGCTCGCCCTTGTCACTTCGGGAGCTTCGGGAAGTGCCGAATGCAGGGAATCGCGACTCTTGTCGCGCGCTCATTTGCAGCCCTTCAGGGCTAAGAAACCCCAGTCACTTTTTTTTTCTGTCTTAATGATAGCGTTTCTAAGCCACGGCCCCGTTCTGCAGACTTCCTTTCAATTCTCTGCATCGAATTACCCTCTCCGGCCCACCCCCTATTGTCACGCCTTTCAGAAATGCCCAGGTCTTCGAGGTGGAGATTTAGAAACAAGGGTCGAAGGGGCTTCCCCGCCCCCTATTCTCACTTCGGAAAACACGGGTCAAATTTCCGCTGACTTCAGAGCGGAATAAATCACGACCCCAGCAGAGAAAATTTACACCTTGAAAAAAAGTTTTCCACCTGAATCGGAACATCAGGGAAACGCTTTAGAGCTTGAGGCGAGGGTTTTATGGCCAGGGAAACCGGAGAAGCGGGCGGAGCTGAGAGCGGGTGACACCCCAGGACTCCAGAGAGCCGAGGTCTGGAGCCCGCAAGAGAAGGTCGCCGGGAAAGGGAAGAGAGGCTGGAGAGATCATTAAGGGTTCCCCAACGGCCCCTCCCCGCAAACTGATAACCCAGAGGACAGGGGAGTCTGCCCTCCATTAGTGCTCCACTAGAGGGTGAATGTTGGGGGTCAACATTTCCAATCTAGAGGATTCTGGAAGTAGTTCTGGAGAAAAGATGCTCAGCGGAAAGTAGGGAAATCTAGGCCCTCCTGGCCTGTTAGAAAAATATAGACTCTTCCCCACGGCTTCACTCGCTCACCCTGGGGGACCCAGCTGCCCTCTGGGAGTAAGTGCAATTGCCCAGTCTGCAGCACGGGCTTCCTCTGCGCTCCCTACTCGGCTCGGATGCCAGAGGACAGCAGAAGGGAGAGGCAGTCTCCACACTCACTGAGTCTGGGATCAGGCAAACCCTGATGGACCTTGGCTCTGTCACTTGCCGGCGGTGTAACTTGGGCAAGTTACTTAACTGCTCTGGATACCTCTTCTCAGTT
This sequence comes from Homo sapiens, assembly GCF_000001405.40. Lineage (NCBI taxonomy): Eukaryota > Metazoa > Chordata > Mammalia > Primates > Hominidae > Homo > Homo sapiens. The sequence continues at coordinate 42,399,747 of NC_000004.12, forward strand.
CTAAAGTGGGCATATTGCTCTCAAAGGAGTTAAGTTGTTGGTGACGTGAGAGTGTATGAATGCTGGAGCGCAGGGCTCAGTAAATGGTAGTTACTTACCTTTGCCTTGCCTTGCACGCTGGTGCTAGTAAACAAGGGAGAATGGGAGGGACACAGAAGAGCTTACGCCTAGTAGCCCACAAATAATTGATAGTTACCTGTCCCTCACTAGCTCTGTCTGTGGGAATGCGCAAACTTCTCTGATGTATTTCCACATCTGGAAAATGGAGCTTATCATGTCCATCTCACAGGGTCTCCAAGAGACTTTAATCAGATAATGAATAAGAAAGAGCCAGGCACACAGTAGGGACTTAGTCAATGCAGGCTTTCTTTCTTCTACCTGTAAGCTGGAGGCTGCGTCTTAGCACGGCTCTATCAGGGGAGAGACCTGGAGAACTGCCCAAGGGGATGCCTCCGGGCTTGGGAATTTTATGTCTGCCTTGTAGAGAGAGAAGGAAATTGGAGTTTGCTCTGTTTGAGGGATGCTTTTATAGAAAGTCTGGGCCGTGGACACCAAGAATTGCCTGGTGATCTATCTAAAGTTCAGTCTGACTTCCCAGGCTTGGATGGGAATTGAGAGGCACGGCAGCTGGAGTGGGTATTCCAAATCTTTCCTGGAAAGAAGCAGCCAGAGCTGGCAATTTGTGGTGTATGGTAGGAGACACAGTCGATTGGGGCCCTCTGTGAATTTCTTTATACTGTTCTTTCTGGAGTCTCATAAAATCCTGGGTCTGTGTGTAGAGGGGAATCTCATTTAATAGGCCTGGCTCCCTTTGCTTAGACTGGAGATTATTGAATGGGAGATGGATTGCCAGCCTAAGAGAGGGGACAAGTCTCTTACTGCTCACCGTGATCAAACTACTAAAACCTGCATTTAAACCTAGAATTATTTTAACCCCTAAAACTCACCCTTTCCCTCTAGTGCCTGAACAGGAGAACAGATTCCGTTTTTTTTTTCTGACTTCCAGATGTGCAATATGATAGTTAATTGCTAACAGAGGCTACGGTATCCGTTTGCTTCCTCCCTGCTAGGAGTAGCGAGAATATTCCATCATCACGGTTTGCATTGCATTTTGGAGGTTACCATTAACAAGCTCTGAAAAACTGAGCTGACAGCAGTGATAGTAACTGAGTCTCCCACCTCTCAACCCTCAGCTGCCCAAGCAGAGTTCAGAATCTGGGAGATCCTCATCTGAGCATCTGTTTATGTCTGTTTTTGCCTTTTAGAGCCTGTCTACGTCCCCTTTCTCATCGTCGGCTCCATCTTCATTGCGTTCATCATCCTGGGCTCTGTAGTGGCTATTTATTGTTGCACCTGTTTGAGACCCAAGGAGCCCTCGCAGCAGCCAATCCGCTTCTCACTCCGCAGCTATCAGACAGAGACCCTGCCCATGATCCTGACCTCCACCAGCCCCAGGGCACCCTCCCGGCAGTCCAGCACAGCCACGAGCTCCAGCTCCACAGGCGGCTCCATCCGCAGGTTCTCCTTTGCCAGGGCTGAGCCGGGCTGCCTGGTGCCCTCACCGCCCCCGCCATACACCACCAGCCACTCAATCCACCTGGCTCAGCCATCTGGTTTCCTGGTGTCACCCCAGTATTTCGCTTACCCCCTCCAGCAGGAGCCCCCACTGCCTGGGAAGAGCTGTCCAGACTTCAGTTCCAGTTGACACGCCCAGGCCATGAATCCACAACTCAGTCAGATGGCAGACAGGTGGAGCCCTGCTCCCATTGCCACATGCAATTCTGAGAAAATTTCCCTTGTAACTGATCAGTGTCATGGAGGAGCATGCTAGGAAAACACAGCACCTTCTAATTTGAAAGTTCCTGTCTCCAATCACAGAAAGGCTAAACCAGAGAACTGTTTTCTGGTTTTGCAAACATGTGATCATTACATTTCAATCTATGCTACTTTTATTCAAAATATGCAGCAGTTTGACTTTAAAGTTGCAAACTGGCTAAAAACGTTTTACTGGACATTCAGCTATATTGCTTAGAAAAGGGCTACATGTTTCTTTTTCATATAAGTTGTTCATTGAGTTATGATAGGAATATATTCATAAATAAGCAAAGAAAAATACCTAATTGTAATTATCAAAGGTTCACTTAAAAAATTAACTATTAGGTAAACTTAAGGGGGCAGTGAAAAATCTATTTATGATTTCGGGAGTAACCTAACCATGAATAATATTAGCATAATGAGAACATTTACTTTTTAAATAAATAACTAAATTTTGTTTACAATATGAGTTTTTCCAGAATACAAGGTTTCAATAATCACATGAGGAGTTTAAAGTTTTAAATATATACTCAGACATTCATTGTAACACAGAGTGTATGTAAAATCATTTCCCCCACTCACTGGAGGGAGTATTTATTGCAGACTTTTTGTTCAGCAACATTTAGTGTTTCAGTGAAAGTTGGACAGTTGGGGCTTAAAACATTTATTTGTAAAATGAGCTATGTTCAAATGTAAATATTTGTAATTTAATGTATTTACCACATTGACTGTACTAATTATTTAGTAGTCATACTGTAATTTTTATGTTAATAATAACTGGAGTTCAAAGTCTAGCTATTGGTATAATCATCTAATATTATATATATCTCCAGTGCCCCTGAATTTTATGTTTGATGACTATATATTTGGGCATATATCTTGTTGGATTAGAATAAATAAAACACTTTATATTTTCATGAACTCTATTTAAATTTTAATGTGATTCATTTTATCTCTTTAGCGATCCTTCTTTAAAAAAAAGGAAATGTTTTTAACACATACTTCATATTTTAAAATTAAAAAAAAATTCCATATCAGGGCTCGTGAAAGCAGCAAAGGAAGTGAATTTTTATGGAGGTCTCAGTCTACAGCCCTCCGATGTGTTTGGCCTGTAGAGAATTCATCATTAGGACGTTTCTCATAAGAATCTGGATTTCTGGCTTCTCATGACATAGAGGACGTGGCACCAGGGGTCCTGCACTGCCTTGGGGTCAGGTCAATCCTCTTCAGACAGGACACCTGCCATTTGCCAGCCTCCTGCCTGGTCTCCCCACCTGGCCCATCTATTTTTGCTATGCTACCTACCTGGCCCCTGCAGGTGTGGTTTGAAAGCCCAGATTTATAGGAATTCATACTATCATATGTCACTCTCAGTTTTCAAACACAATTAGTTAGAGGCAGAATTCTGTCCTAAGAGAGTTGTTTGGCCTTGTCTCTTCATTTTCTAGTTAAGGAAACAAGTTCAAAGATATTCGGCCTCTGCTCAGTCTAAAGGCAGAGGGGCTCTGACTTCTAGTCTCCTGCTTTATCCTGTATCTAAAAGTGGCCTGACTTCCGGGTATCCCAAATTGTTCAAAATAATTAAGGAAAGAAACAGCTGCATGTAAAAGGATGAACATTTATACACATAATCTTGGGCGCACTCCTATACGATTAGACTAGTTTTATTTATGTTTGTAGTATTTTGGTCCTTTTAATGGTTTTAAGGTTACCTTATTAAAGCTCTTATTATGAGCCAAGCATTAAGTATTAGTATGTATTAACTTATTTTATGCTCTAAACAACCCCAACAGAAAAGTATTACAATTCCTATTTTAAAGATTCGAAAGCTGAGGCACAAAGGAATGAAGCAACTTGCCCAAGGTCCTGCAGCTAGTCTGTACTGGAGTTGATATGCATAAACAAACAGATCCAAACAGCAACGGAAGACCTGCTTTGAGATTTTGATGGTTCTGTGCACAAAATTCATCGGAGATTTTAAGAGCATAAGCCTAAGTTTCGAAGGCAGTGATTCTCAGCCCTGTTGGACCCCAAAATGAGCTCTCCTTAGAACAAATATTTTGTGACATCCCTTTATGAGTCCTAAAATGAAATTTATAGATAACTCACTACACACATAATTTTTAAAAATCAATACAATGCCCCAATGGTGAATAGAAGAAAGAAAGGGAAGTAACTTATTTCTAAATGTAAAGGTTTGGGCAGACTTAAAAAAGACAGATGCTAACCCCTTATTCAAAATCACCATGATGTGACAGCTTCAAATCCAGACGGATGCAGTTGGTAATTCTGGCAACTCAAACACAATCGCACTGATTTCATTAATGTGATTTTTTCCCAGCAAAGTTTGATCATCCTTTGATTTGCACAGTGGCTGTATATCTGAAGAATTCAGTGTATACTAAGGCAGTGCAACAAATATAGGTAAAATGGGATTACGTTTTTTTTTTCACCAGTAGTAATGGTGGACATTCCAAAGTCATGCCGATGGACATCAAGTCTTTTTTGTTGTGCGGGCTGCTTCCATGCATTGTAGGATCTTGGTTACAACTGAGTCCCCCTCAGTGAATGCCAGTAGCACATCCACCTCCGCCCCAACGCTCTAATGCGGAAGATTCCCCCATGCAATTCCACCACGTCCCCTAGAGGGTGGAACTGTCCCCACTGAATACCATCTAGTTGCCAGATTTCTCTAGTAGCTGTACTTTTATTTGTCATCCCTTTGGAGAACAGTTTATGTCCATTAGACAAGTTAATGCTAAGGAATTCATAGAGAGTTCACATCTGCAAATTTCCCTTCCTGAGCAGGATGCCCCAGTCAATTTAACTGGCCATAAATTGTTTAAAATTAGAGAGATGTTGTGTACCTCATTGCAATATGGCATTCAGTGATACTAGATCAAATCATATCACGAAGTAATTATTGATATGCAGTACATGCCTTTGACCTTCTCTCTGGAAGCCAGGTAGCTGATATTATTATTCACAATTTTAGGTAAAAAGCCTATCTTGTGGCAGATTTCTAGATATTGTCCCATTCAACAATTCTTTGCTGAACACCACTTATGGGTCAGGTGCTGAGTGAGATGAATAAAAGATGATTAAAATGCACTTCCAACTCAAGGAGCCCCCAGCATCATGACAAAGACAAATACTTGTGATAAAATGTTATAGATGCTTTATAAAAGAAGCATGTTATCTTTTCCTGCTCTTTGTGGTAACTGCGATTACAGGGGAGTGCAGGATACCCTGGCAGCACTTACAAAGGACACTGTTCATCCTGGAGGTGTTGACATTGGACCTGAGCCTTGAAAGACATGTAGAACTTGAATGAAGAAGACAGGGCAGAGAAAGAAAGAGAAGGGGGCTGGAAATAAGGGAAAAAATATATCAGGCAGAGTAAAGAATTCATAGAGAGGCACAGAAGCACCCACCCATGAGCCTGAAAGAACAAGGAACATTTAAGAACCCAGAAGAAGGCCAGGAACTGTGGCTCATGCCTGTAATCCTCACACTTTGGGAGGCAGAGGTGGGTGGATCATGAGGTCAGGAGACTGAGACCATCCTGGCCAACATGGTGAAACCTCGTCTCTACTAAAATACAAAAAATTAGCCGGGCGTAGTGGGTGCCTGTAGTCCCAGCTACTCGGGAGGCTGAGGCAGGAGAATGGCATGAACGCAGGAGGCAGAGCTTGCAGTGAACTGAGATTGCGCTACCGCACTCCAGCCTGGGTGACAGAGCGAGACTCCGTCTCAAAAACAAAAACAAACAAACAAAAAAAAGAATCCAGAAGAAGAGTGAGGCTGGAGAGAGAAGTGGGGGCAGATTAGAGATCTTGAACACCATGGTATTTGAATAGATGTCAAATGCAAGAGGGAGTCTGGAAGGATTTTACAGGGGAGGGGATGGGATCATATCTCCATTTTAGAAAGATTAGGCTGCAAAGGTCAAATAAAATCTTTTGGAGTTTCCAAGGAGCTGCTCATCACAATCTGCTAAACCACCAAAATACAGCAGAAACTTGTCTGCTTTTGTTACTTTCAGAAAGAATTTGAATCCAACATCCTCATGCCACGATTATTGTGAAAAATAGAAGTTCTGCATTTTGAAAGGTCGTTATGCCAATAATGGATAACATTTATTAAGCGCCATGTGTGTCCCAAGTGCTTTATGAATTGTATCACTGAATCTTCACAACCCTGAAGAAGGGATTATCATCATGCCTATCCTGCGGATGAAGAAATCAAGGCGAGAAGGTTAAACACTGTGCCCAAGGACGGATAATACCATAGGGGACAGATCTGAACCCAGGTGGTCTACTTGGAAATTCTACATTCTGTGTGACATTAGACCTAGGAGGTCTAATTTTGTGAGGAAAACAAAAATATCCAATGTACTTTTCAGAAAATCTATTGGGGAAATAGTGATCAATTGCATCATATTATACATATCCTATTGATATCAGGGGATTGTAAGTCACGGAGAGCTTATGCTGCATTATGAAAATGTGGAATAAAATAAAGCATGAATAAAAACACTAGATGATAAATATTTCTCCCTTTACACATGAGAAATGGGATTCCAGAGGGTGATTGAGCATGGATTTTGAAGCTGTAATGCTTGGGTTAGTTTTCTGGCTCTGTCACTTAAAAGTGGAGTGACTTTGGGCCACTTAAATTCACTGTGTCTCAGTCTTCTCATTTGTAAAATAGAGACATTAGTACTACCTTTTTGCTTATGGTTGCCTTGAGAAGAAGTTACAGACACTGTCTCAGGTCACTTGCATTCTAGTGGGCAGAAAGCTGTGTAGTAAGGATAAATAACAGAAAGCAGATGAAATACTTTAGAATAAAAATGAAAGGCTAAGTACTGCGGGAGGGCAGATATCACTGTTGATTAGGGGTAGGGAACAGAGAAAATGGTCCTACAGTTTGATCAAGTAAGTCCTTGATAACCCATGGGCCCCTTTGGTACTTGGCCAACTTCCTGCTCGTCTGGAATAGGGCATCCTCTCATCCTGTTGGGTACTCATGGTCTGTACCTTTCTTTCATCATCTGCTTTAGAGAGCACATTCGTAGCCAGGTGTGGTGGCAGGCGCCTGTAATCCCAGCTACTTGGGAGGCTGAGGCAGGGGAATCGCTTGAACCTGGGAAGCGGAGGTTGCAGTGAACTGAGATCGTGCCATTGCACTCCAGCCTATGTGTCACAGTGAGACTCCGTCTCAGAAACAAACAAAAAAATAACTGTTCCTTTGAGACAAATTTATTTTAAAATAAATGTGCTTTTCTAACCAAAAAAAAGCACATTTGACATAGTAAATTTGCTTTAAAATGGTTATGTTCCAAAGTGAACAGATTGTACACTTGTCCAAATGGATAATTCCTTATTTTCCCCAGCTGTTTTATTTTTGTTATTATTAGCTACTTCTCATGGTGGAGAATTTACCAGGTTGACTTGAATCCATAGGAAATTTTCTAAACTGAGATAATCAAAAAACTTCCTGAAAGTAGATACAGTCACAACCAGGAATCTGACAAATTTCACTGGGTTGGCATCATTTTACCTTTGCATAATCTAAAATATTTATTTAGTATACGTTCAGGAAAACTAATAATTTACAGGCATGTTAAACTATTAAGGGAACAAACTGTTAACATATTTTTGTATGTACATGGCTATTTTAAAATTGCAATTAAACAGTAGTTAATGACATTATTCTGACAGGAAATCCTTATTTAAATTGCTAGTTTCATGACTTGAAAGTAATAAAAACTGAATGGCAAGAGGTATTTCATATTTTCCAACAAATTTTATTAGCCTATTCATGAAATTATCCAGGTTAGGAAGACCTTTCTTCATTAAAGTGAGGCAGTTCTGTGTTACTGAAAACTTTAGAGACGCCCTATGCATACAAAAACAAAATTTAAATGGAGATGACATATTGAATTTATGGAAATGTATTTCCAGTTTGCTTTTTGCTTATGGTAGTATTAGAAGGCATCTTAAAATACAGGTCAGTGGAAGCACGTGCTTATTTTAAGGAGAATGGAGTTGAATGTGAAAATTATTTGATAGAATTCAGAGGTAACATATCCATGAACTGTTTTGCTGTGGTTTTGCATGGAGGTCCCCACCCAATTGTCGTCCCTGGGAAGACTGTGGGAGAGGACATGGGGCTCCAGGCAGGTAAGCACGCATGGTCTCAGTCTAATAAAATCAGATGCTCCTCAAATTGCCTCTCCAGCGCCTCTTTGAGAACTAATCCTATTCTAGTAATTTACCTAATTGTATCTTCAGTTGTTTCTCTTTTACCAAAGGACACTTATTTTTGCTGAAGTGATTGTTCTTATTTCTGATGCTGTCTATACTTTTGTCTCATGTGCTCAATTTTATTATTTTCTGGTTACTGCCTTCAAATGTTATTGGCTAAACTTGAGCACTTTCTCATGAACTTAAAACAGTTTAGTTGGTTTAGAAAACAAATTCATCCAACATAAAAGGTTGAAACCATGAATAGGCTGTTTACTTGCAAGCTGATTTAAATATGCAACAGGGACAATCCTGGGAGGCTTTTCGTACTGAAGTGACAAAACACAGTAATTTTATTAAAAAATTCTGCTAATTATAAAAACTACCCATCTTACCAAACTAGAGTTAATACACTCCATTTCATGTTTTATTTAGCTGGATTAAAATGAAGGGATATTTTATAAATCACTGGGATACACCTTCTCAGACTAGTTACTGCTGGATTTGAAGGTTTTAGAAAGCAATATAATTTCTAGAACTAGCAATCAAAACTTCAACAATTTTAAGTAATGGTAAAGTTTATTTCATTTTTAATAACAATTAGAGGACAAAATGTTTAAAATTTGCAGTTTAAAACATGCACATTCACAAAAGGCCAATGACACATAACACTGCATAGAAATAATATTACTCAATTTTAATAACTATAAAACACAGTGCATCAAACATCAAGATAAACAAACCTGAGAAAACTACTATAACCACAGATTCAATACTCTCCACTCATGCAGCTTCACAATTTCTACAGCAGTTTCAGCAGGAATGGTTTTTCAGGGAGCTGAAAATACTACTTTATCTTTAACGCAAAACTGCAGTTTTCTGTAGTAGCTGCCTTCCAAGGCTGCCCTGTTTTTCTTAACCTAATAAACTTGAAAATGTAAAAAATGACGATTAAAGTAGTTAAACAACAGATAGTATTTACTGCATTTATGGCTTCCATTTAGAACCATGAAACATAAAAATATTATTTTTAACTATTCTGCTCACATCTTTGCAAGAACAGATTTACCTGTGGAAAGTTGCTGTTAATTCAAAGTAAGCAAATATGAAATCTAGCTTTCCTACTTAAGGGAGATTTATTTGCTGAGAAGTTTTGGGAGCTTTATTAAGAAAAGTTCTTAGAGGCAAGCTAAACAAAAGATTCAATTAAATTTGTTCAAATTTCTTTGTAAAATAATCTACTTATTAAAAAAGTTGTGCAGAGGACCAATTAATTTGTCTACTGAATTTTAAATTCCAGGTAGGCCGTGATAGAACTTTACAAGGCAGAAATAAACATCAAGATTTACAGCAATAGCCATGCATTGGCCTGGATCACTTTAAATATGAACTCATGCAAACCATAAACCTATCAAAAACACAGCTGTTCTCATACAGAAAGTAAATCAAGACGAAATATGGAAAACATTTATTTCCTTTCCTTCAAAATTTAACTTACATTCCACTTTAATAGCTGTTGAAGGTTAATTAAAATGCAGCAAAGTATAACTACGTTACACAAGTGACTTCAGTTATTTTAATGTGAGAAAAATCAGACTATGGTATCTTACGAGTCATTATAGAAATGTTCATCATTAAAAAGCATTTATTAGGCACTGAACTGCATGATGTTACCTTAAGTCATTTACAAAAGAATTCCTGGTCCATGTGATGTGAATGGGCTGGGCACTTTCTCCATAAATTTTGTAGATGACTATTTGTAAGATTATACACTTAATAGGTTTTAAAACCAGGAACTATCAAAGGGCAACTGCACAAAAATAAACACGATTATTTAGCTTTGTAGTAATTATGACATTGTCATAATTTTAAAACTATGAATAATACAATCTATTACTTTCTGACTAGCATTCATTTCCCGAGAAAACATTTTAAATGACAAGTTGTAAGTGTTGTACAGTGCACGCAATGCAAAACAAATTATCATGTGACTTTCACATTGGATATTTAGAATGCTGAACGGCAAAATTAAAGTATAAAATTTAATGATCAGAATGCTGACTGATTTCCATAATTCATTTCCCCTCTGGAAATTAAAGAGGAATCACTGATTCCATTTAATGACCATACAATTCATGTAAATGGCTAACATTATTTAGCAGAATACACATTCACCTGACTTGATTAGAAAAAGTTTTCCATTAACTTAGCAACACTGCTGAAGCAGTCTCACATTAGAGCACAGAGTGGAGGTGGGAGGACGGGAAGTACATATATCATTTAAAATTTACAACGTTCCTGAGAAACACTGTTTTCCTAATAATATCTACAATATAACATCTTTCTGGGTGTGAGACACCAATATATTTTTATATGTATATATAAAACATTTAGAAAGTCCATGCTCAATACCACTGTATACTATTCAACATTAAAGAAGCAACTTCCAGCTTTTCAATGCTAAATGAATGAGGATTTTCTATTATAAGTCGTATTGTCTGAATTGTAAACATTGTAAAGCAACTGTGTTAGCATTTGCCAGAGTCCCTATAAGGAACTTTTTAATTGAAGAGTACGTGCCCTTTATTTCAAAAAAACACATGTTAAAAGTCACATTGACTGTTTATTTCAATCCTGGTAAAACCATGTGACTTTTTTCCAGTTAAGGAAGGTTTAAAAAATCAGACTATTTTCTCTAATTTAACACTGTAAAGTCACTGCAATTGCAATGTTATATTTTAAGTTTCACCAAGAAGGTCATTCCCTGTCCCTCAAACCCCAAGTCTCACCCAGGAAGCAAAGAGACTGACAATGTCAATAATTCAAAAACAGGACGATGGGACAAAGAGGCTCAAATTAGTCACATTTCAGATCATGTTACACATTATCAACCGTAAGTATTCTTCTCATGTTTAAGAGCTCCACAGAAACAATCCACGTTTCAAGATTAAAATAAAACTTACATTTTTAAGTCAGAAAATCCAGTTCTATTATATCCATAATGTTTTTATATTAAAATTCTGCAGAAGGGTGCCACTGATGAAGTGAGCGCAAACAGAAGCAGCTCTTCTCTATTAACAGAATTAAACACTACAAAGTGTTTCTCTGGAGGGGTGCATTTCACTCTTGCTTTCTTATTTTTTGTGGTTTGACCTCAGCTATCACCACTGGGAAGCCCAGGAAAAGCTGCTCTGAATATTCATTCACTGGACAGGTAAAGACTGGGACTTCAGAATTTTGAAGACGATCTTAGACTCTTACACCTGTGGTCTTGCTAGATGTGTTGATTCATGACTCTCTCAATCTGTACCCCAAACAGGAAGGGCTTGGGAAGTAAAGTATGTAAACGTGTGTTCCCTTAAGGTTAGAATTATGTATATGTGTTATAACCTCTTATTTGTAGAAAATGGAGAGGCATACTGGTAACTAAGGAGCTACAAATACAGACAAGGAAATGACATATATCCTAATTTTAAATCTAGATTGAGAAAAAGGGTGAAAAGAATGTGAAAATATTAAACTCGAGAAGCGATCTGAAAAAAAATCACCTCTTCTCAATTCTAGTTGACTTTTTTTAAAAGAGAAAGTTCTACCTATTTTGCTGGTAAGTCCATGTAAAGGCAAGCAGGCTTTTGAGTAAAAGGCAAATAGTTTGCTTCAATCTCTGAAGTGTATCTGAAAACTAATTCCTTTTTTTCAAATGAAAGTATTATTTAAAAAATAGTGTAGAAAACTGGTTGTGGTTTTTAAACAGCCCCTTCATTTACTGTTGGTAGCAAAATAGCCATTTTCAGATGTCTTGTAAATGCTGAAAATAATTGAACTGAAGATACATTTTAAAACATACTAACAAAAGCTACTCATGATGAACGTGTCCTCTGACTGTAAAGTTACCGGCCTGAGTAAAATCCGCATTTTTTAAATGGGGAAAATGTACTACCTATTTGTCCCAATAAGCAGCATGTGACGAATTTTGGGAACTATTTGATGAGTGAACTGTGAAATAATTTTCAGTCTTCAGTATAGGGGGCAGTCACCATAACACTGGGTGTGCTACACAAGACACAGGCATCTCTAGTGGGAACTGGAACACAGGACAAAAGCCCATGCATTTATCTGACATGTTATTCCAAATATTGCAACAGAAGCTTTGGAAATCCCACGTAAATACGTAGCATATGTTTCTTAAGAGGAAAAACTTTAAGACAAAATGACATCACTCAATCTACTGCATTAGCCAGATTTTTAGAAAAATCTAAATGATGATGAAACTTCATCAGAAATACCTGAAACATACATAGTTTGAAAAATCAGTGTCATAACAACAGAGTCACATTAACACGTGTGTCCTCTAACAAATAAACACGACAAACAACAAAGAAGCATTTGTAAGGCCAAAGGTGCAACATCACCGATTTTAGTAGCAAATGCCTTGAAATATTCATTTTTGTAAATCACTCTTACATTTGGAAAGTCAGGCATGCAGATCTTACAGCGGAACTGGAAGTAAACTTTCTCTTACATTTCTGGGCATATGACTACTGAACTAGAAAAACACTTACTGAACCTCTTTGGCAAACATTTATCAAGACAATTTTGGACACAAATGCTTGTTTAGAAATTTTGCTCAGGAAGGTGAGTCAGTTCCTTAAGAATGCTGGTTTGTTTCAGCATATCCTGAAATCTAAGTCTGGATACCAAGAGTCCCTTTAACTAAATATCATTTAGAGTTTTTTAATGGTTGGTTACCTTGTGGTACAGCCAATAAACTGACAGTCAGTTACAGCCCCACAGTAATGGCATAAGAATACTGACTTATTCTCCGTTTAAGAAAGCCCTCTGGCAAGATACCAGGTCATTTTCAATTTCCGTTTACAAAGACTTAGCAAATACCTTAAAAAAATCCAAAAGAGATGGTGTTACAGTACAGTTGCACAGTGCTTATGTCTATAATATACATGAATCTGAATGTCCATCAGCGAGATGAGCTCAGATCTACCTTTCCTCTTCATGGACCAGACTGGAATTGGTTAGCAGACTGCGGTGACAACCTGGTAGCTCTCCTTAGAGAGGTAACAGAGCCTGCCTTTCAGGCTCTCCCCATCACCATTCGTCGGGCCTCTGTTTCGTGGTATCATATGCTCTTATCACTTCAGACTGTGAAACGATTCCATTTTCATCTTGAGAGAACGCATACCCATCTGTAGGTTAATGATAAAACAGAAATTCTCACAAAGGCACTGGAAACCACCGTTATTCTGACTTTTGGGTATTCATTTTCTAGCCTGGGGAACAAATGCAGCCTTCCCACATTCAAAAGCATGGAGACACTGATTTTTAATGCCTAGAAAAGATACAGACTTAACTTCAAAATAAAGAGTGGGATGATCTTAGGTTGCCAGTTTAGATTCTAGGTATTCTTCTCTCTAGAAGACTGAGTAGGCACCCTCAATTCCCCTAAATCCTCTGTCCCGTAAGTCAACTCCAACTCTTCTAATTTTTGCTTCCCCAATTCTGGAGGGGGTGAGGGAGTTGAGTCAAGTGGGCTCACATATTTCCACATAGGTCAGGTGGATGAGAGGAAAGGAAAAGTGATATGTAGGTGAGGTGGTGAATAATGTAATTGATTCAACCATCCCACCATGTACGGTCCCTTGGTATCTGTGGGAATGGCTTCAGGGACCCCCTTAAATATCAAAATCCACGGATGCTTAAATCCTTTATATAAAATGGCACAGTATTTGCATATAACCTACACACATTCTCTCGTAGACTTAAAATCATTTCTAGATTACTTATAATACTTAATACAATGCCCTCACATCAGTTCATTCTAGTGGATTCAATGTAGTATTTCGTCCATGGCAAGTTCAAGTTTTGCTTTTAGGAATTTTGTGAATTTTTTTTTCCCCCTTGAATATACTTGACTCACAGCGGGCTGAATCCACAGATGTGGAACCCACTGATAGAAAGGGCCAACTGTACATCAAAACATCACCTTGTACTCCATAAATATAGACAATTATTGTTTGTCAATTTAAAAAGGCGAGGAGGAGGAGATAAACACAAATAGCTGCTCATGGTGGCAAGTGGTCTCCTTCCTTCAGAGGACATTCCCCTTGGCTCTCAGCATCACAAATAAACTCACTCACGCCCCGACATGGCATGGGCATAAGGAATGGCCCCCAAGGGGATCACATCTTTAGAAAAGGCCTCTTGAAGTATAAAGAGCAAAAGCATTAGACATGAGTATACGTAAGTGAAAATAAATTATAAGTGGAAACAACATGAAACAAAAGATATATTACTCACACAAATACATTTACTACAGGGCTTTACATTTTATATTCTTTTTTAGATCTTGAAATGTTAAGAGGGCACAATATCTAATAATGTCTTACAACTCTAAATATTCATAAATATTTCTGAAGGGGAAAATATATGCTTCCTTGTGTTGTATGAAAGCTGAAAGGCTCTTGCAAAGTTATTCAAGTAGAAAAGATAACAAGACAGGGGCAGCTTTTAAGAATTAAGATTTACTGGCTTTAAAGAAAAAGATTTGAGGAAGCAAGGAATGTGGAAATACTGTTTTTCTTTAAGTGAAACAGCAAGATTTTAAAATTAACTATCTCTTCTGTTGAAAGTGAAATGGTTCTGACCAATGGATTTTCTGTTATTTACAGGTTACAAATATGCAAAACTTATTTTAGACATTAGTTTTAAATAAATATCCCTAAAGTCAGGATACTGTATAAATGCTATGATACAGCAATGGCAGAGAATTTATTTAAAAATAAGAAACTCAAATACTCACGGAGCAGATTTTGTTGCAAGGATTCAGAGCGGTACAAGTTCACGTGGTTCTTCTTAAAGACGTTCTTGAGCAGTTGCGCCCTCTCGGTCAGGCTGCAGAGCAGGTGCAAATGTGTGAAATGAATTATCAACTCGGCAGAGACCCCAGTGTGCCCACAGGACCACCAAAGAGAGTTAGACTTAAACAAAAGATTGCTCGAGAAATCCGTAGCCTAGTGATTCTTTTTACACATTTTCTCAGATAGCGAATGAAATTTCAAGTATTTAGACAGACTTTTGAGGCCATTTTCTCCCTAAGGAGTTTGGTCCCCAATAATCCTTCTCCCAGTAAAAAGTAGGATCTCCTCACCACCCCCCACTCAGTTATATTTAAGTCAAATGGCAACACAGAGCCAGTATAACACAATTAAAATAAAAAAATACAAAACAACAGTAGTGTTATTCACTTTTAAAAACTGACTACATATATTCTAAGCATGGCAATTTTTAGAATAAAAAATTAGTTATTACTATTTTTTTCACATTTGGCACGTTTTGGTATAAACTATTTTTTAGTTAAAAATATTAAAGTAAATATTAACTAACATTACACAAAGAAGACATTTCATAGACTTTTTAACTAGAAGTTCACTACCACTAATATGGTATGACATGTGTTCCTTAATTTTATTTTAAAATAAACTATTTTCAGAAAAATAATTATGGTAGGTGAAATAACAAGGAAAGTATTTTTCAGGAAGTGTTTAGAATAGTTGTCTCCTCAGATACAAATCCAGATAATTATGTAACTTCTAAAAGCACATTGTAAAAAATAAGGCATCTTCTCCCCCAACTTCCCATAAAAGTGTCTCACACAGTAGAAACTCAAATATTTGTTGAATACGTGAAGTTGAGTAATAATTCTGAAATGTACTTATAGACATCATCCATCTTCCAAATCATGCCATTTCTTCATTGTTTTATAAAATTGTTTTGATATTAAAGAACATAATAGGCATGAGAAACAAATAAGTAATCCATATGTGTTGCAGCAAATGTTTATGCAATTTTAATAACTGGAACTGATTCAGCTGAAAAATTTCCATCTTGTGTTTTTCCCACTATAAAAGCTTTAGTTAAATTGCTGTGTTATGTTAGTTCTGTATTTTGCCAATTTTTCTAAGACCCTGAAATGAAACAATATCATATACAAAAAAAGGATCCTCTGCAAAATGAACTCATTGTGTAAATGAATTATGCAAACATTTAGGCAAAAACCGAAGAAAAAATATTTAGAAATGTTAACATTTGTAGTAATCTTCCACATATATATTTTAAAGTCTAGGGAGGTTAACTGGTATTATTGGACATATTTTATTGTCATTGGAAATTAGCTACATGAAGGCAAGAAAACTAATTAATCTAAAACTCCAGCAGTTCTGCAAATAGTTGTAAAACTTGTTTCTGTCAGTGAAATAAACAGATATGAGAAATGAGAAAGGGCCATTTTTACAGAGTTGCTTTCTTACTCTACTCTTTAAATGATCTAGCATTACAGACCCATGGACCCTGAGGGACACTAAAATATGTAACTGCTTTGAGGAAGTCGCAGCTTTAGCAGCAGGTGGTCTGACTTCCTTAGCAGAGCCTTGTGGATGGGGTGCTGGAAAGTCTTTGGTGTTTCAAACCGAAATGACTACGGGAGACTAGAGGATGGCAATGTATCATTATGCAGCATCTTCTTCCCAAAAGACATTTTCCAGGTTTCAGGCTGGCCTTCCTAAATGCATAATACTTTAATATTACAATATTAAAGTGGTAAGAAGGCAGACATGAGAATTTAGTCTTTCATATTACAGCAACTGAAATACATAAGGTAACATAATTCCGTTTTGTACAGTTCATATAAAGGCTCTCATTAGCTCTTCTTTTATATCAAGTTAACGTACAGCATTAAAACAAAGCAGTAAGAAAGTCTCTTTCTTAAGAAAGAAGCACATTACTCAGGAAAGATCATGGGCTCTGGAGTAGGGCTTTGGTTTAATTTTGCGTTGGCTGCTTATTAGCTGGGTCACCACAGGCAAGCTTTTCTCTGTCATCTCCTATATATCAGGAGGGCAGTACTTAACTCTCAGGCAGACTGTGAGGATGCAGGGAGCTGTCAGCACAATGACTGACACTTAGGAAGCACTCAACAAATGCTGGGCCCTCCCACCTTTACCCCCAAGATGCTGAGAATTTATTATAAAAAATCAACTAGAACAGAGATCATCACCAAACAAAAGGTACTTTGTAAGGAGTATTTTTGATGCCTTGGTTTCTAGTCAACATAAGCGCAAGGTGAGATGTGTGTTGCTGCACATGGGTTTTAGTTTATAATGTTCTCATTCTACCTCTTTACTAAGAAAATGACTAGATTTTTGTTGTTTTGTTTTTCCTTAGCTATTTTGAACTTCTTGCTTTAGTCCTGTAGAGCAGAGTCCCTCCTTCAGAATATAAATGCCATTCACAGGAGGTTGCTAAATAAATAAGTGATGATGAGTTGTATTTCTCTAGTCTTATCTTACACCTTTGGGGAACTACTCATTTCAACATCTATGCAATTCTGGGCCATCAATGTTTATAGATACTGATACTACTATTAAGGCACATTATAAAATATATTTATGCTAACACTAATAGATATATTAAAAGTTCAGTTTTAGTGGAACAGCTTAACAGTGTGAAAAGACAAAAAAAAAAAACACTAAAGATACCTTCTCACTAAAACCACATTTTATTCACAACTCTTGACTAGCAGTTTTACGTAGTCTCTTATAGTCTTTCATTTACATACCAAGCTATGTAAATTTTGAGTTTGTTTAATGCAATCACACAACTACTACTAAATATTGTTACCTTATTTCCAAACCCACTAAAATGTTGCAATTTAAACATTTGGTGGAGGTGAATATAAAGATAACATGTTTAAAATAATATTTCAAATACTAAAAAATGTCAGTGTTGGTAAAAACCAATTCATGGTTCTGGAATGTGTTGGAACGTGTTGTCTTAAGGAATTTTCAGTGGGAAACTTGAAGAGGAATAAATTTGCATTTGTCTACATATTGAGTTGATAAGCTATTTAGGTTGACTCATTAAAATAAATCTCCAAAAAGTACGTAACTATCCATTCATGGAATGTTTAATGTATAGCATGCAATAGCTGTCCTACACTAGGGTAGCTGTGGTGGCGGAGAAACAAACAATGAATATAACAGGCCTATCTCTGCCCTGGAGCTGAAAACATTTCAGTGTTCTGTCACTTTTCTTTCTGAATGTTGGACAGAACCATTACCACAGTGATGAGAGAAGGCTGAAGGAAACATTTGACAGATCCCTGTGTCCTCAATCCCCACCAAAGTATTTAAGTCATACTGATATAAAATCGAGTGTGAACACTGAGAAATAAAATTTCCTTTCTACTAGTTCTGGAGCAAGGTTAAAACTGCTTTTCATTAAGATGAACAATACATCAGAAAGGTTAGAGAGAGCACTGTCACCATCTACACCACCGAGTTCTCTGACACCTCATATTCCCTACTCTCCCTGCATGCAAAAGCTGTAAACAATGGCCAAACGGTAGTGCCAGGCAAATCAGTGAGGACTGACCTGAAGATCCTAGGCTAAAATTCTATTTAGTAATGGCCAATGATGATATGCTGGCTAATATCTACAGTGAGAAATAAAAAAGAATTATGAGTCTCATTATTGTATTTGCCTATGAAATGCACTGCTTCACACATACTCCAATGATATCCAAAAATAATTGTCCTGCCTCCAATGAGCCCACAGTGTCCATCATTTCTTACTGTAAACTTTTGGATAAGGTTTAAATGTTCAGGACTAAGATTTGGGTTATTTTACTTTTTTTAAAGTACAATTTCCGTTTTATTTTTCTCCAGTGGACGGTTTTTCCTCAGTTCTTAAGAACTCAGCTCCTCACATGGACTTTGGTAGAAGTCATGAGGCAGCAAGGTTTGGGTTATTTTAAACCTTCAGGAGTAAGGTTTAGGTTATTCTCTCATCATTGTAGACTTGCATTTATTTCTACCATAACCCATGGCTCAAAAGCATGCGTATTTAGAACATACTTAGATTGATTAAACATATTTTTCCCCTAAAATGTAATAAAATGAATCTAATTTGCAGGGTAATATGGTAGGTGGCATACTATTTCCACTAAAAATGGCTGTTTTAACCAAGATGATTTTTTCTGAAAATGAACAAAGATGAGAAATTATTGTAAATATTAATCTTCCTTAAGTGCTTACAATTTGTTTTTCTGACATTTGCATTTTATACACAACTTGAGTTTAATAGTCATACTTACTGAAGATTAAAAAAATTGGGGATGATCAACTCACAAGATCTTTCTTAAGAACTGCATCATTGTATGACAAAAAAGTAAATGATGGTTGCTTTGGATATTACCTAGTTTGGGAAGTACAAATTATACAATTCTATGTTTTTATGAATCAGATTTCTGTTTCACAGCCCACAGGTCAACCATCAATTCAACAATCCTTTCTCCTACTCAGCAATCCTTTCGCCCACTCTTTCTTTCATCCATTCTTTAGTTTATTCTCTTAACTATTCCGTTCATCCACTCAACAAGTATTTACTGAGTGCTACTAAGTTCCTGGTGCTGTACCAGGTGTTGCATTGCAGCTATGACTAAGACATGGGCCTCTCTAGAAGCTCAATCTAGTAGGGGGAAAATAAAAACATACATAGAGTAAACTAATACTTTATAATGCAATGCGATCAGTGTACCTATAGAAGTTTATACAGAGTATAAACAGAGTATAATAGTACAGAGATAGTAGGCTAGGAATTAAATATTGTGAATGCAAACAGCTGAAAAAATTGAATCTACATTGGGTTTGGAAAGCTGGGAATTGGAGTGCCTAGTCTGTAAGAAGGGGCTCCCAAACAGGGGAACAGCAAATGCAAAGACTGGAAGATATAAAATAACATGGTGTTTTGGAACCAAAGAAAGTCTGGTATCATTAGAATTCACAAGAATCACAATTTCTTCCCTTTTGATAAAGTAGATATAAAATTTGCTAAGTTTTGGCTGGGTGCAGTGGCCCACGCCTGTAATCCCAGCACTTTGGGAGGCTGAGGCGGGTGGATCACGAGGTCAGGAGTTCGAGACCAGTCTGGCCAACATAGTGAAACCCCGTCTCTACTAAAATTACAAAAAATTAGCCGGGTGTGATGGCGTGTGCCTGTAATCCCAGCTACTAGGGAGGCTGAGGCAGGAGAATGGTGTGAATCTGGGAGGCAGAGGTTGCAGTGAGCCGAGATTGTGCCATTGCACTCCAGCCCGGGTGACAGTGCAAGACTCCGTCTCAAAAAAAAACAAACAAACAAAAAAAAAAAACTGCTAACTTTTTTTGAAATCTGAAATCAATGTCATTCTCCAAGATTCCTAAAATAATCCAGGGGGTAAAATCAATCCAACAATTCTTTAACCTTAGAGTGCCATTACTTTAAGCATGAAGATGTTTCCATCCAGTTGCTATTTTTCTCCTTTCACAGATCTTCCCCTTGCCTCCCTCCTCCGGGCACCTGCCATCAAGCACGAAGCCACTATGGTTACACTGATCATTAACCTTCTGATCACCAGTGGGCGGCAGTGGCAACATGGAGCACATGCTGGTCCAGGGTTTTTTGTCTGGTATTCAGCTGATAGCTAACACATTCCTGAGTTCTTAGGAAAAACTAAATAGCTATTTTAGGCAAATGAGCGAGGCAGCAGCAGGGAATTTATCTGATGCATTTCCTATGGAGAAGTTGGTGGTCATTTATGCTGGAATTCACTTCTTTCCTTTTTGGGCTCTCTGGCTTATTTTATTTAACAGAAGGAGCTACATATATTACGGAATCACTGAATGTTTAGGACCTGGGGGTCATTACACTGGCCTGATTTATGAATTGAAGTCATTGGTAGACAACAAAAAGACAAACTAAGTATCACGTGGAAGGGCTTAATGTGATTTTATTAACATACTTACAAATCTGGAAATTTACTACTAAGGATAGTAACAGTATTAACAGTGGCCTTTCCCTAATAATTACGAATACATTGTTTTATTCACAATTTCATGAGCTAGAACTCTTTTTTTTTTTTTTTTGAGACAGAGTCTCGCTCTGTCACCCAGGCTGGAGTGCAGTGGCATGATCTCTGCTCACTGCAAGCTCTGCCTCCAGGATTCACGCCATTCTCCTGCCTCAGCCTCCCGAGTAGCTGGGACTACAGGCGCCCGCCACCACGCCTGGCTAATTTTTTGTATTGTTAGTAGAGACGGGTTTTCACTGTGTTAGCCAGGATGGTCTCGATCTCCTGACCTCGTGATCTGCCCGCCTCGGCCTCCCAAAGTGCTGGGATTACAGGTGTGAGCCACCGCGCCTGGCCAGAACTCTTACTGTATTCTTTTTATCGCTAGAGAAAGAGAACTGACATAATTAATTTACTAGCTGAATTTACTGACAAACTGCAGGTACTTTCCTATGAGGAATCCTGTGATGCAAATTTTTAGATGAAGAAAAAGGTGGAGGGAGGAGGACACAACCCTGAAAGTAGGTATTATCATTCCCATCCTGTACACTGGGATGCTGAGTCAGAGATTAAGTACTTTGTCAAGTTAGTAGTAGGCTGTTTTTTGCAGCTCTATTATATTTTTGAACAAACAGCAAAAGGAGGCAGAATTGTGAATGGTTCAGAGCAGGAGCTCTGGGATCAGCTGGCATGGACTCCAGGCCCAGATCTGTCACTAACAACTTTGGGAACTTCATCTCTCGAAGCCCCAGTTTCCTCATCTGGAAAAAAATGGAGATGATGGATCTGTATAGGGTTGTTACTGGGATTCAGTGAGATAGTACACGTAAAATGCAAGGGAAGCACCTGGCACGAAGTGAGCGCTCAACAAAGGTCAGTGCTATTATTTTCAAAAAAGTGGCACACACTGGTGTGTGATGTGTTCCTTCAGCATAATGAGAGCAAGAGAGCTGGAAGCCAAGGTCTCACTGAGTTCTGACAACTACTCCATTGTGTCAAAATGGATAACAACAGTGAATCATGATTAAGGTGACATATACTAGGGTAAAATATTTCCTATAGTTTAGCCAAAACCTCAGCTTTAGTATGATAAAAATGAAGAAAAAAAATAAATTCCTCCTCCTATCTTAATAATTGTCTTTTATTATAGACTGCAACTAATTATAATTTCTTTCTTACAATGCTTTGTGAATTTAGTGGATTTGATTAGCTTTCTAACTTTCCTTTTTTTTTTGGAGGGGGTGGTGTAAGGAAGAGAACTTGGGATAGGTAATTCACTTCATATATGATACATATCTAGGTCAGTTCCTAATAACTACTGAACCACAAATGCAATTATACAAGGTAATTTGCCTTATATCAAACTATGATTTTGATTACATACTATTTTTTTTTCTGAGATGGAGTCTCGCGCTCTGTTGCCCAGGCTGGAGTGCAGTGGCTTGATTTCGGCTCACTACAACCTCTGCCTCCCAGGTTCAAGCTATTCTCTTGCCTCAGCCTCCTGAGTAGCTGGGATTACAAGTGCCCGTCACCATGCCTGGCTAGTTTTTGTATTCTTAGTAGAGATGGAATTTCACAATGTTGGTCAGGCTGGTCTCGAACTCCTGACCTTGTTATCTGCCCGCCTCGGCCTCCTAAAGTGCTGGGATTACAAGTGTGAGCCACCACGCCTGGCCAATTACATACATTTTATTATGGATACTATTTCAAGCTAAAAGTCTTTTTCTTCTCTTGCAGTTTAATAATACAATAATGTTTGTAACTGCCATTTATTTAATGCTCATTAAAGACTTTGCACTATGCTAAGTTCTTTATAATACTTCATTCAACTCTTACAACTAACCATGAGGTAGGTATTATTGCCCCCATTTTATTGATGAGGAAATTGAGGCTCAGTAGGATTAAGCAACGTAGCCAAGGGCACAGTTTAGAAAGCGACAGATTTAAATCCACATGTCTCTGACTCCCAAACCTGCCAATGACACTGCCAGCTTGATGCTGACAAATACAAGTCTTATCACTTATTTCCAACCACTAGTACAAGATAAATTTAAAGTTCATTTGGAAAAGAATATATTCACTGTGTATTTTACCTTTTTCCAAGTACAACTGCTCCTGGGTCTTGAGATTTTGCCTCCAGCTCCTGAACTTCATCGACCAATGTTTTAAAAGCAGTCCTCTTGATACTGCAAAAAGAAAAAAAAAGGGATTTGCATGGAAATACTTCTGTGAAGATTTTACAAAACTAGATGTCTGGCTTATTATCACGCGGTTGATAAAGCACAATGGTAACAAGAGTACAAGCAGTTTTTCAAAAGAATCTTAAAAATTACCGTAATTTTGAGAATATAGAAATTATAGTTTTAAAAATAAATGATGGTTTAGGTTTACAATATTGAAACTCCCATAGTTATTTAAATAAATATCATGTAATTAAATTAAATGCTATCTTTTTTGTGGGAAGACATAAGATTTTAAAATTTATAACCCTTGAAAAAAATTAGTAAGGTTTTCTTTTCTTTCATTTTATATTTTATATATGTTTGGAATCAGGCAAGCAAAACATTTCTTTTTATAATAAAAAATGTTTTTGGAAATAGTACAATTTTTCTTTTACTTTTATATGAGTTTTGGGGCTGTTTCTAAAAAACATACTCCCCGATGTAATTTTCTCCAGTGCCATTTACTTTTCTCTGTTAACTGAAACTACCCGCTTTACTACTCATTTCGTCTTTTAAACTAGTTTTCTAGTTCCTGAATCACCCCTTCCTTATTTAAAATTAAGTAATATTACCAGTCCCTATCCTGCAAGCTCTACATGCTTGAGTTGATGTTACCAAGAGAGAAATCTGAGGATGAATATGCATCTATATTTCTCCGTATATAACTGAGTATATACTTACACCTTGTACACCACATCAAGGAGCAGAGATGCCACAGGGATGAATAACAAGCCCATCCAAAAGACTCCAGAACTGAACAACATGGCTGCCTGTGTAAATCGTCAGAAAAAACATTACTTTAAAACCAAAAAATACATGATTTGTGTTTAGTTTTTATGTATTTTTAAGTGAAACAATTTTAAGAATATCATTCTGTAAGAGAGTATACAACTCTGAATTCGAACTTATGAAATTAACTTAGAATATCAAAATAAATCTTTGAGCAAATTTAAAATATACTCTGGATTAAATTCTCTTATAAGATATGGTGTAAAATAAATCATAATTAGAAACTAAATTTACTATTTCTGGCAAATGAAAATTACTTTTGTAAAATTATAGGATATTAAAAATTATCCAGATAAATCATGACTACTGTATAATCAAATTAAGATACCTACAAAAACAACAATTTGATTATTTTTGGCTAACATTAGGTAGTAATAATCTTAATTTTTGTTCAATGATTTATATAACTGGTATTGGTGCATACCTGTTATTGCTAAAGTCAAACCAAATATCTTGTATGTAAAAGCCAAATAAAAGTGTATTAAAAATAACTTTAATAATTTCTTTGTAATAAATACCAAATTGCTGTATTAGAGCCTTTTGGGTTGCAAAAAAAAATGATTCTGTAATTTAAAAAGTAATAAATTCTATTATTTATTTGCAATTATAATAAAAAATATCTTTGTAATATAATTAGATTACACAGAACTTAAAAGGAATAGTATTATACAATAAAAGCAAAAGAAATATTTTGGTTTCACTTCTTTTAATCTTTTTATCAAGAGGAAATTTTTAGTACCTATTTAAATCCATATATGTATTGTTCTAATTCCATTAAAAAGTAGCCAACTAACGCATGCACATTTAGATTCTACTAAAAATCATGCAAAATTAAAAAGAATCAGGTATGGTTCAGGAATTAAAAATAACCTAGAGTTTAATTATTCTAGGCAATTTCAAAATTACACATAAATAGTCCTAATCAATCAGTCCTTATCAAACATAAACATTTCTAATTTTAAATTATATTTCAGATTACTTATTCATTTGGACTCTCGATTAAGGACTAGGAACTGCTGTTTAAATTTTTTCTGCATTGACATGAGCTTATCGATACAGACCGCAGGTTCAGGGACGCTAAGATTTTTCGCTATGTAGAAGTGAATAGCTCTGAATACTTTTAAAATAAAAACATGCTATTACAAAAAATTCCAGAAAATAAGTTTTGCCACATGGGTTCAATGAAATAGCACCAATATTCGAGACACCAACAAGATGAAAAATACTCACATAAAAGTCACTTTATTTAATAAGCAAAACATGATCTTTGACATGTTTGCTGACATCCTCAATGGTGAAAACCAACAATAACTGTGTAATAGGAAATGTCTATCAAGTCAGTAGATTTTCTTTAGATTGAAAGAAGCTTTCTAGTAAGGTAACAACTGTAAAAAACCAATTTCTTTCTCCTTCTGGGGGGAAAGGTAAGGTAAGAATTCCAAGGCATGCAACTGAAAATACATTTACTTGGCTTAATTTTAATATATTTTAATTTGGTTGGGGGGGGGCAAGAGAAGGAGGATTTATTCTTGCCTTCACCACCTTGTATTAAATGTCCACCAGTGGAAAAGGCAAAAGTGGTGGAGATTCAAGGCTGCTAATTCTGACCATTGTGATGCTAACGATGAATGGAGGAGTGACTGGCGCCCCACCATTCAGTCTACCAGCCTTTGGCATTACAAATGAACAACATGAATTGAGGGGAAAAAAGTTTTTCTGCGTCATATCTGAAAGCCTGTCAGTTTTTTTTTCTTTTGCAGAGTTAATCCAAACCTAAAAGATTTAAAGCCGACATTCGCATTAAAGACAGAGAGTCTCTTTGTATTTTTTGGATGAAGAGGGGGGGAAAAATAAAATCCCACAGAGGTATTTCCTTCCTTTCTGTATAAGAAAGCTCCCCCTCACTCTGAAGAAACCAGTTTTGTCTCTAACTTTTCACATTTCCCCACTCACAGGCAGGTCAGCTGGGAAAAGGCGAAGGGATCCTGAGACAATGGTGGATTGCTCCGAACAGGAGCAGCCTGTTCGGGCCGAGCTCCGGTTCCCTCCGAGAGCGGTTTGCAAATTTCTCCTAATGTGGGAGACTGGTGCACCAGGCCAAGTGGCCCCCACTGCCCCTTCTCAAGGCACTGTGAAACCAAATGGAATTTGCCACGAAAGTGGCTCCCGGGGGCCTTGAGAAGGGATCAGCTGAGGAAGCTGCAAAGCTGGTAACAGGAGGGCACAGGCCGTGTGTGGCGAACAAGCAACTGCTTGTCTCTGCAGAGTGATGCCGGCTCAAAATCGAACCACTGGGGCTTCAAAAATAAACCAACGCTGCCTGAAAACACAACTTGCAGAAGAGGAATTGTTCTGAAATTTCTATGTGAACTTTCAGGGAACAAACCTTTGAGAAAATACGAGTTTATGTGCATTTGGCCAAGTCAGGGGGCATGACCGATAAGAGGGGTTTACCTTCTGACCCACAACGGCATGATCTGTTAGCACCTACGTTCCCACGCCAGACAGAAACCCTTCTTCACCTTCAATGTGCCCATGTTCAGTCTCATAGGAGAGAGAATTCAAGTGTGCCACCTGCCTACAAACTAACGGCATGGTTCTTCAGTCTACCTCTATGTGTTTACACTATTAATATCAGAGTGGCATGCTGTGACTCTTACTCATGGAAATGTATAGACATCTAAAACAGAAGGCCCTTTGCAGAACTCTAAGACTGTCTCCATGGACCCCAGTTGGAGCAGGTCTGGTGATAGGCCTGGAAGTGGTCCTGGCACGGCCCTTCCCAGCTAATCAGACACTCGGGAAGAAACTTCTCAGTCTCAGTTTCCTCAGCTGTACAGTGGATTGTAGGAATTAAACTCAATAATGTTTGTAAAGTGGCTGCATAACATTGATTATTAACAAACTTTCTTCATTTCAATTGTCAAATTTCTTTAAATGCTCTTGTCTCTGGTTCTTTCCAGTGATCTGTCCCATGAGCTTCATGGAAGCAAATTTTTATGACAATATCAAATTAACTGTAAATCAATTTATAAATTTTATGATGTTCATCTCAATAATATCACAGCACACGCTTGTCTTATCTGCTATTTTTAAAACGCAATGATGAAACATAGGCCAAAGTAAGAGATCCCTAATAAAGTGCCATTCATCTCAATTTGCCAATTTAGAAAATGGAGAAAAATAATTTTGTCATAGAAATTATTGACTACACCGGCATAATATATTAATTTTGGAAGGGAAAATTATTTGGAAAATAGTGCTTCAAAACATTTTTTTGGAGGGGAGTGCAGTAAGAGAAATGAATAACTTCCAGAGTAGTTGCGTTAACGCTGGGAACAACAACAAAAAACCAAGAAGTGATTATTTATTAAGTGTCTGGACAAAGCTTTATATAAAAGGCTTCCAAAGCTTAAAAACAGTGAAAAAAAACTATGAAAGGATGCTTTAAAGAACTGATTTACGAAAACGTAGAACTTCCACGTGTTCAAAGAAACATAACTAAAAAAGTAAACAATAAAAAACTGGGAGAATGACTACTACAAATACATGAAATTCTGGGTTAATATCTGACCAGAAAAATAGCCCATTTATCTTCATAAGAATAGCTGCAATCTCAAGAGATAGGCAAGAGACCTGGAAAGGTATTCATAAAAGCAGCAGCAAGTAATTAACAACATGGAAAAGTGTTAAGTCACTCTGCAGTCTTAGAGAACACTGACAAATTAGATCAGATTTTAAAAATTCACCATCAGTTTGGTGGAGTGAGAGGTGTATGGTGGAATAGGTATTTGTAGCAATTTATATTCCCACCAGCAATGAACTAGCCTTTGGAAAAGGTATTTGGCAATGTGCACCAACACCACAAACATTTATTCCTTTTAATTCGATAATTCAATTTCTGAACTATGTGTTAAAATGAAGTCCAGCTTTTGCTTATCAGTATCTCATGAAACTGTCCTGTGGTTGCTAGTCCTGAAAGCATCCCCTGAAAAGGGCCCATGGCCAGAGATTTAGTAAAGGTGAAAAGAAACCATGGCAGCATCCTCTTGGAGAGTCACAGCGCAGAGCAGCGTAAGGCTTCAAGAAGTCAGAGTAAAGCACCCTACTGAATAGTTTTTTAAACCCAGGTTTCCTAAAGGTATTGATTGATTATGGAACACTTTCCCCTACATCCTTCTTACAAACATCCCACACAACTAATTTTGGGGAATGCAAATATTCGTTGTGGGTTGTTATAAATAACAAAATACTAGTTAAAGCTAACAGGGCACTATGTGGCTCATTAGGCAAATGTGCATCCCTCGGTCTGAATGTTATCCAAGCTGTGAAGATGCTGTTCACAGATTGTAATTATCAGAAGACTGATAGTTTAGAAGAGTCCTGGAGGGAAACGTAAACTACCCTGGTATTCTCCCAGGAGCCTTCTGTTAGCATACAAACACCCTCCCTGGAAGGGTTTGCAGTTTGTATCATCATTCATATGGAAATCAGCCACTAATCACCTGTGGCTTAGATTTCTCACCTGAACTTGAAGCACAGGCTAGACTACTGAGCTCCTAACTTGTGGGTCGCACAGGCACCTCAAACCTCACACATCCCACACTGAACACACACTGTCTTCCCTCCAAAGGCTGCTCTTCCTTGGTACAAGCTATTCAGGGAATGGCATCATCCCTGGCTGCCCAAGACAGAAACCTGGGCCCTATTCCTGAATTGGCTTTTTACCCTGTGTCCAATATTTCACCAGGTTCTGTTGTGCTTTAGCATCTTCACATTTATCCATCTCTGGCCAACTTTGCTTATCCCAGTCCAAATAATTTGCCTGTCCTCCTAGCTGTACTGACTTCAGAAATACTCTGCTTCTAGCTGTTCACACTGCAGCCTGAGAGATATTTCCAAAAGGCAAATTCGATGTTAGCAGTTCCTGGATTAAACCCTTTCTGTGGCTTCAGAATGTCCTCAGAATAGAATACAAAATCTTTAATACAATTTCAAGACCTTTCCTATCTGACTTCTGATTGCTTTCCCAGTATCATCTCTCAAGCCAGGCCCATCTCTTGCTACACATAACATGTTTTGATGCCTGGAAAGCGCCCATGCTCACTCTTGTCCTCAGGCCTTTGCACCTGTGATGCCTACTCGTCCTTCAATTTTCCTTTCTTAGACTCAGAGGACACTACTTGGGCTTCCGTTATGTTGGCACCTATCACCCATTTTCTAGTTGCTCATTCATCCTCTTGTTAGACTATATACTCTCTTAATTCTCATGATCCAAGTGCTTAACCACCAAGCAGATGTTCAATAAATAATTGCTGGATAAATATGTTCTCACAACCTAGTGTTGTAGAAACTATGAAAAACAGAGCCTGGGGACCCTGTTCTTGAGATGTGGTGGTTATGGTTTGCTTGGTTTTCTTGTGCTCTGACATGGAGTTATTCTAGGGAGAGTTATTGCCAGATAATTACGTATTTTGGGGAGAGGAGTTGATTCAGCTCCATGACTATCCTTTTCCAATGTAGGCTGCCTTTTCTGTTGAAGGTTGACGAGTGTGCATTAAAAGCTAAATATGTTAAACTATCCCCAGCTCCCAGTCTGAATCATCAGAAGTATTTCAATGAATCCAAGAAAGGTATGATACCTGGAAATAAAAGTGTTTTGTTTTTTTTTTTGTGGTTGTGGGGAGGTGAGGAAGAGCTGTAGAATAGGCAGGAAGAGAAGGAAGTACCAGCATTAACAAAGATTTTAATTAACTACACAGTATGAACACTTTGCTAAGTTAAAGAAAAAGAAGCAGAATATAAAATTCCAGTCTTCCTCCTCTAGGCAAATACAAACTTTATCCTTCTGGCTGCCCTGGCCAAAATCCTCAAGTCATCTTTGTTTCCCCTTTTCTTTGAAACTGTGCATTCAATTTACTGGCAAATCTTATTGGCTTGACTTAAAAAAATCCATACACCAATGTTCACAGCAGTACTGTTCACTATAGCCAAAGGGTGGAAACAACATCAACAGATGAGTGGACAAGGAAAATGTGGCATATCCATACAATGGAATATCATTCAGCTTTCAAAGACATGAAATTCTGGCCCACGTTACAACATGGATGAACCCTGAATACATTTTGCCAAATAAAACAAACCAGACATAAAAGGACAAATGTGTGATTCTACTTAGATGCAGTGCCTGGAATAGTCAAATTCAGAAACAGCAAGCCCAATGGTGACTGCTAGGGGTTAGGGGAAAAGGAGAATGGGGATTGTTTAACAGGTATGAGGTTTCAGTAGGGAAAGATGAAAAAGTTCTAGAGATGGACAGTGGTGATGGTTGCACAATAATGTGAATACGCTTAATGCCATTGAATTTACACTTAAAATGATAAATACATTATGTATATTCTACCATAACAAAAACATTTAAATGAAAAAGAAAAAAAAAAGATTCTTAGAGCAAATCCTCTCCCCACCCCAAATCCAGAATCTACCCACTTCACGCCCTTCCACGTTTGCCTAGGCCCCCATCATCTTCTGTCTGGAGTGCTACAACAGCCTGCTAGGGGTCCCCTGGCCTCCTGCCTGTTCCCTGTACATACTATTCTTAACAGAGCCCCCAGAGCAGTCCTTTTAGAAGTCAGATCGTGACTCCTTGGCTCAACCCTCCAGAGACTTGGAGAAAAATCGAGAGTCTTTACAATTGTCTCATGGCCCTGGGTGTTCTGCCCCAGCCCTGTCTCCGAAGGCCAGCTCGCTAGTGCCTTTTTTTTTTTTCTCCAACTTTTAAGTTTAGGAGTACACGTGCAGGTTTGTTACATAGGTAAACTTGTGTCATGGGGGTTTGACATGCAGATTATTTCCTCACCCAGGTATTGAGCTTAGATATTTTCCCTGATCCTCTCTCTTCTCCCACCTTCCACCCTCCGGTGGGCCCCAGTGTGTGTTGCTCCCCTCTACGTGTCCATGTGTTGTCATCATTTAGCTCCCGCTTATAAGTGAGAACATGTGGTATTTAGTTTTCTGTTCCTGCATTAGTTTGTTAGGAATAATAGTGCTTTTACTAGTCACCCCCTCCCTCATTCAGCTTCCACCACCCTGCAGTCTTCAGGCTCTCAGCATTTGTCTATTTCCATCTGGAATTTTCTTCCAGATAGCCACAGGTCCTGGTCACAACACTTCAGGTACAGTGAGGCCTTGTGTGACCACCCCATTGAAAACAGCACCCCACCCCACCCCATCCTCTCCCCTGCACTCAAGTCCTCCAGAGCATTTAACACAGTCCAGCCTGCTGTATAATAGACTTATGTTTGTATGTTTTTCTTCTCTAGATTATAACCTCCCAAAGGCAGAGATTTTCTTTCATGGTTGTATTCCCAGAAACTAGAATAGCGCTTTGACATATATTTGTTGAAATATATTATTGATTTAACGACTAAGTTACTAAGTTATTGAAAAATTTTTATTATAAAATTTAAAGAGGAAAAAACTTTAATTTTTACTGATATGAGAAGCACTCAAAATAGTATAATAATGCCTCTATTTTCAGTCAGACTCTAATCTCTTTCTCTGCATTTATAATTATTTTCCTAGACTAGATTACAATCAAGAGGAGAAGGTGTATTTTTTTTTGTTCCCCCAAATGGCTCACAAATTGGGAAGAACTTACAATTTAATGATCCTTCTATTCAGAGAATGGTATGTTTATTTATTCAACTTTTAAAATATTTCTCTCATTTTTGTCAAATTTTCTAGTTTTTCTCCTACTAACCATTCACATAACTGGTAAGGTTTCTTCTTGTTGCTGTGAATGGAATCTTTCATTTTTCTTTGTGTAAAAAGGCTATTTTATCTTTAAAGATTTAGGCCCTTTCCAAGGGAGTTAACAAGTTAGAGAAAACTCCAAAAGTGGCAAATCCATTATGTATTTCCTAGGATTTTGCCAAATCCAAGAAGTCAATGGTTCTTTCTGGCTCTGACCCCTCTGAAACATCCTGGTAGCATAACTCTTCAGAGATGATTTGTACCATGATCCCCCGAAACATATACACCTCTCACATTTCTCTTTTTAAAACCTATCTGCCATGGTCTGAGGTCATTTAGTTTCTCTTGTCTCCTCCTAGGTCTCAGTTAACTCTTTTGGTCTTCTCAGGAAGCATCTTCTTCGTGAAATCATCATCAATAAAAATCTTCAATGCTTAGCTTCAAGTTTGCAGGTATTGTTTCTTTTCATGCAAGTTTTCTTGATCTTTCCAACCGCATTGTGGCTCTTTCCTCCTTGCTATACCGCAGTGCTTTGTCTATGCTCTATTAGCGAGGTATCTCTTCGGAGAAGGTGCATTTTGTGTTGCTGTATTCCCATTTCAGTCTCATCTCACCCAATCTCAGTTACCCATAATAGGCTCTTTTCTCCTCCACTTCCTTTTCTCAGTCACCCAATCTCAGTGGACTGGAAGATCTTATTCATGAAACCTGAGACTCCAGGGTTACTCTAGAGTACCCCGAAAACTGGAGAAATCCACAACTTTAACATCTATATTTTTACAGCAAAGATACTCTAGAGTATCTTAAAAGCTAAAATCCACAATATTAATATCTATATTTTTATGGCAAGGTAGAAATATATCAGTAGAATGCTAGAGTCCTCTCTGCTGGCAATGCTACCACTGATGTATGGGAACTTCACATCGACTATCAAAATCAACTCTGCTTTCAGACACTGAAAAGTGTCATTAGAATCTGAACTTGCAAACACTTCTGAAAGTGTCTTTGTGTTCCAGGCTGGTGAAATACCATGGTGGGACACTGCAGAGGTCATAAAGTTGTTGGACTCTTTCTCAGAGGCCCGAGCCTTCCAGTCTGAATTCATTATGGTAGTTGGGCATGGGGTTGAACTGGGTGGTACGCAAGCATCCCTGGATGAGCAGTAAGTGGTGAATTTGCCACCTTGTACTTTAACCAGAGACAAATTCTAAGTTCATATGAACCTTGGCATGAAGAGAAGTCCCACTGAATCCTTCAGTAGCTGCACATCTTGGGTAGTCTGGCTCAACACTTCCCTCTGAGAAAGCCTACAGACAAAGGAGTGCAAATGCCAAATTCTCTGTTCTGGGCCTTATCATTAAGAACTAACTTTACTGTCTTTCATTTTAGCTGAAAAAAATTCTTGCAAATTTCAATTATATGGTATATATATTCACATCAAAATATAATTATCTTCATGACTTCCTAGTTTATCAATAGCATTTATCACTTCCTCTGACTCAAATCTTTATTCTATGGCTTCTGGTACTCTCTGGAATACTGTATATTCTGTAATGAAAAGATGTCTGCCATGACTTACAGTAATGATGTTAATGACATTCAGGTAACTTTTTGTGACCTGGTCTTTGCTCAACTTTCTGGTTCTAGCTCCAATCATTTTCTGCCTTGGTAACACCACACTTGCTCCTTGCTTGGGCTGTTCTGTACCTGGAAAACTCTTTTCACACCCACCTTCCTGGACAGCTTGGGGAACAGTAGTACCAAGACACTTTTCCAAACAACAGCTTGGGCGTCCAGCGCTCTCTTCTCTGTTAGTCCCTGTGCATTATGAGCATAACAGCTAGCGTCTTACATCCTAATTGTCTGTGGGACTACTCCATGACAAACTAGCTCTTCAGAATGGACTCTTTTTGAAACTTTTGATCCACTGAACCCGGTATAGGTCCTGAGACATAGGCACTCCATAAATCTCAGTTTAATTGAACTGAATTGGGCTCTTACATGGGATGGTTACTTTCTCCACGAAACTAGACAGGGCAGAACACCCAGAAAATAACTAAAGGGTGTTTCAGATAAACCCCAATATGTTTACAATTATTCTCAGCAGCTTTTGATTACTCAGAGACAAAGAAAACTCTTGGCTTGGGTTATCCCAAACAAACAAACAAACAAACAAACAAACACAAATCTTAGAAAATATGCAAATTAGATACCAGCTCACAGCATTTATGTGCTTCTTTCCTTTGGACATTTCTCTGGGGTGATGAGGAGCTGAAAAAGGGGTTATCATCTCGTGGGGGCTAAGAACCAATACTCAATCTAGCCATATGATACAAGAAAGAAACTTTGCATCTCTGTTCTCTGGCAAGAGAGTAATAAAAAAAAAAAACGATTAAAAAAGGTGTTTAGAGGGAAAGGAGGAAGAGCTAGTTGGGACCTGGATAAACTAGAAGTTAATTTTTATAAAAAATTTTTTGACTATATATCAATGCATACTGAGAACTAAACATGCAAAAGAAAATAGTCTTTCTAAAAAGGCATCAAGAGCACTAGAAAATGTGCAGTTCTGAAACTATTCTCTAGGAATATAGTTCCCAGAATAGTGAAGATAATTAAAAACATAATTCGTTTTATTTTAATCTTCATTATTGTCCTATTTAAAAACTTAAAAGTCGCAGAAAAATGAGGACAGTATTAGTAAAAAAAATTTTTTTCATTAAGAGAAACAAAATTTTAAAATACTATGATGTTATTAAGTAAGTTGTATGAGACAGGGTATGATATCTCAGTGTTCAATATATTTACTTGTTACACCATTCTTACAGATTTTTATAATTTTGTGATGGTTCTGCATTTTACCTTTTTAAAAAAATCTTTAAAAAGCCATCTCATAAAGCATCAGTTGTTTGATTACAAATCAGTCTGTAAAACACAATAACCTGCATTTCAAGACTGTAGAAAATGATTTTTAAATACCTCAAAACTTCAAAAAGCACTTAGCTAAAGAAAAACAGCTGTTATATGGCTTACATAGAAAAACTGACTTACATGGCTGAGACTTTTAGTTGCCCTTCATTCTATCAAATCTATCTCCTTTCTCTATCTTCTTTAGATGCAATCACTTTGGTCCTTGGCTGGACACCTTTTCCTCCAGCTCAAAGGCTACATCCCTCTGGCTCTCTTGTTGCAGCTACTTTGGCTATATGATTAGCTTTTGGTCAATGAGATCTAAGTAGAAACGTATTGGTAATGTCTAAGAAGGAGCCTCAAATAGAAAGGGTTACTCCTTCTTCCCTCTCTTGCTAGCTGGAAGGTTGGTAAAATGGCTAGAGCTCAGACAGCCATTCTAGACTGAGGAAGTACACTAAGGTTGGCAGTACAGTAAGTTAAAGGCAACCTAGTCTCTGACGACTGTGCAGATTCCATACCAGTCCTGGACTGCCTGTCTCCCAATTGACTTCTATTACATGGAAGATAAATACGTTTTTATCTTGTTTAATCCAGTTACTTTTTTAAATGCTGAAAAATATGCCATAAAGTAACTTGCTTTGGATGATGCATGCTAGGGAGCTTAAGTGACAACTTTGAACAAAGCAGCTTAACACCAGTCATTGACGAGCCCTTTACCTTACCATATGATGGAATGCAAGAATTATGTCCAGTTGGCTGGGCGTGGTGGCTCACGCCTGTAATCCCAGCACTTTGGGAGGCCAAGATGGGTGGATCACCTGAGGTCAGGAGTTCGAGACCAGCCTGGCCAACACGGCAAAAACCCATCTCTACTAAAAATACAAAAATTGGCTGGGCGTGGTGGCGGGCACCTGTAATCCCAGCTACTCAGGAGGCTGAGGCAGGACAATAGCTTGAACCCAGGAAGTGGAGGTTGCAGTGAGCTGAGATCACGCCATTGTACTCCAGCCTGGGGGACAAGAGCGAGACTTCATCTCAAAAAAAAAAAAAAAAAAAAAAACAAAAAAAAAAAAACAAACTATCTCCAGTTATGAGCTTTATTGAAACAGATGGCACAACGACTTTCATACTTTCTTTCATGAGTATTTCTGGCCTGTCATTCAAACAAAAACTGTGGTGGTTCCCACACTAGAATGCTGGGCCTGGAGGGCAGAGAGGCAGTCCGCCCTCTGCCCACCTCACTGACCCCACCTCACAGTGCTCTCTCCAGCTCTCTCTGCTGCAGTCACGGGCCTTGTGTTTGGATGGAAAATCCCGTTGCCACCTTGGAGAATGGGCACCTGCTACTCCTTGAGCGTGAAATGCTCTTCTTCATATGACAGGTATTCATTCCTGCATCATGTGAGTTTCAGCTTAACCGTCCCAACTTCAGAAAGACCTTCCTGGAACACCCATTATAATCCTGTCCCCTATCATATCTGTTCTGTGTTCCTCCCGTCACTTATCACTTTGTCAAATTATCTTTACTTATTCTTCATTTAGTCATTTGTTAACTGGTTTAGTACCTGTTTCTCCTTCCCATTCCCTGGCCCCCTCAATTAGGCAATGGGGATCCTGCCCAATTAACTTGGTATTGAGGAACAGTGCCTGGCACCAATTAAGTCCTCAACACATATTTATGGAATGAATGAATGCGACAATGAATTGACTCTAGGGCTGAATAGTTAAAGCTGTGCCGTACCAGGAGCAGGCTTCGTTCAGCTTTCATACGTTGCTCATCACTGTAGCATACGGGTACACCATGGCCTCTCTCTCGTTTATGACATCAATGCCCCACCATTAAACAAAGGGATCCTTGAGGACAAGGCCAATTCCATTCATCCTTGCATCCTCCAGTGCCTAACACAGGCCCTGGCACACATTAGACGCTCGATCTACACTTGCCGTATATTGCAGGCAAAGGTGCTGTGGTTACAAAACACAATGCTGGTTCTCGTAATGGCTCTAAGGAGAGCTCTCACTGTAAAGTGTATGCAGATGTTCAGAGGTCCTGATTCACGATTACGTTTGTCATACCCATGTCTCCCTTTTCCTCTCAGCATTTCCATATATACTTCTCTTTACAAAATGGGCTTGGAAGTGGCTCTTGGCCAGCTGCCTTTAGAACAGTGAATGAAGGTCTACCTGTTTCATTTACTGTTGGGGGCATGAGGACTGTGACCAATGGCAGGTTTTACTGGATGGACTCACAGTCATTGGCTCATTGAAGAACATCTGACAGAATTTTGCATAGTTGTTCCCTCCAGGCTACTTGGCTAAACACAGTAATCTCAGATGAAACTCCATCATATCATAACACTGCCCCACCTCAGCAACAAGGGTTGGTCTTAAGACCAATAAATTACCACATGCTACGGAGGTAATTAAAAGCTGATAGATCAATAAAGACTCTTTTAACCAGGAAATTCCTCATATGAAAAGTAATTTATTATGTTGGATAAAATAGGCAACAGCACAATTTAGGAAAATCATATCACTAATGTAGTTTATTAATACCTTTCCTACAGGGCTGACACCAAAGGGTTCAACAAAGATTTTTATTGTTTTTCAGAAAGCCTTTACAAACCTCAATCAAGAGATCTGAAATTCTGTAAAACACATGCTCGTTCCTTAACTTCAATTTCCTTCAGTAGTTTTATAGATCCCTTAGGCCAGGGAGAGCAGAAACAGATGGTGCTCGGGAGGACTTTACAGTGCCTGTCTGCAATGCCACAATAAATTTAAAGGTTTTGCTGATACTAAGCTTCTGTTATTAATCCTGATATGAAACGATCCCTGCTGTAGCTGGTTTTTTATTTTTTAATCTGGTTTATTAATCATTGGCTAAACTATTTTCTCCTAGAAATTCAAAAAATACTCAGTAACATCATTTAGACGAGTCGGAAAAGCAGGCCAACATATGTTTATATAACATAGCACTTTTCCCCAGGGCCTACCTTGCCCCATAAATTGTTGTACTGGTGTGAAAAAATACAAGTCAGGTCTGAAAAAAAGTTCTCCTCTTAAATCACAACCATATTTGTGAGAGGAGAGGAAGACAGCAACTTATTTAAAGCGACAGCCAAGTTCGTCACACTAGTTTCTTTTTCCTTTCCTAAATGATTTCTTATTGTTGCATTTTCCAATTGTCTACCTTACCCCCACTGCCCCTAACCCCCGATATCGTAATTCCTTTTGAACAGTTAAATATTTCAATAATTTATGGTTGTGGGACACTTGTTAATCATTATCATTTGAATCATTATCATGGGTAGAGATGTCGAATTACTGTAGTGGAAACAAAGTGCAAAACTATAGGTGGGAATGTTTTCCAAATGAGAACACCCTGCCCACCAACTGAGAACAACCAACTCTCGGCTGGGTCTACAGTAACCAAGTCTGCACTAAACTCTGAGATATTTGAGGAATAGCTTTCTGGTCACTTCAGGCATGCAGAATGAGCGGAAGCAAAAGGGGAAAAGCTATCTGATGCCCTGAAAAGAACTTCTGGGCAGAGACAAAGGCAGCTAAGGACAGCTGAAGATGGAAATAGTATATGCACATCATGACTGGTCAGTTCATCAACCAGATGGAACTAAGTACTTCGATGGGTGGCACTGATGCTAGAAGGGCATTAAATTAAAGTTGATAAGTCTGGGAGAAAAGCCACAGGGAAGGGGAAAGAAAAGATGAGAGAAGAAATGGAAAAGGAACAGACAGGAGTGTGCACGGTGCATCAGGGGACAGAATCAGGCTGGGTTCACACTGTAGTTCAGATACTCTGGAGCTGTTTGACCTTCAGAAAGTGTGTCTTCACTTTGTGTCTGTGAAATGTCTAAAAGGATTTACCTTACAGTGTGGCTGTGAACATTAAATGAGTGACTACATGAAAAGTGCCTCTAACAGTGACTGGCCCTTCATCAATGGGGCCCTATTATAGCTGAGTGGCAACCATTCGTTTTCTGATGATGTAGGATGACTGGGTTTTCTATTTAATAGTTTTTTTAAATTTTTTTTAACAAAATGGGTATTATTTATGCTAATATTGCTGTTAAGAAGAGGCAAGAGGCTAGGATATGAAGTGAGATGGAATTTCTCTAAATAGGGTTGAGGGAGTCAGGTGGGTGTTGAGAAGGGGGAATTATAACTCTGGGCACTTTTTTAAAGAGATGGGAGCACTTTCATATCTGGCTAGCTTATAGAAATTGTTCAGGGCCCTGGGAAAAGCGGGGAAATGGCAGATGGACTGAATGCAAGGAGGATGGCTACAAGACAAAAAGAGTTATCACCTGAGAGTACGGAACAGCAATGGGCCCCAAAAAGAAGGTACTGAATTCCTCAGGATGCTAGCAGAAACCAATGGGATTGAAAAGAATGACCTGGGTTAAATTCTCTGGGTCACTGGCTATTTCTTTGCTTACTACACAGATTTGGAACATGAGTTTAGCGAAAACAAGGAGTATCTGGCATTAAACATAGCGCCTGGAGAACTCAGTAGGTACACAATAAATGTTGGTTCCCTTCCCTCCCCAACTTAGGGAGCAAGGATTTTCTTTCAACACATTGAGAGAAATGGCTCTGTCTTTGCTGCAAAGATGACCCAAGAATGTAAGTTGGAAATGACTATAAAGTCCTGATTGTGTGAATCTGCATGAAGCTGAATATAGAAGCATGAGACCTGTACCTGTAAGTTGCTGAATTTGTATAATTTGCACCCCGAGATCCTGTTAACTAGAGCAAAATATCTGTGCCCTTTTAAGATAGTTCTCTGAAGTGGACGCAGTAAAGAGAGGCATACAAGAGAAACTCTTAGGAATTGGAAGACAAACTCAGAGGCATAGAATGTAGTGCTGCTTAAGTATCACAGTGGCTGGGAGCTCATCTGCCTGGCCTGGGAAGGATTAGTTAAATGAGACCAGCATCCTGTTCTGCTGCTGAAAATCTTCATGTGTTGGAAATCACAAGATGTTGGAAAGATGTACTTATGTGAGCTGAAAGCTGCTTCTCTATAACCTCTATTTCACTGTTTCTCATTTGTTTGTCTAAAACACGGAAGCAAGCAAAAAATGTTATTTGCCAATCACTTAACACTCATTTATGGGGCACTAGGGGCCCCGCACCATTAGGTCTGAGTGAATGAGGAAAGAAATGAAGATACAGTCATCGCTCGAGAAGCAGTTTAAGCATTCTGAAATGGTTACTGTGGCACTGATGTGGAAGAAGGACTGAGGAAGAACAAGACCGCTGCAATGTCTATAGAGAGGAAATGGCAGAGAGAAGAACATGGAGGAGGTAGTGCTGCCAGTAAAACAGAATACAGAGATTTCCTTTCCTTTACAAATCCCTGAAATACCTGCGAGGACTGAGGGTCCCTTTAGACTTCTAATTTCCAGATCAAATACCATGCATTCCTCTTAGCAACTATTATCAGAGAAGGAGCACAGGGCAACGTTTAAGGTAGCAGACCTGGGGATCAGACATCGAAGTTGAAACCTTATCTCTGCCACTATGAGTCAGATAGTGATGTCAGATAAGGTTCCTAACTTCTCTGTGCCTCAATTTCCACATCTGTAAAGTGGTGATCATGGCAACCCATTTGGTGTGAGGATCATGTGAGTTACCGACAAGCACTCTCTCCTGATGTTCATGGCAAACACAACGGAGTCTGCCCTGACTTCTCCTCTGTCTCCTCACATCCAACCTGTCCATCAATCCTATTGGCTCTGCCCTCAAACTGTATTCAGAATCCAACCACTTCTTACCACTGCTGCCCTCCGGGCCCCACACACCATGATCTCTCACCTGTTTTACTGGAATAGCCTCCTAAGCGGCTTGCAATACAACAGTCAGAGTCCTACAGCGAAAATATAAATCAGGTCATGACACTTCCCTCTCAAGCTCCTCCAGTTTTTTTTTTTTTTTTTTTTTAATCTGACTATGAGTAAATGCCACAAGGCTTTATGGGAAACACAACTGAAAATATGGCTCTTGGTTCCCCTTACCTGCTGTACTTTTCTCTAGGCACTTAAACATTTCCATATTTCATTACTCATTGTATTTATGGTCTGCCCCCTTGCACTAGAAAAGTGAGCTATGGGAGGGCATGGGTTTCTGTCTGTTTCATTCAGGACTGAATCCACAGTGCCTAGAATAGCGTCAGACACACAGAAGAATCTCAATAGCTGTTGGATTGATTGATTGAAAAAAAATATATATATAGTCCTTACAGAACTACCTGGGATAAAGTAAGCGTTCAATATTCATGAGGTATTATTGGTGTTATTCTTCCCAGATCTTGGTTGCCTTTTTATAGAGCTCCTCTATTCAGTCAACGTCCCTTTAGAACCACACAGTGTCTCACTCTCCAAAATACCTCCTGAACCAGCACAGAGCAGAACAGGGCTGCTATTCTCTGTCTGCTCCACCTCTACAAGGTACCATCCTGGAGACCCTTATTAAGCTTTTGGGCAACCAAAACACACTTACGTACATAATTAATTATTTAGTGTGGAAGGAATTGCTGCCAAATCAACACAGGAAAGGACTGGGATCCTGGGGATATGATCTTTGGATTAGATACTTATGACCCTGTTAGTGGTGGTGACAGAAATTACCTACACCCTGCATCAGGAATCCTGCAGAACGGCCTCAAGTTCTCGGGGCTGCTCTGGGCCGTGTTTCATTACGTGGATATCATAAACATGTCAAGGCAGCAGATGCTAACATTTAACTTATGCTGGCATTACTTACAATATATTACTATATGCAATAGATAATATATGTAATGTACAATATATTACAATAATATATTGCTATGAAAGTTAACAGTTGAATAAGCTTTAAGACAGTTGGCCAATTATGTATATGCCTACAGATATAAATATTGGCACATACATGAATCTTTCACATTTATATATGTATGTATATATATGTATATATTTGGCTATATTCTTGATTGAGATAAGAATTTTAAGATTAGAAAAATATAGACCTAAGAGTAGTCACTACTTGTTGAAATTAACTGAGTTGTAATGTAACATAACTAGTGACCCTATATCTATAATAAAAATGTTAGAAATTGAATACAGCTACAACATTTTTTGGGACTTATTAGCCTAATGCCCAAGAAACAGTAAATGGAGATGATTTACCTCGGAGAATCTGAGTGGCATTCTCACTATATCCTTATATTGGCATTATTGTGAGGCTCATTTACACGCACACACACCCACATCCCACCACACCCACATCCATACCCACACCAAAATGCTTTGGGAGCACTAAAGTGCTACATAAACTT
Source organism: Homo sapiens (assembly GCF_000001405.40). Taxonomy (NCBI): domain Eukaryota; kingdom Metazoa; phylum Chordata; class Mammalia; order Primates; family Hominidae; genus Homo; species Homo sapiens. Next base: position 42,441,729 of record NC_000004.12, read on the forward strand.
AAAGTATTCTTCTTTTGTTTGAATAAACAGACATTTTGGACGTGCTAGTCAAGCCTACCCTACAGCTGAATTAATCCATTTTCATATTTTCAGTGGAGCACCAGCTATTTAAACACTATATTCAGAGTAGCAGTAGTAATAAAACAACAAGAAAAGAACCTCTGTTAGCATTCCCACTGTATCTGAAGTGAACAGAAATGTGATGGAGTACTGACATTCATTTCACTTTGAATTAAACACAGCATCACCATGAGTCTCAAGAGACGATATTAAGTTTTGTGTTTGGGTAATACTGGGAATTCTACAGGCAAGGGTAGAATTATATTTGGTGGGCAAAAAGCCAGTCAAACTTCACACTTGTCCTAGAAGTAGGTGGTCAAAACCTCAGTTCTTGTCATCAAACCTATTGGCCACACTTGCTTAAACCATCTGGGTCTCAAATCTTTTGTGTTATTCATTTTGAAAATAAAATAAACATTAAGAAATGAGATAAAGGAAGGCAAAGACTTATGTCTAATGAAAAAGATATCAAGTTAAAATCGACCTAAGGGAAAGGCAGGTCCAATGAGACAGAGCACATCAGATAAAAACAAAGAATAGAATTAAATTTTCCAAATGTCATAATCAGATACATACACATGCACATACTTTTTTTCCTTCAGTTGTATTCCTTTATTTCAGGAAAAGGACTCAGAAACCAAGGTAAAGAGGAGACCCACTCACGGCATTCTCCCTGTTCTGCTTAGAATACATGCTGTTAAAATTTCTAGTTTTCACAATATATGTTTCAAAAGAAGCCTTCACTTTTTGTAGAAGGAAGTATATACTCCTTGATATGTCTGGTTTTGCTGTAATAGTATATAATGCCTCTCTCTAATAAATTTAACCACAAATTTTTAAAAATGTGTCTGCATTCTGCTAATTTATAAAAAGCAGGATGCTGTCAGATAAAATTTCATGAAAATGATCTATAAACCAGACTGTCAAAAGTGAAAGGTACTCAGGCAGTACTTAGGGGCAACAAATACATGAAAACCACTGGAAAGGGTTCCTGGGACTGCGGTAAAACAATGTACTGTCACGGAGCTCACATTACCTTGATTTGCAAGTTACTGTGAGGTCACAGGAAATCCCAAAATGTTTTCCACATTTACTTTTATACATTTTATGTCAAATTTCCTGCAATTGAAATCATAAACCCTCCTACTGCTGGAATCTCTTCAGAAGGAAAGGAGATCTTTTGACACTCCCCCATGAACACCTAATAACTCAATTCCTACCCGTGTAACAAGAAACTGAAAGACAGAATTGAAAATGGACTATGATAAGGCTGAAATGTCAGATGCCCTAATTCTTTCAAAATGAAAACCAAACTGATGTCATTAGGACAACTCAAAAAGTGCATTTAATCTAGTGACAGCAGATTTTTCTCTGGAATAAGAGATAACAGAAGAAATGATAGACTGTCCCCAGACAGAAACTCACCATTTCCCCAAATCTTTAATCAAAATGTATTTGTGGCTTTATGGTGTAATTTTAAAATGGCATCTTCTATATGGATATTCTTAACGAGATTCAAGCTCCCGACAACCATATTTTATTGTCTTGGTTATGTTTATGAAAAGGTAAGTCAGATTTAAGTAAAATGTTCAAGTTTAAAATATTCTCTCAAGATTAATCACTCGAAACTGTGGAATTTAAAAACAGCTTTTAAATGGTCAAATCCTATTTTAATATAAATCAACAAGATGGAAAATTATGCTAAACGATTAAGGTTTGCTAAAAAATACCAGTTTTTAAGGTTTTGTTGGATTGTGAGTTATTAGCGCACATTACCTCTCCTGACATATCAGGGGCCATCGGAATGGCAGGCCACAGAGATGAGTAGATTCCAAAAAACACCACCCAGAGTGCGATGCTCCCCCATATCGCTATGTGGCTGAACTGTAGAGCAAGGAAATCTGAGTCAAAAAAGTTTTATGTAGACCGAGTACACAAATACTAATGAAACTCTCTCAAATTCCCTTATTAACTTTTTATTATATCCATAAAAATATTATCTATAGGAGTTTCTACCTAATTGTGTGTGTTTTTTAATTGGATCTTTAAGTGCTAATCTCTTCTACAACAGTTGCAATGTTTGTGGTACTGGAATTTCGAACTGTTCCTCCTCTAGCTTTTTTGGTAGTTTTCTCCTCTTACGCTTACCTTTTTTACCCCTGAACATTTGGAAGCCTGCCTTACTCTTGGTCTGCATGCTCTCACCGAAACATGTCAGACCCTTGTGAGAATATTATATGTATGCTGATGGCTGTTAAATCCAAACGCCTTGTGGCAATCTTTCCCAGGGACATGAAACTTTAATGTCTTTTTGTTTCCGGGGTCTCTACTGGACGGGGGTACACCGCAAAACTAACGTATCTAAAATGGAACAAGACTGGGTATTTGTCAATGTCTGAGGACAAATCTTTAATATTTTCAGTCTTCAGAATCACTTTCCAATGGGTTTGCTGCAGAACACCAGTCCAGTGACACCTCTAAGAAAAGACTTGTAATCCGTAAGTTTAAAGTCTCACCACTTCCTGGGATACTCATAATATATGACAATACTTTAAAGGCTCTGAGAAGTCTTGTGGTAATGCACTTGTTTAAGTTTGTTTAACTCAGTATTTCCCAACTAAAACCTCCAGTTCTCCTTCCCCTACCCCTGACACCCCACAATTGAAAACCTGTGGACTAGGACATATTAACCTGGGACATATCAAGTTAGAGTGAAGACCACCACCAAGACTGGAGATAATGCACAAGTAAATGTGACATTTCTTGGTTGTGGTTAGATATTTTCTTACCCATGTCCAATATGATGTCTCCAATCCAGCTTTCAAACACACAGTTATCACCACAAACTAAAACAGAAGGGGAAAATGTTATTTTACCTCATAAACATGAAAGTTCATCAAATGACTGAAGGATTTATAAAGAACAGAGATCTCTGAATGTAACTATGGGACTAGGAGACTGCTGCTTGCTTTGTATATCCAACCAGCAAAGAGACAGGTAAATTAGCTGGGCAGCTGACGGGACTGTGATAGGTCAGAGGTGCCCAGGGCAGCACTGCACTTCCGGCTTCCTTGCCTCTCCCTCACCTGCACAGCCTGACCCTCCATCCACGAGTTCCTCTGTATGTGTTTTCTGCTTTTTGTACAATTCATGAACAGCAACAGCACATGCCTGGGTTAATTTGAGTTTTCAAGCTTACTTTACCTTTATTTTAAATCTCCTTTCATATTAAAAGTCCAACTTTCTGAATTTTAAAGACAAATTTTAATGAATAAAATAACCAGACATTTAGAAATCTAAATGCTTACTCTGGAACTTTACTTAAAACCTTGCTGAGTAGGACATGAGACATTTCTCCATGATATATGCACCCATCGCTGGGGCTTACGCTAGTCATTCTGAAAAAGGAAACTGGGGTTGGATTAATTGCTCTGTGTTTTCCACAGTGTAACATAATTATGAAGTGTACTTGCCATGGAGTCAGACTACCTGTGCCCAAGACGTTATCACTTAGCTATTGTGGTTAATGAACAAAGCAAGTTACTTCACGTCTCTGTGTCTCGACTCCTATACTTGTAAACTGGGACTGATAAAGCTTACCAATCTTACAGAGATTTTTTTTTTCTTTTCTTGAGAGTAAAACTCTAAAATACTCAGAACAGTGATTAACATGGAATATTATTTATTTATAATAATACAATCTTAAATATTGTTAGTCGTCAAGGAAACCCTAGGCACCTTTGATAGTTGTGGTGATGGAAGTGATGTTTGCTAGCACTTGATCAATAAATGCTTGAAGTGCCCAGTTCTACTTTAAGGCACATTAAGGGTTTGCACACAGCATGTGATAAGACACTTCCCAGTGGGGTTGTAAAGTCAGGTTACAGTAAGAACAGTTGAGCTTTCTCAGCAGGATAGCTAATGGCAATTTAGGTTATTTGTTAAAATAAAACTTACTAAATGCAAAAATTAATTTATGTGATCCAAACATTCTAAAAGAAGAGATATAGGCCAGGTGTGGTGGCTCATGCCTTTAATCCCAGCACTTTGGGAGGCTGAGGTGGGTGGATCACCTGAGGTCAGGGGTTTGAGACCAGCCTGGCCAACATGGTGAAACCTTGTCTCTACTAAAAATACAAAAATTAGCTGGGCGTGATGGCACACGCCTGTAATTCCAGCTACTCAGGAGGCTGAGGCAGGAGAATCACATGAACCCATGAGGCAGAGGCTGCAGTGAGCCAAGGTCATGCCACTGCACTCCAGCCTGGGCGACAAGAGTGAAACGCCCTCTCAAAAAAAAAAAAAAAAAAAGAGAAGAGATATAGTTTGAAATAAATTAAAGAAAAATACTCTCCTGAGACCTGGATACTGTAAAGTGTCCCCAGGAGACATCCATGACATACGCTCTGATCTATTTCTACCCACTGCTCTGCTTTCGCATTCATGTCATATGAGAAGGAGCCACCAGCCCCTGCAAACATACTTTTGCTTGTCTTTTACTACTTCGGTGGGTTGATGCCAAGAGAAAGGAGACCCCCCAGATTTGGCAAAACCTCATTCCTTCTGCTACTTAACGGCACTGATTTCCTATCATTCAGTTATTTTATTTCATTATTTGATAAAAATGAAATAAGACCCCATTATAAGCCCTGGGTCTTACTTAATTTTTAAAGGGAACCGTAAACAACCCTTAAATCCAGAAACACTCATATCACGTTTAAATTTAAAAATAAAATGAGGACAGATGAAAGGTTTTGATTTTACACGCAAACGAGACCGACATCCCGCACTCACAGTGTACACAAAGTTTCCCAGTAGCAGATAATCCGAGGTTTTCCCATTTCCAAATGCAGTACCTGTACGAAAAGGAGAGGCCTATTAGAAAGGAAAATGAGATTCTTTCAGAATCTTTTCAAAGATATTCAGAAAGTTTGAACGAAGGAAGGGAAATCAAGGGATACACAATGGAGCCAGAAATGAGATTAAAAAAAAAAACAACCCCAAACACTCTTGAGTGCTAACAAAGCTGCTGTAAAGATAGGCCACAAAAGACAACATTGAAGAAGGAAATCCGACTTGTTAACGAATTTTCAGAGTCCACAAGATTAAAAAAAAAAAATCCAACAAATTGTTCAAACAAAGCAGGAAAGGGCATTCTGGATCGTAATAAAGAACTCTGTTAACAATATGGATGAGAGTCATAGGGAATCTTCTCACTATCTCTCAATAAAGTTGTTGGCATTGGGCCAAAAGGGATTCATAAAAGCAACTCACAGAGGGCCAAGGAACACCAGTATGGTTTCAGGCATGTGGTTCTTTGAGGATCTGGCTGAGTATAGGGGCATATTTTAAAGTATTTTGTTATTTTAGCAATGACTAACAAACGTGGCTTTATTTCTATTTATTTATTTTTTTTAGACGGTCTTACTTTGTCATCCAGGTTGGAGTGCAGTGGCGTGATCTCGGCTCACTGCAACCTCCGCTCCCGGGTTCTAGTAATTATCGTGCCTCAGCCTCCGGAGTAGCTGGGATTATAGGTGTGCGCCCCCATGCCCAGCTAATTTTGTTATTTTTAGTAGAGACGGGGTTTCACCATGTTGACCAGGCTGGTCTCGAACTCCTGGCCTCAAGTGATCTGCTGGCTTTGGCCTCCCAAAGCGCTGGGATTACAAGAGTGAGCCACTGCACCTGGCCGCCTTCAAATGTGGCTTTAGACGAAGGAAGTGGTAGCTGATGCACAAAAATTTCTAGTACTGATAAAATCAAGTGAAAATAAGCAAGAGCTGAATAATTAAATCATTGATACCATTGAAAAATTAAAAATCCACGGTATATATAATACAGTGATGCATGCACATATTCAACGTTTATTCAGAGTCAAATATGTAAGGGCAAACTGTATTAGAATAAAGTATGGGATGAAACACAGAGAGTGGTACTGGTGAGCTTTGGAGACACCGAAGTTTAGTTCTATTACTATTAACAGTTGTGTCATTTTGGGTTATTTATAATCAATCCCTATGGAACTCTGTTTAGCTAAAACGAGTGAAGCTATTTAACCTGAGGGGGTTTTGAAGTGACAATGAAGTTCTGTATGTAAATCACCAAGCAGTATCAGGGCAAGGCATGTTCAGCATTTGAATAATTTGGGTAAATCACTCATTCTCATACTTCCTGGTCTATGGATCTCTTTACACTAAAAAATTATTGAGGGTCTCAAAAAGTTTTTATGTGGTTTATGTCTATCAATATTTACCAAATTAGAAATTAAAACAGAAAATTTAAAATTATGTATTGATTATCATAAATATAAAACCTAACACATGGTAATATAAATGACAGGTTTTCTGAAAAGTATTTTCCAAAGCAAACAAAAAAATAAGTGAGAAAAATGGTATTGTTTGGGTTTTCACAATCTCTTATTTCTGGCTTAATAGAAAGCAGCTGGATTCTCACGTTTTGGTTGAAATATAAAAGGAAATCCAGCTGCACAGTGATATGGAGTTACAAAGAAGAAGACTATTTTAATAATCTTTTCCAATAATTGTGGATAGTCTTTGATACTACATCAAAACTCAACAAGTAGCCTCCCTCCCTCCTTCTCTTTCTTTTCTTTTTTTTTTTTTTGAGATGGAGTCTCACTCTGTTGTCCAGGCTGGAGTGCAGTGATGTGACCTCAGCTCACCGCAACCTCCACCTCCTGGGTTCAAGCAATTCTCCTGCTTCAGCCTCTTGAGTAGTTGGGGTTACAGGCACACGTCACCATGCCCAGCTAATTTTTGTATTTTTGGTAGAGACGGGGTTTCACCAGGTTGGCCAGGCTGGTCTCGAACTCCTGACCTCAAGTGGTCCACCCACCTTGGGCTCCCGAAGTGCTGGGATTACAGGTGTGAGCTACTAAGCCTGGCCAACAAGTAGTTTCTCAAAGTGGTAGAGGTAGTTTCTTAAAGGTTGGTTGCCAGTGTGGAATCTGAAACTATATCAATGAACTTTCTGTACTTTATTGCATTAAAATCCATCAGTCTACTTTGTACTTTGCGTTTTTTTTTTTTTTTTTTTTTTTTTGAGATGGAGTCTTGTTCTGTCGCCCAGGCTGGAGTGCAGTGGCATGATCTTGGCTCACTGCAACCTCCACCTCCTAGGTTCAAGCGATTTTCCTGCCTCAGCCTCCTGAGTAGCTGGGACCACAGGCATGCGCCTCCACACCTGGCTAATTTTTGTATTCTTAGTAGAGACGGAGTTTTGCCATGTTGGCCAGGCTGGTCTCGAACTCCTGACCTCATGTGATCCACCTGCATTGGGCTCCCAAAGTGCTGGGATTACAGGTGTGAGCCACCATGCCCAGCCTACTTTGCACTTTGAATGGATCTTTTACCCATGCATGATTCTGCAGTCTCTGGTTCAATCCAGAAGGCACCATTCCTTGAGACAATCACTGCACTTTGGTATGCAGAACTGCTTTATATGTATGTTAATACTTCCCATTTTGTCAAATACAAAATATTATTAAGATGGTTCAAGTTTTAATAAAAGCATTAGTTTTATGGTGTCTTCATGCACATTCTTAAATGAAACCTAGTGCATGACGGTGAAGAATATAATGACTACTAGCACAGTGGTACCACTGTTTGTGGATGGCAAAAGGGTCTTGGGTATTCCCAGGGTCTACAGACTACTCTTTCAGAACTGCTGAGGCAAAGGAATAGATGAATATGTAGCTATATATTACACAGCATGTGTAAAGTTCTTCAGTATCCCCATCCTTTCAGAAATCAAAAAACAAAAGAACCCTCCCCACTAAAACATTCCTTATTTAAAAATGAAAACAAGGCGAAACAACAACTACAAATCTCTCAACATCAAAACCATAAAGTAGTTTATGCTAAACGTCAATTCACCCCTTAAAAAAAGAAAGCAAATGTTCCCTAGTCTTGGCTAGTTTTGGTCTCTATAAGCAGCACTCCCGTGAACTGCCTTGACTGAAGCTGGAGAGCTGCGCAGCTTTCCAGAGAGACGTAATGATGGATCTAGGAACTGCTTCTCTGGAAGATGAAGTCACTTGGGAATTCCTTTCAAACCCTGTCATTGCTAAGGTGTTTTGGATGCTATCTGGTTTAAGTGACTTTTGATATTCAATTTCTTTTTTTCTAATTTAGAAGGTTGAAATAGCAGTTTAGAAGACGGGCATACCTTATCTTTCAAACCTATATCAATTTTGCATTTTGAAAATAAATTTTACTTGGAGAGCTTGTCTGAGGTCAGGGTATCTTGAATTGTACCCTGGACCTCCATATCCTGTTGCTCCAAAAAGTGGAAACAATCTGAAGGTCCATCAACTGATGAACAGATTAAAAAATGTGGCATATCTATACCATGGAATATTATTCAGCCATAAAAAGGAAGTATTGATTCCAGCTGCAACATGGATGAACCACGGTCACATAATGATTCCATTTATATAAAATGTCTAGAATAGGTAAATCCATAGAGATAAAAAAAATGTAAGTAGTTGCCAGGGTCTGGTAGGGAAGGTGTGGAGAAACAGGGAGTGATTGCCAATGGATATGGGGCTTCTCTATTGGATGATATGAATGTCGGGCATCAGATAGTGGTGACATCTGCATAATTCAGTGAATATACTAAAAAACTACTGAATTGTACACTTTAAAAGAGTTAACTTTTATGGTATGTGAATTATATGTCAAAGCCAAACAAGCAAGCAACAAACTAACTCACTGTAATTCTCCTGGCCTCCAGGGTCAATATTCTACACTTTAATTAAATATTCTTACCATGCTCATTCCACAGCCTAGACATTGAAAAGTATTTACTGTTGTAATTTACTGAGCAATTAAAAAAGGAGATTAAAATCTTAGCTAGAATATGAAACCACTGCCTTCTTTGTAATACTCACCTCGCTTATGCCACAAGCTCTTGGTAATTCATTCACAATTTGCTGAGTGCCTACTACAAGCTACGCACTGTTCTAAGCACTGTGAATGCAACGAAACTACTAATTACCTGCCCATCTGAAGCTTCAATTTTAAAAGAGTTTTGAGAAAGATCATACAAAAGAAACAAACATATCAAAACCTGATTGACAAGTACCATGAAGACATACAGGCTGACAAGGGAATAGAGCCTAGGAGCAGTGGGGGCAGGTGGTGGCTGCTCTTTTGGACAGGATGATCGGGGAAGGCTTCTTGAGCACAGACCTGAGGCATCGGAGGGGAGAGAGCCAATTCGAATATCTGTGAAGAATGGGGAACAATTTGGAGGTGGAGGATTTTGTTCTAAGTATGCTAAATCTTTATGGAATTCTGAGGAGGGAAGCACCTGGCCTGATTCATGTTCTGCAGGGATCACTCTGGCTACCTATGGAGAGGAGATCATCAGTGGGCAGCAGCAGGCAGCACTCTCTTCTGTTGGCAACCATTAATTGATAGACGTAGGTATGGCCTGTACTTATAAAGGACTGACAATTCCTTGGGTGTACTATGTGTTGTGTTTTTGATTACCGTAGTATTGAAGCAGGCACGCTGAATGGTTGGTGTCTTCCCGAGGATCTCAAGGCAAAGTCGGCTCCAAGACAGAGCAGCACCAGCTTAAGAATCACAGGGATCTCTTTTCTAAAGTAGCTATTTAATGACTTTTATGTGTATAGGAAATGCACCATGATCCTCTTTCTCCAAACCGAGAGAATAAAATCACTTCCCTCAAAATGAGCAGAGTAAAAGCTAACACTCCAAGATGAACATAAAAACATATTAAAAACCTCATCCAAAACATTGGCTCAAGTATACTTCAAAATACCAGCATGTCTGATTAAGTTCAGTATAAAGGGCTTGATACAAGCCTCATAGGTATAATAAATAGGCTACATAAAATATTAGCACTTATTGTCCTCAAACTATACATCAACAGAGGGAAAAAAAGCCCTAAAATTTAACTCTCTGCAAGTTTGGAAAACATGAGACGTAAAGAAGAAAGGCTTTGCATATATTAAATCACTTTGCTCCCAAAGGAATAATAAAAATCTTCAAAGTGTGTACAATTTTTGGGTGCATGCATTTTAGGTTAAGAGAAATATCATACAATGAAACTGCTATACTTTTAAACATACATTGACAATGAGTTATTTTTCTAAAAAAGTAAAAAGTCATCTCTTTGCATTCATATCCCTTCTACTTACCATACTGAAGGGCTTTTAGTGGAAACCAAAACAGAATAACTGAGTGGAAGAGGCCATTTAAACAATGAACCCAGAAAACCTGAGGGAAAACAAAAATCCATGAGAACCATTTGCGATAAACTAGCTCTGTGAACTCTGACCTTTCTTTTTATCTATGAGCTAGATTCACAAAATGTGTTTCTGTCGGGCCACCACTGTGAATTAATAGAACTGACAGACACTTTCTGCCTCTTAGACTTTCATGGGTCATTTATTTATTTTTATGTTTCTCAAAATGTTTTTTCAGCTTCACTTGAATTTTTTTTTCTGCTTCTCAAAAACCAAATTTAAATTTCTGCCTGAAAAAGAAAATAAAATTTAAAATAAAAAAATGCAGAATTCTGAAATTCCTTAAGTGGGACTATTTTCATAATTCCAGAAGAATAGACTTTTAAAAGATTATAATTTGGGGAAATCCCTTTATATTCCCCACATATAACTGTAAGCTTTCCAATGCTAAAGATGTAATGCTTTCTCTTATCAAGAGATATAAAGATACTCTATACTATTCTCTGCAGGGTATCAAGATATATACTCGTTATAGCCAGTATTATATAATCATACAAATAAAGCACTGTGACTATGACTTTACTAAAGGCTTTCACAATTTAACAGTGTTAATACCAAGTTTTGTATAATTATAACATCATATAATAGTTACTACTTTTTATATCTATTGTATTTTAAGAACAAGAGAGCAAGCGTCACTGGTACTTTCTTTGTAACATGGATGTGAAAGATTAAGTTATAGAAAAACTGTTTAGAATTCTTATGGCCCCTCTGAACAGTTGTAGTTTTGTCATTTAAAAGTGCTTCTTGCAAACAAAACTTATGCTAAATAAAACTGGCATGTATTAATAGTTTTAAGCTGTTCAAACAACAGAAATTAAGTTGCCTGCCTCCCAAAATTTTCCACTGTGAGCTCAATCTCTTTTGTTAGTTCTCCCAGCCACACTGGATTGTATGATCCAATTTACGCTCCAATACATTACACATTTGAACTTGTGTTACTCATTAACCTTTGTCTCTTCTCCTCACTGTGTCATTACCACAAGTTTTTATTTGACAGAAAGCACAGGTGGGTGCAAGAAAAATTAGTTCTACTTTTCCATTTTCCTGACTGATACTTATTGTCACATGCTAATCCTTTAACCCCTGTCACGACCTCAGAACCTCCGACCCTTTTTACCATAACAAACATAAGCATCATCATTCAGGGCAACAATGCTCCCGCACTTGGAACCCCCAGCAACTGCTGTGTATACAACTGTGCATTTTGTAGCCATTTGTCCCTGAATTTTCAAACACTTATATGAGATTGAATCAAATACTTTTCACTGAAATCACTAGAAAAATCCATAAACCCTGTAAAACAGGGTTGGCAACTCGTGTATAAAAACTATAAACACTCAAATGGGTATAGAAATTGTATAACCCATTTGGGTTGATCTGATGACTTGTCTGAACTCCTGGGCTCTACAGATAATGAAAAGACTTTTTTCAACAATAAAAGATACGAGGAATGATGCTCCCACATTAAAACAATATACTACCCGCTATACCCTTTTCCTGGCCACAAAAATGTGTCCAAGTTGCCATGTACAGAAGAATGTGCCTTTGCAGGAATGATTTGGGGTAATTCTGTGAGGATCAATTTATGTTTTTAAGCAAGAATGGCATGGCCAAATTTGTGGTTAGAGGCTAAATTCAGAGACAGTACCATGGAGCCCACACTATGGTAGACGAGGCCTGTGGCTGAGGTTGGTTGGTGAGAATTATTGTTAGTATACCAACCAGTAGACCTGGAACTTCCCCAGCTCTCAGATCACTTTTTCAGGGGAACCAGAGGCCATAGTCTGATTGTGGCTTGCCATCATTTGTGAATGCTCACCATAGGTAATGAAAAACATTACAGCAATGTGATGAAATTTAATACAAACTGGGCATCACAAATAAATTTAAAAATCTAGAAGTAAAAGATTTAAAAATGAAAGCAGAGATAACTGCACATTAATAGTATTAGTTTTAAGAGAGTCCACTAAAAATACTTTTCAGAACCAATGGCATAAGTTAAAGAATCCTTCAGTCTGTCTGTCCTGAGCTAACCAAATTCATTTATTTAAAACAGTGCCACCAAGTTGTATGCATGTGTACAGCTGGATACATAGGCACGCTGTGTTCGTGAAGATCACGTCTCAGAAGAATAATGTCTTGCCCATAAACCTAGCACTATCGTTTATGCTGTGAGGTTAGAGGCACCAAAACACCTGTTTCACTTTATTCTCTTGGCATATGGAAAATGCCATTGAAAAGCTTTATGAATTCCTAAATATTTAAAATATCCTACATTAACTGTCCTGAATTCAAGATTCTGAGTTAAGGTTACATCTAATTATCAGTAACATGCTAATAAACATGCACTATATTAAACAAAAACAATTCTGTGAAAGTGTATTTTATTTGTTGCTTTCATAACACTAATATACAAATGTTAGTTTCAAAATGACACCTAACTTGATTGTTGTAATATTAAATTTTTTCCTCCTCACTCACATTAAACAAGAAATTGAATTATTAACAAATACCAATGGAAACACTTTAGAATATATACTTGCAGGAAAGTAAACTATATAGAAAATGAGGTGTGTGTGTGTGTGTGTCTGGGATAAATACTATTGGATCACACCCAGAATGTGATTTTAGATAAACTGTTGGATATTTTATCTTGTATTTTTAATTTTAGAGCTTGGAAATACTGAGTACTATTTCCCAGAGACTGTAATTTTAATGCCTGACACAATCAATCTAAAATTCTAATGAGGACAAAGTTATTTCACAAAATGGAAAATCAGTTAAGGAACAATAAAATACCTCTCTCACTCCTTTACACACATAAAGCCAGTCCTTACCAGTCCTAGATGACTAACCCCTGTGAGGAGTGAGCATGTCACCACAACACTGCAAAGACAGAAGGCCAGAGAACCAAAAGGACAATGATTTTTATACGTCAGGCCAGCTTTATTGCTGCCTTACAAACCCAAGTGAATTTGGTTACATTTTAATAATAAAACACACAAAAAACCCCAAACTCAACCAACCAACAAAAAACCTTCTCTGCCTGTATCAGAACCTTAAGAAATATGACTTGCCATAGTCGGTACCCTGGAGTTGTCTCAGGCTAGTGTATCCTTGGCCTTTGAAAACCACATACCCCATATAATGAGGGCAGTAAACACAGACCCACCAAACATGTCCCAGCCAGGGCACTGTGTCCTACCTTGGTGTTGAAGTCCAGGGCATTCTGAGATGTTTTGTATAATTCAGGGTACTTCAACATGTTCTCTTTTCTGCATGATCTCTCAAATATTCCAAGAGTTAAAGGAGGCATTGCTGTAAACATCTAAAGCGCACAAACTGGTCATTATGTCAAGCAGCCAAATGCAGGGTGAACCTTTATCTCCCAAGTATTCAATGAAACAGGAATTATCAAATGTCCTAAACTTACCACGTTATAGAGACCTATACACCATCTTTCAAAGAGGATCTGTCCAGAAAAGCCATTAACAAAGGCAAACCAGATCTAGGAAAAAAAACCCAAAACCCCCAAATTAGAATACAAAAGCATAAATGCATTGCTTAGAATCTGTTGTATACTCAACTGCTGCATAATAGCAGCATTAACATATTATACTCATGACTCTTTTGAAAATGACATTTCTTTGGTTTACTTTCTGATTGAAAGAGATGCTTTCATAGGGTATTTGTTATTTATGTCAGAATTGGTCCTGCTTGCTGAATCAAAAAAGAAATATATGAACAGGCAATCACGATTTAAAAATGATAAATAATCTTGTTTTTCTTAACGGTACTTTCAGAGAATATATTTATATGCCATTAAATTTTTACAGCTTCAATTCCCTTTTAAAATATCAGGATTGTAGTTATTTAAAGATTGTTTTTTAAAATTATAAAAGTAACACTTGTTTATTTAGGAAATAGTTTCCTGCAATAGTACAATCACCATTTTTGTCTGCACTGGTTGTATAGTTCATTCAAATTCACAAATTTACCTTACTGGAAACCTGCATATAGAGAGTGTCATACTCTGCTCCACCCCCTTAATATTATGTAATATGCATTTTCTTAAGTTGTCACATATCCTTTAAAATGATGTTAATGGATATGTAACCTCTACAATGTGGATGTAACTATTTTGGACATTTAGCTGGCTTCCAGTTGTTTGCTATTATAAATAACTCTAAACTGAAACCATATATCTCTCTTTTTTCCTTAGGGTGAATTCTTAAGGTGGAATAGGTCAAAGTACATGAGTCTTCTTAATAGTTCTTGATAACCACTGCCAATGGAATCTTAAATTTGAGTTTATATATTAAAATATTTTAACTTAAATTTTATTCATTGATAAAATCCCATCTTGACTAGAGCATAATGTTCTTATATATTTTACAATTCTCTTTAAAACAGAAATCTTAACTTTGGAAACAAAATTAAGGGACAATATGGACAAATTTTTCTCTAGCATGTTTAAAACATAAGAAAAATTAAAGTGACAATTAGTAAACAATAGTACCTACGTTATTGTTTTTAAAAAGCAGACCTGAAGTATAATTAAAAATCAAATATCAAATGGATCTGGGAGAGTACAAAGGCTGGTCCAGCAATGAGATTACATAAGCACAAATACAAAAACAAAACCTAACAACACCGACAACTACAAAACTGTTAGAGGAGAGCGGTCTTGACATGCGGCTCAACTGAATTTTTGAATCAGAGTTGCAGGGAATTTGCTACACTTCACGTTTCATTTAACCTCATTATGGAAGCATGAATTACTACAAATTCACCATTTATCAATATATACCCAGGCTGGCCTCCCTATGAACAGGTTCTGTAGCCACACTGATCTTCCTTTTTACAGTGGAAAGGAATGATTGAGCATGTATAAAAACTAATGTCTGCTTTATGAGATGGAAAAGAAAACAAAGTAGCAATAGCACATTAAAAATAAGTCCAAATTGTGTTAGAGCTGTAACACATATTAACCACAACAAAAGCAGAGAAATCAGAGTCAAATCTGAAATTCTTACTTGCTTTGCTACACATATTTATGGAAAATTTTTGATAATTTGCCCTAAACAAACAGCCAGATCATTGATGCATGCAAACTTTAAAAGAACTGAGCATCTTCACATGAAGTGAAGTTTATTCTTTCCTGGTGAGTATACACAAATTGACAAAACAGACATTAATGCTCTCTATTGTGTTTTCACATTTGGCCTGAGATGTGGATTATGTAAATACATATTTGGGATACTCAGAGTGATGGGGCTATTTTCCATGAAGGCAACTGTGATCTATTGTAGTAATTCATTCTAAAAAGCTCTTTCAGATTTCTTAAGGTATGATGGAAATATAAGGAATTTCAAAACAAACTTCCAATTATGGCCTCTCTAATCTATGAAGACACAGTCTAACCTTTGTTGGTCTGAAGAAAGCCGAAGCGCTCTGCATACCAAATTCGTCTAACGGACAAGATTTGGCTCAAAAGTTGTAGTTCTAAATGCATTTGCAATCATCAATACCGTACAATGAGAAGTTTATGTTAGTAAGTTTATATGTGGGCAAACATTAGTAAATACGAATGGTCCCCTAGCTTCTGTGTACCTAATATTTGGTGCTGATTCAAAGGCTACTACGAGCTTGAAATTTAAGATTCTCCCTCAAATCAATATTTACAGTAAGTTTCAAATTTGAAATAATTTGCAAGTAAACTAACATGTTTGTTTCCAAAGTGTATTTTAAAATGCATGACCTGCTTTATACTTTACGACAATTTTTAAGTGGAAAGGTATCAACACATTTTTATCATTTTATTTTTCCTACTGAAAGGTAGGTGAACATGTTTTTAGAAAATGTATTTCCTGGATTTTTAAGGGTTAACATTTTAATTTATTTTTAAAGAAGAAATGACTAGGTAAGAACAGAAACTTTCAATAGAGTACCTTAGATTTTCACTCTAATATTTTAATATTCAAGTTTACATATCTTAAAGGAGAAAGAGAAGGTCTTTAACAGTGAAGTAGCCTACCAGCAGGCCGATTTCAAGTTAGGCTGAGATTGTAGTTAATATTGGGAACATATCCCGTGCAAAATAAAACAACATCTAAATTATCCCAAACACATAAAAGTACCTCCTCTAATTCAACCAGAGCCACAGATTCAGAAAGAAAACACCGGTCCCTCTGGGGAGGTGTCTAGTTTATTTAAATTCACAGGGAATTCAACTCCCAGCACCACTTGCTGGGACAGTATCACCTTATTGACTTTTATCAAAGCTTCTGGAAATTAGAAACACAACTTGGTTTTGAGATCTTCCCAGAAAACTTGGATGTGACCAATCATTTGAAAGGAAAGGTCTTATTTTATGAGGAAGGAGTCAGACATATCAGAGAAATAAAAAAAAATCTCTCTTTAAAAGGAGCCAATAATTTAAATGAACACCTAGAGCTGCTCCTGGGCAGCTCCTGTAAGAAAGAGCTTTATACCACCATCTGCCAAATCTGTATTCGTCTGGCTGTAATTTACAGCAATGGAATATCTAGATAGTGACTTTCCTAAGCAATATAGCAAGGAGAAAAGCAGTGTTTGTAGTTTTAAATCTATAAAACACATAGTGTTCAAGACTATTCCTTTATTAGCATAGAAATTTCAGACCTGCTTCTCCTGGCATTATTTTCTAAATTCCACCTCCCAGTAGAGGCGTGGCAGCTAAAGCTTCACATTCATTTTCCTGATGGAGCATTTCTGCATATTAAACAGCAGCTTACAAACAGTCAATGAGTCCTCTGCTCCCACGCCTGATCAGCACAAAAAACTGAAAGGAGAGATTCGAGACTGGCAGTTGTCCTCACTAGAGACATTCAATGATGTGTTTTCTGTCTATTCATTCACAGTATTGACATGAGCCATTAACATCTGCAGAACTTGTTTTAGCTGGCAAAAGTTGGGTATCTGGGAATTGATTTAAAAGGTCATTACCAAGACAGTTGAATCATATTCAAAATACATTTCCACAAACTCTTGAGAAAAATAAAAATGAGATTTCCAGTAAAGTTTAGAACTCACTTCCTTTTCACTGTGTAAAGAATTTGATCAGTGTCAAATATCTCATGAACAGGTTTTAAAATCAAAGGCAAGTGAAGTTTAGGGTTAATCAACCACAAATCACATAATTCTGGGTTTGAAACAGGACAGGGCATGAAGATTGTTTTCATTTGATTTTAATGTTTTTATTTTCTCATTAGTACATAAATTTTGTCTACTTTATTGCTGTCAATTTAGATTTAAAAAGCGACAAGTTGGACATTCTTATTTTATAAAATTAACTTTTTATAAGCAGATTTATTGCTGGCAGTGGCTTTAAATTCCTGGTATCTTGATAAATCTATGTAAATAAACTGTATAAATTGTTATTTGCTTGAATGTCAGTGTTCTGGAATGAGAAGAACATATAAATAGAAAAGCTAGATATATAGAAGGGATTGAGAATAGAAAAATAATTACTTTAGAAAAGAACTACACATTTATATAAACAACAAAGAATATTTTTTTGAATCTTATAAACTATTTTAGAAGTGCATTTTGCTTCAAAACACACACTATTCCAGACCAAATCTAGCAGTAATGAACGAGTAAGTTCATTTACGTATCTTGTTTATATTTCCACATATTAGGTTATTTTTTTAATTTTTATTTATTTATTTTTTTGAGACAGAGTCTCGCTCTGTCACCCAGGCTGGAGTGCAATGGCGCGTGGTCTCTGCTCACTGCAAGCTCCACCTCCCGGGTTCACGCCATTCTCCTGCCTCAGCCTCCCAAGTAGCTGGGACTACAGGCGCCTGCCACCACGCCTGGCTAATTTTTTGTATTTTTAGTAGAGACAGAGTTTCACCATGTTAGCCAGGATGGTCTCGATCTCCTGTCCTCGTGATCCACCCCCCTCGGCCTCCCAAAGTGCTAGGATTACAGGCGTGAGCCACTGCGCCTGGCCTGTATTAGGTTATTTTATCTAATAGGTTGTAACCTTTTTAGTGACCATTACACCAAACTGCCTGTACACTTCAAAACTAAGTTTCAATTTTACTAGCCTGACTCATAATAAGAACTATGCTCAGTCAACATTTAACAAGGAGATAAGCATTCTGACAGAGGCACAAAGAACAGGTGAAGCAAATATACACCAGCCCCCAACGAAAGTGTCAACGTACTGACTTTGTTTATACTGTTACTTCTCAGAGTAAAGGATAGAATATGATTTCCATATAGCAAATGGATGGATCTTTTTTTTTTTTTTTTTTTTTTTTCTGAGATGGAGTCTTGCTTTGTTGCCCAGGCTGGAGTGCAGTGGCACAGTCTTGGCTCACTGCAACCTCTGCCTCCCTGGTTCAAATGAGTCTCCTGCCTCAGCCTCCTAAGTAGCTGGGATTACAGGCAACTGCCACCATGCCCAGCTAATTTTTTGTATTTTTAGTAGGGACGGGGTTTCACCATGTTGGCCAGGTTGGTCTCGAACTCCCGACCTTGTGATCTGCCCGCCTCAGCCTCCCAAAGTGCTGGGATTACAGGCGTGAGCCAACGCACCCAGCCTGGCTGTATCTTTTTTGACAGACGTGTAGAAACAGTCAACAGATTAAATGGTAAAGTGGCAGAAACAAACATCTATCTGTAAGGGAACCCTCAGCAGATTTATGAGACCATGGTGGGTCCTTGACAGGAGTGGGAGAATGAGGTTTTCTTAACAATGGGAAGGCCATTGTCATGATCTGCAGAGCTCCAACAGGGACATGAAACTGATAACACCTAGAATTACTACACATATAGCTTCTGACAATAAGAAGGCAACTTTTTAAAAAAAGGCAAATAACATATTTATCATGCCTTGATTAACCATTCAGTTCACTTATTTATCTACCACTGCTGTGCTGCCCAGCATGGTAGAGACTGGCCACACGTGCTCTTGAACACTTAAATGTGATTAGTCCAAATTGAGACGTGGTATAAATGTAAAATATACTCCAGATTTTGAAAACTTAGGATGAAGGATGTAAAATGTCTCATTAATAATTTTTGACAGTGATTACAGGTGACAATGATAATCTTTTGAATACATTGAGCTAGATAAAATATACTGAGATCAATTTTTTCTTTCTTTTTTTTTTTTTTGCTTTTTGCTAATGTGGCTTGCATTGTATTTCTGTTGGCAAGTGATATGGTTTGGCTGTGTCCCCAGCCAAATCTCATCTTGAATTCCCATGTGTTGTGGGAGGGACTGGTGGGAGGTAATTGAGTCATGGGGCCAAGTCTTTCCAATGCTGTTCTTGTGATAGTGAATAAGTCTCAAGAGATTTGATGGTTTTGAAAAGGGGAGTTCCCCTGCACAAGTTCTCTTGCTTTGCCTGCTGCCACCCATGTAAGACGTGACTTGTTCCTCCTTGCCTTCCATCATGATTGTGAGGCATCCCCAGCCATGTGGAACTGTAAGTCCATTAAACCTCTTTCTTTTGTAAATTGCCCAGTTTTGGGTATGTCTTCATCAGCAGCGTGAGAACAGACTAATACAATAAATTGGTACCAGTAGAGTGGGGTGCTGCTGAAAAGATACCCAAAAACATGGAGGTGACTTTGGAACTGGGTAACAGGCAGAGGTTGGAAGAGTTTGGAGAGCTCATAAAAAGACAAGAAAACGTGCGAAAGTTTGGAACTCCCTAGAGACTTGTTGAATGGCTTTGACCAAAATGCTGATAATGCTATGGACAATAAGATCCAGGCTGAGGTGGTTTCAGATGGAGATGAAGAACTTGCTGGTAACTGGAGCAAAGGCGACTCTTGGTATGTTTTAGCAAAGAGACTGGCAGCATTTTGCCCCTTCCCTAGAGATCTGTGGAACTTTGAACTTGAGAGAGATGATTTAGAGTATCTGGTGGAAGAAGTTTCTAAGCAGCAAAGCATTCAAGAGGTGACTTGGGTGCTGTTAAAGGCATTCAGTTTTGTAAGGGAAGCAGAGCATAAAAGTTCAAAAAATTTGCAGCCTGACAATGCAATAGAAAAGAAAAATCTCATTTTCTGAGGAGAAATGGAAGCAGGCTGCAGAAATTCGCCTAAGTAATGAGAAGCCAAATGTTAATCCTCAAGACAACGGGGAAAATGTCTCCAGGGTATGTCAGAGTTTTCATGGCAGCCCCTTCCATCACAGGCCCAGAGGCCTACAAGGAAAAAGTGGTTTTCTGGGCCAGGCCCAGGGTACACTCGTGCTGTGTGCAGCCAAGAGACTTGGTGCTCTGCATCCCAGTTGCTCCAGACATGGCTGAAAGGGGCCAACATAGAGTTCGGGCAGTGGCTTCACAGGGTGCAAGCCCCAAGCCTTGGCAGCTTCCATGTGGTGTTGAGCCTGAGAGTGCACAAAAGTCAAGAACTGGGGTTTGGGAACCTCTGCCTAGATTTCTGAAGATGTATGGAAATGCCTGGATGCCCAGGCATAAGTTTGCTGCAGGGGCAGGGCTCTCATGGCGAACCACTGTTAGGGCAGTGGAGAAGGAAAATGTGAGGTCAGAGCCCCCACACAGAGTTCCCCCTGGGGCACCACCTAGTGGAGCTGTGAGAAGAGGGCCACTGTCCTCCAGACCTCAGAATGGTAGATCCACTGACTGCATTGTGCACCTGATGCCAGCCTGTGAAGGCAGCTGGGAGGGAGGCTGTATCCTGTAAAGCCACGGGGCAGAGCGGCCCAAGACCATGGGACCCTACCTCTTGCATGCTTGACCTGGATGTGAGACGTGGAGTCAAAGGAGATCATTTTGGAGCTTTAAGGTTTTACTGCCCTGCTGGATTTCGGACTTGCCTGGGGCCTGTGGTCCCTTTATTTTGGCCAGTTTCTCTCACTTGGAGTAGCTGTATTTACCCATTGCTTGTACATCCATTGGATCTAGGAAGTAACTAACTTGCTTTTGATTTTACAGGCTCATAGGCGGAAGGGACTTGCCTTGTCTCAGATGAGACTTTGGACTGTGGACTTCTGAACTAATGCTGAAATGAGTTAAGACTTTAGGGTATTGTTGGGAAGGAATGATTGGTTTGGAAATGTGAAGACATGAGATTTGGAAGGGGCCAGGGGCAGAATGATATGGTTTGGCTCAAATCTCATCTTGAATTCCCATGTGTTGTGGGAGGGACCCAGTGGGAGGTAATTGAATCATGGGGGCAAGTCTTTCCTGTGATGTTCTCGTGATAGTGAATAACCATCTTGAGGTCTGATGGTTTTATAAAGAGGAGTTCCCCTGCACAAGCTCTCTTTGCCCACTGCCATCCATGTAAGATGCGACTCGCTCCTCCTTGCCTTCCTCCATGATTGTGAGGCCTCCCCAGCCATGTGGAACTGTAAGTCCATTAAACCTCTTCCTTTTGTAAATTGCCCAGCCTTGGGTATGTCTTTATCCACAGTGTGAGAACAGTAATACAGCAAGTTCCTGGAGGACAGGAACCATGCTTGATTTACTTTGTAGTTGTTGGACTAAGCCTGGTGTCTGGGCTCAGTAGGTGCTACAAAATTGTTTACAGAACAAAATGCATCCTTTTAAAAGTGGTATTCCTGACTCAGGTTTTCATTTTTAAAATGATGTTATGTTTGACACATAAAACGGATTATAGAAATCCCTTGCTATCCAGACAGAAACTAAATATTCTGATAATTTTTAGACAAATTTTTCATCATCTGAACTCTTGCTACTCACCAAACACGGAAACAAAAACAGATCTGGATAGAGAGGGATGCTTGTATGTAACAAAGATCTAAGTTTTGAAACATAATAGGAACAACAAGGCAACAATACCAGCAAAGCTACCTGCATATTCTTCCTGATTGCACTTCTTTGTCTCCTCCCAGAATTAGAGGTGCTAGCTTCAGTTGATGTTTCTCATTCCCTCACCTTTTTTAAAAAATAGCTTTTCTACATGTGTGTTATCCCTCCATGGTGTATTGCTTTCTTTTGCATGTTTTTGAGCTTTATTAAAAATGCAGTCAAGTTTATAGACTTTTATACATTATTAATAATGTATTTTTTACATTAAATACATTATTATCTCATTAGCATCTCTAATTCAACACTTCTTATCAAAGCAACATAACATTTTTAGCTAGAATTTAAACATAATTCTCCATGGCTGACAAACTTTTTTTTTTTTTTTTTTGGGGTGGAGTCTCACTCTGTTGCCCAGGCTGGAGGACAGTGGCACAATCTCAGCTCACCACAACCTCTGCCTCCTGGGTTCAAGTGATTCTCCTGCCTTAGCCTCCTAGTAGCTGGAATTACAGGTGCCTGCTACCACGCCTGGCTAATTTTTGTATTTTTAGTAGAGACGAGGTTTCACCATGTTGGCTAAGCTGGTCTCGAACTCCCGACCTCAAGTGATCCGCCTATCTCGGCCTCCCAGAGTGCTGGGATTACAGGCCACCTTTTTGTTTTAATACATTTAGAATTTATAAAGAGTTGGCAAATAAAATATTAATTAAAACCATGAGAAAACGTCTCCATAAAGAAAATTTCTTTAAATATGTATGCAAATGACAAGGATTTAAAATTTAACCTGCTATTACCTCGATAATATAGAGCACTATATTCTTGTAGAAGCAGTATAAGATGCACTTGGAGACTCTGTTATAGTTCCAGGCACCATGAATCATCAGTAAATTCTTCAAATATTTGAACTAAAACAAGAGTGGGAAAAAATTAGTATTTTCCTTTTCAAAGCATCAGTTGACTGAGAGGAATGATGTGTTTTGCAGAAATGACGCTTTACCTGAGCTATGGAGTAGTCAGAGGAATTAGCTGCCTGCAGGCCTTCATTGCCACTGATACCAACACCAACGTGCGCTGTCTGTATCATGCTGACATCATTTGCTCCATCACCGATTGCAAGCGTTACGACTTTGACTTGTTTCTTAACCATCTCAACAACTTCAGATTTTTGAAGAGGAGAAACCCTGAAATTGAAACACATTATCAATTACTGTTTTCTGAAAAAAGGAATTTTGAAATGCCATCGTGTTGAAGGATAAAAGATGCAAAAGACCTAAATGAATAGTTCTCTGAAGAAACCTTATGATAAAGTTTTAGGTTTGCAAATGTTTACTCATCTGTTAACCTGGTTACTGTATTAAGGAAAATTAAAATAAATAAAAACAAGCCTCAGAGGCAAACCCCTAGGTGACATCTAGAAGAGAGAATGCTTTGTTAAACATTAGCCTGCCAGAATGCCTTTACTTCCTAACAAACATCAGAATTTCTAATTCTTCACTTACAAATTAAAAACAATGTCATAAATGCTGCCAAACACTAACTAAATCCTACATAGTAGCTGGAAAGTAAAAGTTTTGAGCTTCTGCAATCTGATCTTAGATAATGTACTATACACTTAAAACTCTACTTAAATTAATTCTCAGACACCATGGAAAATGCCAAGTATCTGATTATAGTTCATGGGCTTCATTTTCTTCCAAAGCCACTAAGGGTCAAGTAAAAATCAAGCAACCTCTTATACAAATGTGGACCAGGAACAGAAAACACCAGTATCTCTATTAAAATCATATCTGGTATTAGATTTGGAGTTACTTTTCACAGACTTTCTAAAGCCATTTAAGAAATAAACACTAGGACTGGCCGGGTGAGGTGGCTCATGCCTGTAATCCCAGCACTTTGGGAGGCCAAGGCAGGTGGATCACGAGGTCAGGAGATTGAGACCATCCTGGCTAACACGGTGAAACCCCGTCTCTACTAAAAATACAAAAAATTAGCCGGGCGTGGTGGCGGGCGCCTGTAGTCCCAGCTACTTGGGAGGCTGAGGCAGGAGAATGGAGTGAACCCAGGAGGCGGAGCTTGCAGTGAGCCGAGATCGTGCCACTGCACTCCAGCCTGGGCGACAGAGCAAGACTCCGTCTCAAAAAAAAAAAAAAAAAAAAAAAAAAAGGAATAAACACTAGGACAAGGACAGAAGGGTTCAAAGACAGAATGCATAACACACTGTCTACACTGTATTGGAAACTATAGAGAAAGACAGGAAAACTACACAATAAATTGTTCTAACAAACAGTTAAGCTAATAATTAGATAGTAAGAAACAACTTATGTACACAATGTTCAAACAAGAAAAACATCTCAGAGCTAAATTATTTATCAAGGTTATGTGGCATAGATGACTAATAATAAATATCTGCTAAAACATCTGAAAAATCATTTACTATTCTATTTAAAAATGAAGATCACCACTTTGAGAGAATCGATACAACTTTGTCCATTTTCCTGATCATTCCATAGGAAAAATTTTTAGTGGTAGATACTCTGCACAAATATGTGCCTTCAGGAGGCCCCACTGCCCTTATGAACTGCTTCAGCCAGAGCAGCTCTGGTTTTTATTTCAAGTCTGAGAATCATTGCATTAGACTGTGAGCTGCCTGTAAAGTCAATTGGTCTCCTCTTCTTTGTATTTTTAGTGCCTGATCCAAAATAGATACTCAATACATGGTTGCTATACGAAAAAACCATTTTTAATTTTTTCTTTGGATTTCCTTTTACAGTCTGGCAATAGTACAAAATGACACAACTGTGAACTCAGCAAGGAAATGAATGCCTATCAGGCCATTAGCAGGCTATTTCACTGTTAGCTTGATTTTTCTTCAAAGCAATTTTCATTTCATTTTCACATTTTATTTAATTTTTCTTACCAGGCTAATATAAACTGGTAAGTCCACTGGCTGTAGGCCAATGTTTAAACCTGGACTATAGTTGACATTTAGTAAATGTCAAAAAGGAATGCTCACCAATAAATGATCTAGAATGGGAAATGGGCATGAATAGAGAGAAGCATTTGAAAGCTTTATCAAATTCTCTTTAATAGTCTAACAGTATGAATACATTATGAAGTTACACCAAGGGTTCAACAGAACTAGGAAACAGTGGTACTTTTTCCATAACTAAACTTGTAATAAAGGAGAAATCTCTGCAAGGTGAGCTGACATTAGTGATTTTTAAAAAGCATCAGAAAAGAGTTGGACTAAATTTAGTTTTCTTCATGGTGATCACAACCAACCACTGCTTTCTCTGCTTGATACTGTAATTTTCAACACCCAAATTAAAATTGGCTGAGGATTTTCATTCAATTCTGTATGGTTAAATGAGGTGTTAAAGAGTAGGATTGCCCTTAGCAACAATGCCCATTTAAGAAAAAAGAAAATGATATAGTGAGAGACATTTCAAAAGCACACTGCAGCTGCTACTAGCCAGAGCATCTGCTTCCATTACCAAGCTTTAAAAGTGGATGACTGGCTGGGCGTAGTGGCTCATGCCTGTAATTCCAGCACTTTGGGAGGCTGAGGTGAGCGGATCACGAGGTCAGGAGATCGAGACCAGCCTGGGCAACATGGTAAAATCCAATCTCAAATAAAAATACAAAAAATTAGCTAGGGATAGGGGCGCGTGCCTGTAGTCCCAGCTACTCGGGAAGCTGAGTCAGGAGAATCGCTTGAACCCAGGAAGTGGAGGTTGCAGTGAGCTGAGATGGCGCCACTGCACTCCAGCCTGGGTGACAGAGCGGGACTCCATCTCGGGAAAACAAAAGTGGATGACCCTCTTGGAATAAGATTGAAGACATAATGGATTTCCCTGACCATTAGTGATGTCAAGCATTTTTTCATATGTTTGTTGGCCATCTGTATATCTTGAGAATTGTTTATTCATGTCCTTAGCCCATTTTTTGATGGGATTGTTTTTTCTCTTGCTAATTTGTTTGAGTTCCTTGTAGACTCTGGATATTTGTTCTTTGTTGGATATACAGATTGTGAAGATTTTCTTCCACTCTGTGGGTTGTCTGTTTACTCTGCTGACTGATCCTTTTGCTGTGCAGAAGCTCTTTAGAAATGCAAATCAAAACCACAATGCGATACCACCTTACTCCTGCAAGAATGGCCATAATAAAAAAATCAAAAAAGAATAGATGTTGGTGTGGATACGGTGATCAGGGAACACTTCTACACCGCTGGTGGGAATGTAAACTAGTATAATCACTATGGAAAACAGTGTGGAGATTCCTTAAAGAACTAAAAGTAGAACTACCATTTGATCCAGCAATCCCACTATGGGGTATCTACCCAGAGGAAAATAAGTCATTATACAAAAAAGCTACTGGGACATGCATGTTTATAGCAGCACAATTTGCAATTGCAAAAATATGGGACCAGCCCAAATGCCCATCAATCAACAAGCGGATAAAGAAACTGTGGTATGTGTGTATATATATGTATGTGTGTGTATATATTTTATATATACATATTTTATATATTTTATACACACACACACACACACACACAGACACACACATACACATATATGAATGAGATGGAATACTACTCAACCATAAAAGGAATGAATGAATGGCATTCATAGCAACCTGGATGGAACTGAAGACTATTATTGTAAGTGAAGTAACTCAGGAATGGACAAACATTGTATGTTCTTACTCATATGTGGGAGTTAAGCTGTGAGGATGAAGAGGCATAAGAATGATACAATGGACTTTGGGGACTCAGGGGAAAGGGTGGGAGGGGGACTACAAATTGGGTACAGTGTATACTGCTCGGGTGATGGGTACACAAAATCTCACAAATCACCATTGAAGAACTTATTCATGTAACCAAATACTACCTGTTCCCTCAAAACCTATGGAAATAAAAAATTAAAACAAAAGACATAATGGAAGCCTTTTCTTATGATTCTGAAACATCAGTTGGTTGCTAAACAAAGATGTCAGATTTAAGTGGAGATTCATACAAAATAAAATATACATTCTTAAAATATTTAACTCAAAATATAAATGTACAAACTGTGATGCAGGTCAAAGAACCTTACTTTGCATAGGGGTCTGCTGTTTGAAACTGCATGTTTTTGTAGCAGAAATCTCACTCAGGCATAGTCAATGGTTTGCCTCACTAAAATGGAGACCAGAATGTACTGATTCCTTTTACCCCAGTTTATAGTTAGTTTACTCCAAAATTTGACAGCAATATTTTTTAGCAACTCAAAAAGTCTTTTAGAGCATTATACCTGGATTTACTAGCAATAATTTTTACTCAGTTATTTGAATGAAGTTATGAGATATTTAATTAAATGATTATTTCAAGAAGTACAACAGGAATAAACATACTAGGGAACGAGCCCCACTTACAATGCACCAAGTCAATTCATGGAAGCCGAAGAGCATGTACACACCCAAGAGCCTCTGGGTGTGAGCATAGTGTGCTGTGAGTACCTGGCAGAAGGCTGTAGGGAAGGAATGTGGCTGAAAGGGATTCAGGTTTGTCAAGCTGAAGTCAGTAAAAAAGATCCACTATTTTTATAGCATCCATTTAAAAAATGGTTCCTTGCTACAAGGGGGTTACAATATAGCAAAACAAAATTATAAGACATTAAAAATGAATGTAGCATAAAGCTTTGATATGATTGCCCCTCTTTGATAATTTCAGAAATCAACATGGGCTTTAAGAGGCCTCCCTTGATAAGTTAGAATTTGACTTGGCCTTTGAAAGGAGAGGAGAGTTCACTTCAGGTAACAGAAATAGCACATAATAAATTTTAACTTCACACTCAAAATTCTCCAGAATATATTATTTTCTACTGCTGTGTCTCCACCTGTTAAAAGATTACTCTACTCAGAGTTTATTTACTTTCTTGATTGTCAGTACACTTGCTTCTAGATTCATACAATTTCCATGAGTCTAGAACTACCTTACCACACAACAACTTAATTCTTCCTATGTCTATAAAAAAAATCACATATCCATGGCTGAGAATATCTAAAACCTAAACAAATGCCAATAGTGACTCAACGTATAATTCTGAAACATCATAAAGGCACTGTTTTCTTCCCTGAGATTGTTTTATTTTAACCATTTGTGGGTCTGCATCCAGGATTTAAATTATTCACAGTTATCTTCTGTTCCACCGTTGCTTTTTCTTCTTTGGTAGAAGAGACTCCATGGAAAAAGACTACGTATCCAATGTGTACTGTAAACGTCCCTTTCTCTTCCCTGTGGCTCCACAAACAGAGGGTGGTCCTTTCTGATACAACCTAGACGTGCACTGAGTGCAATATGCTTTTCAGATATTATTTTGGCTGTAGTTTCTGCACATGTTATTCATTATTTTTCTTATTTTCTATGCAGTAACTCTCACTGCCCTGTGAACGTTAGATCAGAGCACTGGAAATTTTTACCATTTAAGCTAAGAAGTATATAGGTGGTCCATCTTACATGAAGCTTGTTTTGCACTCTTAATGGGATTAGCTAAATGAATCACCTTTCTAAATGAAATATGAAGAATATATGTACATATATATAATAGATGTATAATAAAGGATAATTTAAGGAATTTTTTATAGGTAGCCAAAAGGAATACAATAATTTATCCACTGGATTGTGTTTTGGGATTAATAACCTAAAAAATTCTTACATATACACAAAATTATACTGATAATATAATATGATCTCAAAGACTTATACTGGAAACTTAAAAATTACTATGAAGTTGCCTTTAGAAGGTAAATCTAGAAAACTTTTTAGAAGAATATGAAGGAACATAGTATTTTCTAGTTCTCCTGAAGTGTTTTATATAGTGACCAAGCCCAGTATTTACTAAATTTCTTTAACTTCCTCAAACTTTAAATTTGAGGTCTGCTCCAGGTGCCTATTTAGAGGTCAGAATCATTAGTGAGGGGATCTGCTGTGCTTTTCTTTGCAACAAACTTCCTAAGATTTCTCCTGTGAATATCAGTGTATTTCCAACTGACTCATATTTTGTTGACTATTTACAGAAATTACAAAAGGAGAGAAAAACGTAAACTAGAAGATCTTACTTGAATCCTTCTGAACTAAAATTTGGCAGGTTCATTTATAAAATTTCACATTGAGAAAAAATTAAGATACAGCAAAAAAAAACCTGATGTACAAAAACTACAAAATATTGTTAACTCCTCTAGAAGCTCACCATCAACTTGTTACTTGGAATGAAAACAGCAGCTTACATAGCAAGTCTTAAAAATGATACTTAGCAATATGGTACATAATGAAACATTCAACCACTTCTTACCTAGAAGTGCGCTATTCAAATGACTGATGAGTGAGAGCTCTCCTAGCCTCCAAAACCAACATCTGTTGATATACTGTGCAGTCATAGGCATTCAGGAGACCTTACAATATAGAGACTGAGTCTACAGAAATAAAATACAGATAGCCTTTCCATAGGACAAAAAAGGAAAGCAAATTTAAAAAAGATTTCCTTTCTGCAATGCATTTTAGATATAAAACCTCTCTTTTGTAGAATTTATGTGGTTATAGGTAAACGTACTGCCTTCTGCTTCAATGATTCAGATAAGTAGTTTAAATAGGGACCGTTTCTATTGATGGTGTGTATTTGATTATGCATGTATGTGCATGTGTGCACTAATTAGCAAATAGACCTATGAAAGGCACTAAAAAGAGAACTCCGCCTAGTATAGATATTTATTATGGTGTTCACACAAGAAAGCTTAGTTTATCTACAATATTGCTGTTCATTTTCTCTTCAGAAAATATCATCTAGTTATATTGAACCTAGCACTGTACTCAGCACAAGGCAGAATTAAAAATGGTAGCAAGCTCTTCCTAGGCTGGCGCTTAGCAAGGAGAAGGCCATGTTCATTTCAAGCACCAAGACTGTGAAGCCCAACAGCGAGACGCCAAACGAGTTAAGAGTCCGGCATCTTTCAGGCTCTTCTGGAGCTGGAGATAAACTCGGACCTCAAGGCTCAGCTCAGGAAGCTGAGTATTACAGCAGCCAAAGAGCCTAAGTTGGTGGTGTCCAGAAAGCTATCATAATCTTTGTTCCTGTTCCTCAACTGAAATCTTTCCAGAAAATCCAACTCTGGCTAGTACGTGAATTGGAGAAAAAGTTCAGTGGGAAGCATGCTGTCTTTATTGCTCAGAGGAGAATTCTGCCTAAGCCAGCTTGAAAAAGCCATACAAAAAATAAGCAAAAACATCCTAGGAGCTGTATATGACACAATTCTTGAGGACTTGATCTTCCCAAGTGAAATTGTGGGCAAGAGAATCTGTGTGAAACTGGATGACAGCCGGCTCATAAAGGTTCATTTGGACAAAGCATAGGAGAACAACATGGAAAGCAAGGCTGAAACTTTTTCTGGTGTCTATAAGCAGCTCACAGGCGAGGATGTTAATTTTGAATTCCCAGAGTTTCCATTGTAAACAAAAATGGCTAGTAAATTCACAGTTAAAAAAAAAAAAAGGTAGTGGAACCAAATAAATGGAAATGTTACAAGAAAGAGAAATTTGGCCAGGAGCAGTGGCTCACGCCTGTAATCCCAGCACTTTGGGAAGCCGAGGTGGGCGGATCACGAGGTCAGGAGTTCAAGACCAGTCGGGCCAACATACCTGTCTCTACTAAAAATACAAAAAAAAATTAGCTGAGTGTGGTGATGTGCGCCCATAATCCCAGCTACTCGGGATGCTAAGCCAGGAGAATTGCGTGAACCTGGGAGATGGAGGTTGCAGTTGCAGTGAGCTGAGATCGCGCCATCGCACTCCAGCTCAGGTGACAGTGCGAGACTGTCTCAAAAAAAAAAAAAAAAAGAGAGAAAAAGAAAAAAAAGAGCATGGTTGAGGCAGTTCCTAAAAACATTAATTTGGATTGACCAAAGTATGTTTTATATATATCTGAATATGATCTAGGAAAAGGACAATGAAAATGAAAATAAAAACACAGAGGGCCCCAAATAAAAGTGGTTTCAAAAATGACCCTGAGGTTTCAAATTTGGGTTACTGGGAGAATGAGGGTCTAAACGTAAATGGAAAAGGCAAGAAGAATATTGACAGCGGAAAAGTATCAGGGAAGTTCTAGATACTCAGAAGTTTAGATAGTAGTGGGATACTCTGGCAGACTCATTTAAGCATGCTGACTGAAAAGTTGGAATTGGACTTGGAAAAGAGTGTAGAGTTGGGAATGTGCCTCCAGGTGTCATTGATTCAAGTATTTACTTAAGTATTAAGTGATCCTTTAGTATGTGATTAAAGCTCTGCGGAAGAACACAAGGAGAATAAAGCAGATCTCAGGATCTTTCTTCTGCCCCCAAGAGTTATTAATTTAAGGACTTTTATTGAGGTACTGTCCCGGGAGTTAAATATTGACAGCCTATATGATAGTAGTCCCTCTCTGTACACCTGCTCTGAAGAGACAGAAATTTTTCCTGCATGGATCAACGCCATGCCACCTCTCTATTTAGGGAGCCTTGCCAATGGGACTGGTGTGCTCTCAACTGGGAAGCACTTCTATTCAAGAAGGCCTAGAGTGCTTCCCCTTTCAGCTCTACCCTGTTGTGAGCTTGGTCTCAGAGTGGCCTCCATTCCCTTCCCATTCCCAGTGTCTGACTGGAGCACACATGCCCTGTGATCTCTTTTCCTATGACTCTGGGGAGGTAAGGAAGGGATAAAGTTTTTTTATTTATTTAATTAAATTGATAAATTAATTTTTTGAGATGAGGTCTTGCTCTGTCGCCCAGGCTGGAATGCAGTGGCACAATCTTGGCTCACTGTAGCCTCAACCTCTTGGGCTCAAGTGATCCTCCTACCTCAGCCTCCCGAGTAGCTGGGACTAAAAATGTACGCCACCATGCATGGCTAATTTTTGTGTTTTTTTTTTTTTTGTAGAGATGGAGTCTCACTATGCTGCCCAGGCTGGTCTCGAACTCCTGGCCTCAAGCAATCCTTCCACCTCAGCCTCCCAAAGTGCTAGGATTACAGGTGTGAGCCATCATGCACAGCCCAGAGCTTGTTTAGGCTGGAAGAAAATCAGCTTGCTCTTCTCTGCCTCATGACCTTCCTATGTTGTGTGGATAAGTTTCTCCAAGGAACCTTCTCTCACCTTAAAACTACCTAGTGGAAGGTGGAACAATTGGTCGCACAGACTATTGACAGAAACTAAAATACAACTCTGAAGATGTCAGGAGTTAAAAAAGGAGGCCAGTAAAGTTCAGGGTCATAATTATCAACTACAAATTCAAGAGAAACCTTTGGGGCGACAGGAAGTGGTGAATACTTGGGAGAAGCTGAGCGGCATGGAGGAAAAGAGTGGCATGTGAGGGATAATGGAAGAACACACAGATGGGCAAGGTTTCTGGCTGCATTGTTCCCTGCCCATGGCACCCTGTTTGAGCTGACCAGCATGAGTGGGGTGAGACTGGGCTGGATGGAGCCTCACTCATTCCAACTGTAGAGTTTGGCTTAGGTTTGGAGCTTATGAAATCAAACCCAAAATAACATGCTTAAAAAACAAAACACTCCAATTCCAGGAGTACATCCTCAGTGCCCTAAAGCTAAAACTGCAGAAAGAATTCCTACGCATGCCTTGGAACAGGAAAGCCAGATCTTTTGGTCAACCTGAAGGCACAGAGCCAGGCAGGGACAGGTGCCAGTAATATGGCTGTGCTGACAGACCCCCGAATGCCACCTCACACGGGGAATTCCATCAGAGTGCAGCTGCCTCTAACAAGAGGAGAGCTCAGGTAAAGGCACTAGGGGAAAACAGGGATTTAATGAACTGAGATTGGGCCCTGCCTCCAAATTTACCTAATCAGGACCTAGCTTTTGCTGTTCCTCCAAAGGGACATTAATGCCTGTTAGAAACAATAGGGGAAAGGGTCCCTCACAGAATAGAGTACAAAAGTTTCAAACCAGCATAGGAAAATCTGACCTAGAGAGTGAAAGTTAGGGGGAGAAAAAAAAAAGAAACAAAATCATAATAGATGGAAACCAAAATAAATGGGAAGAAATGAGGTCCAATATAGCAACAATTATAATAACAATATAATGTTTATTTGCACCCAACACATTGAATTCTCAGAACAATCCCATAAGTTATTATTGTCACCATTTTACAAACGAGGAATCCAAGGCACAAACAATATTTATTAAGGTTTAAGGTAAAATGGCAAATGATGAAGCTAGGATTCAATCCCAAGCAGTGTGGATTCAGACACAGCATTCTTTTATTTTTTGGAACAAGGTCTCACTCTGTCGCCAGGCTGGACTGCAGTGGTGCCAACATGGCTCATTGTAGCCTTGACCTCCTGGGCTCAAGTGATCCTCCTGTCTCAGGACCATAGGTGTATGCCACCACACCTGGCTAATTTGTAATTTTTTTGGAGACTCAAGGTCTTACTTTGTTGCTCAGGCTGGACAGACACAGCATTGTTAACCACTATATTATACAGAAGGATTGAACATAAGGATTTGGAGAAAAAACAAAAGACAAGACACATAATGAAACAAAGGAAAGCCAGGTTAGCAAATTAAATATCAGACAAAAAAAAAAAAAAAATTCAGGACATAGAAAAGGCCATAACGGTCAGAGAGAAATCTTTATATATGACAGTATATAATATATACTGTCAGGCAAAATATATATTTCACCTGAAATATTCAATTAGGCTATATAAGAGAAAATTAGATATAATTTATAAGAGCAACAAACATTTGAATAATAGGTGCCACGTATTAGCTCATTTATTCTTCATAACTCTATGAGAAGAACAATTTCTATCTCTATTTTAAAGATTAAAAAACCAGGGCCGGGCTGGGTGGCTCATGCTTGTAATCCCAGCGCTTTGGGAGGCCGAGGTGGGTAGATCACCTGAGGTCAGGAGTTTGAGACCAGCCTGGCCAACTTGGTAAAATATAGGTCTCTACTGAAAATACAAAAGTTAGCTGGGTGTGGTGGCGGGCGCCTGTAATCCCAGCTACTCGGGAGGGTGAGGCAGGAGAATCACTTGAACCCGGGGAGGCAGAGGTTGCAGTGAGCTGAGATCACACCATTGCACCCCAGCCTGGGCGACAGAGTGAGACTCCATCTCAAAAAAAAAGATTAAAATACTAAAACCAGAGAAGTAACCTGTTGTTCAGCTACTAAGAGGTAGAGTCTAGGCTCTGGAAAGTCTGGCCTCAGTTCCTGAGCACTACAGCACAGGGCATACCAGCAGAGGGAAGAAGAGTGGATTGTTTAGTAAATGCTATTGAAAGAATTTGCTCATGATGCAGAAATGAATAACAAAGGATCCCCCCTCCTTCCTAGCATATACAAAAATAAACTCCATATGTGTAAAAGACCTACATGAAAAAACTAAAGCTGTAAAGTTAACAGAAGAGGCGGGGTGCAGTGGGTCATGCCTGTCATCCCAGCACTTTGGGAGGCTGAGGCTGAGTCGGGCGGATCTCTTGAGGTCAGGAGTTTGAGACCAGCCTGGCCAATATGGTGAAACCCTATCTTTACTAAAAATACAAAAATTAGCCATGCGTGGTGGTGGATGCCTGTAGTCCCAGCTACTCGGGAGGCTGAGGCAGAAGAATTGCTTGAACCTGGGAGGCAGAGGTTGCAGTCAGCTGAGATCGTGCCATCGCACTCCAGCCTGGGCCACAGGGTGAGATTAAAAAAAAAAAAAAAGTTAACAGAAGAACATGCAGGAGTGGGAAGTCCTTTATATCCCAAAAGTGCAAACCATAAAAGGAAAAAATTAGTGGAGTTTGACTATGTCAAAGCCAATGATTTCTGTTTAAGGAAGGGTATCACAGGCAAAATTAAGAAGGGAGCCAGCCTAGAAGACACCTGCTACATCAATAATCAACAACAACAAAAAATCAATGTCCAGAATACACAAAGAGTTCTCATATACAAGCAGGAAAAAAGAGAAGAAACCCAACAGAAATTTCAGTATCCCTTTCCCTTCTTCAGCGTACTACTTTTCTTCATAGCAATATTACCACTGATTTTATATATGTCTGTTTGATATATATCAATTATTACCATTCACACATACACAAGCACACACACAGCAATTATTGTCTTTTGAATATTTGTGTGTATATTTACTGATGTTATTGAACAACAGCTATGATGTGAAGGCTGGGATTATTTTTTTCCCATTGTTCACCGCTCTATTTCTAGTACTTATTAAGGTTACTGGCACACAGGGAGCACTCAAAAAACACTTGCTGAATGAATAAGTGAATGAATAAATTTCAAAAGCAGAAACTGAGAAAGGTAAATACTCCTGTGAGATGTTCAACCTCTCTAGTAATCAGAGAAATTAAAATCAAAACAACAAGGCGTCATTTCACAACCATCAAATTGGCCAAGTTATAAATTCAGTAATACTATGTATTGTTATTAAGGTAGGGAAACAGCAACTCTATTCCATGGATCTGGGATGGCACACTAGTAGAGTTGTTTTGGAATAATGTGGCAATTCTGATGGGAAAGAATTATACATATACGCCACAGCCAAGCAATCCCATACCCATCCCCCTCTCTTTCTCTCTCTCCCCATGTAAGAGTTTTCTCCTAGAAAAACTCTTGCCTGGGGGCATACAGAGGATATAGATTGCAGTACTTTTCATTGTAGCAAAGATTTGGAGGAAACCTCTGTGGTATCCCTATGAGAAGAGATAAATAAAATGATGTATATGCATTAGTGTAATAACAAGCAGTGATAAGAATAAACAAACTTGGCTAGGCGCAGTGGCTCACGCCTGTAATCACTGCACTTTGGGAGGTCTAGGTGGGAGGATCACTTGAGCCCAGGAGTTTGAGAACAGCCTGGGCAACAAAGGCAGACCCTGTCTCTAAAAAAAAAAAAAAAAAAGTTTAAAAATTAGCTGGGAGTAGTGGCGCAGGCCTGTTATCCCAGCTACTCAGGAGGCTGATGTGAGAGGACAGCTTGAGCCTTGGAGGTCGAAGCTTCGGTGAGCTAAGATCAGGCTGCACTCCAGCCTGGGCAACAGAGCAAGACTCTACCTTCTCAAAAACAAAAACAAACAAAAAATAAATTCGTTCTACATATAGTGACATGGATATGTCTCAAAAACATGTAGAAAAATAAAGGTAAAAAATTTTTTTGGCGGGCGGCTCATGCCTGTAATCCCAGCCCTTTGGGAGACTGAGGCAGGTGGATCCCTTGAGCTCAGGAGTTTGAGACCAGCCTGGGCAACATGATAAAACCCCATCTCTACTGAAAATACAAAAACTTAGCTGGGTGTGGTGGCACGCATCTGTGGTCCCAGCTACTTGGGAGGCTGAGGTAGGAGGATCACTTGAGTCTGGGGCTGGGGGATGGCGTACGTAGAGGTTGCAGTGAGCCAAGACTGCACCACTGCAGTCCAGCCTGGGTGACAGAGACTCCATCTCAAAAAAAATTATTTACTGGAGTGTCATTATAAACACAAAGCTTTTCTTCAATTCAATACACATATGATAGATATTTTTCACAGAATCACATATATACAACTAAAGTACAGCAAATGGATGGGAACATATGAAACACTTGAGAATATTTTTTCTAAGGTGAAATAGAATGGGACTGGGGATAAGGGGAATACACACACAAAAAAAAAACCACATAAAAAAATCAAAGAGCCACTTGCTTTAGTTCAAGACTCTAGGGAGATGGCTAGCTTGCAAATCTTCCTCATTCTTTTGCTAGCATGTCCTCTAGCACCTTGCTGGGGGTTTTCCTAGAACAGAGGGAAGGCACCGCAGTGACCGAGCAGGGTCAGATATTTATGGCCCTGGGTTCTTCCTTTCTGTCCTGCTGCTATGTGTAAGTATGTATTGACACCTCATTGTAAAACAAATTCATGTCCTTATTTTTAGGGATTTTCTTGGTTCTGATGGCATGGATAAGTTTAATGGAGCCACCAGATTGTGCAGCTGGCACCATAAAAAGAATGTCCATTTTTTCAAGGAATTGTGGAGAAAGCCAGTGAGGAGAGATGAGGAAATGTTTCAATTTTTGAGAAAAGAAAGGAACAGTCTAGAAATTACTCTCCTTGGAGAGACTAGGAGAGCTTAGCATGAATTCCATCAGTATTGCAGGAAAGTTCTGTTTTAACTACCTCCTTCCATGTTCATTCATGAGCTACAGACACTTTATTATGGCCCCAGGGCTAAATTTAAGCAGCAGTGGTTTTTGTTACTTATAGTCTTATTGGAACATGGCCACACCCATTCATTCACAAATCATCTAGAGCTGCTTTCATGCTACAACTGCAGAGTTGAGTAGCTGTAAGGGAGAAAGCTGCATGGCCTGCAAAGCCTACAGATACTTACTATCTGTCCCTGCACAGAAAATATATGCCCCACCTTGCTCAAAACACCAAGCCCTTCTTTAACTTGTCCTAAGTCAAAATGGCTCAGATCCGTTTACTGAAAAGGAAGTAATCACTGGAAACCATCATGGGTTCAGGGAGAACCAGTTACACAAAGCTAACTCTGCTTCCCTTTCCCACACAATGAGGTCAGTAGGCTGACAGGTCAGAGAAATGCCATAGGTTCCACACATCATGTTCTTAGCAAATCAGAACTGTCAGAGAACCGTAAGCAATCCATTAGGCAGATTTGTATTTCACTGAAGAACAGAGGAGAGTGCTGATGTACTGATGACTGATTTTGTAAAGCTTTGGGGAGGCCTTCAGTAGAAAGCTACAGAGCACTGCATTTAAAATTTGTGGAACAGAAAAGAGTCATCAAGAATTTGGATGTGGTTGTGGAAGGTATATATGTTTATTCAAAGTTAGTATGAAACAAAACAGTAAAATGAATAAGAGGGATGGTGATGGAAATCAAGGTAGCAGTTATCTTTGGGAGGCTCCTCAACTAAAGGGAGCATGAGGGGCTTCTTGGGGGCTGGTCCTGCTTGGGTGCTTGTCACAGGAGTGTGTGCACTTTGCGAAAATCCCAAGCGGGTGCATTTATACTTTATGTACTCTCCATTACGTGTTACCTACCTCATTAGAATTATGTAATCTGCAGTTCTGCTTGTGTGTGTGTGTGTGTGTGTGTGTGTGTGTGTGTACTGGTGATGGTGGCAATGGTGATGATGGTTTACCTAAAAGGAGTCACACCTAAAACTGTAAAATGTTGAATTACAGTAGGCTTCTGTAGCATTTAGATTTCTTATATATTTTTAGACATTTTATTGTCAAATATAGACTTACCTGGTGGTGGTCATCATAATTGGCTAATAGGCTGTAATATAGCCATTGCAGTTCCTTTAATACTACTCAGTCAAGGTGGAATAGCAAAGGAGATGGACAGGGCTGAGCAGATGATTATTATGTTAAAGCAAACTATTGGCATTTTATGAAGTTATAAAGTGTATTCAGTGTGTCCTCTTTTAGCTGTACACGTATGAAAGAAATATTCTCTCAACATTTCCAACATTTATTCATATTTTCTTGGAAGCAAATATAGGGTTGACATTCATTAACAGTTTGTAAAAGTCTTTTCAAAGCCAAACATCTGCTTGGCATCCAATGGTGTTCACAAATTTTTTTCCTTAAAGGAATGTCTGTTGAGCATTTATTAGCTTCATTTGTGCTTTATGACTACTTTTTAAGTAGAACATATATTTAGAGAAATTCTTAAAGCTAAAGACAATCTCTAAAGATTTAAGAAGTAGATGTGCCTTTATTTAATGCACTCATGCTATGACAGCAAATATTCAGTGTCCCTTTAGACTTCTTGCAGGACCCCTTGATAGGAGTAAGGTGAAAGGTTTTGCCTGGAATGCCACTCCCAAATGACAACACTCACTGAAGTCAAGTGTTTTTTTATACACTATGAGGAAAATGGCCTAAAAGGGGGTTAAACTTTGATTAGAGATGTTGCAAGTAGGAAAAAATGCTTACTTCAATTTAACTTTTGCTTTTCAGAAGACATGAGTACATAAATTATGTAGAACGATGATTACTAGACAGTCTAAAAGCTGGAGGCTCTAAGCCAATTTTCAACCAACTGTCACAGAACATAAGTTTCAAAATATGTTTAAACTAAACTGACAACTACAGAAAAATGTAAAATTCTTTGAAAGGCTGGGTTATGTGAACTGATGAGGACCTCAGAAACCACATGCTATTTAACACACAGTAATACTTCACTGCAACATTCCCACTCTCTTCTGGAGGGAATATTAAAAGAGGTAGAACAGATGCTTCCCCAAATTAAGCTGATCCCAGCAGTAGAAAGACTGTTCCCAGCAGAGTGGCCAACAGAAGGAAGGTCCATCCACAACCTAAAAGGGCTATGAGAGGTCCTCTGGCCCAGCAGCTTTCCAACCAGGACAAGATAACCCAGGAAGGGGGCATGTGTGTATTTCCCACCCTGCTATGACGAAGCTGGTCCACTTTTATTTGCTTCCTATATCTGGGTTCCCTGGAAGATAGGAATCACTGATATTCCAATCTCTTCATTTTGTAGGTCACAAAACCAAGGCCAGAGAGATTCCATCAGATACCCAAACTGCCAAATCAGTAGAGCTAGAACAAGCATTCTGTGAATCTCTAGATAAAATGCTTTTATACCAATTATACAGACTGTAGGACCAGGGGGCATAAAGCACTGGTCCCTGAGACTAAGAATTACTTATTTAGTACAGTTACTCCCTGGGATAGTGCTTGATTTCAGCTGTATCCATAAATCTCCATGAGTCTTAGAACAAGCTTTTTTCCCTACGTCTACCTCTCCAAGGAGTTTCAGTGAGTCTGTAAAACCCCTGAAGGGCTTCATGAAATTTTACATGTTTGTGTGCATGTGTACTTCTTCTGGAAGGAATGGTCTATAACTTTCATTTATTCTCCAAAAGTATCCGTGATCACACCAAATCATGAGAATCAGTGGACTTGTGTGAGGGAGTAGAGGGGAAGAAGAACCATAAAGGAGCAGTTTATAACTGGGAAAATGAATCAGAAACTATCTATAAATTAGATGCATTCAGGTTATGCAGGTAAATACTCACAATGTTAAAAACAGAAGCTGCACAGTATCTATGAAAGAACAGTAGTTGGCCAGGTGCGGTGGCTCATGTCTGTAATCCCAGCACTTTGGGAGGCCGAGTGTGTGGACTGCCTGAACTCAGGAGTTTGAGATCAACCTGGGCAACGTGGCAAAAGCCAGGCTCTACTAAAAATACAAAAAATTAGCTGGGCATGGTGGTACATGCCTGTAATTCCAGCTACTCGGGAGCTGAGGCACAAGAATCGCTTGAACCCAGGAGGTGGGGGTTGCAGTGAGCTGAGATCGCGCCACTGCACTCTCCACCCTGGGTGACAGAGTGAGATTCTGTCTCCAAAAACAAAAAAACAAACAAACAAACAAACAAAAAAAAAAAAGAAAAGAAAATACAGTGCTGTTAGACTGATACAAACAGGTTTCATTCCACTTCTTGGGTTTTATATACTTAAGAAAAATATTTGAGGCACAACATTCAACCTATACTTTAGAAACCAAAACCACCAGGACTCCAGAGCCCTGAATAAATTTGGGGTGGGGGGATTAGTTCTGTCTCTGAAAATTTCCTTCAGAAAACAGTGGTGAGAGAGACATAATGTCTGCTGCCTGGGAACAACTGTTTCTTTCAATTCAGCTGAAGACTCTGGAGGGACAACACTCATCTTTATAACTGTGTCAATGAGGCAAACACTAAAATCTGCCTCATTCTGCCCTGTATGCTGATAGTATCTGGGAAGAAAGTGGCTGATGCAATCCTGATGATGGAACTAACATGGAGACTCATTATCTGTTATAGGAAGGCTTTCCCCTCTACTTCCACTCCACCTAGGGCTAAAGAGAAGACTGCAGAGGAAGATCAGATTCTGAATTATCTGCATGTGTGTGGAATGACAAGCAGTAGATTGGAAAATAGTTTAAATTTGAGAGAAAAGCCCATAAAGCCAGTATGAACATAAACGAATTTGGGAAACAGTACCAAACTGTATTTAGAAATAATAATCAGTATTTATCTGGAGCGTCTATCTTCTAATGGAGTAAAATAGAGAATTTCCTGAGGCCGGGAGATTGTAATCATCTGAGAAACGAGGAGTGACACTTGGGTTTAATTGGAAAGAATGATACACAGAATGGCCCACCTATTCCTATCCAGGGATAGAAGCATTATCATGGAAATTATATTCTGAGGTCAGTAAGCAAAATGACAAGAAGATGGTCTGTGCCAATAGTTTAAATGCCAAGAGGCACCAGGCCAAGAAGGTGCACAGACATAAATCCGGCAGTGGCACTGATGTAATTATGGGCTTAGACCAATTCTCAAACATGCCAGAAGCTGAACCACAGTCCTTATGGGAAAAGAGAGAGTATGAAGGTAGTTAGAAGAAAAAAGCTGAGGAAAGATATGTGACTTAAGAAAAAAAAAAAAAAAACCTTAAAACTGGAAATAAAACTCAGTGTCTGCGTAGGGACCTCATGGTCTTGAAACATGCATAAAACAGAACCGAGGGAGGAAGGGGCCACACACATCTTTATAAGCTCAGTTTCAGAGCTGAGCCGCACGTGCACGGCAGGGTGTGATTCCCTTCTAGGGACCTGGTGCCTGGAGAAGCCCAGAGGTCCATGTGACTTGTGAGCATCCAGAACAAGGATTTCGGGAGGGAATTTCACAAGCACAGAACATATTTTTTCTCCCTTGACTCTGCTTTCTAGTTTTTTCTCTCCCTCTGCTATTGTTTAATTTTGTGGTTCGACTTTTTGAAGAATGGTGGGAGGTACTGTGTTAAGCAATGCTTTAAGAATGAGGCTCAGCTGCAATCACTGCAATATGAAAATTGGCCTCCCACATCTTTCCAACCAAACTGTGATTTGACTTAGAAAGAAAGATACATGAAGGAGAGCAGGTATCAAGTGTTACTCATCTTTTATGTGTCGCACTGCGCCCAGCACACACAAAGTAGGCACATAACAGATGACTCTAGGGAACTGGCCATTTTATCTTAATACTTCTGTATTCTGTTTCATGTTGTTTCCAACTAGGAGCCAGCAATCATAACACTTGTGCTTTTGAGCAATCTTTTGTTGATCCTTATGATCCCATTAGTTAAAGTGATTAAGTGACCAAATCTGCCACATTATTCTGATGAAAAGTGTCAAAGTTGAACATTAGTCACACTTAGTCAAGACATTTGCAAGGAATCCAGCAAAATCACTGTAAAAGTAAATTTTAAAAAGCATGAGAATACCAAAGTAAAAATGAGTCAAAATAATTTCCAGTCTCTTTATGAT
The DNA here is from genome assembly GCF_000001405.40 of Homo sapiens. Lineage (NCBI taxonomy): Eukaryota > Metazoa > Chordata > Mammalia > Primates > Hominidae > Homo > Homo sapiens. The sequence continues at coordinate 42,484,250 of NC_000004.12, forward strand.
TAAGCAAAGAGCCGGATGACTAATATTAAACATCTGTACAATATATTGTCCAAGAACTTTATAGTAATATTATTTGTTAATACATACCACAGAAAAGAAAAAGAAATTATATGACTAAAATAATTAGACTCCTGGGAAAGATAAGCAACTCTTAATTCTCTGAATATGGTATAATTTTATAGGCTAAAATGATGCTTATAAAGGATATTGAGAATAGTTTAAATTATATTTCAGAAAGTATGTCTCAACTGAAATTTAGGAAATGTCTATAAGGTATAGCTTATAATTCATAAATAATACCATATACAAAATATTTAAGTGAATAAACCCAGACAAAAGAGGTATAAAAAGCATAACTTTATTAGTAAATGTCTTTTTAAAGAAAACGATAAAAGCACATAGAATAGTTTTAAAGATAATACCAAAAGCACAGATACTGAGAAATCTTTCAGAATCTCTGCTAACATTTTATGTCCCAGGAAGAGAAGGCAATTTGAGAAATTGCTACCCAGGATCTAGACTGATCAACTCCTAAGATTCAATAGTGAATGACAAAGGGGAAATCCTTAGTTTTCATGGTGATCACAAAAGAGGAGACTGGGCATATTCATCATATTCATGAACCTACTTTAGGTCTTAGGAAGACGGAGTTTAAACAATTTATACGTAAATATGGGGAAGATTCCTTGACAAGAAACTCAGGAAGGACTGGAGCTATGTCGTTTACAAAAATGCCTTTCTATGAATTAGGCCTTGATAACTCAAAAGAGATTTTAATTTAGGATATAGGCAATTTTATAAATTAGAGGGCAAAGGAATGTATAGTCAATAAATACCTCTCAGAAAAATGCCCAGCTATTTGGAAAATGATTCAGTTTGCATCTTTCATCATGCTATTCCCCCAAAATAAGTCTTAGCAGCTGGATCAAAGATTTAAATATAGACAACAGGACCTTTAAAGAAAGGACCTAGGTGGAAATGCAGGTAGATAATGAATTTTAAACAAAGATAATGGCAAGAAACCTGTCGATTCAAATGAGGAAAAATACTTGTTAATGATTGTTAGGACTCACTTTTTAAAACTAACAAATTCCATCCCAGTTTGTGAACCTCAAGTCTTGAGTGAACACATTAGTAAGTAACCTAACTTTTGTAAACTCTGGATTACTTTCATTGACGTTTATAAATCAAGAACTTAGATCAAGTCATTCTTTACTAAAATCTGACAATGATAAGGAGAACTTACCGACAGCAAATGACAGCTTTGCATGACAAAGCTAAGTCCAGGAAATACTGTCGTACTCCAAAGGTTAAGGCATATTTGAGGGTTTTCCCATCAATTATAAGAGCAAAATCATTCTCTTTCCGGAGAGCATCACCAAGGGTAGTACAGTGACGACTGAGAGTTTCCCTTGTTCCCTGGAATATTAAACAAGCAAAAATGCCATCAACATTTACTCCCATTTGTTCTACTAGGATGCCTTAAGGATATTTGGCAACTACATTTAGTTATTTTTAGTGCTTTTTATGTTTCAAATTGCTTTCACATACTTTCAGTCATTTGATTCTTACTAGCCCCTCAGGAGCCTGCACAATTGTTATCAGAAAAAGTTAGTTACTTGATTGAAGTCACACATCTGTTCCTAGCAGGGTTGGGACTAGACTATAAGTCACCTGTTTCTCAGGTGATTCTGTAGTCTTTGCTCATTATTCTAACCATCATTGTTTGAAATGCTTGTTCCCCGGTGCTGTAAAGAAATAGCACTTGAACATAAATTTAATTTATTTAGTAAGGCCATTTTTACTTTTTGCAGAAAGGGTACACTCGCCAGCAGTTTTGCCACGAGAGTACACTGAACAAAGGAGACAGGGTCATTTATAACCTGACGCGTTCACCCCACCGCTGTGTCCGGTTTCCATTGGCTGGAATGGGACCTCACATTCTGTATTTGTCCCGATTGGCTAGCAACTTAGAACCTTTTAAAAGAGGCAAAGGTAAAGGAGAACAAAGGAAGGCGGAAGTAACTTGTGGAATGCTGAGAAAGGTAAAAACACTTTTAAATAAGGAAGAGGAACAGGCTATGACCTAATCTTGCTTGGACCAGTATAAGCATGTCGGGGCAAATATTTAGGCTAAATTGTGGGAGCTAGGAACATAAAGTACATTGATTTCTTTATTATGGCTAGCACAGGTCTTTGAATAAATTTTGCTTTTAAGAGAAATTACTATTTATTCCTAATTAGACGGGGAGGAAAGTCTTTGAAGAGGAACCTCTACTTTACTTTTTACACGACCATGCAATCACAATACGGCAAACATATTTTCAGTAAATTCTTTTGTTAAAAATCGTGTTAATTTATGAGCTAGTCAAAGTTGCTACTCCATGAATGAAGGGAAGAAGTTGGGGAATATATGCATCACTTAACTATGTTTTGGTCAACAGACTGAATATCCCATGGTGGGCCCATAAGATTGTGAGACCATATTTTTACTGTGCCTTTTCTGTGTTTAGATATACAAATACCACTGTGTTACAACCGCCTACAGTATTCAGTACAATAACAGGCTATAAGGGCTTGTAGCCTAGGAGCAATAGGCTATCTTGTGTAGCCTGAGTCTGGAATAGGCTATGCCATCTAGGTTTGTGCAAGTACCCTCTATGATGTTCATACAATGACAAAATTGCCTAATGTCATGTTTCTCAGAATGTATCATTTCATTAAGCAAACTGTAATTTAAATAATTTACAGGCATTCTTTCAAAAATCCTCAATGCTATTGAATTTAACTCCTAGTAACTAAGAGGAGGAAATGCACAATCTGTAAACTCTTGCCTCTTTTATGAACTGGCTTTTGTAATTTTAATCATGATTTCATGATGTTGTATTTAGTTGGGGATGGTGACCTGTGACTTGGTAATCTTGATGGATCAAATAAAAGAACGCCTTCTATCAATGAAGAGTTCACTTTCAGGGACAATAAAAGCCTTTAGTGTCAAGACAGCTTTGTTCACCTCAACTATTTGTCTCCCTTTGTCAAGAACTGCTTTCCCAGCTCTTCAAAGGGATAAAGTTTCAATACATTTAGTTTTTCTCCCCACATCCTATAGATTCTTCCTATAACCTAATGGAGCCAATTTCCTATTTCACAAGAGCCCTACCGTGGTGAAGAAACACAACACTGGCCTGGCACAAGGAAATATAATGAGTAATTCCCCTCCTATCAGATTTCTGTTCTGAGTGCTAAGCCTACAGTTATTTATAAAATAAATACAAATATACATATTTATATAATAAAATATACCTACAATAAAAATACAGTACACTTATATAACAATTTTTATTATGTTCATGGGATTTACAATTATTGTTCCAATTTAAGCATGTCGTTTTATATATATATGGTCATTTTGTAGTTATTTCACAGAGAAGCAAAGGCATAGGTAATTAAAATTTTATGTTGGGGATTTTTGAAAGTGTTTTTACATTTGTATGCAAATGCGGTTCACACTATGTTCTGGAATATCAGAATCCTTTTACCAAAATAATAGAACCAAGTTGTACTATAAAGAAAGACTGCCCAACTTTCCTAATGCTGAAGCTTCACTTAACAGTTGCCCTGTTCCCCATTACACACAGTGACACAAAGGACCACCATATAGCAGCATTCTTTGCAAAATTTTCTGTTCACACTTTACATCAGGGATGGGGGGAGAGTAGCTGTTTTAATTTACAAGCCTCACCCTCCTGTTTCCTGCTGGAAATTTTTGGCCCAAGAGGACTTAAAGAAGTGAAAAATGTTGGTAATAAATTCCACAAGCAAAATTTACTAATGACAATCTATAATAGATATCCCCTGGATTATCTTAACAGCAAATTCATATAGATTAAATGAACAAATAAGTCAATGAACTGATACAAAATATTTAGCACATACTACACACTAAGCACAGTTCTGAGATGCAACACAGAGATGCAGCATTTAAGTTAACACTTGCTACCATCCTGAGCAGGAGGCACTACTGTTATCTCCATTCTGCAGATGAGAGTGTTTCAGTTCCTTGCTTAAAAATATGTGGCTATTAAGTAGTGACATCAAAGTGAGAATGAAATTTCTGCGGTAGCCTGTCTTTTTCTATGCAATCCAGCAAAAAAAAAAACAACAAACCAAACTTCAGACAGTACCAGGCGCAGCAAGTTAGAAATGGAATGCCCACACCAGTCCCTCTGTTGCTTCCCTTGAGCCCTCATCATCTGTCTCTCATCTTGTCTTTACCACCAACAGAGACATCTCTTTATAAAACAAATTTAAAACACAAATCTTGTCTCTTCTTGCTTTAAAAATTTTCTAGGGCTTTCTACAGCTGACACAATAAAGTCTAAACTCCTTAAAATGGCATGTAAGGCTTCCTACATTCTGAGCCTAACTTTCCTTCCCAGTGCCCTTCACAATCTTGGTTTCTTTTGTTTCCCTCTTCCTGGAATGTCCTCCTCTCCAGAGGATCATCTGCTGCCTTCAAAAACCAAGCTTACCCTGTAAGCCCTCCCAGGTTCAGTCCACGCTACCAAGTGTAACTCATTCTACTGCAGCAAAACCCTGAGTTTCTTGACAGGAAAGACCGCGTTAAACCTGTTTCCCAGCAACAAAGGCAGTGTCTGCAATTACAGATGCTCATGAAATACATATTTATTGAATGAGAGCATTGATAAATTCTGATTTCATCCCGTTGGCAATGCTCCATTTCCCCCTTTATTATCACTTCTGATTAGAGAAAGAGAGAGAGTAAGAGAGAGACACACACAGAGAGAGGTCTTCTCTTTGCTCCCTAATTTTCCAGGGAACAAATAATCCATTACTTTAACAGACTTTCAAACAAAGGCATTGCTCACTAAAAAGCCTCTGTATTTTCTTTTAAGCTATTGCCCAAGTGATTTCTGAGCTGAAAACCTGAAATGAAACCTGAGACGGACCTCAGGAGGACTTCGAATTTCTTGAAAGCTCAGCTGCAAAACAAGACCGAAAGTCAAGTAAACCCCAGAACTGTGAAACGCCCTCATGAACCAACATAGGGTATGCAGTCCTGTGGTCCCCGCTCTCCCTCCTTTATAAGGCATTCTCTAACACCTTAAAATTTATTGAAAATTCTCTAAATTCGTGACATCAGTATCCCTAGGTTTTGTTGGTGACTATCACAGATCTCTGGCAAATCAGAAGGTGTCAAGAGATGTGATAGAAATAACATTTCAGAAGGTGAGTCAAAAACTTCTCACAGTGAATTCACTCGTCAGCCCACCTAGGGTGCAAGGTAACAACAACAAAAAAAGCTGCAAACATTTTCTCATTTTAGTTTATAGTTTTCTTTTGTAAGCTCTGTTGTTAGCTGTGTGCTGCCAGTTACAAGTTATATTTTATCCTTATTTACTGCCGGGAGTATTTTCAAATTCTTTTATTTATGAAACTTTATTGCTTCTCCCCTAAGTCCAGGAGCCATACTTTATGGCTGCATTGCATTGAAGCTTATCTCCTGTAGCTAAGGATAAATTTATTACTATATTAGCTGTTGTTTTGTTTTTTTGGCTACTGAAGGGGGAAATTTTTAAATATTGAAACTTAGTGACTTGTAAAAGTGAAAATATAGCAATGAGAAGCTAAATCAGAAAAAGGATCAAAGACCACAGGCTCAATGAAATAAAAGATCTCTATTTCCTTGTTCTGCATATTTTCACTCGTGGGCTGAAAGTCCAGGAGCATCAGAGACATTGCAAGGTAAAGGCAATCTGGGGAGATGGACAGGTAAGAGGAAAGGCTGGGGTTCAAACACTCAGCCAGGCAAGGGAGGGAGCCACAGTGGAAAGTGAGATTCTCGTGCCCCTTCCCTGACCTGCAGCCTGTGTGGTCATTCTGGACAACCATTCTGCTCTGCTCTTCCCATACCCACAGCACCACACAGACAGAGCCCAGTGCTCACTGGAAGCCCTTAGCCTGAACCTCCTACTATGCTTTCTTGCCTTGCAAATTCACCATTTAGGCCACACCCAACACAACCTCTAGGTTCTGTCTCGTTAACACAGAAAGGAAAAAGCCACCTCACTGCGAGGGCAGGATCTACTCCAGCTCCCTCTTCTTATGTGGCTGCTCATCACTGCTGGTCTAGTCTTTTATCCATGTCTAGTGGATTCCATGTTTCCCAGAGGCTACTCCAGACCTTTTCTTCTCTCCTCAAGAGTCCAAATTTGGCCCCTGTCACTTCGGCAAACATCGGCCTGTTTTACTGAGAACATTTATACATTTATAGCAGAAAGAATTCCCTCAACTTTCCTTCCTTAACCTCAAAACTTCCCTTTACCTAATCCCCTCTAGTTCTTGAGCTGGGGTAACACCTGCCTTCTCACCTTTTGTTTCTTTCACTTCTCTTTGCATCTTCATTCTCCCCATTGGCACTATTTCCTTTTCCTTTAAGCCTACCTAAAAGGTCACAATTTTCTTATTCTAAAAATAATGAACAAATAAACCAAGACACATTCCCTTGACCCTACTTTCCCTGAGTCCTCCAGGTGACATCAATACCTCTATCTTTTGGATCCCTGAAATACTTCATTTACAGTATACTTATACAAGGTAGCATGATGTTGAGTAGCTTATCTATTTATATGTCTATATTCCCTTTGGAACAGAGGTCTTTGATGAAAAGGTAATAACAGAATAACCAAATTATTAATGATTGGAGAATATCTTATAGGAAGTTAAAGTGGTTTTCTTGTGTGACCATTTTAAGGATTGTTGTCTGCTGCCTGTAAAACTCCTGTATACTCTTAAATACTCTGATTTAGAATAAAGAAAATGCTAATGTGCTTATCTCATAGAGAAAATGAAAAAGAGGTAGTCATGATCTAGTATCTACTTTGGCCTCAAATATTTTAAATTGTCTAGTGAATGTAATACAATGTATATTTAGATCAGCTACTTAGTCATCAACCTTGGTTGTAAAACAGTGGGCCAAGGAGAAATAATATTTATTTGGTTTACAAGAAACATGCTTGGGAAATAAAAATAAAGAAACATGCTTGGCAGATAATGAGGCCAAGTAGAATTCCTCACTTTGAATCATTAAGATATAACCTTCCCAAACAGGTAATATGTTCATATAATAAACTCTAATAAAATAATGTAACAGCAATCTTTGAGAAATTAGAGACTAGCAGCTTTATGGCAATCTTTTTCATTAATATTGAGGAAACCCTTGATAAAAACCCTTGATAAAAAAACAGGCCTATATCATAAACGTGCAGTCATAAAAAAGTGAGATGTGAGGGTGCCCTAGACAATGAAATCTGACACAGTTTCATAGTGAAATAAATTAAAAGCCCTGATTTGTTTGGAAAGTATCATAGCATGCAAGTTGTCATTTTCATTTTGGCAAAACTCTGCTTGGAACAAGCTAACGAACCCACAGGCCAGATGTGCAAAGAACATGTGAGGCCACCTAAGGACTGTGTTTTTGATGGCCCCTAAAGTAATGCTGCAGAAAGCACCTGCATAAAAATGGTCCTTTTCAGCTTTCTAGCCGAGGTTTACAGGAAAGACAGTATTACTCAGGAACAAATCCAAGCAACACCCTAGTAGAGAATGTGGAAACATCCCTAAGGAAAGGAAAAGCATAGCCTCTAGAATTTGACTCCATGACTCGTTAGCCAGGGGTTCACAGAGCAGAGACGAGGTGAAAATTATGGGTAAATAGTCCGACATGAAGCAGCTAATGGTAGTGGCTTCCAGATCTTGCTCTGAGGCTGCAATTACTTATTTGTGGCTTCAGTAAATAACATGTGCTCTCTCATATATGTCCCAGAGGGTGTCTATCAGTAAGACTAACCCCAAACAAAAAAGTAAAAGGAAAAAGCCTGTCTATACTTATCTAAAGTATACTTTGGCATTTAGGTCCAAACAAAAACAAGTATCCAGCATCTATACTTATTCTTAGGAATCTGTTAAATGTGTGCAGGTCAAATGATAAACTTATGTTACAAGGAGGATTCTATTCCCAGAAAGGAAAAAAAAATCAAAATTCTGCATTATACTTTGAGTTTCAGATACATCATTTAATAATGTATTTCTATTATGGAATGAGGGTCTGTATCCCACCAAAATTCATATGTTGAAATCCTAACTCCTATTTTGATGGCGTTAAGAGGTAGGGTCTTTGGAAGTGATTAGGTCGTGAGGGTGGAGACCTCATGAATGGGATTAGGGTCCTTAAAGCATTTCTGGAGGGCTCCCTTCTTCTTCCATCATGCACAGACACAAGAAGACACTGTCTATGAACCAGGAAGAAGGCTCTCAAGAGACACCAAATCTGCTGCCACCTTGATCTTGAATTCCTTGGTCTCCAGAAATGTGGGAAACAGACTTGGTGTTTAAGCCCCACAGTCTATGGTACTTTTGTTAGCCTGAATGAACTAAGACAATTTCGTTATTCTTGGATTTGTTATTTTTCTTCATGAGTTCACCACCAGTTAAACAAATAAGCATATGATCGGAACTAACAACAAATCACTTTTGGAAGATATACAACTTTCACCTTTGTCAGAATGAACATAAGTTCAGGAAGCCTGTGCTTCCCTCTACAGTATCAGCAACACAAGTTTCTGTTTTTACTTCCCTTCCTTAGAAAGGAAAAAATGCAACAGAATGTTATTAAAACACCTTCAGAAATCTTGCTGAACAAAGATGGTGACTCTACTGAAACGAGGTAACTGGAGGCAGAGCCACTGTGACACAACTCTTCATAGCTGGTCAGCAGACACATGCGAATTACCAGAGTGTAGAGAAAGCAGTGGTCTGCCTGTATCATACAAACGTGCAGTCATAAAAAAGTGAGATGTGAGAAAGTCCAGGCTGGCCCGTGAGGGTGCATACAATGGCTCTGGACACTGATAACATTTGAAAATAAAATGACGTCACACTGTAAAGAACTAAGTTCCAAAGGTCGAAACATACCCTATGGCTCAGAACTCCAGGTTTTCGTCAACTTCAGGTGGATGTACAGTATGGTAAAGATAAACTAATCAAACATTATTCACCTTCTTGGAAAAGGGAAAATTAAATGTTATTTTGAAAAAAATTCCCTAATGAATGATAAAAGTTAAACAGGAAATAATAAATAGTTTCAACCACTTACTTAAGACAGCAAGAACTCCAAAACCCTTTTGGATCTTGGGCAGCTACGTGAGCTTAGAGTTCTACAAAGGATTATATCACACATATCAAAAAGTATTATGGGTAAATTCATTTCATGGCCTATCATAAACTCTTCGCCAGAGTTATGTATGTATTTCAATGTACCTCCTCATGATTTAATGTAATTTTTTTGGTTTGACTGACTCTAGAAGGCCAACTGTGTGGTATTGGAAAGGTTTCCTCCGAATCCTTGCTCTGCCGCGTACTGGCTGTCTTTCCTCAGGCAGGTGACTTAACTTCTCTGAATCACATTTTTCTCATTCATAAGATTGGGTTACTATCTATTTTGTAGAGAGATTATAGTGATAAGATGTGCTAACTCCTTTATTTGTGAATAAAGTGCCCTGTCCAGTGCCTGGCATGAAGTGACATCCAGGAAAGGTTAGTTCTGCCCTTCCTCTGGTATCAGGTCTAACAAAGGTACTAACACGAAACGCGCCAGGTCCGGTGGCTCCCACCTGTAATCCCAATACTTTGGGAGGCCGAGGAAGGCAGATCACTTGAGGTCAGGAGTTTGAGACCAGCCTGGCCAACATGGTGAAACCCCTTCTCTACTAAAACAAAAAAATTAGCCGGGTGTGGTGGCACATGTCTGTAATCCCAGCTACTCAGGAGGCTGAGGCAGGAGAATTTCTTGAACCCAGGAGGCAGAGGTTGCAGTGAGCCAAGATCATGCCACAAAAAAAAAAAAAAAAAAAAAAAAAAGAGGTCAGGCTTGGTGGCTCATGTCTGTAATCCCAGCACTTTGGGAGGCCGAGGCGGGTGGATCACCTGAGGTCAGGAGTTCGACACCAGCCTGGCCAATATGGTGAAACTCTGTCTGTACTAAAAATACAAAAATTAACTGGATATGACATGACAGGTGCCTGTAATCCCAGCTACTTGGGAAGCTAAGGCACGAGAATCGCTTGAACCTGGGAGGTGAAGGTTGCAGTGAGCCGAGATCACGCCACTGCACTCCAGACTGGGCGACAGAGTGAGACTCCATCTCATGTGACTGGGATAATTTTAAGTTTTCTTATGAAATCTCCCAATGGCAATTTTATTTCAATTTACCTTTTGACTGCCAACATTCAATACTATCAGCTACTTCTGGAAACCTGTCTTCTCAATCTAGGAAAGATGGCATTATCTAGTCTCATGTGACATATAGCTCTTGGTACATGGTAGGAGGACAAATATTTATATAACTAACCACTGATTTTCTCTCTTAATTTCTGTCTCCAACCTGATAGAATTCTTAACTGAAAATAATTGGAAAGTTATAAACTGATGTGGCATTTCTCTTTTATTATCTGTATAGTTCTGCATAGGTGACCACATCAATGTATGTATTTGGTTTAAAATAATTAATTATAAAGACGACACCCAGGGTTTGTTTTGCTGACATGTTCTTCAGACACAACACCACTGAGTTCATTCTTAGGTTTTGTTTTTAAAGCAGAGAAATAAATGTTTACTGGGAGTAAAAAACAAAAACACCACCAGCACCTTACTTTAGTTTGCTAAGGCTCTACCTTTTAAAATCTACTATAAATTAATTTAAAATGTCAAATAAGAGGATATATATAAGAATCTTAAACTAACACATATTTTATTAGCTGTTTTGGTGGTTTGAGGCTCCACCTCATCATCATTTAAGACGTGAGGTATTTACAAATTTATGGTCAAATCATGTTTCATTCTGTCTCTACTCTTACACTCTCCAAATGTTCACACTTTAAAATTATGAATTAACGGAACATTCTAGAAACATTCTTAATAATACATTATGACCATATCAAGTATGGACAATGTTAGCACGTTCTTAAAGAGTGAGTTATGGCTCCCATAATAACATATGGATAAACCATTGGGTATTACTTGCTTTTCTACAATGTGTTATTGATTCAGTGGAACACTGGGCATTCCATATACTCCTACGCAACACATATATCAATACTCCTCCAGCTACTGCAGGTGGTAGTAAAAGAACGTATGCCTGAGAGTAGGGAGAAACTACATTTATGTACAACTGGCCCATTTAGTATTCATCCCAGTCAGGATCACTAGCTCTCTTTGACGTGGTTCCCCTGCAACCCCCTGACACATTATAAAATCAAAACTTATTTTAAAAAATTGTATTTATTGGTTTTTTTTTTTTGATGTAGTTTTTGATCAAAAAGCTTTGGTGTTTCCAAACTCGTAGCCTGTACTAGAACATAATGTTGAAAAACATATGTGTATAGAATCAAACCAATATAAAGTAATTTTTCCAAAACGGGTAAGGCAGACAGAAGGTGAAGTCATTAAAAACACATGGTCAAAGAGGTCCTCCAAACAGCTTAGAGGAAGGCGGCCCAACGAACGCATTTAATCAATATATATTGCTAAAGATAATGGGGAGAGGAAAAGAGAAAAAAAATTCCATGCTTTGCTAATACACAAATATAGGTTTCCCAGGACGGGGGTAGATATGGAATACTGTAATTGAGGAAGTGGTCCAATCTCCCAGAAGGGTCATGCCATCTGACAAAGGTCAAGGGTCACAAAATGGAGGCAGGTAGGAAGAGGAAGTTGTAGTGCTGGGTAAATTGCTCTTGGCCCCTCAACAGAGGTTTGAGATTTGGGATTATGATAGGTTCCATCAGGCAAATAAGTGCTTGCGAGGCATCTAGTCTCACTTAGGGTACAATGCAGAGAGAGGCAGCAAAGTGCTGAATCTGTGTCCAGTCTGTGTTTCAGCACGGGGGTGGGGACATGTAGCAAAGACAGACAAATCCAGGGAAAGGAAGGAAGAGTGGGATAAGGGATATAATTATATAATTTAAAGAGTTTTCTGGATAAAGGCTTTTACCAAAGCCCCCATGGTAATTATTTTAAACCACCACTGAAAGCCTCCTAAACACTTATTTTGACTTTGGTATTAAATATTCTCCAGTGGCAGCAGTGAATGCAGAAGCAAAGCACGCGGGGAGGAACTGGGTAGGCAGACATCCAGTCTCTCTCATTACCTTCAATTCAGCCAGGAAGAGGCTGCTCAGAATACACAACTGGCTTTCTCAAAATAAGCAAATTACAAATCAACAGTTTGGAGAAGGTAACAACTAGGGCCTGTGAGAAATTGTTACCCAGAACCACAGAGAAAGCTAATGTTGGGCCCATTTTCTAAATAATTTAAATTAATTAATGTAAGAAAATAGAAGAATCATGATCTGCCATATTTTCTCAGTGCAAATCCCAAACGCACACAATTTCCATTATTTTATATAGATATATACACACATATACACACATATATATACGCACATATATACACATACACATATATGCACATATACCCCCCCCCACACATATATACGTACATATATATACACACACACACAGTCAATAACATCTTATGTACAGTTGTATTAGCAAAATTAAATATGAGGTCTTTTCAGAATTCCATAATCACAAGATTTGGGCATTGTCATATTCCAGAAGAGTCTCCCTCTTTCAGGGGTTCTGTGGTCCTGGTGGTGAGTGGTAAAGGAGGTAGGAAAATGGGAAAGGGGGATAAGTGTTGGATGGAGAATGAAAATGAAACAAGTTAATAAGTTTGGGAGATAGCTGCTGGAATATTTCTTTCTGCAAATGAGTTACTGCTGCCACTGGAGAAGGTACGGTTATTTAAAACCAAAATCAAACAAAAACAGTTTGGGACTTCAAGCAATCAAGGTTCACATTTAAGATTCCAGCACTTGCTAGACATGGGAACTCAAAGTCTCTATCTGGAACTGAGACAAACACCACCAGCTCTAAAGGAGCACAGATTACAGATACACCAGGCGTACTGGCACATAGTAGGTTTCCTAAAAACTGTCATTTTATGCGTGTGCTGACTCATCAGAAGGTATTGGTGGCAGAGATGCAAAGAGGGCACGAGGCATGGCGTGCGCCTCTCAGAAATGTCAACAAACTTGTGGGGGAGAATGGCAAGGGGGCAGACTAGTTAGAAAGCATTTATCTGCAATTCTAGGTCTCAGGGAGCTCTTGGAAGAGTTCAGAAATTTAGCCAAAAATGAGGCAAAGAATATTCAGGGTTGAGGGGTGGAAGAACTTCTCAAAACAGACACACTATAAATTTGTGAACAACCTCACTTAAGGTTCTCAGCACAAGCCAGCCTCGCTGAATTTTGTTTAAAAAAAAAGGACACATTTAATTCTATGAGCCCAGACAATGGGTTTGATGGAACTTTTTCAACCACGTACTTTGGCTTGCAGCAGACACTGTCTTAAATCCAGGAAAAGGAGAACAGATTATTTGTTCATATGTTATTTTCATTTTTTGGTAATGTTTACACTTTTTACTAACCCATTTATTTCAAATGTAACAAAGTTGGCTTTCTTTACTGAGAGCTACTTGGAGTAAGCAGTGTGCCAGACAATATTCGAACAATCTTTTTGCATTAGGACATTATAAAAAAATATCTTTGCTTCTGATAGGGATACATTAACACCTTCAAAGTTAAACTTTGATCTTAAAATTTCAAGCCAAAAAGCTGAAACAGCTTTGCTAATGGTAAAAGAAAATTCACAGTACTGAAGCACCAATGCTGGCAGTGGAGGAAAACTCAGTGTGGTTTAAAACTTGCCTAAACTATTTTCAAAGCAATACAAAATATATTGTATGAGACTCATGGGACATATCAAAACAAAACCTGAAGTAGCCCAAATTCTCTTTTTTCCCTTCTTTTCTGGAGTTGAGTCAATAACTTGCTTATTCTGGATTTCTTTCAGAAGCCATTCAACAGTGGCCCGTTCCCAAAACAGTGAGGTCTGTCCGCATAATACATGTAAGTTGAGCTTAAAAGGGTACAGATGACAACTTCAGCCTTTATGTCCTGAATGTCCTATAAGTTATAGTCAAAACTTACATGGTGTTAGAATGTCAAATTCAGCTAGAAAAAAGTTAGCAATTCCATGAAGGGTTTTCTTTTACCACAGTGTTGAAAAATATATATTCTAATGCTTGTTAACTTAATATCCAATGTGGCTAACAATTCATTTTCTGTAAAATATGTAAGTGAAGTGAAACACTGGTATCCATAATCAAACCTACAGCTGGTTTGGGGTCATATTCTCAAATTAAGTAGAGAACTTTAAGTAATTTAAGAGTAGAATGGCTGTTCAAAGTCATCTGTTACATCGGACAGCAGTGAAGAACTCTCCTCTAGAAATAATAATACTAAAAAAAAAAATGATGATGATGTCCAGCATTGTTTCTAAGTACTTAACAGGTATTGTTGTATTTAATCCTCACAACTCCACCCCTAAATGAGATGGACATTTTCATTATTCTTGTTTTACAAATGTAGTAGATGAAGGCTAGAAAAACCTATTTGCTTCCCACACTCTGGAATCAAATTCCTTAGATGTATCCCCCAGTGCCGCCGAGCTACCTGAGCTTGGTCCAGTTATCCTTCTAGATTCTTTATCTGTAAAATGGGCATACTAGTATCTACTTATAACATATAAATTAATAGTTTCAGGTATAAATGTGATTGTCCCTATAAAGTCCTCAATCTAGTACCTGGTACAAAATACACAGAAAGCTGCATTTTCCTGCAGGATCCAAACACTACTTCTCATACATTAGGTGGTGGCTCCTGATCAGGCTGAAGGTGAACATCAACAACAGCAGAGACAATCTAGAAAAACTGCCAGGATGATCAGAAGGAGAGGTGGCAGGGCTTCTCAGGAGTTAAGCTTGGGAACACTGACTGCAAGCTTTTGAGGGTAGGAAATTTATGTCTCCAAACATCATGCCTGTTGATTTAATAAATGTATAGTGTATATTTTCCCTTTCTACCCCACTTTTGTTTTCTAGGAAAGCCTGGCAGTACAGAAAGGAGGATGAAAAATAGAAAAAATGGATTTGAGATGTAGCTCTACCTCTGGGGACAGATCCCACAACTCCTCACATAAAAGAGATGCCAGAAGGAGAGATCAAGGTTAAGGGTATATCACGAGAGACTCAAGACAGTCAATTTTGATACCTCTAAAAAATCTGTTTAAGTCACACAGTTAATGGCTTAAAAAATGATGGCCCCTCCCACCCACTCTAGATTTAGATGAAATTGTGGTGAAATCCTGAGCTATCTCAATGAAACATGTCTTCAAAATTTTTCTCCCACAAGAGGAAACTTAGACCAAACCTATACAAAAATATAATATGTTAGGTTGCCTGAAAGTATTTCCAGAGATTTGGAGTTGATGTGCCATGGAGGATATAAATAATATCGCATAAACCCAATCCTTCCAGAACTGTTTCAGTGCATTTCGAAAGAGTTTAATTAGAAACTGGGAGCCAAAGATGGGCCACAGTATGAGATTCTCTAGTGCTTAGCTCACATTCTAGATGTTTCCAGATTTAACAGACAGACTTTAAAAAATTAAAACAAACTAAACGATATAAAAGAGATGCAAAAGTATCACTAGGTATAAGGGTTTATCATTAATTAGAAGTCTGTGGGACATTTCCTGGGCATTGCTGTGGAGTTAGAGAAGTAAAATATTCCCCTTTCAAATCAGTATTTTGAAATTTCTGCCTTTGCAGATGCTTAAAGAAATGTCTTGGCTGGGCGCAGTGGCTCATGCCTGTAATCCCAACACTTTGGGAGGCCGAGCTGGGTGGATCAGTTGAGGTCAGGAGTTCAAGACCAGCCTGGCCAACATGGTGAAACCCCATCTCTACTAAAAATACAAAAATTAGCTGGGTGTGGTGGTGAATGCCTGTGATCCCAGCTACTCGGGAGGCTGAGTCAGGAGAATCGCTTGAACCCAGAAGGCGGAGGTTGCGGTGAGCCGAGATCGTGCCACTGCACTCCAGCCTGGGTGACACAGCGAGACTCGGTCTCAAAAACAAAACAAAACAAAACAAAACAAAACAAAACAAAACAAAACAAAAACAGAAATCTCATATTGAGAACACAATCAGAACTCCTAGTAAAGTAGTTCACAGCAGCACTATAGAAAGTTATTCAAATTTAAAAAATTATTTATCAGAAATACCTAATAGGTTTTGATCAACTTTACATGATTCTTAATTACATTTATCCATGAAATTTTTTTCTAAAAAGAAAAAAAAAATCAAGCTTTCTGCTGATCCTGGCAATTTTACAAGAGCCTGGTGGGTAACTGGGTGAGAACACCTGGCTTTGCTTTTGGACGACATTCTAGCCGGGGCTGCTGCTCTTGCTATGAAAGGAGTCAAGAATGAACCAAGGCAGAAAGACCTGTCAGGTTTCCCTATCAGGTCTGTAGAGTGAGACTTCCATTATGATTGTATTTTCAACTGTAGTTTGGTCTTATGTATTTATTTAAATGTTTTTATTAAAAATGCTGAAGAGTTATTTTTTTTAAGAAGGATACTCATATTGAAACTCAAAAAGAAAAAATTAGAAAGCCCAGTGGAATTTCTTCGGTGGTGATCTAGATTATGGAAGACAAAGATTTCTATTATCATAATCACTAGGAGAAAGGGTTTTCTATCTGAAATTTTAAGAGCTTCAAATATGATACATTATAGAAGTTCAACACAAGAAAAAGATTCAGCTTTTGGATTTTATCAGCTTTAGGAACAATATTTTAGTAGAAAATCTGAACAGAAAAATGCTCAATATGTATCACTTATGTGAAAGAGAACCTACAGTTGTAACTTGCCACCTTAGGGAAAAAAGTAAAAGATGAGGAAATAGTATTTTCTTATAACAAAAATGATCACTATGCAAAACAACTTACAAGCTACTGAAATAATATTCTCTCTACAAAATTTTATAACATCTCATTTTTTACATGTGCCATGTACTGTGCTAACTATGCTAATCCTATGCCAAAGGTTACATTCTCCTTACTTTGTAGGCAGCAGAACTGGCTCAGAGAAGCTGATTTTAATTTGCTGACGGTCCCACAGTCAGATTGGGACAGAACTGTGCTCTTCACCCTGTGCTATTTCACAGAATGATTTGAGTGCACTCATTAAAATTGTCACTTGACAAAACACACATTCACATTTCCTAAGACATTATATTCCTAAGTTCATTACTTAAATGCTAATTATTCTTTGTGCTGATAAAATAATTCTATTCACTACTGATCAGTACAATTTGAACACAGATTGGATGCGTTCCATTTCCATATCAACGAAAAAATAATGATTTACCTACAGGCACTCTAGCACATCTAATGATTTGCCTGAAATCTCAGCCATGGGTTTTATGACACAAGATCGGAAGGAGCTACGCGAAGTGATGTTTCCTTTCCTGCTGAGAAACAAATGAGTACACTGCAGCAGGTCTGACCCTAAACAGTCAGATTTGTAAAGTCACCACTTAACTCCCTGGGAGAAAAGCCTTCCCCAGACAGCAGTGTTAGAATGCCTGGCAGTCTGGAGCTGGACAAATTAGTGTTAATCCATTCAGCCACAGTGTTTGCCTGTGATCTTTAAACTGCTACTCGAACTGCTAAGGAGACTTTTAGCCACTTTACTTAAAAAATATCAGATATGATCAACAACAACCAAATTTAAAACTGATATACTTTTTTTTTTTCAAAAAAGAAGCCCTTAATTAAAAATTACTCAGTGACTCACTTCTCAAATATTTATAGTGTACTTACTATGTGCTAGGCCATTTGCAGGGCACTGAAAAAGAATGATAAACCAGAAAAGACAGACATAGTTCCTGCTTTTACTGAAATTTAGTATTCAACTTGAGACTCCTACCAATGTTTGCTCTGGTAGAAACAGGCAGTCCAAGTACCTTTGAAGTGTTTATTAATTTTGAGTTACCATCTTAGAAACCTCAAAAATGAAAATAAATGCCAGTGTCTTAACAATACACTGGTACAACACAATGAATATTTTTGATATTTCACTTCTCTTTCTTGAGATTACTATTCTCTGCTTGATACTTAAAACATTTAAAGAACATGCTTATCCAAGAACTGGAGAAAGATGATGGCAAGAATAAGACAAAAGAAGCAAGGCTACCATACGCTACGGAAGGTAAATGCCCAAAGCCAGACAGAAAGGATACCAGATCAAATGACGCGTGGCTTGCCCTGCTTTTGCTTCTGCATCACAGAGACAGCTCTGATTTCCTTCAGGTATTAAGAAAAACTGTGCACCACCTGTAACCCATGTTACTGACAAAGACATCAACACCATCCCTTCTGCAGTCATTTCTTCACCATCCCTTCCACGCATGTGGCCTCTCAGCTTCGTCAACATCCCTAATTACCAAGGTTTTCTCTGTTCTTTGCGTCATAATGACTATTTTAAGAAGTTGTATAATCACCTCTACGGCTCTGTCTTCCACCTAAAATAACAAATAGTCTCCTTTACTTTAATATTAACAGGTCACTTGACCTACATATTATTTTGCTAACTATTTTACACTGTATTCCTAACAAATCTTTCCTCATTTCCCAAATAAAACATCAAGTGATCACAGCCATGAAAAAAGACATCCTAGGGATTTACATTTCATTCCAGATGTTAGGACATTAAAGAAAGTCCGTCCTACTAGGAATGGTTGTTTTGTGTTGTTCAATAGCTTTCACATTTTTTTAGAAGAGGTAAAATATATATGAATACTGGAAGTTAAAGCAGATGTAAAATGTTTAACATACAGAATACTTGGATATGAGCAAGTTGCAGTCACTCAGCAACCTCTTGACATAATGCTTTTGTAAAACAACTTTTCTGTCTCACAATATTACGCAAATCATTTTGCAATTTCTTTTAGCTGTCACAGATGTAAAGCTTGAATCAATTTACATCAATGTGACTCAAAACAGAGTACATTATGTTAAAACAGAACAACAGTGATAAGGTACCTTGAACCACAGAAAGATAAAATATTTCCATAGCTATCTGAATATAAAATACTATAGCATGAATATATTATTAAAGGAGTTTTAAAAATACATAATTTTACTTACATCAAGAGAGCCTTCATTTATAACAATCATTCCCATGTTCTTCTTCAACAGTTTGCAGGAGTGTCCTGTATCCAAACACAGAGTATATTAAAATTAATTTCTCCAGAGAATATGTAAAGATGTTAAAACAATGATATGTACTATGAAAATATCTAAAGATGATTTTATAATGACTGAGGGCAACCAGTTGTTTTCCAGGTTTGTAGGAAGTTAAACATGAAATGCTCTTGCTTGCCATAGGAGGGATATGCAACAAGTACATCTGGCCTGTTAAGGCTACAAAGACATCTGGAAAAAGATGGTGGTAAGGATTCTCGATGTCCTGAAGCTGACAAATGGATTTGTAATACACTTCATGATAACCAACATGAAGAGCAAAAGACAGGCCAACGATTGTTTCTAGAAAATAGAATAACAGAACCCTTCTCTAGACACCTAGGGAAGGTGCAGGTGGCTGTCTCTTGGATCCGCTGATCCCATCACCATCTCCCTTCCTGGGAGAATCAGTACATCCTCTACCTTCCTACCCTCTCTTGCTTTGTTGCACTTACTGCAGGGCAAAAATCCTCCCTTTGTTCAATTCAACTTGGCCTACTCTGTACCTGTTTGCTACAGCCGACTGTGTCTAAAGAGGCAACTCTGCTGATGTCACATTTTAAAAATACCATCCTATTTAAAATAATTCCACTATGTGAGTACACTGCCTTTGTGATCTCATTCCGTCTCATGATTTCATGTATCATCTAAATGTTGACCATTTTGAAACTCCTATGTTCAACTCAGCCCTCCTTCCTGAACTCCAGACTCTCATATCCAAGTACTTACTTAACCGCAGACACTTACATAGGAAGTAGGCATTTCCATCATCTCAAAGTCAGCCTACTCAAAAACCAGGCTCCTGACCACACTCCTCCAGCCCCCATCAAGAAAACCTACTTTCCCTTCAGTTTTCATCATTTGGGTTAATGGTAATTCCATCCTTCGGATGCTAAGGCCAAAAACCTCGAAGTTACCTGATCTATTTCTTTCTCTCATACTCTACATCTATCAGTCAATCTTGTTGTCTCTACCTTTAAAACACATCAAGAACCTAACAACTTCTTACCATTAAAACACATCAAGAAGCCAACCACTTCTTACCCTTTCCCTTGTTACCACCTTGGTCCAAGTCTCCATCATATTTCCCCTGGATTAATGCAATAAGCCTATTCACTGGTCTCCCTGATTCTACACTTGCTTCCCTCTGAGTCCATTTTCAGCCTAGCAGCCAGAGTGACTGTTTTTACAGGAAAGTCAGAGCATGTCTTTCCTCTGCTGAGAACCATCAAGTGATGTCCCTGTTTACTTGCAGTAAATGCAGAGTCCTGACAGTGGCCTGGGAGGCCCCGTCCACCCTGGACACTGCTATGCTGAAGATCTCTTCTGCTACTATTCTTTCTTTTATTTTTGTGCTGTTTCTCTCTGTAACAGAAGACAGCTTTTCTCTAATCATCATGCGACAAGCTCCCTCTCCTCTTTTAGGTTGTTCCTCAGATGTCACCTTCTCAATAAGTTCTTCCTGACTGTGCTATTTAAAACTGAATCCCTCTGTGCAATGCCCTGTGTTTCCCTCCCATTTTAGTTTTCTTTATAGCAATCATTGATAGCTATTATACTATGTGCTTTTCTAATTTACTTTACTGTGCGTTTCTCTGACTAGTATCTGAGCTCCACAAGGGCAGAGATTTTGGGTTCTTTCGTTCCCTGCTCTGTTCCTTGCACTTAACCAGTACCTGGCACTGTATATACCACAATTATGCTGAATGGGTGAATCTTCCCTAAGTTTTTCTAGGAATCAATCATGGCTCAAGATTCTAAATGTTAAATGTTACCAGAAACCACTACTATACTCTTTTTTCATAGGAACATTCATAATGGTGAACATATCCTGAACTTGACATTTTCCTATTTTCCACATTTACTGCCCTTTATTGCCATATATTTTCTATTTGTAGTCTGTTTTATCATATTTGTGTTTTTAGGTCTCCCAATTTCAATATGTTCTGCATTTCACCATTATTTTCCTTCTCATATATATTCTTTCCATTTTCTCTCTAATAGCAGCGATAATTTTTACAATCAAAATTAACAACTTGTGTGGTTTGTAAAGTTCTACTAGTTTTTAAAAAATAAACTGAATTTTCTATTAATAACATCAATTTGCTATAAATTTGAAGTAGAGTTTTATATTTACAGGATATGTTAGGCTGACTGCTAATACTTCTAAAATAAATGTTAGCTAAATTTTAAAAAATACACAATATTTTAAAATGGCTTTCTAAAAAATGTGGTTTCATGCTGTGAACTCCTCTAAAATACTTCCTTCAACTTGGGTGGAGTTTTGTATGTAATATATATGATTACTATCAAGAGGATAAATCCATGTCAGGGTTTATAGTGCTCAAGCTACCTACTTTTACTAAATTTGGTGAAAAAACTTTTTTTTTCTTTTTTGGCATATTGCTGGTACTACAGGCTTCCAATGCCAAACAACTTTCCCTGTGTAAGATCTCTGTTAGGGACTCAATTGATCTCCCTACCACCACTCATCCCAATTCCTATGCTGAACTCCTAACCGCCAGTGACACTACATTTGGACATAGTCTTTAAGGAGGTAATTAGGTTTCAATGAGACCATAAGGGTGAGGCCTGCTATGGTCTGAATGTTTGTGTTCCCCCCAAATTCATATGCTGAAACCCAGTCACTAGTATGGTGACAGTAGGAGGTGGGGTCTTTGGGAGATGATTAGGTCATGAGAGCAGAGAGCTCATGAATAGGACTGGTGCCCTTATAAAAGAGGCCTCAGAGGGCTGCCTTGCCCCTTCTACCATGTGAGAACACAGTTAAGAAGGTGCTATCTATGAACCAGAAGGCCAGTGGTCATCAGACACCAAATCTGCTGGTGCCTTAACCTTGGGCTTCTCAGCCTTCAGAACGATGAGATATAAATTTGTTGTTTATAAGCCACCCAGCTCGTGGTATTTTGTTATGGTAGCCAGAACGGACTAAGACAGCACTGTAATGCAATAGGACTGATGTTTTAGGAGGAAGAGACATAAGGAGTAGTACACAGAAGAGGAGCCACGTGAGGACAGCCGATCTTGAACTTCCAGCTTCTAGAACTGTGTGAAAATAAATTTCTGTTGCCTAAGCCACCCAGTGTGTGGTACGCTCTTATGGAAGCCCGAGCTATTATAAACTCTTTCCAAAACATGGGGATTAACATAGTATGAATGCAAATTAGCAACCTTCTTCTTTCCTATTATCTTAAAATAACCTTTGGTCACATAATCAAGTATCAATACATAAATCTTCCATAAGCCCAATCTCCAGACAACTGCAGAAATGTTATCCACATGTGCCACTTATGGATGGGAGGCAGAGATGCAATGGTGAAAAAAGATTGGAATATTCCAATCTTGACATATCAAATCTTTTAGATCTTGAAATGTCTCAAATCCATCTTCTGAACTACATTAACTTATTAAAAAGCACCAACATGTAAAATGTGAACTAGGTGAATTACCGATGTTAATGGCAGTTTCTTGCTTGTCCCCTGTAAGGATCCAGATTTTGATGTCTGCTTTCATTAGCGTTTCTATGGTTTCAGGCACTTGATCTTGTAATTTATCCTCAATGGCTGTTGCTCCAAGTAGCTGAAGATTCTGAAAAAAATTAGTGGTAGAAATGTTTTAAAAATCCGTTCATATTCTTTAAAAACAAAAAATTGAAGTGTGTATATGTTTTAAAATCAGAGACTAAATGATAATTCATGGACTTTGGTGTAAATTCCAACTATCCCATTGAGTTTTCTGAAATATCCTTGACTTTCATGCAGTCTTTAGGCATTACACTGAGGCTCCCTGAAACTGTCTAACCCAACCCCTAAGGTAAGGAACAGATTCTAAAATAAATTTGCATAGAAGGGGAGTAAAATCCAAAGTCAGTTAAAAACAGCCTGGGCACGGTGGCTCACGCCTGTAATCCCAGCACTTTGGGAGGCCAAGGCTGGCGGATCACTTAAGGTCAGGAGCTCAAGACCAGCCTGGCCAATATGGTGAAACCACGTCTCCACTAAAAATACAAGAAAGCAGCTGGGCATGGTGGTGTGTGCCTGTAATTCTAGCTACTCGGGAGGCTGAGGCAGGAGAACCTCTTGAACTGGGGAGGCAGGGGTTGCAGGTGAGCTGAGATCGTGCCACTGCACTCCAGCCTGGGCAAGAGAGCGAGACTCCATCTCAAAAAAAAAAAAAAAAAAAAAAAAAAGTCAGTTAAAAAGGACAGGCATTCTAAAAAAAAAAAAAAAAAAAAAAAAAAAAACATACAAACAGCTATGGGAGACTACCATAGTGAAGATGCAATCTTGCTGACCTGTTTAAAAACAGTGAGGTTACATGTTAACACTATTAAATTGTAATTTGAAGCAGTGTCAGGAAATGTATACACAATTAGAAACCAAGAGGAAAAGAACAACAAAGTGATAGTATTAGTCTCTGCAAGGAAGAACAAGTTGAATGTTTTTCACATAGTTCCACATTTGTGTAGGGGAAGATCAGACTCAAAGATCTCTTGCTCATTAGATATTGTCTTGTACCATAAGACCAAACACAACCAATGGGCTCTGGGGAAAGCTGTTATTATTTTTATTATTTATTTATTTTGAGATGGAGTCTTGCTCTGTTGCTCAGGCTGAAGTACAGTGGTGCCATCTTGGCTCACCATAACCTCCGCCTCCCAGGTCCAAGTGATTCTCCTGCCTCAGCCTCCAGAGTAGCTTGGATTATAGGTACGTGCCACCACACTGGGCTAATTTGCGTATAAGACGGGGTTTCACCATGTTAGCCAGGCTGGTCTCGAACTGCTGGCCTCAAGTGATCTGCCCACCTTGACCTCCCAAAGTATTGTGATTAAAGGCATGAGTCACCACACCCAGCCAAAGCTGTTTTAATCTCTCATGAGAAAGAATGGTTTCTACTCTCATCTTCCTAAACGGAGATGGTAAGCGGGAGAGAACAATCTCTTGGCTGTTAGGGAAACCTGGTTTGCCAAATGGACACAGATAATGTTGTTCTTGGTCCTAAATACATAAGAATGTAGTGATGGATTAAGATATAAAATTTTATTTCCATCACATGACTAGGCACTGTTGCTAGCTGGGTACCCTTCTTAACAGTGCTCTGCAGGCCACAACCAACTGATTCTCAGTCTTGCCCTGTTTCAACCTCCAGCATGATCCTCGTCAGCATTTATCTTTCTTCTCAATCATTTTCTCCTCTCTTGCCTTCATTTTTTTTCCATTTAAAATATAGGTGAGGGCAGAATGGATGCAAGGGAATGAATGCAAGGGAAAGTAAGCCAGAATTGGTGATAACAAAGAAAGCCATTTTCTACTTTTCCTTATTGTTCACCAAAATTGAAGTCTAAAATTAGTCTCAAGCTTTGCTTAGGCATGAACAATAAAGTTAACTATATATACAAACATGCAAGTGAGAGAGAAAGTGTGTGTATATGCATGCATGTAATTTATACCTGCATTAGTTTGGAATGCTTTTTGGCTGCAAGTAATAGAAAAATCTAACAATGGCTTAAATAAATTAATTTTCCTCACTTACGTAGTACTGAACTGGGCAGTTGTGGACATTAAATTTGTAGCTCGACCATACCTCAACTCATTCTCCTGACCTCTCCCAATGTCCCAAGGTATAATTATAAAGGCCATATAGAAGACAAAAATACCAACTGTATCTATCTCTTACATGAAAAGCAAAGTGTTTTGAAAAGCCCTCAGCATATTTCCAAATACTCGGCCAGATAGTTTTACATGGCTAACCCCAACTATTTGTATTTAGCTTTTCCAGGCTCCATAGTAGAGCTGTTGAGGAAGAAGGGGGATGGGAATGAGTGCTAAATTGGCCAGGCAACAGTCCCCGCTATAGCGGCCATACAGGATGGGCACGCACATGCATAGTATTTGTCTTTGTATACATGAGTATGTATGTCTAAGTAGATACACACACATGTCCCCCACTGCCTTGCCTGGTGAAACTTGGTTCATCCTCTAAAACCAAACTCAAAAGTTATTGTTTCTTGGCCAGGCGCGGTGGCTCATGCCTGTAATCCCAACACTTTGGGAGGCCTAGGCGGGTGGATCACGAGATCGAGACCATCCTGGCTAACACGGTGAAACCTCGTCTCTACTAAAAATACAAAAAATTAGCCGGGCATGGTGGCAGGCACCTGTAGTCCCAGCTACTCGGGAGGCTGAGGCAGGAGAATGGCATGAACCCAGGAAGCGGAGCTTGCGGTAAGCCGAGATCAAGCCACTGCACTCCAGCCTGGGCAACAGAGCGAGACAGTCTCAAAAAAAAAAAAAAAAAAAAAAAAGTTATTGTTTCTTTTAAGCTTTCCTTTATTTCTTAAAATAAAATTTCCCCTCTGCTGTTCTCCTACAGAATTTTGCTCATCTTCATGTACATTAAGAGAAGTGTAAATGCATGAGTATGGTAGGTTTGCTCAAAATTAGGGACCACGTCTTGCTCATCTTAATGACTCCACAGCATTGAATGTCAGCATTTAGTATGTTTGCTAAGTGAGCTAATGACAAGACCAAAATCCAGAAATTACAAAAATACTGCTGCAATCTAGACCATTTTCTTTTCAATATATTCCAAATAATATGGATGGTTATTAGACACACTTGATGCATGACTTCTTAGTGTATAATATATAATACAGGAAGGTAAATTTCTTTCAAGAAGATAGCATTATTTTATTTCCTTTAATGGGAAGCAGATTTGAAATCTACCATAACCTGATGAACAATTATCATCAAGAAGTTCAAGCAAGGAAAGGAAGAACAATTCAGCATCAGTGATGCCAGCACCACAACTGTTGAATTTAAATGTTTACACAATGATTCTTCCAAATCTTCAGCTACTTTTAGGGCATTTGCAGTTAAATCATTCTGGCTCACATCCCAGTGAAGATCAGGATATAGCTGTGTTCAAATTTTAAGCATTTTACCCAAGGCATAAGGTTTTTTTTTTTAGTGATCATGGGGACAGCTTATTAATACAAGCCCTCAAAATTTCCTGCAAAAATATTTTTTTGCAATATGTTTCCCAAAACACTGGGGTAACTAGATAATGTGGGAGCCAAGATACGAACACATTCATTAGAAACATATAAACAAATATTTTGTATATTTTCTGTCTCTACTCTAAGGGGAAAAATGAGCTCAGAAAGTCCACCAATATAAAATACATTACCACTCACATACCTATAAAAATAAAATGACTTCACTGGAGAGATCACATTGAAATCATATTTGAAAGAAGGAAAGCATCTAGTTTTGCACAGGTAAAAGAGAAACATTTTCAAAGCAGGCACAAATAACATAAAGGATCAAAGATGTAGGGCCAGCAAGGTATGCTGAGAAAAGTCACACAAGTAGGTTAACATGGAGTGTTGTGGTGGCTTTAACACAAATCCTTAAGAAGAATAATAAAACATTTCGGAATATTCAGCAAAATTGTAATGGGTCTACTTTGATGCCTATGAAGGAAACACTGTACTCCATAAGCGTGTTAATTTTCCCTTTATCCCAGGAGCTCCTTGAGAACAGCACTGGTTAATTTTAGCAGAAGGTTCTGCAGACTCCTTTCCTTTTGCCCTGGTATCATTTATGGTGAGATCAGAATCTTGAGTGATGGGCTGTTCTGCTTTTGGAAATTAATATTGTTAGCTATATAATGATCACTAGAAAAAAAGATTTGAACTTTGCGTGCTTTTCCTGATCATAACACAAGAGTGTTTAGGCTATAATCAATTTCATCCCAAATATGTATTACCTTACACAGATGGCCACTAATGGGCACTAGGGGAATTACATATTCAGCAAGTGTTGAAATGCGATAAAATTCCCATGGCATTTATGGAATTCAAAAAAAAACTCCAAACACTAATTTTACTTTCTAAATGTCACCAAGCTAAATGTTATAAAGGCTTGAGGTTGATGACTCTTTGACATAATATAGATTTAGTTATCACTGAAAAAATCATAAAATAATGTTTATTCACCTAGTAAAGCCTCCAGTAATGTTTTCTCTTTCAGATGTTCCTAATGTATGCAGAATTTTTAAAAAGGCACATAAATGTAACATTTCTACTGTAAGTGAGGACAGAAAGCTTCATGTAGTTTGGTAAAATGTATTATGATAGCTTTAGAAATTATGATTTTTCCCCAATACATGTATATTTTGCTAAATAATGGAACCTCAAAGTGACCTATTTCCATATTAGCAAACATTATGTCAGTGCTTAGATGATGTCATTTTTTTTTAAAGTTTGTGATATGCTTCTAAATGAGAAAGATATAATAATCAAACTCGTATCAACCTAGGCTTCAGATTACAACATGGGCTATTTGGCAGAAATTTCCTTAAAGACAAAGTAATATTATTAAACCAAATTGTACCACTGGAGTAAATGTGGATAAATACTAGTAGGATTTATTTCCATATGAAATAAGATTATGACTAGGAAGATGTTGAAGAGGAAACCAGCATTTCACGGATAGAAAAATTGTACCAGGCACTGCTAAGTGCTTTACATTTAGTAATTCAGTTAATAGCTTTGGGGAGGTTGAGTAAATTGTCTAAGGTCAACTAGAGGTGCAGCTAAGCTATGACCGTAAGGACAAAACACCAAGAACTAATACATACCCAAGGAAGCAAATGGGATGTAAAACTGAGATTAGATGAAAATTAGAATTTTGTTCAAATCATCAGGTTTTTAAACTTTTGTGTCTGTTCTTGGTCTTCAATAATACTTCATTTCTATGAGAGGGTTTCAGCCTCAGGCCTGAGTCACCCGTCAGGTGTACCTATTTCCCTATTCCTACCTGCAGGCCTCAGGGTCACATTTCAGGATTAGCTCCTTTACAAGCACACATGCATGCCTGCATTCATTCACAAATATACTCCAAGCAGGTGCTTCTGGGCAGGTACTTGTGCCGGGGATACAATAGTGAGTTCCTTCCTGCATGAAATTTATATTTCAGAAAGCTTCATTAGAAACTCTCCTTGGATTCCTGGCTGCCTCGTTTTCTAACTGTACCTCCTTGCCTTACTGGTGTTTCTCCTAAACCCTGACTGCCTGGTTGTCATCAAGTCCCAAGTAATTAATTAGCCACCAGGCCAGAAATCTAGATGGTGCTTTTCAAACTTTAATTTTCAGAATCACCCGAGGAGCTTATTAACACAGAATGCTGGGCCCTACACCCAGAATTCCTCATTGAATAGGTCTACGGTGAAGCCTGGAAATGTGCAGTGGTTGCAAAGCTGCTGGTCTGAGAACGTAACTATGAGAACTGCTGATCTAGAGCAGGGCTGACTAGCTTTCTCTGTAAAAGGACAGATGGTGAATACTGTAAAGTTTGAGGGCCATATATTCTCTGTTGCAACAACTTAATTATGCTGTGGTAGCATGAAAACAGTTACAGACAACATGTAAACAAATGGATGTAGCTGTGTTCCAGTAAAGCTTTATTTACAAATAGGCAGTGGGTGGATTTAGCCCTTGAACTGGAGTTTGCAACTCCTGATGTAGAATGCTTGTGAGCATCCCATCTTTGCACCTGGCTCCATCTTGTCTGATCACCGTAGACATCCCCATGTCCAACTCCTACCATTCTCCCTTAGCCTGGCCTTAGACCCTCAGGTACCAATTCTCTTTCTTTTCCTTGCAGTTTCAAACTACAAAGCCTTTAAACTGTAATACAGGATTATCATTATTAGAGAAACAGTGCTCCCCTGGAAGAATCACGTTATATGTTATACCCTATCTTAAAAAATGTTATACACATTGTATGTTACATGCTATACATGTACTCTTATGTGAGTACAAAGGATAAACACAGGAATGAGGTATCATCTTAGTCTCGATGGCTCAAAGAAAATCTATCCAACATGAGCTGACACTTGACTTTAAATACTAAACAATGAATTAAGGTTTAGCCAAGAAATGGGGAGAGGTGGGGAAGGATAAGGGAGGTGATTCCAAATGAGAAGAAATTACATGTACAAAGACAGATGTGTGAAAAGACACATAATGTTTGAGAAGCTGCCATTCAGTCAGTATGGAAATGATAGATGAAGTGACGTGTGGCAGTGAGGAAGATGAGGCTGGAAAAGCCAGCAGGGAATGGAAATGGAAAGGTCTGTGTGTTATGCTGACAATCCCAAAGGCAAGGGACACCTGGCGAATTTTAGAAGAGGAGAGACAGGATCAGATTTACATTTCAGAAAGGTCACTAGTAGCTGTATGGGGCTGGATTAGGACAAAAGAAGCCTGCATGACAAATTAAGAGGCTACTGCAGTCACCATTCTCTTGAGGTTTAAAATACGTTAACTCTGGAATTGGGATGTGCTGTGGGATTCTCAGAGGCATTCTACAACACTGGTTCTCAGAGGTTGCTGGGCTCCTCTGTGTTCTGCATTCCACTGGGTATCATCCTTGTTTTAAAGAGACCTAACACCTTCTTTCCTTTCCCTTTATTCTGGCCTACAGTACTAAGACTAAGAGCATTAAGTCCTTAAACCATTGGAATGGCTCATTTGCCTACTTCTGGAGAAATCATTCAACTGGTTAATTTTTCTAAGGCCAAGAAATAGATTTTAACTTGGTGCTTTTCAAACCATAGAAATCACATTTGAACTCACAAAGCCAAGGGCTTAGTTATAAGGCCAGAATTCACACACCCAGCTGAAAGGAATCAGGATGTGAGAGGTGATTGGGTGT
Source organism: Homo sapiens (assembly GCF_000001405.40). NCBI lineage: Eukaryota > Metazoa > Chordata > Mammalia > Primates > Hominidae > Homo > Homo sapiens. The sequence goes on from NC_000004.12 coordinate 42,514,291, forward strand.
AGCTTGCAAAAACAACGCATCCATCTTATCTGAGTGAGAAGACAGCAATACCCAGGGTGGAAAATCTACCACGAAGCATTCATAAGAAGGAACCTATCCTACCAGAAAGGAGGAGCATGTGATTAGAGATCTAAGGAAATCTTAAGTACTTTAAATAAGAAGATTCTAACGGCCAGTTGAGGGAAAATCATGAAAAACATATTTCCATCTTGTTTTCAAGGAAAATGGAATACAGTACATAGAGTACATAGAGGCTGCCTCACTAAGTAGCTGAGTCTCAAACAGGCTGATGAGCCCCACTTCTCACCCTGAGTGATCTAGTGATTATGCAACTGCACAATTGATTTCATTTTATTTTTCAAGTCTCCAATATTTTATACACATTCTTGCTTTCTTCAAAAGCAAGTTGGCAACGTAACTTACAGATTATTAGCATGGGATCTGGAATTAAGACAGAACAGGGATTTGCATCCCTGCTCTGCCAACCACTGGATATGGGTCCCTGAGCAAGTAACTTAACTTACCTAAGAATCAACTTTCACAACAGCAAGATAAACCTAATAACGTAGATTTAATAAGGATGTTCTGCAGATGAAATTACACCAGTTATCTCACAAACATTTTTGAGTATACTAGGAAAAAATGTTGAATACGTACTTATGACACAGTTATATTTTTGTAAAACATTGTTAAAATTAATAAATTATTCACATTATAAAATGCAAAAACTAAAAAAGATGAAATAAAACAAATAGAAGTTCTAATATTTTCTTGCTTACCCCAATGGATCACGTTGTGTCTCACTTTAGAGGCCCTCCAACTAAATAATCAGGGTAAAGAGTGAAAATTGCGGAGCTTAGTAAATGCTCAGAAAGTGGCAGGTCTAATTAAATGAGCTAACTATAAATGTTCTTAAGCAAATAGAACAGGAAACTACTGGAATTTTAAACCACGAAATCACCCATACATCATGTAAATTTTCATTTCATTTTTAGCACAAATGAAAGTGATATGTGCAGCTACTAAGAATAGATGTGGTAGTTTTATCTGAAGAAGCATTCCATTCTAATACAGAAGTTACTGTGAACTTGGCAGTCATGAATGCTCAAGAAAAGTCCTGTTTTCCATTAAGTTTTATATTTCTCTAGGAATCCTCTAAACCATTTGTTGCCATATGTTGCAAAGGGCACTAAATTGTTGTTTAGTCACACTGAGTGTAATGGTTGATCTATATTACGCCACATCAAGGGACTCTTTAACCATCCCCCAAATGTCAACCACGTTTTGGGGAGGGGTAAAGGAAATAATGTAAAAAAGGATCACTACCTCACTGTCCTATCTTAGTGCCTTATCTCAGTGCCCAGGGCACTAAAGCCTCTCTGGAATGACATTGTTTTAGTTTACAAGTTCACTACCTATCTCCCACCACTGAAACAAAAGGCAGAAATTCTTCTATCCTCTCCCTGCTGAGCCCTAGAGCCTAGAACAGAACCTGCCACGCAGCGGTGCTCAGATATTTGTTGCTGAATCTTTCCAACCCATGATTTTCTCACATTTATATATCAAGTAACTTTGAAGACAGGTTTTATAAATGAACGAATCTAAACTTCTAAAGAATGCCTTCTGTAAAATTATTGGCTTCTTTTCTAACATACCCCTAAATTAATCCTTAGTGATAGCACATTTGATACCAGTGCCTTCAATGCATGGAAAGCATGAACTAGATTTGTTAATAGGGGGCAGGCTTTCATTAAGCAAGTACTTATTAAGCTCCAACTTCTGAATTAATTATTTAAATGAATAATTCATTTATTCATCAAATATTTATTGAGTGGTTAACATAGGCTAGTCAGTCAAGCGCTGGAGACACAGTGATAAATATGATAAACACAGTCCCTGCTTTCGTGAAACTTCAATCTAGTGGATGACATACATCAATCACAAACTACAAAATGCACATAAAACACAACATTGCTATCTGATCAAAAAAGGCTTGACAGCAGAGTTACAGTGTTCTGAGTTTACTCTTAAGCTCAGAAATGATCCTCTAACCCATAACCTATTTTAGAAAAACTTGAACAGATAAAAGCATTGGATAAGTTTCCATTAAAAAAAAAAGTTTCCCAATCCACGCATCATAATAAGAGAAAAATAAAAATCTTATCACCAGGGAAATACTGCTTTAATCAGTGATGAATCTAGGCAGGTATTATAGCTTACGCTGTTTTCTGTAATTCTCAAGATAAATGATTTACTTTCAGAAACACAGAAATTATTAGTAGGTAATCTATGCAGTACTAAAGACATAATTGTATTTTTCTATTGAAGCAAATAAATATTAAACATTTTCAAAAAATTATGTATTCCACGAAGGCACGCCTTCATATTTCAAACAATGGTTTAATTATAAAATAAGGAAGAAAGACCAGAGACTTCTATACTATTAATTTTCAAAGGAATCTAGTAGCATAGTATGAATATGAGACAAAACATAATTTATGTGTCTTAGAAATAAGTTAGAATAAAAGTAAACAAATTTTAACAAAGAATAGAAGCTCAGACCAAAAAGAAGTGATATCACCCTGGCTCCTGATATATTAAAGTGACAGATCAAAGGTGAGAAATTTCAGAGAAACCCCTGCCAATGAAACAAGGAACTTCATAATTATTCTGTTATTTACAATTCTTCTTGAGGAAATACAAAATTTTAATTTAAAAACCTGATTTAGGCCAGGCACGGTGGCTCAGGCCTGTAATCCCAGCACTTTGGGAGGCCAAGGGGGGGTGGATCACGAGGTCAGGAGATCGAGACCATCCTGGCCAACATGGTGAAACCCCGTCTCTACTAAAAATACAAAAATTTGGCTGGGTGTGGTGGCGGGCGCCTGTAGTCCCAGCTATTCAGGAGGCTGAGGGAGGAGAATCGCTTGAACCCAGGAGGCGGAGGTTGCACTGAGCCGACACTGCACTTTAGCCTGGCAACAGAGTGAGACTCCGTCTCAAAAAAAAAAAAAAAAAACAAATTCTGATTTAAAAAATATAGGCTGACACTATAAGTGGTTTCCCAATCTAAAATTATGAGTCCTAATATGTTGACTACCTTTCAAAAGAACGAGGGTGAGATAAAACAGGTCAAGTTTGTTGTCTAAAGAATGAGACCACTGTAAATTCTCTCAAGTGGTGACAAAAAGAGACTAAGAGGTGTTACTGTCCACAATGCCCAATGTGAACCTGCAATTCTTCGCAAAGTGAGTCAAGACAACTGAAATATCCCATATGATAATCCCATCTGCATTCTAACCATGTGAGCTTTCTTATTCCTGAACAAGTTAGGCCTTCCTACTAATCAATGTCACCTCTTGATTTATTTAGTAACAGCAAAAGAAAAAATAAACAAAATAGATGTGTCGGCAACTGATTCGTGAAACAACTCTCAGTGTTAAAATTTTTAGAAATGTCCTGAAAAGCTTACCATATGAATGCAAGTATTGGAGCTCAAACAGTACAGTTTTGGAACAGAGCTGATAATTATATTTTATAGATAGATTTAAAAGTCCTAAATCCTCTCATCTCGAGATGACTGTCAATAGGGATAACAATAGCCGGTGGGCTTTTTCACTTTCCATATCCTCCTTCCCATAGTGTTCCCCAAGAGTGAAGGCAGCACATTCTAGTGCTCAGTGTGCTGGGTAGTAACATACCTGAGTAACTAAGCATCACAACCAAAGGATAAATGCCTTGTTGTATATTTTTGGTCTATTTGGATATTTTTTTCAGCTTATGCTAGGAGTTACACTACCCAAAGGAATAAGGATTCAACTTAGTTTTAAAAACTGAATTACCAGTTTGAACAAACATTGGAGGAACAAGAGGCAGAGAGCAGCATTTAAAAGTATAACCTTAATCCTATTATAACATTTCCTCTTATTTTGTACTAAATTATTATTTTAGGAAAAACTTTACAAATCTTTTACATTTTGAATGTTGTGAATATAATACTACCATTAATGTGGCAATGACATATCAATTCAAATATGTTCAGAAACATCTTGCATACGGGCACAATGATGTACTGATCTTTTGAGGAATTTGTTTTCTAAAAGTCCACATACAAATGTAATACATGGTTTTCAAACTGTGCTTAGTGGATCCTCAGAGTCACAACAAGCCCTGCCTGGAGCACCCACGAGGGCAAGGTGGAGGCTGAGGGGAAAGCCAGTTTGGATCTCCTCTCTACTCTTACTCCAGCCAAAGCAGTCCTGCTTTCGTCAATTATATATATTATGATTCAGGCAATGTTTGCTTGGAAAATTCTGTTCTTAAAAAATAAAAGATGTGAAAACGACCCTCACAGTTTAAAGATTCACTGTCTGACATGCTAAGTCCAATAATGACATGCTAAGTCCAATATTATGGTCTACGTAAAAATAGATTCCAATCACATAAAAAATAGATTGCATAAACAGCATGTCTCAGTTAAAGCAGGTAAGGAAGAAGACAATGGATGAACCCTAGGACTGTATTTGCTCAATTTAAAGCCAGGGTAACATTCTGGAAGAATCTGTGGTCTGACACGCTGAAACTTGCCTCACTAGAGTGGTTTTAATGGCAGTAAATCACAACTTCTGAACCCTAATCCCAGCTGATTTTAACAAAGAATAGAATCTGAGATCAAGAAAGAAGTGATATAACCCTGGCTCTCTATATTAAAAATCCTACAGTCCTCCTATGATCACAGTTAATGGAAACACTTCAGAAAAACAGCTTGGTCACAAAGATCCCTGTGTTATTTATATATTTATTTATTTTTACCTTGAGACAGGGTCTCACTCTGTCACCCAGGCTGGAGTGCAGTGGTACTTTCACAGCTCACAGCAGCCTCAGTCTCCTGGGCTCAGGCAATTCTCCCTGCCTTAGGCCTCCTGAGTAGCTGGGACCACAGGTGCATGCTACCACATCCAGCTAATTTTTAAAAATTATTTACAGAGATGGAGTCTCCCCCTATGTTCCCCCAGGCTGGTCTCAAACTCCTGGGCTCAATGATCCTCCCACCTTGGTCTCCCAAAATACTGGGATTACAGGTGTGAGCCATCACATCTGTTCTATTTTGTCTATTCTTTTTCCCTACAATGATGTCTGCTCTCCTCCAACTGGTAAAATAATCCTTGGAGGCCCATTTCAAAAATTACCACCTCTCCAAAAGCTTCCTTCAGGTCAAATTTGTGGGCCACCTTTTTGGGTTCCTTAAGATTTCTTCATTTAGGGAATTTGCTCAGACCGTGGTACCCAGAGGGCCACAGTCTCATTTGCTTGTGCATGAGCATGTAAACATGAACTGCTTGATGAAAGTTATTTAAATAGATCACCAAATGAAGCTCCAGTTTCAGGAGTAGAGATGGACACAGAATCAGTCTTCATTTGGAGCAGGCTGGCTGAGTAAATGACCCAATCTCTTAATCTTTCCGGATCTTAGATTTTCAACAACAGAGAGCATGGCTTACTATGAAGTGAAGACAAATTAGTTATAAATTCCCGTTTTCATTTATTTTAGGTAAAAAACAGTCATAAGGGAGGTTTCTGTCATCTGTAAACTATATGTAGTTTACATGGATGCATATAGACACATATATAGATGCATGTGTATATGTGTATACACACACTCTCCCCACTTTTAATGGAGTGCCTCAGTCAACTTAAATTTTAATGTAGCTCATGATCGCCATCTGCTGGGAAAACGTTGAACATCTAGTTCAGTTAAAAGCTGGAGGTTGCAAGGCTTTTAATCAGTTATTAAAAGAACAAGAAACAAAACTGTTAAACCTAGAAAATCTAATCTATAAAAAACTCTAGGGCATCCAGAGAGTAAGGATATTAGGTACATTAAACATTCTACTCTAGAACTGAAGTTGTACTTCAAGTGGAAACAATTTAATATGTTTAGAATCCATTTTCAAATAGATTTTTTTATTCTGACATTACATATTAATTCTGTCTCATGAGGATTATAAGGCAAGGCAAGGCTGCCTTATATTCAGAGACAGGAAAAACATCATTTCCAAACTGGATTTTTTTTTTTTAATTCTTAAAAGAGTAACAGAAGCAAAGATTAAAAATCAATAGCACTAATGCTTTAAGATATGTGACTTTAGTTGGGCAGATTAAAAGAGATTGTGATTATGGCCTCAGATTATTTTATTTTACTACATAAATGCCCCAAAGACATAATCATATATAAATATGTTAGGAAATGGAGAGCGAGAAGGTGGAGGGAGTGGGGAGGGAAGAAGTGGGGAAGATAGGCAAGAGAGACATTGAAATAAGTCAACTGATAACAAGTCTCCTGGTGTGTGTATACCTATAACATTTAGGGTGGGAGTATCATGCTGGAAGACACCATACATGCTATCCCATGTCTTTTCATAAGTAAGCAGAATAAAAAGTTCAAATATAAGGAGGAGATATCTAGATATATCTACATATCTATCTCTATATATACAGGTATGATATATGTGAGCTTATATTTATATTTAGGTATCTTCCCCTTACAAAATACAAAGGCTATATGAGAAACAATCACCTTCCATAAAAAGTGATAATCTGTTGAGGAGACAGGACACCAATATCTCGAGTTGCATATGGTAACCTTGTGCAATAAAGAAAACCATCTGCAGCTAGAACATGGCATCCCCACATTACATAAAGGGAGGGGACGTGAGGAGCAGAGGGGGGAAATAGTCCAGGGAGGTACTGGTGGCACCAGCCACCTTTCAAGACAGAGGCACGACGAAGTACACAGTTCGATAGAGAGGAAAGAAGAACAAAGTATCAGCCTTTACTTACCTGGAGAAAAGATCAAGTAAACCGCAGCGGACAGGCTAGTTTGATTCTATGCAATACAAACATGAGTGCTATTGAAGAGTTATCTAATGGCAAGCTAGAGGTTAGAATGAAGTCACTTGAATGATTTAGAGCATGAATACTGGAGGAAGAGTGAGGATTCTGGCTCCCCCTATTAGAAGCTGTGTACTCTCAGCCAAATTACTTACCCTCTCTGTTACCTTGGATTCTTCATCTATAAGACAGGAATAATTAGCACCTCAAAGGGATGTTGTGAGGACTAGATTAATAGATGAAAGTGCTATGAACAGCACCTGGCACACGGCAAGAGCTACACAAAAATGTTTTCTTAATTAAGGAAGCAAGATTCTTGCTATTTATACAGCATCGATCATAATGTATCCATCACTTTCTGGCTTAATAGCCTTGGTTTCTTTATCTGTAAAATGAGGACATTTACAGCTGTGACAGAAATAATACAGGTATATGTTTGTCACAATGGTTTCTTTATCTGTAAAATGAGAACATTTACAGCTGCGACAGAAATAATACAGGTATATGTTTGTCACAATGACTGGACAAGTGTAAGCACTGGATTACTCTCATATATATTATCAGCTATGCAAGCTGTGTGATTACAGTACTATTTTATATTGCATTGCATATTATAGTTATTAACTCAAAGCACACATGTCATGTATGTAATGTGTGCGTGTGTGTAGGGGCATGTTCCATATCCTCAGAGATCCAGAAACTGAAATACATTGGCAAGGAGATTGCCAGACTGGCCAAACCTTGATCCAAAATTGTGAAAAGAGTGAAGATCTATACAAAGTAATGTCTAACCCCAAAGGCTTCTCAGCAATATTTTAATGCATATTAATACTTGTTAATGCTTAGATGATGAGAGGGTATTCAATAGTGAATGGTATGTCAAGATATTTTGATTTTTATTCCATTGGTTCCTTGAATAAAGATCAAAACTATCTGGAAACCAAACCCTCTGTATGATCAACAGAATCATCCACGTACCTTTTCAATCAACTCATAACTCTCTTCGAGTTTGAGTAGCCTGTTCTGCACAGATGTAGATGCTCGCTGATAGACTGCTCGCCACTCCTGAAAGTCGCTCTCTGAAATCTCAGCCACAGCAAAACATAAAGTTCTTAACCCTGAAAAAGATAGCATACATCACCCCAACACACCAAAGATTTTCTTCAGAAGTCTGAGGTTTCTGTTTTTATTTCACAAAGTCCCATTTTGAAAAAAGTGATTCCATACAAACAATATGATGAAGTCCAATTAAATTATGACAAAAACTTAGTATAAAATGTAGATTAATGTTCCCCTGGTCTTTAAAATTGGTACCCTGCTTCTAATTCCCAACCCTTTTAATCCATCTTCCATGCATAGTGTGGCGTTTCTAAAATCTGAATCTTATCAAGCAGTTCTTTGCTTCGAATCTTCCAATTTTTCCCCAGGACAAAATTTAAGCCCCAAAGCACGGCTTATACATGTTTCATCAGGTGCCTTCACTCTCATTCCCTGCCATTCACTTCCCACATAGGGGGGTCTTTGCACATGCTGGTAACTTTTTCTCCATTCTGCTTTTCCCAACGACTGCCCACTGTCTGCCTTGCAAGCAGTTTAAGACTCAGCTCTGAAAATCAGCTCTTTGATGCACCCTCCTCTCACCTAGATACCAAAGGCAGTAACACTCCTACAGCGTGAGTGACAATGTTTTACAGTTTTTCTTGTGTGTCTCCTCTATTAAAGCACTTGGAAAGCAGGGACCCAGAGTTCTTCAGTACCAAGCATAGTGGCTGACTTATTATAGAGGCCTCACAGATGTTTACAAAGGAAGAGAGACCCTGGTGGGGTCTACTGGGAAAGCCACCTTCCTCTTACTAGGATATATGACTGCATTTATTACTATTCTTTGTCATCATAAATCTGTAGTTTAAAAGTCTAAGTATAGTTGAGGGATAGTGGCAAAAAAGAACTGCCAGCAGATATACCCCGGGAAAACAATCAAAGCTGATATGTAAAGTGACCCACCCTGTGTCTGGTGCCTGCCAATTTCGTAACTCACATCTCTCTCAGCCAGAAAAGAGTAGATGCATTGGAAGAAAGGAGAGGCCAAAACACTTGTCAGCTACCCAAGGAAGCAGTTAGATATCTAGGTTCACAAGAAGACAACGCCCTCACTCCAGGTCATTTAACTCTTAGAATGACTAGGACCAGATGCTAGGCTTAGTGATCTCAAGACAAAATGTGTTTAAGGGAACACATCAGAAGTAAGAAGCAAGGAACATACAAAGTTCCCAGAGAACTCTACCTTCCAAGAAAGGGTGGTGTATTGCCAGATCACTGAGAGTGGAACTTAAATCCCTGAGGCCATCTTAGGACATGTTTTTCTCTCTTGGAAACTTGGCTGGAAAACTTACTGGAGGGTAGTCATGGGGAGAAGTGTCATCCAGCCCAGGGACAGAAAGAATAGGGTAGAGGTGGGGGCCAAACCATTAAAATCTATGAGTTGAGTATCTTTAACATCACATCTAGAGAGGAGAAAGATGCCCTCAGCTCTCCTCCAAAACAAAAAGAACCTGTGTTGTATGCTGGGTAGGTTGCACCTGCCAAGGACTGAGGCTGGGCTTTATGGAATCTGAATCCTATGAATATATATGTTTCCATGCTTTTACATTTTGAAGAACTGCACAGAGGTTTTTCAAAAGCCATCTTTTTTTTTGTTTTGGCTTTTGTTTTTGCCTAGTGTTTTAAAAAACATTCCTATCTTTTCTCTGCCTGAATTAACGGGAAAAAGTATTTGATTAGGTCAGTTTGGTGCCACTGGCAACAGTTCCAGCTGAAACAGATAGGAGTGAAAACTGAGACTGGAGATTTAGATTCAGCTATAACTACCATTGTTAAGTACGAGATAAGACTACAAATTCTTGTAGTAACTGACTCTCATGTTTAACAACCCTCGCTGCCTTTCATCTAACCTAGATCCTCTCTCTAGACTATGTACTGCTTTGCCTTGCACATAATATATTTCAGGAGGACAGAGAGACAGAGCAAAGCTTGTTTATCCTATTTTGGATTCTCAGGCCTCACACAGAGCCTGGCGTGTGGTAGGGGCTCTCTAAAAAAGTCTTGAGTTGTAATAAATTGAATAACAATTTTAATAGTTACGTAAGTTTTTAATAGAAAGTCCTGAGTTGAAACTAAATTTAATAGCTATTTTAACAGTTTAGGTTTATTTCTTCTTTCTTATTCAGATTAGAATATCTGTTTTTTTTTTTTGAGTCTTGCTTCTTTTCCTAATGAATTGCTCGAGATACAAAGTGAAGTATCTAAATGGTAAATATGATCCACTCTAAAAGTAAAACATTTATAGGCCCTACCATCTAAAACGTGGGGACAAAGTTGCTCAAAATTTTAATAAATATAGTTTTAGGAAAGTAAAATAAAAACACAGGCTGGGAACAGCATATAGTAAAATCTAAATTGCCAACAGCTGATATCTTACTTTAGGAATCTCTAAGTCTAATAATAATAAGGATCCTGCAAGGTATCAGAAGTATATGATTTCTTTGTATTTTAATCATGCTTTATTGCCAAATTACACTTACCTTCTGTAGCAAACTGCTCTAAATGTTTTAGGGTAATTTCTTTGTATTTTGACGTCTCTGCCAGTCGATCATAAATTACAGTGTCCTGGAAAACAAACAGAGGGTAAAATGATTTAATTAAGCATTCTGGGTTTAATAAAGTTGATGTTGGTAACAATAGCAGTAGGAAATCAGTGTAACAACCACCAATCTCTTTTGGCATTCGTTTTAAAGAACAAGATATTTTTGTCTAATAATACTATTTTGCTAGTGACATTAATAAGTCTCTAGTCTTGCATCTTCATCTTTCCTCTTTCTGAATAAAACTGTAGTTATTCCCATGTTCATATCTCATATTCTACCTCACTTACCTTCCACATGCTGCAAGATCTACCCTAACCCAGAAGGTTTTCCAGAACACCTTCATAGGTATTCATAGGTGCTGCAAGGAAGAACGGTCCAGAACTCAAGTAAGTTTGGCAAACACTGGACTGAGCAAAGCAACAGAGCTTGTCTTGCTGGAATAATCCTCGGGGACTTTAAAATGCCAGTGTGCACAGTGGATCTCGAAGGGGCTACATGCTATGTGCCCCAAACTCGTTGAATCACAGAACTTTTTAGGGTTTAGAGCATGTTTATGGGACCAGTGCTCACAGAAGAACAAACTTTAATACAGGACTAAATCCACTGAGAGGGCCAGTGGGTATTGTGGGAGAACCTCGAACAACTCTCGAAATGCCTTAAATAGCTGAATATTTCTGATTGTGTCACTTTAGCTTTAAGACTCAGTTTACTTAATCTGTAAAATTTTGTTACCAGATTATGTTTAAAGTCCTTTTCAGCTTTAACTTCATGCATCACTTATGCTTCTCTAGTTCTTGCTCTTTTATAAACTGCCTACTATTCATTTAGTTATTATGCAGCTTTGGTTTAGTGCTTTAAGAATTTTAGTGTTCAACCTTCACGGTTTTATTAGACCAGGAAAAAATAAATCACTTATCTGCAATTACTTTCTCAGTGGTATTACCCATTTTGGGGTCTCCAGTCTCAGGGCTGATATTTGGAAGCAGACTAATGGAGTATGATTTAGAACCCTTGAGAGAAACACAACTTAGTGACCTCAGAACAGATGGAGTATTCCAAGCCGCAATTCTGAATTTCTTTTCATTTTTCAGTGATGGAATGGGAAGTGGGGGGCAAAGCGAAAGGAAATGATAGTTTCCCCTCATGGCTCCTTCCTGAGAATGAGAAGAATCATTTGTAAATTCTTCTTTTAAGAAGAATTAAATTTGAAAATAATATTTTCAATGATATTAATACATTCCATTCTAAAACTAAGAAAATATTTGAAAACATTAAAATCATGAAAACAAAAGTGATAAGTAATATAGCTAAAAGGATTAAATTCGGTACTGTATCCAAACATTCTAGCGGAAGACACTGACGTTTAGAATGAGAAAAATTAATTTTCTACCTTCTTTATAGTGTTGAGAAAAAGCAGAAGAAAGATGTGGCCTTCTGCATTACATGTATAGTATGTTTTTAAAATGAAAATGGGTCGGCTAGCCATGCCTACACATGAAAAATGAATAAACATTGTGAAGGTTAATACTGAGTGTCAACTTGATTGGATTGAAGGATACAAAGTATTGATCCTGGGTGTGTCTGTGAGGGTGTTACCAAAGGAGATTAACATTTGAGTCAGTGGGCTGGGGAAGGCAGACCCACCCTTAATCTGGGTGGGCACAATCTAGTCAGCTGCCTGCGAATATAAAGCAGGTAGAAAAATGTGAAATGGCAAGACTGGCCTAGCCTCTCCCGTGCTGGATGCTTCCTGTCCTTGAACATCGGACTCCAAGTTCTTCAGTTTTGGAACTCAGACTGGCTCTCCTTGCTCCTCAGCCTGCAGGTCCCATGGCCTATTGTGGGACCTTGTGATTGTGTGAGTTAATGCTTAAGAAACTCCCCTTTATATATATGTATTTATTCTATTAATTCTGTCCCTCTAGAGAACCCTGACTAATACAGATTTTGGTACCAAGAGTGGCTCTAGAGGAACAGAATATTAAGATGGAGTTCTTTCATTGGTTTTGGGGTTTCTGGAGGTGGCTGCTTAATATGATTAGACCCCAAAATGCTAAGGACTCTACCTGTAGTATGGAGAACACTGATAGTCCTTGGCATAAACTGGAGAGTTATGTAAAATAAATGCATTTGACATTCCTGATTCTTCTTTCATGACAGACAATGAGTTTAGTGACTCTATACATAATACCTTTGGCCATATGTGGAGAACCAAGGAACATAATGAAGCTGGTTGGTTGCTCCTAAGTTCAGTGGACAAAGTAATGAAAGAAAATGATGAACTCAGGGATTCTATCTCCTGGCTTCAGAAGCAGATACTGAGTCTCAAATCTGCTAAGACTGCCCTGAGTGAGAGTCTTATCTCCTGCAGGGAAAGAGCTGAAATTGTGGAAAAACAGACACAAGCTGTTATCATGCGAATGGCTGACCCGCAAGGAAAGGTGCATGCGTAGCCTCAACAGGTGTCTACTGTTAAAGGGAGGACATTGATTGGAAAAGAATGGGACCCCGCAACTTGGAATGGGGACGTGTGGGAGGACCCTGATGAAGCTGGGGACACTGAGTTTGTAAACTCTGATGAACCTTTTTTGCCAGAAGTAACAGCTTCCCCATCCCCAGTAGGGGCAACTTCCCCTCTCTGAACCATGTTGCCATCAGCCTTTCCACTTTTGTCTGAGGAGATAAAGCCTGTGCTGCCTGAGGTAACAACGATGGCCTCCCCTGAAGCAGTTGCCAGGCAAGATGATGTTGATTCTCTTCTGGACCCACCCCCAACACCCCTGTTTGCTTCTAGACCTATAACTAGACTAAAGTCCCAGCGAGTCCCTAGACGTGAGGATGAGAGTGTGACTCATGAGGAGATGCACTACACTCAAAAGGAATTGCCTGAGTTTTCAAATTTATATAAGCAGAAAACTTCTAGGTCGAATGGATAAAAGACTAATTTTGAGTTACAAAAACAGAGAATCACAGTCCCTCAATCAATTTCCAAACTTGAGCCAGTTTATAGACCCAGAACCCCTTGAATGAAGGGGAGGCTGGGTACCCTAGAGGAAGGACTCCACTACATAACCGACAATTTATGCTGTTAATCCTTCTCCCATCCTTCCCCAGAGAGACCTCTGGCCTTTTACCAGGGTAACTTTGCACTGGGGAAAGGGAAATGATCAGACATTTTGGGGACTACTGGACACTGGCTCTGAGCTGGTGATGATTCCAGGGGACCCAAAATGTCATTGTGGTCCTCCAGTTAAAATAGGGGTTTATGGTGGTCAGGTAATTAATGGAGTTTTAGCTCAGGTCTGACTTGCAGTGGGTCCAGTGGGTCTCCGGGCTCATCCTGTGGTCATTTCCCTGATGCCAGAATGCATAATTGGCATAGACATACTTAGCAACTGGCAGGATCCCCACATTGGCTCCCTGACTGGTAGGGTGAGGGCTATTACGGTGGGAAAGGCCAAATGGAAGCCATGAGAGCTGCCTCTCCCTAGAAAAATAGTAAATCAAAAACAATATCACATCCCTGGAGGGATTACAGAGATTAGTGCCACCATCAAGGACTTGAAAGACGCAGGGGTGGTGATTCCCACCACATCCCCATTCAACTCTCCCATCTGGCCTGTGCAGAAGACACATGGATCTTGGGGAATGACAGTGGATTATCAGAAGTTTAACCAAGTGGTGACTCCAATTGTAGCTGCTGTACCAGATGTGGTTTCATTGCTTGAGCATATTAACACATCTCCTGGTATCTGGTATGCAACCACCGACTTGGCAAATTCCTTTTTCTCCACTCCTGCCTATAAGGCCCACCAAGCAATTTGCCTTCAACATACCTTTACTGTCCTACCCCAGGGGCATATCAACTCTCCTGCTTTGTGTCATGATCTTATTCAGTGAGACCTTGATTGCTTTTCACTTCCACAAGATATCACACTGGTCCATCACACTGATGACATTATGCTGATTGGATCCAGTGAGCAAGAAGTAGCAAACACACTGGACTTATTGGTGAGATATTTGTGTGCCAGAGGATGGGAAATAAACCTGACTAAAATTAAGGGACCTTCTACCCCAGTAAAATTTCTAGGGGTCCAGTGGTGTGGGGGCTGTTGAGATATTCCTTCTAAGGTGAAGGATAAGTTGTTGCATTTGGCCCCTCCTACAATGAGAGGCACAATGCCTAGTGGGCTTATGTGGATTTTGGAGGCATCACATTCCTTATCTAGGTGTGTTACTCTGGCCCATTTATCAAGTGACCCTAAAGGCCACTGGACCCCAGTTTTGAGTGGGGTCCAGAACGGACACAGGTCCAGGCTGCTGTACAAGCTGCTCTGCCACTTGGTCCATATGACCTAGCAGATTCAATGGTATTTGAGGTGTCAGTGGCAGACGGGGATGCTGTTTGGAGCCTTTGGCAGGCCCCCATAGGTGAATCACAGTGGAGGCATCTAGGATTTTGGAGCAAGGCCCTGCCATAATCTGCAGGTAACTACTCTCCTTTTGAGAGACAGCTCTTGGCTTGTTACTGGGCTTTGGTGGAAACTGAACATTTGACCATGGGTCATCAAGTCACGATGCGACCTGAACTGCGTATCATGAACTGGGTACTTTCTGACCCATCTAGCCATCAAGTGGGTCATGCACCAGCAGCACTGCATCATCAAATTGAAGTGGTATATACGTGATCAGGCTTGAGCAGGTCCTGAAGGCACAAGTAAGTTATGTGAGGAAGTGCCTCAAATGCCCATGGTCTCCACTCCTACCACTGTGCCTTCTCTTCCCCAGCCTGCACCGATGGCCTCATGGGGAGTTCCCTATGATCCAGTTGACAGAGGAAGAGAAGACTAGGGCCTGGTTCACAGATGGTTCTGCACGATATGCAGGCACTACCCGAAAGTAGACAGCTGAAGCACGACAGCCCCTTTCTAGGACATCCCTGAGGGACAGTGGTGAGGTGAAATCTTCCCGGTGGGCAGCACTTCAAGCAGTGCAGCTGGTTGTGCACTTTGCATGGAAAGAGAAATGGCCAGATGTGTGATTATATACTGATTCATGGGCTGTAGCCAATGGTTTGGCTGGATGGTCAGGGACTTGGAAGAAGCATGACTGGAAAATTGGTGACAAAGAAATCTGGGGAAGAAGTATGTGGATGGACCTCTGAGTGGTCAAAAACCGTGAAGATATTTGTATCCCATGTGAGTGCTCACCAACGGGTAATCTCAGCAGAGGAGGAGTTTAATAATCAAGTGGATAGGATGAACTGTTCTGTGGACACCACTCAGCCTCTTTCCCCAGCCACCCCTGTCATTACCCAATGGGCCCATGAACAAAGTGGCCATGGTGGCAAGGATGGAGGTTACGCATGGGCTCAGCAACATGGACTTCTACTCACCAAGGATGACCTGGCTATGGCCACTGCTGAGTGCCCAATTTGCCAGCCGCAGAGACCAGCACTGAGCCCTTGATATGGCACCATTCCTTGGGGTGATCAGCCAGCCACCTGGTGGCAGATTTTTGCATCATGAAAAGGGCAGAGGTTTATCCTCACTGGAACAGACACTTACTCTGGATATGGGTTTGCCTATCCTGCACGCAGTGCTTCTGCCAAGACTACCATCTGTGGACTCAAGATCTTCCACACAGTACTGCCTCTGACCAAGGCACTTACTAAAGAAGTGTGGCAGTGGGCTCATGCATCCACTGTCACAGTATTCCACACAGCACTGCCTCTGGCCAAGGCACTCACTTTATGGCTAAAGACGTGTGGCAGTGGGCTCACTGGTCTTACCATGGAACTCACTGGTCTTACCATGTTCCCATCATCCTGAAGCAGCTAGATTGATAGAAGGGTGGAATGGCCTTTTGAGTTACAATTACAGTGCCAACTAGGTGACAACACTTTGCAGGGCCGGAGCAAAGTTCTCCAGAAGGCCGTGTATGCTCTGAATCAGCATCCAATATATGGTACTGTTTCTCCCATAGCCAGGATTCAGGGGTCCAGGAATCAAGGGGTGGAAGTGGAAGTGGCACCACTCACCATCACTCCTAGTGATCCACTAGCAACATTTTTGCTTCCTGTTCCTGCGACATTATGTTCTGCTGGCCTAGAGGTCTTAGTTCCAGAGGGAGGAACACTGTTATCAGGAGACACAACAATGATTCAATTAAACTGGAAGTTAAGATTGCCACCTGGACACTTTGGGCTCCTCCTACCTTTAAGTCAACAGGCTAAGGGAGTTACAGTGTTGGCTGGGGTGACTGACCCAGACTACCAAGATGAAATCAGTCTACTGCTCCATAACAGAGGTAGGGAAGAGTATGTACGGAATACAGCGAATCCATTAGGGCGACTCTTAGTATTACCATGCCCTGTGATTAAGGTCAATGGGAAACTACAACAGCCCAATCCAGGCAGGACTACAAATGGTCCAGACCCTTCAGGAATGAAGGTTTGGGTCACTCCACCAGGAAAAAAACCACAACCTGCTGAGGTGCTTGCTGAAGGCAAAGGGAAAACAGAATGGGTAGCAGAAGAGGGCAGTCAACAATACCAGTTACGACTACATGACCAGCTGCAGAAACAAAGACTGTAACTGTCATGAGTATTTCCTCACCAATTCCCCAGCTAACATCATATTGAAAAGGGAAAAGCTGAAAGCTTTCCTCCAAGAACTGGAACAAGATGAGGAAGCCCTCTTTCTTCACAGCTATTCAAAATAGTACTGGAAGTCAAGGCCAGAGCAATCAACAAGAGAAAAAAATAAAAGGAATACAAATTGGAAAAGAGGAAGTCAAATTGTTCCTCTTTGCTGATGACATATCTTATATCTGCAAAAAACTGAAGACTCTAACAAAAAACTTAAATTTTAATAAATGAATTCAGTCAAGTTGCAGGATACAAAATCAATGTACAAAAATCAGTAGCACTTCTATATACCAACAATATCTAGATGAGAAAGAAAAAAGCCAATCCCATTTACAACAGTCATAAAAAACATAAAATACCAGGGCCAGGTGCGGTGGCTCACACCTGTAATCCTAGCAGTTTGGGAGGCTGAGGTAGGCATTCAAGACCTGCCTGAGCAACAAGGTGAAACCCCACCTCTACAAAAAACACAAAAAAGTTAGCCAGGTGTGGTGGTGCGTGCTTGCAGTCCCAGTTACTCGGGAGTATGAGGTGGAAGGATCATGTGAGCACAGGAAGTCAAGGCTGCAGTGAGCCATGATCATACCACTGCACTCCAGCCTGGGCAGCAGAGTGAGACCCTGCCTCAAAAAAATACACACACACACAGACACAGACACACAGACACACACACACATAAAATACACGGGAATAAATTTAACCAAGGAGGTGAAAGATCTCTATAAGAAAAACAAAACGCCTGTAATCCCAGCACATTGGGAGCACACTGGGAGGCCGAGGTGGGCTGATCACCTGAGGTCAGGAGTTCAAGACCAGCCTGGCCAACATGGTGAGACCCTGTCTCTACATAAAATACAAAAAATTAACTGGGCATGATGGCGGGTGACTGTAATCCCAGCTACTCAGGAGGCTGAGGCAGGAGAATCGCTTGAACCCAGAAGGTGGAGGTTGTAGTGAGCTGAGATCGTGCCACTGTACTCCAGTCTGGGTGACAAACTCCATCTCAAAAAAAAAATAAATAAATTGAAGGTGACACAAAAAAAATAGAAAACATCCCATGCCCCACTGGATTGGAATAATATAACTAAAATGACCATATTGCCCAAAGCAATCTATAGATTCAATGCAATCCCTATCAAAATACCAATGTTGAAAATGGCAGATAGGAGGCAGGACTAACTTGCAGCTCCTACTCAGATGGATGGAGCAGCGTGGAGACTCATACTGTGAATTGTCAGGCCTCTGAGCCCAAGCTAAGCCATCATATCCCCTGTGACTTGCATGTATACATCCAGATGGCCTGAAGCAACTGAAGATGCACAAAAGTGAAAATAGCCTTAACGGATGACATTCCACTATTGTGATTTGTTCCTGCCCCACCCTAACTGATACGATATATTCTCCCTCACCCTTAAGAAGGTACTTTGTAATATTCCCCCCAGCCCTTAAGAATGTACTTTGTACGCCTATCCCAAACCTATGAGAACTAATGATAATCCCACCACCCTTTGCTGACTCCTTTTTTGGACTCAGCCCACCTGCACCCAGGTGAAATAAACAGCCTTGTTGCTCACACAAAGCCTGTTTGGTGAACTCTCTTCACACGGACGTGCGTGACATGAACTTTTGCTCCAAGAACTACCACATGAACATATCAGGAAAGCCAAGAGAATCCACACTTTTTGAAGGAGGAAGACTGCTGCTGCAGGCTCCATGGGACAGCTGAGGGACTGTGAGTCAGCTTGCTTTCTCAGCTGGGAAGCTTGTAGCTGGGGGCAAGTTCTCAGCCCTGCTCACTGGCTGCTTGGGAACAAACTTGGTGCTGTTGGGGGTGCACAGTGGGAGTGAGACCAGCCTTTTGGGCTGCAGGCTACATGGGTGCTGGGTAAGTCCTGTGGCTGCCAGCTTTTCCCCACTTCCCTGGTGATGTGTGTGATGCAGCAGAGGCAGCCATAATCCCCCTGGGAACATAACTCCATTGGCCTGGGAACCGCACCCCCATCCCCACAGCAGCCTCATCAAGTCCCACCCAAGGAGAGTCTCAGCTCAGACATGCCTGACTCTGCCCCTAGCTGATAGTCTTTGTCTACCTGCCCTGGTAGCCCAAGACAAAGGACATCTCTTGGGAGCTCTATGGCTTCACACCTACTGCCTGACCCTAGGGCAAGCTTGCATCCTCCCTATACTATAGCAGCTGATGAGCTCTTGAAAGTGCCACCTCCTGGCTGGAGGCCAACCAAAACAAAACCAGCACACTTAACAAAAATACAACCAAGGACCCTCTCCAAGTCTACTTCACTACCCTGCTACCTCCACCAAAGCAGGTGCTGGTATCCACAGCTGAGAGACCTGAAGATGGATCATATCACAGGGCTTTGTGCAGACACTCCCCAGGACCAGCCCAGAGTCTGGTATCTCTGTGGGGTGGCTAGATCAAGAACGGAAATAACAATCACTGCCGTTTGGCTCTCAGTAAGCCCCATCCCTAGAGGAAGGGGGAGAACACCAAATCAAGGGAGTACTCCATGGGATGAAAGAATCTAAACAGTTGCCCTTGAGCCCCAGATCTTCCCTCTGACATAGTCTACCCAAATGAGAAGGAACCAGAAAAACAATTCTGGTAATATGACAAAACAAGGTTCTTTAATACCCCAAAAGATCATGCTAAGTCACCACAATGGATCCAATTCAAGAAGAAATCTCTGAATTGCCAGAAACAGAATTCAGAAGGTCAATTATTAAGCTAATCAATGAGGCACCAGAGAAAGGTGAAGTCTAACTTAAATAAATCCAAAAAATGATGCAGGATATGACTGGAAAAATCTCCAGTGAAACAGATAGCATAAATAAAAAACAATCACAACCTCTGGAAATGAAGGCCACACTTAGAGAAATGGAAAGTCTCAACAACAGATTTGAACAAGTAGAAAAAAGAACTTCAGAGCTCAAAGACAGGGCTTTTAAATTACCCCAATCTGACAAAGATAAAGAAAAAAGAATTTAAAAAAAATGAACAAAGCCTCCAACAAGTTTGGGATTGTGTTAAACGACCAAACCTAAGAATAATTGGTGTTCCTAAGGAAGAGAAATCTAAAAGTTTGGAAAACATATTTGAAGGAATCATCGAGGAAAATTTCCCTGGCCTTGCTAGAGATCTAGACATCCAAATACAAGAAACTCAAAGAACACCTGAGAAATACATCACAAAAAGATCATCACCTCGGCACATAGTCGGCAGGTTATCTAAAGTCAAGATGAAGAAAAAAATCTTAAGAGCTATGAGGCAAAAACATCAGGTAACCTATAAATGAAAACCTATCAGATTAACAGCAGATTTCTCAGCAGAAACCCTGCAAGTTAGAAGGAATTGAGGACCTACCTTTAGCCTCAAATAAAACAATTATCGGCCAAGAATTTTGTATCCAGCGAAACTAAGCTTCATAAATGAAGGAAAGATACAGTCTTTTTCGGAAAAACAAATGCTCAGAGAATTTGCCACTACCAAGCCAGCAGTATAAGAACTCTAAAAGGAGTCTAAATCTGGAAACAAATCCTTGAAATACACCAAAATAGAACTTCCTTAAAGCATAAATCTCACAGGACCTGTAAAATAATAACACAATGAAAAAAAAAGGTATTCAGGCAACAAATAGTATGATGAATAGAATAGAACCTTACGTGTCAATACTAACATTGAATGTAAATGGATAAGAATTCACCAACCAAGTATCTGCTGTCTTTGAGAGACTTACCTGACATATTAGGGCTCATAAAACTTAAGGTAAAAGGGTGGAAAAAGATATTCTATGCAAATGGACACCAAAAGCAAGCAGGAGTAGCTATTCTTATACTAGACAAAACAAACATAAAGCAACAGCAGTAAAAGACAAAGAGGGACATTATATAATGACAAAAGGACTAATCCAACAGGAAATATCACAATCCTAAATATATATGCACTTAACACTGGAGCTCCCAAATTTATAAAACAATTAGTACTAGACTTATGAAAGGGGATAGACAGCAGCACAATAATAGTGGGGGACTTCAAATACTCCAGTGACAGCACTAGATAGGTCATCAAGACAGAAAGTCAACAAAGAAACAATGGACGTAAATTGTACTCTCGAACAAATGGACTTAACAGATATTTACAGAACATTGTACCCAACAAATGCTGAATATACATTCTATTCATCAGCACATGGAACATTCTCCAAGATAGACCACATGATAGACCACAAAACAAGTCTCAACAAATTTAAGAAATTAGAAATTATAGCAAGTACTATCTTAGACCACAGTGGAATCAAATTGGAAATCAACTCCAAAAGGAAACTTCAAAACCATGCAAATACATGAAAATTAAATAACCTGCTCCTGAATGATCACTGGGTCAACAATGAAATCAAGATGGAAATTAAAAAATGACTTGAACTGAATAATAGTGACACAAACTATCAAAACCTCTGGGACACAGCACAAGGGGTGCTAAGGGGAAAGTTCATAGCATTAAATGTCTACATCAAAAAGTCTGAAAGAGCACAAACAGACAATCTAAGGTCACACCTCAAGGAACTAGGGGAACAAGAGCAAACCAACCCCAAACCCAGCAGAATAAATTACCAAGATCAGAGCAGAACTAAATGAAATTGAAACAACAACTATAAAATATAAATTAAACAAAAAGCTGGTTCTTTGAAAAGATAAATAACATCGATAGACCATTAGTGAGATTAACCAAGAAAATAAGAGAGAAGATCCAAATAAGCTCAGTTAGAAACAAAATAGGAGATACTATAATGTAACCAATACGACCAAAGTACAAAAGATCATTCAAGGCTACTGTGAACACCTCTATGTGCATAAACTAGAAAACCCAGAGGAGATGGACAAATTCCTGGAAATATACAACCCTCCTAGATTAAACCAGGAAGATACAGAATCTCTGAACAGATCAGCAGCAAGACTGAAATGGTAATTAAAAAGTTACCAACAAAAAAGGTCCAGGACCAGACTAATTCACAGCTGAATTCTATCACACATTCAAAGAAGAACTGGTACCAATCCTATTGACACTATTCCAAAAGACAGAGAAAGAGGGAATCCTTTCAGAGTCATTCTATGAAGCCACTATCCCCCAATACCAAAACCAGGAAAGGATAAAACAAAAAAAACTACAGACCGATATCCCTGATGAACATACACACAAAAGTCCTCAACAAAACTTGCTAACTGAATCCAGCAGCATATCAAAAAGATAATCCACCAGGATCAAGTGGGTTTCATACCAGGGATGCAGAGATGGTTTAACATCTGCAAGTCAATAAATGTGACACACCACATAAACAGAATTAAAAACAAAAACCAGGCCCGGCATGGTGGCTCATGCCTGTAATCCCAGCCAGCACTTTGGGAGGCCAAGGCGGGCAGATGACCTGAGGTCTGGAGTTCGAGACCAGCCTGGCCAACATGGAGAAACCCTGTCTCTACTAAAAAAATACAAAATTAGCCAGGCATGGTGGTGCACGCCTGTAATCCCAGCTACTTGGGAGGCTGAGGCAAGAGAATTGCTTGAACCCAGGAGGTGGAGGTTGCGGTGAGCCGAGATCGTGCCATTGCACTCCAGCCTGGGCAAAAAGAGCGAAACTCCGTCTCAAAAAAAAAAAAAACAAAAAAACCAAAAAAACCCCCACGTGATCATCTCAATAGATGCAGAAAAGGCATTTGACAAAACCCAGCATCCCTTTATGATTAAAACCCTCAGCAATATTGACACAGAAGAGGCATACCTTAAGGTAATAAAAGCCATCTATGACAAACCCATAGTCAACATTATACTGAATGGGAAAAAGTTGAAAGCATTCCCCCGAGAACTGGAACAAGACAAAGACGCCCACTTTCACCACTTTTATTCAACATAATACGGAAGTTCTAGCCAGAGCAATCAGATAAGAGAAAGAAATAAAGGGAATCCAAACTGATAAACAGGAAGTCAAACTGTCGCTGTTTGCTGATGACATGATCATATACCTAAAAACCCTAAAAACTCCTCCAAAAAGCTCCTAGAACTGGTAAATGAATTCAGCAAAGTTTCAGGATACAAAATTAATGCACACAAACCAGTAGCTCTGCTATACACCAACAGTGACCAAGCTGAGAATCAAGAACTCAACCCCTTTTACAATAGCTGCAAAAAAATAAAAATACTTAGGAATATACCTGACCAAGGAGGTGAAAGACCTCTACAAGGAAAACTACAAAACACTGCTGAAAGAAATCACAGACGACACAAACAAAGGCAAACACATCCCATGCTCATGGATGGGTACAATCAATGTTGTAAAAATGACATCCTGCTAAAAGCAATCTACAAATTCAATGCAATTTCCATCAAAATACCACCACCATTCTTCACAATTAGAAAAAATAATCCTAAATTTTGTATGGAACCACAAAAGAGCCTGCAAAGCCAAAGCAAGACTAAGCAAAAACAACAAATCTGGAGGCATCACATAACCTGACCTCAAACTATATATAATACTATATAAGGCCATAGTCACCAAAACGGCATGGTAGTGGTATAAAAATAGGCATATAGACCAATGGAAGAGAATGAAGAACCCAGTAATAAAGTCAAATACTTATGGCCAACTGATCTTTAGCAAAGCAAACAAAAACATAAAGTGGGGAAAGGGCACCCTATTCAACAAATGGTGCTGGGATAGTTGGCAAGTCACATGTAGAAGAATAAAACTGGATCCTCATCTGTCATCTTAGACAAAAATCAACTCAAGATGGATCAAAGACTTAAATCTAAGACCTGAAACCATAAAAACTCTAGAAGATAATATCAGAAAAACCCTTCTGGACACTGGCTTAGGCAAAGACTTCATGACCAAGATCCCAAAAGCAAATGCAACAAAGACAAAGATAAATAGATGGGACTTAAACTAAAAAGCACAGCAAAAAATATAATCAGGACAGTAAACAGACAACCCACACAGAGTAGGAGAAAATCTTCACAAAGTATGCATCTGATGAGGGACTAATATCCAGAATCTACAACAAACTCAAATCAGCAAGAGGAAAATAAACAATCCCATCAAAAAGTGGGCTAAGGACATGAACAGACAATCCTCAAAAGAAGATATACAAATGGTGAACAAACACATGAAAAAATGCTCAACATCACTAATTACCAGGGAAATGCAAATCATAACCACAATGTGATACCACCTTACTCCTGCAAGAATGGCCATAATCAAAAACTCAAAAAATAATAGATGTTGGTAGGGATGTGGTGAAAAGGGAACACTTTTACACTGCTGGTGGGAATGTAAACTAGTACAACCACTATGGAAAACAGTGTGGAGATTCCTTAAAGAACTAAAAGTAGAACTACCATTTGATCCAGCAATCCCACTCCTGGGTATCTACCCAGAGGAAAATAAGTCATTATACAAAAAAGATACTTGCACACATGTTTATAGCAGCACAATTTGCAATTGCAAAAATATGGAGCCAGCCCAGACGCCCATAAATCAACAAGTAGATAAAGAAAATGTGGTATCTGTATATACCACGGAATACTACTCAGCCATTAAAAGAGTGAAATAATGGCACTCGCAACAACCTGGATGGAATTGGAGATGATTATTCTAAGTGAAGTAACTCAGAAATGGGAAACCAAACATCATATGTTCTCACTCATAAGTGACAGCTAAGCTATGAGGATGCAAAGACACGAGAATGATACAACATACTTTGGGACCTGGGGGGAGAGGAAGGGTGGGAGGGGAGTGAGGGATAAAAGACTACATATTGGGTATCGCGTACACTGCTTGGGTGATGGCTGCATGGAAATCTCTGAAATCACCACTGAAGAATTTATTCATGTACTAAAAAATAAAATAAAATACCCCCCCCCCAACAAAAACAAAATACCAATGCCATTCTTCACAGTTAGAAAAAATAATCCTAAAATTCATATGGAATCAAAACAGAGCCCAAATAGCTAAAATAATCCTGAGCAAAAAGGACAAAGCTGGGGGCATCACATTACCTACATTTAAAATTTATTACAAGGCTATAGTAACCAAACAACATGGTATTGGTACAAAAATAGACACATAAATCTAGGGAACCCAGAAATAAAGTCACATATTTATAACCAACTGATCTTTGACAAAGCTGATAAGAACATACACTGGAGAAAGGTCATGCTTCTTCTTCAATAAATGGTGCTGGGAAATCTAAAAACCCATCCTAAATAAGGATGAAACTGAACCCTTATCTCTTGCCATATACAAAGAAAACAAAAAATCAAAATGGATTAAAAACAAACATAAGACTCAAACTTTTAAAAATACTAGAAGAAAACCTAGGGAAAACTATCCTGGGCATTGGTTTAGGCAAAAAATTTATGACCAAGATCTTGAAAACACAGGCAACAAAAACAAAAATTCACAAATGGGATTATATTAAACTAAAAAGCATAGCAAAAGAAACAATCAACAGAGTGAAGAGAATCTGTTGAATAGAAGAAAGTATCTGCAAACTATTCACCCTAAAAAGGACTAATAGCCAGAATATACAAGAAACTGAAACAACAGGCAACAAATAATTCCCTTAAAAGGTGGACAAAGGACATGAGTAAGCATTTCTCAAAAGAAGACATACAAATGGTCAACAAGTATATGAAAAAAATGCTCAACATCACTAGCAATCAGAGGCAAATCAAAACCACAATGAGATGTATCTTACCCCAGTCAGAATGGCTATTATCAAAAAGACAACAAATAACTGATGTAGGCGAGGATGTGGAGAGAAAGGACCTCTTACATACTGTTGGTGGGAATGTAAACTAGTACAGCCACTATGGAAAATAGTATAGAGAGTTCTCAAAGAAACTAGAATTACCATTCAATCCAGCAATCCCACTACTGGGTAAGTACCCAAAGGAAAAAAAAAATCAATATATCAAAGGGGATACCTGCACTCACATGTTTATTGCAGCACTATTCACAATAGCAAAGATATGGAATTAACTTAAGTGTCCATCAACAGACCAATAGATAAAAAAAAAAAACAGGTGTATATACACACAATGGTATACTATTCAGCCATAAAGAATAATGACATCATGTCATTTGCAGCATCGTAGATGAAACTGGAGGTCATTATCAAGTGAAATATGCCAGGCACAGAATGACAAACATTGCATATTCTCACTTATATGTGAGAGCTAAAAAAAATATGATCACATAGAGGTAGAAAGTACAAACACCAACAGGGAAGGGTGAGACAGAGGGAGGAGGATGGAAGGAGGGAGGATAAAGAGGACTGGGTTAAAGAGTACAAACATACAGTATGATAGAAGGAATCAATTCAATGTTTGATAGCCCGAGTAGGGTGACTATACTCCACAAAAGATGTATTGTACTAAGCTGATGGACACTCTAAGTATCCTGGCTTGATCACTCTGCATTATATACATGTAACAATTTCTCATGTACCCCATAAATGTGTACAAGTAATAAAAACAAGGCTGAGACAGGAGGATCACTTGAGCCCAGGAATCTGAGGTTATAGTGTGCTATGATCACATCACTGCCCTCCAGCCTAGGTGACAGAGTGAGACCCTGTCTCTAAAAATAAATGAATAAATGAATAAATACAATTAAAAAAATAAAAAAGTAACTACAATAAAATGAACAACCAATTTAATAATGGGCAAAAGATCTGAAGATACCTCATCACAGAAGACATATAGATGTTAAATAAGCATATGAAAAAATGTTCAACATCATATTTCAGGGAACTGGAAATTAAGCCAACAATAAAATACCAGTACACATCTATTAGAATAGCCCAAATCCAAAACACTGACAACTTCAAACGTGGGTGAAGATGTGGAGCAACAAAAGCTCTCATTAATTGCTAATGGGAATGCAAAATGGCATAGCCACTTGGAAGACAGTTTGTCAGTTTCTTACAAAATGAAACATACTCTTACTGTAAGATCTTGCAATTATTCTCCTTGGTATTTACCCAAATGAGATGAAAACCTATGTTTACACAAAAACATGCATATGCATGTTTACAGTAGCTTTATTCATATAATGGCCAAAATTGGAAAGAGACCAAGATGTCCTTCAGCAGGTGAACGCATAAACTGTGGCACATCCAGACAATGGATTATTCAGTGCTAAAAAGAAACAAGCTCTCAAGCCATGAAAAGACATGGAGGAACCTTAAATGAATATTACTAAGTGAAAGAGGCCAGTCCAGAAAGGCTATATACCATATCATTCTAACTATATGACATTCTGGAAAAGGCAGTAAAAGGAACAGTGGGGACAGTAAAAGCAACAGTGGTTGCCAGGGCCTTGAGGGAAGAGATAAATGACTAGGCGGGGCACAGGGGATTTGTAGGGCAATGAAAATACTGTATATGATACCATAATGGTAGATACATGTCACTACACATTTATCCAAACCTATAGAATTTACAATACCAAGAGTGAACCCTCATGTACAGTCTAGGGTTTGAGTGATAATGATGTGTCAGTGTAGATCATGGATTGTTACAAATGTACCACTCTGGTGGGGGATGTTGATAATGGGGAGGCTATGTGTGTGTGTGATGGCAGGGTGTATATGTGGACTCTATCTTCTGCTGAATTTTGCTGGGGACTTAAAATTGCTTTAAAAATAAAGTCTATATGAAATATATTAAATTTTTTTTCAGAACAGCAAAAATATATGCAAGCTAATTCTATGATTATTAAAAATGGAAGTCCATCATTTTTTATTTTTTATTCAAAGCTTTAACTCCTCAAACAAGTTTCTAGGTAGAAGATGATTCCAAACTATACAAGAAAGGATGTGATTCGGGTTTTGTAAACTGGACATTTATCAACCATTTAAAGTGGAAGGTCTTAAAGGCTCTCTTTTTTAAAAAAAATTATTTATTTATTATTATACTTTAAGTTCTAGGGTACCTGCGCACAATGTGCAGGTTTGTTACATAGGTATACATGTGCCATGTTGGTTTGCTGCTCCCATCAACTCATCATTTACATTAGGTATTTCTCCTAATGCTATCCCTCCCTCAGCCCCCCACCCTGCAACGGTGTGTAATGTTCCCCTTCCCGTGTCCATGTGTTCTCATTGCTCAACTCCTACTTATGAGTGAGAACATGCGATGTTTGGTTTTCTGATCTTGTGATAGTTTGCTGAGAATGATGGTTTCCAGCTTCATCCATGTCCCTGCAAAGGACATGAACTCATCCTTTTTTATGGTTGCATAGTATTCCATGGTGTATATGTGTTAAAGTCTCTCTTTATTCCCTTATCACTGAATATTACTTTTGGGATGTGGAAGATCTTTACAATACACTTTAAAATTGTATCCCAATCTTCTTTTTATTTAATATTTCTCTGACTAGTCTAAGCTCCTGACAAGTCTTAGGTCTTATCTTCCTATCTCCAAAATGCAGTTCGAACTGTGATGGTAGAATGCATACAATGAAAAAATGTTAGGTGTTTTAATCGATGAGAATACAAAATCAAAAGAATTCTAAAACTAAATTCATGAGACATCATGAAATAATTCTACCAAAATGCTTTAAAATCAAGGCATTCAAAAATTGCATTTCATTGTCTTTAAACCAAGGCATTTAACATTCTCAAAATGAATTTAAATAATAGGCTTG
Organism: Homo sapiens; assembly: GCF_000001405.40. NCBI lineage: Eukaryota > Metazoa > Chordata > Mammalia > Primates > Hominidae > Homo > Homo sapiens. The sequence continues at coordinate 42,543,195 of NC_000004.12, forward strand.
AGCTTCTTAAGTTCAATTTCCGAGTTTCTATGAGACAAAGCAAGGTTGTTGACTCTATTCAAAATAGGAATGTTCCAAGTTGGGAAGGTTATAAACTAGGTAAATGGAAAGAACAGTTCAGAAGGAAAATGCTGACTCATCTCAATTAAAAAAAAGGGCCCTGGTCAGATTTCTCATTTTCCCATGAGTATAAATATATTTAACTGGAGAAATTCAGTTAGAATAACATATTACTATTTCTGTCAATATAAGCTGCCAATATACCAAAGCCATGTCAGAAATTGTTATAATTAAAACAATGCAAGACAAATTAGTCCCATGACATAATTATGGTAGTAACTGTGATCTAATTTTCCCCCATTTCTATGCTCTTAAAAAATTAGATTCAAACTAGAGTGAATCACATTCTAATACAATTTTTAAATATTTTCTGTATTTAACTGTCTTCTAACAATTTATATAGTATAAACCTCAAATATTATGTATCAAAAATTGAATTATAAAAATAACCTAGGCCAAACTTTTTCAAAGCACCAAATTTACCCAGAAGGAATTCCACATTTCACCAGAAGAGGCTGAACACTATTACTATAAAACACCAACAAAAGTGGATGTCAGCAACTTCATGTTAAACATCTGTGTTACATTTCCATAGAATGCCTAACATATACATTATAAACCATCATAAATTATAACTGTAAAAAATAAAAATAAAAACTTACAGCTCCTTTGCAGTAGAGTCGTAACTTTCCAGATGGAGTGCGAACAATCACTGACATTCTTTTCCTAGCACTGAAAGAAAGAGGTTTTGCATAATGTGTCATCATACCAAGGATATGCATGTATGTGTTTGTCATGCCTCACATATTTTGATATTCACAGTAAAAAAATAAATCTGACCAAATCATGAGCCCTAACCTTCCACATACACAAACTATCCCTTGGGTGTACAGCTGGGCACCTGTAAAAGTTACATTATGCTTTTAAGGCACCAGGGTACCATCTACTCTTCTAGTGGAATAGTTGACAAAATAGTTCCTAAGAAACCTACAAGAGCTCATACCCACCAGAGTAAAGTCCTAGTTCAATGTTTTCGGATTTGAAAAAATATTTAAGTTGGTTTCTTAAAGGATAAATTATGTTATAGTTTTTATGAAAAATAGAAATATCAATACAAATCAATTGTTATTAAAAATACAAATGACAATCAGTGACACCCCATCACACATGAAGGCAAATACTAGTACTTTAAAAAACAACTTAAGCATTCACAACTAGTTTTTCAATGATGACTAGCAAACCACTGGCATCATGCTAAAAACTTAATTTATGCAGCAAAATTAAGCTAAAGAGCACAAATATTTTAATACTGTTGATGACATAGTTTAATAAGAACTGTCTGTCAAATGTACATCTTTCAATGCATTAGTAAAAAGAGATAGCAAATAACACTGAATGGAAGAAACTGCGACAGCATTACAAAGGATAGGACTCATTTGGACCATGAGTGTGTAAGCATCCTCCTCAGAACTGAGGGCAGAAGAGGACTACTCAAATGTCTGTATCTATTTGTTTTACCAGCTAAAAAACTGAGATGAGTTCAATATGCAGAAGCAGTCAGTTATGGTATCATAGTGTACAGTCAGGAGTTTCTTTCAGAGGTATTTAGAAATATTTCAGTTCCCGGCCTGGCACGGTGGCTCATGCCTGTAATTCTAGCACTTTGGGAGGCCGAGGCGGGCGGATCACAAGGTCAGGAGTTCGAGATCAGCCTGACCAACATGGTGAAACCCTGTCTCTACTAAAAATACAAAAATTAGCCAGGCATGGTATCACGTGCCTGTAATCCCAGCTACTCAGGAGGCTGAGGCAGAAGAATCGCTCGAACCCGGGAGGTGGAGGTTGCAGTGAACCGAGATTGCACCACTGCACTCCAGCCTGGGTGACAGGGCGAGACTCCGTCTCAAAAAAAAAAAAAAAAAAAAGGAATATTTAAGTTCCCTCTTTCTTTATCCATAATGCTCCTGGTATTACTACCCCAGTCTCTATCCCTGTACATCAGGAATACATTTAATTGGGCCTCCTTTGTAATGACACCTATACATTCTACGTTAGCCCTTCCTGATTCATGCCTCTTTTACTCCAGCTTTGATAATGTGGTCCCAAACTCATCAATGTCCTTGCTCTTCTCTTTTCCTGGTGAAACCTCCAAATATTGGGTGAATGAGAACTCTCTTTTGTGTTACATCAAAGTAGGTAGATGTTGCTGAAGAAAAGTTACCCGGCCATAGAGACTAGCAAATACATGATATACAACACCAACTGGGTGCTCCTTACTGCCCAGTAACCCAGCACATTCCAACAAGCTTGCTCTCTTGCACTGTGCAGGGCTACAGCACACCTTCTCCATTCTCCAAGTCTCCCGCGTTCCCTCCTCACCCCAGAAGCTTGACAAAAATTCACCTTGATAAAAACCTCAGATAAGAAATCCCTTTTTGCCCGGGTATGGTGGCTTACGCCTGTAATCCCAGCACTTTGGGAGGCTGAGGCAGGGGGATCATTTGAGGTCAGGAGTTCGAGACCAGCCTGGCCAACATGGTGAAACCCTATCTCTACTAAAAATTCAAAGATTAGCCAGGCATGGTGATGTGCACCTGCAATCCCAGCTACTTAGGAGGCTGAGGCATGAGAATAGCTTGAACCTGGGAGGCGGAGGTTGCAGTGAGCTGAGATCGAGCCACTGTACTGCAGGCTGGGTAACAGAGAGACACTCTGTCTCGGTTTGGGGGTGGGAAGAAATCCCTTTTCTTTCTGCCATTAAAACCTGCATATCTATGTGTGCACCATCTCCTCCATCTTTTTTCCTGATATGATGGAAGAAACATTTTCCTCTTATCAGAGGCCTTCCTTACACATGCCTGTGAACCTCCTCTCATCTCACTTTCTCAGTAACCTCGGTCCAAAGGTTATGCTGTTCTCCCCAGAATCTGCCTCTTCTCCTTCTGTAAGGATCCTGGTGATAAGCATTTAACATACTCTGTTCTCGCCCCGCAGCCATAAAAAATGATGAGTTCATGTCCTTTGTAGGGACATGGATGAAGCTGGAAACCATCATTCTCAGCAAACTATTGCAAGGACAAAAAACCAAACATCACATGTTCTCACTTACAGGTGGGAATTGAACAATGAGAACACATGGACACAGGAAGAGGAACATCACACACCGGGGACTGTTGTGGGGTGGGGGGAGGGGGGAGGGATAGCATTAGGAGATATACCCAAAGCTAAATGACGAGTTAATGGGTGCAGCACACCAACATGGCTCATGTATACATATGTAACAAACCTGCACGTTGTGCACCTGTACCCTAAAACTTAAAGTATAATAAAAAAAAAAAAAACAAAAAAACTCACCCGATGCAACCACTCCTCCATTAAGCCACATCCCTTTTCAACTCTTTCACATTTCACCTTCTCTAAACCATCACTCATCTATCCCCTTCATTCCCAGTCTTTTCCTTTTTCTTCTCTCCTCACCATTACAATGAATAGCTACATTCAACAAATACTTCTCAAACTTCTTACCTAACCTTGCAGCAGTCTCCGACACAGATGACCACTCTCTCTTTGAATCCTCTTCTCCTGGCTCTGTGCTATGACCCTCTCTCTGTCCTCTACATCTTTAACAACAAGGTTGTCTCTTTTGCTGATTCCTCTTTTTCTAATCAACCCTTACCCTCATGGCTTAATCTTCAGCCTTCCATTTCCCCCTCATTTTATATCTTCTCTTCAGGAGATCCCATTCAGTTTTATGACTTCAAATACCACTTACCAACCACTGACTGCCAAATTGCTATTTCAGCCATAGATTTCTCTTTTGTTTCAGGCCCTTATATTCAACTGCTTGCCTGATAGCTCTGCTTGTATGTCTCACAGTCATCTAAAACCTAAGACTTCAAACATTTCAACCTCCACATCTATTCCTATTCCCACTTCTGCCATCTGTGTAAATGGTACCTCTATCTACCCAGTTGTTCATGCCAGAGACCCTCACCCCTTCCTCGTTTCGCCTTCTACTGCCAATCCCTCACAAAGTCTCTCAGATATTCCTCTACAAGGTACACGGATTCTATTAACTTCCTTTTATTTTCACTACCATCATCCTAGTCTAAACCACTAATGTCTTTCATAGGGACTATTTAACAGCATCATATTCACTTTTCTCATGTTCATTCTTAAACCCACCTTCATCATTGAGTCCTGAAAGAACAGAAACTCCCAACCCTGCTTTATTTTTTTCTTCATGGCACTCATCACCTAGCATAGTGCTTTCTAAGTGTGGTTTAAAAAACGTATCTAAATGGCAATTAATAGACTACTTAATGACAGTCTACAGATATAATACAAATAAGCTTGGGAAAAGCAATCACTCTGACATGAAAAGAAAGAGACGAGGAGTGCACTTTGAAAATACTCCATTCTGTTTATTCAATGTATTCATCTTCTTTGGGCTTTTCAGAGTATCTAAGTTAAAAAAAGCTTTAAATAATAAGTCAGACAGACTGCATTATTTTTGTTATTAACCACTGGCATATGGTCACTCCTAATCAAGACAGCAACAAAAGTTGGCACAGAAAGAGAAATGCCTTTCCTAAGCAATGTACAAGTTTGTCTTATGCAGAAGAAAGTTCAAGAAAAATGATGGACACTTATTTCCTTGAGCAGCAGCATTACTTCCTCATGGCCTTAATTCTGTGAAGTGTCCTGTGAATGGTCACGCAGTCTTTAAAGACCCTGCAGCAAGGGCCTCTCTGCCTCAAGAATGCAGGTAAGCAGGTTACATTGTCACGTGGGAGTAAGAGGCTGAAAACTCACAGGCTTATCACTGATTATAACTGAAGGGATCTATTATTCGACCTTAAGAAATAAAATAAGTAGGACAATCACTTTGCTTTCTGTCCTTTCCTAACAGATGGTAACTGGTCTTATACTTAACAGAGACAAGAATACGGTTTTTCAAATCCTGAAGACAATTAGATATAATGAGCATACAATTAGAATGCCGGCTTCCTGATCCCGACTCATCTCCACCCCACATAAATCTGATGCCTCTAAACATAATTGTGTTTCCAGATCACCAGCCATAAGACGCATGGCCGTATACGCTGGGCTTGTGAATCAGGCAGCTATATTTCAAAACGATTTCTTTTTCTAAATTTTAAAATTGATACACAGTATTTGTACATATTTATGGGGTATATGTGATATTTTGTTAGATGCACAGAATTTATAATGATCAAATTGGGGTGTTTGGGATATGCAAGATCTTGATTATTTAATACTTGTATGTCTGGGAACATTTTAAGTCCTCTCTTCTAGTATTTTGAAATACACAACACATTGTTGTTAACTATAGTTACCCTACTTTATTATCAAACATCAGAATTTACTTCTTCAACATAACTGTGTGTTCATACCCATTAACCAACCTCTCTTTATCCCTTCCCCTCCCACTCACACATCCTTCCCAGCCTCTGGTATCTATCATTCTACTCTTTACCTCCATGAGATCAACTTTCAAAAAGACTTTAAAACTGCAACCAGTAGTCACGCATTGCAATACTCTGAAGAAAGTGGTTTGTAATTTATCTACAGATAATGAGAATAAAAAATGTACTAAAGATTTTGATTTAATATTTTGTCTAAACAAATTTAGTTAAATAAAAACAAAACATACTTTCTAGTTATTCAAAAGGGAAAAAATAAAAATGGATATAAATTTATCTTATCCATACAAATCACTGAGCAGATGTTTTACCTGGTAAACTCCAAGACATTGAGCAATTCATATCTTTCTTCCTGCCCCAGCTAAGAAGAAAAGGAATATATAATTACATACAGTTGGAAAAGTCTTAAGCTTCTAGGAAATAAATCCTAGCCATAAAATTTTACTGTAAAAAATGCCAACACAAACAAATTTTCCCTGCTGAAATATGGAAGGGAGCTTACTAACTTTTACGTAAATTGAGTTACAGGAAACAGAAAATCCAAAACAGGAGAAAACCAAAAGGAAAACCAAAAAGTGTCACCGAAGAGTTCTTAGAATATAACCTGTCCAGACAAGAGAATGGAGGGCTTCAAAAGGGATGTCGTAAGGAAAGAACTGCCAATGAACAGATTATGTGGTGTGACTGTATTGAGAAAAGTATACTAGAAAGTATGGGAACAATTAATATAGATAATAGGGGGGAAAAAAGGGAAGCAATGAAACAAACAGGTAAGAGATTTATCTTTAGAAAATGATGGAAAAAGTGGCCAGGTCTGGTGGCCATGCCTGTAATCCCAGTGCTTTGGGAGGCTGAGGTGGGAGAATCAAAGGAGCTCAGGAGTTCAAGACCAGCCTTGGCAATATAGCAAGACCCCATCTCTATTAAAAAAATAAATTAAAAAAAATATCAGGTGCGGTGGCACATGCCTATCTATAATCCCAACTATTTTAGAGGCTGAGGCAGGAGGGTCACTTGAGCCCAGGGGTTCAAGGCTATGGTTAGCTATGACTGCACCACTGCACTCCAGCCTGGGTGACAGAGCAAGACCCCATCTCTAAAAAAAATAATTGGTGTTGGGAAACACAAAATTTAAAAAACAAAAAAATAATTACCAAATACAACGATGTTCAGCTATGAATACTGTACAGGTAAAATAGAAGGCAATACTACACAGAAACTAAATAATAATTTTTAAATGAGACAATTTATATATAATAAAATGCACAGACCTTTAACACAGAGTCAAATGAAAATTGTGCAGTGTGGTAATTAGCACCCCAATCAAGATATAAAATATTCCCATCCTATAAATCCCCTTGTGCCCTTTTCCAATCAACCTCTTCCCTGCCCTGAGGCAACCACTGTTCTGAATTCTATCACCATAAATCACTTTTTCCTGATCTTGAGCTGCATAAAAATGAAATTAAAAAGGATGCACTCCTTTGTGTCTGGCTTTTTTTTTTTTTTTTGCTCGGCATAATGTTTTTGATTCATGTTTTGATTCATTTTTCATCCATGCTGTTGATGAATCAATAACTCATTCTTTTTTATTGTTTAGATGTTCCATTGTGAGACTGTATCACAATTTGTTTATCCATTCTTCTATTGATGGGCATTTGGTTTGGTTTCTAGTTTTTGGCTACTCTGAATAAAGCTGATAGGAGCATTTTGTTCCAAGTCTTTTTAGAAACAGAAACTTCCATTTCTGCTATATAACTATGAGCACAATTGCTGGCTCAGGTGTAAGTTTACCTCAATTAGACAACTCTGTAAGGTTTTCCAAAGGGACTTTACCACTTTACACATCTGCTAGCAGTATATGAGTATCCCACTTGTTCTACACACTCATTAACATTTGGTGCTATCCATTTTTAAAATTTAGTCTTTAGAAAATAAAAGAAAAAGTGGCCAGGTGCAGTGGTTCATGCCTGTAATCCCAGTGCTTTGGGAGGCTGAGGTGGGAGAATCACTTGGGTAGGTATGTAGTGCCATCTCACTGTGGTCTTAATTGTATCTCCCCAATGACTAACAATGTTTTTTCACATGCTTATTGGCCATCCATATAGCTTCTCTTGTGAAATGTTGGCTCAAGTCTTTTGCCCACTTTAAAACTTGGGCCTGAGTATTTAACTAAAAATTGGAATAAAATCATAATAATTTGAGTATGAGGAAGGATAAACTAAAAGGATGGTGATTCAAGAGATACACCCTCATGTAACAGAATCAGAAGATACATTAAAATTGAAGAGTCAAAACATGTATTAATAGTCACCTTTATTTTTTGAAAATATGAGATGTATAAATGCCTAAAGAAATAGCTAAAAGAACACCCAGTAGTTGCTTCTGGAGTGGGGAACCTCTATTTTACTATGAGCCTTTTGGTATTACTTTATCTTTGAAGCTATGCAAATGTATTACTTGGATTAAAAAGAACCTTAAAAACAACTAACTTACTGAATCTATAATCACCGAGTCGGGTGTTCTTCCAGTGAAAACAAAATTCAATTGCTTGGCTGCTCTGACCAATGCTCCCTCATCTGTTTTAGAAAAAGAGGTAAAAGCAAACACATGATTGAAAAAAAAATATTCTCAGCACAAGAGAAGTACATTAAGGTAATATAATTTTCTGTTTAATTAAAGTTCTTTTTATTCTGGCTCATGTTATTAATCCAATTATTTTAAAATTACATGACAATTCCAAAGAAATGAGGATAATAATCTTAAGTGTTGGAGACACATACAGAACTCAGAGTTACATTTCCGAAATGTCAAGTCTCACTGTTAGTCACAAATTCCTAAGAAGCTTAATTTAAATGTACCCTTTCATCCAGTGTATTTGCTAGAAAACTTTCTCAAAAGGAATCAGAGAAAATTGCCTTCTAAACTTTTATCCTTTTCCTCCTAAAATGTTGAGTCTAGAGAAACTAATATTGCTAATTGAGGATTCAGTTTAAACAAGCTTTAAATGAACTAATGATTTTAATGTCTATGAATTTCATCATGTTAAATAAAACCTTTTTATTGCTAGAGTAGGGTATGGCATAAGAAAACATCACATAGTTTCTACCCTAATGATATGAGACATAACAATTCTTATGCTTTTAAGGAAGTTAGTATATCCTATAAGTCACAGATGCTGGCTTAGAATGCAGTTTAAAACACTTCTAACAAAGTTCTCATCAAACTGACTATCTGCCCAACTTTACATTGAAAACAGATCTAAAATTAAGCCTAAGTACTTAATACTGATAACTGTACTAATAATATTTTATGGAATCCCTTCAAATGCGTAAAACTTTCCTCACCCAAATAAATACACAAGCTTCTTTATTATCATTAACAAAAGAGGAAGGCAAAATTGGTGTTCTAAAGTTATATAAGCTTACTATATTCAGGCGAACACTTCTTCCTTTTCCTATTTGTACCTGTGCAAAATCAGCTTGACTAAGAGTTCTTAGGTATTTATAAAGAAGCGAAAAATTATTATGTGTATGTAAAAAAGTACATTTTTCACTTATGAGAATTACGTTATTCACATTTTCATGTAACTTATGTAATATGCCAAAAATTACATATACAAAGTTACACATTTTAAAATATCATGTACATATTTAACCTTGAAAGCCAAGGTTTTTCTAATTGGTAAATAAAAATTTTTATCTAAAAAACACTCAATTTGGCTATCTTTTTAAAATTAAATTGACTTTTACATTCAGAACAATTTTCCACAAAACAATACTTTACAATTGCTTCATTTGTACCTGGAGATGCTGCTTGATAAATAATCTTGTCACCTTCTCGCTCTGGCACTGCTGTGTGACAGACTGCCATCATTGTAAGAAATTCACATATTATAGGTGCAGTTGGCTGTGAAAAATAAACACATAATTTAAGCCCTTCTCATGTGAACATTTTGACACTGACAGTAATATTACTTCATGTCTATTAAGAACATAGTTGTTGGCCAGACATGGTAGCTCACACCTGTAATCCCAGCACTTTGGGAGGCCGAGGCGGGTGGATCGCCTAAGGTCAGGAGTTTGAGACCAGCCTGGTGAAACCCCGTCTCTACTGAAAATACAAAATCTGGCCAGGCGTGGTGGCAGGCGCCTGTAATGCCAGCTATTCGGGAAGCTGAGTCAGGAGAATCGCTTGAACCCGGGAGGCGGGAGGCGGAGGTTGCAGTGAGCTGAGATTGCAACATTGTACTCTAGCCAGGACAAGAGAGTGAGACTCCGTCTCAAAACAAAACAAAACAAACAAGATAAACAAACAAAACCCCATAAAAACATAGCTGTTATACACTGGGGGTGTGGGATTATAGCCAACTAAGAAGCCAACATCAATTATAAAGAAAATGTGTTTTTTAATTCAAATTATTTTTCTACTCTTTCATTCCTTTTCTAAACATTTATACAAGACAACTTGGTGTTGTCAAATAGAAATAGTATAGTGAGAAAGGCAGATGTAGCTGAATCTTGTCGTTGGAGGACAGGATAAAAATTCGAAGATGTTCATTTACCTAGTTGTAATTCCTGATCAGATTTAAATTTTAGGCATGCAATCTTACTGCACTGGGGTTATACTTTGCGTTGGGGTGATAATGATTGAGGATTTTTCTATAATGCTTTGTCTTTCCTCTCCAAAAATGGTAACTTTATTCATATTTTAATGAATCAAAAAATTATGAACAACTCCTATGTCCAGGGGACTCTTACAGCCTGAGAAGACAGAAGGGTGTATCCTTTCTGCACGGAGCTTAGGGTTTATAGGAGAGAAGCCAGATATTTTAAATTACATATCTTCCTGTCTGGCTCTCAATAAAGAGAAATGTCATTCAATTTAATAAAGGAAAAACATTTCTCTATGCTCTTGGGCAAAAAAAAAATAATAATGTGAAGTGACTAGGGAGATATATCAGAACATTATTTGAAAAAACTGTGTTCAAGCTAGAACAGTGGACTAAACAGACATGGTCCCTGCCATGTGAAGCTTGGCGTTGTGGGGAAGACCGAACACAAATAAATATACACGTATTGTTTACTTATAGCAAGACAAGCACTGTAAAGAAGGGAATATGCAAATATCATGTAATGTGACTTGAGCGAGTCTGTGGTTATTCTCAAGATAATGTAATATTTGAGCTGATGAAGTTTTAGCCTCATGAAGAATTGAGCAAAGTGCTTTCCATCAAGCAGGAAAGGTCGTAAAGAAGGAAAAAAACGATGTGTTTTAGAAAATAAAAGGCAGCCAGTGGGATGAGGAGAAAGGAGCTCAAAGTGAGGGTGACAGCTTAGGCAGGGGCCAGATCATGTTACTTTATGAGTGAAGAGAGAACGCAGAGAATAGGCTTAAACAGGATAGTGAGGGGACTTGATTTCCATTTGCATTTTTCAGCTGTCATGGGCAACAATAACTGGAGAAGAGTAAAAATGGAACCCAGGAGACTGGCCAGGAGGCTACCACAGGAATCCACAGAGTGGGTGCTGGCGGTCTGGACTGGGGTGGTGAAAATGAGGATTAACTGCAGCCGACACCCAAGATAGATTCTAGCAATCAGTGCCAACAAGGACTTGGTGACTCAGAGATCTGGACATGGAGAGAAAAGAAGGCATCAAAGACAACCCTCTAATTCCTAAGAAGAGTCACAAGATAGGTGATGGTATGATTTACTGAAAGCTGAGAATCCAAGAGGGAAGAGGTGGTCTAGGGCTAGGCTTTGTAGATCCTGAAGTTAATATTTTGTTGAAGGCTCGCGCAGAAAAGAGAGATACAAAAACACCCCTAGCAACATACTGATAGGGCCCCACTTGGGCAAAAGTGACAAGTCCACCTGTGCTAGAGAAGATGCATATTTGAGGGTAACAATCATGAGTTCAAGTTGGGACATACTGGGTTTGAAGTGGTTATGAGAAAAAGTTCCGGGGTTTAACTCCAGAAGACTCTATAACTTGATCTTATGAAAACTGAGTGTCAGTGTGATGGTTAATACTGAGTGTCAACTTGACTGAAGGACGCAAAGTGTTGATCCTGGGGGTGTGTCTGTGAGGGTGCTGCCAAAGGAGATTAACATTTGAGTAAGTGGGATGGGGAAGGCAGATCATCTAATCAGCTGCCAGCATGGCCAGAATATAAAGCAGGCAGAAAACTGTGAAAAGGCTAGACTGGCTTAGCCTCCCAGCCTACATCTCTCCCTTGCAGGATGCTTCCTGCCCTCAAACATTGAACTCCAAGTTTTTCAGCTTTGGGACTTGGACTGGCTTCCTTGCTCCTCAGTGTGCAGATGGCCTATTGTGGGATTGTGTGAGTTAATATGACTTAATAAACTCCCCTTTGTGTGTGTATCTATCTATCTATCTATCTATCTATCTATCTATCTATCTATCTATCTATCTAATCTATCTATCTATCTATCTATCTATCTATCTATCTATCTATCTATCTATCTATCTATCCTATTAGTTCTGCCCCCCCCTAGAGAACCCTAATACAGTCAGTAACTTCATAAGCAGGATTTTCACATTGGGTGGCAGAAGCCAGAGTTTCTATTGTATATTTAGCCTATGGTACTGAGCAGATAACTTATTTCTATAAGTTATTTCGATAACTTATTTCTAAAATTGTTAATATTGAATTGTATCACAGAAGGTTCAATAATCATTTAAAATGAAACAATTTGAAAAGACAGAATATTGATGAATGATAATATTAAAATCAAATTAATAACCACCATGAATTAATGTTGGCCAAGTAAAAAGGATTTGGCATAGATTTTGATAATTATTAAAAATGATAATGAGGCCAGGCACGGTGACTCATGCCTATAATCCCAGCACTTTGGGAGGCTGAGGGGGTGGATCACCTGATGTCAGGAGTTTAAGACCAGCCTGACCAACATGGCGAAACCCTGTCTCTACTAAAATACAAAAATTAGCCGGGTGTGGTGGCGAGTGCCTGTAATCCCAGCTACTGGGGAGGCTGAGGCAGGAGAAATGGCTTGATTCTGGGAGGCAGAGGTTGCAGTGAGCCAAAATCACGCCATTGCACTCCAGCCCCAGCGACAGAGTGAGACTCTGTCTCAAATAACTAACTAACTAACTAAATAAATAAATAAAAGATCATGAAAGTAAAAAAAGAGAAACATGTAAACATAGAAGATAGTTCAGAGAAACATTCATTAGTTTTTATTCACTAACAAAAAGACAATGGTTTTATGTAACTTACATGATTATTTTGGAGATTTTCCAGCAATGATGAATCACTAAATGTTTTTTCATCTCCAAACTGTGAGTTCTGCCTGAAGGGGGTAAAAAATAGAGTAAACCCAGTTCATTTATACCAGCCCACTGATCTATTTGTTAATGTACTTTATGAGTAAAGTGTTATGTCTCCAAACCCTCAATAAATTAAATGTAATTTGGCCTGCATTTCTAAGTAAGACATCACAGATTTCATGATTGTATCACAAAATATATTCAAGCATTCTAAAATGTGAAAGATGTTTGCAGTGTAATGAAAAATAGTATTTTACAGTTCATTTTTTCTGGAGTTAAATTATATCGCAGCCACATAAAATTTGTAAAAATATAAAACTAAAACTATTAAAACACCTGGAATTGAATTTCTTCCACTTCCATAATATTTTCAATTTTTAGGATTCTAAGAATTAACGAAAGCTATTATACAAAATATTCTTCTATTTGAGTCATGAGAAATCTTTATATGTAGTGATGAAAACCATATGAAATATAAGAACATGAATAAACCATTTACAGATTATATCAACATCTATCATTAATATCTGAGCAAATATTTATAAACATATTACATTTGTTCTGTAAATATAAGAACAAATAATAAAAGTATGGAATTTTTGTGTTGTGGCTATCTTCAGATGAGCAAATGTATTATGTACTTCATACGATATAAATGGAGTCAATTATCTCTGCAAACTAGCTATCATTTATCTCACGGCCATACAATTTAACATAAAAATACTGAGATTCAAAGGAAAAACAAGGAACACAAGTGGGAATGTCAAAAGAAAAGGGTATAGTTTGCAAAATTTAGTGAAAATATATACATTTGAGGTTTAGTGCACAGAAGAAAATTTCAGATTTCACTGAGGGAAAAAAATGTGTCCAATACTAAACAATTATAATCCAGAAAGCTTTTGATCACAACATTAACAGGTTACAAAGAGTATTATCAATGTCAACATGTCAGATATCAAGACTGTCATATTGTAAAGGCAGCAGCTTGACAGGACGGAAAACTCTTTGAAGAAAACAGAATTTGAAAGGAGAGAACATACATAGTATCTTCAATGAAACACATTTCTCCAGTAAACTTAAGGAGGAAGTTAGAATGTTTATAATGGAACACATATCTACATGTAGTAACTTGCTCTATTAAGTCTCCAAATCGTAAGAAAATACATCTTTATTAGCAGGTAGTAGTTTAGAATGATCAAAATACCCTTGGGGGCCAAAGTGAACACGTCATCATCATCATTATCATTATTTCTCTAATTTTGAAGATGGAAGGAAAAAAATCTAAGAAAAAGATAGCATATATTTATCCTCCAAATATCACCATTAATTAAAAAGAGTTCATTACTTGGGGCTTTATGAAATTTTCCTATTAAAATATATTCATAAATGGTTTGTAGCTGTACTTTTCTACTTGTTAAACAAATGTCAAGGAATATTCACAGTAACATCTTGCAAGAAGTCTATTTTCTTTCCAAAGAATTCCAGACTAAAAGCCGTTTAAATCTGAAGATATGCCTTATTAATCTCACCAATAATTCTTTCATTTTATAAATCAGTTACTATAATTGACTTAATTTTCAAACATATTTATATTTGAGTAGCTCTGGATATGCAATTGAAATATTTACATGGACATACCCCATTTTCCATTCAGTAATGAAAGTTCTGTCAGGGATAATGCTAAAGAACTCTTCTTCTAGAAAGTGACTTCCTTCCCAAGATAATTTAAAAAACCCCAAAACAGGCTGGGCACCATGGCTTATGTCTGTAATCCCAGCACTTTGGGAGGCTGAGGTGAACAGATCACCTGAGGTCAGGAGTTCGAGACCAGCCTGGCCAACATGATGAAACCCCATCTCTACTAAAAATATAAAAATTAGTCAGGTGTGGTCCCAGCTACTCGGGAGGCTGAGGCATGAGAATCGCTTGAACCTGGGAGGTGGAGGTTGCGGTGAGCCGAAACTGCACCACTGGACTCCACTCCAGCCTGGGTAACAGAGCAAGACTACATCTCAAAAACAAAAACAAAAACAAAAACAAAAACAAAAAAACCAGAAACAAAAACTAGAAACAACTCATCCTCTAATCAGACAGCCTGGGTTGGATAACTCTGGCATGGAGCTTCCACCACTCCTCTCCAAAATTTTACAAAATATTTACTTTTAGTAAAAATAAACAGATAAAATTTGCAAGCTCATATCAGTTAAAAATAAGAACCATCACATTAAAAGTAAAAATAATAGGACTGTTAGTCAAACTTTCACAAATAAAAATGCAAGCCAACATCAACATTTGGTTACATCTTTGCCTAGTAATTTTTGAGTGTCACTTTGCTCCCAAGGAGACAATGACGTTATGGTATTTTGCAAGAAGCAATAAGGCAGGGAGTATCACAGTTAAGGTAAGGAGAACAGAGCAGGGAACCCACAATGTCATATAATTTGCAGCTTCTTTAGGCTGACTTAAAAGTTATGATACATTGTAACTACTCATTTTCTGATCAAACAAAAATGAAGAATCTCTATAGCAATAAAAATTAAAATATTCAAAGAATATATGGCTTAATCAGTATAGTTGTCCTTGCATATGACAGTATGTACTAAGACTTTTTTTTAAATTCAAAATTCATGTCAACAGGAGAGCCATCAGAGAAAAGGAAGAAAAGAGCTGAATCCATACTTTTCACCTTGTAAACCAAAATAAACTCCAGATGGATCAATGATTTTATAAATGTACTAAAGATATGTGAAACATTTTTTTAAAAAAAACTTAGGAATGGAAAAAGCTTAGGTATCATATATAATTCAGAAAACATAATATATAAATCTGACTACATAAATCTAAATATTTCTGCATAGCAAAAACTATGGCAACAGGCCGGGTGCAGTAGCTCACGCCTGTAATCCCAGCACTTTCGGGAGGCTGAGGCAGGAAGGCTGCTTGAGGCCAGGAGTTTGAAACCAGCCTGGGCAACACAGCAAGACCTGTCTCTGCAAAAAATTAAAAAATTAGCCAGGTCTGGTGGTATGCACCAGCTGGTGGTGTGTAATCCCAGCTACTTGGGAGGCAGAAGTGGGAGGATCCCTTGAGCTCTGGAGTTTGGGGCTGCAGCGAGCTATGATGGTACCACTGCACTCCTGCCTGGGTGACAGAGGGAGATCATCTCTTAAAACAAAACAAAACACAACCAACTTCTGCAAGAAAAGTCAAAAGCTAAATGACAAACTGGGAAAAAATATTTCCAACTTATAAAGGCTAATTTCCATGGAATAAAAAGAATTACCAGAAATCAATTTACAAAAAGATCAACAATGTAGTACAACAATGAGCAAAGGATATAAACACACAATTCACAAGGAAGGAAATATAAATGGCTTTATATATACATTCAACTTTACCTCATAATGAGAGAGGTGAAATTTAAATGTATCATTGTGGCAAAAATAAAACTTGACAACTTTGTGCTGTTGTAATTGTAGGAAAATAGTAAAGCATGTATCATTGGTGAGAACATAAACTATACAAATTCTAAAAGAAAAGCAATTGGGCAAAATTTAAAATTTAAAATACTTTGATTCAGTAATTCCAGTTCTAGGAATTTATATTGTTTAACTGGTATAAAATACTATATGTACAAATTTATACTTTGCAGTACTTGTTTTTTGTTTTGATTTTTGAGACAGGGTCTCACTCTGTCACCCAGGCTGGAGTGCAACGGCACAGTCTTGGCTCACTTGGAGTGCAGTGACACAATCTCAGCTCACTGCAACCTCCACCTCCTGGGTTCAAGCGATTCTCCTGCCTCAGCCTCCCAAGTAGCTGGTATTACAGGCATGTGTCATCACTCTTGGCTAATTTTTGTATTTTTAGTAGAGACAAGGTTTTGCCATGTTGGCCAGGCTGGTCTTGAACTCCTGACCTCAGGTGATTCATCCACCTCGGCCTCCCAAAGTGCTGGTATTACAGGCGTGAGCTACTGCACCCAACCCCTACAGTCCAGTTTTAATAGCAAAGAGTTAGGAAACACA
The DNA here is from genome assembly GCF_000001405.40 of Homo sapiens. Classification (NCBI taxonomy): domain Eukaryota; kingdom Metazoa; phylum Chordata; class Mammalia; order Primates; family Hominidae; genus Homo; species Homo sapiens. The sequence continues at coordinate 42,560,046 of NC_000004.12, forward strand.
AAGGCCCATCAGTAGTGCTGCTTAAAAATACTGTGGTGCATTTACAAACAAAGGGAAGCTTTTTATGGAATATGAAAAAATCTCAGAGATGCACTGTCAAATGAAAAGCTGGTGCAAAGCAGTGTGTACAGTATGCTTCACTTTCTGTAAAAATAAGAGAGAAAAAATAAATGTATGAATATTTATAGAAGAGATCGGTAAAGATACACTTGAAATTAGTCACACAGGCTGTCTTTGGCAGGGGAAATGGAGGGCTCTAAGACAGGGAGGGGATCAAAACCTTTTCTTTTACACTCCTTGAATTTGTAATATGTTAATGCATTGTGAACTTAAAAAAATCAAATTTAAAACAAGTACAAAACCCATCAGTCATCTGAAATAAACACCCTATCTATACACTAAATGCACATTATACACATATACATATTACACTCATGCACACACGAAAAAAGCAGGATAACTTTAAAATAACACCGTTTTGTTGTGTGGGTTTTTGTTTTGTTTTTACAAAATTCATCACTTTAATGAGTAAGGAACAGGGAGGGCAGCTCAGACATACCACTAGAATGGGAACTCATGGTTGTGTACACATTTGAACACTTAAGCAAGCAGAATGACAAATTACGAATTCTTTAACATTCCAAATGTCCTGAGTAGACAGAATTGTTTAACTACATAACATGCACATACAGGGAATTTCTTTATTTAGGAGCTGGTAGCCTGCACTTAGGTTGCACAGAGAAAAGTCTATGATTTTCAACACAGATCTAAATATTAGATTGGTGCAAAAGTAATTTGAGATTTTTGCCATTAAAAAACAATTGCAAAAACCACAATTACTTTTGCACCAACCTAATATTTTTCCCATTTAACAAGTTTTAAGTGGAAAATTCAGGTTCTGAGTTCTCATATGTAGCTTTAACTTGTTTTAAACATGTTTATTTATAACATGGATAGATAATGGAGCTATTAAGATCATTTTTCTCATATTGCGAGCCACTGAAACATATATATGTAAATTCAAGCGAATATAGCCATTTTATTGGCCTAACGTAATTGAGTATTGGTTTGGGAGTGAAGAGGCAGCTTGTTAGCACCAAGCCACACAAACGAGGACAAGTGCACTTGCTTTTTATCCAGCGTGTGCACGGCTGCTGCTCAGGTGGGCCGCGCACTGGGACAGGTGCGCACTGGGCCTCGGGCCGGCCTGAAGAGCACTTATGGTCTCCTCAATTCCATTTCAAAGTTCATCACAAGGTCCAGGGTCAATAACCTTTTCCAGAAAGAGTTGTAATGTGGGGCCACTCACACTGAGGTGGACATGCCAATGGCTCAAAGGTAGGCAGCCCTCCAGACATCCCTCTGGGAAAAGGCCTGAGGTCAGCTAGTGACTCTGGGACCCCTGGCTTACCCTCTGATGTCTGCTGTTCCCAAAGTAGTCCCACTCACAGTGATGGCCCACTCACAACCTCAACCACCCTGAAACTGATCTCTGTAGTTACAACTTTTCTTATTGTATTTTCAGAATTATCTGCCCACTCCAATGAGTGGCTTCATGAATTGGATGAGGTCTGTCTCTAAGACTTGTGAGACTTTTGTAGGGGGCTCGTAGTCCTTGGACACAGGGAGCCTCTGTAGGGAGCACCACCAGCTCATCTCAACAGAAGTCACTGGCTCTTTGACTTAGACCTGCAGGGAGCTGAGCTCTGTGGCTCTTCCTCCTCTTGGAAGGAGTGGATCTCAATAGGGACCTAAAAACTGCTCCTAGCTCCCGCTCTGCCTCCATTTCTCTCCCTGTTTGGTAAGACATTCATGAGGCTTTCCTGTGCCCTCCTGTGCAATTCCATGACGTATGGGCCAGGTGTTAGTTGCACTAACACTGTAACACCTGAAGGTATTATAATGATGATCTAATGGTGGGTATCGTGACAAAAGTCTGGCTCTTGGAGCCCTCATCTTTCTGCTTTTTATAATCTGGTTCTTTAAGTTAACGTAATTTTGATCCAATAGTAGAGGCTCAGGTTTCTTTTTTCTCTCAGATGTCAGAGGTGATGAAACACGCTGATGATATCTCCTATTTGTCTTGGAGTCTCTTCTATTTTGGAGGTCGGGTGAACACATGCCATTGACACATGCTCTGTGGAATGCTTCACAAAGGACTTGGTATAAAGAACTGATGGAACACCACCTGTTCGACAGTCATGCCATCGGCAGCAGGCAGAGATCCATGCTGGTGCCAAAGTTCCTTGCTGTGGCTGGTGTGAAGTGGAGGTGGTTGTCAGGGAGGAGGCACCATGCACTATAGCCTGTCTGCAGTGGGCACCCTGTGTGACCTTAGAGGCTCTCCTGGGGGACCCACTGCTGCTGCTGCTGCTGCTCCTGGGACCTCTGGCCTTGGGACCTGGCTAAGAAAGCATTGTTTTGGGGGAAAGTTCTGCACCTCCTGCTTTTCAATGGTACAACTGGCTGCAAAGTAAAGTCCAAAGTAGAGTCCAAAAATATGAGCAAGTGATTGAATTCAATAATAATATTTTTGTTAGATACTGGTTTTGACCAAAGTAATGAGGCCTGGTTTTCTATGTGATATTGTTTGGCTGTGTTCCCACCCAAATCTCATCTTGAATTCCCACATGTTGTAGGAGAGACCTGATGGAAGGCAATTGAACCATGGGGGCAGGTCTTTCCTGTGCTGTTCTCGTGACAGTGAATATATTTCACAAGATCTGATGGTTATTACAAGGGGGAGTTTTCCTGCACAAGCTCTCTTTGCCTGCTGGCATCCATGTAAGACATGACTTGCTCTTCCTTGCTTTCTGCCATGATCGTGAGGCTTACCCAGCCACGTGGAACTGTAAGTCCAATAAACCTCTTTCTTCTGTAAATTGCCCAGTCTCAGGTATGTCTTTATCAGCAGTGTGAAAACAGACTAATACATTAAATTGATACTAGTAGAGTGGGGCACCGCTGAAAAGATACCCGAAAATGTGGAAGCCACTTTGGAATTGGGTAATAGGCAGAGGTTGAAACAGTTTGGAGGGCTCAGAAGAAGACAAGAAAATGTGGGAAAGTTTGGAACTTCCTAGAGACTTGAAGGACTTTGACTAAAGCCTGATAGTGATGTGGACAATAAGGTCCAGGCTGAGGTAGTCTCAGATGCAGACAAGGAACTTGTTGGGAACTGGAGAAAAGGTGACTCTTGTTATGTTTAACAAAGAGACTGGCAGCATTTTGCCCCTGCCCTAGAGATTTGTGGAACTTCGAACTTGAGAGAGATGATTAGGGTATCTGGCGGAAGAAATTTCTAAGCAGCAAAGCATTCAATAGGTGACTTGGGTGCTGTTAAAGGCATTTAGTTTTATAAGAGAAGCAGAGCATAAACATTTGGAAAATTTGCAGCCTGACAATGTGATAGAAAAGAAAAACCTATTTTCTGAGGAGAATTTGAAGCTGACTGCAGAAATTTGCATAAGTAACGAGGAGCCGAATATTAATCCCCAAGATAATGGGAAAAATGTCTCCAGGGCATGTCAGAGGTCTTCATGGCAGCCCCTCCCATCACAGGTCCAGAGGCCTAGGAGAAAATGTTTTCATGGGCTAGGGCCAGGGTCCCCATGCTGTGTGCAGTCTAGGACTTGGTGCCCTGTGTCACGGCCACTCCAGCCATAACTAAAAGAGGCTAGTGCTTCAGAGGGTGGAAGCCCCAAGTCTTGGCAGCTTTCATGCAGTGTTGAGCCTGTGGGTACACAGAAATCAAGAATTGAGGTTTGGGCCAGGCGTGGTGGCTCATATCTGTAATCCTAGCATTTTGGGAAGCCATGGCAGGTGGATCACCTGAGGTCAGGAGTACAAGACCAGCCCAGCCAACTGGGGAAACCCTGTCTCTACTAAAAATACTTAAAATTAGCTGGGCATGGTGGCACATGCCTGTAATCCCAGCTACTTGGGAGGCTGAGGCAGGAGAATCACTTGAACCAAGGAGGAAAAGGTTGCAGTGAGCCAACATTGCACTACTGCACTCCAGCCTGGACAAGACAGCAGAATTCTGTCTGGGGTTGCGGGGCGGGGAAAATTGAGGTTTGGAAACCTCTGCCTAGACCTCAGAAGATGTATGAAAATGCCTGGATGTCCAGGCAAAAGTTTGCTATAGGGGTGGGTCCCTCATGGAGAACCTCTGCTAGCGCAGTGCAGAAGGAAAATGTGGGGTCAGAGCCCCCCCCAACAGAGTCCCTAGTGGAGCTGTGAGCAGAGGGCCACCATCCTCCAGACCCCAGAATGCTAGATCCCAGTGGATCTAGCATTGCACCATGCACCTGGAAAAGCCGCAGACACTCAATGACAGCCTGTGAAAGCAGCCAGGAGGGAGGCTGTACCCTGCAGAGCTACAGGGGTGGAGCTGCCCAAGGCAATGGGAACCCACCTCTTGCATCAGTGTGACCTGGATGTGAGACATGGAATCAAAGGGGATCATTTTGGACCTTTAAGATTTGACTGCCCTGCTGGATTCTGGACTTGCGTGGGGCCTGTAGCTCCTTTGTTTTGGCCAATGTCTCTCATTTGGAATGGCTGTATTTATCCCATGCCTATACTCCCATTGTATCTAGGAAGTAAGTAACTTGCTTTTGATTTTACAGGCTCATAGGCAGAAGGGACTTGCCTTGTCTCAGATGAGACTTTGGACTGTGGACTTCTCAGTTAATGCTGAAATGAGTTAAGACTTTGGGGAATTGTTAGGAAGGCATGATTGGTTTTGAAATGTGAGGACATAAGATTTGGGAGGGGCCGGGGTGGAATGATATGGTTTGGCTGTGTCCCCACCCAAATCTCACCTTGAATTCCCACGTGTTATAGGAGGGACCTGGTGGGAGGTAATTGAATCATGGGGACAGGTCTTTCCTGTGCTGTTCTCGTGACAGTGAATTAAGTCTCACGAGATCTTATGGTTATTATAAGGGGGAGTTTTCCTGCACAAGCTCTCTCTTTGCGTGCTGCCATCCACGTAAGACATGACTTGCTCCTCCTTGCCTTCTGCCATGATTGTGAGGCTTCCCCAGCCACATGGGACTGTAAGTTCAATTAAACCTCTTTCTTTTGTAAATTGTCCAGTCTTGGGTATGTCTTTATCAGTAGCTTGAAAACGGACTAATACACTATGTGACTCAACATCTTTCTAAAGGCAATTACAAAAGAGGAATTTCAAAAACATTCTGTGAAATGGCTGCCTTACTGGAATAAATAAACTATCTGCCAAGGTGACTGCTTTGAAGACTAACATTAATTTGGATGTGTCAGATCTCTTTGTTATACAGTCACACCTGGAAGAATGTTTTAGTGAGCCTAGCTTTTGCGGCAGAATAAATGAATACCACTCACTTCATACATAACTACAGACCAGAATGAAATGAGAAAATAAATAAGACCAGAGGATAGAAAATACAGTGTAGTACTATCCACTGATAGTGTGATAATACTAAAAACCCCAGTGAAATGACTAAGCACAGAACACTTTAAGGTGATCCTTCTGGGGAATCACCCTCACTAGCATTTACTTGAACGATTATCAACAAGAATAATGTGAAACTATATTAAACAGTTGAGAAAAAACAAATAATATGTTATTTTGGATTTGCTTCAAAATGATAGTGGGGGAAAGGCATAAATGAACTGGTCTTAAGTGCATATTATTGAAGCAGGTGGATCAGTACATCTGTCTGCTTTTGTTCATGCTTAAAATTTTCCACAACAGAAGACAGAAAATGATAAAAAATAATTATAGAAATATATAGTTTTAGAAAATGAGCATATCTTAGGGCTACATTGATGTTAAGAATAAATAGATTTTCCCCTTCAATCCAAAGTATTGATACTATCAATCTAGAGCAGTAGATTTTTAATAAAAAGGAATTAATCTGTGAGGTTATATGCTAGCTGATGGTTCTTGGCAATGATGAGAAAACCAGGTTAATCTGCAGTAGGTAGCTACTGGTTGGGAAATAGTTTTATCTCTATAAACTATTTATATTAATACACCTAAGCGAGTAGAGCTACAACCATCATCTGATTATCTTTAATGTTAACAGAATATGTGGAAAGACTTAATACATTATAGGTTTGCCTTCAAACTCAACTAAATGTAAATATGTAATCTACATATATCTAAGAGGTAATTATGTTTTTTTAATTTGGCATTTTTGTGAATACTGGTTCAAGTCGGGCAGTAAAATACACATAAGCTCATGGGTTTTATACATGGAATTCAATGAACTTTACATGAAACTGAAGCTGCTGAACAGCCATATTGGAATGCCCTTTCAGATTTTGGATTTATAGAGTCATCTATACTCTTTACTCCTGAAGATCAGCATGAAGATGCAGTCAGATGCCTGGAGCACAGGATTCAACTGGGATCACACTTTTGATCTTGGTTTCATTGGCAATGTGAAACCAAGTGGATGAGGTTGGGCAAATGCTCAAAGTTGTGCAAAGTTGTATGCCCTCATGCTAACTTTACACAAACTTGTTAAATTTTACCTGCTTAATCTGCTCTTGCCTAACACCACAAGAAATTTACTGAAAGAAATTCTAGGTTGAAAAATATTAAATGAAAAAGAGAAATATCAAGGTAAAATGACTGAAATTTCAAGGATATCTTGTGATCTAAAAAGCAGATATTCTTTAAAGTTACTTAGAGTCCATAGGATGTAATGTAACCAGTACTGTTTTATAACCAGGCTGATGTAGGTTTCAACTCTCACATCATCTACTCGTTTTTATAATTTGGGGCAAACTGCTTCTTTGCCTGAATTTCACCAACTTTAAAATGGCCATGTCAAATATGTCATGAGGATTAAGTGAGAGCACCAGAACTAACACTCAGTGTGGGCTGACTATGTGCAGACACTATCCAAAGCACTACACAAACAGAGCTCATCTAATCTTCAAAACCTCCTGATGATGCAACTACTATTATTATCTACATTCTTCCAGATGAGGACATTCAGGCAAAGAGTTGAGTAACTTGTTCAACAGTACCAGTAGAATGAAAATCTGAACTTGGTTGCTTAGTATCCAAAGCCCACATCTTTGATCACTCCACGTAACCTTGGACACAGTAGCAGCTCAGGAAACATTTGTTCTTTCATTTTTGCAGGCCTATAGGTAATTACTTATTTTATAGATGGAGAATCCAAGTATATATTTAAAATAAAGCTTGAGGCTGGGCATGGTGGCTGACACCTGTAATCCCAGCACTTTGGGAGGCTGAGGCGGGCGGATAACCTGAGGTCAGGAGTTTAAGACTAGCCTGGCCAACATAGTAAAACCCCATCTCTGCTAAAAATACAAACATTAGCCAGGTGTGGTGGTGCATGCCTGTAGTCCCAGCTACTCGGGAGGCTGAGGCAGGAGAATCACTTGAACCTGGGAGGTGGAGGTTGCAGTGAGCTGAGATTGTGCCACTGCATTCCAGCCTGGGTGATAGAGTGAGACTCCCTCTTAACAAACAACTCACTTTACTGTAACGGTAGTGAAAGCCTTCCCTATTGTTATTTTTAAAAATCATTACTATCTAAGCTTATATGTAACTATAAGTGGAAATGTACAAGCAATTTATGACAAAGCTGACAATTTCTTATTTGGAGTTACCTAGTTTAGAATATCAAGTTTTCCAAAAGGGTGTTTTACAAAAAGAACTTACTAAACTAGATAAAATAACATCCGCTCTTTCCAGCACCAATAAAAGTTATGAAACAACCTCTATTGAAAGTAGAATATTTTGAATGACGTGAGTAAACAAACATCAATTTTTAACATTTCCTTCCAACATTAAGAAAAATATGGAGAAGGCAATTTCTTCTTAGGAATAACTGAGTTATTTTAGAGGATATATATATCACTTCTATGCTAATGAACAATATTTAAAATTAATAGAATTATGTTAATGTTATAGAAAAGCAGATATAGTCGAAATTTTAACTACTTCTCAAAGGATTAAATAAGAGGGAATATATACAATATTAAACTTGAATTATCCACTAATAGTAAGATGCTTTGGTACATTTAAAAATATTAAAAATTACTTGTGTGTAAGTGTCAAAATGTACGACACTCCAAGCAATGGGCATGTGGTGTCTCATCAGTTGTCACAAGAACCAAACAGCTGCCTGTCATTAACCCTAGGTGTTGTGAGATTTACTGAAAATTTTTACCAAATCTTCACTTCACTGAAATAAATTCCCTGTTGAAAAATATTTAAATGATGTTATTCGACTTCAAAGTATATTGAAAATGTGGCTTCGTCACCAAATACATGAGTAATATGAAAATAAAAATGGAATGACCTATAAATTCTCAATGTTTTCTAAAGTTACCAACATTAAAGGAACATATTTCCTGAAATTTCATTTGCCCACCAACTCATGATGAATTATAGAAATATCAAAATAAATCTGCACTATCCAAGATGAAAATATAAATTCACAAAGGGGAGGAATTTTAAGGTAAAACCAACAAAAAACTCATAAAATAGTGAAATTAAACCCATAAAACGCTAACTTTAATGATGCCAAAATTAAATATACTAAAGTTAACTCTAGTGCTTGGTAGCATAGTTTTCTAACATTTGGTGCAGATTTTAAAAACGTTCACTTCATAGCCTGCACACAGACTTATTAGAATAATCGTAAGAAACACAGAAGAAAATTTCCACTGCTTGGGTATGTTTCAGTAGCCTCTTTTGGTAGCTCTGTAAAGTACATAAGTAGCGGCAGAAGGTGGCAGTACTGAGCTAGAAAAACCTGACGGCTTCAGGAGCTGTAGCTGAAACCTGAGGTAGTCCAAAGCCCACACTCTGGAATTGATCATTAGACTTTATTACAGATAAACAATGTAAAACTCTGGCAAACCTAATCTATAAACTACATGTTTCTCCATCAAAAATCAGGAATATTCAATAGATTTCAAGAAATATCTACTTTACAGCATTGTTACCCTAACTGCTCAGCAATATTTTATTTATATATATATATTTATATAAAAGAGAGTGAAATGTGTCTTACAAAACAATAAAATGCAAACCTTTTATAGGGATCAATGAGGCAGAAAGTTCCATAGAGCTTACCATTCATCAGGAGAGCAGCCATAATCCTCAGGTTCAGGGACATGGCTTCAGAAAGCAAGAAGAGAGGCAGAAAGAGAGGAAAAATAATCACAGAAAGGCTGGAAACATAAAACCACGAAGAAGGGAAGTATAAAAAGATGGATCACTGAAAAGTTAACAAAATGAACTTTTAGTTGAATCTGAAAGAATGGCAGTTAGTACAGCAAATAGAACATAATGATTCATGGTAGCTCAGCAGGTTTACAAAGTTATCCTGTAACTGTATAGCCAATTTGCCTCTTCACCAGAACATTTACTGATTTTATTCACAAAGTTCATAATTCAGTAGGAATTATTTCAACTTAGCAGTTGAAATGCTAAAGCCAATGGAAAATTAATCATATGTGTTATATAATCAGAATAAAGTGTTTCAAGGTAACAAACATGCTAATATCTTGAAACAAATTATCACACTAATAAAATTTGTCAAATACATTTTAGAAGTAACTTTGGCTACCACGAGATGATGGTTACTTCAACAGGTACATTAAAGTAAAAGTTACCTGCATTTCTATAATTAAATGGAACCTTAGTTTAAGAATTTAAATGATATTAAAAAATTTTCACTTAAACTATTTCACTCATTAAAACACTCTTTATTTCAAACAGGAAACATATTCATTAATATCTTCTTTAATTTCATCCATTCGCTCATCTGAACACTAGGAAAGTCTGATAGATGTACTTCATTTCAGCCAGTCATGTATTCAATTGGAAGGGGCCCATAATACATGACAGACCAGATTTTTTTATTTTCCATTTCTTTCATAATATAATCATATACTTTTCCTGTAAATTTATTAGACATGGAGTTTTAAAATGCAGAGTTCAGTACAAATGAAAAGTCACTGTTATTTTTGACGAATATACAATAAACTTTGTTAAAAACTCATGGGATCCTTTCACTTCCTAAAAGTTCAATCTTTCATCAACCCAGCCAAGGCAGGGACTTCATCATTCCAAGGCACCTCTTCCACTACCAAAACATTAATTTGCTTCCAGTGCAGTATCCACTATATCACTCCAATCACAATGGAGGTGGTCCCTTTTAACTCACTATTCTCTCTCCTACCAAAGGGCTTTTGTGCCTGCTTAAGAAGAAGGGCTAATCAAGCCCTTTGTGGGCTGGACTCCAAGAAAAGGAGTTGGCATGCTGCAAAGCTCTGTGGAAACTGGCTGCAACTCCATGTTTAAAGCAATCACTTCAGATCAGCCTCAAGGCTTGGACCCTAGCCCATGGACTGTGCCAGGGAAGGGCCTGGTACTAACCAAGCAACACTGTGCATGGTCCTGCCAAGCTGCACTAGCCCCAATCTCATACCAGGACAGGGGATAAAGTTTCCCAAGTCATGCAGCTTAAAAGCTCCAGAGCTCAAGTGCCAGAGACCCTCTTCACAACTCTGGCGCAGCCCTGGAAGAATGCTGAGCACTACCTAGAGCCCGATGAGCAGTAGGTGGCCTGCAAACCTGCCACTGATCCTATATGCAAGTTTCCCTGTTATTGCTGCTCCAGAAGCTCTGGTGTCTACGTGGTATCTGGCTTTTTGCCTTTGTATGTGCCAGTGCTATAACATCTACCTGGTAAGTTCTTCACTTAATCAAATTCATTCTTAGATCTCAACTCCAGAATCACTTTCTTAGGGCATATTTCCTTGCCTTCCCTGTTTAGATCAAACCACCCATTATAGCCTCACATAGACCTCTATACTGTGTTAGGACTTTATATTTGTCTGTATGATTACTTAATTAGCATCCACTAAGTGCCAATTAGACTATACACTTTAGGCAGGAGGAAATCATGTGAACTTTTGCCTTTTTTACCTGCATTATCTATCAAAGTGTCACATACATCAACACTTGAGATATACAGATAAATAAATGAATGGAGTTGACTAGAATTTATCACAAGTCATGGTGAGCAGTAAGATAAACATGGCTGTAGCAAGATCTTGGGGGATAGTATTATGATAATCGTGAAATTTCTCGTGGTGAGTCTCTTCTTGGGGTTAAAGAAGTAGCCGATCCTTCCAGCAAATATATAGCTAAACCAAATACTGTCAAGTAAAGTTATTCACACAGTATATTCATATATAAAGATTGCTTTTAAAAACTTATTTTTCATTTAAAGGGAAAATGCAAATGATGTTTTTAATACGAATTAAATGCCTTGTCCACACAAAAAAGCATTTTGTTTGCTTAACAGAATTTCTTTTTATAGACTGTATCTTGTTAAGCCTCATCCAACTTATTCTAAAAGGTCTAAATTTTTTTTTTTTTTTTTTACAAAGATGGCACTTAGGACTGTATCCCAGAATCTTCACTCTATTGAGATTTGTGGCCCCTGAACAGAGAAACTGCTTACCTATTCCGGGTATTCAAGTAACTATTATAAAACTGACTTATTCCCTACAAGAAGCAATTAGCTGAAATGATACTTTAATAACTAATGTTTACAGTAAAATGTCTGGTTTGTCATAAGTTAAATTTACAAATGATATCACAATTCACTTACATTTTACTGTAATTGTCCCATAAAAAGATCTAATGAAATAATCTAATAATTTTGCAGTGCATTCCTAACTAAAAGTTGATTTCTACAAGATAATCATCATTGGCAACTATGTACAAATCTATTTTATTGCCCATCATGAATCCAATTTGGGGCGAAGGTTCAGGGAAATCAAAGAAAATTTATTAAAATTAAATTCTGATGCACGGTTTTAAGTGTTAATTATAATTTTCTTACAAACATGGAATACCCAGAACTAGCTAGGAATTATACTATCAGGAAACTTCAAGCCTTATTCTTCTGATAAGACACAACAGAACTCACTTGAACCCTATCTGGGGTGAAACTGAGCTGTACCTGATGTTTTGGCAACACTGAGGCAAAATCAGCTCTGCACTTGTAACACCAAAGGCTTTTGTCAGGATATGAAATTTTGTGTTACTCTCTGGTTTTGCCACCTCCCTAGGGGCATAAACACCTTGCTTTCTTCCACTGGGGTTAAAAGTGCTCATACATAATAGTTCCCATATTAAGCAATTGTTAAATGCTGCTCTGGGGAAAATAAGATAGCAAAGCCAGGTCATTTCCCCCATCTGGATTCCCATAATCCAAGAGTGCCCAGAGGAAATCTACACAGAAAAGTGCTAGACAGTAATTACTCTCTCTCACCCCTTCACATCTAACCATGGAGACTGGCTGTAATTAAGTAACAGTGTTATTTTCCCTGCTGTAAACATGTGGTCAAGTCAGAAGTCACGGTTTCTCCAAAACTTTCAGACATCAACAACTCTCTACGATGCTAACAGTCCAATAATCCACCAGGATGTGTTTGGGAGGGAACACTGATAAAAACTCAAGGTTAAGGATGCCTAAAAGCACATACACAAACATGATCACTGGAAGCAGTTTAACTAGCTTTACTCTACATGGCTTCTGGTATCCTTGAAAATATGATACCATAACTAAAAAGGAAACAGATTTCGGCTTATACAGTTAAAATTTGCAAACAAATAAACTTCTGTTTATTTCTAAACATTATGTTAGATTTCGTATCTGGAAAAGGACTTTAGAAATGGTTTGGTCTCACTATCCACATCTTAAAGAGTAGGGAATATCTGAAAATAGATTTTCTAGGATTACATGGTAAATTCTAGACAAAGCCAGAACTCATGGCTTCTGACTGTATCTCAGGATTAAGAAATATTATTTCCTCAGGAAGAAATTCACTTCACTGGCAATTTAATCTCAATGATGACAATACTGAGCTCAGACCCACCCTATAACAGTTGTTAATGATGACATTGTCAACAGACACAGATGGGCACTGCTCTTTAGAACTACTGCCTAGGAGTGTTTAAGGACCTCTTCCAAGAATAAGAAAAAACCTGATAAAATGCGGAAGAAAACAGAGGCTAGATCTGATTTTAGCTTTCTGTTCTGAAAATTTCACAATCAATAATTACTAATTTGATGAACCTGCTTATTGAATTATAAAATCACACAAAGTAAAAAACAATGCCAATTATTAAACAGGCCATTGTGGAAATACTAGTTATGAATGAATACAGAATTTGTGTAAAAAAATCATCATAAATCTGAGAACTCTAGAATTGCAATAGGCTTTACTTTTCTCCTCTGGGATGATTGTGGGTAGAATATATAAGTACAAGATGTCAAAAAGTGTGGCTGCAACTCTCCTGCTCCAGTAGCAATTTGTTGGGAGGAGGGTGGAGGAGGCAGGTGAGCCTCTTACATCTAAGGAAATTAGAACATCTTCAGATAAAGAAGAAAGATGAAAAACAGCATCCAGCCCGGGAAGCAGTAAGTATGCTTCTTAAATCAACAGGCTGTCTTTACAGTGTGAAAAAGCCACTCAACTGCCTTTTTAACCTCGTTTATACATATAGTTTATAGTCATTTTTAGTCATGCTCTCGTAACGCAAAGAACAAGGATATCTAGGAATAACCATATACTTTTGGGATTTTTCATGAAATGTTTACTTATTTATAATTTTAACTAAGGCATTTCAAAATGTAACACTCTTTGTCACTGGCTTACTGCTCAGAGTGAGTGGGGAAGAGTGGGTGCAAGCCAGAAAACCTAGAAGCAAGTGTCCATGCTTGTATGAGTAGGAGGCTGATATTTACTAGTCTCACTTCTAGGTAGATAAGGATAATTGGCAAGTTTGACAATAGGCCAATGTCAACCAGCCAGGAGAGTGTTTCACCTTTTGATGTCTTTTCTAGGAAATGTAGAAATTAATTTTCTCACATTACCCTATAAAATATTTTAAAGAGAAGGCTATGGAACAGCTTGTAAGCATACCTGGAAGTAAGAAATAAATTAAATGGGTGCTCAACAAGCAATTCTAAAGAAATTAACAGCCTGATAAAAGTTTCTGATGATATTAATTATCCTCCAGATTCAAGAGTTTCATGTCTCTACCTCCTTTCCATCATCAGAATTTTAGATTGCTCTATGACTGCAAAAAGGAGAGATGATAGAAGAAAAAAAAAGTATCAAAAGGGGTAACTGTCACTATTTTAACTTGAAAACTGCTCAAGGCCTGATTATCTGTCCTTACCAGATCCAAGCTATACTCCAGTTTATAGTAGTGTAAAAGGAAATATATTTGTTCCTTATTACCAGGGCAAGAGAGAGACTTTCAGCAACACTAAACACTGAAAATACCATTGGGCAGAGCACCCACCTCATGTCATCCCAAATGAAAACAATGCTAAACTAGAAACGCGAAATATACATGTGTCCTAAAATTATAACAGCTGCTTTTCAGACTAAAAAAAACCAAACAACCCCATACCCTCCCCTAATAAGAACTCCCAAATGTACCAAACTGTTAGCACTAATTAAGCATGTATTTCATATCCTAATTAAAGGAAAAAACTCACCCATAAGCAACTCCCGCTATGGTGCACTTCTTAAACTGCATTACATTGCATGTCAGAGTACCAGTTTTGTCAGAAAATATGTATTTAACCTAAAAAAGTTTAAAATTTCTCATTAATATTTTGAAAGTCTTTATGCCACTCTTTTACAGAGAAACCCCTCATGCTTTTTATTAACATTGCAGGGGCACAATGAATATTACTAAGGAACTATTTTCTGCCCATTTATCAAGGAATATATTCAGCTTTTTAAAAAGTATTTTACAAATGAATCTTTTCACATATGAATATTAAAGACTATCACCATACTAGAAAACTATATAGACATATGCCTTAGTATGGTCTGAATTTCCACTAGAAAGTGCCACTACCACTACTTAACATTTACAGAGCACTGAAACAGCTATCAGCATTTCTCAATGCAACAGGCAATTGTAGAATTTGTAACAGCTTGCGCAATTAACTTCATGCAACATCTGAACTGGTAAGAAATAAGAATAATTCTGGACTAGATGCTATTTGTAAAGCATAAGTTGGAATATGGCAACAATACAAAAAAGAAAAACCTAGAATATGTTAATGGATTACAAATATACACATATGTGAATATAGTATGAATTATAAATCTAACATTCCTATTGACTAGACTCACATAGCTTCGTTGATGAACTTTTCCTCCCTTCCTGGCTGAAAGGTATGAACAATTCTAAAACTACGTTTATAACTTGAAAATAGCCAATATGTTGCATACTAGCTTGACTATATACCAAGGGACATCTCGAAGCTCTTGGAGTGCTTTACCTTGAGAGCAAAATCTCCTTGAGACAGTGTTTTTAAAAACTGATTTATTAAAAATGAGAATTGTTCATCATGCACTAACAAATATATTATTCAAATAGTGGAAAATTAAAAGCTGTCCATTCATCTGCAGTTATCATATATGGCAGATACCACACCAAATCTAACTTTTTAATTCCACACATAATCAACAATAAATTGAGTTTACCTGGCCAAGTTCCTCATTCAGATTAGATGTTCGAGCCATAGCAGCAGTGTCTGTGGGTTCATAGTGCATGTCAAGATCCTTTAATAAAATTAAGTAAATCATTGAACACAACTGGTAATAAGGAATTGGGTGAAACTTTAAAAGAAAACAATTAGTATATTCGTACTTCAATAAGTCACTGTTTGATGAACTATATGTAGGCACTAATTTCCTGTTATTCCTATACCATTTAATTCGATTTTTCTGAAAAGTATTCAATACAGACTACTATATTCCACAGTAAGGGCAGAACAGT
Source organism: Homo sapiens (assembly GCF_000001405.40). Lineage (NCBI taxonomy): Eukaryota > Metazoa > Chordata > Mammalia > Primates > Hominidae > Homo > Homo sapiens. The sequence continues at coordinate 42,575,917 of NC_000004.12, forward strand.
ATGGTAGTTAGAGCCTGTCTATGAATCATGCAATCTAGGTTTACTATCATTCCACCATTTTCTATATAAATGACCTATTATAAGGATTAAAAGATACCACACAAAGTGCTTCCTACTGTGTCCGACACAAGGCAGGTATTTAGTAATGTGAGCTAGAACTCAGCAACTAAGAACTGCTCAAATAATTAGGTCTTCAAACCCCTGGAAAAAGTACCCAAGAGATTCTATCTGGTTTTACTTTCTGGGCCAAGAAAGAAAAACAAAATGCACTTCTCAAAAGATAAAAATGTCACGCCTATAATCCCAGCACTTTGGGAGGCCAAGATGGGCGGATCACGAGGTCAGGAAATCGAGACCATCCTGGCTAACACGGTGAAACCCCGTCTCTACTAAAAAAAAATACAAAAAAATCAGCCGGGAGTGGTGGCAGGCACCTGCAGTCCCAGCTACGGTGGAGGCTGAGGCAGGAGAATGGCGTGAACCCGGGTGGCAAAGCTCGCAGTGAGCCTAGATCGCGCCACTGCACTCCAGCCTGGGCGACAGAGCAAGACGCCGTCTCAAAAAAAAAAAAAAAAAAAAAAAAAAAAAAAGAGCATAGTTTTTTACTTATTTGTACTTGCCTTGTGTCCAGTAATCATGAGACTTGACTATATTATCCTATGAAATTAACATTTTCTATATTAGACTATTTTATTAACAAATCAGGGTTGTAGTTCACAAATTTTCATGTCAAATGAAAAGGTCAAAATTCAAAGCCCATCTCTCCCATGTCTGTATTCTGAACTGATCAACATCACTTCTGAAATAGGTTATTGAGTTTTATGTGCCATGTGTTAAGAGAGAGATTAACCAACTGGGCCTTTGTTCAGAAGAGAAAGTGATCAGAATAGAGATTAATCTGGAAATCACATGAACTGAAGGACAACAGAAGGCGGGGAATGTTTAATTAGAAAGGAAAAGATAGGATAGAATTGGCATGATAGCTGAGTTCAGATATTTTGCAAGACTATCATTCAGAAACAAGATTAAGCATTTTCTTAATAGATCCATTGGGAAGAACCAGAATCAAAGGAAGACAGTTATAATCTCATTTTCACACAAGAAAGTTGCTTTGTAAAAGAAGGCTGGAAAGTCAGTGTTCTATCTGTCAGATGTTATAAAATCTCTGTATATTAGAAAGGTGGTTGAAAGCATAAGCCTGCTGGGTTCATCCAATACTAAAATTATATAATTCTTTGAAAGATATTATTTTTGAAAATCAAAACAACAAAGTGATTATCTAGCTTACTTATGTGATTCTCACAATGAGTTACCCTATTATTGCTATAAGAAACTTCAATAAGTCTTACTTATATTTGTACATATCCTATTACGTAATTTTTCAGCCATATATCTCCTGCATGAAGTGAGCTACACCTGCAGCTCATTTTAGATTTCTAAATCACACTGATTTCTTACCAATGAATTAAGAGATTGACAGTTTAGGTAGATAATTCGCTACAAGAAGATAATGAGCAGTTACAAAAGTATGTCATATTTTTCGAAACCCTAATATTGTTCATATTGAAAGACTTTACAATGATTGAAAAAGAAAGAAACATCAAAAATAACACAAAGTTTCTCAAAATAAAAGAAAAATTAAATTTTCTGGCAGATTAGGCCCACAGATTTAATTTAGATAAATTCATTAATTTTAACTTTAATAAAAATAAAACTAAGACATTTAAAAACATTTAGAAAGTAGATGTCCAACATTTTTCTAATATTTAACAATATTCAAGAGAAAAATTATGAAGAAAAATTCAAGTGAAGCTAAAATTGTTTACAGTGTAGAAAATAACATGATATAACATGATAATCTGGTTGATATCAGTAAGAATTACAGTATTATTTGTATAGTGATTGATTATTTTCAAAGCTCTTTGCTATGTCAAGAGATTCCTTAGTCCATAAAACCACTGTAAGATGTAGGTAAGGCATATTATCCCTATGATTGTGTTCAAGAAAATAAGTTTCAAAATAAGTGACTTGAGAAAGTTGATACACCTAGTAAATTATAATACTAGAACCATAATTCAGACACTTAACTCCAAACTCATGGTTCTCCATCTCCCACGACCACCATAGGTTTCCTGAACTAGAGACCCATTTTCCCTACAATGTCTGGCCTGTAAACTTGTGTGATTCTGAGATGAGGAACTTTGCAACAAATTAGGTTCAAAAATCTGATACTGTGGTCAAGAAACGGTAGATATAATTAAAACCTTTTTTCTCCTGAGATATCAAAATATCCTAAGGACAAAATTATTTTGTAGGGTGATAACAATCATAATTCATATTTACCCAATTTATGAAGTATGCCTGGGTAAATTTCACAACTTCTAATGTAACCAATAAGCTGATAGGAATGAGATTGTTGAAAAGGATGATGAAGGTCAAGAAATTCAGTCCAAAATTACTAGCGCCACCATCTGTTGGGAGAGGCAGGAAGAACGTCATTTACAGTTTTATATTTTATTTGCATTGACCCCAAATTAGCATAATACAAGTTTTCCATACTACGCAGCTTATTTGATAATTTGGGAGGAACACTTTGCTGATAATCTATCCTAATTCTCAAGTACATCCTTCAAGATAGAATTGCATTGTGTTCAATATGTTGTTAATCCAGGTAAGAGCTGTATAAAAGTACTAAGACAGTGAAAGGACTGTCAAATATTGCAAACCCTCTTCCAAACACAAAGTTTAGAGACATCAGGGATAGCACTGAGGGTTTATAAATATAAAATCTCAATTGGGTAGAATCACTTTTATATAAATTCTTAAGAGTATTTCCAATTTAAAGCATACTTTAAAAGCAAACAAGACAGCAGCAGCAAAAACAATCCAAACTATATGAGTAATATTCAGTCCTAGGTAAATTATTCTCCTAGGTACATTATACTCTTCTTCCTCAAAATGAAAATAAAACTGCTATACCAGATACAATTATAAAGTATACAAAGAAACAGACTGATGGTAGTAACAGTTCTGATACTGAAATAATAAATCAGTAACTATAAAAACAACTTGGAATTGCTGCAAAGATAAATCAATATAATAAAAAAAATTTAAAAATACCAGTTTTTGCTATGTGATTGTACTAGAATTTGCTTTCACACTTTTGGAAGTTAAGTCTTTATTGGCTAAGTACTCATGAAATGAAAATGTAAACTCATTTGACAGAAATATCCAGGGGTGGTACATTAATATCACAATAATAAAAGGATAAATGCTCTAAAGGAAAACTATTTACTAGCACCTTCTCTAAGATAACATTTAATATAGGACTTACCACATTACTGAGTTCAAATGAAAATACATTGGGTTTAAACATTTTTAAACCATATAAACCACTTTTTGGTACTTTTATTTAAATAAAATATAAACAAAGTATATTTTATTTAAGATAAAATATATTTAAATATTTATATTATTTAAATATATTTAAAATATTTTATATATTTATAAATACATACAATATATATTTAAATATATATGTTTTGTTATATCCACACATGGTCAATCTACTTTCTTTACCATATAGTTAACCACCTATGTTAAAAATATTTTTAAGGAATAGTTTTCGTTGATATATATAATAAATGACTATACTTAGTGAACATTTTATACCACTATAGAGTGCTCATTATGTTTTTAAGGATTCTGAAATTTTAGGATTCCCAAATTTTACTTACACTTGCTAGAAATCTCACTGAAAAATAAAGATCAAATGTCCAGCTATCTTGGCAACAAGGTCTTTTTAGAAACAATACGAAATAAAGTAAATCAAGATCAATTGTGAAACAAATACATGTCTTAATCTAAAAAAGTGCAGTAAGCACTTTATTGCTTACAGTTTAGATTGAGATACCAGTCTTTTCCAGAATGCCTTCGATTCCAAATGGCTGAGCCCACAGAACAGACAAGAGACATGGCAATTAAGATACAAAATAAAATCAAAATTTGTACATTTGTAATCCGTTCCACATTTGAGAGCTTAAGTGGTGGACTTGTTGAATTCTGTAAAAAGAAACAAGATGAGTAATAAAAAATGTACACCAATGATTTAGCAATCTATACTTAGTATTCTGTTGAGGATGACAAAGTCACAACTCAGTATCTAGATGTGGGTGGATACGTGAAAATTATGTGAAACCCATGACAAATGTAATAAGGTGCCAATGGTTAACCACCTTTTTTTCAAGGCCACTACACCACCCAGGCCTTTTTCTAGGAAGTAAACTATAAGAAAGAAGAGAACGAAATTACATTCCCTTTGCAAAAATAGCTTTTGCATTGTGGCAGGTAAGATGAATAATGCATTACTTGGCTATGTAAGCAAACAGGGTAGTCTAGAAACATTTAGTGTTTCCGTTCAGGAAGACAGGCAGACAAGGCAGCCCATGCTCCCGCAAACAGGCACCTGGAAATTTGAACATAGGAAGGCAACATTTAAAGGATCTCCGGCTTTCAAATTTCTGGTGGCATTTAGCAATTGTTTTACTGAACGCAGCAACAATTTAAGTAGTCCTGGCTATAAAGAATAACAGAGGCAAGTTGCCTCAGTTGTATTTGATGATTCAAATGGTTATGTAGACCTGTGCTAACCAAAAAATCCATAGAACAGAAAATTAAATGTCAGAATGAATATGAAATGAAGATTTATAGAATTTATAAAATGGCTAGTGGTGGAATCACTAACAGCAATCTCGCTTGCCTATTGATAATACCTTCATGCCTGTACAAGGTACAAAGGTATTAGCTCTGAGAGCAGATTTTCATTTAGTTTCTTAAAACTGTTTTCCACACCCATCTGACTATTGAATATTGATGGTATAACACAGGGACGGAGCAACTGTAGGCAGGTGTGAAGATCAATGCAAGAATTAAAGCTGATGGCAAAAATAGCCTTACATATAAATGCTATGAAAAATGGTCATTTGATTCAAATTTCTAAAAAATTTTATTAAAAGATAGAAATTTAAAAAGTTGACTATTGCATTAAAATTACAAGACAAATGTTTTAATGCAGATCACTTATCATGACATGGACGACTTGTAATAATCACTATAATAGTTAGTAAATGCTGCCATAGACCCATACACAAAATTCTTGAGAGTTCATGCATAATCCCTGGTGAACCTTCCAGTATTCCCGTGTGCAGTTAGCCATTCTTTTTTTATTTTTTTTTTGAGACGGAGTCTTGCTCTGTTGCCCAGGCTGGAGTACAGTGGCGCGATCTCGGCTCACTGCAAGCTCCGCCTCCTGGATTCACGCCATTCTCCTGCCTCAGCCTCCCGAGTAGCTGGGATTACAGGTGTCCACTACCACGCCCGGCTAATTTTTTGTATTTTCAGTAGAGACGGGCTTTCACCGTGTTAGCCAGCATGATCTTGATCTCCTGACCTTGTGATCCGCCCGCCTTGGCCTCCCAAAGTGCTGGGATTACAGGCGTGAGCCACCGCGCCCAGCCCAAGCCATTCTTATAGGGAGGTAATTTCAAGGTCCCACTCACAGGAGTACCAGATTCTGAACATATAGGGTTGGATCAGGAGTCTGTGACAGATGGTCTCCTATGTTTGGGACCACTGCACTGAGATCTGTAAATCATACACTCACAAAAGCCTTAGGTCCAAAAGGTTTCATAGAGAAAAATTTCACCTGCATCAGCTTGGTGTCATGTCCAGTGTAGACAACTATTCCATGAACCCACTGTGTATTTCTCAACTGAGCTCCTCGAAGAAGAATCTGATCTGCTCCCAGTGGAACGGTGCTAGGACAGATTACGTTGACATTAGAAACAGTATTTTCTAAAATGCTTAAGAACTCTAGTTACCATATAGTTACAAAAGTACCCATTATTAAAATAACCCTTCTCATATTTATTTCTGGAAAGTAATTTCCCCCCAGTACAAATAATTTTCTTAAACAGCAACGACACAAGTATTTACATTGCTTTTCCTTAACACCAACCAGTCATTTTCTGTAACTTCACTATCTGGTATGGACTGCACTCTGTCCCTCCACTATTCACATGTTGAAGTTCTTACCACCAATGTAATGGCATTTGGAAATGACCCTTCGGGAGCTAATGTGATTTAGAAGAGGTCATGAGGGTTGGGTCCTCATGAAGGGATTAATGCCCTTATAAAAAGACACTCGAGGAGTTTACTCTTGTCCTTGTGAGGACACAGCAAGAAGGGGCCTTTTGCCAGCCAGGAAGATGACCCTCACCAGAACCCAATCATGCAGGTACTCTGATCTCAGATGTTTAGCCTTTGGAAATGTGAGAAAAATAAATTTCCATCATTAAAGCCACCTAGTCTATGGTGTTTTGTTAGGGCAGCCTGAGCAAGCTAATACATTAACCAAAATAATAGGTAATGTTTTGGAATTCAGAGGCTAATTTACACAACTATTTATAACTTTTCCTAAATAAGTCCATTTAGATTTCTAAAAGTGTTAGGAAGTGATGGGGATAAGGAATCTGTCTACTCACCTCAGCCTCAACACACACACACACCACACACACCCACCCCCCACACACTCTCTCTCCCCCCCCACCCAAATTAAAAATAGCTTTGTACATAATAAAGGTGCAAAAAAATTCCTAAGATAAATACACAGATCTCACCACTTATTTGCATTGCCAGCCCTGACCCCCTACAGACAAGTCCCTGTACTTAAAACCTCTAGAACATTCATTTTTATAGTATTTGAAGATTGGTTTCCCAAGAATTGTGAATAAATTTCCAATGAATAGTAAGCATTTTGGAGCTGTTCATTCCTTATCATTTAAGACACATTTTTCATGAATAAGGTCCCAGTTGGTATTTTTGTGGATTTTTCACAAGGCTACCCACTATGGTAGGTTACTGGGTGATACAACTCACACAGGGACATAAGAAGGAACAAAGCCACCACAATACTAGAGTTCTTGAGGAAAATGTAATACATAAATTTTAATGGGTCATGGATTACTACTACCAAGTCTTCATTTTAATAAGAGAAAAAAGGTCAAATATAAAGAAAAATATATTTAAAAATTCTGGAAAAAGAAGGAAACAATTCCACAAGAAAAGTCGACAGACAACACAGAACTTCTTTGTAAGTGGAGGCAAAGCGAGGCTGAGGTCTTCATTTCTGGTGAGCTGCTCTGGCCCAGTAGGCTTGGAAGGCTAGTAGCAGCTTGGGCCTTGGACATTCAGGAACTACACAAATTCTGACACAGGTAAAATCAATCCCGATGCGTAGGTAACAATTGCACTTGAATGAATCCTTAGGAAATACTGTATTCCAATTTAGAGAAAGAACAAAGCAATTGCAACTCTCATTCTTTATGTACAATAGCATGCCTTTAGGACCTGTCTGGAAGGAAACCCCTCTGGTATATATCTCAAGATTAAGGGTGCATTTCAGAGTTGAAAGGGGCCTTGGGCCTAAAGTGGGTTTCCAATAACTTCTTGGGAAGCTGCACTATGCTCTGGGACACACGTGTGACAACTGTTCCTTACCCAGCCAATGGGGTATAATATGGCAACTGTCACCTCAGCAGTGGTGGTGTGGATTGACCGGAATTAGACACAAACTCTTCAAAAGCAAAACATACCACTTTTCAATTACAAGGACTCAAGAAGAATTAGTTAGTTTTCATCATAGCTGGTGTTCCAAGGCTTCTGGCATTAGACTATGACCCTCATCCTTAAAAGCAACAAAGTATACTCATTCCAAAGGGTCTCCAAGAGCTTTGGGTAATCACTGTAAACCCCAAAAGTGCCACAGATACAAAGGTCTTGAAAATCTATCTTTCACATGAAATACAGCATATTATATAAATTCTCTTTGTACCTTGAATCTTGGCACCATCATACAAAGTTTCTCCTTCACAGCATAGATTTGCTCAGCAACAATTTGACAGAAAACTGTTAAGACATGGAAGCTGGCCAGTTAGGAATGTCAGACTATAGAAACAATACTGGTATAAATGGCCAAATCTATCATTAGTCTTTAACCAGATGTTCATGGAACGATCACTCTGTGAAAATTTTAGAACAACATATAATTACTTCACGGATTACAGGAAAGCTTTTGGAGGATCTGAATGAGGATGACAGTTCAGGGTATACTTCAAATGTCCTTTAGAATTCAAACACTCTAATAATGCAATTACAAAATAATGAAAACACCAAAAACATTCTCTCAGGCTGCTGAGTTCAACTAGTATATTTAGCCAACATTTAGTTGGCCACTACAATGCCTGGGAGATAAGGTATACCATAAAGTAGGGGAAGCAGGGAAAGAAGGGAATGGAGGAGGAGAAAAGAGGGGAGAAGGGAAGCAGGAAAGACTTCACCTTTTCTGCCAGTTTCTGCCTCATTTCTTTGCTCTCTTTGCAACAAAACTCTTTGAAAAAGAAGTCTATACTTGCTATTTTCAACTCTTCTTCCATTTTCTCAAACTCACTATCGTCAGGCACCTGTTCTAATCAATTTCAATGATCTCCACTTGCCAAACGTAAATATGTTAGTGGTCAGTCTCATTGTACTTGACCATCAGCAATGTCAGACTCAGTTTTGGTCCCCCTGCTTTGGTACAGTTTCTTCACTCTCTCTTGGTTACCATCCTATAAACTTGGTCTCCATCTCTTTCACTAGTGCCTTTGCCTTTCCCAACATAACGTTGGAGGGTCTCAGGATAGCTCTTGGGTCTCTTCAGTTTTCTGTCTATACCCTTTCATTCTCAGTTATTTCTTCCATCCTCATGGCTTTAAATATCTATGCCACTTACTTCCAAACATATCTCATGAACCCAGACTTCTGTCCCAAACTTCAGATATATATTCAACAGCCTCCTGGACATCTCTGTTTGGACCAAACTTATAAAGTCCAAAACTGAACTGCTGACCTTTCTTCCTCAAAATCCTCCAGTGAATTCCCATTTCACTCAGAGTAACATCCTCACAATGGCCTACAAAGCCCATAGGATCTGGCCCTCTATTTTCTCTAGGCCCTTCTTCTATTACTCTCTTCATTGATCATAGCACTCCAACCACACTGCCCTAACATTCCACAATTATTCCAGGCACTTTTCCACTTGAAGATCATGTAATGACAGAACTAATAATTTACACTGACTACTCCTTCCATCTGGAATTATCTCCCTCCAGATATTCAAAAGGCAAATGTCCTCACCTCCCACTCATCATTGCTCAAATGTTACCTTTTCAATGAGGCTAACTGTGACCACCCTAACAAAAAGTTGTTCCCTTCCAAAGACACCCAATCTTCCTTATTCTGTGCTATTTGTTTTCCCAAAGCATTTATCACTTTCTAACATAGTATAAACTTCTTATTTATCATCTTATTGTTTGTATGTTTGCCATTACCTTACTGCAAGAAAGTAAGCTCACAAGGTGCTATGGTCTGAAAGTTTGTGTCTCCCCAAAATTCACATGTTGAAACTGAATTCCCAAAGCGGTGTATCAGAAGGTGGGGACTTTGGGAATGGAATTCATGCCCTTACAAAAGAGGTCCGAGAGCCTCCGCCATGTGAAGACACATACTAGATGACATCTATGAGAAACAGGCCCCAGCAGACACTGAATCTTCTAGTGCCTTGATTTCGGACTCCCCAGTTTCCAGAACTGTGAGCAATAAATTACTGTAATTCATAAATTACCCAGTCTAAGATATTTTGTTACAACAGCCTGAACAGACCAAGGCTTAAGGCCAGGAATATTTATCTGCTTTGTTCACTGTTGCCTCCTTAACACCTTAACTGGCTTGGCTTACTGGGTGCTTAATATGTACTGGTTGAATGAATGAGGGAAGGGGTAGAAGAGAAGAAACAAGAGAGGCAGGAAGCAGGTAACAAAAAGAGATGAGATGACTATAATTAATACCACAGGCTAGAAAGAACATTTGAAATTTCATGGAGGAGACAATAAATTATCCAGTACAATAGACCCCTTGAAGGTAGAGTCTGAACTCCTTGAAGCATCTCAAGATCACAGGAAAGGACCCAGGCCATGCAGATTGAATAGTTAAGCCTATAACACGAGTATTTGGCCAAAGAATAGAATAAGCCACAGGTAATTCTTACTCCCATTGTTTACCCACGAAACAATGTGCCAGAAGCTGGGAATATCTCTGAAAATATCCTCCAGCCAGATTGGCAGGAACTCTGGGAAGTCATCAGCTATACTACATGAATGGATAAGATTCAACATCTTCACAGAAGGACTCAGGGCAGAATAAAAATGCTTTAAAAAGGGTTTTGAGGACTCAAACTTAGCACACAAGAAGATAATATGTATCCAGACTTAGAAGACACAGCAATACTCTATGACACAGTGGATTCTGTGTTTTTATAAAGACGGATTTTACATACCCATGTCCATCAAGCCTTATGTTTCCAACAAAATCGTAGAGATGTCTGTTTGGACTTTCACACTCAATTCTGCCAGAAATCCTCATCAAACTGTCAACGTCTTTGATATCTGATGTTGCTGGTAAGCCCTGTTTGGAATTTTTAAATAAGCAAAAAGTATATTAAATAAGTTGTATCTGGGCAAAGAGGAGGAATTTTGAATTCATCCAAGTCTTAAGATCTAAAAGATCCCATTATTTTTATAAGCAATTCTCCTCTACTCTGTCAAATCATAATTAAGAGACACCTTCCTCCCTGACTTGAGCACAGGTTTTTAGCGCAAGAATAGGGCACCTTTATGAGAGTTCTTAAATATATTTAGGAGACTATAAGCTAGTCTACAAAGATAATTTGAAGTCAGTCCCCAAAGAACCATTTGCTTGTGAAAATAAAAGTAATATTTAGCACTATACAGTCTGAGTCTGTCTTCAGAATCTAAACAAGATGAAAATGGATGGAATCTGTGTTCAAAGAACATAGCTTTGTTTCTCTTTTTTTATTCCAGAGAAGGGAAACTCCAAAACAGGTTTTCCCTCTGGCCAACCAGAAGCAGCTGTCACTGAGCAGGGCCCCTCACACAGTGGCAGTCTGGGTCCAGGCCCTCTGTGATGATCTAGTTCCAACACATCCCAACCCTCCCAAATGTCATTTTCATCATTCATCTAGAAACCAAAGGCATACATTTTTAAAGTCCCTCTTAAAACTTTAAAAACTTTACAGTTATTTTTGCTTGACACGATATGAAAAGTAAATATAGAAATGTAAACTATTCCCCAAGATGAGTAAGATGAGTGAGAGTTTTTGAATGGCAATAGAAAGTACGGCTTTTTAAAAAACTTTAATTTTAGGTTCAGGGGTGTACAATGGAGCTTATGTAGTAAACTTGTGTTGTGGGAGCTTGTTGTACAGCTTCTTTTCTTTTCTTTTTTTTTTTTTTTGAGACGGAGTGTCACTCTGTCACCCAGGCTGGAGTGCAGTGGCATGATCTCGGCTCACTACAACCTCCGCCTCTCGGGTTCAAGCGATTCTCCTGCCTTGGCCTCCTGAGTAGCTGGGATTACAGGCACATGCCACCATGTCCGACTACTTGTTGTATTTTTAGTAGAGACAGGGTTTCACCATGTTGGTCAGGCTGGTCTTGAACTCCTGACCTCGTGATCCACCTGCCTCGGCCTCCCAAAGTGTGATTACATGTGTGAGCCACTGTGCCCATCCTTGTACAGCTTTTTTTTTTTTTGAGACAGAGTCTCGCTCTGTCGCCCAGGCTGGAGTGCAGTGGCGCATTCTTGGCTCACTGCAAGCTCCGCCTCCCGGGTTCACGCCCTTCTCCTGCCTCAGCCTCCCGAGTAGCTGGTACTACAGGCGCCCGCCACCATGCCCGGCTAATTTTTTGTACTTTTTTAGTAGAGACAGGGTTTCACCGTGTTAGCCAGGATGGTCTCGATCTCCTGACCTTGTGATTCACCTGCCTCAGCCTCTCAAAGTGCTGGGATTACAGGCGTGAGCCACCGCGCCCGGCCCTTGTACAGCTTTTTAACATGGCAAAGTCAAATTATAATTTGAACCAGGTGAATAGGAAGAAGTTAAAACATATCAAAGCACTTAGAACTACTATTATCTGAGTGTTAGCTATTACATAATTAAAAATATTACAAATATATCTATAAGATAGATCATATTTAACCAGACAAATACATCAGAATCTTCCATAATACTTAACAATACCAGTTTATAAAACCTCTTTGTTGTGGTTCCATGGGAACATATTTGCAATAGGACAGATTAGTTCAAGACAATAACACAAAGAAAGAAGCTCTTAATTCCATGTAATAAAATAGCAGTGATTATACATATACTTGTATCAGATCTTACCTGTCTAATTTTCAAGTTTGTTTCACCATCTAAGTTGGATGTTTCAATGTAGCACATGGCTTGGGGCTCACTGTAGTTTGGAGTTGAGAAGCACAAAGATTTAGTGCGGGAAGAAAAGCATAATAATAACTTATTTAAATGCTCAGACTCACTAAAGCCTTTCGTTCTAGACAAAGTAATAGTTACTTAGCTTCTTGATGATTTTCATTCTAACAGCAAGATGCTGTGAGGCAGAACCCATGCATGACAACTCACGGATTAGCTTTTCAGCCAGAAGGACCCAAAAGCAATTTCCTGACAACAATCAGTAATGGTCTTCAAGATAATGCAAATGAATAGATTTGCACATTATATTTAAATTGTTCATCCACATAGACACAACACAGACTGTATCTGAAATGTAAAGCAGTTTTGTGTCCGGATTTATCTTTAGCTCAAAAACACCACATGAGATTTCATGCTCATGGCACGCATGTAAATTGGTTAAGAAAGTGGTTGATGAGAAAATTCCAGATTGCTAGTTCTACAAACCTGCATTTACTACCCTTTTAGCTATGATGAATAGGATCACATAAACCATAATATTTAAATTTAAGGTTATTTAAAAAAAGTAATATGAACAAATTTTACAATGAAAGCGGATATATAGCTTTCTCCCTCTATGTTTTCCACTCCTGCTCTCCTATTAAAGTTGCTTGAGAGATTCTCACAGCGGTAAAAACTAAAACTAAAATCAGTCAGCTAGGCCATATTGCTCCTTGACCTAGAAGATGCACTTCATGGGTTCCCCACCAGTGTGTCTTAGTAAAATCTGGTGTGTGGCGGCTGGCCTAAGGGGTCCATGTTCTCCAGTTTTATCACACCACCACAGCCCAGACTGTCTTATCTTTCCCTTTCACATGCTGATTTGACTTGCCCAGCAACTACAGACATCTAAGTTTGTAGCCCAACTGTATAATCTGATCCTTAATTCTAAAGAAAAGCATTCTAATCTAATTAATGCTTGGTTATATAATAGGCTTAATTTACTAATATCACATAAGTATTATAAATGTAATCTCTTATAAGCATGTGTACTCAAAGCTAGAAAGAAAAAAATTTACAAATTACAAACACCTGGAATTTTCTAATCAACTTCCAACTTGTACATGTGCAAAACAGACTATTCCTAGTTTCAGAAATGGGCATGTAGCTTAATTTTGTGGCCCGAAGATTTGTGAAAATTGCTTAAACACATAGACATTAATCAAAAATATTTTACTGATTCATTTTAAAGTAGCTCTGCAGGTTCTTCAATTTACCCTATGAGCTTTCTTTCGTAAAAGCTGCTACTTTTCCCCAAAATTAAGTCCTTCAATATTTATATTTTCACTCTATAACTTATTCAAAATTTTATTTTTAAAATCACTGTCACAATAGCAATTTGGCTCTGGAAATTGCTCGAAATTTGTAATTTACTTATGTATACATTTGAAACATAGTTTATGAATTTATAAAACACACCTGATAATATAGAAGCACGATGACAAAGAAAATACTAAATGACAATGTTGATTCCATATTCTGACAATTAGAATAATATTCTAATTCTACTTTTTTTTTTTGCATAAAGTAACTTATCTAGGTCTTTAAATGGCTAGGAAGTTAGGAAGTTCAAATGGCTAAGTTCTATTTGAAGTTGGGGTAATAAAATAAGCATCGAAATTCAGAACATTCTCAACAATCACTTAGGACAGCAGTTACTGAAGCAATTCTTAATAGTGCTGTGAAAAGGCAGCAAGAAGTCTCAGATAAGGAATCATGCTAGATCATAAATATTTCAGCAAATTATGATGACATCTAAAACACAAACTAGTCAAGAGAGGCAAAGCAGGCTTTTTGATTAGTAAGTGAAAAATGAAACAAGATGCATATCACAATACAGTCACTAGTAGACAGCTGAAATTGATCACAGTAACGTGCACTTTGTCACTAGATACAAGTGGGATAAAAGTCGATCCCAAAGCATGCGGTACAAAATGTGCAACATCCAGCTTTGTGCAGGGGGTCCTCTATAAACCCTATGAGCCCAAATTATAGTCACAATCGCTGGAAGGATTTTACAGAACTTACAGAAAAATTTAAAATACAAGAATAAGACATGTTTATAATCTAATCAATTTTCAATGACTGTTTCATGAAAAGCTTAACATTATTCAAAATAATATCCCGGAGAGATAATAAATTAAGCCTTAGTACTTAGGCATGTTATTAAATACGAATATATATTAATGGTGCACAGGAAATTAAAATCTACCTTTACTGTCATGCCTCTTAGACTCCTATTGATAACAACAGGAGTTCAATTTGCCCAGCTGAAGGACAAGCATCAGTCAACATAGTATTCAAAAATCCCTTTAAAACATCTGTGAAATGTCCATCACCAAGCAGTATAAAAAGTTTGTGTTTTAAAGGAAGAGACACAGAACTCAACCATATTTGGGTGCAACTGTTCTCCGGTTTACGGTGAGGACCCACATACACGCATCCTATACGACTCAGTGGTTCTAACCTTGAGGACAGACTGATGAGATCTGCTGGGAGATGTTCCCCATTGGTCACTTTCACTATCTCCCCTACTGCCACCTACACGTCCCAGTATAAAATAATTAAAATGGCCAAAAAAAAAAATGAACAGAGGAAAAAAAACAAACAAATGGACAAAAGAGACAGAAAGTTCGAAATTATTATAGAAAATAATACATGTTAATAAAAACATCTAATGCCAATTTTTTTCAAAACTTATTTTGATCAGGTCTGAAGGCATAAGAAAACATTTAATATTTGAGGGTTATTTATTTGCTTTTTAGCCCAATTTAAAGTTTTAGTGTGAAAACTTAATTTTTAAAAGTTTACTCATAAGCTTATCAAATTAAAGCATATTTTATAGAGAACTACATTATAGTCTAGATTTTTCTTTCTCAAATTTCTCAACCTCATGCCATCTACTGTATGTCCACTTGTACCAAAAAAGGAAGAAAATAATAATGAAAATTATTTTTTAGGGTTGTGATAGGGTCTTGAAAAAAAAAGTATACTAGTCCCTGCCCCACTTAAAAAAAAACTATTAAAAATGTTCTGACTCCAAAATATTTTTAAAGTTAATTGAATAAATATCTTACTAACTTTAATGCAAAGCTGCAAAGAAGTCAGCTTTGCATTATGCCTTAGGAAGCTTTGCAGTTATGCCTTAGGAAGTCAGAAGGCATAACTGTAGCCTTTTGAGTTACTTAGCAATTAATGAAGTCTAGAGAATGCATTGTTTTGGAAGGGTAAGCCTTTGAATCCAGAGAAATTTTTTCAGAGAGGGTATGAAATAGACATGCGGAGAATATGGACTTGAATTAACAGCTTGAGTTATTTTACCCTACTTTATACTTTCTTAACACATAAATGTATTCATTATTTATTAAATGCTAAAATCTGTTTCATTTCAAAATGAAAGCCTACGAAACACAGTAACTTTCAACCATGTTCATGCTTTAATTTCAAACTACCTCACAGAAGATGTACTCTTAGTAATTAAAAATTAAAAAAATTGAAAATTAAAATATTATAAACAGTTGTTTACTCTTACTGCTAAGTGGTTGCTCACTTGCGGGTAAAAATCATCATGTACTTCTTTTGATAGTGGACAGTGTGAAGATAGTAAATTAGGAGTATTCCAACCCTGACTTAGTCATTACCTAAAGTCAAAATTTCTCTTTCAGTTAAATGATTAAACAACTACTACCTATTTCATGAGGTTAATGTAGATTCAAAGGAGCTAAGTAATGCTAAAACCCTTTGAGGAAAAAAAATACTGAAAGGTGGTACTCTGCTACTTGGATTGAAATGTCTAGCAGCACAGCTTTTATTTTGAATTCTACTCAATAACAAAAAGCAATGAATCAGATAATCTTTTAAAAATATAATCTTGGAGGAAGTTAATCGCTGTGGAGACCATATTAAGACACAGAAACTATTTCGATAAATTGAAATTCATAGCCACCAGTAAGTGTTTTTAATGCTTATAAAACAAATTCTGTAAAAGTGGTCTAAAGTTTAAGAAATACAAGTAGCTTGCTGGGGAGTTTCTGAAGTTGGATAGAGTCAGACGGCAAAGATTTTGAAAATTTCCAACTTAAAATTAAATACAAATTCAGGGCAGTATAGTCGATTATCTTCACATTTTTGAGCATCAAAAATAAAAATTGTATTTAACGGTTCAGCCTATATGATTCATTCTATAATTATGTCTCTAAGAGTTTAATTGGGAAAACAATACTTTCCCAAATTGTTAGAAGGTGTTACTATCATTTTGAACTTATATACAGTCACGTGACAATGACAGGTGTAGCTTCTGAGGAATGCATTGTCAGGCATTTTTGTCACTGTGTGAGCATCATAGAGGGTACCTATACAAACCTAGATGGTATAGTCTATAGGCCATATGGTATAGCAGATTGCTCCTAGGCTACAAACCTGTACAGCATGTTACTGTATGGAATAGTGTAAAGAAACAGTAACACAATACTAAGTATTTGTGCAATAGGAATTTTTCTGCTCCATTATAATCTTATGGGACCACCGTTGTATATGTGTTTCGTAATTGACCAAAATGTTGTTATGCAGCACAAGACTTCAAACATTCAGATGGCCAAGTGTCCAATACATTCATCACATTTTTACTTAGTAAAACTGAATGGACACCATTCTGTAAGGTACTCTTAAAGCTTATCAATTTAAACAAAAAGAATTGGGGAATATTGGAATTTGATCATTTAATCCATCTTAATATAAAAGATGTGAAATCAAGGCATGAGAGATTAAGCAGTTGGTTCAAAATCACCAAATCAGAATAAGAATCCTGGCTTTTCACTCCCTAAAGAGAGCTCTTTCTAGTGCCTGATACTACCTAGAACCTGAGACAATGACAATAAGCTCTCCCTCAAGCTAATTCTGAAGACGCCAAGAATGGACGGTTAGCTTCACTCAGTTTTAGAGATTTATCCTGATAAAGTTATAAGCAAAGGAAACTAAGAACAGAGGGGGTGATTTGAAAACATCTATATTATTTTTTCTGAAAACAAAAACCTATAGGTACATGGCACAAAATTATAGAAATATAACTACCTGCAGTTACTTTAATTGGTTGTAGACTTACTTCTATAAATATCTAGTATAAATACTTTTATTTGTTAAGTTTCGCTAACTTGTCATGAATCAAATCACTTTAAATGATGACCTGATTAAATAAATTTTGAAAAAAGGACACTGTCCATATTCATATGTGGATTTACAAATAAACCTGTCCAAGGAAATGATGATAAACAACCTCTAAAATATTAAAAACAATTTTTCTTAATTTAAAATAGGACTAGTTTATAGTTTTTAAACCTAAAACCATTTGAAAGTCACATTCTTTAAAGAGTAACAGTGCCATATGTTCTGACTACTAATTCATGATTAAAATATGAGTAAAATGAAAATTATTTAAATTAAGTAACTGAAAGAACTTAAAAGAAAGAGCAAAGTACTTTTGTGTTGGAAGAGTATGGCATTTCAAAAGGCATAATGGCAAAAAGAATCATTCATCCATTTTTTTATACCATTCCATCATAATAATCAAGAAACTCTGTAGGGATTTATGACGAACAAGGACTGAAAGATAAAAAATATCAATAGAACCCAATCCATGTATTATATAAAATAAATGACAGGAAATCTTAAAAGAGTTATGATCCCCACAAAAGATCTGGATAGATCCAGAGGGAGAGTAGACTCTTAATTATATTTGAATGATAAAGTATAGTACCTATCACTTATTCTATATGGCAAACATGAAAAAGCCCTTTAAGTCCAATCAATTTTTTAAATGTTTAAATAAAAATTATTAGAGAGGTTTTAAATTCTTCGTTTATTCCTTATTTCCTTGGAGAAATCACAAGGTCAATGCAGGGTAGAGAAACCATCCTCTACACTGTTTGAGCATCAGTAGGCATCTCTACCTTGATGAGAGAAGTACAGTGTCAGCAGGTATATACTCTTTGCCTTTTATTATAACTATATCTCCAACATTTACCTGAAAGAAAACTGGGAATTGGTTAATTATCTGCATTGAAAGATAGTTACAAATATACAACCCATTGTAAAAAGCATAGAATACACAGTAAAAATGGTTATCGGCAAACAAGAACCACTTATCTTCACAAAATGGAAGAAAATTATCTAGGAGTGAGACCAGGGTTGGAGGAATCCTTTAAAAAAAATGAACATTGTATATTGGATATATAACTTATCTTGATAAAATCAATCTATTCTATCCACTTAATTGACACCTTAACTTCTCATATCCTCTCTGACATAAAAATATAAAGGAGGGATTTACCAATATAAATCTTTATCCTATTGAAGAAAATCTCAATGCAACTGGAGACGCTATCATATATAATTGCTCCTCACAATAACGCTTGTGAAACAAGTATTGCTTATAACTCATCATTTGGAGAGAAAGAAAATGAGTTTGAGATTCTGAGATTTTTGCTCAAGATCATGGGGAGTTGAAGAGCTTAGACTCAAATCCACATTTGACTGTCTGCAAATCCTGATTTTGCATAATTTTGTGAAACTATCAATGTATTTTAAATTAAAAATTAATCTCTTCATTGTACTACCTCTTAGCATTTTTCTGAGCCTGGCATAAAGATAAAGAGATACTATTTTCAAAAACTGATAGCAGTCATTTAAGTGACAGATGTGTCACATAGCTTTTGGCAAACAACACAGTAACTAAGCAACAACTTGGCTTAACTGAGTTGACCAAGTTACACTGTTAGCCGCTCCCTTTACATCATGAAAGTTGACCTCTTAGTAGACAAATGAGACTAAACATGAATTTCAATACTTAATAGATGGAAAAAAAAGACTTTCTAAATTAAAGCCTGTTTGTTCTTCCCCCTCCCTACTTTTCCTTGAACTCTAAAATAACACTATGAGGGTAAGAACAGAATAGTGTCTTTTGTGGGAATCATAATAAGAAATTACTGCAGAGGCAGCCCACTGCAGTCTATTATTTACCAAAAGAAGAGGTTAGAAAAGGTTGGGGCAGGGGTATTGTCTTTTTATTTATGACACGTATGCTTAAGTTCTGGGTCCCTTGATTCAAAAAATAATTCAGCTGAAATCTGAAAGTTGGACTAGCTGAAACTGGCAAATTACCAGGGATCTTGGAATCAAACACCCCCTACCTCAAAAAAGGGCAAAGAGGAAAAATTAAAAACTGCAAGTATAAATGTAAACTGGTCCTTAAAATAATGTGCTGTGATGGTACTGTGATTACACTCACTGAGAAAGATAATAAAATGTAAATTCTCTGAAATCATGGCACTTAGAATGCATCCAGGTTACCATTTAATTTTCTTTAATCAACTCCTGTATGTTAATGTTTCCTCTTAAATTCAACTGTGTGCTTCACAAAATCAGAATCACGTCCTCTACACTATCGTGTTAGAGTCTAACAGTCAGACTTAAACAAATCCCTAATTGATTGTGCTGCTTTCCAACATCTTTACTCATTGTAAGACAAAAGAAGGGCTTGTGGTTCCTAAACTCAATAAAATAGTAACAATTTATATGGTACCCCAGTGGCCTGGGAAAACCAGGGGCTTACTAAATGCTGAAGTTCTTACTAAAGCATGCTAAATCAATGACTGCTAAAGTTCTTTACTGTAAGGAAAGTAGGGAACTTAACTCCTTAGAATGTCTATGTTTAAGATCAATTTCTCAAAAGACATCCAAACACCTGTCTTTCCTTTTGGATTCTGAGCTCCTAATACGGCATTCCCCTTCCAGCCTAGTGTGTGCATAAGAGGAACCAAGAGAAGAAAAAGTCAAGATGACAAAAATGCTTTAATCATACATATTCTAATTGGAGGAATGTCATGATAAAGCAATTTTAGTCCCCAAAATGCCAAAGTTAAGGAAATGTTTAGGGCTTTCAGTCCACTACCTACAGCCTTCTGAAGTCACTCATATTTGCAACATCAAGGATTATGTAAAATAGTAAGATTATCAGACTGCAATAGCCTGATTTAAAAATCCAACTATTAGCTGGGCATGGTGGCTCACACCTGTAATCCCCGTACTTTGGGAGACTGAGGCGGGCGGATCACCTGAGGTCAGGAATTCAAGACCAGCCTGGCCAATATGGCGAAACCCTGTCTCTACCAATACAAAAATTAGCTGGGCATGGTGGCAGGCACCTGTAATCCCAGCTACTCAGGAGGCTGAGGCAGGAGAAACGTTTGAACCCAGGAGGTGGAGGTTGCAGTGAGCCGAGATTGCGCCACTGCATTCCAACCTGGGCAACAGAGCGAGACTCCATCTCAAAAAAAAAAAAAAAAAAGAAAAGAAAAAAGAAATACATATTGTGGTGGAAGCTTCATGCACAAAAGTGGCTTTACAGAGTAACTTTTACACATGCATACAGCCCACCATGCTTCCTTAATAAGCCAGAAGAATACGTTGATTCCAAGATTCTTTGGCTAAATTCTCCACCTGCATACATCTCAAAAACCTGTGAACAGTGTTAGCTGCACCTCATTGTAAAGAAATAATCTGTGGCAAGAGCAATGAAGCCAGCAGCTTACCGTTCAGGAGTCACAATGTAGTTCCTTGTGTAGGGCTTTGTGATTACCATACTTTCTTTTAAAACTATGTATCTGCAAGTTAACCTTTTGCAACAGGGAAAAGGTTTCAGGGCAGTAACTGGAGAGATAAACCACTAATATCTGAGAGCTGAAGTCTGCCCAGCTGTGAATGATTAGATGCATGCTAGGCAAATTTGTAGGTCCTTTGAGGATCATTAAAGAGCAACCACAGTAGCCACACATTTAGAAAGGCAGAGAAAGAGCCCTGAAGTAAAGCCCATTTACACTAAGGTCTATCATATTACCTTGGCATGTAGACGACACTCTTGGTTTTGGTTTATTGATTTTATTTTTAATTGGACTAAATATCATATAAGGCAAAGAAAAGACTTGCCTCAAAATCTTGTTATCCCAACAAGTAAGGCTGCTTTTGTGCCTGTTCGCTTGTTCAATAAACGATTTACAAAGCCAGTATTTCAGTGTACATAGTACTATTTTTTTTCACCTATGATTATATCTTATGATACAGGAACCCTTACTTGTCTTGCTTGCTGCTTTAAGCTCACTGCTTGGCATATGCACTCAATAAACACTTGTCGAATGAATAGTATAATTTCTTCTGTGTTGCTACACCATGTGACATTACAGATTTTACTTGTCACAAAATATGAGTATAAAATGCCATAATTTATAAAACTGTCCCTATTGTTGCATTTCCATATGTTCTAGTTTTTTGCTATTATAAGTAAATAATGCTACAATAAACATTTTTATACACGTGGAGATATTCTCCAACTTTTTCTTTTCTTGGGATAAATTTCCAGAATCCCGTTTTCACAGTTCTCAATATAAATAGCCAAACTGCTCGTTCACAATAGTATGTAAATAAAATATTTCATAAAAATAAATCTGAAATGTTTGTTTTTATTTATTGAATAGGTAGCAAATGAAACTTCAATATGGTTTAAATTTGCAAATTTTATTAGGTTGAATATTATACTGAGTCTGGTCAATTATCATATTTCTGGTTTACTGTCAAGTTTTCCTATTTATATAACAATGATCTTAATCATTTGTCCTATTTGGTGCAAATATTTCACATAGCCTGCCTACTTATTTGTGGCAGTTTTTGTTGTGTATTTGTTTTAAAATTTATATAATCTAATTCCATAGATTTTGAGATATTGCTCTTCTTCAAATATTTATTAAGGCCTTTATTCTATTTGTACGTTTTCTAAAAACAACATTTTAACATTTAACTCTTTTAGTCAGTTGACATTTATTTTAGCATAGGTTGTGACTTAGATATAAATATTCAAATGCTATTTCTTAAAACTGCTAATCTGTGATAGCAATTCTTTAAAAAATAATTTTTGCCTCCTTTTTCAAATATTAAACAGGCCTTATTTCAGGGCACTATATTTTATTCTATACTACTTAAATCTGCTCCATGTTATTCTACTCATCAATGTCTATTTTTGCAAACCACAGTGTTTTAATAACTTTTGCTTTCCATTTCACCTGTAATCTTTACACACTGTTCATTTTTCCAAAATATATTCTACTTTCTTAACTGTTTATTTTTGCAAATCAGATGAAAAATTTAGTCAATTCTTGAGGAAAATATAATAATTTCCCTGGGATTATATTACTTCATAATTTGGAACAAGTGATATTTCACTTTTAATTTTTCTGGGAATATGACATACTTGTAAATTTGTATGAATCTTGAATATCAAAGTTTGGATGCTTTCTTTACAAAGGTCATACACATACATTAAATTTACTTGTAGGCCTCCCATAGGCCACTGGGAATGAGACCTCTTCTTCACTTTATTTTCAAACTTGATACTGCCAACTTAAGAATGATGTTAATTTTTGAATATTTATCATGATTTCATCACTGAACCAACTTTTAGTGATTCTAATTACTTCTATAATTCTAATTATTAAATAACTTCAGCTCTTTTGGGCTGGATGACTTTTGGCAACACTTTAAATTCTGTCCTTCTTTATCTCAAAATGGGATGCCTAGGTTAGGTGTGCCATTGACCTGTGAGATGACTGAAAATGCTATTATTATGGGTAATCCTGGCTGGTGATTTGTCTGTCAAAAATAGGAAAAGTAAGAATTACAATAATCCAGGTAGGTTAGCACAATCTTGAAATAATGATTGTTTATTAGGAAAATAAGACATTTTAAAGGTTTAGAGTGAAGTAGTACATTATTATCTCCTGACTTTCTGTTTATTTTCTGAGCAAGCAGCCTAGGTTATTTATTAGCATGCATATTTATGTTAACTACACTGACAACCCTAGGTAAAATAATATTTGTAATAAAATTCATCTTATCATACTTGATTATATCCTACCTGTCTTCTTTCTAAAATGTTTAATTCCATAGGTGCCAGAAAAGAGTAGAAAAGAAACTTATTTTGAAATTGCTTTTAGCATTTTTATTTTGTTCTTCTGAAAAAGAGATTCCTATCACAGAAATAAATAAAACACAACCAAGGTATTTTCCCATTTGTTGCTCTCATGTCAAAAACCAAAGAAAAAATAGGGGTAAATTTTCAACTATATGAAAGAGGAGATGTCAGTCTCTATTCTAGCCACTGATTGAAAATCAACAGAAATTTAATTAATTTTTAATTGGGGGGTACAAGATATCCCCTGCAGAAATACAAGATGACCATGACAAGGTAGAATCAAGGGCATGGACTTCAACTAGCTGGGAAGTACTGGAGTGCAAATAAACTGTTGGTTACACTTCGATTGTCCTAGCAAAATACTGTCCTGTGAGATACACCTCTAATGTCCTGGCAATCCCAGGAAATAAAGTGCCCTAAGAAGGGTGGCTCAGACTCCAAAAAGTCTTTTACCAAGTTACCAAAGCTATTCATTTGTGGATGACTAGATTTTAAACCTTCTTCCAGAACTAAGGGAGAACTAATAATAATTGCTTACCTTTTGAAAGTGAAGGCTGAAAAGAATAAACACCTGAATAACATTTGTTAAATTATGACTTAACCTACTAACTGCCATGTTAGAGGTCCTATAAACAAATTAATCTTTGATGTTAAAGAACTGATTTCATTAGAAGACAATGTTTAATTTGTAAGATTTTTGTTTTAAAGGAATTAGTGGTAAGCAAATGTAATTAGTCTCACTATATGAATTGGAAGTAAAATATGCAGAAGTAAAACATCAGAACTCAAAATTCTTATTTTTACTTGGACAGTAGATGAGTAAAGCAAAAAATTACAACACAAAACAGTTCATGGTTAAATAAAATCTATGATAACAGTACTCAAAATATACTATGAAAAAAACAAAAAGTTCTAGATATTTTTCAAAATAAGTCTTTCTATAATACAGCAGAAATATTAAATGAATGTGACTGAAGATGCCATGCATGTTTATATTACTAAATAGCTTTTATATTAGTAAAATTCTTCACATTTGCTCATATTATACAAAAAATTATATATACTAGAGTACACCGCTATGTATTTCTTCTCCTGGAACAAAATAAAAATCAGTGCATACCTTTTCCCAGTGGACAATTTCCCAAGCACCATTTCTCAAAACTGGAAAGAGAAAAGGTGACATTTTAAACAACATGTTTTACTATGAAAAGGCCATTTCTGATGAAATAATAATTTTAAACGAATAGCTTCAGTCAAAATAACTAGTAGCAATTTTTATAGGTTAAAATTCTAATTATGATAGCAAGAATATGTAAACTTACACAAAAATTAGAAACAACCAATGTATATTTTAGCTCCCACAACATCACTAACAGAGAGCATCTGATTGGTGTTACCAAGGGCTTTCTTTAGCACATAGAGGAACTATGGGGCTCAGCTGGAGGAGAAAGCCACAAAAATGATGTGAAAAAGGAAGCGACAAGCTTAAAAACATTTCAGATGCTACAAGAGTAGCAATGTTTAAAAAGAAAAATCACAAGCACAGAATAATAGATTTCTAATAGTTTAGTAAAAATTTAACACATAAAGCCAACAGAGAAAGAATTTGTACCTTTAGGTTTATATTAATGCAAAAAAACAAACAGCGACAAAAAGCAAAAACAACCCAAATTTTCTTTTTTTTTTTTTTTTTTTTGAGATGGAGTCTCACTCTGTCACCTAGGCTGGAGTGCAATGGCACAATCTTGGCTCACTGCAACCTCCGCCTCCCAGGTTCAAGCCATTCTCCTGCCTCGGTCTTCCAGGTAGCTGGGACTACAGGCATGCACCACCATGTGTGGCTAATTTTTGTATTTTTAGTAGAGACAGCATTTCATCATGTTGGCCAGGCTGGTATCGAACTCCTGACCTCAAGTGATCTGCCTGCCTCAGCCTCCCAAAGTGCTTGGATTACAGGCGTGAGCCACCGCGCCTGGCCCTAAAAATCCAAATTTTCTATATTTGGTTTTCTGAAAAGAAAAAAAAAAGGCAGAAGAAGAGGCTACTATTAAATTATGATGGGGGGTAGGTATTTCTTAGGGTTTCGCTACTGCTTCACATCAGTAGGGTTATCCAGTATAATTTTTTTTTCCTGTGATGTTGTCTGTGCTATAACACTGAGTATGCTAATAAACACCAAAAAATAAAAATAAAAATAAAAATAAAAATAAAACAGGATAAGAGAGTATGTGAGGTAGCCGGCACAGCACTTAGTACTTAGGGAGAGAAATATGTCAAGGCCCATCAACAAATTATCCAGATGTAAATTCCATGAGGGAAAAGCATTTAATATTTGTTTTAATATTATATTCCCTGGAAACAGCACAGTACCTGGCACACAGTAGCTACTCAGTAAGTATTTGCAAAATGCATAATTTATAGGTACAAAAACAGATTCAGTTTCTTTTGATGTTGGGATAGATGAAGCCTGAACCCTCTAAAGCGATCACAATAATAATCCCCAAAATGTTAAACAGCAAATTTAATATTAATTAAAAACAAAAATGTTTTGAACTCAGTGTTTCACAATATAAATTATTTAAATTAAAATATTATCTGTGTTTCTAAATTCCCTGAACACATACATTATGTCTTAGCCATTTTTTTTTTATTACTTGTACTTGCAGCACTTTTGGTATATGGGACATTCAGATGCTTATAAAACAAATTAATGAATACCTCACAGTGCATTTTGGTGAATCAACTTCATTAATTTAAAAAAATAATCATTCCAAGCTAGAGAGAGCTCAAATAAAGTATTTCCAGCACAATATCTTAACCGCAGAAGTTAAAGTACCAATTTTTACAGTGCTTAAACAGTTACGGACCAAGGATCTAAAGCACAGGCACCTTAAATTGATCACTGGATCCTGAAACACAAGACTCTAATGCCTGCAGAGCTCACCCAAACTGATCCCAGGAGTAAATCCCCTGCTCGATGTTGCTCATGGAGCAGTAGGGGTTTGGTGTTTCTGACCCGGAGTCAAAACAGCCTCCGGTAGAAAAGCAAGAGGTGCTGTCTCTGCCAGAGTCCAACAGTATGTTCCTCAAAATAAGTTGTAACAAAGCATAAAGAATAAATGAGGGCTGGGAGCAGTAGCTCACGCTTGTAATCCCAGCACTTTGGGAGGCCGAGGTGAGCGGATCACCTGAGGTCAGGCGTTCGAGACCAGCCTGGCCAACATGGTGAAACCCTGTCTCTACTAAAAAAACACCAAAAAAATTAGCCAGGCATGGTGGCGCACACCCGTAGTCCCAGCTACTTGGGAGGCTGAGACAGGAGAATGGCTTGACCCCGCGAGGGGGAGGTTGCAGTGAGCCAAGATGACGCCACTGCACTCTAGCCTGGGTGACAGAGCAAGACTCCGTCTCAAAAATAAAATAAAATAAAATTAAAATAAATAAATAAATAAATAAATGAGAGCTCCCCTTTAATTATGTAACCCAGTGGCTACAATATAATAAGAGAGATGGTAACAAAGAGAGATGGTAAAGTCCTGTTCAAATCAACTACACCCAAGATCAACTGACAGAGTGAGTGGGCTATAAGTTTGCATTAATTTAGGAAAAACTGGTCAATAGTGTCTAGAGCTCTGTATTGCCACTTATTTCCTTCGGATCCTATCTCATATTAGTAATTATCCCAATAGTAATACTTAGTTTTTTTTAAAAAAAAACTATAAGTGTCCAATATTTCTAAAATCAAGATATTTGACATGAAGATTAAGACTTCAGATTAGACAGGATGAATAAGCTCCAGAGAACACACTATCTTCCTGGAATTTGATTTGGGTCTCAAGTCTTCCAATTCACGGACAAGCTATCTTTCTGTACTTATTTACATCTTAATTTTTCTTGGATATGTTTTGTAGTTTTCTGTGAATGGGTCTTTCACTAGATTTAATTCTTGATATTTTATGTTTTTTCTTAACCTCACGAGGGTTATTTTTTATTCTATATTCCAGTCATTGGCAATATTTAGAAATGCATTAAATTTTTGTACAATGAATGACCTTGTCATCCTGTAATTTTGTTACTTCACTTATTAGTTTGGGTATGGTTTTTTTAACTTTTATTTTGTTGTTTCTGTAGCAATGCTTTTGATGCAACTTAATTTCTCTTTGTGAACAATGCTGCATTATGATTTTTTGGCAGTTTTATTATGCTCATATGCCTCCCTGTTTATCCCATTTTAAAACTCTTACAGAAAAATGCCTTTGAAACTCTGGAATAATTTTTACTACTAAAAACTTCCTGTTGATTTTATGCCTTTAGCATCTCAAAATCTGCCAATATTTTAAAAATCTTCTCCACCATCACCAATATCAGCACCCCTAGTTCAAGGAACCACCCCCTCCCAACTGGATGTCTGTATTAGCCTCAGGCTAGTTTCCTGCATTCATTCTTAATCTCTTTCAAATTCAGTTTCTACAGTGTAGCTATAAGGATTATCTATGATGATTTTACATAAATGTTATAATTACATATTATTATGTATCAGTCCATACACACAAACTTGGGTCACCCCTTGCTCAGAACTCTTCAGTTGGCTTCCCTAGGCTCAAAAAATAAATCAAAACATCTACAAGGCCTTTTATGAAGCAGCTCTTGCCTCTTTCCTGTCATCACTTCTTGTCACTCCCAACACACCCTCCTTATGCCCTCTGTAGTGAGCGCACCATGCTCTCTGCTGTCTCAAATCCTTTGCACATGTTTCCATGCCTAGAATTCTCTTTCCCTCCATCCTCACCTAGTTAACTTGTACACACACCTTGTAGATCTCAGCTTTAACAGCACTTTCTCAGGGGACATTGTGTTGACACCCAGTCCTTCCTCCTCACCCCCAAATCTAAATGAGCTCCGTGCACTTTTCCTTTAGAACACTTATCACAGCATCACAGTTTTACTGTATACTTAATTAAACAGGATTATTTAAGGGCTGTCTCTTCCCCCAGATTATAAGATCCATGACAAGAGAAACCTTCCCTATTATACTCACTGTTACCATTCCAGTGTTATCACACAGCACACACTGGTGCTCAGTAAGTACTAACTGGGTGGAATGCTGGATCCACTAATATTCTTATCTGTCATAGGATCATATAAAACCATTGCAACAGTTATAGATTTACTGAAGATACAACTCCACTACCTAGTAGGGCTCATGTTAAAAATAACATAAACATGACATTTAATAAATAGTTGTATAGGAAAATACTTTGGCAGTTTCTCAAAAAGTTAAGCACAGTTACCACAGACCCAGAAATTCTACTACTAGGTGTATACCCAAGCAAACGGAAAACATATGTTCACACAAAACTTGTATATGAATGTTCACTGAAACATTATTCATAATAGCCAAAGGGTAGAAACAACCCACATGTCTATCAACTGATGAATGGATAACAAAATGTGGTATAGCCATTAAATGGAATGTTATTCTGCCATAAAAATAATTTAAGTGTGGATACAATGACATGAATGAATCTTGGAGATATGCTAAGTGAAAGAACCCAGACACAAAGGGCCACGTATTGTATGATCCCATGTACATAAGATGCCAAGAACAGACAAATCCATGGAGACAAAAGGTAGGTTAGTGATTGCAAGGGATTCAAGGAAGAAAGAAAGACTGACTGTTTACATGTATAGGGTTTCTTTTTGGATTAATGAAAATGTTCTAGAATTAAGGTTGTGGTGATCGGTGCATAACCTTGTGAATGCACTAAACACCCCTGAACTGTATCCTTCAACATGGTGAGTTATATGGTATGTGAACTATAACTGAATTAAAAAATAGCTACAGAAAAAGATGCCAATGAACTATTTTAACATTTGCTTAAAATAGACATCTCAGTTTTATAAGTGACTAAACCAATTTTCAGTGCAAGCAGTTAGAAATGGTTATGTAACCCTCAGAGGCACTAACACAAACTGTTCTCTGGTATCAGCTCAGGGCCACTCCTTCCAGCTCTGTAATTTAATCTAGCCCTCCTCAACATGCTGTGACTTTACAGATGTTTGTTAGTTCACATGTAAAAAATAGCCCTGATCCACTTTGTTGGGTGCCATTTAACACATGGGAAGTGTCACAACAGGCTTCTCAGATCCAACAGATTATGCCAGAGAGTCTTCACTCAATAACGGATAGTGGAAGCCAGTGGCACTTACATGGAAAACCGCCTCCAAATCTGCTGCACTTCTGCCGTCCTCCTTCAAATCTGCTTGACGCCTCCATCTTCTGTACGTGCTCATTTTCCCTCAACCTTGCTCTGATCAGTTTTCTCTCCACATTCAAACTTATTTACCTCCTTTCTCCAACCGACCTTTTGCGAATCTTTGTCTCCAGCCAAACAGTGCATTCTCCTCTCCACCCAAATGTTCTCTCTCAATTCATTATTGGAGAAATACTTAGAAAAATGTGGCATACTGCCCAAATGTACACATCTAAGAAACTTTTAAATACATATTCAATGTTTTCTACCAAATGACAAAATCAATACATGTTTCCAGCAAGACAGGTATGTATACAAGGTAAAAGCTGACATTCCTCTTCTCAAGGCCAGTTTCTCACAGTAAGGAGTACTAACTGATGAATCCTCGCACACCTTTCTCTAGACAAACATGGACATTCTTGTTTTTTCTTTCCCTTTTAAAATTTCTCTGCCACTTGGTTTTCCACTCAACATGCCATAAATACTTTAATGAATAGCAGAGATATTTAACTCATTTTTGGAAAATACTCCATGGCACAGATGTGTCAATTACAACGGGTTGGATAATTAGGTGGACACACAAGACTTCACAGGATGTATTCACAGAAGACTTTACTCAAGGCAAAGGATATGGTACAGCAGGAAAATGAAAGACCAGAAAAGCATCAGAGGCCTGAGAGACTGACAGGCATGGCTCCCCAGGATCCCTTCTCTTTCACCCTCAACACGGGTGTTGAAGCTCCATGGTATGTATGTGAAATCTGAATTTCAGGAAAGCCCAGGCAAAAGTTTCCAGTGGCGTCTTTTCTACCCTCTAGTTGACTAGCCAAGGCAAACTGTGTAGCCAGTAAAACTAGTTAAGCCATCAATCTCTATATATGCTTAAACTGAGTAGAGAAGCTAGTCTTGGGTGGCTACAAGGGAGTTTCAAACCTTAAACAGCACATTATAAATCACCAGCTAGTCCGTCTCATCCTTGTCTTAGGCAGTGTTCAGCATCACACTTCCAGGTGTCCTAGAGATAGGCACAGAGCTGTCCTTGCCCTGTGTGAGACAACTCAATTTTCCACAACAGCTGCATCATAAAGCATTCAACTATTCTCCCCCTGGTGCAAATTCTGACTTCTATTTTTTTCTACTACCACAGCAATGAAATATATTCACATGATTGTACCCTGTAAGAGAGAATGCCCCAGAGAACATTGCTGACTCCGGGGCATTTGAGTTTGTAATTTTATCAGATACAACCAGATACCTAAGAATCTACAGCACTCCATACTTTTACCAGCAATGTATAAATTTCCACTGACTATAAACTGAGACAAGCACAAACTTATCCATTCCTTGAATTTTGTCAGTCTGATGAGTATTTGATATTTATTCTGAAGGCTGTAGTGGTCTGGATTAATGAAAGTATAAATTACCTTTACATCCCTACACTGGGTTGGAATCCTAACTAAATAGAGTAACGCTTCTTTGAAAATATTACAGAACCTTGCTGTTCAACACTTGCTGCATGGGCCTGCTGCATCTGCAGTGCTGGTAGGCTCCCTAGAAATGAGGACGTACTTCTACCCCATCCCCCATTTACTGTGTTCTTGAAATACAAAACCAGAATACAGAAATGAAGAAAGGAAATACACAAACTTGAGGCTAGTGTCTTCTTGGAATATAGATGAGTATACTCTGATAAAGTTAAAAATCAGCTCACAACATAAAAAAAAGTTTCCATACAAATCAAGACTTGAACACTGGCCAAGGAAACTAGTCAATCCTATAATTCATTGTTATCTTTTAGAACTGGTTCTTAAACACCCAGTCCTTAGAACAATGAAAATAAACACCACCACATGTATTATGCTGGTGACTGAATTAGCAATCTAGGTATTTTTAAATCATCAACCTCCTCTGACCCGGCACAAACCTAAGTTTAGAGAAAGCAAGAAACAATGCCCAGCCTGTGATGAGCATTTAGGGTTGTTGAGCCAAAAGTAACAGAGATGCTATTCTGATTCTACAGGTTTTTTTTTTTTTTTAATGTATTCATTTCAGTAGAGAATTAGGTAAACCTCACATTACACAGCCAAGGCCAATGTAATTTTGTACATTTAGAATGTGTTCAAGAAACCAGTCACAATGTAACTGGATTAGATTTCAACAAGGAGGTGACTGTGTTCCTCCCTACCTTCATTTAGGAAGATGACATTCCTCCAATATATGGAAAGCGTTAAGAGCCTAGAGGAGATGATTAAAGAAGCCTGGTGAAGGGGAGTAGGAATAAGTTACGACAGGATTGTCAGAATGGCTAGTGGTATGGTGCTTTGACAGCTCATTGTTTTAAATGCAAAACTCCTCTACCAGTTCCAACCAAACACACCTGTTATAGTTTTCTAACAGCTTAATTAGTCTGACAGTCCTGCCATGGGAGAGCTCAGACTAAACAATTACCTCAAATGTAACTTGTTTTTATTCAGCAGGATACAAGGTAACAGCTTTGTTGTAATAGGTTTCTTTTTTGAATGAAAACATTCTGTTAGAGAACATTCGGGATTCCTCAAAGGCCCTGGAGGAAGTGGCCAGTTTCTCAGGACCCAATCAAATAATGCACAGGTGCAGGTGCTGACTTACACTCTAACATCAGCTTCTCTGAGAGAAGCACGCCTCCCACCCACCCCACCCCAATCAGAATGGTCTACCACTGGGGCCACTGCTGAAAGTGTCACCGGGGTGCCCTCCCCGGGCAATAATATCATTTTTTTTTTTTTGGAGACAGAGTCTCGCTTTGTCACCCAGGTTGGAGTGCAGTGGCACGATCTCGGCTCACTGTAACCTCCACCTCTCAGGTTCAAGCAATTCTCCTGCCTCAGCCTCCTGAGTAGCTGGGATTACAGGTGCGTGCCACCACACCTGGCTAATTTTTGTATTTTTAGTAGAGATGGGGTTTCGCCATGTTGGTCAGGCTGGTCTTGAACTCCTGACCTTGTGATCTGCCTGCCTTGGCCTCCCAAAGTGCTGGGATTACAGGCGTCAGCCACCGCACCCAGCCTATCATTTCTTAAGTGGGTAACAAGAGGCAAGTCATCCAAAAAGACAATGACACTACTGTTGTCATAGAGGAATAGTAAAACCACAGAAAATGTAGTGTGCTCCAATTCCTCTGAGTCAGCATTTAAGAGGAATTTTAGGTCATCAAGGACTGTAGTATAGCTGAGACTATGGCTTTGACTGGGGCAAAGAAGGAAAGCCAATATGCCAACATTAAAATATTATTTTATTCACTATATAGACTCTTACTTCCAAAGACAACTTTAAGGCAAAAGCCTCAGTGTGGCACAAACTGACATGGCACAGGAAGAGTCTCTTGTATAAGCTTGCCTATAAAGGTTACATTAAACCACCAGGGGCTTGGCTGAACCATTAGTGTCCACTGACACAAAAGACAATGGAAACTTCCTGGATTCCTCTTTCAATCATGTAATACACATAATAATACATATATTGATGTCAAATTGGTTGATACTACTTCTATCAACTCATTTATACAACCTTTAAATGAGTTGTCCTAAAAGCACGACCCCCTCACCAGCAGTGTCACTGAGAGGTTAAAACTGAAACTCTGGGGCCCCACTCCAGGCCTACAGAAACTCTAGGTGTGAGTCCCAGCAATCTGTGTTTTAACAAATGCTCCAGGGGATTCTGATGCCAAATTTGAGAACCAATGGCTTATTAAACATCAATATAAGTGGCACGATGTGATCGGAGCACAAAGACCAGCAATACCCTATTCTCGAAATGCTTTCCCTTTCTCCTGCTCACAGTCATGAGTCCCTCACTTTTTCCTCTGCTTAATTGAGAAATTCCTTGAAAGAAAAATCTCCCTCCACTGCCTCACCCATCAGTCATTCCACAACTCCTTGCGATCTGGCTTCAGTTTTCAGAGCTCCACGACTACTCTCTAGTTAAGAAAAATGAACAACGGCTACTTCTTTTAAATGCTGGATTTAGTGGGTGTCTCAGTCCTGGTCTTTTGATTTGGCAGCACTTGGTATTTGACTGGGTTTCTCTCCATTGCCAGGTCCAGTTGAATCTATCCACTGTGTGCTTTCCTTTGTCTTCTACTTGACACAACCTGTCCCCCTCCTTAATAAGAAAATCAATCTCTCTGTGCCTCTCCTTGCCACCTCTCCATACAGCTGTCAAATTCTTTCAAAAGCACAAGTGGAAGCCTATCCATACTTTTCAGAATTCCATCCAAGTTCCTCACCCTGGTTTTCAAAAGACTCCGAAAAATGACCCTAACTTGCCTCCCTGTCCCTGTCCCTCATTGTTTCATGACATGGATTCTATGCCCTGGCCAAAACAGACTATTTGCTATTTCCAGAGTACATCTCATGTCTTCCCACTTCCACAGTAACGCTCATATTAGTCCTTTCACCCTGCATCACTCACAGTTACTACCCTGATATCTGCTTACCAAAGTTCCACTCTTACTTCATGAACCCCTCAAATGGCATTTTGGAATCCCTACATCTCTCATTTGGCCCTTAATTTTTTTTTTTTTTTTACCTTGAATTATATCAGTCTGCATCTTATCTTCCCGACAAGATTATAATTTCCTGTAGGACAAGTATGATTTCTCTTTGCATTTTCTACACAGGGTCCTACACAAGAAAGATGTTCAATAAAGACTTTCTGAAGTAAAATAACAAATGTTCTAACTTTGAATCACACCCATTTTTCCCAGAAAATATGTTAATATAACTTATTTGGGTTTGGCAAAAACAGGAGAGAGAAAAATTCCCATGAAAGCAGACTACCTGGTTTAAATTTAAAAATAAAAGACAATGTGAGTGGAGTATGCACATACACGAATAAAGCACAGAGCAAAGTCATAAAGCCAGCCATAAAATCAGTCCTCTCACTTTAACCATCTTCCCAAATTTCCTCAATGGGTTTTGCTCCTTTGTGTGCAAAAAAAAAAAAAAAAGTGAAAGACAACCTGGAGCTGTCTTTCCCCACAAATATCTCCTCTCCATCCAGAGCTACTGCTGAAGACATCTAACCAGTTCAATGGTTAGATTTTAGTATTTGCATAATACTCAGATCTTTGTGACAATCTGAAAATATTATAAAGCTTATAGATGTCTGAAATTACTTAGGCCATAAATATGCTTAATTTTAAGTCCCTAGGATCACTGAAACACTACTTTCTAAAAACCATTTATAGGTAAGCCAACATACACGTGGCAGAATATATGTTCAGGTCTACCGAACAGAGCAGATGTGGGGGTACCTCCAGAGAGACAAAAAGGGAGCAACACTCTCTTTTTCAGCAGGCAAGAAAGGTGTTGCTATTTTAAGTCCCTTAGCATAATACATCTCTTTGAACAGCACTGAAATGAATTGAACCAGATGAACTCCGCCTTGTTGTTAGTAGGTCATTTCATGCTTAACAACCCGCAACACATTCAATCCACATCAACTCAACACCTTTTTCACAAAGGACTTTAAAGCTGAAATGGTTTCCAGTGGGAGATAAGCAACTATGCGCCCTGCAGGGAAGTAGTCTTGTTAGTGGCTATCAGCTGTCACTCACTCAACTCCATTCAGAAAAGGCTGATTGATGTAGCTCTGGGGAAGGAAGATAAGGTGAATATGAGTCGATTTATTATTTTTAGCTATGTGTCTAGTTTAAAAGAATTTCATGTGACCCTTTCTAAATAATCAGAAAACTGCTTTATTACTTATTCTAATGCTTAGTATCATAATAAAATAGGGTACGATATTAAACAATTTAGCCTTCATTTAACTATAGCATCAAACCAGTTGATCAATGGGCTGCTAAGGATCGCAGCTCTATCTCCCACACATTCTCATATGCAGAATGTATACAGACCATCGTCCAGGGAATACACCTGGGGCTTTAAAAAGCAAATTTACTCATTAGGAAGCATTTACAAATTTTCCCAAATACCTTAGTTTGCACCTGAACTCCATCCATCCTTTCCCAGGCCCCCATGTTGTGATTTTAGATGAAGTTGTCATTCCACTTGAAATATTGACAAGCTAGCCATCATGGCATTTCATAAAAAACGACAGCATATTTTTACCAGTTAAAATAAAAACTAGCTCAATCACCACAATAAATTCATATGGGGACTGGCTTCAATGTGCATATTAGAATAACAATTATAAATTTGTAATTTATAAATTTCTGCAAAGATATATTTGGCAGAACAACTCATCTCAGAGAAAACAATGAGAGATGGCCTCTTGTGTGTGTAGACACATGGAGGAGGCTGTGCCAAAATGTGAGTTCAAATACTGAGGGAAGAGATCAGAGGAAATGAAAGTAAGGTTAGATACAAGGAAAATGAGCGCATTCTGAACAGGGCAGTGCTTTGAGTAATGAAAGGGATCAGTAGACAAACTATTGTATTGACAGAAGGTGAAGCAAGGGTTAAATGATAATATAATGACTTTGACAGAGAAGATAAAGTGGCAAGAACTTCTGCCATATTTGGATTTTATCAGTGACTGTGAAAGTCTGGGACACAGTGTTATGAAGATACTGCTTTTCATCTTATTCGCACTCCAGATAATGAATTTTCAGGAAGGCTTCTTTTCATTTCCAGTCTTTCTTCTTCCTTTATTATGTATACTGAAGTATTTATCTGGAGAGTGGTTCATTTACTCGTTCATTTAACATGCACACAGAGAGCACCTACTAAGACAGGATCCTGGTCTGGGAGCTATTGGGAACACAAAGCTGAGTAAGAGTTGGACCTTCCCTCTGTAGTGTTCCTATCTAGTATGCACAAACCATCACACAACAAAAACACTGGAGCAAAGAGAAGCAGCCACAGTGCTCTGGGTGGAGTGGACCATAAAACTCATCAAGACTCACTCACATCCCTGGACTTCTGAGCGTCAACCTACTCTGTCTTCTCTCTGCAGCTAGGTTGTTGGAAAACAGTACACAATTTTATATTCATCAGGTCACTGAATCATCAACCAAACCAGCTTATATATCTCTGGGGCAAGGCTTGTTTCCAGAAGTGGTGTTGACAACTTTTAGGTTCTGAGTTAGGTCTCAGCTCCATAATTCGATCCCTGATTGAGTTAACTTATCAGTGAAAACAGGGCATCCAATAAGCACCAGTTTTCAGTTAAACGGTTGAAAATGTTGGAAATAAAAAGACAAGTTTATATTTCTGAAGTTGCTAAGGAATGAGAGTGTTACCCTCTGATGCCTCACATAAGGAGAGAAAATATTCATTCCTCTGTGAATATAAAAGGGTTAACATTTGATTGAGAAAAAAATGTCTCTTACATATTATGTGGACTTGACAAACACTGACAAAATGAAAATGAGTTGGATGCTTCAGATGTCCATCAAAAATTAATTACCTGTCAAAAATACTCCTCCCTCCCCACTCCTATACACCCACTTCTGCCTCAATTCAGAAAAGCAAATTGAATTTCATTCTGGCCTAATAACAGATGGCTTTCATGTTAAGCAATCTGAATTATCTGACAGCAAACAGTATCCTACTCGAACATTTTTGTTATCTCCTATCAACTGCCAAACCAAGAAGACCAATACTCAAAGGCAGCAAAGGGGAAAACAAAAATATACTATTCTCTTAGGAAACAAATTCAACTACCAACATAAAAGCCATAATTTCTTGGATATGGGACTTATAAGATCTGAAAGAAAGTACAGTCCCCCCTCAATATCCATGAGGGATTAGTTCCAGGACCTCCCATGGATACAAATCCATGGATGCTCAAGTCCCTTAAATAAACTGGTGCAGTATTTGCATATAACCTATGCATGTCCTTTCATATACTTTAAATCATCTCTACATTACTTATAAGACCTAATACAATTTAAATAGTAAATATGTAAATAGCTATGTAAATAGTTGTTATACTATATTTTTAAACTTGTATTTTTTTTTATTGTTGCATTGTTTTTCTTTTTTTTAAGATAGAGTCTCTCTCTGTCACCCAGGCTGGAGTGCAGTGGCGCGGTCTTGGCTCACTGCAACCTCCGCCTCCTGGGTTTGAGCGATTCTCCTACCTCAGCCTCCCGAATAGCTGGGATTACAGGCGCCTGCCACCACGCCCAACTAATTTTTGTATTTTTAGTAGAGATGGGGTTTTGCCATGTTGGTCAGGCTGGGCTTGAACTCCTGACCTCTGGCGATCCATCCGCCTCAGCCTCCCAAAGGGCTGGAATTACAGGCATGAGCCGCCCCGCCTGGCCTCATTTTTTTTTTTTCCTTCTATTTTTGATCTTCAATTGGTTGAATCTTAGGATGAGAAACCTACAGATATGAAGTGTATTCTGTTGACTGAAATGGCTTTTATAGCTAAGCCCTAATATTTCATTTTTGAATTGAGTTTTATATATATTTATTATAGAAGCTTTTCCTCTCACTTGCCTATTCTCATATTTAGCCATAGGGCCAATCCTGTTATCTATGAAGGGGACTCATGAACCAAGATGGATAGTCAAGAAATAAAATTTTATCTGAATGGTAGGCAAGGAATTTTTTTTTTGGAGGTAAGTACGTACCCAGAAGGGTGGAGCACCTGTGTGGTAGCCCAAAATCATCATAGCTATGGTGACCACACCTCTACTGTACTATGTCAACTTCTTGAGCCAAGGCTTGAAAATCAATAATTGCCAGTCACTGAACATAGGAGCCCTCTGCTACAAGATACATTATGGGTTGGAAAAGCATTTATGTACTTCTGTTTCAAAAGCTGTTACTGAATATTCTGAGCAATACGGCAACAAATGCAAAAACTGCATATTGCCAAAAATACCAGGCTTGAAACGTCTGGATTTTTTCCCTTTCAATTCCTGTGTTTGTCCCTTCACAACTAAACTCCTGGAGTAGCTCTGTCCCAGGCTTCTAACAGTCCCTTACTCCTGTTCATTCTGCCTTCCATCTTTAACCCACATGTTCGGCCTGTCTCGTTTTGGCTCATAAACCTTCAACAGCGACTCAATATCCACAAGAAATATTGGAATCCCCTTGGCTTAGCCTTCAAGACCCTATACAATTCAACCTCAGCCTACCTTTTAAATCATGATTTTGTTTCCCTCTGATGTGAATCTCCTTTCTGCGCCTGGCAGTCTAATAATGGTTCAGCAAAGGAGTCCTACAGTCTTATTTTCCTGAAAAACCCCTCTTCCTCCTTTCCCACTCAACCCACACATAAAAATATCTTCTCCATTCCTCTCTGTTCATCCAATGTCCTCCTAAAATTCAAGGTCTAGCTCAAGATACACCACAGTTTTCTCTCCTTACCAATTTTTATAGCACTTGACATAGAAACTATGATTTGCCACAAAAATCCGAAGATAATTGAGATCATGTAGTCCAAATCCTTCATCTTCCACACAGATCATCTCTTTGTACTTTTACATGTTTTTACATGTACCTATTTCAACAAATATGTTATAAGCTCTTTATAAGTTGTAAGTTGAAATTCCCGTCTTATACTTTCTTATATGTTCCATAATAAAATACTCTCAGTAAATATTTTGCAAATTTATTAATTAGTAAATATATCATCCTTAAATGTATTAAAAATTGGCATATAATGCCTATTGTGGGAGGTGGTGAAAAAGAAGCAGGGAATTTTGACAGGACTCCATAGAAATATCAGCAGTATAAAAATAGTCTTCCTAAATACCAGATAATGTTGGCAGACATCACTTATCCTCACCACATCAGAGAACTTCAGAGATGAGATTCTCAGATGGGGCAAATTCATTCAGAGATGAGCTAAGATGTCTGTTTCTCACATTCCTGGGCATTAAAAAAAAAAAATCTTAGAGCATGATGGCGAATTTGCTTGTATTGAAGATCATTTTGCTTTTGGCTGTATCAAAATGAGCCCCATCCAAAAAGAGCTGTGCCAAAATGCCATGCACTGTACAGAAGCAGGCCGGGTTGTATTTGTTTTATTTCTGGAGTGTCTGTCATCTGCATGTATAACTCAGTGTTTCCAAAATGCTTTTCACTCAAGTGACATCACATGTGATTATTTTCTATACATCTTTTCTAGAATAACATCTGTAGATTACAAACAAAATAAATTTATAATATTTAACACTGTCAAAACAACTGCAGACTTTATGGACTGTATTTGAGAGACTATTGCTATGAAGCACTTAAATATATTTAAAATGTTGGCTTTCAAAAGTATTATCACTATAAATCACTTTAAAGTGAGTTTAAGTGTCATCCTAACAAATGCCACAAAGCAAAAATCAATCTACCCCAAAACAAAAACTTGAGATGCACACTATTTGCAATTGAATTATATGTAATTGAAGTGTTTGTATATACTACAAGTAGGTTTGACAAATATGAGAAAAAAGCATGTAAAATTCCTACCTTGCGTTTGTTTCTTGTTCACTGCATTATCAGCTTTATGTCGTTTCTAAAGTTTAAAAGCAAAAAGAACAACTGTGAAAATGTGAATAAGATTACTAAAACAAGAGAGCACTCATACCAAAAAAGATTTAGCTTATGTTTCTCAAGGTTTTTATCATTTCTCATTCATGT
Organism: Homo sapiens; assembly: GCF_000001405.40. Lineage (NCBI taxonomy): Eukaryota > Metazoa > Chordata > Mammalia > Primates > Hominidae > Homo > Homo sapiens. Next base: position 42,616,204 of record NC_000004.12, read on the forward strand.
CAATGTTAAAGTATACATTGATGGAGGAGTGGTGATGGGAAGAATTAGAGCACACCTAGGAATTTTAAAACTGAAAGAACAATTCCCAGTATCTCCATAGAGTGCTCCTCTTCTGAGAGCATAAGTTTGTGGTCCTCACAAGGATCTTACCTCGGCACATAGGTAGGATTAAAATTTTAATGTACTAGAAAAGTATGAAAGGTTGATTTAGTATTTTGCTTTAATAACTCACTTCAAAAAGGAGATTGCCTGAGAGAATTATCTATAATAACTACTGTTTAATAATAGTATTGAAATATTTTCAGCTTACGAAATTTGTTACCGAATTAAGCTGAGCACATCCTCTATAATTTAATGATATGCTGATGTCGGCCAATGACTTGAACCAACGATGTCTACCACTGGCATACAGTCTCCCCTGTTCAATGCTCCCCAGCATTCCCTCCTCCCACCACTTGCAACCGAAAGCCATTGAATTACATAATCTTATCATATCTTCCTTCCTCCCAAGAGCACCTACAAAATTACACAATAAGCAAGTGAGTTAGTCTAAGTCTAGGTAGGTTTGAAGAGTTGCATAAGCCAAGGTTTTATAGCAGTGGGTAAGAAGAAGAAACAGAAGGTCAGAGGAAAGGTGAGAATCTGAGTGCCCAGGAAAGCTATTTTCTCTCCGGTTCACCTAGAGGTTTTCCATGGCTTCCATCTAAATTTACAGCATCGAGTGTAACTCATCAGACTCCATTAACACTGCAGAAGAGCGGTGAGTGTAACTAACTCTGTTCGCTCAAAGATTGTATCATACAAAGCCTGAAGTTGAATATAGTTGTGCGTACCTGACTATAATATGGGTTGGAACAAATGTAAAACAAATGAGTTCCTAAGTTTTCCATTTGAGAAAAAATACAGTTTTCAGAATCACAGTGTGCATATGAAAACACTGCAAGAGAAAAATCTAGAAGTGTGGATTAGCACTCCAGGACATGGCAACACCCAAGAGGAATAGATAAGAGCTGGCAGCATACACTCAGTCTGTGGAAACAATCAGCTACTGAACTGCACAAAATGCAAACAAAACATTCAAAATGCCTCTGCGAAAGAATTGTTGAGAATGATTCTTCCCACACAGACATGCAGGAACACAATCAGAACTCCTTTTCAGTATAAAATACTCACTAATAAAAGTGTATTAATGTAGACTTTCAATAGGCATATTATTGCTTCCAAAAGCAAGCACAGTTTGCCAAAAAAGATTCTTAAATGTTTAAAGTTCTGTTAAATTTGTAGCATCAGTAGAGATTTTGTAGTTACAGAACTTTGAAAATATTCTTTTTGCTTGTTAGTAGAGATTAGAAGAAAATTAGAAAGTGATCCAAAACAAATTTTCATCAAAAATAACAGTCCAAGGTAAATTTAGATATTCAAAGGAGGCACAAATGTTTCCAAAATACGAGACAATGGTTAGATTTCCAACTAAAGGAGATAAATAAAAGCTAATTAATGAAACATTCCACTTCAAAGAGGAAATTTAATCTTAGTGAAACCCAAGGCGATCTTAAACATCACTTTCCATCTACAGCGAACTCTTGCACAAGAGCATCTCTTTCCTCTATCTTCCCATCACAGAATTAGGTTACTTGTCATGAAACAAGTGTGTTGAATATATTAAGAATCTATCTCAATAGGCAGATTTTAATCCCATGCCTACAAAAAGAAAGCATCTAACTTTTGTGTCTTGATAAGATTATTCCTTCTAAAACTAATAGTTCATAAAAAATTAAGCTATTCTCTGAGTTCAAATACCTCAACTGTGTCATAATCCAAATTCATTTACTATCACTGAGGGCTAATGAATTATTTAATATCATCAGTATTAGATTGACAGCACACGAATAAACTGTATTGTATAAACAGTGTTATGAACTTCAGGATACATAGTATGCAATGCTGACCACTCCCTCCTTCTGGAAACTCTTCCCTCCCTAGGTATTTCTTATCACATCATTGCCAGGTTTGCCATCTGCACCTTGACCCTTGTCTCCTCTGCCTACTTGCTATTCAGCAATGGTATTGCTCAAGGCTTACTCCCTGGCCCTCCTCACTTCTAACTCCATATTCTCTTCTTACAACTCTTTCATACCTGCAGTTTCAATTATAACCAGTACATAAATATATACCAGTCAAAACTCTCATCTGAGCTCCACGATTATATCTGGTTGCCTCTTTAACATCTCTCCGGCAATCTCAAAGGCATCTCAAACTGTTCACAAGGCAACCAGGGACCTTAATCTCCAAGACCTGGTACTTGTCTCAGACATGGAAACACATGCCATCCATTTACCCAAACCAGGAAATTCATTCTAATACCTTTGTCTCCCTCTCATTCCTATCCAAGCCATTCTTTCACTCAATAAATATTTACTAAACACTGACTATGTGCCAGGCCCTGTTACTGTTGCTGAGACTACAGTAACAAGTGACAAAACCCCTTCCTTGCATGGAGCTTACATTCCAGTGGTTGTGGATAGAATAGGGTATGTAGCCATGTTAGATAGTGGTAAGTCTTGTCAGTTTTACTCTTAAAAATGTACTAAATTCATTTTCTTACTTTTCACCATGTCTACCATACCTGCTGAGTCTAATATATCTTCATTTTTTTTACACTAACAACTAGAATATTCTTGTCTGCACAAATGCTCTGTTCTCCTTGCAATCCATTTTCTACTGTTAAGCCAAAAGGATCTCTAGATGATAATACAGTTAACATTTATTCATCACTTACTATATACCAGGCACTATTCTAAGGACTTCACGTCCATCATTTAATTCTCATTAATAGCCTAGTGTGATTTTTTTGTTTTTTTTTTGAGATGGAGTCTCATTCTGTCGTCCAGGCTGGAGTGCCGTAGTGGGATCTCGGCTCATTGCAACCTCTGCCTCCAGGGTTCAAGCCATTCTCACCAGTATGATTACTTGATTAGTGTCGATCTCTTCTATTGGATATAAGCTCCATCACGGCTAGTTTTACTCACTAACATAGTCTCAGTATTTGGTTCCTACGCATTGTAGGCTTTGAATAACTGTTTTATAACGAATGGAGTCTCCTAGTATTTAAATTAACAAGTTTATAGCAAAGAGGGAACATTTTTAGTGGTAAATATCAATTTAACAAATTTGATCTTTATCACAGGAACTAGCATTTAGCATAATACAGCTTTTTAGAAGAGAGTTCTCCATCAATTTTAGAGTATTTCCAAGTATGTGTGTTATTTGTTATTAACACATAAAAATAGAAAATCATAGTATGTTAAGTTATCTAAAGCATCAAGAGTTAAAATGCACTGGGGGTGGATAAGTCTTCAGTACCTTACCTGCAGGCAATTCTTACTATATTTTAATCTATCTATCTACACATATATATATATATATTTTAAAATTTTAAATCTATATATATAGAGAGATTTAAAAACATTATCTAATAGAATATAGGAAAGTTTACTAGATTGTAATCTCTGCTTTATTCACTGATGTATTAGTGGCAGCCATGACCAGTCTTCACCAATATCCAGCTCTCCACTTCCATGGACCCTGAGATAACACCTTCTCTTTGCCATGCCACTAGTTCTAATATTGAGCTATAAAGAGATGCGTGCTCCATTTCTGGGCCAAAACATAGAAGAACTGAGATTCCATCCCCTCTCCCCACCCTTGCTACAATAACCACCTATATTCCACAAAGCAGAATCTTGATTCAGGCTGAATCCCTGATGCCCACCATCACGTGTCTTTGAGTAAGTGAAAAATAAACTTATATATTAAGCCACTGACATATGAGACATGATTACCAGCACAGCAAAAGTTTAACACATCCTCATACATATCCTAATGAATGCCTGGCAGCTCAAGAGTTCTTCAAATGTTCTTGCTGAACGGATGAATGAAAAGATGTATTCATTATTCTCACTGATAAAGACAGCTCTTTGTCCAACTATCTAAATTGTTATTTGATTTGTCCCCCATTTTAGAGAGTATTCTTTCAAACTTTCTATCACTTTACAGTTTGGCATAAACTTCTTGCTAAACTACTCTTACAATTTCTAGTCAATTTCTTAACAGTGATTTCATTGGAAAACTACTTCATATGATACTATTATCTCACAATACTATTATTACATTCTTTAGGACTGCATGATTAGCAACTTTCTAATAGTACCTGATTATTATATTATGCCAAAAAGAGTTCTGTTAAAAAAAAACTTCTTGGATACAATTTTATTTGCCACGTACTTTCAAAGATGGAGTACTAGAAACCATAGCTAGAGAGATTATAGCTTTGCCAGGGAACAAAACAAAGCAAAACAAGACAGGGAAGGCAGTTTTGAGTAGTGATTATAAGGCAGGAGTCTGGAGCCAAAATGCCTTGTTTGGATTCTGACAGCCCCAGTGTGACTTTGGACAAGTTACCGTACCCCTCCTGCCTCCTCTTATCTGTAAAATAGGGATAAGATCAATAACATCTTCAAGGGTTGTTATAAGATTTAGTAAATGTAAAGGACATAGAGTAAGTACAACCTAGAAGCACAATAAATGTTGGTGACTCTTCACAATCATGCAGAGCCAAGAGCACTGGATAGGACGGAATTCTGATTCTATCACTTTCTTAGACAAGTTACATGACCTCTCTAAGCCTCAGCTTCCTTACCTTTAAAATTGGGTTAACATCCAACTTTCAATGTTATTGAAAAAATTAAACGAGAAAAACATTTGTGAAACACTAGCATGATGCCTAGTAAATTAAAGGTACTCAATGATAATTAGGCTAAACAAAGAAAAGGGAAGTCCAAAAGGCAAAGAAAGTGACAAAAGTGTAGTAAAGACCAATCCCTGTGGACTGCCAAGTCCTACCACAATTTAAAGGTTGGCAAGTCTATGTGGAGCAATGCAGGTAGGAGTCTCTTACACTTCTCAGCTAGTGTCTCCATCAAGTATGTCATTTCCAATCAAGAAGACTATGCTGTTTTATACACATGCACAACATCTGTTTCTACTCTTAAATACTTGGATGATTTTGAAACTGATGATCTAAATGTTCAATTGACCCATTCCTAACATGGCAAATGCCATCTTAATGAGATCCCAATTTGATCCTCTATAGAAAAAGTGTTAATGTTTGTATAACTTTAAATTGGAGCGTTCTAAATTTCTCACCATTTCCTGGCTTTACCATCTTACTTTCCTAAGGATTAACAGATTGTCCTCTCAGACTGGCAAACAACTATTTTAGAATAAAATACCTAGGAATACAGCTAACTAGGGAGGTGAAAGATCTCTACAAGGAAAACTACAAACCACTGCTCAATGAAATCAGAGATGACAAAACAAATGGAAAACATTCCATGCTGCTGGATAGAAGAATCAATATTGTAAAAATAGCCATACAGCTCAAAGCAATTTACAGATTCAATGCTATTCCCATTAAACTACCATTCTTTACAGAATGTCAATGAATAGTTTAAAATTTAACTATTTAAAAATTCATATGGAACCAAAAAGACAGCCCAAATAGCCAAGGCAATTCTAAGCAAAAAGAACAAAGCTGGAGGTATCAATTATGCTACCCAACTTCAAACTACACTACAGGGCTACAGTAACCACAATAACATGGTACTAGTAGGAGAACACACATAGACCAATGGAACAGAATAGAGAACCCAGAAATAAGACTGCACACCTACAACCATCTGATCTTCGACAAAGCTGACAAAAACAAGCAATGAAGAAAGGAGTCCCTATTCGATAAATAATGCTGGAATAACTGGTTAGCCATATGTAGAAGACTGAAACTACATCATATACAAAACTCATCTCAAGATGGATTAAAGACTTAAATGAAGGCTGGGCATGGTGGCTCACGCCTGTAATCCCAGCATTTTGGGAGGCCAAGGTGGGTGGATCACCTGAGGTCAGAAGTTCAAGACCAGCCTGGCCAACATGGCAAAACCCTGTCTCTACTAGGAAAAAAAAAAAAAAAATTAGCCGGGAATGGTGGTGGGAGCCTGTAATCCCAGCTACTCGGGAGGCTGAGGTGGGAGAATCGCTTGAACCCAGGAGGCAGAGGTTGCAGTGAGCCAAGATTGCGCCACTGCACTCCAGCCTGGGCAACAGAGTGATAATCCATCTCAAAAACAAAAAAAACAAACACAAAAAAAGACTTAAATATAAAACCCCAAACTATAAAAACCCTGGAAGAAAACCTAGGCACTACTATTCAGGACATAGGCATGGGCAAAGATTTCATGACAAAGATGCCAGAAGCAATTGCAACAAAAGCAAAAATTGACAAATTGGATCTAATTAAAGAGCTTTTGCACAGCAAAAAAGAAAAAAAAACAACAGAGTAAACAGACAACTTACAGAATGGGGGAAAACACTTGCAAACTATGCATCTGACAAAGGTCTAATATCCGGCATCTACAAGGAACTTAAATTTACAAGAAGAAAACAACCCCATTAAAAAGTGGGAAAAGGGCTGGGTGCAGTGGCTCACGCCTGTAATCCCAGCACTTTGGGAGGACGTGGCAGGTGGATTGCCTGAGGTCGGGAGTTCGAGACCAGCCTGACCAACATGAAGAAACCCTGTCAGTACTAATAATACAAAATTAGCTGGGCATGGTGGCGCATGCCTGTAATTCCAGCTACTCAGAAGGCTGAGGCAGGAGAATCGCTTGAACCTGGGAGGTGGAGGTTGCAGTGAGCCGAGATCGCACCACTGCACTCCAGCCTGGGTGATAAGAGCGAAACTCTGTCTCAAAAAAAAAAAAAAAGGTGGGCAAAGGACATGAATGGACACTTCTCAAAGGAAGACATACATGCGGCCAGCAAACGTTGAAAAAAAGCTCAACATCACCAATTATTAGAGAAATGCAAACCAAAACCACAATGAGATGCCATCTTATACCAGTCACAATGGCATTTATTAAAAAGTTAAAAAATAACAGATGCTGGCAAGGTTGTAGAGAAAAAGGAACATTTATACACTGTTGGTGGGAGTGTAAATTAGTTTTGACCATTGTGGAAGACAGTGTGGTGATTCCTCAAAGACCTAAAGACAAATACCACTTGACCCAGCAATCCCATTACTGGGTATATACCCAAAGGAATATAAATCATTCTATTATAAAGACATATGCATATGTATGTTCATTTCAGCCCTATTCACAATAGCAAAGACATGAAATCAACCTAAATGCCCATCAATGATAGACTGGATAAACAAAACGCGGTACATATACACCACGGAATACTATGCAGCCATAAAAAAGAACGAGATCATGTCCTTTGCAGGGACATGAATGGAGCTGGATGGAGGCCATTATCCTTAGCAAACTAACACAGGAACAGAAAACCAAATACCGTGTGTTCTCACTTGTAAATGGGAGTAAATGATGAGAACACACGGACACAGAGGGGAACACCACATACTGAGGCGCATTGGAGGGTGGAGGGTGGGAGGAGGGAGAGGATCAGGAAAAATAACTAAAAGTAACTAATAGATGCTCGGTTTAATGCCTGGGTGATGAAATAATCTGTACAATAAAACCCCATGACACACGTTTACCTATGTAACAACCCTGCACATGTACCCCTGAACTTAAAAGTCTCTCCTTCTCTCTCTCTATATATATATGAAGTAGTTTAAAAGAACAGGAAAAAAACCAAACCAAAACAAAACATTGGTTTCCTCAAGTAAGACAGTTAAAATAGATATAACAGAAAAAAGGCCTGAATTTATTTGGTAGAGTTAGTTTTATAAAGGAGAAAGAGACTTCCCCTTTCTCTTATTACCACAGAATAAAAATAGCTAATTTGGTTACTATTACTTTCTTTTAAAAAAATGAGATAAAGGAAAAAGAAACTTAGAACTATTAAATAAGGTGAGAAGAAATCCAAGGCATTTAATAAAATGAAATTTATAATTATTTAAATTAAAAAATAGAAAATACCAAAAAATATCACTTAGATAATTTGGAGGGTTTTTCATTTAATTGAAAATAATGTTCAAATGTACTTTTCTCCTCAAGCCAATTATTACAGTAAATTAATTTCTTTTATTTGCTAAACTATAAATGCAATAGAACACTGTAACAAACATTCAGCAATATTACAGAAAACAAAAATCAACTTCAGGGATAGGAACATATTCTAGACATTTTGAAGTTGAATGGATATTTTAAACAGCCCACGCCAAGAATTAAATAATTTAAGAAAAAACTAATATTTAAAGCATATATAAATAACAAAGTCACATACAATTATGAAAAAATAGAATACTTACAATATCTTCTATTATCTCTTTGATAGCTGCCACAGCTAAAATAAATAAGAGAGGAACCAGTGTTGTATAACGACCTGTTGGTGACACATCAGGTATTTGCTGTTTGGAAAAAAAAAAAAAAGAGAAATCCAATGAGAACTAGAAAATTTATAATAGATTCAAGAAAACAGTCTCAGTGCCTTCTAAAATATGCCTCACTGATTTTACTATCTTGGCCGACTAATGCTGAGTGAGGTAATGTGTTCGTATCTAATAAGTACTGGAAAAGCATGTTAATTAGTTTCACAGTAAGCAGTTGTATATAGGACTACAACCTCCATTGGAAGACTGGTTACATAAGTTACAGTATATCTATTCATTAAAATATAACTATTAAAATGATATTTTAGAAACACAATGAATAACTGGGAAAATATCCATACATTGTTATATGAATACAGCAGGTAACAAAACAATAGGTATTCTATGATCCCCTTTTTGTAAACGAAGTCAATAAACGATGCTTGGGAGGAAAAAAAAAAAAAAAAAGACCAGAAGGATATATACCCACAATTTAAGAGTAGTTGTCTCTGATGGTAGAATAATGAGAGTTTTAAATTTTTTTCCTTGTGTTTTGTGGTGTTTTAAAAATTTTTTATTTTCAAGTTCAATGAAAATATTTTTTCAAATTTAAGCATATGTTCAATATGCTACTTTTTAATAAACTAAAACTTTTTCTGACTACAACTAATTTAAATACAAAGAGAAGCACAAGATTTAACTTCTTGCATTCTAAGGTTCAGAGTTGATACTTTTACTATGAAAATTAGCATTTTAAGAAAACGTCCCATCCCCTTTACCACCCAAAATGAACAGTCCTTGCCACATCAAATTTATAGAACACCCAAAATAAGCTGATAAAAATGAATCAAAAGGCTGGAAAAGGTAGTGGATTCCAACACTGCTTGCAGCAGGAGCCAGAAATGTCCACCAAAACCAGCTTATCTCTCGGCATTTACATAAACCTCAGGGGATTGGTCACGGGCTTAACATTTATTAGTACCTGAACATTTGACAAGGTTTTATGACGTGACTTTACCTGCAGCAGTGCAATAAAGAGAAAAAATGAATTAGCAGCTCTTCTGAACTGAGAGTAGAGAAATCTTGGAAGGAATGTGATTATGTTGTATTTTGCAGTGCTAGAAAACAAAAATGAAAAGTAGCATAAAACTTCTCCATAATTAGCACCCACACTTACAAAGTTCTGTTACTAACATATAAAAAGTTAGATAAGGAACATTTGCCGGCTGTTTCAAATTGGGAGAATATTGCAAAGGGTCATTAACCTAAATGAAAAAGAGTGAAAAGGTTAAATAAATGGTAAAGCATGAATACCACAGATTTTTTTTTTTTTGCATAATCTTTTGTCCTATTTGGCCAATTATTCTGCTTAACATTACTAGAAGTAGCTTACAAAGAAGAGCAACTTTGGAGTTAAAGGGCTCCAGCCCTCCATAAGACAGAGTACAACGTGTGACTAGAAAATAAAATCTTGCCAAAAGAACCCCGAAATCAGCAATTTGAGCAATTTGACCAGACACTGTAAACAGAGATGCCTTTCCTGGATAATTTCAGGGAGATCTCTGGGGTTCTGTTTGAATTTTCTTCACTGCCACTCCAGGAACATGGCTAGAAATCCACACTAAACACACCAGATATGCCCACATCAGTAAGATATCACTACTTAGGTCTTAGAAACACCCAGATCTTCCTCTTGTTTATCAAATAGAAAGGAGATTAAAGCAGACACATGCCACATTACCCAAATTGAGAAATGTTCCTCTAGAATTTGAAATTGTACATATTAAGTGGGCACTTCTCAAATCTAGTTAACTCTGCCACTGGAGAAACACTTTATTGGTATTGAAGGTGTTTATGTGGTCCCAGAAGCCGCATAAGTGGCCAGTGCTTACACAGATACTTTTTACATTATTGTTGGAATGAAAACACAACAGTGCAGTGAAGTAATTCGCACAGCCCTCCATTCCTCCACACCATACTAAACTTCACAACTATCAAAAACCAATACTTAAAGACTATATAACCAGAAGGAATTCTTGGTGCAGAATTGCAAAGACCTCTTCTAAAATGTTAAAACTTGCTAACCAAAACCAGTAACGCATCGCTCTATTAACAGGTTTAGGACAGAGGCATTTACACATAAGCAGCTTTCATTATTCAATATCTATGCAGCATCGGCAGAGGATGGGTGCTTATTCTTTCTGCTCCTCGCTATTTCCAGATTCTTATGAATATTTCTCTATGGGAGAGAAGATGGGGAAACAGCCTATTCACACTGCCAACAGGGAGCTCTCAAATATTAACTGACTGCACTGAAAGCTCTTTGCAAGCATTTTCATTTTGACCTAACCAGCTCTGCTCTGCTGGCTGGTCTCATGGCATTCTTTGGTAGTTCTTACCTGACATGGTTATTGCAGAATTTTGTCAGCTGGGGCTGGTTGATGAAAATAGTCCTTACTTCCTCCTGGTCAGCCAGTGAGGTCTTCTCTGAAACATCATCTGTCTTCTCATAACCTTAAAAAGAGATCTTCTTATTGTACAAGAAATGTTTTATTGTCCAGACCAAAAACAGATTTCATAACTAGTCTAGAATATGAAATCTGTTAAAAGCTACTTGCTTCCCCTTAACTGTTGTTTCTTTTATAATAAAAAGTAACATCCCCATATTTAACATTTCTACTAGATTTAAAGGGCAGCATTTAACAGTCATGTAAAAACTGAGCCATATCAAAAACAAGACATAACATCAACTTTCCATTTCCCCCGTAAGTGTTCAACTTCTTTCCTTCCACTATATAAAAAGATGCCCAGAAGTAAACCTTAATTTTAAACTGGTTTAAATTACAGTTTTAGGTAAAACTAACAAGGTAATTTAAAATATAGTCAAAAATTAAAGCATATGCATTTAATACTTTTCTGGGTTTTTTCCCAGATGAAGACAGAAGAAAAGATAAATAGTAAGGTTTAAATAGAGAACTGCAACAATGATCCAACTCACTATCATCACCTATTTTTTTCTCCAGTTAGAATTCATGTTCACAAACGAACTTTAAATTTCTCAAGAGCACTTCAAGTCATCTCATAATCATTGAAACAACAGGATACATTCAACTGGGTACTTTGTTGCAATGTTGACAAACACTTTAAAAAATACATACAAGTTCTAGAACAGAATATCAACAGATAGTATTTTAAACAGCTTTTTGTGTCTTCTAGTGAAAAATCAAAGGGGTGACAACAGTACTGTATCTCCAAAACCCATTTTTCTTCTCTTTTCTGCCTAGCCAATGCCAACTCCTCCCATAAGACCTGCTGACATGTGGTTTCTTCTGAAGTGTTCTATGATGTTCAAGTTAGGTAAAACGTCTTTGGGTTTCCACAGCCCTCTGAACCTCCCCACTCTTCAGCAAAACACTTACCAGAAGGTTTTGTTGCTGCCTGAGTCAGGTTCCCCCTACCAGAATGGGAACTCCCTAGGGCCATAGAGGGTGTGTTATTCATCTTCTCAACACCAGTGCCAACAAACAGCAGGTACCCAATGTTTGCCGAATACATATACCCAATGAAAAATGAGTGGTTGACTGTTTTTTGGGGGCAAGAAAAGCTGCTCCACCCACTGATGAAAAAACAACTGTTGGCCAAGTGCTGGTAACAACTATGTGAAAAGCTGGCCTGTGGGGTTTGTTATAGTATGAAACCAGAAAATCACTGAGGTGTTCTACAAAGGTGAGAAGCATGAGCACAGGGACTGGGGTGTGAGAAACGGTGTCATGTGTGCAGGGGAGAGCAAACAGGGCAGTGCTGCTGGAGCACAGACAGAAGGCGGACGAGAAACCACGCTGAGGAAGCACGCAGGCCAGGTCCCAGAGGACCCTGCGCTCTGCTTGGCAGCCAACCACTGAAAGCTTTCCAAGTAGGAGGGGCACAGGGTGAGAGGCACATTGTATCCTTATCACCCTGGAGGTCACATGGCTCCGAGTAGATTCTGTCACACCCATTTTGCAGTTTCAGACCCAATCAGCAGCTTTGCTCACAGTGTTTCCCTACACCATGTTCTAAACACATACTTTTCCCTCTAGTTTTGTATAATTGAAATTTCACACATGGGTTATTGAATAGAGGGAGATCAATCTTTAAAAAAAATTGAGTCCTTTATTAGGTCTTCCTTCGTGGTAGCATGAAGACCAGAGTGTGCTGTTCCCCGCCTCTGGATTAGAGAGAGAGCCTCAAAAAAACCAGCTCTTCACTCCACTCTGAGCTGATGTTCTCAGGTTGTGTTGTATTTACTTTATATAATGGACTTTTGAGTGTTGTATCTACTTTATGTAATGGGACTTTTGAGGGCCCCGCCCTTGGATGTCCTTAGCTGAGGAACTGGGTGTTACTCCATCCAGACACACCTACTTACATTGAGGTCTCAAACGCTGCTGGGAGAGCACTGGATATTGCTATCCACTGAAAGCAATTGGATACTGCATCTCCCCCTCAGATATTAACTTGTATTCAAGAATTTCTGTGGGGCAAAGGATTTTCCTTGAACTAAAGGGACTGGAATTAACCCCATCCCTTATGTGGGAATCAGAGTAATTAAAACAATCCTAATGGATTAGTAGGGGCCCAACCTAGGTCAGATAATAAGGGATCTTTAAAGAGAAAACTCACCAAAATGAAGGGGAAAATCTAAACTGTAAACTGTTGCCAGGGGTAGGACCATCGAAGAGACTGGATGGCTCTGAGCACAGGATTTCACAGACAACATAGGCTTTCTTTACCCAGGCATTACAGAAAAGCTTTGGAAAGATATTGTACATGAAGCTGAATGTATGCAGAACGCTTCGCTCTGTTGTGCCCTGACCAGGTGTGATACTGAGGAAGGGAGATCTGCACTGAAAGCAGGGAGTGAGGCTCTCAGCCAGTGGAGCTGGTAGGCACCTCTCCCCTGTCTCCTCAGCAGTGACATGGAGAGCCATCAGGCACCTGAAGCCCACTCCCAGAATGTTTGAAGGCCAGAGATTGCAGGTATCACCTTCTGTTATGTATCCAATTCTGTTTACTCCTAGCAGGTGACAGCAAGCTAGCAGTAAACAGGCACAGCAACCTCAGAGGTTCTCAGAAATATCTCAGTGAACATACTTGACCTCAGAGATCCTCAGGAATATTCTGATGAAGGTACCTGGGAAAAAGACTAGCATTTTTGCTAATTTGGAAGTGAGAGTTTGTAACCATTATAATTAAACTCTTCAATGCAATCATCTTACATTGCAGAAATGGGCAACTTAGGTCTGGACTTAACGTAAGTAACCTGTCAATCCAGACTCTTTCCATGTAAAGAGAAACGGACTCTTCCATTTGATTAATGAACCAACACTTTGAGGAAGGTAGGTAGCAATTTTGATCTCACAGCTCTGGGTTAAAGGTGAAAACACATTTGCTACATTCAAAATTGAAAGTTATTCAATATGCACCAGATAATTCTATTTTATGATTTCATTTTTTTATTTCCTCTGCATATCACCACCTTCATCAGCTATAATAACCACATAAAGAGCTACATGTGCATACCTGGGCAATGCCTAAGCTGAGCTATTAGAATGGTGACAAAGGCAATCAAAATAGGAGAATCCTTTACCACCCTGCCCCAAAGAGGGTCAAACTAAGATGGTATTCCTTCTTATACATGGAGTTCTATTCCTCGTTTTAAGGAAGGAACCCATGTCCCTTGCTGTTTAATAATTTAGAGGGTTCGTTCACATAAGTCATTAAAATTTACTAGTAGCTTTTAATCCACCTGTCTGAACTCCTAAGGACTACTGAAAACTCTGACGCTTTTATGTCATCCCCTCACAGAAAGCAAGGGGAAGGCGAGTGCCGTTCTTGATCTGGTAACAGTTCTGAGTCTTCCTGGTAGGTCAGGCCTTCAGAAGCCTTCTTTGTCTGTAAAGTCATGCTAAAGGTGAACTTTACTGAGAGAAAGAAACGCATCTTAATCATGCTCTTTGGTATCTCTCTCAGCTTTTCCTAGCACAATCTTGTGCAAAGAGGACATACAATACTCACCTATTTAACGGAAATGGACTTCAAGACATTCAACAGACTGCTTCTGAGATCCACTCAGTGCCCCACCCATTTTCTCTGGGTTCAGACTGAACTCTGAAGCCCACCATGCAATGGGTTTGAACTCCGTATTAAGTATAGTCGAATGAACAGTATTTGGTAAATGGCAAAGCCAAGAATAAAACATGACCTTAGATAGTTACTTACTTTCACTAGGCTTCAGTTTCCTAATCTGTCAAAGAGAAGTATTCTGTGTTCATGTCCTGGAATAGTTGGTAGTAAATGAAGGAATATGTATGCAATGTACTTAAAACACCTAATATTGTAATAGATTACAATACATGTAATTTGTATTACAATAAATGTAATAGATATTGTAAATGTCTATTATACTTAAAGAGCTAACAGGGTGAATAATGATACAGTCATAGGCTGAGCCTCATAAAAATGGGAGGCGGCTTCTGGGTTAGAGGTTGAAGAATGTTTTGGGGTGGTAATTCTCTACCTTGTGGTGTAACTGACAATTCACCTGCTTCCCTTGTTACATGGTAAGTTACCTATTATACCTCTGGTTCATAGTAAGCCCTCAAAGCCTGATGAATTAACAAGTGAGCAAAACCAGATTAGTAATATACTAGAAACAGATCTCTTTCAAGTAGACATATGTTGCCCAAGCCTGTAGGACTGATGTCCAAACAACAATTAGTAAATTTATGATGAGAAGTAATTGCCACAGGAACTAGAGTAACTGAAGTTCCATAATCAATTCAACTCTCCCAGATTGGCCTGTGTAGAAGTTAAATGACCAAAGTAACCCACCCACCAGTGGTTAGGTGAACTGAGACTCTCATAGCATTAGGGAAGTACAGCCTGATGCAACCAATCCTGCTAAAGGGGTAGATGCATCTGTAGGACCAA
This sequence comes from Homo sapiens, assembly GCF_000001405.40. NCBI lineage: Eukaryota > Metazoa > Chordata > Mammalia > Primates > Hominidae > Homo > Homo sapiens. The sequence continues at coordinate 42,631,568 of NC_000004.12, forward strand.
CCTCTTAAAAGTTTGTTGCAATATCTTGACAATGAGGCCATGATACTTCAAGTCTGTTGGCTAATGCTTCTATTCCCTTCTGCAGAGCTGAGAAGAGTGCTGATAATGTTTAACCCCATGACTTACCCCTTCCTTGACCATCTCCATACCCATTTCCACCTTCGAACACAAATTGATATTTAATCTTCCAATGGGATTACCAAATCCTGTAGGCCTAGGAACCAATCTAGCCCCCTTGCAGGTGACTTTGCTCCTGTATATGTTAGTCTTAGAAAGAAACGAGAAGGTATACTCAATTCGCAAATTTCCAAGTTGTTGGAGACATCTCAAAATGGCCCACAAGTACAGACACACAAAGTAAATGATGATAGTAACACCAGATATATGCGCCTTCCTCACATTTTCGATTCTCCAAGAGACTAACTCAGGCATTCACCCCAATGTCCTTGGTGCTCAGACATTTGACATCCACTAATGGCATTATTAGTCTTCTTAAATTAAGTTTCACAGAGCAAATTGGCAGGCAAATTCATACACCTATCACTTTGAGGAATGGAACTGAGCAAGGATCCTTTTCTATGTATGAAAGCACATTTGTATAGCAGCTTCTGGGAAATCTTAGCTTCTTTCAACATTGTGTTCTCCAAGGTCTGTAACTTCTTAAAAACGGTCAGAATCAAACCAGTTCCCAGAAAAATGAATCTGGTCTAGCTTTTATTGAAATGAGCAAGGAAAAGACTTTTCCTTATTTATGCCAAATAATGTCTGTAATATTCTGCTTGATTCCTATTCCCCCTGCCAGCAGAAAAGCAATTTTGTTTTCTGAATTGTGGTTTATCTCAAGCAATAATAAAATTATCCAGTATTTGCTATGCATATTTTAAACCAGAGACTCTAAGAGGCCAAATTTTGCATTCTTGGTCGTAAAATGGCCAAATGCTATTTCTAAACTTCAGAAGGACCAAGAATTTCAGTATAGGGAATAGTCACATGTAACTTTTAACTACTGAATATGTTAATAAGATTACTTTGTATTACCAAATAAAAATATACAAGCAACATCCTTCTGGTGACTATTTTAGCTTCCAGCAATAATTTTATTTGTCAAGAAAACAAAGGATGCTGGTGGGTCACTATCCTAATTATGACTCTGAAGTGAGCAAGTGCTCATCTTCCCCGAACAGTGTTTCATCACTTAACCCACTTAGGGGCTGTGAGGTGAGCTCAAGTTCTTCTACCAATTACCCACATGACCCTGCACAAACCACTTCATCCCTGGGGGTTATTCTCTTCCTTTGTAAAATGGGGAAGCCAGGCTAGGCTAATAATCTGACAGTTACTCTCAGCTCTAAAATTCTGTGAAATTAATATCTGCTGAGCAGCAGGCAGAAAAGAAATCAATAGTTTTGTTCAGAAGAGCAGGAAAATTCTGAAAAACAAAGTAAAAAAAATTTCCCTTCTTGAGCCTTTATTGAGATGTTTCACAGCAACAGTTGCCTTCCTTAATCTGCAGCCAAAACTCAGTCACGAAGTGAAATGGTGCTTTGTGATGGTAACTCAACATCCATATTTGAAAAGCTAAGCAGTGACTATAATCAGTTGCCAACAACTACCTGGCACCTACTGATCAGTGACTACTGGGTTGCTGAGAATGACGACACAGAGTCTTCCTTTCTTCATCTGCCCAGATTCATCATCACATGCTTATATGCACACAGTACAATGTAACAGAGGAAAATGCTCAATAGTATAAGTGAAAGGCTTCTGACCTGCTCATATGAGAGAAGTATCATTTCTGAAATATTCCATTTTTCATCCGAAATATCATGATCTAATAAGACCTGTTGTTCATTCATTTGCTTATTCATTCATTCAACATACTTAAGAATCTACTATGTTTTGGGCATTTTAAAAATGTTATAGAAATAGCAGGAAATAAGATAAGGTCCTCTTTCTCAGGGACTTATTTTCTAGAGAAGAAAAAGATAATTACAGAACATGGTAAGAATGAGGAAGAAAATAAACAAGTGATTGTAGAACAATTGACAGAAGTCTCTGTGCTTAAGTTTCATTATGCATATAATAGAACTAATAACAGTATCTTACCTCAAAGGGTGGTTGTAAGGACCCAGCGAGTAAATATGAGAACAATGCCTGGCACGTAGTAAGAGTTTAGTAATGAATGTGAGCTATTTTCATTGTTGTTGTTATCACTGCTAGTGATGCTACTATAGCTGCTGCTATTTTACACTGAATGGTCAGAGAAGACGTCTCAAGGAGATGCTGAGTTGAGACCTTGATGACACATAAAGGAAGATAAGGGACAGTTGTCAACCCAAAAGGGGGAATAGCAGGAAAAGCCCTGGAGGGGAGAATGAGCTTGGCATTTCCAGGAACATGAGGGCCACTAACAGTAAACAGAGCATAAAACAAAAAGAAGCAGGGCCAGATTGGGAGAATAACAGCCTGAATTTATATTCTTTATGCAGTAGGAATTCACTGACAGGTTTAAGTAGAAAGACCATTTCGAGGACACTGTGATAATCCAGGTAAAAGATGATGAGTCCTGGGTTAGACTGGTGACAGAGATGAAAGGAAGTGGATGCATACATTATACTCTGGAGGCAGAGCTGGCATGAGCCATATAACCTCTTCATGATTGCATGATGCTCCATAGTACTACTGCCTGGTGCTACTCCACGCAAAAGCCCAAGACATGAAAGAAATGTAGGATTTTTAAAAATCTGACCCATAATGTTTTATTTTGATCACATGCTAAATTTACAATATTTTGGATGTGTTGGGTTACATGTATTGTTCAAATTAATTTTGCCCATTACTTTATTGTAGGATTGTAAATACAACAAATAATTAACCACTTAATGAATAGAATTCTCTTTACAGCCAAACAACCCTAATCCTTAGATACCATGCATCCTTTTTCTCATTATTACATGGTAATCAATAATGTTTAAAATACAGAATATAATCAAGGAGGGCATTAAAGAATCATGCCTAAGAATGAGAGAGACTGTTTAGGTCTACCAGTTATGAGCTCTGGTTACTTTAGACAAGATAATTAACCTTTAGCTACCTACGCTCTTACAAGAGTTTGTGGGGATTACATGAAATAATGCATGTGTAAAGTGCCTGGCTCCTCATGCATATGCAAAAATTCTAGCTATTATTTTTATTATGAAATCAGAAAGGCATACTATGGGAGAAAATAAATAGGCTATGTAGTCAGATGTATGTTCAAATTCAGATTATAACACTTCTACATGGGCAAATTATTTTATCATCTGAGTCTCAGCTTCCTCATCCATAAAATATGGTTAATGTGAGGATGACATTATGTTAGCAATGTAGCACAATACTTGTCATTCAAACAGTTCCCGTCACCCTATCCTCCCCACAGATTAATCTCGCCTTCAAAATACTTGATACGGGAAAACTAAAAGTCTTAAAGACTGTAATGTAGGTATTAACATTTACTTATTTTGGATAATATTTATAGTTGTGACCAGTGTAAATCAATATAGACAGCAAAATAATAAATTTTGCCATATAATTTGGTCAATTAATATTGAGTACTTTTTTTTTTAACAAAATTGTCATCTGTATGGGGTTATGCAACAGAAATGCAGGGGTGGTAGGTAGGAGGGAGACAAGAACAAGATACAAAATCACTGTTGCCTGGTAATACGGTTATAGAACCACTAAGTTTTTTGCAGACTCAACTTTATTGCAATTATAAGTAAGGCTGTAATTGGAATCAGAATATCTATTATATTATTTCCTAAACATATTTAGGAGAGTGCAATTATATAACCTTTCACTCAATGGTTTCCAATATTAGGCATTAAAGGGACCATATTAGCTGCTCAAGTTTCTTGACTTAGGTTGGGGTCATTAAACAAGCAGTCATGCTTGCAACAGTCAAAGAATCTAATAAAAGAATATTAACAGGGAAACTAGACAGAGACTTTACAAGCACAACTGCAGAACTTAGGTGTGATTAAAGTTAGGTACTACTAAGATGGAATTATTAGCATTAACCACTATCCTTTTCAAAGGCTTAATAATTGAAAGTCCTGAATATATATATGCACACATATGTATTTGTATATATTGTTTTGATACAGAAGCTTAAGAATATATACATACACACATATATACATATATATACACACACACACACACACACACACACACATATATATATATATATATATATATATATACACATGTATGTATGTATGTAAGCTTCTTAAGCAGGTGCAGCAGCTCCTGGAAGCACATGAAAAGCTTACAGAAAGGTTGAGGAAGATCTAAGGCAGCTTGACTAATGGAATCAGTTCAAGATACCACAGATTCAGTCCTCTCTGTGTTCAGCCTTTTCATCTCTCCAGATGGCAAATTGACTGTGATTGGCTTAGCATGGGCCATGTGCTTACTTTTAAGTCAAAGAGGGGCATGGTAACTTGATGGAGCAGTCCCCTAAGACTATGGGGGAAGGGGGAGTTCTCCAAAGGAAAGCAATGGGCTTAATACACACACACACACACACACACACACACACACACACACGCACACACACACACATAAGCTTCTTAAGCTGGATCAAAACAATTCTTGGCTGAATAATTAAGATGTTTGTATTTACTTTGTTTTTAGTGGTATCTTAGTACAGATAGTTCATTTAATTATAAATGCAGAAGCAATTACTGCAGTGACAAAAGAGGCTTGAAATCCCATGTTCTGCATTGTTAGAGCAGAACAGTCACTTCAAATGTTCGATTGTGAGCCTGACAGCAGCTGTTCAGAGACGGGTAGGGGGAGAGAGAGAGAGAGAGCTCATGAAAAGAAGGAACCACTACTCTGGAAACAATAAACTGGGTGCTTCAAAGGTAAAGACTTACAAACCACATTTTCAAATATGGCACTGAAGAAATCAAACACCCTTAAAAGCATGGAAATTAAAATGGAAACTATTTAGCAATACCTCTCAAATTTCTAGATCATGACAACAGTAGCCAGAGGAAAAATGGAATTTTCAGTTGCATTAATACACCATCCCTGTACCGAGTGTTAATGCAGACTCTGTGCAGTGGACAATCTGCTCTTTCCAGCTCGGCATCTGCTTCTCCTGGAAACAGCCCATTGCTTTCCTTTGGAGAACCCCTCCCCCAGAGTCTTAGGGGACTGCTCCATCAAGGCTCCATGCTCCTCATTGACTTAAAAGTCAGCACACAGTCCAGGCTAAGCCAGTCAGTCAATTTGCCATCTGGAGAGATGAAAAGGCTGAACACAGACAGGAATGAATCTGTGGTATTAGTCAAGCTGCCTTAGATCCTCCTCAACCTTTCTCTAAGCGTTTCATGTGATTCCAGGAGCTACTCCACCCGCTTAAAGGATATGCTCAGCCTATATATTATGGAGTCTTGACAGAATCATTTCAGTCCTCTGTTGGAAGCCAAGTCCTGTCCCAACACCCATCTAATGTAGGTGGGCAGTGATGCCCTACCCAGACTGGCTAGCCTTCTACAAGAAGCTAAGCCCTGTTCCCTGTACCTCAACCGCTAGCTGGCTTTTCTGATCAACATGGAATGATGACCTGGAACCACAGTGCAATTTTCCTGCTTAAGAATAAGCAGGCTACCTGGAACCTTCCCCAACAGGCCCTACTTGCTGGATCAGATCTCTTCTGATGTTAACAGCTGCCCTAAACAAGCTCTGAGTCCAGCACGTTCTGGGACAACTGTGGATTGCAACTCTAAGGAACTTGCACAATAGCCAAACGGTTTTCCACATCCCTACCTTCTTCTCCATCACCCTCTTGTTCATGCAACTGTGATGCTAGCTCATTACCTCCAAGTCCATCTGAGTTATAACAAACATTACATACCCTTGATCATGTAAAACATGGTTATCTCCTTCAACAATTGATAGCTTTTCATTATACAAAAGGGTTCACTTTTTAAAAGAGTTCTAAAAATGAAGATTAGGAGACATCACTTGTCATATGGAGACTTGCTCAAGGTTAGAGAGTCACTGAGCACCAAAGGCAAGACAACATTTGGAAACTGATAAAGTCCAACCCATATCTAAAGCTCTGACACTGATAGATAGATTCATGCATTCATTCAACAATTAAATTTGACCTCACCTCTCCCTTTAACTCTGTCCTTTGCTGGTCTATTACACCTCAACAGTATTTCCAGTTCAGACATTTCTCTACCCCTTCAGCCTTGTTGGATGCTACTTAAGTGTCAAAATACTCTCCTTGGCCATTCTTCTTTGAAGGGATACCTACAAAAGTTTTGAATATATTGTCTATGTAAAAGACCATCATACATCTGACACTAATCTTTTGAGCTATATGCTTAGTTCAATAATAATAAATGCTATGCATGCTTATGTACAGAGGATGGGACAGGCACAAGGGTATGGGTAAGTATCTATTAAGTATGCTACTCTAATATGGGGAAGTAACATGAATGACCCTTCAGGAAAGTCCCTTCTGTGCACTAAATGTTTGCTAAATTTTCTATTTCAATATAAGGCATCCAAAAATTCCCAGAAATTTATAGTCTTGTCTCTATCCTAATAACCACTAATATATTTTGTCATCAGGACCTGTCATTAGGAGACATGGTAAATGACATGTTTCTTTAAGTGCCTTTGAGGGAATTGATTTAAAAATAAACAAGTGTAAAACACACCACAGCAGTTATTGTCTAAAAAAGGAAAAAAAGTAATGGCTTAACATTTCTTGAACTCACGCTAAATTGCGACAAGCCCCTGAAGTAGCACTACAAATTCTAAGTGGTGGATTCTAAAGAGTACTCCTGACATTCAGAAGAAAGGATATCCTTAAGCAGTATTACAAGGAAATCTATAGTATGCCTAGAGTTGGGCGTCACACATAGTAAACAGTCAATCTTGTTGGCAGCCAGCCTTGGATATTAACCTAAAATAATAGTCATCTTCGGCATGCTGAATTGCTTGGAAATAATAAAACATTTACTAACGCCATTTCATGCTTAACTGGAAAAGGAACCAGAACAATGAAAGACAGAAGGAATTTAATGACATCTCCTTGGGAATAACCCACAGATAACTTTATCTGACAGAAGAATTAAATAGTATATTTGCCAACATAGATGTTTAAAAATTGACACAGAAGCAGACTGCACCAGAAACGAGGGGTTGCAACCACCAGACATCTACCAAGCATCTCCTAGAAGTCTCAATTAGCTTAAAGCACCACTGACTTGCAGTGGCATTAAGTTCACCTCTAAAAATGCACAGGAAACAAGGCAGACTGACACTACGGACTGGATTCTAATCCAAGCAAAAGTGGTAAAGTAGTAATGATACTCTTCAAAAAATAACTGTATCAAAGAGTTTTTGACTGTCAAAGGGGAATACCAGGCCATGTCAGATATGTATTCTGGATTTCAGGAGGGCACATTTCAATTTATTATCAAGACCCACAAAGTGCAGAAGCCCCAACAGCTGTCCAAACCCACATGCTGAGTAATTGTGGAAGGCCCTGACAAGGCGGGGAGGTGGTCAGGGAGGGTTGAAGGAGTTGTATTTAGAGACCACTGCTGCTTCACAGGAAGTACTTGAACAAGCACAAGATTAAAAAAAGATCACAGGAAAGGTTGAAAATAGATAGGTTCACATGTTCAACAGTGAATATTAACAGATGCACAGACATCTGAGACTGGAGGAAAGGTGTTGTAAAAAACGTTAGAGACCACTCGATTTTTCCCCCTTTCATCTGGGACACAAAGAATTGATGAGATGAGCCTGCTGCCTAGAATAGATGATACAATGTTGTTAACAGATAATAAAAGGCAGAACTTCTCAGCTCCAACATCTACTTTGCTTCAATCGTCTATCAAGGATAATCATCTTAAGACTGGAAAGGTTAGAATGAACATTAGTTCGAAGAACTAAACCAAAAGACAAGGTAGGGGATTATTTTAAGAGGGAAAAAAAGAAAAATCAGCACCTAACTGCTCTAAATGAATTCCTAGCCTATAGTAAATACATATATGTATGTGTAGGTATATATAATTATTTTCTAACCTACAGAACTGTGAGAACCTGCAAAATAGTTAAGTGAACTGTTACTAATCAGAGAAGAACTATGGTGAATGAGAGAGGAACTAAAAGATGAAGACAATTTAGTCATCGTTCAGTATGCATGGGGGATTGGTTCCAAGACCCCTTACCAAATCTGCAGATGCTCAATTACCTTATATAAAGTGATGTAGTATTTCAAATAACCTACACACATCCTCTTGTATATTTTAAATCATCTCTCGATTACTTATAATACCTAACACAATGCCTACACGTCATTTGCATGGATTCAACATAGTACTTGGTGTGTGGCAAATTGAAGTTTTGCTTTTTGAAACTCTATGGAATTTTTTCTGAATACTTTTGATCCATGATTGGCTGAATCCATGGACGTGAAACTCAGGGATAAGGAGGGCCACCTGCACTCTCCCAGTGTTCTAAAAAGAAGATGGATCATAAAGATCATAAACCACTGTTTTTTAAAATGGGAGTCTACAGATGTGCTTTCAAAGTTCACAGATTTACAAAATGAGATCCACTGCTTCTAAAGGATTTTTGGGAAAGATCTGAAAATTCAGAAGTTAAAAGAACATTTCTGAGAATTCAGTTAAACATGGAACTGAGCTTAATTATTTTGAAAGCAGTGTTTCTCATACAAAGAATATATTCTCAAAGACCAAAAAGAAATGTTTCCTCTAAAAAAGGTCCTTTACATTAGATAAGTCTGAATAATAATGCTATTGGCCAATGAGTTTGAGGCCAATGCTAGTCAAACATTAAGTGCAGCTGATTAACAGACTGCTTAAAAGGGAGGTGGTGACTGGTGGGGATCAGTAAGCCTCCACTGACTAAATCCCTTTTCTTTCTTTTCAAAAATAGAACCCTCAGCATCTGGATTTCAAGAAGGCTTTTGTGTAGGCCCTATTGTTATAAATGAAGACACACGATTCCATGATTATGAAACAATGTGGATTCACAACTATGTAGCTGACAAACATACATGGAGGGGTCTCACATACTAAAGCTATTCTTTGGCCATCCCTGCCTGTGAGCCCTTCTGAAAGAGCCTCCCCTGGGTCACCCTTGGACTCGGTCTCTCCTTCCATCTCCTGGCCTGGCCTAGTACCTGAGCCCTAGGTGTCAGGGTCAACATGGAGCACCTGACCAGCCAGGCCAGTCAGATCCCTTTTAGAGAATGTGGATTTGTGGTCAGTCAACTCAGCACCAAGTAAGGAACATCACGGACAGGTGGGCTGGAGGGAGCATCATGGCACTCTGAAGCCACATGCATGCCAAAGTTAGGAAGTGAAGGAGCAGACGTACAGAGACTTCCCCCTCACCAGAAAAAAAAAAAAAAAAAAGAACAATGAACCTCTGCTGTGATACAAGAGGATCCCTTACAGTAAATGCCTAACTTGGTAAGGGCTCTGGGTGCAGACTGCCTGGGTTCCAATGACAGGATAAGGACACATGACACGATTAATCAATGTACAGATGACATGAAAAAAATCAGAATTCTAGAAGATTTTGAAAGGCTGAATAAGTTGAAGGTTCTATACTAAAGGCCTAAAGAAGCAACTGTGTAAATACAATATGGGAGACACCTGACCCAGCAAGGCATGTAGAGCATAAATGTTTTTACTGCTTTTATTGCTTTCTTATCAAGAAAAAATCTGAGGTGTCTGAGAATGGAATGGGCTGTCTTAAAAGGGTGTGTGTGGGTGTGTTCCCTTCACTGTGAGGTATTCAAGCCATATCAGTTACTGTGTTGCATTAAATGACTTCTAAGTTCCCTTCCAACTCTAGAATCCAAGGATTCTATCCTTTTAAATTTCTTTTTTTTTTTTAAGACAACTATAAGCTTATTGAGAGAACCACTGATACAGTGCAGGGCGCAAGTTTTCCGCATTTTGTACATGGAAAAGAGTATTATTAAATTAGTTACTACAAATGCTTGTAGGATAGTTAACCCCATTGACTTCAGTAGCAGTGTGTTCATAGGAAGATAGAACTGAATTACAGCTCTGAATGAGCTAGGCCTTAAAAAGTACTGGGGAAAAAAATGAATGAACAATGATGAAAGTTATCTGAATCATTACAACTTTAACTTTTAGAGCTATTTACACATTTTATAACATACAAACAGGTAGATATATGATTAGTTCCAACAGACTAGTCCTCGTTTTATTACAAGAAGCAGAAACACCCAAATAACATCATTATGCTGCTACATTAATCTCAGAATGAGTCAGTGGAGTTTAACTGGCACCTGCTTCTTATCTCCATTGTGACTTTGCAAGAGAGGAAAACAACTCACCTTTGTTTTTTTTTTTAAACAAAGTCTCAATCATCAAAAACATCCAGTGAAGAAACTAAAGTCTTCCTGCCCATTACAACTTTGGTAGGGACATCAGTATAGCACACACAGCAACATACACTGTCCACAAACAAGACAAGTGTTTTATCCTACAGAAACAGACATTACCCAGGATAAGGAAAGTGTGACACTCTCATCTGCCTGTTGATAACACAATGCCACAACCAGGTTTGCCAAATATCCAACAAATCCATTAAACAAAGCTAGAAAAAGAGGAAACCCACAAAAGAGCATCCAAGAACTCCAGCACACCCTAACGAGACTCTGAGAATGGGTGTGGCTCTGGGATGGCTCATCTACCACAAGCACTGTGGGCAGTACTGAAGAACCCACTAAGACTGGTCAGATGAGACTGGCTCAAAAAGCCAAGAATCATTTTCACAAAACAAAGTAAGGAATGGTCGGCATCCTTCAGTTTGTCAGGATGTAGCTAAAGAAGACGACAGAAACCTCCACTAAACAGATTAAGATAGGATGTGTGAATGACAGCTGGTGGGCTGCAAAGACTGAAAAGACCCAGCACATTGCTCAGTGACATTAAAGCAATGACACCTACACATGTGTGAGATTGCCGCACGCCCTACTCAATCCACAGGTAGAACAAAAACGATGCGAGGGTGGATGAAACAAATGCTTCAAGAACCTTCTAATGCCATAAATAAAAATCACTCCATGCAGTAAGTACCTCCTAATGCAACATTTTACCTCAAGATGCTACTACTACTAATTAGAATCATGAAATTAGCTCCCTAGACCTGCTGGTATACCGTGACCACTGCCATGCAAGGTGTGATGGGCATACAGATGAATATAAGAAAACTCCACGAAGACTTCAAAACCACTCCAGCGTTTTTAAAAGTTCAGTTTCCAAAATCTGAACAGCCTGATCTTATCCCAGTCACTCACCAGATGCAGATTCAAAAAACATTTGCTTAGCACCTACTTTATAGTAAGTGCTTTCATTTAATATATCCACTCTGGAAAATGTCCCTGCAGTTTGGAGCACCTCAAGAGCCAAAAGAACGCAGTGATCACGTGAAAGACTGTTCTCATCAACTCTGACTGGGCAGCAAAAAGTCCTGGCAATGTAATTATCGATCCCAAACAGAATAAATCCATACAGTTCCCAGATACCTAAAATTCATAGCAATGGGGAACACGTATTACACTAACAGGTGCATTTACTGAAATTCTAAAGAATATTCAGAGAAAAGAAGATGAGGGAAACAGAAGATGGAAATTCTGAAATCCAGATTTTAGGATGAATGCAATACTCTAAGAGAATAAAATAAATGTCTACAAACATATGTATTTTTGACACATGGGACTTTCTCACTCCTTTCTAAGATGCAAGCTGGTTTTCATTCCTTCATCCCAGTGTTTTCTATTTCGGTAAATGGCACCACTGTTTTGGGCTCAGGGCCCAAAACTTTAGTCATTTTTGACTCCTTTTTTTAAAATTCCATAACCTAGCCATCAACAAATCTGTTGGATCTATCTTCTAGTTATATTCTGAATCTTGACCACTCCCCATCATGTCCACTGATGCTTAGTAGTTGAAGCCACTATCATTTCTCCTTGTTTCAACCCTTACCCCCAAGATGAAATCAGAATCCCTGGGGGTGGGACCAGGGGTCAGTGTGTTGAAAACTCCTTGGGAGATTCCAGTGTGTAGCCAGGCTTGGTCTCCTCACTATCCAACAGGCAGATGATTCGCTGGTAGGTATTATCACTTTATCAAAGAGAAACAGGAGTCTCACAGAGGTTAAGTGACATGCTCAAGGCCGCACAGCTTTGAAGGGCCAGAACACACATATCACTCCAGGCCTACAGGAAGTCCCAGTGCCTTGTTTCACTTTCTCGCCAATTATTTATAGGGCATTAGCTTAGGATGTTAAAGATAGCTTCAAGCGTAGTTATGTCACAAAACAAAAAAGCCCTACTTGCAGGTGGCTACCGTGTCATCTGGTACTGAGCAGACCAAAAACACATGAAACAAACAGTAACAATGGTGATTTATTTGCTTCAATGAATTTTTGTTTAAAAGGTCAATTTTAGCTGAACATATGGAAAAATATCTGACCTATAAAGAAATCTACTAAGTTCAGACTGAAGGCCTTCGTATTAAGGCTTAGTTAAAATGAAAATATATAGGAGAGTGGTTCACCAACCACAGGGATAAATTCCACCGGGAAATTCACTTAATAAGTTCAAGGGGGATTCAATTTGGTACCTGGGGAAATTAAGAGAGTTTTTTCTTTTGCTAATTGTATTCACTTGGAAGTCAACAAAAGGCCAACTCATGTAATGATTCTCTTACTGAACGTTAAACGAAGAGACAGAAATCAGTTGCCATCTGGGGTTAAATTGAGCCAACAATTCAGAACTTTCCAACCTCTACAAGATCAAATTCTGGCTTTTGAAAATAATTTCCATCTGCAAAGTACAAATCACATTATCACCTAATAAAAGGAAAGTCTAAATGCAGAGACAAATAAGGATAGATGAGAACTATAAAATAAACAGCAATCACGAATGCTGGACACAATGCACTTGATCTACAGTACTATGGTGTTTTTCTAATCCCCAGAGCGTCAAGTGATAATCTTCCCACCCGGCAGTGGCCACCAGCAGCATCCTAAAGCTAGAACCCAGCGCCCATCAGAGCGGCCACCGAGAAACACAATGGCCAAATAAAGAGTCTCAAATATTGGCCTCATCTCAGCAATTAGGGAAGGCAGGTAAATTGGGAGTTTTCACATTTTGTACGTTAACCTATAAAAGATTATTTCATGTCATAATGGGATAAATCAATAAATCTAGACTGACGAAAATATACTCCTTGAAAAAAAAAAAGTTGCCACAGAAATTTCAAAGACTATTACCAAGTCATTATGCTATTTTTTTCAGCTGCAAATGACTAAATATTTGGGCTACAAATATAGGCTGAATAAAGCAACTAATTACTACAACATACTAAAAGCAAGCAGGTTACCAAAAAACTAGTAATGACACTGCAGAAAAGCTCATATTGAACAAGCTCCCAGAGTAGATATAACACCAGCTAAAAATAAACTAAATGTGTTGTACTCTTCACTTAGTTGTACTGAATTGAATGTTCAATTCAGAATTTTAAAGAAAGTCTTCAAAACCTAATAAATAGTATTAATGTATGACCTTGATCATTTCTGAGAGGGGAAATTAAGAGGAGTATAATTAGTCCTATTAGCTAACTGGATGATACACAATTTACCAAAAATATTGATTTTCTTTGGTAAATATTTTGGGTAAATTGCTTGTCTATCACTTGGCTAGCTAATACTCTTGGTTTCTTGGCTCGCAACCTATATAGTTGTATACAATTTATTCCCATCCTCTCTGCCAGCAAGTAAATTCAAGGTTGTATACCAGTGTTTTCAATACCACTGCACATGAGAATTACCTAGGAGATAAAATATTAATGCTTGGTCCCTATCCCTATAGAACAGACCAACTGATTCCATCGTTCTGGGATGGGTCTGGGAATCTGTATTGTTTAGAAGCTCCCTATCTAATTCACTATGAAGCCAGGGTTGAGCATCACACGATGTGGCTATAAAAACAATTTACATTTCACAAGCCTCCCACTGCCCTGTCCACATTGGACACACTTTTCATTAAAGATAGCAGAGACATTCCTCCCCATGTCATTTCTCTAACATTTACCCATGACAATGAAAATAAAGTTAGGAAAGTTGACTTAAGTCCATCTGAGAATATTTATCACAACCATTCTGGCATAGATGGTAGACTGAACCCAGCTTAACATGTAGAGCAGCCACCAGGATTGGATAAAACTTAGACCCATCTCATTTCTTTGGTCAGAGACAGAACATGGCCTAGGTTAGAGAAAAAAAAAAAAGTAGAGTGAGACAGACTAGAAGGGAACTGGAAAGGGCCAACTAGTCGCAGCCACTGGAATAACAATACAATGGTGGAGCGACAGATCCAGGACAAATGGAAATGGGCAACACCTACACTCAGAACCAAAGATCTCCTGCATGGGGCAACGATGTGGGTTCAGGTGAGCTGGCCAAAAGCAACTGTGGGTAAAGTGAAAGCAAATGATACTCAGAAACCTTGGTAGGCCTGGCGTGGCATCAAAACGGCTCACAAATGCTGAGCACTGGAGTCCAAGCTAGGGTTGGGAACCAGCATCTTGTCCTGCCAAGAGCAAGGCAGGCCCCCCCATCCTGGAGCTCTATAAGCTGCTGGGACAGGCACTCAGGGTCAGGGAAGTGGTGACAGGGTGTGCATGCCTCATCTTTAGAGTGCTAAGTCAGAGCTCTTCAAATGTTGACGTTAAAGATTTTTGGGACTAAATCTATGTGGGATTGAGGAAGGGACACGGGAAAAAGACGGTCTGTAGAAGCTGGAAGATTTGTTTTATACAACGTTAGCTTTACTTCAGGACCAGAATTAACCACAGGGACCTAGGTCAATTACAGAAGCTGAACTGGTGTAGGCTGGCATCAGAACAAACCATCTCTTTGACTCAACCCTGCATACCATTGTTTGCTTGTTTCACTCACAAAGGCCAATCTTGTACTCTAAACAGGTCTGGCCCACTAAAGTGGTGCTCTGGTCCAGAACCCAGGCTGGCTTTGGCCTTCTTAGTGACATTCTGAGCTGTCACTCAACTAATCTGATATTATTAAGCACAGCCCTAGATGGATCAAGATCAGTCATCTCTTTTAAAGATAATTCACATAAAATAATGAACAGAGGCTCAATTTAAAACAGACACCTCTCTTTGCCAAGTCAATTAGAGGTCTAATTAATCCATGAAGCCAAGTTCTATACAGTTGTCCCTTTAGCACAAGTGATGGTGATATTGTACATAAAAGAATACTACTTAAGAGTTTTATCTACTTCACATCTCATGCTAACATTTAAATAAAAATGAATAGGAAGACATGGCAGGGTGTTTTATTTATCAAATATATTTTATAAGAGATTAAAAAATTGGAAACAAAACAGGCTACAAAAGATGCCACAATGTACTTACATAAAACCTCTAAACTGCCAAGTCAAAGGCAGTATTATCTAAGCACCCATATAATGTGTGAAGTTTTATACACACGTGACTGCCTTCTGTTGTTAAGAAGGGAGCTGAAGACTTAAACCTCAAGATCTACATATGTATTTCTAACAAGCTTACTTTGAGCTATGGGTTTCCATCACAAAATTTTATATTCTGAAAAATTCTAGTAAATCCTAACAAGTAAGCATATGCTAGAGGTATAATTTACAACTATGCTGTTCAATACAGTGGCCACTAGTCACATGTAGCTACTGAGCACATGAAATAGTACAAATTGAGATGCACTATAAAATGCCCACCAGATTTAGAAAACGTAGCACAAAAAATGTAAACTACCACTCATAAATTTTTATAACAAAATATTGAAATAATATTTTGGATATATTGGGCCAAAGACAATTTATATTTATAATACATATTAGTATTTATATATTAAATACACTATTACTTGTATTATTTAATATTAAATATATAGTATTAAAATTCATTTAACATCTCTTTTTACATTTTAAATGTAGCTGCTTGATTGTGGCTCACGTTTTATTTCTTTTAGTGCTGATCTGAGATATAAATGCTGATTTGTAAGTAGATTCCATGGAACCATTAGCTAAATCTAGTTGGTCTAAATTTGACCTTATTCCTAGCAAAAAGGAGAAAAAAGAGTAATATCTCAGCTATCATGTCAGGGCCACTACATGAAATAATAAAAGTGGTAAGTTGGAAGCAGAGTCCACAATACATCAGCAGATAGAAATGAACCATTCTTGCTCAAAAAGTAGTAAAACCAACAGATACCTGGTCAAATCTTATTAATTTAAAACCTCATTTAAAAATACTTTGCTTTAAGACATACAATATAATTTTAAAACCTACAGAGACAAAAATTAACTGAAAAACTGAAATGAATTCAGACTGATACCAATATCAAAGTAGCAATAATTGAAGAGGGAAACTAAGCATACATGACTCAATATAAGAAAGATGCCAATTCTCTTAATATAAATTTATAAACAATGCAATTCCAATAAATATTCCAACATGTTTTTTAACTTGATTCAATGATGTACTCATAAATTCTAGTAGAAAAATACAACTGTGGGGGAAAGAAAACCCAGAAAAACCTAGAGAAAAGAGCAAAGCAAATGGGACAGCTAAGAGAATATTTTTTGTTATGTTGCAATAAAGGAATTTGATACCAGGGGCTAAAAGGGACCAAAATAAAGAGAGGTGGCGGCGGGTGGGGTGGGGGGAAGGGAAAGAGAGACTGACTCCAGAAAAAAACTCAAATATATACATACGGAAGCACCTCAAATCAGTGTGGGAAGAAAGGATTATTAAATATATGGTTATTATGTCAGGTAAATAATTTGAGGAAAAACTTAGATCCAGGCCTCACATTTCACCACAAAGTAAATCACACAGGAATTACTAATATAACTGTTTAAAATGAAACCCAAAAGTACTAAAAGAAAAATATAATTGAAAAATTATCTTGAAAAATATGACATTAAAGCAGAAATTTAAAAAAAGGAAAGATTATACTTCATAAAAATTAATTTACATACATGTTAAAGCACTACAAAGTTAAGATAAACTATGAATAAGGAAAAAAGGTATTATCGTTAACATATAAGTTCTTAAACTTCAATACAAAACTTGATAAACAATTCAGAAAAAAATAATCACTACATTTACCAAAATATGTTAAACCTAATAAAGCAATGTAAACTTAAAGACTTACTTTTTACATTCTATATCCATAAGGAGGAAGAAAAATGCTATACAGTGCTGCAAAAGGGATAAACAGGCACTCTCATTCACTTTCAGTGGGAGTGTAAACCAGTATAATCTTTCTAGCAATTTTCAAATATGTATCAAAAGTCATAAAAAGATATATACTTTTGACCCAGAAATCCCATTTCTAGGGACTTTGAACAAAACCATCAGAAAGGTGTACAAAAAGATACAAAGATGCTTATTCAAGAGTTTAAAAAACTGAAATGACCTAAATGTCCACCCACAGGGTTCTTTAGTAAGTTATTCTGTACTAACATAAAAATGCTAAGCTGTCATAAAATTAATAAAATTGATCTGTTCATTCAACAAAAATTTACTGAGCTGCTACCAAGTGTCAAGCACTATTCCAGGCACTAAGGATATAACTAGTGACAGTAGACAAAATTTACACAAATCTATATTGGCACAGATATCCATAAAATTATTAAAAATAATGCAGATTACCTCATTCTTCCTAACAAATATATCTTTTCTGGAAAATAGTTGGGAAGGACATATACTAAAATTCTAACATTGTAAATATATAAATTTATATGAAGTATATAAAAGTTTATAATCACAATGTGATTATATTTGGATGGCATAGTTTGTGATGAATTTTACTCTCTCCTGCAAGACTTTCTGAAGCATGAGTTTTTCCCAGTAAGCAGGCAGTACTTCTATCAAGACTCATAGTTAAGCTCTTCCATTAAAAACAAAGCTCAGAGTTATCCATTCATTCAACAAATATAGAGTGGTGGCTATGTGGCAGACAAAACTCTAGGTGTAGAGGGTACAGCAGCGAACAAATCTCACAAAAACGCTCCTTTGGGGTGCTAAGGTTTCAGTAGGAGGGTACTAGATTTAGTACATCTAGATTTAGCTCTGAGTATTTTACAAATTGGATTATAAGGCATTTTCATCTTTAGGACATAGATTCATTCATTTAACCAATGCCTACTATGTGCCAGGCAATGTCCTCATGGGGAGCAATATATCAGTGGACAAACCAGACAAAACCCCCTGCCCTTAGGGAGCTTACTACCCGGAGAATACAATCATTGGAAGGTTTGGGCTCCTTTCGCTAAGAAGTAAAGAATGAAGGGGAAAGTGGTGGCCTTCATGTCATTGACATTCCAATGAAACCATGTGAATAGAGACCCACGCAGCAAACATTTCGTTAACTTCAAAAGTGTCCTCTGACCTTTGCAAACATTCCCACAGCTGTAACATTAGGTATATGCTTCAATTCTGTTTTTGAAATGACAGAAAAAACAAACCATGAATTCTGCACTGAAGATAGAAAACCTAAAATAATCAGATCTAATACACTTATATCTCCAGAATTACACTAAGTAAAATGACACCTACTTTGAGATTTTCAAATATTGATGACATGCTGTATCGCTATACTCATACACACCTTCTCACACAGTGCCACTTCAGGTAAAACTGAACTCATCTCCATACTCATCTCCATGTTTCCTTTGGGACCTCCTTCATCGACCACAGCCTTTTGTCCCACCACCCATTTAGCTGGCACACAGCTGGTGCATAATAAGTGGTTTTTAAAGGAACAAAAACCTTAGTCATCTTTTACCTGGAATAGCGTCCTAAAATTTTTCCTTTAAGGACAGCTTAAATTACTTTTTATTCCTTTTGTTACCTTTTATGTAAATAAAACATACTATTCTACATAGTTACAAACATTTTAGAGTTGCCATTTAGAAAAACAATTCCTAAAACAACTTCTGGATACATCGTTTAGCACATATTTTACATAATCAAATAAATGTCATTATATTTTAGCATTATAGTATTCAACAGAAGAAAACACAAACCACTGGATAGGTATGTGAAGTTTTTGTGTGTGTGCATTTCTTTAGTTCTGAACAATTTAATCCTTATTATATGTAAAGTATGAGCTCCAGAGCAGTTTCTATGTTATCCAAGCAAGAGCCTTTGGCAATCTGAGAACTTCACTGTGACTGATTCTGTTGTCTGCCTGATATAGTTTGGCTGTGTCCCCACCCAAATCTCATCTTGAATTGTAAATCCCACAATTCTCACATGTCGTAGAGGAACCCAGTAGGAGGAAACTGAATCATGGGGACAGGTCTTTCCCATGCTGTTCTTGTGATAGTGAATAAGTCTCACAAGATCTGATAGTTTTATAAATGGAAGTTCCCCTGCACAAGCTCTCTCTGCCTGCTGCCATCCATGTAAGATCTGACTTGCTCCTCCTTGCCTTCTGCCATGATTGTGAGACCTCCCCAGCCATGTAAGTCCATTAAACCTCTTTCTTTTGTAAATTGCCCAGTCTCGGTACGTCTTCATCAGGAGCATGAAAACAGACTAATACAGTACATTGGTACCAGAAGAGTGGGGTGCTGCTGAAAAGATACTGAAAATGTGGAAATGACTTTGGAACTGGGTAACAGGCAGAGGTTGAAAAAAGTTTGGAGGGCCCAGAAAGCAGGAAAATGTGGGAAAGTATGGAACTCCCTAGAGACTTGTTGAATGGCTTTGACCCAAAATGCTGATAATGATACAATGAATTCCAAGCTGAGTAGTCTCGGGTATGTCTTTATCAGCAGTGTGAAAATGGACTAATGCACTGCTCAATAACCATACACCCTTTTCCGTTTGTAACACAACACTGGGTAATGTGTCCAGCTGGAAATTTCCATTTCCCAGCTTGCCCTGCAAGTGGAAACCAATGCAAAATAAGCATTAGTTTTTGTGTGGTGCTTTCTGAAAAACCTGTTTGCCTTTCACCCTTCCATTTTCTCCTGGCTAAAACTATTGTACATGATGGCTGGCACCCCAGCAACCATGCTGTGACTTTATGGAAGACAAACTCTCAGGACAGTGAAGCAGAAAGGCACAAGGAGCCAACATCCCTTATGACTTTGTGTAGCAGGCACAGCCAACCCTGTCTACCTCCACACTAGTTTTACAGGAGTGAGAAAAACTATTTTGTGTAAGCTACCATTATTTCAGTCTGTTTCCAGATTTCAAATGCTAAGTTCAAACACCCATTTGATTTATCTGGGGCAGCTAAATAAAGAGACCTAAAATTCTTAGTCTTCTGCTTTATCTACTCTTGCCTTATGGCAAATTTTTCCACTATCAGGGTTTCAACTATTGTCTCTCAAGATTCCCAAGTTTGAGGTTTCCCACATCTCACCTAAAAATTTCCAACTACCTTTAAAACATGTCCATTTGGATGTCCCCGTTACCTCAAAATTTGAATTAGTATCATCTCTTATTTTATTAGTCCTCCTTCCCAATTTCCTTGTTGTTTAATAGATTTTCTCAACCAGTCAAGCTCAAGACTGTAATGGAAATTTCCTCAAAATGTGTTTCACCAGCACCAGGGTATCTTGGGAGGCTCATTAAGAATGCGAATCCCCAAGCCCACCACAGATTTACTCAACTAAATCTTCACAAGCCAGCCCAATAAGATCCCTGATAATTTATGAACCTACTACCAATGTTATTACTAATAAAATATCAATATGCTATTACCAATAAGATCCATGGTAACTTATTAATATTAGAATTCTAAATTATTGTTGAGACTTGCTTTTTTCAAAAAAGTCCTTCTCTCTCCTGCCCTATGTTTACTAAATATTCACTAAATAGCAAAGTCCTATAATATGATTGCTATGATTTGGCTGTGTCCCCACCCAAATCTCATCTTAAATTGTTGCTCCCATAATCCCCAAGTGTTGTGGAAGAGACCTGGTGGGAGGTAACTGAATCATGGGGGCAGGTCTTTCCCGTGCTGTTCTCATGACAGTGAATAAGTCTCACGAGATCTGATAGTTTTATAAAGAGCAGTTCCCCTGCACACGCTCTTTTGCCTTTGCTCCTCCTTCACTTTCCGCCATGACTGTGAGGCCTCCCCAGCCATGTGAAACTGAGTCCATTAAACCTCTTTTTCTTTATAAATTACCCAGTCTTGGGTATGTTTTTATTAGCAGCCTAAGAGCGGACTAACACAATGACCTTTGTGACCTCATTTCCTACTATTCTTCCCCTCACCGTTCCTAATTCCCGATGTGAAACTGAGTCCATTAAACCTCTTTGTCTTTATAAATTACCCAGTCTTGGGTATGTTTTTATTAGCAGCCTAAGAGCGGACTAACACAATGACCTTTGTGACCTCATTTCCTACTATTCTTCCCCTCACCGTTCCTAATTCCCGATTCTCTCCTGCCTTGGGGCATTTGCTCTGGCTGGAACACCCTTCCCCCAGATCCCCACCAGGCCAACTCCCTTATCTCCTTCATGCCAACTTTTCAATGAGGGCTAGTCTAACTAACCTACTTAAAATTGCAATCCATCCACCCACCTTAAACATTTTGCTTTCTCTTCATTTTCCCCATTTGCCACACAACAAATTCTATAATTAGCATATTTTGTGTGTGTTTTGTCTCCTGCCTCACTAGAAAGTAAGCACCTCCAGGGCCATGCTTTTCCTCTTCTGTTAACTGATGTATCCCAAGTGCCTGTAACAGTAGTTGAAGTTCAGTAGACATCTGCTGAATGAGTTAATGATTCAGTCAGAAATCTGATTCCTCCCTTCCCATTCTCACTGTTCCACTCTAATACTAATTCTGACTTTTGTCATTTTAAGACTGTTTTGCAAAAGAGTCTATCTACCATACCTTTTCCTCCAAACCAGCCAACACACTTCCAGACTTAACTAAGTTACTACTTTTAGGATGTCCCTCCCTTATAACGATGTGGCCCCCAACTGGCCCTGTTAGATATTATATATTGGAGTTAGGCTTAAATAAGAAATTAGATTCAATGAACTCTAAGAACCTGTTCAAATATTCGGTCCTGTGTCCAAATGACTCACCTTGGCATTTAAAATGCTTTGTAATCTGGCAGTAATCTACCTATCCAAACTTTTAGCCTGCTCCTTCCAAGTTTCCCTCTGCTCCCGGCCAATTTCCTTAAGAACTCTGAAATAAGCCATGTTCACTTTCCCCATTTGTTCTTGTTATGACTGTCTTCAACACTCTCCTAACTACAGAAATAGATGTCAGTATCCTTTAGGATCCTGCTGCTCAGACTGTGATCTGCAGGCCAGCATCCTTCAGCATTACATTCTTGTCAGAAATGTAGTAACTCTGGCCCCACTCCAGACCTCCTGAATCAGACTCTGCGTTTAACAAGATCCTCAGGTGATTCCTATGAACCTTCGAGTTTGAGAAGCACTGTGTGAGGGCTCATCTCAAATCACACCTCAATGAAATGTTCACTCAGCAGGCCTTATGTTCAGTAATAAGTATGTACTAAATTCCTAATCTTCCACAGGTCCTGCGTCCCCCACAGCATGCACAATATTTAATTAACAACATCCCCTCTTAGACTATTTATTCCCTCTTTAAGTCCTTTCTCCCCAGTTTGGTTGTAAACAACTTACAGGCATGACAGTCATACATCTGGCCAATCTGGATGAAGGGAACAGAAACCCATTCAAGTCATTTCAAGGGGGGGAAAAGAGCTTATTTTAATGCTACTTGGGAACTAGGGCTATAAAATTCGGGAGGGCAGGCTCCAAGGTCTCGCCACCCTCTCTCAGGATCTGTGTCTGCCCATCCATTCCATTTTCTTTGCTATCTCTCTACTCACTCATAGTTTCTGCTTTCTTCTATCAGCAGCATTCCCATGACTTATTATGGCCACCCATTCTCTCCCATACCAGCCTATTCACCTCTGCTCCCTTCTGCTTTTACTCTAAATCTCTAACTTTAATGTTTTCAAGAGAGATATGATTAACACAGAGACTCTTTTTGAGCCAAACCACAAGGTTACAAGTGTCTGAGTCACATAAGAATTGGTTGACCCTGGGTCAGGAGCCAACCATAGTCCAATCAGCTGAGGCCAAAAAGGCTGCAGTTCAGAACAAGGCCCTCTAGGCAGCAGGGCCTCTCTCAAAGGAGAATATTCCTTAGGAAAGGTAGGACTATATTTTTTAGGAAAGAAATATTTCCTAGGAAAGAAAAGTGTGGGCAGAGCAGGCAATGAGCCACAACGCCAGCCCCACAGAGTCATTATTTGTCTTCACCACAGTCCCAAGCACATGCTGAAGCTATAATAAACTGGAATCAACTAATCTCAGGGGAAAGGGTCATTCACTCACCAAGCACCACTATGGCCCTGACACTGTGCTGGACGCACAGGGAATACAAAGATTAAACAAGCAGCAGTCCTTGTTTTCCCAGAGCTCTTAATCCAAATGTGTCACTGAACTAGTTACTTGACCTTGGGCAAATTACTAAACCATATGGGCCACAGTTTCCTCAACTATCAGATGGCACTCCACCTTCACCAACCTCCAGGAGTGTTGTAAGTTTCCATAAAGTAATCTTTGTAAAAGTACTTTGGAAAATACACAAGCCAATCAAGAACAATACTGCAGCCCTGTAATCCCCTCACATGCCACAGGTTTTGCAGTGCTCTCAGACTTTTTCTCTTCCCCTTATTTCCCACAATATAGGACCCATCAATTGCTATTATTTAAAAGAACACCACCAACTATTACCATTCTACTTTCACTATCTCTATGACTAATTTCACTCAGAAGTGTAAAAAAAATGAATTTTTACAGTGTGCATTTTAAAAGTATAATGTATTCAACTGTGTATGTAAAACTATAATGCCCTATATAAGTATTTTTTGGGTATTACAAATGACAGCATGTACCGAATTCCTATGTAGTACACAGGCCAGTTTTGAATCTTGCTTCGTCTTCTCCCCACAGCAGTTTCATTTAATATTTCCTAAATACTGCAATCAGAAAATTTCAGGGACCCTATTTTTACAGGGAGCCCCTAAGGAGAAAAAATGGCCTGTCTCCATCCCTGAAATCCAATTCTCCTAACTTATATATTTTTCTAAAACCACTTCACCACCTGTCTCACATTAAAAGATGGAGGTGGGGAGGAAGAGTGGGAATCAGCGATGATGGCAAGATAGATTTCTGAAAAACATGTTATTCCACCCTCTGCAGGATTCAAGTACAGGTTTATGGGAGAGGACAAACAAACCTTGGGATATTTACAGTCTTGGCTTTGACGCGAGCAAAATCAAATAATATTTACAGAGTGCCTGCCACATGGCAGGCAGGATGTTGAGGGCTCCTCGGAGACGATGAAGAGTCTGGGCCCTCGGAAAGCTTACTTGCTTCTACCCCGGAGCATCTGTTGCTCAGTGTTGACAACCATGGCCATTCAAGAGCTGGCCCCAGGTGGAGCAAAGAAAACAGCTTCCACCTGGCTGAAAAGTCAGCTCAGCTGGCCGAAGTGAGGGTTTCGGGCAAAAGGGAAACACAAAAACGAAACCTCAGACGCGAGCCGGTGGGACTCCGCTGCAGGAGGCAGAATTGCAGAAGCTGTAATGCAGGGAACCCACTCGGCACCCGACCCCGATGAAGGCTCCCCGCGCTTCGAGAGCCAAGGGACTACGGATCAAAGGATCCTGCAGCCGGGGAAAAGCAAACTCGCTTCGCTGGGAGCTCAGATAGGGGGTTGCAAAACGGTGGGCGCCGGAGGCAGGGGCGGCGGGCTGGGGATCTGCTGAGTGGAAATCGAACTGGTGGGGAGGGAGGTGGGCAGGGCGAGTGAGCTCAGTGACTGGGACCTAATGGTCACACTGCGGTGCAAAGCACGCCTCGGGGCTCCCGCGGAGAACACCCATTCGAGGGTACTGGAGCCTGGAAAGGGTCTGCGAGTACACTGGGGGCAGCGCGGGGGGAAGGGTCCCCTAGGGGCCGGGCGCGACAGTCGGACTGCCGCCGGGGAAGAGGTAGGATGCGGTCTCTTCCAGGATAAACACACACGCTCACACACACACTCGCTTCCCGACCCCGGGCTAGCCCCGAGCCTCGGCGGCCCCTTACCTTCGGCGCGCGAGCGGATCTCCGACACGGTCCTCCGCATGGTGGGCATCGCGGCGGCGGCTGCAGGTGGGTCCTCAGCCCGGACTCTGCACCTGTCACGGCGTGGTACACGCGGGAGACCCGGCTGCGCCGCGCAGAGCGCTCAGCTGCAGCCTGGGCCGCGCCGCCGCCCACCTAGGGCAGAGCTGCCGCCGGGCGCGGCCCCCGCACGCCGACAGGAGGAGGAGAAAGGCAGCGGTGGCGGCGAAGGTGGCGGCGCCCGCAGAGCTGGGCGAGCTCTTGCTGCAGCCGCGGAGGGGCGGCTCGGCGAGGGGCGGAGCTCGGGCGCCGGCGCCGGGGGAGGGGCCTGCGGGGCTCGCGCTCCCCCTCCCGCGGCCGCTCAGCAAGGAAGGCGGGTGAGGGGCGGGGAGAGCCAGGGGGAGCCTCCTTCGCCCCGCCCCGCCCCGCTTCGGACCGTATCACGACTCAAAGGGGGGATCAACTCTTAGCCTCCTTAGTCCTCCAGCGTTTTCGCTCCGCCCTGTGGAGTTGGTTGACCCGGTTCCTCCTCCAGGCCACTCGGACTCTCTCACATCTTGCTCAGAAAGGAAAGACTGCTCTGGCTGCTGCATTCTCACGAATCCCCTCCCGCTACCCCTGGCTTTTGATCGCAGTGGAGCCGCCCGTCGTCCGGAAAGAGCTGTTGGGTCTGAGCCGGCAGGCGAAGGCGAAAGGGTCTGGGACTACAAGGTTTAGCTCCCAGCCAGAGCAGGAAAGGAACGACTGACTGTTCGCCATCTGGGTGTAATTCTAACCTCTCTGCACGCCCAGCCCGACTCGTGGCCTGAGCCGCACTTGTCCTCCTGCCTCGCCCACTAGCAACAGGCTGCCAGGTCGGGAGGCCCCTGGTGCCCATGGTGCTCTTGTCCATGGGGCTTGGGTGCATCTGGGCCCCGCCTGCAAGTGGGCCCGGTGCATCTCCCTAGTTCAGGCTCTGCAGCCTGACAAGGCACTGAAATAGCAATTAAGCCAACTAAGTATTGGCCCAGGTGGTTCACAAAAGACTTTTTTTTTTTCTTTTAGTTAAATCTGCATAAAGTTGGATGCAGTCGTTTTATCTGCAAAGGGGAGAGGAGTCTTTGTATAAAATCCATAAATATGTTAAATTTTAATTTGCCGATGTCCTTCAGACTATCATAGCCTCATTACCTTTTATTTTGTATACCGAGATCTATGCTAAAAAGTTGTCAAAACAAATACTTCACCTTCAAGTTAAGATGTAAGGTTTTGTGCTGTTTCTGGCGAGCTGCTGAACTGGCAGGAAAGGAATAAACCAGAAACAATAAATCAGAAGCAATTTGCTTCTTCCCTCATTTCATGCTCTTCCTCCAGCAACCAGCGAAAGAGATCCTCACATAGAGGCCTTTTATTTGAGATCTTTTCACATCCTGAAGGGAGAGAGCTGGAGAGGTTTGACCTGAGAGAGAAGTGATTATTTCCAAGCCTCAGGAAAAAATGAAATAAAATCTGCTAATAGCGTCCTATCTCCATTTGTGGTATTTCTTCTGCTTCCTGCAGGTAGCACTTGCTAATCAGAGCCCTGCCCTACATTAATACTCAGGCAGTCAATGCATATTTATGAAGAGCCCACTCTAGTTGGCTCTGATTCAGAGGCTGGAATTAGAACAAAGAAAATGTATTCTCAGTGTTCATGGAACATCTCAGGGTAAAGCAGGACTCAACAATAAATGAATCTATCTGTTTCAGTGATAGTCATGATTTAAAGTATGGTCTTCTAAACGTAAAAAATGAACACAGCTTTATCTGGACTGTCATCACTGGGCATTTTTATTTCTTCCAAGGCCCAGGGTCTCCTTGTATAAAGCAGGCTTGCTCTGGCTTAATGAACATGAGTCTGAAACAAAATTAAAGGGCTAACATAGCAAGGAAAATAGTAAAAATAATAATCAGCTTTAAAAGTTAGCGAACAGAAACTGGAGGAAATGCAGTGCTTTTCTGATTAACATTTTAGGTGTAATTCTATATGAAGCCATAACCAGTTCTTATTAAAAATCAGTGCGCAGCAGCATGACGATAGTTCATTTATGAGCAATCACCTTTGTAATTCCTAATTAGTCCTCAGATGGGGTTGAGGTTCAATTCTGCTTATTTACAAGTAATAACTGAAGGAACTCCAGAAGTTACCTCTGTTTTGTATAGAGCAATCCATTTTTTACATGTGTGTCCCATTAACTCATCAGCAAAGTTGAAAACGTCATTGATACAGGAAACAAGTCACTTATACAGAGAAGAATATTGCATGATATAGTCTATAGATTACCGTGTGTCCTTTCCCTGATATTATCACTTTATCCATAATGGCAAGCGTATCCCAACTACCTTATTTCTTAAAAACCACTCATTCCTGACTGCTAGAAATCACACATTTTTATTGGTTCAGAACTTGATTGAAGTTGAGGATTGCATTAATCTGCATCTGCTTGATTTTAAGGCTCTCAGATCGTCTCACCTTCTATTGTGTGAGAAGTGCAATGTGCCAGCCCCTGGCAGGGAACTCCGGTTCCAGCCACATGACTTTGTCACGGAATCTGTAGTAGAATTCAGATGTCAGCAAGATCATTTAAAATCTTTCAGGTCATATGACTATACTGCTGATAGACTTAGAAGGAAGAGGGTTATTTAAGGACAACTTCCCTAAGATCCAGGTTTTATCCTCCACAAAATGTACATTGAATACGTAACACGTGTGAGGTGCTGAGCCAGAGAACTAGGTTATAGAGGCACTTAATGAAAGCTAAACAGCAGTAGCAACAAGATGGCTAATATGTCATGCCAAATAGACAAGCAGCAACTATGGACTTTGAGAGAAAGCTAAGTTTCTAAGAGCTAGGGTGATCAACATTGTTGAGCTAGATCTTAAAGTAGGGGTTAATTCTATAGAAATAAAAAGGAGACCTCTTTCTAGTGGGAATGCTTGGTAGTCATTGTTTAATGAATGTTTAAGGTCAGTGGAGTGATAGAGGAGCATATATATTTGGCAGGAACAAAGAGACTGACTTGACTACAGTAAAGGTTTTTCACTGGGAATCCATGTATGGAGACTAAAGGTGCCAGATTTGGGAGAGTCTGCAATGTCATCTTAGGATACTTTTGTTTCCTAATGAGCCTTCTAAATGAATGATGCTAGGAATCCCAATATGCCCACTTTTAAGCGTTTGTGGGTTTTTTTTTGACATTTTTCCCTTGAATTTTGCCACAAATTTTCCTCAACTTTACTAAGTAAATTATGTTCTAATATAATGAACATTGAGTGGCAGATGTTCATTACATTCCCAATAACTGTGCCATGTAGGACTAAATGGGAAAACATGTCCTTAGCTTTCTCTTTGAATTAGGATGGCTGTTTTAAGTCATTAGAGAAAATAAAGTATGTGTAAATACGTCTACTCTGTTCTACTGTCACAGCAGGGTGTGGACATCAATGGAACTTCATTGGCCTACAGACTCAGGTTTAAACTTCATTCAAATCAGAGGTGACTGTCAGGTACCCAGAGTTGGGTAAATGATAGTTGAAATTACAAAGGAAAAAAATACAATAAAAGAACTAAGAGGATGTCACTACTGGAACTAAACAGATTGGAAATCAAGTTTTCATGCCAAGAAAATTAAATAGGAGAAAGAATAGTCTTTTCAACAAAGGATGTTGGGACAACTGGATATCCACATGCCAAAGAAAAAAGTTGGACCCCTGCCTTGTATCATACACAAAAACTAACTCAAAATGGATCAAACACCCAAAATGTAAAAGTTAAATTATCTATAAAACTCTTCAGAGAAAAATAGTAAATATTTATTAACTTAGATAATAGTTTCTTACATATGGCATCAAAAGCACAAACAACAAAAGAAAAAATAGATAAATTGCACATCATCAAATTAAAAACTTTTGTCTGGGCACAGTGGCTCATGCCTGTAATCCCAGCACTTTGGAGGCCCAGGTGGGTGGATCACTTGAGGTCAGGAGTTCGAGACCAGCCTGGCCAACATGGTGAAACCCCATCTCTACTAAAAATACAAAAATTAGCTGGGCGTGGTGGTGGGTGCCTGTAATCCCAGCTACCTGGGAGGCTGAGGCAGGAGAATCGCTTGAACCCAGGAAGCAGAGGTTGTAGTGAGCTGAAATCGTGCCACTGCACTCCAGTCTGGGTGACAGAGCGAGACTTTGTCTCAAAAACAAACAAACAAACAAAAAAACAAAACCAAACTTTTGTGCTTCCAAATACATCATTAAGAAATTGTAAAATAACCCACAGAATGGGAGAAAACTTTTGTAAACCATATAGCTGATTAGCGACTTGTACCTAGATTATATTAAAAACGATTATGAGGCTTGGTGACATGGCTCTTGCCTGTAATCCCAGCAATTTGGGAGGCCAAGTAAGGAGGATCATTTAATCCCAAAAGTTCTAAACCAGCCTGAGCAATGTTGAGACCTTGTCTCTACAAATAATTAAAACATTAGCCAGGCGTGATGGTGCACGCCTATGGCCCCAGCTATTTGGAGGCTGAGGTGGGAGAATCACTTGGGCTGGGGTGGTCGAGGCTGCAGGGAGCTAAGCCATGATCACGCCACTGCACTCCAGCTTGGGAGACAAAGCAGGAACCCATCTCAAGAAAAAAAAAGAACTATTATGATTCACTAATAAAAAGACAACCCAATTTAAAAATGAGCAATGAGCAGAGGATCTGGATAGTTATTTCTCCAAAGCAGATATGCAAATGGCCTATAAACTCATAAAAAGATGCTCAATGTCATTAGCTATTAGGGAAGCGCAAATCAAAAACCTGAGATACCACTTCATACTCAGTAGAATGGCTATGATCAAAAAGATAGATAATTTTGTGTTGGAGAGAATGTAGAGAAGTTGTAGCACTCATATACTGCTGGTGGAATGTAAATGGTGAAGTTGCTTTAGAAAATAGTCTGGCAATTCATTAAATGTTAAACATGGAGTTACCATATGGTCTAGCAATTACACTTTTAGGTATACACCTAAGAGAAAAGTAGATGTCCACACAGAAATTTATACACAAATGTTACATTATTCATAATAGCCAAAAAGGGGAAATAATGCAAATGTCCCTCAAGTGATAAATAAAATGTGGTATATTCATACCATGGTATATTCTGCAATAAAAAGTAATAAAATAACACATGCTATAACATGGATGACTTTGAAAACATGCTAAGTGAAAGAACCAGTTACAAAAGCTCACATATTGTATGATTCCAATTATATGACATGTCCAGAATAGGCAAATCTACACAAACAAAAAGATTAATGGTTGCTGAGGGATGGGGGGTGGAATGGGAGCACTGGGAGATGACAGCTGATGCAGAGTTTCTTTTTAGGGTAATAAAAAATATTGTGATGGATGCACAATTCTGTAAATATACTAATGGATTATATTAAGGTGAATTGTATGTTATGTGAATTATATCTTAATAAAGCTGTTAAAAATTTTTTAAAATTAAATCTCCAAAGGCATCAGCCAAAAAATGACCAAGTCCAGAAAATCCAAAAGAGATATCAGAGGATATTCCTATCTTGGGAGGAATTGCACTTATTAATTACTTGATATTACCTGGTTTGTCATTGTCTGGGACCCCCAAAATTATGAATTGGTCCCCTTTGGGAGAAACTTATAGTCAAGTAGGTGAGAAAAGCTTGCTCACTAATTTGTTAACTCACAATGCAGCTGGAGGTGCTTTGGAAACTCATGTCCTGGGGGTTGTTGGAGACATGGCTGAGAACCCTGCTTGTGATTGAGATTGAGGCATGGAAAGTGGATTACCACACAACCATACAATACATACACTAAGCAGTGCTGGCCACTATACTTCCAATTCTTTTGCAGAAGCACTAAAGAAACGGGTAAATTAATCTTAAGTTTTACATAATTAACATCTTTTAGTTTAACATTTAGGTTGAGATGTAAAATTCTATCTAATAGCAAAGCTGCCTGGTTATTCCAAGTGAAGATTAGGCTTTGGTATCTATAATCATGGGTGTTATATATTAATTTAATGCATAGTGTATGGTTAAAGTATCATTATACTGTTAGACTTGTAAGGGACTTTCTTTGCCCCAGCCTTCTTCATTTTGATTGCTTACTTTGTGTCACCACCTTTATATGCACAACCCTCCAATACACGAGCGAGATGTTTAGGCTCTGTTCCCAGAATGTACCTTCATTCTATGCACATTACTTTATCTCTACCTCTACCACCTGTGTACAAGTCACCATCATCGCTTGCCTGCCATACTTTCTAACTGGTCGCCCTGCTTCTATGCCTGTCTTCCATTCGTCTCACGGGAGCCACCATTATTATTATTGCTTTAAAACACAAACTGGTTCATGTTATTTCTTAAGACTCTTTGGTAGCTTCCCATGGCACTCAGGAAGAAAACCAAATCTTTATGATCCTGCCCTTGCTTGTTTCTCAGACTCAGCTTCTCTAGCCCCTCATTCGTCCACAGGGCTCAGATGATTCCAGCCTACTCCAGCTAATATTGCCCCACTATCCCCAATGCTAGACACTGCCACATTGCCTTATTCTATTTTTCTCATAGTACTTATCACTATGTGGAGTTTTCTTATTTGTTTGTTTACCTGTTTATGATAAATAGTTCTCGCTGCGTTTGTCTTGCTAATTGCAATTTGTTCAACCTTAACAACAGTGTCTGTCATACAGTCCAGGATTCATACATAGTTGTTGAATGAATGAATGTAAATGAACTGGATCCCTCAGATTGGAAACTGGAAATGAGTAGAAGGATAGGTAGTGTTCCATCTGAAGAGATAATAAGTTATGTCCTTCATAAGTATGTTTATTGGGGTATATTATTTTGTGAGAATTATTTGCATGAAATAATTTAGAACATATTTGCTTTGGAGTATTTGATATCAGCAAAACCTTGTGCCACAAAAATTAATGTCAAAATTAAGTGATCAAATTTTAAATATAAACCAATTTCAACCAAAAGTTCTAAATTTGCTGTCATTGAATAATTTAGTCACTTATTCTTACTCATAATGATAAAATCAATACTTTTCCCTCACAACTATGATTCATTTCTCATACCTGTAGTACTACTGTCTTTTCAAACACCTTAGCAAGGTCTTAATACAAAGTTATAGTGTCTTTAATGTTATTATCTTCTGCATATACTGGGTATTTCCAACAAAAAAGTACAACAATGTTTTCTTCAATATAATTGAAAATATTCTGCTCCTGTTTAAATGAAACTAGAGTTTCAAAATGCAGTTTTGTATTATATGAAAGAACTCTTGAAAGAAATTTTTAAAGAATTAGTATCTCCAGGATATTTAAAATCAGGTTCAACTCACACACAATCTTTTGGGAAAAACACTTATTGAGTATTTTATTCAAAAAGTAAATGCACATTCAAAGGGAAATGATCTGCTGTATCATAATATCTAGTGTTGGATCTTACATTCAATAGCGTTATTTCAAACAGATGAAAAGAGATTAATTAAATTATTTTTTTTTTACTTTAAAAGTTTCCTGCATATCAGAGCCAAGATGTGAAAAATTCATACTTAATTAGAAGTGCTGCTTCTTTTCCAAAGGTTACCAAACAGCATTTCAATAATGCTGGTTTCTATACAAAGTATTATTATAAAATAGTCCCTGAACTTGTGTATAAGACAATCAACATAATATTGTCATACATTTAGACATTTTTAAAAGCAGCTTTATTGAGGTAGAATTGATATACAATAAACTTCATGTGTCTAACATGTAGAATTTAAGTTCTGATACATATATATAACTGTGAAGCCATCACTACATTCAAGATAAGAAACATATCCATTCCTTCCAAAAGTTTCCTCTTGACCCATGGAATGGTTCTTATCTGTAACTAGATAAGCTTTTTCATCAGCATTCAGCACAACTTATTGAGTGCCCACCATGTTTTAGATAATGAGCAGGATATTGGAAATTGAGTGGTCAGCTGAAACAGACAGGATCCAGACTGTTATAGAATGTATGTTGCATCAGGAAGACAAATACTAATCAAATTATTATGTGAATAAATATAAAATTACCACGGTATATTGTACTCTGGGCAAGCTAGGCTGTATCTGTATATAATGATTGTATCCCCAAATATTTCTGGGCCTCCACACCTATATCAGAAACCCTTTAATGTTGCTTATAGGGCTTTTGCAATGTATCTAAAAATTTACACTAAACATTTTGTTTCTACTGCATGTTATGTCTTTTATTTTGAAAACAGTATGGTATGATGTTTGATGTATGAAAAGGATAACCAGTGGAGAAAAATATTATTATATAATTTATTTTCTTGATGTTGACCAGAAAGTCAATATTGAAAAAGAAAAAGGGAAGGAAAAAAACCTCCCAAGAAAATCTTGCTTTTTTTTCTCACCATGTCACATTAGGTGTTATTTCAAGGAGACAAAGTCACAATAATGAGGTAAAAAATATTGACGGGGGAAAGTCCAGAATTTTTATTAAAAATCAAGCATAGGCTGGGCGCAGTGGCTCATGCCTGTAATCCCAGCACTTTTGGAGGCCGAGGCAGGCAGATCACGAGGTCAGGAGATCGAGACCATCCTGGCCAACATGATGAAACCCCATCTCTACTAAAAATACAAAAATTAGCTGGGCATGGTGGTATGCACCTACAGTCCCAACTACTTGGGAAGTTGAGGCAGGAGAATCGCTTGAACCCAGGAGGCAGAGGTTGCAGTGAGCCAAGATTGTGCCATTGCACTCCAGCCTGGCGACAGAGTGAGACTCTGTGTCAAAAAATAAAAAATAAATACAAAATTTAAAAAGCATAGTAAATGAAATAAAGACGATTATCAAGTACAATTTTGTAATTCCATAATTCCATGACTTTTAATTTAGAAAGAATGCCAGGCTTAAGTAAGATCATTTTCTGATGAAATAAGCTATAGCTTTCAAATATAAAATATTTGCCAATTGTGTTTGAGCCTCTTAGATGATATGGCCCCTGTTCAGCGGTTCATAATTCACTTTAGTGTTTAGTAGATTTATTGGAAAATCACAACTTTTTTTTCTCTGACCCCAAAAATCTCAGAAACAACATCTGCTGTAAAGAGGGATTGTTTATCACTGTAGCTTCTTGCCAACTTTGAACTGTGAGGAAATCCACCAAATGGAGAAAGAGAATGAATACTTAATTCAGGATTACATTTAGGTATTTGTCCCAGAGAGCAGAAGCTGGGGTCAGGGGCAGACACTTTAAGGAAAAGATATAAAGGAACTAAATGGAGGTTTGTGTAAGCTGGAGACACTGAAGGTATGAGCACAGGTGAACTCGTGCCGGGTGTGGGAGCAGAGTCTACACCTCTTGTATAGATCTGCTTGTCTGTGCCAGACTGCAAATGGCAGCTTTTTTCTCCCTGCCCGTATCCTCCTGTCGTCTGTTTTACGTTTGGTCTAAACACCTGAACACTGACCTTAGCCTATTAAATTGGAATCTCTTCTCTCTTCTTCCTGAATCCATGGTATTCTGATTCCAATTTGCCTCCCCAGCTTCAGCAGCCATATATTCTCTAATTGAAGCAGCTGCAATCTGTTGCCTCGTGTAGCCACTCAGTTTCCCATGCCCACTGGTTTAATTCTGCACCTAGTCCTGGCCCCTTTTGGCTTCCTCTGGGTTGTTCTTGATCTAAAACTGACAGTGCAGAAGGCAAAGGGAGACCTGTAGGTTGGGAAATAGTATTAATAAAAAATTTGAATAGGTACATGGGAGCCAGATTATGAAGAACCATGCAAACCAGCAAAGGTGATAGGAATGAATGCACAGAACAAAAGGTAGTCATTGTAGGGAGGCTCTGGGACACATGATAACCTTGTACTTTGAAAAGGTTTTTGTGGTGATAATAGAATATGAAGCATGGATTAGAGGTAGAGAAACCAGACTGGAGATGATAAAGGTCTGTTCAATTAACAGAGGAAATGGTGATTTTAAAAAGTTAAGTTTGAATATAATATGAGGCATTTATAGTAATACTTCTGGGACTATGGAGAATAAAGGACAATAGTCTATCTGCAGAAAAAACAGATACTCTTCCCTCTCTAGTTACAGATGTAAGTATAGATATAGATATACTTGAACTTTTTAGATGTTGGGTTAATTTCCTACTGAGTCAGAAATTCTGACGTTTGAGGAGGGAAGAGTACCTGACTTAAGGAACAGAACTGAAATCAGAAGATGTGGGTTTGGATCTCAGCTCTGGAACTTTTGAGTGGTTTAATCATGGGAATGTCATTTGAAGACCTTTCTGAACCTCAGATTAGCTCAGTGGGTTAACATGCGGGCTCTGCAGTCAAACTGCTAGACTCTGATCCAGGTTATACCACTTGCCAGATGCTTCATTTTGGAGAAGTTACCAACTTTTCTCTGCCTCAGATTCCTCATCTGTCAAATGGGGATAATTATAACGCCTATTTCATAGGATTATTGTGAGAAGTACCTGAGATATTTTATTGCAACATACA
Organism: Homo sapiens; assembly: GCF_000001405.40. Classification (NCBI taxonomy): domain Eukaryota; kingdom Metazoa; phylum Chordata; class Mammalia; order Primates; family Hominidae; genus Homo; species Homo sapiens. The sequence goes on from NC_000004.12 coordinate 42,667,410, forward strand.
ATACAAATTTTAGTTGCTTTTATTTATTTATTTAGAGTCTCATTCGGTTGTCCGGGCTGGAGTGCAGTGGTGTGAGCTTGGCTCACTGCAACCTCTGACTCCTTGGTTCAAGCGATTCTGGTGCCTCAGCCTCCTGAGTAGCTGGGATTACAGGCGTCTGCCACCATACCTGGCTAATTTTTGCATTTTTAGTAGGGACGGGGTTTCAACATTTGCCCAGACTTGTTCAAACTCCTGAGCTCAAGTGATTTGGCCTCCTCAGCCTTCCAAAGTGCTAGGATTTCAGGCCTGAGCCACCGTGCCCTACCTGCCGTTATTATTTTAATTTAGTACATCCAACATTTTTCCTACTCTGTAAGTGACATAAAATTAACGATTATAGTTACTAGAGGCATTTTCTTCAGTCATGCCTTTCTTGGTAAAGTCTAATAATGCAAGTTTATGTAATCTATCATTTGTATGACAAAAGGCATCAATGTTAGATATTTAATTGTGATGGAGGATTCTATTTACTGGTTTCAAGAAACTTGCTGTAAAAATGCTCATTAGTAATATTTAAAACAATGTGCCTCTTTGGGTCATTATGTAAATGAATAAATATAAAATCACCACTGTATATTGTACTGTTGGAAAGGTAGTCTACAAATGTATATATTGATTGTATCCCCAAATATTCAACTGCACATAATGGAAAATCCCAAAGGTTCAATTGCACATAATGGAAAATCCCAAAGTAGCAGTAATTTAAACAAGGTAGAGGTTCATTTGTCTCTCATATAAAAAAAGTCTGAAGATATCTCTACACTGCCTTCAGAGATCCGGAGACTTCTATTTGTACTCTGCAATGCTAACACATAGCTTCCATCCTCAAGGTCACCTCATAGTCCTAGCACACTGAGTCAGATTCTTTCAGCATCTACTTCTGAAGCCTCAGATAAAAGTTATGTTCAGCTCTTATTGGCTCATCACCTGGCCATGTGTAGCAGATAGGGAGGATGGGAAATTAGTTATTTATTCAACCAGTAATGTACCTAGATAAAAATTTGGGATTCTGATACTTAAGGGAAGGAGAGAATGGATTAGCAGGTAGGCAGCCAGCATTCTCTGCCAAACTTTTCAGTAAATCTCAGAAATCTTTCTCAAGGTTGCATTATGAAAATTCTGGAGCTTTCCATGGACGAAATAATACATTTTGTCCAAATTGTGTTTTTAAATGTAAAAAAAAACCAGAGTTTGCATCATCCTAGAAACAGGTTACATGAAACAGGGTTTTAAACTGCTGACACTTAGCAAAGAACTTGTTAAATGTGAACCGAAATAGTATTAAACGGAGTACAATAGAGAATAGAGGCTGAAATTAATTTTGTGAGGTAGTAACTTATTAAGGTGACTTTCTGGATAAAAATAAATGGAATCTTGGAGGTGAATAAGATACTAACAAAGCAATGGATGAAGTAAAACGAAAAGATTTCTTTTAGTTTTTCCTTTGTTTATACAAAAAAAAGGGAAAAGTAAAAAAATTATTGATTTTTGAAGAGACAAGTTCCATAATGGTATTTTGGGAACATCATCTCTTAGCTATGCTCAAACTACACCGTGAGGGAAAGCGCAGAAGGAGAGCCCGGTTAGGATGCGCCTGTGGCCATCTTGTCAATGGAAGTTTTCTGTACTTATGTGTAGTTTTGGGGTCCCAAAAGGATTATCCAAAGCAAACTTCATTTTAAAAATTTAATATTCAATTTATTAAATTTGTATGTAACAAACATAGCTCTTCTTTAAGCTTTGAAATTTAACTTAATTATTTTAGTATACTTAGACATCTAAGTAGATTTAACTTAATTATTTTATTGTACTTAGACATCTCACAAATTTTGAAAATTACTTTTGAAGCGGTGTTTAATTAATGTTTGATTCCATTTATAAACTTAAACCCCCTTAAACATTTTAAACTATACTGACAAAGTTGATACATTTCCTTTTCATATTTAAGTGCTTTAGTCATCTGAAAAAGCCTTCTCAGTACTGAAATAACTATCATAATACGATAAATTTAAATTATAGAAGATATGTCTTAGGCTTTTATAAACTCTCTAATACTGATTAATTTTGACATAGAATCTTTGTCAATTAGTCTCATCACTTTAATTTGGAATTACACAGATAATTTTAGTAACAGGTCAAATTCTCCTAAATATAGTGACTATTTCTAAACCTTACTAAAAATATTAGTACTATAAGTTTGATTTACTTAATCCTATATATGTATATGTAATTCTACAGGTTCACAGCTATTGATTCTCTTGGAAACAATTATGCTATCCAAACAATTTCAGGGTTAGCATGCTAAGCACTTTCGGAGGTTATACTTTTAGCTGGCTGAGGTTGAATGTTAACCAGAGATGTCATCTGAGACATTTGAGCTCTAGCATTACAGATATCCTTGAAAATTTTATGACATTTTTGGCTGTCAATGTGCCTGAGTCCTCCAGATTCAAGTCATCCATTACCTAATACTTTTCTCTACCACATTTGGTCCATTTGGTTGATTTCAACTAGTTTATTACTGTGTCACCCCACTCTAAACTATTTTCATATTTTTTCTTATTAGGACTGGCAGGTATAGTTCTTTTAATGACATTGATTTGGATTTTGTTTACCTCCCAGTGCTTCCTCTAACTGGTACCTTTCAGGTTAAGGGCTAAGCTTACAGCCTGAATGAGGGTGACAGCAACTGGGTGGAAACAAAGTGCAAAATGGAAAGGTATTAGGAAGGGAGAATAGACAGTAAACACTAAGGTTGGGGATGGATTCCAGGAAGAGGAGACCACGTTGAACAAAGACCCAGAGGAAAGGTGGAGCTTGGCAGCTCCAAATCCTCACTCCATATCTGCCCACTCCCAACATCCCCAGCAGTTATTATGGATGGAGGGTGATGTCCTCTCCTGCTGCATTCCTGTGGGAACACCCAACCTAAAATATTTATCTAGACTAAGGTATAGAAAATCTGTAATTTCAGAGCTTCCTTGGGTCTTTTGGTGGCCAGAATTTGCTAAGCAAGGACAGACAGCTCTGTTTCCTGAAGAGATAGATTTGTCTTACCCACCAATAAGCCTCTCCCTGTGTTTGGAAACTAGAGGATGAATATGAGAGTAGTAGTTGGAATGAACATTCGTAACAAAAAGTGCTGTCTCCTGGCTGGAAAAGGGAGTGTGTGAAGATCATTCAATTTTTATAGAACAATCTCCTCTTCAGTACGAACCTATTTGGTAGTTTCTGAAAAATCATTCCTTGTTCTTTTGCATGTGTGTGTCAAGAAAAGAGATATGCCAGAATGATACAATAATTATTTTCTAACTGAGCAGGAAGGATGGTGAGACATGTCACACCAATGGAAGGACCTCATCTCAGGCAGGTTCTTAATATGCCACCCTCATCCACTCTAGCCCCCTCCCTCTGTTTATTTCATTCTAGTCATAATTACCCAGTCTCTGAGCACTAGCTTATTGAGTTCAGTGTATTGCACTGGTCTCAAGATGGTAAGGGTTTTCTGGAGTGGGAAAGGGGTTGGCAGTGAGAAGCTGTGAGAACATTTGTGGGGAAAAGATGATTGAACAGTAGGACAGGGAAGCAAGTCTAGAGACTGGCATGTGCCCTCAAGGAGAGTCTCTGTGAACAGGGTGAACTATTTTTTGTGGTGACATCATATTTACCCTAAAGTTTTGCATTTCAATTTTAGAATTTTGACATAATTTCAGATTACAGAAAAGTTGCTAGGATCCAACAAAGAACATTTTTACTATACGGTATTTGCTTTATTCTTCTCTCTTTCTTTCTCTCTATTGTTTTTTCGGAACTGTTTGGGAGAAAGTTGCTGGCATGAATCCTGTTACTCCTAAATACTTCAAAGTGTGTTTTCCTAAGGCAAGCACATTCTCTTACATAACCACAACACACTGATTAAAATCAGGAATTTAATATTAAAACAATACTATTATCTCATTTACAGACCTTCTTCAGATTTTATCTTTTGTTCCAATAATGTTCTCTAGATCATGTGTTGCATTCAGTTGTCATGTCCTTTTAATCTCTTTCACTTGGAACAGTCTTCCTTTGAATTTCATGATATTGACTTTTTTGAATAGTACAGGCCATTTGTTTTGTACACTACCCCTCAGTATGGGGTTGTCTGATGTCACCTCGTGGCTTTGGCAGGAAGTCATGTTGCGTTGCTGTCAGTGCATCCTACAGGCACAGGATGTGAATACCCCTTTCCTGTTGATGTTAACTTTGACCACTTGGGTTAAGATGGGACTGACAGGTTTGTCGACTGTAAGGTTACTATTTATCCTTTGGTAATTAGTGTTATCTGGTAGGGAGATTAGTTTTACATTGTTAATCAGTCTTACATTGTAATTTCACTCTGTGTATTTGGAACGAAAATTTTGTTGTTGTTTCTTTTACTTTTTAATTTTTCTTTCCCCTAAAGGTGTCTTACTTGTCTACTTGGTTATTCTCAGTGCTGCTGCAGGTACCTACCCTTACATCTTTGTTGGCCCAAGCCTGCAACCCTGTCTGCACTGGCAACTGCCCATACTAGCAGAGTGTTGATGGCAGAGGGAGGAAGCCACAGCTCCCATTGCTCCCTCATCTCTTCAACCTAGAACACAGCCATAAAAACTACATGAAATGTACTTCACTGAGAGTTTTGGGGGTTACCAAAAGAAATTCTATAAGATGGAAAATAAGAAGATATTCCCTTTAAATTCATGACACTTACAAAAAGTTTGTAAACTATACAAAGGCATAGTTTACCTCATACCTTTGTTACAAAAGACATTGAGGCAATTTGTTCTGTAGACCTTATATATACCTCTTCTGTTATGTGGGAAGCTTAGTTCCTGCATGAGATCAGATAAATAACAAAACCAGTATTATCACACTTGAAAACTAATATTAGTTCTTTCATATTGTTACATATCCAGGAGAAGCTCAAGGTAATTTAACTTTTAGTGATTCTTTGCACACAAGTTGGATATCAAAGCTGGAGAAAATTTTCTCATTGAGAAAAACTCTTATGATTGGTGTAAATGTACAGCAATAGTGAAAGGAAACATTTTACTCTGACCTACAGGAAATCTTATTGTTTCTAGTTTTTCTTTACAGAGTAGACAGTGGAAAAAATTATAGAGTAAAATATAGATATTTCCTTTTGAATGTCTTTTTCCAGACATATTAGCTAAGATGTTCAGGGAGCGTGTGTGAGAAATGAGATGGCATTTTCAGTAAGAGCTAACGAGAGGAGTAAGCACACATTGAAATTTCCATTCTGCCAAAAACCTGGTCCAGTGAATATTTCATCTTAAATAATAAGAGGAAAAGCTAATCTCACATTCTCTCAATTTCATTTTAGATTGTTTTCTGGCATTGGGAAGTATAGAGAGAGTTTTCTTTTTCTTTTTTTCTTATCACAACACTGTATGTCTTAAAAATACTGGCAATTGAGAGTGTTGAAATAGTGAGTGAATTATTTGGATTGGTCACCTTGAAGAAGCTGAAAGAACTTGGCAGGTATTCAAAAACTGGAGATTGAATGAGTTAAGGGTAAAATTGATCTGTCTTGCAGCTTTCTGTCTAAAAAACTGCCTCCTTTTTTGCAGTCTTGGAGTCTAAACTCTCTTGTTTCAAACACTGAGAAGTTTTAAAAGCCCTGACAAATGCCAGTAAAATCTATCAAGCAAGGTCAAGGAAACTACTTCCTCTCATCCAGTCATAGGTATCCAGGCAGTTTGCTCAGGCACCTAGAGTGCCACTCAAAGCAAGGCAGTCTGCCGCGCTTGAGCTCTGTTCTTATTTCCCCATAGTACATTCAACTGCCTGAGCATCTGACTCAGACATAGCAGAGATATTGCTGCTGCCAGAGGGTAATAGTTTGTCCTGTTATCCTGGAATGCCCTTGCACTGAGAAAATGAGAAACTGGGCAACTCAATGAATTTCCCATCCTGTGGATTTCTCACTGGCTCTCCCTGGCTCTATTTCTTCTTCCATTTTAGAGGGAATAGTCATCCTGCTTTTCAGGCTACCACCTTTTCTTTGGAATCAGTTGGATGCATTTAATGCATATGGAAGAGATGCTGAGAGGGCATGTAGTAGAAATAAGAATAAAATATTTCATTTTTTTCTGATTTCTTGGAGAATGAAATGTTCCATGTAAGTGTATTTTTCTAGACAATTGAAATCTATGCCTTAAATGTCAAAACTTGTTTTTAACTTTGAGAAATGATGTAGCACAGTGGTTAAGCACACAGACTTTGAGGCAAATTGTCTGTATTTAATCACTCTCTACCTTCGTAACTTCAGGCACTTAGCCCCTTGTGCCTCAATTTCCTCATCTGTGGAGTGAAGATAATAATAGACCTTATCTTACAGGGTTATGGAGAGGATTAAATAGTATTAAATGAGTTATTATATGTAAACATTTAAAACAATGTCAAATATATAGTAAGCATATAGAAGTTATTATTATTAATTTATCCATTCATATACAAATCTTACCCTGAAATGGTACCCATCTTCTTGTTATCTTTTATAGAGTATATTGAACATTGACTACTCAGTGCCTTCATACTCAGGGAAAGAATATAGTCATGCCTTCAGAGAGTCCTAAGATGATGCCGACGATGAAACAATAGCTAACATGGTTTCATGAATGTTCTTGGTTAATCCCTGCAAAAAACCTCTAGGATAGGCACACTAATAAATAGACTTAGAAGGTGTAAGTACTTGCCTGACTTCACATAGCTAGAACCGGATGTGAGATACAAACTCAGGGCTGTCTTACTTCAACGCTGGTAGTCTTGGTCACCTTACCACACTGCCTTGTGGTCAGGACTCCTCATCCCCACAATGGTTTCCAAACTTGAGTATCCCACAGGATCAACAGGAGGGCTTGTTAGAGCATAGATTTCTGGATTCCACCCCAGAAGCTCGGATTCAGTAGTTTTGGGGTGAAGGTTGAGAATTTGCATTCTAAGTTGCCAGGTGATGCTAACGCTGCTGGTCCACAGGAACCACACTTTGAGAACCAATATTTTCACTAAATGACTCCAGACAATATTTAATACCAATTATTTTTTATTTTCTCTTTACTATCAGTTGCCACTTGAAGCTATCAATGTATTCTTTTGCTTTTAAACACTATTCTACGCACATCTAGCCATTTAAAAACTCTCTATAACCTACCTCCTGTGGTATTTGTGGATTTTATGACAGCAGTTGCTGTTTAAGAGGCTGCTTTCAATCACTAATCAGTTCCCTCGTGCACTTGGCTCATGAACGCCACGAGGACTTTGACTTCTTTTCTTAAACATTGCTTCTTTTAATTTTAATGTATAAAGTATCGAGTGACTAAGATTCATGAATTTAAATATCTATCATATGCCATTTTTTCCCCTTCCCAATGTTGAGGACTTTATGCCCATTGTTATAGTAAACTAAATATGGCCTGAGAAGGACTCTGTAATTCTATATTTGAATTCTTGTGAATGGACTGTAACCTAGCTTAATAGTCAGACAAAATTGAAACTCTAACTTAATAGTATGCACCTGTAACAATGGCTGAGTGTTGGCCAATCCCAGCGGCCATACTTCAACCACTCACAGAGGTTGAATGTTCAAACTGCGTCCAAATAAGGCAAATGTCAAGCCATAAGCAATCTCACTGTTTCTGTACCTCACTTCCTATTCCTGTAAGTCACTGTACCTTTTTTTGTTCATAAATTTGTTCCAACTATGAGGCACCCCTGGAGTCTCTGTGAATCTGCTGTGATTCTGGGGGCTGCCCAATTTGTGAATCGTTTACTGCTCAATTCAACTCCTTTAAATTTAATTCAGCTGAAGTTTTTCTTTTATCAGATGGTGTCAGAAGCGGGATCTGAAGTGCAGCTTCTAGCATCCCCCAGCAGTGCTGAATGAACACTCAAGGTACCTGCAGGACCCACTTGTGTCCATTGATCTCTCAGAGCCACTGGGGATCATGGGTAAGCTCGCTCTCCGATTTCAGGGCTCCACGGATTTGTGTTTTGAGCTCTCTGAGTTTCTTTGAGCAAATTTCTGATCCAAACTGGGTTTGGAGTTGTGACAGAAACTGGACTGGGTCTGGGAACAGATTTGATCCAGGAATTAACTGGCTTGGATCCAGTTAGAGGCCTCTTACATCTGACTGGGTCAGAAAGGAACTGGTAGTAAGCTGTAATATTGCAGGGGTTATAAACTTTGGCTTTTGAAAATTCACAGGGATTTTTGTGTTCCACCCCTTTATTTAATTTTTCTTGTGCACTTAGGTAGGAAAAAAAATCACTGGCTAAGTTAATCAAGAGAATCTGAGAGTAAAGCCAATATTGTAGGTAAAAATGGGATCCTTAATTTCTGGAAAACTGAGTTTCTCCTGGTTTATGCTTTAGGCCTGGGAGGCAGCGAAGTCTTACAGAAATGGCAGAATCTTACTAAAGATAACTTACAGTGGAATGTTCTGAATGAACAACAATGCATTGAAGTACATTTAAAAATGAAGGCTCTTGGTGAAGTCCCTTTTGGCTAAGAATGAATTTGGCACTACAGGAGGTCAACTGCTATTGTCTTTGGAATAATCTGCCTTGCACTCTTTGCTGATGGCTGTGGGTGACAGGATTAGGCATGTACAGGATTGTGGGACATGGGGAGCTTTTTCCCTCCTAAAAGGGGAAACTTGAGAGCTGATGAGACTGCTGGAAAAGATTCCCTTTCTACTGAGAAGCAGCTGCCTGAACTTTTCCATGTGGCTGCAATGGGTGGGTCTTTCTCTGGCCTCCCTGATCATTTCGCCTTCCCCACCCTGCCACAGGCAATGCTTTTCTCTCTCTCCTTTCCCTTATCTTTTCTATTACTCAAGGCGACCATCTTGCCCAGAGACCACATGTTGAAACTCCTGGCCGGAGGTTGGATTAATGATGATGGGACCCAAACAGAGACAAATTGGAGTCTTGCCAATTTGATATTGAGTGCTAAGCAGAGTGGCTAATGTCTGTGTTTTGTCACACGTATTTTACTCTGGCCAGAACGAAAAAAAATAATTTTCCTTTATGATGTGTCTTGGCCCCCAACGCGATGTTGCAGGAAGCTGAGTCACTAGAGCCACTCAGGGAAAGGGAACCCAGAAGCCTGGCATCCCAGCAAAAAGATAAGAATTTCTTACCAGTCAGATTTTGGGCTTCTCTCTCTCTGTGCAAATGGTTGAATGAATGGTAAAAATCACTGTTTATCTCCATCTTGCTTTATGTCCTTGAGAGCTTAACCTTGTAACCACACTTTCTCTTGGTCTCCGTCTTCCAGGGAACAGGAATTTTAGGGTTTATGGCATAGTTATCTCTAAAAATTATCTTGAGTAGTTAAAAGCCTTTGCAAGCTCAAAATTAGCTACTCTGGATTCCTTCTGGGGAAGGGAGTGGAGACTGCTCTGTGCTGTAGCTCAGTAGCTGAGGTTTTGCCCTTTCATAGCAGTGGTCCAGGTTCGTATTCCATGCTTACAAAGCAAGTTCTTTTTTGTTTAATATCTGCATGACCTTGTCTAGTCTCTTCTCCTTTATGTATTATCTTAAATTTTCCTTTCTCTGAGCATCTGGGAATTTACCTTTGGTAAAGTTCAAAAGCTGGAAATGGCCGTTTGGCCTGGCTAAAATCAAGTAATAAAAAAATTTTAAGGGACTTTATTAAAGAGTGCTATGGTTAAAAGTCAGCTTAATTAAAAGATATTCAAGCTTTAACAGCCTGGACTCCTTGGGAAAAATGGGAGGCAACAGAAACCCCTTTCCTGGCCCTGTTCTTCCAAGGGCTCCACTCTAAAGCCAATAACCGATTAAGAAACAGAAAAACTGGCAAATGAAAAATCTTACAACTACTGTAGTAATCTCCTTCTGTCTAATTGTATATGTGTTGTGTGTAATGTTTATGTAAAAGAGCTCTAATTAACTGGCTTAAACAAAAGTGCACAAAATCTAATATTTTGAAAGCAAAATAAAAACTATAATGCCTTTTAGTTCATGTAACTTTAGTAATCTTTGGGAAATAAAAAAAGCTTTTAAGATTATTAATAAAATAAAGATATTTTGTCTAAATTATGCAGGTCAGATATTAGGTTTGCTAAATGCTTTAAGATCATAAACTGCTTTGACTTTTGAAAATTGTTCAATTTATTTTGGAGATATTAAATTCTAAATAAAGCCTGGGGATATATGGAATTAGCCATGCCCCCTAGCTATGCAAAGAAAGTTATAAAGAAAAGAGATTTTATATAAGAAAGGATGTTGTATGGTAAATTCTTGTCCTAAAGTAAAATGATTGGTCTTTAGAAAGAGGAATGTTTAGGGCAAGTCAGGAAGTCTAAACATGTCATATATGGTCTGCATAAGTCGTGAAAGAATTTATAAAAAGAGATTTATTCCAGAAATGTGCAATTTAAAGGTGATTAGGCCTAAATTCTTCATAGAATGCCACTATGACTGTTAAATGTACAGCTTGTCTGCTTTACAGCTAGGTAGGCCCTGGAACACGTGGAGTTAGATGCTGGAAAGAATCAGACCTTATCTGCATTTCTGTCTGGGTTCTGGGCTCCACACCTAGTACATAATTAAAATCCCTTACTTAACAAGGTTTTCATCAAAAGTTAAAGTCTCTAAGAGTTAACACTGTAATATGTAATTGACACTGCTGAAAAATAAGTTTACATACACGGTGTGTAAAGAGAATAAAATGTGTTTTTGTAAGAGATTATAAGAAGGTATAGGAATGTAAATTTTTGCCTACATTAGCGGGTTAAAGGATTGTTTTAAATTAAATAAAGCTAAATGTTTGAAAAAGTTGTGGAAGGTTTATTAAAAAAATTGTAAAAGGTTCTATGCGTGAACATATTGGCTAAAGTCAAAATGGCATTATTCAGTTTTTTCTATGAATTGGACATTGGAATCAAAGCACAACAGAGTTTTCTTAGACTATTGTTCTGCTCTGAGAAAAAAAATTGTAAAGGGTTATAAAAGGTTTATAAAAATCTTACCTTATGGTCAAACTAATTAAAACTGAATAGATTTGTAAAATATTACTTAAAACTAGCTTTAACATTAAAAATATACTAATGGAAACATAAAATTTGGTTTTCTCTTTTAAAAAGGATTTTTATGTGATATTAAAAGATTATGAAAGGTTTTGGTTTACCTTTTAAGTAAACTACAAAAGAAAAAGAGAGGAAGTGAAAGAAAGGAGACAGAGTCAGTTGGCTTCCTGCTATCTCCACTGGGTCTTATTTAGAAAGCTGAGTCTACTCTCTATCAGAATAATGTTTTTTCCTTTAAAAAATTTTTGAGTTATCATTTTGGCTAAATGGATGACTTATGGTAACCTAAGATTCTATTTTGTAATATCCAATGTTTTAAATCTTTAGTATTTAATAAACGATTCAAAATCAAGCTCTAGATTATCATGCTAAATCAGCCAATACTAAAATTGTTTAAATATACAATTTGAATAAACTCCATGGTCTAAGTCAAATTACCTCTGATAACATGTAAGTTATCAGTGCTATGCACCTAAATTGGAGGAACAACTAGTATTCAAGAGGACATAAGTCCAATGTTAAGCATGGACTCATGAAGAACCAGGACAGCCATCTTGTCCTTCCTGAGTCCTTAAAGCTTTTGTTATTAAAGGCTCTGCATTCCATGACTCAGCATGGAAAATATAAAATAATCCAAATAGAATATATTGATGTGGTGACTCATAAATTTGGAGCTAGTTTAAAACCAATATTTGGTTCCATTTTCCTGGGAAGACAATCAAAGCTTCAGGTACGTTTGTCTACCTGATGGGCCATTTAAACATTTATAAAGGGATTTCATTCAATTATCATTTTCAATGCATGTTTTCTGGTAGCATAACAGCTTTCCCATGCAAGAGGGCTGTTGTTATAACAGTAGATTATTATACTACAGTGTATTTTTACCAGGTAAAGAGAGCTTTTTATGTTTCACTGAGGGCAATCCCTTCACAAGCTAGAGCCCTAAGATTGGATCTTCTGAGAACATTAGAGAAAGACTGTCCTTCCCAACCACACTTCAGCAAAACTTTGGAGACTTGAGCTTTGGGTTCATAATCTCACAACTGAGAAGGGTCCCTCCACCCTCCTGGAACTGTACACCCATTGGAACTTTTAAGGTAAAACTAACCAGGAAAGTTTCTCCCCAGAAGAAGATGACATCCTTGATTCAAACAGCTTTTCCCAAGTTTACAGATCATGACTTCTACTATCACAAGACTCTTATCTTTAAATATTTTTTCCTTATTTATGCTTCTATGAACAATAGGAATGAAAAGGGGTCTATTGTGTGCACTTATAGGGTATAGTTTTATTTGTGAAGGATTTTGCAGTCAGCCTTATACATGAATAAACTTATACTTTAATAGATAAAAGATGAAGGTGAAGTGTAGGTGAGAAACTTTGGTGGTAAATATGTTGCCTCATAATCACTCAAAACTCCTCTTTGGGGATTAAAGAGACCATTGCCAGGAGGCCTTCACTCTTCTAGCAGGACATCATTTTTTGGGTCCTTTTTCCATGGTTTAGAATAAAAGGCAATAATTAGAATTGTCACCCTCATAATAGGCTCTACAGCAAATTCTGCTTTAAAAGCTATCGTTACACACAGACTTTAAATTCTCTTGTGGAAGTTATACTAAGTTAATAGATGTGGCTAAACAGAAAAGTACCTGTGCAGCTGCTGACACTTGTGGCCTATGGAGAAATACATCAAATGTAGATTATTAAAATTCAGTTGTAGGGTATTAATGAAAAGACCACTTAGTCAAGTGAGTAGACTCTTCATCCAGCTCATTATTAAATGTATTTAATTTTACACGGTTTGGTTTATGGGGACCTTGGGTAAGGACCATACTCCAAACTCTTGGTATTATCCTCCCAATAGTCATAATAATATTCTCCCTGGTACACTGTATTCTCTCAAAGGTTTTAAATGTTTGCATGCAGCCATCTCTAGAACATCAAGTGATCTCTCTTCAACTGGAATGACAAAAGCTGAAAGAAATGTGCAACCATGAGGACACCGTAACCTATGAATGACATGCTGAGATCAAAAACCCAAAATGATGATAACTGAGAGTGGTGCTAAGGCCCTAAGTATTGGTTACACTCTCACTAAAGTGAAACCTGGCCAAAAAGTGGAATTTTTTTTAAACAAAATTATGGGAGGCCATTATTTTGGACTGAGCTCATGCACTAGGCCCCAACAAACTGAACCAAACTAAAATGGAGTCACTCATGCTAAATGTGACACAATCAAACTAAGGCTTTAAGAAAACACAGATCCTAGAACAGATCAGGTTTTGTTTTTCTCCTGTAAACAGGATGTTCCAGCATAAGGAAGTACCCTCTATTCAGTCCTTGGTGCCTCCTTGCAAAACCCACTGTTCTATTGTTTTTCAGTGGGTTTCAAAATCAAATAAGTACATTTACAAAAGAGATAGTAACATCAGTGACTAAGATTTTGGCCAATCTCTCAAAATTGAGAAAATGTCTAAAAGGGGGAATTGTTAAAGCCAACTAAATATGGCCTGAGAAGGACTCCATACTTCTATATTTGAATCCTTGTGGATGAACTGTAACCTAGCTTAATAGTGAGACAAAATTGAAAATCTAACGTAATAGTATGCACCTATAACAGTGGCTGAGTGTTGGCCAATCCCAGCGGCCATACTTCAACTACTCATAGAGGCTGAATGTTCAAACTACGTTCAAAAAAGGCAAAAGTCGAGCTGTAACCAATCTCACTGTTTCTGTACCTCACTTCTGATTCCTGTATGTCACTTTACCTTTTTTGTCTATGAGTTTATTCTGACCACGAGATACCCCTGGAGTCTCTGGGAATCTGCTGTGGTTCTGGGGGCTGCCCGATTCACAAATCATTCATTGCTCAATTAAACTCTTATAAATTTAATTCAGCTGAAGTTTTTCTTTTATCACCATCAAAGATTATTCTACAATAGATCATAGGAAAATCTAGCAGACCACTCTGACTTGGCTGTTTAGTCTCCTCAACTCAGGAATATAGTTCCAAGGACCTGGTGTTGTGTATCCGCTTTCTTATTTTCTATCTATTTATTCAAATCTAGTCTTGTCTTTTGTCAACATAGTTCTAAAATCCTGTATAAGCCATGAGGTGGTCACAGAATTAGGTCTAGAAAGATTTTGAGGAGAGGTAGAACTTTTTTTCTCTTCTGGTAACAGGGTAGATCCTTGATTCCTGAACTGCTGCTTCTTAGATTAACAGTATATGAGTCAGGAAGCTCATGATTCTGGCCTTTTCTGATGTGATCAATTCCCCACTCTATTAAATTACAGATAACTTTGAGTACACTTCTGTGAGAAACTGGACTGTCATGGAGAGCTATATTGACTCACTTGTTTCTTTGATCTCAGGTTGATCTGTTGCATTGCTTTCTTGGCTGTTCAGTAGTAAATGGAAATAAACAAAACCTTAAACATAGCCCAAGTCATCACTGTAGACAAAACTTTAGGTCAATTCTCATGCCCTCACATTTAGTTTCCTATTCTAAACTTACATTTTTTTTCAATATTGCTACATAGTTTTACATAGGCACCTTCTACCTTATCCAATGGCAGTCATCTTCCAAGCCTACTCTGTACCTGTCTTTGGGCTTTGTGTTGCAAGAGAAATATAAAAAATCTTTCTTTAAACCTCTGCAAGTTGGATTTTCTATTACTTCTAACAGAATACATTCCTTAGTTGATTCACTCATACAATCAGAATCCTGGAAGATAGGACTATTCCAGAAGTGGCTAATTCAGTTCAACAAAGTCAACAGAAATTCAACAAAGTTGAATTCAACAAAGTCATCAGAAATTGAGGTTCAACAAAGTCATCAGAAATTGAGGGTCTTGCCATTTTTCTACTTCATAGTTGCTTGATGCTTGTGGCAGCTTCAGACATCATATCCTTTCATACTAATGTGAAGAGAGAGGGAAAATAAAGAAATGTTTCCGTCCTGGTCTTTTTTGAGAGAAGAAAAATGTTTTGAAGTTCCTCAGCCTACTTCTTATGTCTCATCAGACAGAATTTGGTCAGTGTCCACACCAAACTAAATGTTTGCCAAGGGGGATAAATAACCATGGCTGGCTCTGGCCAATCAGGAGTCACTGCTGGGGATGGAGATGGGTCCTGTCTTCCCAGAAGGAAATATTAGGTTGGTGCAAAAGTAATTGTGGTTTTGTAACTGCCCAGTGAGATCACCTTGACCACGGCCTAGGCAGAGCCGATTTGTCAAGACAAGGGAATTGCAATGGTGAAAGAATAATTCACGCAAAGCCAGCTGTGCGGGAGACTGGAGTTTTATTATTACTCAAATCAGTCTATACGAGCATTCGGACATTAGAGTCTTTAGGGATAATTTGGTGGGTATGGGCTCCAAAAGTGGGAAGTGCTGATTGGTCAGGTTGAAGATAAAATCATAGGGGATCGAAGTAAGTTCCTCTTGCTGACTTTGGGGTGGGATCACAGAACTGGTTGAGCCAGATTCACAGTCTGAGTGGTGTCATCTGCTGCAGGGTCTGCAAAATATTTCAAGCACTGATCTTAGGTTTTACAACAGTGATTTTAGTCCCAGGAGCAACTTGGGGAGGTTCAGACTCTTTCAGTCAGAGGCTGCATAGCCCCTAAACCATGATACCTAATCTTGTAGCTGATTTGTTAGTCCTACAAAGGCAGACTGGTCCCCAGGGAAGAAGGGGTTTTTCAGGAAATGGCTATTATCCATTTTGTTTCAGAGTTTAAACTATAAGCTAAATTCCTTCCCATGGCCAGTTCAGCCTACACCCACGAATGAACAAGGACGGTTTAGAGGTTCGAAGGAAGATGGGGTCGGTTAGGTCTGATCTCTCTCCCTGACATAATTTCCTCAGTTATGATTTTTTTCAAAAGTGGTTTGTTTTTGCCTTTTTTTAATTGCAAAGACCTCAATTACTTTTGCACCAATGTAATAGCTACTTGGAGGCCAATTAACAAAATCAAGTTTCTGTTAGAAGGAAGAGGTGGGGAAATGGATAAAGGCTGTTGGCATAGCAACTGACAGTGTCTAGTGGTGAAATACTGCTGGCTTCTTTGACCTGAGTCACTTTCATGGGTTCTTACACCACTTAGGAGAGAAAGTTCCTCAGTGATATATTGGATATTCTGGTAATTTGACATGTGGAAACTTAAACTAATTTTTATTTGGGAAAGTTAATTAAATTGGTAAATGAATGTTATGTAACTTTATAGAATGGTGCAGGATGATGAACCCCAGCCTAACACAAATAAAGCTAGAGTTAGAAAAGTTATTTTATTTTAAAAAATAATCATTAAGGATTTGTCACGAAACAGTCCTTGCAGAAGACTTACTTTCACTTTACCTTTTGAATAACCTTATCTTTTTGGAGAATAATTGCATTCTAGGGCAGATGCCTTAATATAAATATCTGAAAAATGAGAGGCCACCTAGAAATGAGAAGAAAGTTGAATGATATGACATCCTAGCCATTGTTTGTTTTTAAGGTGAAGATGTGAAGTGGCTCTTAATTAAATTTTGCAGAGTTTTGCTGAGAAATTTTATCTCTGCCCTCAGATTTATTCCCAGCTTCAGTGGTTTGTAAGGATGACTGAAGAGCCTGGTCACCTCAGAGCTGTGAGGGCTGGGCTCAGAAGAACACAAAGAAGGACCCCAGTGATTTATGATTAGAAGAGTATTTTTTAAATATTTACAAATGAATAGAACTAGATAACTATAACATGAATAAATAAGGTAGGCCTAGCTGAGCAAAATTATGAGACAGACTGTAATAAACAATGTGTGTTTATTTCGGAAAGATCAACTTGAAAAGGTGGGCATGTTGAGTCTAGCTATCACTCAAGGTAGAATTAACAATAGTCACTTTTTGCTTTATAAAGATATTAAGTTGTCCGATTCTTAGTGGTTCCTGGTAGCAGTTTATATAAATTCCTTAAAGATCTGCATCGGCATATTTATTATAGGAGATGCCCTTTCCCACTAGAATGTACCTATGGGATTTAGGGATGTTTTATCCATTTCAAAAATCATTTTCTTATCCTTCAGTTCTTATCCCTTAGATATAGAATCATGTCCTCTGCAAACAGGGATAGTTTGACTTCTGTTCTTCCTATTTGGATACCATTTATTTCTTTCTTTTGGCTTATTGCTCTGGCCAGGACTTCCAATTACTCTGTTGAATAGGAGTGGTGAGAGAGGGCATCCTTGTCTTGTGTCAGTTTTCAAGGGCAATGCTTCCAGCTTTTTCTCATTTAGTATGTTGTTGTCTGTGGGTTTGTCATATATGGCTCTTATTATTTTGAGGTATGTTCCTTCAATACCTAGTTTATTGAGGGGGTTGAACATGAGGAGATGTTGAATATTATTGAAAGCCTTTCTGCATCTATTGAGATGATCCATGTCATTTTTCTTTAGTTCTATTTATATGATGAATCACATGTATTGATTTGCATATTTTGAAACAACCTTGTCCCCCAGGGATAAAGCCTACTCAATTGCGGTGGGTTAGCCTTTTGATGTGCTGCTGGATTCAGTTTGCAAGTATTCTGTTGAGGATTTTTGCATCAATGTTCATCAAGGATATTGGCCTGAAATCTTCTTTTTTTCTTTTGTCTCCGCCAAGTTTTAGTATCAGGATGATGCTGAGCTCATAGAATGGGTTAGGAAGGAATGCCTCCATCTCAATTTTTTGGAATAGTTTCAGTAGAAATGGTACCAACTCTTCTTTGTACATCTGGTATAACTCAGCTGTAAATTCATCTGGTCCTGGACATTTTTTGGTTGGTAGACTATTACTAATTCAACTTCCAGAGATGGTTATTGATCTGTTCAGGGAATCAATTTCCTCCTGGTTCAGTCTTGGGAGGGTGTCTGTGTCCAGCAATTTATCCATCTCTTCTAGGTTTTCTAGTTTGTGCTCATAGAGGTTTTTGTAGTAGCCTCTGATAGTTATTTTTATTTCTGTGGTCTCAGTGGTAACATCCCCTTTGTTGTTTCTGATTGTGTTTATTTGGATCTTCTCTCCTTTCTCCTATTAATCTAGCTAGCAGCCTATCTTATTAAAAAACCAACTCCTGGATTCATTGACCTTTTGAATTTTTTGTTTGTGTGTGTGTCCTGATATCCTTCAGTTTATCTCTGATTTTGATTATTTCTTGTCTTCCGCTATATCTTGTTTAATTGTTATGTGAGCTGCATGCACCTAGGAATATAATCTGTGGTGTTGGTTCTATTTTCTTTTACTAGTTATACAATTTCACTTTAGACAAGCTTATAACCATTTTGTCTGTGAATTTTTTCATTAGAAGACATGTAATTGCAATATTGTTTTCAAAATGAATAACTAATATCATTGCATTGCTTTATTAATGCTATGCACACTTTGGCTTTAAAAAATCATTTCTTCATATATTATTGCACTTACAAATATAGCTTTAGTTGAATCATTGACTATTAAACACCAAGTGATCAAGTGTTGTCAATTAAAAAGGCCCTTAAATCAAAGCAGCCTTTCCTCTACCTTCCCTTTGAAAGAAGCTACGAAAATTAAAGGACATGCAATGTACTTCTATCCAATATGAAAGTAATAGATCTCTGGAAAATTATTTTAATAGTCTATAGAGAGAGTCTTATTAAGATCAAGATCAAAGCAGCTTCATGGCTGCCTTAGAATATGTATCAGTACACTTTGCTGCTGAGTGAAAAAAGTGAGTTATAACAACAGCATGTAGAGGCAACACCATTTTGTTTTGTTTTTAAAAATGCTTCCACATATGTAAAAATTATGCATAGAAAGACCATTATGAAATACATTAAAATGAACCTTTTTAAAGTGGAAAAAAAGAGATATATGTCAGTAACAAGCATCAGTTTTATTTTTCTGTGTCTGTATAGACATAAATTCTAGAAGTTTCCATGTATTTTGTTGTAAGGCTACCTAGAATACACACCAATAATTAGACCGAACAAAGACACAGTTTACACAACTGAATATTGTCAATTTTCAGTGGTAGAAAGTATAACCAAGAATAGAATAGCAAAAATGACAAAACAAAAACATAAATTTTAAATCTTAAAAGTTATGTTTATCAGAGTTATGCTATTCCTTATTATTATATCTGAAGATGAGTACAATATTGGTAGGCAAGAATGTGAGATAGCTTATTATTGTGTTTAGTATTCCCTCGTGTGAAATAATATTGGCATTTACATTCATAGGAGCACTGTAGTTTTTATTTTTGTTAAAACTCAGTAACAAGCACATTTGTAATATGAAAGAGTTGGGTTCATTTCGCTTTACATAAAAGCAACTTCATACGCAGAGCTCATTAATTTATCCTCAAACCATGTATAAATTATTGAACCAGTCTTGTTTTGCTAGATAAGTGGAATATGAAAATGAGATCTCAACAGGCAATATTTATTAATTTCTATGAAGTCTTTATATATTTCTCTTCTACTTCTTAAAGATACAGAGGGAATTCCAGCATTTCTGATTTATTAAGGAATGAGTACAATCCAGTTAACCAAAAACTTTAGAGCAGGAGTTGAATTTTAAGATTTCTTTAATTTGGTTTGCCTTGGATTATCTCATAAGAACATGATTTTTAATTCATTTATATGCTTTCATATGTGGATTCATCCCCTTTGTTCTTTGATTTTGTCTTTTTATTTAAGAAAACATCCTGGTGGGGCGCAGTGGCTCACGCCTGTAATCCCAGCACTTTGGGAGGCAAGGCGGGCAGATCACGAGGTCAGGAGATCGAGACCATCCTGGCCAACATGGTGAAACCCCGTCTGTACTAAAATACAAAAGAAAAAAAAAAAAGAAAAGGAAAAAAATTAGCTGGGCCTGGTGGCATGCACCTGTATGTAGTCCCAGCTACTTGGGAGGCTGAGGCAGGAGAATCGCTTGAACTCGGGAGCAAAGGTTGCAGTGAGCCGAGATCACACCACTGTACTCCAGCCTGGTGACAGAGTGAAACTCTGTCTCAAATTAAAAAAAAAAAAAAGAGGAGAAAAGAAGACATCCTTCATGAATTACTGATTTCTTAGATTATGTGTTCGTTTGCTCTTTCTCCTGATATTTACAAAGAGGTTTTTTCCAGAAAATGATATTATGAGATTCCTAGAAATAATTGAATTGGCAGATAATTCAGGAAGATGTGAAAAATATATATTAATAACAAGTTGGAAAAATTCAATGTATATAATGACACCAAGCATTAGTGAGGATGTGGGAGAAGATGAAACCATATACATGTTCATTGGAGTGTGAATTGGTTTCACCATTTTGGAGAGCAATTTGGGAGTATCTTGCAAATTAAAAGATGTACACACCTTACCATCTCACTCTTGGATTTCTCTACCCTAGAAAAACCAAGGTACTTTTGCAGAGAGAAATTATTTGAGCAAGTTCGTAACAAGGGAAACAATCCACTTAACAATGAATAAATATATAAATCATGGTTTATTCAGACAATTACAATGCAAGTTTTATAATGAATGATCCAGATCTACATGAATAAACATGATTAAAAAATGCAATGCTGAGTTTTTAAAAAAGTTGAAAGGAATCTTAAAGTATAATACATTCATTTAAATGTTAAACATAGTTTTATTTATGGATGCTACATACATAATAAATGTACAAAACTGTCCATGAAAATAATGCACACCAGCTTTAGAATAATGGTTACCTCTGGGAAGGACGATGGTAGGTTGAAGATATGATGTACCTGTGACATTTCATTTTTAAGAAGACAAAGTGAGCAAATTAAAGCAAAGAAAGCCAAATATTAACATGGGTTTAATCTTAGCATTTTAACAATGTTATACCTACAGGTGTCTTTCACATTATCTTCTGTACTCCTTTATATGTTTAAATGGTTTCATCATGAAAAAGAAAAAAATTCCTAAGTGTTCACTCTGTGAATGGCTGCATCCAACCAAGTGAATGTAATTCCCTTAGTGGGCAGAATTGAAGTAGGGGAATTGAAGAGGCTTTCTCCTAAGCTAGGCATGGAGTAGCTAAAGGAATTAATTTGTCAGTGAATGAACTTTGAAAGTGGCTATTCTCATGTGAACTTAATCTATTCTGATATAGTCTTCTTTAAGAAAGAAAAACTTGAGCAGTTAACTTCTTTAACACTCCTGTATCTGCAGTAATAAAAATAATGATAATATTATATAAGAACTTTATATTCAGGTTCTACTCAATGATTTATATATTTTCTCATCTAATTCTCACAATGTCTCTATGAAGTAGTTGCTATTATAAACCACATTAAAAGATGGGCTAAAGTGCTTTTCCCATTCACATAGCAGAGTTAGTATATTACTGACAAGAGTAACCACGAGAATCATTTACTCTGAGAACAAAAAATTAATAAGTAAATAAAGAAAATATTAGGGAAAATGGGGATGATCCTGTCAACATTCCTTCACTCTCATTTAATAGTGAACTCCGCATTCAGTTGCCATCAGTATAGTTTCAAAATTAAGGAAGATTATGCTTATACACTAACAGACCCTGTATTGTTCCTTTTCAATATTAAATAGAATAATATTTCTTTTTGTTTTAGTGTTAGTAACTTCAAAAATAGTTTTCTAGAATATGAAAACATGGATTTTTATTAATAATCAGCTATTTGAATAGAAAAGTCATGGCTACTTCTTTTTTTATTCTTTGAGACAGAGTCTTCTTCTGTCATCCGGCTGGAGTGCAGTGGCGTAATTTCAGTTCACTGGAATCTCCACCTCTTGGTTCAAGCAATTCTCATGCCTCAGCCTCCGGAGAAACTGGGATTACAGGTGTGCACCACCATGTCTTGTTAATATGGCTACTTCTTAATTTCCTTCCAGCTCATAAAATTTCTGTGTTCACATAGTTAGATTGGTTAGATACTAATTCTACCTTTGAAAAATAATAATCATTTTATAAAGAAATAGAAATTTGCTCATTTGAGCATTTAAAGGATTTTCAAATTGAGAAACTGTGTAGGTAGAGTTTTGATATAATAAAGTCAAAGCAGAAAGATTTCCTAAAATATTCTTCAAGTGTATTTATTTTTCTTGGAAATAAGAAAATCTAATGGGGATGAGATGAAATTTTGCGGTAAGTTGACTAGTTTTCTGAAGTTATTTGAGAATAGGCTTAATTTTTTTAAAGAATTAATTGTAGCTAAATTTATCAAGCCATCAAATGTTCCAATAAGCAATGGTTAATTTCCAGGCATTGAGCTCTGCCTCTTTACAGAAAAGGTCTCATGTAGTCCTGACAACATTTTAAGGTGGGTATTTTTACACTCACTTTACAGATGGGAAAACTGAGGATATGAGAGGTCACATAAAGGGTTCAAGGTTGTACAGCTTGCAAATAGCAGAGTCATGATTCAATCTAGAATAGGGTTTGAATCCATGCTCTCAACTGTGCTGTACTATCTCCCTCAGGCTGTTAAGAAGAACTCTGTGTAAAACCTTCATAACTGATTTCAGGAAAAGCAGGCGAATCTGAGCTCTGAAACCTGCCATCCTGTTTTATGGCAGGTTGAGCACATGCTGCTTCTTGATGAGAAACAGTCACACAGATAGGAATAGTAACCTAAGAGCAAATCAATAAGGGAGTTTGAAAGATGGAGACAGAGTTTAATGGAAAAATGTCTTTGGCTTGGAAGACATGCTAGGGATCTGTAATTTGTTTTTCTTCTTTTTTATCCATAAAAATATTTGAGGAGTAGTATTCCGAATTATTTTCCAGACAGAGAAATTGTAAAAGACTGCCAGAGAGTGAGTGAAGTTGGGTTCAGAATAAAGTGTTTTATTATTACAAAAGCAATATGTGCACATGTTAGAAAGCTAGAAAATATTGATAATCAAAGAAAATAATAGAAACTTAGAAATTTATAACCCTCATTGAGTGGTAAACACCATCATTACCTTGGTGTTCACAACTCTACATACATTCTTTAAGAATCAAATCATGCCATGCAAAAGCTACTTGATTGTAGCTTTTTTAAAGTTTAAAAGCATATATTTTTATTCTTTAAGGCATCAATGGAGCTATAGAAATGTCAATACAATATATGTATATCCTTGATATTTTTGACATTTCCATAAAACTCACTCACCTCAATACAGCATTATTTTCTTCTGTTCTCTATTTAAGATAGTTCATCATAATGATGACCTGACACTTGATGCCAGCTTCTTGGTGCATGTCAGGACTTTCATGAATTGAACAGTAAACGTGACAAATCAGTATCAATCATGATTCTTCTTCCAGGTTGGAAGGCTAAGCCAGGGCCCAAGTTAAAACAGAGTCAACCATAATTTCTGAAAGATAAAAGAGAGCCTACAGGGTATATATTTTACACATGAGGAAAGTGAAGACCCCCCCCAGATAATGTCCAAGGCCACACAACTATTACTAGTTATTGGTGAGAGAGCATGGTGAAATCCACCTGGCCTAACATCTAACCCATTGCTCTTTCATGTGCTGCATACTATCTCCCAGTAAGGATCCCATCTCATGAGATTGGAAGATAGAGTACTGTGTGATCTAGCCTTATTAGAGGCAATGTTTCCAACCTCCAGACTCATGGCCCTGAAGAAATTGGGAACATATCTACAATTATAAAACCCCATAAGGCATAGTAATTGTCTCCATTACACTTTAATAAAAGTCTTTTCTAACATGGGAAGAGCGGAATGCTCATTAGTAGATCTTAGGATTTAGGACAGCCATTGAAGGGGGTTTTTATTTCCTTTGTAAAGTCTGACTGGGCTATGAGGCATGGTGAGAGTTTGAGATAGAGGAATGAAAGCAGACCAGAAGCTGGCCAGAAAATAGCTAAAGATTTAACTTCACCAATAGGCATGTTTCTTTTCCTCATCCCCTCTCTGTCAGTTGTCATTATTATCTTTGCCCATTACTAAGAATTTTACAAAATATAACATATGTCATGCCTATTATAGACATTGAGCTCAGTGCTTTCATATGCATTATGTTATTTAATGTTATGAATCAAATTATGTTATTCACACTGTACAGATTAGCAAACTGAGGCTTGACCTCAGTAATGTTAATACTAACCTTACGTAATTTGGTCAAGGACCTCCAATCCTAGCTGATAATTAATCTAGGATTCTAACTTGTCTTTGGGTGTCCAGAGCCCATGCTGTTTACAATCTGGTACGCTATTCTTCTGATAAACATCCAGGAAGGGTTGAGGTCCCAAAATCCAAGTCAGAGTACAGAGCAAGATTGAAAGTGTTCTGTATGGTGGCATGAGAAGAGGGGTAAAAGCTGGGGCACATGGGATTTAAGGTAAAGAGCTTTCTTCTGGTTCACATTGTCCAGGACTAAGGAATTTGATTTCTCTGACCATCCCTGAGGCCATGCCCTGGGAGTAGGGTTAGAAGGGTCCCCCAGGCTGAGGGTCAGGTCTGTACTTTTTGTCCAGCCGCAAACATAGATGAAAATTAGGAATCAGAGAAGAAACCTCTAGGATTAATGCTAGATGCTCATGGAGGTACCACAAAGCGTAATTCACTCTGAACCTCCTACACACAGTCATTGATGTAACAGACCGATCACAGAGCTCATTCACTTCCAAATACACTGCCAGGTGCTCTCATGGGATTGGAACCTAGAGAGGGTTGAAACTGCTGATGGAAATTCATCAGCCTGGGCTGTTGAGTGAGTTGTAAGACACAGACTTCACTTACCGACCGGAGTAGTATTTATATGCACTATTAACAGGGATTTTATGTTCCGTGGAATTGCTTCTCTTTCTCAGTCTAAGTTTATTTTACATATATTTTAGAAATATTTGACAACTACTCCAAAAAACAGACAGTGGTGGATCTAAGTCAACGAAGCTTCCATGTTGTATTCAGTTCCTGGCTAATGAGAGATTTATGTGTGTTCGGTCTCAGGGCAGAGATGAGAATGATGAGGATCTTTCAGCTAAAGAAAACATGTTCAAGTGACAATATAATGGTGAAAGAGTATACTCAAGCTAATAAATGTCACTCGGAAAAGTAGTGAGCCAGCTTTATCTCTGTGTTGCCACTGTCAGAGTGTGCACATTTTTGATCTGAATATTTATAGCAATAATTTAAAAAGTGTGATCCCTAGACCAATAGCATGAGAGTCAACTGGTAACTTGAAAATGCATTCTCAGGCCCCACACCAAACCTACTGAGTTAGAAACTCTGGAGGTGGGGACGAGTCTTCCAGGAGACTGTGATGCAACAAGTTTGAGAAGCACTGATCTGCAGCATTATACCATTTAACTGTCAGAGCAGCTATATGAGTTAAGTATGATCATCTTTGTTTTACAGAAGAGAAATCCAAGAAATGTCAAATTAATGAAAAGTGTCATGTCCAAGATCACACAGCTAGTAACTGGCAAAATTGAGATTAAAATTCATCGTTATAAGGCTCCAGAATCTATATACCATGCTACTTCCAGATGATTTTAACTATCAACTGCATTTAATTATTTAATCCATTTGAACATTTTCTCTAGAGATAATTATATCATATATATTTGATAATATATGTTTATTTTGCTTTTCATGTAGCACTGAAATGATATAATACGCACATGGGGGAGGCAATAACTCCACTTCCATCCTCTTAGGGTCCCAGTTGGGCTGGAAGATTAAGTTGACACAAGACAGATTAACAGGAAAAAAGCACAAAAATTTATTTAATTACAGTTTTAGGTGGTACAGGAGCTCTCATAAAGAAGTGAAGACTCAGAGAAGCAGTTAGAGTCTATCACTTACATACTGAATTGGACAAAGAATAGCAAATTGTGAGATGTGGTATGACAGAGGGGCTTGGGCTAGGGTAGTTAACTGGGTAGAGAACTGACTAGGAAGGTAAGGGTTAATTTAACCAAATTTATCTGTAAAGATTTCCCTTGGCCTCAACTTCCCATCCTTGATAAGAATGATGCTTTCCTTCTGGTATAGGGAGAACATTTTTTCACATGGGAAATTTATTTCCTGCTTTTAAAAAGTAGAATGAAGGTCAGAGTGATCTTCCTGCATCTGGTGTTTTTTTTTTTTTTCCTTAAGTACCTTTAGTTGAAAATAGTCAATATGCTGGAGCAGCATATCTTGGGGTGGCTTGTTCATAACTCCTTCAGGAGCCATCTTCTGCATGGAATGATCTGGAAAATCTTTCAGATCAACCACTTCCCTTCTATTTCCCTTCAGTTCTTTTTCTTCCATAATTTATTGTGAAAAAATTTCAAAGCTACAAAGCTTGAAAGAATAGTCTAATAAACACCATTAAATTTTTTACCCAGTTTCCAGATATCATTTTGTCACTTTTGCTTTATTTCTCTCTATGTGTATATATAGGTGTATGTTTGTGTATTCCCCACACACACTTTCCTGAACTATTTGAAAATAAGCTGCAGATATTATAACAGTTCATTTCTAAATAACTCAGCATGTGTCTCTAAGAACAAGAGTTTTCACTTACATAATCACGATATTAGTATGCCCAACAAGTTTAACATTGATTCAACAATATAATCAAATATACAGTGCATATTCAAGTTTCCCCTATTATTATTGAGACAGAATCTTGCTCTGTCACCTAGGCTGGACTGCAATGGTGCGATCTCTGCTCCCTGCAACCTCTGTCTCCCAGGCTCAAGCAATTCTCCTGCTTCAGTCTCCTGAGTAGCTGGGATTATAGGTGGCCACCACCACACTCGGCTCATTTTTGTATTTTTAGTAGAGGCAGCATTTCACCATGTTGGCCAGGCTGGTTTAGAACCCCTGACCTCAAAAGATCCGCTCGCCTCAGCCTCCCAAAGTGCTGGGATTACAGGTGTGAGCCACTGAACCCAGCCAAGTTTCCCCAATTATTAAAGAGAAAGTCCCAAATATATATATATATATATATTTTAAATTCAAGATCTAATGAAAGTCATGCAACGTGTTTTCCTGTTGAGGAATTTTAATCACCTCTGTTTGTTTGTTCACTTTCATGCCATTGACATTTTTTGGAGTGTGGATTTGTCGTCTCATAGAATGTCCCACTTCCCATTTGTGCACTCCTGTTGCATCTCATTAGGAGGCACATGATATCTGGACCATTACTGATGATAAACAGTTGGTCATTTAGTTACGTGATGTACAATAGACCTTTGCAATAAAAGTACCCGTTGCCCTTGTAAATAAAAAGTAGTCTGTGAGATGATGCCTTGAGATCATAGGACTATATTGTTCTTCAAAAACTTCACTCAATGGTGATTTTTCTAAATCTATTACTTCTACATTTATTATCTGGCATTTTTCTGTAAAGAAGACCCCTCATTGTTTTTTCCTTTTCCCCCTCCCTCATTTTTTGTATGCATGTATGTACATATGTGTTATCACCATTTACTTTGATTATTCTTAATATTATCTTTTTATTTAATGTATCAGTTTAAGAAATCTATTACTGTTTTTGGAAGCAGAGATACATCACACATTTTGATGAGCAATGTTCACTCTATGGCCACTGGAGTTAATACCTAGATAGAAAAAATAGAGAAGATTAGATAATTTGTATGTCCAATGGATGGTTCAGCCCTTCATTGTTCCAGTCTCTATCCTTTCTTACAACTTCTTTGAGGTTTTTTTTCTTGCTCTGTCTCCCAGGCTGGAGTGCAGTGACGTGACCTCAGCTCACTACAACCTCTGCTTCCCAGGTTCAAGTGATTCCCCTGCCTCAGCCTCCCAAGTAGCTGGGATTACAGGCACCCACCACCATGCCCAGCTAATTTTTGTATTTTTAGTAGACGGGCTTTCAACATGTTGGCCAGGCTGGTCTCGAACTCCTCACCTCAGGTGATCCACTTTCCTTGGCCTCTCAACGTGCTGGGATTACATGTGTGAGCAATCGTGCCCAGCTTCTTTGAGGTATTTTTGGGCGGCATATAGGAAACAACGGCCGGAGAAAATCTTTTACGTTTGAATTTTTTCAAATTCTTGTAACAGTAGCCTGCTTTTAAAAGATCTGCTTAGAATTTGGGTCACAGACTTGATGTCTGGTGGATTTCTACATCTCTGTAAGTTTAGTCATCTTTCAGAAGTATTATATATATACACGTGAGTATGGCATATATCAATATGCTTTATATATATACTCATACATTTAACTTTTATGAGAAAAAAATCTTTATACAGTCATGTGTCACTTAACGATGGGGGTACATCCTGAGAAATGCATCAGTAGGCCATTTCATTATTGTGCCAACATCAGAGAATATACTTCCACAAACCTAGATGGTATCTTGTATTCTGCAGGTAGGTTATATTGATAGCATAGCCTATTGCTCCTAGGCTACAAACCTGCACAGCATGTTACTGTACTGAATATTGTGGACAATTGTCACACAATTGTAAGTATTTGTGTATCTAAACACATCTAACATAGAAAAGATACAGTAAAAAATACAGTATAAAAATAAAAAACTGTATACCTGTATAGGGCACTCACCATGAATGGAGCTTGCAAGACTGGAAGCTGCTTTGGGTAAGTCAGAGAGTGAGTGGTGAGTAAATGTGAAGGCCTATGACAACACTGTACACTGCTGTAGACTTTATAAACACTGTATGCTTAGACTTAATTTATTAAAAATATTTTTCTTTCTTCAATAATAAATTAGCCTTGGCTTACTGTAAACTTTTTCTATATCAACTTTTTAATTTTTTTTATTATTCTTATACTCTAAGTTTCAGGGTACGTGTGCACAAAGTGTGGGTTTGTTACATATGTATGCATGTGCCATGTTGGTGTGCTGCACCCATTAACTCGTCATTTAGCATTAGGTATATCTCCTAATGGTATCCCTCCCCCCTCCCCCAACCCCACAACAGGCCCCAGTGTGTGATGTTCCCCTTCCTGTGTCCACGTGTTCTCATTGTTCAATTCCCACCTATGAGTGAGAACATGCAGTGTTTGGTTTTTTGTCCTTGCGATAGTTTGCAGAGAATGATAGTTTCCAGCTTCATCCATGTCCCTACAAAGGACATGAACTCATCATTTTTTATGGCTGCATAGTATTCTATGGTGTATATATGCCACATTTTCTTAATCCAGTCTATCATTGTTGGACATTTGGGTTGGTTCCAAGTCTTTGCTATTGTGAATAGTGCCACAATAAACATACGTGTGTATGTGTCTTTATAGCAGCATGATTTATAATCCTTTGGTTATATACCCAGTAATGGGATGGCTGGGTCAAATGGTATTTCTAGTTCCAGATCCCTGAGGAATCGCCACACCGACTTCCACAATGGTTGAACTAGATTACAGTCCCACCAACAGTGTAAAAGTGTTCCTGTTTCCCCACATCCTCTCCAGCACCTGTTTTTTCCTGACTTTATAATGATCGCCATTCTAACTGGTGTGAGATGGCATCTCATTGTGGTTTTGATTTGCATTTCTCTGATGGCCAGTGATGATGAGCATTTTTTCATATGTCTGTTGGCTGCATAAATGTCTTCTTTTGAGAAGTGTCTGTTCATATCCTTTGCCCACTTTTTGATGGGGTTGTTTGTTTTTTTTTCTTGTAAATTTGTTTGAGTTCATTGTAGATTCTGGATATTAGCCCTTTGTCAGATGAGTAGGTTGCAAAAATTTTCTCCCATTCTGTAGGTTGCCTGTTCATTCTGATGGTGGCTTCTTTTGCTGTGCAGAAGCTCTTTAGTTTAATTAGATCCAATTTGTCAGTTTTGTCTTTTGTTGCCATTGCTTTTGGTGTTTTAGACATGAAGTCCTTGCCCATGCCTATGTTCTGAATGGTATTGCCTAGGTTTTCTTCTAGGGTTTTTATGGTTTTAGGTCTAACGTTTAAGTCTTTAATCCATCTTGAATTAATTTTTGTATAAGGTGTAAGGAAGGGATCCAGTTTCAGCTTTCTACATATGGCTAGCCAGTTTTCCCAGCACCATGTATTAAATAGGGAATCCTTTCCCCATTTCTTGTTTTTGTCAGGTTTGTCAAAGATCAGACAGTTGTAGATATGTGGCATTATTTCTGAGGCCTCTGTTCTGTTCCATTGGTTTATATCTCTGTTTTGGTAGCAGTACCATGCTGTTTTGATTACTGTAGCCTTGTAGTATAGTTTGAGGTCAGGTAGCGTGATGCCTCCAGCTTTGTTCTTTTGGCTTAGGATTGACTTGTCAATGTGGGCTCTTTTTTGGTTCCATATGAACTTTAAAGTAGTTTTTTCCAATTCTGTGAAGAAAGTCATTGTTAGCTTGATGGGGATGGCATTGAATCTATAAATTACCTTGGGCCGTATGGCCATTTTCATATTGATTCTTCCTACCTATGAGCATGGAATGTTCTTCCATTTGTTTGTATCCTCTTTTATTTCATTGAGCAGTGGTTTGTAGTTCTCCTTGAAGAGGTCCTTCACATCCCTTGCAAGTCGGATTCCTAGGTATTTTATTCTCTTTGAAGCAATTGTGAATGGGAGTTCACTCATGATTTGGCTCTGTTTGTCTGTTATTGATGTATAAGAATGCTTGTGATTTTGCATATTGATTTTGTATCCTGAGACTTTGCTGAAGTTGCTTATCAGCTTGAGGAGATTCTGGGCGGAGACAATGGGGTTTTCTAGATACACAATCATGTCATCTGCAAACAGGGACAATTTGACTTCCTCTTTTCCTAATTGAATGCCCTTTATTTCCTTCTCCTGCCTGATTGCCCTGGCCAGAACTTCCAACACTATGTTGAATAGGAGTGGTGAGAGAGGGCATCCCTGTCTTGTGCCAGTTTTCAAAGGGAATGCTTCCAGTTTTTGTCCCTTCAGTATGATATTGGCTGTGGGTTTGTCATACATAGCTCTTATTATTTTGAGATACGTCCCATCAATAACTAATTTATTGAGAGTTTTTAGCATGAAGGTTGTTGAATTTTGTCAAAGGCCTTTTCTGCATCTATTGAGAAAATCATGTGGTTTTTGTCTTTGGTTCTGTTTATATACTGGATTACATTTATTGATTTTTGTATGTTGAACAGCCTTGCATCCCAGGGATGAAGCCCACTTGATCATGGTGGATAAGCTTTTTGATGTGTTGCTGGATTCAGTTTGCCAGTATTTTATTGAGGATTTTTGCATCAGTGTTCATCAAGGATATTGGTCTAAAATTCTCTTTTTTTGTTGTGTCTCTGCCAGGTTTTGGTATCAGGATGATGCTGGCCTCATAAAATGAGTTAGGGATTCCCTCTTTTTCTATTGATTGGAATAGTTTCAGAAGGAATGGTACCAGTTCCTCCTTGTACCTCTGGTAGAATTCGGCTGTGAATCCATCTGGTCCTGGACTTTTTTTGGTTGGTAAGCTCTTCATTATTGCCTCAATTTCAGATCCTGTTATTGGTCTTTTCAGAGATTCCAATTCTTCCTGGTTTAGTCTTGGGAGAGTGTATGTGTCAAGGAATTTATCCGTTTCTTCTAGATTTTCTAGTTTATTTGCATAGAGGTGTTTATAGTATTCTCTGATGGTAGTTTGTATTTCTGTGGGATTGGTGGTGATATCCCCTTTATCATTTTTTATTGCGTCTATTTGATTCTTCTCTCTTTTCTTCTTTATTAGTCTTGCTAGTGGTCTTTCAATTTTGTTGATCTTTTCAAAAAACCAGCTCCTGGATTCACTGAGTTTTTGAAGGGTTTTTTGTGTCTCTATTTCCTTCAGTTCTGCTCTGATCTTAGTTATTTCTTGCCTTCTGCTATCTTTTGAATGTGTTTGCTCTTGCTTCTCTAGTTCTTTTAATTGTGATGTTAGGGTGTCAATTTTAGATCTTTCCTGCTTTCTCTTGTGGGCATTTAGTGCTATAAATTTCCCTCTACACACTGCTTTGAATGTGTCCCAGAGATTCTGGTATGTTGTGTCTTTGTTCTCCTTGGTTTCAAAGAACATCTTTATTTCTGCCTTCATTTCGTTATGTACCCAGTAGTCATTCAGGAGCAGGTTGTTCAGTTTCCATGTAGTTGAGTGGTTTTGAGTGAGTTTCTTAATCCTGAATTCTAGTTTGATTGCACTGTGGTCTGAGAGACAGTTTGTTATAATTTCAGTTCTTTTACATTTGCTGAGGAGTGCTTTACTTCCAAGTATGTGGTCAATTTTGGAATTGGTGTGGTGTGGTGCTGAAAAGAATGTATATTCTGTTGATTTGGGGTGGAGAGTTCTGTAGATGTCTATTAGGTCTGCTTGGTGCATAGCTGAGTTCAATTCCTGGATATCCTTGTTAACTTTCTGTCTCGTTGATCTGTGTAATGTTAACAGTGGGGTGTTAAAGTCTCCCATTATTATTGTGTGGGAGTCTAAGTCTCTTTGTAGGTCACTCAGGACTTGCTTTATGAATCTGGGTGCTCCTGTATTGGGTGCATATATATTTAGGATAGTTGGTTCTTCTTGTTGAATTGATCCCTTTACCATTATGTAATGGCCTTCTTTGTCTCTTCTGATCTTTGTTGGTTTAAAGTTTGTTTTATCTGAGACTAGGATTGCAACCCCTGCCTTTTTTTGTTTTCCATTTGCTTGGTAGATCTTCCTCCATCCATTTATTTTGAGCCTATGTGTGTCTGGGCACGTGAGATGGGTTTCCTGAATACAGCACACTGATGGGTCTTGACTCTTTATCCAATTTGCCAGTCTGTGCCTTTTAATTGGAGCATTTAGCCCATTTACATTTAAGGTTAATATTGTTATGTGTGAATTTGATCTCGTCATTATGATGTTAGCTGGTTATTTTGCTCATTAGTTGATGCAGTTTCTTCCTAGCTTTGATGGTCTTTACAATTTGGCATGTTTTTACAGTGGCTGGTACCGGTTTTTCCTTTCCATGTTTAGCGCTTCCTTCAGGAGCTCTTTTAGGGCAGGCCTGGTGGTGACAAAATCTCTCAGCATTTGCTTGTCTGTAAAGTATTTTATTTCTCCTTCACTTATGAAGCTTAGTTTGGCTGGATATGAAATTCTATGTTGAAAATTCTTTTCTTTAAGAATGTTGAATATTGGCCCCCACTCTCTTCTGGCTTGTAGAGTTTCTGCCGAGAGATAAGCTGTTAGTCTGATGGGCTTCCCTTTGTGGGTAACCCAACCTTTCTCTCTGGCTGCCCTTAACATTTTTTCCTTCATTTCAACTTTGGTGAATCTGACAGTTATGTGTCTTGGAGTTGCTCTTCTCGAGGAGTATCTTTGTGGTGTTCTCTGTATTTCCTGAATTTGAATGTTGGCCTGCCTTGCTACACTGGGGAAGTTCTCCTGGATAATATCCTGCAGAGTGTTTTCCAACTTGGTTCCTTTCTCACCATCACTTTCAGGTACACCAATTAGAGGTAGATTTGGTCTTTTCACATAGTCCCATATTTCTTGGAGGCTTTGTTAATTTCTTTGTATTCTTTTTTCTCTAAACTTCCCTTTATGCTTCATTTCATTCATTTCATCTTCCATCGCTGATATCCTTTCTTCCAGTTGATTGCATCAGTTACTGAGGCTTGTGCATTCGTCACGTAGTTCTTGTGCCATGGTTTTCAGCTCCATCAGGTCCTTTAAGGACTTCTCTGCATTGGTTATTCTAGTTATCCATACGTCTAATTTTTTTCAAAGTTTTTAACTTCTTTGCCATTGGTTTGAACTTCCTCCTTTAGCTCGGAGTAGTTTGATCTTCTGAAGCCTTTTTCTCTCAACTCATCAAAGTCATTCTCCATCCAGCTTTGTTCCGTTGCTGGTGAGGAGCTGCGTTCCTTTGGAGGAGGAAAGGTGCTCTGATTTTTAGAGTTTCCAGTTTTTCTGCTCTGTTTTTTCCCCATCTTTGTGGTTTTATCTACCTTTGGTCTTTGATGATGGTGACGTACAGATGGGTTTTTGGTGTGGATGTCCTTTCTGTTTGTTTGTTTTCCTTCTAACAGTCAGGACCCTCAGCTGCAGGTCTGTTGGAGTTTACTGGAGGTCCACTCCAGACCCTGTTTGCCTGGGTATCAGCAGTGGTGGCTGCAGAACAGCGGGTATTGGTGAACCGCAAATGCTGCTGCCTGATCGTTCCTCTGGAAGTTTTGTCTCAGAGGAGTACCCGGCCGTGTGAGGTGTCAGTCTGCCCCTACTGGGGGGTGCCTCCCAGTTAGGCTACTCGGGGGTTAGGGACCCACTTGAGGAGGCAGTCTGCCAGTTCTCAGATCTCAAGCTGCGTGCTGGGAGGACCAGTACTCTCTTTGAAGCTGTCAGACAGGGACCTTTAAGTCTGTGGAGGTTATTGCTGTCTTTTGTTTGTCTGTGCCCTGCCCCTAGAGGTGAAGCCTACAGAGGCAGGCAGGCCTCCTTGAGCTCTGGTGGGTTCCACCCAGTTCGAGCTTCCTGGCCTCTTTGTTTACCTGCTCAAGCCTGGGCAATGGCGGGCACCCCTCCCCCAGCCTCGCTGCTGCTTTGCAGTTTGATCTCAGACTGCTGTGCTAACAATGAGCGAGGCTCCGTGGGCATAGGACCCCCTGAGCCAGGTGCAGGATATAATCTCTTGGTGTGCTGTTTGTTAAGCCCATTGGAAGAGCGCAGTATTAGGGTGGGAGTGACCCAATTTTCCAGGTGCCATCTGTCACCCCTTTCTTTGACTAGGAAAGGGAATTCCCTGACCCCTTGCACTTCCTGTGTGAGGTGATGCCTCGCCCTGCTTTGGCTCATGCACGGTGCGCTGTGCCGACTGTCCTGCACCCACTGTCCAGCACTCCCCAGTGAGATGAACCCAGTACCTCAGTTGGAAATGCAGAAATCACCCGTCTTCTGTGTCACTCATGCTGGGAGCTGTAGACTGGAGCTGTTCCTATTCGGCCATCTTGGCTCCACCTCCTCAACTTTTTAATTTTAAAAAACTTTCTCACTCTTTTGTAGTGACACTTAGCTCAAAACACAAACACTTCATACAGCTGTATAAAAATATTTTATTTCTTTGTATCCTCATTCCACAAGCTTTTTTCTATTTTTAAAATTTTTATTTTTTACTTTTTAAAGTGTTTTTGTTAAAGACTAAGACACAAACATGCACATTAGCTTAAACCTACACAGGGTCAGGATCCTCAATATCAATGTCTTCCACCTCCATATCCTGTCACACTGGAAAGTCTTCAGCAATTATAACCCACATGGAAGCTGTCATCTCCAATAACAATTCCTTCTTCTGGAAAACCTACTGAAGGCTGTTTACAGTTAACTTTATACAAATATAAATAGAAGGAATACACTCTAGCAATGAAGATATAGTAACCAGTAACATAGTTGTTTATTATCATTATCATGTACATAATTTATTACATAACGTAGTAATAAGTAGTAATTACATAATTACATGATGTAATAATTGTATACATTCTGTAATAATAATTGTATGTGCTAGACTTTTATAAAACTAGCTGTGCAGTAGGTTTGTTTACACCAGCATCACACAAGAATAATGTGTTGTGCTACACTGTTAGCAATGGCTGCAACGTCACTGGGCGATAGGAAATTCTCAGTTCCATTATAACCTATGTGGTCCATCTTTGAAATGTTGTTATGTGGTGCATAAATGTATTTTCTGTGACAATATGAGTCATCATCAGGTTTTAATATTGCTAATATTGTTTAATATTGCTATGGGGAAAATAAATAACTAAGATGCAAATGATCTCTTTTGTTTCTTGAATAAAATTGAGAAAACAAATCACAACAATTGGAAGCAACTTTCAGAATATGTGCAAAATATAAACACAATGAATTGTGAGAAAGTAAATTTTGTGATACAGTGGATGAATTGGGATTAAAAGTGGTAAATTACTATTTTGATAAAAATGTCATTTAAAAATTATTTTAAAAAGTCACTTCATGATCATTTAGACTTGCTCTTATGAATTAATAATGTACATATATTTTAAAAGTATGTGTAGGAAAACAAGAAAAACTGGGAAAAGTAATTTAGGATTATTTATAAAGTGGAAATTAAGAAAAATTAGAGAAGCTGAGTGTAATGAATTTCCAGCTATGCCCCTTCTGGTTTTCTTGAAAATTATGTCTTCTTAGTGCTGGGAAAACCCAGAAAAAGACCAAATCTGTGGTTGAGTAAGTGGTTTGGATATTAGAAGTGTATCTGCAAAACTTCAAAACAAATCTGTTACTTTAAATCAAGCTCCCAAGAATTTATTTCTTCAACTTTTTCATCATTCTTCCATTTAAGTGTGTATATCTGGGGGATACATTGTCCTGTGCAGCTCACTTAGCTGGAGAAAATGTTTCAGAGTTTGGATTTTTCAGAATTTGAGGCAAACCATCTTGATCTTTCAGGTGCAAACAGTGTCACCGTGAACTACTGGACAGGATGTACCCTGCACACTGGCTCCTAGCCAAGAAGAAAATGGGGCCAAACGGATTGCCAAGCCATGCACTGGGAGCAGATGCTTCACGTGGATCAAGAGGCTTCTGCCCAGAGGGCCTTTCTATAATTTATGCAAAGAACACAAATGGGCTGTTAACCCTAGCCAAATCTACAACATTGATGCAATTTGGAGATATTCTCCATTAAGTGCTATTCCCACATGACTCAGGAAGAGAGGTGGCGAGTGGCAGATGAAGGCGATGCTCCTCCATTAAAATGACAGGTACTGGCAGGGCGCAGTGGCTCACACCTGTAATCCCAGCACTTTGGGAGGCCGAGGCAAGTGGATCACCTGAGGTCAGGGAGTTCAAGAGCAGCCTGGCCAACATGGTGAAACCTCGTCTGTACTAAAAATACAAAAATTGGCTGGGCGTGGTGACACACACCTGTAATCCCAGCTACTTGGGAGGCTGAAGCAGGAGAATCACTTGAACTTGGGAGGCTGAAGTTGCAGTGAGCTGAGATTGAACCACTGCACTCCAACCTGGGTGACAGAGTGAGAAATCATCCAAAAAAAAAAAAAAAAAAAAAAAAAAAAGACAGGTACTGATTATTGATGATCACTTTTCATTTTCCCTGGTCCCTCCAGAAGAGGAAACTGGTCTTACAAAGCTTTTTCCAGTAAAAAACAGTGCTTATGTTTAAAGAAATATTTCTAGTATTCAAGTTGAGTGACACGTTATTAATGGAATCTAGTTTGGGGGATTTCTACTTTGAGTTTTAGTTCCTATGATACTGGAATTTCAAAATAAAAGCACTTAAAAATATCCTTTATGGTAAGTTTTTAACTACCTAAGAATTTTTTATTCTTTATTTTTACTCTCTGCAATCATGTTAGGACAGCTTAAAATAATCAATGGCTTTTGAAGGAAAATCTTTACCAAAAAAGGTTAAGGGACTGAAAAAGGAACAACAGTAACAAACCTTAAAGAAGCGTTTATTGCTATTTTCTTTTTCTCTTTCTGTTGCTAGCTATTTGATCTTTCCTAATATAGCTGATTCTCACTGTTACCTCTAATTTTTTTCTGAGAGCTTTTGAAAACTATTTCTTTGAAAGAAAGTAAGGCAAAGCAACAGTTTAGTCTGTTTATCAGACTTCAATATTAAAATATTAGAAGTACTTTTGGAAAACTTCTTAACAAATCTTCTGTTACTTTAAATAAAGCTCCCAGAAATTTATTTCTTCAACTTTTCCCCTATTATTTCATTAAAGTGTGTATATCTGGAGAATACATTGTCCCCCAGATATTAATTAATTAAGCAATTTAGTTAAGCATTAATTAAGCAATTTTATATTTGTTTTTATTACAGTTGCTGTTCTGGTCAGAATGATTGCCAATGATAGCAACCTCTAACAAACACTGCACTGAAGTTAATTGTCTTTACATCCCTGAAGGGGGAAACTGGGAAATGATGGTGATTCTTTGAAAATAGTCATTCCATTTTTTTTTTTAGATATGCCTGTTGAGCTACCTTTTCCTTGTATACATGTGAGCAACAATATTTCTAGGTATAGATCATTTATAGCTAACCAAGTTCCCACAATCTCTGCAAACCTTTGTACTTTTCTTTTTTCTTTCTTTTCTTTTTTTTTTTTTTTTGGTTTTTTTTTGAGACGGGGTTTGTCCAGGCTGGAGTGCAGTGGAGCAATCTCGGCTCACTGCAACTTCTGCCTCCCAGGTTCAAGCAATTCTTCTGCCTCAGCCTCCCGACTAGCTGGGATTACAGGCATGTGCCACCACGCCTGGCTAATTTTGTATTTTTTTTTTTTAGTAGCGACGTTGTTTCACCATGTTGGTCAGGCTGGCCTCGAACTTCCAACCACAGGTGATCTGCCCACCTTAGCCTCCCAAAGTATTGGGATTACAGGCGTGAGCTGCTGTGCCCGGACACCTTTGCACCTTTGTACTTTTCAACAGCTGTGCCTGTTCCACTCCCTCCCCAACCCACTGCCCCTCCACCTCCAAAGGCCTCCTTACCATGCCAGATAGACCAGATGATTGTTTCATCTTGTTGAATCTTAACTTGCTACCCTGGAGATACTGCCTACATTCTACCCTGGAGATACTGCCTACATTCTACCCTGGTTTGTAGTTTTCAGTGTGATGATATACCTGAGGCAAGTGTGTTGGGGTAACTAAGAGTAATCTTTTTCAAATTGGTTTATAATCAAGCAAATTTCTCACTGGAACTCAAAGAGAGGGAGACAAGCTCCTTCTTTTCTCACACCTCCAGTTGGGGTATGTTTTTTTCTCGTTACGAAGAAATATTCAATACTTTTAAAACTTGGCCAATTGCCAGATTCATGATGCCACTGTAAAGGTTTACAACGGATTTTTGGAGGTAGCTATATTTAAGACTTTGCTATTATAACATCAGAGGCTGTTAATTCTCCAATGTCCACTATAAAATAACAAAGTGGCGATTTTGTTGCTTTCTTACAGAGTCAGCAGAGAGGCTACAACTGAGGAGCTTTCATAAATCACAAATCACAGGATTTACAATTTGGGGAACTATAAGAGGAGATAAACAACAAACTGAGGTTTTTGAGATATTGGGAATGTTGCTGACCTGTAATACTGATTCCTATTGTGAATTCCTTTTATTATGTACTTATTTTTTCATAGTAGTAGATATTATACTGCCTATATTCCTTTCTGATAATTTTGGGAACATAGAACAGCAAGATTTTGATATTTGTAACATTTAGCATCTGAGTGCAAGTGACAACCCCAAAGCAAGAGTGGCTTAGAGAAGGCAGATATTTATTTCTCTGTCAATTAACAGGAGGCAGAAGCAGGCAGTTTAATAAAGAGACACCACAATCAGGTGGGACTAAGGTTTGTTCTACCAGGTCTTTTTGTCACCCTAACATGGTTTCCAACTCAAACTCCAAGATAGCTGCTCCAGATGGAGACCTCACATCTGCACTCCCTGCAGGAAGGAGGAAGGGTCTGACCTTTCCTTTAAGGGGGAACACTTCCTGTAGCTGGTACACAACACTTCTACTTAGATCTGACTGGCCAGAATTTAGTCCTATGGCCATGTGTCTCTATAAGGAAGACTAAAATGTAAATTTTATTTTGGACAACCATATGCCCAGCTAAAAATTAGTGGTTCCATTACCAAAGAAGTAGGAGAGGATGAATATTGGGAAACAATTAGCCGTCTCTGCAATAACCTTTTAATAGTTTGCTCTAGATGCTATAGAGGCTAGATTTTTCCATTTTGTTTTGTTTCTTATTGATTTTCTTAAAGAAAAATACTAGATATTTACGTATAAACAATACTATTTTTTTCTGTCATATTTGCGACTAATAAATTTCAATGCTACTTTTTAAAGTCTTTTAAATTCAGTTAATGTTTATTAAAGGAGAGATATAAAATGCTTATATTGTCAAATTTACTAACCATAAATGTTGGGATTTTTTTCCCATTGCTTTTAAGTGTATAAAATGTTTTCTATCCTGAGATCCAGAGACTGGGATCAATAACCACCTTCATTTTCTTCTACTTTATTTTTTGTTTAACTTAATTAGGTATATGGTATGAGGAAAGTCTCTAAATCCGTAATTATTTTCTAAATAGCCACTGTAGATCTTTGTTATTTATTAATCTTTTTCTTTTGCATTGATTTGTAGTGTCTTATTCATTATATAATTACACAAACAAAAATAATATATGTATTTTTAACTTACCCTGTTTCACTGGTGCCAGAAATGTTTTTGTAGCAGAATATTTGCTTGTGATGAGGAATTTTGTTGAAAAGTATTTGGATGTCCTTCTGGCACAGTTATCACCATTTATTACCTAGAGATAAAAACATTTCTCTCTTTTTTAAAAAGTGAATTTAGAAAATGCTTCTCCACATGAATGTCCTGTAAGCACTTCAAACTCAGTATGCCCAAAAGAAACCCATCATTTTGTAGCCTCATTACAACTCTCCTCCTGTAATGTTTCCCAGGACGGTTAATGGTGTAGCTTTTATCCAATCTCCCTAGCTACAAACCTCAGCATCACTTTCCTTCTGC
Organism: Homo sapiens; assembly: GCF_000001405.40. NCBI lineage: Eukaryota > Metazoa > Chordata > Mammalia > Primates > Hominidae > Homo > Homo sapiens. The sequence goes on from NC_000004.12 coordinate 42,708,025, forward strand.
ATTTCTTCCGCTATTCCCCAGTGTTTGCTAATCTGTCCTGCAATGTTACCAGAATCAGTTTTTTTTTTTAATTTTTAATTTTATTTTTAATTTAATTTTTTTTTGGAAGACGGAGTTTCGCTGTTGTCACCCAGGCTGGAGTGCAGTGGCACAATCTCGGCTCACTGTAACCTCTGCCTCCCGGGTTCAAGTGATTCTCTTGCCTCAGCCTCCCGAGTAGCTGGGGTTACATGCGGCTGCCACCGTGCCCGGCTATTTTTTGTATTTTTAGTAGAGATGGGGTTTCACCATGTTGGCCAGGCTGGCCTCAAACTCCTGACCTCATGTGATCTGCCCGCCTCGGCCTCTCAAAGTGCTGGGATTACAAGCGCGAGCCACCGTGCCCGGCCCAGAATCAGTTTTCTCCATTTGTTGCCACTGCCTCTACTCTCAGGGTTGCACCTTCTCTACCCTGGATGCTGAGAACAGCTCCAGCCTCTCACCTGTCCATCCTCTGCATAGGTATCAGTTATCTCCCTAAATTACAGATTCAAATACATTACTTCTTCTGCTCTTAATCCTTGAGTGGCTTCCCATCATCTTTGGAATAGAGTTCAAACTCATTAACATGATATTCAAAGCTGAACACAAGGTAGGTCTACAGCAAACTTTCTTTTCCCCACTCTTCACTCCTGGCTGCCCATGAAACCTGTGTTCTGTCACCCAGGTAAATGGCTCACCTTTACTTTTGAATATTTACACATCCTTTTCCCTTGAGCTGTTTTGCGCATAAACACCTTTCCCTCTCTGTTTGCATAACCCACACTTTAAGTCCCAGATCAAATATCTTTGGCTCTTGAAAGCTCTCCTTATCCATTCAGTCAAACTTAATTGCTGGGTGCTCTATGCTCCTATTGAATTTGTGCACACATTTATCATAGCCCAGATTACCTTCTAAATTATTTAAGTTGGAGTGTATCTGGTGAGACAGTACTTTTTAAGAGGACTAAACTGGCCATCTGTCTTTGTAGAAACAGAATATTACTTTTTTGCAGATTTTTTTTTTTGTTCTGGGGAATAACCCAAATATTTTCTCTTAGTTGTACAACTGCAAGGTGAATTTGCACCTGCAGTGTGAAGTATATGTAACTCCTGTCCCTCTAGTACCCCTCAACATTCAGAACTAATCCCTGGTGAAGAGGTAGCTATGTTTGCAGAGAGGCCAAGGAATATCCTGAGAAGACATAGGGAGATGCCATCTCTTTCTTTCAGAGGTTTAGTGGTAGAATTTTTCTGATAGGTTGAGAAGGTCCTGCTGTGGTTCCCAGTCACAAAAGCTGTGAAGGACCGAAGGGGAGCTCGCTGTGAAGAGGGAAGACCTTACTAATGACCCAGACTCATTACCACTGTCCCTGTTTGTGGAGGTCAGTTGTTTGTGATAGAGCTTGAGTGTGGGCTAGAAACTTCTCTGATCTGACATCCTGTCATGGTGGGTTTGTGAGTGCAAACTAAAGGAGATGAAACTTTGGGAGCCCAAGCACGAATTATCACTGCAGCCTCTTCAAGAACCTGACTCAGCAAGGATGACTTAGCAACCAAAAGCAAGGACACATTTTCGATAATGACACACCAGGTGGTAGCAACAAAAGTAATGAAAATTATAAACCAAGTTTCACAGTGCCCTGATCAAACTCTCTAATTTTGTCTTGTGAACTACAAACGGTCCTCCTTGAACTGAATAAATGCCTCTCTTCCCAAGACTCCTGTTGCAGAAAGAGCTTAGATAACTCAGAAATGGGGCAATTCAATTGTTAAAAGTGTGACCATATTTGTACTCCAAGCTGGTTAAGCAGGTTTTCCAGGTTACACTTAGTTGTGTCTCCCCAGTGACCCTGTGAATGTTGGCAATGTGGGGAATAATCTTTATATCTCTCTGGTGATGAGAACGGTGATTTGAACATTATAAATATTTGAATTGAATTGTTTCCAGCCCATGTTTATTTTAATGTTTATAACTACCATCATGAAACATGTAACATTTAAACGTTTTGTATAAAACCATACTTTCCATTTGCAAACATGCCTGTAGCAGGTATGAGCCATTTGATATTAAATATGAAGCAGAGCTGCCTCTGCTCTTTGGGTCCCAAGCTGCAGTTACTACTGTATATTATCATTAGCAATATAATAAACCTCTTAGATATACAGTGTCATTACATTTTTGAAAAAGGTATTTTTGCCTACTTTGGTTGGAACTGGAGAAAATTTCTTCACAAAGTCAGCCCCCAGTTCTCTAGTTGCAAGTTTTTCAAATTTGCTTGGTCTTGCTCTGTTGTGTAGAAATCGATTACCATTCCCTGCAACTTAAAATATCATTTTTCTTGTTTAGAGAGGAGGTTTCTAAGTGTGCCCTACTATTGGAGAACGTTTATGCTGACCACCTATAATTTAGAATACATAAATCTGCTCCGGGGAACTTGTGCTGGCTCAGCATTTTCCTCCTAGTTCGTCAAAGAGCCTTTTGTGCCAGCTCTACATGGTCCTTATTGTTAGTTTCTTTTCTCTATTGTTGGCTGTTTACATGAAAGGAGATTCAGTGGATTGTTTGAATTTAACTTTTCATACCCTCTGTGAAACCACGTGCTCTATATTCCAGTGGTAAATATAATATCCAGTGGTTTTACTGAAATTTGCAAGAATTTTTATTAAAAGACCTACAGAGGTATTTCTGTAGGAAGCCAGTGCTGATCTAGCTACAATTCTATGTATGTACATTTATATATATGAATGAGTATATGAATGTATGTATCCCTCTCTATCAAACCAAGTATCTAATGGCTAGTAAATGTTTAACCATAGGATCTCCAGGCAGAAAAAAGCTCTAGTTATAAACTTTGTCAATTTCTGTACCATAGCTTCTCCCACTGTGGCTCATTTCAAGCTACCAGTATGTCAGCATTGAACACAGAGTTGGGAAGTGATGCACTGGAGAACACTTTATATGGTATTTTCACCATATAGACACAAAAGACTTAAGTCCCAGAGCACAGATAAAAGTACATAGTAAAATAACTAGAAAGCAGTCACTTTTGAGTATTTATAATCTTTGTTTGAGTGTAATTTATTTAATCATAAGCTTATGTAATTCAGGTTTTTTTGTTTGTTTGTTTGTTTGTTTTTTTTTTTTTTTTTTTTTTAAGATGTAGTCTCTCTCGGTCACCCTGGCTGGAGAGGAGTGCAGTGGCGCCATCCTGGTTCACTGTAACCTCTGCCTCTCGGGTTCAAGCGATTCTTCTGTCTCAGCCTCCCAAGTAGCTGGGATTACAGTTGCACGCCACCAGGTCTGGCTAATTTTTGTATTTTCAGTAGAGACAGGGTTTCGCCATGTTGGCCAGGCTGGTCTCGAACTCCTGACCTTGGGTGATCCGCCTGCCTCTGCCTGCCGAAGTGCTGGGGTTACAAGCATGACCCACTGCTCCAAGGCTGTAATTCAGTTTTTAATAATGGTCATGTTTAAGAACCACTTGCAAAATTCCTGAAAATTTAGCAGTTGGCTTACAGTTGGGATAAACTGGCTCCCATACAACACTGTATTAATCTATATACTTCTATCCACTTCCTTCCCTTTTCTAAGAAGAGTGGGCTCCTGTGGATGGGGAGATCTTTGTTTAACCTCATGTGTAGATAAGCTGGTATGGGGGATGAAGTAGGACTAAATTGCTGAGTGAGATAAAGGATGAAACTTTTGTGTGGGGGCAGTTGAGCACTAAGATTTTAGGAAGCTGGAGGCAAGAGTTAGCTTGTTCTATGATAGAAGGATGGAAAGGAACATTCCTTTCTTCCTCATTATGAAAACCATGGGGAAGACTTACATACTTTATTTATTTCATGCAAAGTTGAACTATTCAAATTTGGAATAGTATGATATAAAAATATTACTAGCCTCTTTTGTAATAGAAAGTTTAGAATATTATAATATACTGTTACATTTATTCCTATGGGATAATTATCTTTCCAGTTTCCTGAGTAGAATGACTGGTGTTTTCAGAAATGCATCAATCACATAAAACACTGTAGTTTGCCATCAGGTACTTGATGCAAATTCCTTTTTTCATTTCTTATATGAAATCTTTGGTAAAATCTACATTGCTTAGTAATGTCTTTAGTGGGAATGGATTCTGTTTGAGAGGAAAATAATGTAGAGTTCTAAATCATAGTTGAAGTGACTGAGACTATATGCTGGGTTATAAGAGGTATTTGAAAACAATGTTATCTAAGGCTGGAAATTAAATTACATTAGATGAAGTACAGAATCATCTGTTAAAAACCTAAATTTAGGCGGCATAGCATGGTGCTTCAGAGTACAGATCCTATAGCCCAACTATTGGAGTTCAATTACAGATTCTATCACTTATTACCTGTGTGACTTCGGGAAAATTATATAACATCTTCAGTTTTATTGGCTATAAAACAGGAATTTTAATAATACTTATTGCATTGTTTTGAAGATTAAATGAGTTACATATAAGGCACTTAGAATAATTCCTGGCACATTGTAAACTCTTAATAATACATATTGCATTGTTTTGAAGATTAAATGAGTTATATATAAGGCACTTAGAATAACTCCTGGCACATTGTAAACTCTAAGGTTAGCTATTATATCTAATTGATCTAATAATTTAGGAATAGGATTAATTAGAATATAATATATATATACATATTACATATGTTGGGCTTCTGAGTAGTTCTAATGAAGAGCTTTTTCCCTGTTTGAATTCTGAACGAATTAAGATATAAGAAACAAGAGTGATACAGATGGGGGAATAAAAATATTTCCTTTATTACTGACAATGCCGATAAAGCACAACATGCTTGCGTCTGTATGCAAGTAGGCTTCTTAATCCAGAAACTTAAAATTAGGCAGGCATACTGACCCTGGAAACCTACAAGCATCCTCTGGAGGGCCAGACTCTTTCCATATGGCTGAGAGCAAAGAACAGCACACACTGACTGAAGGTGGACTGACTTTCAAAAGAAGGGGAAAGGAGGAGGCTGGGCTCTGCATGCCTGGCTGCTCCTCCATACTTAACAACCAAATTAACTTACTGCTCTATAAGTGAGTAAGTGGGGACAGGACAGGGAAGAGCCAGGATTATTTCATAATGGAGCTCTTTCCACAAGGTAAGGAATAGAAGGAAAAGAAAAGCCTTCCCCTCTGTACCACTTTTTAGCCATTAACACAGAAACTAATTTTAGAGTTTTTAACAGAGGGCATTTTATTTGGCTACTCAGGTCGTGAAGGACCTAAGAAATTCAACTGTGGATACCCTCCTGAAACAAATAACTTCCACTGGGGATACCCTCCTTAAACAAAGGGAGAAGATGGTACTACTAGAGTCCAAGGGCTGGAGTCACCCAGCAGGAGCTAGAACCATGGTGGGTCTGTCCAGCAGAAGCTCCAGCCACTTAAACACTGCCTGAGGCAGGAGAAATACCCTGGCTTCTCCTTCCTCCACCTCTCCAATCTCTGTCCAGTGTCTCCCACTGGCTGACTTTAGATGACAGCCAACTAATAGGAAAGCCTGGAAAACAGCCTGCAGGGCCAGCACCGCTGCTATACAAAGTAGAGAGGGAGAGGGTGAGTGATAGATCTCTAGGCAAACAGGGCCAGGACCTGTGGGCGTGTGGGTGCATGCGCACATGTGTGCATATGTGTGTACATACACACATCTTCTATTTCACACTACTCTGCTTTTGAACACTTTGTACTGTGTAGATCAAAATATCTTTTCAGATAGTATGATTTTAGTATTGCTTAGAGACATTGGTTTATGGAAGTAAATTGAAGAAAGTTGAAAATCAATATACAATTTGGTCCATTCTAAAAATTCTGGCCAACATACTCTGCAATAGTTCTAAGATTATGGGTTTCCAGACTATTTCCTGATAGTATCAGATTATTGCCTAAATTTTCTATTTTTTGTTGTCCTTTTAAAGATAGACTCAAGTGAAATTCTATACTTGGAATTCAACTTGATACAAGTCAAGCAATATAGATGCTCTACCTATTCAACTCCTATACATCAGATAATGGGCACCTTCTCATCTTGGTTCCTACATGAAGTCTTCCCAGAGCACCATAGCCCTCAGGGAGGTCTTCATCATTAAATTTAATGCACTTAATTTTGTGATATTGCTTTGTAGAGTTACTTGTTTTATTTGTCTAATCCTGTGCCTCATTTTTAAGAATTGGCACTGTGTCTTAAACTGTCACAAATTCTCCAAGAAGTTAGTTGGTTAAAGCCAAGTTGTATGGGTCTAGTTTAAAAGTCCACTATTATACCATTGCTTAACAAAGTTTTCTTAAAAGCATTTTATTTTTAGGCTTATTTAGTGCTCATAGGTCATTTTTCCATGTTGTGAACCAAAACAATTAAAGAAATGGAAACATTGGATTGGATTTGTTCTCCTGAGAATTATGAACCAATGGGCCACAGCTGCTTGCTCTCAAGGTCTGGTATGATAATGAGTCTCCAGTAGAGAGGTAAAGAGTCAGATGGCCTGAAATTGTTACCAGTACAAGGTGTCCAGGTCCTTACATCTTGAACAAAGAATTGGACAAAATGCACAAACAAAGCATGAAGAGCCAAAGCAGGGATTTATTGAGAATGAAAGTACACTCCACAGTGTGGGAGTGGGCCCAACGTAGGGGCTGAAGAGCCCCATTACAGGATTTTTGGGAGTTTAAATACCCTCCAGAGAATTCCATTGGTTACTTGGGGTATGCCCTATGTAAATGAGGAGGATGAAGTAAAGTGACAACGTCATTTACTATGGAGAGGATATTTCCTGTCATAGCTCAAGTGTGGATCAGCCTCATGTTCTCTGCCTCCAGACCCTGTTTTCCTGCCTCAAAATGAGATCCTGGTCTAAAGTAAGATGAGCTACTTATGTAACCTCTTACACAGAAAGTTGAGATAATAATGGTACCTTCCTCATTTAGTGTGAAATAACCTGTGCTTTTTGCTTAGAACTGTGCCCAGCCCTTGGGATTAGCTGTTATGATTCAGTATGCCTGTTGTTTTTATTTGCTTATTTATTTATTTATTTATTTATTTTCTCGAGACATGGTCTATGCTCTGTTGCCCAGGCTGGAGTGCAGTGGTGTGATTACAGCTTACTGTAACCTCGAAGTCCTGGGTTTAAGTGTCAAAGGCATCCTAACCAGAGTGATTCCATCTTGAATAAAGGCTGGATGAAGCCAAACCTTCTGGGTTACATTCCTAGAGTGTTGAACACTCTTGGTCACAAGATGTTTATAGTTGAGAGAACGAGTTAATGATGTTAACTAACTAAATAAATAAAGACCCAGAACTTATAGAAAAGTCCAAGTACTTTAAGAACAAGAAGCATTCTTAGTTTAAGGATAGTAACATAGAAAAGCATCAATACTGATAGCCTGTTACAAGCTCATCACAAGCTTTTGTAATAAAGTATACTATCCTTAATAATCTGTGTAAACAAACATCGTATTTGAAATGGGTATTTTCCTCTTCTTGCTTTCTGAGGATGCCCAACTCTGTAATTGAGCAGTCTGTAAAAGACTATCTTAAATTTTCTCAACTCTGCAATTCACCCTGATTTCTTTCTCATGTGAGATCCAAGAACTCGCTCTTGGGGTCTGGGACAAAGCCCTTTTTCTAGTGATATAAGCAATCCTCCTGTGTCAGCCTCTCAAGTAGCTGGGATTACAGGCACACGCCATCACACTCAGCTAATGCCTATTGTTTTTAGAAGTTTATTTTCAGATAACAGTCTCAGAAATATAAAACACTGAGTTCCTACTTAACGCACAACAATATCTCATGCGCTTATCTGCAGAGCTGCATCGAGGGAACTGAGAAGCCGAAAAGCTGCCCAAGGTGCCAAGCTCTGAGGGATGGTGAAACATCATTGGAACTGTAGCAAGTGAGAGATGTGATTACTGGAATTCCCTGTGGGAGTATTGTGTTTTAATGAAAGAGGTGCCTTAAGGAAGCACCTAGGTTGCGAAAGGTGCTCAAGCAATAATAGATGATTGCGAAATCACCTTCTCAGGAAAGAGCCCTGTAACTGTAAGGATTCTGCTTTGTGAATGCAAATTTGGGCCAATTTATGGTAATGGTGAAAAGGTGGAGAGCTCCTATCAGTGGTCTTTCTCCATTCCTTCCCCAAGCACCACTAAGCTCCAAAGCTCACTGAGCTATACTATCAAACAGTATTTGCCTAGCATGCTGCACCAATTCATTAGGTCATCAGGTGTATATGAATCATGCCATGGATTAGTAAATTGAGGGAACTTGTAATTTGTATCAGTCAGGGACCAAGTGATTTGAACAGAGAGAATTTAATATAAAAAGTTAACTAAGTATAAAGTTATTAACTAAATAACTGAAAAGGTCAAAAGACAATTCTAAGGATCCTTGAGGCAGCAATTGTTAAGAAGAAATTAGGGCTGAGGGAAGATAGGGAAGAGGCTGGAATTACTAAAATAATTTAGAGTTCTAGAAGACACACCTTGAGGAGCTGAAACTCAGACCTCTGAGGAGGGGTCTTGCTCAGCTGGTTCTGATGTCTTTGAGCTCAGAGGAGTGGCCTTGCTATACACTGAATATTTGTGTCCTCCCCAAATTCATATGCTGAAAACAAATCCCCAATATAAAGGTTTTCGGAGGTGGGGACTTTGGGAAGCGATTAGGTCATGAGAGTAAAGCCCTCATGAATGGGATTAGTGCCCTTATAAAAAAGAGCCCAGAGAGCTTTCTTTGTGCTTTCTGCCACCATGGAAGTTACAGTGAAAAGAAGGCTCTCTATGAGCCAGGAAGTGGGCCCTCACCAGACACTGAATCTGCCAGTTCCTTGACCTTGGACTTCCTAGCCCCTAGAACTGAGAAATAGATTTCTGTTGTTTATGAGCCACTCAGTCTATGATGATTTGTTATAGTAGCCAGAATGGACTGACAGACCTGTGGAGCGGGTGCTGGCCCAGCTGGTGCTGGGGTCCCTAGGGATGGGTGGGACTTGATGAGGCTGGTTCTTCAAGTGTTAAAAAACTGCCAACTGGATTCAGTTGCTACTACAGGAAAAAACTGTTGCCCTTGGGGTGAAGAAAAATTGCTGGGGTGATGCTTACCAAACAGGAAGCAGCCAGCAAAGAGCAAGTCTCTCTTTCCTCCTCCAGCCTTGTAGCCTGTCCCTATTGGCAACAGCAAGCCACGGAGTCCCAACCCCTGCATGGCAAAGCAGGGTATACAGAAGGGTGGGCTTAGAGCGGCAAGATAGTTATTTAATACCTGGGACACACATATTGTGCATCATAACAGGGTATGTAGTGAGTATTGGTGGCTGCATCTTGAGCAAATACTTTACAGAGCTTCTACTGCGTGCTACTGGAAATACAGAGCTGAATATGATCTGTGTGTCCCCTTAAGTAGGAGACAGGGAGTCCAATTTATAGAACAAATAATGTGATGAAGGAACAAACATAATTGTGACCATAGTACTATGGGAGCATAGAGAGGGGAACCTATAGGTAGTGAATCTAATATTCTTTACTTCGTGAATTAAGTGCTATCTCTGTAGCTTAATTATAATAAAATAAAATAGAAAACAGCATCAATGTTGATGTCAGTTTAAAAGTGATCAGTAAAGGTAGTGTGGAGCAGTTCTTAATATTTCCCTTATGTTTCACCAAACTTAATCTCACCAAATCTGTCAAACCAGTACCATCTATTTTTGTTTACTGATTTTTTTTTAATTTCAAAGAATTCTGATGCTGTCAAATTCAGGATATTTCTTTGTTCATGGAAATAATTATACATTTATTTTGTTGAGCTTTACCTTTTAGTATTCTACAAAATGGAATAATATTTCACAGTTCTTGAGTAATGTTGGTAAAAGTAATGTACCAGTGATATTTTATAAAGCTATTCCAAACATTTATTTTCATGTATTAACTTAGCCTACAAATATTTGCTTTGTGCATACTATGTAAAGTGTACTTCTCTAGGTTCTGGAAGAATATAAATAGAAAAGACACGATGTGATAGACACAATTGGGTGCTAACATGCCGGCTATTTCTCTGCTTTTATCTTACTATCACTAATTAGATTTTGTCTAGATATTGAAGAGCAACAAGTCCCAGCACAGGGACAAATCTTGATTGGTCTAAGATAATTATAGTAATCCTGGTCTCCTTTGCTTTGGTTTAGAGTGGGGTTTGTAACCAGTGTTTACCCATTCATTGTGAAGTGAATTTTCTTGTAGGCTTCTGGGAAATATTTTTTGCCTTGGTAAAATGGATAAAATGTCTTAGTGGACATTGTTGTTTGAGGATATGATATTTGGAGTTATGGAGGCTATCTGAAAATCCTAAGATGACAGCTTCAAAAATCACAGAGATGCCAGCTGGCATCCAGTCATGTAGGCCCACTGAACTGGTCACCTAAACAGTAAGACTATTTTAGGAAAGTGCTGACAAGTGACTTACTGTGTAAGGGTAGCAAGTTAGACTCTTCTGGGTGACCAGAACGGACTCTTCCAGAGTGGCCAGTTCAGTGGGCCAACACAACTGGAAGAGTCTAACTTGCTACCCTTATTGCCATTTTTAGTTTGGTTCTGTGTTAGTTGAAATCAAAGTAATTCTAAATGATATACATGGTCTCTGTCTTGCAGTCTTCTAAAGATTAATACATAACTTTTACTTTTTAAAACAGCGTTCTAAAAAAGGAGTAGTATTTTGCTGCATTACATGATTTTAACTGGGAAAACAGATGTTTCAGGGAGTAGATATCATATAGGTATACAGTATGTAGATATAAAGTATCTTGCCAAATAAGTTATATTAGTCCATTTTCACACTGCTATAAAGATACTACCTGAGACAAGGTAATTTATAAACAGAAGAGGTTTAATTGACTCACAGTTCCACATGGGTGAAGAGGCCTCAGGAAACTTACAATCATGGCAGAAGGTGAAGGGGAAGCAAGGCATGTCTTACATGGCTACAGGAGAGAGAGAGAGAGAACAGAGCAAACTGCTACTTATAACACCGTCAGATCTCGTGAGAACTCACTCATTATCATGAGAACAGCAAGGGGTAAACTGCCCCCATGATCCAATCACCTCCCACCAGGTCCCTCCCTTGACACGTGGGGATAACAATTCGAGATGAGATTAGGGTGGGGACGCAGAGCCAAACCATATCATAAGGGATGCTCTGTCTTTTAAAGAGAAGTATCTCCATGAACATCTAATAGACTGGGAACTTTCTTGTTCCTATAGCATGTTCTTGGCTCTGCTCTGCCTATCTTAATTTCCTTCTGTTAGAGATTTCCTAGGGAAGGTATGTCTGGACTTCCTCTGAACTTGCTCCTGAAAGTCAGACTATTTTAGAAAAGTGCTGACAAGTGACTTATTTCTTGCCACTCACTAGACATTTTTAAAATAGATGTAAACATTGAGTTTTGGAGTGATGTTTGGAAGGGCCACACCTTGCTTGTCAGGGAAGTTGTTTCCTGAATGTGCCTGATTTCAAACTAACCCCACGTAATAAACTATTGCTCTTCTCATGCTTTCAGTATCTCCCTGCCTCCCTTTATAAACTCTAATAAATTAACCCTAAGAAACAAATTGACAAAGAATGTGACTAGAAAATTTACAAAAGAAGACCTGTACATAGAAAGTGAACCAAGTGTTCAGCCTAATTAAAAAATAATAAATATAAAGAAATATTATTTTCTGTTTATCAAATGTACAAAGATTTAAAAGTAATAATACCCCATGCTTGAGAGAGTTGGGGATATAGACGGTCTCAAGTATTGCTTGAAGATAAATATATACCCCCTTATGAAGAATTATGGCAATATGTATTAAGTTCTTGAAAATATTTATAAATTTCAGCTAGGCTAGTCCAATTCTAAGCATTGATCCCAAAGAAATAATTCTTTTATTATTTATTTATTTATTTTTATTTTGACAGATTCAGGGTGTACAAGTGCAGGTTTTTTGAATGGATACATTGCATAGCAGTGAAGCCTGAGCTTCAAGTGATAATTCTGAATGTAGAGAAATCTTTATATACTCGCAGCATTATTTATACATAATGAACAGTTTGAAGCAATCCTATTAATCAATACTAAGAAAAGTGTGGATATATTTTAATGCACCCTCACAATGGATGCAAATATGAAAATTATGCAATATAAAAATTATGGCTATATAATTTTATACCTCAAATGAAAGGCTATTGTTTTAATACTAACAGAAAGTATCAAAATAAAATATTATATATGCTGTGTGTTATAACTTTACTATGAAAAAATATAAAATGGGAAAATATAAGATTTTAGCAATATTTTTCTCTGAATATGAAAAATATTTTTTCTATATACTTTTCTGTAGTTTTAAAATTTCCTGAAATGAGCATGTGTTATCTTAATAATCAGGAAGGAAACAATTTGAGAAAAAGTTTAACAATTTTCTTATAAGGACTACTTAGCTTCTATTTTTAAAAGAAGATCTTCCAACTGCTATTATTTTTCATTTATAAAAAAATGAAGCTACTAAAATGTAAAGCTTCCTTAGGTCTCTAGGTTTCAAAGGTATAATGAAATACAAAGGAATCTGGTGCAATTTTTGTTCTTTTTTTCCATTGTCATCATGACAATGCATTTATAACAGGCAATTTTCTGTTCTCTGGAAAACAAGATACATCACATTAGAAACAGATTTCTGTCTGGTGTCTCAGAACATTTCCTGCTTTTCAAAGATGTTGTGTTTTTCCTTTTTCTTGAAAAGTCGGCAGTTTTGCAGAAGGCTAGGTATATACAGGCCTAGGCCTACATTCAGGCTGAAGGCTGGGGTGCTTGCTACCTGTGGGGCAGTTGTTGAAAAACTAGGGAACGAGTAGAATGAAAAAAATCAACACCAGGAGTTTGGGAACCCACACTTATCCTCTTTTTGCCTTTTGAAGATTGCCTGGATGCCTTGGGGCTAAGTCTCTGAATAATTACAAGCTAATGCTGAATATATATCATCTCATATACATATGTATTTCTTCAAGTAAATGTAATGTATTCCCGAGGTCACACTTCAAGTTTGTATGTATATATATAAGATGTTAAAAATCTTATTTTTTTCCAATTGTTAATATATGCTGATTACTTAATATGTGTGTGTGGGTGGGGAGTGGTTTATATTAGTTTTCTATTACTGCTATGGCAAATTACCTTAAACTTCGTGTCTTAAAGCAACACCAATTTATGATCTCACAATTCTGGAGATAAGAGGTCCAAAATGAGTCTCTCTGGACTGAAATCTAGGAGTCTGCAGAGCTATGTTCCATCCTGGAGGCTCTAGGGGAGAATCCATCTCTTGCCTTTTCCAGCCTCTGGAGGCTGCCTGCATTCCTTGGCTTATTGTGTCTTTCCATCTTCCCCAACCAGCTGAGTCTTCACCACATGGCATCACTCTGACACCGATTCCTCTGTCTCCCTCTTACACATCTTAGAACTGTTGTGATTATATTGGATCCTCTCAATAATCTAGATAATCTCCCTGTTTTAAGGGCAACTAACTGGCAACCTTTATTCTGTCCATGACCTGAATTCCCTTTGCCATGTAACCTAACACATTCACAGATTCCAAAGATTAGGACACAGGCATCTTCTGGGCCCATTGTGTTGCTTGCTGCAGGAGAGTTTCAGAGAAGTAAAAAGATGTAAATAAACAATCTGAATTCAATCACTCAAAGATAACTACTGTTAACATTTTGGCAAATATTTCTGCTTAAATTTTGTAAAATCTTGAACCAAGTTGACTTAGATATAGAACGGAAACTTTAAATGTTTTCTGACCCATTTGTATATATATTGATATAATTCATATACGAGAAAGTCTCTGTCCCTCCCCTGTGTTCTTCCAGGTTTCTTTATGTAAATACATATACAATAACATCTCTGTTCCTTTCTTTATCTTGTAGTGGGAGTGGGCACAGGAACAATAATAATAAATAATATTTATTGAATATTTATCATGCACCAGACACTATGATAAGTTCTATGAATTTAATCTTCACAACACTTTGAGTGGGTACTATTATTATCTTTACTTTTAAGATGCAGAATCTGAGACACAGAGTAGTGAAGTAATTTGCTCACAGTTTTTATGTGGTAAATTATAAACTGAGATTTGAACCCAGAGAGTCCAATTTCAGAGCCCACATGCTTAGTTACTATAATGAGCACATTGCTTGCTAATTTAAAGAGTTCGTTAAAATTTCTGTCATCTCAAAAAATTCCTTACATAGAAGGGATTTTGCCTCAAAATGTCATGTGTTTCTGGAAAGGTGTATCTGACACTCTTGGTTGGTGGCCCAGGAGCTATACCCAATAGCCATTCCAAAACATTTTCTGCCTTGCTGGTACCCACAATAGAGCTGAAAAAGCAGAAACTTGCTTTTAAAGCCTCTATTGAACTCAGTTCTGGCCAAAGAAACTGTAAGACATTTTCTGAGAGAACTCTGGGGAAGCTGTTGCCTTTGTTATGTCATCAGGAAGGAGAGTTATGAAACTTTTCTCTCTCTCCTCTGTCCAGCCCTTTTCCCCCATTTGGACATGGCCACATGAAGATACAATATTCAGAGGTAAGGCAGACCTCTTGCAACAATACTACAGGAATTTCAAAAATTTCAGCACAACTTCGGACATTGTGGAGTTGCCAAACCTGGAGCTGGTTATCTCCAGACTTCTTGTGAAGCACAGCAATAAATAGTCTTACACTTTAAGCCCATGTTAGATTTCTTTTACTTGCAGCCAAACACATCCTAATTAATACACAGCTCAATAGTACTACTAAAGAGAAAACATCTGTAGTGTGTGGTAAAATCATGGGCCTACCTTTTAAGAGAGATGTAGGTATTTGCAATACCATGACAGCAGCCTGTCTCTATGCAAGGGGTTTTGAAACCTTGTTATGGGAACTGGGAGGAGTTATCCTGGAAAATATGATCAAAAAAAAAATTATAATATGTAATATACTTGAAGGGCTCTCTGATAGGTTGAAAGCATCCACAAATTCTTGCTATCCCTGTGTGCACATTACTTTGCAATGTGACATTTCAGTTGTTCTGATCCATCCATTTAATTTCCATTTGGCCATGTATATTAGTTTCCTAGGGCTGCCATAACAAACTGGCGGGCTTAAAACAACAGAAATTTATTTTCTCATGGTTTTTGAAACTAGAAGTCTGAAATCAAGATATTGGCAAGCTCAGGCTTTCTTTGAAGTCTCTAGGGGAAAATCCGTTCCATGCCCTTCTCTTCTTAGCTTCTGGAGTGACCTGTAGTCCTTGGGGTTCCTTGGCTTATAGACATCTCTCTCCACTCTCTGCCCCACTAATCACATGGCATTCCCCCTGTGTGTTTCTGTATTTATTCTCTTTTCATAAGGACACCCAGTCATACTGGATTAAAGAACCACCTTACTCCAGAATGGCTTCACTTCAACTTAACTAATTATATCTGTAGCAATCAATTCCCAAATAAGGTAGCATTCTGAGATGCTAGGAAGGATATGAATTGGGAGTTGGGGGACTGGAGTAGGAGACACTATCTGACCCAGTACATCATGTGATTTGCTTTGGCAAAAAGAATATTAGCAAATAGTACATCAGAGACTTGTAAAGTGTTATTTTTGCAACCTTGGGACCACTGTAAGTAGAAGTCCATTCTGACTTACTGGAGGATGAGAGACCATATGGAGCAAAGGCAAGCCAAAATGTCCCAGCTGAGGGCACCACTAGAAACACCAGCCTGACAATTGCCAGACATGTGAATTAGCCATTCTAAACCATCCAGTCATAGTCAAGCTGGCCAGACTGGAGGAATCACCTGGCTGACCCACGGAATCATGAAAAATAATAAATGTTTGTTGTGGGGATGATTTATTATGCAGCAAAAGTGAACTAATATGGGCTCTGAAATGAAAAGGAGGGTTGATTTGTTTGAGGATGTTCCAGAGAGCAGAATGATTTCGAGATTCTTGCCAACTTTGAGAGGCTGTGGTTTTAGGATTGACTTTCCTTCTAGTACCTAAAAGTTGCAGAAATAAATATTTCAGTTGAATGCAACAGAGAAGTTTCTAATAACTGGATTTGTCAGATGATGTACTTGACTGTCCCCCAAGGGGAGTGTTGTAAAGGAAGATATTTTTTGGGAGACTTAATTAGAACCTCTGATCGTCATTTCAAATCTAAGACTTTATGGAAAAAGTGTTTGGATGTTAGAGATTAAGAAATGGGAAAAATTATTGATGATTTAATATCCTTTTACTGCATTGCTCATGCCAAAAATTGTAGAAAGGCCAAAAATTACTCAGCATACTCTCTAAAATTCACAATATCGGCTGGCATTATTGCACATATTCTTCATAAATTGAGCCTTGGACCACGGGTTGGAAGTGAGCCTTTGACTTTGGGCTTCTTCATTGCCTTCTCTATTTCATTTTACCTCCTCTTCTTTCCAGGGTTAGAAACACGATGGTTTCTTGCCAACTGGTGAATCAGTATGGAACTAAACCTGGGATTGGGCCAGGCCTGAAAGCAGTAGACTAAACTAGAGATAGGGTCATCAGGCAGCCCTCTGGAATGATGTCATTTACCACCTTAAGGAAGCAGGATAGTGAAATGAGCCTGGGAGAACTGAACAACCTGGCATAATAGGAGCCTTCAGATGGCTGCTAAGGAACACAGATATCTGGGGTGGAACATTCTTGGGATGAGTACGTTAAGTATAGTTATGCTAACCCTACCATGAAAATAATGTAATTAATAAGTATGCTAGTTCTGATTTTTTGGCCGATATTATACTCTTGTCAGGGTTTAACTGTAATAAGATCTTCTATGCTGTCTCTGGCAAGTCAAAAACTTCTTTAAACTTCGGTTTCTTAGAGTAATTGGTCTTAGATTATCTCCAAACTTTTACCTAATAGTAAAATTCTATTACGGCCTAGAGACAGTAATATCAGATATTAATTGAGGCTTAAAATGTCTTTAATTCATTAATATTTCATTTGGAATGTTATAACTAGAATTGATTGACTCCATTATAAATGCCTGGCACTGGGAAAAGAACTTTACATCCATTATCATGTGTATTTATCATAGTAACTATATTATTCAGATGAAAAATCTGAGGCTTAGAAAGGTTAAACAACTTTCCCAAGGTTACCAAACTATTTAGTAGATTTCTAAATAGTACATCAGCTCTCTCATCTTTAAGATAGATATTTAATTATCCTAGTAATAGCTTAACAATTTTGTACAGATGAACAATTATTGGTAAAGAATACACAGAAAATAGCACCCTAATATTTTGTTGTCTTAATTTATTTACAATTACCTCAGTGTAAATACTGTTATCTGTGTGCATGTACAAATAAACTCTGATCTATACCTTAGGAATGATTATTTTACAGCTGAAATACCCTAAGAAGAATCAACAACCTTCTGAGGTAGAGTTACTTAGCATTTTAAGTATCATTATCGAAATTTATACTGGATAATTTGTCAATTAACATAAGGATGATAGAAATAATTTTATCTCGATGAATGTGATGCTCAACATACATGGAAGGTTATACGTTTACATGGGCCCCATCACTCTTGCACTAATTCTACAATGTAACACCTCAATAGTGGGGGTCTAGATTCTGGCCCCTTGCCTACCCTGAATCCCTCTGATTGATGGAAATTCAATTGCCTCACTCCATTTCAAGGCTGGCTGGTTCTGCTTTCAGAATATTATCATATTTGGATAAGAATGAAGCTTTCATGCAAGGCCTGAATCAATCTACCTGGGAGCAGACAGTGGCACTTTCCTTGGTGTTGCACAAACAGGTGTATGACTGTTTTTGTGCCTGTTTGATAACTATTTAAGCATTTGGGGTATTTAGGTTAAGTCTTGCTTTCACAGTCAAAGCCACTCAGTGACAAAGTTGAAGTAATTAGGTATCTCTCACCCACCACTGACCACAAAAATCTTCTTATACTAAAGAACCTGACAATTCCTGCATGGTAAAATTGAATTGAGGCAATCAAACAAGGAACAAACCACAAAGATATACAGGATGACCTAAGGGAAAGAAATTTGGAGATTCACATAAATCTCATTCATGCCGCTTTCCCTCCATGGAATTGATCATTGCTTCTAATTTATCTTTCAGCATAGAATGTGTGCTCAGTTGCCTCATTTTTCACCCCAGCCAACTAAGAAATACTTGTTTAAGGTTGAAATCAACACTGAACATCATAAAACATAGTTCAGTTATACACTTTTTATAATAGGAGATATTAATGCTTTGTGTGTACCAGGCATTGGTCTAAATATTGAACAGGTATGAACATTTAATTTGCACAAAATTTAATGAAGTCAGTATTATTGTTATTACCACATTGCAAAAGAGGCAAGTGAGACACAGAAAAGTCAAATGATTTGCTCAAAGTCACATAGTTAATAAGGGCCAGAAGAGGGACACAGACCCAGGTATCTATTCCAGAGTCTGTGCACCACAATTTTATTTTATTTTGTTTACTTATTTTTTTTGAGACAGTCTTGCTCTGTTGCCTAGTCTGGAGTGCAGTGGCATGATCTTAGCTCCCTGCAACCTCTGCCTTCAGGGTTCAAGTGATTCTCATGCCTCAGCCTCTGGAGTAGCTGTGAATACAGGCACGTGCCACCATGCCAGGCTATTTTTTGTATTTTTAATAGAGATGGGGGTAGAGATGGAGTTTTGCCATGTTGGCCTGGCTGGTCTCCAACTCCTGATCTCAGGTGATCTGCGTGCCTAAGCCTTCCAAAGTGCTGGTATTACAGGGCTGAGCCACCTCGCCCAGCCTATATGCACCACAATTTTATACAGTTCATTTTCCTGGTGTATAAAGCTGGGAAAAGACAAACAATAATGGCATTCTGGTATTTCCTCCAACTACAAGGTAGTTTCCAACTTTGAGGTTCCCTGATTTATCTGGCCATTTCCTCTACTAATTTGCAAAATGGATTAAGGGTCAGATCAAAGACCTTCCTGGGGCTCCAATTCTTAAGCGGCTACTGAAGTCTCACTGGAATGAATGGGAAATACGGTGTTCATTAACTCACAGTTCCATGAATAATCCCTTACACAACCAGAAAAATGCATATTGTTCCTGCTTTCTATCTCTGACCATACAGGGCCAACAAACAGACATTTTTAACAGGTTCCTCTGAGATATCCTTTTATCTCCATGTAATATGTTTAGGATACATGTGTACATTGGACTGGGCTGCCTGCTCTGAAACCAGCCAGCAATAGTTCCCTGAAGTCATCAGTCACAGCTGAGTTTCTGTAATGATGCAGTTGTATTTAATGAGAATGAGCAATTTATTTTATTATGTAAATTTTGAACTTTAAGTATAGCTCCTCAGACTTTTAGTTTGAAAATTGCAAAAGAAAACCGAGGAAATATTAAGAACTATGGAAAAAGTTGGAACTATTTCGCCAACATCACGGCCAAAAGAAAAAGGACTTTCACATATATGTTGGACAATTATCTATTACTATAGTCTTATAACCAACTTGGTTCTTAATGAGTATTAATTATTAGCAGAATTCAATCACAAATGACAAAAAACATGTGAAGAGAAATTTTCCAAATAAAAGCAAATGTTATTTTAGATTTAATGTGTGATTTTGAAATGAAGAAAGTATATAATTGTATTAATGGAACATCAGTTACTTTCTTTTAAAAAAATTGTATTTTATTGTTAATTGACAGATAATAATGGTATATATTTATGGGGTACAATGTGATGTTTTGATACATGAATACATTGTGGAATGACAAAATCAGGTTAATTAATATCTTTATCACCTTGCATACTTATTTTTTGTGGTGAGAACATTTAAAATCCACTTTTTAAAAACCAATTTTGAAATATAAAACATATTATTATTAACAATAGTCACCATGCTATGCAGTAGATGACCAGAACTTATTCCTCCTAACTGAAACTTTGTACACTTTCAGGGAAGACTGTAAACATCTCCCCTTTTCCTGTCCACCTTTCACCCCTGGTAACTACCATTCTACTCTCTACTTCTATGAATTTGATGTTTCTGGATTCCACATATAAATGAAATCATGTGGTATTTGTATTTCAGGTGCTTAGCTTATTTTACTTAGGGAAATGTCCCGTAGATTCATCCATATTGTCACAAATGACAGAATTTCCTTCTTTTTAAAAAAGGCTAAACAGTAAAAAAAAAAAAAAAAAAAAAGGCTAAATAGTATTCCAATTGTATATATATACTACATAGTTTTAATCCATTCATCCATTAATGGACATCAGTTAATTTCTACCACACTAAATAAATGTTGAATAAGCATTTATCCTGCATTGTGCCTTTACATTGTTGATATTATTCAATAGGTTTTCTGGAATGCAAGTATGAATAAATTATTAAGATGTATTAAATCTATATAACTTTGATATGTATAGTTCCTCCCTCTAATTTGATTTTTTTGTCCTATGTATGTTGTGGATGATTGATTTTGTGTAACACATGAACAAGTTATCTTAATTCCTGTTACGCATTGTGTTGTTTACTCTCCAAATTCATATATTCATGTCCTTGTCTACCATACCACAGTATGTGAACTTATTTGAAAATAGAGCTACTGCAGATGTAATTACTTAAGATGACATTATATTGAAGTAAGATGCGCCCTACTCCAATATTACTGGTGTCCTTATAACAAGAAAAATTTGCACATAGACATGAATAGAGGGAGAAGGCCATGTAAAGATAGAGCCAGAGACCAGCTTGATGCTTCTACAAGCTAAGGAATGTTACATACTTCCAGAAAACTACCAGAAGCCAAGAGAGAAGCACAGAACAGATTCTTCCCCATAGCCTATAGGAGGAACCAACCCTGCTGACACCTTGGTCTCTGGCTTCTGGCCTCCAGATCTGGGAGACAACACACTTCTGTTGTTCAAACCTCTGAGTTTGTGGTAATCTGTTATAGTGGCCCTCACAAACTGTATTAGTCCATTTTCACACTACTATAAAGAAATACCTGAGACTAGGTAATTTATAAATAAAGGGAGTTTAATTGACTCACAGTTCTGCATGGCTAGGGAGGCCTCAGGAAACTTACAATCATGGCAGAAGAGGAAGCAAACATGTCCTTCCTCACAAGGCAGCAGGAGAGAGAAATGCGTGAAAAGGGGGAAGAGCCCCTTATAAAACCATCAGATCTTGTGAGAACTCACTCACTATCACGAGAACAGCATAGGGGAAACTGCCCCCATAATTCAATTACTTCCCTCCATCAACACGTGAGGATTACAGGTCCCTCCTTTGACATGTGGAGATTATAATTCAAGATTAGATTTGGTTGGGGACACACAGCCAAATCATATCACAAACTAATCCATTTCCTATCATGTAATGAAGACAGGATAGATTCATCTGGTGCGGTGGAATGACTGAGATTTTTATCTTTATTTTGCCTGGGACATTATCTGATTATACAACCACTTTCAAACTGCTGTGGGTTTTAAGAGATTGAAGCCAAATATGATGTATGTGCCTAGGAGGCCTGGGTGCTATTAAATACTCTTGAGGTTGAGTGTTTAAAGAGACATTGTTTTCTTCTATGTACAACTTGTTCCAAAATGTTCTTGCATTATTCATTTTTTAGGATGTGTTTATGAAGCCTAGATGTTTTGAAGTCGCTGGTAAGTAAATCTATATTATTTAATTTTCTAAATTTAGAAATGTTGGCCGGTAATTTACCTTCATATTTCTTCCTGGAAATCTGACATTTAATTTTTTTTTCATCAGCCTGGATGTTTTCATGAACTCTAAAGTTCAACAGTGCAAATAATTTGTACCTGAAGTGTATTTGTAGCATGCATGGTCAAGGGTCCAGGGAGCTTGAAGAACAAATAGTATGACACAAACCAGTTTTCAAAAGTAGCCTGAGAACACTTTGTTTTTTTAAGGGTTATGGTTAGTGAGCACGGATCTCACCAGAGTTCCTAAGATCTTACTAACTATTTAAAAGATGAAGTCCACTCTTCCAATTATACTTTGAAACAAAATAGAAAGATGTACAAATAAAAGACTTTTGGTATCCCTGAAAATGTTCTGTCTGCAATGGAAATCAATAGATATTTCTCTCATTGACGCACGTTATTTTTTTTGGAGATGGAGTCTTGCTCTGTTGCCCAGGCTGGAGTGCAGTGGTGCAATTCTCCTGCCTCAATATTAAAAAATGATAAATTTCCATGCTTTGTCATTTTTGACTCCTGAGCTCTTGTTAGAACTTGTGATAGTGTTAATTATGCTTGTGGTAGTTGACTATCAATTCACTCCACAGGGAGCATGAAATGCTCAAGATTTTATAAATAATATCCATTTACTGTATATGTACTGTGCTTATAATTTTCTTATTTTAGTTCATTGAGTGTGTTTACTAGGAGAGAACATCTTTGCTATACATAAAATATTCTATAACATTTTAAAAAATCAGGGATATTTATGTATATTTAAATCAAGGATTGAAAGAATATTCCTTTTTTGTGTTCCTACTATTTCTTAAAGCATCATATACTAATTAAATATTTGTTGTATATTTTCGACTATGTTCAACCTATTGTGTAAGATGCTTGGAGAAGGAGCAGGGCATAATAAAAGACACAACACGTTTCTGTCCTCGGGGGTTTTATCTGGGGCTTTAAAAGGAAACCTATGGAAAGATAAATATATGGTAGGGAGCCATGTTTTAACTTACTGTTATGTGAAAACTGTGGAAGTAGATCTCAGAAAAGTGAGTTGTCATGAATCAGGGTGGTCAGAAAAGTGGAGAAGTGGGGATTGGGCTACAAGAAGGTAAAGAAGAGGAAGAGAATGGACACAAAGAAAAAGCAGTCTTTGAAAATCCTTATACGCTTGGTGATAATGAAAATGAGTAGGTTGAATTGGTTGAGAGAGCCAGATTTTTTTGTAGAAAGCTCTCCATAATAGGAGAAGGACAATTCTGTAATCATCAGGACAGAAAGAGATAGCTTGAAAGATCGCCACGGAATAGACTGGAAGAGGAAATGTCTGGACAGTAAGACACAAAAGAGGCTGTAGGACAGTTCAGGCTTGCGGCTATGAAGACTTGTCCTGTAGTGGTCAGGGTGTATTTGAATGATATTAGAAACAAAAACCCATAAAACAATGTAAAAATACCTTAAACAATTAAATGTAGAACTAAGGAGGAGCCAAAGGAGGATGATTATATAACAACTGCAGTTACAGAGTGAATGATACCCCTTTGTTTAACTAACAAAACAACCTTCAAATAATTCCTTGTCTCATCATGTTTATAGTTATCGATGACTAAACATCTGCTTCACAAGAAAATAAATTGTTACCAAAATTTATTAAAGAAAATACATACACTAAAAATTCCAAAGATGTCTGTTTTATTTCCCACATTCAGTATTGCTATTGTAAATCTCTTCTTATCCCAAGTATTGTACAATAACTGATATTCCATATAATTCTAGAAACTGATAAGATTTAGTTCAATAGGAACTATATTGTGGGCTAGGCGCGGTGGCTCACGTCTGTAATCCCAGCACTCTGGGAGGCCGAGGCGGGTGGATCACGAGGTCAGGATATCGATACCATCCCGGCTAACAGGGTGAAACCCCGTCTCTCCTAAAAATACAAAAAAAATTAGCCGGGCGTGGTGGCAGGAGCCTGTGGTCCCAGCTACTCCGGAGGCTGAGGCAGGAGAAAGGCGTGAAGCGGCGAGGCGGAGCTTGCAGTGAGCGGAGATTGCGCCACTGTACCCCAGCCTGGGGCCTGGGAAACAGAGCGAGACTCCGTCTCAAAGAAAAAAAAAAAAAAAAAAAAAAAAAAGAACTATATTGTGGCTTCAGATATAAGAAGGAGAAAGATTTATTCAAGAAATCAGTCTTATATCTTGCTGTCTATTTAAAATTCTGGAAGTGCAGATAAGATAATTTACTTGCTTGAAAATATTTTGTGATCCCTTATTGTCCCTAAAATGAGGTTCAAAATCCTTAGGCAGTATAGGGCAGTGGGGAAAATGTTGAACTCTGGAGACTAACCAAGCTTCAAATTTTGATTTTCTTACTTATCAGTAGTATAAGTTTGGGAAGTTTATTTAATCTGTCAGAGCCTCAGTTTTCAATAGCAACAAAAATGATAATAGCCACTCATAGAATTATTATGAATATAGGAAGAGATGAGTCACATAATTAGCATATTACATAGTAAATGCTCAATGGGTCTATTATTTTAAGCAGATTTGTGTTAGTCTAAACTACCATGAACTGTCTCCATCATACTTTTCCTATAGTAGTTTCCTCTGCTGATCTTCATTCTGCTTATCGTATGGTCAAGCTGAATTCTTTTTAGATCCATGGTCTGTAATTTCTGCCTCTCTGCTTTTATTTATACGGTATCCCCTGCAAGGTACCCTCTCCATTTCTCACTTCTCATCCAGATTTTTTTTTAGGATTCTATGCATCCTTTCAAAGATCAATTGAAAGGTCATTTTCTAAGAAATAATTTTTCTGATACTACCAGCTCTTCCGATCTCTCACAACAGTTGTGTCTCTTGAGGGCACTACATAAATCACATTTCTTGGTTATTCAGAATTCACACTGAATAATTTGATAAGCTTATTAAAAGATATTAAACAAGTATAGAAAATCTCTGGGGGGCTCAGAGAGCCAGACTTGAAGCTATGCAGCCAGGAAAAATGCCCACCTGTATTGAAAGACTGGTTTAATGAGATCACTATTACCATTTCCTCTCTGGACTATGCTCTGTCAACCATGTAGCCTGGTAGTCCTTGCATTAATCAGATCTAGACCACATATGAGAAACATAGATGCAAGGGTGTGTGAGAAGGCACCACATACACACACTTTTTTTTTTTTTTTTTTTTTTTGAGACAGTCTCACTCTGTCGCCAGGCTGTAGTACAGTGGCATGATCTCGGCTCACTGCAACCTCCCACTCCCTGGTTCAAGCGATTCTCCTGCGTCAGCCTCCCGAGTAGCTGGGATTACAGGCATGCGCCACCATGCCCAGCTAATTTTTGTATTTTTAGTAGAGACGGGGTTTCACCATGTTGGTCAGGCTGGCCTCAATCTCCTGACCTCGTGATCCGCCCGCCTCAGCCTCCCACAGTGCTGGGATTATAGGCGTGAGCCACTGCGTCCGCCCCACGCCCACTTGTTTTTTGTTTCCTGCTTTGGATGGAAGAACTTTGCAGTTTGAGAAATTACCAAAATGAAAGATATTTAAAGATGTTGTGTGGTTACAAATGAAAAATGTTTAAACAGACCCTTACCGCTTAAAAAAACCTTTTTAATATAGTAATTTTCAAATACATAGGAAAGTAGAGAACAATAGTGCCGTCAACCTTCCTCCTCTCTCCCCATTGACTCCTTACCTGTCTATAACAATCATCAAGTCATAGCCACTTTTGTTTTGTTTCATGACTGTTCCTGCCCACTTCTTTCTGCATGAAACTCCTCCCACCCACACCTTCTAGTAATTTTGAGGAGAATCCATGCATGACATCATTGCATTAATTTCTAATTCAATTTGTATCTCTAAAAGATAATGAAGTGCTTAACATAACCACAATTCCATTATCACGGCTACAAAGTTAAGGATAATTCTGTATTGTGAACAAATGTCCCCAGGCAGTGTTTGAGTTCCCCTGATTATCTTCAAAGTGATTTTTTTTTTTTTTTTTTTTTTTTTTTTTTTGAGACAGTCTTGCTTAGTTGCCCAGGCTGGAGTGCAGTGGCCCAATCTTGGTTCATGCAACCTCTGCCTCCTGGGCTCAAGCCATTCTCCTGCCTCAGCCTCCTGAGTAGCTGGGATTACAGGTGCCTGCCACCACACCTGGCAAATTTTTGTATTTTTAGTAGAGATGGGGTTTTGTCATGTTGGTCAGGCTAGTCTTGAACTCCTGACCTCAGGTGATCCACACACTTCAGCCTCCCAAAGTGCTGGGATTATAGGCATGAGCCATCACACTCAACCTCAAAATGATTTTTAAATTTTGATTTGTTTGAATCAAACAAGAAACCAAGCAAGTTTCTCAATACATTTGCTTGTCGTATGTCTGTTAAGTCTCTCTTAATCAGTAGATTCTCTTTATCTCTTTTTTTCTCTTTACAATTTATTTGGTGAAGAAGCCAACTCATTCATCTTGTAGAGTTTTCTGAATTCGAGATTTTTCTAAGTGCTTTCTGTGGCGTCATTTAACATGTACCTGTCTTCCTCCCTCCCTCTGAAAACTGGTAATTAGATCTAGAGCCTTGGTGTGATAGCTTGATCACAGAAAAGCTGGAATTTTTAGAACCAGTTTTCCTGACTCCTAGTCTATGCTGTTTCTAACCTGCCTCTTTAATGAGGCACAGAGTACATGGCCTTTTATTTGGAAAGAAGGAACAGTTCCATGCTTATAAAATGCTCAGAGTATGCTCAGTATTGCTCACCGTTCAACACATAGAAAAGACAATATGTATCTTGAGAAAGCCTAAAGAAAATAGGGAAGCTGACCCCAGAGTCCTTGGCCACTTTCTTTCTGCAGACGTTCTATTGAGGAATGAATGATATGCTTTGCTTTTGTATAATTGGCATTTCTGGGATTTGGTTATCATATGCAGAGGTTAAAAAAAACCCTATATCCCTGCCATAAAATGCATCAGTAGGAATACTGAGCCAGCATGGATACAGCAAATACATATAGCATGAGTTATGTTTGGTGGTGACAGGAGGGAGGACATGAAGGAAATCTTAGATGATTTATATATATATATTTTCTCCCTTATCTCTTTGAGGATTTTTGCTTCTTTTAAATTCGACCCATTTATTCCAATAGTTCTAGTTCATGTGTATCTATTGTTTGGCTTATTGTCTTTCTGTTATTAACTCTTGGGAATCTAATTATTTTGACTTAAGAATAAGGGTGTTTATAATTGTGTTTGTTAATCTTATAGGGCCATAGCAATACTTTATCAAATTATAAATCATTCATTTAAAGCAAAGCAAAGCGATTCCTAACAATTCCCTTTTAATTATAGAGGAGTTACTGACTATACAAGGTTCAGTTGTATGAAGAAAAGCTGGATAGACATCAATTCCTATTGTTTTTCCTCTCAGAACTCTTCTTTTATGAAGAACTTTTTATTTCTACTGCTTCATATGGGTAGGTTGACACTCTAAAAGTGCTTTGGATATAACATTATTCAAAGCGTATAAACGAAAGAGTTGTATGGAAAAGGCATTTTCAAATAACATGCACAAGTGTAGGAGATGAGTGGGCTGGGCTCTGGCTTTGCACATTTGGAAGAAATTTGTTAACAAAATGTCTCATCATAAAGACATCAAGTAAGACAACCAATAGGATGAGTCCAGTGACAAACGGAAGATCATTAGCTTCATAAAAACCAAATTCTTTATCACAAAGAAAACTTATTTCAAATGAAACTGGTTATAAAATCAGGGCATCTAGCCATTTGGGTATACTTAAATTACGTGAGCCATGTTTATTCTGGAGTGAGGTACTTTGCACACCCACACAAAATCCTGTTTTTTCCAATGATGTTTTATACACTCACTTTAACCACCACCCTATATTTACAGAGAGATGACCAGAATTATTTGTCAGACATGGTTTAGAAAAGAAAGCTGACAAAATAAAAAACTCACATGGATTATTGATTCCTTCCTTCAGTGTCCATAAAGAATCTATAGAAAAAAGAAAAGAAATATACTTTACATATGCAAACCCAAATGCCAGGCTTTATGTTAATAATTAATCCTTGGCTTAAAGAGACCATAAAAAGAATTATGAAACTTGAGGATTGAAACAACAGTAAAGACTCACATGCCACCATTTGAAAGACATGGCTGAAATAGTCCTTTGATGGAAATGTAAGATAAAATGACCAGGACACAGAGAGTTTGAAAATGAATAAGCTAAATATTCAATCCAAAAAGTTCGAAATGCAACAGAGAAAATCCAAAGAAACCAATTGAAAGCAACAAGAAAGGAGGAATTAATAACAATAAAAAGTTAATAAAATAAAGAACAAAAAACATAAAAACTTCAACAAAACTAAAAATATCTAGTTTTTTCCCCCAAGATGATGGATTAGAAGCATTTAGCATGCCTCAGCCACTTGGAAATAGCAAGATAGTGCATAAAAGATCAACTCTGTGAGCTTTCATTTCATAGGGAAAATGGAAGTCCCTTGGAATCATGAAGGACACTCCAGATTCCAAGGAGAACATGGGCAAACAGGCCCTGTGACAACGTCTGGCTGACAAAAGTGAATGAAACTCCAGTACATGAGAGAGGCACAGAGACTCCCTCTGTGACTCATCTTTCCACTGGGGATCAAATTAACCTAGGCCAGAGGACAGCACTGTTTCTCCCAAGCTCTGGAGCTAACTTGGCGAGAGGCTGGAAGACATTGAGAGGGAAAGACACTGGTAAAAGGTGCAGAGATTTTCCCAGACATGGAGTGAGGCAGGACACCATTTTTATTCAGGGCACATACAGAGTGAGTCATTGTTTGGTGACCCGGCAGTGTGACCATGCAGGCATTTTAGTCTCAGGCCAGAGATTGGAGCGCTTGCTCTGAAGCAGGGTAGGGGCTTCCACAGCCAGAACTGTGTAAAGTACCTCAGCAGTAGGTGCTGAATTTGTTGTTCTCCCTGTCTCAGGTGTGGGTCAGGAGGACAGCTGCTATAGCTATGGTATCTCTTGGGTGATGACACTTGTAGCTAAGGCCAGCTTGGCAACCTGGAACGGGTCGACATGTGTCATTGTTGCATGCCCCAGCCTGCTCCTCTGAGCTCACTGTGCAGCAGGGCCCCCTCTACTTCATCCCCAAGCAGAACTCCAGATAGAGCACTCACTTGCCTGGGCCAGCAGCCTGAGCAACCCCACCCTTCCTGTGCAGAGATCCCAGTGCACTGGATTTTCCTTTGGCACTGGTGTTTATGCCTACCATCAGGGGACCTGTAGGTAGGCCTGCCTGATCTATTCCTGCCCATGTTGCTCCCCACCCTCATGGGGCTAAGCAGGGAATTCAGGCCACTGTGCATGCCACAGATCACACTATTGCCTGAGGCGACAGAGAGCTTCTCCAAATAAACAAGAATCAAGTATGTACTCAGCATTGGCTGCAGTTGGCTTTTACCCGTAAGTGACATCTATCTATTGGATTACAGGTCAAACTACTCAGCCCAACAAAAAACCTACTGACAGAATTGCATGGGGCTATAGAAGCAAAGCCCCAAAACCCTACCCAGCCTTCTCTAAAGTCACATCTCCTAGGGAGTGGGGGAAAGAAAAGAAAAAAACCTGCAATAATATTATAGGGGAAAAAAGAAAAAAAATCCTACCTGCATAAAAATAATTACAAAAATCAGAAGTACAAGTGTCTTTGGAAGAGAAGGAACCAGAACAAGAATTTGGGGACTATGAAAAATCTGAATGTAGTGACACCACCAAAGGATCACATTAGTCTCTAGAAATAGTTCCTAACGAAAATGGAAACTCAGAAATGACATAGAAAGAATTTAAAGCATAGATGGCAAGGAAACTCAACAAGATCTAAGACAGAGTTGAAAATTAACACAAAGAAGCTTCTAAAGAAATCCAGGAAATGAAGGAATAGATAAACATCTTAAAAAGAAATAAATTAGAGCTTATGGAATTGAAAACCTCACTTAAGGAATTTCAAAATACAATGGAAAGCTGTATCATAGACTAAATTGAGCAGAAGAAAGAATTTCGGAGCTTGAAAACTTGTCTTTCAAACTAACACAGTCGGACAAAAATAAAGAAAAAAGAATTTAAGAAATAAGGCCTTTGAGAAATATGGGATTATGTAAAATGACCAAACTATGAATTATTTGGATTCCCAAGAGAGAAGGAATGGAAAACTTTTAAGGGAATAATTCAAATCAATTTCCCTAATATTTTTAGGGAGGTAGGCATGTAGATACAAGAAATCCAGAAAATACTTGTGAGATACCATGCAAAATTAACATCACCAAAGCATACTGTCACTAGATTGTCTAAAGTCAATGCTTAAAAAAAAAATCAGGAGAGATTGGGGGCCTATTTTCTGCATTCTTAAAGAAAAGAAATTCCAACCAAGAATTTCATATCCTGCCACACTAAGCTTCGTAAGTAAAGGATAAATAAAATATTTTCCAGATGAGCAGCATTAAGGTAATTTGTTACCACTAGACTAGCCTTATAAGAGATTCTTAAGGGTGTTCTAAATATGGAATCAAAAGAACAATACCTGCTACCACAAAAATGATTTAAGTACATAGCACACAGTAGACTCTATAAAGCAACCACACATTAGAAACTACAAAGCAACCAGCTAACAATTTCACAAAAGGATGAAAACCTTACATATTAATACTAACTTTGAATGTAAACAGTCTAATTGCCTCATTTAAAAGACACGGAGTAGCAAGTTGGATTAAGACACAGGACCCATCTGTCTGCTGTCTTCAAGAGACTTATCTCACACGTAATGACACCCAAAGGCCCAAAGTAAAGGGTTGGAGAAAGATCTATCATGGAAATGGAAAACAAAATAGAGTAGAGGTCACTATTCTTATATAAGATAAAACAGACACTAAATCAACAACAGTAAAAAAGGACAAAGAGAAGCATTACGTAATAACTAAGGGTTCAGTTCAACCAAAAGACTTAACTATCCTAAATATATACACACCCAACATTGGAGTATGCAGATTCACGAAACAAGTACTTTTAGACCTTCAAAAAGACTTAGCCACTCAATAGTATTGGGGGACTTCAACACCCCGCTGATGGCATTAGATAGATCGCTGAGGTAGAAAACTAACAAAGGAATTCTAGACTTAAATTCAAGCCTTGACCAATTGGACCTAATAGACAGCTACAGGATACTCCACCCATCAACCACAGAATATACATTCTTCTCATCTATACACAGAACATACTCCAACATTGACCACATGCTTGGCCATAAAGCAAGTTTCAGTAAATTCAAAAAAATCAATATCTTACCAACCATACTCTCAGACTACAGTGGAATAAAGATAGATATCAATACCAAGAAGTTCTCTTAAAACCACACAGAATAATAAAAAAAATGAAAATGAGAAAAAACAAAACAAAACAAAACACATGGAAATTACCAACTTGCTACTGAATGACTTTTGGGTAAACAATAAAATTAAGGCAGAATCAAAAAATTCCTTGAAATAAATGAAAACAGAGACACAAAGTGCCAAAATCTCTGGGATGCAGCAAAAGCAGTGTTAAGAGTAAGTTTATGGCACTGAACACCTACCTAAAAAAGTTAGAAAGATCTCAAATTAATGATCTGATATCACATGTAGAGGAACAAAAACAAACAAACAAACAAACAAACAAAAAACCACGAACAAAGTAAGCTGAAGCTAGCAGAAAAAAGAAATAACTAAAATCCGAACAGAACTGGACAAAATTGAGACCTGAATATTTATACCAGAAACCAACAAAACCAAAGGATTGATAAGATCGATAGACTGCTAGCTAGATTAACAAAGAAAGAGGATCCAAATAAGCCCAATTAGAAATGCAAAGGTGATACTGCAACCAATCCCACAGAAATACAAAAATTCTCAGAGTCTCTTATGAACACTTCTCTGCACATAAACTAGAAAGTATAGAAGACATGGATAAATTCCTGGAAACACACAATGTCCCAAGATTGAATCAGGAAGAAATTGAAGGACTGAACAGATCAACATTGAGTTCTGAAATTGAATCAGTAATAGAAAACCTACCAACCATAAAAAGCCCCAGACCAGAGGGATTTACAGCCAAATTCTACCAACATATAAGAAAGATCTAGTACCAATTCTTCTGAAACTTTACCAAAAACTGAGAAGGGACACCTCTCTAATTTACTGTATGAAGCCAGCATCACCCTGATACCAAAATCTGTCAAATATACAATGAAAAAAGGAAAATGCAGGCCAATATCCCTGATGAATATTGATGCAAAAATCCTCAACAAAATATGAGCAAATTGAATCTAGAAGCATATCAAAAAGTTAATTCACCATGAACAAGTAGGCTTCATTCCTGGAATGCAAGCTTGGTTCAACATATGCAAATCAATAAAATTGTTTTGCCACCTAAACAGAATTAAAGATAAAAATCACATGATTATCTCAGTAGACAAGACAAAACTTTTGATAAAATCCAACGTCCCTTTATGATAAAACCCTCAGCAAACTAGGCATTGAAGGAACATACCTCAAAATAATAAGAGTCATCTATGACAAACCCACAGCCAATATTATACTGAACAGGCAAAAACTGTTCAGTATAATATTGAACTTGTTCCCTTCCCCTTGAGAATTGGAACAAGGATGCCCACTTTTACTCAATGTCATACTAGAAGTCCTAGCCATAGCAATCAGGCAAGAGAAAGAAATAAAATGCATCTAAATAGAAAAAGAAGAAGTCAAACTACCTCTCTTCACAGACAATATGATTCTACATCTAGAAAACCCTGAAGACTCCACCAGGAGGCTCCTGGAATTGATAAATGACTTCAATCCGGGATACAAAATCAATGTCCAAAAATAAGTAGCATTGCCATGCACAAATAACATTCAATCTGAGAGCCAAATAAGGGATGCAATACGATTTATAATAGACACACACACATACACACACCACACAATACCAGGTAATATATCTAATCAAGGAGGTGAAAGATCTCTACAAGGATAACTATAAAACACTGCTGAAAGAAATAATAGGTGACACAAACAAATGGAAAAACTTTCCAATATCATGGATTGGAGGAATAAATAACAGTAAAATGGCCATACTGCCCGAAGCAATTTACAGATTCAGTATGGTTCCTGTCAAACTACTAACATAATATTTTACAAAATTAGAAAAAAAACTATTCTAAAATTAATATGAAACCCAAAAAAACAAAAACAGCCCAAAGAACCAAAGCAATCCTAAGCAAAAAGAACAAAGCTGGAGACATCACACCCTCTGACTTCAAACCATACTGTAAGGCTACAGTAACCAAAACAGCTTGATACGGGTGCAAAATCAGACACATAGACCAATGGAACATATTGGCAAACCCAGAAATCAACCCACCTACAGCCATCTGATCTTTGACAAAGTTGACAAAAATAAGCAGTGGTGAAAGAACTCCCTATTTAATAAATAGTGCTGGAATAACTGTCTTGCCATATGCAGAAGAATGAAACTGGACTCCTACATTTTACTATATAAATACAAAAATTCACTCAAAATGGATTAAAGATTCAAATGCAAGATCTCAAACTATAAGGATCCTTGTGGCGAACCTAGGAAACACCATTTTGGACATCAGCTTTGGGAAAGAATTTATGACTAAGTCCTCAAAAGCAATTGGAGCAAAACAAAAAATTGACAAGTGACCTAATTAGACTAAATAGCTTCTGCAAAGCAAAATAAACTATCAACAGAATAAACAGATAATCGACAGAATGAGAGAAAATATTTGCAAGCTATGTATACAACAAAGGTCTAATATCCAGAATCTACAAGAAACTTAAACAAATCAACAAGAAAAAACAACCCTATTAAAGGTAGGCAAAGGACATGAACAGACACTCCTCAAAGAAGATATATGTGTGCAACAAGCATGAAAAAATGCTCAACCTCATTAATCATCAGATAAATGCAAATCAAAACCACAATGAGTTATCATAATTACCAGAGTGGCCATTATTAAAAAGTCAAAAAATGACAGATGCTGGGAAGATTGCAGAGAAAGGGGAGAACTTATACACTGCTGGTGGAAATGTAAATTAATTCAGCCATTGTGAAAAGCAGTTTGGTGACTTCTTGGAGAACTTAAAGCTGAATTACCATTCAACTCAGCAATTCCATTATTGGGTATACATCCAAAGGAATATAAATCATTCTATGATAAAGACATGCATACATATGTTCATTGCAGCACTATTCACAATAACAAAGACATAAAATCAACCTAGATGTCCATCAATGGTGGATGGGATAAAGAAAACGTGGTACATATGTACTGTGGAATACTACACAGCCGTAAAAAAGAATAAAATCATGTTCTTTGCAGCATCATGGATGGAGCTGGAGGCCATTATTCTAAGAGAATTAATGCAGGAACAGAAAACCAAATACCACATGTTCTCACTTGTAAGTGAGAGCTAAACACTGAGTACTCATGGACATAAAGATGAGAATGACAGACACTAGGAACTACTGGTGGGGGAAGGAGGAAGGCACAAGGGTTGAAAAATTAACTATTGGGTACTCTGCTTGCTACGTGGATGATGTGATCAATTAAATCCCAAAGCTTAGCGTCCCACAATATGCCCATGTGACAAACCTGTGCTTGTACCCTATTAATCTTAAATACAAGTCAAAATTGTTTTAAAAAAGTCTGCAGCAAGCCTGAGCAAGGAAAAAGAAAAATAATAGAAAAATAAACACACAATGTAAAAGAAAAATAACTACAGATATAACATATTTTAAATAAAAACATTATTATGGGCAACTATATAAGAATATAGTTGATAACACGTAAGAAGACATAACATATTTGGAAAAATATAACCTGCTCAAAGTAGAAAATTTGAACAGGCCAATAAACAGTAGTGCTGACAAAATGATTGCAAAAGACCTTTCTGCCACCAAAACTTTAAACCCCTTAGTCTGTTTCACAGAAAATTTTTGGAGAAAAATTAATCTTACAATTTTTTTTTTAGAAAAGTAGAGGAGCTACTGGCTTATTTAATGAGATTAGTGCAATCTTGATTCTAATATCAGATAAAGGCAATAAAATAAAATTATAAGCCAATTTCACCTGTGAATGTACATTTCAATATTCTAAATAAAATATTAGCTAATCAAAAATTTGGTCATTAAGTAATAATTCATTATTCAAATCAAGTTTATCCCAGGAAGTATTAAAGTCTCAACACAGAGAAAATATAGCAACAGCATTCACTATATTAATAGGAAAAAAATATGATTATTTCAATTGATGCAGCAAAAGCATTCGATAAACTTAAACATTTAGTTGTTAAATGAATTAAATAATATACATGGAAATATGTTAAAATCTTGAGAGGCTATGCTAATATAATATGTTCTAAGAATCTAGGACAAGTTTAGAATTTATTAATGGCTTAGTTCCTTAATTTAATTTACTATAATTTTATTGAAGTTGATCTTTCATCCCCGGAAGTCCAGTATGAAAAGCAGCATTTTTAAATACAAAATGACTGGGCAGAAAATGGTCATAGGAGAGGATGGGTTTTAGCTGCAGTCCTGCAAATAGCCTGCAGCAGAACCAGGGAAATCAATACAAAGATGACTTTAAGCCAAGCTACAGACCTTTAGTTGCCTGGACAAATTTACTCTTTCATTTCCTGAACAATAAATCCCTATAACCTTTAATGTTTGCTTTAAAAAAAAGTAAAAGTTTTGGAAACAGATCCTGCTATTTTAGTAGGAAAAAGATCCTACTTCCCAGACACACTGTAACACTTTGGTATACACCTTGGCCTATAGCCCAAGTTACACCCTCCAGCATTTAAACAGTTTTCAAATTAGCCAGACGGGTATGAGGAGACAGGTGAATTAATAAGGAGTGGTTTGATTCTGTGATCTGGAGAGAGAGCAATGGTTAGGGATATTAAAGACAAAGCAGTGGTCCACCAGTCTGTAATCCCCAATTAGACTACACCTCTTATCATCACAACATTTACTGTATGACTGGAATAACAGAAAAGATATTTTACATAGGAGACAGAGGAATATCTGACAAGAAACACTCTCATGGTAGACTATATGGGACAATTTACATGGCCCATAAGTATACAGAGAAAGATATATCTTTTGTTATTGTAGGGTATTATATAATCATTACCATGATCCTCTCTCTCATATTTATCTTGCTTTTAGTTTACAACAGTTGTTAGAATCTTCACTCCATCGTTTATCACAGAAACCTCAGATGAAAATAGAAACAAGGTTGCATATATTTTGCCTATCTAGAAGTTCAGTATCAGAGTGTGTGAGTTATTTATCCTTAGTCTCATAGGTATTAAGTGGCAGAACTGGTACTCACAGTGCTTGTGCTGGGATACTGCAGTGGGCATCTGTGGAATTAGTTGTGTCTTCTAATTAGTTGTGTCTGTCACAGTGTCCCTCTCCTCATTCCACAGGATGCTCTGAACTCTGAAGGTGCCATGCTAGTAGCTAATGGGTTCCATCCCTGGAACTTGGGGGCTTGGGGCAAAGAGAGAAATAGTACACTTTCTCCAGAGGGATGAAGCTGTGATGGGAAAACCGTTATAACTCCTGGCATCTAAAATCAAGCAATCAATGGATTGAAGAAGTAAAGAAGCAATCCCAAGAGAAATGGCTGCGAATGAAACGTTTAACAGGAAGCAGAGGCAAGGAATAGAGTAAGCAATTCTATGGCATTTCAGCTCGTGCTTCCTATCACATCTAAGTTTTGGCTGCATTTTTGTTATTCCTACAGGTTAATTGCCCAGTTCTTTCTTCGATTATACTTAACTTAAATTCTTCCAGTAAACTCCCTTTGTGTTTAAGCATTAGATGGAGGAAATTTTTAAAAATGACTTAATATGGCTTTGCATTTTCTGGTTCCAGTAGGCGTTTAAAGATGGAATGTTCTCTAATGAGGTATTCAGACACCACCTCCTATATTTAGAAACTTCTCAACTGTAGTTTTCTTGACGTAAATTATATATTCTCCCCTAGTTCTTTACTTACTCCCTCCTCAGTTACTGGTGTGTGAAACTTATATGGGTCCCCTATGGGTCTTCTATGTAAGTCCCATTGCCTATCCAATGGGTTCTGTTGGATAGAACATAATATGAACCTTCCTAGTCTCTCTGTTTCATGCATGACCCATATCTGATTCACTGGAATCCTTCACATACCCTTTGACCTAATAACCTTTGGGATGGAGGCAGACCTCACAATCCTTGGGCTCATTGATCAACAGCTAACCATCCTGCCTGTAGCTCATTGTATTTGTCAGGTAGTAGTCATATTCCAGTCCATTGTGTTTTTTTATACTGTGTGTTCACATATTAAGTTCACCAAGTAGTCTCACCGAGGCTCCTCTAACTAGTTTTCAGGTAAGAATGGGCACAGCAAATCTCCCCATTAGTGGCAACACATTAGCGGAGCTCTTTCCTGAGGAATCATCTTTAAAAATTCCCTTCCTATTGAAAGAATCAAGCATTTTGCTTATTTTTCCTATTTAAACTATAGCTCAGGGAAGCCAAATAGTTAATGAGGGTAAGTTTTACTCCATAAAAGTATAACAGATAATGAATAAAGGAGAAATAGAACACAATGTCAATTTTGAGTCCTTAATGATATAGTTGATCTAGGAAATGATCATTCATAGTTGTTACCACCATAAAAAGAGAAACCATTAGATATTATATACTTCTTGGTAGAAGTATATACCACCACCTCTGAAGTGTTCTTGTCAAAATTTTATTTTGAATTAGATCAAGCTTCTAGATTTAACTACTAGGTTACAGGAAATACAGGGGATGGAAGAACATGTTAAAAGACACCATGAGGAAGTAGTTATTAAAGTTTAGAGTGTAGAAAACCTGCCAGGACAAATGATCTGATTTTTTAAAAAACCCAAAAATTGCAAAGGGAGAAAAGCAAGCATGAAAAAATCTTGAGAGACTTAGGAAACATAATCAAATGCAACATGTGATTCTTGTTTGGATTCCGATTCAAATTAAAGACTTTAAATAAAATGTGTAAGATGAGAACATTGAAACACTGACTTCTAATTTGAGAATTATTTTTAATATTTACATGTGATAATAAATGAAATCATGGCTATGTTTGAAAAATGCCCTTTATATTTAAAGGTATATAATGACATATTTATGGACAAATTGATACTGATATTTGGGCTGTGTTTCATAATGATGCTGAGGAAGTTGAATCCAAGCAGTTTCCTTCAGAGCCTAATGATGAAATTATTCTGTTGCAGTAAAGAAGAAAATGTATAGAAATAAGGGATTTGTCAGAAAAGAGTGTACTGAGCAGTTTTATTGATTTGTGAGAGCCATGTAGGTGGGTAGTCAGTGATAAGTTAGAAAGTAGTTTAGGGCCAAACCTTGGAGGGCCTTAAAAAATAGGGTGGCTAATATGAACAAAATCATTATTTCAGTATGTAAGGCCCTATAATTTTCTGTACCAAAACTTTGTGATATAATTCAATGATAATTTAAGTGCTAATCAGCATGGTTTGTCAAAATAATAGAAGCTTCCTTTGATGGAAGATGAATTTTGAAAACGATTAGACCTATGGAAAATGAATAATGAATTTTAATAACAGTTTCTTAATAGTGACAGGGATGCTTTTCCGTAATTTTATTTTGGTCACCTGGATTATACACTTTCAGTGTTAAAGCCCTGGAGAACCACAGTTAAAAGATAATGCATTTGCTCTGTACCCTATGTAGAGAAGAGCCCATGTTTTTCCTAGTGTTAGAGCTACTTGGCCTGCAACATAGATGTTATTGTATAAATTGGAATATGATTTGATTTGATCCTGAAAGATTTATTTTAATATCAAGATCAAGAGTCAAATGTTATTTTACCCAGCTTCTCAGGTGAGCCATGTTTAAGCCTCTTACAATTCGTGCATAACCGAAAGGAGATGCAGATTTGTTCTAGACTTGAAAAAGAAGTTAGAAACATGGGTTCTAGAGCAAGCTCATGAGCCTAGTAACTGAGTGACTGCTGAACATGTGAAAGAGTCAGCAGGACTGCCGAGTACTATTACTGGGCTTTATTCGGAAGTAGATGCAATTTATAAATTTTTCGGCCTAGATTTGTATACATATCCACATCTTCTCTGTGACATTTTGAATTTTTGACAATATATTTCTTTTAGAAATTCTCCTCTCTTTTGCCTACATGGCGCAGTTCATTTTCATCTTCTGGGTTGTCAGGAACATCTTCTTAAGTGTCAGTATTTCAAAGAGCTCCATCTTTGATTCTCTTTCTCATGTGATGTATTCTTTTTAGGGTGGCAATGTAACATCACAATTAAAAGTATAGAATTTCAAGTTAGAGAAACCTTGAATATTAGCTCTGTCACTTTCTGCTTTGTAATCTTGGAAAACTTAATATTTCCGGTGATCTTAGAAAATTTAATATTTCTAGTCTCATTTTCTTGTCTGTAAAAATAAGCCACCTTCTTTCACCTCCCAGAATTGCTGGGATGTTGAAATGAGGTATTATATAAAGCCCTTATTATAGTGCTTGGCACATAAAAGATGCTGAATAAACAGTACTAAAGATTATTCATTTTTTTCAACTTCAAACTATGTGCTTACGACTCTATATCTTTAGCTAAATCTTTTCAATTGGGCTCCAAATCTCAATATGCAATAGTCTATTTTAGTGGTTGCCAAATGCCAATTGTGGCTTGCTGTAAGTCAGTGATTGGTATTATACTGGTACAAGAGGAATTGAAAAAAATAAGGACACTTGGTTGATTTTTAAAATAAAGGCAAGTTTATTTAATTTAATAAATTGCCTTTTATATTAAGACTCTTTTTAATTTTTCATATTGAAATATCCTTTTATAAAAATGAAATATTATTAGTGGATGACAGGGTTTTGTTTTGTTTTTATGTATCTTGACTTAGCAAAATAAAAGTTGGCAGTCTTTAATTGATTTCTAAAATTTATATGAATTATGCTGGTATGTGAACCCTGAAAGCTTAGGAACCTCTCATCCATTGGAAAACTTTACTTGAATAAACCACGAGCACCTCAAATTCAACACTGTAAAAAGTGTATTTCTTATTTCCTCCTCCCCCTACACATAAAACCCAACTTCCTTTTTATTGCCTGTCCTAAAGGATGTCATAATCATTCATTCCAGTCAGTTTTCAGAAAATCTGAGTCATCCCCAAAACCCTCTTGGATGGTAGTACCCTTACATTCAATCGATTGCTAAATCCTTCAGTTCTATCTCTTGATATTTCTTGATTCATGCCCATTGCCACTATCATTATAATTTTTTTTTTTTATTGGGATTGTTTTCTTTCTATCTCCAGACTCCTGCTATTCCAATTTGTCTTACCCTAAGCTGCCAGAAACATCTTTTACTTTCCTGCCCGAAATCCTTCAGGGTTCCCCATCACCTTTGGGGCTAAACATTTTAGTGCAGCCCAAATGTCCCTCCCTTCCCATCTACTGCTTCTCCTTCACATGGATCCCTCATGCCTGCTGTAATTAACTACTTGCATCTATATTGTCTTGGGATCTTTACACATTCGGTTTCACCTGCTGGTAAATATCCTTCTCTCCTCATTTAGAAAATTCCAATTAGTTATTCAAGATTCAGTTCACATATTCTTCCATCCCAAGTCTTCCCATACACCCCAATATGAGTCTTGCATCTCTCTTCTTTGTCCTGAACCTCTGTCATAGTAACCAAACACAAGGTGGTGCAATTTTTTAGGTACATAACTAGGTTTCCTTCTCATCTGCGGAAACTGCTGTTGGGAATCACACCTTGCACCTCTGTGTTTCAGTGCTTAATACAATCCTTGATACACTTAGGTGTCCAATAACTCTTAGCTGCATAAATGACTATAAACCTTATATTATAGAGTTAAAGCTTCTATTAGACTACATTTCTGCTCCCAAGGGCCCTGCAGACCAAAATGTTAACCCAAAATGGTAGAAACCCATAGTCATTGTATTTATTTTATAGCCTCCCTATTAGGGAATTGAAGCATATAAAACAGTATTGGTGTATTGGCACATCTTTATATTATTTAATTTCATTATTGAATAAAAGTGTTT
Source organism: Homo sapiens (assembly GCF_000001405.40). NCBI lineage: Eukaryota > Metazoa > Chordata > Mammalia > Primates > Hominidae > Homo > Homo sapiens. Next base: position 42,749,103 of record NC_000004.12, read on the forward strand.
GGCTGAGGGTGTGAATAGGGGTTGAGCAGAGGGAATAGGATGCCTACTATTTACCATGGCTACACAACCCTAGACCAGGATTTGTTCGTGAATATTCCCCTTTTCTTTTAGGTGCTAAACCATGTCTCCTATGCTATGCGTAGAAATAACCACACACACACACACACACACACACACACATACACACACACATACACTTATTTAAAAAGATTACCAAGTGAGAGAAGTTGATCCAATAGCCTCTCTTCTTGAGTAAGAGTCCTAAAATCTTAATAATAATCCAGTATTTTCCTGAAGGATGGTCCTTGCTTTGAATTCTACCTCAAGACTCAGAGGGCACCCAAAACAATATCTGCTGCTTATCCACAACTGTGCCTTTCACACTCCATCATGCTGTCCTGTCCAAATGGTGTTTAAGAGAAAGAAACTCCCTTACCCCCTCACAGAGGGTAGTTAAATTTATTGAAAGGCTTTTACTATCTAAGCCTGATCAAAGGCTTATATTTTCTTATATGTAATTGGTGACATCATATATGTTCTTGATGGCATGAAAATACTTTGGCGCTATATTAGTGAGAATGTGTAGATTTGCAGTTAATAAACACCCAACTAAGCTTTTGACATTATGAAGAGTCTGGAGGAAGCAGTAAGTCTAGTTCATCAGCTTAGTAATGTCATCAAGGACCCTATTTCTTTGCGCCTTCCTGTGCCTCAGCATATTTAATTTTTGTCCTCCTTTATTGCATCATGGTGGCAAGATGGTTGTTGATGTTCTAAGCATCACTATGACTCAACATCATCCCAAATAGAAGGGAAGCAAAAGGGAACATTAAATCATGATTGATAAGACTTATCATAATTCAGTCCTTGGGATTGGGCATATTATCAACGCAAACATAATTGAACTTCTGTTAGTCAGAAAGAAGGGAGAGAATAGCTGTTATATTCGTCAGAAAGAAGGGAGAGAATAGCTTTCTGTTAGCCAGAAAGAAGGGAGTGAATAGCTGTTATGTAGGCAATTAACATTGTCTACTACATGTAATTCTTCTCTTTGAACTATGTGAAATATAACAGAGTTACATAAAGGCTCCACCTTGAAGTTTACTTCTGCTATATCTGTACCCAAGCAACCTCACTTCTCCCTTTTCCCCCTTGACTCTCCATATTGTAACCTTTCCTTCTCATGACAACTCTCCGTCCCCACCCAGTGGATCTGAGCAAGTCCTACTATATATTTATTACTACATATTAGGTTGAATGACATGAACTTACCAATGTTAACATATTGTTCTCACAAAAATATCATAATATACCCAATTAGTGTGGGATTAATAGAAAATGAATAACCATGGATAGCAAGTGAATAAAATCTGCTTAAAACTCCAGAGAATGTCTTCAACAATGGAAAAAATCTATCCAATTTACAAATTGAACAAGTGGAAGACATTTGACATCTTCATTTGGAAAAAGGAAAAAGTCATCTGCTAATAACATTTAATCATATTCCTAGAGAGTGTCAATAGTGGGCAAGGAGATATCCATTTTTATTTCTATAATTTCAGTAGGTTTATTCAGTCCTGTCCCACAGAGAGAGAAAATATATTGCCTTATGACTTTTTTTTAATAGCGTGAACTGCTGTTTACCTTATGATTTCTATCTCTCCCAGCTGGGAATACCACAATGGCTATATATTTTTTAAAAAACATGAAGCTCAATGGAGAATAATTAATTTTTCTGCAGCAGAACACTTAAAATTAAAAAAAGATGAGTGGAAAAATCCAGTGCAATGGTGAAAGATAAGTGTCTGAAACACCCAAACATGGAGAAGATCCAGCACTTTGCAGAGAGCTATAGCCAGACTTTGTAACAGGAGAGGAAGTCATCTGGAAAATGGCATTTCTCACACACTGGCTGTAAGTCAATCTCCTGGGTAGGAGTATCAGGTTAAACAACCCTTGCCGGTCTTTCATTTCTATGAATGTAATAAGACTCTGGCAATAGAATCATTCTTTTGTTCAGTGGTTTCCCACCTGCTGCTCACAAACTGCTAAAGTCATCCTCTTCCTCAATGTCTTGCCCACCAAGTTGCACATACTTAGTCTGATATGTCCCTTGGGTGGACGAAATAGATCAATAGTATCAGAAGTCAGCCTGCGATTCAGCCAAATAAAAAAATAAAGCAGAGTGGAAATTATTAAAATGGAGGCCATTTAATAGCTGGACAAAGAGAGCATGAACACTGTTAAGGAGGTTAACGAGTGGGAGGAAAGAAAGAGGACTAGAAATAAATGCACAAATGACAAAACAGAAGTGAAGATTTTCAGAAAATAAAGGCTTAAAAAGCCAACTTTGTTACACACAAAACAATGGCAAAGTAAGATAAAAGCATTATGATAGTTGGGAAAATATAGATTCCAGTTCTGGCTTCACCAACTATTGATGGATTTTTGAACAAGCCACTTAATCTTTACTTTTTAAAACAGTTTTATTGAAATATAACTCACTGTCTGTAACATTCACCAGCTTAAAGTGTACAATTCAGTGCTTTCTGTTATGTTCACAGAATTGAACAAAAATTAACACAATCTAATTTAGTGTGTTTCATCACCCTGAAAAGAAACCGCATACTCATTAGCAGTCATTCATTCCCTAATTCTTTACTCTTCCAACCCCTGGCAGCCACTAAGCTACTTTCTGTTTCTAAAGACTTGTCCATTCTGAATATTTTATGTAAATGGAGCCATGTATTATGTGGACTTTTATGGCTGCTGCTTTCACTTAATATAATTTTTTAAGGTTCATCCATGTTGTAGCATATATTAGTACTTTATTCCTTTTTATTGCCAAATACTATTTCATTACATGGATATATGATATTTTATGTATCCATTTATCAAGCAGTAGGTATCTGGGTTTTTCCCTCTTTTTAGATATTGTGGATAATGCTGCTGTGAGAATTCATGTAAAGGCTTTTTTAAGCCAATTGAATCTTGCTATAACTTCATTTATAAAACAAAACTAGAGTTTATGCTCTATGTTTGTATGTTTGAAGAAATCATTTCAGATGTCTTAGTGATTTATGACATAGGTATAGAAGGATACAATATAGATATGTTTTCAGCTGATATTTCTAATAACACAATTAGCAATAGCATATTTTAATTCTAGCTTTCAGTTGGTAAATAGATAAGAGAGCTCTTTAAATATTGGCTGATTAATAGACCCTTTGATTTTCTTTTGTATTTATTTATCCATCCATTCATCCAATAGTTACCAATGCTTATGAGTGCCAATTCTGTGCTTTTCCCACAAGACACACAATGGTATATAAGAAAGAACTTACACATAAGGAATTCATATTCTGGTAGAGGAGAAAGGACATGTGTACAAATCAGTGAAATACATGGTAGAAAGTGAGAATGACCTTTAATGAGACTCAGATACGGCCTCAGTGAGTTCAGAGATTCTTTGCTCACAACAACATTTCAACAAATTATTTTCCTAGTTTATCTCAACAAATTCTTGTTGGTATTTCAATAAGAATTTGTTGAGATGAATTAAGAAAAGAGAGATTTATTTAGGTATGGAAAATTTAAAGGATCCAAGTAGGAAGTAATTGCTGTTTAAATATGATGTTGTTAAAGATCTTACAGTGGTGCATAATAATTGCCAAAGAGATCTGAAAGTGTTGGTAGCAGCTAGTTACAGAAGCTCAAATCCTGTGCCTTATGGAGCTATATGATTATACTTTGACACACACACAAAAACCACCCTACATTGCTGTCCAGCTTATTTGAATGTACTTTGCACATTGTATTAGGGTTCTCTAGAGAGACAGAACTAAGGGAATATATAAAGGGGAGTTTATTAATATTAAGTCGCATGATCACAAGGTCCCACAATAGGCCATCTGCAGGCTGAGGAGAAGGGAAAACCAGTCTGAGTTACAAAACTGAAGAACGTGGAGTCCAATGTTCAAGGGCAGGAAGCATCCAGCACGGGAGAGAGATGTAGGCTGGGAGGCTAGGCCAGTCTTTCTTTTTACATTTTTCTGCCTGCTTATATTCTAGCCTCGTTGGCAGCTGATTAGATTGTGCCCACCCAGCTTAAGGGTGGGTCTGCCTTTCTCAGCCCACTGACTCAAATGTTAATCTCCATTGGCAATACCCTCACAGATACACCCAGGATCAATAATTTGCATCCTTCAATCCAATCAAGTTGACACTCAGTATTAATCATCACACACACCAACATCTCCTTGGAAATAATTGTGACCTTTCCTTTGCCATCATTCTACCAAATATTCTGGAGGTCAACTAAAAATCCTTATAAGAAAGTAACATGTGAAATTATAAAGCAAAAACAGAAATGAATTTTGTTAACTCATGTATCATAATCCAGTTGCTGTTTTACAAATACTCCCGAGAACTTACTGTCAGGGAATACTGCTGTATATCATATTTCCTTTTCTCAGAACTAACGACAACATTTGATACACTGAGAAGTTTTGCTGATTTGGTTAATTTATTAAAAATAATACAAATACATATACCAAAGATGCAATGTATTGATTGCACATTGACTTGAAATAGCTTGATCATGATATCCTGCAAAACTGATTCATTCCAATCATAACTATTATCTGTTTCTTTTCCTGAGAAACAATATTAAAATGCATTGATTTGTAATCAGAATGCTCTGAGATACCATATCTGTGAATACTGGAATTTATCAAGAGTATCCTTTCAGTATAGTAGCAATCAATCAGTCATGGATCCTTTCTACTTTTAGTAGAAAGATTAGAGACGATGTCATGAAGGAATGGAGACTAGCTGAATCAGGAGGGAGACAGCTTAGCTAAGAGGAAGTTAGAGAGCACTCCCTGTAGAGAAATGACATGAGCAAATGAGCAAATAGTGTGAGGAAGCCTTATATGAGTTACGTGATGCTCCTTATTGTGGGAGACATTGCACGTTTCTGTTTTATAAGTAAATGGAAGCATAGTTAGGAAATCAGAGGTCAATGTTTTAAAAATTTAATTTAAGTTCCAGGATACATGTGCAGAACGTGCAGGTTTGCTACATAGGTAAACGTGTGCTATGGTGATTTGCTGCACCTGTCAACTCATCACCTGGGTATTGATCCCCATATGCATTATCTATTTATCCTGATGCTCTTCCTTCTCCCACACTCCCAACAGCCCTGGTGTGTGTTGTTCCTGTCCCTGTGTCCATGTGTTCTCATTGTTCAGCTTCCACTTACGAGTGAGAACATGTGGCATTTGGTTGTCTGTTCCTGGGTTAGTTTCCTGAGGATGATGGCTTCCAGCTTCATCCACGTCCCTGCAAAGGACAAGATTTCATTCCTTTTTAGGGCTGCATAGTATTCCATGGTGTATATGTACCACATTTTCTCTATCCAGTCTATCACTGATGGGCATATGGGTTGATTCCATGTGTTTAGTATTGTGAATAGTCCTGCAATAAACATATGTATACATGTATCTTTATAATACAATGATTTATATTCCTTTGGGTGTACACCCAGTAATAGGATTGCTGGGTCAAATGGTACTTTTAGTTCTAGATCCTTGAGGAATTGTCACACTGTCTTTCACAATGGTTGAACTTATTTACATTCCCACCAATAGTGTAAAAGTGTTCCTATTTCTCCGCAGCCTCTCCAGCATCTGTTGTTTCTTGACTTCTTAGCAATCACCATTCTGACTGGCATAAGATAGTATCTCATTGTGGCTTTGATTTGCATTTCTCTAATGATCAGTGATGTTTAGCTTTTTTTCATATGTTTGTTGGCTGCATAAATTTCTCCTTTTGAGAAGTGTCTGTTCATGTCCTTTGCCCACGTTTTGATGGTTTTTTTTTTCTTGTAGATTTGTTTAAGTTCCTTGTAAATTCTGGATATTAGAGCTTTGTCAGAAGGGTAGATTGCAAAAATTTTCTCCCATTCTGTAGGTTGCCTGTTCATTCTTATAATAGTTTCTTTGTTGTGCAGAAGCTTTTTAGTGTAATTAGATTGCATTCGTCAATTTTTGCTTTTGTTTTAATTGCTTTTGGTGATATCATCATAACATCTTTGCCCATGCCTATGTCCTGAATGGTATTGCCTAGATTTTCTTCTAGGATTTTTATGGTTTTGGGTTTTGCATTTAAGTCTTTAATCCATCTTGAGTTAATTGTTGTATAAGGTTTATAGAAGGTGTCCAGTTTCAGTTTTCTGCATATGGCTAGCCAGTTTTCCCAGCACCATTTATTAAATAGGGAATGCTTTCCTTATTGTTTGTTTTTGCCAGGTTTGTTGAAGGTCAGATGATTGTAGATGCGTGATCTTACTTCTGAGATCTCTATTCTGTTGCATTGGTCTATGTGTCTGTTTTGGTACCAGTTTCATGCTGCTTTGGTTACTGTAGCCTTGTAGTATAGTTTGAAGCCAGGTAGCATGATGCCTCCAGCTTTGTTATTTTAGCTTAGGATTGTCTTGGCTATATGGGCTTTTTTTTTGTTTCATATGAATTTTAAAGTAGGTTTTTCTAATTCTGTGAAGAATGTCAATGGTAATTTTATGGGAATAGCATTGAATCTATAAATTACTTTGGACAATGTGGCCATTTTCACGATATTGATTCTTCCTATCCACAAGGATGAAAAGTTTTTCCATTTGTTTATGTCCTCTCTTACTTCCTTGAACTGTGGTTTGTAGTTCTTCTTGAAGAGGTCCTTCACATCCCTTGTTAGGTGTATTCCTAGGTATTTTATTCTCTTTGTAGCAATTGTAAATGGAAGTTCATTCATGATTTGGCTCTCTGCTTGTCTATTGTTGGTGTATAGGAATGCTTGTGATTTTTGCACATTGATTTTGTATCCTGAGACTTTGCTGAAGTTGCTTATTAGCTTAAGGAGCTTTTGGGAGAGGTCAATTTTTAAGAAGTGACTTCCTAAATAGACAGGTTTTGTTAAGTATACAGCCACTCTCATTGGGAAGAAACATGGGTAAGTTGGAAAAAGAATACCCATTTTACTGAATAATTCTGGAGAAAAATCAAATGACCTTGAAAATGAGTTCTGCCATAAGTTTGTTGAGATAAGTGTAACTATCCCCACACCTCTGCCAAGAAATCTTACTCTGATTTATCTGGTCAGTTTCTTCTAACACTTTTCTACAGTAACCATTCCAAACTTCTTTTTTTCTCCAAACTCCAACCTGACTAAACTCATGTCTGCCAACTATACACTCATTCTCATAAAATAACTTTAATGATAATAAAGAAAATATAATTCATTAACTAGAAAGCCACTTAATTTCTTCCAACACACAAACGTTCCTTTTTGTTCAATGGGACAGAGTAGAGATCTCAGAAGTAAGACCATATATCTACAGTCATCTGATGTTCAACAAACTGGCAAAAACAATGAATGGGGTATAACTACACCCATTCACCCTTCTCTCTTCCTGTGATAATTGAAAATCATCTCTCCTCTCTAAAGCTTATCTTAGTACCTATCCTCTAAGTCTCTTTTTGGGATGTATATTCTCTATCTGACCCTTGGTGTCCACTTTCCACCATTTTCTCCTGCTCTTGTCCCAGGAGACTGACCTAAATCACCTGTATAAATGCTCCCTTGCCTCTGGCATTTGGTTGGATATGGCCAGTGGAAGTCACCAGCATTTGATCAGAAAATAGGAGAATGGTGAGGCCGGGATATTTATTCCTCTTTTCCAGGCTGCAGGGTTGGCATAGCTGTGTTCCTGTATCAAAGGCCACAGCACTTACACTGGGAAGTTGGCTCCTACAGCTACGTACATTACATACATGTCTCAAAGGCTTTGGTAACCATTTCCTTCTTTTTTTTTCTTTTTTTTTGGACAGAGCCTTGCTCTGTTGCCCAGGCTGGAGTGCAGTGGTCCGTGATCTCGGCTCACAGCAACCTCCACCTCCTGGGTTCAAGTGATTCTCCTGCCTCTGTCCCCCAAGTAGCTGGGATTACAGGTGCGTGCCATCATGCCCAGCCAAGTTTTGTATTTTTAGTAGAGATGGGGTTTCACCATATTGGTCAGGCTGGTCTTGAACTACTGACCTCAAGCAGTCCACCTGTTTTGGCCTCCCAATGTGCTAGAATTACAGGCATGAGCCACCGTGCCCAGCCATGATCCTTCCTTATCAGGCATAGCTGAGGAACCTATTGCTGATACCAGGAGTGCATCACTATCTTCGGTTTCTTTTCCTTATTTTATCCATAATTTTGTCAATGGATCATTCATTAACTCACTTTATTTCCCTGCTTTTTTTTTTTTTGAGTTGCTGCTGCTTGACAAGACCCTGACTATACACTTCCCTCCTACTTCCTTAACAATTATTCTCTGTCAAAAAAATTATTACAAACTTGGAAATAAGGATAAAAGGTGAACAGCATGTTCTTTCATTGTCTTATAGGGAGATTGCTTTATTGGTCTACCCAAGGATTATCCAAGGTGATGTACTTTGTTCACCTCACGCTTTATTATGGATTAGACATGCTTAGTGAAGTTACATGCTAATTTATGTATTTTTGCCCTATAAGGTTACAAATAATTTCTGTCCAAGTTTTCTCTTTCATAAAAAGATAACTCCAAAGCTTCCAGTTTTTTCAGGATATTAATAAATTTCATAATGTAGCAATCTTATCCTCAATTCCTTTATTAAATTTCTTATAATAAATCAGCTATTCAAATCACTGAGTAGGTCTTAACATTTTCTGGGTTACCTTATTAATCAATGAATTAAATGGTGTCTTTAATACATGTTCACTTTATATTTGCATTAGAGTCATGATTTTACCTCTTTGAAAATTCCACTTTAGCACCTCTTTTAATTATCTTTCCTGTCTTATTCCCACAGCTTCCATCTTTCGTTATCTATTGGTTCCTTCTTTTATGAGTTTAAGTGTCCTCAAATCTCTATCATTAGAAAAGCAACCAACCAACCAACAAACAAAAAACCCCAAAGCCTCCTGCATTCCCACCTATACTTTATGCTTCTTGGAAGAGTTGCCTTCATACACATGCTTTGTTCATTTCTTCATTTCATATTTACTTCTCCTTCCACTGACATGATTTCTTCTTCCATGATTCTAATGAAACTGCTCATGTCAAGGCAGTTAAAGACCTCCTTATTCAATTTAATAAACATATTAAGTTCTAAAGCTGTTCAAGTTCATCATTCTATTTGACTATGGTGTCTCTTTTCATTATATATATATTTTTATATTTTTCATTATATATATTTATTTTTCATAGAATCTTGCATTTTTTATTTTCTTTCTTTTTCTTTTTTTGAGACGGAGTCCTGCTCTGTCACCTAGGCTGATGTACAGTAGCGTGATCTCGGCTCACTGACAACATTGCCTTCCGGGTTCAAGTGATTCTGCTGCCTCAGCCTCCTGAGTAGCTGGTATTACAGGAGCATACCACAACACCCGGCTAATTTTTTTTGTATTTTTAGTACAGACGGGATTTCACCATTTTGGCCAGGCTGGTCTCGAACTCCTGACCTCAGGTGATCCACCCACCTTAGCCTCCCAAAGTGTTGGGATTACAGGCGTGAGCCACCACACCCAGTCTCTTTTTCCTTTCTGGTTGAAATTTTAAGGCTTTTGATTGCTTTTAAGAGTGGTTGTGCCTGGCCAGGTGCGGTGGCTCATGCCTGTAATCCCAGCACTTTGGGAGGCCAAGGTGGGTGGATCACGTGAGGTCAGGAGTTCGAGACCAGCCTGATCAACATGGAGAAACCCTGTCTCTACTAAAAATACAAAATTAGCTGGGCATGATGGCACATGTCTGTAATCCCAGCTACTCAGGAGGCTGAGGCAGGAGAATTGCTTGAACCTGGGAGGATTGCACTACATGCCAACATGCCAGCCTGGGTGACAGAGAGGGACTCTGTCAAAAAAAAAAAAAAAGAGTGGTTGTGCCTCAAGATTTTTGCCTTAGCCTTCTTTTCTTTCTTTTTTTCCAGTTTAATCTTTTATTTTCTCCTGCTTGGAGTAAAGTGAGAAAGTGAGAAGGAAAAATAGCCCAGGGATTTTATTAGTTGGAATTCCACAATTTCTTTTAACTTTATATTTTGATATAACTTAGACTTTATGTAAAAGTTGCAGGAATAGAGTTCTTGTATGTATACCCCTCACTCAGTCTCTCCTAATATTAACATCTTCCATCACCATAGCACAATACTTGACACCAGGAAGTTGGCATTGATACAATACTATTAACTATAGACCTTATTCGGGTTCGCTAGTTTTCTCACTAATGTGTCCTCCTCATCTAGAATCTAATCCAGGATTCCACACTGAATTAATTGTCATAAATTCTTAGTCTCCTCCAGTCAGTGATGGTTCCTCAGTCCTTCCTTGTCTTTCAAGATCTTGACACTTTGAAGAGTACTGATCAGTCATTTTGTAGAATGTCCCACAATCTGTACTCATCTGAAGTTTCTAGGATTAGATTGAAGTATGACTTTTTGGAAAAAACACCAGAGAAGTAGTGTATCACATCAGAATTTATATAACATCCATAGATTTTCTAACTAGTAATGTTAACTTTGCTCATTTGGTTAACGTGATGTCTACCAGAATTCTTCATGGAAAAGCAACAACAACACTAATCATTAGAGAAATGCAAATCAAAACCACAATGAGATACCGTCTCACACTAATCAGAATGGCTATTATTAAAAGGTCAAAAACAACAGTTCCTGGAGAGGCTGTGGAGAAAAAAGACATGCTTATATACTGTTGGTGGGAATGTAAATTAATTCAGCCACTGTGGAAAGCAGTTTGGAGATTTCTCAAAGAACTTAAATCGGAACTACCATTTGACCCAGCACTGGTAATAGTTATTGGGTATATATCCAAAAGAAAACAAATCAGACTGAGCGCAGTCGTTCATGTCTGTAATTTTAGCACATTGGGAGGCTGAGGCAGGTGGATTGCTTGAGTTCAGGATTTGGAGACACCTGGGGAACGGGGAACATAAGGAAACCCCATCTCTACCAAAAATTCAAAACTTAGCTGGGCATGATGGCGTGCACCTGTAGTCCCAGCTACTCAGGAGGCTGAGGTGGGAGGATCGCTTGAACCCAGGAGGTTGAGGTTGCAGTGGGCTGAGATCACGCCACTGCACTCCAGCCTGGTGACAGAGCAAGACCCTATCTCATAAAAAAAAAGAAAAGAAATCATTCTACCAAAAGATACATGCACTCACATGTTCATTGCAGCACTATTGACAATAGCAAAGACATGGAACCAATCTATGTGCCCAACAACAGTGGATTGGATAAAGAAAATGTGGTTCATATACATCATAGAATACTATGCAACCATCAAAAAGAATGAGATCATGTATTTTGCAGCCATAAGGATTAAGCTGGAGGCCATTATCCTAAGTGAACTAACATAGGAACAGAAAACCAAATACTGCATGTTCTCACTTATAAGTGGGACCTAAACATTGGGTACTCATGGACAAAAAGTTTGCAACAATAGAAACTACAGATTACTAGAGGGGAGAGGGAGAGAAGGAGCAAGGGTTGAAAAACTAACTATTGGGCACTATACTCAGTACCTGGGTGATGAGATCATCTGTACCCCAAACCTCAGCATCATGCAATATATGCTGAGACAGGTTCTTGCTATGCTGCCTAGGGTAGTCTCAAACTCCTGGTTTCAAATGATTATGTGACCTCAGTCTCCAGAGTAGCTAGGACTACAGATGTCTAACACCATGCCCAGCTTCATCAGATAATTTTAATAACAAAGGGTCAAGTAGTAGCGTTTTCTCCTTCTTATTCTCCATATATTTCACACATGATTCTGTTCTTTTCCACAACTTCAATTACCATTTAGCTCTGTGGTACAGGCCTAGCTTTATCTACAAAGCACCAGATCTGCACATCCAACTGCTATCGGACATCTTGGATGTCCCAACATATCTCAGACTCCAAATAGCCACAAAAGAACTAAACCTTCTTACATTTGCTGCCTCTTCTGTGCTTCCTAAATTATTGAATAGTGCCATCAGCACTAGGTTACTTAAGCCAGAAACCTGGACACGTTTCTTGGATTCTTCTACCTTACCTTATATATTCAGTTAGACTCTAATTGGGACAATTCTACCTTTTAATTATTTCTCAGGTCTATTCTTGTCTGCACCCTGACTCCTACCTTTTGGGTTAGGCTGCAAACATTCAACTGGCCCCTAGTTAGCCTTCCTGCTTCTATTTTGCCTATTCTATGCCATTTATCTAAAGTGCAGTTTTAATCATCTCATTCACTTTTAACCCTTAAATACCTCCTATTTCCTTTGGATAAGTCCAATGTCCATATCATGCTCCTTCATCTTCCATCCCTGCCTTCTGCTACCATCACATTTCTTGCTATTTAATTCACCAACTCTTTGTTCCAGCCATAGAAGGGGATATAAAGGCCTAGTGAGACTCAAGTATTGAGCTCCATTGAAATAGGCTTGTACTGTGTTCTCTACAGAATACAAGATTATCAACCAAAGGGGAAGCAGAGGTAACAAAAATAATAAAAATATATTTGCAAATTGTGGCTGATAAACTGAGTTTACAAAACAGTAGTTTTTAATTGGAAGAAATAAAAGCTATTACTTGCAGGCCACTTGCTGCCCTGTACCTCTTTCTGGCTATGCCGAGATTGTAAAAACTGATTGCTCTTTACTGGGGCCATTTTTCAGGGTTGTTTATGCAGTTGGTAATCTTGAAAGATGAGGTAACATCTCCTCTTAATTCCAGGCAGAGAACAAGTCTGCTTCCTCCTTTCTGTAAAAGTGTTGGATTCTCCAGCCTCAGTGTTCCTCAGCAGGGGTGCAGATACTCTGCTTGTGTAGTATTCATCTGAGCTCCTCAGTGTCTCCCCCATGGGATTTGGGGCATGGGATTTGCATCACTGCAAATCTGCGGATGCTCCTGCTGCTGGCTGCACTATGCAAAATAAAATCCTTTGTTTTTTACTCAGGAGTTTTATCTCTTTGGCTAACATTCAGGAAAGAACAAAAGGCTAATTTGTTAGCTTGTAAATAAAATCCAACTTGAACGTTTTATATTTTTAAAGTAAGTAGTTCTTTTGCTTTCACATCATTGTAAGAAATGTTGGTCAAATTCCACTTTTCTCCCGAAAAGGAAATTAAAATAACTGATGATGATCCCAGATAACAATGGCATCTGACACCCCCACTTTGAAGCACTCCTCAATAGTGATAGGTTAGCATTCCATATCCACTTTTTCTAATTCACAATCATGAGACTTAAGGCTGTGTTAGGAATATGAAGTCATGTTATTCTCAGATTCTCCAGGGCATCTGAAGTTTAAGAGATTTATTATTTTATTGGTTCAAAAATAAATCAGCACCTCTAATTTATTGATACAACCACAAGAATATGGATCATCAAATCCTGGCTAGAGTATCTGAAAGAATGGATGTACAGTGAGCTGAATGAGGAAGTCCAAAATCGAACCCAGTTTTTCATTAATTCATTCTGTAGACAATAAGCACCTACTGATTTCCAGGCACTACTCTAGAAAGTAAGAATATGGAAATACAAGACAAGATCCTTGAAGTCTTTTAAAGCTTAGAGCTGAAGGAAGAGACTGACATGCAAACATTTCTAATATGATGTAATAAGAATTTTGATAAAACTCAGTATACTACTAAAGTGCCCAGTGCACATGAATGCCCACCCATGTTCACACATAAAATACTTTTAACTCCATTATCCAGAAAACACTACTGTTCATAGTTTGGTAGATTTGCTAGATATCCTTTTAGACTAATGTTTTTTATCCTGGGAATACATAATACAACATATATATGTATATATATACACATATATATGTATATGTGTATATATACACATATATATGTATATGTGTATATATACACATATATGTATATACTTAATATATACTTATGAAAGTATAATTACTTATATATACTTAATTTAATATACAATCATATATGTAATATATACTTGTATAATATGTACTTATAAATATATATACTTATGTAATATGTATATATAATTTCACATATGTAATTAAGAAAACACAATAAGTGCTATAAAAATACATGCTGTGCTATAAGTTTATGAATACTTTATCCAGAAACCCTTTTCTATGACAGCTCATATATATATATATATATATATATATATATATAAAATTCATTAGGAATCCCAAATGTGAACTATACTTCATTGTCCAAAGAATTTAAAAAGATAATACATAATTTGTCTAACAAACTTTCTGTATTTTCCCAAGCCTTCATAAAAGAAAGTGATAGAATTCATGTTCAGTTGTATGCACTGAGTGTACATAAGGAAAATACTTCTATTTCATTACTGTTCTGAGACTGAAATGACAAATTAAATTCATGAGGAATCAAATTCACTTGGAACAAACAACTCAGTATTTTACATTCTAAACTGATAAGAACTGCCAGGGTTTGAAAAAGTTTCATGTATTGTGTTTGCATTTTGGAATTTCAAAGGCCTGCTATTGATTTGGTTACCATAGACTTCAAATGAATGAGTATAATAGCAAGACTACTACCTGTATTTGCCAGCACCCCAATAAAATTTTACATGGAGGGAAATCTTTCTTCTGTCTGCCACAAGATCACTGAAACATGGTGCCCAAGGGAAAAATGGCTGTTGTCCTCTTCCTTAAAGGGTGACTGCAGGTGAGGCTGTGACTTGAAAAATGTGAGTGTGGCAAATACAGCAGTTTGCCCACTCAATGCCCATATATGGAGCCTTCTCCCTACATAACGTGGTACCATCCACTGAGATGTAAGCAAGAGTCAGCTGAGTGAGGCTTCCCAGAAAGCCATAGCTTTCTTGATGAGGAAGGACAAGCACAGCCGCGCTGCCCCTTCTGCCTCGTTCTTCACTTTGCTCTGGTCTCATTCTTCTTTCCTTGCACTGTGGAACCATGAGGCGATGATGAGGAAAAGAAGGTCTATGTGGCAAAGGCACAGGGGCAAGAAGACAAAAGTTCCTGAATTTCCAGTGACATCAGTGAGTAAGTGAATGCCAGTTACCACCTTCCCTTGAGCTTCTTCTTCTGTGAAAAAGAAACTTTATTTAAGCTACTGATAATAATATATTTTTTACTTGCAGCTAAACTTATTTATAACTGGTATAGTAGGAAATACAGATTTGCCTCTACTCTCCCCTTTACACAGTCTCCAAATTCAGCACTTGTAAAACAGTATGAAAGAAAGACAACATATTAGGTGTTTGGGTTCGTAAGTTTGTTCCTTCATCTCACACACCATTGGTCAGGTAGTTCTAGAGCCTAATATTAAGCTCTGGGTTTCAAAATTTAAAAGATATTTAGATGCCCCAGAAAGAGTTCAAAGGAACCTTCAAAAAGAAATATATGGCTTGTGAATAAAGATTTAAGAAGAAATACTTTAAAAATCAGCCACTACAGTATTTTTGGCCATGAGAAAGAGGTGAAAATTTATTATTAGCAAACCAAATCTTACAATGTATTAAAAATACATCATGGACAAAATGAATATTTCCCAGGAATTTTAGGAAGCCTTAAAATTAAAAAGTACAAGGCATGATACAACTGTTCATTTAGATTATCATTACCAAAATTATTACCTTCCTGCTAATTTAGAACTCTATGAGGGCAAGATTGTGTCTATTTTGTTTTTGTTTTTGAGATGGAGTTTCACTCTTGTTGCCCAGGCTGGAGTGCGATGGCGCGATCTTGGCTCACTGCAACCTCTGCCTTCCAGGTTCGAATGATTCTCATGCTTCAGCCTCCCGAGTAGCTGCGATTACAGGCGCCCATCACCACACCTGGCTAATTTTTGTATTTTTAGTAGAGACAAGGTTTCACCACATTGGCCAGGCTGGTCTTGAACTCCTGACCTCACATGATCCACCTGCCTTGGCCTCCCAAAGTGCTGGGATTACAGGCATGAGGCACCGCACCCGGCCGATTGTGTCTGTTTTATTCATTGTTTTACTTCCAGTTCCAAGTATCTGTGCTCATAGTAGGCATCAATAACATATTTTTCCAATAAAATTAAATTGCATGTGATTAGATATTATAGAAATTTAGTTTTAAAGGTATTTATAGAAACCAAAATGTTTCACATATTTCAAGTCATTTCAAAAGCAGAAGATAAAATTATTTCACTTTTTTAAAGGTAGAAGTAATGTCCTAAGGAATCCTTTTCAACGCTTTGGAATCAGGGTGGCCAAAAATATTTATTCAGTCCTCCACTATTGGCTAACATTGGGCTGCAGTCCTTATAGCTGAACAATAGACTCTTCTTCCTTGGAATACTCCTCAACACAGTCTTAGAGTTACCCATTACCAGACAATCAGAATTAGCACAGGCAACACAACCAGATTTCTATTTCTGCATTGTTGTAGGAAAAAAAATCACAAAAGTGACTCTAACAGAATATCTAATTATACATTGAATGATAATACTAGTATAGAAACAGCTTCAGGAAAGCCTAGCATTTAATGTATGTTCAATTTCCCCACTTTTGCTTTCCCATGATCATGAACGCGGGCCCTAATGGCATATTTGGGACAAATTATTTATTATTTCAGATTTAGACAAAGTCACTTTTGGTGTTTAAACTTTAAGTAATTTAATGGTTTGGTGAATAATTTGAATTCCAAATGTAGCTCGGTTTTGGCAAAGCCAAACATAGATTATAATTATTGCATGTGTGTCAAGTTATTGTCCTCAAACCTCTTAAATATGTTCCAGCCAGGAAAAGAAACACATTTCTCAATTACTTTTGAAAAATCATGTGTTAAAAATGACCAAGGGGTTCAAGATAGTTGCAATAAATTACTTAATAAAGGCAGTCTTAAATTGCGGAGAATTACCTTGCATAATTAATTTGAGATTCAGCAGCATGATAATCAGTATCATTTTCTGTAAAAATCAGGAAACTTTAATTGAATATTTCTATTTTATCCTCAGGGGGGCTTTCTCCAATTTGATCAGTCACAAAGTTCAGAGTGTCAGTTTTAATTAGTTTTGTGCCAGAGGGTACCATTTGCCCTTATAAGTATCATCAAAGGGCTCTAAAGATGCTTTTTCTTTTTCTTTTTTTCTTTTTTGAGACTGTGTCTTGCTCTATCGCCCAGGCTGGAGTGCAGTGGCGTGATCTTGGCTCACTGCAACCTCTGCCTCCTTGGTTCAACCAATTTTCCTGCCTCAGCCTCCAGAGTAGCTGGGATTACAGGCGCCTGCTACCATGCCTAGCTTTTTTTTTTTTTTTTTTTTTTTTTTTTTGTATTTTTAATAGAGACAAGGTTTCACCATGTTGGCCAGGCTGGTCTCAAACTTCTGACCTCAGGTGACCCACCTGCCTCAGCCTCCCAAAGTGCTGGGATTACAGGCGTGAGCCACTGTGCCCGGCCTAAAGATGCTTTTTCTGTGAGGGTTTAGATACTGAACTTCCATGATGAATTATCCATACACTGGAGCCTTGGTTTCTTCACAAGCAAAAACTGAAAAGTGTTTTCCAGTTTACTTTGTCTTATTATATATAGATATGACTCTTATTTGAATTAGAAAAATGAACTATCAAAGATTTACATTTTTGTCTCTTTGTATAGAGGGATACAGCATATTTCTTAGAATTTACCAATTGGCTTTAAACTTTTAATCTCACGGTTAAATGAAAAGTAATTATAAAACTTACTAAAGACAATAGCAACTCTTAGAAATATAGGCCTAGAGGCCAGGCACGGTGGCTCACACCTGTAATCCAAGTACTTTGGGAGGCCGAGGCGGGCGGATCACGAGGTCAGGAGATCGAGACCATCCTGGCTAACATGGTGAAACCCCGTCTCTACTAAAAATGCAAAAAAAAAATTAGCCGGGCGTGGTGGCGGGCCCCTGTGGTCCCAACTACTCGGGAGGCTGAGGCAGGAGAATGGCGTGAACCCGGGAGGCAGAGCTTGCAGTGAGCCGAGAATGCACCACTGCACTCCAGCCTGGGCGACAGAGCAAGACTCCGTCTCAAAAAAAAAAAAAAAAAAAAAAAAAAGGAAATATAGGCCTAGGGCACCGGCAGAGAAAAAATGGAGGATGGGAGGCAGGACCAACTTGCTTCTCCCACCTGGATGGACAGAGCGGCGTGTGGAGACTCACATCATGAACTTTTGCTCCAAGAATTACCACAGGTACATACCAGGAAAGCCAAAAGAATCTACAGACCCTTTAAAGGAACTGACTTGCCGCCACAGGCTCTGTGAGACAGCCGCAAAACTGTAGGCGCCTTAAGTGTGTAAGGGGGAACGTCTCTCCCCGAAAACACATCCTCAACAGGGAACACGAAGGTCCAAATCACAGGAGAAGGATTTAACCTTACCTGGATTTGAGACAAATTTAGAGAGCTGAGCTAAGTATAAGGGTTGAGGAAGCAGTGGGAAGACCCCCGTGGGCACTTTTGGTCCCCAAGGAAGCCATTTATGACTTTGTCTTGCAGACGCCCTTGGGTAGGGCTGCCAGGAGAATTGGGGAAAGATCACAGGGAGAAGGAAACTTCCAGCTTAACTTTTTAACAATTTCCACCAAACGAGCAAAGTTTCCTGTACAGAATCCGGGGGAGGGGCGAACAGGGATTGCAGAAACGAGGAAGCCTGAAGCCTGAAAGCCCTACTTGCTTTCTCAGCGGGGGAGGCTTGTAGCCTGGGGCAAGTTCTCAGGCCTGCTGGTTGGCTGCCTAGAAATAAACTGGGTGCTATTGGTGGGGAGTGAGACTGGCCTTTTCGCTGCGTGGAAGCTGAGTAAGGCCTGTCACTGCGAGCTTTCCCCCACTTCCCTGGCCACTGTACTACACAGCAGAGGCAGCCATAATCCCCTTGAGAACATAACTCAATTGGATGGAGAACCGCATCCCCAACCCCCACAATGTCTGCAGCAAGCCCTGCCCAAGGAGAGTCTGAGCTCAGGCACACCTAACCCTGTCCCCACCTAATGGGCATTCTCTACCTGCCCTGGTAGCTGAAGACAAAGGACATAATCTCTGGGAGCTCCATGGCCCCGTCCACCACATGAGAAACAAAAATATTTATCCAGGTGAACCTAGGGCAAGCTTGTAGCCTCCCTCAACTACCGCAGCTGATGCTCTTTTGAAAGCGCCACCTCCTGGCTGCAGGCCAACCAACACAAAACTAGCACACTAAACAAAACTACAACCAAGGACCCTCACAGAGTCCACTTCACTCCCCTGCTACCTCCACCGGAGCAGGTGCTACATGGTGGAGAGACCTGAAGATGGATCAAATCACAGGACTCTTTGCAGACACTCCCCAGCACCAGCCTGGAGCCTGGTAGCTCCCCAGAAGAGAAATAATAATCACTGCACTTTGGCTCTCAGGCAGCCCCTAGGGGAGGGGGGAGAGCATCACATCAAGGGAGCACCCTGTGGAACAAAAGAATCTGAACAGCAGCCCTTGAGCCCCAGATCTTCCCTCTGACATAGTCTATTCAAATGAGAAGGAAACAGAAAAACAATTCTGGTAATATGACAAAACAAGGTTCTTTATTACCCCCAAAAGATCATACTAGCTTACTAGCAATGGATCCAAACCAAGACAGAATCTCTGAATTGCCAGAAAAAGAATTCGGAAGGTTGATTATGAAGCTACTCAAGGAGGCACGAGAGAAAGGTGAAGTCCCACTTAAAGAAAAAAAAAATACAGGATATGAATGGAGAAATCTCCAGATAAATAGATCGCATAAATAAAAAACAATCACAACTTTTGGAAATGAAGGGCACACGTAGAGAAATGGAAAGTCTCAACAACAAAATCGAGCAAGTAGAAGAAAGAGCTTCAGAGCTCAAAGACAAGGCTTTTAAATTAACCCAGTCTGACAAAGACAGAGAAAAAAGAATTAAAGAAATAAACAAAGCCTCCAAGAAGTTTGGGATTATGTTAAATGACCAAACCTAAGAATAATTGGTGTTCTTAAGGAAGAAGAGAAATCTCAAAGTTTGGAAAACATATTTGAAGGAATAATTGAGGAAAACTTCCCTGGCTTTTCTAGAGACCGAGACATCCAAATATGAGAAGCTCAAAGAACACTTGGGAAATTCATCGCAAAATGATCATCGCCTAGGCACATAGTCATCATGTTATTAAAGCCAAGACGAAGGAAAAAATCTTAAGGGCTGTGAGGCAAAAGCATCAGGTAACCTCTAAAGGAAAACCTATCAGATTAACAGCAGATTTCTCAGCAGTAGCCCTATATTCTAGAAGAGATTGGGGTCCTATATTTAGTCTCCTTAAACAAGACAATTATCAGCCAAGAATTTTGTTTCCAATGAAACTAAGGTTCATAAATGAAGGAAAGCTATGGTCTTTCAAAGACAAACAAATGCTGAGAGAATTTGCCATTACCAAGCCAGCACTACAAGAACTGGTAAAAGGAGCTCTAAATCTTGAAACAAATCCTCAAAATACACCAAAATGGAACCCCTTTAAGTCATAAATATCACAGGACCTATAAAACAATAACACAATGAAAGAAAAAGCAAGGTATTCAGGCAACAACTAGCAAAATGAATAGAACAGTACTTCACATCTCAATACTAACATTAAATGTAAATGGCCCAAATGCTCAAGAGATACAGAATGGTAGAATGTATAAGGGTTCACCAACCAAATATCTGCTGTCTTCAAGAGACTCACCTAACACAGAATAACTCACATAAACTTAAGGCAAAGGAATGGAAAAAGATATTCCATGCCAATGGACACCAATGGTGAGGAGGAGTAGCTATTCTTATATCAGACAAAACAGAATTTAAAGAAACAACAGTTAAAAAAGACAAAGAGGGGCATTATATAATGATAAAAGGACTAGTCTAACAGGAAAATGTCACAATCCTAAATATATATGCAACTGATGCTGGAGCTCCTAAATTTATAAGAGAATTACTAGTAGACTGAAGACATTAGATGGACAGCAACACAATAATAGTGGGGTTTTTGAATACTCCACTGACAGCACTGGATGTGTCATCAAGACAGAAAGTCAACAAAAAAACAATGAACTTAAATTATACCCTAGAGCAAATAGACTTAACAGTTATTTACAGAACATTCTACCCAACATCTGCAGAATATAACATTCTATTCATCAGCACATGGAACATTCTCCAAGATAGACCATATGGTAGGCCACAAAACCAGTCTTAATAAATTTAAGAAAATCAAAATTATATCAAATACTCTTTCAGACCACAGTGGAATAAAATTAGAAATCAACTCCAAAAGGAACCCTCAAAACCATGCAAATACATGGAAATTAAATAACCTGCTCCTGAATGATCACTGTGTCAACAATGAAATCAAGATGGAAATTAAAAAATTCTTTGAACTGAATGGTAATAGTGACAAAACCTATCAAAACCTATGTGATACAGCAAAGGCAGTGCTAAAAGAAAAGTTCATAGCATTAAATGCCTATGTCAAAAGGTCTGAAAAAGCACAAATAGACAATCTAAGGTCACACCTCAAGGAACTAGAGAAGCAAGAACAAACCAAACCGAAACCCAGCAGAAGGAAAGAAATAACCAAGATCAGAGCAGAACTGCATGAAACTGAAACAAACAAACAAAAAATATAAAAGATAAATGAAAAAAATTGGTTATTTGAAAAGATGAACAAAATGGATAGACCATTAATGAGATTAACCAAGTAAATAAGAGAGAAGATACAAATAAGCTCAATTAGAAATGAAATGAGACATATTACAACTGATACCACAGAAATACAAAAGATTACTCAAGGCTACTATAGATACCCATATGTGCACAAACTAGAAAACCTAGAAGAGATGGATAAATTCCTGGAAATATACAATCCACCTAGATTAAACCAGGAAGAAACAGAAACTTTGAACAAATCCATAACAAGCAGTGAGATTGAAATCATCATAAAAAGACTTCCAACAAAAAGAAGTCCCAGACCAGACTGATTCACAGCTGAATTCTATGAGACATTCAAAGAATAATTGATACCAATCCTATTGACACTATTCCAGAAGATAAAGAAAGAGGGAAACCTCCCTAAGTCAGTCTAAAGCCAGCATTACCCTAATACCTCAAACAGGAAAGGACATAACAAAAAAAGAAAACTACAGACCAATAAACCTGATGAACTTAGATGCAAAAATCTTCAACAAAACACTATATAACCAAATTTAACAGCATTTCAAAAAGATAATCCATTATGATCAAGTCAGTTTCATACCAGAGATGCAGGGATGGTTTAACCTATGCAAGTCAATAAATGTGATACACCACATAAACAGAATTAAAAACAAAAATCACATGAACATCTCAACAGACACAGAAAAAGCATTTGACAAAACCCAGCATTGTTTTATGATTAAATCCTCAGCAAAATCGGCATAGAAGGGGCATTTCTTAGGGTAATAAAAGCCATCTATGACAAACTTACAGCCAACATTATACTGAACAGAGAAAAGTTGAAAGTATTCTCCATGAGAACTGGAGCAAGGCAAGGAGGCCAACTCTCACAACTTCTATTCAATATAGTACTGGAAGTCCTAGCCAGAGCAATCAGAAAAGAGAAAGAAATAAAGGGCATCCACATTAGTAAAGAGGAAGTCTAGCTGTTGCTGTTAGCTGATGATATGATCGTACAGTTAGAAAACCCTAAAAGTCATCCCCAAATCTCCTAGAACTGATAAATGAATTCAGTAGTTTCAGGATACAAAATCAATGTACATAAATCAGTAGCACTGCTCTAAGCCAACAGTGACCAAGCTGAGAATCAAATCAAGAACTCAACACCATTTACAATAGCTGCAACAAACAAACAAACAAACAAATAAAAAATATAGGAATATACCTAATCAAGGAGGTGAAAGACCTCTACAAGGAAAACTACAAAACACCGCTGAAAGAAATGATGACAGAAACAAATGGAAAAACATCCCATGATCATGGATGGGTGGAATCAATATTGTGAAAATGACCATACCGCCAAAAGCAATCTACACATTCAATGCAATTCCCATCGAAATACCAGCATCATTCTTCACAGAACTAGAAGAAACAATCCTAAAATTCATATGGAACCAAAAAAGAGCCCACATAGCCAAAGCAAAGCTAAGCTAAAAGAACAAATCTGGAGACATCACACCATTTGACTTCAAATTATACTATAATGCCACAATTACCAAAATAGGATGGTGCTGATATAAAAATAGGCATATAGAGGTTGGGCATGGTGGCTCATGTCTGTAATCCCAGCACTTTGGGAGGCCGAGGTGGGCAGATCACGAGGTCAGGAGATCGAGACCATCCTGGATAACACGGTGAAACCCCGTCGCTAAAAATACAAAAAAAAATTAGTCGGGCATGGTGGAAGGCGCCTGTATTCCCAGCTACTCAGGAGACTGAGGCAGGAGAATGGCGTGAACCCGGGAGGTGGAGCTTGCAGTGAGCCGAGATTGCACCACTGCACTCCAGCCTGGGCCACAG
Organism: Homo sapiens; assembly: GCF_000001405.40. Lineage (NCBI taxonomy): Eukaryota > Metazoa > Chordata > Mammalia > Primates > Hominidae > Homo > Homo sapiens. The sequence goes on from NC_000004.12 coordinate 42,772,694, forward strand.
AGTGAGACTCTGTCTCAAAAAAAAAAAAAAAAAAAATAAAATAAAATAAAATAAAATAAAATAAAAAATAAATAAAAATTGGCATATAGACAAATAGAACAGAATAAAGAACCCAGAAATAATGCCAAATACTTATAGTCAACTGAATTTTGACAAAGCAAACAAAAACATAAAGTGGGGAAAGGACACCCTGTTCAACAAATGGTGCTGGGATAATTGGCAAGTCACATGTCGAAGAATGAAACTGTATCCTCATCTCTCACCTTATACAAAAATCAACTCAAGATGGATCAAAGACTTAAATCTAAGACCTGAAACCATAAAAATTCTAGAAGATTACATTGGACAAACCCTTCTAGATATTGGCTTAGGCAAAGACTTCTTGACAAAGAACCCAAAAGCAAATGCAACAAAAACAAAGATAAATAGATTGGACTTAATTAAACTAAAAAGCTCTGCACAGCAAAAGAAATAATCAGCAGAGTAAAGAGATAACCCACAGAGTGGGAGAAAAATCTTCGCAAAGTGTGCATCTGACAAAGGACTAATATACAGAATCTACAAGGAACTCAAACAAATCAGCAATGAGAAAATAAAAAATCATATCAAAATGTGGGCTAGGGACATGAATAGATAATTCTTAAAAGAAGATATACAAATGACCAATAATCATGAAAAGATTCTCAACATCACTAATTATCAGGGAAATGCATATCAAAATCACAATGTGATACCACCTGCAAGAATTGTCATAATCAAAAAATCAAAAAATAATAGATGTTGGTGTGGATATGGTGAAAAGGGAACACTTTTACCCTGCTGGTGGAAATGTTAACTAGCACAATAACTATAGAGAACAGTGTGGAGATTTCTTAAATAACTAAAAGTAGTTCTCACATTTTATCCAGCAATTTCACTATGGAGTATTTACCCAGAGGAAAACAAGTCATTATACGAAAAAGATACTTGCACACACATGTTTATAGCAGCACAATTTGCAACTGCAAAAATATGGAAAAAGCCCAAATGCCCATCAATCAATGAATGGATAAATAAAATGTGATATATATATATATATACACACACACACATATCCATATATATACGTATATATGGCTATATGTGTATATATACATATATAGTGTGTATATATACGTATATACACACACGCGTATATATACATGCGTGTGTATATACGTATATACACACATATGTGTGTGTGTATATGTATATACACACGTATGTATGTGTATATATGTATATGTATACATATATACCATTTCATTCCTTTTTATGGCTGAGTAGTATTCCATGGTGTGTGTGTGTGTGTATATATGGTATATAGGTATACATATGTGTATACATATACATAGGTGTATACATATATACCATATATACACACACATATGTATACACACACCATGGAATACACATATACACCATGGAATAACATATACATATACATATGTATATGTATAGGTATACATGGTATATGTATACATGGAATATATGTGTACATGGTATATGTATACATGGAATACACATATACATATACATATGTATACATATGTATATATATGGAGTACACACATACATATATGTATACATATATACCATATATATATACACACACACATATGTATACACACACACCATGGAATACTACTATATAGTAGTCCATATATACATATATATGGTATATATGTAGACATATATTCCATGTATGCATGCATTCCATGGTGTGTGTGTGTGTATATATATATATATATATATGTATACATATATACCATATATATGTGTATGTGTGTGTGTGTGTGTGCATGTGTATATATACATACACCATAGAATACTACTCAGCCATAAAAAGGAGTGAAATAATGGCATTCATAGCAACCTGGATGGAATTGGAGGCCAGTATTCTAAGTGAAGTAACTCAGGAATGGAAAACCAAACATTGTATATTCTCACTTATAAATGGGAGCTAAGCTATGAGGATACAAAGGCATAAGAATGATAAAATGCATTTTGGGAACTCAGGGTGGGGAAAGTGTAGGAGGTGGGTGAGGGATAAAAGACTACACTTTGGATCGAGTTTACACTGTTCAGATGACACGTGCACCAAAATCTCAGAAATCATCACTAAAGAACTTATCCATGTACCCGAACACTACCTATTTCCCCAAAACCTATTGAAATTTTTAAAAAAAGTCTATAAAAATCAGAATAATTATAAAACTTTCTGAAAATATAGAAATATTTGACTGAAATGGGACTTGAGCGATGGAGATAAATGGGCATGAAATCATGGCAGAATAAAAATATTACAAGTCCCAAATATTAGTGCTATTTTTATACTTAATTTTTTATGAGCAGATTTTAAAAATCAAGTGATTATATCAATTTAATAAAAATAGTAAAAAATTATTTGGTTTGTCGAATTATAAAACTGGTTCAGTTATAGTTTTTTGAGGAATTAAAATTTCAAGTATAGGTAGATTATAGGGGAATTATAAAACTCAACTAAAAATATTAATGCTTTTAGGAAGAGTTTATTCTATGCCTTGGGAGGAAATATTTGAAGATTATACTAGAAACTTTTGTTGCCAAAAAACAAGTATGCTTTGAAATGCTGTGATGTGGTGTTGACAGAATTCAATAGCCAACTTAAAAAGAGATACCACTGGCCAAAATGTGACCATTTGAGCATCAAAAATAAAATTAAAATTGCAAACGATTAAAACAGCAGAGGCCAAAAGAAGCTATAATTTATAATGATGCTGTATTGGTCAATTTTTACACTGCTTTAAAGATACCACCTGAGATTCAGTAATCTATAAACAAAAGAGGTTTAATTGACTCACAGTTCCACATGGTTGGGGAGGCCTCAGGAAACTTACAATCATAGTCAAAGGTGAAGGGGAAGCAAGGCACAGTCTTACATGGCAGTAGGAGAAAGAGGTGGGAGTGGAAGGGCCAGACACTTATCAAACAACCAGATTTCATGAGAGCTTACTCACTATCATGAGAACAGCAAGGGGGAAATCTGCCCCCATGATCCAATTACCTCCCACCAGGTCCCTCCCTTGACATGTGAGGATTACAATTTGAGATGAGATTTGGGTGGGGACACAGAACCAAACCATATCAGATGTTAAAAAGGAAATGGAACTTTATTTTCTTGTAATATAAATGATACTGTATTCAAGTTAATTTCTTTGGAGAAAAATAACATTTTATCAAATTTCATTTTATACACATACACACACACATACACACACACTCACACATATATAATGGAAGCATCCTATCTGTAGAAGGATCCTATCCCATGTATACTCAGACTTCTAAACTTCTCTCTGAATACCTTCAAGGAACTGAATAAAAATTTATCTAATAATGTTCCATATCCATCAACTAATTGCATCTGAGATTACTGAGGAGATTCTATGCCAAGATTTTTATTCTTCTGATTTTTTTATCATGTATTTATTCAAAACTTCTGTTTGGATGGAATTCATTGTATAAGACCAAGAAATTTATAATACTTTATGATTCCAAACAGTCACAATTTAATAAAAATAGACATAAAATTATTTGACAAAATTATTTTTTTTACTTTGCTAGAACTTAAATTTATAAAGCCTACCTTCTTAGAGCATCTTATATATGATGAAATTCAGTGTTCTATGGTTTTCACTTGAGCATGTTTAACAGGATTGGGTTACCAGCATTACTAAAAGGACCTTAAAATATTTTATAAAATGGTCCTTCATCTTGGAACTTCAGAAAGAGTTATTGATTTTAGCACAATGCTCACCATATGCTTACCATAGTCTCTCAAAGTCCTAAAAAAAACCCTGTGGAATGAAGGAATCTTTTAGCGCTGAAGTGGAGAGAATGCTCTATTACAATTGTGAGTGCTTTTTTGCATATAGCAGAGTATTTTGAAAACATCATTTACTGTCACATATACATTCCAATGTGATGCATTTGTATTCCATTTTGTCTGTTTCATGAAAAACTGTCCATAGCTTGAGGTGAAAGGTAATTGCTGCAAACAAATGCATCAGCCCATTGCTATGGCTTCCCTCCATTTCTCCCATGTAAAAAGTGCTCATTTTTGCAATCTCTTCTTCAGAAAGCTGTGAATCTAAGTACCCAGAACAGTTTGTTCCTTCTCTTTTTCATCTAGAACAAACAAAGAAGTGTCAAGGGGATGGAAGAAAGTCCTTCCCCAAGCATCTCAGTGAATATACGTTCCTTTTAAACTGTTGAACCTTTTTTGTTTTAGAAAACTTTTCATTGTTTGATGTCCATGATGATCACTTAGACTAATTCGCGAGCCACTGGACTTAGCAGAGCATGGATATTTCTTAAATTTGAAACAGACAAAGCTCAGAAAGACAAATTTCATCTCTGTAGCCTTTGTTTACAATTTGTATTGGGTGGGACTTATTTACAGTGCATTGCATCTAGGCAGTGTTGCTGTTGCTTCTTATGCCAAATGAAAGAGGAATGTTAAAGTCTGCAAGATGATATTCTCATTAAATTATTATGATGTTTTTATTTATACAAAGTTAGGTAAAAATGACCTCATAGGTTTCTATCAGCTCTGTAATTCAATATCCCAAATGACTCAATTATTTCGTCTTAAATCCATGACGCTTACAAGAATTTCTAAATTATCGCCTGAGAGATAATTTTCACATTTATTTTTAGAAGGCAGAAGATCATGGATTAATATAACTGTAGGTTAGAGAAGAGAAGCACTGTATATTTTAATACTTGAAATGTATGATCTCTTAATGAATGGTGTAATTTATGGGCCAATGCATGGGCTTTGGATTTTGGGCTGCCCTGTGTTGAGATCCTGGCTTGGTATATCAGTTAGCTTTCTTTGATTGCAGAGAAACAAATATTGCCTAACTTAAGCAAAAAGGAAACTTATTGGCAAAATTTTAAGATATAACAAACTTGAAGATTCGAGAACTGCTTCTTGAAATTGGCAGAAACCAATAGTTTTGGGTGAGTCAAGAAAATAAGAACTAAAGAAAATTTCTCAAGATAGGAAAAGTCAGATGGGGGTACTGCTTCTGAAGGAATGGAATATCACCATTTTTTTTTTAAAGCCTTGTACCATTTCCTCAAGGGTTAAAGTCCCAGAAAAGAATATTTGACTAAATATTGTTCCCCAACTAGTACAAGTCTAGTGGAAAGAAGGATCCTCTCCTTCAATTTCTGTAATGAAAGTTATCAATTTGCCACCTATTAAAATATTCTAAATGAGTGAGATATGATTCCCCAAGAGGAAATTGGAGTGCTGCAAGAAAGGGATAATGGATGCTGGGGGCCAAAGAGCAACAAATATACATTATGCATGGCTGCTTACTAGCAGTATGATGATTGGCAAGTTACGTAACCTTTCTAAGCCTCAGTCTTATCTATAAAATGGCAACAATAACAATTTCTTCTTTCTTGGATTATTGTATTAAATGAAATAATATATGGACAATCTGAGGCTCATAGTAATCATACCATACATATAAGCTATCATTATTATTTTTTAGTTTCTACAGTCCTTTTGCAGACATTTGTTTATTAATTTCCCACAATATCCTGTTAGATAACTATAATGGATTATTATCCTTGTTTTATGGATGAGAAACATGGACTTAGAAGGAGTTGCCCAAAACCTAAAGCCTGGTGTTCTCTGAAATCCTACGTACTTTCTTCTGTGGAGTGCAGCACGTCACTGAAATATCATCACTTTGGAGAAAAAACAAAAAGCAATGCTGTGACATAGCATTGAGCAATAGTCAGAACTAGGTAACATTCAGATAGAGCTCTTATAGCAATCGGATTGTTTGCTCACTGCTTTGCTGAAGGTTAATTCAGCTCTTGTGGATATTGACTGGAAGTGGATGTCCTGAAGAACACGCACAGGATGGTGTCAATGTTGCAGTGCAATTCTGTGACCTTGAGGTTTTAGCGCAAAGAAACCCAAGCTGATAAAACTGTGGTGCTTTAAAAGTATAGTTTTGATACTGTTCGCTTATTAACAAAATGTGAGAGTACAGAAAAGCAGTCTGTCATATACCATAGAATTTTTTAAAGCAATCCACTGCTCTGTGTGTGGGCAGGTCTGGATTCCTTTTTAGTTTCACACCTGGACATCCATGCATAAGGGTGGGACATACTGTTTAATAACAAGTATGTTTTTCTGTCCTGAGTTTTACTATCTTGCAACATTGCATCTCTGTCTTGGTGAATATTTACCCAGTCTAGGAGGCTGTTTTCAGGACCTAAAAGACAGCATTCTCCAGTGAGCATTCTCTAGCTTCCCACCTCTGGGGTCCATCTTCCTTTACTGATCTCTCTGGAACAAGAAAGCAGAATTGTTCTTGTAGTAAACAAAGTCAGCAATATCCAACTGTGCTTTTAGCAAGAAAGGGACCAGAAAGCTGGGAGAATTTATTGATTTCTTGTTGATCCTCCTGATTTTCTATGTTTTTTCCTTAAAGAATCTGAAGTGAGATTTTGAAAACTGTCCAAGTTACTAATTTTCTTTTAAGACCTCCAGGCTGCCTGGTTCTTTTGTATTCTCCTCTGTACTCACTTTTTGCTGCCTTATATGTAAATTCTTAACATTGAAGGCAGTGCCTCCTGTGAGACTGTGGACTCCAAGAGAGTTAGAGATAATATCTTGTCCACTTTTTGCATCCTTTAAGTGCACTTCAAAGTGCAATCTGTGGACCAACAGCAGAGACATCACCACGGAGACATCAGAAATGTAGAATGTCAAACCCTGCTCCAGACTTAGTGTAACAGTATATGCATTTTAATAAGCTCTCTAGGTGCTTTGTGTGCACATTTAAAATTGAGCAACATTGCTCTTCAGCACTTTTGACACAATGCATGTTAAATAGTAATGAAGATAATAAAGTATGCAAGCTAAATAATTATTATTTATGAAATCCTCTTCACTGCCATTTCTTTACCTCTTCAACATTCTCTAGTAACATCCCAATGCTAGAAGCAATGGAAACTTTTGAAGACATATGAAGTTGGCAATTTCAGAATCCACTTGCACAGCTCAAAAAAAGGAAAGCAAAAAGAAAATAGAAGTAAGTGATCATCTAGTGAGGAGTGCCGGAGGAAGAGAGTCATTGTTTGTTAAGTTCGTGTTCTTTATGAATATCATGAGCTTCAAAAAGCAATAGGTTTCTAAGCCACAGCTGCATTTCCCTCATTGCCCCATCTCAATCTCAACCCATTCATTCACTTTTATGTGTTTCATTTACCACATTTTCTGTGCATGCTTTATTTACACAAAATAATCACATTATAAAATATGTACATGTCTTAGTTCATTTGTACTGCTACCACAAAATACAAAATACCTGAGACTGGGTAATTTATAAAGAACAGAAATTTACTTTTCATGGTTCTAGAGGTGGAGAAGTTCAAGATCAAGGTGCCAGCAGGTTGGGATGTCTGCATCTTCCAAGAGGAAGGAACACTGGGTCCTCATGTGGCAGAGAACAGAAGGGCAAGAGAAATGGATGCAGCATGAGGCCTCTTTTGTGAGGGCCTTAATATCATTTACGAAGGGAAGAGCCCTTATCAACTAATCACCTCTTAAAGACCCCAGTTCTTATATCTATCACATTGACCGTTAAGTTTCAACCCCTGAAATCTGGAGGGGACACATTCAAACCATGGCAATACACAAAAAGTAACACAGAATAACCCCCACCCCAAGCCCCCAAAGCCAAATTTAAAAGCCAATTTGCTAGGCCATGCATTATAATATCACAAAAATAGGTTAATAAATGTGTTTCAGTTGGTATACGGTATATGAATTGGTATTTTAAAATTTTAATTAAAGGATGATAAAAAGTGACTTTAACAATAGAAGTTTGTCAGTGATTCTTTCTCTGTTTCTTGAATTTCTTGTGTAGGATGCTGGCTATTTTGCTTACCCACAGGGTTCATTCTGGTGGTGATTATGATTGTGTAAACTCAAACTTCTGTTCCAAGGAGTTATTTTAGTTGACTTGAGTTCTGTTCAATATTTATTGATTGCATGCTTTGTGTCAAGCACTGTGGTAGGAGCGGGGCATACAAGAATGAATATGACACAGTCTGTGTCTTCCAGGAACTTGTGGGCTGCTGGGCTAGAAAGTCATTAAACAGAGCATGTCAAGAAAATAATTTAAGTGTTTTGATAGAGGGATACTCAGAGTTATGTGGGTCTTAGGAGATGGGCATTGTATGATTGGATGGGAGTAAAGAAAGCCTCACTTGGGAGGTGAATCTTAGATTTTGTTTTGAATGAGCAGTGGGAGTTAAGTAAATAAATGAATGCTGCAGACACAGTCTAAGTAGAAGTTATATTGAGAATATAAATGCTGATGGTGTGAAACAGCATGGTCTGTTCTGGAAACTTTGCCAAGATGCAAATTATAATGTAAGAGATTCATATGATGAGGCCAAAGAGAAAAGCTAGAGCCCCAGTGTGAAAGCCTCTGGAAAATATTTACCAAACTCACCATATTTAAATTAGTTATAGGTATGTGACACCCTAAATTCTATGTTAGAAAAAAAAATTCATTGGCTCAAAAGAAAATTGCATGAATGTTTCAATCTTATTGTAAAAGTATTTCCTCTTTTTCATTAGGATGTGTTTATGTTCCTCAATAGGGAAATGGCTTATGAAGTTACGCCACTTCACAGCATATTGAGGGAGTCATAAAAGCACTGGGAAAAAACCTGTTATTCAATAAGATAGTATCTACATCAACACTGCATTTTTTGGTAGGCATTAGAAGTAGCACTTAACAGCTTGCATGAATCATTTTGACTTAGATGTGCATGACTGTAATGTTGTAGAGTGGTGAGCTGACCTATGGAAAAGGAATAAACATTAAGCTTTGCTTTTGCAGAAACCACAACTGATGCATAGCAACGTCTAGAAAAATTACAGCACAGATATCAAAGAGAGGTATATTATTATTAATTATTTTACATAAGAGGAAGAAATAAAATACTTGTGTATCCCCCGTATATCCTGTACTTTCTTTTTGGCAAAGGAAATTATTTACACTAAAAATCAAACTCCATGAGGGTAATATATGGTGTTTTTCCTTCTGTTGAATTCAAAACACTTAAATACATAGTGAGCACTCAAGAATTATATACTAAACAAATAATGCATAAGCTGAGTTTTTCTTTGCAATGTCTTATTTGGTAGATTCTACCATTCATAAAAATATTAAAAACTATAGAGAACAACGCCCTTGGGAGCATAGAGATAAGTAGCATCTTGTAGAGTTGGTCCCCTGTTGTTCAGATAACTCATTCTCTGTTGAGCAAAGCCAAGGGGGTGGTGTTTAAAGTTTGAATTGGAGGTATAACAAGTTATCGAAGATTCTAAAATTCTCAGTGATGTTTTGAAAATTTTAAAATAGATTAATACATGCTTTTTGATAAATTCCAAGCAACTACAAAGACATGGTAACAATCCCGTGTAGCACTAGTGTGCTACAAAAACAGACTAGTAGGTCAGTGAAATCAAATAGCAAACTCAGGTTAGAACTATGTATTCCTGCTACCAGAGATGAATTAACAGTGGAGGTAACAAAACTTAGGCTTCATTATTTACTTACTCTGGGTGGGAATTCTCCTAAGATATTCACATTGTTATGTGTTTTTGTAAAATTTTCAAGAGTAAGATAATTTTGCTTCATTAAGTTAAGACAGTAGCTCTTGCCACTCTGAGTTCCCCTTCATCGCACTTCCCTTTTGTCTCATAGTATTAGAGTGGGCATGGACAGTTTTGGAATTTAGCTAAGAGAAAGTTGAGTTGGGAGTGCCATTTTAACTGAAATTTGGAAAATGTACCAAGGATATGAAAACACATGTTAGAGAAGAAAAATTGAAAAAGGTAACAATCATGTATCACAGTATCTACTCAAAATAATTGGTAATCAGAAGATCTAAAATAGATCAGACATCTCTCCTATAATTGTTACCTCCAGCCAGTTGGATAATGGCAGCATTGACAGGAATGTGGGGGTTTAGAGATCCTCATGGCCTGGTGGGAATGTAGCCTGAGTGTATTCATTTTGGAGATGGTGATTCCAAGAATGTATTCATTTCTATATTTTCTAGTTTATATGCATAGAGGTATCCATACTAGTCTCTGATGGTTTTATACATTTCTGTGGGGTTGGTGTTAATGTCCCCTTTGTCATTTCTGATTGTATTTATTGTATCTTCTCTCTTTTTTTTCTTGGTTAATCTAGCTTGCCGTCTATCTTATTTATTTCAAAAAACTAACTCCTGGTTTTGTTGATCTTTTGTACAGTTTTTCAAATCTCAGTTTTCTTCAGTTCACCTCTGATATTGTTTACTTCTTGTGTTCTGCTAGCTTTAAGGTTGGTTTGCCCTTGTTTCTCTAGTTCCTTTAGATGTGATGTTAGGTTGTCCATTTTAGACCTTTCTGATTTTTTGATGTGGGTATTTAGTGCTATAAACTTCCCTCTTAACCCTACTTTAGCTGTGTCCCAGAGATTCTGGCATGTTGCATCTTTGTTCTCATTAGTTTCAAAGAATTTCTTGATTTCTGCCTTAATTTAATTGTTTACCCAAAACTCATCAGGAGCAGGTTAATTTTCATGTAGTTGTATGGTTTTGAGCAATTTTCCAGTATCTATTTCTATTTTTATTGCCCTGTAGTCCAAGAGTACGGTTGGTATGATATCAGTTTTCTTTGATTTTTCTGAGGGTTATGTTTTACGTCTGATATGTGGTCACTTTTTGAGTATGTGCCAAGTGCAGATGAGAAGGATGTATATTCTGTTGTTTTGGGGTGGAGTTCAGTAGATGTCTATTGGTTTCATTTGGTCAAGTGTCGAGTTCATATCCTGAATATCTTTGTTAGCTTTCTGACCCAATGACCTGTCTAATACTGTCAGTGGAGTTTTGAAATCTCCCAGTATTATTGTGTAGAAATCTAAGTTTCTTTACAGGTCTTAACGAACTTGCTTTATAAATTTGGGTGCTCCTGTGTTGAGTATGTATGTATGTATGTATGTATGTATATATATATATATACACACACACACACGCACAGAGACACACACACACACACACACACATATATATGATAGCTAGGTCTTCTTTTTAAGTTGAACCCTTTACCATTATGTAATGCCCGTCTTTGTCTTTTTAAATCTTTGCTGGTTTAAAGACTGTTTTGTCTGAAATTAGGATTGCAACTTTTGTTTTTGTTTCCTGTTTTCCGTTTGCTTGGTAGATTTTTCTCCATCTCTTTATTTTGAGTCTTTGGGTGTCTCTGCATGTCAGATGGGTCTCCAGAAGACAGCATACCACTCTTCTTTATCCAGCTTGCCACTTTGTGATTTTTAATTGGGACATTTAGCCCACTTACATTCAAGGTTAATATTAATATGTGTGGATTTAATTCTGTCATTGTTCTGTTAGCTGGTTATTATGCAGACTTGTTTGAGTGGTTGCTTTATAATGTTCTATTTACTTAAGTGTGGTTTTCTAGTGGCTGGTAATGGTCTTTGCTTTCCATAGGTAGCACTCCTTTCAGGACCTCTTTTAAGGCATGTCTGGTGGTAACAAGCTCTCTTAGCATTTGCTTGTCTGAAAGTAATCTTAATTCTCCTTTGCTTATGAGGCTTAGTTTGGCTGGATATGAAATTCTTGGTTGGAAATTCTTTCCTTTAAGATTGCTGAATATAGGCCCCCAATCTCTCCTGGCTTGTAAGATTTCTGCTTAAAGGTCTGCTGTTAGCCTGATGGGGTCTCCATTGTAGGCGACCTGCCCCTTTTCTCTAGCTGCCTTTAATATTATTTTCTTTCATTTCTACCTTGGAGAATCTGATGAGTATGTGTCCTGGAGATGGTCTTCTTGTGTAGTATCTCACAGAGCTTCTCAGCATTTTCTGCATTTGAATGTTGGCCTCTGTAGTGAGGTTGGGGAAATTTTCATGGATAATATCCTGAAATATGTTTTCCAAGTTACTTGCTTCCTCCTCCCTTGATATAGTTTGGATATTTGCTCCTGCCTAAATCTCATGTTGAGTTGTAATAACCACTACTGGAGATGGGGCCTGGTGGGAGGTGTTTGGATCATGGGAGCGTATCCCTTATGGCTTGTTGCTATCTTCATGATAGTGAGTTCTTGTGAGATCTGGTCATTTAAAAGTGTGTGGCACCTCCTCTGTCCCCACTCTTTCTCTTGTTCCTGCTTTTGCTATGTGAAGCTCCCACCTTTTCCATGTACAAGCTCCCAGTTTGCCTTCCCATGTGAGTAAAACCTCCTTGAGGCCTCCCCAGAAGTCAAGCGATGTTAACACTATGCTTCCTGTACAGCCTGCAGAACCACGAGCCAATTTAAACCTCTTTTCTTTATAAATTATCCAGTCTCAATTATTTCCTTGTAGCAATGCAAGAATGGCCTAATACACTCAGGGATGCCAGTGAATCATAGATTTGGTCTCTTTACATAATCCTCGATGTCTTGGAGGTTTTGTTCATTCTTTTTTGTTCCTTTTTCCTGATTTTTTCTGACCTAGTTCAGAGAACCAGTCTTTGCGCTTTGAGATTCTTTCCTCAGCTTTGTCTATTCTGCTGTTAATACTTGTGATTGCATTATGAAATTCTTGTAGTGTGTGCTTGAGCTCTTTCAGATCAGTTGGTTCTTCCTTATAATGGTCGTTTGGCCTATAAGCTCCTGCATCACCTTATTGCAATCCTTAGATTCCCTGGATTCAATTTCTACTTTCTCCTGAATCTCAATAATCTTCATTCCTATCCATATTCTGAATTCTGTTTCTGTCATTTCAGCCTGGTTAAGAACCCTTGCTAGGGAACTAGTGTAGTTATTTGGAGGTAAGAAGACACTCTGGCCTTTTGAGTTGCCAGAGTTCTTGCACTGATTCTTTCTCATCTGTGTGGGCTTATGTTCCTTTAACTATGGCAAATTTGAGTACAGTCAGCTGACTTCTTTTCTGGATGTTTTCAGAGGGCTGAGGCTTTGTCCAGGGTCTTCATTTGTAACTGAGTATTTGTCCTTGGTTTCACAGAGGGGTATATTAGCAAAGTATTTTTGGTGCTGAAGTTTGGGCTTTGATCCAGTCGATGGCACTTAAGCGTAATGGCATGTAGGTAGGCTCTTGCTCAGCCATAACTCCTCTGTGTTTCCTCACAATTGCAGCTACTCTGTCACTCAGTACCCTGAAAGTGTGGGCTCCTTTTCCACTTGAGTGCTGGCTGGAGATCTCGGTTTGGCACTCCTCGGCTGCTGCATACTGCAGTCCTGGGGTGAGCTAAGGCTTTATGTTCCTTCCCTAGCTTGGAGGCAGCAACAGAAGGGACCTTGGCAGTGGCTATGGCAGAAGACCTTTCACTTGTCTCTTGGGGCTCCACCCCAGAGGAATGCAGAGCCTCTATTGATTGGTGCAATTGGCCTGGGATGGACCGGCTACTTTGTGGACCTCTGGGCAGGGGTTTTGTCGGGGCGACAGACTGGCCTCTTTCCTCAGGGCAACTGCAGCTTGCTGGAGGTGTGATTAAAGCACTCAGGAGAACAGAGAAGAGCGAAACAAGACAAATGCCCATCTAGGAGAGGTACCTTTGCTCCTTCCTGCTCCTGGTCCAAGAGCAGTAAGGACAGAACTACTGCAGTAGCAGTGGCAGAGGGCTTTCAGTTTCCCCTGTGAGCTTCACCTCAGCGAATCGCAGAGCCACAGCTACTGGGAATGTTCAGCCAGGAGGTGGGGCAGATGTGCTGCTGGCGGAAGCTGGAGGCTCCACTTAATGAACAGTGGGGAGTTGAGGGCTTTCAGGGAGAAGAAACTGGGCTCCTTTCCATATGGTGATTGTGGCAGGCTGGAAACCTGAGTACAGCCTTCAGGCTCTTTGTTTTTTCAGTCTGAGGACACCAGGGGCAGAACTGCCGCCATGGCAGTGGCAGAGGGGCTGTAAGTTGCCTCTGGGAGCCCCTCCTCAGCAAAAACAGAGCCACTAGCAGTAAGAATGCTCAGCTGGGGGTAGAGCAGGTGTTCTGTGGTCCAGCGTTTGGGGCCCTGCCTGGTGAAGAGTTGGGGGTAGGTCTGACAGGGAAGAGAGACAGAGCTCTTCTCTGTATGGTGGCTGAAGCATGCTGGAGGCAACAGCATAGCAACCAGGGCCCTTTGTCCCTTCCCCAGCCTGAGGGAAGTAAGAGTGGTACCACTGCAGCAGCAATGGCAGAAGGGCTGTGGTTTGTCTCTGGGATTTCTTCCTCAGAGAAACGACTGAAGTGTTCAGGTGGGGGCAGTGTGGCTATTCTGGGGGCCAGTTTGAGAGGTATTAGCCAGTGATGAGTAGCAGAGGTTGGGACCCATGTGGAAAACAGTGTGGCTGCTTTTCCATAAGGCTGTTGCTCTGTGCCAGGGGTCTGCGCCAGTCCCCAACCACCTCACTCCCTCTAGAGCCTAAGGGCAAGAGGAGCGAGGGCTGCGGAGTGGCAGGAATGGTGGTGTGCCTCTCCCTCTGGGAGCTCCATCCCAGGGAAGAGCCGAGCTGCTCCCGGTGGAGAACTTAATGGGGCTGGAGTGGCCTGTGTCCCAGGCCAGAGGGCCTTGTCCTGCAAGGTGCAGTGGATGCAAGGCCTGCAGCACATCCCTGCTCAGCCCCTTTGAATTTGACCCCTTTCCTGGGGGGCGTGCAAGAGAGCCTGGCCTCCCCTATTGCTGGAGCTGCAGCTGCTGGTGCTGGGGTGCCCAGGCATCCAAGGCTTCTAAGATTCTGTATGTGCCTGAGTGGCAGCTCTGCCCAGATTCCACATAGCTCTTTGTGTCAGTCTGAAGGCCCCAGTTAAGGGATTCATGGGGGATCTCCTGAGCCCAGGGATACAAAGGTCTGTGGCAGAAGTATGGGTCCCCAGGTACTCTCACTCACTCACCATTTCCTCATGGTAGAGGGCCTCCTTTGGCTCCATGCCGCTCCTGGGTGGGCAGTTGTCCTCTTTTGCTCTTCTCTGTTCTCTGTGGGTCTCCTTGTTTCACTGATGAATCTTAATGTGTCCACCTGGATGTTCCAGTTGAAGAGCTAGTTTTTACCCACCACTCTTTTCTTCTTTCCATGAGAGCAGCTCACTCTAGCTGCTTCTAGTCAGCCAATTTGGCCCCCCTATATAATTTGTACTTGCCAATTATACCTTAAAGCTGGGGCAAAAGAAAACAAACAAATAAATATAATGGTAAATAAAAATTTCTGAAAGGAAAAAAAAGATATATAGGCAGCCAACAAAGTTATTGCTTAACGTGTAATCAAAAAGATCCAGCTTGGAGAGGCAGAATACTCCAGCAGCAAGTCATAATCCCTTCTCTAAATCCCAGGCCTGAATTTTTTTCAGATCTGGAACTCATCAATGGATGGAGAGGCTGATTTCCCTCTATGAAAAGATTTTCAACACCATGGCAAGTATGTCTTGTAGTGATTCTCCCACTCCTTTCTCAAAGGATTTTATCATTTACTTGGGGGAAATGTACACTGGGAAAAGGGGAATACTCAGATCTTTTAAGGACCCCATTAGGAGTATGTAACTCCATATGGGGTTCTTGTATGCACATACAAGAACAACTGAATATAGGGTGATATAGTTTGGATGCTCATTGCCTCCAAATCTCGTGTTGAAATGTGATTCCCAGTGTCAGAGGTGGGGCCTGGTGGGAGGTGATTGCATCATGGGGGCAGATCCCTCATGAATGTCTGAGCACCATTCCCTTAGTGATTAGTGAGTTCTTGCTGTGAGTTCATGTGAGATATAGTTATTTAAAGGTGTGTGGTACCTCCCCAGTTTCTTGCTCCTTCTCCTGCCATGTGATACACTGGGTCTCCTTTGCCTTCCACCATGATTGTAAGCTTCCTGAGGCCTCACCAGGAGCTGAGCAACTATTGGTGCCATGCCTGTACAGCCCATAGAACTGTGAACCAAATTAAACCTCTTTTCTTTATAAATTTTCCAGCCCCGGCTATTTCTTTATAGCAATGCAAAAATGGCCTAACACATAGGGTATGAGTTGATGCCAAAACCTAGAAACCTAAGGTGCCATTATGGCCTCCTTTGGAATAGAAATGACTAGGAGGGTGGGGAGTGTCAGCAAATAGCTTAGCAAGTAGCTTAGTTTTTTGCTTAGAGAGGTTAAAGGAGGAAGATTAGAAGGTCAGGGATGAAGAAGTATGGGGAAGAGGCATATGGATGGACCTATGTGAGTGAGTACAAAGAGTGAGGGTTTTTGTGTTGCATGTTAATACTCACCAGAGGACAGTGACTGTAGAAGAGCTTCTCCACCAAATGAGCAGAAGAGCTTGGTGAGTAGGTAGCTAGCCTATGATCTTAACTATTCCAGTGCTTGCTGAATGGGTTCATGAAAGGAGTAGCATGGTGACAGAGATAGAGCCTATGCCTGGGCCCAGCTGCATAGACTCCTTCTCCCTAAGGCTGATACACAAATTCTGTTGCTGAATATTCAAACTGTCAGTAACAGAAACCAATGCCAATCCTCTAGTATGATATCATCACTCTAGGTGACCAACCAACCATGTGGTGACAAGTTGTTTACATCACACACATTCCACTTTAGAAAAGATGGCATGTATTCTGGGTACACTTTTGCATTTCCTTCCCACAGTGCCTCAGCCAGTACTAATATTGAAACAGTTGTAGTTTTAAGCCCCTAGTTTTGGAATGAGCTGTCATGAATCAGTAGATAACATGAGCATGTTATTGGGAACATGGTATTTGGAAATAGGATGCAGCCATTAAAGGAACCCCAAAACATATGGATTCGTTGGTGGGTAGGGCTGATGAGACTGTTAATAAAATCTTAAACACCATGAGGAGCATGTTAATAGACGCTAAAAGGGCCCCAAGTAGGCTGTTGGGGAAGGATTAAAAGCAGGTAATGAAAATAGTATCAGAGGTTGGAAGAAAAGTAACTCTTGTTATATAATAGAAGAAAGTTTAGCAGCACTGTTTCCTGCAGTGATAGAAAATGTATCTAATTGTATTAGTTTGTTCTCACCCTGCTCTAAAGAACTGCCTGAGACTGGGTAATTTATAAATAAAAGAGGCTTAATTGGCTTATGGTTCTTCAGGCTGTACAGGAAGCATGGCTGGGGATGCCTCAGGAAACTTACAATCATGGTAGTAGGAGAAGCAGGCACATCTTATGTGGCTGGAGTAGGAGGATGAGAGAGAAGGGGGAGGTGCTACACACTTTTAAACAACAAAATCTTGTGAGAACTCACTCATTATCATGAGTGTAGCAAGCAGGAAATTCCCCCCTTTGATCCAATCACCTCCCACCAGGCCCCTCCTCCAACACTGTGGATTACAATTTGACATGAGATTGGGTGGGGACACAAATCCAAACCATATCGCTAATGAATCCAATGATCTAGCTAAGGAGATTTCCAGGAAGAATATTACAAATGTCACCTTGCTTCATAGGAATAGATTAAAAAAACATATTAAGCATAATGTATAGAAAATAATGTATAAAAAATGTATAAAAAGCATAATGTATAAAAAACCTTATTAAGCATAATGTATAGAAAATATAAAGAATTAAGGACTTGCTGGTTTTGAAGTAAAACTTTTTCATTCCTAGCTTCCTCACATGGCAGAAAGAAAGTAGTTTCTTGTTTCCGAAGTAAGAAAGGTTATCAGGACAGATATCAAATTCAGAGAACTGACAAAAAATCGTAGTCTAAAGATAAAATCAAGTGTCAATCGTTTCTTAAATAAATAAGACATATTTTCTACTTCAAAAACCTTGGATTCTATTGTAGATTCTAGTGGAGGAGACAGACAAGTAAGCAAATATATACAATTTAGTGTGATAAAGGCCCTAGTGAAAATAAGCTCAAGTTGTTATGTTAGAGAGGTTCCGTGAAAGGACATATATGTAATGCTAGCCCCCAATGCGGAAGGAGCTAAGAAACCAAAGAAGGAGGCAGACAAATCCAGTTTGTTGGTAAAGGGTGGCTTATTGGGGAACTTACGGATTGAAGCGTGGTCTTGAGTGTTTTTATGACAGAATTAAAAGTATATTCACGATATCGATTCTTCCTATCCGTGAGCATGGAATGTTCTTCCATTGGTTTGTGTCCTCTTTTATTTCATTGAGGAGTGGTTTGTAATTCTCCTTGAAGAGGTCCTTCACATCTCTTGTAAGTTGGATTCCTAGGTATTTTATTCTCTTTGAAGCAATTGTGAATGGGAGTTCACTCATGATTTGGCTCTCTGTTTGTCTGTTATTGGTGTATAAGAATGCTTGTGATTTTTGCACATTGATTTTGTATCCTGAGACTTTGCTGAAGTTGCCTATCAGCTCAAGGAGATTTTGGGCTGAGATGATGGGGTTTTCTAGATATACAATCATGTCATCTGCAAACAGGGACAATTTGACTTCCTCTTTTCCTAATTGAATACCCTTTATTTCTTTCTCCTGCCTGATTGCCCTGGCCAGAACTTCCAACGCTATGTTGAATAGGAGTGGTGAGAGAGGGCATCCCTGTCTTGTGCCAGTTTTCAAAGGGAATGCTTCCAGTATTTTCCCATTCAGTATGATATTGGCTGTGGGTTTGTCATAAATAGCTCTTATTATTTGGAGATGTGTCCCATCAATACCTAATTTATTGAGAGTTTTTAGCATGAAGCGTTGTTGAATTTTATCAAAGGCCTTTTCTGCATCTATTGAGATAATCGTGTGGCTTTTGTCTTTGGTTCTGTTTATATGCTGGATTACATTTATTGATTTGCGTATGTTGAACCAGCCTTGCATCCCAGGGATGAAGCCCACTTGATTATGGTGGATAAGCTTTTTGATGTGCTGCTGGATTCGGTTTGCCAGTATTTTACTGAGGATATTTGCATCGATATTCATCAGGGATATTGGTCTAAAATTCTCTTTTTTTGTTGTGTCTCTGCCAGGCTTTGGTATCAGGATGATGCTGGCCTCATAAAATGAGTTAGGGAGGATTCCCTATTTTTCTATTGATTGGAATAGTTTCAGAAGGAATGGTACCAGCTCCTCCTTGTACCTCTGGTAGAATTTGGCTGTGAATCCGTCTGGTCCTGGACTTGCTTTGGTTGGTAAGCTATTAATTATTGCCTCAATTTCAGAGCCTGTTATTGTTCTATTCAGGGATTCAACTTCTTCCTGATTTAGTCTTGGGAGGGTGTATGCATCCAGGAATTTATCCACTTCTTCTAGATTTTTCCAGTTTATTTGCTTAGAGGTGTTTATAGTATTCTCTGATGGTAGTTTGTATTTCTGTGGGATCGGTGGTGATATCCCCTTTATCATTTTTTGTTGAGTCTATTTGATTCTTCTCTCTTTTTTCTTTATTAGTCTTGTAATTTATAGGTTCAATGCCATCCCCATCAAGCTACCAATGACTTTCTTCACAGAATTGGAAAAAACTACTTTAAAGTTCATATGGTACCAAAAAAGAGCCCACATTGCCAAGTCAATCCTAAGCCAAAAGAACAAAGCTGGAGGCATCACGCTACCTGACTTCAAACTATGCTACAAGGCTACAGCAACCAAAACAGCATGGTACTGGTACCAAAACAGAGAGCTAGACCAATGGAACAGAACAGAGGCCTCAGAAATAATACCACATATCTACAATCATCTGATTTTTGACAAACCTAACAAAAACAAGAAACGGGGAAAGGATTCCCTATTTAATACATGGTGCTGGGAAAACTGGCTAGCCATATGTAGAAAGCTGAAACTGGATCCCTTCCTTACACTTCATACAAAAATTAATTCAAGGTGGATTAAAGACTTAAATGTTAGACCTAAAACCATAAAAACCCTAGAAGAAAACCTAGGCAATACCATTCAGGACATAGGCATGGGCAAGGACTTCATGTCTAAAACACCAAAAGCAATGGCAACAAAAGCCAAAATTGATGAATGGGATGTAATTAAACTAAAGAGCTTCTGCACAGCAAAAGAAACTACCATCAGAGTGAACAGACAACCTACAGAATGGGAGAAAATTTTTGCAATCTACTCATCTGACAAAGGGCTAATATCCAGAATTTACAAAGAACTCAAACAAATTTACAAGAAAAAATCAAACAACCCCATCAAAAAGTGGGTGAAGGATATGAACAGATACTTCTCAAAAGAAGACATTTATGCAGCCAACAGACATACGAAAAAATGCTCATCATCACTGGCCATCAGAGAAATGCAAATCAAAACCACAATGAGATACCATCTCACACCAGTTAGAATGGTGATCATTAAAAAGTCAGGAAACAACAGATGCTGGAGAGGATGTGGAGAAATAGGAACACTTTTACACTGTTGGTGGGACTGTAAACTAGTTCAACCATTGTGGAAGACAGTGTGGTGATTCCTCAAGGATCTAGAACTAGAAATACCATTTGACCCAGCCATCCCATTGCTAGGTATATACCCAAAGGATTATAAATCATGCTGCTATAAGGACACATGCACACGTATGTTTATTGCGGCACTATTCACAATAGCAAAGACTTGGAACCAACCTAAATGTCCATCAATGATAGACTGGATTAAGAAAATGTGGTACATATACACCAGGAATACTATGCAGCCATAAAAAAGGATGAGTTCATGTCCTTTGTAGGGACATGGATGAAGCTGGAAACCATCATTCTCAGCAAACTATCGCAAGGCCAAAAAACCAAACACCGCATGTTCTCACTTATAGGTGGGAATTGAACAACGAGAATACTCAGACACAGGAAGGGCAACATCACACACTGGGGCCTGTTGTGGGGTCGGGGGAGGGGGGAGGGATACCATTAGGAGATACACCTAATGTAAATGACAAGTTAATGGGTGCAGCACACCAGCATGGCACATGTATACATATGTAACAAACCTGCACGTTATGCACATGTACCCTAGAACTTAAAGTATAATAAAAAAAGAATTAAAAAATATATACAAGGGAAGAGAGAAATTTATAATGAACCCTCATGTACTATCGCTTATCTTAAAAATAATCAAACTATGGCCAATCTTGTTTTACTTATGATTACCCCTCCCCCTAGTACCTCATTTTAAAGTAAAGCCCAGGCATCTGTAATATTGTCTATAAATACTTTAGTGATCTCTAATTGGCAGACTCTTTTTGACTAATAATCACAATACCTTTATCACAGACACACACACACACTAATGCTAAGTCCTTAATACTGATGCCTCCTTTTGAACAAGCTAGGTCAATGTTGCTGAATACTTGCTGGGAAGTAGATAGGTTCTAGATTACTTCAGACTGTTAATGCAGAAAGAGAATAATTTGGTCTCTGAAGTTCTTGGTAGAAATTCCGTTTTTTTCTCGAAAAATTATGCTAGGTTCCTTTTTATGGGTATTTATTAATAGAGTAGAAAAAAATTGTCCTTAATGCCCCAAGAAGGTACAAAAATGTAAGAAATGGAATTCACTATGGGCTTTTGATTTTGTTTCTGAGTAAAGTAATAAAAAGTACTGGGAGTATTGGGGGAGTTTCTCCATTTCCTTCATTTGTCTAGTTATGTCTAGAGGGGCCTAGCTACTGATTTCAGGCCATCCCTCTATACTCTGTCCTTGGTGTTAAATGTTCTCATCCAACACTCTCTTGCAGTTCTGGGCTGATGTGGGTAGATGAAGCTCTCCTATCTTTAGGGAGAGGGAAAAAATTCAGTGCTGTTAATAGCTAGTATTGTAAATAACTGGAAATGAAGAGAAAAGCTAAACAGAACCATACTTGGTGTCGTAGTGTTGGGACTTCTATTTAAGTAGTAATTTACAATCAAATTGCCATCTGGCCTTGAAGTAGTAGCTACAGGGCTTAATGCTTCAATTTGGTCAAACCCAGAATACATGTGTGAAGACTTGGAGACTTGAGCTTGTCATGTTTTGAGATCTGCAAGGGTTAGTGAGGCAGGTGCTGGGGAAGTTAATAGTTAGTAGGCACCAAATTGTAAGCAAAGAAATTAGAAATTGTTGAAGTATTTTTAGTAATAGATTGTTGTGATCAGATTTATGTTGGTGTGGGCTATGTAGGAGGGCATAAAGGCCAATAGGAGAGCGTGATATCAATACAAGGTAGAAATAATTAGTGCATGAACTAAATTAGTGTTGATGAGGACCGTGGCTGTGGCCAGCATGAGACAGTGTTTGCAGATCAAACCTACAGTACTGGGAACCTGTAAGATGGGGCGTTGAGAGGAAGGAGTTAGAGATTGCTCCCATGTTTGTGGCTTGCTGTCTTGGAGAATGGTGGTGTGGAAATTTCCAACTTCAGTGTTTCTTGGCTGCTGTGAATACTGGATTACTAGTCAGAGACTGCTGCTACTCTGAACCCCATCTAGTATTACAATAGCAGCATCTTTGAGGCTAGGGTTTTAGCCACAGAATTAACTGGGGGATGGATCAGGCAGTCTGTATTGGAGCAAAATGCTTATCTATTCAATGTGTCCTCCCTTCCCCAAGAAAATAATCCCCATGTTCTCATGTTCAATTTACATTCTTCATATTCCCTAATGCTTTATTTTTAGTTATTCTCACATTGAAACAAGACTCTATTTGGTCTTCCCAAATTCTGGAGTCGACTTGACCATTTATAATCTTATAGATTTTAATTTAAGAAATGAAAACACATTTTGATTTGAAGGCTATTGCAACTTGAAACTAATACTTTTCTAACTGAGGTAGGGCTTTGCTTACTAGGCTTCGCCTATATCCTGATATTCATCATTTATTAAAATCTTTAAAATGCTCTTTATCTCTCTCCTGGAAAATAAATATAGCTCTCGAGCTGTTTTCCTTCTGGCGAAACCAGAAACAACAGCAGAATATTTAATAATAGATTGCTCTGAGAGCCAGGATCTCAACAGGCTTTGTAAGTGGGCTCTTTGCTTTCCCTGGGAGGATTGGCATCCATTTTACATAGTGGCAAACAGATGTGGGAACAGGATATTTTGTTCTTTTCAGAATCGTTTACACTAGCTTTAATTGACTGGAGGATTTGTTTTTTTTCTGTGAGCGATTTCTTCCCTATTTAATACATATTCATTTGTCTAATTGCAAAAGTTAGTCACCTGGCATAGCCAGAAGTGAAGTAATACAATGACTACAGTTATCATCTAATAAAGAGACACGTTTTCTTCTCATATCTTTAACATCTAATCTTTCTTTTCCGTTCTTCAAGTAATGCAGCAACGTGAGTCATATACCTGGGGCAAATCGACTGAACGTAAAAAATGCAAAATCCGAAATATAATTGTTGGTGATTTTTCTTGCATTGGGACAAATATTTAATAACATTTTAATTTACTATGTTGTACTCAGAAGTTAGTTTTATATAATTTACTGTAATACATAACTTACTGGGCTCTGGCACTGATGGTTGATTTACTTTTCTATCAGTTACTTAATTAGAATGCATTATTCATAGTTTTTCTGATGAGTGACCTAATTATTATGCTAATTATAATAATCTAAGTCTTCAATGTTTTCTAAAGCATCTTGCCTGATGGGGTTATTAAATACGTGTATAATTATGGTTTCATAAAAATTCAGAAACATGATTTGATAGACATTTTTATTTATACTTAGACTTTCAAGACCATCAAATATATCTTTTGCATTGAATTCAATTAATTTATTAAATATTATTTTCCTTTCCTAATATAAAGCTGCGAACCAGCGTAACAGATAAAATGGCAACCAACTTCATCAGTAGTACTAAGAAGTGCAATAGAATTTTATACCCACTCTTGCTTTTGAGAACTTTGACTTTAACAAGAAAAATTTCCTTCATGATGCGAGAATTCTCTTAAAGTCAAAAGGAGTGAACTGACATGATATTTATTGTTATATTGACAAATTTTAATTATTCATGGGAGAAGCAACTGCGCTGGTGGTTATTATTAACTATTTATACCTGGGGCATGTTTTCGGTACTTTTCTACCTACTTCGTTTAAGGCATCTGGCCAAAATTATTACATTTGTATGTGTCTAATTTCACAGCAAACTTAGTATTTGAAAATATTGGGATAGTGCATTGATTCCAGTAATAATAATTACATTTTAGCTAGCTCTCAAGGGCATCTAAAGCTTGAACATCAGACACACAATCAAGGTAACAGAAAGTGATATTTTGATGTCTGGTCTTAGACAAAGCAATTTGATAGCTCATGGCTAGGTCTATATAACCAAGAACAAGTTAGGGTTAAAATACACATTGTGCTCAATTTTTTTGCAGCCTAGTTGTTCAAAGGATTTTTTGGAGAGCTGAACACTGTAACTCATGGCTTTTGTGAAAAGGTGATTCTGAAGAAATAGGACCAGCCCCTTTTCTGGTCACATCTCATTTTTGAGCACATAGGTATAGATGATGAAAATGAACATTGTTTAATTATTTAAGTGCTTGTAGACTGTAATGTTTTCTCTTATTATTTAACTCCCATTTTTTTCTGTATAATTTTTAAACCGTTGACTTCTATTTCAAACTCTGGAAGCCAAAAATTGTGTCCTCCAAAACTTAGCAAGTGGAAGACATTTGAGGACCTTATAGTCTCACTTGTTACTCTTCTCTTCTTCCTAGTCCTTTTTGAAATCTTTGGCCCATTTATGATAGGGAAACTTGTGTGCTGTGATCTGATAAAAATATCTTGATCTCTATTTTTATGGAGCTGCTGTAATTTGACACATATTGAACAGGCTACCTCCCCAAACCCCATGAAAGAAGCTGGTAGCTTCTATACAGAGATATTGATTTTCAGGTTGCAGGGTCAGAGTGTCATTTGAAATATTGGTTAGAAGAAAAACCACCATTAGTAGTTTGTGTTTTGCTTGTTTTAAATAACTTTTGAAATTATGTGGGATAAAAATAAAGAAAAATTAGATTATTTCCTATCTCCAGCATCTAGTGAGCCACCTTTATGGTTCCATTGCAGTTCATAGAGAAAAAACACTGCCAAGCTAAAAAGCACTATACGGACTCTCTCTTCAACTTTTTCTGTCAGTGTAGCACAGACATAACCTTGGGGTTTGATTGCTCGAAGGGTGGTAGGCAAGGTGTATCTCTGAGATACCTCCTTCTGCAAACTCTTTAAAGTTTGTTCCCCCACTTTTTTGGGGTAGAAGTAAGGAGTGGGAAAGAGATAATTATTACTTTCTTTAATTGATTGGTAGTGATGCCCTTCTTTTGCTGCTTTTTTGACTAATGGTAACTTATAATCAATGCCCTCTCTATGGTTGATGACCAAATACTGACTCCTCTTGGGACACATGTATGAGTTTCTGGGAGGATTTTGTGGGATAACGTCACTGCTGTGTGAGGTGCAAGCTCTGGCCCTTCTCCTTCCACTCTCAGCAATAGTCAAAACAAGCCATCTCTCTCAGCTTCTTATGGGAGGCATTCTGTCATGGGTGAACTGAACCTTTGGGTCAGGTCTTACCAAGATGGCTCAAGCATAGATGCCTTCTCTGGTGGTCACATGACCTACAGGAAACTCTTACATCATTGCTAGGGCTGTGATGAAGAACTCTGTACATGTTGTAATGGATCTTGTGAGAACTTCTTTTGGAAGAATGGTACCAAAAGAACTTCTTTTGGTACCTATTTGTTTTGACTTGTCATTTGTTTGTTATTCTTCTATACATTGGATATTCATATTTCTTTTTTTTATTTGAGCTGTTGTCTTTCATTATAGATTTGTAAAAGTTTTTGTGTATTCTAAACATTAATTCTTTGTTGGTTTTGTATTTTGCAAATCTCTGCTTCCTTCTGTCAGCTATGTAGTAACTTTATCCATTGTATTTTTCATTGACCAGAAATTCTTCATTTTGATGGAAGCCATCTGCTTTTTTCCTTGTTTGTGCTTTTAAAATTTTGTTTAAACAACCTTTCTCTCACTAAGGTCTGTAACTATCTCGCATTTTATTTTACCAACATTCTAGTTTTATTCTTAATCTTCAGGCATGTATTCTTTCAATAGTCTACTTTGGTTGGTAGGTTAAGTAAGGATTTGCTTTTTTCCCAAAATTTTACTAACCCATTCACTATTTCTTAATGAATTTGTGGTGATACTCTTGTGGATGGTTTGTCCCTGAGCTCTCTACCATGTTTCATTGGTCAATATGATTGTTTCTATAAGAATACCTTAATTTTATTATTATTATGCTTTTAAAATATGTATTAATATTGCCCCTCCTTATTCATCTCTTTCAAGATTGGTTTTCTTCTATTAAATAATTGAGTAAATTTACTTAATTCTTTAACAAATCCAACTGGAAATGTTATTGGTATTACATTGAATTTATAGAATAATTAGGAAAAATAAATAACTTTGTAACGTCATCTTATCTAAGAAAATGGGAATGTCTGTTTAATTTTATAAATCCTCTACTATATCTTTATTAGAGTTTTAATGTTTTCTCTATAAAGTTATTGTGTGTTCTTGGTTGAGATAATTTCTAGATATTTTATTTTTTTTCTCTTTTTTGCTATTATCATATTTTTTAGTTACTGATGGGGTAAATTTGTGCTATAGCCAACTAAATTTCTAATCTTTCTTATTCCTAACTGCTTTATTAGGTGAATATTACATGGTTTTATTAGGAGATCATTATTTGCATGTAATGATCATTTTTCTTTTCCTTTTTTTTTAAAATTTGAGACAGAGTCTAGCTCGTCGCCTAGGCTGGAGTGCAGTGGCGTGATCTCGGCTCACTGCAAGCTCCACCTCCCGGGTTCACGCCATTCTCCTGCCTCAGCCTCCCGAGTAGCTGGGACTACTGGCGCCCGCCACCATGCCTGACTAATTTTTTGTATTTTTAGTAGAGACGGGGTTTCACCTTGTTAGCCAGGATGGTTTGAATCTCCTGACCTCGTGATCTGCCTGCCTCGGCCTCCCAAAGTGCTGGGATTACAGGTGTGAGCTACCGTGCCTGGCCTTTTCTTTTCCTCTTAATTTTTCCTTCCTTTTAGAATTGTTGAGTCTTCTAGTGCTATATTAATCAGTTATGGTGATACTGGGTATTTTTAATATTTTAAAGGGTATGCCATCTATGTTTCTGCACTAAATGTAGTGTTTGCTAAAAGGTTTTGATATATGATGTTTACTGATGCAAGAAATTTCACTTCTAATCTCAGTTTGCTAAGATTTTTGAACTTAAGAAAAGGTCCTGAACTTTATGAAGGCCTTTTTTTGCATCATTTAAATAATAACATGATCTTTTCCCCTTTACTAATGAGAAAAATGGCATTCATGGATTTCATGATGTATAACAATTTTTGCATTTCTAGGATTAACCGCATATGAGCATGAAGCAATTTTTAAAAAACGAATTGTTAGGTTCAGTTAGCTATGTTTATGACCTTGAGTAAGTCATATAACCCTTCTATGCCTGAATTTCTTATCAGTTAAATGGAGATAATAGTCAAAGAGTTGTTTTTGAATTATATATGGTCAGAGCATAGATGAGTGCTTGATGCATAATAAAAACTATCTTTTATTCATATAAGACTTTTTTTTTGCAATTAGCTAAATGGTCTGCTATTTCTTTTACTTGTGTGTTTTCTGTTTTTTCTAGCCTTCAAAGTGAGCTGGGCACTTTTGGACTTTTTCAAAGCAAACGCTTTTAAACAAACTGAGTGCTTACCAGTTTGGTCCTAGATTTTGATTTTTTCCTCTTTTAAAGACAACAGTAAATATTACCGTACTAGTTTTTCAGGGCTACTACAGCAAATTACCACAATCTGAGGGGGATAAAAAACAGATATTTATTCTCTCACAGGTTTAGGGGCTAGAAGCCTGAAATCAAGGTGTCAACAGAGCCATGTTCCTTCTAGAGGCAAGTGAAAGCTTCTTACTTGCCTCTCTCGTAGCTTTTGGTGGTTCTTTGGGTTTCAGATGCATCACTCCAATTTCTGCCTCTAGACAGGGCCATTTTCACTGTGTGCCTGTGTCTTTGTGTATCCTCTCATCTCTTACAGGGAAAATAGTCATATTAAATTAGGGGCCCACTGTAGTTCAGTATGTTTTCATTTTAAAAAGTAATTACATCTACCAAGACTCTATAGTGTTTCCAGATAAGGTCACATTCTGAGGTTCTGGGTGGACAAGAATTTTTGAGGATACTCTTCAACTTAGTAAAAGTACCAGAAGATATCAACCCCTTTTTTGTATTTCCTGAAGCAGTTAATCCTGAGACAATGTTCTTGATCTTAGCTATTCCTTTTTTTCTTTTTAAAAATTTTAAAAAATTTATTTTTTTTTTTATAGATCCAGGGTCTTGTTATGTTGCCCAGGCTGGTCTAGAACTCCTGGGCTCAAGCAATCCTCCCTGCCCCCAGCCTCCCAAAGTGCTGAGATTACAGACATGAACCACCACACTCAGCCAATCTTAGCCATTCTAATAGACATGCAGTGATACCTTGTTTTATTTGCATTTCCCTGGTAATGCATGATTTGGGGAATCTTTTCATATGCTTATTTGACATTGTCATCAGTATATCTTGTTTGGTGAGTCTGTTAAGGATTTTGCCCATTTTAAAATTCAGGTTGTTTTCTTTCTTATTGTTGAGTTTCAAAAGTTCTTTGTATATTTTGTAGTCCTTTATCATACATGTCTTTTGCAAACATTTCCTCCCACTCTTTGGCTTGTCATTTTATTCTCTTGATGGAGTCTTTTGCACAGCAGAAAATGTTAATTTATATGAGGTTCAGCTTATCAATTCTTTTTTTCATGACTCATGCCTTTGGTATCATATATAAAAAGTCATCACCAAACTCTTAAGTCATCTAGATTTTCTCCTGTCTTATCTTTTAGGCATCATATAGTATATTAGTGTGTTCTTGCACTGCTAGAAAAATACCTGAGACTGGGTAATTTACTAAGAAAAGAGGTTTAATTGGCTGATAGTTCTGCAGGCTGTACAGGAAGCATGGCAGCATCAGCTTCCTGGGAGGCCTCAGGAAACTTACAATATTGGCGGAAGAAGAAGGGGAAGCAGGCACATATTACATGGCTGGAGCAGGAGAAAGAGCGAGAAGGGGGAGGTGCTACACACTTGTAAACAACCAGATCTTGTGAGCACTCACTATCATTAAGAGCAGCACCAACAGGATGGTACTAAACCATTCATGAAGGACCACCCTCATGATCACTTACCTCCCACCAGGCCCCACCTTCAGCACTGAGAATTACATTTCAATATGAGATTTCAGTGGGGACACACATCCCAACCATATCATTCTACCCCTGGCTCCTCCCAGATCTCATGTCCCTTCTTATACTGCAAAATCCAATTATGCCTTCCCAACAGTCCCACAAAGTCTTAACTCATTCCAGTGTTAACTCAAAAGTCTGAAGTCCAAAGTCTCATCTGAGATGAGGCAAGTCCCTTCTGCCTATAAGGCTGTAAAATCAAAAATAAGTTAGTTACTCTCAAGATTCAATGGGGATAGAGGCATTGGGTAAATACTCCTATTTCAAAAGGAAAAAAATTGGCCAAAAGAAAGGGGCTCCATGCCCCATATAAGTCTCAAACCCAGCAGGGAAGCCATTATATCTTAAAGTTCCAAAATCTGTTTTGACTCCATGTCGCCCATCCAAAGTACTCCTAATGCCTTGGGAAGCCCTGCCCCTGTGGCTTTGCAGGGTTCAGCCCCTGTGGCTGCTTTCAAGGGCTGACACTGAGTGCCTGTGGCTTTTCCGGGTGTAGGGTGCAAGCTGTTGGTAGATCTACCATTCTGGGGTCTGGAGGATGGTGGCCCTATTCTCAAAGCTCCACTAAGCAGTGCTCCAGTGGGGACTCTGTGTGGGGGCTCCAACTGCA
The DNA here is from genome assembly GCF_000001405.40 of Homo sapiens. Lineage (NCBI taxonomy): Eukaryota > Metazoa > Chordata > Mammalia > Primates > Hominidae > Homo > Homo sapiens. The sequence goes on from NC_000004.12 coordinate 42,802,624, forward strand.
CATCTCCCCTTTGTACTGCGCTAGTAGAGGTTTTCATGAGTACGTCACCCCTGCAGCAGGCTTTTGCTTGGACATCCAGGATTTTCCATGCATCCACTGAAATCTAGGTGGAGTCTCCCAACCTTCAACTCTTGAATTCTGCACACCTGCAAGCTTAACACACTACATGGAAGCTGCCAAGGCTTATGGCTTACACCCTCTGAAGCAGCAGCCCAAGTTGTACCTGGGCCCCTTTGAGCCATGGCTGGAGCTGAAGTGGTTGGGATGCAGGGAGCAGTGTCCTGAGGCTGCACAGGGCATTAGGGCCCTGGCCCTGGCCCATGAAACCATTCTTCCCTCCTAGGCCTCTGGGCCTGTGATGGAGGGGCTGCCACAAAGGCCTCTGAAATGTCTTGGAGGCCTTTCCCCCATTGTCTTGGCTATCAGCATTTGCCTTCCTTTTAGCTGAGAGCCCACACTTCACAAGGCCAGGCTGCAAAATTTCCAAACTTCTATGCTCTATTTCCCTTTTAAATATAAATTCTAGTTTCAAGTCATTGCTGTGCTCATGCTTATGAGCATAGGTTGTTAGAAGCAGCCAGGCCACATTTTGAATGCTTTGCTGCATAGAAATGTATTTCACCTGATAACCTAAATCATCATTCTCAAGTTCAAAGTTCCACAGCTCTTTAGGGCAGGGGCACAATGCAATCAACTTCTTCGTTATACATAACAAAAGTGACCTTTGCTCCAGTTCCCAATAAGTTCCTTATCTCCATCTGAGACCCCCTCAGCCTCGACTTCACTATCCATATCACTATCAGCATTTTTGTCATAACCATTCAACAATTCACTAGGAAGTTCCAAACTTCCCCTTATTTTCCTGTCTTCTTTTGAGCCCTCCAAACTGTTCCAATGTATGCTCATTACTCAGTTCCAAAGTGCTTCTGCATTTCCTATACATTTTATAGCAGTACTCCACTCCTGATGCCAATTTTATATATTAGTCTCTTCTCATACTGCTATAAAGAAATATCTGAGACTGGGTAATTTAATAATAAAGAGGTTTAATTGGCTTACGGTTCTGCAGGCTGTACAGGAAGCATGGAGGCATCAGATTCTAGGGAGGCCTCAGGAATATTACAATCATGGTGGAAGGTGAAGGGAATGCAAGAACATATTACATGGCTGGAGCAGGAGAAAGTGGGGGGAAGTGCTACACACTTTTAAACAAGCAGATATTATGCGCACTCACTCACTATTACAAAAGCAGCACTGAGAGGATGGTGCTAAAGCATTCATGAGGGACCACACCCAAGATCCAGTCACCTCCCACCAGGCCCCACCTCCAGCACTGGAGATTAAGTTTCCACGTAAGATTTGGGTGGGGACACAGATCCAAACCATATCATGTAGTTTAGCATTTTACATTCAAGTCTCGTCTATTTTGGGTTAATTTTTGTGAAGGGCATAAAATCTGTGTCTAGATAAATTTTTTTGCATGTGGATGTCCAGTTGTTACAGCACTAGTTGTTCCAGCATCACATCTTTTTCCCATTGTATATTTTCTCCATCATATTTTTTATCCAACTTATTGTAGACAGATAAGCAAAACAATGTTTCTTCAAATGTTTAAACAAATGTCAGTGTAGTCAGTTGACTATACTGATCTGGGTCTATTTCTGGGCTCGCTATTCTGTTCCATTGATTTACTTGTCTCTTCTTTTGCTGATACCACACTGTTTTGATTAGTATAGCTTAATAGTAAGCCTTGAAGTCTCGTATAGTGTCTGTTCTCCAAATTTGTTCTTCAAGATTGTGTAGGCTATTCTGGGTCTTTGACCTCTCCATATAGACCTTAGAATCAGCTTGTCAATATCCACAAAATAACTTTCTAGTATTTTTTAATCAAGATTGCATTGAATCTACAGATCAAATTGGGAATAACTGGTATCTTGACAATATTGGGTCTTCCTATTCATGAAAATGCAATGTCTGAATTTATTTAGGTCTTTGATTTCTTTTATCAGAGTTTTGGTATGCTGATTTTTTGCTTTCAGTACTGAGGTTGAGAAGTCAGATGCCAGTCTGAGTCTTTTCTTTTGTAGGAGATCCACTTTTCTTTTTGTAAATTTCATTATTGTATCATAATATGTCTTAGATATTCTTCATTTTAATTATAATGCACTTAGGTGGGATTTTTTTCTCATCTTTCCTGTTTGGTAATTGTCTTTGCCCATTCAGGGTGCGATAACAAAGATATCACCACCTCCTAATGCCATTGCATTGGGAATTAGATTTCAACATGAGATTTTTTTTTGGTGGGGGGAAACAAATATTCACTCCATAACAGTAATTTATCAGCTTATGAAATTTTTCGATCTGAGATCTTTTCTTTCTTTAATTCTGGCAAATGTATTCTTTTATTTCTTCAAATGTTTATAATTATGTGTTTCTTCTCTACTTCTAGAAACTCTATTATCTACATGTTACCATCATAAATATACATACAAACACACATAATACACACAGACATAAGCATACACACATATGTATACTCTTTTATCCTTTTTTGCTGCCTTATGAGAGAGTTCACACATTATTCTTCATAGCTCACTATTTCATTCTTCAACTTATTTATCCTGGTAATCAACTTACTTACTATGCTATTTATTTTAGCTATTATATTTTAAAATCCATTATTTCTACTTGGTTCTTCATTATAGTTTCTACTTACTGTTCTATGTTACTGATATCTTCCCTATCTTCTTTGGCTTATTTTGAATTCTTGGCCAATTTTTTCAACATTTCTGCTTCAGAGAAAGAATTTATGTGGTTCAGTTTGTTGTTTTTCATTAGCAATGGTAAATTCTCAGATACTTTTTTTTCCTTGCCTGTTTGTTTTTGTTTCTTGACTCATGGACTCATATTTCCTTGGGTCTAGTAATGCATATGAGGAAGGGACAAAGCCCAGAACCTAATCCATGCTCATCTTAGCAAGTTTAAGGAAAGGGGAAGATACGATCTCCAGATACCAACAAACTACTGTTGATATCACTCCCATTTGCTATCATTCCACCAAGCAACTCAGAGTTTACCTTTAAATTAATAAAGAGAAGCAGCTTTGCAATAAAGCAGTATCTTTAGATTGTAAACTACCAGTTTAAAGGCTTAAGGGAAAAGAGGTTGGAGAAGTCAGTTTCCTGGTTTGGCCAGGTAGCTCACACATTTTCTTTCTTTACTTTTGTTTTCTTTTCTTTTTTCTTTTTTTCTTTTTTTTTTTTTTGAGATGGTGTCTTGCTCTGTCGCCCAGGCTGGGGTGCAGTGGCACGATCTTGGCTCACTGCAAGCTCCGCCTCCCAGGTTCACATCATTCTCCTGCCTCAGCCTCCCAAGTAGCTGGGACTACAGGCGCCTGCCACGACGCCCAGCTAATTTTTTGTATTTTTAGTAGAGATGGGGTTTCACTGTGTTAGCCAAGATGGTCTCGATCTCCTGACCTCGTGATCCACCCACCTCGGCCTCCCAAAGTGCTGGGATTACAGGCGTGAGCCATGGCTTCTGGCCACACATTTTCATTACTTTTCACCTTTGCAGGGTGATTTAAACTGACATTGCCAATTTTGATAGTGAAAGGGCAGGATATGATTATCTTAGGCTAACATGGGAGAGAGGCAAGAGCCAATCTAGAAGATTTTCATATCCTCCTACTTTTAGTTTTGGCTTTTGTTGATCCCAGGCTGCAATCAGTTATCTACTTCTTATACCTACTCCAGTTAAAGAAAGCTTTTTGTCCCTCAGGGTTTTCATGAGTCTATGTGTTTTGTGGGTGTGCCGGTTCCTGTAATCCATACTCCCCTCTTGCTTCTGCACTCCTCTAGGGCTGGGTCAAGCAACCCCATAGCGCATACTATTTTGCCATCTGTCCTGGAGCTAGGAAACCATGGTGTGCTTTCTACTTGGTACTGTGTGGATTTGGCTTAGTAATGATGATGTACTCTGGGAGCATTTAGACTCAGAGAGAAACTTTCCATATTTGGCATATTCCCAATGCTGTGACAAAGGACACAGTCACAGCCGATCACTCTGCTAGACTTTGATTGAGGGCCTTGTTATTAACTGGCTTCAGATGAAATTTTAAAAGAAAAGGATATTTTTTACATTGGCATTTGAGAAATTGTGCTACAGAAGCAGTATATACTTGTCCTTTCACTTGACAGAGAACACAAAGTACTTTGAGTTGTTCATGGCTCCCTCAACATATTTCGGCAAAAAAGCTGATGTTTTAAATTTATTGACAATCTTAGGAGGAAGACTTACTAAATTCTTCAACTCAACTCAAATGTGTCCAAATGTAGCCTACCATTAATTATAATACTAGCTATATAAGTAGACTGTAAAGTAATCAGTTATTAAAGTAAATTAAAACATTCTTCTGAAGTTCTTTCCTTCTATTATACTTCATTTAGACCTGATGGGTATATATAAAATATTGGTCATCTGGCCACTAGCAGATACCAGATGAAACCAATACATTATGTCACAGAGGGTGCTAGACCTTTAGTTGGGATGTGTATGAAAGTGTAAAGCAAGATGTGTAATGTATTTGCATTTCACCTTGGCCTAAATCCCTCCCAAGTACAAATATTAGGGTTTTTCCTTTCATATCATCAGCGTTCCTTTGGGAGTTAGGGAGTCCCTTTCCTATTTTGAGGGCTTTATGACTTTCCTGGATCATTGCAAAAAGGAATGTGTGCACCCAACACAGTTCAGATTAGGTCGAGCAAAATCTTAGTTACAGATGAACATTACATGGGTAACATGGATACCATGGTTAAGTGACTGTTTTAATCAGCGAACACCCTCAGCAGATGACAGCAAGAACAGCTTTACATAGCTTTTTAACAAAAGTGACATGAAGATATTCTCTTAAATGTAGTGGTTTAATAGCTTCACAAATGCTTATTGAGCATCTGCCACATGCTAGGGATTTTTCTAGACTTAAGGGACCACAGTGAACAAGATAAAGTTCTGCTGTCATTGTTTACAAGGAGACAAAAAGTGAGTGAAGTACGATGTAGTAAGTTCTAAAACATAGTAAAATTGGGTGAGGTGATAGAGAGTGACTGGGAAGGTACTTTATCTTGGGTGGTTAAAGATGCCTTGTTGTGAGGATGACATCTAAGCTGATACCAGAAAAATACAAGAAGATTGGAGACACAGTATGCCAGGTGGAGGGAAGAGAAAGTCCAAAGTGCCAGAGTCATATATTTTCAAGAAGAGAAATAAGTATGGACTAAACAAGGTGATTGAAAGGGAGAATAGTATGAAATAAGATTGAAGAATAGGTAGAAGCCAATTCATTCAGGGCTTGTGGACCCAGAAAAGGAACTTGAATATTATTTTAAGGGTAATGGGAAACACATCAAATTGATTTGCAGTCCTGCCATCTATCCCTTTAAAATATTCATGAAATGTGACTCTTTCTCACCATCAAACCAGTACTTTCCTTTCTCAAACCCTGCTCCCGTAATTATTACTCTTTCTGCTGGATAATTTTTAGCATTCTGTTTTTTAACTTTTATTTTAAGTTCAGGGATACATGTGCCAGTTTGTTACATAGGGAAACTTGTGTTACAGGGGTTTCTTGTAAAGATTATTTCATCACCCAGGTCTTAAGTCTAGTACCCATTAGTTATTTTTCCTGATTCTCTCTCTTCTCCCAGCTTCTACCCTCCCAATAGGTCCCATTGTGTGTTGTCCTCCTGTATGTGTCCATGTGTTCTCATTACTTAATTCTCACTTATAAGTGAGAACATGTCATAGTTGGTTTTCTGTTCCTGTGTTAATTTGCTAAGGATAATGACCTCTAGCTCCATCCATGTCCCTGGAAAGGACATAATCTCTTTCTTTTTTATGATTGCATAGTATTCCATCGTGTGTGTACCACATTTTCTTTTTCCAGACTATCACTGATGGGCATTTAGGTTGATTCCATGTCTTTGCTATTGTGGACAGTGCTACCATGAACATATGTGTGCATGTTTTTATAAATGAGTGATTTATATTCTTTTGGGTATATGCCCATTAATGAGATTGCTGGGTTGAGTGGTATTTTTGTCTTTAAAACTTTGAGGAATCACCACATTGTCTTCCACAATGGTTGAACTAATTTACACTCCCACAAACTGTGTATAAGCATTCCTTTTTTCTCTGCAATCTGGCTAGCATCTGTTATTTTTTGACTTTTTGATAATAGCCGTTCTGACTGGTGTGAGATGGTTTTTCATTGTGGTTTTGATTTGCATTTCTCTAATGATCAGTGATGTTGAGCTTTTTTTTTCTCATATGATTGTTGACTGTATGTATGTCTTCTTTGAAAAGCACCTGCTCATTTCCTTCACCCACTTATTATTGGGGTTGTTTGTTCTTTTCTTCTTGTGAATTTGTTTAAGTTCCTCATAGATGATGGTTATTAGATCTTTGTTGGATGGATAGCTTGCAAAAATTTTTTTCCCATTCTGTAGGTTGCCTGTTCACTCTGATGATAGTTTCTTTTGGTGTGCAGAAGCTCTTTAGTTTAATTCGATTTCATTTGTCAGTTTTGCTTTTGTTGCAATTGCTTTTAATGTCTTCATCATGAAATCTTTGCCTGTGGCTGTGTCCTAAATGGTATTGCCTCGGTTGTCTTCCAGGGTTTTTTTTTTTTTTAATAGTTCTGGGTTTTGTATTTTAGTCTGTAATCCATCTTGAGTTAATTTTTGTATATGGTGTAAGAAAGGGGCCCAGTTTCAATCTTCTGCATATGGCTAGCCAGTTATCCCATTTATTGAATAGGGAATCCTATTTTTGGTTGGTAGGCCATTTATTTGGTAGTGGCTTGGGGTGGGGTGCTGAGCAGGTTTGAGTGCTTTCTATGTGCCCTGCAAGCAGTTGTGACCACTCAGGGTGTGGGAGGATCCCCTGTTCTCTGCTCAGTGTCAGTGCAAGGGCTGGTCACTGGTGGGGCGGGGCTTGCTGGCTCTCTGCTTACCAAGACTGTCTGCAATGGCGGTTGGCGGGGGATCTGGGGGCATACTGCACTCCGTGTGCTGGGGGTCAAGTAAAGCAAAACCCACCTGTAAAGACGATGACCAGCAAAGTGATTTGGGAGTTGCTATGGGGTTGGGGGAAGCTCCAGTATGGGGAAGGAACATGTGAGCTGGTGCATGGCCATAGGGGCTGCCTTGCTGGAGCTCTTCACTGGTCAGGCATGGTCAGCTGGCACATAAGCTATGGTGTGGGCTCCCCAGGGCACCCAAGACTCCCCTGTAAGCAGGCATGGCCAGGCTGGGGCCCCAGGAGAGGCCAGCAGACCAAGGAGCGCTCACGTCTCACCAGCCCTGTCTGATGTGCAAGATCTCCCTGCAGATACCAGGTCTGACAGTTCTTCTAGGGCTAAAGTCTCTTATGGGAAGAAGTCAAGCCTAGGGGCATTGGTTGTCCCTGGCGGTGCTCCACTAAAAGATGCTCCAGCATCAAACTCTCCCTCTGGGCTCCACATCAGCTGGTGTGCTGCCCCATCACATCTCCAAGAAGCTCTCCCAGCCACCTCAAGAATCTGTGGCGGTCGAGAGCTCCCCTCCTGCTGGGGTTCCAGAGGGCCATGGTGAGAGCGGGTTACTCCTTGCCAGTTCAACTCGCCTGTTCTCCTAGAGCTGTTGTAGTTCCAAAATGAGTCCTGGTGTGTGGTTCCCAGCTTTCAGCCTAGCTTCTGTGTCTTCCCTTCATCCACTTTTGGTGCCTTCCCTCTGAAGATCTGCAGAGTCCAGGGCCCTAGTATTCTTTTAATAAGAGTAATGATAGGATTAAACTGAATTTTTAAAAAAGAACTCTGACAACTGTGTGCAGAATAGATTGTAGAGAGGCAAGTGTAGAAATGGAAAAATCAGCTTGAAGGTTATTTCATGGTCCAGGTGAAAGATAGGGTGGACTAGGGTGGAAGTAGTGGAGATGGTGAAAAGTGGACCATTTGGAGTATATTTTGGAGGAGTAGTTGGCAAGAATGCTGTTAAATTGCATATGGGAAATGAGTAAAAAAAAAAAATGGTTTATCAGTTTTGGAATGAGCAGATAGGTGAATGGTGGCACCATTTATTGAGGTGAGAAAGACTCGAGTAATAATAGGTTTGAGAAGAAAGCAAAGTTTTGTTCTGAGACGCATACTCAACATTCAGGTGGTGTCAAGTAAGCAGCTGGATACATAAATCTGGTGGGCTCCACTGAGTTGACTATATATATATTTAATATATATTTAAATTATATATATAATTTAAATTATATACATATAATTTAAATCCTTTTGAATGCATTATATAACATTTATAAGGAGAGGCTGTAGATAAGTTAGAGAAGATGGCCTGGGTCCCAAAACCTAGAGATTGAGCAGAGGAGGTGAATCTTACAGACAAAACTGAGAGGGCGAGGTAAGAGAATACCCGAAGAGTGTTATGATCCAGATCCTAAGAGAGGGAAGAGTTACTCCTGCGTATTCCTATAAGTGCAAACCCAGAAGTAACCATTTCACTTGGCAAGGTGGAGGATATTGTTGACTTTGATGAAAGTTAGTGGAGGACAGGATGAAAAGTCAAAAAGTGGGTGTTGGCAACTATAGAGAAATCTAGTGAGGGGTTTGCTATAAAGAGAACATAAGTTTAGATGAGAGATTTTTTCATTGTTTGTCTGTTTTGCTTTTAATTTTTTTTTTCTACTTTTAAAGGAAGGGGATACAAAGTGCATGGTTGGGAATAACCCAGCAGAAAAAATAGTAATTACAAGATCAGGGACTTTGAAGAAAAAGGAAAGAGGGATAGGATTTAGTAGAGGTGACCTTGGCCTTGGTGGGAAGAGGCTGTTCACTGTAACAAAAGAGGGTAGTGTGGGTGCAGATGCAGGTAGCAGGCAGATTTGTTGGAAAATTAATGAAAATTTCCTCCAGTGGTCTCTACATTTTCAGTAAAATGTGAAGCAAGCTGAGAATGAGGAAAGGGAGAATGTGCTGGAGGTTAGAAAAGAGGAGAGGCATAGAATAACCATTTTAGAAAGTGAGAGAGTAAATATACTAGAAGAATATCGTAGGATTATCAGGCAGTATTGAGTATCCATTGGAAGTCTGTAGTAGTAGGCTCACCCAATATGGCAAGCATCACCATTAGACCCAGAGAAGAGCAGTAGCTTGAGACCAGTCCTTTAGAGAGCACTGTTCTGGCCCTTTCTGATATGACCTCTAATGAGACAAAGAATCTATGAGCTTGAGGGGACATGGCCACCAGGAGCTCTTATCCTCTCCTCCTCTATCTAGATTATGTTCTGTGTACTTGGGATCCTGGGGTCCAAATGACCCTGATCCTATTTCCAGGGTCCATGTTGGATACTTTTCTGAGTCCTTCCTCCTTTGGGTGGGCTTCCCTGCAGGTGTCTGCACTTTGAGGTCCTCGCTTGCAGGGATGTGATGGAACTTGCACATGTAGGCTGGGCTGTCCATGTATGTGTGGAAGGCCCCTCACAGTGTCATGTGCAAGTAAGATGGGAAAGGTCTGGACTGTGATTTGAGGGCTGGGGACTTGTTTTCTGGATACCATCACATTTTAGTCAGTGTGAAATTCAAAGAAGTCTGAGAATTCTGTTTGTCCTTGGACTTCCAGGTAATTAAGAACATATTTGTCAACATAGGCACATAAAACATGACTATATTTAACAGTTTATTAGCTTGATATATACATTTTCAATATTTAGACATGTGATATGTAACTCCTCTTGCCCCAGGCTCCAGAATGTTTGGGGTGCACCTGAGCATGACCAGAGATACATAGCAGTGCTGTCCAACCGGACTTTGTGCAACCATGGAAGTGTTTCTATACAGTACAATACAGTAACCCCTAGCCACATGTGGCTATTGAGGCTTTGAAATGTAGTTAGTGAGACTGAGGAAGTGAACTCTTAATTTCATTTAATTTTAATTAAATTTAAATAGCTACATGTGCTTAGTAGTCACCATTTTGGACATGCAGATCTATGGACTTGTCTCTTTTTCCAAGCAGCTTTCTAGTGATAGAGGCCAATTGGGTTCAGTTCTATCACAATAATGACTCTTTTCCCCTCTGCATGGTCTCACCAGAGCTTGTCAGGTCTCAGAACCCACTGGCCTCTACCAGGCTCACACCCTGTACTATTCCACCTTGCTGTCCTTTCTTGGTCTGGAAGAACACTTTCAGTCTCCCCAGGGCTTGGATAATTTGAATTCCTGCTCTATTCCATGCTTTGTTATGGAATAAACTATCCACTAGTTACTACTTCCACTAGAATCTTCCCTTTTACAGCTCAAGATATGTATTTTTTTTTTGTTCTCAACAAAATAACACTCTGCAAATCAATGACTTTGACTTTCAAAGTGATTGCTTCTGATGAGGACTTCAAGAGTTTATTCTGTGAACTTAAAAAGAATACCCTGAAAATTGATTGTTCTCTTTTTGATTTTCTATTATAAAAATTCTGACTCCTCAAGGTCGTAAGAATTCTTCTTCACTATCTCCACAAAGGTTCACATACAATGTGCTTTCTGAAAAGTATAAAATTTAATATTTCATGACAAAGTATTTCAAACAGAAAGTGACAAAAGTTTTTGTGTGCTTGTACCAGCAATAATACTCTAAAGATGTCCATCACTGTGATAGGAGAGTGAAGCAGAGGTGACTTAGAATAGAGATGGGAAATGTGGATGAAGCTGGGTATACCCCTTGTGAACCTCCACTTTCAGTGGGCACAGGAATGTGTGCTCCTCTCCCATGCTGGAGTATAGGGAAGCCAGTGAACTCACAATAATATGAGATAGACAAAGCTATGAAGGAAATAAGTGAAGATTGCTTTAATCCCTCCATTCTTTTTTGAATTGCTCAGATCACATGTGCCACATTTCCAGAACTGCTAGAGTTCTTCTCATTTCTCTGCTCCTTGACCTCAAAGCACTTATAGTATATTTGGGGAGACAGGTACTAAACAATGAATATTTATACAAAAATATAATTAGAAATTGTCCAAGAGCCATAAATTGAAAGGAAAGAATGCCACTGGGGAGAATCATGGAGCTGTAGAGGAGAGGCTGAATGTGAAGTGATGTTTCTACAGTGTACGAAAGTTGAGTAGGGATTAGACAGAGTGGGAGGAAGAGAATTCTAGGGCAAGATCCTGAGGAAGCAAAGGGGCTGGTGTGTTGAGGAAGAGAAAAAAGGACCGTTTGCTTCAGGAAGACCGAGTGGTGACAGAGTGATGTGAGAGGCAAGGTTCGAGAGGAGGACAAGGGCTTAGGAATGATTAGAAGCTGGGCTATTATTCTAGGTGCAGTAGAGAAACCACCAAAGGGTGTCATGCTGGTGGCAGGGTTACAATGGGATCACATTGACACCTTACAACGATTACTCCGGCTGTTGTGCAGAGAAGAGGATGAGAAGGTAGGAGGCAAGAGTGAAGGAGGTGAGAGCCCACTTAGGACACCACTGACAGAATAAAGCCAGAGAGGGTCATGTGTGACAGAATAAAGCCAGAGAGGGTCAGAGTACTGACAATGGAGACCGAGAAAACTTGACAAATTCACAATATATGTTAGGGCAGAGTCTTTCAACCTTGGCCCTTGTATTAGTTCGTTTTCATGTTGCTAATAAAGACATATTCCACTAGACATATTCCACAGTCCATTACAGAGACTGGATAGTTTACAAAGAAAAAGAGGTTTAATGGACTCAGTTCCACATGGCTAGGGAGGCGTTACAATCATGGCAGAAGGCAAAAGACACATCTTACATCGCAGCAGGCAAAAGACAGAATGAGAACCAAGTGAAAGGAGTTTCCCCTTACAAAACTATCCGATGACATGAGACACTACCATGGGAAAAGTATGGGGGAAACCACCCCCATGATTTAATTATTTTCCACTGGGTGCCTCCCACAACACATGGAAATTATGAGAGCTGCAATCCAAGATAAGATTTGTGTGGGGACACAACCAAACCATATCAGCCCTCTTGAAATTTTGGACCAGATAATTATTTGTTGCGGGGTTTGTTCTGTTCATTGTAGAATGTGTAACAACATGCCTGACCCCTTCTTCTGCCGGTAGCATTCCCCAGCCCAACCCCCAATGCCCTCCATCAATTTGTGAAAACTTAGAATGTCTCTAGACATTGCTAAATATCTCTTGCATAGTAAAATTGCCCTCGATTGAGAGCCACTATATTAAGGGGACAATTCACAGATACAAACAGCAGATTAGATGTGGAAAGATAAGGAAATGGAAGGTGTCATGAATGACATTTATTTGATCAAGGAAGTAGGTGGATATGTGATTATAGGAATGCAATGACTTGAGGAGACTATTTGGGGCATGTGTAGAAATATTAAGAGTTTGTTTTAAACACAGTTAATCTAGATGCCTCGAAGACTTCAAGGAGAGATATCAAGGAGATGGTTGCTTATTGTACTAAGAGATCTTGGCTGGAAATATGAAGAGCCATGGGGTTTGGATGTGATCACTGATAGAGAGAATGTAAATGAGAACAGAAGAGCTTTGGGAATTGAATATAGAAAAATCTATTATTTCCAAAACCAGCAGAAAATGTCATGAAAAGGGAAAAACACCCCAGCATGCTTTTCAAGAAGAAGAGAGTAAACTAAATTGAATATGACTCAAAGTTCTAGTTATATGAGGATTGAAAAGTGTCCATTGGAATTGGCAAAAAGGGAGGTAACTGTAAAACTTAGCTGGTGGGTAGAGATATTTAATGGAATAGAAGGGGCTGAAATCATAATGGGGTGGGCTGGAATGAGAATGAAAGTTGGAAAACCATGTGTGTAGACTATTATTTCAAGAGTTTTTTCCAACCAAGTGAGGAGGAAGGAAGCAATTAACTAAAAGGAGAGGTGGCATTGGCAGGGGGTTTCGGGGGGGTGCTTTGTAAAAACATGATAGTAAGAAACATGATTCAATTTTGCTAGGAAATGATCCAGTAAATAGTAAGAGAAGTTCAAAATAGGGGAAAGAGAATAACAGATTCACCAAAGTTCTCTGGTAGGTATGACACTTTTGGCTAGTAATTTGCTAGGGGAAATATACTTTCTTTATTATAACAGAGAAAATGATAATATTGATCATGATAGCTAACATTTATTGAGGGTTTATGATATGTCAGGCTTCTTACATGTTTTATCTCATTTAATCTTCTCCCCCAAAACTTATGAAATAAATCCTGTTAGTATACATACTGGAGAAATGAGAAAACAGGGTTAGAGTAACTTGTTTAAGTGGCAGAGCTTAGACTGTAATGGAACTCATTCCTGAATCCAGGTTAAGCCAACTTATTCCAGAGCCTAAGCTCTTAAAAGAAGCAGAGAAAAGGAATCCTGTCAATTAACCTACCAAAGAATTATTAAAACCCATTAACTCTTGCCTATTACCTTAAAGTTTTAAGACCAGCTTAATTTGAATGAAGGTTACCTCTCACAGTGAAATACTCCATGCTTCCCTATACTTGACCCTGTCCTAAAGTGATGACTGGTTTTCTCTCATCTTTTATTTTTTACTCAATTTGTTTGTTTGTTCATTTACATTTTTCTAAAGGAATCTTCTACACTAACAGCGAGCAGGTCTGGGCTCAGAAAAGATAGCCTGTCCTTTGAGTGGAAAGAATTACTCAGGGTGCTTACTTTTTGAGCTGGATTAGACACTGAGCAAATGTGTTTCCTGTTCTGGGCTCTAGGCCCTGCTTGCCAGAGCAGCTACGAATACTTATTACAGCCTTCCAGAGGCTGTTCGCAGAGTCTCCGAGATTGGTTAGTAATTGGCATAGAAGAAAATGCCATTGGCTTACCTTACTCTGGGCTTTTTGTTTATAATGCTAGCTTTATTCTCAAATCCTGGCAATGATTCTTTTCTAATAAGCAAGCATTCTCTGATATTTGATACAGTATCAAGCAGTACTTGTCCTATCTTGACCTTAATTTTCTTTTTAATCATTTACTTGAAGGACCTCGTGTGTGTGTGTGCACGCGTGTATGCCCATGTGTGTGCGTGTGTACCCCCACGTGTGTGCAAGTAAATGCATAAGGTTGTGTTTGTGGCTTAAGGGTGCTTTTCTGAGATACAAGGCCTGTTATGATAAGATATACTCTTTGGCCATCTTCTGAAGAGAAGCCAAAAAAAAAAAAAAGCAGTTCAGAGTTTTATCTGGACAGGTAAAGTCATAGTATTGACTTTTTATCTTACAGTGTTTCTTAGATAATTTGGTTCCTTTTTTTAGTTTTCAGGATGATGACACACAAACAAATGATCATTTTCACCTCAAGTGGCTCTCTTTTACAAGAACAAAGATTCTCATGTCAAAGTGAATAAAGAGGGAGGCAGGGACCCAAGAGAGAGTGGAGAAATGGGAGCTCGCTCTACCGTACAGTTTATCTAGATGTGTTTGACACTTCCTTTTTAATGTTTACCAAAAAAAAAAAAAAAAAAAAAAAAAAAGAGGAAGAAGAAAAGAAAGAATAAGAGAAAAAAGAAAAAAGAATGTGATTCAAAGTGAATGTGAACAAACGATCGCGTGGCTTGAATGCTTTAGCACAGAAGTACTTGGGTCACCACTGTCTTTTCAAACTCGATCTTCTGACTTTCGAGTATCTCTGACTCCATTCATGTATAAAAGGTAGCCATAGTCTTCCAGAGGTGAGGCCGTCCTTTTGTTTTGAGTTCTCTGGAAGCAACTCCAGTTTCTAGATCAGAAGAAAGAATAGGCAAAATGAGAGTATTTGAAGCCTATGGAGTAGATGCACCTGTGAGGTTTCTTAAGTCTTAGCTGAAAGGCTTCTGCATGCAAATATACATTAATATGTGTATACATACATAGCTCTTCGACTTTGCAGTTACATTTCTAGAGTTTTTTTTTTTTTTTTTTTTTTTTTTTTTTTTTTTTTAACTACTGAGGGAAATGATCTGATCAGAGTGCTTTGCTCTCAGAAACAGTCACAGGGCCCAAGTAACCGGGCAGGCTTGTCCCCTCCTGTGGCAGTTTATTAGTACTGCAGAAACAACTCTGCAAACCAGCATACCGGCAATTAAAGGTGTGACAACTTCATGTCCCAGGAGAAAGCATTTTCATGTGGAAGTTAAAACCTGATGACATGTGAAAGGAGATGAAGGATGTGTATAAAACTGGATGTTTAAAAAATTCAGCTCTGCCACATCAAATGTTTGGAGGTATCCAGGGGCAGTGAGTGAAGCATTGCAGCAAATGAAATTCTGGCTTTCTTTTCATTTTGAACAAGAGCTTCACATTATTGAAACACACATTTTGCTTATCCATGAAACCCATGTTTGAATCAACAGCTGCAAGCAGAGCCAGTTCTGTCATGTGGCTCTCCAAGGCTGGCTGAGTGACTGATAGTGACATATTTTGAATGATTTAAGAGAAACCAGGGGACTGTTGACCAGCAGTACATCCCAACATTATTAGCTTCCTTCTGATATGTCAGGGCTACTGATGAATTTTAGTTTTCTCAGAGGTTTCTGATCTTGGAGGCAGCACTGGATGAGCTGTTAACAAGCTTTCAGAATGTCAGATTTGCACTGGATTTAACTGACATTTCTTTTTAAGACTTTAAAGGATCATAAATTACAATAGGCTTTTTGGTCCCTGGGCAGTCACAGCCCACAGCTGAGGAGAATGTGCTCAGTAAATGTGTATTGTGATGGACTAGACTTTTGTAACTAGCCACTCAGATTTGGAAAAAATAAAAGGAAGCCTTACAGATATTAGGTAATAAAGAATATGCTTTATAACATCAAAATATGATTTATGAAAAAAAGAACATTCCTATAATTTGGGTTCAAGCTGAGACTTCTGGTTAAAAGTGTCTTAAATTTCATAGTGGTTTTACAGTGTTTTTGTAAATTTTCACATATCTCCTCTGATCCTTAACATGCTATTCCATTTAATCTCTATTTACTTAGTGACAACATTTGATTGAAGTCACAAGTCTGGGATCCTTGTCTCAGCAGGTTGAGTAACGTCAGTTTTCCAGGTCCTAACCCTTATTTGCTTGTATAATTAACTGTTGCTACCAATTTAACCATATTTAAACTTGGATCACATTA
The DNA here is from genome assembly GCF_000001405.40 of Homo sapiens. NCBI lineage: Eukaryota > Metazoa > Chordata > Mammalia > Primates > Hominidae > Homo > Homo sapiens. Next base: position 42,818,774 of record NC_000004.12, read on the forward strand.
GAAAATATAGTGTAGTTAGAAAATAAAGTTAATGTTGGTTCTAAACAAGTTATTTAAATTTTCAGGGGTGTAGTGGAATAAACACTGGCTTTAGAGTTTGCCATCCATAGTGTCGAAGTGCAGCAAGCTGAGTGAACTTGGAGAAAAAATGATTTTAACATCTTGATTCTCAATTTCAATGTCTGTACTTCGGGGATAAAAATAGTTATCTTCTAGATTATCAGTTATTTACTCCAGAAATGTTTATTGAGTAGCTAACTACTCTGTGCTAGGCATTATTTTAACATTGAAATGCAATGTTGAGTGAGATAGAAAAAAATCCCTACCCTCAGGGACTTGTCTTCTAGTTGGGGAAGACAGACAATAAATAATTGAATAAACTAGTTCTGAGAGTCTCAAGTATTATACAGGATATGCAATGGGATAATGTAGCAAGAATGCCTTGGGTGAAAATGGCAGCATTCCAGGAGACAGGGTGATTAGGGAAGGCTCCCCTGAGGATGTGACATTGAGGGTGACCTGAATGATAAAATGACACTAGCCTTGTGAGGGATCAGAGCAAAAGCATTGTAAGCAGAGGGAGTAGCAAATGCAAAGGCTCTGGTATAGGAAGGAGTTTAGAGTGTTTTAAGAACAGAAAGAAATCTGGTCCTAGAGGAAGGCAGGGGCTAGACCACGACAGGCATTTCAGCCATAGTAAGGATTTGGATGTTCTCTAAATGCAATGGAAATCATTGGAGATTTTAAGGAAGTGTAATGACACGGTTTGATTTGTATTTTAAAATGCTAACTTTGCTGTGTAGAAAATGGGCTGTGGATAAATATTAAACATGGTAATAGGAAGAACAGCTAAGAGGCTATTGCTGTATTCTAGATAAGAGATGATGGTGGTTTGAACTAGTGAAATAATGATGGAGATGAAGGTAAATATTTGGATTTGGGGCATATTTTGGAGGTAGAAAGGACAAGACTTGCTGATGCAGTGAATGTGAGGGGTTTAGGAATGAGAGAAATCTGGGACAGATTGTGGGTTTTGGTTTGATAAGACAAATAAATCAAATGGGGGAAGACTTGGGAAGAAACCCGACAGTGCAAATAAACCAAGAGTTTCATTTTAGAGATATTAAGTTTAAGTTGGATTTTGGATCCAAGTAGAGCTATCATATAGGTGCCTATGAATGGGATGTCAAGTAGAATATGCAAGCTGGAGCTCATGGCAGGCCTCTGGGCTGGAGAGAGAAATTAGGGAATCATTAGCTTTGCTGATGTTTAAAGCCAGGGGAGTGGAAGAGATGACTCAGGGAGAAAGAATGAGTAGAGAACGGGAGAGGGTACAGGATAATCCCTGAAGCACTCCAAAATTTAGATGGCATATTGAAAGAAAGAGTAAGCTGAAGAGTTGGAAAGGAGGTAGCTAGTAAATGGAAAAACACACAAAAATGTTGATATGTCTAAGGAGGAGTTAATTGTATTTATTGCTGCTGAGAGGTAAATATGAAGTTAGAGAAGTGGACTTCAGGTTTGTACAGTGACTCAAAATAAGAGCACTTCCATTGAAGTGATGGGGACGAAAGTCAGGCTGGAGTGGATTGTTATGAGAATTACAGTCCACATAAAACAAGCCCCAGGTTTTATATGTAAATCATTCTGAGACAGTATATGCTTAAGATATGGTAGCTATTACTGAGAAATAATAATTTGGTGGCAGATTTTGTGGCTTGACAATAGCAGCCATTCTCCTGGCCTCCTTCCCCCATCCCTTGCTTCATTTTCTTGACAAACTTTTCTCCTTCTTTAAATTTGTCTGAGTTTTCCACCCTTCCATATGCTGAGGGATGAGTCTAGGTCACCTTGGTGGTCTTATTCATTTCGCCAGTGATTAGTTTAGGCATTGTTATGTGACCAAATCCTGGCCTGTATTACTCAGGGTTCTCTTAGAGGAACAGAACTAATAGGATAGATAGACATATAGAAAGGGGAGTTTATTAAGCATTTGATCACAAGTTCCCCACGATAGGCTATCTGTAAGCTGAGGAGCAAGGAGAACCAGTCTGAGTCCCAAAACTGAAGAGCTCGGAGTCCGATGTTTGAGGGCAGGAAGCATCTAGCACGGGAGAAAGTAGGCTGGGAGGCTAGGCTTGTCTCTCTTTTTCACATTTTTCTGCCTGCTTTATATTTGCTGGAGGCTGATTAGAATGTGCCCACCAGATTAAGGGTGGATCTGCCTTCCACAGCCCACTGACTCAAATGTTAATGTCTTTTGGCGACACCCACACAGACACACCCAGGATTAAGATTTTGTATCCCTCAATCCACTCAAGTTGACAGTATTAACCATCACATGGCCAATGGGATCTGATGGACAATCTGCTGAGAGCTTCTGGAAAAGGTTTCTTTGTTAATAAAAATATACTCGTGGAAATAAATTCTGCTCTGCTTCACCAAATATTAATACTCCTGTGATGTTTGAAATTGCTGCAGCCATCTGTATGTGACCAAGAGAGACCCTATCATGGGCAGGCTGTATATGGTCAAGTGGAAATATGGAGAGCTATATTTTCAGACCTAGATCTCAGTCTAATGGGGACATTAAGACATACTCTTTAAACCAATGTGTCTCTGGGTATGAATCCTGCAGAGCTCTGTATAATGCTGATGTTACAAATTACATAGTGACAGGCATTGTTTTAAGCTTGACTTACTATTTTACAGATGAGTAAACTGAGACCAAATGAACCTAAGTGCTTTGCCTAGGGACCTATAACTGGTAGTGGGAATTCAAACCCAGGTATTCTAGCTACCAGGTTAACACTACATTTTGTAGGTCATATTAAAGAGGGCATCTGCAAATAAACATGCGTTTATTTGATATCTATATTTAAAACAATGCACTGGTTTTACATTATTTCCCAAGAGTGGCTGCAGATTTGGGGCCGAATTTCTTTTGTCAACTGCTGGTCCTGGAAATGCTTGTGAAGTGTGTTTCGGTAATCCTTGGTTAGAGTACATGTTAAGTGACAGTGTTCTTGCTTGGATGCACTGGAATCCAGGCTCACAAACTAACTTGGCCCAAATAATATTCAAGCTGTATACATTGCTAATGTTAAAACACATATGAGATAAAGATAATAACTACTATTAATTTAGTGTTTAATATATAATTTATCTTGTATGCAGTGTTTTAACCACATTGTTTCACCAAATTTTCACTGAATCTTGAACCCTAAAAAGATACTATTTTCTGAATGTTACCACTGATAAAAGTAAACTGGAGAGTTTAAGTATTTTGGCCCAAACTACTAAGTCTGTCTTATTCCAAAGGCCCTGCTCCTAACTATTAAATGAATGCATTAAATTTTAACTAAATTGTGGCATAAGCCTGAAAGCTACCTAGCACATTCAGATAGCATATTGTCTATGGGTTTGTGCATAGGAAAAACCCTGGAAATATAAGATGAACAATAGTTTTTTCTCTGTGTTGGGAATTACAGTTAATTTTTATTTTCTTTAGTATCCGGCCATCATGAAAAGAAAAAAACTTTTTTAGTAATATTAAGAAATAAAAGTCTGATTTTTAAAAATATGTTTTCTAAAAATTCAGGTTTCTTATGGCTGTATAGTATTTCATGGTGTATATGTGCCACATTTGCTTTATCCAGTCTATCATTGATGGGCCTTTGGGTTGGTTCCAAGTCTTTGCTGTTGTGCATAGTGCTGCAATAAATATATGTGTGCATGTGTCTTTATAGCAGAATGATTTATAATCCTTTGGGTATATACCCAGTGATGGGATTGCTGGGTCAAATGGTATTTCTGGTTCTAGATCCTAGAGGAATCACCACACTGTCTTCCACAATGGTTGAACTAATTTACACTCCCACAAACAGTGTAAAAGTGTTCCTATTTCTCCACATCCTCTCCAGCATCTGTGGTTTCCTGACTTTTTAATGATCTCCATTCTAACTGGCATGAGATGGTATCACATTGTGGTTTTGATTTGCATTTCTCTGATGACCAGTGATGATGAGCTTTTCTTCATAAGTTTGTTGGCCACATAAATGTCTTGTTTTGAAAAGTGTCTGTTCACATCCTTCACCCACTTTTTGATGGGGTAGTTTGTTTTTTTCTTGTAAATTTGTTTAAGTTCCTTGTAGATTCTGGATATTAGCCCTTTGTCAGATGGATAGATTGCAAATATTTTCTCTCATTCTGTAGGTTGCCTATTCACTCTGATGATAGTTTCTTTTGCTGTGCAGAAGCTTTTTAGTTTAATTAGATCCCATTTGTCAATTTTGGCTTTCTTTGCAATTGCTTTTGGTGTTTTAGTCATGAAATATTTGCCCATCCCTATGTCCTGAATGATACTGTCTAGGTTTTCTTCTAGGGTTTTTATGGTTTTAGGTCTTATGTTTAAGTCTTTAATCCATCTTGAGTTAATTTTTATATAAGATGTAAGGAAGGGGTCCAGTTTCAGTTTTCTGATATGGCTAGCCAGTTTTCCCAACACCATTTGTTAAATAGAGAATCATTTCCTCGTTGCTTGTTTTTGTCAGGTTTGTCAAACATTGGATGGTTGTAGATGTGTGGTGTTGTTTCTGAGGCCTCTGTTCTGTTCCATTGGTCTATACGTCTGTTTTGGTACCAGTAACATGCTGTTTTGGTTACTGTAGCTTTGTAGTATACTTTGAAGTCAGGTAGCATAATGCCTCCAGCTTTGTTCTTTTTGCTTAAGATTGTCTTCGCTATACAGGCTCCTTTTTGGTTCCATATAAAATTTAAAGTAGTTTTTTTCTAATTCTGGGAAGAAAGTCAATGATAGCTTGATGGGAATAGCATTAAATCCTAATATGCTATCTGAATGTGCTAGGTAGCTTCCAGGCTTACACCACAATTTAGTTAAAATTTAATGCATTCATTTAATAGTTAGGAGCAGGGTCTTTGGAATAAGACAGACCTAGTAGTTTGGGCCAAATACTTAAACTCTCCATAGTTTACTTTTCTCAATCGTGATGTGCAGAAAATTGTATCTTCTAAGGGTTCAAGATTCAGTGAAGATTTGGTGAAACAATGTGGTTAAAGCACTGCATACAAGATAAATTATATATTAAACACAAAATTAATAGTAGTTATTATCTTTATTTCATATGTGTTTTAACATTAGCAATGTATACATCTTGAATATTATTTGTGCCAAGTTAGTCTGTGAGCCTGGATTCCAGTACATCCAAGCAAGAATTCTGTCACTTAACATACACTCTGACCAAGGATTATTAAAACACACTTCACAAACATTTCCAGCAGGAACAATGAACAATGGGAACACATGGACACAAGGAGGGTAACATCACACACTGGGGCCTGTTGGGGGTTGGGGGGCTGGGGGAGGGATAGCATTAGGAGAAATACTTAATGTAGATGATGGGTTGATGGGTGCAGCAAACCACCATGGCACATGTATCCCTATGTAACAAACCTGCATGTTCTGCACAGGTATCCCAGAACTTAAAGTATAAAAAAATCAGGTTTCTTTTAGTCCACAGATCTGGTGACCAAGTGCTGGATGAATTTATTAAGGAAATGTAGGGCCACTTTGCCACCAACCACTTGGCCAACTGGCCAATTGCCCTTTCTTTTTTGTCTTCCATTATAGCTTCCCTTGTAGCTCTAGGTGTTTAGGTGAGGAGACATTCACTTCCACTCTGTCAGCTCACTAAACCCTTGCAAGTCTGCTTTCCGTGAATCTCAAGTGTCATCTTTTCATCTCTATGGGCAAGACTGAATAAATAGATTTTTCATGCCTTTGCCTCTTGGCTCTTAAAAAAGTTCTAAAGACAAACAGAATCCAGTTGCTCAACTATTTATTTTGTGTTGGATTGATTGGTACATTAAGTAAGTAAAAGTAGTATTTTGCTTTTTCATCATCTGTAGATAAAACAGGGATGTGTGTTGGGTTGTTGAGTTCCTTTTCTGTTGACTCTACCTAATTCCACAGATTCAACCACAGAACATTGGATGATTACTTAGTAAATAACCTCAATCACTTCTTAGATTTCTACTTCATCAATGTTTGTGTAGCAAACAGAACCTTGATAAGACCCAGGTTGATTGCAAAATGGATTTTCTGTGTATGTTGCCAGTGTTTTTTTTTCCCTGACAGCCTAGCTATATTTTGCAGATTTATATGCCTTCCAAAATTTGCATTCACTCCCTTCATATAAATTTTTAAAAGATATTTACAGAATGCTGTAGTAATATTTTGAAAACACAGGTGGCTGGATTGAAATTAATATACCTCTGCAAAAGATTGTAGAGAAAAATGTGTAACTTAATAAGTATTTCAGCCAGAAAATGACAACCCTTCTTGTGATTAAGCGTTGAAATACTGTCAAATTCAAGTGATTAATTATATTATGGGAAGGCATTAAAATTTTATGATGAGAACTGAAATCCGAATTATAAAGTGGATATTCAACGAATGACACTGCCCTTTACTGCCATCTGTACTTCAGAGTTTCTCTGCTTTATTAAATCTGTAAGCACATACATTTAAAAAAAAGTTAACTTGAAGGCCCACTAACACATTTCCTACTTTTCCTTATTACTGCATTGTCAATTTTGATCACAATACTGCTTTTTTCTTCCTGCCTTAGGCTATGTCCTATTCCATTGTATAGCATATAACATTAAAAATTAGCCAATGTATTTAACTATTAATACATTTTAGGCATTTAGGTTTTCACATTTTTTTCCTGTTATAAGTAATACCATGTAATATTTGATTCATAATAGCTAGCATTTATAGAGCACTGATTATGTTCCAGGCACATTTGTAATCACTTTACATTTATTAATCATATGAATCCTTCCAGCAGGCCTTCAAGATAGTACTATTATAAGGTTTATTTTATAGTTGTGGAAACTGAGGCACAGAGAAACTAGCTACTTTGCCCAAGACCACACACTTGGCAATTGGTAGAGTTTGGATCCAACCTGAAGCAGTCTGACTCCAAGGTCTTCAGAGCCATCATAGAATTTTTATCTCATCTTCTAAAATTTTCTTAAGGATAGATTTCTAGAAGTGTAATGAATGGATTAAAGGAATGAAGTTACTGAAGTTATCTTAGTTTATAGAAAAAATGTGCCAATGTATATTCTCACATCACTTTATGGGGATATTTAGATTACTGCATTTTTAATAATCAACATCAAGTTATAAGCAAAAATCTCTGGTTAATCTGATAGGTTACATTTAGCATTTTATGTTGCTTTATTTGCATTTCTTCTGAGCCATAGTGTTTTAGACTGTTTTAGCGTGGTCTCTAGTTTACCTCTATTTGAGTCCCAGAGGTATCTAATTATAGGATGATTGTGGAAATTAAATGAATCCACATATGAAAGTCACCAAAACAGGCCTTGTATATAGTGCTAAAAGATGAACCGAGGCACATACAATATTAAAGACAGTGATTCATAAATCGAGCAGCTCCAAACCAGAAGTAGATTGGAACTCTGCCAGTGGGAACAAGGGGAACAGTTTATAGAGTGAATGTGTAGAAAGGCAGAGAAATTATTTGATTGGTTAAAGGGGAGCAGTAGCCTTATTAGGATTATTTCAGTAGAAAATCCCTAGTTAGAGGTTAGTTGGCAGTTTCTGACTGGTTAAGATCATTTATGCTGAATTGAATTTCGTGTGTTTGACTGATGGTTGGCAGCCCTTAGGTAGCTTCAAGGTAGGGGCTGGTCAACTGAAATACCAAAGTGGGATTAGAGGGTTGGGACTTCCAGTCCTACATCCTAACCTCCAGGGACGGAAGAGGGGCTAAAGGCAATCACCAGTGGCCAATGATTTAATCAATCGTGCCTCCATAATGAAACTTCCATAAAAACATTTTAAAAAAATGTGTTCTTAGAGCTTCTGGATAGCTGAATACATGGGGGGTCCTGGAGGGTGGTGTGCCCGGGGAGCGCATGGGAGCTCTGTGCCCCTTTCCCTTCAGTTGCGCTATGCATCTCTTCATCTGTTTCATTAGCTATGTCCTTTATAGTAAACTGGCAAATGTTTCCTGAGTTCTGTGAGCTGCTCTAGCAAGTTAGTCAAACCTAAGGAGGAGGTCACGGCAACTCCAATTTGTAGCCCGTAGCACAGGTAAAACAACTTGGGACTTGCAATTAGCATTGGAAGAAATGGGTTGGGGGCATTCTTGCGGGACTGAGCCGTCTACCTGTAGGATCTGACACTATCTCCACAATTTTGATTGTGTCAAAATTGAATTGGAGGACACCTAGCTGATGTCTGCTGCAGACAGCTTGCTTAATTGGTGTGTATTAAACCCCCCTCCCCCCGCCACATGTTTGGTCACAGAAATCCTGTGTTGATTGTTGTTTGTTAGGTGAGAGAATACAAAAACACGGTTTGAGTGTTTTTCCTCGGTTTCCTTACATAGGAACCCAGGGTACTGGAGTCGCCTCAGTCTAAATGGCCTCCCAATTAATTATGTTAACAATTGTAAGCACTTGATAGATGCTGGTTATGTTATTATTTATTTGTTAGTAAGTGTAAGCATTGTTTTCTGTGGTTTTTGACCACTTGTATTCTCTTGTAACTACAGTTGACCCTCATTTGTGGGTTTTGCATCCACTGATTCAGCCAACTGGATCAAAAATATTTTTAAAAACCCAATTAAAATAACAATATACCAATAAAATAATACAAATAAAAATACAATAAAACAATTATGTACATAGTGTTTACATTGTACAGGTTGAATATCCCTTATCTGTAATGCTTGGGACCAGAAGTGTTTCAAATTTCAGATTTTGGAATATTTATGTATGCACAGAGATATCCTGGGGATGAGACCCACGTCCAAACACAAAATTTATTTATGTTTTATATGTTTATGTTTTATATACAATAATTTAAATAATTTTGTGCATGAAATAGTTTGTGTACATTGAACAATCAGAAAACAAAGATATCACTATCTCAGCCACCCATGTGGAAAAATCTGTGGTCTTGTGGCATTATCATCATTCCTGACTCTGAATTTATATGCTACCAATATGCAACCATTTTCTTACACTTATTCATGCATAAGTACTTAACAGTAAAAAAAATTGCATACCATTAATACAATGAAAAAATAATGTGTTCAGGGTAACTCAGCAACAAGGTAGCATCATGGAATTACCTACATTACCTATATCGGTTGTTAAACAACAGAAACAACAAACAGGGCAGGCTTTCAGTTTCCACCTACAAGGCTGTGTTTTGGTTAAAAGGTTACTATATGCTGTATTTTATTTTATTTCAGGTGGGAAGAAACATCAGAAGCAGTTGAGGGATCAAGAAGTGGGTCCTCCAGGGATGAGGAGGCATTCTGCTTCACGGCTTTTTAAAATCTTTCCTCCTGAGTCATCTTCCCATTAATGACTTTTTTTTGGTTTGTTTGTTTTATAAATCTCTTTTTGATTTTATAAACTGAAGATTTCTTGTTCTGTAATAAACACACACTTTTCTAGTCCTTCAATAAACTTTCACACATTTTTATCATGTTGTCTATAGGCACTTTTTCCACAGTTTTAACGTCATCTTCATGATCACTGTAATCATGATCACCTTAATTTGGAACCATCTGGGCTCTTTGACCACTGGTCAGTGAATTAACTGGAGCCTCATTATCGATGTTAAAAATGTCTCCAATATCTACTGCTTCGAACTTACTGGTAAACTCTGAAGTTCCATATTTTTGCATATGTAAGAATATCCAGCATCATTTTATTTCTCACTTGACACATGGAATCCTTCAAACTCACCACCTTGTTCATCACATCACTGAACATAATCCCAGGGCAGAGGTTGTGCCAGGCATATACCCAACTGTCTTTAACCACTGTGATCGTAGCATTGGCAACAGCATGTATGGTATCTTTCATGCTAAATTCTTCTTGAAAATCTGACACATCCATGCCTCCATTTGCTGCTGCTAGCATGCTGTTAAAGAAAGTGTTTTAATATTTATACTTCCTTTATATTTGGGAGAAAGCACATGAAGTACACGTGTAAACATTATTTTTGATGAGAATTTCAGCTGCGGGATGACCAGAATAGTTGTCAAGGAATAACAATATTTTGCAGTCTAGCTTCCCTGCAGTGAGCAGGAGCTGCTGTTACAAAAATATTTGTGAAAACAATCAGAAAAGATGTCCCTGATTATCCATGCCTTTTTATGAGCAGAACAGTGAAACGGCAAGAAATTCACTCCTTAAGAATGGTGAGAACACAAGCTTTTGCCTATCACAGCAAGTTTACACTTATGTATGTCCGTTGCATTAGCACATCCCAGCAGTTATTCTATCCTTGCTATTCTTAAGTCCTGTAGGAGCTGCCGCAATAATGCCAAAATGGTGATGTTTCATCAGCATTATAGACTTGTTCTGACATCAGATTTTCATCACTGATGACCTTGGCAAACTCATTAATGAATTTCTCCACCGCTTCATAATCAGTAAAGTTTTATCACCACAAAATTGTTAAAAAATTAATGCCATGTCTTTTCTTAAATTTCTGCAACCAGCCTGTCAAATATTCACAGTTCCCTTCAAGTTTCAGTTGATTGTAATAGATGTTTGTTTGTTTCATGATTAGTATACCATTAAGTGGCATGTGTTCACTGATGCTCATGGATCTACTCTTTCAATACATGATTGGAATCATTATTTTTCAGCTGTATGCAGTGTTTTCTATGTTTTCATTAACTTATGTCCATCACTTTTAGCATAGAACTTCAACAGTTTCTCTTTTACTTCTTCAGGTCAAATATGGTGATCATTCCCACAACATATTCTTCTGTGGGATGTTTCACACTTAAACTGCTGTTCAGCTTCTCCAACAACTTGACTTTCTGTGCTATAGCTAAACATAAATACTTCCTATTTCTCTAATCACTGTTACCCATAGGGGTATCTGCAGGCCTTTTTGACATTTTCAACAATATCTTTACACCACAGAGCAGAGAATAAGCAAAAATTGTCGTGAGTAATTCACATACGTCTTGGCCCTATGTGGGCCATTGCGGGGAACATGCTGTTAGTGTGTCAGGTACACGTGTCATTTTATTACCTTTTGTAGGTGTGCTTGCATTGGGCAATCTGGGCTTGTGTAGAAAAGATATATCACAGTTGAAAGAGGCAGAGTCTTTTTTCCCTTGAGGATGCTGAATAAACTGTGTGTTGTGTGCCTATGTTTTGACTGAAACCTGTCACATGAGATTAGGCACAGAATTTTCCACTTGTGGTGTCACCAGTGCTAAAAAAATGAATTTTGGAGCATTTTAGATTTAATATTTTGGGATTAGAGTTTCTCAACCTACATTAGGAATGATAAGTAATCTAAGTGTAATATAAAGTATATAGGATGCATATTCATGCATAGGTTATATGTAAATACTATGCCATTTTATATAAGAGAATTGAGCACCCATGGATTTTGGCATTCAAGGGGGGTCCTGGAAGCAATCACCTGCTGATACTGAGGGATGACTGTATTCATTTATGATCTTATTTTCAGAAATTTATTGACAAATGATTTCCTACACTATTCCTTTAATGTAGCATTGAATTATTTTCTCTTTGTTAAGGAAGAAAGAGAGAGACTGTGTTGATTTAATCAAACCTAACATTTGACTGAAGCTCTTAAAAACTAAAGTACATTTAAGAAATATAATACTATGAAATAATGCCTCCCCTTGCTTCACCAATCAACATATACACAAAAGCCTGTACTGCTTTTTGTAATTTAAAAAGAAAGATAATGGAAAAATCAAGTTTGGGGTAGTAGAAATACAAGAAACACATTTCATTACAGAGCTCAGAGGATTATGCATCTATTTCTTTGTATTACAGAATCAATTGTGAATTTGACATTTTATGATAAAAACCCTGAAACAAGGCAACTGGTGACTAGTTTGAAGGGGAAATGTGCTTAGTGTATAATTAATAGAGGCAAACCATTATAGAGAACGAAAAATAAAATTAAATAAGCATACATGTTGACTACTCGGGGGAGGGGAGGTAGAATAAAGTGTGAATCATTTTACTTCGGACTAAAATAACATGTTTTGATAATTGTATTGTGAAGTTTTATATCCAGTCTACTGTGGCACTAAGCATCTTTACTAAGTTGAAGAACGATTAGCTGTGACTTTAAAACAATAGGTAGAATTAGCATTAAATGAGTGTATTAGTCCATTTTCACACTACTATAAAGACATACCCTAGACTGGGTAATTTATAAAGAAAAGAGGTTTAATTGACTCACAGTTCCTCATAGCTGGCCTCAGGAAACTTTCAATCATGGCAGAAGGTGAGAGAGAAGCAAAGACATGTCTCACATGGTGGCAGACGAGAGAGAGTGAAGGAGCAAAGAGGGAAGGGCCACTTGTAAAACCATCAGATCTTGTGAGAACTCACTCACTATCATGAGAACAGCATGGGGGAAACCACCCCATGATCCAATCACCTCCCACCAGGTCCTGCCTTCCACATGTGGGGATGATGGGGATTACAATTTGAGATGAGATTTGGGTGGGGACACAGAGCCAAACCATATCACCTAAAGCCAAAATATTTAAAGTGAGAAAAAAGGCAGAGATCTGTGGATTTGCAGAATGCATGTAAGAGTTAACAAGTTCATCAAATTCTTGTTCTAGTTGTGTGTGCACGAATGCACTAAACTCACAGTTAGTGAAGAAGAAACCCAAAGAATAGAAAGAGTTTGCTAACCTAGATTATTAACAGGACTGATAACAGCAATAGCCAAAGCTGGAGTGTGCACCCTGGCCATGCACTGTGCAGAGCACTTTACAGGCCTTATGTTAGGATTTGGCTGTGTCCTCACCCAAATCTCATCTCGAATTGTAGCTCCCATAATTCCCATGTGTCATGGGAGGAACACAATGGGAGGTAATTGAATCATGGGGGTGGGTCTTTCCCGTGCTGATCTCCCAATAGTTAATAAGTCTCATGAGATCTAAGGGTTTTATAAGAGGGAGTTCCCCTGCACAAATTCTCTGGCCTGCTGGCATGTAAGACATAACTTTGCTCCTCATTTGCTTTCCACTATGATTGTGAGGCCTCCCTAGCCATGTGGAACTGTGAGTCAATTAAAACTCTTTCCTTATAAATTACCAGTCTCAGATATGTCTTTATTACCACTGTGAGTACAGACTAATACAGTAAATTCGTACCAGTAGAGTGGGCTGCTGTTGTAAAGATACCTAAAAATATGGAAGTGACTTTGGAACTGGGTAACAGGCAGAGGTTGGAACAGTTTGGAACAGAAGAAGACAGGAATATGTGGGAAAGTTTGGAACTCCCTAGAGACTTGTTGAATGGCTTTGACAAAAATGTTGATAGTGATATAAAGTACAGGCTGAGGTGGTCTCAGATGGAGATGAGGAACTTGTTGAGAACTGGAGAAAAGGTGACTCTTGTTATGTTTTAGCAAAGGGACTGGCAGCATTTTGCCCCTGCCCTAGAGACTTGTGGAACTTTGAACTTGAGAGAGATTATTTCAGGCATCTGATGGAAGAAATTTCAAAGCAACAAAGCATTCAAGAGGTGACTTGGGTGCTGTTAGAAGCATTCAGTTTTATTCACAAAGATATGGTTTGGAATTGGAACTTATGTTTAAAGGGGAAGCAGATCATAAAAGTTCAAAAAATTTGCAGACTGACGATGTGATAGAAAAGAAAAACCAATTTTCTGAGGAGAAATTCAAGCCAGCTGCAGAAATTTGCATAAGTAATGAGGAGCCAAATGCGAATCACCAAGATAATAAGGAAATTGTCGCCAGGGTATGTCAGAGACCTTTCTGGCAGCCCCTCCCATCACAGGGCCAGAGGCCTAGGAGGGAAAAATGGTTTCATGGGCCAGGCCCAGGGCCTCCCTGCTCTGTGCAGCCTAGGGACTTGGTGTTCTGCATCTCAGCCACTCCAGCTGTGGCTAAAAGGGGCCAAAGTACAGCTTGGACCATGGCTTTAGAGGGAGCAGGCACCAAGCCTTGGCAGCTTCCATGTGATATTGAGCCTGCGGGGGCACAGAAGTCAAGAATTGGGGTTTGAGAAACTCTGCCTAAATTGCAGAGGATGTATGGAAACGCCTGGATGTCCAGGCAGAAGTTTTCTGCAGGGGTAGAGCCCTCATGGAGAACCTCTAGTAGGATGGTGCAGAAGGGTAATGTGGAACTGGAGCCCCCACACAGAGTCCCCAATGGGGCACTGCCTAGTGGAGCTGTGAGAAGAAGGCCACTGTCCTCCAGACCCCAGAATGGAGATGTACCGACAACTTGCACCATGCATCTGGAAAAGCCACAGATGCTCAACACCAGCCTGTGAAAGCAGCCAGGTGGGAGGCTGTTCCCTGCAAAGTCACAGGGGTGGAGCTGCTCAAGAGCATGGAAACCCACCTCTTGTATCAGTGTTACGTGGATGTGAGACATGGAGTCATAGGAGATCATTTCAGAGCTTTAAGATTTGACTTCCCCACTGGATTTTGGACTTTCATGGGGCCTGTAGCCCCTTCATTTTGTCCAATTTATCCCATTTGGAATGGATATATTTATCCACTGCCTATAACCCCATTGTATCTAGGAAGTAACTAACTTGCTTTGGATTTTACAGGCTGATAGACAGAGGGACTTGCCTTGCCTAGGATGAGACTTTAGACTGTGGACTTTTGAGTTAAGACTCTAAGGGACTGTTGGTACTCTAAGGGACTGTTGGGAAGGCATGCTTGGTTTTGAAATGTGAGGACATGAGATTTGGAAGAGGCTAGGGGCAGAATGATGTGGTTTAACTGTATCCCCACCCAAATCTCATTTTGAATAGTAGCTCGCATAATTCCCACATATCATGGGAGGGACCCAATGAGAGGTAATTGAACAATGTGGGTGGGTCTTTCCTATGCTGTTCTCATGATAGTGAATAAATATCACAAAATCTGATGGTTTTATAAAGGAGAGTTCCCCTGCTCAAGCTCTCTTGCCTGCCGCCATGTAAAATGTGACTTTGCTCCTCACTTGCCTTCTGCCATGATTGTGAGGCCTCCCCAGCCATGTGAAACTGTGAGTCAATTAAACCTCTTTTCTTTATAAATTACCCAGTCTTGGGTATGTCTTTATTATCAGCATGAGAACAGACTAATACACCTTACTTCATTCACAATAACCCATTAGGGAGCTATTGTCATCCTCACCGCAGCTCAAAGCTATTGAGAGGCACTGCTGATATTCAAAGCCAGATCTCTTTCAAAGCCCATGTTTTTATTCACTTGGGGATGACGCTAGTTTTTCCTAGTCCCATTATTTTTTGATATTGTCTACTTCTGTCCTAATTATTTATTCATTTAGTCATGTATGCTTTATGTATCAAAATAGTTATGGGGTTCTTAATATGTGCCATGCCCTGTGCTACATGCTGTTCATATAGCAGGAATTTTTTGGATATGTATTTCTTCCATTCACATAACTTATAGTTGATCAGAGGAGCTGAGAATTTCAGAAGGAGTAATAATCATGAAGCAGCATTTATTAATTAGAAAGTGCCAGTCCCATTTCTAGGTATTTGCTGTACTGTCTCCATAATTTTTGCAACAACCCTTTACAAGGAACCTGGGACTCAGATACACTTGGTAATTTGTTCAGATATCAACCAGCTATCAAGTGCCTGACTAGGAATCAAGCCTTGGCCTGCAAGATGTCCTGCTGCCTCACAGCTGGCTCCTTACTATGCCCCTCAATTCTGCAGTGGACTTTTCACCAGGGACATAAGTCCCAGTGCCACCATGTTCTGGATTTTTTTGTCACTGTTTTGTTGCTACTTTTCTTCTAGGTCACTTCCCTTGCCAGAATTTTGCATTCTGCACAGAAAGAGACATTTTTGTACAGTTATCTCTAACAGCCCCTATTTTCATCTTCCACCAGAAACACACACACACACACACACACACACACACACACACACACACACACACTTTGGCCTTAGGGGCAAACATTAGGTAAACTAATATTCAATATGTTAATTAAGCAGTCTCAGGAAAAATCAGACTACAGTAGCTTTTTGCTTTGCAAGGCACATATATGCAAACCCCAAACAATTTTCATCTGTGACATATTAGCCACATTCCCTCTAAATCAGTCTTCTTTTAGGTTGCCTCATAATCCTTGATGATGTGACACAATTTAGATATATCTTTCTAAATCATTTCAATCACTCCTATAAATGTGTCACAACCATATGCTAGCTCTGGCAAAATGATAAATCTTTACTGTAAGCTATATGCTTAGACTTGTGGGACTATCTGTCTAAGGAATACATGGGCTACAGTAGTCAGCTTTCTATACACTATCAGTTCTTTGAAGAGCATTAAAATATTTCAACATATAATATCTTAATTTAACAAGTAAATGCAGATGCCTTAAGATTCCCTATCTTGGAGTTGTTGGCTGACACCTTCTCCAGAAAGCATAGTTAACCTGCTGCATGACAAAGGGCAAGTTATTCTATCCTTCTGCAAGTTCGAATTTTTATTTACTTTTAAAATGGGGATGATATCTGTAGCTGATTTAACATCTGGCCACAAATTCTATGACATACCTCCCATCAAAAATTTGGATGTGTGTCTCTTCTGAGGCTGGGTAATGGGAGTCATGTGGCTGCCATCTTAGTTATAGTTTTTGGAGCTCTGTGCTTCAATGTAGGAAGTCTTATGACCCCAAGGGAACCAAGTACTCCAGTTGACAGTCTCAGATGAGCCTAGCCTTCTGGCCATCTTCACCAAGGTGCTAGACATGCAGATGAGGCCATCTCAGTCCCTCCAGACCAGCCTATCTGTCAGCCAAATACCACTCAGTTACTGCTATGGTGAAAATGTTCGAGTTCTGCCCAAATTCATATGTTAGAACCTCACCACCAATGGGATGCAATTAGGAGGTTGGGTACTTGGGAGATAATTAGGTGATGAAGGAAGAGCCTACATGAATGGGATTAGTGCCTTTATAAAACAGGCCCCAGAGAGCTGTCTTGCCTCTTGCACCATGTCAGGACATAGCTAGAAGGCATTATCCATGGATAAGAAAGTGAATTCTCACCAGAAACTGAATCTGCTGGTGCCTTGATCTTGAATTTTCCAGCCCCCAGAACTGTGAAAAATAAATTTCTGTTGTTTATAAGTTACCTTGTTTATGATATTTTGTTGTAGCAGCCCAAACAGACTAAGATAGTGACCTTCATCGACATCTTGTGGAAGTTTTACCCTGTCAAATCCTGCCTAAATTTCCAACCCACAAAACCACGAAATATAATAACATGATTCTTGCATTAAGCCAGCATGTTAGGGGTAGTGTGATATGCATTAATAAGTAAGTAAAATACTTTCAATGTGAAGGTCAGTAAGCACTCAACAAATGTTAGCTATTATTTTTATTTATTCAGCATCTACTATGATCATGAAACTGTATAACAGGTTTTGGGGCACAGAAAAGAAGTGTAAGATATAGTCTTTGCTCTATTACAGTTCGGGAGTGGCAATAATGCTAGAAACATCTGAAAAGATAATGTATGTATTGTTAGAGTGGTAGACATAATTGCTGTAAGAGTTCCAAGAAAGGAGAGCTAAGTCACTGTGAAGAAGTGGCTGTTGCGCTGCACCTGAGGCCCTCATCTTTAGGGAGCTGGACGCAATATCTGTTGGACAGAAACATTAGAAGATAGTTTGTTTGACTTTGGATGGGGTTATATTTTAGTTCCTGTTTTATAGATTAGGGGACAAGTGATGGATATGTTCTATATATGTTTTGATTGCTGTCTATTTACCCTGTTGGTGAGGCAATGACTCCTGCCCTAGGGTTATGAGACGATTGAGCATGTGACATTGACAGTGGACAGATGAGCTCCACATATATTCACAGTCCAGGGGAGAAGAGCACTGCACGCCATTCGGGGCCACACAGGCTTGCTCTCAGGAACACAGTGAGCAACCAGGGGCTGTGGGAAGCAGGCTTTGTAGCATTAGGAGGGTGGGGTGCCCCCTGGGTTCCCACAGAGGATGTGATTTGGCTTATTTGAATAATTCCCCAGTCTTGCTGGGAACTGAAACTTGCTACTCAGGGATAAGCAGAAACTGTGCCTCGTCCCTTTGATAAGAAGGGTTGTTTGGCTAGGGGGTTTATAACGGAGGAGAAGCAGGGCAGGGAAGGCATCTTACTGTTAGACATTTGAGAACCTCCTGATTTTACCGGATCCACAAATTTAAAAAGCAGCACATGACAGTGAGCCTCAATTTTAGTCCTTATTCCACTGTATAACCTTCCCAAGGTTCCAAAGCCAATGAGAAGTGGGGCTTGGATTTGAACCTAAGTGTGTCTGGTCCAGTCTGTTCATCAGGCTCAGAGTCCATGCATTAGGTACAAATGAAGGAGAGGACTAAGTTTATGAAGACAACTAAGTATGTTTCTTCTTTCACGCCACTCTGCCTGTTTCATTGAGTTTACTTCAATCCCAAAGCACCCAAAATCCTAAAAATTCTTCTGGGTGAACCACTATCATTATATGAGATGCCATCATTGAGGGAAGCTGGATAAAGGGTATATGAGACCTCAATAACTACTTCAAAATTTAAAGAAATGCTTCTGGTATATAAGGCTCTAAATTATGGTCCTGGATTTGTAGTCAAGCAGAGTCATGGTAGATCTTGCTGTCTCCACTAACACTTTTCACTGTTTCTCACCCATCTTGTGTCCTTATATCCCTCTGTATCAAGGCTAATCCCATGGTACATGGTAATTATTGAAATCACTCTTTTGCATACATTCCTAATTTCCTTGTTTCTCTCTCTCTCTTCAGCTTCCTTATAGTTAGGCTAAACCACAGCCCTGGTTAAATCCAATTATGGCTTCTCTGTGTCTTTACCTGGGGACTTGGATCTTGCTGGAGAAAAGCACAAAACCAGGCTGACTGGTGTTTTAAACTCATGATCCTTCCTAAGTGTTACTCCTCTCTGCCTTTTGAACCCAAACCAATCAGACCTTTGACCCAACCGCTCTGGCAAAATACATTTCATGCAAGGTCATGGATGACATCCTCATTGCTAAATTCAGTGGTCAATTCTTGACCTTTCAGCAGCATTTGATAGACTTGATCACTCATTCCTCCTTGAAACATTTTCCCAATGTAGATTCTAGCACATAAATTCCTGGTTTTCCTCCTACACCAACGGTTGCTCCCTTCTCAACCTCTTTTGCTAGTTTCTCTTATGCTCAATATCCTAATGATGAAATGCTCCAGATCTCAGTTTTTGAACCACTTCTGTCTACCTATACTCACTCTCTTGTGATCTTACATAATTTTTTGGCTTTCAGTACTATGCATGTGCTAGGACTCCCACCATTTATATCTCCAGCTCGAATATTACCACTGAACTCTGACTCTAGAATCATGTATCAAGATCTCCATTTGTCTGTCTAATATGAAGATCAAAGTTAACATATTCAAAAACCAAAGATCTCAACATTTCTTCCAAACCTCATTCTTTTGCAGTTTTCTCCACTCAGCAGAAACTATGTTTTTCTAGTGGCTTAGGCTTGATATTATCCAAAAAATCTCTCTCTCTCTCTTTTTCTTAAACATCCTTTGTCAAGTCAGTCACCTTGACTTTTTGGCCCTATATTAAAAAATCTATTCTAACCTGACAGTTTGTCGCCAAACTCCACTGATACCACTCGTGTTCAAGTCATTATTGCAGATTACTGCAAAAGCTCTCAGTATGGGAAATATTTTGTGTCCCTAACCCTATTCTCTCATCTCACCTCTTTACTCCAGCCATTGCTTTAGAAACCCATGCTTCCAAGAGTAGTCTGACAGCACCTTTCTGAACTCATCTCTGGTTTTCCACCAAGGCTTCTTTGCCACTACTAAGTGTGATGCCTGTGTGTACATGCTCAGCCATGCTATCAACACTGGGAGTTCAAGAGAATTAACTGTCTATGAGCCAACACTTGACCAATGGGGAATGAAAACTGGAGAAAAACTCCCCTCTCTACTCTTTGGGTAGACAATTCTCAGGCATGTACTATGTACCTCCTCAGAGGCTTACCTGTATGGAGTCCCAGTTGCCCACAGCAACCAGCTTCATACAGCACTTTTAATTTGCTTTTTCTATTTTTTCTGTTTCCCTCTTCTCAGCTC